>NC_000006.12:130070790-132570790 GCF_000001405.40 Homo sapiens
TTTTTTTTTTTTTTTTTTTGCGGCTTGTTGGAAAGCGACCCTGCTGTGAAACTGGCATATGATTTTTAAATTATGTGAATACAGCAGTGGATGCTGGGCCTTTGAGCAGGAGGTGCAGAGAGTGTGCAGTTCTTGTGGTTGTCAAGTGTGTGCTTATCTCTAATTAAATCTGTGTGTTTCCATAGACAGTGATCCCATCGGGCTTTCGAGTTGGTATGAAGCTTGAGGCAGTAGACAAAAAGAATCCCTCATTCATCTGTGTTGCTACGGTAACAGATATGGTGGACAATCGTTTCCTGGTACATTTTGACAACTGGGATGAGAGCTATGACTATTGGTGAGACATTTTCTGTTGTGTGCTTTTAAAAATTTAATATTTATCCAAGTAAATGGTTTGAAAACAGTAATAGTGCAACGCTTATAACAAAAAAAAGCAGTGTTCTGCCCCACTTTTTCCTGTTACAGATTTTTAATTTTTTACCTGTTCCATATGGGATATATTTTAAATAACATCCTTTAATTTTGCTTTGTGATTGGTATTTTAGTTGACTTCCTACTATGGAAGTGCAGTCTGCACACTCCACATTCCCAACATATGTTCACACGTATTTTAATCTTCCCTTCTTATTTTCATGCCCACCAGCTAATTTAAACATTCGTAATAGCTGACTACAAAATATATTGAAGAATATTATTTTTAATCCTTGCAGTTTTTAGATATCCTGCACAAAGTTGTAAAAGCAACATATTTTACAATTATATAATTATAAAATAATTATAATAAAGCCATTATATTTTGATTAAACAGTTGAAATAAGGATTTTTCATACCAAATTCATGTTCATTGATTGCTGTAATTCAGTTTCCTAGTAAAAGGCATTTCTAAAGTGTTTAGTTCCTTCTAGAGTACACTTGAATTGAGAATATTTTAGAGAAGTAACAGATATCTTTATAAAATACAACTTGTGTTATAGGATAAGTGAATATTAACTTATATAAATATTGCTAAATATCAAGGAGGTTTGTTTTTTGACCTAATTTTTTAGTATCCATATATTTAAACATTCAGTAGACACATTGATAATTTCCATTACTTCTCAGATGGGATTCTTAGATACTCATTAGTTTTACTTGCATTGTTTAAAAAAGAAGAGATGTTGAAATTCATTTGCTATTCATATTTTTAAAATGCTTTCTATTATATGTTACCTACGCTTTTTGCAGAATTTTTAAAAAATGTAGACAGTTAGTTCCATGATTAGATTACACAGACCCAAGTACGGTTGGCCTTCTGTATCTGTGGGTTGCACATCCATGGATTCAACCAACTGCAGATCAAAAATATGAAAAAAAGAAAAATAGCAATACAATAATAAAAATAATACAAATACAAATATACAGTATAACAATTATTTACGTAGTATAACTACGTAAATAATTGTATAAATGCTGTGTAAATACATAGCATTTACATTGTATTAGGTATTATCAGTAATCTAGAAATGATTTAAAGTATAAGGGAGATAAAGTAAACAGAAAGATGTGTGTAGGTTATATGCAATTACTATGCCATTTTGTAAAAGGGACTTGAGCATCCTTAGATATTGGTGTCCACAGGGGCTTCTGGCACCATCTCCTGCTGATACCAAGGCATGACTCTGCTTTAGAATATTTTGTTTGTTTTTCCCAGCTTTTTTCTGCAGAGCATAATTTTTCCTTGTAGGACATCTTTATATTCAGTTTATAATAAAAGTTTTTCATTGAAATACAGTCAATTTCTAACATATACAAAAGTAGAATAATAGAGCAGCCCTGCTGCAACCTTTACTCAGCACCAACAATTATCAACTTATATCCAGTATGTTTCCTCTGTATTCCTACTCCTAAAATCCCAACTCTGGGATTGTTTCGAAATCAGTGACAGATATCAGAGCATTTCAGTATATATCTTCTAAAGAGAGGAATTATTTTTATTTTTAAAAATATAATAATAACTATGATATTACTAACATACTTAAATATTTCTCCCTATTGTTTTAGTGGGATTTTTGTTTATTTTTAGCTTGATGGTTTTAGGTCCAATAAGGTGTACACTTTGTGATTACCTTGCTTGACCTCGTTTAATTTACAGATACCTATTCCTCTCCTTTCTTCCTCGTTGATTGTAGCTTTTGTTAAAGACACCAGGTTGTTTGTACTGTTGAGTCTCACAGTTTGATTTGCTGATTGAAACCTCATCTTATTTACTGTGTTCTTCTGTTCCTCCTATTTACTGTGTTCTTCTGTTCCTCCTATTTACTGTAAATTGGTGGTTTTTGTTTTACTTAAAATTGTTGGGCCTGCATGGTGGCTTATGCCTGTAGTCCCAGTAATTTAGGAGGCCAAGGTGGGAGATCACTTGAACCCAGGAGTTTGAGACCAGCCTGGTCAACATAGCAAGACCCCTGACTCTACATAAAAATTTCAAAAACAGTAAAGATTTTCTATACATATTTTGAATGGGTGAGTGGATGAGAAAACTTTAACTTTGGAAACAGTCTAAATCTGTCCTGAATCAAACCTGTTTGTCTCCTTCTGTGCTTGGTGGGCTATGATGATGGCACTACTAGGGCGATAACTGGGCTCCAGGCCTTTTCTTAATAAATAACGCTAAAACAATGACTAGAATCTATTGAAATGAGAATATTTTGTTTTTAAAGTTAGGTTTATTTGGGGAGGATTTTTTTAAAGCTTTTGCCTGATTTGAACAAAATAGGTGAATGTCAGTTTATTTTTGTGGCCTCATAAGTATTACAGTGTTTTAAAGGTATAAGTTGCTGATTTGACATAAGATGCGTTGCCTTTGAAAACATTCATGTGGAAAAAAAGTAAGGGGAGAGTCTAGAAGAATTCGCCATGTTCATTTTTCGATGCCAAATGTCTAGGGAACAAACAGGAAGGATCCTGGGTTCTAAAAAAGATCCTGGATTCTAAAAAGATCCTGGGTTCTAAAAATACAAAGAAAAGAAAAAAATTGATCTCTTTTAACTCGAGTTTTGTGCTTTTATGAGCACAAACTAATTATTTTTAGGATGGAATGTACTTTGAGGATTACTTAGACTTCCAGCTACTGACATGAAATCATTTTTTGTTAATTCTCTGAAAACGAAAACAGTGTGTTTTCTTCCTCAACATGCAGTTAAGATGCAATGGAAATTGTTTAAGTGCTCTGGAATTTCTCCACTTTTACTAAATATTATGCTCTTTGATCTTTGAATTTTGGAATGGTTTTTATCTGCATAAATTACTTAGGTATGTAATTGAGGTTACAGATTGGGTTGCCTTTCCCAATTTAAAATAGTTTGGAAATGAGATATTTTTTGCTTTGATTTGAATAGTAATTCTTTATCTCTTTTTTACATTAGTGGGAATTTGAAAATATATATGTGTCTGTATACATTTGTGTTACTACATGTTTAGTTGCAATAAAACATTTCTAACTTCCAAAGAGGAACATGATAAAAATTTATGTAGGACTGAAAAAGTAGCTTTCTATGAAAGGAAAATAGCATATATTAGAATAAAAATGGCTTCACCTCTGGGTTTCTTCTGTGCTTTTGTTACTGATAGTTGGTAGCTGTTCGATTCTATCTCCTTGACAGTTGTTAGATTTAGGAATAATCCTAGATGTAATAGAATATTGCCACTAGAAAGAACTTTAGGGACCCAGGAAGGTAGGTCAGTACCACGGGGAGGGTACCTCCAGGTTACTGCTGTCCTCCCGCCACTGCAGCCTCCTTCCTGATTATCTGCCTGAAGGTTGGGCTCTGGGGCAGAACACAAAGAGAACAGTCACCTCTTTTCTTCCAGGCACTAGGAAGGAACCTTTCTTTTAAAAAATGTTATTTTCATGTACCCTTGTCTTTTGGGATCCAGGAAGGATTGACAACAGGATTTGGTCCATTGTTTAGTAGAAGGCCTAAATGAATGAGGTTGCAGCTTCAGCCATTTTTTATTCCATTGTACTTTGGTGTCCCAGTGGAGTCAGGGCAAAAATTCGTAACAAAAAGATCTGTGAAAAAGAAAAGGGTTATTAGTGAATTAGAACAAATGTAGCAGTGGGCCTTTTCCTGATTGCCTGTAAGTGTAGTGTAAACTTTTTTTTTAGAGATGAATCTCTTTTACATTTACAGATTAACAGCAGTAGTAATTTTATGTGTCTCCCTAAAATCATGTTGAAAAGTTGTCAGTTTCTTAGAGCAGTGTCAGTTAATAGGCTTGTCACTATTTGGTTAAATTTGGGAAGCACTGGTTGGTGGTGGTGATGGGAAGGCCGTGGAGATGAATGGAACCTGGGCTGTTCTGAACTTCAACTCTGGGGGGCTCATGGTCTGGGGAAGGAGAGAAACTAAACACCACTGTCTTGAGTGCAGGGCTAGATGGTGGTTATTGCTTAATTTTTAGAACCAACCACTTGGAGGGGTGATGGCACTTGGAGGGAAGGACTGACTCAAGCTCACTGGAGGGCTCTTGGGGAGGGCTTCTTAGAGGACATGGGGATTTGAGCTGGACCAAGAAGGAATGGGTACTTAGAGGTTGGGATGGAATATTCTTGGCTAAGGAAAGCACTTCCTTGTGTTTTGGCCCAGGGGTAGGATGTGTTTGGGTAATGGCAGCCAGTTTATTCAGTGCATTACTTAACACTTCTAAACTTTAGTTGTCTTCTGAAAGGGATTGATAATAATACCTGTCCCATCAGGTGTCGTGGGGATTAAAATAAGAGTTTTAGGAACAGAAACTGATTTGCAAAAGGTTGAAGAGTGATAAGGGATATTAAGCAGAGAAGTTTAGTGCTGAAGGCAAATGGATTATTGCTTAAGAGGAAGTTGACTTCTAAGGAGGGTTCCCTGCACCATGAGCATTTTTGAGCTTGGTTTTTAGGCAGAAGGCAGGAAGCCACTGTGGAGGGAGAGAGTGGAGATTTCTGAAACTATGGGTAATACAGGTGGCACCAAGTCTCCTAGGAGCAGCTAGCCTCAAGAAGAAATAAACTTTCTTTTCACTCAGCCTGGAGAAAATGAAGAAGTAAAAGGAAAATTTGATACGAGGGTGATGAGATGCTATCACCTTTATCTCTTCCAAGTATTCGTTGTGTTAATGAAAGATTTTAAGCTTGAAGCAAATTAATATTTCAAACAGCTACTGTGGGTAATAGAATTGGACATGAATTAGGGATGGAAAGGATCACTTGATGACTCGGGCTGATGAGGTTTGGGGTTTAGTAGTAAAGTGCAGAGTAATGGAGGCCCTGAAGAGTTCACATATAAGGGGAGCCAGGAGAGTTGGGTACTGAGTAATAAATTGGTAGAGTCATCATGGTCTGTGTTATAGGCAGTGAAGAAGCCAAGTGTCCTGTATTTCTTCAAATAATCTAAACCACTCTTGCTTAATGGAGAGACTTTGATGTTTTCCATAAGTAAGCATCTTGCAATGTTCTCCTTTGACTCTGGCTGAAACTGCAGAGCCCAGCATGTGTGCATTAGTTTTTGTTTAGCTTTTGGCTGTGACTGACAAAACCAGAATCCCTTTCTTTTCTACCCGAGTGCTTGGTGAAATCACTTAACCTCTTTGATTTCCATAAAATGAGGATCTTCATGTCTCCTAACTTTATCCTTATAAGCATGGATTTTTTTTAAAATAGGTTATTTCTTTGGTTTCTGGCCCTTTTAGAATTTACCGTCTGAGTCTCATTGGGTCTTAGCAGTCATTATGAATAATTTGCACTTACACATGAAATGTATTTCAAAAATTTGAAATGGAGGCTTCTTTCATGATATACATAAAAACCCAGAAGAAAGGAAGAGTACAGCAATCAGTGTTTTGTCATACTTTTTACCTTTAGTTGTTCTTCATATTTCTTTTCAGTTACGTTTCTACTTTTGAACACTAGATGGGACTAAGAGATGACTTGTTTTACAATAGTAGCAGAAGGCTATCACAGCCTTCCAACTTTTGAGTGAAGTGTTGTTTGCTTATTAAGAAAATATAAGTAAAATAGATAAAAACAGTAATATTTTTATCTTCTCTATTGAGGCAGCTTCTTTGTTTTAAGTGGCGACTTTGATCAATATCTAGATATTATTTAAACTTTATATTAGATTCAGATGGTACAAGAATGAATGACCATTAAGAGACCACAGTATTTTCCTTAATTGCAATTTGTATATCCAGCAAAATCAAAGAGTAATATTCAGTGTTTCTACTTTAAAATAAACACTGTGAGTCCGACAGATAATTATAAAAACTACTCTCTAAGTTCTATTAGATTGAGAAGGAAAAAATTAAATATTATATATATGTTATTTTTTCATTTTTTATGATGCTATCTATGAATTAACATCCTTCCCTAAAATAAAGGCAGTAAGACATTAGTAATCCATAACCAAAATGATTTTTTTTAGGAAAACACTAGGATATCTGGAAGTAGAGCTCCATAGCCTTGTTTGTATAATTTATAAAAGTGCATCTTAATGAATTATGTATTAAAATACCTTTTATGAAAATATGTATTGTAAAAAATATAGTGATTGCAGCATGAACTTGGCATTGACCTAGCAGTGCTTGGTTTTTTTTCATATTCCTAAAATAATGACCAGAAAAATAGTTTGTGGTAGAAACAGTATGAGATAACAACTGAATAAAGGAAGAAGCCTTTAAGTAATAAGGAAAAGATATTTTCTACTGAAGTAAGTTCTGAGAACCATCAGCATTCAGTAGTGGTTACATGAACTCACAATGTATTATTGTCCCAGGCTGCGCCTTTAGAAAGTTTGGCTTCGTTGACTGTGTGCTAATCTCACCCACTTACGATATTTTGTAGAAAATTATTTGTTTCACTATTCATAAGACTTCCTTATTCCCTGGAAACTCCAGCCACACTGTTACCTTCCTGGCTCTCTGCCTTCTAGTTTCCCATCAAGAGGGCTGTGTTGAGATTTCCTGATCTCAGTATGGACTCAACAGACCTCCTAGTTAGTATAGCAAAACTGACTGGACTCCTTGGCATCTTTTAGACCAACATTTTCCAGACTATGTTCTGCAGAACACTCGGGTTCCATATGATGTTAATAGGCTGAAACATGTTGCATTTTGAGAAGAGAAAAACATGGCAAAAGTATGACTAGGAGCAAGGAATTAGATGTACCAGGTATGCATGCTGATAAAGAGGCTTTGGAAAAATAGATGCTTGACTGTAGTAGAGATGACAGAAAGGAGAAGAAAGAGGTAAAGAAAAGAGAGTAATAGTTTGTCTTAATACCTGGTCTCTGTTATTCTAATGGGTAACAGAAATAGCATGTTGGTTATTAAGGATGATTGGGCTTCCTGCCTTTGTACATTTGCCCTTAGCGATACTGAAATAATTTTAGTTTTCCTATGTACACACAGTCTAAGTTTATTGTTCCACATGATTTTAATGAATCTAAATTATAAATTTTAATGATATTATGTTTGCATTTTTGCTGTAGTTGAAGTTACAGGATATAACAAAATTTGTGGGGAAAAGAAAATTGCATGGTGTCAAATCCATATAATGTTTATCTAATAAAAATCCACTTGGTATTAATATATTAAAAAGTTCTTTGGTTTAGCATTTTTTTCCAAATTAGATTGATTGTAATAAATAGAACTCTCTGTAAAGTGCTCATGATCTCTAGTTTTCTTTTTATTTTACTAGTTTTTGTGAGTTTATCCTGATAATTGCAGTTTTTTAATTTGTGTAACTTTCAGGTGTGAAGCATCAAGTCCACATATTCATCCAGTTGGTTGGTGTAAGGAACATAGAAGAACCCTTATTACTCCACCAGGTGTGTGTTTTTTTAATGTGGCTAATACTATTCGTAGACTTCAAGAGTAGGCAGACTTTTTCTGTAAAGGGCCAGATAGTAAATATTTTGGCTTTGCAGACCATGCAGTTTTCTGTCACCACTACTCAAAACAGTTGTAGTGCAAAAACAGCCATAGACAATAGGTAAACCAATGTGCATGGGTGTGTTGCAGTAACAGTTTATTTACAAAAACAGGCAGCCAACCTGCAGGCGTTAGTTTGCTCACCGCTGATGTACTTTCAACTATATTAAGTATTGCCTTAGTTCATAACAGAGTCTCAAATTTTGTCTCTCTTGGAAAAAAAAAAGTTCTGTTTTAAAAGATCTTTCATTTCTCAACTTGAAATTCATTTCTAGACTTTATATTAGTATATATTTAAATATATTGTCTAACCATAGAAGCAAATTGTCTAAGGCTTGAGCAAGTCCAGAAAAATGGATAAGAGGGACAGCATTTGTGTGTGGATTGGAGACCAGACTTCATGTCAGCATCAGTCCTCACAGAAGCACAGTGTTCACGTTTAAGTGAGAAATTGAGGCTTTAGATTTTTTTACTTAGTTTAGAACTCACACGCTCACTTTTCCTTTTTCTGTCGTGATTCCTGGTTCCAAAATAGATTTTGCACCTTCATGCTAGTGGTGCCTTTGTGTTCTCTGAAGTTTTCAGGCGCTTCTGCTCTCTGCCTCTAGTCATAGAGCCTTCTCAGCTTATTTGCTGTCTCTTTAACGGGGAACAGTGTAACTGCTGATAAATAGTGTCCTTGTTTTATATCATTTTGAGTTTATTTTATGTGCTAAAGAACAGATTCTGCGGTTTCTTCATAATCAAGACAGTGTATTTGTGCGTACATCACTACTCAAGGGGCCATGACCACTCCTGGTATGAAAAGACAGGATCATCAAACTGAAAGCATCCCTGCGCAGTAGACAATTGCTTAGTGGACCCTTACAGGAGTAATGAAGATTGCCTTTATTACAGAGAGAGGATGAGTCCTGGGTTTACTAGGAGCTGTTTTCGAATGTAGCCTGCAGCATGTAAGCTGCAAGATTGGAGAGCTTCAAATTCTATTGGAACAGCTGGTTTCATTTTTACGTTTGTCTCCAGTTCCTTGATACAGTGTCTCACTTAGAGTGTCTGATCATTTACTCACTCAGGAGGACCTATCATTCCTGTAACAGGCAAGTCAAGTCCTATCCACTCCCTGAGTTTTCTCATATAATAAAGGGAGGAAAGTCTCTGTCTTGACTTATTTACAGTACTATTTTGACAGTGAAACAGCATTGATATAAATCATGAAGGGTTAAAGCAAAGTATTGGCCAGGCACCTATGGCTCACGCCTATAATCTCAGCACTTTGGGAGGCTGAGGCGGGAGGATCACTTGAGCCCAGGAGTTCAAGACCTGCCTGGGTAACATAGTGAGACCCTGTCTCTATAAAAAATTTTAAGTCAGCCAGGTGAGGTGGCATGCACCTATAGTCCCTGCTGTCTGTGAGACTGAGGCAGGAGGATTGCTTGAGCCCAGGAGTTTGAGGCTGCAGTCAGCCAGCTATGATTATGCCACTCCACCCTGGGCAACAGAGCAAGACAGTGTTTCAAGAAAAAAGAAAAAAAAAAAAAGAAAGCAAGGTATTAATGGTTTCATGGTGCCAAACATAGTGCTGCCTGGAAGATTTCTTGTATTCTACCTTCCTTTGTCTGTCCTGCGGCTTACAAAATAATAGTGGCCAGTGATTGCCATGGTTGCTTCTTTGCCACTATCACCATCTAAAATGCTGTGAGGATCCTTTTAGATTTCCCAGTTTGTTATCAGCCCTTCTTTCCGTACCACCATTTTTGGTCATGATCAGAGATCTGATTAATTAACAATGAACCAGTGAACAACAACAGGTTCCTGGTTATGTACCCTGGAAGGAGTGGTGTAAGGCGTTATTGCCGACTTCTTAACATGAGGCAAAGAACCAAGCCATCTATCTCCTTTCCTGGACGTTTATAATTCAGTCGAAGAGAAAAAAAAAATAGCTTTTTGACACATTTTAAAAATTCAAAATTGCATGTGAAAATACCAAATACACAACAATATGAATATACATAATGCCATTACAATAGTAAAAATGGTAAATTTTATGTTATGTATATTTTGCCACTATTAAAAAATGCAAAAATGAACAAACAAAACTGCCAAATTGTGAGACTGATTTATTGGGCATGTGCTGATGCTACTCTTTGCCCCATAACAAAAAAGACACCCTTTCTCTGATCTGTTTTCTCTAAGGGCAGATTCCTGGGTCATCTCTGATCTGTCTGAAAAGAAGGATTCTAATCACTGGGCTTCCTAAGCAGCTGCTTCCTTCACCCCCTTGTACTTCACAGATTTCTGCATCCACTAAGCTGCCCTCTAGGCCACCACCACGTTTCCGTTCTTTCTAAACACGCAGCCTCTCTTTATTGTTCTTTTCAGAAATTAAAATCTTCATGCCTTTTAAAACTATTTTTATTTTGAATTATCCAAATTATACATTAATGCATGCTTGTTTTTAAGTTTAGAGTGAACTGCAGTTATCTCTATTAATATTTTAATGGTTTGTCCTTATGTGTTTCCAGGAAAGCATTTTTGCCTATGCAAAGTCACACACATGCATGCGTACACCTCAGTTTGTTTCATTTAGTAGAATGTTCTAATTTAAATTGTTTAAATTGTGCAAGATGTGTTCCTTAAAAATGTCATAAAATGTATACACAGAACTATGTTTGCGTATTAACTCCATTTTTTTTTTTTTTGAGACGGATTCTTGCTCTGTTGCCCAGGCAGGAGTGCAGTGGTACAATCTTGGCTCACTGTAAATTCCGCCTCCTGAGTTCAAGTGATTCTCCTACCTAAGCCTCCTGAGTAGCTGGGACTACAGGCACGTGTTACCACACCTGGCTATTTTTTTTTTTTTGCATTTTTTAGTAGAGATGGGGTTTCACCATGTTAGCCAGGATGGTCTCAATCTCCTGACCTCGTGATCCACCTGCCTCAGCCTCCCAAAATGCTGGGATTACAGGCGTGAGCCACCGCACCCGGCTGCATATTTACTCTTTAAACATTTTATTTTGGAACAATTTTGAATGTACAGAAAGGTTGCAAGAACAGTGCAAAACTCACCTATACCCCTGACTCAGAGACCCAGTCAAGTTTGCCAGTTGTCCTAGTGATGTTATTCCTAGCAAAAGGATCTCAGTTGTCAGATCCCTCCAGCTTCTATTAATTAGGCTTTCCTTGACTTTTATGACCTTAATAAGTTTGAGGATTACAGATCTGTCATTTTGTAGATTGTTACTTAATTTGAGTAGGATTGGTATTTCCTCATGATCATACGAAGACTGTGCATTTTTGGCAGGAATATCATAGACATAGTGCTGTGTTCTCATTTCCTTCTCTCAGGTGGCTCATCATGTCAGTCTGTCTCTTTACTGGTTCGCTTTTACCACTGATGGATCAAGATGGTGTTTGCTAGGTTTGTCTACTAATGGAGTTATTTTTTCTCTGTAACTAATAAGTATTTTCTGGAGAGATACATTTTCTGGAGAGATACTTTGAGACTGTGTATCTTGTCCCAATGTCATTTGCTAGTTTTAGCATCTGTTGACATTCCTGGCATGAATTATATTATTCTGACAGTGCTAAACTATAATTTTTCTTATTCCATCATTCCTTATACAAAATTAGTTGATATTTTCCTGCAAAGAATAGCTTTTCTTATCTTCCTATTTATTTGTTCAATTTATCTGTATCAGTGTAGACCCATAGATTACTATTTTTATCAGTGAGTTATAATTGATTGCTAGCATTATATATCTTCATATTCAGATTTTCTCAGATAGTAACCAGTTATAGCCCCTTTAGGCACATTTCAGTGTCCTTTTGAAATGTTCTTATCATTTTTTGAGAACTTCTTATTTTCTGGCACAGCTAGGCTTATCTCATACTTTCCCTGACCCCATCTAGAGTCACCCATTTCTTCAAGGTTCCGTGCCTCTTTTTAGTAGAGAATGATATTTAGAAACTAAGATCTGAACACTAAGTGTGCTTATTTACTACAAGAGTGTTGATGTTTCCAGGCCTTTAAGCTGATATAGCTAGGAAATACATGTGTATAAATATATGCAAAAATGTATATGTCTATTTCTGTGTCTGTTTATATATTGAAAACTGTGAATTTATGCCATTAGTTCCAATTCAAATCCAACACATCAGCTTCATTCTGGTTTCCCTCAAACCTGGCTAACATTATCTCTGATATATTTGCTGCTTTTCTCAGTCCCCTTTATGTGGCTAATTTCCCACCATACTGGGCCACTGTTTATTCCTGCTCATGCCTACCTAATGGATTTGGGGCCCTGGAGGGAACAAAAGAGGGCAGGAGGAAGGAGAAGATATTTTTACACATTCTATTAATAATGTTACATCATTTGTGTGTGTTTGTTGGAACAATATGAAGTTATATCTGGAATTGTTCACATATTAATATATATAAATCTACCATGTTCTTTTTAATAAGTACTTTCTGCTTATGTACATTTTTTTGCACATTTGTATATTGAAGGTCATTTAACTTACTTAATTTTCACATTTACAAACAATTGTGTGTTGCCTTTATTGCATATGTCAGATTTTTCTAGATTCTCCAATACAAAATTGCTAAAGGGTATTTGTGTGTCTGTCTTGTAAGACTGTCTTTATCTGAAAATATAAATTATATATATCTATAAAATTTTCATTTTAAAAGTAATAGAAAAATAATGATCAAGATGAAAACAATTTCATTATTACTAATAGCTCTGAATGTGTGAGTAAAGTTGTCATGTATATATGAACATAATTTTCTAGATTATAATATTTTATAATTTTTGTTGGACAGTTTGTTATTCTTGCTATCATTTTGGTTAAACCTCATAGGATTTACATTTTTCTTTCTTAGGTTATCCAAATGTGAAACATTTTTCTTGGGATAAATACTTAGAAGAAACCAATTCTTTACCTGCTCCTGCAAGAGCTTTCAAAGTGGTAAGATGATACATTTTATTAATTTGCGTGGATGAGATCATTTATTTATTGAAATTGAAGAACAGAACAAGATGGTATTAGTAAACCAGAATAGGAATGAGAAAAAAATAGAGCACCAAATAAGATGTTTTTGAATTTTTACAATTTTTAAAGTCAAAATTGTTACTGGAATTTTTGTTGTTGTCATCCAAAAAAATGCTTTGATTTTGGACTTTAAAGTCTCCTTGGAAAATAATTCTGCTTGATTCGATAGCATGTGGGGCCAGTTGTTGAAATCTTAAAGCAATCTTCTGTCTTTTTAGCTAGATGTTCTAAAAGACCAGAACAGAATATGAAAATATTTTTCAATAAAAACTGATGGATAATTGATTTGGATTTGTTTATGGCAAGCTGAGATGCTGGGTTTTTTAATTTTATTGCTGTAAATCAGCATGTTTAATTACCAAAATACAAGATCATCTGCTTTTATTACAGTATCTTTCTAACCCAGGGTCATTGCTTCTTGCATATAAAGTATTAAGATTCAAATGAACCTCATTTCTATGCAAGGAAGGAATAAGAAGTGAAATATATTTCTCATTTTTTCATCTCAAATAGCTTGCTTTATGATTTAGATTTCTCATGAATTTAACAGAAAAGAAAAATATATCAAATATTTATTTTTTTAAATGTGTCATGATGAGCTTATGATAAATAATTTTCTTTAAGACATCCTTTTATGTATAAATTGCTAGGATTTTTAATGTTAGAATTAATTATGAGGTATAGGTCCAAATTTGCTCTTAAAAAAATTTTAAGAGCAAAACCATAAGGCACGAAGAGAAACTATATCAAAAAATGTGTGTGATTTCATCTGATAGTAAGTTGAAGATTTAAAAAAGAAAACTGTTTAGAGTTATGCCATATTTGTGAATTTTTATCTCCCACCCTTTAACTTTAAATTCTTGTCTGATGCGAAGCAGAGCTGCATTACACTTCACTTTAAACGAATAAAATTACATACAGATCAGCCTACATGTCTACTGTCACAACAGAGAGAAAACAGATTTCTCTAGTTTGGTCTTTTAGGTGTCTTGCATTGACTGCTCTGTGTTATTTATATAACATACTTAATTTTCATGGCAACCCTTTTTTTGTTGTTTGAGTCAGGGTCTTGCTTTGTTGCCCAGGCTGGAGTGCAGTGCCATGATCTCGTCTCACTACAATCTCCACCTCACAGGCTTAAGTGATCCTCCCACCTCAGCTTCCTGAGTAGTTGGGACTATAGGCACATGCCACCATGCTGGGCTAATTTTTGTATTTTTTGTAGAGAAGAGGTTTTGCTCTGTTGCCTGGGCTGGTCTCAAACTCCTGAGCTCAAGCAATCCACCCACCTCGGCCTCCCAAAGTGCTGGATTACAGGCATGAGCCACCGCGTCCTGCCCAGCAACACTTTTCTTATACCCATTTTACAGAAGAGGGACCTGAAGCTCAGAAAATTAACTAATTTGCCTAACATTATGCCAAACAATCACCTTATCTTCCACTGTCTGTGAGTTTTTCAGAGGCTTATAAGTTTCTGCTGAGTACTGAGGCGTAGGTAGCTGTTGATTCCCCCAACCCATTCCTGGTTCTATCTTTTATGTTTGATTGCTAATTTTCTGTTTTAAAGATATCTTCTGCTTTTTGCCTCCATTACCACTTCTAATTTTGGTGTCTCATCTCAGCCACTTTAATATTGTTCCTCTCTCTATTTAAAAATAAATTTTATGCTTGTTGATTTTTGCCAGTACACCTCCAAATAATAAGAAAATTTTCTTGTCTTCCATCTGAGTAATCAAATAACTACAGTATTTTGAATTTTACTCTGCTATTTCCCTTGCTCGTGCATCTGTGTTGGAATTTTTTGACAGACAGGGTGAAGTTCAGAGCTACTCTGGAAAGTTGAGAATTTGAAAGCCTGGTTCTCTTATTTTCTTTCTTTATTTAAAAAATGACAGCAAGTTCTAACCATTTAAAATTTTTCTGTCTTCTTTTATGACATCATTCTCTAAATAGCCCAGCTATTTCTTTTTTTAATTTTTATTTTTTTGAGACAGTCTCCCTCTGTTGCCCAGGCTGGAGTGCAGTGGCACAATCTCACCTCACTACTCCACCTCCTGGGCTAAAGCAATTCTTGTGCCTCAGCCTCCCGAGTAGCTGGGATTACAGGTGCATGCCACCATGCCTGGCTACTGTTTGTATTTTTAATAGAGACAGGGTTCAGCCATGTTGGCCAGGCTGGTCTCAAACTCCTGGCCTCAAGTGATCCGCCCGCCTCAGCCTTCCAAAGTGCTGGGATTACAGGTGTGAGCCACCGCGCCTGGCCAGCTTTTTCTTCTTCTTCTTCTTTGTAACATCAAGTTTACCTTCTCTTCCTCTTTATCTCACTCTGTAAAATTTTTTTTTGTGGCAGAAACCTCCTCATGGATTCCAGAAAAAAATGAAGCTTGAGGTTGTAGACAAAAGGAACCCTATGTTTATTAGAGTAGCAACTGTGGCAGACACAGATGATCACCGGGTAAAAGTAAGTGTTCTGTGTGGGGGGTTGGCTTTGTCTTTTGTTATAAGATGTTTTAGATAAAAACTTTGGTAGATACTTAACTTGTGAAGTCCTGTAATTAGTAAAATCATAGGAATAAGCAAAATAATTGGCTGTGCATCTTTGTAAATCAGCATTCTTCCAGGTTTGTCCTTTAATCTGCATAAAACAATTTATCTTTAGTTATGAATGACTTAATATTTTGAGTATGTATTTGGAGAAAGAAAGTAGATACAACACATTAAAGTAGTATTATATTCAGAAGAAAAGATACTTCATTCTCTGATAGTATGCCCTTTTTTAAAAAAATTGAAGATTAATGTTTTTGTGGGGTAGATTAGAAGTAGTCTTTTCAGAGGAACATCCTATCTCAATATAGGCCAAGTAAAGATAAATAATTTCATGAATAAAATCAGATTTTAATTAGAGTAATAAAAGTCAAATGCCTCTTAAAAAGTAAGCAAATGTTTAGGGAGATGGGATCAGCTTGTTATGTCCAGCCATGATAAAGTGAAGTGGAGTTCAGGAAAGGAGCCAGAAGAGCTCGTCTCTGTTTCTTACTTCAGCATTAACTTCACCCTCAGACCAAAACAATGCCTGTTCTACTTAACTTCATAAAATTGTTTGGAATTTCTATTAGGAATAAGAATAGTTATAACAGCAAGACATTAAATGTACATGATGTTTTACAGGGTAACCCTGTTCTCATATTATTTAACATTTGTGGGAAGTATACATTGTTATCACTTTTACTGATGAGGCAGAGAGGCTCATAAAGATTAAATGAATTATTAATTACTGGCAGTGGCAGAATGACTTCTTAGTTCTAAGCTGTAGGAGTCTTAAGTTTATGCCCTTTTTAAAAAAATTACATTCTCAACTATCTCTAATAAGATAGTGTATAATAAAATAAATTATAAAATAACATGAAAAACCACAAATGTGGTATTTCTATAGAATAGAAATTTTAACATTTAGTTCACTGTTAAGATTATAGAATCATGTAGCATTTTAGAAAATTTTATAAATGCAAGACCTGTGCTAACCATATTTTCAAGTGCATTTTCTTATTATATTTGGTAGTAATGTAAGTCATAAAGCAATCAGTATTTTAGAACTAGAAGTATTTTTTAAAATAAAATCTAGACAAGTAATCAAATACATTTACAATTAAGTACAATATTACTTTTATAAATCAGATTGCTCAGAATTGAAAAAAAATATTGGTTCGACTGCATGAAAATTTAATTATCACATATGGCTGGTGGGAATGTAAAATGTCTCAGCCTTTCCAAAGAGCAGTTTGGCAATAGGTTAACAAAATCGTAGAATGTTGTTTATCCTTTCATTTAAGAATGTTAAGGGAATAGCCAAAAGGAATATGCAAAAATAAAAACTCCAAGGAAAATATATCAGTGCTGTTTATAGTACTTAACATTGGAAGCAACCACAGTAGCTGATGGGTAAAATGCATTACTCTTTATCTACATGATGTTAAAATTAAATATTTTAGAAGACTATTTAATACCAACAATTGAAAAATTCAGGTTTACATTATGTTATGATATCTGCTGTTGTTTTTTTTTTTACAAGCATACATATATAAGCAATTCTGGAAAGAATCATACCAAAGTAATGACAGTGCTTCTTTCAGGGTGCTGAAAGTATAAATGGTTAGGTTTTTTACTTGTTTAGTTTCTGGAATATATATTACTTTTATAATTAAAAATGTAGATCAACTCTCTTATTTTACATATGAGAAATTTTTGGCCCAGAGAGGTCAAGTATGCTCAAGTGGGTGGTTCAGTTAGTTAACAGGAAAAGTGTAGACTAGAATCCACCTCTTACTTCTAGCTGGATTCTCTAATACAACATCCTGGTCAGTCCATAACACCCCAGAAATACTGGCTGTGAGGGGTACAGTTGACAATTATCTTTTGGTAATTACTGGAATTAATTTCATAGCTGAAGATGAACCATGGAACAAATATCTGAGTATTTATGAGGTCTTTAAAAGGCTTGTATACAGGGGTCAGTGACTAAGTTTCAGAATTCATCAGAAGCTTCTGAGAATATAAAAAGCCTGCAACAGTAGGAGTTTATCTAATAAGTGGGAGATTAGACAGCAGGAAAACTCATCTTTCTTTTTTAAGAAGGAAGAAGAGGAGGAAAATGTAGACCAAGTTATTAGTGTAGCTTAATATTTTAAGTTTTTCAGGGATAAAATCAACTCAAGTAAAATCATCTTTTAAGATTACATATTTCACACCTTGAGCTATTATAGTAAAACATTTTAAATTGTTCTATATTTGATCAGATGACATTGAAGAAAAATGGCCTAGAATGGTTTTGCTCTCATTTATGTTTTTAGTAATAGAAGATTATTCCTGCCTCATTCCTTCCCACTCCCCAGCCTGGCTCCCCAGAGGCAAAAACTGTCAGCTCTTTTAGCTCTTGCTTAGGACCTTTTTATCTGTAATTTTCTAAAATATTACCTATATTCTACTCTTTCTCAGTTCATCAATTTTAAATATGGTTTATTTTCTTCATGTTGTGGTAATTCAAGATTTAGATCTTGCCCTTCTTCCCTTCCCCTTATCTTTTCAGTAGTTATTTTACATTGTTTTGTTCTCATTCACTGTTGAGCAAAGTAGTCTTCTCCTTGTGACTATTTTTTTGGGAGTCAGTAATTTGTTCATAGTTTAGTTTTTTTGTCTTCTTAGATTTTTACAAGTGCAACAGTGGATCTGACATGCCTTTGAGTCAAAAGCTCAAGTATATTTTTCAGTACTCTATCTTTTTATTATTATTATTATTATACTTTAAGTTCTAGGATATATGTGTACAACGTGCAGGTTTGTCACATATGTATACATGTGCCGTGTTGGTTTACTGCAGCCATTAACTCGTCATTTACATTAGGTATTTCTCCTAATGCTATCCCTCCCCCTGCCCCCCACCCCATGACAGGCCCCAGTGTGTGATGTTCCCCGCCCTGTGTCCAAGTTTTCTCATTGTTCAGTTCCCGCCTATGAGTTAGAACATGCAGTGTTTGATTTTCTGTCTTCGTGATAGTTTGCTGAGAATGATGGTTTCCAGCTTCATCCATGTCCCTGCAGAAGACATGAACTCATCCTTTTTTATGGCTGCATAGTATTCCATGGTGTATATGTGCCACATTTTCTTAATCCAGTCTATCATTGATGGACATTTGGGTTGGTTCCAGGTCTTTGCTATTGTGAATAGTGCCGCAATAAACATACATGTGCATGTGTCTTTATAGTAGCATAATTTATAATCCTTTGGGTATATATCCAGTAATGAGATCACTGGGTCAAATGGTATTTCTAGTTCTAGATCCTTGAGGAATCGCCACACTGTCTTCCACAATGGTTGAACTAGTTTACACTCCCACCAAAAGTGTAAAGTGTTCCTGTTTCTCCACATCCTCTCCAGCATCTGTTGTTTCCTGACTTTTTAATAATTGCCATTCTAGCTGGCATGAGATGGTATCTCATTGTGGTTTTGATACACATTTCTCTGATGACCAGTGATGATGAGTATTTTTCACAGCAAAAAAAAAAAACTACCATCAGAGTGAATAGGCAACCTACAGAATGGGAGAAAAATTTTACATCAACACTCTATCTTTTTCTTTTTTTCTCGAACTCTTTCTCATACTCAGCAGCCACCTATTCCACTGTGGGTGGAAATACTCTAAGCCTGGTACAAAGCTTTCATCCTGACACTTCTCTTTGCTGACAGACTAGATTGTATTTCATTTTCCTGGATCACATACTTTGCTTTTCTTGGGGTATTCTCTTATCTTGCTGACACACGTCTTTTCATATTTTCTATGGGGTTTTGATTCTAAGATTAATTTATTTCTAAGCTTAAGAAAGACTCATTGCAAAGAACATTATTTTAAGCACATATATATATATATACTTTTACTAACTGCATTCTATTTCATTATATGAATATACCATAATTTATTAACCAGTCTCCTGATGATGGGCACTGTGGTAACTTCTAGTTGTTTTCTAATACAAACAATGAGTTATTGAGATTATCAAGTCAAAATTAATGTCGTTTAAGTGCTCGACTGTTATTACCAAATAGCTTTCCAGGAATATCTCAGTAGTTAACACTCTTGTCAGTGGTCTATGAGAACACCCATTTATTCTCATTCTTAACCAGCTGTAGGAATTACCAAAATGTGAACATTTTTAACAGGCCAATAGGAGAAGAATTGTATCTTGTGATTTTAATTTGTAGTTTTTAAATTATAAGTGAAAGCAATTGTCTTTTTTCTTCTTCTTCTTTTTTCTTTTCTTTTTCTTTTTTTGAGACAAGGTCTCACTCTGTCGCCTAGGCTGGAGTGCAGTGATATGGTCTTGGCTCACTGTAGCCTCAACCTCCCAGGCTCAGGTGATCCTCCCACCTCAGCATAACTGAGTAGCTGGGACTACACTTAGCTTTTATTTTTATTTTATTTTTTTTGTAGAGATGGGGTTTGCCATGTTGTCCAGGCTGATCTTGAACTCCTGGGATCTAGTGATCCTCCCTCCTTGGCCTCCCAAAGTGCTGGGATTACAGGCATGAACCACTGAGCCTGGCCTCAAATTTATTGTCTTTTCATATATTTACTAAACATTTATATTTATGTTTTGGATAATGAGCTATTTGCCTCCATTTTTCATCTTTCTGTAGGGTTTCATCTTTTTGTGCTGATACATCATATTTTTATAAATTGAGGAAGAGAGTTCTTGACACAGGTGTTGCAAATGTATTTTGGGGGGTTTCTTGTAGGTCTTTCATTTTATTTTATAATACTTGCCATTCTGAAGCTTTAAATTTTCATGTAATCAAATTGATCAGTCTTTTACTGCTTTTGAGTTTGGTGTTTTGCTTACAAAGGCTGATCCACTCTGTGATTACAAATAAGTTCATTCACACATTCTTCTCGAATGTTTATTGTTCAATTTTTAGTGTTTGACTTTTTTATCCCTCTGGCATCTGTTGTCTTGTAAGGAATGAGAGGTTCATAGACTTCTAAAAAGAAATCTAACTGGCAGACTTGTTTTTTTAATATCCTGTGATCAGTTGATATAACTGGCAAAGTTGATTTAAAAATAAAATATCTAAAGCATTTCAGTATATCCCTTCATCCTAAAAGGTAAAAAATATATAATAACCTAAAAAAAACATGGTCGATTCCTAGTGACCATCACTAGAAGACCAACTGCCCTTTCACACAATGGCCATAGAGATGGTAGCAGTGACTGCTTTATAATAAGACATATCTTTTCACACTAGCTAAGATATGGAAGGAACCTAAGTACCCACCAGTTGGAGGAATGGATAAAGAGAAGTGGTATATATACACAACGGGATATTATTCAGCCATAAAAAAAGAATTAAATACTGTCATTTGCAACATCATGGATGAACCTGGAGGACATTATGTTAAATGAAATAAGCCAGGCACAGAAAGACAAATATTGCTTGTTCTCACTCATATGTGGGAGCTAAAAAAAATTGAACTCATGAGGACAAGAGGGTACAATAAGGGTTGCCAGAGCCTGAGAAGCATAGCAGGGAGTAGGGCATAAAGTGGGGGTGATTAACAGGCGCAAAAATAGAGTTAGATAGAATCAGTAAGATCTAGTATCTGGTAGCACATTAGGGTGACTACAGTTAACAATAATTTATATATTTTTAAATAACTAGTAGAATTGGAATATTCATAAAACAAAGAAATGACGAAAGCTGGAGGTGATGGATACCCCAGTTACCCTGATTTGATCATTATACATTATATGCCTATATCAAAATGTCACATGTACTTCAGAAATGTATACCCATAATAATTAAAAATAAAACAATAATAGAACACATATTTGAGAAATACTGTAGTTATTTGCAAGGAAAAAATGATATCTAAAAACACACTGGGTGGAGGGATATTTCGTAAATTGAATGTGTGTCTAGCAGGCTTTTTTTTAAATCATTTTCAACACAATTGCAGAAGGCTTGACATTACTTGAAAGGTCCTCCTTTCCTCTCCTTCCTCTCTACCCTCCCCTCTCATCTTCCCTCCCTCCCTTCCCTGAATTTTTAACTCCTTCTGCATATTTATTGGGTGCTTGATGTTGATCATATGAAGATGTTATAACAGTTCCTGTTCTCATGTTGCTCATGGTGTTGAGAAATACACATAATATGTCTGTAGAACTGTTGGCCAAAAAGTGCTTTTGGCAGGGCCTTTATGTCTGGTTATATAATACATTGAAGGTGGTTCAAAGATGTCTTTTTTTTCACATTATGAGTGAAGTATTTTGAATAATTGAACTGATTTATTGGGTTTTAAATCTACTGTATGTGTTAGAATGAAAATGGTTATGCTGTGGGCAGAACTTTGACTGTAGGAACTTTTATGACTTAATTTGTACTGTTAATGTCCTTGTGTCATCCAGGTTCACTTTGATGGCTGGAACAATTGCTATGATTACTGGATAGATGCAGATTCTCCTGATATTCACCCTGTAGGCTGGTGTTCAAAAACAGGACATCCCCTTCAGCCTCCTTTGAGTAAGAGACACGAATAGCTTGTATAAATGTTTCCATTTCCATATGTAGCATTCTTAAGATTTCATCCTTAGCCCTTTCTTTTTCTCCTCCTCTCTCTACTGATGTTTCTTCTCTATGTAATCCCTTCCTTTTACTACATTTTAATTACCACGGTCACAGAAATATAAATGGAAAAAAAACTTAATGCCTGAAAAAGTAAAGCGTGTATAGACATTCTGTTTTATTTAGAAATAAATATCACCTTTTACAATTAGTGTTGAATTTTTGGAAGACAATTTGTGAGACTTTCAAAATTTATTGTTTCAATATTAGTATTCTGATAGTAATTTTATATGATAGCTTTGCAAAACGTTAACATTGGGAGAAACTGGGCAAAGTGTGAAGGAGAGCTCCTTATGTATTATTATTTACAACTGCTTGTGAATCTATAATTATCTTAATAAAAATCTCAGTTAAATTCAAATTTTAGAAAAGGTACGTGGAGAACTTAACATACCACGGCCTTAATTTTGGAGTAAAATGTATACATTATACAAAACAAATGTAGGAAATACAATAAATTATTATCAAGTTTTTAAAAAATTTAGTGTACTTCTGTATCCAGTGACTTCACTTCTGGATGCTACATACAAACTGCATAAGGGCACATGTACATGGCATTCAGTGTAGCCTATTTAGAATAACAAAGCTTGGGGAAAAATATTGGTTAAATAAATTTTGGTGCACTATGCTGTAGAAACTATGCAGTAGTCACAAAGAATATTAGTATTGCAACAGAAAAATTTGTAAGACAAGAAGTTAAAAACCAAAGAAGGATATTGGGCCTTTATGTGGCAAAATAAAACATCTGTGTTGTGCCTTTTATGTGGCAAAATCAAACAAAACCGAATGTGCCTGAATGCTTAGAACAATTTCCAGGAGAGCCCACACTAACATCAGTGGTCAGAATGAGGGAGGGTCTGCAATGTAGAAAGAAGAGCATGGAGGGATCTGGAACTGTCATTCTGGATTCTTCTATAGTACTTGAAGTGTTCACAGTATGTGAGTATTCATGCTTTAATTATGTTATTTACTTAATAAAAGTTGTTTGACTCTTCTTGTTAATTCGTATTTAGATATCTCTGGACTTTATGACGTTTTGAAAGATTGTTACGTCAAAGTTTATCATTTCATTGTTGAAGAAAGATAACTAGTGTGAATAGTCATAAGGAAAAACCTTTAAACGTAGCGTCTTTTAAAATATTTTTCATTTTTATAGGATCTACTTTTTCTGTTTATGTATGTTGGTTAAAAAATTGGATTTTTAGGGAGTCTTTTTCTTCCTTATTCTGATCCAGACATTTGACTCTTCACAGATTTTTGCTTAATATTTTGCCCCTTCTTTCTTTTCTTTGCTCTTTCATAGGCCCCTTAGAATTAATGGAAGCTTCAGAACATGGTGGATGCTCAACCCCGGGATGTAAAGGGATTGGCCATTTCAAGAGAGCGAGACATCTGGGCCCTCACAGGTATGTGGTAGCTGTCACTCACTTGGTCAGATATAGGTGTTCCATATACATGTATATATAATGAATTTCATATATACTAAATTGATGTGAACTAATTTTAAATTCAGATCCATAAGAAATGTGGTTACCATGGTGATCATGTAAAAATGAAGGGAATATCTATAGTAAAATCTTCCTGGGAGAAAATGCATTCACAGTTTAAAATGGATTTACTCTAGCTTTTTGGCTTTTCTTGGCAACCTGACTAGATTTACAAATAGTTAGTTTCTGCAGTAGTTATTTTGCATTGATCATTAATAATGAGAAGAGGGGAGACTCCGTTGATATCATTTGGTAGAATATTATCTGATTGGGTGACTTGATAATTTGAATAATGAGAGATGAGATGATTGTAGATTAACAGCAAAGATCACAAAATGCACAATATAAATAGTCAAACATGAGAGTGCATTGGTCCAAAATGCATTTTAAAATATTTTTCTCTTACCCCTAAGTAACTTTAAAAAAAAACCAAATTTATGCATTTGAAATGTGATGTATTTGGTGATTTAGGGATCTTTGTAGAGAGTTAAAAATACTACTAAAGTACAGCTACTTGGGAGGCTAAGGTGGGAGGATCACTTGAGGCCAGGAGTTCGAGATCAGCCTGGACAACATAGCAAGATCCTGTCTTTTAAAAAAATATTACTGAAGTACTAAGAAATTCCTGTGATTCAACTGGCATTTTTAAGGAATAAATGTATCACCTATTTAGGTATGTTTTAAAATAATAATTTGTCGGTATAATGTTCTAACTACATAGTAACTGGATTGCCCACTAAGCAAAATGATTCCTTGTTTATCTAGTTTGTACAGGTTGTGAATCTAGGTCTTTAAAAATTTTGAAGATTACTGTACCTGTTCCTCCAAGTATTAATAGGAATTGCAAAATTGTTGTAATTATTTTCATGTGGATATAGTTTTCTCTTTTTTTCATCTCTGCAACCTCAAATCTTCCTTTTTCGAACAACTCTCCTTAATGTTCTATGAGGTTCAGTATGTTCCAGAGTGAGAAGTCTGAGCATAGACAGGATGATGATGATTCCGTTTGCAAATCCTTTTTGTTGCTTGTCTGACTGCAAACCAAAATTTATATGATACATCTTGGAAGTTATTAAATATTGCCTAGTGAAGGCAGCTGGATTTTCAGCCATTATGTAAATCTAGATGCCAGAAATAATTCATGAACGTACTAAATTTCCATTATTGTTTTACTTGTTTTGTGTTGCTATAATAGAATACCACAGACTGGGTAATTTGTAAAGAAAAGAAATTTATTTCTCACTTTCTGGAGGCTGGAAAGTCTGAGATCCAGGGGCCAGCATATGGCGAGGGCTTTCTTGCTGCGGAAGGTAGAGGGCAAGAGAGCATGTGTGAGAGAGCTAGAGAGGGCCAAACCTGCTTTTATAACAACCGCTCCCATGATAACAAACCCACTTCTGCGATAATGTCATTAATCCATCCAGGAGGGCAGAGCCTGATCACCTCTGTATTGTCACAGTGGCAATCAGATTTCAACATGAGTTTTGGAGGGGGTATTCAAACTGCAGCAATATGTTTAGAAACTCAGTAAATATTTTCGAGCAGCATTTTTTCAACAAGAACTAATATTTATTGAACATTTATTTACTCTGTGCAGGATATTGCTCTAATTGCTTTACATATCTTGGATACCCTTTGTAACAGCCCTATGATATAAGAACTGTTTTTTTCCCCACGTTTTGGTGAGGCCACGGGGGGTACTGGGGAGGTTAGTAACTTGCCTTACTTCCCAACTGGGGAGAAGGGAACTCTGCTCTGGACCACTCCCCTCTAATGGCCTCTCAAGACACTACTCCATAAATTAGTCACAGACCCAACCTTCAAAGAATTCACAGGCTGATGGAGCTATAAAAGCTGGACATAATTTAATTAAAACATAAGATACCAAATAATATCAGAACTTTGGCACACATCCCTTTCTGCTGTACAAAGTGTTCATTGGAGCAAAGAGAATTTGTTCAAGTTGTGAAGAAAAAGAACAAAGAAAATTTTAAAATGAGTAAATACTAACAGTATGTTGTTGAGGTGCAATTGGAGGTGAAACAAAACTTTTTTTGGTCTTCTGGAAGGAAGACACACCTTATGGCAGTGTCCATGGTCTCCTTAGGACTGCTTTACGTTTGAGTGGAGAGGTTTGCCTTTCACAGCAAGGCCCGTGGTGACAGTTGTGTCCCCTCCCTGATGGCCCAGCCATTCATCAGGACTGCCTTTCCCCAAGTGTGCAGGTGGACCTCCGAGGGTTCCTCAGCTGGGCCACACCCATTTCACCAAGTTTCAGTGGTTATATTTAGAGCATTTCTTCATAGATGCAGTGTTGTGCTTGTTAAGAGGATTAGTGGAAGACTTTATAGAGGAATGTGGTAAGGAACCCTTTCCAGTGGAATTAGAATCATAATAGAGAATTACTCATTTTCTTGGAAGGAGAGGCAGAAGTACACCTGATGGTTTAAAGGACAAGCATTGATAAAGAACCCGTATTCATTTTCTTATCACATATAGAGAGCATAACTAGCAGATTTTGTGCCTTGGGCAGAGTTGTTGGTTGACTCGAGCCCCTGGACCAAGGGATGCAATTCACAGAACTCCTGGAGGTCCCAGTTTCTGCCCAAGTGCTAACATCCCTTCTCCTCAGTCTTCGAACTGGATTTTCTTAGACTCCCTGACTATGCTGTCCTATTTACAGCACTTAAAGCTCTTTTTCTGGCCGGGTATTAATCCTTAATAGGCACAGCCTGTTTTCCATTTCATTAGTAGACTTGTGGAGGAGCTTACTGTGTCGTGGATATTCTTTGAAAGGTTTATTTCACTGGCTCTTACTTTTGTTCTTACTAAGAATGCTGTGTTTAGGAAAACATAATGAGAAAATTCTCTTTGGATTAATTACTGAGAAACTGCATGTATCAAAACATGCACTCTTTGCATAGATAACAAAGAAAGTTGCTATTTTAGCAAAAATAATCAATTTAATGAACACATAAGCAAGAGACTTTGTTTTGACTAGCGTTTGTTGTTACCTTCTCTGAAGATTACAGTGTTTGAATTTGATCTAAGAAGTGTTAAAACAAAACGTGTCTA
This sequence comes from Homo sapiens, assembly GCF_000001405.40. NCBI lineage: Eukaryota > Metazoa > Chordata > Mammalia > Primates > Hominidae > Homo > Homo sapiens. The sequence goes on from NC_000006.12 coordinate 130,097,524, forward strand.
AACAATGAAGCTTGATAATTTAACGTTTTTTAAAATGGTGAAATATAAATGATCAGTGAAAGAGTTGGAGATGGGTATGGTTTTCTCATCTGTAGGGGTATTCAGGAGCCAGATTGCTTAATTCCAACTCTCTAGCAAGGGAACATTAATATTGGTTGTGTCACAGTGTTTCCCTTTGTCACTTCATTTATTTGGCCTACCGAGAGAGGGTAAGGAATGGGAAGAGATTAAAGGAAATAAAGTTATATAAAAGTAGACATTTGGCCAGGCGCAGTGGCTCATGTCTGTGATTCCAGCACTTTGGGAGGCCAAGGCAGGCAAATCATCTTAGATCGGGAGTTCTAGACCAGCCTGACCAACGTGAAGAAACCCCATCTCTACCAAAAATACAAAATTAGCCGGATGTGGTGGTGCATGCCTGCAATCCCAGCTACTCCGGAGGCTGAGGCAGGAGAATCACTTGAACCCAGGAGGCAGAGGTTGCAGTGAGCCAAGATTGCGCCACTGCACTTCAGCCTGGGCAACAAGAGCGAAACTCCATCTCAAAAAAAAAAAGTAAACATTCTGCACATCAAGTGCCTTCAGAACTGAATCTTTTCTTTGTAAGATTTGGTCTTGGAGAAATTAAACAAGAAAAGAGAAAGGAATGTTTTCAGAAACACCTAAAGGATATTAATGAAGTCCATGGAATGTTTTCAACATTAGTAACTCTTGGTATGCCCCTGCAAGCTGTAAACATCATATTAATTCACCATGCATCTATCCGTGAACAAACCTTTGTTAAGTGCCTTCTTTATGTCACCTGCTGGGTTAGGTGAGGGACTGTATAGAGGAGAGGGTCCCTCCTTCTAAAGAGGCCAGTCTGGTGTAAACAGATTCTCATAGAGGCAGGAGTGGAGTGGCGCTCAGAGAGAAGCGTCAGCTTTTTATGAGGGAAGCAGAGCATTCATAATGAGGTATGTTACGGAGTTTTTATTGCTGTTTACTTTTTGCTGATGTTCTTTTTACACAATAGGGGTTAAATGTCACTCTTCTTTTTAAATAATAATAATCGGTGGGATTTATTGATGACTTCCTATGTTCCAGGCACTGCTTCAAGGACTTAATGTGTGACCTCATTTGGTCCTCACAGGAGCTCTGTGAATGTTAGGCACTTTTCTAGTTCTTGTTTTATAGATGAGGAGACAGAGAATTGAAATGCTTAAGGAAGCACCTGAGATTGTACATTGGCGGAATCAGAATTCAACCCAGGCTTGTAAGGCACTGAAGTCCCTGCTCTTAACTGCTGGGCATTCATGCAATGCACAGTGGCCTGATAGAGCCTGCCTCGTGTGTTTTTCTTTTTTTTTTTTTTTTTTTTTAACTGTTTTTTGTCAGGACAGAGTGCGAAAATGATTGTGCGAGAACTTAGAAAACTGGAGATGTTGCCTAATTGTTAAAAATATACAATTATTGTATATTGTATATTTTATTGTATAAAAATATACAATAAAAATTACAATTAAAAGGGTTTTTAAGGTGGCATTGGAGAACAGTGAATAAGGCATCCTTCTACCACACCTAATGAGCTGGACCAGCCTTCCCTAGAAAAAAACATTCTTAGAGGAGCCAGTGGGGCAAGTATTTGCATATTTAGCTGATATGTGAAATAATATGCTAATAGTGTAGGATGCACCTCAATAAAGTACTTAGAGTAGAGAACAGTATCATCCTATGGGACTCTGTTCTTCTGCTTGCTGAGGAGTTGCATAATAGTAAAGAGTTGTACATATACATGTGCACGTGTCTAACCATGACAGAACATACACACGTTATGTGGTAAGCCACACCTTATTAAAGTTTTGTCACTAGAAACTTAGTACGTGAGAAATTAGAAGTCTATAAGCCTAGTGAGAACCAACTTTTTCCATAGATGTTTAATTAGCACTGGTGAGTTTTTTAAAGTTCATATGCAGTTTTAGAAGTTAACAATTTTGTATCTGTACATAACAGAACAAATATGGAACAGAAAAAGCAACATTTCTAACATGATGCAGATCACATATGTCACTTGTGTTCTTTGAAGTGACACAGGAGTCGTTCCAACTCCTCAAAAACATAATTGCTTGTGAATTTTACCCTAATTTTTATTCCAAGGGCTGGTTAATGGGAATAGATGAAATAGTGAAATACTTGACCCACGTTCTATAGGTTGGCTTTTGTTTTTAAAGCCATCAGATAAGATTATTTACAAAGCTCTGTGACCTTGAGCCAATACTTAACTTCTTTGTGCCGGTGTCCTCATTTATAAAATAAATTGGTGACAATAGTATCTGCTTAATAAGAATAGTGTGATAAGTAAAGGAGTTAATTTTGGAACAGTGCCTGACACTTCCTAAGCACACAATCCATGTTAGTTCTATGAGTACAGGCAGCAGGCAGTGGCATCTTGCTAGAAGATGGTACTCTCAGATCAAGTTCATTGTCATGGGTTAGGAATAAGGAAATTCTTCAATGTGCAAGGGTACTATTCACCCATATAGTATAGTGGTTAAGAGATAGCCACAGTTCCTAATGTAATTCCATCAGGAACTGATTGAAGACACTAAACAACATCCCTGTCTAAGCCCCAAAGGAACTACTTCTTAGGATTGTGAGAATTAAATAGGTAATGTAAACATTTGGCCTGGGTAATGCACTTAATCCGAGGTCAGTTTTGTTACTACCATCCTCATTTTACAGATGAAACAGAATCTCGGAGCCTGTGCTTGCTCATTATTGAGTGGAGGATGAAGCAGCAGAGCAGGGTCAGAACCAGGCTCCCTGATGTCCGCCTCCATGCATGTCCAGTCACCTGAGCTCCTTTTGCATTTTGTGGCGTTCCATTTTGTCATCACCTCCCACTTCAGGAGCCAGCTGGCTTTCCTCTTTACCCCAGAGTAGGTGTGAAAATGGGAGGTTTGTTGACCCTTTTGACTCTTCTCAGGGTTCAGAGAAAGGAGGTTAACATAAAATCAATAGCTGATAGGCTACCCTTGGTAGATCATTAGTAAATCACTGCTTTGAGGGCTTTGAATGTTTTTCCCTGCTTTAGGTTGAGATTTTATAATTGAAATTACTCTCTGGTCCTAGCAATCTATTTTCAAAAAAAAAAAAAAAGATATTTAAATGGTAAGTGTCATAATGGCTGCAGTCTTACCCCTCTCTTGAGCTATCCAAGTTTACATATGGTGATTTAGAGAGATATTCTTTCATTTATTCAACAAATAGGTGACGATGCTGCCCTCCTAGGGCTTAGAATATAAATTGTCTACACTGTAACTGTAATTAGTGCTAAATTGGGGACCCAGCCCATCTAAGAATCCTGCGAGTCTTCCCATTGTCGAAGGTGGATGAGGTAAAGAAGAGAACCTGTCACTTTCTTCATATACAGTAAAATTTCAATTTTAATATATATACAGTTATTTAATAATTGTAAGGCCAAGCGTATAACAATGAATGAAATGCTGGTCATGATATTCGAGGAATAGCTTGCATACAGTTTATTTAGAGAAACTAAAAAAGTCCTTAAATTGTTATTATTTTTTGCTGCCACGAAGCTTAAGTAGATAAATTTGCAACAAAAACACACAATATAAGGAACAAATAATAGAGTGGAGTCAAAGATGGTGAAGACCTGAGGTTGGGTTAATAAATTTATTTTGTCATAAACAGAGTCAGGAACAGTAGGAGGAACTAGTTGTGTTTATCTTTTGGGAGAGTGAATTTTTAATCATTTTTGGGTGGAGGGGCGTGATTTGTTAAAGGTGATAAAGTTGTTTTTAAACATATTTATTGTGAGGTGACACTGAGACATCTGAGTAGAAATGTTTAGTGAACATTTGTATTTTCCTTGAAGTCAAGGTGATGTTAGGTCTGACACCTCCTACTAGGGAGCCACAAGGGACCGAGGCTTCCCTTTCTCAGGCCTTTGGCAGTTTCATTGTGGGCAGGAATCCCACACCCACCAATCAGATGCTGCCATCCGGGCTTTCCATCTTGAGGAATGAGGTGAAGGCAGGTCAGACCTTGCGATTGCAGCCTCCATGGAACTGAGGACTACACCAGGGCCTGGAAAGGGCAGGGGGACTGAGAGCAGTGGCGTGAGGGCCACATGCCCAGCAGCCTCCTCCTGTGCAGATCGTTTTGAGGGAGTGTGTTGCTTGTACCCTGCTTCCTACCCAACCCTGATTTTTCTGGCCTTCCTGTTGATCTGTCAAATGCCCTTACAGTGAGTGTTTTCTGCTCAAGTTAGGCAGAATTGGTTTTGGTCACCTGCATCCATGAACTCTGAATTAGGATCCCGTGAAACATATAAAGAGACATCATAGTTGGGAATGGATTTTCCTTCACATTATTACTAAATGAATACAATGAAATACTACCGTCTGCCCATGCTCATGGCGATGCGTGAAATAGTGTGTTCATTTTGCTGAGCTACTTCATTGCTATGTGACCTTGGGCAAGTAACATCTCTGCTTGGATGTCTAATAAACAAATTCCACAATTTCTGATATTACCCCCAAATCATCTTCTCCTTAGTCATTCTATCTCAGGGGGAAAAAAAAAAGGCACCTCTGTTACCACCAAGTTCTTCAAGCCAAAAACCAAATGGCCATTCCTGAACTCTTCCTTTCCATTGCTTCCCATCTCCCATCCATCCACAGGTCTTCTTGGGATGACAAAGGATACTGTGACTCTCTTCTTCATTTTTGCCCCATCTCAACCACACAAATCCAAGTTACGTCATACCTTTACTCTTGAACAACTTTTCTTTCTTCAATTTTGTCCCATTGGAATCTTCTCTGCTTTCAAAATCCTCTCTCCAAAAAGAGAAATAACTTTTAAGTAACTTTTCTTGCTCCAGTTCTGTCCCTTGAAATCTTCTCTGTCTTTAAAATCTTCTCTCCAAAAGGCATCCTGAGTAATCCTTAAAATTGTAAATCAAACCTTGTCATTCTCTTATTTGAAGATCTTCCATCAGCTTCAGATGTAATGTTTGCTAAAAATATAAAGTCCTGACTGGCCTGCTAGGCTCTACATGATATTTGCCTGCCTGCTTCTCCCGGTTCATCTCATCCCCATCACACTCTAGCCAACCCTGGTCTCTCTTTCCCTCAAACAAACCAAGCTTTTCCTGTTGGCACTGCTCCTCCCATCCCCTGGAACATTCTTTCCCACATTGTTTCCCTACGGATCTTCTTCCTGACCATTACAGCTCTGCTCGGGTGCTTCTTCTCCAAGGAGGACCTTCCTCACCACTCCGTCATAGCATCCTCACACCCTCTTTTATATCATGGTATTTCTTTTTCATGGTGTTTATCACCATATGAAGTTATCTAATTTATGTGTATAATTGTGTACTGCCGATCTCCCCCTGGAATATCAGCTCCGTGAAACCAGAGAGCTGCTTTCTTGTCTTTTTATTGTCCACTGAGTTTCCAATGCCTGGAAAGGTAATTAGCACATAATAAATGCATGATAAGTGCTTCTTGAATAAATGAACGAAATAAAGACTGAAGTTACTTAACTGTTGTAAGCTTTAATTTGTTGCATGAAATGCTTTTTTCTGGGATGTTGGCAAGATAAAGTAAAATATTGCATGTAAAGCACTTAGCACAGTGCTTGATATATCATAAGTGCTCCATAAATGTCACTGGTTTTTGTTTTTGTTGATGTTAAGCTAACATTATATAAATTTATGTCAGCACATGATCAGATGTTATTTGCTTTCTTCTTTTGGATAGATACCAGTGTAGACTAGCAGTATTTAAAGAAAATAAAGTTAGAATTTTTGCTTATGAGATATCTGTGATATATCTTATAGGCCATTATCAGAATCACCTGGCAACCCTTTTAACTCTTCCCTCCTTTTCCTAGGAGGGTGTATCAGATTCTCTTGGTAGAGGGTAGCTAGACACTGTTTAAAAATTTTCCCTGGGTGATTATCAACATTCTCACTGTCATCTACACTGAAGAAAAGAACATAGAAGATTCTGATGTAATTTACCTAAGGCCCAAACCATTTCCAGATTTAAGAATGCTTCCCAAAAGCAGAGAGGCAAGATAGGCAGTTATTTGGGGAGGCCCATGTATATTGGGGTCTGAGATACAGCAGTTGCCCAGTTGTTTCAGAGACTGGAATGCTGAAGACCTGGGCACAGGAGTATACTAATGGTGAATTAACAGTGAGTGACCTCAATTTCCTTTCAGGAATGATCACCAAATGAGACCTGAGAGACCAACTGGTAGTCACAAATGGAAGGGAAATGAGCTCTGTGCATCATTATCCAAGTTGGCCTCTGGTCCTTTTTCATCTTATGAACAAGATTAGCTACAAATTGATCCATGTATTTTCTAGAACATCAGGCATAGGTCCAGACCTGAACACAGGGAACAGCCCATGAGGAAACCTCCTTCCTTTGGAGGGTAATAACTATTAAAAAAGGAAATTAAATAGCGTGTGACTGCCCTGGTCCTGGAGGATCCCCTTAGGAAGCAGAAGCAAATCTGCTCCATTAACCAATCAATCAGTCTCTCTCCCACCTTTGTCCTGAATGATGTCTTAAGCATTTCTTTCTTGGGGCTGATTGTTTCCAGAGATATGCACAGAGGTAATCCTTCAGTGACTCTTGCTCAGTTCTGAAGATTGCAACAGATTCCTTCTTAAAGTCTAGTGTAAAAACCTATTTCCTATTTGTATATATTTGTTATGTTTTAAAGATAAAATATGCTGTATGTATGATTATAAAATATAACAATATAACATATTCAGTTAAATTTTAGAATTTTATATTCTGTATCCTGTCATTTTAATTGGAAGAAGTATGGCCTAATGGAAATGTTCAATGTTCTTTTTTTTTTCTTTTCTTTTAATCTGTTAGTGCTGCCAACTGTCCCTATTCAGAAATCAATTTGAATAAAGACCGTATTTTTCCAGACCGCTTAAGTGGTGAGATGCCTCCGGCTAGTCCGTCATTTCCAAGAAATAAAAGGACAGATGCAAATGAAAGCTCTTCTTCCCCTGAAATCAGGTAATCAAAGAGCTAATATTAGCATTGTTTAGAAGTACTCTAATTTAAAGAGATTTTTTATCTTTTAGATATTTTATTTCCTATAGCAATGTTTTCTTGGAGATTGTTGAAAATACACCTGACTTAATGTGAAATGATGGTAGAGATCAGTACTTGAACTTAAAAAAAAAAAATTAGAGAATTGATAAAAGCATGTCCAAATCAGGCAGGATTTTTCTCTGACTCATTTTTTTTTTTTAATTTGCTTGGTGTTAGAGGTAGGAATTTGGAAATTCCAGTCATTTTACTGCATACCAGTTAATATTTCTGCATGAATTGATCAATACTTACATAGAGTCAACCTTTATCAGTAAAGTAGTGGACTGGTGAAGAATGGACATTATTTCTTTTAGTGCTCATTATATGCCAAGTACTTGCATATACATTATTTCATTTAATTATTAATATGTTAATTGTTTTATAAGCCCAGTCATTTAGTTTTTACTTGAGTTGGAATGTTTAACCCCAGTGGTTTATTAAGTGAAGAACCAAACTGATACATCTTTAAGCAAGTGATCCATTCCCTGATATTAACTGAGGATGCTATTAAAAGAAAGAACAGATTAGGAAAAAGACATTTCTTAATACTTAGGTTTTGGCTTTCTCTTTTATGAATTACTTTAAAACCTAAGGCTACCTAGTTTATTTTTATATTTTATAATTTCCGTTATTCTGGATGAACCTAGTGGGCATTTAAATCAATGCATTGTCATAGGAGTAATGGCATTTAAACTAAAGGATTGTTTTCTTTATAGAGAAGCAGTTTACCCTTTGGATGGAGTAGGGGACACCTACAACTTCTTCTGGTATTAACAACAGTGATGGTTTTTTAAATCCTTAAAACCACGACTGATAACATAAACTCATTTACCAAATCCCAGCATCCAAAAATGAGGGTCACTTGAAAAAATTTACCAGGATCATTTGAGCCTGGGAGGTCGAGGCTGCAGTGAGCCAGGATCATGACACTGCACTTCAGCCTGGGTGACAGAGTGAGACCCTGTCTCAAAAAAAAAAAAAAAAAATTAACTTTAAAACATATAACGGTTATTAACTCATGTAGACATGATTATAGATACAGGGTTCATTGACTAAAACGGTGGTAAGAATACGCTTTAGATTTCAAAATTGGTTTTAAAAAATTTAAAAATTGTTTATTGTTTAAAAAGTATCAACAGAATACTCAGAAGGGTTGGTAGTGCCTGTTGTAGGTTTTTCAATAATTGTCTGGTTGCTTGGTCCAAATACCTGGAGCCAAAGTCTTCTCACAGAGCAAAGAAGTGGTTAGTTTGGATGATTTTGTGGATTCCTTTTTGGCTGTAAATCCATATAAGAGTAGAGTAATCTTTATAATGAGTCTAACCGTTTCGGTGTTCTGTCTTCTGTTCACGTGTGGTCCTGGGCCTTCCTCATGGTCAGCATTTGTGATCAAGGAAACAATCTCAGACATTTTAAAGTTTTCTATTTATAACCCATTGCACATATTTCATGTCTAAATATTTTTAAAATGATATTTTTGCCTATGCCTATTAATACTTATCATTAGTAATTACTACCTATTAAAACCTAATTATTGATTACCTAATAATTATTACCTATTAATAATTAAATGAAATAATGTCTGTGCAAGTACTTGGCATACCATCTTTTGAGTCAATGAGGTCTGACCTGCCATTACTTTTCCTTGTCTTTTCACTGTTTTTGTAACTTTTCTGCAAAAATGAGTGGGTTTGAAAGTTCCCATCCTCTCTCTGGGGTTTCAATGAAAGCCTTTACTCACTGAGACCTTGAATTGACTCACTTAGGATTGTCACCTCCACTGTCAAAAATAAAATGAAATGTATGTCCTTGCTCTATATCACTGTATATGTGCAAAGCAGTACTTTAGTTTGTCAGTTGAGCCTCCCTTTCTGCCACTTCCCCTTTTTGCGGCCCTGGGAATCAAGCAAGAAATGAAAATGTCCGAAGCAGCCTGTGAGCTAGTGATCTGCTGAAATGGCTCCACTCAGAAGGTGTTAGTGGTAGGAAGTTTGATTACCATTGAGGTATGCAGCAACGCTGGTCTTAGAATTCTTCTCCTAATCATCTCCTCCCCTTCCAAAGCTCCCCATCTTCCATCCTGACTCACATTTTTTCCAAGAGGTCAAAGAGCCCTTCTCCCTTCCTGTTGGTCTCTTATAAACCTTAACTTTGAGTGTAACCCAAGGCTGGAAACATATCTTTAAGAGGTAAAGAAATGCCCTTCCACTCATTTCCCAATGGGTTTCCTCCTTTTCAGGAAAATCCTGAGCATGCCACATTACTAGTAATCTTATGTTTTGAATTGTGTGTATGCATGTGTCTTAATCATGTCAAAGTGTCCCATTTGATTATTGTGAAAATGATCAGAGGTGTCCATGTCTAACCCTTGAGAAGATACTGGCAGAGTAGCAATGACCATCCTCTGGCCTGAGATCAGCCAGGAGTGAGAAGCAGTGGTAGGACCCAATTTGTCCTAGTGTCATGACTTGATACCTCTCCCTAGACACCCTGGAGTCTTTTTCTTAAGGGTTCAGAGGTGAGTGCTCTGTAGAGGTGTTCATAGGTTGAACTGTATCTTCTTGACTCACTCACTTTCTGTACCAGGTTTGGCCAAAACTACAGTTTTAATATGTAGGAAATGTAAAAGAGCTACAACTTAGACTTTCTAACTATTTATTTAGAGTTTTATATTTTTTCTTTCTTCTTCCCACATAACCAGGATGCAGTAAGTCAGTTCCACCTTGGATAAATCAGCAGTATACAAAGAGGTTGAAAAATAAAAAAGGTTATGAGGATCCTGAGCTTTCTGTTTAACTAAAAAGAATTTAATGCCTTAAAACCTAGAGGTAGCAAGTAATCTCATCTTCATTGAAGCTTCTATAATTCCTGTAAAGTGTCTATAAAAGTAAAACTAAATGACAATAAATACTGATATATTAAAAAAACATTTGTTAAGCATTTTCTAGGTGCTATACTTGGTGTCCCATACATTATACAAGCATGGTTCTTGTTTCTTCTGGCAATTTTCCTCAAATGTTATCTTCCTGAGCAAATGCTGTCAGTGATGCCAACCTTTTTTCTGTTTAGTACTGTCTTAGTTATAGTTTAAGGTACATAAACCAGTGAGAGACACTAAAACTTTGGAGGTAGAAAGTTGATGCAACTAAACTCTCTTAGGGGTTTTTTTCCTCCCATGCAACTTTAACACTTGGCTTTTTGCCATTGTTCTGCATGCATGGCCATCTAAGCTCTTAATGTAGCTCTGAAGATTAGTTCTGTCTTTGATGCAGGCCCAAGGAACAAATGAGTGAGTGGTTGAAGCCCAGCACAGCAAGAGCAACACCATGGTGTTTTCTGTTCCTCCAGAAAAGAGCAGCAGAATGTGGTGATTAGGAACATGGGGCACTGCTTGGATTTAAATCTCGGCTTCCCTACTTGCTAGGTTTATGATCTTTGATGAATTACTCAATAGCTCTTCACTTTGAATCTCATAATTTATGAGGATTACATGAGATGAAAAATGCAAATATGAAGCTCTTGGAATAGTGATTAATAAGTCATAAGCCCTCAATAAATGTTAGGTGGTTTTTTTTTTGTTTTTTTTTTTTTTTTTTTTTTAGATGGAGTCTTGCTCTGTCACCCAGGCTGGAGTGCAGTGGCGTGATCTTGGCTCACTGCAACCTCCGCCTCCCAGGTTCAAGGGATTCGCCTGCCTCAGCCTCCCGAGTAGCTGGGATTACAGGCGTGTGCCACCACGCCCAGCTAATTTTTTGTGTTTTTAGTGGAGACGGAGTTTTACCATGTTAGCCAGGATGGTCTCAATCTCCTGACTTCCTGATCTGTTGCCTCGGCCTCCCAAATTGCTGGGATTACAGGCATCAGCCAATGTCCCCGGCCAAATGTTAGTTTTTATTAGTGTTGTTGAAAGAGAAATAGATTACTTTGTTTCATTATATGTCTTTTATTCCTTAGGAGCAAATGAATGGCTGGACCATTTGTTTACTATATTTTTTTTTTGGTGGGGGGAGGATTTTATTTTATTTGGTATTTATTTATTTATTTTTATTTTACTTTAAGTTGTAGGGTACATGTGCAGAATGTGCAGGTTTGTTACATAGGTATACATGTGCCATGGTAGTTTGCTGCACCTATCAACCTATCTCCTAAGTTTTAAGCCCCACATGCCTTAACTATTTGTGCTAATGCTCTCCCTCCCCTTGCCCCTGTCCCCCGCTGACAGGCCCCCGTGTGTGATGTTCCCCTCCCTGTTTCCGTGTGTTTTCATTGTTCAGCTCCCACTTATGAGTGAGAACGTGTGGTGTTTGGTTTTCTGTTCCTTTGTTAGTATGCTGAGAATGATGGCTTCCAGCTTCATCCATGTCCCTGCAAAGGACATGAACTCATTCTTTTTTATGGCTGCATAGCATTTCATGGTGTATGTGTGTCACATTTTCTTTATCCAGTCTATGATTGATGGGCATTTGGATTGGTTCCAAGTCTTTGCTATTGTAAATAGTGCTGCAGTAAACATATGTGTTCATGTGTCTTTATAGTAGCATGATTTATAATACTTTGGGTATATATCCAGTAATGGGATTGCTGGGTCAAATGGTATTTCTGGTTCTAGATCCTTGAGGAATTGCCACAGTGTCTTCTATAATGATTGAGCTAATTTACACTCCCACCAACAGTGTAAAAGTGTTCCTATTTCTCCACATCCTCTCCAGCATCTGTTGTTTCGTGACTTTTTGATAATCACCATTCTAACTGGCATGAGATGGTATCTCATTGTGGTTTTGATTTGCATTTATCTAATGACCAGTGATGATGAGCTTGTTTTCACATGTTTGTTGGCCACAAAATGTCTTCGTTTGAGAAGTGTCTATTCATATCCTTTACCCACTTTTTGATGGGGTTGTTTGTTTTTTTCTTGTAAATTTGTTTAAGTTCCTTATAGATTCTGGATCTTAGACCTTTGTCAGATGGGTAGCTTGCAAAAATTTTCTCCCATGCTGTAGGTTGCCTGCTTACTCTGATGATAGTTTCTTTTGCTGTGCAGAAGCTCTTTAGTTTGATTAGATCCCATTTGTCAATTTTGGCTTTTGTTGCAGTTGCTTTTGGTGTTTTAGTCATGAAGTCTTTGCCCATGCCTATGTCCTGAATGGTACTGCCTATGTTTTCTTCTAGGGTTTTGGGTTTTACATGTAAGTCTTTAATCCATCTTAGTTTAATTTTTGTATAAGGTGTAAGGAAGGAGTCCAGTTTCTGTTTTCTGCATATGGCTAGCCAGTTTTCCCAGCACCATTTATTAAATAGAAAATCGTTTCCCGCTTGCTTGTTTTTGTTAGGTTTGTCGAAGATTAGATAGTTGTACATGTGTGGTGTTATTTCTGAGGTCTCTGTTCTCTTCCATTGGTTTATATATCTGTTTTGGTACCAGTACCATGCTGTTTTGGTTACCGTAGCCTTGTAGTATAGTTTGAAGTCAGGTAGTGTGATGCCTCCAGCTTGGTTCATTTTGCTTAGGATTGTCTTGGCTATATGGACTCTTCTTTGGTTCCATATGAAGTTTAAAGTAGTTTATTTCTAATTCTGTGAAGAAAGTCACTGGTGGCCTGATGGGAATAGCATTGAATCTATAAATTACTTTGGGCAGTATGGCCATTTTCACGATATTGTTTCTTCCTATCCATGAGCATGGAATGTTGTCCATTTGTGTCCTCTCTTATTTCCTTGAGCAGTGGTTTGTAGTTCGCCTTGAAGAGGTCCTTCACGTCCCTTCTAAGTTTTATTCCTAGGTGTTTTATTCTCTTTGTAGCAATTGTGAATGGGAGTTCACTCATGATTTGACTCTCTGTTTGTCTATTATTGGTGTATAGGAATGCTTGTGATTTTTGCACATTGATTTTGTATCCTGAGACTTTGCTGAAGTTGCTTATCAGCTTAAGGAGATTTTGGGCTGAGATGATGGGGTTTTCTAAATATACAATCATGTCGTCCACAAACAGACAATTTGACTTCCTCTCTTCCTATTTAAATATGCTTTATTTCTTTCTCTTGCCTGATTGCCCTGGCCAGAACTTCCAATACTATGTTGAATAGGAGTGATGAGAGAGGGCATCCTTGTCTTGTGCCGGTTTTCAAAGGGAATGCTTCCAGCTTTTGCCCATTTAGTATGATATTGGCTATGGGTTTGTCATAAATAGCTCTTATTATTTTGAGATATGTTCCATCAATACCTAGTTTTCTTTGCTATTCTTAAGTTAAGCTTTGAATAGATTGCTCAAGCAAGAGATTCCCTTAATATCACATTACTCACCTGGATGTAATTTCCCACTCAGATTTTAACAAATTTTCTTTGCATTTTTCTTAAGAATTTACTAAAATTTGGTTGCCAGACATTATGATTTTTTTTTAATGCACTTTGCCACACAAGAGACAATTTGCATCCTTGGAAGCAAACTCTGAGACAAGGATTTAATTGCAAGTAGTTTACTTAGTAGGTCAAGAAAATATCAGTAGGCAAGTAAGGAAGTGATGCAGGGAAGGGCAGACAGCCAGAAAAAGCTTAGTTGTCACGCTGGTTACCACCATGGACAGCAGGAACACAGACCTGCTGGGAAAACTCTGGAATTTCTTGTAAATTGCATATCTCAGAGTTAGCCCACCATAGGGATGAGGGAGCTGAACTACTGAAACACCAATTTCCTTGAACCAGAGTGAGGCTGTACATGTTAATTCCCCAGCACATCCTCCCTGCCACACAGCAGGCCAAGCAGCCAGAGCCCAGGGAAGTCCTGCAGGAAATCAGCGCAGGTGAGACAGGTGGATCAGGCTGGTGTGTGCTGAAGTGAAGCTGTGGGCTGTGGCATCAACCCAATGCCTATTCCAGATGCCAGGCAGTCCCCAGAATGAGTGATGTGCTGACGTTGCTTTTGATTCAGAGCTTATTTGTAATAGGACTAGCATAAGTTAACAGTGTGAGGAATGAATGTCCTTTTCCTGTCATAACATTATTTTAAAGGTCACCTGCTCAGAATAGAGCCATGGGCAGCTAATGTTCCATCACACTCATTCCCAAATTTGGCTTCATATCAGATCCCCTGGGACTTCCTTAAAACTCAGATTTGAGGTCCTATCTTAGCCCACCACATTCTGCCAGGCTAGAGCTTTGGAGTCCAGACTCAAATATTTATGTGAGTGTCTGTCCCCCTGCTCAAAACTCAATGACTTCCCGTTATTCTTGGAATTAAGACCCTAATTCTCAGCATGGCCTACAAAGCCTTGTGTCATCTGGCCCCTGCCTAACTCCTGCTTTGTCTCTGCAGGCTCTTTTTTCAACCTATGCTTCAGCCACCCTGTCCTGAGATACCTCCTTTCCCTCTGTCTAGATCCTCTCTGTGCCATCTCCTAGCTAATCTCTCATCTTTGGGGTGTCAGATTCACTCTCCTTTCCTCAGGGAAGCTTTATCTGATCATCCAGATTTTGGACCAAGTCCTTCATTACATGCTTTCTCATCTCACGTCCCAATGCTGTTGACGTTCTTGGGTAAACACCTCTGTGTACTTTGCTTGATGATGTGCTCCATAAAGGCAGGGGCCATGTCTTTTCTTACTCTCCGAGTTGCCCTAACCTGAGCACACTCCCTTGCGTGCAGTAGTGACCTCGAACCATCCATCTGTCTTCCATGGACAGCTATCAGTTATGTAACCTAAGAGGCAATAGCTGTATAACATTTCTGTTCAGTTAAAACTCCTACACTTTGAACTGTGAGATCACCATTCCAGATATGTAAGGAGTGATTATTAAATGTTGAGATAAATTCCCCAAAAACATACCTGCACTCTCTCATTAATTAGAGTGGTATGTCCCAAACTGTTGTTGTTTAGTTTCCTGGCCCACATAGAAAATGATACCACAGAAATGACAATGTTTGTGTCGAACACCAAAGAAATGGATGAGGCTGCCTACCAGTCACCAGAGAGGGATGCAGCGGGCTGTGGGGATCAGTATCTCAGAACATTTGTACCCTAGGATTCAGGGCATCCTCATCGGGAAGCTCTGCCCCATATTAAGACGGTCCCACCCTGAATCCACCTGGTATGCCGAATGCTTGGATCTCTTTTCCTACAGAGACTTGTCAAATGGGTGTGAGTGAAGGGAAGTCCCAGTGCCTCTAGATAGAAATGTGAGTACGTGGTCCTTATAGACAGAAATGTGAGTATGCAATCCTATCCCAGTGATCCATTTATTCATCAGAAGTATGAGGAGTGTCTTTTGTGCCAGTGCTTGCTGTGAAAAGATGCTTTCCTCACTGTGGACAGTGGCAGCTCATCTCTGCCCTCACGCTGCTCCTAGAGGCAAGATGTTGAGGCATGGGCTCTACCAGTGAGTGGAGTAGCTTTTCCTGGGGACTGATAACTTAAATCTCTGCATATCTACAGCTGAGTGAAACAATATATGTGTTTCTCTGTATGTCTTAATAAAACTGTGGGTCTCAAACTTTGATTTGCACCAGAATCATTTGAGATGCTTGTTAAAAATGTGGCTTTTGAGGCACTGCTCCCGGAGGTACTCATTCAGGAAATGGAATTCTTGTGTTCATAAAAATGAAGGCACAGGAATCTTCATTTTTTAACCAGCCCTCCCAGGTGACAGATGCAAGTAGTCTATAAATCAGGCTTTGGGAATCACTACTGAATGAAAACACCCTTTTCAGGGGTAATACTTCACAATGTGTTATTAGTTGGGAAACATCGGGCATCCATCCCACATAGCCTTGTTCTCATGAAATCTATTCTATAGCTGCTTATAATTGTGTTCTAAATTAGGTACTATCTCTATTAAAAATCACTTAATGTTTTGAGCTCCCATGTTGTTTAAGCCTGCTAAACATCAGCCACAGAAACACAATAAAGCAGCTTTAAAATGCCTGCCAAATGCTTAGATTACCTTGCAAGGCAAATGCCCACTGCTTAACTGGTCTAATGGCAGAAATCAGTCTGTTCAGTTCATTATAGGCCATTAAAATGGCTTCTCAAGTTGTAAGACCAGTGTTTCCACTATGAGAACTACATAGAGCGGTTGCAAGAATTGCAGACATCAATCTGGTTTATATTTTTAGCACGAATCCAATTTTGCTAGTCACACCGAAAGCCGAGTCTGTACCCTGTTAAACAGATAGGAAAGCAAGCTAACATAAAGTATGAAGCTAAAAGCATATATAAATCTATTTGCTTTGCAAAACTATCACATCAAATAGAATAAAATCAATTTAGAGCCAACCATTCTAAAAGATTACAAAAGTTAATTAGTAAACCTTGGGAAGTTGGTTTTTTGCCCCATGAGGTCTTCTGGGCCGAGAGCTTCATGTTGAATATCGGCGAAAGTAATTTCAATGACTAGGCATTCTCTGGCTATTGTAAAACCTCTTCTCCCTTTTTGTTGATGGGCTTCCAGGTATGAATTAGGAGCTCTGGAAGTGTTTTCCTATTCTAGCTCTTGAGAACTTGAGTTAAATCTGTGTAGTTGTTTATGTACCCCAAAGAGTAGCTTAGTGTTTAGTTAAAACACTCACAGTTCTGATGCCAACCACTGTGACACCAAGGCAGCCATTCAAAGTGCAGGGATAAGATGACTGTGTTATTGCTATATGCCTGTGAAGTTGTTGGAACAATATTGTAACAGGATCTTACTCTATCTCCTTGAATATCACCAATTTCTGACTCAGGAAACCCTTTTCTGTAGAGTAGAAAAGCGGTGACATCTGTTCTCTTTTCCACAACAACAACAACAAAGTAATAGAGTCTCACTCTTAAGAGACATCATCTTTATTTCCCAAACCTCACCTTATTCGTTAAGGCTTTTCATTTAATAAGAGGATTAATTGCTGAGTTTTTCTGGAGGGTTTTTCCTTGTTATCTTGGTAATACCCACCTCATTTATTCATTATATTCCTTTTATTGTATTCTTTCACTAGCGTATGGTCCTTATGCTAAATTATAATTAAATAGGCCTGTTAACCAAAATGTTTTTATTCATTAGATACACAGTAAACCATGTTTACCTCTCCTGGGTGATGTTTATGAAAACATAATTCAGTAAAACCGTTGCTGTTGTATCATCTCAAAAGGAATTTAATTTTAAAAACTCTTTATTTGAATGTTACTCATAGTTGCAGAAGTTTTAGTCCCAAGTCCCACTGGTTTTATTTGCCATCTTTTTCTGAATCCCTTCGAAGGTGGTGATCTCCTTGACCTGAAGCTCCTCAAGTACAGTCGCTCTTCATTTGTACGAGGCATTTTGGAGGCAGTTCAAGTATTCTTTTAAACTTTCTTTAGAGAATGTGGAGATTCTCATTCCCTTATGTTTTTACCTGCGAGTAAGTCACAGCTCAGAAACTTAAAAAAAAAAAAAATGCTGGGAGCATGCAAAGAGACATTCTTTTGATGGCCAAAACAGAAAAACTACATTTTTTAGAGCTCTCTGGTAGTCATCTTCCCCGCTTGTTACTGGGGAAGTACAAGTCTCTTTCAGTTCTGCAAAGGCCCCATGAGACTAGAATAAGCTATTTTGAAAAGAGAAGGGTGGCGTTATTTTAAACCAAGCCAAACTAAGGAGTGAACTTTCACACTTGAGCTGCCGCAAGGTAGCCATGTCTCTGATGCTGGGCCAGCAATAACTGTCAATCCGAGCTTCCTAACCTGGTTGGCAAATATTTCAATCTACATGGCAATCTGCATCTGCCTCCTTTCCTGCTGGACTTAAAGAGGTGGCGGAAATCGATAAATCCCTAAATTGGGGCAAAATAATTTGTTTTTCAATATTTTTTAACAGACTGGAACTAATTGAAACGTAATTGGTTAGAAATTGTTTTTATATGACAAACAGACTTGAAGAAATACAGCTGCACATATTCAACTGCCATCCTATGCATTTACCATTCTAATGTCTGTTTTACTAATATTTATCACAAAGCATAATTAGATTAAGACAGTAAGACCTCTAAAAAGTGACACATAATTACAGAGAAAAAGAAAATACTGAGTCATAAAGAATACATTTTTCCATTCAAGTGGATTCCACTGTCTTTATTAAAAACCAAAAGTATTCTTGAGTAAGATTTCACTATGATTGTATTTCCATTCAATACAACTGAAATGTATTGAATTGAATTGAATTGTATTGAATTGCAACTAAAGAAATATTGCAGTAAATGGCTTCTTGAAAATTCTGAAATTCCAAGAGAAATTGCTGTTTTCCATGCACTTTTTTTTAGGTGCTTTTACCTATGTGGGTGCATTTAATCTTCATGATACCTTATGTGGTGTAGTTGCTATCATCACACCTTCATTCTACAAACATGGAACCTCCTTTGGTTAGAGGCCACATAGCTAGTCCGTAGCAGACCTGGGTTATAACCCAGACAGTCTGACTGTAGTCTGTGCTTGGAACCATTACTCTAAAAGCTATTTTAATAGTTGAAGAAAGGTTAGTTAAAGACAACAGGTGTCAGTAGATAATTTTATCCTACAATATAAGTAATTTATAACTAGGAATAGCTGCTGTGCATCATGCTCCTACTTAAGTGCCTGGCTCTGTGCTAAGTGCTTTCTATACATTATTTTATTTCATTCTTAACATGCCCCTCTGACGTAAAGGATTTATTATCCTTGTTTTACCAATGATGTAACTGAGAATTAGACAAATTAAGTAATTTGCTGATGGTCGTGTAAACCTAGTGAGTAGCAGAACTGAAATTTAAACCAGATCTCTTCACTTCCTAAGATCATATGTGTAACCACTATTGCTGGGCTGCTTCCTCCATGTTAAGATTCATGCACCCAGCTGCAGTGTGGGTAATCTCAATGCTTTGAGAGGGTGAGGCAGGAGGATTGCTTGAAGCCAGAAATTCAGACCAGCCCTGAGCAACATAGTGACACGCTGTTTCTACAAAAAAATTAAAAATTAGCCAGGCATGGTAGCGCATGCCTGTAGTTTCAGCTACTTGGGAGGCTGAGGCTGGAGAAGCACTTGAGCATGAGTTTGAGGTTACAGTGAGCTAATGATGGCACCACTGCACTCCAGCCTGGACAGTGGAGTGAGATCTATCTCTTAAAAAAAAAAAATCGCACACTTGCGCCTAAGCAGCTTGTACCCTCTTTTGAAACGAAATTGTTGATAATGAAAAATGTTGATCAAGGAAAGCAGGTCAGGAAATGTTTAGGTTGACAATAATTGTGGTATTAAAATATAGCATGAAAATATTTCTGGTTGTCATTTTTATTTTTTTTATTTTTTTTTCCTCTTATTTTTTATTTATTTATTTATTTATTTTTTTATTTTTTTATTATACTTTAAGTTTTAGGGTACATGTGCACATTGTGCAGGTTAGTTACATATGTATACATGTGCCATGCTGGTGCGCTGCACCCACTAACTCGTCATCTAGCATTAGGTATATCTCCCAATGCTATCCCTCCCCCCTCCCCCCACCCCACCACAGTCCCCAGAGTGTGATATTCCCCTTCCTGTGTCCATGTGATCTCATTGTTCAATTCCCACCTATGAGTGAGAATATGCCGTGTTTGGTTTTTTGTTCTTGTGATAGTTTACTGAGAATGATGATTTCCAATTTCATCCATGTCCCTACAAAGGACACGAACTCATCATTTTTTATGGCTGCATAGTATTCCATGGTGTATATGTGCCACATTTTCTTAATCCAGTCTATCATTGTTGGACATTTGGGTTGGTTCCAAGTCTTTGCTATTGTGAATAATGCCGCAAATCTGTCAAGAAGCATATCTTTTACTCTGCTCCAGAGTGTACTGTAACATTATCCCAGAGTTTTGGCATTCTGATATAATCATATTTTGTCTGTAATTGGAAGACTATGTAGCTAAAATAACATTTTGCTTAGGAAGTTGAAATTCTAGAACAAGGATTTCATTTTTGTGTAGAGAAAGATTCATCACAGTGCATATTCAGCCAGAATTTGCGTAATGAAATTCTACCTTATAGTAGAGAGAAATAATGGTTGTCCAATTGAATAAACAATTTTTCTTGTTTTTTTCTTTCTGAGACACAGTCTCACTTTGTCACCGAGGCTGAAGTGCAGTGGTGCAATCATGGCTCACCGCAGCTTTGTCCTCCAAGGCTAAAGTGACCCACCTGCCTCAGCTTCCCAAGTAGCTGGGACTACAGGCGCATGCCAGCACGCCTGACTTTTTTTTTTTTTTTTTTTTTTTTTTTTGTGGAGACACAGTCTCACTGTGTTTCTCAGGCTGGCCTCGAATTCCTGGACTCAAGCAATCCTCCCGCCTCAGTCTCCCAAAGTGTTGTTATTAGAAGCATGAGCCACTGTGCCTGGCCTCAATTTTTATTTTAAATAAAATGTAAAACAAATGAGAATACAGAGTCAGTCTCTTCATTCCTGACCTTATCAATGAAAGACAATTTGGAGAATAAGTTTATGGCACAAAAAGCATGTTTCCCTTAACTTCATATATCATACTTTATTTTAGAAAAACACAAGTGTAAAAATAAAAGACGATTGAATCCAATTGCAGATTTTGGTGTCAAGAAGAACGGGTGCTATACTCGCCCTGTGAATTTAGTCTTAACTTCTCTACATTTCTGTGGCTATAGTAATAAACCTTCCTTCAAGGCGTGTTATAAAATATGGGGCATGTAAAAAGCTCAGTCAGTCTTTGGCTCATACTGTGTTCTTAAGAAGTGAACTTTTCTTATTAATATTAACTGTTTCCACATGTCTGGATGTGCTCGATTAAGATTCTGCTCGCTCCAGTGGTTCTATTCACCCATCTGTTTCATAATGCCTGTTCTAAGAGACTGTGCAGATTGACCCCGTCTTCCACCTTTCCACTCTCTAGCTAAAGGAAACAGCACATAGAACCTCAGGGGTATAGGCGCTTTTAATTTGAAGGAATTTGCAGAATCAATACATTAACCTGAAATAAAACATTCAATAAACATTTTTTGTGGAGTTCTTCATGTTTGGTAAAAATACATATCTGTGTTTATATATTCCCAGGTTTGTATGGGTCCAATTTAATGAAGTGTCATGAGTTAAAACTGGGACAGTGAAAACTGAACATGCTTCTATAATGAAGCAACATAAATTATGTAAGACTACATAGCTTCCATTCTGCTTCTCTTTTGGGATAGGTTATGTCAGATCCAGGTATGAGGAAATTTTTTGGGTCAAAGATTTTACTTTCTTATTCTATCTCTGTTCCCTCTTGGAAAGTGATCTTTTTCTTGGAGTTCAGAAAATAAGTAATTGTCATTGTATTCAGGCATAAGAAAACAAGGGAACTTTTTTCATAGCTCAAGTCTTCTATCTTTATTTTAACAAAGCTTATTTTAAAGGAATAGTATACTTTAATAAATCCACAAAAGGGTAACTGCTGATTATTGGTGGATAATTGTGATCCTGAAAACTGAAATATACAGAAAATTTTGACTTTTTAGCTTTTGGACTCATGGTGTTTCTCTCTCTATTTAAAAAAAAAATATCAACTACTCATCAGAGCTTCTAGAAAAGCCACAATAATTGGAAATTTGCTTTATTTGGGAAATGCCAATTTTAAGTTATATGACTGTAGTGTATGGTTTTTAATAATAATTGATATAGCCATCTACAAACTATTTGTTGACCACAATACTTTCTGGGATAGAATTTGTGCACTCAATATTATTTCCAATTTAATATAAAACAAATTTGGAAGTTCATAGAAGTTAATTTTAGCATGGTAAGCTAATTTTAACATGTTGTAATTACCAAGCATAGCTGCAGCATTATTTTTACATAGAAAACACAATTTTTATCAATACTTCAACTAATGTTCTTTCTCCAGTTATCAGTGATACTCTTACATTTGTTTTTACCGTAGCTTCATCCTTCTACTTTCTGTGGAATAAGAGACCCTGTTGCCATTTAATTGATTTCTCTTGGAAAAAAAAATAATGATTCTCCCCCATTTTCAAAAGAGCAAGTATACTTCAGCAGTTGTAGCAAGTTGTCTTTAGCATGAACTAAGCCGGGGAGTTCAGATTCAAATGAAATTTTGCATTTGCTCCTGGAAATGATCTTTCTTAAAAATAGTATCTCCTCACAGGATAATCACAAATAAACAATACATAATTTAAAAATAGCAGTAAAAATAGAAAACATGTATTTATTGCATGCTTACTGTGTTAGTGTCATTGTGTTAATTATTATATTTTCAAATGGAGACTCAATTAGTGCCTTTGTAATTAAAACTATAGAACTCCTTTTATATTTGTTGGGATATTTTGTTTCAAATGTATTTGCCCCGTTATTAAAACTTAACAGAAGTATGCTCTGGATCTTTAAGAAACTCACGTATATTTGTAACGGTAACAGCATGTATGAAACAGTAGCACATCATAAACACAGAATACTATAAAGCACTAAAGTGTGTAGGCCAGATAGCATATTCTGGATAGAAGAAATTGCAAAATGGGGTTTATTGTGAACCCTGAGAATGGAATACATTAGGTTGAAAAATTTTAAGTCCCTGAAACGTAAGAAAAGTAGTTCCTTTTTTTAAAAAAACAAACAAACCCGTTTTTGCCCTTGACATAAGGAGAAAAGCTCTGAATTAAGACTGTAATGGATCTATTCCATTTTGGAGCATCTCTGGCATGTTTAGTTTAGCATTAGGTTACTCCTGGTCAGAAAGAGGTGAAATCACTTCAGCGGGTGGACTTGACCTGATTAAGCCAGGAAAAGCTTCCTAGAATTGGGATTGATTCCCCCAAGCCAGTCTTAGCCTCCATCCAAATCCCAGTGCTGAGTCGTATATAGTGATTTAGTTCAATGGTGTGGACTTCCAAAACGTCTTCTTTCTTTAAATAGAAGTCTTACCAAACTGTGTAAGTAAAATTCCACATGAATACATGTCCCAAATTGTAGTTGAATTATTCAATAGCTACATTTTCCAGAATAGTTCATTTTATTATCTTTAGCTTTAAATCTTCTTCCTGAATAGGAAATGAAAATTGATAATGAGGAAAATGGGCATTTATAGGTGTTATTAATTAATTGCCTTGTAGGAGAACTATATATCCTTTCTAACACTTTAGTAGCATCCTTTGGTTTAAAATTAGGAAAAGCACTTGTTGAGATGTAGTTCTGAACCATTTTTTTAAAATGTTTCTCTTATAAAATATTGAAATGCCTGTTTTTCTTAGAGACCAGCATGCTGATGATGTCAAAGAAGACTTTGAAGAGAGAACAGAAAGTGAAATGAGAACATCACATGAAGCCAGAGGTAGCCATAATAATTCTCATATTACTAATGTGTATTACTGCTAATATGAAACAATCAAAGCCTTAACTGGAATACAACAGTCTCTTTTATGTTAAAAATGAATTTTATTTTTTATTTTTATTGTTTTATTTTAGGTTCAGGGATACATGTGAAGGTTTGTTACATAGGTAAACTCGTGTCATGAGGGTTTGTTATACAGATTATTTCATCACCCACGAATTAAGCCCAGTACCTGATAGTTACCTTTTCTGATCCTCTGCCTCCTCCTGGCCTCCCCTGGCAAGTAGACTCCAGTGTCTGTCCTTTCCTTCTTCGTGTTTGTAGGTTCTCATCATTTAGCTCCCATGTGTAAGTGAGAGCATGCAGTACTTTTTTTTCTGTTCCTGCATTAGTTTGCTGAG
This sequence comes from Homo sapiens, assembly GCF_000001405.40. Lineage (NCBI taxonomy): Eukaryota > Metazoa > Chordata > Mammalia > Primates > Hominidae > Homo > Homo sapiens. The sequence continues at coordinate 130,121,360 of NC_000006.12, forward strand.
AGTAATAGCCTCCAGCTCCATCCATGTTCCCGCAGAAGACATGATCTCATTCTTTTTTATGGCTGCAAAAGATGAACTTTAAGTTTGGTTAACTTATTCTTTTTTGCAGGCAGCAAAAGTTTATTGTTTAGTATCAATATAGTATGTAATTTTTTATATGGATTCATTTATGGTCTGTATTAACAGTCTCACATATTGGTACAATATTGTACATAAAGTTTGGTAAGACATTCTCTTAGGACCTTGTCACACATTTTCTTTAGTATTGTTGATATCATTTGCTTCCTGTGTTTAAAACGCAATTCAGAATGTGTTTTGAAATCCAGATAGAATATTGTCTTAATCTAATATCACAAAATGAAAAAAAAAATTCCTTGAACAATGTTTTAAGTTGTATTGGAGGAAATAATTTGTCCTACATCTTTGTTAAAAATATATTGCTTTGGGAGGCCAAGGCAGGCAGATCACCTGAGGTCAGGAGTTTGAGACCAGCCTGGCCAACACGGTGAAACCCCATCTCTACTAAAAATACAAAAATTAACCAGGTGTGGTGGCACATGCCTGTAGTCCCAGCTACTCGGGAGGCTGAGGCAGGAGAATCAATTGAACCTCGGAGGCAGAGGTTGCAGTGAACCAAGATCACACCATTGCACTCTAGTCTGAGCTACAGAGCGAGTGGTTTAATTAAGCAATGAAGTTGTAATAACTGTTAGTCATAGTATAGATGGTATTTATAAATCAAATATAACAATAATTATTTATTTTTTATAAGAAAATGTCAGTCTGATTATGATTTTGATTGTCCCTGGGGACTTTGCTTTTCATGTAAATAGTTTTGTTTAGATTACTATAAGATTTGAGAATGGCACCTGATGGCTGTTTGCTTGCAGTGACCTATTTCATAAGTGATGCTTTGATTTCCATATCTGATTTTCATAAAGCAACCATTTATGATTAATTTAAAAGTTATAGTCAGTGCTGTCTTCAGCACCCCTTATGGTGTTTATGTAGCACGGTGTACAAAGCCTATAAATGGTCAGAGTTGGAATCTCTGCTCTGCCACCTGCTGCTGTGTGATCTTAGACATGTCATCACATACCTCTGAGTGTTTCTGTTTCTTTATCTGTCTATCCAGGAGGATGATGATAGTATACCTCCCTCATAAGATTGTAATGAGGATGAAGTACAGTCACATTTGTAGCTTGCTTAGAACAGTGCCTGGCACATAGAAAGTGCTATGCAAGTATTCGATTATTTAAAATGTTTCTGATTATGGAAAAAGGCAGAAAAATATTTAATATATGAAGGTTTTGTTATCAGGGCTATTTTGAATTCTTAGACAAAAGCTTTGGCCTTTCTTTGTGAATGGTGGTTTATAAGAGGAGGTAAGAGCATGGCCTTCATTCAGGTCTCAGCTCTACTACTTCCTAGCTGTGCGGCTAGCTCTGGGCAAAGTACCTAACCTGTTTGTGCCTCAGTTTCGTCTTGTGTAAAATGGATGTAGTAATGGTATCTATATCATTGGATTATTGTGAGGATTAAATGCATCAGTGGCTGGAGTATTCACTCTTATTAATAGTAGTAGTATTGTGGAATAAGTGTCTATTGTATGGAATTACCTGATCATTAAAAGTTCAGATAGATTGATAATAAAATCTTCTAGGCTTTAAACTTGTTGAGGGAGTAATAATTTGATAACATATTTAGTTTCTCAGCGATCTTTTTAACTCAGTGTTTATTTAACTTTCCATTTTATTTGCTGGGCCAATTTTCATAATTTCTTTCTGAAAATTGTTTGCATAATGGAGAATTTCCAGTTTATTAACATACACTATGCATGGTATTCTCTTCTTTATTTGGTAGTTTTATGTCTTTCTAATTTTTTTCTTTCTGTTTTTCTTGATTTGAATTGCCTAAGTTTTTGTTTTATTATTCCTTTCAAGGAACCATTGCTAGGAGTCATATATAATTCTTAATTTTGTAATTTTTCAAGTCATTTATTTTTATTGTTTTTTTACCTGTAAAACCTGTAGTTCAATGTGCATGTTTTGCTTATTGTCTTACTTTTTGTTAGTGAAAGAGAGCTTCATAAAATAAGTTGTTTTGAGAATTATTGCACATATTTTTATAGGTGAGATTGGCCTATAATGTTCTCCTTTACTGTCTCATCCAGCTGTAGCCTCCTAAAATCAATGTAATTTTTCTTCTTTTTCATGTTTCTGAAACATTTTGAATAAGATTGTAACATAAAATTTATCTATAGTGAAAATATGTTACGATTCTAGGCTTTCTTTTAACATCTTTCTTAGCCTTAGATTTCTTTTATCTTTTCAAAATGGTTTTTCAAGAACCATTTTGTATGAAAGAGATTTGGATAGCACTTTGTCCGGTACTGGATAGCACCATCCAGTAGTTTACTGGTTGTCTTCACCTAAAATCCAGGGAGCTTTGGTCCGAAACCAAGGCTTATAGTATCTGAAGACGTTTCTCAGTGACACTGGGGACCTCTCGGAGCCTAGTCAGTGGGTTTCCTCCTGCCTCTCAGTTCTTAATAGAGCCCTGGCTGAGTGCCTTATATGGGGTTCCCTGGAAACAGACCCCGAGAGTGTTTTGTGCAAAAGGTTTGTTAGTGAGTATTCTTGGGAGCAACAACAGTGAGAGAGCAAAAGAAGCAGGATTGGGCAGACGGAGAAGCTGAGCTGTGATGTAGTTATAGCAGAGGCCTTAGCCCATCCCACAAGTTGTGCAGGTGGCGGTTCGGAGTTATCCCAAATTCAGGCAAGGGAACCAGGCTTTTGTATCTCTAAATTGACCAATCCTCGGATGTTTGCTGGGAGGGGCACATGTTCTCGGGCAAGGAAGCTCCCTTTGGCTTTGGACAGTTCCGGGAGAGGGAGGCAGCTTTGAGCATCTGCATTCCACAGGGAGAATGAAGCCCTGGTTCTGAAGGGCGCAAAGAATGGCCCACCACAGATTCACTATATTCAGCCAGATGTTTGGTCTGTTTTTCTTTGAGGGAAAATCAGACAAAACAAAAGAAACAAACCAAAATATCCCTTTATGTGAGATTAGGCCACCTAAATTCAGTCTACTCTCTTGGTTTTGAAAATGAACCTGGCTCTTAAATTCTGCCTTCTTTTGTGATGTTTTGCCTGGGAAGTCATGAGCCTTTTTGATTTTTTGATTCAGTCTTCTTAAATCCAGAAAGCTTCCTTAAGTTATAGTTTTGATTATTATTAATACTTCTGCTTCATTTGTATCTTTCTTGAAGGTAATACCTATTCTTCTTGGGCTAGACCCAAGGAATGATATCAAAAATACTTAACAGGGGCCAGGTGTGGTGGCTCACGCCTATAATCCCAACACTTTGGGAGGCCGAGGCGGGTGGATCACCTGAGGTCAGGAGTTTGAGACCAGCCTGACCAACATGGAGAAACCCAGTCTTTACTAAAAATACGAAATCAGCCGGGCATGGTGGCTCATGGCTGTAATCCCAGCTACTCGGGAGGCTGAGGCAGGAGAATCACTTGAACCTGGGAGGTGGAGGTTGCAGTGAGCTGAGATCATGCCATTGCACTCCAGCCTGGGCAACAAGAGCGAAACTCCATCTCAAAAAAAAAAAAATAAAATAAAATACTTAACAGCTCATTTGGTAACCAACATGGCACAGGACAGTTAAACAGTCGTCTTAGTACTGGAGCGGGGTCCTGGAGGCTCCGTGCTGTAACAGAAGTTATGCTTAGATGCTGGATCTTGGGGAAGTCCCACAAGGGACTGACTACATGGTGGGGAGTAACTATTGCCAACCAATATGGAAGTATTTTAATATTTTAACAACTTTGGCATTTTGTGATGTTGTCAACATGTTTTTCAAGTTGAAATAGCTCACTCAGTCTCTCGTTCTGTCGAGTGTGCTATTTACTGCCTTTAACATGAATTTTAACAGCAGTGTCTCTTATTTTCCTGTGATTTCCTACATTGGCTTGTTCTCTTTTCATAGCCTATTTTTTGTTTTATAGAGTTTATTTCCCCTTGTGCATTGCTAACGTCATGAAACTCTTCTGTCTATAACTCAGTGCTCTTCTTCTGATGTTTTCTAGAACTTTTTATCAGAGGCCCCATGGTAATTGTTTTCTGTTTGATCATTTTTGCGTCCCGAGAAGTTTTCCCAAGGTCTTTTGTGAAGAACACTAAATGCTTAATGTTCCCATTTGAGTCCTGGCACAATTCCTCTTTCAAACCCAAGGCTGAAGGTCAGACAGATGTGCTCCATTCTGGAGCCCTCTAGTGAACCTACAGGTGCCCACCAGTGTTCATTCTCATTTCCATTCCTCCAGTGGCAGAAGCAGCCCTTTCAAACCTAGCCTGGCTGGGGTGGCCTGGGGTTGGGAGAGAATGCCCCTTGCAGTGTGGGTAGCATTTATTCTAGAGGAGACTTGAGAAACCACCCTAAGTTGCTTTACAATGTCAAGAGGATTTAAGACTCCGTAGGTCCATGAGGCCTGTTTTGAGTCTAGGAGCAAATTGATTTAAAAGACACGCATGCACACACACACACCCCTCTTAAAAAAGGATATTTCCCTCCCCCCCACCCATTTCTTCTGTTAATTGTGTTTAGTACAGTAGAGTATGTGTAATTATGAGCTTTTGGGGATGAATCCTGCTATGCTACTGAATTTGATCTTTGGGGACTTTAACTCAATACTTCCCTCCCTCGCTCCCTCCCTCCCTCCTTACCTCTTTCCCTCCCTCCCTCCCTCTCTTTTTTTGCTTCTGTCTTCTCTACCTGAATAAGTAGCTCATTCCTACCATTATGGAAGTCCCATTAGTAAAGAATTGAATAGTTTGACCTTCAAATTTAAATTGTTGTATTCCTGGGAAAGGTATGGTTTTGTTTTCCCTTCTGCAGCCACTCTCTCTCCTGGGTGGCTCATGTGTGGAGAGAACTGAATTCTACTTTATAACATGCCAGATTCTCACCTCCTTTTGTCTGGCACTTGCCCTCCTGGGTCAGCCTACCACATGATGGTTCTGTTGGGCCCTAATGGAAACAGTCTGGTAGGAAGCAGGTTCTTACCCTCCATGGTATTAGAGATGTCTCTTTCCACCAAAAGACCTCATATTTGGTTTAGGTAGTGTTCATTGAAGATTTATTGTCTTGTTTCTCCTGAAACACCAGAGGATGTTTATTTCAGGATCATCTTTATTTGAAAAGTCTTTTTACAAAGGTATTTTCTCTGCATCACTTTCTTCTACCCTAAGCCAAATCAGGAATTTTAATACCTGTACTCAACCAGAAATGAGAGGCATGTGAGCAGATTTGATTTGCAGATTTCTACTTTGGATAATGACATTATTATTTATTAAACTTCATTTCAAAAAAGTGTAGGGACAGAGGGTAAGCTTCCCCTCTGCCTTCTCTGAAGGTTCACTGAGATGACTGACAATAGATTAATAGGAGAAAGAGGCATACAGAATGTATTAATGTGCATAAACGTGGGAGTCCTGCAAATATGAGACTCAAGTCCAATGGTTGAAGCTTGTGACCCCTTTTCATAGAAGAAAGGAGAATGGGGGTGGGATTGGTATAGGCAGTTGTGAGGGGTAGTAAATAATTTTCAGGAGAAATGAATGAGCCCAAAGAACAATGGCCTGGGACAAAATTTCTCTGAGTTCTGTGGGAGGTTGCAGGCAGGTGAGGAGCAGAACTTCACTGTGAACAAATGTTGGTCTTACTATGTAGATAATGTCTCTTGGGTAATCTCTTGGAGCTGCCCTGAGAAGAATAGATGAAAAGTCTCTCTGAGCATGGTGATGACTTTTAGTGGTTAAATCTTTCTTGGCTATTTGATGAGACTTCTAAGTTGGCAATAGCATTTCTTTTGGAAAGAAGTTTTCTTAGTCAGATAAGGAAATTCTAGAGAACTTCTCTCTGCACGTGGGAAAGAAGGGAACAGAGAGACCAGGGCATGGGGGAAGGTCAAAGGGAGACCTTGCTTCTGAGGCTTACTTCTGAGGTCTTTCAGTTTCCTTTAATTCAGAGCATTTAGCATGCCAAAGCGCCACATTTTGGGTCATTGTCCTCTGTAGCCTAACAAAAGTCTGCAAGTATATGCTGTATTTATATAGCCTTCAAGTTTCTGATACAGTACAGTGCTGAATAAATAATTGCTGAATGAAGAACTTTCATATGGTAAACAATAGAGGCAGGCCTTTATCACTAAGAATCAACATTTAAAAAACATCCTTGTTTGCTGCTTTTTTAGAGGGATGAAATAATGAAGTCAAAGATCCACAAACTTATTTTTCTTACTATTACTCCCATCTATCATTTTCTTCTGATATTAACGAGACCCAGCGATTGATGTTGTTTTAATGATATAGTTCCACAAGTGCATTAAATTGCTTTCCAAGTCACCAAAGTGAGACTTCCATTTTTTTGTTTTTTTTAGTAACATTAAGTAGTTTATTTAATACCTGCTGCTAGTTTATATAACTTTTATTATCCAAATAATACGTTTATTATAGAACAATTAGCAAATACAGGGAAGCAAAATGGAGAAAATCAAAATTATGTGTAATTTTATACCATTTTCTGAATGTGGGGACCTACTTTTTTAGACTGTTTCTATCTGAAGTGTACAAAATACTTTGTAACCTGCAGTTTGCATAAGTATTTATACTTCTTGCAACATAATGTTAAATATTCTCTCTGTGGATGGATGTAGCATCACTTAACAAACCAATCCCCTACTGTTGGGTTATCTAGGCTAGTTATTTTGTATTTCTGACTGTTATAAATGTTTTTGCAGTAAACTTTAGTAGTGATTAGGGTTAGGGGGGTGTGTGTGTGTGTAATATAAAACACATAAAGTGGCTTATGTAAGGTAAAAGAGGCTTATTTCTCTTCCACATAAAGGAAGTACAGAGCTTGGTCCAGGATTTAAATGGTACTTAACAGTGTCAGGAAATCAGATTCCATTTATCTTGCTGCTCTGCCTTGCAGAGCACGTATTCCCAACACCATATCATGGTTAGAGGTGGTTGCTGGAAGGCTAGCCATTAAAGTACTATTCTACCCAGCAGGAAGGAGGGACATATTGGGGGAGTGGTGGTGGGTGTGCTGTCAGCCTTTAAGAGCACTTCCAAGTCCAATTAGCAGAACTCACAGGATGTTGTAGATTCCACTTCTGCTTATGTCCGTTAGTCATATGGCCACTTTTAGCTGAAAAGGAAGCTGGGGAATATAGTCTTCATCTCAGTACAGTTACATACGTACCAGAGACCCTCCACTGTAACTGACTTTGAGATGATTGTTAGCGTTCGTGCTTCATTATTTTCTTAAGATGAACTTCTAAACTTGGAATTGTGGAGTCAGTGGATGATAACTCAGAAGGAATCTTTTCCAGGTGAGAGAAAAGACTTTTGCCCAAAGCTGCTCCTTGGAGTGTTTTGTGGTTTCTTTAGCATACCAGTGCATGATGAAGATAAGAATGGGAGACATTCTTTTATCTCGCTGGAAGGTGCCATCCATCCGATCTATCCAGAGAGCATCTGCTGACCCTGTTGGAGGTGCACAGGTGCAGGGTCGGTAGAGGCACCTCTTACTGGGGCTTTGCCAGTGAATGTTTGAAATTTGAGTATAAAAGAGATCCTAACAGTACATTCCTTATACCGTGCAATATCTCATGGTGTGTAGGGCCAGGGATATTGGTGGTGCTGTGTTCTAAGACTGGAAGCTACTTTTCAGCTGGTCCTGTCTGACTTGTAGGTAGATTTGGATCTTCAAATTTGGCACACAAAAATCTTTTTATCTTTTTTTCAACAAAACATTGGTCTTTATGCCTCTTATTCATGACTAGAGGTCTTTAGTGTCTGTCTCTTTCTCATACATATGTATAGGCCTCACTGAGAAAATTTTTTAAAAGTAGTGATTATTTGATTAAACATTAGACTGAATAGATTAATTTGTTCATAAACATAATGAATATTATTATTTTTCTCTGCAGTATACTGTGTCCATTTTAATGTACTGTCACTTTTCTCTTAATTCTTATCTTTCCACTGTTGAGGATGACAGCTTTGGTTCTACAAATAAAATTTATCAGATTGTTGAATCAAGAATCAGGAAGGATGACCATTCCTTCCATATGGTAATTTTAGTTATTCGCAGTCAGCCTAAAATATTTTTTACTCACTGTGGAAGCACACAACCCGAAACCAAGTGGGGCAAGTGAGAAAAGAGTTTGATCACATACCTTTGGTCAATTTTCATCACAGAAAACTTCAGAAATATAGAAAACTTCTTAAAAATTTTCTTTTCCATGCATGTCAATGGTTTGAGAGGAGAGTGGTACGAAATAGGGTCCCAGGCAAAGGGAGGTGGCTGAAATGTCTTTAGAACACGAGGCTCTGTTTCCCGAGGCATACTGTGCACATTTAAACCTACTCTTCCTTACTCTTGGCACTGAACCACCTACTGGAGCCAGAGTCTATTTGCATTTATTTTAGCCTATGTCATAACATGTTAAAACAAAAACCTGGAGTCACTTTTCTTTGCAATTCAAGGAATGCAGTACAAATTTGCTCAAATGAAGCTGCTTTCTTTATTCCTTTTGGATTAAAATCATAGGAGGTGGCATGCTGTGTGGCAGATAACATCAGTTAGCGAGGAAGACTCAGCAAAAGGAAGGAAAGTCTTAATGCGAAGGAGGCAGAGTTGGTACTAGGATTGGAAGAGTATGTATATCTAGGCCTATTTATCGTATCAGGCTTAAAGACATGCAGAGGCAACCACAGACATAAGGGCTTTGGTGTTTTTAGTCATTTCCTTAGAATGGGTTAGTTATTTTTCTAAGGAACAATGTGCGGAACATTAGAAATGAATTGTGACTAATACAGCTTTTAGCAGAAAATAAAATGGAAGAGTAGGTCTGCAGTGATAGAATGAACAGTGCTGAGTGTTAATAGAACATAAACAGTAATAGGATAAAGACTATGGCTTTGGAAAAGACTAATTATATGGCATGCACTCAGGATACAAATTATAAAGTCAGCCCTATGGTATTACTGTAGTGTAGAATTGGAAATCTTACCATTTCATATAAAGCTGTCTTATAAAATATGTACAAATATTGTATTTCAAATAATAGCTAAGCTCTTTAGAATACCTGAGATTAAAAAGATGTTTTTAAGTTACTCCGTATTTTGCTACACAAAAATTCCTTAAATCTGGGCAATTCAAAAAGAAAAAGAGAATAAAAACAAACTTTCTGCTTTATGTATTTGGTTCATAATAGATATTCAATAAAATGGGATGAGGACCTGCACCTTTGAGGTTGATTGGATGAAATGTGGAAAGAGGGATAATGATGGCTTTTTAAAACATATTTGAAGATTTGAAATGTTTCATGTGGAGCAGACACTAGAATTTTTCTGTATAAGCTCAATGAGGTAGTACCAGAACCAGTGGGTGTCAACTCCAGTAAAATAGATTTTTGACTCAGCATAGTGACTTTCTAGCATTCAGAGCAATTCAAATTTTGGATTAGGCTAGTTTAAGAATAAACTTATTAGAAAACTGTAACAGAACAATAAGAAATAAATTTTTTAAAAATTTACCACTTATAACAGCCTCAGGAAACATCTGATACATAGGAATAAATTTAACAAAAGATGTGCAAGATCTCTACCTGAAAATGACAAAATATTAATGAGAGATATTAAAGAAGAGCCAAAGAAATTGAGGGATTTAGCTTCTTCATGGATTGGAAGACTCAATATTGTAAAGAAGTCATTTCTTAACCAAATTTATCTATTGGAAATTTGTCTAGTAGAAATAAGCCCTTTACAAAAGAGCCTCTCTATGTGGACAATAAACATAGGGAAAGATTATCATTAATCATGGAATGCATTTGTAACCATAATGTGATACCACTATACACCCACTAAACGGTTAAAAAGAAAAAGATAGACAATACCAAGCATTGGTGTGGAGGTGAAGCAATTGGAACTGTCATATGCTGTTGGTAGGTATTCTGCAGTTGTTTTGGAAAGCTGACAGGATTTACCAAAGCTTAATGTACACACATGCTGCGACCTCAGAGTTTCACTCTTTGGTATATGTGCAATGGAAACACATACGTACATTCAAGAAATTGTTACCAGGAAAGGGTCGCAGTCCAGACCCCAGGAGAGGATTCTTGGGTCTCGCGCAAGAAAGAATTTGGGGCAAGTCCAGAGAGTGAAGTGAGGATGCAAAAGTGTATTAGGAAAGGAAAGGAATAAAGAATGACTACTCCAAATGGTTGCCCATTTTTGTGGTTATTTCTTGATGATATGCTAAACAGGGGGTGGATTATTTGTGCCTCCCCTTTTTAGACTGTATAGGGTAACTTCCTGATGTTGACATGACAATTGTAAACTGTCCTGGCGCTGGTGAGAGTGTAGCAGTGAGGACGACCAGAGGTCACTTGGTTTTGGTGGGTTTTGTCTGGCTTCTTTACTGCAGTCTGTTTTATCAGCAAGGTCTTTATGACCTGTATCTTGTCCACATCTCCTAGCTCATCCTGTGACTTAGAATGCCTTAACCATCTGGGAATGCAGTTGTCTCAGACCCAGTAGGTATCAGCCTCATTTTACCCAGCTCCTGCTCAAGATGGAGTTGCTCTGGTTCAAACGCCTCTGACAAAATAATCTGTACAAGAATGTTTGTAATAGCACTGTTTGTAATAGCACCAAATTAAAAACAACTCAGATGCTCATTGTTCATGATCTCCAAATAAATTATAGAGTATTCACAGCCACAAAAACCATACAAGAAAGAGAAGGTAACTTCTACTACTCACAACAATGTGGATGAATCTCAGAAACATGCTGTTTAGAGAAAGAAGCCAGATACCCAAGTTTCCATTTTAAATACAATTCAAAAAAGGGTAAATGAATCTATGGTGTTAGTAGTCAAGGAAGTGGTCACCCTTGACAGATGAGGTGCGATTGGAAGGGTGTGCTGGCCACGTTTTGTTTTCAGTCAGGGTGTTGGTTACATGGGTGTGTTCACTTTGTGAAAATTCAGTGAACTTTACACTTAGTGATTTCTGTGTCTTTCTGTAGATCTTAGAGATATAAAAGCAAGGCTTTGTGATAGAATTGAGGTGTCCTTGTAACTGAGCTGGTGTGTGAGCAGAGAGGAAATGTATGGGAGGTGCCTTTCTTCTGAGGTGCTTTGAATACAGAGTTTTCAGAAAAGGTTTCTGTTCTAAAGGACCATAAGGAGACGACGATTGACAGCTCTAAGTCAAGCGTCCAGAGGACAAAAATCCTTTGCTAGAGAATGGCCGTTTTAGGAAAGCAGCCATAAAACTAGCTTTGGGTTCAGAAGCTCTAACATAAATAGAATATTCAGTAGGGTTTTTTTTTTTCTTTCAAGAGATGGGACCTTGTCTTGTTGCCCAGGCTACAGTAAGAATATTTAGTAGTTTTAATTTTGATCTGAACAAGTAAAAAATTACAAAAACATTTGCATTTCTGCTGTTTTATTTTTATTGCAATAATTTCATATCCCTGTCAAAAAATTGAATTGGCTATTTAAAAAATCAGTATGATTAGTAAATAAGAAGTTAAAAAACCAAACCAAGCCCTGAGACAAAAGGAGAGAGAAAGTATGCCAACTGTGAATACATGGTAAGCACAGGTGTTAGACGTGAGATGCAACTTGGCTGTTACCTTTACAACATCCAAAGCAGAAAGGGGAGCAAATAAACAACTTCCTAGAATAAGACTAACTTTCCTTCCCATTAAAACTTTGAGGCACGTTTCTTATCTGAAGCATTAAAGAGACAACGTTGAACAACATAATGAAGCATGTCTTTAGTAATGAGTGCTGTAGCAAATGATATCAGTTGAATTTACAGGTTGTTTTTTATAGTGACCTTCAGTAAAGACAAAGAAGAGCCTATTCAATAGTATAATGCTGAAAGGAACCAATGCTTTAACCACTCCCACCTCCAGTCTCGTTATCTGGGAGATGCACGGCATTTGGGGCTTTCTTGCTGCTTTCAGAGAGTGATTTCCCATTTGTTTTCATTGACCAGGTGCCCGGGAAGAACCCACCGTCCAGCAGGCACAGCGTCGGTCAGCTGTCTTTCTGTCCTTTAAGTCCCCAATTCCATGTCTGCCCTTGCGCTGGGAGCAGCAAAGCAAACTTCTTCCAACTGTCGCAGGAATCCCTGCCAGTAAAGTTTCCAAATGGAGCACAGACGAGGTATATTTTATTTTCTTTGCTGCCCGACACCAGATACAGGATTACTGGCTTAAGAGGTGTGGAACATTGAGCGTAGGTAGCGTTTAGTCTTTTTTTTTCTGAAAGAGAAGAAATTATTGTGAGAGAAATAACTAATGCATATGGGTTAAATGTTTTGAACCTGTAGCATTTAGATTCTGACTGTGTTTTTTAACTGGGAATTTTGATATTGCTTTTGACAGGTGTCAGAATTTATACAGAGCTTACCTGGGTGTGAAGAACATGGAAAGGTATTTAAAGATGAAGTAAGTATTCCACTAAATTGCAATATGTTACTTAATGGGATCAAAGCACTGAAATGCAGTGGAAGGTGAAATGTGTGGAATTGGCAGAGTCAAAAAGAGATGGGGTGTGTTGAAATTGACAAATTGATGTATACTAACAGGCAGTATGAATCAGTTGTATAAAAATGTCTTTGTATAAGATGAGATGCATAAGAATGTTTGTGAGTACCATTTTATGATACCCCACAGCAGTAACACTAGGCTCCTTATAAAAAGAAAACCCACAGAACTTAATAGCATGCATTTATATAGTTTATAGCACAGAGGAAGCCAAAGAAAGAAAGAAGCAACATTTTCTCTTTTTAATAAAGTGAAATTAGTTTCCATTATTTTATTTTCCAGTGTCATTCTAACAACACCATGATTGACTCCATTTGAGGTTTATAATAAGTAATATTAGCATTATGTCTAAAAAAATCCCTTAAGTCATATACATTCCTCAATAATGTTTATAATAAGATATTTATCACAGTCCACTTTTGGAAGATTATTTTATTAGTTGTTTTCAACTCCCTCTCCAAAACTTCAATATAAGGGGTGATTAAGAATGATATCACTTACAGTGAGCACTAGAATAAAAAGGAATCTGGTTTCTAACTTTTAATTCTGTAAGCGTACAGCAGGAGACCCTTTTCAGTAGAGACCTTTAAAAATAAGCCACTTGCCTGTCATCTCCTCCAAGCAAAGCAGTCAATTACCCCTCTGATTTTGGCTGTGTCTACTCCTGCCAGAAGGCAGAAAGTAGACTGAGTAATCTCAGAAGGTGCTCTCCAACATCTGCTGTCTACAGTTACACGCATACACAACTTGTTTGCCCCTATGTGTAAAGCTCAACTGTTAAGAACAGCACACTTTCCATTTCATTGCAGGAGTATAGACACAGCTAACAATCCAGCCACCAGTTGTCAGTGTTGTTATACTGTTAGGTATAATTTATGCGTTAGATGAAAGCTTGTTAAAATGCACAAGGATCTGATTTCCAACATCCTTTTTCTGATTTATGTTCTTATTGTGCAAAGGTTTTATTTTCTCTCTGTTTGATCTTTAATTGGCAGTTATTCAGATTTTCTTTCCCTAAGTCCTGAGTGTCTTCACTGATACTCTCAATTCATTTTCTGTTTTTTCCTTTTTTTTTTTTTTTTTTTTAAATCGAGATGGAGTCTTGCTCTTCTCTCCTGGGCTAGAGTGCTCACTGCAACCTCCGCCTCCTGGCAGAGGCGATTCTCCTGCCTCAGCCACCTGAGTAGCTGGGATTACAGGTGCCCGCCACCACGCTCGGCTAATTTTTTTTGTATTTTTAGTAGAGACTTGGTTTCACCGTGTTGGCCAGGCTGGTCTCGAACTCCTGACCTCAGGTGATCTGCCCACCTCGGCCTCCCAAAGTGCTGAGATTACAGACGTGAGCCACCGTGCCCAGCCTGAATTCATTCTGTATCGCTGAGCAGACTTAGAGCCACATAGGGAGCTGTTGGTCTGTCTTGGAAAATGTCATGTTGTCATTACCTTTGAAAATAATAAAGCATTTTTGAAAATAAATTTATAATGCATCTCTTTTATAACTTCTGTTTTTTTATTCTGTTGTTATCTAGATAATCCCTATAGGTTTGCTCTATTATTCAGTTTGAGTAAGATTCAAGTTTAAATTCAAAATGAGATGCTATTTTTTGAGTAATTTTTTTTATTCATGGCAGATTGTCTTTGGAGATGTTCCTCAGTTACCAAATATGCTCAAAGCTAGATCCTTTTCTGGAGGAGTGAGATAGTTAATATTCTCTGTCGATATGAATTATTCATTCATTTACTCCTTCATTCATTCATCTTGTGCACATTTGTTAAATTCCGACCATGAGTATGTTACTTTGTGTCATGCTCTTGTGAGAAGGATGATTCGAAAATAATGAAACCTAGTCCTTGTTCTCAAGTGTCTCACAAGGTCAGTGGGTTTGGGTTTTGAGTCCTACAAGTAAACCATAGTACAAATCTAACCGAAGTCTTATAAATCATCTTTAAAAGGCAAAGGACAAGTATTCAGATAGGCTGTTGTTGGAAATTATCCTTGACTTCTCTCTTACACATGCCACATCTCATCTGTTGAAAATCCTATTGGGTGTATCTTTGAAACATGTAAAACCCTTATCACCCTACTGCCACCACCACCCTGGTCTGCGCCACCATCCTCTCCCACTTGGATTAGTGCAGTAACCTCCAAACTCATTTTCCTGCTTCTGTTTTTGCTCCTCTACAGTCTATTCCCAGCACAGCCAAGGTTACCCTGCTGAAACATAAGTCAAACCATGTCACTCCTCTGTTCAGGTCCTTCCAATAGCTTCATCTCTCAATCAGAGTAAAAGCAGAAGTCCTTACAAGGGCCTGCAGTCTGACACCTCATTACCTCTCTTGCCCCCTGGCTTTTTGTTTACACTGCCCCTCACGAGTCTACGTGCTGGCCTCCTTGCTCTTCCTCTGATTGTCCAGGCTTGCTCCCGCTCCTCCTTCTGCACAGAACACTCTTCCTCCAGATGTTCATGTGGCTCACTTCTTCTGCTCAGATGCCAGCTTGCCAATTAGTCCTGCCCTGACTTTCTTACTTGAAATTGCCTCTTGTCACCACACATGCATCCCTGCTCCTGCTGCCCATTCATCTTCCTAGTCAGCTCTGTTTAATCATAGCACAAATCACCTTTTTTTTTTGAGACAGAGCCTCACTCTGTCGCCCAGGCTGGAGTGTAGTGGCACAATATTAGCTCACTGCAACCTCTGCCTCCCAGGTTCAAGCTATTCTCATGCTTCAGCCTCCCAAGTAGCTGGGACTGCAGGTGCGTGCCACCACACCCGGCTAATTTTTGTATTTTTAGTAGAGATGTGGTTTCACCATATTGGCCACACTGGTCTTGAACTCCTGACCTCAAGTGATCCACTGACTTCAGCCTCCCAAAGTGCTGCAATTACACTCATGAGCCGCTGCTCCTGGCCAACATGAGTCACTTTCTAACTTACTAATTAATTGGCTTACTTAGTATGTTTATTGGCTTATGGTCTGTCTACCACTTCTAGAATGTAAATTCCACAAAAAGTTTTTTGCTTGCTTGGTTTTATTTGTTTTATTCCCTGCTATATGTCTAAGCCCAAGAAGAGTGTTTGGAATATAATAGACATTCAGTATATTTTTGTTGAGTGAATACATTCATGCCTTTACACTCTGAGAAAGACTCACTCAGACAGAGCATGTCACTGTGGTTTCGAGTTAAGGCATTGGAAAAGAACAAATAGTGAATAGTGGAAAGGGCAGTGAAATGGAAGGCCAGAGCTCCTGAATTCCAAATCCCTCTCCTTTGTTTTAGGCCATTAGCAAGACACCTAATGTCTGGAATAATGGCATTGTATATGCATTGCAGAAGCTAACCGAAAAAAAAGTAAGCCTTGTAATACATTGCAGTGGTCACTGTTGTTCTTAGGATGTACTTTCCTGAATTAAGTTGACTTCCTTCCAATCAAGACTTGTTTGTATGGCCACATGTCAGAGCAACCTGTATGTAATAAAGAGTTTGGAAGTAGCCTCAAGATTTTTTTTCTTTCTAGTGTATGTAACCTTATAAATAACAACCTACCAAAATGTATCCTTACTGTCCCACTTTTAACTTCAAATCCCAGCCACTAAGTTCTCTGGATGTTTTTTTTTTTCATCAGTTACCTGTTGTGTTATACTCTTACATAGTTTCAGAAGGAGACTTGCTGTCTGCGCCAGGCCTTCAGTAGGGCCAAGGTTGTAATAAACCAGTCAGCCTTTGTAGTGGGCTCCTTGGGAATGTCAGTTGACATTTTCATTAATGACTTAGAAGACTTCTATAAGGCTGTCCATTGTACTAAGGTCTGCCTTGGTTGAGCGAAGTGTTAATAGATCTGCCTTTCTTCCTGACCTTGCTTTATCAGAGGACTGTCATAGCACAAGCAAATGAGAACAGACCAATGTTTCCAGAAAACAGGAGAACATTTCTCATACCTGCCGCTTAACGGTGCTACACTTGGAGATTAACACTGGAACGTCTTTCCTTCTAGTTTACAACAGCAGGATGTCTTTTTACTGAAATTAGCACACTTTTTCCACATAATTGTTACTTGAAGAAGTTGTGTAAGATGACTCCAGTTCTTACTGATGAAGCATTTAGGCAGTCTATATTTACAGGTCTTTCATTTTTAAAGGAGAGAGGAAAATCTTAAGAAGTAGCAATTTAATTATATCAGCCTTGTTTAGAGAACTGTTTGCAGAATTTAGAGTTGTCTTAGTTTGCTAGGGCCACCATAACAATGCCAACCACAAACGGGTGGCTTAAATGGCAGAAATGCATCGTCTCACAGTTCTAGAAGCTGAGAATCTGAAGAAGGCTAGAAGTCAGGGGGTTGGCAGGGTTGCTTCCTCCCGAGGGCTGTGAGGAAAGAATCTGTCCTGGGCCTCTCTCCTTGACTTGTAGATGTGACTTGTAGATGGTGGTCTCTCTTTGGGTCTTTACGTTGCCTTCCCTCTATATGTGTCTCTTTCTCCAGATCTCTCCTTTTTATGAGGATACCAGTCATAATTGGATTAGGCACCCACCCTACTCCAGTGTGACCTCATCTTAACCAGTTACCTCTGCACTGACCCTATTTCCAAATAAAAGTCACATTCTGAGGTACTGGGAGTCAGGACATCAATATACGAATTTTTGTGACAGGGACACCATTCAACCCATAACGGAGTGCGTTGCTGTCAAGGTTTCTGATGTTCTAAGGCAGAGAACAAAAGTGTGTTTTACTTTTTGTACAAGGTGGGAAAACTGAAAGGGAAACTTTTTTTTTTTAAGGTGATAGAAGAGCTGAAAGTCATAATGAAAGACTGTTTCTTTGCTCTGCCCAGTAAGCCAGACATCATTTTCATAGTATTTTATCTTTTAACCTAAAAGATGTGTTGTACCTTTGAACTTCTAGAGAATAGTAGCCTATTTTTCAGAAGCATAGACTTTTGTCTTAGAAGATGTCCAGAGAGAGGAAGGGTCTTTCTCATAGTTACCCTACCTGCGTATTAGAAGAACCACCTTAAAGTCAGTGACTCGTAACACCAGCCTCACATTCACTGTTTGATTGCCCCGTTAGTAAATGCTTTTCTTCTGTGTGTAAAGACTTAACTGTGGCCACACTAGAGATAAGTGTTATCTTTCTGATTTTCTTTTCTTCATGGTGGAAGGCTAATTCTGGAAAAAAAAAAAATGTTGCATGTAGCTGATATGTTTGCCTGAGTTATTTTATGTCCACAAACATTCATGTACCTGTTATCTCTTCTAATTTTAAAACCTGCCATGATAAAAACTAGACTTTGGGCATCCTGGATTTTTCCATATTCTTCTTAACTCTACAACTAATTCAGAGTAATCACAGGAAGATATGGGCACCTTCTGTTTTCCTTTGGCTGGTTTTTCAGGTGAATTAGTTTACTTTGTTCCCAGTCCACTTTGGGATGTGTCATTGTGGATAAGAAAGGTCCATATATCAAGAAATGTCATTGCACACGTGAACTTCTCTGTGCTTTTTTAGCATTGCTATGTAGAAGACAGCTGGTAATTTAACCTTGAATATTTTCTACAACACTGCATCTTGTTAATCCACATTCTGTTGTTTTTTTCCCCCATTTTAGCAAATTGATGGAGAAGCATTTCTACTTATGACTCAAACAGACATTGTTAAAATTATGAGCATTAAACTGGGCCCTGCTCTCAAAATTTTCAATTCCATCCTGATGTTCAAAGCTGCAGAGAAGAATTCTCACAATGAACTTTGAAGATGGTGAATTCTGAATACCATCAGCATTCTGCTTTAAAGCTCATGTTTTATTCAAAGCACAAGGACGGTTATAACTCCTAAGTGAGAAGTCTCCAAAACTCAAAAGAGCAACACTATCGGATTATTTATATTACTCAAGAGACAATATATATGAATTCTTATGAAAGTGCTTGAGCTTTTAACCAGGTACTGTCTAACAACAGTCATCTTTTGGTTCTGTTCACTGAGCTAAATTTATCTTTGTAAATCTTTTTGAGTCTGGGGGGTGGGGGGAAGGGGGGCTTCATTAATTATTTATGGTAATGGGGGGCAGAGTAAGAACTTTTGGCATTTTGTAAACATTGTTGAATTCTCTTTCATGTACACTGTTTCTTTTTCAATACTTTCAGAAACCTTTTTATATAATCAAATTTCAATTTAAACCAAATTAGTCGAAACCTGGCTAAGTTTAGCCAGTAGGACTGTTATCTGTATTGTTAATTTTGTGCCATATTTTGAATTGCAACATTATGCTAAGTATAACTTTGCAAGTCATGATATTGCCTAACTGCTTGTCATAATTGTCAGGGCTGAATAGTTGTAAGAATGACTTTTCTTTGAATCAGTATTTTTCCTTTTGCACGCATTATGAAATGTTAAACAAATTACTTTTCACCAGCATCTTTACTATAATTACCAAAAACATGTATATAAAAGAATGAAATTGAAAAATAAAATATATAAACATAAATAAATTAGGTAGTGTATTTTGAGTGGCATCAGTCTCACTCATCTTGGTGCCCCGGTGTTTACAAGAGCCAGATGGTGTCAGAGGAGTACGCAGTTGTATGCAGTTATGGTTGGGGGGAATGTTTGTGAGGGTCTTGAACTATTTATGAGATGATCTTGAGCTTCTAATTTTCATTGATGAAATTGTGGTGGTTTACAGAGACTAAGAGCTCATTCTGTCAACAGAAACACTAATCTGTACAGAGCGCTGTCTCAGGTCATGCATTGTCCTCCAAACCCAAAGGTTTTTTTCAGGGTTGGCTAGAGAGCGAGTATTGTGATTTTGCTGAAAAGACAAGGTGTGAAGGAGCAACTTCAGTTGACACAAAATTTGAAATGCTCACAGATCAGGGAGGTGATTTCCCAAAGTAATTGCCCAAGAACCTCCGTTTTGGAAGGATTCCTTTTTCTGTAGAATACTTTGCCTCGATATATAAGCATACAGATGCACTTTAAATGAAAACCCTTGATTATAAATTGATAGCTGGTAGTGTTTCTTTTGCAAGAATGCATTTCTAAGGCAAAAGGTAAATTATTTTGTCCGTCTTTTGATGTACTTTCTGATTCCAGGATTGGATATTTATTCAAGGACTATTTTAAAAATAGAAAGTAAGTTTGTAGCATGCTGTCTGAATTCTGGGGT
The DNA here is from genome assembly GCF_000001405.40 of Homo sapiens. NCBI lineage: Eukaryota > Metazoa > Chordata > Mammalia > Primates > Hominidae > Homo > Homo sapiens. The sequence continues at coordinate 130,141,167 of NC_000006.12, forward strand.
AAGTTCCACCTCTTCTTTAGTTGCTTTCGTTTTTTATGATGTAGGACTTCCTTTGATATCCCTGTTGGAAGTCCATTAGCAGTCCTTTGCATTTGCCAATTCAAGGTAAAACAGGGTCAGTGACATCTGCAGTGTCCCAGTCATTTATTTGCATGAATCTGCTTAAATAAGTTTTTTGTTGCTGTTTTTTCTTTTTTATGTTTTGTTCAGAATTTGTACATTCAAGTTGTACTTGTTATATCTGACATGAATGAAATAAAATCTTAATTACAGATGCTTTTTACATATGTATGATTTTTAAGAAAGCTTCTCAAATAGGAGAGGCAGAACAAGAACAGGAAGAGCATCAAGTATTTGGACATTACTAGCTATGTAATGAATCTGTAGGATTCAGAATTGTCAAACTGTGTCCCAAGATGATGACAAAAATATTGAAAGATTATATTGTTAGGTCAAGTCCAATTCATCCCCATTGGGAATTTTTTTCAAGTGTAAAGCATAGAACTAAAGCATAGTTTAAATCATGAGATTTTAAACATCTTCTTCTTTTTTTTTTTTTTTTTTTTTTTTTGGAGACAGAGTCTCTCTCTGTCCCCCAGGCTGGAGTGCAGTGGTGCACTGTCGGCTCACTGCAACCTCTGCCTCCTGGGTTCAAGTGATTCTCCTGCCTCAGCCTCCTGAGTAGCTGGGATTACAGGTACCCGCCACCACGGCTGGCTAATTTTGGTATTTTTAGTAGAGATGGGGTTTTGCCGTGTTGGCCAGGCTGGTCTTGAACTCCTGACCTCAGGTCATCTGCCTGCCTCAGCCTCCCAAAGTGCTGGGATTACAGGCATGAGCCACCACTCCCGGGCAATTTTTAAAATCTTATTGAAGACATCCACTCATTCTATGCAACATGTTGTTACATGTTAGAGGCAAGGCATTAAGCATCTGTAGGGTGGTGAGGAATTCACTGTACCTCAAGAAGGTGAAAACTCTCACCACTCCATCCCTGGGATATAGTCTAAGTTTTAACAGAGAATATAGGGCACCATGATTGTAGGGAGATCTCTGAAGTGAGAGATGCAGGCTTGGGGTAAGACAGACGGTGGAAGCCAAGCTCAGTGGCTCAACCCTGTAATCCCAGCTACTCAGGAGGCTGAGGCAGGAGGATCTCTTGAGCCCAAGGATTTCGAGACCAGCCTGGGCAACATAGCAAGACCCCATCTCAAAAAAATAAAAATAAAAGAGAGAAAAGGGAGGAATAGAAAATATAGACCTTGATAGGACCTTCCCATCTAAAGGCATTTTTTTTAAAAAATTGAAAACACTGCGCAAGCCAAATACAACCTTTGTGCAGGTTGATATTTGTCCTCAGGCTGCCATTCTGCAACTTCTAGATTCAGTAGACTCAGCCCCTAAATAAAATAGGGTATGTTGGTCAAGCAGTGTTGAATTTAGCAAGTGTCAGGATGTGCTGGGCACTGGGGATAGATACACCATTGAGAAAGACAATAAAATGGGCTTGAATCTACCTTCAAGGTCAGCCCATGTCTGTGTCATGCTTGGAGCCAAACTTCACTGCAGTTTCCTTGTAGCTCACCTTGTCATCCTGTCATGGCCTGAGAGAGGCTGTCATTCAACTTCAGCCATAGGGATGTATACCTTATAAGGAAAAGAATCTGTAAGAACTTGGTAAGTTTATTTGGGAATAAAGGACTAAAAGGAAGAAGGAGTAATTTGGGGAAATAAAGGAAAGTTTGTAAGGAACTAAAGGTACATTCTAATGAAAGGGAAGAAATGATTACTGGAGGATAGGAACTAGGTTAGGCAAAATGACTTGTGCCAAATTGTTACTTACTCTGCCTGTGTTTTGATGTAAGTAGTTAATTAATAGTGATTGTAGAAATGGGCAACTGTTCTTTGACTTCTTTTATCTCACTGGCTTTAGCGTTTTAATGAACAGTCCTTAGAGAGAGAAAGATATCTAGCAGGCTGTTGTCATTTCAGTGATAGAATAAATATTTTGCAGTTATTTCCAGAGATGGGTAGTGTAAAACTATTTCTTCAATAGTTTGCATGAACCTTTCTTTTGTTTTTGTTTGTTTGTTTGTTGAGACACAGTCTCATTCTGTTGCCCAGGCTGGAGTACAATTGCATGATCTTGGCTCACTGCAACCTCCGCCTCCCAGGTTCAAGCAGTTCTCCTGCCTCAGCCTCCCAAGTAGCTGGGACTACAGGCATGTGCTACCACACCCGGCTAATTTGTTTTTTTAGTAGAGACAGCGTTTCACATTATTAGCCAGGCTGGTCTCGAACTCCTGACCTCAGGTGATCTGCCCATCTTGGCCTCCCAAAGTGCCAGGATTACAGGTGTGAGCCACCGTGCCCGGCCCACATGAGCCTTTCTTAAACTTAAAAAAAAATTAATTTGAACATGTAACCCAGGAAATGTTCATCCCACCATGCTGTGTAGGTATTTTTAACACACTTAAATCCCTTTTCTGTTCCCAAAAGGCCCTGGTCTATCTTCCAAAGCTAATAAGTCATGTTGATATTTTGATAATAACATCAAGGGGCACCTTAAACTATAGTTCTTACCTTGTGAAATAGTTGGAAAGAGGGAGAGTGCACTGAGTCTTGTTAGACCCAAAAAGTACTTATGCAGCCATTGTTAAGAGCAGAACAGATAGAACTGGACTCTGGGCAGTAGCCAGTTGGGCATGCAGGATGAGTCACTGTGTTTCCAAGGCGAGAAGCAGTAGCAGATGAACACAGGTCACAGACATCAGGACCTGTACCAGCAAGATCAGCCAGCAATGAGGAGACCTCAAAAATGCCGCAGCCCTTATTCTCAACAAGCGATTAAAGACAACCAGATCTCCTGGGGCAAGGCAGATCCCCTGAGGGAGAGAAGAGTATGTGTCCCTTCTTGAAATGTTCAATGCAAGTTCAAAATGTTCCCAAGTGATGTTCAGACCAAAGAGACAGCCCACAGGCCATAAATGTGCAGCTCCTGTGCATTAAGTGGGCATGCTGAATTCAGTCCAAGGCCATTCTCTAACCTGAAGGATTTGAGTACAGTGTATTTCAAAAAAACTGAGGCACCTCTGAAAATATAACTTAACTGCGGAATTTCTAAAAACTCAAAATAAATCGACAGCTCTTTAATGAAGTAGAATTTTATTACAGAATTTCACAAAGAACTTAATATCTAAGTGTAAAGATAGAAAGCATTGAAATTCATTAGCATCTATAAATACAAGATGATTTTCTCATACCTACCTCTACCACAACCCTAAATCAAAACAATTTCTTATGAAGCTTCAGTTTTCCCAGAGGTAAATTCCAGTACAATATTTGGCATGCTATTAAGTGAGTGGGTGCTGAAATCCTACTTCGTTTTCCTTTTCTTTCAAAGAAGGAAAATAAGGACTGTGCATATCGAAAATCAGCGTTTCTAGGAAGTTGAAAGTTTGGGACAGTCTTCTTGGACACTCAATCCTAAATACATGAAAGGCAGCTACTAGCGCAGCCAAGGCTGTAACACAGTCGTCCACCTTTGTGAGCCTCTCCCTTTCTAAATATAAAGAAAATTCGCAGACCTCCATGTTGAAAGGGTTTTTAACTTCCAACACAGGTGTGGACACTTGCACCTGAAAAAAAGAGTGGAGTCATTACCATGATACGTAAAATAGCTAAATAATAAAACATCTGAACTTAATCATGGTATTACAATAAATCAGCTTGTTGCAATGTAGCATATTTGTAAATATGACAAACATACTTCAAAATAGACCACCAACTTTGCTTTTAAATAAGTTATCGCGGTTGGGCTCAGTAGCTCATGCCTGTAATCCCAGCACTTTGGGAGGCCAAGGCAGGTGGATCACCTGAGGTCAGGAGTTCCAGACCAGCCTGACCAACACCGTGAAACCCCGTCTCTACTAAAATACAAAAATTAGCTGGGCGTGGTGGTGCATGCCTATAATCCCAGCTACTTGGGAGGCTGAGGCACGAGAATCGCTTGAACCAGGAGGTGGAGGCTGCAGTGAGCCAAGATCACGCCATTGTACTCCAGCCTGGGCAAAAGAGTGAGACTCCATCTCAAAAATATAAGTAAATAAATAATATAAATAATCGCATGAAGATGTAAAATGTCAAACTAGTGGCCATTCACATACTACATACCTGTTCATTCATGATGACAAAAAGGCTGGGATCATCCCCAAAAACATCTGGGAGGAGTAAACATGTGGCTGTCATCTTCATGTCTGTCAAAGCAAATATGTTAACATGTGAAGTAAAAATAAGCTTTTAGCAATTGTAAGCTAAGCTAGTATTGAAACATCTGGATTTTTTGTTACCTTGGACAGAAAACAAACTAGCCTTCTTAGATCAATGTTTCACACCTTTTTAAACCATACCCTCTTCTAATAAAACATTCAAAATCTCGTATCTGCCCTCCAGAGCACTTCCAGAAGACAAGAGTTCTGTACTGTCTGTCCATCAGCCAGGAAGAATTTATGCTGCCCCTTGTGATTTGTATTGTAAAATTAACTGGTTACTAGTTCCCTAAATATAATTTTACAATATCCAGTATACTTTTAAAATCTATACCTCTCCTCCTCCTCTAATTGGAAAAATTCTTTTTTTTCCCCACCAGTTGTTTCACTTATTACTTAAATATTGAAAATTATTATTAAATATATTTTAGTAATGTAAATTTTTAATTTTTAAATATATTTTTAAAACTCAATAAATGTAAACTACTGAATTTTACTGACTACCAAAGCATAACTTTTCTAGATATTCTGATAAATAACAGATGAAATCACACCACTCCATAAGGTTTACTAACATTTCAACATGTCTTCATCTGTGTAATGTTTCATTTTTTCTTGCAATACAATATTGATTGGATTGTCCACCACTGAAAAAGAAGTCAGTATATTTTCTGAATAGGATTCCAAAATGTGCCTTGTTTTCTTATAAATATCTGTTCTTGTAAGAAGTTGGAATTCTCTGAACATCTGACAAAAGAAGAAAGCAATGGATACATCAGATCACAAGAAAAGCTAATATATAGAATGTAAAGACATAAAACCTTTAGAATTAAGCTTTGAATGCTGGTTTACACTAAGTACTCAATATTTTAGAAGTTTTAGTGGAGAATTAAAGCCTTAGGATGAGGGAGGAGAAAAGAATGAAAGCCTGAAATGAATTTGAAATGATAAATAATGGGCATGGCAAATTTCTAAACCTACAGAACTAAAACTTTGGATGCAGACTCAACTAAATGAGGATTCAAAGGGTGTATGCATATGCAGGCTATTTGGGTTACCCAGCTAAGGTTCTAAGATCTTACATTTCTTTAGGTGACTACATTGTTATGTCTTGTTCAACAAGCAGCAAAGAACAAAACTGTTAGATTTTAGGAAGCAAGCCCTGACAAATACTTAACCATAGTATCCTAAATTTAGGTAAAGGAGAGTGCTTTAGAAACTAAGAGTAGACAGAGGTAAACAGTGAAAAACGATATATGGCTGGGCACGGTGGCTCATGATTATAATCCCAGCATTTTGGGAGGCCAGGGCAGGAGGATCACTTGAGCCCAGGAGTTTGAGACCAGCCTGGGCAACACAGAAAAACCCTGTCTCTACAAAACACAAAAATTAGCTGGGCATGGCAACATACGTGTATAGTCTCAGCTACTCAGGAGGCTGAGGTGGGAAGATTGCCTTAGCCCGGGGAGATCGAGACTGCAGTGAACCGAGACTGTGCCACTGCACTCCAGCCTGGGCAACGTAGTGAGACCCTGTCTCAAAAGAAAAGAAAGAAAAAGAAACAATGTATGTGCAGATTTGACTACAAGTTCAAAGCAAAACCAGTTTACTTTATGGAAGTCCCTTTCCTCAAACTACCCCATCCTACCACTGCCTGAACTCTTCCCCCTCAGAGGATTCCACCACCACTCCCCCTCCTGTTTTTGACAGTGGCATTATCAGATTATTAGCCACCCACACTCCAGTGAATTAATTTAGTCATTGCTTTTCCTAAAACTATAAAGAACAATCACATACTACCCACTGGGCCTCATTGTTCCTTGAATGTTTTGGTAGATCATAAATTGCCTAGAGATTAGGTCTGAAAGTTAAGTTGTCAGAAAGCTGGAATGCATAAGGCATAGTGGCTTTGTTACCAGGCAACCCACAGTGGACCACTAATCTAGATTAATACCGTTAGAAAACCGTTTTCTCAGCAGGAAGATGTGAAGGGAAGGATGAAGGAGGTGAATACGCCACTGTTCTGGGCTCATAGCCTAAGAATTTCTTTTCTGACTTTTTATGTTTTGAAATAATTTCAAGTTTGCATTAAAGTTGCAGAAATAGTAAACAGAACTTACAAGTGCCCTCTGTGCAGCTTCCCCCAATTTCTGATCCAGTTGAAAATGAGCTGTAGATACAATGCCCCACTATTCCTTAATACCTCATTGTGTATTTCCTAAGTACAAGAGCACCCAAATTCAGGAAAATCTACTACACATTCCATTCAAATTTGCCAGTTGTTCCAGTCATATTCTTAACAGGCCCAGGATCTAATCCAGGATCCCATATGAGATTTAGATACCACGCCTCTCTAGTCTCCAGTCTGAAACAACTTGTTAGTTTCCTTGACGGTTTCTGAAAAGTGGAGGCCAGTTACTTTGTAGAACATTTCTCCTTGGAAGTTTTATGATATTTCAAGATTTATGCATTTCTGGCAAGAATATTAGCATTTCTCACTGTGTCCGGAAGCACAAAATGGTAACTGGTCCCAGTATTGGAGATAATTTTTATTACTTGATTAGAAATGGAATTCACCAGGTTTTTCCACGTAAAATTAATATATGTTGTATTTTATGAGGAGATACCTTGAGTTTATGTCAATATCTTGTTCCTTGTATAACTTTGATCCATCAGATTCCACATCCATTAATGATTCTTGCCTGAATCAAGTACTACTACAATAGTTGCCAAATGGTGACTTTTCTAATTCCTTTCTTTCTACATGGATTAGTTGGCTTTCTATTTTAAGATAGTTTCTTTTCTTCCACATATATTTACTTACTTATTTCTATCACTACAGGTTAATCAATTCCCATTTTACCCAAACGGTTACAAATCTGATCCTTTCATTATTTATAGAATTGCTCGAATTGCCCAGACTTGGCCAGTAGGAGTCGCTTCAAACAGACTGCCGTGCCCTCTTGGCATGTCCTTATTAGTGTGCAAGCACTTCCTTCATTTCTGGCATTACACAGTATTTCAGACTCGTCTTGACTCGTCTTGGTTTGTTGTTGTTGTTTTCATTTTTGTTTTGCCCCCAACCCTGTAGTGAGCTATTTCTCCACGAACCCTAATTCCTTTTCATGAAGAATGGCTTTAAAAACTAAGATTTCAGGCCAGGCACTGTGGCTCATGCCTATAATCCTAGCACTTTGGGAGGCCAGGGCAGAAGGATCATTTGAGCCCAGGAGTTTGAGACCAGCCTGAGCAACATGGCGAAATCTGTCTCTACAAAAAATACAAAAATTTGCCAGGTATGGTGGCACATGCCTGTAGTCCCAGATACTCAGGAGGCTGAGGTAGAAGGATCACCTGAGCCCTGGGAGGCCAAGGCTGCAGTGAGCCATGATCATGACACTCCAGCCTGGACAACAGAGAGACTTTCTCAAAAAAAACCCAACCAAAAAAAACCAAGATTTCAGCCCTGGTGTGCAACTTGCTACGGAGATGTTATTGCTTTAGACTTTCTCATAGAAGAAATCTAGGAAATGTTTGAATTTACATAAACAAAGGCACCCGTTGATCCAGAAACACCAATAACTATATATGTAAATATTAAATAGCCATACATAAAGACTAAAACCATGAATTCACATTGATACTTTCAATTCCAAACCAATACCACAGGGCTTTTCCTAACCTTCCCCTTCCCAAGCTTCTAACTCTCTTCAACAGTGAGATTCCTGGCTCCCATTATATCTCAGTGTATTTACTTATGAGCACTAACATCTGTGTAGCCAAGCTCCCAGCTGTGAATGGTCAGCCACAGGAAAGCCTCCAACACTTATACACTGCTAGTGGGAATGTAAATTAGTTCAGCCACTGTGGAAAGCCGTTTGGAGATTTCTCAAAGAACTTAAAACAGAGCTACCATTTGACCCAACAATCCCATTACTGGGTATATACCCAAAGGAATATAAAGAAAGACGCATGCACACATATATTCATTGCAGCACTATTCACAATAGCAATAACATGGAATCCACCTAGATGCCCATCAATAGCAGACTGGATAAAGAAAATGTACATGTACACCATGGAATACTACATAGCCATAAAAAAGAATGAAATCATGTCCTTTGCAGCAACATAGGTGTAGCTGGAGGCCATTGTTCTAAGCAAATTAATGCAGGACTAGAAAACCAGATACTGCATGTTCTTTCTTATAAGTGGGAGCTAACCACTGAGTACACATGGACACAAAGAAGGGAACAATAGACCCCGGAGTCCACTTGAGATTAGAGGGTGGGTGGAAGGTGAGGATCGAAAAACTACCTATCGGGTATTATGCCCGCTACCTGGGTGATGAAATAACCTGTACACCAAACCCCCACGACATGCAATCTACTTATATAACAAACCTGCACGACGTATCCCCTGCTGAACCTAAAAGTTGGAACAAAAAGAAAGCCCCCCTTTTCACAACCCCAGATTATGTCCTACAAATTAATCATCTTAATCCTTTTTCTTTCTGTTACTCAGACTGGATAATTTCTATTAATCTATCTGCAGATTCACAGCTCCTTTCTTTTCATTTTCCAATATGCTTTTAAGCCTACGCACATGGTGATGTTTTCATTTCAGATAACTGTTCTTTTCAGCTCTGAATTTCAATTTGGTTCATGTGTGTGTGTGTGCGCGCGTGTGTGTGTGCGTGTATTTCATTTCTCTGCTGAGATTCCCTATGGTGATGATACATGGAATTTACTGGTCTTATCCTGTTCCCCACCGTCCTGTCCTGAAGCAGCTGGCTTGCCAGACTGGTGGAGTGGCCTGTTGAAGACTCAGTTACAGCACCAGCTAGGTGGCAATACCTTGTGGGGCTGGGACAAGGTTCTCCCAGGCTGTATAAGCTCTGAATCAGCATCCAGCATACAGTGCAGTTTCTTCCATAGCCAGAATTCATGGGTCCAGGAACCAAGAGTTGGAAATGGGAATGGCGCCGCTCACTGTAACCTCTAGTGATCCACTAGTGGGGAGTCTGGATTAAATTATGTTCCTTTAAAGGGTGTTAAATTTTGTTCTGATAGGCAGATAAATTATGGTGGATCTTCTGGTCCTGTCAGACTTGATTTTATCATTTCTTTCGGCAATTCTGTTTTGTTGTTTGTCCTTAGTCCTAGCTAAGGTCCTGGCTCAAACTTAGGCATGGTTCTCACTCATGAGGCATTGTTTTCTGGAGTCTCAGATGAATGCTGAGGTGTTCTGCAGGGTCTCTACACACTGGGCCAGAATTCTTTTTTTTTTTTTTTTGAGACAGAATCTCACTCCATCGCCCAGGCTGGAGTCCAGTGGCACAATCTCGGCTCACTATAGCCTCTGCCTTCCAGGTTCAAGCCATTCTCCTGCCTCAGCCTCCTGAGTAGCTGGGATTACAGGTGTGTGCCACCACACCCGGCTAATTTTTGTATTTTTAGTAGAGACAGGGTTTCACCATGTTGGCCAGGCTGGTCTCGAACTCCCGACCTCAAGTGATCTGCCTGCCTCAGCCTCCCAAAGTGTTGGGATTACAGGCGTGAGCCACCACACCTAGCCTGAATTCTTATTAGCAACACTGTGTGAAGTCTCGGCTCTCAGCCAAGGATCCCCAGGGGATCCGTGTGTAGACTTCGGCCCAGCCCACTTTCCTCCAGTGCCTGTCCTACAAAGGCCAGCTGCTTCATCATTCCTCAACTTTAATCTCTTCCTGTGCAGCTCCATGAGACCTCCGCATGCTGCTTGCCTCCCACCATTCTGTACAGTGAGCTAGAAAGTAACCCATGCACAAAACTGAGGCACATCTTATGTCTTTCCGTTACCAAGGATCAGGGTCCTGCATTGCCTGTACCTTAATGCCTGAGTGCAGTTGCCTCATACATATTTTTTTTTTCCAGCTTTATCCATGTTAACAGTGGGAAGACTAGACCAGTACCAGTTACTCCATTTGGGCCAAAACCAAACTCAAATTCTTTATTTTTTAAATTTATTTATTTATTTATTTTTAACACGGAGTTTCACTCTTGTTGCCCAGACTGGAGTGCAGTGGCGCAATCTCGGCTCACCGCACCCTCCGTCTCCCAGGTTCAAGCGATTCTCCTGCCTCAGCCTCCTTAGTAGCTGGGATTACAGGCATGTGCCACCACGCCCGGCTAATTTTGTATTTTTAGTAGAGACAGTGTTTCTCCACGTTGGTCAGCCTTGTCTCGAACTCCTGACCTCAGGTGATCTGCCCGCCTCGGCCTCCCAAAGTGCTGGGATTACAGGCATGAGCCACCATGCCTGGCCGATTTTTTTAATTTTTTGAGACTTTATTAGCTGGCGATTCTCACGTACTTCACTTAAAGAGATGATGATTGAAATTGTTTCTCAGGAAGGCAGAAACTATGGCATCTGAAAGGATTTTTTGGAAAATTTGGGGAAGGGTTTCAGTTTGTGTTTGGTATTTTCCTTCTCAACTCCCTCCTACTTGTCTTGTGCAACATCCAGTAGATCCCAGTAACACATTCCTAGTTGATAATATTTTAGATAATCTAATAAAGTAAATGGTTACATTCTGAATTTTTAAATGCCTTGTTGAAAGAAAGTTTTTTGAGGAAGGAGGTTAATGAGCATGGAGGTGATGGGGGGTCAGTGTTAACAGCCAGGACCACCGCCCACCCCGGCTGCTGCTGTTCTGCCACCCTGTCTCCACCAGCTCCCTAAGCACTCAGTGTTTTCACAATGGCAGGAGCAACAGGCGGTGGGGGTGGTTTGGTGCAGGGACAACTGTCCTCTTACGGGATCATTTGTTAACTAGGTATTTGCGAGGTCAAACTTGCTTTTATTTTAGGAGGCACACAAGAGTTTTATAAATTGGAAATCCCAGCTGCCTAGGGCTGAGTCAGGGAGGTACTTCCTGGAAAAACCGAAAATGATTCGTTCTTTTGTCTAAAACAATCAGGTCGGGCACGGTGGCTCACAGCTGTAATCCCAGCACTTTGGGAGGCTGAGGCAGGTGGATCACCTGAGCTCAGGAGTTCAAGACCAGCCTGACCAACATGGTGAAACCCCATCTCTACTAAAAATATAAAAATTAGCCAGGCGTGGTGGCGTGCATCCGTAGTCCCAGCTACTTGGGAGGCTGAGGCAGGAAAATCACTTGAACCTGGGAGGCAGAGGCTGCAGTGAGCCAAGATTGTGCCACTGCACTCCAGCCTGGGCGACAAAGTAAGACTCTGTCTCAATAAATAAATAAATAAATAAATAAAACAATCAACAGGCAACTCTATTCAATAAGTACAGTCATTACAAAAACCATACTCCATATTTTGGATATAAAGGGTGAAATACTTGAGGAATGGTGCGGAAGATACACCTATGCCACAGCAGGAGGCCTGGACAAAAGCACAGGGGACAGCATCAGGTCTGAAATCTCTCTGCTCCTCACATAAGCTATGACAGACCTCCACCTTACTGTCACCAATGGTTCTTTGAAAAGCTGCTTAACATAGTCCATTTATATTCATCACTAAGCCTTTGTAGGCCACACTCCAATGAAGACCCCTAAGGCTACGACATTAGTGATCACAACAGCCTTACCAACCTCCACTAATTCACTCAGCATTCACAAAATCAAGATTACATTGCTGTGTCACACGTGGTGCTCTGCTAGGCACTTTGGGAACTGTTAATATTAACACGTGCTCCCTACATGTAAGGAGTGTATAGACCGTAAGTTTGACAGGCTTTTGCTTTAAAACTGTATTTTGCAGATGTGTCCATTTGGCATACTTTTCTAACAGCCAGAGATGACTGGCTATTACAGTTCCTTACAACCTGAAGATTAAGGGGAAACAAGCGAAAGCCACAGTATGGTTGCTGAGAGGATTAGGTAGATTAATCCGTGGAAAGCACTGAGAACATGCTGTTACAGAGAAGCATTCAGATATTTGCTACTTATGTTTCTATTAAAATAATACAGGCAATTCTTATTTCCCTTTGCTCAGAAGAAAAATATGTAGATGTTTCATGTTTAATTTGGTTAATTGAATACATAGAATTTCTCCATGAAATATGTTCTCGGGTAAAACCTTTGATGATCTTTCATTATATACCACCACCAAAAATTACACTAAAATTGTGAAAGAACCTTGAATGGCCACTCTAAGTGAACTAAATGGAAGGGTATTTGATTGATTTACCCATTAAATTTCATATATATATATATATATTTATTTATTTATTTATTTTTTAAAATTTGAGACAGGGTCTCACTGTGTCACCAAGCTGCAGTACAGTGGCTCAGTCATGGCTCACTGCAGCCTTGACCTCCCCAGGTTTAGGTGATCCTCGTGCCTTAGCCTCCCAGAATAGTTGGGACTACAGGCACGCACCACTAAGCTGGGGTAATTTTTGTACTTTTAGTAGAGATGGGGTTTTACCAGGTTGCTGAGGCGGGTCTTGAACTCCTGGGCTCAAGCAATCCACCCACCTCAGCCTCCCAAAGTGCTGGGATTACAGGCATGAGCCACCATGCCTGGCCCTAAATTTCATATATATTTAAGGACACTTATGAAATTATTTGGGATCATAAAGGAAACGTATTTTTACTAAGGATGCATAATAACAGTTCCTTAATAAACTACCTTGATTACATAAAAGCATGAAAGGGAATAATGATTCACACTGTCAAAATACCCCTAAGTGATGATCCGCCACCCTCCACAATATGTCCAATGACAGAGAACTCTTTAGTTCTGAAGGCAGCTGGTGCCTATTATCTGAATATGCTACTGAAATTCTTTTTTTTTTTTTTTAATTTTTCCTTTTTCATGGTTAGGAAAGAGGGTGGGTGGGGAGGGTCTGCTTCCTGAAATTCCTATCAAATGGCTCTAGTTGCAGCCTTTGGGCCTCACACCCCACTGAGATTCACCCCCACTGTCTTGCTATGTTGTCCTGTTACCACTCCAAGAGGAAAGAGGGAAAAATCCATTTGGACACTGTAATCCCAGCACTTTGAGAGGCTAAGGCAGGCAGATCACCTGAGGTCAGGAGTTCAAGACCAACCTGGTCAAGATGGTGAAACCCCATCTCTACTGAAAATACAAAAACTAGTTGGGCATGGTGGCACACACTTGTAGTCCCAGCTACTCAGGAGGCTGAGGCAGGAGATTCGCTTGAACCTGGGAGGCAGAGGTTGCAGTGAGCTGAGATCGCAGGCCATTGCACTCCAGCCTGGGCGACAGAGCAAGACTCTGTCTGAAAAAAAAAAAAAAAAAAAAAAAATATATATATATATATATATATATGTATGTATATATAATATTAAAATATGTGTGTGTGTGTATATACATATATATGTGTGTGTATATATATATAGAATAAAGATACCTGATAAGGGCACTTCAAGAAAGGAAACAGTTTAAGAATGTCCTTCAGAGGTGTTCGGCTGCCAATCATCTTTCTTCTTATTTCCAAAGTTTGGCTCATTCTCTTGTCAATTTCTCTCCAGTCCTTTTCTGTTTTCACGTATTCTTGCTGGAACCACTTAATATGTTCATCTAGCTCAGAATCAAAACAAACAGCTTCTTCCTGCAAAACATTTTCAACATATCAATGGATTCCATGTTTCTATAAAAACTTGAATTTCAGGCTGTTATTGCACACTCTTAACTCATTCCTAAGGTGAGTATCACCATACCTGGTTACACTTGACATTGAGCATAACTAATAAATGGACAGTCTTTAATGACAATAAATTAGATAGTTAATTACTTATCATGGAATTATAATCTATTCTCTTGAAAGATCTAAAAGAGTTACTTTAATTCCTACGTTATCCTTTTATATAGAGACAGATTATCCAGAAGGTTCCCACTGAATCAAATGTTGCTCATTTCTATGCATTTCAATTTTAGAAGATAAAATGTTAAGAAGATATTTTTAAAAGTATTAAGGTTTTGTTATTACTATTATCTTTTTTCTTTTTAAATGCCTTTTTATAGCTGCAGTACCATGCCATATAATCCAAATTCAAAATAATAACAGTGGTTATTTTCTGATGCTAAATCATTAAACTAATAATTTTATTCACTATACAACTGGGTACGTTGGGCGGAGTGGGGGCAGCTAAGAAACACCTCACTTATTCTTGTTGAAAATCTAAGACAATCAGCTTTGAGGAAATAAGAAAAATATCTTTCTAGAAATATGAGTTAAGAGGACAGTCAGCTGAACTGCATGCAAATCAAAGTTGATCAACTGTCTAGCTGACCAGAATGTGAACAGATGATACCTATAAAAGACGAAAAAGGTGATAAGGAATCTACAATCCTCTTATATCAAGGCTTTTACAAGCACATAGGAAAGCCTCAGTAGATCTACTTTCTGTGAACACAGAATGACTAACAAGACCTAAACCAAGTGAAGGAACGCCTAGAAAAATAAAATTATCAAAATTAAGAAGAAGTTCCTATAATCTTATACAAATTTAGTTGGAAGATAAAAGTCTTTCCACAAAGAAAATACCAAGAAAGACTTGAGGGTTTTACAGACAAAATCTACTTAACTTTTGAAACAGAGTGTTCAAATTTATGCAAAATTTTTCAAGAAAAAGGAAAGGAGGCCAGGCATGGTGGCTCACACCTGTAATCCCAGCACTTTGGAAGGACGAGTCAGGAGGATCACCTAAAGCCAGGAGTTCAAGACCAGCCTAGCCAACATAGCGAAACCCCACCTCTACTAAAAATACAAAAATTAGCCGACACAGTAGCATGCACCTGTAATCCCAGCTACTTGGGAGGCTGAGGCATGAGAATTGCTTGAACCGGGAAGCAGAGCCGAGATCACACCACTGCACTGCAACCTGGGAGACAGAGCAAGACTGTCTCAAAAAAAAAGAAAAGAAAAAAAAGGAATACTCTCTAACCCATCCTTTGAAGCCTCTATGACACTGATCCCCAAACCTGAAAGAACAGTGTAAGAAAGGAAAAGTGCAGTCACTCTCGTTCATGAACAAAGTTGCAGATATTAGAAACAAGGAACAACTAACTTGAATTTATTATACCTCAGAAACTCAAGGGTAGTTTGACATTGGTAAGGGAACTATAGCAAATTAAAAGAAAACATGATTGATTTACCCATTACGTTTCACATACTATCATACTAAAATCTCAGTTTGGGGGCCACTGTTATAGAAAGATTCGGGGCAGAAAAGAGGTAGGTTTTGAGAAACGTGGTGTATGAACAGTATGATTGTTGGGCACAGCAGCTCACACCCAGTAATCCCAATACTTTGGGAGGCTGAGGCTGAGGGTTACTTGAGGCCAGGAGTTTGAGAGAAGCCAGGGCAACATAGCAAGGCTCTATCTCTACAAAAACAATAATAAATGTTGGGAGGCCGAGGCGGGTGGATCACCTTAGGTCAGGAGTTTGAGACCAGCCTGGCTAACATGGTGAAACCCTGTCTCTACTAAAAATACAAAAAAGTAGCCAGGTGTGGTGGCACATTCCTGTAATCCCAGCTACCCGGGGGACTGAGACAGGAGAATCGTTTGAACCTGGGGGACAGAGGTTGTGGTGAGCCAAGATGGTGCCACTGTGCTCCAGCCTAGGCAACAGAGTGAGACTCCGTCTCAAAAAATAAATAAATAAATAAATAAATAAATAAATAAATAAATAAATAATAAAATTACAACAGTTCCATAATTTTACTTGGATTATCTAAACATGTGTAAACGTCATATACTGCATTAATTAACTAATTAAAGATGAAAAAACATGACCATTTCAAATAACGCAGAAAAAGTATCTTATAATATCCCTCTATGATTAAAGAAAAAAACTTTTGTCAAAATAAGAGAAATTTTCAAAACCTATAAAGTTATATACCAAAAACCTAGAGCTAACATATTTTTTTTTTTTGAGACAAGGTCTCACTCTGTCACCCAGGCTGAAGTGCAGTGGCGTGATCACAGCTCAGTGCAGCCTCAAACTTCCAGGCACAAGTGATCAACTGTCCCAACAGATGGGCCTACAGGGCCATGCCACCACATCTGGTTAATTTTTGTATTTTTTGTAGAGACAGGTCTTGCCATGTTGCCCAGGCTGGTCTTGAACCCCTGGGCTTAAGTGATCTGCTACCTTGGCCTCCCAAATTGTTGGGATTACAGGCATGAGCCACCACGCCTGACAGATATGATTTTTAATGGTGAAATTTTAAAAGAATAATCTTTAAAATCAGAAGCAACACAAAGGTGCTTTATTAAACTCTTACTCAGCCTATACTGAAATTCTAGTCAGAGTAGTAAGACAGGAAAATAAAAGGTATAAAAATTGAAAAGATAGAAACGAAATTGTCAATATTCATAGATGATGTGATTGTTCAAGAGAAAACTTAAAATCATGCATATGTAATTTGTTACAGCTGAGTTTTTCAGAGCAACTGAATACAAGATAAATATTCTAACATACGCTAACATAGAAAATACAATTTTTTACAATTATATTTTGCAAAAAAAAAAAATTAAATTGCAAAAAAAACCTTATAAGATACCTAGGAATAAAACTAACAAAAAATGTGGA
Source organism: Homo sapiens (assembly GCF_000001405.40). Classification (NCBI taxonomy): domain Eukaryota; kingdom Metazoa; phylum Chordata; class Mammalia; order Primates; family Hominidae; genus Homo; species Homo sapiens. The sequence continues at coordinate 130,158,017 of NC_000006.12, forward strand.
AGACTTTTAAGAAAATTATGAAACTATAAAATATTAATGAGACTTAAATAAATGGATAGCCTATTATGTTCACAGCTAGCAAGATTCAATATTGTAAGAAAGTCATCTTTCTCCAAGTAGAGCTGCTGATTCAATATTTCTGTCAAAATCCCAAACCTATCAAAAACCACAATTTTTTTTATCAGAACTTGACTAGCTGATTCTAAAACTCATTTGAAAGATTAAAAACCTCAAGAATGACCAAGGCATTCTTAAAGAATAATAAAGCAGTGATGGGAAAGTATCAAGACATTTTACAGCTATGTAAGTAAGGAAGTTGGTATTGATGCAGGGATAGATGACTTTACTAGCGGAAAACAGCAGAGCTTCTAGACACAGAGCCATGGAAACAACAGAGATGGCATCACGAATCTGAGGAAGAGAATGACTATTTTCTGAAAGGTGCAAGAAAATTTTCTATCCATAAGGAAAAAAAAAATCCCATATGGCTTAAGAAGTTAAATTTTAAGAGCAAAAACTTAAAAAAATTTAAAGAAAATATAGAAATATTTCTTATCACTTCAAGGTAAGAAAGGATTTCCTAAAAGTGTTACCAGTGGAGGGCCTTGACTACAAGTTGTCCAGGTTCTTGGCGTTTTGAACAAAGAATTGGAAGAAATGCACAACAAAGCCATGAAATAAAGAAGCAACAAAAATCAGATTTATTGAAACAAAAGTATACTCCACAGAGTGGGAGCGGGCTCAAGCTGGCTGCTCAAGAGAATTTTCTGGGTTTTAAATAGCCTCTAGTGGTTTCCCACTGGTGACTCGGTTTACACCCTATGTAAATACAGGAGAGGCCCACGACCAGTCTGATTGGTTGTGGAAGGTGACCAATCAGTGGCTGAAGTTACAAAATTACACTCTATGCAAATGTCTGATTGGTTGTGGGAAGGGACCAGAGGCTGAAGTGAAGTAGTGAAGTAACAAAGTTATATCCCAATGCAAATGAAGACTAGGCCTGCTACCAGTCTGACTGGTTGCAAGAGGGGACCAATCAGAGGTTGATATGGTTTGGCTCTGTGTCCCCACCCAAATCTCATCTTGTAGCTCCCATAATTCCCACCTGTTGTGGGAAGGACCAGTTGGGAGATGATTGAATCATGGGGGCAAGTCTTTCTCATGCTGTTCTCATGGTAGTGAATGGGTCTCACAAGATCCAATGGTTTTAAAAACGGGAGTTTCTCTGCACAAGCTCTCTGTTTGCCTGTTGCCATCCACAGAAGATGTGACTTTCTCCTCCTTGCCTTCTGACATAATTGTGAGGCCTCCCCAGTCATGTGTAACTGTAAGTTCAATAAGCCTCTTTATTTTGTAAATTGCCCGGTCTCAGGTATGTCTTTATCAGCAGTGTGAAAACAGACTAATACAGAGGTACTTTCCATTTTTCATCTGCCACACAGAGGCGGGTGGGAGATTGCAAAGGGAGTAGCCTCTGGTCCTTTTGTTACCTGGGCATGAAAAGTTGGGGTTTTCCTTTTGATTCAGTTCGAGGAAGTTGGTGCAAATTGGCCTTAGGCTTCCTGCCTTCAGACCCTATTCTCCTGCCTCAGAAGCACTGATCATAAGACAAATGATTGATAACTCTAACTACATTAAAATTGCAACCTTGTCTTTCCTTGTCAAAAGACACCAGAAAGAAATTTAAAAGGCAAGGCACAAACTGTGAGAAGATATTGGGAACAAATATAATTAGTAAAGGAGTAGAATACAGAATATACAAAGGATTTTTACAAGTAAATTGAAAAAAAGGCAGCCTCATAGAAAAATAAGCAAAAGACATGAACAGACACTTTACAGAGGAGGAAACATGAATATTTCATAAACATATGAAAAGATGATCACCCTCATACATAACTAAAATGGAAGCCAAACACAGTACCATTGTATTCCCAATAGATTGGAAGTGGGGTGGTGGCATTGCATGGGGGTGGGGTGAGTGGAAAAGAAATCAGATGATTAACGAGTGCTGCTCAGGGAGCTTAATCATCCAGGAAAATAATTTGGCACTGTCTTACAGAGTTGAATATCTGCACACCCTGTGAGCCAGTGAGCCAGCAAATCCACTCCTAAGTATAAATCCTTGAAAAAAATCTTCACATATGCTTCAAGACACACATACAAGAATAATCACAGCAGCATAGTTCATAACAGCCAACACTGGAAACAAATCAAATATCCGTTAAGAAGAGAAGAGCCAAATAAACTGGTTGCCTGTCACAATAGATTAAACCAACAGGAAAACGAATAAACTACACTCAACTGAACAACCTGGATGAATTCCAGTGACATTACATTGATTGAAAAAAAGGAACTTATCAAAGCCAACATATAGTTTTCATATCATTTTGTAAACCTTAAAAACAAGCAAAACTAGAATTTGTTTTAGGCTGGGGTAGTGAAGGAAAATTCGTGGAAGATGAGGAACTGATCAGATTTTAAGGGATAATAGAATTTGAAAGAAGAAAGGACAGTTCTGGGTGGAGAGACAGGAAGGGCAGAGCATGTTACGGGAATGTTTAGCAGAGCAAATCTGAAGATTGTGGAAAACCATAGACGGCCAGGGTTTAAAGCTGGGACTTAAAGGCGATGAAATCTTTTAATTGAGGTTGGAAGAATAGCTAGGAAACTTGTGAATGCAGAGATAGAGATTTGATATTTCTTTTAAATTATCTAGATTTAGATATATAGAAAGGGAGAAAATTATAGGAGCAGGAGAACCAGGATAATGGATTGTCAACGAAGCCAAGGAGTTTCAAATGTAAAATGTGGAAGGTGGTGAAAAGAAAAATAAAAATCTTTAAGCTTCAGATATGTCAGATCTTCATTTACTTTCAAGCTTTGTTTGTATATGTTTTAAACTGTTGAACATAAAAATGGACTACAGAGGATTTATTCAAATAAAATATGTGCTTGAAAAAAAAACAAGCAAAACTAAGCAATATATCCCTTAAGAATTCATGCATATGTGACAATGTCATTTATTTTTAAAACAGGTGAATGATAAACATAAAATTCAGAATAGTGATTAGTTCTAGAGGCCTGTGGTGTTGGAAAGGCAGGTGACAGGAGAGGGGAGGAAAACTCAGGCACACACAATGGTGCAGGCAGTGTTCTAGTTCTAAAGTTAAATGCTGAGTTAACAGTGTTTATTTTGTCTCATAAACTACATATATGTTACGTATGTAGTTTTTCTTCTGTATGTCTCAAATGCATAGAATGACAATTTCTTAAGTAAGAAAACATTTTAATTTTTTAAAGTACAGAAAAAATGTTTTAATTATCTAAATGGCTTTCTTTCATCTACTGAAATATAGTAGAAGTTATATAATTGCTGATATTGACATTTAGATATTACTGTATTTATAATGTACTACTTCCTCCAAAACTCTTACCCAATCATGAAAATAAAGTTTCTAGATAACTTCCACCTGATCAGACTGATGGGATTAACACAGTGTTGGTGGGTTGTATTCTAGACTGAAGTGATTTTCCTAATTATTAAAAAGCTACATCAGAATTTAAAATTCTCACCATTTTAATGATTTACATATTGTTAGATTTATATATTGTTAGATATACTGTTAATGATTTATATATTATTAAAGCTGGAAAGAACTTAGAAACCACCTAGTCCATGCCTCACACTTTACTGATGGGCAAATTGAGACCCTCAAAGGGGAAGTGACTTTTCCAAGCACAGAGATGCTCAGGTGTGCAGGTTTCTTTTAGGGTATTTCCTCACTTCTCTAACAGGCTGATTTCTTTAACAGTGCACGTTGAAATGAGGCAACTAGTGAGTAAGAAATGTCTGAATCTTACAGAACAGCAGCTGGAAACAGCTGCTGACTGTTGACTTCAAGATGTCTGTCTCAGCAGACAAAGTTAATGGAGGGCCGTGCTCAAGGAGGAATCAAAGAAAGTAGACATGAAGCACGAAAGAGATCACTTCAGGCCAAGAAATACACTGAAGGGAAGTGTAGGACTCACCTTTGAGATGTGTGACTTTAGAGGAATCAGCGTAAATTAACCAGAACATTAACTTGAGTTAAAGCCAAACAAATTGTATAAAGAGCGTATGCTATGCTTCCTTTACCACACCAGTTTTGGCAACATAGAGTGTGGTCTCTCTACTCCAACACCACAGTAACCTAAGCTCTCACAGAGTTGGTTGTAATAGCAGAGCATAGTTCTAGCCAACTTTTAGTTTAAGCTGACAGCTGGAGCAGAAATAAGGAGGAGAATATTTCTAAGTTTGATTTCAACAGAAGAATGAGTCTGCTTTTGAAGTAGTAAGACGGCATGGTTAAAAATGTAGTTATAGCTTTTTTATCTCCCAGAAATGAATAAAAACTCATCTTGACTTTTATAAAGATAACTTTGTTCTATATTCCACAATCTGAAAAAGTTTACAAAGAGAGTATCTTGTTATGAAAATGGAATAATTCTCTTTAAAAAAATTTTTTTAAGAAAACGGTATCTTGCCATGTTGCCCAAGCTTGTCGTGAACTCCTGGGCTCAAGGCTTTCTCCCATTTCAGCTCCCAAAGTGCTGGGGTTACAGGCATGAGTCACTGCATCTGGTCCCTGAATAATTCTTATAAATACCCTATGAAAAATCTACTTTAAAGGCACTATGTAAATAAAGGTTTCATACCTAAGATTGTGGACTGTAGCTTCTGAACATCACCAGCAAGTAACTGGACATACTCCTGGCTAACTATAGTGTTCTCTGCAAATTGTCATCTCACTTATTCTCTAATTACCCAAGGGGTGTATTTGTCTGAGCTGTCCAGTATGGTAGCCACTAGCCACATGTGGCTTCTGAGCACGTGAAATGTGACTAGCCCAAATTGATATTTCTAATTTTTAACAAATTTAATTGTCATTTTTATTATTTTTTAATAGAAGAGTGGGTTTTGCTATATTGCCCAGCTGGATTCTAACTCCTGGGCTCAAGCAGTCCTCCTGCATTTGCCTCCCAAGTAGCTGGGACTACAGGCATGTGCCACTGAACCTGGCTTTTCTTTTTCCCCCAGAGATAGCCCAAATTGAAATGTAAGTGCAAACACTGTATTTCAACTATTTAGTATGCAAAAAAAAAGAATGTAAAATATCTCATTAAAAATTTTTAAGAATGATTACATGTTGAAATAATATTTTGCATATAGTGAGTTAAATATACTATTAACGTTAATTCCATTTGCCACTTTTTAAAAATTTCTGCTACTAGAAAATTAAAAACTACATATGCAGCACATATTATATTTCTATTGGACAGTGTTGTGTTAGATACTAGGTGTTTCCTCATACCAAATCCCAGTCATCCTCATTTCCAATTCTATTGTCGTCAAGTGTTGACTTGGAAATGATGTACCCCCTATGGAACTTGAACAGTAGCTTAGCTTAGCATTCAGGCATGTGTCTCAGTCAATCAGCAGGCAGAGTTTCACCCATGCAACCTTGCCCCATGTTTCCAAGTGTGCAGCTTACTTGTAAAACTTCGCAGTATTAGTAAATATGCCACCTGCTAATGACAGTAATTGCACTCTATGTAGAATGAAATTAACTGTCAAGATTTGTCTTCAACTTTTGCTGTCTTGTTCAATTTTCTATCATGAGAGAAACATCTGTGGAAAAGGCTATAAAATAATTAGTATTTATGCAATAAATCATTATGTGTCAGGCCTAGTAAAAAACCAACAGTAAGTGTTGTAAGATAAATCCAAAGAAACTTAGTAAATATTCTTAACATTTGACTCACTAGGTAGTTTTTGTGCAACTTTAATTCTATTTTATTTCCAAGCCAAATAAATCTAACACACAAAGCTATTTCATAGCTTTCAAAGCTATAGGGTATATATGTACCCAATAAGTAGGAAAAGAAAATGTTTTAAGAGAGAAATGAATTATAGGTATAGTGTTAATAATTTAACACCTGGTAGTTTATGTGGAAGGCTTTGGAATACAAGAACATCCTAAAAGCATTTATCAAATCCATGCATCAGTATCCTACACATAAAGTAGGTTGAAAAAAAAAAAAAAAGAGGCACAAGTTAACCTCTCTAAAGAAATTGCCATGTTGTTCCAGTATATATTTGATAGAATATTTCACATCAGAATGCGGCAAAATGTTAGGTATTTTTTCCTCTATGTTTCAGACTTAGAGAAATGTCCTTAACATTAAGGTCACAAAGGAGACAATCAATTCCTAGTACTGAGGGCTTAGAAAGAATCTTCAAATAAATTAGCTGTAAAAATGAAAACTAGGTGTTTTTACTTAAAGCAAAATCATTTTTTCCTATGTTCTAAGTGTTCTTATTACAACAAATGGCAGTAACTCTCATATATTTCCCCACGCTAAAGATAGTACAAGGACACAGATTGTAAAACCACAAGGGAGGATGGTAGGACTAGCCTGATCCTCAAAAAATGCCTTCATTGCTTCATGAAGCAGCACAGGCACAGGAGAATCACAGAGAAGTGGATCGAATGCTTGACAGTGTGTTCGGAGTCCCTGGTATTACCTGCAACAGGCAAGATTACACTGCCGCACCTGATAACCCCCACACTTTATAGTGACAAAAGTTTATCACACATATGACATGCCCACCTTGGGTCCTGCTCCTATCCCCCTTACCCAAGGACATGGCTCGATCATCTAGAATGTTGTCAGTTGTCACTAAAAAAAGGGGAAAATGAGGAATTGTATACTGGATCTTTAATGCTCATGTCACATCTGCTCACATTTCATTGGCCAGCCTTGTCACCACACCTAACTTCAAGAGGGTAGAGAAGGACAATCCTGCTGATTGTACAAAGGGAAAAAATTGGTTAAACTGGTAAGTAACAGGGCTGGGAGGGTTACATCAGGAAGATATAGCAATTATAAACTTATATACACCTAACAACAGAGCCCCCAAAACCATGAGACAAAAACTGACAGAACTGAAAGGCAAAATAGACAATTCCAGAATTATAGTTGGAGACTTCAATACTTCACTTTCAATAATAAATAGAACTACTAGAAAGATGATAAACAAGGAACTAAAAAATTCAAACAACTGTTGTTTCTGGAGAAGACAACATACATTGTAAGAACTTGGAATCAGAAATAATGAATACATCATAAAATGAAGACCTCTTAGTGATGAAATTAAAAGAAATTTTGAAGAAACTAATAGGACTGTTACTTATTTAAAACGCTTAAAGCAAAACAGAAACCAAATGTAGATTAAACTAACTGACAAAGATAAAATGATCTATGCACCTACATAACATTAAGAGCTTCCAAATCAAGAAAACTCCATTGCAGTTAGAAAACAAAACAAAACAAAAACCAACAAAAACAAACAAACAAAAAAACACAGAGATAAGCCAAGGCTCCAGCTGAGATGTAAATGGTATTTACATCCTTTGTATTCTGCTTCAAGAAAACAAAATTATTTTCACCAAATATCAAATTTAGAGTGAATTTACCCCATAAAGACAGAGGAGAATCTTTTCAAAGTAGTTGAAAAGATCAGCCATAAATGTAAAGAGCTAGACACCTATACAGTACACATCAAAATTTTTTCAGAAAATTTCTAAAGAATCACTGGCTATTATCAAAGTCAGCTTTTTTTTTCATGGCCAGAAAGTTTATGATAATAGGTTGATAGCTCTACCGGCTGAAAGAAACTTTAGTAATTAAGAAAAGAAAATGCATGCATTAGTCAAGAAAGTATTAAGAAATTAAGCATTTCGGTAAGTATGTTTACATCCTGATGCTTCAAATGGGGCATTTGACAGAGGCCAAGAGGACCATCAAGGAATTTTTTGGTTGAAGAGATCCCCAAGGAAAGGATGAACATCGAGCTATGATGACATGGGGATCCAAGGTCCCGTGCCCCATGTAGACCAGATACGACCTCCTTCATCCCAGGGTCAGGACAGTAAGAGCAGGATCCCTCCACCAGTCCATCTCCATCCAGTTACAGCAGGATGCTTCCCCAAGAGCTAGCCAGAGCTTGTCCTGGTGCTCCCTGTGCTGGCCGATGCTCAGAACCTTCTTTTGGTTTAACACTTCCTCCATTCATGGCACCACAGCCCAGGATGTCATTCTGTGAGAGGGCAGATGCTACAAGGGGGTCCTGGGGGCTGGTTTAAGAGGACTCCCTCTTCCCCTTATTCTGAAAATGAGGATGAACTTACACAGAATCTTCTCCACTGAGGGACTTCCCTGACACAGCATATCTTCCACTGGGCAACAAAAAATGTCTCTACACTAAGTAGTACTAAGTAATAAACACTAAGTAGAAAATGCAATATAGAATGGCATAAGAACAGTCTGTATATGCTGTTAAATAGAGATCTCCACGTAATGAACCACTTTCTCAACACCAGTTACAAAACAGCCCATTTTCTTCATGGGTTTATGGTGCCACTTTTATTGTATATTAAGTTCCCAAATAGACTTGGGTGTATTCTGGGCATTCTCTCTTATTCCACTGGTCTATCAAAGATGAACTGCAGATGACTTAAAGATTTAAACATGAAAGTTAAAATTACAAACATAATAGAAGAAAGAATAAGGGAGTAACTTTGTGACTTGGGGTATGGGAAAGACTGCAGTCTACAAATCAACAAGAAAAAGATGCAAACCCATTAGAAAACAGGCAATGGATCTAAAGAGGTAATTTTCTAGAAGAAATGCAAAAGGCTAACACACATATGAAGAGATGCCCAGACTCAGTAATCCATGGAAATGTAAATCACAGCAAGAATGAAATTATGCTTTATACCTATTAGTCTCAGCAGCATTTTGAAGGCTAGATAATGGTAAGCATTGGCAGGAATACAGGGATCTGCACTGGTGTGGGAGTGAGACTAGCAAAGTCTTTCTGAAGAGCAACTGGTCAAATTAAGTACACGCATGCCTTGAGCCCCATCAGTTCCACTTCTGGATGTGCAACCCAAAGAAAGGACACATAGCTTCATAACCAGGTATGCATAACGGTGTTCTCTGTGGCGCAATTTATAGTGGGAACAGGACTTGAGGCAAGAGTACTCTATAATGGTTAAAATCAATGGACTTGAAATATACACGAATGAATCTTTAAAAGAGTGTCAGTTTAAAAGGTGAAACCGAATGAGGTAAAGAATCCTCATTTATGTTAAATCAAATATACATGAACCCCAAATGACAGAACACATTCTGGAACATTTACAAACAAACAAAAAATACATATGAAACGCTTTAAAATGGTTTCCTACAGTCAGAGGTGGGGAGAAAGGCAGATAGAAATGGGGACAGAAAGGAATAATAAAACCAGAAAAAGATCCAGCACAGGGCAACAGTGATAATGTGCCATGAAGTGAGAAGTTGGATTCATTCAACTTTAACACCTAAGGATTATGACAAAAAAATACTACTGTATAAAGTACAATCTTACATTGCCATGCAGTTCCACACAATTCCTGTAAGCTTTTAAATCCAACATTTTCATTATTTTAACAAGATACTGTCAGTAACTTATGAAATTACTCAGTTAAGTGTACTGGTTTAAGAATCTAATTATATCTGTTTATAAATACACGATGAGGTACAGTAAGACACTTAAGAAAAGAAAGCAGATTTATCAATTCATGGGGCTATACGCTCTCTGGACCTAAAACTAAAAGTCAGATGCATAAGAAGCGATGGCACAGCTGCTGCATTGACTGCACGACCATACATGCAGCCACATGAGGTCTTGAGATTGGAAAGGCATTTTTAAACATTGCAAAATACCCGGCATTATGCAAGATTGGTCTGGGAACATAATGTGGGATTCTGACAAGCAAAGCTATATATATAACATGATGATACGTCTTGCTAGCAGTGGGACATGAGGAACTCAGGTATGTTGACTCACAGGTGGTGCTTTGGCATTGCAGATGCTTCAAGTTTTGCAGCCAAAGAATATAGCCTAAGCAGAGCAAAAATGGCAAAGAGAATGCAGTGGGTGGAGGGTTAGGGACAAAAGATCTGCCCCCTCTGCTCAGACCTGCAGAAGTTCTGCAGCTGCCTGGTCTACCTGTGGAAGCCCATGTGACAGAACTAAGAAATCCACCCTGGCCAGGCGCGGTGGCTCATGCCTGTAATCCTAGCACTTTGGGAGGCCAAGGTGGGCGGATCACCTGAGGTCAGGAGTTCGAGACCAGCCTGCCCAACTTGGCAAAACCCCATCTTTACTAAAAATACAAAAAATTAGCAGGGCATGGTGTTGCATGCCTGTAATCCCAGCTACTCAGGAGGCTGAGGCAGGAGAATCGCTTGAATCCAGGAGGCAGAGGTTGCAGTGAGCCAAGATCATGCAACTGCACTCCAGCCTGGGCGACGAGTGAAACACCACCCAAAAAAAACAAAAAACAAACAAACAAAAAATCCACCTTCTTTCATTAAGACATCTACCTTCAATTCTTTGGTAAATCCCATCAGACCACCAAAGGAAAAAAACAGAAAGAAAATTAAGCAAAACAAAAGAAAATCTCTTCCTCTATTTATCCCTTCCCAAGATCTTCCTCCAGTTTAGCCAAACTCACTTTCTTGCCTTTGAGTGAATGGCCAGACTCCTGTGTCTTGCCTGCATCAACATTTTCGATCTCTGCAGCATAGGAAATAATTTTTTTCTGTATTATAAAAATATTGTGCCCAGTTAAAAAATTTTAAAAGGTGAGAGTTACCCAAGTGTGTCTTAAACATTTTTAATGTTCAGAAATCTTTTTCTTTTTCTTTTTTTCTTGAGACAGGGTCTGGCTCTGTCACCCAGGCTAGAGTGCAGTGGTGCATTCTCAGCTCACTGAAGTCTCAACCTCCCTGGCTCAAGCGGTTCTCACCACCTCAGCCTCATGAGTAGCTAGGACTTACAGGCACATGCCACCAGACCTGGCTAATTTTGTTTAGTTTTTGTAAAGAGGGGGTCTCACTATGTTGCCCAGGCTGGTTTCAATATACGTGACACATGGACTCAAGTAATCCTCCTGTCTCAGTCTCCCAAAGTGCTGGGATTAATGAGCCACCATGCCTGGCTCAGCAATCTTAAAGACATTACAAAGGAGCTATCGACGGAAGAAGTTCAAACCAAAGATTAAAAATAATGTTGGTAATCACTCTGAAAAATAAAATTATATGAGATAAATTCAAATGATGGAACCCCCCCACACACACACACTTCTTAGTGTTTGTACATTTGCTTAATCCCCATGTAGTGTACAAAATACAGAAACAGAGTGTTTCTGTAATATTCCATTATAAATAGTTTTCTCATCCTTTAAAGCTTTTTGCTTTACAGAACATGAGAGCATAAACGGAGAGGCTATAGTCTTCAAAGAATCAGCGATTTGCACTATTTGTAAGGGGGAAAAAAGTTAAATCCTTACTAATTAGATTTGTTTGCCAGCAAAAATGTTGTCTCTGTAGACGTCAACAATGACCACCCTATCGTCTCTTTTTTAGCCTTAGCTGGCAGGAAGGTCAAAACTAAATTCCATTACCATTTAACTGCTAACCCCAATACATTCAATTCCCTGTTCTTTCTGTAGCAAAGGGCCCTGGATTGACCATAGCAGGGTTCATCTTAGGATTCAAGCATGTCTTGGGGGCTAGAAAGGAAAAACCACGAAGAGTGTAGTTCCATGAAGAAGGGACAGAAAATGTGAGTGTACAAGCTGGTTAAAAGATGATGTGTCAACACAAGAGGTGGGCTTGTATTTAGACTCGTGTCCAGGGGTGTGACCTCTTATCCCGCGGACTGACCCTTGAGTTCTAAGGCTGGGGACAACTGCTGGGGACAATTGATTTTACCATTCATCAATTCCGTTGAATTTTGGTGGGAAATACCTCATAGAAAAAGAGGGGAAACTGAATGGAAAGGAACTCCACCTTTATTCTACTGAAAATCAAATGTTTGAGAAAAGTAACTTATGCATAATGTAATGCTGTTATTTTACAAAGTGATTTTTATTTTATTTCATTTTAAGTTTTGGGATACATGTGCAGAAAGTGCAGGTTTGTTAATAGGTACACATGTACCATGGTGGTTTGCTGCACCTATCAACCTGTCATCTAGGTTATAAGACCCACATGTATTAGGTGTTTGTCCTAATGCTCTCCCTCCCCTTGTCCCCCACCGCCAACAGGCCCTGGTGTGTGATGTTCCCCTCCCTGTGTCCATGTTTTCATTGTTCAATTCCAACTTATGAATGAGAACACGTGGTGTGTTTGGTTTCCTGTTTCTGTGTCAGTTTGCTGAGAATGATGGCTTCCAGCTTCATCCATGTCCCTGTAAAGGACATGAACTCATTCTTTTTTATGGCTGCATAGTATTCCGTGGTGTATATGTGCCACATTTTCTTTATCCAGTCTATCATTGATGGCATTTGGGTTGGTTCCAAGTCTTTGCGATTGTAAATACTGGTAGCTTGATGGGAATAGCATTGAATCTGTAAATTACTTTAGGCAGTATGGCCATTTTCATGATACTGACTCTTCCTATCCATGAGCATGGAATGTCTTTCTTTTCCTTTGTGTCCTGTCTTATTTCTTGAGCAGTGGTTTGTAGTTCTCCTTGAAGAGGTCCTTCATGTCCCTTGTAGGTTGTATTCCTAGGTATTTTATTCTCTTTGTAGCAGTCGCAAATGGGAGTTCACTCATGATTTGGCTGTTTGTCTATTATTGGTGTATAGGAATGCTTGTGGTTTTTGCACATTGATTTTGTATCCTGAGAATTTGCTGAAGTTGTTTATCAGCTTAAGGAGTTTTTGGGCGAGATGATGGTGTTTTCTAAATATACAATCATGTCGTCTGCAAACAGAGACAATTTGACTTCCTCTCATCCTATTTGAATACTCTTTATTTCTTTCTCTTGCCTGACTGCTCAGGCCAGAACTTCCAATACTATCTTGAATAAGAGTGGTGAGAGAGGGCATCCTTGTCTTGTGCTGGTTTTCAAAGGGAATGCTTCCAGCTTTTGCCCATTCAGTGTGATGTTGGCTATGGGTTTGTCATAACTAGCTCTTATTTTGAGATATGTTCCATCAATACCTAGGTTATTGAGAGTTTTTAGCATCAAGCGATGTTGAATTTTATCAAAGGCCTTTTCTGCATCTATTGAGATAGGCATGTGGTTTTTGTCATTGGTTCTGTTTATGTAATGGATTATGTTTATTGATTTGCTTATGTTGAACCAGCCTTGCACACCAGGGATAAAGCTGACTTGATTGTGGGGGATAAACTTTTTGATGTGCTGCTGGATTTGGTTTGCTAGTATTTTATTGAAGATTTTTGTGTTGATGTTTGTCAGGGATATTGGCCTGAAATCTTCTGGTACATTGTATCTTTGTTCTCACTGGTTTCAAAGAACATCTTTGTTTCTGCCTTCATTTCATTATTTACCCAGTATCATTCAGGAGCAGGCTGTTCAATTTCCATGTAGTTGTGCAGTTTTCAGTGAGTTTCTTAATCCTGAGCTCTAATTTGATTGCACTGCAGTCTGAGAGACTGTTATGATTTCCATTCTTTTACATTTGCTGAGGAGTGTTTTACTTCCAATTATGTGATCAATTTTAGAATACGTGCTGTGTGGCACTGAGAAGAATCTATGTTCTGTTGATTTGAGGTGGAGAGTTCTGCAGATATCTATTAGGTCCACTTGGTTCAGAGCTGAGTTCAAGTCCTGAATATCCTTGTTAATTTTCTGACTCGTTGATCTGTCTAATATTGACAGTGGGGTGTTAAAGTCGCCTACTATTATTGTGTGGGAGTCTAAGTCTCTTTGCAGGTCTCCAAGAACTGGTTTTATGAATCTGGGTGCTCCTGTACTAGGTGCATATATATTTAGCATAGTTAGCTCTTCTTGTTGCATTGATCCCTTTACCATTATGTAATGCCTTTCTTTGTCTTTTATGATCTTTGTTGGTATAAAGTCTGTTTTATCAGAGACTAGGATTGCAACCCCTACTCTTTTTTTGCTTTCCATTTGCTTTGTAAATATTCCTCCATCCCTTTGTTTTGAGCCTATGTGTGTCTTTGCACCTGAGATGGGTCTCCTGAATGCAGCACACTGATGGGTCTTGACTCTTTATCCAATTTGCCAGTCTGTGTCTTTTAATTGAGGCATTTAGTCCATTTACATTTAAGGCTAATATTGTTATGTGTGAATTTGATCCTGTCATCATGATGCTAGCTGGTTATTTTGCCCATTAGTTGATGCAGTTTATCGCGGCATTGGTCTTTATATTTTGGTTTGTTTTTGCAGTGGCTGGTACCAGTTTTTCCTTTCCATATTTTGTGCTTCCTTAAGGAGCTCTTGTAAAGCAGGCCCAGTGGTGACAAAACCCCTCAGCATTTGCTTGTCTGTAGAGGATTTTATTTCTCCTCCACATATGAAGCTTAGTTTGGCTGGATATGAAATTTTGGGTTGAAAATTCTTTTCTTTAAGAATGTTGAATATTGGACCCCACTCTTTTCTGGCTTGTAGGGTTTCTGCAGAGAGATCTGCTGTTAGTCTAATGGGCTTCCCTTTATGGGTAACCTGGCCTTTCTCTCTGGCTGCCCTTAACATTTTTTCCTTCGTTTCAACCCTGGTGAGTCTGACAATCATGTGTTTTGGGTTGCTCTTCTTGAGGAGTATCTTAGTGGTGTTCTCTGTATTTCCTGAATTTGCATGTTGGCCTGTCTTGCTAGGTTGGGGAAGTTCTCCTGGATAATAACCAGAAGTGTGTTTTCCAACTTGGTTCCATTCTCCCTGTCACTTTCAGGTACACCTATCAATTGTATGTTTGTTCTTTTTACATAGTCCCATATTTCTTGGAGGCTTTGTTCATTCATTTTCATTCTTTTTTCTCTAATCTTTTCTTCATGCCTTATTTCAGTAAGTTGATCTTCAATCTTTGATATCCTTTCTTCCACTTGATTGATTCCACTATGGATACTTGACGAAGTTCTCGTCCTGTGTTTTTCAGCTCCATCAGGTCATTTATGTTCCTCTCTAAACTGGTTATTCTAGTTAACAGTTCCTGTAACCTTTTATCAAGGTTCTTAGCTTCCTTGCTTTGGGTTAGAACATGCTCCTTTAGCTCAGAGGAGTTTGTTATTACCCACCTTCTGAAGCCGTCATCAATCTCATTTTCTGTTCAGTTTTGTGCCCTTGTTGGAAAGGAGTTGCTGTCATTTGGAGGAGAAGAGGAATTCTGGTTTTTGGAATTTTCAGCGTTTTTGCACTGGTTTTTCCTCATCTTCATGGATTTATCTACCTTTGATCTTTGATGACCTTTGGATGGGATTTTTGTGTGGGAGTCCTTTATGTTGACATTGATGATGTTGCTTTTTGTTTGTTAGTTTTTCTTCTAACAGATCCCTCTTCTGCAGGTCTGCTACAGTTTGCTGGAGGTCCACTCCAGATGCTATTCGTCTGGGTATTACCAGTTGAGGCTGCAGAACAGCAAAGATCACTGCCTAGTCCTTCCTCTGGAAGCTTCGTCCCAGAGGGGCACTGGCCAGATGCCAGCCAGAGCTCTCCTGAATGAGGTGTCTGTCGACCCCTGTTGGGAGGTTTCTCCCAGTCAGGAGGCACTGGGGTCAGGGACCCACTTGAGGAGGCAGTCTGTCCCTTAGCAGAGCTGGTGCGCTGTGCTGGGAGAATCCCTCTTGTCAGAATCAGCTGCTCTCTTCAGAGCCAGCAGGCAGGAAGGATTAAAGCCACTGAAGCTGCACCCACAGCTGCCCCTTCCCCCAGGCACTCTGTCCCATGGAGATGGGGATTATGTCTGTAAGCCCCTGAGTGGGGCTGTTACCTTTCCTTCAGAGATGCCCTGCCCAGTGAGGAGGAATCTAGAGAAGCAGTCTGGCCACAGCCACTTTGCTGTGTCCAGCCCAGACCTCCCAGCTCCTTAGTACTGTCAGGAGAAAACTGCCTACTAAAGCCCCAGTAATGGCGGACAGCCCTCCCCCCACCAAGCTCGATCATCCCAGGTCAACTTCAGACTGCTGTGCTGGCAGTGAGAATTTCAAGCCCGTGGTTCTTAGCTTGCTGGGCTCCATGGGAGTGGGACCCACTGAGCAAGACCACTTGGCTCCCTGGCTTCAGCCTCTTTTCCAGGGGATTGAACAGTTCTGTCTCACTGGGGTTCAGGCGCCACTGGGGTATGAAAAAATAGTCCTGCAGCTAGCTCAGTGTCTGCCCAAACAGCCACCCAATTTTGTGCTTGAAACCCAGGGCCCTGGTGGTGTAGGCATACGAGGCAATCTCCTGATCTGCAGATTGCAAAAACTGTGGGAAAAGTGTAGTAACCCAGCCAGGTAGCACAGTCCCTCATGGCTTCCTTTGGCTTGGGGAAGGAGGTCCCTGGCTCCTTGCAATTCCCAGGTGAAGCAATGCCTCACCCAGCTTCTGTTCATCCTCTGTGCATTGGACCCATTGCCTAACCAGTCCCAATGAGATGAAGTGGGTACCTCAGTTGGAAATGCAGAAATTACCCACCTTCTGCATTGGTCTCTTTGGGAGCTAGCTGCAGACTGGAGCTGTTCCTATTCGGCCATCTTGGTCCCTCTCACAAAGTGATTTTTAAGAACATAAAAGATTGCCAAATAAATATGATTCTATCTTATAATTTTAGTTTGTAATTGGAATTTTTCAAAGTTTCTAAAAAGTTTCTTTTAGGGCACCTTTCAGCTGTCTTGTCTTTTTGTCAAAGAACAGTTTTAGAACTATGTTATCTTGACTGACCTATTATTTTGAAAGTCTCACTGAAAATTAGAATAAGATATTTAAAGTACATACTTTCACCCGAGTTTTGCATGATGCATGATGCTGGGATAAGTGGTTTACAAAATATATTTAAAATATTCCTATCCTATGGATCTTATAACTAGCACTAGTAAAACTGAGGTGACTCAATGCTTTGCCCTTTTATTATCCAATAAATATACCAGATGAAAAAGAAAATAGAATATTTACACCAAATACATTCACTAATATAAACATGTTTGTTGAAGAGTTAGGATTTACATATTCACATTGGATCAAGATAGAAACAGAATTGGGAGGACAAGAGATTTCACTTTCATACTTGGTAGTTCAGACATCCTTGTTAAAGAGTTCAATCTACTTTGATAGCAGGGGAAATTTTTGTTTCTGAGGAATTTCGGTGCTCTGAGGTAGAAAAGGAATATATATAGGATCTCAGACAATTGGAATTCCCATGACCTCCCAGGTGCTGAGGGTTGAATCTCCAGGCCCTCCCACGGGCCCTCAGCCTGGAGCTCCCGACAGCCACTTCTGGGTTGGGGTGGAAAGGCTTCAGGACCAGCAGGGAAGGGAAGGCCACAATGGAGTTTTGTATCCATGCATGTGGGTTATTTCTTCCCTGAAACCTGGAGACCAGAGGCTACCTAACTCAGACAATGTGAGTATTAAAAAACTTCCTGTAGCAATAAGAGCATCAAGAACATAAGACGCATTGTAGGATAAGAGCAAAAAAAAAAATTATTCAAGGACTCGAACTTAAGGGTTTTTTGAAGTTTTTGAAGGTTGTGAAAAAAACTGGACACGAGATGTTCAGTAATTGTTTTGGGAATTCTTTTCTTGGAAATATCACGCTCATTGTTAGCCAGGCAAAACAGACTTTCTTGGTTCTTAACTACACTTCAAATTTTAAAAAGGTATCTTATTTTGTTTTAATTATTTTAAATGCTATTATTTATTATCCCTTAATCAATATATCAATCTATCAAGTCATCAGAACATTTAGGAATTCAATCTTACTTTTATCTGGACAAGTTTAATTTCATCAAATCTTATATCAGCAAGAGATTTCCTTGTCTGGCCTCTTCGGTGTCCAAATTTACACTTATTTCTAATCACTTGCTCATCATCTTCTATGGGTCTTCGAACATATTTAAAGCGATCTTTGAGGGCTCGTTTCCATAAAAACTGTAAAATAAAACAGACCAGTTAATCTTCAAGGAGATTGAGATAATCCTATATAAACAATACGTCTATACAACAACAATACATACCTATCATCTTTGGGCTTGAAATTATTTTCACATCATGGTAATAGAAACAATATATCTATCCTTCCTTTTATCCTCACAGCAATCTTGTGACACTGCTACAGAAATTATAAACCCTAAGTTATAGGTAAGCAGACAAAGTCACAGAAATATAAATCTTTTCCCAATGTCATATGGTTATTGAGTAAATATATTGGTTCTTGAACCTGGATTTTCTAATTCCCAAAAGTGATACTTTCCACTATACTCTGTCTCCACAACCAATTCCATTTTTCTAGTGGGTTCTAGAAAAGACCTGATAGTGGCTTATGGATTGATGCATTTTCTTTAAAAATAATTTCCTGTCATCTTTTGAAATTTGTTTTGATGAGTACTATTGGCATTCACTCCCTAAGTGTGTGTGGTGCCTCTACTGTTTCAAACAAAAAGACCAACTCCCCACTCTGGGAGGGAGAAGGGTGTAGGTGGACCTCACTTTCAGTGTAGCAGAGGGATGAGTAATTTCAATATAGAGTGAAAAGTATTATAATAGGGGAAGATACATCATTCATTTACATTGTGTTAGGAGATCATAAAAGCCTTCCTGTAGGAAGTGAATCTAAACTGCGGCTTAGGTCTTAGGGTCAGGTAACTGCATGAAGGGATGGAGATAGCAATGGGAAATGCCAGTTGGGTAGATGCACAGAAGTTCCGGAAGGATGAAGCTGCAAGTGCAATGGAATAGAGGGAGAGCTGGTGCCCCTTAGAGAACTACCAAGAGTTGCGCGAGGCTGGAGCACAGAGCTCAAGATGAGGGAATGACAGAGGATGGGGTAAAAAATAAAGTGGGAGAGAGGAGCCAGCCCAATCATCAACGGCCATGGTCACCCCATTAAGGAACCTCAATGTAATCCTGAACCAGATCTTAAATCTGTCTCTGTGGACAGGCTGTATTAGAATCTCATAGGAACTTTTGCCCTTGGTCTTTCCTCTAAAGCAATGGTTCTCAAAATTTAGCCTGAATCAATTCCTGGAGGACCTGTTAGAGCACAGGTTGCTGAGCACCACTCTCAGCATCTCTGATTTTGAGGTCACGGGTAAGCTGAGAGTGTGCGTTTCTTGCAAGTTCCCATGTGATGCTGCTGCTTGCTACTGTTCGGGAGATTGGAATGGAGCCCAGATGTCTGTATTTTTTAAACCTCTACAGAGAATTCGTCAGAACAGCCAGGTTAGGAAGTCTTCCTAGGCCATGTTGAGTTGGGAGAGTGAATGGTCCAGATTTGAGCTCTGGAAGGATCTGTCTGGCATGTGGAGTTTTTGTGAGACCAGAGACATGGACAATACCTAGGAAGCACCCCTGGACTTCTACCTCAATATGCCAACATCTCTTCCACTGCTGGGCCTTCAGTTTGGGCCTGGAAAGCTTTATCCCTCTGTTCCCACACCTAGATGGTATGTAGTTAACCCTTGCTTTGCCTTCAGGTCTCAGCTTAGCCTGTGCTTCATGGAAGTGTCCTCTGGCTTCTGTAACAGCTTGGTGTTGGATCTCTCCTTTCTTCACTGGCACTTATCACAGTGGTAATCTACCCTCATCTATGTGATACTTTGTCTGTTTCTATTTATATTTCTTTTTCTTTTCTTTTCCTTTCTCTTTTCCCTCCTTCACTTCCTTCCTTCCTTCCTTTCCTCTAGGCTATAAGCACATAAAGAAAGGCTCATGCCTGCTTTGCCCACCAAGCCCAGCACGGTGCTTCATGCATGCTAGAAACTATAAATGTTTGATGTCTTGTGTCAATACTCTGTGAAGCAGGAGATGCAGGTGTCAGCATGACAGACCAGAAGCAAGACTCTGAGTCTTGGCAGTGCTTAGCTGGTAACTAACTCACTGCATGAGTGGTGGCTCAACCCTTCTTTTTTTTTTTAGACGGAGTTTCACTCTTGTTGCTCAGGCTGGAGTGCAATGGCGCAATCTTGGCTCACTGCAATCTCCACCTCCTGGGCTCAAGCGATTCTCCTGCCTCAGCCTCCTGAGTAGCTGGGATTACAGACATGTGCCACCACAGCCAGCTAATTTTTTGTATTTTTAGTAGAGACGAGGTTTCTCCATGTTAGTCAGGCTGGACTCAAACTCCCAACCTCAGGTAATCTGCGCACCTCGGCATCCCAAAGTGCTGGGATTACAGGCGTGAGCCACCACGCGCCCGGCTGGCCCAACCCTTCTTGAAGACAGTGCCTTAGGGCTGCTTCTGCTGCTCTTCTCCGCTGCAATGCCGTGTGATTGAATAGATCCCCACAGTGAGTGCGGGGAAGGGAAAAAAAAAAAAACCCCTGCAGGCATATGGGCCTGTGTTTCCCTCGAGCCCTGGCCAAGAGAGAAAGTGGTAAGTCGCCAAATGGCTTTGGGCATGTTTTCTAAGCTCTATTTCCTCATGGGCCAATGGGAATGACACCAAAATAACATTAGCCAAATGCTTGGCACTTAGATTTTGCCATTCCTGGTTATATGGTTTGTAAGTCCCAATGAGAGTAATCCCTGAAAGCACCATAGCCTAAGTTGGGAAGACTGCAGGTCCAAGTACTAGTGTGAATACATATCAGCCAAGTAACCCCTCTTAATTTTAGTTTCTTCAACTATAAAACGGAACAATAAGATCTGTCCTATCAACTGCACTAGCCTTTTGGGAGAGTGAGTAGCTACTCATAGAAGATATTTGTAAACTAAAGTGCTGTTTGTAAAGTCCTTCAACAGCCCTAGTAAGAAAGGCAGTGGTTGAGGGTTGGAGTATGGCTTCAGCACTGATTAAGCTCCCAGGTATGCATGAGTCAGAGGTGCCTTATCACCTCCCATAGGCTTGCTTGTGAGCCTGGACTTTACCATTGCTGTTTTACCACAGAACAGACAAAAAGAATGGCTTGTATTTTTCTTAGCCATGAAATATGAACTAAAGCAAGTATAGTACATTTTTTTTCCATATGTTTCCTGTAGCTCTGAAGGGTTTCTAAATGTGCTGAACCTGGTGGGAGGTATTATAGCAATCAACGGCTAGGACATTTTTAAATTGCCAATTTCTTCTTTCTAGCCTCTCCCATCTCTCCTTATTAACTGTCTGATAGGAACAGAAAAAGGACAAATCAAATACAATCTTCCACATGAGTATTCAATCAATGAATATTTACTGAGAATCTGCTATATGCCTGACACCATGAGTTACTTACGCAGACGCCTCAGGTAGGCAGACTCAGTAGGAAATATTTATGTTATAGAATAATCATCCCTCTCCTCCATGTTTCCAGCTAGAGAGGGTGTAGAAAGTTCTACATGAAGACAGCTCTCCGTCAACCACTCTGAAATAAAAAATGGCCCTGAAATTGCAGACCTCCTGTTGTGACATATGAAGCAGTCCACAGCATCACGAGCAGATCTTTGCACATTCAAATGCAGAATGTGGACCGTCTTACATGGCAACTGGACTAGACTTGTCCAAAAAGCAAATATCCAGAAAAATAAAAAAGGGTATGGAGAGACTGTCTAGGCAAAAAAAAAAAAAAAATTAAAGAGACATAATAACGAATGCAATGCATAATACTCAATTAGATATTATAGCAAAAAACTATCTTTAAAACATTTTTGAAAAATTGGAGAAATGTGAATATGGATTGTATATGATATTATGCACTTATTGCTAATTTTCTTGGGTATAAGAATGGTATTGTGGTTATATAAGAGATTGTCCTTATTCTTTTTTTTTTTTTTTTTTTGGAGATGAAGTCTCGCTCTTGTCCCCCAGGCTAGAGTACGACGACACTGATCTTGGCTCACTGCAACCTCTGCCTCCTGGGTTCAAGCGATTCTCCTGCCTCAGCCTCCCGTGTAGCTGGGAATACAGTTACCTGCCACCATGCCCAGCTAATTTTTGTGTTTTTAGTAGAAACGGGGTTTCACCATGTTGGCCAGGATGGTCTTGAACTCCTGACCTCAGGTGATCCACCCGCCTCAGCCTCCCAAAGTGCTAGGATTACAGGCGTGAACCACCGTACACGACCTTTTTTTTTATTATTATTATTTTTGAGACAGGGTTTTGCTCTGTCATCCAGGCCGGAGTGCAGTAGTGCAATCATAGCTCACTGCTGTCTCAACCTCCTGGGCTCTAGTGGTCCTCCCACCTCAGCCTCCCAAGTAGCTGAGACTACAGGCTCATGCCACCATACCTGGCTAATTTTTTTTTTTTTTTTTTTTTTTTTTTTGTAGGGATGGGGTTTTACCATGTTGCCCAGGCTGGTCTTGAACTCCTGGGATCAAGTGATCCGTCCGCCTTGGCCTCCCAAAATGCTGAGATTATAGGCGTGAACCACCACTCCCAGCTGTTCTTATATATGTTATGGTGTTTAGGGATGACATCTGCAACTTGCTTTTAAATGCTCAACCAAAACAAACAAACAAGCAAACAAATATGACAGAAGAAAAATAAATGTGGCAAAAAAATCCCTAATCTAGATCAGTAACTCTCAGCCAGTGACGTGATGTTGCTCCTCTCCCTCCCCTTGTTTGGTTTTGTTGTTGTTGTTGCTTTGTTTTGTTTTTTAAGAGAAATTTTGCTTTATTCTGTAGTGTGCTTACTTTAGTGATGTTTGGGGACATGTCTGGTTGTTACAACTGGGTGGACAGAGTGCTACTCACACCTAGTGGGTGCCAGGGATGCTACTAAATATACTTCAATGTACTAGACAGTCCCCAGCAGAAAGAATTATCCAGCCCCAAAGGTAAACAGTCAAGAGGTTGAGAAAATCCATGTTGTTAGGAGTATATGCATATCAATGTAGCATTCTTTCAACTTTTGTTCAGATTTGAAACTTTTCTTTTCTTTTTTCTTTTTCTTTCTTTCTTTTTTCTTTTGAGACGGAGTTCCGCTCTTGTTACCTGGGCTGGAGTGCAATGGCGTGATCTCAGCTCACTGCAACCTCGGCCTCCCGGTTCAAGCGATTCTCCTGCCTCAGCCTCCTGAGTAGCTGGGATTAAAGGTGCCCACCACCATGCCCGGCTAATTTTTGTATTTTTAGTAGAGAGAGAGTTTCACCATGTTGGCCAGGCTGGTCTCAAACTCCTGACCTCAGGTGATCTGCCCGCCTTGGCCTCCCAAAGTGCTGGGATTATAGGCATGAGCCACCGTACCCGGCCCCAAATTTTTCAAAATTAAGAGTTAAAAATAAACTTAGCCCTAAAAATAACCAAGTTTGTGCACCCTTTTTCTTTCTCCACCCCTGCCTCCCATTAATGTTCTCTGAAATTTTGTACATTTTCCACTGTAACATTAGAAACACAACCTCACACACACTCGCAGGGAGAATTTGGGTAAACATCCATCCAGGCACCAGAGTTTCTCCTTCTACTCTATGAGTGCAAATCTGAGCCCTAATCTGCTAAGCAATTTTGCACACATCTCTTTATCAGTTAACGGTCCTTAGTGAATGTCACTGGGAACAGATGTGGATAAAATGGACACAAGAGCAAAGAAAGCATTATTTGTTACTTTGTACATGTCTCACTTTGATAACCATCAAACTAAAGGTCAAAAGGTATTGAATCAATATGGATTTGCTTAGGTATATGCAAAGATTCTCTAGAGGGACTCTAATAGTATTGGTTACTTATGGGGAGGAAAATTAGGTGGCTGCAGAAGCAAGGGCGGGTGGGAAACTTTTCTATTTATACCCTTTTGTAGTTTTTGAATTTTGAGCTATGTAAATATGTAATTTATTCAAACAGTAAATGTAAATTTAAAAAAAAAACACAAGTTCTATCCTGGCTAACATGGTGAAAATCCATGTCTACTAAAAATACAACAAATTACCTGGGCGTGGTGGGGGGCACCTGTAGTCCCAGCTACTCGGGAGGCTGAGGCAGGAGAATGGCGTGAACCCATGAGGCGGAGCTTGCAGTGAGTCGAGATCGTGCCACTGCACTCCAGCCTGGGCGACAGAGCAAGACTCTGTCTCAAAAAAAAAAAAAAAAAAAAAAACCACAAGTTCTATACACAGTAACACTGATTAGACATTAAGTTGGTAGATGTATCTCCAGTGTAGAAGAAATTCCGAGAATCAGTTTTGTCAGCCATATTGACATGATTGTCAATGTTGGGATGCCAGGTTTGTGTAGTATTGTTGTTGTTGCCTTGTTTTTTTTCCTTCGCTTTGTTTTGTTTTTTTAGAGGAAATTCAGTTTCTTCTGTAGTGCACTTTATATGCAGCAGCATATTTTGGAAAGGATGTCATCCTAGAAGCAAGAATACCTGAATTCTAATCTTGGCTTCAATAACTATCATTTTTCCAGACATGGTATACAACATCTTTCCTCAGTCTGAGTGGTGAAAAAAACCTTTAATTACCTCTCCCACTGAGAAAATTCTGTGATTCTCTCCATATATAATGAACCTTTTCTTGAAAATACAAAAAAAGAAGGAAGAAAGGAAGGAAGGAAAGAAGGAAGGAAGGGAGGGAGAGAGGGAGGGAGGGGTAAATACAAATAAGGAAGGAAGAAAGGAAGGAGGGAAGAAAGAAGGAGGGAGGGGAGGGAGGAAGGAAGGAAGGAAGGAAAGAAGGATGGAAGGAAAGGAGGAAGGGAGGGAGGAAACAGAGCCTTAAAATGTCTTTATATTCATAGATAATTGGCATTTATCCTTTGTTGTTCTTGGAAATAATTGCTGAAATTCCATGTCCTTAAGAAAGCACAGCAAAAAATATCTTTTCACAGACATCTGAGACAGTAAAGCACAAAAAGACATCTATCTTCTTTAGATATGCCTACCAATGTGTATGCATATGGCATATAGAGATACAGGGAATAATAGACCATCTACCTTTTTGTATACATAGCTACAGTTCCTTGTAATTGTTCCTTAACTCATAAAGTTACAGCATCATAAACACTCAGTTTTTTATTAACTATTCTTAGGTACAGTTCAATAGTGTTGATTATATTCACATTGTTGTGCAATGAAGACAGTGGTCTTTGAAATCCAGGAGACAGGCAGGTTCAAACAGCAAACTTTGTGTTGAAACGTCAGCGGCAGTGGTTCTCAGCCGTGGTTGTACATTAGAATAATCCCATCCTCAAATTAATTCAATCTGAATCTCTAGGAATCCTAATGTGCAACCAGAGCTTAGAACTGCTGCCCCAGAGAATTGCTTGAACCCAGGAGGCGGAGGTTGCAGTGAGCTGAGATCGCGCCACTATACTCCAGCCTGAGTGAGAGAGCGAGACTCCGTCTCAAAAAAAAAAAAAGGAAAAAAAAAAAAAAGAACTGCTGCCCCAGAGCATCCTGAGGGTCTGTTTTTATCAGGACAGAAAGCAGAGATCTGACAGGGCCAGGTAAGGCTGGAGGCCCAGACCTCAAAGCCAGACAACAGCTCCACTGGGTCTGAGAAGGCAAGAAACACTTGATGACAGCTCCGAAGCAGGTGCAGCCATGTCTTTCTCTTTCTATGTGTCACATCTCCTAAAGACCCTTCCTAACCCTTAAAACCCTTAAGACTCTAAAGCGAACAGCTCAATTTTAGCAACTTTATATGCTTGTGCAACCATAATCACTATCCATTTTGGCCACCCTCAGCCCTAGGCAACTCCTGATCAGCTCTGTTGCACTGAGCTTCCAGTTTTGACAGGACAGCAACATGATGACAGAGAGAGACAAAGAAGACAAAGAAACACAGGGCAGAGAGAGACCAAGAAGTTATGAAAAAGGGAAGACAAGGAGACAGAGAGAGAAAGAGAGAGAGCCAGAGAGAGAGAGAGCGCAAAGTCAAGAAAGAAGCATGGACTAACAGAAAGTGAAAGACAGAAACAAAGTTGGAGAGAGATTAAAGAGACAAAGAGTCAGAAAAACAGAAACAGATAGACCTAGATACATAGACAGAATGAGAGAGAGAGAGAGAGACACCAAGAAAAGATGGGTGAAGCATAAAATTACTGGGCAACACAAGGCAATTATTTTAAGATAGTCTGAAATTAACAGGATGGTGCCATGTGGTCACTTACGAAGCCACAGCCATCCTCATCCAGGAAAGGGTGGGCCTGCAGCAGGGCATTAACCACGTCATTGTACTGCTGGGTGCTGGGGTACCTGTTCACCAAAACAAGGAGGATATGTTTCACTTCAAGCAAACCACATTCCTTCCTTTAAGATGAGTCTAATTACACTCATTTTTCTTCACATTTTTCTATATAACAAAAAGAGATTTAAATATTGGGCAATTGGGACCTATTACCAATATATCATCCACAATCTGAAGAGAGTTGATTCCACAGGAATTCTACTCTATTCTGAAACAGACCCTTTCCCAAAGCAGCAAGCTTGTCCTGTTGTCACTCACAGTGAGCCTTCCAGATACTTAGTCATGTCGGCCTGGAGAAACTCAATGATCCTTATCCTCATGCTGTGATCCGGGCACTTCTGCTCTGCTAACATGCATTTGACATCATAGGGAAACTCTGGTAAAACATAGGACTTCGTCCACTGTAATGCTTTGCTTCTTGCTAGAATTTGTTTCACATTTCTTCTGTGAAATAAAAACACACAAAGAATGAAATTCTATTCCAAATATATGCAGTTTATTAATTTGCTACATCCTGAGAACTTATGAAATAAACAACTTTCCTGAGACCCAAATATATGGAAGTCATCAAGCCATCTTCCATCCATTCATCCATCCACAAATGTTTGAAGGCTCATTAAGTGTCTTTGTCCATTCACACAACACATAAATATGTATTCTTTAGAAAAAGTCATAATAATATAGACTTTAGAATAAAGCCTGAAGTTGAAATGCATACTAATTCATTTTTCTTAAAGAGAAAATGTAATGCATAGCTCAAAACTAGACAATATACTTAACAAAAAGAAAATACATTGCAATTCAGCAAAGCAAATGAGGCCTACCATAAAGTCTTAGCACCTGTTAAGAAAATTCTTCTAATTAATTTATTCTGCTGTTGTTTATAATTAAATACAAGATCCACCTAATTTAGTTTGTCTTTGCCTATTTTGATAAGGTGAACTTAGTTTCCAAATTAAATATAAGTAACAGATATTCCGATTCTATCCAGATGAAATTTCTATGAAGGGCTACAGAAAACTATAACTACAGAAGGCAGATCAGGAGTTGCCTGGGGATGAGGGTGGATAAAATGGGTAGTGATTATTTGTTGTACAAGCATATAAAGCTGCTAAAATTAACTGAGCTATTCACTTTTTTATTTTTTATTTTATTATTATTATTTTTTAAGATGGAGTCTCACTCTGTCGCCAGGCTGGAGTGCAGTGGCACGATCTCAGCTCACTGCAACCTCCGCCTCCTGGGTTCAAGTGACTCCCCTGCCTCAGCCTCCCAAGTAGCTGGGACTACAGGCATGTGCCACCACACCTGGCTAATTTTTTGTATTTTAGTAGAGATGGAGTTTCACCATGTTGGCCAGGATGGTCTCAATCTCCTGACCTCGTGATCTGCCCACCTTGGCCTCCCAAAGTGCTGGGACTACAGGCCTGAGCCACTGCATCTGCCCAATTTTTTTTTTTTTTTTTTTTTAGACAGAGTCTTGCTCTGCCATCCAGGCTGGTGTGCAGTGGTGCAATCACAGCTCACTGCAGCCTTGACCTCCTGGTCTCAAGCAATCTTCCCACTTCAGCCTCCCAAATAGCTGGGACTACAGGCACGTGCCACCATGCCCAGCCAATATTTTTTATTTTTTGTGGAGATGGGGTCTCACTATGTTGCCCAGTTTCATCTCGAACTCTAGGCTCAAGTGATCCTCTTGCTGTGGCTTCCCAAAGTGTCGGGATTACAGGCATGAGCCAACACAGCTAGCCTCTTGTTCACTTTAAATGGGTGAACTTTATGCTATGTAAATGAAATGTCAATAAGGCTGTTTATAAAATTATCAGAACAATGTTCAAGCCTTAAAGTTAGTGACTGACCACTGAGTATGCAAAATGAAGACTCTATAATATTAATAAAGTGTCCAAGTAACAATTAATCAAAGGCACTAGGTAGCTCTTAACCCATTTATAAATAGGATCGATTTGTGGTGGAAGTAAAGAAACAGAGGCAAGCCAAGTAGAAGACAACAGGAAGATTTCCTAAATTGGCCTAAGTAGGTTAATTTTCTGATGACCATGGAACCTTTAGTGGCCCAAGCAACATTCAGATGAATTTTGAAAGACTAGGATTCTTTTAGCATTTTAGGTCATCCTTTATAAGAATGCACGAGCTATAATGTGATATGGAGAATCAAGCACACAGGAGAAAGCACTCTCACATCTATTTTTATGATAAGCTCCCTTTCCTTTTTTCCCCCTTTGGCGGTCCCTACTATATCAGTGGCGAAATTATGTCCTGGCTAAAATAAGCACACCAGTATTTAATACTTGACCCAATACCACAACAGGATATTTCCAGATGTAAGTCTCCGCTGCAGCCCAATCTATTTTCTAGTATGTTTCTCTTTCATTTTGTTCATTCATTCAACCAGTATTTATTAGGGGTCTACTAAATGCGAATTACTCTTTCACAATCCTCATTTTCTTCCATATTCTATTACTTTGTTTCTTTCTCCCATGGCCAAATTACCTCTCCTGTATCTACTGAGACCTAGAAGTATAAAGTAATGGCCAGTTTTGTTGGATGTCTTTTGTGCCTTCCTGGGATTTTTTTTTTTTTTTTTTTTTGAGACGGAGTCTTGCTCTGTCACCCAGGCTGGAGTGCAGTGGTGCAATCTCGGCTCACTGCAACCTCCGCCTCCCGGGTTCAAGCGATTCTCCTGCCTCAGCCTCCTGAGTAGCTGGGACTACAGGCGCATGCCACCGTGCCTGGCTAATTTTTTTTATTTTTAGTATAGACAGTGTTTCACCATGTTGGCCAGGATGGTCTCAATCTCCTGACCTTGTGATCTGCCCACCTTGGCCTCCCAAAGCGCTGGGATTACAGGTGTGAGCCACCGTGCCTGGGCCTTCCTAGCATTTTTTAAAAGCGATGTAACTTGGCAGGTGTTAAGCTGGTTTCAGTAATCTTAGCATCTATTTCCTTTTCCCCAGTGATTTTCAAGTAGCTAAATTAGCTGCCTGCCGGGTCCAGGTTTTTGAAGTTGTTATGTTACTTAGTACCACCTCAACAGATAAGTTCAATGTTCCAGTGTTATAAAATAAAGCTCGTTACACTGTTTGTCTTTTTATTCTACATACTTTCCCTCCTTTTTTTTTTCAGTGTCGGGGCGGAGACTATACTGCATGGTATTATTTCTATCAAACATCCACAATGTAGCTAGACATATAAAGGATCCAAGGAGACAGATACTCCATCTTGCTCTAAATAGAGGTATTAGGAAAGATCAGAAGCATCAAATTTTCATTTTCTTTACATTAAAACAATGTAAGAAGATATTCTGGAATTGACTAAAAACCAACCCATGCCACCTAATACCAGTCAAAATGAGTATTACACACGAAAAGTGACTCATCAGAAATTAAAAATACATTCTAATTTGGAAGCAGATAACTGCAGGCAAAATCATTTCTCATCTGTAAAATTATATTTGCATTGGATTAAAAAAAGCTTTACTGTGAGGTTAAGATTATTCATAATATTTTTATTAAGCTAGAATTGGGCAGAACACCATAATAAGTCAGCCAAAAGTAAGGGCAGGGAGCAGACAGCAGTTCAACCCAAAGGATGGTTATATTACTGTTCCCACCTCAGAACCAGGCTCTTCGACAAAATCAGCACCACAAAGCAACAGATCTCTAACCCAAGGTATCTCAATCCTGGGTGCACAGTAGAATCAACTAGGAAGCTTTTAAAACATGTTAATGCCTACAGTTGGCCCCCGGCTAACTGAATCAGAGTTCACTGCTTACTAAATTCTCAGCTTATGTGTAGAGCTTATATTTGCAATAAAATAAAACTTATAATAAAGTTAAGACAACACATTTGATACTTGGCCATATCATTATTGTATTAGGTGCTAATTTAAAAAATGATTAGATGGCATTTTCATAAAAAAGCTAACTGACTCTCCAACATTTTCTAACTTTAGTAAGAGTGAAAAAATATCCAATTCTTTCCCTGCTTCCAAAGAGCATATGGTATACTCTGATGAGGCTCACACAGGGTAGGAAAGATGGCTCTGTTAAGAACGGGCTCAGGTGAGCACCAGCTCTCTAAGGAACAATCTGAAAGCACAGAAGAACAGCAGTTGGTAGGGAGCAGAAGAAACACAGATGTTACATGAGGGCGGGGACTTTTTGTTTAATCTCCAGTATATATAACATTGCTTAGCAGAGTTGATAACACAGTGATTTTTTGTTGAAAGAATAAACCAGGCATCTGAAAGAAGTAGCTACCTAAGCAGGGCTGAATTTGATGTGGTCTCGGCAAAGATGTGGACACTTCACTGGTCCGTGATTGCATTCATTACCCTGTAGATTCGGCTCCCCATTTATGCTCCAGGCATGTCTTTGAAATCACCTTCATCCTGCTTTTCCCTAACCTCTCTTACCTCAATCTCTTCCCAATCACCTCACCGGGACTGCTTCCTCTAAAGTCAATAATGATTTCCTGATTGACAAATTCAGGGCCTTTGACCATAACTTTTTACAAGAGCTTCATAACTGCATTTAGTGTTATTGACTACTTCCTCACACCCCTTTTCTTCCTTAACTTCCTTGACACTGTTTCATTTTCCTGCTTCTCTTCCAATCTCTCTGACAACTTGTTTATTTGCTGATTTATACCTCCTTTACTTTCTGTGAGAATTTGCACATGGCTTGGTTCCTGCCCCCTTAATCCTCTGTATTGATTTTTGCTTTCTTCCTCAGAGAACTCATCCAGCCCCATGGCCTCAGCTCTGAGCTTTATGTTGATGGATTGTAAATCTATCATCAATAATCTGTTCTCCATGCTCCATCTTAGATCTCCAACAACAACTTGTACATTGTTCATCTCATACTCAACAAATCCAAAATAATTCACAATCTTTAAAAAAACCAAAAAAAAAAAAAAACCAAAAAACAAAAACTAGGCTCTCATTTTCTAGGAACTGAATTGTGTTCCTTTCAAATTCTATATGTTGAAGCCCTAACCTCCAACGTGACTGTACTTGGAGACAGACCTTTATGGAAGTAATTTAGTTAAATGAAATCATAAGGTTGGGCCCTGAGATGACGGGATTGGTATTCTTAAAAGATCTGTATGCCATGTGAGGTCAGAGAGAAAATGTAGCCATCTGCAAGTGAAAAAGAGGGTCCTCAACAGAAA
Source organism: Homo sapiens (assembly GCF_000001405.40). Classification (NCBI taxonomy): domain Eukaryota; kingdom Metazoa; phylum Chordata; class Mammalia; order Primates; family Hominidae; genus Homo; species Homo sapiens. Next base: position 130,189,373 of record NC_000006.12, read on the forward strand.
TGGAAGAGGTCAGTGCCTTGATCTCAGGCTTACGGCCTCTAGAACCACCAAAAAATAAATTTCTATGTTTAGGTCACCAAGTCTATGGTATTTGTTTGGCAGCCTGTGCGGACTAACACAGAATTCCAATTTCCTTGTTTCTTTTACTGTACCCGTTTCTGTTAGCAACTCAAGCTTAACATCGTGATGTCTTTCACCTTCATTTTTCACTCCTAAGTGTCATGAAATTTTCCCTACATTTTATCTCTGTATTTATTTACTTATTTCCATGGTTCATGCTACTACACTAATCCAAGTATTCGCCACTCAAATGTGGACTGCTTCAGTAGTCTCCTAGCAGAGTTCTGCTGGAATGGCTTAATGAGCTCCCACTGGACCAGCTGTCTCAGAAACATTAACCATAAACATTAAACACATTTTAAAAAAATTAACTGAAAACACTGAAATGTGAAAAACAGAATGCAGGTTTTGAAAAGAAGCCTACACTTAGAACAAGAGGAAGACACTGGGCCTTTGATGAGGTTCCCTTTTCATGGCTTTTGGCCTGAAGGCAGGCCTCATGCTGTGCTGCCAAAACTCTAATAGAAAAACCTGTAGTATTTCTGGACTCAAAGACTTGGGGGCAGGATTTCGGGCAACCCATTATGTGGAAAAGGAGAGGAAAACCCCAGAAAAGAATGAGCTAATGAGGGAAAACTCCACAATCTGTGTATAAACTGTTCAAATCTCTGGATGATCCTGAACTACACATGTGCATAACTGGACTAAAGATAAAAGAACTCAACAGATTTTAACTGACACCAGGAGACTGAGTTTTCCACGTGAGTCCAACCAATTTTGCGGTTTCCTAGAACAAAATGTCAACGCTCTTTGGGCGAACACAACAGATTCAAGAGACTCCACACTGTAACATTCATATTTAATCCAAAATTATGTAACGTACAAAAAAAAAACCCAGAAAATGTAATCCATCCTCAAGAGTAAAGATAATCATTAGAATGTGATGCTAAGATGAACCAGATGTCGGCAAGGATTTTAAAGCGGCCATTCTAACAATGTTCAGTGAATTAAAGGCATATAGGCCAGAATGACTGAAATGATAGGAAAATTTAGCAAAGAAATAGAAATTGTTTAAAAGAAACAAATAGAAATTTAGAAGAAAAAAATACAAAATTTGAAATTAAAAATTGTACTAGATAGGATTAATAGCAGAATGGAGATTTAGGAGGAAATAGTCATTGAATTTGAAGACAGATCAACAGAAATGATCCAATCTGAAAAACACTGGGAAAAGAGATTAAAAAAAAATAAGAAAAGTAGCTCATTTTTTCTAATTGCAGCTCCTCACAATTTATCCCCCTATATAGCCATAAACCCTTCTCCTCTGTGATCCATCATCCAATTTTACATAAACACCGATTTAATCATGTCGGTCAGTGGAGGGGCCAGGTAGAGCTGGCCAATGGCTTCCAGGGCTACTTTTGGAACCAAGACATAGTTGAAGGTCCAAGCAAAATAAGGCAATCTTGCTTGACACTATAATCATGTCCAATTTCAAACACTATTTCTGGTACTGAAACACCACTGGGAACCAATGTAGAATTTAACTTCAAATTTAAAAGTCCCATAGTTTAAAGACCAAGTATATAGAAGACCTGCAAGTCCACATTCAATACTTGACCATACTAGATATCTGCCTTTTGCATGATTTCACATTTTCCAACTGTCATATGCATGATAATCTTCCTGTTTGCCGACAATGTAACCCATATATATATTGAGTGACATGGGTGATTCAGGATTCTTCTACCCCCAACAATTAGACACCGTGAGAGTTTACTATGCAGTGAGAGTTTACTATGTCAGTCTCTTTGACCAATTAACATCTTCAGTATGTGGTCTCCCTGAGAGGAGAGTTACTGCTTCCTATTTCTGAGGACAACTGTGAGCCAGGCCCATCCCTTAATTATCATCCCTTTGGGTTCCTGGGGCTCCCCAGGAAGAGGAAAATAACTATGATTTGTTGACATGTTTGGATATAAACATTCGCATTTGGAAGGAAAACTGAGTCTGTTCTCTGTATTTAAACCCCTTTTGGAGCTATTGAGTGTTTGGCAGTTATTTTATCCCCATGAAAGTAGATAATATTGCCTTAGGGAAAAAGTAAGCTCTTGAATTTTCAAACTAGAAAGCTTCAGTATTTCTTTTCGAATTAGAGGAAGCTTAAGAGTTTAAAACTGTTGCTTCCTTCCTTTTTTTTTTTTTTAACTGAGCCGCAGTTTCTCGCTTTGTTGAAATTGGTGCTTCCAATTTCATTGACTTAAATTTAAAGGAATTTTTTCATTCTCTTTTTACTTCTACAAATAAAACAGGTGATAGGATTTTAAAATTCTATGAGAAAAATAAAAGTCAATGGTCTGTAATTTCTTAAAATCCCAAATTTGAATTCTTCATATTTACTAATTAGAAGTTTTTGTACTCTCTTATTATCAACTGCTACACAATGTGAATTCTCAGATCCAGTCCAGACACAAGCCTTACTAAATCTCCAGAATGCACTATGCATGTGTTAGCAGTTTCTTCGCTTACTTTGTTGCCCTCAGTTGCCCTCATTCTTCTAGGTTTATCTCAAGCCTTCTTCTCAGGTAGATTTTACTCACTGCCACACTCCTGCCATGCATGTGGTTCTCCTCATCTGAATCCCCCACCTGGCCTGGTCCAACACTGGCCCTGTGAGCACTCAACTACATCTAGTCTCCTTATCTGTCTTGATTTTCCTACGTCCTTGTTGAATGAAATAGTTTGTGACAAAAATATTGTAGAAAGGTTTAGCAATGCTTGAGAAAGATATAAAATATCAAATATAACATTGTATGATTGATAAAGATGGTCTGTAGTTCTATAAACTTGTGTTTTCTTTTCTTTTTTAAGAGACAGGTGTCAGGCCTCTGAGCCCAAGCTAAGCCATCATATTCCCTGTGACCTGCACATACACATCCAGATGGCCGGTTTCTGCCTTAACTGATGACATTCCACCACAAAAGAAGTGAAAATGTCCTGTTCCTGCTTTAACTGATGACATTGTCTTGTGAAATTCCTTCTCCTGGCTCATCCTGGCTCAAAAGCTCCCCCACTGAGTACCTTGTGACCCCCACTCCTGCCCACCAGAGAACAACCCCCCTTTTTCCTTTACCTTCCCAAATCCTATAAAATGGCCCCACCCCATCTCCCTTCGCTGACTCTCTTTTTGGACTCAGCCACCAGCACCCAGGTAAAATAAACAGCCATGTTGCTCACACAAAGCCTGTTTGGTGGTCTCTTCACACGGTCGCGCATGAAATTTGGTGCCGTGACTCGGATCGGGGAACCTCCCTTGGGAGATCAATCCCCTGTCCTCCTGCTCTTTGCTCCGTGAGAAAGATCCACCTACGACCTCAGGTCTTCAGACCAACCAGCCCAAGAAACATCTCACCAATTTCAAATCCAGTAAGTGGCCTCTTTTTACTTACTTCTCCAACCTCCCTCACTATCCCTCAACCTCTTTCTCCTTTCAATCTTGGCGCCACACTTCAATCTCTCCCTTCTTTTAATTTCAATTCCTTTCATTTTCTGGTAGAGACAAAGGAGACACGTTTCATCCGTGGACCCAAAACTCCGGTGCCAGTCACAGACTGGGAAGGCAGCCTTCCCTTGGTGTTTAATCATTGCAGGGACGCCTCTCTGATTATTCACCCACATTTCAGAGGTGTCACACTACACAGGGACACCTGCCTTGGTCCTTCACCTTTAGCAGGAAGTCCCACTTTTCTGGGGGAGGGGCAAGTACCCCAACCCCTTCTCTCCATGTCTCTACCCCTTCTCCGCCTTTCTGGGGGGCAAGAAACCCCCAACCCCTTCTCCTTCACACTTAGCAGCAAGTCCCACTTTTCTGGGGGAGGGGCAAGTACCCCAACCTCATATCTCTGCTCCCCGATCCCTTATTTCTGTGCCCTGACCTCTTACATCTCTGCACCCCAATCCCTTATTTCCGTGCCCTGACCTCTTATCTCTGCGCCCTGATCCCTTATTTCCACGCCCCGACCTCTTATCTCTGTGCCCCAACCCCTTATTTCTGTGCCCTGACCCCTTTCCCGCTTTTCTGGAGGGTAAGAACCCCTGAACCCCTTCCCTCTGTGTCTCTACTCTCCCTTTTCTCTGGGCTTGCCTCCTTCACTATGGGCAACTTTCCACCCTCCATTCCTCCAACTCCCTTAGCCTGTGCTCTCAAGAACTTAAAACCTCTTCAACTCACACCTGACCTAAAACCTAAATGCCTTATTTTCTTCTGCAATGCCGCTTGACCCCAATACAAACTCGACAGTAGTTCCAAATAGCCAGAAAATGGCACTTTCAAGTTTTCCATCCTGCAAGATCTAAATAATTCTTGTTGTAAAATAGGCAAACGGTCTGAGGTGCCTGATGTCCAGGCATTCTTTTACACATCAGTCCCTTCCTAGTCTCTGTGCCCAATGCAACTTGTCCCAAATCTTCCTTCTTTCCCTCCCTCCTGTCCCCTCAGTCCCAACCCCAAGCGTCACTGGGTCTTTCTAATCTTCCTTTTCTCCAGACCCATCTGACCTCTCCCCTCCTCCCCAGGCTGCTTCTCGCCAGGTCGAGCTAGGTCCCAATTCTTCCTCAGCCTCCGCTCCTCCACTCTATAATCTTTTTATCACCACCCCTCCTCACACCCAGTCTGGCTTACAGTTTCATTCTGCGACTAGCCCTCCCCCACCTGCCCAGCAATTTCCTCTTAAAAAGGTGGCTGGAGCTAAAGGTATAGTCAAGGTTAATGCTCCTTTTTCTTTATCCGACCTCTCCCAAATCAGTTAGCATTTAGACTCTTTTTCGTCAAATATAAAAATCCCAGCCCAGTTCATGGCTTGTTCGGTAGCAACCCTGAGACACTTTACAGCCCTAGACCCTAAAAGGTCAAAAGGCTGTCTTATTCTCAATATACATTTTATTACCCAATCTGCTCCTGACATTAAATAAAACTCCAAAAATTAAATTCTGGCCCTCAAACCCTACAACAGGATTTAATTAACCTCACCTTCAAGGTGTACAATAATAGAAAAAAGTTGCAATTCCTTGCCTCCACTGTGAGACAAACCCCAGCCACATCTCCAGCACACAAGAACTTCCAAATGCCTGAACCACAGCGGCCAGGCATTTCTCCAGAACCTCCTCTCCCAGGAGCTTGCTACAAGTGCCAGAAATCTGGCCACTGGGCCAAGGAATGCTCACAGCCCAGAATTCCTCCTAAGCCGCGTCCCATCTGTGCAGGACCCCACTGGAAATTGGACTGTTCAACTCACTTGGCAACCACTCCCAGAGCCCATGGAACTCTGGCCCAAGGCTCTCTGACTGAGTCCTTCCCAGATCTTCTCGGCTTAGCAGCTGAAGACTGACACTGCCTGATCACCTTGGAAGCCTACAGGACCATCACAGATGCTCTAGGTAACTCTCACAGTGGAGGGTAAGTCTGTCCCCTTCTTAATCAATATGGAGGCTACCCACTGCACATTACCTTCTTTTCAAGGGCCTGTTTCCCTTGCCTCCATAACTGTTGTGGGTATTGGCGGCCAGGCTTCTAAACCTCTTAAAACCCCCCAACTCTGGTGCCAACTTAGACAATACTCTTTTAAGCACCCCTTTTTAATTATCCCCACCTGCCCAGTTCCCTTATTAGGCTGAGGCACTTTAACTAAATTATCTGCTTCCCTGACTATTCCTGGACTACAGCCGCATCTCATTGCTGCCCTTCTCCCCAACCCAAAGCCTCCTTCATGTCCTCCTCTTGTATCCCCCTACCTTAACCCACAAGTATAAGATACCTCTAATCCCTCCTTGGTGACCGATTATGCACCCCTTACCATCTCATTAAAACCTAATCACCTTTGCCCTGCTCAATGCCAAGATCCCATCCCACAGCACGCTTTGGGCATTAAAGCCTGTTATCACTCGCCTGCTACAGCATGGTGTTTTAAAGCCTATAAACTCTCCTTACAATTCCCCCATTTTACCTATCCTAGAACAAGACAAGCCTTACAAGTTAGTTCAGGATCTGCGCCTTATCAACCAAATTGTTTTGCCTATCCACCCCATGGTGCCGAACCCATATACTCTCCTATCCTCAATACCTCCCTCTACAACCCATTATTCTGTTCTAGATCTCAAACATGCTTTCTTTACTATTCCTTTGCACCCTTCATCCCAGCCTCTCTTCGCTTTCACTTGGACTGACCCTGACACCCATCAGGCTCAGCAAATTACCTGGGCTGTACTGCTGCAAGGCTTCACAGACATCCCTCATTACTTCAGTCAAGCTCAAATTTCTTCCTCATCTGTTACCTGTCTCAGCGTAATTCTTATAAAAACACACGTGCTCTCCCTGCCGATCATGTCTGACTGATCTCTCAAACCCCAACACCTTCTACATCCTAGGCATGGTTAGATACTTTCGACTTTAGATACCTGGTTTTGCCATCCTAACAAAACCATTATATAAACTCACAAAAAGAAACCTAGCTGACCCCATAGATCCTAAATCCTTTCCCCACTCGTTTTTCTGTTCCTTGAAGACAGCTTTAGAGACTGCCCACAACCGAGCTCTCCCTGACTCATCCCAACCCTTTTCATTACACACAGCTGAAGTGCAGGGCTGTGCAGTCAGAATTTTTACAGGACTGGGATCGCGTCCTGTAGCCTTTTTGTCCAAACAACTTGACCTTACTGTTTTAGGCTGACCATCATGTCTCCGTGCAGTGGCTCCTGCCCCCCTAATACTTTCAGAGGCCTTTAAAATAACAAACTATGCTCAACTCACTCTCTACAGTTCTCATAACTTCCAAAATCTATCTTCTTCCTCATACCTGATTCATATACTTTCTGCTCCCCAGCTCCTTCAGCTGTACTCACTCTTTGTTAAGTCCCACAATTATCATTGTTCCTGGCCCAGACTTCAATCTGGCCTCCCACATTATTCCTGATACCACACCTGACCCTCATGACTGTATCTCTCTGATCCACCTGACGTTCACCCCATTTCCCCACATTTCCTTCTTCCCTGTTTCTCACCCTGATCACACTTAGTTTATTGATGGCAGCTCCACCAGGCCTAATCGCCACACACCAGCAAAGGCAGGCTATGCTATAGTACAAGCCACTAGCCCGCCTCTTAGAACCTCTCATTTCCTTTCCATCGTGGAAATCTATCCTCAAGGAAATAACTTCTCAGTGTTCCATCTGCTATTCTACTACTCCTCAGGGATTATTCAGGCCCCCTCCCTTCCCTACACATCAAGCTTGAGGATTTGCCCCCACCCAGGACTGGCAAATTAGCTTTACTCAACATGCCCCGAGTCAGATAACTAAAATACCTCTTAGTCTAGGTAGACACTTTCACTGGATAGGTAGAGGCCTTTCCTACAGGGTCTGAGAAGGCCACCGCAGTCATTTCTTCCCTTCTGTCAGACATAATTCCTCAGTTTAGCCTTCCCACCTCTCTACAGTCTGATAACAGACCAGCCTTTATTAGTCAAATCAGCCAAGCAGTTTTTCAGGCTCTTAGTATTCAGTGAAACCTTTATATCCCTTACGGTCCTCCATCTTCAGGAAAAGTAGAACGGAGTAAAGGTCTTTTAAAAACACACCTCACCAAGCTCAGCCACCAACTTAAAAAGGACTGGACAATACTTTTACTACTTTCCCTTCTCAGAAGTCAGACCTGTCCTCAGAATGCTACAAGGTACAGCCCATTTGAGCTCCTGTATAGACGCTCCGTTTTATTAGGCCCAGTCTCATTCCAGACACCAGACCAACTTAGACTGTGCCCCAAAAAACTTGTCATCCCTACTATCTTCTGTCTAGTCATACTCTTATTCACCGTTCTCAACTACTCATACATGCCCTGCTCTTGTTTACACTGCCGGTTTACACCGTTTCTCCAAGCCATCACAGCTGATATTTCCTGGTGCTATCCCCAAACTGCCACTCTTAACTCTTGAAGTAAATAATCTTTGCTGGTAGGACTATGCTGAATCTCCTTAGGCACTCTCTAATCAGATGTCCTGAGTCGTCCCAATTCTTAGACCTTTTATACCTATTTTTCTCCTTCTCTCATTCCATTTAGTTTTTCAATTCATACAAAACTGTATCCAGGCCATCACCAATAATTCTAAATGACAAATATTCCTTCTAACAACCCCACAATATCACCCCTTACCACAAAATCTCCCTTCAGATTAATCTCTCCCACTCTAGGTTCCCATGCCACCCCTAATCCCGCTCGAAGCAGCCCTGAGAAACATCGCCCATTATCTCTCCATACCATCCCCCAAAATTTTCGCTGTCCGAACACTTTACCACTATTTCATTTTATTTTTCTTATTAATATAAGAAGATAGGAATATCAGGCCTCTGAGCCCAAGCTAAGCCATCATATTCCCTGTGGCCTGCACGTACACATCCAGATGGCCGGTTCCTGCCTTAACTGATGACATTCCACCACAAAAGAAGTGAAAATGGCCTGTTCCTGCTTTAACTGATGACATTGTCTTGCGAAATTCCTCCTCCTGGCTCATCCTGGCTCAAAAGCTCCCCCACTGAGTACCTTGTGACCCCCTCAGTCCTGCCTGCCAGAGAACAACACCCCTTTTTCCTTTACCTACCCAAATCCTATAAAACGGCCCCACCCCATCTCTCTTCGCTGACTCTCTTTTTGGACTCAGCCCGCCTGCACCCAGGTGAAATAAACAGCCATGTTGCTCACACAAAGCCTGTTTGGTGGTCTCTTCACACGGACGCGCATGAAAACAGGGTCTCTGTCTGTTATCCAGGCAGGAGTGAAGTGGCACAATGATGACTCACTGCAGCCTCAAACTCCTGGGCTCAATGGAAGCCTCCCCCCTTAGCCTCCTGAGCAGCTAGGACTACAAGCATGCATCACCACACCCAGCTAATTTTTAAAATTTATTTTTGTAGAGATGAGGTCTTGCTATGTTGCCCAGGCTGGTCTCAAACTCCTGGCCTCAAGTGATTCTCCTGCCTTGGCCTCCCAAAGTGTTGGAATTAGAGATGTGAGCCACCACATCTAGCCTAAATTTGTGTTTTCAGACATAAAATTGTCACCTTTCAAAAAGGAGCTCTCTGTTGTGCTAAAACAGCCCACTGATGACAAAGAAACCACTCACTAGCAAGGCACCAAACCAAGTGGTGAGTGAAAAGAAGTGCCAGGTTACTAAGCCCATAAATTTGAGATACAAAAACCAGTGGGGAACACTAGAGAGGCAGATCTAGAGACTGAGGTGGAAACCTCTGGAAACACAAAAGGTATCTGAGAACTAGACTGTGACTCTTGAGAATTACAAAAAGGTCAGACACGCCAAAAATAAACCCTCCAAAAGCTGTTTTCTAAGCATCTCACCAGGCTTCAGTTGCACCCCATGTGGCTTTATGGGACCCAGGGCAGAGTTCATATCACACTCAGCTGAACCCTGGTTGACCTTTGGAGTCATAGCTCATAAATCATCCCTGTTTTCCCAAATTTCGGGGCACAAATTGTACCTTTCTCCAAGGGCACCCACTTGGAGACAATCTCCTACTTTGAGGAACTGTGATATTTTCCTAGTCTTGTAAAATAGTATTACTTTCTGGTCCTCCAGGGAGGAGAACAAGGGACAAGTGGAACACTTTGCTGTGAAGAATACACATCCTGGCTACAGGACTTGGTCTTCACATCTCAAGTGCCACCAGCAATAGTATTAGTACTCCCACCATTGGGAGAGAAAGCAGTGACAACTATGCTGCTTTCCAGGGACTGAACTGAAAGAAATTGTGCCCCACAAGTGGCTGTATTGTGGCATCCCATTTTCATTTAATTCCTCTCTACATCCAAGCCTGCAGACTTTATACACTGAAAATGGTATAGATTGGGATACCCAGGTTTATATTATCAACTCTGAAGCTAAATGGCATGTGATCTCTGCAACATCCCAAACCTGAGATGTTTTGGGGACATAGAAGAGGAAGAAGCCAGGGGAGGCTTAGATATCTGTTTAAAGAATTTGCTGTCATTTTATCCTAGGATAGAAGATGTTATGGTACACATCCCTTCCAAATAGGGAACAAACTTTACCAAACTACAAGTGAATCAGAAATTCTGCTTCTGAGTTAATTATGCCAGTAACCTGGGAATTACCTTCTTTATCTTGGCAAGAGTAGCTACTGCTAAGAAAACAAACAAGAAGTTTTGAAGAGCTCAATAGAGACACGTGCCAATGAACAAGGTGAGATGCTGTCTCTGAAGATATTGAACAATGTCACTTCAAAGCACCCCTAAACTATGAAGAAAATGCTGTTTTGTTGCTGCAACTGATGGTACCCACCGTGAATTCTGAAAAATGTTTGAGCCACATTCCTATAATTTTGATGTTTGCTTTTAATTTATGTTTTATAGCCCAGGGCTCTCACACCTGGCAATAAATTTATGAGATTTCCAGAGGAATTACATGTCTGAAATGCATGTGTGAACCTATAATCAAGCACAAAGAAAAGAGAGATGTGACCAGCATCAGGCACCATGTCTTGGCAAAGATAGACAGATGTCTCTCAAACCCTCTATGTTATTGGCCCCCAGTGTGAGATTCAAGGCCTCGGGAGTCTTTGGGGCCCTAATTCATCAAAAACAAAGCAGAAAAAAAAAACTTTTAAATCTTCCCATTCCCCAATTCCTCTTGGTATTAACAGAAATGCAAAGTTTCAGAAACTCAGCCCTTTATCTTATCTACTACCATGACATGCACGTCAACAAGTCTCACAGAGCTATCACCTCTCAGTCCCTCTTTTCTTTTTTTCTTCCTCATTCATGCGCCTGTAATCTAAGCACTTTGGGAGGCTGAGGCAGGTGGATCACGAGGTCAGGAGATAGAGACCATCCTGGCTAACACGGTGAAACCCCATCTGTACTAAAAATACAAAAAAAAAAAAAATTAGCCGGGCGTGGTTGCATGCAACTGTAGTCCCAGCTACTTGGGAGGCTGAGGCAGGAGAATTGCTTGAACCCGGGAGGCAGAGCTTGCAGTGAGCCGAGATCACACCACTGCACTCCAGCCAGGGCAATGGAGCCAGACTCTGTCCCCCGACCCACAAAAAAAAAAAAAAAAAAAAAGGGGAATGAGGCATGACATGCTCAGTTGTTGCAAAATGGTTCAGTAGTACTATTTTTGCAGTTCAGAAGTGTTAAAATGTGTTTTAATTTATCACCAGCAATCAAAGTGGGCAAGGACATTCAGTAGCTACTGAGGAATATAGAAAACTGGGTCTTTAAACAAAAATGAGGAGGGCCTCTCTTCATTTGGGAGGTGGTGGTGTTATTGAACTGTTTAGACTGACTCTGTTGAGTGTTTTCTATATAAAATGTTAATATGGAAAAGAGTGTGAAGAAGCCCTAGCTTTATCAGAATCCCTGTTTTTCTTTCATCCCGCTAAGTTCTGTTGAATAAGCTGTTGGTCATATTCTTCACAATGCTATTCTCATGTTTGTTTTCTCATGTTGGTTGATAGCATCACTAGTTATACAAGCCAGAAGTACAGGAGAAAGTTTACCACCCAGCAAACTCTCCTCTTCTCCTCAGTAACAGGCCCACCATGTCCTGTTGATTTTATATTTAAATATCCTTTTGATGCCTGTTACCACCGTCTTAGCTTAGACCTTCATCAATTCTTGCTTGAACTTTAGTCTAGTGTTTTGATGGGTCTTCCTCCTTTCATTTTTCTCCAATCCATTCTCTACATCACTGCCACAATAAATGATGAAAACTATGTATACCTGATCAAATCACTGAATCTCTTTGATTATTCCCTAACCTACAGCAGTAGTTTTCAATTCTCACTATACATTATAATTACTTGTGGAACCTTAAAAAAAATACTGATGCACAAGTCTCATCCCCAGAAGTTCTTATTCATCTAATCCTTTGTTACTCAAAACGTGGTCTTAGAACAGCACTGGAATTAAGAATTGCAGAATCCCAGGCCCCACCCTAACCTACTAAATCAGAGTCTGTGTTTTAACAAGATTCCTCAGTGTTTTATAAGTACAATAGAATTTGAGAAGAATCAGTTTAGGACATTGGTATTTTTCCTGTAAGTCCACTAGGTGAATTTAATGTGCAAAGTTAAGAGATGCTTAGTATGGCATGGAAGTCCCCTCCTCACCTCTCTAACAGAATCTCACCATTTACAGCAACTCCATCTTCTCTGCCTCTATCACATTCCAAAAATAATCCAAACAGAATCCTCCATGCTATTTCAGGTGTTTGTACACTTGCACATACTGTGAATGTCCTTTTCTTCTCCTGCTTCATTTTCCTTAAGATAAACCTCTAATCATCTTTCAAAATCCTCCTTCAGTGTTTGTGAAGCCTTTCCCTAGAGGCCTTCGCCACGCTTACTTCCCAGAAAGTCTTATTTCTCCCTCTCTCTGTGTTACTTCTCCATTTCTCTTTTGGCATATTTTTCTGTGTTGCAGGTACTCGCTTACATATCTGTCTTGTCTACCAGACTCTGAATTCCCCAAGGAAAGGAATAAAGTATCCATCCCCAACCCCATGTCTACATAGTACCTAGCCCATGGGGTATAGTCAGTAATTTGGACTGAACAAAAGAAAAACAGATTAGAAATCAAGATTACTTTGGACCTCTCTAAAGACTTAATAATACTGTCCACAGATATCTTCCCCTGACAGAAAGTTTGGCTCTAGCTCAAAGCCAATATTCCTCACTTCATTAGGGTCCCTGCTCTAATATCACCTAGTCAAAGTTGAAAGGACTTCCCTGAGAACCCCATCTGAAACAGAACCCTCCTGTACATTGACACATACATGTACATGCACACACTGCTCACTCTGTATCCCCGCTCCTGCTTTTTTGCATCACTGGTCTTCATAGCATTTAAGCAAATTTATAACCTAATGTTATATTTATTTTATCTATTTTTCTCCTTACATTAGAAGGTGAGCTCTGCAAAGTGGGAGGCTTGGTCAGTTTTTCCCTACTGTATCCCCAATACCTACAACAGTGTCTCACACGTAGTAAGCACTCAGTAATTATTTACATATTGAATGAATGGATGAATCCTGATTTAGGTAAGGAATCTTTAAATAAGTATTTCCTAAGGTGTTTTGTTGTAATGTTAATAGATGTTACACAAAGAGAAATCCTGGGTTAAACAAAGTTAAGTGGGATTTTTTGTTTGTTTTACTATAAGACTCCTCAAAGCCTACATTACTACATTACTGTATGCTGGAAATCTCTAATCAAGGAATAGAATTAGTATGTAATATTTCCACAACACAGAACCTTTAGGCATGAGGTTCTACACATGCAAGTGGTACAAAATGATGGGATCTTGCATTTCCCTCTCAGATCCTTGCTCCACTGCCCTGGGACTCAGGATCTAAACGTGTCAATTCAACACCTGTGTGGTCTTTGATGCCCCCCCTCCTCCCCCGCAGTGGTGACTGGGCTTCTCTAATCAGATTCTTGAAACTTCCCTCTTCACCTCATTATACATATCGGTTCACACACCTTGTTTCTGTTTTGTTTTCTACAGCAACAACCGACTGGTGTCCCAGGCCTTTTGGGAGGCCTGAAGCATATGCTCCTCTTGTCTGGAGCCCTGAGTCCTGGGAAGGCTTCCAGACACTGCTGGCCTACCTGCACTTCCTAGAGCTGCTTCCGCTTTGGGACCACTTGTTAGAATCGAGAGCAGAATTTTTTCAAATCTCCTTGGACTCTGTGTCTTAGTGACTACCCAGACAAGAACAACAATAGGTAAAACTAATGAGCTCCTAAGCATTTTTTTCATAAATTAATTCATTCTTCTATGTATTTTACAGATAAGAAAAGTGAGACCTAGTAAGGTTATATAACTTGTCCAAGGTTACTCAGCTGGTAAATGACAGAGCTAGGGTTTAAAACTAAACTCAAATACTTGCCTATCCTCATCTCCAGACTTACCAACCCTGGTTATTAGCAGGTTTGACATCCTGGACTAATACATATACTTACTGCTCTCCCAGACCATCTGCTTTTTAGCTCTATGATTGAATCACCATGAGTGACAATGGATCTCAAGACATTGCATCTCACCCCCATGTCTTCCTACAAGGCTCTTTCATTATCTGTTGTGGTTACATATATTTCAATTAAGCAGAGCCCACAGAAAATGCTTAATACATCTGTTCCTTCATGCAATGAACATTGTTGATCACCTGTGTCAGGGACTGCACAGATGAATAAGACTGGTTCGTCTCATACTTCCCCAACCCAGAGCTCTTGGCCTGTAGAGGACCAAGGAATTGAGGAGTAGGAATTGAGAAGACAAATCACACATCTAACTGGAACCTGCATTAATGAACCCATAACTAGGCTGGCACACTTCCTTGCAGCTTCCCTTTATTACACACTGGTATTGGATGCACACACAACTGTATGGCCCCTTGCCTGAACTACCTGTGTGAAAGAGCCTGCAAACAACGCATCAAATATGTTGAAAATCCATTGACATTTGCCTTAATCACTGAACATAGGCAGAAGGATTAGCTTATTCTATACCATTTCATTGCAGTGGCCAGACCGAAAAAAAAAAAGTTTGTAATTAAAATAATTTTTAAATATGCATGAAACCATGACTAATTTATAATTATACCCAAAAGCGGAAGCAAAACATCTGGACACATATATTTAAAGTTCAGGTGAGAAGCCTTTAAAGTAACATTTAGGAAGCCTCTACCTGTTTATCTACTTTCATGCCTTATTAGCTACTAAAAGAGAGGTGAACAGTTTCAAACAGGGTAGACAAAAAAGCAAAGAATAACACTGCAAAAAAAGCTCTTCCCAAAAAATCACCAGCACATGATGAGGATGGGACCTATTAATTCCTCCTTCCAGAAAGGGCATTTAAGCAATTCAGTAAAGAGCACAGTATCTTCATGACTAGCCTGGGCAACATGTTGAAACCCTCTGTCTACAAAAAATACAAAAATTAGCAGTGTGTGGCAGTGCATGCCTGCAGTGAGGATACTGAGGTGGGAGGACTGTTTGAGCCTGGGAAGTGGAGATTGCAATGAGCTGAGATAGCGCCACTGCACTCCAGCCTGGGTGACAGAACGAGACCCTATCTCAAAAAAAGAAAAAAAAAAGCACGGTATCTGCTGTCCCTGGAGAAAACTGCAATGTGCCACAGCACTCTAGTGTTTCCTTGGACACCCAATTCACCCACTGGAACACACACCTCATTTTCACTACTGTTAGAGTCATTCTAAGAGCCAGAGTCAGGTGAATTTCCAGGCCTTTTTTTTTTTTTTTTTGTCAGCACACAATCGGGATGGAATGAATATGTTCATTTCAGGGAACAGAGGAAAAAAAAAATCACAAGAATAGTAACTGCCACCTTGTGAGGTGTGGTAACAGCTGCCAGGTGCTTTGATATGTTCTATCATTGGGACCTCACAGGACTACATATTGAGGTGCAGGAGACATGGTTCAGAGACCACTTGTTGGGCAAGTGGAGGAGTCAGGATTTGAACCCAATGTGTAAGACTCCAAAAGCTGGCACTTGTTCCCCACCTCTCTCTACCTCTTGAAAAAGGCTGGCTTCAAGAAAGCCTGTAGTCAAATACCTTTGGATTTCTAGCCTGTTATGGAGGAATGGCTTATAGAGCCCTGGAGTTTGGCTCTGTAAAAAAAAAAAAAAAAAATTAGTATATGGATTGTATTAAAAGATCTAAAAAAATTGATGTTATTCAAACATTTATCCCTTCCTATGAAAGTGTATTCAGTCTTTCATTGGCTCACACATCCCAAGTTCTATTTTATTATATTTTATTTTATTTTATTTTATTTTTTTGGGACAGAGTCTCACTATGTCACCTAGGCTGGAGTGCAATGGAGTGATCTCAGCTCACTGCAACCTCTGCCTCCTGGGTTCAAGTGATTCTACTGCCTCTGCCTCTCAAGTATCTGGGATTACAGGTGCATGATACCATGCCAGGCTAATTTTTATATTTTTAGTAGAGACGGGGTTTTACCATGTTGGCCAGACTGCTCTCGAACTCCTGACCTCAGGTGATCCACCCACCTCAGCCTCCCAGAGTGCTGGGATTACAGGCATGAGCCACCATGCTCAGCCCCAAGTTCCATTTTAAAGCTCCTATTGAGCCTCTATGTGTGAGGAGCCAAGCTAAATGTTGGGTTTACAACAGCAAGAAAAAACATGGTCATTGTCCTTGAAGCACTTATAGTCTAATGAGAGAATACAAACTTTAAAGTGATCAGTTTTATTAGCTAGTTTACAGTCAAGCACGAGATTAAGTAGATGACACTATACACAGAGGAAGGGCTCCGTGCCTGGCCTGGAATGTCACCAGAGGCTTTCTATAGAAGGATGTTGAGCAGAGGAAGAGAACCATACACCATGACACAAAAATCATACAGTAGGCCCTTAATGAACAACTGTTGACTGAATAGTGCCCTAGGCAGAGGGGCAGGAGAAAGGGACCAAGAGTGGCTCCAACACTTTGGCTCACAGGGTTGGATGGTGGGACCACCATCTGAGATAGGACATTGGAGGGGAGAGAATCTTCTGCCCCATCTCAGCCCACAGCTCTGGATAAAGGGCAGGGCCATAGGGAAAATATTAAAAATAGATACTTCACCCTGTCTTTATGGGCCCCTCCTCCCACACAAGTGATTGCCCAGGAGGGGACACCTGATTCACGCTGGGCCCATGAACAAAGCAACACTGAAAGACAGAGTCAGTTGGCTGGGAGGACCTGAGCTGTTTATAGGGAGCATTTCCTTTGGAGTTGGTACTAGGGCAAGGCAGTCGTATGCCAGGTAGTTTGAGGGGAGCAGAACAGCCAGAAGTAGTATGATAAA
The DNA here is from genome assembly GCF_000001405.40 of Homo sapiens. Taxonomy (NCBI): domain Eukaryota; kingdom Metazoa; phylum Chordata; class Mammalia; order Primates; family Hominidae; genus Homo; species Homo sapiens. Next base: position 130,206,353 of record NC_000006.12, read on the forward strand.
TCTATCCTTGCAGGGAAAAGCAAGGAAATGAGGCCAACTAGACAGGGAAGCAGAATGGAGACAGAGACAACCCGTGAGAAAAGTAGGGACCACTTCACTCCCTGGCTTTCCAGCACCTGTGTCTTCATGCTCGGGAACTTACTTGTTCAGCCCTTGGATGCTGGGAAATGCTTTTCTCACAATAAACTCCCTTTGTCTTTACTGTGAGTGGATTTTTGTTTCTTACTGCCAAATATATACTAAGGCAGGACAGATAAGTTTACTTTTTGAAACATTAATTCTAAGGTGCGGTATGCAGAGATGGGCAGCTGGTGGTAAACAGATAAGTAAAGGGCTTAGGAGAGACTTTATGACCAGAGATAAAGATAGGGGCGTGCCACTTCTAGTTTCCAAACCCTTCTATTTCTCTCAATTTCTTAGCCAGTCCTATTTTTCTCCTCCCCCTTGCCAGCTGCTATGAAGAATGTGAGATGCCATTAAGTGTGGGGCTGGTCCTTTGATGAGCCATGTGAAAACAATTGGAATAATAACCCTGCCTAGCCAGTATCACAGGAGCATGATGAGGACAAAATGTCAGAGGGCTTAGAAAGGAGAAAAGAGAGCTTGGGCAACACAACTAGATCTCATTTCTACAAATCATTAAAAAATTAGCTGGGCCTGGTAGTGCACACCTGTGGGCTCAGCTACTCCAAAGGCTAAGGCGGGAGGATTTCCGGAGCCTGGAAAATCAAGGCTGCAGTGAGCCCTGATTGCATCACTGCACTCCAGCCTGGGTGATAGAGAGATGGTGATAGACCCCATCTCATCAAAAAAAAAAAAAGAAAAAAAAGAAAAAGAAAAAAAAAGACCTACAGGTATAGAAGGTTGCATCCTCATCTGCTGTGTCAAGTAGGCAGAGAAAAGACACCCTAAGGAAAGTAGGAATACCTCCAGGAGCAGGGCTGGAGAAATGGCTGTACACCGAGTGCCCTCTGTGTGCTTCCACTCTGCTTGGAACTTGGCAAGCATTATCTATTCTTAATGCTCAAAACAACACCATGAGAAAGTATCATTATTATTTCCATTTTGCAGATGAGGATACAGAGACAGAGTGCTACTAGGGTAGGTAGCACTGGGGCTAATCACTGTTCACCCCAACTCTACCCACACTTCCACAGTTATAGACATGTGGACTGGCTGCATTTAGCAGCTTCGTGTTGGAAGGGGTAGTTGAGAGCTCATGGCTTACTACATGCACCTGGAGCCAATCACGGGAAAGCTCTAGGAATCAACCAGCACCCATGAGTGGGAAGGAGGGGAAAGAAGCCACCTTACAAATGAATTTCCACTTTCTGAATCATAGTTCAATCCAGGAAGACCAAGGCAATGGATTTTGCACCTACGACATAGCCTTCCACCTTCTTGGTTGCCACCCCAAACAAGAGTCAGTGGGCCCTAACACTGGGAGATCTTGAGGCACTGAGGCTGTGGGGCTAGAGGTGAGGTCCAAGGTTGAAGAGAGGGAAAAAGAGCGGAGAGGAGAGCCCAGAGCCAAAGCCCATTTGCAGGAGCTCCTCATCAAAGGGGCTGCTCTTCTCTGCACTCATAGGGCTGCTGGGGCCTTGCAGGCCTGAATCCAAGGCTGTTGCCCTCAGTCCCCTGAGCTCTCACGCTGAGGGTGGCTAGGTCCTGTGCTGAGGCAACAACAGTCCACTTGGAAAAAATAGCTAGAAATCCTTTGACTGCTCTAAATCTCGGTTGTACTCATTTACAAAAAGGAGAGAATAATGCCCACCTTGCAGTACTGCTCTGTGGGCAAAATGAGCTGATAGTGTAAAGGGGTTGTGAAAACTGAAGGACCACATCCTTGCTTGGCTATTACCCGATTATTCTTTGTGTGCAAGGTGACAGTCTCTCTTTTCAATGAACTACGTTTAAGGCATTGCATTTGCTTGTTAGTGACTGGAGACAATATGTAATATGAGTTATGGATGCACGGATTGCCTGGGTGGGACGGCCGTGAAATGCTGTAGGACAGGGGTTCTTAACCCTCAGGACACAGACTGGTTCATGGCCTGTTAGGAAACAAGCCACACAGCAGGAGGTGAGCAGCGGGTGAGCGAGCAAGGTTTCATCTGTATTTATAGCCACACCCCATCACTGGCATTACCACCTGAGCTCCGCCTCCTGAGAGATCAGTGGCAGCATTAGATTCTCATAGGAGCACAAACCCTACTGTGAACTGTGCATGTGAAGGATCTAGGTTGAGCACTCCTTATGAGAATCTAATGCCTGATGATCTGTCACTGTCTTCCATCACCCCCAGATGGGACTGTCTAGTTGCAGAAAAATAAGCTCAGGGCCCTCACTGATTCTACATTATGGTGAGTTGTATAATTATTTTATTATATATTAGAATATAATAATAGAAATAAAGTGTGCAATAAATGGAATGTGCTTGACTCATCCTAAATCCATCCCCCTGACCCCTGTCCTTGGAAAAATTGTCTTCCATGAAATCAGTCCATGGTGTCAAAAAGGTTGGGAACCGCTATTCTAGGGGATGCCGTGACCTCCGTATCATATCTTACCTATGACCATCTCAGCACCAAATCCTACATGTGGTTCTCTAAGTCTACAGTTTTTCCTTTGTTTAGTTGTAATCCATATATTGAAATATACATTACGTAAAACCCAGTGTAGGAACATAGAGAAAATGTTTACCAAAATAACTGGAATATAAAGCAAATGCTTACCTGCCTCTATCGGGAGAGTCAAGTTAAAGCAACAACTACAAAATTCAAAACAAAAACTCCACCAAGGGATATTCTATAGAACATTATTCATTGAATAAATTCCATCTTTGTGACTGCTGCCAATCACCTTGAAGATTTTATGACAGAGAAATCCTCTTTTTTCTTAAAAATGTATACTTGAAAGATGTATACTATCATTCTAAAACTTCACTTTTCCAATACAAAAACCAGAAAATTTAATCTTCATCTTTTACCAAGTATCTTTATCGCTGGATAAAAATATATTCCCTTCCAGGAAAACAAAAAGTTTCAAATTAGAAATACATCTAAACATATGAAACCTTATCAAAAAGAAATAGAGAAGAATGTTATTTGGCTTTAAACTGTCTTAAAGTTGGTACCCCCACCTCTGTTTCAATACTCTTTGGTCAATTAGTCCATTATCAAGGTTTTCAGCTGGATAGAAAGATGGCATCTGCTCCCCATGCCTGGCTGGACTGGAGGACTCTTCATCCCTGTAACTAAGAAAGAAGAGGTGGGTCAGGCACTATTCAAGAGGTGATATGACCATTGATCTCACAGCAGCTCTGAAGGTAGCACCAGCCCAGAGTAAACATCATGGTCTGTGTCCACTTCCCAGTTCCACGTTAGACTCATGACTAAGAGAATGGAAAGAAGGCCCCTCTGGCGTCATCTAATTCAGTGGTTCCTATGTGCCAGGAGGCAGACTGATGCCTGTTCATAATGCTGTTTTCACCAGTCTATCCTATTTTTAAATGGCATTAAGACAATACCTTCCTTTATGAAATGATGGTGATCGTAGAATGTATCTTTTTTAGCTAATATTCTTGTTTGGCAAAATTAAATAGTAAACTCTGCCAGATCCCTACTCTGCTCTCTGCCATTTTGGGAGACATTTTATTATCTGTGAAACCTCAGGATCTTAGAAACATACTCTGCTAGCTCCCTTATTTTCCAAGTAATGCAACTGAAGCCTAGAAGGCAGAGCAACTCCTGGTGAGCTACTCAGTAGCAGTGCCAGGATTTGAACTCAGTTTTGCACCTTCCTGACCAATGATTTTCTACCAGTTTCAACAAGAACAACAACAAAAAGCAACTGCAAATATGCCTAACTATTTCATATCCCCATCATTTGCTGAGGTATCAACAGGATGCTAAATATCCTGCCCAGATGTTGCCTACACATCCTTTTCAAAATAACATGCCAGGCCAGGTGTGGTGGCTCAACATCTGTAATCCCAGCATTTTGGGAGGCTGAGGCAGGTGGATCACCTGAGGTCAGGAGTTTGAGGCCAGCCTGGCCAACATGACAAAACCCTGTCTTTACTGAAAACACAAAAATTAGCTGGACATGGTGGCAGGTGCCTGTAATCTCAGCTACTTGGGAGACTGAGGCAGGAGAATCACTTGAACCTGGGAGGCAGAGGTTGCAGTGAGCTGAAATCATGCCATTGCACTCCAGCCTGGGCGACAAGAGAGAAACTCCATCAAAAAAAAAAAAAAAGGTCAGGTATAAACCAAAAATAAAATTCTAAGGCCCCCAACCATTTGAATGGACCCCTCCTCTCAGCTAAAGGCATTCCAAAATTAACCTGAAAAACTAATTCAGGCCATGATGGGAAGGGAAGGTTGAACATGCCTCATTATACCCTCCTCCCTTTTAGAATTGAGGAAAAGGTGACCAGCATTAACATCAACACAGACCTTAAGTCTAATAAGAAACATTTATGGGCAAGGCATGGTAGCTCACACCTGTAATCCCAGCACTTTGGGAGGCTGAGGCAGGTGGATCACGCGGTCAGGAGATTAAGACCATCCTGGCTAATATGATGAAACCCTGTCTCTACTAAAAATACAAAAAATTAGCTGGGCATGGTGGCATGTGCCTATAGTCCCAGCTACTCAGGAGGCTGAGGCAGGAGAATTGCTTGAACCTGGGAGGCAGAGGTTGCAGTGAGCCGAGACAGCACCACTGTATTCCAGCCTGGGTGACAAAGCCAGACTCCATCTCAAACAAAAAAGAGAAACATTTATGATCTATTCTCTCTGAAGCCTGCTACCTGGAGGCTTCATCTGCATGAGAAAACCTTAGTCGCCACAACCCCTTATCATAACCCAGACATTCCTTTCTATTGATAATAATTCTTTCAATCAATTGCCAATCAGAATTTTTTTTTTTTTTTTTTTTTTTCTGAGACAGAGTCTCACTCTGTCACCTAGGCTGGAGTGCAGTGGTATGATCTTGGCTCACTGCAACCTCTGCCTCCCAGGTTCAAGCAATTCTCCTGCCTCAGCCTCCTGAGTAGCTGGGATTACAGGCACCCGCCACCAGGTCTGGCTAATTTTTGTATTTTTAGTAGAGATGGGGTTTCACCATGTTGGTCAGGCTGGTCTCAAACTCCTGACCTCAAGTGATCTGCCCGCCTTGGCCTCCCAAAGTGCTGGCATTACAGGCATAACCCACCACGCCGAGCTGCCAATCAGAAAAATTTAAAATCTACCTGTGACCTGGAAGCCCCAGCTTTGAGTTGTCCTGCCCTTCCAGTTCAAACCAATGTAAATCTTACGCTGATTGATGTCTTATGTCTCCGTAAAATGTATAAAAGCAAGCTGTACCTGACTACATTGGGCACATGTCATCAGGACCTCCTGAAGCTGTGTCATGGACGGGTCCTTAACCTTGGCAAAATAAACTTTCTAAATTGATTGAGACCTGTCTCAGAGACTTTTGGGTTCACACAGGCAATCACTAGCCATTAAAGGGAATCTGTACTCAAATGGAAACCTATCTGCTGTCTCAGATCTAGAATGCCATCACAGACTCTTTAGAACGGACCTAAAGTATCACTTATTCTACCTACTTCATTTTACAGTTGAAGAAGCTAAAACTAAAAGGGGTCAGACAAATCTCCAAGGCTAGTTGAGGGGCTAATATCATAAGAGGGGGTTAAAATCAGATGTCTTGATAGCTAGCTTCAGGGTTCTTCTGTACACCAAGTTTCCTATCTTTTTTAAACACTCTCTAAGGGGGTTTAATTAAACAGCATATTCTCATGCCTCTTTCTACTATCATTCTCACTTGATGATTGTCAAGTGACAACATATAATAAATATATTTGACAATAAGCAAATACAACCAACAAGAATTTTAATCAAATATAAAGCAATAAGTATTCTCTTCTCACATGCAATTGTAATTCTGCACCAGAATAATTTAATCTAAATACAAGATAAACAAATCCCTAAGGTGAGTCAGCTGCTTATGGGTACAGTGCAAAGTCCCCACTCATAAATCCCCAGACAAAGAGTGGTCCCAGTCTTGGCCATGTTTGAAACTAGTTAACCCAGTTAACAAAGTTTCATACTTAACACAGGACTATTTCAGTCTAGGAGAAAAAGGACAGATTTGCTCAAAGACTGTGATACTCCTAACATCAGTGTGAATTAAAGAGGAGGTAAGTACCATATTACTTTTCACAACGTACGGATGAAGAAACAAGAATGCCAACATTTAATATAATCAATCCAAGTCAGTAGTAGAACCAGGAAGGAAGCCCAGGTTTCCTGGCAGTCCAGCTAGTTCTCTTTTACTTGAGAACATTATAAACTGATTTGCAGTGGAAACAAGACTGCCTGTTTTCTTCTAAGCTGTGCCTAAGGCAATTTCAAGATTCCACTCAATGGAAGGGAACTTCCAGCTCAAATGTCCTACTCATCCCAAAATGCAAGGAAATTACTTTGATCTCTCTTTCAGGTTCCTACCCTTCCTTTGCTGGGAAGGAGTAAAAGCTTGCAATGGGAACTTCATCAAAAGTTACATGTTCAAGAGCGTCCTTTTTTACATAGATATGCCAAAACAATGTTTAGAAATCCTTCAAATAAATTGGTTAGGGGCCGGGCAAAGCAGCTCTTGCCTGTAATCCCAGCGCTTTAGGAGGCTGAGGTGGGAGGATGGCTTGAGGCCAGGAGTTGGAGACCAGCCTGGGCAACACAGTGAAACCACCATTTGTTTAAAAAATAAAAATAAACATAAAAATAAATTAGCCAGTCATGGTGTTGAGTGCCTGTAATCCCAACTGCTTGGGAGGCGGAAGCAGGAGGATTGCTTGAGCCCAGGAATTCGAAGCTGCCGTGAGCTATGATCCTGCCACAGCACTCCAGCCTGGGGGTCAGACTGAGACCCATCTCTAAAAAAAACAAAAAGCTTTTTTTTTTTTAAAAAAAATCAATTAGTAGAATTTCCATTCCAGCTCTATACCATCCCTTCAAGGCTACCTATTCCCCTCCATGTCCCAAATATTCAAATATTCTAGGAATAAACTTGCTTATGTCAGGTCCCTACCATTATATTATTTATCAAGGAGAAAGAGAAATCTCTATTATTACCACTCTAATCTCAAAAAATTAACGTAAAAACATAGATTTTATCAATCATCAAAATCATTAAAATTTATTTAATCTTAGAAACCCTTCAAAAAAATCTTGAAAATGGAAAAATCAAATCAGAATGGCTGAAATGATCCCAGGGCATAGATGGATGTGTAAAATGAAATTTTTAATCTTATAAATCCTGTTATCATTTCTTTTCATTGCAGAAGTCAGTGATTAAAAAACAAACAAATAAAACCGTCCCCAAACTTCAGAGCTTTTATCTGCCACCACTAATGTTTCTACATAATTTTTTGGGGTGTTTCATAGTGTTCATTACTATAAGGACACTCTTAAAAAATTAGAATACTCATGTGACAATAACGTGTTTAGCAAATTACATCGTAAAGGCATCTAGAGAAGACTATAAATTCATTACTCTAAGAAATCCTAGGAAAATAAATAAATAGATTAATAAATAAATAGTTTTGGGAAAAGCAAAGAAGCAATCAAGATGCCTTTCCCAAACCCTGATTTTAAAACCAGAGCTTCAGGATCCCCTTTCTCCTTGTGTTACATACCTATTTCACCTGCTTGTTCCACAGCATTTTATATAGAAACTCCTTGCTAATAGGACATCCCTAATGATTGGAATCCATGTTTAAAAAATGGTGAATAAAAACGTTTCTTGATTCTTAAAATTTTACAGTGTCCTTTGCTCAAATATTAGAAATACCGTACATACAATCTAGCTGAAAACGGTCACAGTTTTCCAAGGGCTTTAAACCCAAACGTCACGCTCTAGCCATCATTGGGAAAGCTTGGGAAAAAAAAATAAGGCCATTTATGAACATACTCACTCTCGAGCTGCTTCTGTTTGCATGACCAGGGCTGCCTTTTTGGGGTTTTCTGGGGACTTCAGTCCTTGAGTGTTCTGCTTGTATTTTTTAATTAAATCCATCAGAACAGCCTGGTGCCCAATTTTCTTTACCAGTTGCTGAACCATCCGATCATTAAGTGCAAGAAGAGCGGCCCCACTTACTTCTTCCTCTGGGAAAAAGAAAAAAAATTAGTTTCTACATGACTTTCCGGCAAAACACAGGCATTCTGAAGAGGCAAAATTACCTCTAGTGATAAAAGGATCATCTAAACTTGTCCCCTGACATTATAAATTTATCCATATTTTTGACAAAGATAAAACTCCAATGTTGCATAATTCCAAATCAATGCCTGCTCCTAAGAAAGTACCAGAACATGGAATCACAATAAAAACTTATTATTTCTACATTAACACCCTTCTCATTCTAATTCTCTCTAACTGGTATTGTTTTTATAAGGAAAAAAAACTTAGGAAATTATTCTTCGTAATAGCTCCTAGCCAGTATTCAACTTTATAAACCCAACACTACACAAAATACATACTGTATTACTTAAGAACAAAAGCAATATTAAATGCATATATCAAATATGTATTTTAAGTGACCCGTAAGACTTTTTTATTTGAGTTCTTAAAATATTATATTCTCTTGTGGATGTTACTTTCAAGTGGAAACTCTGCTACAGTCCATAAAGAAATGAAAAGTTCTCTACTGCAGCAACCCCACATCCACATTGACATGCACACAGACATTTGGCAACAAAAGTAATTTTCAGTAACAGAGGACACCAGAATATCTAGGCTGCTCAATTAAAATTTTTGGAAAGCATAAACAACTCACCTTGAAATCTATGAACTAGCTCTCCTAAATTTTTCTCCACCAACCAACTGCAGACCTGCTCAACTGACCAGGTTTCCATTGCTGTCTCCTGTAAATACACCTGTAGAGCAAAAGGTCAGAGAATTCTCCAGCTTTTCTTTCTGATTGTGCCTTAATTTTTTTTTTAACAGTCAGCCGCTTCCTTTGCTAGACTCCTTTATCTTCTCAATGTTAAGCTTTTTTAAAATTACTATTTTTACAATGTACATTTAAAAATTGCTAACAAAACACACACTCACTTTAAAAATAAGACCTGATTTAAACCTATTTCCTAGCATCCCATTTCTCAAATTTCTTCACCTTCTCCTACTTTTTTTCCACAGGCATCTCTAAGCTTTACTAACAGACAGCCAGGGACATACAATGGTACCCAATCCTGTACCATTAACACCCAGGTTTCTTCACAAAGAAAAGAAAGGTGTGAAATTCACCACTACCAGGCTCCTCAGGAAGTGGTTGACATTTACAGAAGGGGTGGGCAGGAGAGGAAGGGAGGAAGGATCAGATAAAAGCCTGACAGAGATACTTAGTAAACTGGTTAACCCCTTAGTAGACTGGTTAACCCCTTGCTTCTCCTGGCTAGGAGAAGGAGATTGTAACTTGCTGCTTCTCATTGTTTTCCGTTAGCAAGAAGAGGAAGTAGGACCCACATTTCTCTGGAGAATCTGAATGTTTCTGTCCTTCCTTCCAATACTATTCTTACATACCCCTCTGAGTTCTAGAACTTTTTTGGACACTGTTATGATTGGTAAGATAACTAGGATAAACTACCACACTGACTGAAAACTTTTTACTTAATTGGGCAGATTCAAAATTGGAAAGTAATTATTTATGTTAATAATTATCGTGAAAGAAGCGTAGGCAAGTTTGCAAGATATATTCTTTAACTATTTCAGTTATTTTTGTATGCCACTTGTCTGCAACCACTTAGAAAACTTAAAACTATTTCCCTAAGGAAGCTTATTCCTTGTTTTTGTAATTCAATCCAAAGGACCTCTGATGGACTTGGAGAGGGGTGGGGTGGAGGGGGGGATTGAAATAAATTTAAAACGTTTTAACCTTTTATCTTTACTTGGCAATTTCAAATCTTAATCTAAATGATATAGATTTACTTGCAAATTAAGATACTGACTATTCTGTAAAGACCAAGGAAAAAGCTACTCTTGGAGAAATGGAATCATAAGGAAAGATTAAAATGGTTATCAGTCGTGAATTTAAATTTTATTGATGGAAGTTTTAAATGGAACTATTGTTGTATTTCTCATTTTTGTATATTTAAAGAAGTTACAATTACCAACATCATAGTTAGAATAGTGGAAAAGGGGAAACATGTTTACCTTGCATATGTGACAAGCTGGAAAGATAGTCTTCAAGAATCATTTCCTAGAAAACAAGTAGACTTCAAAGTATTAAGCCCCATAATCATAAGTGTTCACAAACACCAACTTGAAAAATTGAAAACAAGGGTTAAATATAGAAGAACATCTTTCTGAATTTCAGCAGTGGATTTAATTTGCTATGACAAACAGTAGCCACAGAACCCCTCCCCTAGGCTAAGCAGCAATAGCAGGGTGTGAAAAGTCATTATTTGCGAGACTCTGGTGTAAATTAAAAATCACACCTTTCTATCACACTTCTGGCTTCCTTGCGAAGATTAGGACTTAGGGAAAAAATAGAAAATAGAGAAAAAATAAAAGAATTCTCTAAACTCGAAGATAAAAAGGTAAGCAGAGCAGAAGATACTGCCTTGTAGTCATCGATGGATAAAAGGAAATTTGAAAATAAAATGAGTACTTGGAAATGATCATGTATTTTTAAATTTGCAGATTTTTACCACAATTCTACTTCTGGGAAAAACAAAACAGGTTAAATTATAACATCATACAAACATAATAAAATAAAAAAGCATATAGTTTTTGCCTAGTAGCTTTTCTGGAGAGTTAATAAAACAATATCACTGGCTAGACAACGTAACATCTTTGAGTAGTAACTTTACAACTTCTTCTCACATAAATAATGGATATATTATTTATGATCTTCTACACCATGAAGGCATAAACTATATATCAAATGAGAAAAGATATATCTGGTAGCTTTATTCTGAGCTTCAGAAACATACGAAAATATTTCAAAATGTGAAGGCAAGCATTATCTCTAAATAGTTGAATAGTGGTATCATTTTTAAGAAGAATTAATAATACATTATGTATGAATGCTCCTGACAAACCATTATCATTATTTGATTGAATTATAAATCAAGAAAATAAATTTGTATTAAATATTAAAGGGCTTCATTTAACTAAAGCCAAGAAGAGGTAAGACTTCAGCTAAAGCAGCCTAAATATGGGCAAGCTTTATTTAATAAATTTGTTAAAACTACAAAGGAAGATAATAGGGTCACCTGCTGTGAACGTGATTTATAATCTTCAAGGGACAATCTAACATATAAAACATCATATAAAACATACAAAACATTCGACCACAAAAGAGCACTTTTTAAGAAAATATGAAAACTTTTTGTCATCTTTCTTTCTATTTGCATTTTTCGCTTTATTCCTCTGAAGTCCAAAAGCTGAGACAACAAAAGATTCCTAAAAGTTTTGCTGGCGGCATATGCCCACTCCTGGATCAATACCTCATTCTGCCCTGAGAAAAAGTATCTCCTACCGTGGCTGAACTTGAAGGGACAAACAATTTATCACAAATCAGTTCCAGGCCTGGCGTGTAAAAAAGAAGGAAAATTGAGGTACAAAAATAAGGATGTGGCTGTCACATGAAACAATGTCTGGGCAATTCTCTTGGGTAGCAGCCTCGCTACCATGGGAGGTGATAGTGTTGTAGGACTCTCTCTTTAGTTCAGCTAAGAGCTGGGTTCTTGTCACACTGCCATGAAATATTAGGCTCACAGACACTTTGAAGGGTCAGAAGAATGGAATTTATTGGGCAAAAAGGAAAGAAAGGGGAAACAGTGGCTCTCAGCAGAGCGAGGGTCCTGCTAGTATATGCTTCTCGCCTCACAGATTGAATTCCAAGTTCCCACACCAGAATAAGAAGGGCCAGTTCCTCCTCGCTGCAAACCGTGTGAACTTCCGTGGCTCCACCCCATTCTCTCAGTGCGCAGGCTGTCGGAGGCTCTCCGGGGACCTGTTTATACTCAGGTGTCTCAATAGCAGCATGGTGTTCCAATGGAACATAACATCTCATCCACTATGGCCTGATGATATTCTTCCAACCATCACCAGACCACATGAAATAAAAACTGAAATATTCAACTCAAATAATTTGCAGATGTTAGTCACCAAGACGTTTACTGCCTAGATAGATAGCCCAAAGTGGGGTGGATGATGATATACTAAAGAAGTTAGAAGCCTTACTAAGAAGATAAGATACATAGATAAGCAGAATATGATATACAGCCAATCATGGTGGATGCTTTAGAAAGCACTCTGGGGCTGGATTTTCCCACAGTGTCCTGGAAGCGAATGGATCTTGATTTGGAATCTAAATAATGGACATAGTTTAGATAGCAAAGAAGCTGGAGAAAGCAGGATCAATATAATGAACTCAAAGTAAAAAAAACCAGAAAAAAACGAGTCATGTTTTGGAACCTCAGGGAGGACCGTGCTGCTTGGAATAGGAACCACATGGTAGGCAACCACAGGAGACAGGGTCTGAAGATCGCAGAAAGGCTTAGAATGTTAAGAGTTTATAGATATGCTTAAGCTTGGGAGAGTCATTGAACTGAGAGTATGTTCCATGCTTTGGAAAGATTATTTAGGCAGCTGAGTCAAATAAATGACAGAAAAGCATTCTTTCTTGAAGCAAATTGTGTATGAGATGGAAGGGCTTAGCCTTTACTAAACATCCATATGTGCACCAGTTTTCCTTCGTTTTAGGAAACATAGATATTTATATTAATCTTTTAAACATTTAAGGAACAAAACTATTAATTTTTTTCATACATCACGGTCTGAAAGGGAGTGACATCTACAAAGCTAGCAGACAGCAAACAGGTGAAACACACCAAAAGGGGCTGTCTCTATACGTTATGCTAAACGATATGAAACAGCCATTTTTTTTAAATTACAGGGATTTATTTTTTTTTAATTTTTATTTTCATAGGTTATTGGGGAACAAGTGGTGTTTGGTTACCTGCATAAGTTCTTTAGTGGTGATTTGTGAGATTTTGGTGCACACATCACTGGAGCACACATTACTGCACCCAATTTGTAGTCTTTTATCTCTCACCCTTTTCCCCACTTTTTCCCGAGTCCTCAAAGTCCATTGTGTCATTCCTATGCCTTTTCATCCTCATAGCTTAGCTCCCACTTATGAATGAGAACATATGATATTTGGTTTTCCATTCCTGAGTCACTTCATTTAGAATAATAGTCTCCAATCTCATCCAGGTCACTGCGAATGCCATTAATTCATTCCTTTTTATGGTTGAGTAGTATTCTATCGTATATATACCACAGTTTCTTTATCCACTTGTTGATTGATGGGGTTTGGGGTTGGTTCCACATTTTTGCAATTGAGAATTGTGCTGAAACAGCCGTTTTTGCACATACAAGAATTCAAGATCAGTAATTTCCTATGGCTTAAGTTATTAAAATCTTACTTTTATAAAAATTAGTGTCTCCATTGGTTCTTTTTATCTAGCAAGACTTATCAGAGTTGTCTGTAATTCACAACACCTCCAATAAATTTGAAGGAAAAAGTGGTGAGCACAGTCATAGTAACTTAAATTTCATATGTTTACATTTTTTTCTTTTTCTATTTTTTTGAGATGGAGTCTCGCTCTGTCATCCAGACTGGAGTGCAGTGGCACTATCTCGGCTCATTGCAACCTCCACCTCCCGGATTCAAGCCATTCTTTTGCCTCAGCCTCCTGAGTAGCTGGGATTACAGACGCGTGCCACCATGCCAGGCTAATTTTTGTATATTTAGTGGAAATGGGGTTTCACCATGTTGGCCAGGTTGGTCTCGAACTGCTGAGCTTGTGATCCACCTGCCTCGGCCCCCCAGAGTGCTGGGATTACAGGTGTGAGCCACTAGCCTGGCCAATTTTTACATTTTCAAAGAAACTAAAGAGCCACTTATCTGGGAGGTTTAGTTAAATTAATGAACAAAAATAGCAATGAGCCAGAGTCCCAGAACTTTGGAACTTTTGAGTCACAAACACCCTAGTGTTTTGGCCTTTGAGTCAAACTTATGGTTTATCCCTGCTTCTGCCTCGTTGACAGCCAAAGCTTATGGTTCAGCAACACAGATTACAGTCCTGCCAGAGATGGTAACTGTGAACTGTGCTATTGAATTTTATGAAAAGCTGGATGTGTGACTGAGAAGTCTTGATAGTTTGAAGATGTCATTTCCCTCAGAATTAATTTATAAATTCCAATTAATATACATACGTGGTTATATGTTTTACTTACTATGAGGCTAGTTTTCATGTGGAAGAATAAATAGGTAAAAAGAACGAAAAATGCTTGACAAAAGGACTTGCACTTCCAGATGTTAAAAAATGTTATGCTATTAACAGCATGGTACTGGAGGAAAAGAGAACAGATATTGAAACAGAATAGAAACTTAGAAACAGAAACATTCATATGGAAGTACTGAAAATATCTTTTTTTTTTTTTGACAGTCTCGCTCTGTTGCCCAGGCTGGAGTGCAGTGGCACGATCTCGGCTCACTGCAAGCTCCGCCTCCCGGGTTCATGCCATTCTCCTGCCTCAACCTCCCGAGTAGCTGGGACTACGGGTGCCCACCACCACGCCCAGCTAATTTTTTTGTGTTTTTAGTAGAGACGGGGTTTCACTGTGTTAGCCAGGATGGTCTCGATCTCCTGACCTTGTGATCTGCCCACCTTGGCCTCCCAAAGTGCTGGGATTACAGGCATGAGCCACCACGCCCAGCCAGTGAAAAGATCTTTAAAATTGGTGACAAAGAAGGGATTAGTCAATATATTTTGTTGGGATAATGCCTCATAACACCTACACAATAAATTCCTCAGATAAGTTAAATATGTAAATATGAAAAATTAAAAAGAGTTTAAAATAATCTAAGATTACATAATAAAAATAAAATATTGATAGATTTGACTAAAAAGGAAAAACGCATGTGTACACATATATATCACAGTGGACCCTTGAACGACACAGGGGTTGGGACGCTGACTCTGCTATGCAGTTGAAAATTTGCAAGTAACTTTTGACTACCCCCAAACTTAACTACTAATAGCCTACTATTGATCAGAATCTTAACTGATAACATAGACAATTAACACATATTTTGTATGTTATATATATTATATACAGTACTGTTACAATAAAATGAGTTAGAGGAAAGAAAATGTTATTAAGCAAATAACAAGGAAGAGAAAACATTTACTATTTATTACATGGAAGTGGATCATCATAAAGATCTTCATACTCGTCGTCTTGCAGTGAGTAGGCTGAGGAGGAGGAGGAGGAAGAGGAGAGTTGGTCTTGCTGTCTCAGGGGTGGCAGAGGCAGAAGAAAATCTGCATGTAAGTGGACCTGAGAGGTTCCAACACATGTTGTTCAAGGGTCAACTCTATAATCCATAAAACCAACTAAAAAATTAATACACCAATAGAAAAAAATAGGAATAGGTAACTCTTGAACAAAATTTTAAACCAGTATCTGAAAAATCTACATTATTTGTAATAAAAATAATTAAATACCATCTTCATTTATTCCATTGGAAAAGGTGAAAATTAGCAAGAATGCAAGGTCAGTTGTTCTCTTACACACTGCTAAGGGGAGTATAAAGTGGCACAACTTGCCCTGTCATATTATTCCCATTTTATAATTGAAAGTCCTGGAGTTTACAGGGTAACTCGCCTAAGGTTCCTTTGCTTGTAAAGGTAAAAGTGATTTGAATCCAATCTATCCAACTTTAAAGGGTACTAATGCAAGCCAAAAACATTAAAAATATTTCTACATTCTGACCCCAAAATAGCATTTCTAAGAATGTGCCTAAAGACATTAACAGAAATGAACACAAAGATGTGTGCCATAGCAATGGTCCGAATAGCAAATAAATTGGACAGATAAAATTTCCAGCAATAGGAATTGGCCAATGAATTACAGTAATTTATATTTAAAATAAAATACTATGTAGTAATCAAAAATTGTATCTAGACAAATAACTATGTAGAGAGAAACAGTCATGGATATGGTTAACTGCAAATAAATTTAAAATAGTATGATTCAGATTTGTGGAAAGAATAAAATAAAAGTAGAATGAAATGCTTGGTTACACAAAGGCTGGGAAAGCATATACTAGAAGGCAGAAGTGGCAATCTCTGTTTGGAGGAATTAATGTTTTTTGTTTGTAATCTGCCACTCTTAAATTTTTCTCAATGAAAGAATTTTATCTTAATATCAGAAAAGTTAGAGTTTTATAGAGAAAAGGTAAAAAGTGATATTTACGGATTATTGCTGGAGAGGCTTTTGGTCCATCTCTTCCAGAAGAGAAGATCAAAGGAGAGAGCACCCCTCCTCCCCAGGCAAATCCGATCAGTGGATGTGGTTCTGGTTCCTTTGTTTTATCTGAAAAATGGAAGATATCACCTACAAATCTGGAATCTTGGTTTCTCTTGAAAAATCAAAAGTTCTGGTGATACTGGGTTCATATTTCTGAATGGCAGCAACTGAGCAGTGGCTGCCCCATTGAAAGACAGCAAGACTGGGAGCCTCACAGTACACAGGAAGCATAAGGTAAGTTTGAAACAGGGTGGATCTCAGACAGCTAACGTTTGCACCTCTCAAAGGAAGAAGATTCTGACAAGTGTGACAAATACCCATGTATGTACATACATGTTTACCATAATATATCTTTGGAACATTTAATTCTTCCTTAGTTACCTTTTTTAAGCTCCTAGAAGAAATAACACTAACTAGAAAAAAAATTTCCTATATCAATCTTAAGGCAGATATAATAATAATGTATTAGAATTTAGACATTGAATTCAAAGTCAAGGACTCAAAGCTTTGCATCTCAGAAGGTTCTAGTGTCTTGAGGCTTCATTTTCTTTGTAGCTACATCATTGAACTAAAATGCACAAACCTTTATTTAGCAGACATTGGCTGAATGTAATTCTCGTTACATAGCTCAGTGTGTACGTGATAGTGCAGGTGATAGCTGAACATTTTATAGCTCTGAGTAGTGGCAAGAACTTACATTATTAAAATATTACAACTATTTTTTTGGAGTTACTCATTTGTTAGAACACATGAAAGGTGACTTCTGTATCCACCTATATTGCTCAGCTGGTAGAGTCAAGCTGGGCTCTCTTGATCTGTTAACACTAAGTGCTGGTCTGACTTTGTAGGCCTCTTCAGGAAGAAGGGGATGCAAGGTAGTGGATCTTCTTAATGCAGTGTGACTCAAAGTGAAACTTGGAAACACCCTTGCAGGGCGTGCGATGGGTGTGACTCGCTTCTTCAGTACCCTGCAGCTCAAACCCCTAGAGGGAGCATGCAGACGGGCAGGTCATGGGGAGCATGGGCTCCTACCCCATGGCAGCACCTAGGGTTGAGTGTTTACAGCTCCAGAAGCCCCAGTGGGAGTGTGTTACAGTGCAGTCTTTCAGCTTAGCCATCCGCAGGTGGCTTGTGTTAATCAGCTCAATTAGATCCTCTGCCTTATCGCAAGGACAGAGGGCTTTCTGTATCCCAAGGTTCTTGCCTTAATGTACCAGAAAAATTGAATCACATGTAGGCTTGGAGAATGGGTGCACAGTTTTATTGACTGGTGGAAGTAGCTCTCAGCAGATGGATGGGATCCACAAGGGGAATGGAATGGGAAGGCGGTCTTCCCCTGGAGTCAGGCCGCTCAGTGGCCTGACTCTCCTCCAACCACCCCCAGGCAAATTCTACGTGGTCCACATCATACTGCTGTTGATGTCCTGCCAGTCTGTCAGTGTATTCTGCCAGTGTGTTCCTCTTGATGTCCAGCCGCTTGTGTCTGTGCCCGCTAGGGTCTCAGGGTTTTTATAGGCAGAGGATGGGGGTGTGGCGGGCCAGAGTGCTTTTGGAAAATGCAACATTTGGGCGTGAAAACAGGAGTGCCTGTTCTCACTTACGTCCATGGGTACAGGCCTGAGGGTGGAGCCCTAGCCAGGGACCCCATTCTTCTCTACCCAGCACTTCCCTGCCCGCCTCCCGTATCAAAAGCAAAGCACAGATGGGAGGTGTGGAGACACAAAAAGGCATAGGACCCTGTGTTTCTCATGAGTGACAAATGCTCATGCTTCTGCCAGCCCTAGGTTCATGTGAGGACGGGCCAGAATGTTCAAACTTTTGTTTATGCAAAAGCACTCTATTTATTTATTATTATTATTATTATTATTATTATTATTATTATTATTTTTGAGATGGAGTCTCCCTTTGTCACCCAGGCTGGAGTGTAATGGCACGATCTCAGCTCACTGCAACTTCCACCTCCTGGGTTTAAGCGATTCTCCTGCCTCAGCCTCCTGAGTATCTGGGACTACAGGCACGTGCCACCACGCCCAGCTAAGTTTTTGTATTTTTAGTAGAGATGGGGTTTCACTGTGTTAGCCAGGATGATCTCGATCTCCTGACCTCATGAACCGCCTGCCTCGGCCTCCTAAAGTGCTGAGATTACAGGCATGAGTCACCACGCCCAGCCCGAAGCACTCTTTTTAGAGTTGGCCCAAAAGGTAAAATTCATACCAATTGGTAGGCTATAGTCCATCATTAAATATGAGTCTGTGTGTCTGAATTTGTGTGTATGTGTGTGTGTTAGAGAGAGATAAAGAGAGACAGACAGAGACAGAGAGCAGTACTGAGCAAGAGAGTGAGTGAGCATGGGGAAGAAAGTAAGGAGGAGAGGAAAAGGTTATGTGAATGATTAACAAGTAAAAAATAATGTTACTGAAACACCAGGGGTTCAGTTTAGGTCCTGCTATTTGCTGCACAGAAAGCCAACGACTGAGACAACAAGTATTGCCAAGGAAGAAGGCTTTAATCAGGTGCTGCAGTCCAGGAAATGGGAGCTCAGTCTCAAATCCATCTTCCTGATCAACTAAAATTAGAGGTTTATATAGCGGGGAAGAAATGTTAAATATGTATGGGAAAACAAGAATGTGGAAGGAGTAAGGGAGCAATTACAATGAATGAGAGGCTGGTATCTCATTGTCTGGATCTGGTGAGTTTCAAGCTTTAAAACCAGAAGGATTAATTTCTATATTTAAGAAAAACTGTCTATGGGACTACTGGATCAGTTTCAGTAAGATAGGCATATTAGAAATAAAGACTGTAAGGATTATAATAGCACATAGCTTTCCTCTTTAGATTGTTCCAAGGTAAACTTATTTTTAAAAATCCTTACATTCCAATCTTAACTGCTGCCTACTCACTTCTACCATTCTTTGATTACATATGGGAACAAATGTGGCACACCAATATAAAGGTGAGAGTAGTTGGAAGAAGAGGAAAAATATTTATTCATATATTAGGTCATCCAAAAAGCTTAAGATATGAGAAAATTCAGTATTTCTATAACCAGGCCAAAAACTAACTTGTCATTTCAAACTCCTTGGCATTTGGAAGCTTGAAAAATGCTTGCCTGGGCACCTATTCCTGGTAAAGTGCTAAGGAGAGACGCCTAAGGAAATTGAGGGGTCAGCCTGATGTTGGCTTAATCCTGGCTCCATTGTCTTCTGATCACATCACCCTTCTTATCTAATTGATGTGATCACTTGTTGAGTTATCTCATCCAGTTATTCTCTTCCTGGTACAGTCTTCTATCCACTGTTGCAGAAGTATCTGCAGTAATTCAGGACAGCGCCGCTTTTCCCAGGAAGGGGTATTAGTGAAGCTGTCATTCTACCTTTCTGGAGAGCCTGATGGGCAGACTGGAGCTTGAGGTGTTATTGAAGGGTGCAGAGGTTGCTGCTGATCCCCTGTGTTTCTCTCTGTTGAACTCAGAATTCAGAATTTTATTTTTAAGAATGATTTTCCAACTTACCTAATATAAGAACAAGGGGTGTACTTCATGAAAATATTGATTCCTAAGCCCTTTCTTAGAAGATTCTGATTCAGGTGGGTAGAGTGAGTTCTTATAGTATTTCTAATCATTACCATTGATTCTTATGATCAGCCAAGTTTGAGGAGCAATTGAAAGATTTATTATGATTTATTTCCAATGTACAGAGCCCTATAGGTCAAAGTTAGCACACCATCCCCAAATGTCATTATGCACAAATTATACCTTTGAGAAATGTGTATAACACTTTATAAAAATAATTATGAGGGGCCGGGCACCATGGCTCACGCCTGTAATCCCAGCACTTTGGGAGGCCAAGGCGGGTGCATCACCTGAGGTCAGGAGTTCAAGACCAGCCTGGTCAACATGGTGAAACCCCGTCTCTACTAAAAATAAGCTGGGCATGGTGGCAGGCGCCTGTAATCCCAGCTACTGTCAGTGTAGCTTTTCTGTAGGCAGGAGAATCGCTTGAACCTGGGAAGCGGAGGTTGCAGTGAGCCGAGATCATGCCATTGCACTCCAGCCTGGGCGATAAGAGCGAAACTCTGTCTCAAAAAAAAAAATTATTTACATCACTGAAATTAAATTAGTAACATTGTGTTTACAAGGATTTTTCATAAAGCTAAGGATGTACAATAAATACAGTAATCTGATATTTTTTACATTTAAATAAATTGTGCAAAAATATACATAATGTAAAGTTTACCGTCTTAACCCTTTTTGAGGGTACAATTGAGTGACAATAAGTATATTCACATTATTGTGCAACCATCACTATTATCCATTTCCAGAACATTTTCATCATCCCCAAAATGAAACTCTGTACCCATGGAACAATAACTCCCATATTCACCCTGCAGCCCTAGTCCCTGATGACCATTATTTTGCTTTCTATCTCCATGAATTTGACTATTTTAGGTATGCCATATAAGTGGAATCATACAATATTTGTTTTTTTGTATCTGGATTATTTCTCTCAGTATAATGTTTTCAAGGTTCATTCATGTAGCTTGTGTGAGAATCGCCTTCATTTTTAAGGCTGAGTAATATTCCATTTGATGTATATACCATATTTTGTTTATCCATTCACTTGACAGTGGACATTTGGGCTTTTTCAATCTTTTGACTATTTTGAATAACGCTGATACGAACACAGGGGTGTGCAAATAGCTGCTCAAGTCTCTGCTTTAGTGGTCTGCTTTTGATAGTTCAAAAAATCAGAGGAATCTTGCCAGGCACGGTGGCTCATGCCTGTAATCCCAGAACTTTGAGAGGCCAAGGTGGGTGGATTGCTTGAGGCCAGGAGTTCAAGGCCAGTCTGGCCAACATGGTGAAACCTCGTCTCTACCAGAAATACAAACATTAGCCGGGCATGGTGGCATGTGCCTATAGTCCCAGCTACTTGAGAGGCTGAGGCAGGAGAATCGCTTGAACCTGGTAGGCAGAGGTTGCAGTGAGCCAAGATTGTGCCACCACACTCCAGCCTGTGCGACAAAAGCAAAACTCCATCTCAAAAAAAAAAAAAAGAAAAGAAAAATCAAAGGAATCATTCGACGTCCTCTGATTTCCTGCTGCAGCATTAGCAGACACGGAGACCTATGTGGATCTTCCACACCTGGTAAAATCCTCTCGTTTCCTAAATGGAAACGAGAGAATTTCAGAAAAGCCAAGTGATTTGCCCAAGGATGCACAGCTAATTGAATAAGGATACCCTTTTTAAGAAAAATCAGGTCCAGCAAAGCAAGTAAAACTAGTTACACTTAAGGATACCAGCCTATAAGGTATTTTCATCCTGATATAAACCAGAAGCCTATGCATAATGACAATTGTGTGTTTCCATCCTTGTATTCCCTGTGCTGAGCATTATAATATGATATACATGTTGTATATACAAAGCCAGATGGATATCTTAACAAAGAGTTCACAACTCCAGCATCTCAGCACAGTGGTGACCTCCAGTCTGTTGACAGGTTGTGAGAACTCGATTGTTCTCTTTGCTGCAGCTAGAGCTCCTTCCAGGTGTCCAGAGGCTTCAAGCAGCCTCACTTGTTTAACCCGTTGTGCATTAAAAATTGTTTTTTTTCTGCATGCCATGATGAACCTGAAAGTTCAAAAAGTGCAGGGCTGGGCTAACAAAATGGAATTTGGGAGAACCAGAAATGGACGGGCACAGGAATGGTTCGATTCTTACCTCTGGCTGCAAGTTAATCTCCAGGGGAGCTTAAAAAAAGCTGATATCCAGCTTCCATATCTGTCCAATTACATGAGCATTTCAAGAGGGTGGGTCATAGGTATTTTTTAAAGCTCTCCTCTGTGGTTCCAATGTGCAGTCAGGGCTGGGAGCCGCGGGTGTTAAGCAAGGCAGAAAGGAAAGCAGACATCCAGAAACAAGGAAAGATGTTTTCACGCATGTTCCTCCTTCTTGAGTCTTCTCTTCAACTGCATGCAATGGACTCAACATGGACCCTGATGGAAGCCCGCATGTGGGAGCTGTAAGCAGACAGTACTGGGCAGAGGGATTTCTACGTGTGTCTGGGATCATTCCCAAGCCCACATTCCTTCTTCCTCACTGCCACCTCTCTCCCAAGTGGGCTCTGGGCTCCTTGCCATTGGGAAGGAATAGGGCAGTGTGGAAACAATACATTATTACAGGTGTTTCTGGTTTTTATAAACAAAAGCTTGAGCCTTAAGGGAAATTTAGTTGCTTCCCAGGCTTAGAGAGTGTGTTCTGGTGAAACATAAAGACAGGAGGACTTCCCTAGACTGGAGAGAGAGTCCTCTGAGAGAGAAGGACCTTGGCCTTCCTTCTTGGTAGCACTGCTGAGAAGACAGCAATGCCCAAGAAAGCAATGCTGTGCTGTGAGTTTGCATAAACGGGAGCCCCAGAGGCCTTGACCAATTTCTCGTGCCCAAGCATGGCCCAGATGTAGTAGTGAGCCTCTGGTCCTGAGGACTGTGTTGACAGGGACAGTGGATATTTTGATAGAAAACTACATGTCCGATGACCAAAGGTAAGATTCCCCACTAGAGCACCCATTCATTCCCAATGCCTTAGCAGCGCCCATGTCGTAGACTTCATGACACAGCCCTAGGAAGTAAGAGTGGCGGATCCCCAGGAAGAACTGAGGTCACTTATCTTTCTCTTTACCCTGGTGGAAGTGGGGCTCAGAGCCATGAACTTAGTATTCATGGGAATATAAATTCCCATGAAACAGTGGAAGCTTCATGTCTTGTGCTCCTGAGCTATTGGACTGAGATTTATACCTGTGTGCTGACACTTTCTTAAACAGTGAGGTAAGTCATAGGTATTAAGAGAAACTGGAGGCGACTAAACATGAATTAGGTGCACCATAACATCATGTTATGCTTCCATTATGGCATTTGTCACCTAGGAATAAAATTGATTACAGACCTGTGTTTTCCCCCATTAGACTTTATGTTATTTGAGAGCAAGGGCTGTTTCCTATCCAACTTCGTATTTTTAGCGCTTAGTGCTACGTTTGGCACAAAGGAAGCCATCAATTCATGATGAGTAAATGAACCGCATAGGGAGGAGCTAGGAGGGGAAGGAAGCTCAAAGCAAAAGAGAGTCAGCAAAGCTCACCACAGTGACCAGTTTTAATGGCTGTCAAACAGATAACTACAGACTCTGAAATATAGGTAAGTTTCACAGCTGGAGAAATTATTTTTCTCTAGTCATAATTCATAAAACAATTACCTGCTCATACAAATACTATAAAATGTTTTACAGCAAATTGTGATGTACAGCATTATATCTTATGTAATACAATTTGTGGTGCAGAACAGGTCTGATGATAAAATGGTTAAAGAAAATAACACAGATTTATTTGCATAGAGTGCCGTTAAGAGTTCCTGAACACTGAAGCTATTACTTCGAGCCTATCAGGAGAACGGTATTATGTTGGAACTCTTTGCACCTCGAGGGTTTGCATCACAATCCAAAGTATATAATATGAATGTTCGGCAGGCTGGGAAACCCAGCAGTAACAGCTGGGCAGGGGGACTTTTTTGTGCTGTTCAATTCATGCCCAGAACATGGTGGTCCACTGTCCTTAAAAGTAAGGCTAGGTTTGTTCGCCTCTCCTTCTTCTTCTTTTTTTTCTTTTTTTAGACGGAGTCTTGCTCTGTCTCCCAGGCTGGAGTGCAATGGTGCAATCTCAGCTCACTGAAACCTCTGCCTCCTGGGTTCAAGCGATTCTCCTGCCTCAGCCTCCCGAGTAGCTGGGATTACAGGTGCCCGCCACCATGCCCAGCACATTTTTGTACTTTTTAGTAGAGACAGGTTTCACTATGTTGGCCAGGCTGGTCTTGAACTCCTGACCTCAGGTGATCCACCTGCCTCGGTCTCCCAAAGTGCTGGGATTACAGGCATGAGCCACCATGCCCGGCCTCTTCGCCTCTTCTATGCACAATCCTTGGACCTTTCCTGTTTAGCTTGGCACAGAGTGATTTCTCAATAAATATTTGTTGAATAAATTGAATGAGCAAACATATTCCGACCTGCTTACAGAACTCTTATGAACATCTTGTAGTCAACATAAATAAATATGGGTTGATTGCTAAGACATTAAGGAAGAGTTAAAATTGGTATTGAATACTTACACCTGAAAACTTCTGAGGCCGCTACCTTTCACCTGGGGGAAGAGTCTCAGTGTCTTGCCCCTCAGTTTAGCCTTTAGTCATGTTCTGTTCAACAGTGCTATTAATGACTTAAATAAGAAAATAAAGATTTCAAAGACCTTAAAAATTGTGTGCATGGGTGCAACATATTTTGATTTTAGTTATGATAATAGAAATAACATTATCATGATAGAAAATGTGGAGAATATACAAGGAAAAATATTTAAATCTTATATATTTTAATACAGTTAAGATAATAATACACGATTTATTTTTAAATTTATATTTATTTCGTACTTCTGTCATTTTGCCTGATATAAAAATTTTTTCCCATGTTATTCAACTTTCTAAAATGTAATTTTTAGGCCAGGCACAGTGGTTCACACCTGTAATCCTAGCTCTTTGGGAAGCTGAGGCGGGCAGATCACTTAAGGTCAGGAGTTCATGACTAGCCTGGCCAACATGGTGAAACCCTGTCTCTACTAAAAATAGAAAACTTAGCCAGGGGTGGCGATGGATGCCTGTAATCCCAGCTACTGGGGAGGCTGAGGCAGGAGATCCACTTGAACCTGGGAGGCGGAGGTTGCCGTGAGCCAAGATCACGCCATTGCACTCCAGTCTGGGCGACAAGAGTGAAACTCCGTCTCAAAAAAAAATAAAAATAAAAAAAGTAATTTTTAAGGATAGCATTTCAATTTGCAGAAGTATAAATTAATTAGACATACCTTTTAAATGTTGGGTGTTTAAATTGTTTCTGTGTGTATGTGTATGTGTGTTATTAAAAACAATGCTATGCTGATCACCTTTTTTCATAGGTGGCTCATAGGTAGTTCAAGGATTATTTCCTTGAGCAATCAGGAATATTCAGTCAAAAGGTATGAACAATTATAGTTTGTTTTTTTTTCCCACACTGTTTTCTTGAAGGAACATTCCAAAAATGATCCTAAATAGCATAAACTAGCACTGGACAGTAGAACTCTCTGTTTTGATGGAAGTGTTCTATATCTGCATTAGTCAGTTTTGTAGCTCCTACCTCATGGTTACTGAGCATTTGAAATGTCAGTAATATGATTGGGGATACAAATTTTAATTTTATTTAATTTTAATTAATTTAAATTCAAATGGCCACATGTGGCTACTGTAGTAGACATTACAGATAGACAGTTCCTGGATCGATAGTGACCCAGGAACTTGTCAGTGTCCACCCACAGCCTCACAGGCCTAGCCAATACAGTGTAGGAAAGGCCTTTTTGTCCACTGTCTGGGGAATTCCATTGCAACTAGAGGCCATGGTGCCCAGGATAGGCTGGAAATGGAACAGTCTTACAATAGACTGATTGGTGTTTAAAAGACTCCAAAGGATTGGACAAGGCCATTATAGATTTTTCAGAGGCACAACTTCTACTCAGATTTTGAGAGTTCCCAAGCAGGATCGAGTTCAGTTACCGTCAGTGTTAATGGGCTAATTAATGCACTCTTTACAGGCTGTCTTACTATCCTGTTTCATTTTTCTGCTCCTTTCCTAGTATTTATTTGCACCCAAGATCTGTCAGGATCCACTTCTTGAAAAACCAAAATTAAGAGTGCTACTCATTCCAAAAATATATCTACCTGTCAGCACAATTTGAAACACTATGTTCTGAGAGTATACAGTTTACGAGTTCAAGTGATAGAATCAAAAAAAATAAGGTCTACATGTTGGTTTTCCTCCTTTCTGGATGTATGACTTTGAACAAGTTACATAACCCTAAACCTCCTTTTCCTCATCTGCGAAAAGAAAGATCATAACTGTACCTGGTTCATAAAACTGAGGCATCACAAAAAAACAATTAGCAAATGCTAGCACTTAGCATTTATTGCTCCTTTATTATTTCTTTTACTAATGGTATGGCATGAAAGGGGCACTTGATACTATTTGCTAAGATAACCAATATTTTTAATGAAAAAATTACAATATTTTTCAAGATGCTTTTTGAAGGAATTGGCCAGTAGGAAGATAAAGAGAGAGCATTTCAGAGATGTGGTACAAGCTTCAGGTCATTTGATGCGTGACACGAGCTGAGATTACTGTGCCAAGCTTCTGATTGGCAGAGACAGGGCTGGCTGTCCTTCAGGAAGGACAGCACAATGAGTTTTCCAAACTTCAAAGTCTGAGGGCACAATCTCCCATAGGGCTTCCCCCACTTCAGGCACCAACTGCAAGTTCAGGGGTCTCCAGGGCTACCCTCACTTCTGGCTAGCTGGGTGGCTACAAATTTGTGGATTTCCATGACCACACTAGGTCCAGTAATTCACTAGAAAGCATCACAGAACTCATTTAAGTGCTGTACTTATGATTACAGTTATTATTATACTTTAAGTTCTGGGATACATGTGCAGGATGTGCAGGTCTGTTAAATAGGTATACATGTGCCACGGTGGTTTGCTGCACCCATCAACCCTATTAGACAACTTTTAACTCTCTGCCTTGATTGGTAGTGATCATTGATGCTTTGGATTTCAAACTAAACATGGAAAGGATTTGATTTAAATTTCAGATGAACAGAAGCTTCACACTGTCCTCCCAGCAGTCCAGCAATGTGAATGAAAAGCAAATGAGGTCATCAAGGATCCCGAGCTGAACAGAGGAAAAAATGTCAAGCATCTGGTTGAGTTTCTATTCAACAGCGATTTCTTAGGAAGGAATCACTTTAAAAAGCAAGACAGGCTGAAAGGTGATATTTGTTCTTTGGGGTATGCTGGTTTCTCTTTTTAAATCAAAACCCTGAAATAGAACCACTTGAATTCTATCATCATGGAAGCTTATGGGCTGAATTTATAAGATGAATCTAGTGTTCAAGGTGTAGAAATCAACTTTGTTTTAAAAATTAATCTTATGACACATTCTCTCTAATACAAACTAGTTGCTTTTGCAATTAAGATGAAATTACTTCCTTTTAAAAAGTGGGGTTTATGGATAATCTTTTCATATACTCTGCAACCTGAATATAGCCCCATACAATGCTGCATATGTCATTTATTACAAGTATCACAATTTGTAGAATGAATTCCCCAGAGAATGAATGCCAGGTTAAAATTAAATGCATTTGTCATTTTTGCAGAAATTTTGGTAGAAATTGCCAAACTGCCCTCCATAGGGATTTATCATTTATTTTTCATTGCTATTAGCAACACAGAAGAGTGATGTCTAACTCTCATCCTTCCTTGTCATTCATTGGAAGTTGCCAAACTATGGGATTTTTGTCACTTGTATGTAGTTAGCTGAGGCTTAATTTTTGCTTCTCTTATGTGTAAATTTAATTATTTCTTCATATGGTCAAAATCCATTTTTATTTATTTATTTATTTATTTATTTGAAACGGTGTTTCACTCTTGTTGCCCAAGCTGGAGTGCAATTATTTATTTTTATATAAAGTACATATTTCTCTATTAGGTTCCTTGACTATTTCTTCTCAATATCAATAAGAGATTTCTTAAAGAAACTTAATGTTTAATTCATGTTCAACAAATGACACACATGTAAAGGGGACAATATGATACATTTTGACACACACATATATATCCATGAATATATGGCTATCTTTTCATATATATGTATATCTCTATTTTCATAAAACAATTATCATAATCAATATAATGGACATTTCCATCATCCCAGAAGTTACATGTCCTGGATCACTACCAAATCTGCATAGCAAATTTGAACCAACGTGTAAGATGATGGTTGTGCTTGAACACATACAGAGCTCTGTTCAGAGTTCAGCCTACCACTGGTTTCCTCCCCTACAGATAGGAAATGGGTGATCCATGCTCTAATATTCACTTGTCTTGTCAGAAATTGAAAACTAGTTTTTCTTTACACTCTAATCTTTATACATTTTTTCTAAACTGTTTGAATACACAATAAACTTTAAAAGGAAATAGAGGGACAGGCACCATGGCTCATGCCAGTAATCCCAGCATTTTGGGAGGATTACTTGAGCCCAGGAGTTCGAGAACAGTCTGGGCAACATAGGGAGACCCTGTTTCTACTAGAAATAAAAATAAATTAGCCAGGCATGGTGGTGTGCATGTGTGGTCCCAGCAACTCAGGAGGCTGAGGTGGGAGGATCGCTTCAGCTTGGGAGGTCAAGGCTGCTGTGAGTGGTGATTGTGACACTGCACTCCAGCCTGGGCTACAGAGCATAACCCTGTCTCAAAAAAAAGGAAATAGGGAAATTGTAGTTCTTTAAATTGACAAATTGAGTTTATATTTTGACTTTATTAAAGTAATATGAAAACAGCTAAGTTTTTCTCTGATGTAACTTGCTTAAATGTAATCATATTGTCTTCTGGTAGAACTAAATCATATTGTGTGTAGTACTCTCATCATTCAACTCTAAGGTAAAACTGTTATTTTTGCAAGTCCTTTTTTACAAACCAATTCCAAGTCTTTGCACTGAGTTTGAAAATAATAATTTTATTCCCTACTGTGCTTGAGCATTGTAGTGAGTTTTGAATTTAATAGTGGCTTTTTCAATGATGTAATTTTTCTTTTAAATTTCTTTTCATGGATTGGAAATCTAGATCATTAAGTATAAGGTCACTGTTATTAGATTGAACACAAAGTATCGGCAGTCAAAAAAACTAAAAGGAAGATTCTCTACCTGGATCATGGCCTGAGGCTTTCAAAACATATAGCTAAAATGATAAGCTTTCAGACTCTCAAATTTTAGGTAAAAAGACATTGTGTTGAATCTAAGTCAATTGCTTCCTCAAAAGTTAATAATAGAGTAATTGCTTCTCAGTATTCAAAAATGTTTATGAAACGAGTAAGTATAATATATGGTTTTATGTTCAAATTATGTAGTAGAGGCTAATTTTTTCAATTTGTATTTAAGTATAATGAGAATAACAAGAGTAACATTTACTGAGCAATTTATATGTTCCAAGAACTGTGCAAATGATTTACAGGTATTGTATCATTTACTCCTCTGTGTGGTAGCACTATTGTTATGTTCACTCTGTAGTTGAGATGTAGAGATGTAGAAAAACAATTTAATAGCTAATAAGGAAAGCTGCTGGGTTTTGAACCTAGAGGTCAAACACCCAATACACATAACCTAAACAATTATTAAATCATTAGATTTTAATAATACTTTCAAGATGTTACTAGTTAAAGATTAGATATATCTATTACAGATTTTTAAATGAGTGCATTGATTTTATTTCTCCAAGTCTTTGTATACAAATTATTTAGGAATTTTATTTAATAGCAAAACACTTCAAACTATTTAATTTTAAAAGTAGTTTTGTGGAAGTTTTGATTAAATACGGTGGATTACACATGTGTGTTAATCTCTGCAAAATAGTCTGTGCTATTTTGTTACACAGCATGAAGTGACAAAGACAGCGGAAGTTAGACCTCAGGTCTCTTTCCCTGCCCTAAATAAATTATAGTTAAGAAGAAAGCAAGAAAATGATTGACTTTTTTTTTTTTTTTCCGAGATGGAGTCATGCTCTGTCACTTAGGCTGGAGTGCAATGGCGTGATCTCAGCCCACTGCAACCCCCGCCTCCCGGGTTGAAGCAATTCTCCTACCTCAGCTTCCTGAGTAGCTGGGATTACAGGCGCCCACCACCGCACCCGGCTAATTTTTGTGTTTTTAGTAGAGATGAGGTTTCACCATGTTGGCCAGGCTGGTCTCAAACTCCTGACCTTGTGATCCACCCATCATGGCCTCTCAAAGTGTTGGGATTACAGGCGTGAGCCACTGCACCAGGCCATGATTGACTTTTTATATTACCCAAGTTATCATGACCAGTTTATATTATGTAATCAGTAGTGCTGGTTATTTCATTAGATGAAAATATTGGTGTTTTGTCATTTGCATTAATCAGTAATTTTAGCCTGTTAAAGTTTTAACTTTTTTTGTTATGTTTTATAATTTTCCTTTTGACAATAGGCTTTTTATTTTGAAAGATTTTTCCCTTGTATCAACTTCATATGGTTACAAACAGGAAACTAACAAAAGATTCAGCCATTTGCATTTCATTGCAATCAATAAAATATTGCCCAATTTTATCCAACCCTGCTAATAATATAAAACCAACTCAAACTTAATATTTTTGAAAACTCATCATCATTTCTAACTTTATTATAGGTTTATTATAATTAATGACTACTATGTACTACATTAATTAAAAAATAAAGCTGTGCTGATTTTTTTTAAAAATGTTTTTTCTATCTTCAGCAGTTCAGGAAGAATGTGTTGATTATGAATTGTTGAGGACTGAAGGTCAAGGGGTCTGGGTAGTGAGGCGCTACTATTCTGTTTCACAAGAAATATGTCTCAATTAATGGTAACTTATTATTAAAATTATTTTTGAACACATATTTTAGTTGTATGCATTACAGCCCCCCTCCACTCTATTATGCTCACATAATCCCCTGTATATAATTCTTTCCTAGCTAGTTCTCATATCTCATCTTTTTGCAAAGAACTTGGCATTTTGTACTTGGTACATTTTGAATTGATCTAAATTTCTGAGCTATCTTGAAATACTTTTACCCAGAACTGCTGCCCAATGACCATTCAAAGGATAGAAATGATAGAGATATATTTTGATAAGGGTCAGATTTTTTTTTTACTGCTTTAAAATGTCTAATAATTAATTAATAATGGTTGTCGTTATTGATTGCTGGATACTTCAAATACATATGCATTTATACTTCACCTTAATCCTTTGAAGTCAATGTTACCATCCTTATTGTATACACAAGGAGAGTGAGGCTCAGGGAGGTGAATACATTACCAACTCAAACTACTCGTAAGTGTCTTAACCAAGATTTGAATCTGATCTAAACAAGGGATTGTGTCTAAAAGTAAATGCAACCTCCAAATTGATTCAGGTAATACTTTAGTTTAGTTTATTAGTTGTGAGAATTCAGTGATTTTATGTTTGTGATTATTAAAAGGAACGCAAATGTAGGGTGTTTAAAAATATTTATTTAGCAAAGTTTCAATTCCAAGTCTAGGAAACATAAAAAAACGATAAATGCTAAACCTATTTAGCTGTTGTTTTTGCAAATTTAAGTCACAATGAAAATTAATTAGAATTAATTCTCAAAATAGGGGATTAAAATAAAAGAAAAAAGAACTAAAGATGCTGAATGTTCTCAATCATCATATTTTTAGTTTGTTTTATAGTTCAAAGTATTCCAAAGTCATACACATTTATAAAAAAACAAATTTTCAGCATTATCAATATTTTATAAAATGAAATTTATTCAGGGATAACTACGTGCACAGAGGCAAAAACCCAATAGTCTTATGACTGGGGATTAATATTTATGTGATCAATGTTGGCAGTTAAGTCAATAATTGATAGTTATTAAAAACGAAAAAATATTGTGGGAAGATAGCAAGTGGATTATTTTATCAACTAATATTGTTTTTCTCCCTATAAAAAGTAGCATATAAAGATATTTGGAAATCAAAAATAATTACTGACTTTTAGTTCTATCAAGTCAATTCTTTAAACTAATATGAGTAAGGAGGAACAATAGCAAGAGATCATGTTTAATTATTTTAAAAAAAGAAAGGGAGAAAGAAAATTGTCTCTTGGCATTTGTGAAGAATGATCAAAAGAAAAGTAAAAGGACAAAAAAAAAAATACTTGGTCTAGGAAATGCATGGTTCTAAAAGGACCCTAGGAAAGAATACGAGCAAGAGGGGAAACTGAGCCCATGCTGTCCACATGCCCATATGGACATGGTAAACACATTACTGCTTGGCCATATGTGGACCAGGAAGGGATGGAGAAGACAAGGTAGATGGGAGAAATGTTCTTAGTTTCCCAGATTTGTTTGTTTGTTTTGAGACAGAGTCTCACTCTGTCGCCCAGGCTGGAGTGTAGTGGTGCAATCTCAGCTCACTGCAACCTGTGCCTCCTGGGTTCAGGTGATTCTCCTGCCTCAGCCTCCCGAGTAGCTGGGATTACAGGTGCCCACCACCACACCTGGCTAATTTTTTTATTTTTAGTAGAGACGGGGTTTCACTATGTTGGCTAGGCTGGTCTCAAACTCCTGATCTCAAGTCATCCGCCTGCTTCGGCCTCCCAAAGTGCTGGGATTACAGGCGTGAGCCATCATCCCTGGCCAGTTTCCCAGATTTTAAGAAGAGGAGCAGAATGCTTGAGGAACACCTAAGAGATGATGTCTGAGAGAGAGTCATCAAACAACCACCAGAGGGCCAGAGAAGTGGACTGACTCTCCTGAGGCTACACAGCTACCTTGCAAATGGAGATAAAGCTGCCTCTATTTCCTGATTTCTAGTTTCTCACTCTTTCCGGCATATTGTGAAATGGTGTGGGGTGTACCATTTTCTAGGGTCTGCTTTGCAACCATGAGCGAAAGATGAGTAAACTGTAAACCATCTGTAGTGGCAGCTTAGAAAATATCTATCTGTAGGTATATTGAGGCACTTATATAAGCCATTAGGAGACTAGATTGATGGAAAAATTTACAAATAAATTTTTAATATTACATCATTAAAGAAACCTTAGCCAGTGAAGGCGTTTTTTGGTTCACCAAATAATATTTATAATCAACTCTATAAATATAGATTTATAGGAGTTAAGAGCAAGAAGAGATCTAAGAAGTATGAAGTCCAACTACTTCTATTACAGATTTGAACACTGTAGAGGGGAGGTAAGAGAAAGACAGGTGAAGAACAAGCAAGCAACTGGGTCACTTGTCTGAGGTATCACAGTAAGTGAGACCAAAAAATGCTACAAGCCAGTACATTCCTATTTCTAAGTAAAAAAACACAAACCTTTATCAGTAGGTTGGTTTCCATTTTGAGGGGCAAGTTTTGCTCCAAACTTCTCTTCTTTCCTTTCCACTGCAGAAATTTGGTTCCTGGACCTAAGAAAAATGTGCCAAGCCACCTGACACACTCACTGTGGGTTGACCGGAAGACAAGCTAGTTGAGACCAGGGCTCCCTATTCTTAATAGGAGGGGTGTGTCCAAGCTCAGCTTCCCAGAGCACTGCTGGCTTCTCACATTGCTGGGCAGCCAATATCATGTAAATAGCTAACAAGCCAAATCCATTCTGTATAAAGCCTTATTAAACAGCAGAGCACCAGAAGAATTGGGTCCCTCTCCTGGAATGCAAACCCATGCTGCACATGTTATCAGCACAGCGCCTGGTATTATGATGTCCCTTCATGGAAAAAATAGAAGAAGGACAAGATTTCCTGCATTTTCTTCTTTTTCTGGCCTTAGCTCTGGAAGGTTCCTCTTCTCACATACAACATTTTCCTTAACCCATACCATAAGATGCTGTGGAATTCCTCTGGAGTCCCAAGGCACCCACTGCTGATGACCCCAATTCATACAACAAGCACCAAATCTCTGTGTGTCTTAATAAAAGATCCACAGGACCAAACAGAGTCAAAGAGGGAACACGTGGAATAAGCTGTAATGCTCAGAGATGGCAAAATGTCAGAGAGATGAGTAATCACAGACGTCTGTGGGATCAGAGGCAAAGGAAAATTCTTTCCATCCTATTAAATTATTGGCTCTTACATCAATTTTGAAAACAGTCTAAATCAATTTAGGAAAAGTCTGTAACAACATGTCATAGTGAATGCTGTGGTTTAAATGTGTCCCTCAAAAATCGTGTGTTGGAAACGTAATTCCCAATGTGACTGTGTTGGGAAGTGGGGCCTTTTGGGAAGTGTGTAGGTTGTGAGGGCCCTTCCCTTATGAATGAATTAATGCTGTTATTAAAAGGGCTTATGAGGTTTGATTCTCTCTCTTCTGCCCTTTTGTAATGTGAGGACACAGAGTCTGCCCCTCCCTTGCCCTTCCACCATGTGAGGACTCAGAAAGAATGCCCACACCGGATGCCAGTTCCTTGTTCTTAGACTTCCCGGCCTCAGAATTGTGAGGGAAGAAATTTTTGTTCCTTATAAATTACGCAGTCTCAAGTATTCTATTATAGCAGCATGAAACAAAGACAGTGAACACCTGTCTTTACCTGGACTCCCTTCTCTCCTTCTACTAGTAATACCACCTCAGTATCTTGGAGGCACACTTCCTTCTCCTGTTGAATTCCTCTTTGGCGAACTGTCAGTCAGGATGCTCCAGTAGCCCCTGGCCAAAGGAGGCAACAAGACTCCTGCTGGGACAGTCAGACTCTCTTTGCCAGACATTTGAATATTGATCAGAGTGATACAAATCTAGAAACAGCTTTAGCTGATCTATTGGCCCCCTGAAGAACCTGTTTTGTACTTAAACCTCCTTTTTTTTTTTTTTTTTTTTTGAGATGGAGTCTCACTCTTGTCGCCCAGGCTGGAGTGCAATGGCGCAGTCTCGGCTCACTTCACTGCAACCTCTGCCTCCCGGGTTCAAGTGATTCTCCTGCTTCAGCCTCCCAAGGAGCTGGGACTACAGGTGTGTGCCACCACGCCCAGCTAATTTTTGTATTTTTGGTAGAGACAGGGTTTCACTATGTTGGCCAGGCTGGTCTTGAATCCCTGACCTTATGATCCACCTGCCTTGGTCTGCCAAAGTGCTAGGATTACAGGCATGAGCCACTGCACCCGGCCTTAAACTTCCTGTGATTCTATTTGCTACCCTAAAACTTTTCAATAAATTTTCTTTTTTACTTAGCCTTTGTTTCTGTGACTTGCCACCAATTACCCCTTACTAATATATAAGAAAATATTCTTTATATTAAATTAAAAAGCAAAATGGAAATATTTTAATACTAATATGAACACAACTTTGAAAAATTTCTTATATTTGGAATAAAGACCCAAAAGGAGAGTGTTTGATGTTATCATCTGTCCCTGAAAAATGGGATGGAGTTAATTTTTTCCTATTCTACATTTTATTTTCTTTTTTTAATTTTTAATTTTAATTTTTTTTGAAAGAGGGCATACCTGGGAAAAAACAGCCACAGGTGTTTCTGTGACTGTGTTTTTCCCACCTATTCTACATTTTCAGTAATGAATTTTCATTGTCTTTTAAAATGAACTTTATTTTTAAAAGTATATTTAAGAGACCTGATATTTTTCAGGATCAAATCCATTCGTTTAATGTAGCTCTGAAAATATGGCAGGAAATTCAGTCCTGACTCCTACCAAACATACTACCGCCACCAGCAGCAACAAAAAACAGTGGAAAACTTTAAGGATAAGTGTCAATATTATCTGTTATGATTCTTTAGCTACTCATATTATAACCTTTTAATGCAACAGTATCTAAAGCCTATCAAGGGAGAATAGGTTGGCAATTTTTTTTTCTATAAAGGGCCAAAGAATAAATATTTTAGGTTTTGTTGGCTAGACAGTGTCTGTCTCAGCCACTCAACTCTGCTATTGTAGTACAAACACTGTCATAGATAATATGTCAATAAGTGAGTGTGGATGTGTTTGAATAAAACTTTATTTACAAAAACAGGCAGTAGGCCAGATTTGGCCCACTGGCAGTAGTTTGCCAATCCCTAAATTATACACGAAAAGTTCTTGTTTTCTAGAACTGGACTGCAGGTAAGGGAAAACACGATCATGGATAAGTAAACAAGACATTTTGGATAGTAATACATGTGAGAAGGGAAGTCAAACAGGTAATACATTAGATGATGAACTGAAAATGAGGGCTATACTTCTTTGATGTTCACAGGGAGGACCTCTCTGAGGAATAAGAAGGAAGTGGCCATGTAAAGATCTGGGAAGAACAGGCTCCAAGCTGAAATTATAGTAATGACTTGTAAAATAATATCCAGAGCTGGCCTGTCCAAAGAGCTCTCCCTCTGCTCAAATCAGGAAGCTGAGGCACAATAAGGACACTGAGATGCACTGTGAGGAGTAAGATGTGGGGAAATGCAGTTGCCAATGGTTTGCCTTCAGCTTAGGAAGCACAGTTAGCTCTGGTGGCTGAGCCGGCATCCCTTTGATAGCTGGAGTCAGGCACTGCCAGGTGAAGAGGGCAAGTCTTGGGGTCAACAGCAGGTGTCAGCTGTGGCCATAGCTCAGCTCCTTCATTGCCTGGGGTATCTCAGGGATTCTGCAATGCAGCCCCATGGTGCAGAAGCATTCATCCACTAGCCTGAGTATAGTTTCACATCACAGAGGCAAAGAGCAACAGCCTCCTCCCAAAGTTGTTCCCCCGCTACAATCCCAAGAGCCTCATCTTTCTTTCACAGCCCACCCACATGTGAAAGGGCACATGACCCAACGGGGACAAGTGCTTGTCAATTATGTCTCTACTGGAATCTCTAACTACTTTTCTGTCCTGGTAAGATGGGTTAGATAAGTGGAAAGGAATTTTAGGTCCTTTTATTTCTCTCTTCCTTAAAAATTTGAGCCTAAGAAGCCTGCTCCCTTCCTCTTCTCTGATCCCACCAGACTTTGCTGAGTCCTTCAAGTAAAGCCTTCTCCTAAGCAGAAGACACCTCTACCTCTACCTCTACCTCCCCATGGCTCACCACCCCTTTGCTAAGAGAGGAAAGAATACAAGACAGAGGGGAAGAGAGAATTGGAACTGACATCTAAAGTACCAGATGCTGTGTATTCCTCAAATATTATTTCACTTAATCTTAGCAATCTCCTTACAAGATAAGTAGCATTTCCATTTTTTCAGGTTAAGAAACAGGCTTAGCAAGGTTTAATAATTTGTGCAAAGTTACATAACTATTAAGTACAGAACTAAAATTTGACCTGAGTTCTTATCGAATTCTAGGCTCTTTCAACTCTGAAAAATACTGACTGTGCTAAATATATATGTATATAATTCTAAGAGCCCTTTAAAAACTATGGGGATCAATGAACTTGGGCGTTTTCCCAAAGGTGGAATAATTGGGAAGAATAGTATCTCTTACGTTACACACACAGACACAAGTGCACAACCATATGCACACACCACAAACACATTATGTAATAAAAAATTTCAAAATGTATCTGCTGCTACTTGAATGTTGTTGTGTTCTCCAACAGTCTCATGAATATATATGTCTGCAACTTTCCACTTGATTTTGGATTTCTTGTTTATGAGCCTAGATAAAAGAGTAGGTAACCCATTAAATTCTCATTAGATAAATGAGTAACAAAATTTTAATCAGTTTGCAAATACAAAAAAGAAGATAGATTTCAAATAATGGCTCTTTTTCTGTGTAAGTAAGACTATTAAATTTGTTCCTAGCAAGTAGAAAGTACATTTTAATTGGGCTATGTAATTTAGTTTTATTGGTTTATTTGATTTAAAGGAAAATATTTCATGCCTGTGACAAAGACAGATAAAACTTCTATTTAAAAGACAATTTGTAGCCCCACTAACCTTAGGATGTGTCATAAAAGCCTGTAAATGATTGAGAAACTTCTCAGCTAGCATTTTTCCATTAGGAAGGCGTCAAGTGTGTTGAAGAACAGGCTCAAGGTCATATGTCTGGGTTTGATCCTTGGCTCCTTCATTCTCTAGCTATGCAATCTCCGGTAAAGTACTTAATATTTCTGTGACTTAGTTTGTTCACCTACAAAATAGCGCAGTAGGGCTGGGCATGGTGGCCCAGCCTTGTAATCCCAGCACTTTGGGAGGCCCAGGCAGGGAGAATCACCTGAACTCAGGAGTTCGAGATCAGCCTGACCAACATGAAGAAAGCCCATCTCTACTAAAAATACAAAAATTAGCCGGGTGTGGTGCTGTGCACCTGCAATCCCAGCTACTCGGGAGGCCGAGGCATGAGAATCGCCTGAACCCAGGAGGTGGAGGTTGCAGTGAGCTGAGATCGTGCCACTGTACTCCAGCCTGGGTGACAGGACGAGCCTGTCTCAAAAAAAAAATAAAAATAAAAATAAAAATAAAAATAAAAATAAAAATAAAGCACAATAGTGTGCAGATGCCATAGGGTTGCTGTAGTGATTAACTGAGATGGTGCTGTAGAATCACATAGAAGAAAGCCATAGAATGATGCTGGGCCCCTAGTGATCCCTCAGTAAATGTTTGCCATTTTTGCTTACAAGACATTTTCTAGGGGAACATTGAAAAGAAGATTGTTAGGACGCATGCATGGAAAGCAGTATTGTGACTGAAGTGTTCTGATGTGCTCGTGGGCTGTATGAATTCTTATACATGGTGAACTCTGTAAAAGTCAACAAATTCATTTGAATTAGGAGTGTTCTGGATGCATATCTATGAATGTTTCTAGGAAAATGTACCACAAGACATTGGAACTACAGCCACGGCACTGCCATTTTCTATAAGAACTAAAGTTGTGTGGAAAGTGCTAGACTACTTTGAATAGTGGTTAAAAGTTGTTTCTGCTGCCAAAGGCAAGTAGAAAATACACTGTGATCAGAAATGTCTAGAAGATTGTAGAAGGACTCTTAGCTTTGGAAAGGAACAAGTAACGTTATTTCAACATGACACTTTTATATTTCATCTTCAGATCTAATTCATAGTTTTCAAAACTCCCACTTTTTTCAGGGTGCCATGTGTTTCCAAGTATAAACAAGGGAAGGAAAGTGTGCTCTCTCACAGCTTCCATGTGTTGACACTCTCAATTCAGACTTACACTGGACTCAAAGAGTGGAATTGATATTCCACTTAGGTTGGAGGTCACTGGCACCTGCCAGGACAAACACTGCTATTGCACTGTGTCTTTTGAAATCTAATAAAGGAAAACTCTCTGAGTGCACATTGGTGGCCGCAACACAATAAGTGAGGCCCCCCAATAAGCTTAAGCTTCTTCTCAACCTTCCTTTGGAGCAGAACCATGTATTGGCCTCAGGGAGTGTAATGAAACTCTTGAAATGTATGTAAAACTCTACATAACAGGGTAGGGCAAGAATTCTATGAGATGCCAACTGAGGTAGCTACTTAAAATTTATTCTAGCCTCTTCCATATCTTAGAGGTGGTGCTCAAATGTTGTACTGCAACATTTTTTTTTCTATTTTGTGGCAAATCATGCGTGTGTCTTCCCTCAGTTACACGAACATAGGAGAAGGTAGGAGGATGGGAAAGGTGCAATAGAAATTTCAATAACTCTGAAATCTGTCACTTACTGAGATTTTGTTCATGCAAAGCCAGTTGCAGGGAAGCATAGATCAATCTGCAAATTGAGTTAGCTGCCCACTTAACAGCCATTCCCCCAGTTGCAAGTATCAGAAGCAATTCAAGCAGTAAATAGAGAAAGTTTATTTAAAAGATGTTCAGAAGTTCATAGAACAATTGGGAATCCTGGAGAACAAAGATCAAGGCTAAGCCTCCAGAAAATATACTAAAAATCAAGACATACAAACATATGAAAAATATAAATATATGTACCTTGTTTTATAGATTTAACTTTAAAACAGTGTAAATATGTTACATAATTATAAACAGTAAAAATTTTGAAAGCCATCTCTAAAAACTGAAAGCAAAATGAAACAAAGGAACACAATAGTATATCAAGTTGGAAGTGTAACCACACAAAAGAGGAATTATTTCAAATAGCTTAAAATCACATTAACTTGACTATACATGACTAGTGGGTACACCCTAAAGACCAAGAAAAACTGATTATAAGCTGTTTTCGGTAATCATGCCTTGGCACTTGTATTGGTATTTTTTTTTTTTTGAGAATGTTGCATGTGTACTAAATGGGTAATTATGTTGATGCTGGAAAACGGTATTTTAGTTGTGGGAAAGAGCATATACAAATGCACAGTTTGGCCGGGCTCATGCTTATAATCCCAGCACTTTGGGAAGCTGAGGCGGGTGGATCACCTGAGGTCAGGAGTTCAAGACCAATCTGGCCAACATGGGAAACCCCATCTCTACAAAAATACAACAATTAGCCGGGCATGATGGTGGGTGCCTGTAATCCCAGCTACTTGGGTGGCTAAGGCAGGAGAATGGTTTGAACCTGGGAACTGGAGGTTGCAGTGAGCCTAGATTGTGCCGTTGCACTCCAGCCTGGGTAACAGAACGAGACTGTCACAATTGAAAAGGTAAATGTGAGTTGGAAATAACATTATGAACATATGATTTATTTTCAATATATATTACTTTAACTACTAAAAAGGCCTAGAAACAATGAGCACTCCTAGAACCCAGATTATTATTTC
Organism: Homo sapiens; assembly: GCF_000001405.40. Taxonomy (NCBI): domain Eukaryota; kingdom Metazoa; phylum Chordata; class Mammalia; order Primates; family Hominidae; genus Homo; species Homo sapiens. The sequence continues at coordinate 130,247,014 of NC_000006.12, forward strand.
TAAATACTATTTCCAAAGGAACCAACTCTCCTTGGAGAAATGACTGATTTCCTGTCTAGAGCAAGAAGTGAATAAAATGAACCTGAGACATCCTGCACATTAGAAATAAAAGGAGCTATTAAAGATTATTGTTGTCATGTCAAAGGAGTCAGGAATCATCATGAAAATGTTCCTGGCTGGGTGTGGTGGCTCACGCCCGTAATCCCAACACTTTGAGAGGCCGAGGCGGGCGGATCACCTTAGGTCAGGAGCTCAAGACCAGCCTGACCAACATGGTGAAACCCCATCTCTATTAAAAATACAAAACTTAGCGAAGTATGGTGCACACCTGTAAACCCAGCTACATGGGAGGCTGAGACAGGAGAATCACTTAAACCTGGAAGGCAGAGGTTGCAGTGAGCCGAGATTGTTCCACTGCACTGCAGCCTGGAGGACAGAGTGAGACTCCATCTCAAAAAAAAAAAAAAAGGAAAATGTTCCCACTGGACTAAGATGGGACAATCTAACCATTAATATGAATAATATTTGTAAAGGATTGAAACACTGCAAATATATTTAAAATCGTGAATTTGTAATGATACAAAAACACAACCATGGGACCACCATTGGAAGATGCTCAGTGAACTACCAAAATTTTGAAAACTGGTGCATAAGAGAACAAAGCCAGGTATTCATCCTGTCTTTATTGTCTGAAATATATCTCAGGATAATCATATAGTTGATGAGTTTTTTACAGACATATTTGACTGCTACGTAGAAAAGGAATGGAAGATTTGGATTACTATTAGATGAATGTTATTATTAGGTTATTTAACATTTCTGTGTCTTTACTTAAGTTTTAACTGTTGCATCCATCATAGCCTAAGTAGGTGCATTACAGTTGTCTACCTCTAGTGTGTTTCTGTTTCTGCTTGCGTCTTCTGTTTCTTTTATGATTGTTGTTATATCATTTGGTTCATAAGTATTCCTAATATATTTAGTGTGATGTGCACCCCATAGTATTGTAAACTGCCCTTTATTGTGGCATTTATTTTTGGCTAGCTTTCAACCTTGCTGATATTAAGATTCATACATCTGCTTTCCCTTTGATAGCATTTGTCTGGTATACTTTTGATCACCCTGTTATTTTGAACTGTTCTGAATCATTTCATTTTTAAGTGTTTTGCGTGTGTGTGTGTGTGTGTGTGTGTGTGTGTGTGTTCCAATCTGAAAAGTTTGTTTTGTTTGCTTCTTTGCCTTTATTAACAAAAAGTCACTCACAGCATTTCAACATTGTTCAAACACACAAATCACAGCCAATGGCCCCAACAAATAACCACTTAATGTCTAGATCAAAACCATGCTGCAGGGAGCAGTGTTCCTCTGGTTCTGTTCCTTGAGCATCTCAGTTTCTTCTTTTCTTGTATCTCACTAACTCCCCTGAGAGTTATAAAATGTGCAGAAACAAAATCACCCTAGAGGAGTCACCCTACTTTGTTAACAAGGAAGAGTATTTGATGCCTGAGAAACAAATAGAAGTGCACTGCTTGTTGCCACCCCAGGGATGCCAGTCTACTCACTACACTTGTCTGTTCAATCCTCAGCCTGTCCATCCCCTAGGTCCTTGCAAGGCCTCAGGAGAAAGAAAAAAGCAAGGAAGACGCTCCAAGCATGGCAGTATCTGGCACTGGGGGAATTAGTGCTGACCGAAACCATGGGCAGAACTCTGCAGTAATAAGGCAGGCTCTCCTTGAGGGTAGAAGGAAGGAACGGAGAGAAGGTTTCAAGAAAGGATCTATGCTCCATTTATAAGCAGTTTGGCTAAGATGCCACCTAGAAACCTTAACAATGAATCCTGCTCTTATTCCTGGAGCTCTAGGAAATGTTAAATTAATAATTAGGTGGCAATCAGATGTAAAACTTGATTAAAACCAGGCCTCAAGGGCAGAAATATCATCTGTGTTTGTCTCACCGAGCGTCTGGTATGGGGCTCAATATCACTTTTAAAGAATAAAATTTATCCATGAGATAATCATTTGGAAATCCACCCTTCCAGAACACCTCTCTCTTTCCTGGAAAACTTGGTAATACAGCTTAGGAAGGACCAGTGGCATGCCCCATAGATATGAACTTGGGCCATGTTGGGTATCAGAAATTCCCAGGAAAGGAAATAAAAGGGCTGGGACCTAAACAATTAGCATGAACTGGACACAATGTCCTGATTTTAGCTCCTCTTTGTCTTCATGAGTCTAATATGACTTACCCTAATTGGCCAAAGAGTATCTCTTTTACACCTATTGTCTTAATCTAGTAAAAATGGCTTTCTGTTAATTTTGTTTTTATTTTTTTTCTTGAATACATCCAAAGCCTCATTTCTGAAAAGAAATGGTGTCTGGGAGCTTAGAAGGGAGAAGCAATGGGTGCTTTCACTGTAATTATCTTAACGTTTTGCAGCTATGAACATTCTGAGTGCTGGCTAGAGTTTTAAAACTCCAGCATCTGTACTTACGGCAGCTTGTATACATGTATTTATCAACATCTGCATCCCACGGTGTATGCTTTTATTCTATTATACAGAATTAAGGAAACAAGGAATGAAAGTAAGAAGCCAATAGAAGAGACAGACTAACTGGGGCATAGCAATATGATAAGCTCAAAAGATATTTACAGTCTGTACTATCTAAAAATTACACTCCAGACCCACCTAGTAAGCAATGAGCTATGGGACACAAAGAATGGTAGGTTTGAAGGCACCCAGGATGATCAGTGTTAGGGTAAGTTCTTTATCAAAAGAGCCTTTCCAGAGAAGTTATATTTCTGAGTAGAACGTGACATAATACTGAAGGTTATCCAGGGAAAAACAAAAAAAAGCAAGACTCTAGCCATTTAGAGTTCCAAAATAGTCTCACTGAGACCCACACGCTCTGAGGAAGTCCAGATACAAGCTTTATGGTAACAACCTAAAGGAGGGCTCCCCATTTACAGCATCCAACCCTGATCAATCACAGAGTTTGATGCTAAACAACACGGTGCTCCCAGGGATGAAGTAATAGGAAATATGCGGGAATGGAGAGGCACAGGAGCCCCCAGATAGCTCTGCAACAGTTACATACAGCTATGGGTGTAGACTGGAATCACCAACATTACAGTGAGACAGGTTTGGCTGAGATTAGAAACCAAAAAGAGGCATAAGCACAGCACATTGAATAAAGGTATTTCTAAAGACAGTCACAAAAGTACCATTATTTTTGGACACTGCATTTGACATCTTCCAAAGCTTTCCCCCTCCTATTCTACGTTATCAAAACAGGGTCTACCAGGCGCCCTTATTCTTTTGCCCTAGTGCTAAAGGACTAGGAAGAGAAGAGGTGAAGAAAAGCAGTAGAAGCAGTTATGCCTACTAAATAGTAGTCTCCCCCATTTTATATGTTTATTGGAATAGATTTCACATAACATGAAATTTACCCATTGAAGTTTACAGTATATTGATTTTTAGTATATTTCCAGAGATGTGCAACTATCACCTCAATTTAAGACTAGTTATATTACCCCAAAAAGAAACTGCATAGACATTAGCAGTCACTCTCCATTCCACCCTCACCCATTGTTCTATCATCTCCCCAAGCAACCACTAATCTGCCCTTTGTCTCTTTCGATGTGCATATTCTGGACATTTCATATGAATGGCATTGTACAATATGTGGTCCTTTGTGTCTGCCATCTTTCTCCTAACATAATGGTTTTAAGGTTCATTCATATTATAGCATGGATAAGTACTTCATTCTTTTCTATGACCACATAATATTCCATCGTATTAACATACCACATTTTGTTTATATCCATTTATCTGTTGATGGATTTGGGTTTTTTCTACTTCTGGGCTCTTATGAATACTGCTGCTACAAACATGCATGTACAAATTTTTATGTAGACATATGTTTTCATTTCTCTTGTGTATATACTTAGCAGTGGTATTGCTGGGTAATATGATAACCCTGTTTCATCTTTTGAGGAAATGTCAGTTTTCTAAAACAGCAGAAACATTTTATATTCCCAACAGCAGTGAATGCAGGTTTGAATTTCTCCACATTCTTGCCAATACTTGCTATTATCTGTCTTTTTGATTATAGCCATCCAAGTGGGCATAAAGTGGTATCTTATTGTGGTTTTGAGTTGCATTTCCATTATGGATAGAGACACATCTCTGTATGCATCTATGGGCCATTTGCATATCTTTGGAGAAATGTCTGTTTAAACTCTTTGCCCTTTTAAAATTTTGGTTATTTGTCTTACACTCTTGAGTTGTAAGAGTTATTTATACATTCTTGATTCTATATCTTTTCAACCTTCTTGATAGTGTTCTTTGAAGCACAGATGTTTTAAATTTTGATGAAGTCTAATTTATCTAGTTTTTTTCTTTGGTTGAGTATGTTTTTGGTGTCATATTGAAGAAACCATTGAATAATGCAAGGACACAAATTTTTCGTCTGTTTTTTTCTAAAACTTTTATAATGATAACCCTTATATTTAGGTCTTTTATCTATGTCAGATAATTTTTGTATATGAGGTGAGGAAAAAATGGAATTTCATTCTTTAGCATTGGATGTTGGTCCAGCACAATTTGTTGAAAGATTATTATTTCCCTGATTGAATGGGCTTAGCATACTTGTCCAAAATCACTTAATCCTAGAGGTGAAGATTTCTTTCTAGGCTTTCAAGTTTATTTCATTGATCTATACTTGTGCCAGTACCATACAATCTAGATTTCTGTAGCTTCGTAGCAAGTTTTGAAATAGGAAGGTATGAGTCCTCCAACTTTGTTCTTATTTTTCAAGATTGTTTTGGCTATTCTGGGTCTCTTGTGTAATTGTTAAGAAAATAATACAGAATAATCTGATCCTGAGGGTTCTACAGATGTGTTAGGTCTAGTGAGTTTATAGCATTGTTTAAGTCCTCTTTTTTTTTTATTGAACTTCTGTTTAGATGTTCTATTCCTTGTTGAAAGTGGGCTATTGAAGGCTCCATTATTGTTGTCTTCTTCTCTCTTCAGTTCTGTCTGTTTTCACTTCATGTGTTTTGGGCTCTGTTGTTTCATGCATATATATTTATAATTATTATATCTTCTTGACATTTTGACCCTTTCATTATAAAATGTCCTTGCCTAATTCTAGTAACAACTTGTGTCTTAAAGCCTATTTTTCTGATATTAACATAGCCACCCCAGCTCTCCTTGATTACTGATTTTGAAGGGTATATATATCTTTTTCTATCCTTTCACTTCCAACTTATTTGCATTTTGGATCTAAAGTGAGTCTTGTATAGACAGCATATAATTAGAGTAAGCTTTTTTCTCTATTTTAACAGTCTTTGCTTTCCTTTACATCTCATTTTTTTTCTTCCTGAAATAGATATTTGTTCATAAGAAATATGGGTACACTATCTTTTATTCAAAACTTTAGTTTAATTACAGAGAGAGAAAAAGAAAGAGTAAACCAAGTAGCTGCAAATAGCTCACTGGGGGGTGAAAACAAGGCAAATCACTTGGCCAAATCTTGCCCTCGTCTGATTTAAATTTCCGTAAAAACTTCAACTGACAAACTAAACCAGCTGCTGGTGTAAAGCTTTGTTACAACACTAGCTAAGAAAACACAAGTAGAAACTTGAAAGGGTTTCTGCCGCCTGAAGTGTCGTTTGTTTTTGGTTTCCTGGATTTGGGTTGGAATTCCTTTGTGGCAACCAAAACAGCTGTCCACTGGTAGGCTTAGCTTCAACTATTAATTCAGCTGTGGCACAGGAGCAAGCTTCAGAGATGCGCTCTGTGGAAGGGTTCTCTCGATCCCTGGAATTTTGGTGTTACATTCTCAGTCTATATTGGGTATCTGCTCTCCTGAAGAATCTTTGCTTTTTGGTAGGTTTTAAGACGATGACATTGGTAAAATTATTTTAGTCATAATTTCCATACTTACAGAAAACGCCATTCTTGATTAGCTGTTTACATTTCCAGTAATCAGACAGGTGAAGGCCATCTGGGTCAGGTTTTTTCCATGCCTCTGCAGGATTCTGTGTACATACTTTACACAACCTAGTGAAGTTCAGTTCATATTGTGCTGTATCCTTTCCTTAGCAATTGCGCAGGAGATGCAGTGTTATAAAACTTCACTACTTCCAGCACATCCTTTTCTGGGAACTCTTTATTAGTGACAAGTTTCCTGTGGTAGAAGTAATTTGAAATAAGACAAAAATAAGTGAGCTCTTTTTCTTATCCTTGTGTGAGTCCAGCTCTGGCTTCTCTCGGAGGCAGAAAGAATAGAGGAAAACTTCAAGTTCTTGTGAGTCTGGGTGCAGTCCTTGTTTAGTTGGAACCAGTGGGCTACAACCATCTTGAGCTACTACCTAAAATTCTTTTTCAATAGATGAGCTTACATTTATTGATATGATAATATCTTTAATTCTAGGTATTTACCTTGTGTGTTATTTTGAATATTTTAGGGCTTAAAAATCATTAACAATGTGATCCATTTTCTTGTCTTATTTGCAGAAGTCTTCTGACAGTTAAGAGAACTTGCATTTTTCTATAATTTTATAAATATAACTCAACAATGCTATATTTATAGAATATAAGATTTTAAATATGTGTTATATGTATAATTTTATATTCTCACCTTTTAAAGTAAATATCAATGCTTTCTATTTTAAGAAATAAATTAGTGTAATATTTCCTTCTATTTCTTCCTTGCCACCAAATTAAAATTATTATTTTTTTTTGGTGGAGGGGGGTATATCTTTGTACTAATAAATGTGCTTATACCTCTTTTATGTGATTTTTCATCATTAAATAATGTTATTTACCCCTTACCTCTCCTCCTGTTATTAGTGTATCTTCATTGTTAGGGTATATAACATTTAAATTCTCTCCTGTTACTGTATTGCTCATGTTTGTTTTGGTCTGAGGTCTGTAATTAGATACATTCAAAATGTCCCAGTAAGCATTTTGCTGTAGTTACCCATCTTTTTTTTTGAGACAAAGTCTCACTCCTGTCACCCAGGCTGGAGTGCAGGAGCAAGATCATGGCTCACTGCAGCCTTGACTTCCTGGGCTCACTTGATTTGCCTACCTCAGCTCCCAAGTATCTGGGACTACAAGTGTGTGCCACTACGCTCAGCTAACTTTTTGTATTTTTATTTATTTATTTATTTATTTTATTATTATTATTTTCTGAGACAGAGTTTTGCTCTTATTGCCCAGGCTGGAGTGCAGTGGCGTGATCTCAGCTCACTGCAAGCTCTGCCTCCCAGGTTCAAGGAATTCTCCTCCCTCAGCCTCCCGAGTAGCTGGGATTACAGGTGCCCTGCCACCACACCTGGCTAATCTTTTGTATGTTTGATAGAGACAGGCTTTGGCCATGTTGGGCAGGCCACTCTCGAACTCCCGACCTCAGGTTATCCACCCACCTCAGCCTCCTAAAGTGCTGGTATTACAGGCATGAGCCACCGAGTCCTGCCTTTTTGTATTTTTAGTAGAGATAAGGTTTTGCCATGTTGCCCAGGCTGGTCTCAAATTCCTAGGCTCAAGCAATCTGCCTGCCTTGGCCTCCCCAAGTGCTGGGATTACAGGTGTAAGCCAGTATTGAATACTGCTGTGAAGAGTTTGAAGCCAGCCTGATTTTTCCTCCTTATACATAACTGGATAGTTTTGCTTTGTTTCTCAGATGATTCTTCATTACTCTTTTCTTGTGATATCTTTGTCTGGCTTTGGAATCAAGGTAATAGTGGCCTCATAAAAGGAGTGTCAAAGTATTCCCTCCTCTTTGACTTTTTGGGAAATTTTTGAAGAATTGGTATTAGTTCTTCTTTAAATGTTTGGTAGAATTGGCTTTTAAATTTTCTGGAGGTGTACAGTTGTTTATTTTATATCTTTCTTCTTTTTTGATGTAAATAATCATTGCTTAAAACTTTCCTCTTCAAACTGTGTTTGTGGCATTTCATAAGTTTTGGTATGTTGTGTTTCCATGTTTGTCTCAAGATATTGTTTCAATTTCTCTTTTAATTTCTTCATTGACCTATTTGTTGTTCAGGAGAATGTTGTTTACTTTCCAAGTATTTGTAAACTTTCCACAATTCCTCTTGTTATTGACTTCTAGTTTCATACCATTGTGATCAGAAAATGGTACTTTATATGATTTCAGTTTTCTTAACTTTGGTAAGAGTTGTCTTGTGGTCTAAGATATGATCTATCGTGAAGAATGTTCTGTGTGTGCTTAAAAAGAACCCATATTCTGTTGCTGTTGGATGTAATGTTCTGCAACATCAGTTAGGTCCATTTGATCTAAAGCATTGTTTGAGTCCAGTGTTTCCTTATTAATTTTCTATCTGGATGATCTGCTCATTGTTGATAATAGGGTATTGAAGCCCCCTACTATTATTGTATGCAATCTATCTCTCTTTTCAGATCCTTTAACATTTGCTTTATATATTTATGTGTTCAAATATTGGGTGCATAAATATTTACAATTGTTATATCCTCTTGATGAATTGATCGCTTTTCTACAGTTTTAAATTTAAAGTATATTTTATCTAAGAATAGCTATCCTTGTTCTCTTTTGAATCCTTTGTGTGAAATATCTTTTTCCCTACTTTTGGTTTTATTACATATTCTATTTTTTTAAATATTCTTTTTGATAGATAGACACAAAATCTGACTACATGGCACAGGCTTGTCTTGAACTCCTGAACTCAAGCGATCCCCCCACCTCAGCCTCCCAAAGTGCTGGGATTACAAGTGTGAGCCACCACACCTGACCCCAGTCTATATTATTAAAAGTAAAGTTAGTCTCATGTCGGCAACATATAGTTGGGTCTTGTCTTTTTTTTTTTTAAACCATTCAGTCATTTTATGTCTCTTTATTAGATAACTTAATCCATTTACATTCAAAGTAATTATTGATAAGCAAAAACTTACTAACACCATTACATTAATTGTTTTCTGGTTGTTTTGTAGGTATTTTGCTTCTTTCTTTCTTGGTTGCTGTCTTCCTTTGTGGTTTGATGGTTTTTTGGTAGTAGCATACTTTGACATTTTTCTATTTTTGTTTTGTTTATCTAGTATAGACTTTTGCCATTCTGAAATCATGAGAACAAGCAAAAGCACCAAATAGATAAAGATGCACACTGGAAAGATAGAAAGGGTTTGGACTCTTGATTTCATTGATGAGCTGCTTAATTAATTGTGGAACTCCAGGCTTCTTGTATTTTAGCACAAGTTAGATATGAGATCTTCATATCAGATTCTCTTCTGCAACTAGGACTTTTATAACATAGAATGATTTGCTATTTTACCTAGTTATATGCCCTTTCTATTGGAATCTGAGACGACCACATGTAATTGTACTCCAAGGAGCTTTCAAGACCAGTGACCACTGTGCACTAAATCTTGACTATTTTCTGCCATGTAAAAATAAAATACTTTTTAAAATTCATAACCATTATCATTCTTTGTAGAATATTTCCTTGACTGCTATGATTCTTCTTGGAAGCAATTTTTTTTCTTTTGCTCAGAGGTCTCTCTAATTTGTATTGCTGCATGTCATTCCACTTTTTAGCTAGGAGAGTCTTTGTCCTCTTACTTGTCTGTTTATGACTACATGCTTTGTCAATATGCAGTCCTCTCCCAATGCTCATGGAAACAGATGTTGTTGCCTAAGCTCTTTCTCCAATAAAAGAAATGAAACAGAATTGACATAAAAAATAAAACATTTTATGGTTTCAAACTTATTTTAAACATCAAACCCAGATGTTCCAGCTTAACCAGATACCATTAAATGGATGAGTTTAATTTTCTATCACTTTGTGAGACATTTTATTCAGTTTTCTGAAATGGCATGAAATAAGGGTTATTTTACAAGTAACCCCAAATCACTATTTAGCTATCTCAGATTCTTTTGGAAATAGTTGCTGTGTAAGTAACTCTCTAAAAATATTTTCTGTGTCCTTGCTAACTGAATTGTGTCCCCAACTCCAAATTAATATGTAGAGGCCTTAACCCCCAATATGACTATGTCTGGAGAAGAGTTCTTTAAGAGACAATTAAGCCTTAGTAAAGACTAAGGTTGGGGTCCTAATCTGATAAGACTGTTGCCTTATAATAAGGGAAAGATCTCTCTCTGTCTCTCTCTCTCTCTCTCCTTATAAGGACAGAGGAATAAGGGAGCCATCTGCAAGACAGAAAGAAGGCCCTCATCAGAAACTGAATTGGCCAGCACCTTGATCTTGGACTTCCCAGCCTTCAGAGTTGTGAGAAAATAAAATTCTGTTTTTAAGTTACCCAGCCTTATATTTTGTTATGGCAGACCAAAAAGACTAAGACAGTCCTGGTGTACAAGTCTTTTAGTCTCATGACTGCATTGACCTGATTTAAGGCATTTTAGTAATAACAGAGAAATTGGTTTCATATAGTAGTTGTCATTCATTTCATTTATTTTTAAAATTAGAAGAATAATTTCACTCCTGACAGTATAAGAAAACCCATAAGTCAGGGACCTTTAATTCCCTATCCCTCAATTACTATTCTGAATACATCTCAATGCCAACTCTCCTCTCTAGATCAAACTTTCTGGTACTTATTCATATCTAATTTACTCAAAATGTTATAGAAATATTGTTTTAATTTTTAGAAAAATCTTATTGACAAGCAATTTTTAATTGAAATTATAATGGACACACAGCAAAATGTACAAATTTTAAGTATACAACTTGATGAATTTAATATAAATATATACACCCAGCAAATAAACAATAAGATGAGGTTATAGAACATTTCTAACTATCTAGGAAATTCCTTTCTGCCCCTTCCTGCTGGTACTCTGAAGGTAAACACTATTCTGTCTTGTATTTCCATAGATTAGTTTTGTCTCTTCTTAAGGCAAAAATGGAAGTATACGATCCATGCACTTATATCTGTGACATCTGTTATTGCTTGTAGCAACATATGTTTCTGTTTGTTCATGTTCATACAATACATGTTATTGTACATCATATTGGAGTAGTTTTTTCTTTTTAATTATTGTGAGTGTTCCGTGGAATAAATATATAACTATTTATTTTTACATTCTACTATAAATGGGCATGTTTTGACTATTATCAATAAGCTGTTTTGAACATTCTTGTATGTATCTTTTGATCTATTATGTTTGATATAAATATAGTCATGCCAGCTTTCGTATTCTTATTGTTTTAATGGCATATTGTTTTCTCTCCTTTTACATTCTACCTATCTCTCCCTGAATATTTAAAGTTGGTTTCTTGTAGAGAGCACATGGTAGCTCTTGCTTTTTTATCCAGCCTGAGAATCTCTGTCTTTTAATTGAAGTGTCTAGTCTATTTACATTTATGTAATTATTGATAGGGATGATTTAAATCTGCCATTTGCTAATTGTTGTCCATTTGTCCCTTCTGTTCTTTGTGTATTTCCAGTCTTATTTTGGGTTTATCAACTAGTTAAAATTAACATTATTGAGGTAAAATCGGACACACATATTTAAAGTGCACAATTTGATAAGTTTTGACATATGAATAGTCCTGTGAAATTATCACAACAATCAAGATAATGAACCTAACTATCACACACAAAAGAGTCTTTATGCTCCTTCATAATCCTTCTATTTGGAACCTTCTCACCTCCTTATCACCCAGCAACCACTCATCTACTTTCTTTCACTGTAGATTAGCTTTCATTTTTTAGAATTTCTATATAAATATACTTTTAGAATTTTATTTTGGGAAGATTTTTTTAAATTAGGGATTGTTGTGGTTATATCCCACAGATTTGATGTTACCTTTTGATTATCATTTAGTTCAAATTTCTTTAAAATTTGGGGCAATTTGGGAGATTTTAGTGATTTTAGCAAGTAGATTATTAATAGTACTGAATAAGAGTAAACAGGAACTGAGGAAGTGGGAACAATTAGTGAGATCTACCATTTTATGACTTTTACAGTGGAAACAAAGGAAAGATATGAAGTAAGTTAGAAGAGAAATAGAGAGGAGGTGAGCTGGCCTAGCCCATACAGGTTGGTTATAGGTTCATGATGAGAGAGGATTAAGGAGAAATCTCAGTCTTAGGTTACTTTCCCAAAGGTTTTCTATTTAGCCAGTAATAGCAGAGCAAAGAAACCCTTAAGTTTTAGTCTGTTTTATGCTGCTATAAAGGAATATTGAGGCTGAGTAATTTATTTTTTAAAAAAGGTTTATTTGGCTTATGATTCTGATGGTTAGAAAGTTCAAAATTGGGCATCTGCATCTGGTGAGAGGGCCTGAGGCTCCTTCCACTCACTGTAGAGGGCAAAGGGGAGCTGATGTGTGCAGTGATCACATGGTGAGAGAGAAAGCAAGAGCGTGGAGCTCTTTTTAACAATCAGTTCTCTTGGGAATGAATGCAGTGAGAACTCACTCACCTGAGTGAGGATATTAATTTTTCATGAGTGATCAGCCTCCATGATCCAAACATCTCCCATTAGGCCCCATCTTCAACATTGGGAATAAAATTTCAGCATGAGATTTGGAAGGGACAAACATTCAAACCATAGAAACACATAAATGATCAAAAGATACAGTGAATAGAAACAGGCCCTTTACCATTGTCTCAGTACCCGATTTAGAGGAAAAGGCCTGCCAGGTCAGAGGAGCACAAAACCTGGACTCAATGTATTTTTTTTAACAAAACTTTTTATTTTGAGATAACTGTGCACTCATGTGCAAAGTTATAGGAAGTAACACAGAGAGAGCCTGCCTATCCTTTACCCAGATTCCTCTAGTGATAACATCTCACAAAACTTTAGTACAATGCTAAAAACAAGATATTGACATTAACTTAATCCACTGAAATTGTTCAATTTTTTTTTGTTTTACTTGTGCTCATTTGTGTGCTGCATTTAGTTCTCTGCAATTTTATCACGTGTTTCAGGTATCTACCACAGTCAAGATAAGAATAAGTACATCATCACAAGGATTCTTCAGTTTTTTGGCCATTTTCTAATTAGTCTTTTGAACTATTGAGTTCTTAGAGTCCTTTCTATATCATAGATACAGTCACATACTGCATAATAATGTTTTGTTCAACAATGGACTACATATAGTGAGAGAATAGAGACAGACCCTCTCATATTGTTTTATACTCAGAAAAGGAAAGAGAAGTGAAACTAAAGGCAGGTAGCCCGGTGCCTAGGAACCAGACCCAAAACCAAGGAACCAGACCTGAAACCAGGCCTGGGCCTGCCTGACCTAAGCCTGGTGGTTAAAATTCAACCCCAGACCTAGCAACTGATGTTATCTATAGATTCCAGACATTGTATAGAAAGACATTGTGAAACTTCCTGGTCTGTTCTGTTTCACTCTGACCACCAGTGCATGCAGCCCCTGTCACGTACCTCTTGCTTGCTCAGTTGATCACGACCCTCTCTCACGGACCCCCATAGAGTTGTGAGCCCTTAAAAGGGACAAGAATTGCTCACTTGGGGAGCTTGGCTCTTGAGACAGGAGTCTTGCCAATGCTCCCGGCTGAATAAACCCCTTCCTTCTTTAACTCAGTGTCTGAGGAGTTTTGTCTGCAGCTGGCCCTGCTACATTTCTTGGTTCCCTGACCGGGAAGCAAGGTGATTGGCGAATGGTCGAGGCAGCTCCTTAGGTGACTTAAGCCTGCCCTGTGGAACATCCCTGCAGGGGACTCCAACCAGCCCAAGCCATGCGGATCCTGAGAGCACTCCCGGGTAGGCATTTGCCCAGTGAGACGCCTCACCAGAGCAGTGTGTGGCAGCCCCCTGTGGAGGATCAACGCAGTGGCTGAACACCGGGAAGGAACTGGTACTTGGAGTCTGGACATCTGAAACTTGGTAAGACTAGTCTTTGGAACTTGCCTACTCTGTTTGAGTGGAAGTGTGGTCTGATGACCCACGGTGTACCTTTATCGGCACTTTGGTTTGGTTTTGGTTTTGGTTTTGACTCGGTTTGAATTGCTTGACAGGACTGGTCTTGGGAACTTGCCCACTCCATTTGAGTGGAAGTGTGGCCTGATCACCCACAGCATGCCTTTATTGGCACTTTGGTTTTGGTTTTGGTTTTGACTTGGTTTGAATTGCTTGACAGGACCGGTGTTGGGAACTTGCCTACTCCATTTGAGTGGAAGCGTGGCCTGATCACCCACGGCGTGCCTTTATCAGCACTTTGGTTTTGGTTTTGGTTTTGACTTGGTTTGAATTGCTTGACAGGACCGGTCTTGGGAACTTGCCTACTCCATTTGAGTGGAAGCGTGGCCTGATCACCCACGGCGTGCCTTTATCGGCACTTTGGTTTTGGTTTTGACTTGGTTTGAATTGCTTGACAGGACCGGTCTTGGGAACTTGCCTACTCCATTTGAGTGGAAGCATGGCCTGATCACCCACGGTGTGCCTGTACCAGCACTTTGGTTTTTGTTTTTGACTTGACTTGGATTGCTTGATACTTTGGTTTTGATTTCTGGATACTCTGATTTTGGTTTTGATTTTGATTTGGTGTAAACTGCAAAAGTGTGTGTGTGCCCTTTTTACCCATTCTTTGTTTTGTGGTGTGTGTGTGGTGTGAGCGTGGTGTTTTGTCTCGAAGAAGCATGGGTCAGGCACAAATAAGCTCACCCTACTAGGAACTATGTTGAAAAATTTCAAAAAGGATTTAAAGGAGACTATGTAGTACTATGACACCAGGAAAACTTAAAACTTTGTGTAAAATAGACCAGCCAGCATTAGAGGTGGGTTGGCCATCAGAAGGAAGCCTGGACAGGTCCCTTGTTTCAAAGGTATGGCACAAGGTAACCTGTAAATCCCGGGCATCCAGACCAGTTCCCATACATAGACACTTGGTTACAGCTGGTTTTAGATCTCTCCACAGTGGTTCAAAGAACTGCATTATAAGCCAGGCAGAGAGAGACAGAGAGAGAGACAGAGAGGAGAAAGAGAGAGGCAGAGAAAGAGAGGAAGAGACAGAGCCAAAAGGAAAGTCAAAGAGAGAAAGACAAAGTCAAAGAGAGATATATACAAGTAGTTAAGAAAAAAAAAATGGTGTACCCTATTCCTTTAAAAGCCAAGGTAAATTTAAAACCTGTAATTGATAATTGAAGGTATTCTTCGTAAGCCTATAACACTCCAATACCACTTTGTTGTCAGTGTAAACAAGGGCATATCTCGAAAGCACTGAGGCCTTCCTATCAAAAATCCTTGACCCAGTAACCTGTGGATGGCCCAAATGCATTCAATTTGTAGTGGCAACTGCTTTGCTAACAGAAAAAAAGTAAGAAAAAAAAAAACTTTTAGAGGAAACCTCATTGTGAGCACACCTCACTAGTTCAGTTCAGAGCTATCCTAAATCAAAAAGGCAAAAAAGTAGCTTACTAACTCAAAAATCTTAAAATATGGGGCTATTCTGTTAGAAAAAAAAAAAAGGAAATTCCCTTAACCCAGCAGGTTTCCTAACAAGGGATTTAAATCTTAATTACCATACAAAGGTCCAACCAGACCTAAGAGGAACTCCCTTCAGGACAGGATGATGGATGGTTCCTCCCAGGTAATTGAAAAAAAAAAAGGTTATAAAAGGAAATTCATGCAAGAAATGTTGTATAATTTAAAAGTAATTAGGCCTCCTAAATGTAAAACTATTAAAGAAACAGTTTATGTGCAAGGTATATAAAGAAATTAAAATATACTTCTAGTAGTAAGAATTATAAGGAGCCATAAGAATGTAAAGCTTTACCTACATTAAAAGGTTATAAATATGTATATTTTGTTTTAAAGGTTTAATCAAGTTTCAAAATGTTAATTGAAAAAAAATTCTGTGTGTAGACATTGGCCAAAGTTAAAGAGGTATCATCCAGTTTTTCTGTAAACTGGACATAAAAATAAAAGCATAACAGGTTTTCCTTAAAACACAAACCTGCTCTTTAGCAAAAATTATAAAAGGTTAAAAAGAATCTATAAAATCTTACCTTATAGTCAAATATTAAAAATTGGATAAATGTCTACAAGGTTTTATTAAAATTAGGTTTAACATTAATAACACACTAATATAAATGTAAAATTTAACTTATCTGGTATAAAAATCATACAGGAAGCATTGTTAAATGTAAAATGGTATTTGGCTTTCTTTGGTTTAAAACCTAATAAAAATAGGTGCTAAAGGAAATTTCTCAGTAAAAAAGCACTAAGGACTATAAAGTCCACTGCCAAGGTCCCCACATTTAAAACAAAAGATCAATTTCTTAAAAATTATATACTTGGTTTATCTTCCACTTTCCTTTCCCTCAAAAACTAAAAGTCTTTTAGCACTTGTACCACCCTTAGAATTTCCGGTAAACCAGAGCCAGCCTGAAGATCACGTTCTCGTCAAAAGGTGGAAAGAAGAAAAACTCGAGCCAGCCTCAGAAGGACCCTACCTTGTGCTGCTAACCACCAAGAATGCTGTTCATACAGCAAAAAAGGATAGACTCATCATGCCCGACTCAAGAAAGCGCCACCCCCTCCAGAGTCGTGGGCCATAGTCCCAGGGGAAAACCCTACCAAACTAAAGCTAAGAAAAATTTAACTCGTTTCATCTACGCTATTACTCTTTCTTCTTTCCTCGTTCTATTGCTGACCATCTAGTTATTAACATAACCAAGTCAATTTCGCCTCAAACTATTGCATCTAATGCTTGCCTTGTGGAGACTTGCCAAGTCAAAGACAGCTTTCTACTTCAGAAAAGTACTTCTGTTCCTCCTGACTCTCCTTAGACTGGGCATTAGTAAACTAGGACCATTTAATCGGGGGAGATTTCGATAAAGACCCCAGTGCCGACCAGGAGTCTTGCCCCCCGATGTAGAGTTTTCATGCCATAGTTGGTCCAACATTCTGTGGACCACTAAAGAGCAAGGATGGACTGCCCCAACCAGTTTTTGTAATTTCCTAAAATCATACATTCATTTTACTAGAGGATCATGGAAGTTAAAGACTTACAACAAACTTTAGCAATTAAGACAGGATACCAAGATGCAAATGCCTGGTTAAAATGGATCAAATATTCCATCTGCATGTTAAACAAAAGCAATTGTTATGCTTGTGCACATGGCAGGCCAGAGGCCCAGATTGTCCCCCTCCCACTAAGGTGGTCCTCCAGTCGACCATGCATAGGCTGCATGGTAGCTCTTTTCCCGTATTCTACAGCCTGGAGTAATAAGTCATGCCAAGCTCTCTGTGTTCTATCCCGAAGTCTGGCACCCTGCGGTTCAGCTGCCAAAGGCCATCCAGCTTCCATCTCCCAACACTAAGTTCACTTCATGTCTCTCATGACAGGGAGGAAATAGCATTCCTTGGAGACCTGAAGGGATGTGATGAGTTTAAGAATTTTCAAGAGCTTATCAATCAGTCAGCCCTTGTTCATCCCCGAGTGGATGTGTGGTGGTATTGTGGTGGACCTTTACTGGGCACTCTGCCAAATAACTAGAGTGGCACTTGTGCTTTAGTCCATGTGGCTGTCCCTTTTACCCTGGCATTTCATCAACCAGAGGTAGAAAAAATAAGACATCATAAAGCGGGAGAAGCCCCTTATGGGTCTTTCAACTCTCACATCTATTTAGATGCAATTGGAGCCCTGCAAGGAATACCAGATCAATTTAAAGCTTGAAATCAAATAGCTACAGGATTTAAGTCAATATTTTAGTGGGTGACAGTTAATAAAAATGTAGATTAGATAAACTACATCTATTACAACCAACAGCAACAAGCTTTTCATGAGTTAAAAGAAAAACTCATGTCGGCCTCAGTCCTGGGGCTACCTGACCTGACAAAACCCTTTATACCCTATGTGTCAGAAAAAAAAAAAATGGCAGTTGGAGTTTTAACCCAGACTGTAGGGCGCTGGCAAAGGCCAGTGGCCTATCTCTCAAAACAACTAGATGGGGTTTCCAAAGGCTGGCCCCCATGTCTAAGGGCCCTGGCAGCAATGGCCTTGTTAGCACAAGAAGCAGATAAGCTAACTCTTAGGCAAAACCTAAACATAAAGTACCCCCATGCTGTGGTGACTTTAATAAATACCAAAGGACATCATTAGCTAATGAATGCTAGACTAACTAGATATCAAAGCTTGATCTATGAAAATCCCCGCATAACCATTGAAGTTTACAACACCCTAAACCCCGCCACCTTGCTCCTGGTATCAGAGAGCCCAGTTGAACATAACTGTGTAGAGGTATTGGACTCAGTTTATTCTAGTGGGCCCAACCTCCAAACCATCCTTAAACAGCAGTAGACTGAGAGCTGTACGTGGATGGGAGCAGCTTCACCAACCCCTGCAAAGTGGCTCTGAAGAAGATAACAAGCCCTGCTTCAGTCACACCTGGAAGCTGACTGGTCCATGCACGGCCGAAGCATGAGGAAACTCATCACGGGACTCATTTTCCTTAAAAACTGGACTTGTACAGTAAGGACTTCAACTGACCTTCCTCAGACTGAGGGCTGTTCCTAGTGTATACATCATGTCACTGAGGTAGGACAAAAAGTTGCTACGGTCCTATTATTTTACAGTTATTATAAGTGTACTGGAACCCTAAAAAGAACTTGTTTGTATAATGTTACTCTATACAAGGTATGTAGCCCAGGAAATGACCAACCTAATGTGTGTTATGACCCATCTGAGCCTCCCATGACCACAGTTTTTAAAATAAGATTAAGAACTGAAGACTGGTGGGGGCTCATAAACGATATGAGTAAAGTGTTAGCCAAAACAGAAAAAAAAGAGGTGCCCAAATGAATCACCTTGAAATTTGATGCCTGTGCTGTCATTAATAGTAATAAGTTAGAAATAGGATGTGGTTCTCTTAATTAAGAAAGAGGCTATATGGCAGAAAATAAGTACGTTTATCATAAATTAAGACTGTGTAAAAATAAATGTGGATACTGGTCTCATGTCATTTAGGCTACTTGGATTAAAAAAATGAAAAAATCCTGTCCACCTTCAGCAAGGGAAAAGTGGCCCTTCCTGTACCAGTGGTCAGTGTAACCCCTTAGAACTAGTAATAACCAACCCCCTTAATCCTCGCTAGAAAAAAGGGGAACGTGTAACCCTAGAAATTGATGGAGCTGAAATGGATCTTCAAGTAAATATCGTGGTTTGAGGAAAAGTTTATAAACGCTCTCCTGAGCCATTATTTCAAACCTTCTATGATGAACTGAATGTGCCAGTACCAGAAATTCCAGGAAAAACAAGAAATTTGTTTTTGCAATTAGCTGAGCATGTAGCCCAGTCTCTCAATGTCACTTCATGTTATGTATGTGGAGGAACTGTAATAGGAGATCAATGGCCATAGGAAGCCCAAGAATTTGTACCTATAAACCCAGTTCCTGATGAATTCCCGGCTCAAAAAAAATCACCCTGATAGCTTGTAGGTCCTAAAAGCCTCAATCATTAGACAATACTGTATAGCAAGAGTAGGGAAGGACTTCACCCTTCCTGTAGGAAGACTCAGCTGCCTTAGGCAAAAACTGTACAATAGTATTACAAAAACAGCCACCTAGTGGAGTTCAAACCATACTAAAAAAAATCCATTTAGTAAATTCCCAAAGTTGCAAACCATGTAGATCCTCCCAGAGTCCCACCGGGACTGGACAGCCCCCACTGGATTATACGGGATATGTAGGCATAGACCTTATGCCAAATTACCTGACCAGTAGGCAGGTAGTTGTGTTATTGGAATTATTAAACCATCTTTCTTCCTACTGCCCGTAAAAACAGGCGAACTCCTAGGCTTCCCTGCCTATGCTTCTTGCGAAAAGCGAAGCATAGCCATAGGTGATTGGAAAGATGATGAATGGCCTCCTGAGAGAATTATACGATATTATAGGCCTGCCACTTGGGCACAAGATGGCTCATGAGGATACCGGACCCCCATTTACATGCTCAACCAAATCATATTGTTGCAAGCTGTTTTAGAAATCATCACTAATAAAACCGGTCAAGCCTTGACTATTCTAGCCCGGTGAGAAACTCAGACGAGGAATGCTATCTATCAAAATAGACTAGCTCTCGACTACTTGCTACTGGCTGAAGGAGGGGTTTGTGGAAAATTTAACCTTACTAATTGCTGTCTACACATAGATGATCGGGGCAAGTAGTTAAAGACATAGTTAAAGATATAACAAAACTGGCACATGTGCCCGTGCAAGTGTGGCATGGATTTGATCCTGGGGCCATGTTTGGAAATTGGTTCCCAGCACTAGGAGGATTTAAAACCCTTATAATAGGAGTTATAGTAGTAATAGGAACCTGCTTACTGCTCCCTTGTTTGCTACCCGTACTTCTTCAAATGATAAAAAGCTTCATCACTACCTTAGTTCACCAAAATGCTTCAGCACAAGTGTACCATATGAATCATTATCAATCTATTGCACAGGAAGACGTAAGTAGTGAAAATAAGAGTGAGAACTGCCACTAATAAAAAGTGAGAGTCTCAAAGTGGGGAAATGAGAGAACAGAGACAGACCCTCTCATACTGTTTTATATTGTTTTATACTCAGAAAAGGAAAGAGAAGCAAAACTGAAGGCAGGTAGCCCGGCACCTAGGAACCAGACCCAAAACCAAGGAACCAGACCTAAAACCAGGCCTGGGCCTGCCTGACCTAAGCCTGGTAGTTAAAATTTGACCCCTGACCTAGCAAGTGATGTTATCTACAGATTCCAGACATTGTATAGAAAGACATTGTGAAACTTCCTGGTCTGTTCTGTTTCACTCTGACCACCAGTGCATGCAGCCCCTGTCACTTATGCCCTGCTTGCTCAATTGATCACGACCCTCTCACATGGAGCCCCATAGAGTTGTGAACGAGCTCGGCTCTTGAGACAGGAGTCTTGCTGATGCTCCCGGCCAAATAAACCCCTTCCTTCTTTAACTCCATGTCTGAGGAGTTTTGTCTGTGGCTCATCCTGCTACAAAAGCATGGTGGTCCCATTAAATTACAATGAAGCAGAAAAATTCCTATCATGTAGTGACATTGTAACCATCATAATTTCATAGCACAATGCATAACTCACGTTTGTGGTGATGCTGGTGTAAACAAACCTATTATGCTTTCAGTCCTGTAAAGACATTGATGATCCCAGCCCTGTGGAAGCCTAGGCTGCTGTGTGTGTTTGTGTCTTAGTTTTTAACAAAAAGTAAAATATAAAAATAAAAAAATTTTAAAAATCGAAAAAAGTTTACAGACTAAGGATACAAGAAAGAAAATATTTTTATACAGCTATACAATGTGTTTATATTTTAATCTAAGTGTTACTACAAAGGAGTACAAAAATTTTGAAACATGAGAGAACTTATAAGGTAAAAAAGTTATAGTAAGCTAAGGTTAATATATTGTTGAAGAAAGAAATGCTTTTAAAAATAATTTTAGTGTAGCCTAAGTGTACAGGTTTATAAAATTTACAGTAGTGTACAATAATGCCCTAGGCCTTCATATTCACTCACCACTCACTCACCCACTCATACAGAGCAACTTCTAGCCTTGCAAGCACCAGTTAGGGTAAGTGTCCTATATAGATGCACCACTTTTTGATGTTTATACCATATTTTTACCATACTTTTTCTGTTTAGATACATACTTACCATTGTGTTACAATTGCTGATAATATTCAGTATAGTAACGTGTTGTAAAGGTTTGTAGCCTAACAGCAATAGGCTATCCCATATAGCCTAGGTGTGTAGTAGGCTATACCATCTAGGCTTGTGTAAGTGCACTCTATGATGTTCACACAATGACAAAACCACCTAAAAACACATTTCTCAGAATGTATCTCTGCCATTAAATGATGCATGGCTGTACTATTCCTTTGTCAGATATGTGATTTTCCCAATATTTCTACTACACTGTAACTTGCCTTTTTATCCTCTTAATAAGATATTTTGCTCAGCAAAAGTTTTAAATTTACATGAGGTTCCATTTATCATTTTTTTCCCTTTTATGGATTATGCTTTTGATGTCAGGTCTGAGGATTATTTGCCTAGCCCTAGTTCCCGAAGTTTTACTCCTTTTCTTATTCTTAAATTCTTATACTCTTAACTTTAAGTCCGTGATCCATTTTTGAATTAATTTTGGTATAAGTTGTGAAGTTTAGGTTGAGGTTCTTTTATTTTTTTGCCTATATACGTTCAATTGCTCCAGCACCATTTGTCGCAAAGGCTTTCCTTTCTCCATTGAATAACGCTTTGCTCTTTGTCAAAAATCATTGGGTATATTCATGGGCATATTTCTAGGTTCTCTATTCTTTTTGAAATGTTTGGTAGAATAATCAAGTGAAACCATTTGGGGCTGGATATTCTTTTTTAGAGGGTTTTAAAAATATGACTTCAATTTCTTTCATGGTTATGGGACTACTCAGATTATCTATTTCATCTTGGTTTTATTTCAGGAGTTTGTGATTTTTGAGAATTTAGTCAATTTCTCCTAAGTTGTTGAATTTACGAACATAAAGTTGTTTGTAGTATTTTCTTACTATCCCTTTAATGGCTAAAGGATTGGTAGTAATATCCCTGGTTTCCATTCTGATATTGGTAATATGTGTCTTCTCTCTTTTTCTTTTTGTCAGTCTTCCTAGAGGTTTATCAATTTTATTGATTTTTTTTCAAAGAAACAGCACTTTTTTTCATTGACTGTCTCTATTGTGTCCTTTTCATTTTAAATGTTTCTGTTCTTAACACTATTATATCCTTCCTTCTGCTTGCTTTGGGTTTATTTTACTCCTCTTTTTCTACTTTATTCAGGTAGCAACACTTACTGTTCATCTGAGGTCTTTCCTCAGTCTAAGAACTTAGTGGTACAGGCTTCCTTACCAGGGTTGCTTTAGCAGTATGTCACATATTTTCTAATTTCTATTGTCATTCCTTTTTTGATCCATGGACTATTTGGAAGTGTGTTGCTTAATTATCAAACATCTGAACATTTTCTAGTTCTCTTTCTGTTATTGGTTTTCATTTTAATTTCATTGTGGTCAGAATGCAAACTCTGCATGATTTCAACCCTCCACAATCATAATTATAGAATTTTTAAGGCTGTGGAAATTCTTTTTTGAGACAGAGTGTGACAGTGTGTCACTCTGTTGCCCAGGCTGGAGTGCAGTGACATGATCTCAGCTCACTGAAATTTCTGCCTCCCAGGTTCATGTGATTTTTGTGCCTCAGCCTCCAGAGTAGCTGGGACTACAGGTGTGTGCCACCAGGCCCTGGCTAACTTTTGTATTTTTAGTAGAGATGGGGTTTCACCATGTTGGCCAGGCTGGTCTCAAACTCCTGGCCTCAAGAGATTTGCCCACCTCAGCCTCCCAAAGTGCTGGGATTACGGGCTTGAGCCCCTGCGTCAGGCCAGGATGTCTTAGTAGTCCACATGAAACTATGACTCAAACATGTAGGTTAGCTCCATATCTTGTGATGTTTTCTAGGACGTCATTGGCCTGAAGCAATCTTCTCTTTCTGTTTCAGCTTCAGCACCCCTTCCTGGGACTTTAGGTAAAAGGGTTAAACAAGCAATAATTTGCCTAAGTAGTTAAACCTAAACCAAAATTTCTCACTTACAAATATAAACCATGCATAGTCTAAACATCACTTTTTCAGAAAGTAATCTCCCCAGAATATTTTCATGTGGCCTGCATATGGTCTTACAGATACATGAACACATAGATCTATTTTATTGATTTTGATAGCTCTAAAATATCCCATTGTATGAATAAATAATTTGTTTAGCCAGTCTTTTACTCATGGATTTTAAGATAATATTAGGGTATTTTTTGTTGTTATAAATAATACTGCAGGAAACACTTACATACATATTTCTTAAAGTAACTGTATGAATATATCTGTGGAAAATTCTTAAAAGTGAAATTCCTAGTTCAAAGGATGTGCACATTTTAAATATTGGCAGATACTGCCAAATTGCCTTCAAAAGAATTTGTACCCAATCTTGTTTTTTTTGTTTTTTTTTGTTTTTTTTTCCTTAGGGTCTCACTCTGTTGCTCAGGCTGAAGTGCACTGTGGCGCCATCTTGGTTCACTGCAACCTCCACCTCCTGGGCTCAAGCGATTCTCCTGCCTTTGCCTCCCAAGTAGCTGGGACTACAGGAGCACCACACCATACTTGGCTGGTTTTTGGATTTTTTGTAGAGACAGGGTTTCGCCATGTTGCCCAGGTTGGTCTGGAACCCCTAAGCTCAAGCAATCTACCTGCCTCAGCCTCCCAAAGTGCTGGGAGTGCAAGCATGAGCCACTGCACAAACCTCTTGTCAGCAATCTATAAGAATTTCTGTTTCCCCTCAACTTCCCTATCCCTGTGTACTATCAAGCTATTTGATGCTTACAAATTTGATTGGGTTAAAATGTTTTCTCATTGTGATTTTTATTAGCATTTTTAAGATTGTGAATGAGCATCTTTTCTTACCTTTTTAAGATTTTCTTATGTTTATTTCCTTTGTCCATAATCTATCCAGTGTTTTTTAAATTGTTGATTTGTAAATACTCCTTATATATTTAGAAAATAATATTTTGTTGGTCATATGTGTTGCAAATATGGTTTCACAGTTTTTGTTATTTGCGTTTGACTTTCTTGTTTTCTTTCTCCCTCAGCAGATTTTACATAGGCAAATATATCCATTGTATTAGTCTGTTTTCACTCTGCTAATAAAGACATATCGAGACTGGGTAATTAATAAAGGAAAGAGGTTTAATGGACTCACAGTTCCACATGGCTGAGGAGGCCTCATATTCGTGGCAGAAGATGAAGGAAGAGCTAACGAACATCTTACATGGTGGCAGGCAAGAGCGTGTGCAGGGGAACTCTCATTTATAAAACCATCAGATCTCATGAGACTTATTCACTATCATGAGAACAGCATGGGAAAGACCCGTCCCCATGATTCAATTACCTCCCACTGGGTCCCTCCCATGACATGTGGGGATTATTACAATTCAAGGTAAGATTTGGGTGGGGACACAGCCAAACCATCATCATCATCCATCTTTTAATTTGCATTTTATTGAGTTTTATGTTTGGCCTTAAAAGGTCTTATCTTTTCCAAGATTATAAATAATACTCTTATATTGTTACGTTTAAAGTTTTGATTCCCTTGTAAGTTATTTTTGTGAAAAGAGTAAAGGAAACATCCAGTTATATTTATTTTTCAAATGGCTGACCATTATCCCATCTCCATTTATTTAATAATCCCTTTTTCTCTGTTTTGAAATGCTATCTTTACTGACATGTATTCCTGTATAAGGATTTGTCAGTCTTTATTAAATGAATTGAATTCAAGCATGGCTAAAATCAATTACTTTTTCATGGTTGTCTTAGGACCTGGGATCAGATTGGGACAGTCAGTATCTAACTTATTTATCTATTTATTATTTTAAATTATTTCACATCTAAGTCTTTACAGTGTTCTAAACAGCCACCTCCCCCAAAATAGGTCCAATACTTCTGATGTATATAAACAATGAGGAAATAATTAGAGAGCCAGGAATACATTCCCTTAAAATACCAGGAGGATTAATTGGCTAGTGATGAGATAATAAATCTCCAACTGATAATTAAATATTATTGTTCTTTGTGGAAATATGAAGTAATTGCATGCAAGGTGGGATTAGTTTTTATTGCTTTAGTTGGTGTACAACATTGAATCTCAACTTCTCAAATTTTTATTTTATTTTATTTGATATGAAGTCTTGCTATGTTGCCCAGGCTGGTCTCAAGTACTTGGGTTTAAGTGATCCTCCCAGCTCAGCTTCCCAAGTAGCTGGGATTCCTGGGACATGCCACCATAATTAGGTAGATATGAACTTTTAACGATGGCCTACTCATTTATCATAGATTGGGAAGACCAGAATGACTGGAATCTGTAGGAAAACTTCAACAGACTAGTAGACACAGATTTTAGCATCCTCATCCTCAGATATCATAGACACTTGGAGTTTTTTTATTTATTTGGTTTATAGTATTGTTCAAGTGTGCTGTTTCTTTATTGATTTTTTTATGTTGGAGTATTGAAGTTCTTTTTTTTTAATTTTATTTCTCTGACACTGGCTCTGAGGTGACATGAAGCTTTTTATTATTATTGTATTTTTGCTCATTTCTCTTTTTAGTTCCCTTAATATTTGCTTTATATATTTACAAATGATGGTAGGTGCACACATATTTATTATTGTTATATCTTCCTGATGAAGAGACCTTTTATCATTATATAATGTATTTCTTTGTCTTGTGAATAAGGTCTGTTTTGTTTGACAGAAGTATAGTCACCTCTGCTCTCATTTGGTCACTATTTGTACAGAATATCTTTTTCTATCACTTCACTTTTAGCCTATGTGTATCCTTAAATCTAAAATGAGTCTCTTGTAGACAACATATAGTTGGGTCTCTTAAAATTAACCATTTAATCACTCTATGTCTTTTGATTGGGGACTTTAATCCATTTATATTTAAAGTAATTATTGGTAGAGAAGAACTTACAATTGCCGTTTTGTTGTTTCCTGCTTTGTAGTTCTTTTGTTCTTTTTTCTCCTCTTGATGCTTTTCTTGGCATTTTATTGATTTTTTTTGTAGATATAGTCTTTATTCTCTTTCTCTTTTTCTTTTTTGTATCTTCTGTATGTATTTTTGTGTGTGGTTACCATAAGGCATATGTAAAATATTTTATTACTAAAACCATCCATTTTAAGCTGATAACAACTTAGAAGTATTAAGTATGCTTTAATTGCATGCAAATATCTCTATACTTTTACTCCCCGCTACACAATTTATATTATTGATGTCAAAATTTGTATCTGTTTATACTGTAACTTCATTAACGAATTTTTGTAAAGTTATTCTTAATATTTTTTGACTTTTAGCTTGTGTACTAAAATTAAAATCAATTTACACACCATCATTACAGTATTATTCTGTTTATATACTTAACTCTACAAGTGAATTTTACACTTTTATATGCTTCTGTGTTGCACTTCAGCATCCTTTTATTTCAAGTTGAATAATTACCTTTAGAATTTTTATAAAGCAGTTCTGATAATAAGGTATTCCCTCAGTTTTCATTTATCTAGGACAATCTTTACCTCTCCATTTCTGAAGAACAGTTTTGCTGGGTATCGTATTCTTGGTATACAGGATTTGTCTTTCAGTACCTTGACTATATCCTACCACTGTCTCCTGGCTGGTAA
Organism: Homo sapiens; assembly: GCF_000001405.40. Lineage (NCBI taxonomy): Eukaryota > Metazoa > Chordata > Mammalia > Primates > Hominidae > Homo > Homo sapiens. Next base: position 130,274,227 of record NC_000006.12, read on the forward strand.
GGTTTCTGATAAGAAATCCACTGATAGTCTTATGGAGACTCCCTTGTGCAGAGCAGTTCTCTGAGTGGCCTTGGACCAACCCAGTTCTCTCCCTTTTCTTGCTTATAATTTTGAAGTATAACTATAGAATGTACAGGGAATGCAACATTCTCAGATAGGGAGGGACTGTCTGGAAAATCCCAGGCTCTGTTCTAGTCTTCCAAGAATAGGATGTCCTTCCATATTTTAGTCGAGTGACATGTGAGTCTGGGGTATACAGCTTAGGGTGGGCTGCTGTTTTTTAGGGTTCCTCAGCTGCAAGTGGGACACATGTAAATAGGACTCCATCCATCCTTAGGACATATTTTGGGCCAAAGAGATTTTATGTTGAGCTCTGCTGGCTTGGAGGAGGGGCTGACACAGGTAAAGTGAAACTGTTTCTCTTTCCCATTTTGAAGGGATTTTTCTCTGTGATGTGTTCATCTGAGCACTGCAACTTCTTAATTGGAATCTGGAGTTCTGATAAAGGCAGTTTGGCCTAAATATCTTTTTTTTTTTTGGTGTTTCTGTTGAGGAGGGGACAAGGGCTGTGATTTCCTATTCCAGTATATTACTGAAGTCCCTCTCCCTTTATATTTGATTGCAATGTCTCTTAAGACTCTTAAACTTAGTCCCTTACAATTCCTACTTTGCTATTTTTTTCTTCATACTATGGACTTTTGGGAACTATCAGGTTAGTCCTTTTTTTGGACCCTTGGCACTCAAAATATAGTCTGCTGACCAGCAGTACTGGCATCAACTGGGATCTTACATGAAATGTAGAATTTCAGGTCTCTAGACCTACTGTATCAAAATATACATTTTGATAAGATTCTTAGGTGAGTTGTATGCCCATTAAATGTGAGAAACACTGCTCATAAATGCCTTAATTCTGTATTTTTCTCTTTGATTCCTTGTGGTGTCATTTATTTATTTATTTTTTCTCCTGTATTTCCTGTAGACAGAAGTTATCTTGATACCAGTAGCTCTCAACTTTGACTGTGAAGACTTACTTGCTGATTTATTTTGCTTCTTGAATCAGCCTGGGTCCCATTATCAGCATTTTAAATTTTATTGACATAATGATAAGCCATATTAAAAAATAGTCGAAAGAGATTTTACCTTTTTACCTTGTCAGCTCTGGGTTTTAAATCTTGACAAAAATACTCAGATAAATCCCAAACAGTTCAGAAATCTATTTGTCTCAACTCCCAGTAGGGCTGAATTACACTGAACTTTGGAGGAATCACAAGTATATATTTAGTTTATAATAACCACTATATAATTTAACTAGAGTACACAGTTAAAGCACAATTGTATATAGCAATCTATTTATGATATAAATTTGAGTTTATTAATTTACCAATACCTCCCTCAACTAATGATATGGGAGAAAAATCATTTATTAATATATTATAATTATTAAATCACCTATTTGGTCTTGATTCAAATTTTTATTTTCCTGATCTTCAAGTCTTGCCCTCCTCTTCCCTGAACATTACATTATTTTCTTCTTTGTATATCATATTCTTTTTATTATTTACATTTACAATCCATATCAGTATGGTTGTGTTCTTATTTTAAAACGTTTTCTCCCCCTCTAACTCTTTGATTATGACCTTGCTCGGACATCTTTTAAGTATTGTGGTAGGCTGGATAATGGCCCTGCAAGGATGTTCACATTCTAATACCTAGAATCTATGAATATGTTGCCTTACATGATGGAAGGAACTTTGAAGAAATAATTAAGGATTTTGAGAAGGGGAAAATTTTCCTGGTGGGCTTATGTAATCTAGGTGGGCTTAATGTAATTACAGGGTCCTTATAACAGGGAAACAGGAGGTTCAGAGAGAAGACAGAAACAGGAGTTGGAATTACGTACTTTGAAAATAGAAGGAGGGGCCATAAACCAAAGAAAGTATGTGGCCTTTAGAAGAGAGAAAAAGTAAGGAAACAGATTCTCCCCTAGAATCTACAGAAGGAACTCAGGCCTAATGATACCTTGATTTTAGCTCAGAAAACCTCTGATTCCAGAGTTCTGACTTTCTGAACAGTAAGATAATAAATTGGTTAAATAATCATTTTAAGGCCTTATCATTGTGGTAATGAATTATAGCAGGAATAGGAAACTAGTACAAGTATAAAGCTTTAATCAGTTTACTAAGGTCAGGTTCTAATACTTTTCTGCAAGAATAAACAAGAATGTATAGGTAAGTAAAGAGTGGGTGGAATAATATGAGTCTCTCATAACAGATATTAAGCATATTAAAAATATTATAAAGCTATAATAATTAAAGAAGTGTGTTATTTAAACAAGTATGGACACATGTATCATGAAAGCAGAATAAGTAACACAGAGTAAGAACCTATGTATGTATATACACTTACATTATAATAAGGGTATAATTCCCTAATGGGTTCTTCTTGCCCACTGCCCAAATAAAACCAATTCACTGAGACTGCAGGATTGCAGTAGAGAAAGAGTTTAATTAATGCAGGGTTAGCCAAGTAGAAGACAGGAATTCATTACTCATATCAGCTTCCCTGAGAACTCCAAGGCTAGGTTTTTATGGATAATATCATGGGTAGAAGGCTAGGGAATGGGTGCTGCTGATTGGTTGGAGATGAAAATAGGGGTGTGGAAAATGGTTCTCGTGTGCTGAGTCAGCCTCAGGGTGGGGGCCACAGGACTGGTCAAGTCATGAAGCACAGGTCCAAGTAGAGCCAGTTGGTCACCAGAATGCAAAAGTCAGAAAAACATCTCAAAAGACCAATTGTAGGTTCTAAAATAGTAATGTTATCTATAAAAGCAATTGAGAAAGACAAAAATCTTGTGACTTATGGCCACATGATTCCTGAGAAGTAAGGGATTATAGAAAAGAAAGTTATGAAACAATGGCTTGTTCTCATTTAACTCTGCCTACATCTTAGGCATAATTTAGGCCTCTACCATAATCCTTATCTTGTGGCCTTTCATTAGTTTTACACAGACAGTTTCAGTCCTCAAACAAAGAGTGGGTCAGTTTTAGGGTGGGACTATTATCATTCTTGTTTCAAAGTTAAACTATATACTACATTCCTCCCATGGTTAGCTTGGCTTACACTCAGGAATGAACAAGGACAGCCAGCCTGTAAGGCTAGAAGCAAGATGGAGTCAGCCATGCTAGACTTCTTTTGCTGTTATAATCTTTGCAAAGGCAATTTCAAAGGCAGTGCTCATTGACACTAATTGATCAGCCATACTCTTCTTCAAACATACCATCTTGTTCTATTAAACATTCATAAATGGTGTACAGTCTACTGGTTCTCCTTTTTCTATTTTTTCTCCTGCTTGTTGCTTATATAACTCCTGTTCATCCTTAGGAATAACTTAGGTGTCACTTCTTTCAAGGATCTTTTTATGAATGCCCCAGGTACAGATTGGATGTTCTTCCTTGGTTCTCTGAGGCACAGGCTTGGTTTATAATGTGGTAACAAGCAATCCTCTAATGTTAGATGTTTTGAAATCACCATTGTAAAATTATAACTGAGACAATGACAGAGATCTGAGCTAACCGACTCCTTCTTGCTTCTAACCTCCAAGCTGTCTCTGTTCATTCCTGGGTGTAGGGTGAATTAACTTTGGGAGGAACTTAGCTTATAGTTTATAGTTTGAAACAAAGATGGTAACAGCCCTTTCCCAAAACAAATCTCCTTCTTGCTTGGGGACTAGATTGCCTTTGTAGGACTAACAAAGTAGCCACAAGATTAGAAATTATAGTTTAGGGGCCATGCAGCTGGAAGCTACAAGATTCCAAAACTCCCCAAATTGCTGCTGGGTATAACATCACTATTGTATAACCTAAGAGCAGTGCTTGAGATAGTTTGCAGACCCTGCACTTTATGGATCACTTGGCACCACTCAGATTGATAAACTGGCTCATCCAATCTTGTGGACCCCACCCAGGAACTGATACAGCACAAGTAGACAGCTTCGACTCCCTATGATTTCATCTCTGACCTGACCAATCAGCACTCCCAACTCACTGGCCCCACCACCTACCAAATTATCCTTAAAAACTCTGATCCTTGAATACTTGGGGAGTCTGATTTGAGTAATAATAAAACTCCAGCCTCCTGCATAGCCAGCTCTGTGTGAATTACCGTTTCTCTATTGCAATTCCCCTGTCTTGATAAAACAGCTCTGTCTAGGCAGTGGGCAAGGTGAACCCATTGGGCAGTTACAAATTAACACAATAAAAGAGTATTTCTTATTCATACAATTTCCATTGCAGAGTTGTTTTCTATTCTTCAGAGTTGTTTTCCTACAAATTATGGCTTAGCCATCTAGTTGGCTTCAGTCTTTTAGTCCTGTCAAAATTGAATTGAGATGGCTCAATTCAAGGCCTCCCTACAACTGGCACAGTGGAGGAAGGGTGAAACTGGAAAATAAGGCTTTTCATTGCCTCAGTCCAGAAGTGGCATCTTACTTTTGCTCACATTTCACTGGCTTTAACTATTCATATTTTCCTGCACAATAAGGAGCTGAGAGGTTCATTCTTCCACGTGCCTGGAAAGGAAGGAGAACTGGATAGTAGTAAAGCACAATAATGCCTACTGCACGCTCTGACCTTAGCTTGAGTGTATCACTTACTGCAGCCTACTGTAGTTACATAGACGGTGGGGAGACACGATGTGGTTAGACTCTGCAATTCTATCAAATATTCTCCCATGCTAGGGTCAATCTAGTACAAGGGTTAGAGAATGAACCTTAGAATCAAGTTGGATCTGAATTTAATTCTCAGCTCCACTACTTAACTTACTGTATGACCTTGGCAAGTTATTTCACCATCATGAGTCTCAGTTTCCTAAATCATAAAATGAGCTTAATAATATCTATCTAATAGTATTATTATAAGATTATAGAATTTAATGGATATAAAGTTCCTGTTCCTGGTACTCCACCAGATATGGTTTGGCTGTGTCCCCCACTAAATATCATCTTAAATTGTCATCCTTATAATCCCCATGTGTCATGAGAGGGTCCCAGTGGGAGGTATGTGAATCATGGGGGCGGTTTTCCCCATGCAGTTCTCATGACAGTGAGTGAGTTCTCATGAGGTCTGATCGTTTTATAAGCATCTGGCATTTCCCCTGCTGGCACTCATTCTCTCTCCTGCCACCCTGTAAAGAGGTGCCTTCCTCCATGATTGTAAGTTTCCTGAGGCCTCCCCAGCCATATGGAACTGTGAATCAATTAAACCTTTTTTTTTTTTTTTTTTTGAGATGGAGTTTCACTCTTGTTGCTCAGGCTGGAGTGCAATGGTGCACTCTCACTGCAACCTCCACCTCCCAGGTTCAAGCGATTCTCCTGCCTCAGCCTCCCAAAAAGCTGGGATTACAGGCACCTGCCAGCAGGCCTGGCTAATTTTTGTACATTTAGTACAGACAGGGTTTCATCATGTTGGCCAGGCTGGTCTCAAACTCCTGACCTCAGGTGACCCACCCGCCTCGGCCTCCCAAAGTGATGGGATTACAGGTGTGAGCCACTGTGCCTGGCCTAAACCTCTTTTCTTTATAAATTACCCAGTCTTGGGTATGTCTTCATAGCATTGTGAGAAACGGACTAATACACCACCTGACATACAGTAGGAGCTAAATAAAAAGCAGTCTTTATTATTACCTAGTCTTTGAGCTGCACCTCCCAGGGACATTATCTTTGTCTTTCAAATTTTTATTTCTTTCTCCCCTTTGACTCTTATCTTCAGTTGCAAATAATAATTATCTTTCCTAAGTTAAAAATAAAAAACCACTCAAAACAAACTAAAACTTTGCTTTAGGCTATTTTTCCATTTCCCTCTTTCTTATCACCAAACTCAAATGTTTTCTGTTGTGTTGTTTTTCACTAGCTACTTCTACTTTTAAAAGTTCCCATTCACTGCTTGGCTCATCATAATCTTTGTTTTCCTATTTACTGAAGCTATTCTCTTGCAGCTTATAACCAGCCTCCTAATCACGAAGTTATTAAACTGCACAAGCGTTTCACCTTGCAGGTCTTTCTTGTGGTTTGACATTTAATTATTTTTTTGCCCTTGATAATGGCATGTAATGACATACCTCTTACCCTTCTCACCATTCCCAAACCTTCTTCCTGGTTCAATTTATTTTCCTGTCCCCTCCGGCAGGATCTGCAGAAGGTTCATTTTTTGGCCCTCTTCTCTTCTCTCACATGCCTCCCCGTGGCACTCACATTCCCTCCCAAAGCTTGAAAATATCACCTTTAGACAGGCATCTTCTATGTCTAGCCTCTCCTCTGAACTCTCTTCTAGCTTCCCAATTGCCTAATCAAAATTTCTCAGACTTTTTGTTCCTGCACTCAAATTTACTGTGTCCCACTTGGATTCTGTACCCATTTGGCCATTGTTCATGGTTCTATTTCAGCATGTACACATAGAATCCCATATTATAGTTATTTGGAACATTACATTGCAGTCGTAAACTCCTTGGGACAGGAGTTATCTAAAGATAGTCTTTATCTTCTTGCCTTCCCTCTTTATTTTCATATTAAAATTTAGTAATCATCTATATCACCATCAGGATAATTATAATATGCTAATTATGATATGTGTAATATATACTTCAAAATAAATGTTCACATTAAAAATGTGACACAGTAGTTCTCTGATACCCTCAGGGGATACATTCCAAGACCTCCAGTGGATGCCTGAAACCATGGATAGTATTGAACTTTCTATATACTATGTTTCTTTCCTACACATATGTGCCTATAATAAAGTCTAATTTATAAATTAGGCATACTAAGAGATTAACAACAATAGCTAATAATAAAATAGAACAATTACAACAACATACTGTAATGCAAATTATGTGAATGTGTCTCTCTCTATCTCTCTCTTTCAAAATATCCCATTGTACTGTCCTCCCCTATTTTGGATTGTGGCTAATGACAGGTAACTGAAATTATGGAAAGCAATACTGTGTATAAGGGAAAACTACTGGTTAGTGTGATTGAGCATAGTTGGAATCACCACACTTCAAACTGTTAGAGAAATGAAAAGTCTCTTGCTTACTGATTTTATAGTATAAAGTTATTATTTCCTCTTTATTTACATTTCAGGGCCATCAGATGTGCACCACTGGGGATGTTAAATTAGGGTTAGAGGTGCACCATTGCCAAGATGGGGAAGACAGAGCCCACATTTTCCAAAAGAACTTGAAAGCTTGTGAATGAATGCAATGTCCTCTTATCTCCCTGCATCTGTTCTTCATTTTTCCACTCTCTCTATAGAGGAAATCTAATCATGTCACTCTTCTGCTTGAAATCCTTCAAGAGCTTTCAATGGCCTTTAGGATAAAATATAAGCTTCTTACAATGGAATTAAAATGTATTTCAGCTGGGTATGGTGGCTCACACCTATAATCCCAGCACTTTGGGAGGCCAAGGCAGGAGGATCGCCTGAGGTCAGGAGTTTGAGACCAGCCTGGGCAACATGGAGAAACCATGTCTCTACTAAAAATAAAAAAATTGGCCAGTGCCACTTGTCTGTAGTTCCAGGTACTTAGGAGGCTGAGGCGGGAGAATCACTTGAAGTCAGGAGGTGGAGGTTGCAGTGAGCCGAGATCGTGTCACTGCACTCCTTGACTCCTTAACATTTCCCCATGTTAAGCTTATGCGCCAGTGGAATAGACCTACTCACAGATCTTCAAATAATCCATGTTTTCTTAAACTTTTCAGCATTTGCACATGCCATACTCTGCCTAGAACAGATATCCTCTGCCTCTGTAGTAAATTCTTCTTCCTTCAAGACATGACAGAGCTACTCAGGAAAGTCTTACCTGGCTGAGGCCTTGCTTTACTTACTTAACATATTCACACAAGCCACACACACACGCACACACACAAGCACACACGCACACGTGCAGGGAGATGGGGGGTAGAGAGAGAAAGAGAGAGAGAAAGATTTGGCCTTACTCTTTGCATTAAATTGGCTTCCATAACTAGGGAAATGGCCTTGTGTTCTAGTCCTAAAGAGATGGTAGTCTTAAGGAGATAACAAACAGAGGAAAACAAGAAGCAGAAAATTCTACTACCAACACCTATGAAATACATGTTATATATATTATATACATAGGCAAGTATAAATGCATAGTTGATCATACAAGGAAGAATAGAGCCTCCCCTGGTGGCAAACTGAAGTGTGTGAAAACATGAGCTGTTGTGACTGCCCTGAAGTAGTCTTGGTCTCAATAGTACAGAGGCTTAGAGTTTAAAATCCTCATGGGAACAGAAACTGAAGCTTTGTATTCAAAACAAGAGGGGGATTGAAATGGAGACCACTGAATAAATATGGGACTTTCAAAAGTACTGGACTTCAGGGAAACCCTCAGAGAAAGAGTGTTCTAAGAAAAAAAAAATCTACTCACTGGTACAGAGAAGACAAGGACGCTAAAAGTAACAGCTGAAACAAAAGAGAATTTTCTGAGAATTCAAATTCCAAACTTGTGTTTCATGCAGGCTCAAGATTCAAAATAATAACTTCTCACAAAGTCTGGAAACCTTGAAAGAAAGAGATTGGTATAAAAATTGGACCCAGCAGGGTGATTCTCTTGGGGCATGTAAAAGAAGCAAATATAAAACTTTCAGGGAGGCATGCCCTCAACAGATGCTATTCAGCAACAATTTATAAGTCAACAGACACAGCAATGGGGATAATCGGAACCCCAAGAATTTCAGCTCCTAGGGCACTGGTCGAGATTATAAAATTGGTTTGTCCTAAATGAATAAAAAATAAAATGTGGAATTTAAATCCTAAGGAAAAAAAGGCACTACAAAAAACGGCACATTTGAAAAAGAATGAAATATAATTTCTAGAAATAAAAAAGTCAATAGACTAAACTGAAAGTAATATACAACTAAAGGACTTGCAAACAGAGTTGGAATGAAGACTATTACTCAGAATATAGCACTGAGAGATAAAGAATTAGAAAACAGGTAGGAGAAATTAACAGATATGAAGGTTAGAATGAGAGCCACAGTCAGGTAGGAGTTGTAGAAGGTGGTGTTTGAGAGAAGAGGGAGAAGTAATATGTTGAGGTAATGGCTGAGAGTTTTCCAGAATGTATGAAATATATGAATCCTTAGATTAAGGCAACATTATAAGTCATGAGCAGGCTAAATAAAAATAAATCACACATAGAGCCTTATAGTAAAACCATCAAATACCAAAGACAAAAAGAGGATCTAGAAGGCAATCAGCGAGAAAATACAGATTACCTAAAAAGAAACAAAAATTATGCTGTCACATGCTTTTAATAGCAAGAAAAAAGGCTAAAGAGAAACGGTATATTGTATTGCCTTTCTTCAAATTACTAAGAGAAAATAATTGTTAATCTAGAATAAATTATACAAACTGTCATTTGGGAAGGAGAGTTAAAAATAATTTTTTGACAAAATTAAGAGTATTTACCACTTTCAGATCTATGATGAATAACGACTTTTAAAGGATATAAGTAAGGAAAAAGCCAGAAAGAATAGGCTTCAAGTAATGATGGTAAGCAAAGAAACTAGTAAACATGTGGGTCAATATAAAGAAGGATTGTTATTATTATTTTTTTGAGAGAGGGTCTTGCTCTGTCACCCAGCCTGGAGTGCAGTGGCGCTATCCTGGCTCACCACAACCTCTGCCTCCCAGGTTCCAGTGATTCTCCTTCCTCAGCCTCCCAAGTAGCTGTGATTTCCATGTGATAAGAGGCGTGTGCCATCACGCCAGGCTAATTCTTGTCTTTTTAGTAGAGACCCGGTTTTACCATGTTGGCCAGGCTGGTCTTGAACTCCTGACTTCAAGTGATTTGCCCACTTCAGCCTCCCAAAGTGTTGGGATTATAGGCGTGAGCCACCATGCCCGGCCTAAGAAGCATTTCTTACACAGAACAGTAATGATAATGGTTATTAATTTTGGTAATAATATCAAGATATAATAAAATTCCAAACATCTCTAACACTTAATAAGAAGATGAGTAATTTTTATTAGAAGAAGGTTAGAATTATTGATTTCAATTTTAGTTCCTGTTTAATCAAGTATATATGTTAGCAATTTCAACATAATCACTTAAAAACAGAAACTGATCATATAATATCTAAATAACTAGAGAATAACAAGGATTAAAGATAACTTAGTTAATCTTATAGAAGGCAGGAAAAGATAAAAAATCATTTTAAAGAGAAATCTGAAAAAGAGAGAGAGAGGGAGAGAGAAAGAGAAGATAGATATAAATCCAAATATTTCAGCAATCAAAAGAATGTCATATGAGCAAAATTCTCCAGTTAAAGGAGCAAGGCCATAAATTGGGTGGTAAGTATTCAATAAAATTGTCTTTATAAGGGAACATAAACATAAATATCATGGCATAAAATGACTTAAAGTAAAAGGATGAGAAAAAGTTGACCAGGTAAATAATCAAAATTAGGCTAGTGTATCTATATTAACATAAAGAATGCACTCGGAGAGGGATAGCATTATTAGGGATGAAGATGGTTACTACGCGTTGATAAAAGATTCAAGTCACAAGGAAGTAATAACATTTCAAAATATATATGCCTCCAACAACATATATAGAGAACATTTTATACAATAAGAAGGAGAAATAGGTAAACCCACAGTTCTATGGGGGAGATAAATGCTTGTTCCATAATAGTAGAGTAAGCAGACATGTAAAATTCTTTATTTGCATCTCTGTTTGTAATAGCAAAGAGTAGAAACAACTGTCCCAAGTCAAGGAAGTAGATAGCTAAACTGAGACTGATTTATACATTCAGTTAGTATTCAATGGTTAAAAATGGACTAGATCTCATGGATAAGATGGATAATTCCATCTGATCATTCCATAATACTGAATGACAAAAGAGTTGCAAAACGTTATATATAGTAGACACCAAGTGGAGATATGAATTGGATATATAAACATGGAGCTTGAAGAGATGTGGGCTGAAAGATACATTTGGCAGTTATCTGAATACATTTTTTGAAAGCATGAGTATTCACAGTCATCAAGGAGAGTTAGTAGTGAAGAAAACCCAATTTAGAACCCTGGGATTTCCAACAATTACAGATCAAATTGAGAGAAAGAGAATCAAGCAAATAAAATCCAGAAAAGCAGCCTCACTAGTAAAGAGAGAGAGAGGGAAGTAAGGAGAGCTCTCATGTTGCTTGTCTTCACTGATTCCTACTTTAAATGTGTTCATGAGAGGTCATGATGCCCAAAGCTATGTCAGCCAGTTGGAAGCATGAGGGTGCACGGTTGAGGATAAAAAGCCAATATGCTAAGGGTGGAGGATGAGGAGAGAAAAAACATGACATTATAGAGCCAACTAATCCAGAAACTCACTATATCTATAATTCTGTTATATGCGATAAGCATGTATTTTGTAATGTCATTGCTAGTTGTATTTTCTGTTACTTGAAGCCAATAGCATCTTATTATGCCCAGTGACAATTTTAAAAGTCCATCTTATTCCCAGTTAAAGGAAATGTGTGTTGAATAAATGGCACTAGTGTTTCACTGGGGTTGCAAAGATAACTAAGACAAGTCCCAGCCCAAGATTTCATAGTTTAGGAGAGAGAAATTTACATTTAAAGCCATAAGAGATGGTAGGACCTTGAAGACTTTTGATCACGGATATGAGATAATAAAGGCAGTGCTTTAGAAACACTAGTTTGTTGTCATAATAAAAATGATTATGCACCTTGGGTACATATATCTGTCTATTTAGCATATTTTATTTTATTTGAACCTTATAACAAATCAATCAGGAAGGTATTGCCCATGTTTTATAAATGAAGAAATAGGTTTATGAACTGAAATAATTTGCTTAGGATCAGATAGTGATAAGATTGAAACTAAGTTTGTTTAGCACCAGAAGCCAGGCTCTTACCTGCTTTCTTCCATGCTATGCCGTGCCTCCTGTGGCACCATCTGCCTTTATCTCACACACTTCATTGACCCAACACAGGATGGCCAGAAGGGAGGAAAAGTGAGCATCAAGGAAACCAATTAAGGTAGGAGAGAGGCAGTGTAGCAAGGGAAAAGGAAAGATCAAGATGGTAGGCATTTCTGAGAGGAAGAGTGAGCCTTAATGACAGACTGGAGACATGGGATGAAGAATGCTGAAGCTTCAAAGGGATGTCAAGGTTACGGCACAGTTCCTTTCTTTTGAAAGAACACTTGGTATTTATTGCCTCCGTTCCTTCATGTGCTTTTAACATATGATCATCTAGTTTTTGCTTCAAATTTTCTCTCTTTTTTTGTGGAAACTGTTCTCTAGGTATGTACCCTTGGCCTACTCATTGAAAATTACATAGATATAGATATCCATATATTTTTTCTATTCTCCCGATGCTTCTGTATTTTCTTTAAATTTTCTCCTTCATTGGCTTCTCCAAAATTAATTTATCCCTAGAGAAGCTCATTCTTTATTTATTTGTTTTGAGATAGAGTCTTGCTCTGTCGCCCAGGCTGGAGTGCAGCGGTAAGATCTCTGCTCATTGCAACCTCCACCTCTCAGGCTCAAGTGATTCTCCTGCCTCAGCCTCCTGAGTAGCTGACTAGAGGTGCACACAACCACGCCTGGCTAATTTTTGTATTTTTAGTACAGACGGGGTTTCACCATGCTGCCCAGACTGGTCTCAAACTCCTGACCTCAAAGAATCTGCCTGCCTCGGCCTCCCAAAGTGCTGGCATTACAGGCATGAGCCACTGTGCCTAGCCTTGTTCTATCTTTCAAAATCTCTCCTTCCCCTAAACATTTGCCTACCTCCAGAATTACTTTGGATGCCACATTTCTTACCTATCGTTTTGCTTGGCTCCAGTTTTTTTCTTCTGTCTTCTAAATGAGCATATATGGTATGTACTTTGCTGTAATGATCTTTACCTAAGTTTAGTCTCCTCCTAGAAATCTTCCAAACAATTCTCATCCTTTGACACGCCATACTTCTTTCTGCCTTGTTGCTTATAACAATCACATAACATTTTATACATATGCTTATTTGTACCAATATATGCCTTGTTTAAGGAGTAATTTTCATGTATCTTGATAGTCCCCATAGTGCCTAGCATTCTTGCATTTAGTAGACAATTATTCATTCATTTCTTTATTCCTTCAACAAATACTTGAATGGGAGGAACAAAAAGGGGAAAAGCAGAATAAATAACTATAAAAAGTGTGAAACAGGAAAAAGAAATAAGGTGTTAATTTGAGGAAGATTTGAAAACCTGTATTCTATTTTATTTTATCTTTTTTAACCTGATAGCCTTGGACTTGTTTAAAATCCAATGAGAGGTAGAACACACAAGGGAGAGAAGTAAGCAAAGGGTTATGAAGAGATCCTCTAGAAGGATGCTGCAGCTAAGAGTTACAGGTGTGGCCGGGCGCAGTGGCTCACACCTATAATCCCAGCACTTTGGGAGGCCGAGGCAGGCAGATCACGAGGTTAAGCAATCAAGACCATCCTGGCCAACATAGTGAAACCTTGTCTCTACTAAAAATACAAAAATTAGCACGGGCATGGTGTCACGCACCTGTAGTCCCAGCTCCTCGGGAGGTTGAGGCAGGAGAATCGCTTGAACCCGGGAGGCGGAGGTTGCAGTGAGCTGAGATCACGCCACTGCACTCCAGCCTGGTGACAGAGCATGACTCCGTCTCAAAAAAAAAAAAAAAAAGAGTTACAGGTGTGCTGAAGTCTTGATGTCCTCCGCTCCAGGTGGCACAAGCTTCCAGCTATAAGCAGCCAGTGTGTTATGCAAATTTGTTTTTAAGTAGACCATTTTGTGAAAAATATTAGGAAGCCCTTTTGTGAGGTTCCCAAGAAAGTAGATGAGGATGTGTATGAGTCAGAGTACTCTAGATAAATAGAACCAGATATATCTATACATCTATATAGAGAAAGACAGAGAAAAAAGAGATTGATTTTAAGGAGTTGGCTCACCATATTGTGGGGGCTGGCAAGTCTGAAATTCGTAGGGCAGGATGCCAGCAGGCTGGAAATTTTGGCAGGAGTCAATGTTGCAGTCTCAAGTTTGAAGGCAGAATTCCTTCTTCTTCTGGGTACCTCAGTCTTTTCCCTAAAGGCCTTCAACTTACTGAATGAGGTCCACCTACATTACGGAGAGTAATTTGTTTACTCAAAGTCTACTGATTTAAATGTTAATCACATCTGAAAAAAAATAGCTTCATAGCAACAGCTAGACTGGTGTTTGACTAAACAACTGTGTACCATAGCCTAGCCAAGGTAACACATCAAATTAATCATCACAAGATGGAAGCCAAAGGGACAGGTGAAAGTTCGGCTTTGGGTAGGAGGAGGGTCACCTCCACCAATGTAAAAGGAGAAATGTGGATGGAAACTAATGTGGATGTTTAGGTAACTCCAAATCTATGGCTTCTATTTCCTCTGTGAAGCTGGGATGAGAGGAGGAAATCAATGGTTTAAAGATAGTGATAGGTTTGCAAAATTTACTTAGGTGAGTGGGAGAGTAGTTGCCAAGTGAAATAGACTGAGACTGCTGAGAAGAGCTAAAGGTTGGTGATTACAGTCTTATGAGGGGTGTAAATGCTAATAAATGCTCACAACACAGCTATTTCACTCTATTTAAGATGGTATCTTTTCAAGTATTGACACAGTATTGCTCTTTACTTTCTGCTAGCAAACATCACCCTTTGGTTAACTTCTATGCGCCCTTCTATAATCTCTTATTTCATGGATTAGACCTACTGAGTGTTAACTGTGGTAACACTTGTCTGGGGACCTTATTATTTTTTGTCTTGTAAGACTACACATCTAATAAATAACACAATTAAGGGTGGTGCACAGGAGACATGGTGAATGAGCTTAAGGAGAAGGATGTTGTTGTTGAGGCTACTTTAAATGCTAGAAGTACTTTATAGGCTTTTAGCATAGACTCACTGCTCTGTGACTCAATAATAACACACTTCTTTAGCCATCATTCAAAGGACAAGTGTACACACTGTGCAATAGGGACTCCATACGTATTTGAAAATACAAATGAAGATGTGGCTTTTCTTGATTCTATTTTCCACATCTTTGCCTATTTGCATATTATGTTAGCTCTAGAAAATGGCTAGGAGGCAGACTTTTTCCACAACTGTCAATCCAGTGTTCTCCTCTTCTTGTTTGTTTGAATTATCTGATAAGCGGCACTTATTTATTTGAGAGGTAGTAAAAGGTAAAGAAAAAAAAATATATATAGAGAGAGAGAGAGACAGAGTCTCACTCTGTCACCCAGGTTAGAGTGCAGTGGCACGATCTCGGCTCACTGCAACCTCCACCTCCCAGGTTCAAGTGATTCCCCTGCCTCAGCCTCCTGAGTAGCTGGGATTAGGGGCACCTGCCACCATGTCTGGCTAATTTTTGTATTTTCAGCAGAGATGGGGTTTCACCATGTTGGCCAGGCTGGTCTCGAACTCCTGACCTCAAGCCATCCACCTCCCTTGGCCCCCCAAAGTGCTGGGATTATAGGTGTGAACCACCGTGCCCAGCCCAAGAAAAGATTTTTAAACCATGTAGTCAGAAGACCTAGGTAGGTGATGGCAAACTCATATCCTTCCAGAAATATATAACATATTTGCTGTAGCCAAACTAATACATGTACTGGCAGATCTCGTAATCTTGGATCTATGTTTTAGTTCAGACTTTATCACGTACTAGAGCTTTGATTTGGATAATCTGCCTTCTGTTGGCTTCATTTCATTTATCTGTAAAATGTTAATAATGCTTGTTTTACCTGGGGCATAGGATTATGATAAAGGTTATATAATATAATGTTATATAATAGAAACTTCAGATATACAAATATACATGTATTAGTCAGGGTTCTCCACAGAAGCAAAACCAATATGGGGTGTGTGTGTGTGTGTATTCAAGAGAGAATTTATTTTACGGAATTGGTTCGTGTGATTATGCGGACTGGCAAGTCTGAAATCCATAAACAGGAGAGCAGGTTGAAAATTCCAGGAAGAGCTGGTGTTGTAGTATAGAGTCCCACACTTGCCGGCTGGAAATTTAGGCAGGATTTCTATGTTACACTCTTGAGTTAGAATTGCTTCTTCTTCAGGAAACCTCAGTCTTTGCTCTTAATGGCTTTGATTAATTAGATGAGGCTCACCCATGATATGAGAGTAATCTGCTTTACTCGAGGTTTACCTTTTAAATGTTAATCGTATATAAAAACACCTTCACAGAAACATGCAGTCTAGTATATACTAAACAACTGGGGTACAATTGCCTAGCCTAGTTGACACGTAAAATTAAGCAGCACAATACAGCATTAAGATGAATATCTGGGCTCTTGATTTAGGTTGCCTGAATTTAATTCTAACTCTACCTTTGGGAGCTAAGAGTCCTTCAGCAAATATTGCATTCTTTCTGTGATTCAGTGTTCTCATCTGTTAAACCACCTTACAGAGCTGTTGTGAGATTCAATATAGAACACACATGTAGTGTGTTCAGAATAAGATAGTATGGAGTAAATGTGCAGTAAATTTGGCTACTATTAAACAAAAGCCATTATTATTACTGTTATTAAATCTGAAAATATAACAATATACAAATTTTAAATAAAAAAGAAATTTTTCTGTTTGCTAGTCCTGCTGTTTTCCCTTTCCTCTGGGTCTGAGTATAAGGACAGCAGTCAGTCATCCTGGATTTACCGAAACAGTCACACTTTCAATATTCTGCCTTATTATTCCCATTCACATACTCTGTCAGACCTTTCATTCTGATGTGTGGTTCACAAAATATGCATGCCATACATGGTGATGACAACTGACTTTATTTATTTATTTATTTTTGAGAAGGAGTCTCACTCTGTCGCCCAGGCTGGAGTGCAGTGGTGCAATCTTGGCTCACTGGAACCTCTGCTTCCTGAGTTCAAGTGATTCTCCTGCCTCAGCCTCCCAAGTAGCAGGGATTACAGGCACCTGCCACCACACCTGGCTTTTTATTTATATTTTGTTTTTGTATTTTTAGTAGAGATGGAGTTTAGCCATGTTGGCCAGGCTGGTCTCAAACTCCTGACCTCAGGTGATCCACTCGTCTTAGCCTTCCAAAGTGCTGGGATTACAGGTGTGAGCCACCATGCCCAGCCGATAATTGACCTTTTGAAGATGGTAGCTGAGCCTTACAACTCAGGCTCATGGTTGACTCTGTAGTTTGATAGAGAATAACAAGTTAGCCATCTGTCAGCTAAAAAGCTTTGCTGCTTTGTGGGTGGTATCTTGGTGCTGGATTATTAATATCATGTGAAGTTATTCATTAATTCTTTGCCATCATCTCAGAGGGTCATAGCATATTTATTTCTCTGCATCTGAACATACCAGCATGATCTAAAGCAATTTGTTGATATGTAATGTTATTTGCTAATAATCATGTGATTTTTATCATTTCAAACTAATTTCTCAGAATTACCTGATTAACTGTGGGTTTTCCTTTAGTGACATAAGTGTATATTTAATAATTTCCCAATTTCAGAATTACTTGATTAATTATGGGTTCTCCTTCAGCGACATAAGTGTACATTTAGTAATTTCCCAATTTCGTTAGAGTCACAGTATGTGGGCAAATCTGTGGGTTCTTAATGTGCCTTTATATATTATGTCTAAGTGTTCAGATAAAAATAATTTAGCTTAGAAAAAGAAAATAAAAATTAAAAAGGAATTAAAAATTTAACAGGTCAGTTATGTGACCTTTATTATTAAGCTAATCTAATACTTAATCTGTTTTCAAAACTGTGAATTTACTAAATTATGAATAAGAAGTCCATTTTTGCTGCACTTACAGAGATGAGATGAAGAGCTGGCCACCAAGGAAGGCTCTCACAGGTTGGCAGTAAGTAGGCAGAGCCACTGACCCAGAATGCGGATCCTAGATTTTCACATTTTGAACTTCAGTTTCATCAGGAACTTAGAACTTAGGTGATTCAATTCTCAGGAATAACTTTTTTTTTCTTTCTTTCTTTTTTTTTTTTTTTTGAGACGGAGTCTCGCTCTTGTCACCCAGGCTGGAGTGCTGGAGTGCTGGAGTTCAGTGGCGCAATCTCAGCTCACTGCAACCTCCACCTCCCGGGCTCAAGCAGTTCTCCTGCGTCAGCCTCCCAAGTAGCTGGGATTCCAGACATGCGCCACCATGCCCGGCTAATTTTTGTATTTTTAGTAGACACAGGGTTTCACCCTGTTGGCCGGGCTGGTCTCGAACTCCTGATCTCAGGTGATCCACTTGCCTTGGCCTCTCAAAGTGCTGGGATTCCAGGCGTGTGTCACCATGCCCGGCCCGGAACAACTCTTTTTTGTTTGTTTGTTTGTTTTGTTTTGTTTTGTTTTTGAGAGAGAGTCTCGCTCTGTCGCCCAGGCTGGAGTGCAGTGGCTTGATCTTGGCTCACTGCAAGCTCCACCTCCCAGGTTCACACCATTCTCCTGCCTCAGCCTCCCAAGTAGCTGGGACTACAGGCGCCCGTCACCACGCCCGGCTAATTTTTTGTATTTTTAGTAGAGACGGGGTTTCACTGTGTTAGCCAGGATGGTCTCGATCTCCTGACCTCGTGATCTGCCCGCCTCGGCCTCCCAAAGTGCTGGGATTACATGCGTGAACCACCATGCCCGGCCAGGAACAACTGTTAAGTGTCAAACTCAGAAATGATTGTTGTGTATGTGATTCACAATGTCAATTTATTCAGTTACAATGAAAGCTGTTTCTATCTGTTTCTAATTAATGGAAGATTAATCTAAGTTACTGCTTTCTCCTTGCATCAAAGTCCCTAATCCTCAATTAGTATTTAAAATTATGTTTCAAGAGTTCACAATTTGGTTAACGGGAACTTGACAGTTGCATCTATACTAGAGAAGCATTTTGGTTTTATATTACGGACCAACTCCATTTGCTTGGGGTGCTGGGTTGGAAAGTAGTTCAAAATGACATTTGAGGCCAGTGAAAAGGAATGCTATGATTGAATGACAGTGTCTTACACCTGTCCAAGACTGCTAGTGTGAGCTGAGCTTGCTGTGTATTTGACATCTTTGACTGAGGCTATTGATGAAAAGCTCACAAGTATCCTTGACCCACAATGTATCACAACATTCTGGTCCCCTCACTCTAGTAATTAAAAAACAGGTGTTTTCTGGCTGCATTGCCTCTTTCCTTTAGACAAAGATCGAAATAATGTTATTATCTAAAATATTACTCTCTTACACAGATTACCACCTTTTTGTGACCATGTTTTTTTGTGATAGGTGACAATATCCTTAAGTAGGAAGTTGCTTTCTTTAGTTATATTATAGTCCTAAGAATAGCCCCAGTGATGCTTCCACAGTTTCCATAAACATTTTTAAAAACCAGTCCTGAAAGATGTAGGATAATATTTGATGTTGACATATGATTAATTCAATGAGGACTGACTCTATTTTATAATTGCCAGAAGTGAGTGGATTGTGTCACCAGATTTAGGGGCACTCCACACCACTTTATGCTGAAAACTTGTTTTTAGTGCTCCATACTACCAAAGACTTCATAGTTTGTCTCGTGAGTCTCTAAACTTTTCTTGATAGGGATTGGCTTTTGATGTTGCGGAAGTCTTATGCTATACGGGTAAGGAAAGACACTCACAACATGGGCCTTATGCACACAGCATCTTAGCAGTGGGAGCAGAGCCTGCTCAGGCTTCAAGACTGACCAGAAGAGGGCAGACAACCTCTTGGATTACCTTGATTTAAGTGATTGCCTCTCCTCTGTAAAGGACAGAGATTTCACCCCCAAGACATTCCTTTGGTGTGACAGTAGGGACTGAGAGATACAGATTTGAAGAGCTAGTAAGCAAGAATACATTATGATTTTTTAAATCATAGTTTCATATTTTTAAAAGGAGACTGCTTACTTAACAGGATAACTATTTTTCTTCTTTAATTTCAATTTGGATGAGCTCAAGGATGCTATGCCATACTTATTATACTAGACTTCAAAAGGCTTTGTTTAAAGCAAAGCAAGCCTAAAATCTACACAACTCTGAAAATCACTTCAGAGAATCTTGAATAAACTTTTCTTCAGGGTATTTCAGACTAATCTAAGAAAATATTTGCTTGAACACTGTGTGTATTTTTTAAAAGGAATTCTGTTCAGCCCCTCGTTATTAATGTTTATTTTATTTGTGAAGTTCTTTAGACTCTTCAGAAGGAGGGTTAATGATTAAGAACCAAGGTAAAACATTGTTTCTTTTTTATTCTTATATTTCATTCAACTGAAAAAGATCTTAATCATTAGCATGACATATTTATTAATGTTTCTAATTTCAAGGATTAATTTTTATTTTTGCAAGGATTAATTTTTTTTTTTTTTGCAATATGGCTGTTAGAATGACCTCAAAATTATATAACTCCCTGCTTTTTGGTTGTGTAAAAATTTGTACATGATTGAGTATTCTGAATGTCTCGAATGCCTCCAAGTCCTTCATCTCCAGGGTCAGTTTGCCCTTCAGTATCCAACAATTATAGTCCAATCTTGCATACCTTGATTATTTGCAGGCAATTTATTTATTGTTATTGTATTTCTTTCCTATAATATTTTTGAATTCCAGGAATGTCTAATTTTTCCATACATTTCTCTGATTTTTTTTTTTTTTTTTTTTTTTTTTTTTTTTTTACGGAGTTTTGCTCTTGTTGCCCGGGCTGGAGTGCAACGGCACGATCTCACCTTTCCGCAACCTCTGCCTTCAGGGTTCAAGCAATTCTCCCGCCTCAGCCTCCCAAGTAGCTGGGATTACAGGCATGCACCACCACATCCAGCTAATTTTGTATTTTTAGTAGAGATGAGGTTTCTCTGTGTTGGTCAGGCTGGTCTCGAACTCCCGACCTCAGGTGAACCATCCACCTCGGCCTCCCAAAGTGCTGGGATTATAGGCGTGAGCCACCACGTCCAGCCTCTCTGATTATTTTTTTATCAGTCTGTATCAGTTACAAAGTTTTCAGCTTCAACTGGCATAAACCTGACTCAAGTTGGGCTTCACTATTGAAGGTATTGACTCACATCAAGGCACTGCAGAGGTAGGGCATGCCTCAGAGGTGGTGGTTTGATGAGATGGACTTGGGTTCTTTTTGTCTATCTGCAACTACATCCACTAGATAAATTGCATCCTAAATTTCTCTTGCGGTCATAGGATTGTAGTCAGTAGCATTTGGGAATACAGGCTTCCATTTTCAAGTCTAAGAAGAAAGAACTTGACTGTTTGTAACTTACTCTTAAGAGTTAAGATATTTCTTTCCTAGGAGACCACAGCAAAACTCTCCTCATCTCTCATTGGTTTAAATGAGCTTAGGCCTTTCCACTGACAACTTCCAGCAAGGGGAATGGGATTATCATAATTGGCCCATATTAATCAGTGATCCTTGTCCCCCCTCTCCCAGACCCAGGTGGGGTAGAAAATGGATATTGGGTAGTCAGTCATTCCATATCATGCTGCTATGGACTGATGTTCTGGGCTTTTCTATTTGTTGCCCCTTACTGCATTATACCTGCTTTCTAGGCTGCTGCCACTTCCCTGCCCTTCTTGACCCTAGGCATAGACATAATAGTAAAAATGGCAAGTTTAGTTTTCCCAAACATAGACACATCAGTAAAGACACTTGGAGACTGCAATATGGGAAACAAAAACATAATACTGAGTACTGAGGTCTTGCCTTGTCTCTTTCTCCTGCCTTGCCTTCTCCTGCTTCCTGTCACCCGCTTCTTCCCTTCCTCTTCATTTCCTGAGGCCTCCTCAATTCTTGATGCAAATCAGTATCCAGGTGGCCCACGGGGTCCCATGGGGGACCATGTTGGTGGATGAAAAGAGAATGCCAAGAAGGTAAATGGGAGAATTTGGTGATAAGAGCAGATGGCTGACCAGAGACACTGGATGTCAGTTCTCCTCAGAAAGATCAAAGTTACTGGTGAATGGACAAGTTCTGAATGGAAAGCTGAGAGAAGAGAACCAGGATCTGTTGGAGTGCCTATGGGAAGGAGCTGGGGTACAAAAAAGGAAAGCAGCAAGAGTCTGGTAAAGGTCAACCCAGGAAACTCAGAGTCCATGGAAAGGGTAGGTGGGAGTGCCCTTGGTGGGAGGAGCCCTACAAAAGCCCCCTCATGACAAAGGAAATAAGGGCACAGCACCAGTTACTGAAGTGGGCGGCACTGGCTCCCAGGAACAGATGTGAAGGAATATCATCTCCTGCCTTCCCCGATAACTTGTTGGGGATGCAACTTCCCACCGGGGGCCAGAGCACATGCACTTGGAGAAAGTGTTTTTCATACTTTTTGTGGTGGCTTCACCCTCGCTGAAAGTGAGTCCATGCCGTTTGAGCTTGTACAAAGCCCAACTCCCCATCCCTAGTCCCTATACAGAGCAGTAGCATCTAGCAATGGAGGAGAGATTGGCCATAGAGTTGCCTGCTCTGGACCAAGGGAAGAGGGTCTGCCCTGAGCCCATATTGGGGTAGCTCTCAGAGGGGTGTGTCCAGGGCCTGCAGCCACACTGTGGTGGGGAACCAAAGGTCAGTCTTTATGAAATAAGGGTCATGAGCCCTATGACAGGGGTGTGATAGGGAAGTGGATCACATTCCTGCCAACTCAGGATGAGGAGTTGGTACACACCCCAGCCCCTTCCCCTGACACTTCAGTGCACCCCAACACAATCTCTTCCTACCACCCATCCTTCAGGGCAGGTGCTTCCACTCATCATCAGTCCACCTGACGACAAGCCAGCTTTTACACTTAAGCACCATCTATTGGATTGCAGCCTGAACTGCATCACCAAATAAAAAGCAAGCCTGCTGCCAGACAGGCTAAGTGCTGGTACATGGGACAAGCTTTCTGAGATATCAGAACTCTCAGTCAGTCCTGAAGGAGATAGTTTGTTGGCTCATACATCCAATGCATCACTACAACAAGCAACATCTAAGAAAGCCACTGCACAGAAGCTATCCACAACCAATGAACCCATATAGAGTCTTGGCCCACTGAAAACACCCAGGAATGAAGCCAAATGACCATATGCAGTGTACACCTTAGTCAGGCCCTCAAGAGAAAAAAGAATTTAAAAATAAAAATGTCCCATCCAAACAATAGAAAATTCAAAAATAAGAAGCACCAGTTCCCTCAGATGAGAAGGAATCAGCACAAGAACTCTGAAAGTACTAAAAGCCAGAGTTCTTGACCCCTCCGAAGGATTGCATTCTCTTTCTAGCAATGGATCCTAATCAAATTGAAAAGTTTGAAATGACAGAAAAAGAATTCAAAATATAAATTGCAAGGAAACTCAATGAGATCCAAGAGAAAGTTGAAATCCAATAAGAAGAAGCCAGAAAAATGATTCAAGATATAAAAGACAAGACAGCTATATTAAGAAAAAACCAAATAGAACTTCTGGAATAGAAACATTCCCTAAAGGATTTAAAAATACAGTTGGAATCTTTAACAATAGGCTAGGCAAAGCAGAAGAAAGCATTTCAGAGCTTGAACGCTGGTCTTTTGAATTCACCCAGTCAGACAAAAATCAAGAAAACAGAATTTTAAAAAATGATCAAAGCCTTAGAGAAATATAGGATTATGTAAAGTGACCAAATTTACTGACATTGGCATTCCTGAGAAAAAAGAAAAAGCAAGCAACTTGGAAAACATACTTGAGGAAAAAAATTCAGGAAAATTTCCCTAATCTTGCTAGAGAAGTCAACATCCAGATATAAGAAATTCAGAGAACACCTGCAAGACACTTCACCATATGACCATTCCTGAGGTACAGTCATCAGACTATCCAAGGTCAATGTGAAGGGGAAAAATCTTAAAGGCAACTAGAGAAAAGGGTCAAAATTACCTATAAAGGAAATCCCATCAGACTAACAGTAGACTTCTCAGCAGAAACATTACAAACCAAAAGAGATTGGGGGCCTAGTTTTAGCCTTCTTAAAGAAAAGAAAATGCTGCCAAGAATTTCATATCCTGCCAAACAAGCTTCATAAACGAAGGAGAAGTAAAGTCATTCCCAGAGAAGCAAATGCTACGGGAATTTGTCATTACCAGATCAGTCTTAAAAAAATACTCAGAAGAGATCTGCACATGGAAACAAAAGAATGACGCTTGCTACCATAAAAGCACACATAAGTACACAGATCATATAAGGCAATTATATAATTGAGACTACACTATTTATCACTTAGCAACAGTATGACAGGAACAAACCTCACATATCGATATTAACCTCTGGGACATAACGAAAGCAGTATTAAGAGAAAAGTTTATAGCACTAAATGCCGACATCACAAAGAGAGATCTCAAATTAACAACCTAACATTGCACCTAAAGGAACTAGATAAACAAAAAGCTTAAATGCTTCACTTAAAAGACACAGAGTGGCACATTGGGCAGAAATAAGACCCAAGCTTCCACCGCCTTCAAGAGACCTATCTTATGTGTAAAAACATTCATAGGCTCAAAATAAAGGGATGGAGAAAGATCAATCACACAAATGGAAAACAAAAAACAGCAGAGGTTACTATTTTTATATCAGATAAAACAGACTTTAAAGCAACAACAGTAAGAAAAGAGACAGAAGGGCATTATTTAATGATAAAGGGTTCAATTCAACACTGCGTATGCACTGAACATCAGAGTACCCACATTTATAAAACAAATTCTACTAGACCTAAAGAGAAAGATAGACAGTGATCCAATAACAGTGGGTGACTTCAACACTCCACTGACAACACTAGACAGATCACTGTGGCAGAAAACTAACAAAGAAACTCTGGACTTAAATTGGACTCTTGACCAAATGGACCTAATAGACATCTACAGAATATTCCACCCCACAATCACATAATATAATTTTTCTAATCTGTGCTATGAAAAATTCTCTAAAATTGACCATACACTTGGTATTACAGAGAATCTCAGTACATTTTTAAAAACTGAAATCATATCATATCAAGCATCTTCTCAGACCACAGTGAAGTAAAATTATAAATCAATACCAAGAAGAACACTCAAAACAACAGATGTACGTGGAAACTAAACAATTTGCTTCTGAATGACTTTTGGGTAAAGAACAAAATTAACGCAGAAATATAAAAATATTTTGAAACAAATGAGAATGGAGACACAACACACCAAAATCTCTGGGACATAATGAAAGCAGTATTAAGAGAAAAGTTTATAGCACTAAATGCCGACATCACAAAGAGATCTCAAATTAACAACCTAATGTTGCACCTAAAGGAACTAGATAAACAAAAACAAAGCAAACACAAAGCTAACAGAAGAAAAGCAATAACAAAGATTATAGCAAAACTAGATGAAATTGAGGCCAAAAAACCAGACAAAGGATCAACAAAACAAGAAGTTGGTTTTTTGAAAGGATAAACAAAATTGATAGATTGTCCTAGATTAACCAAGAAAACAAGATTGTGCAAATAACCACATTCAGAAGTGACAGAGGTAGCACTAGCATTACAACTGATACCACAAAAATACAAAAGATCCTCAGAGACTACTAGGAACATCTCTGTGCACACACTAGAATATCTATAGAAAACGAATAATTTTCTGGAAACATGAAACCTCCCAAGAGTGAACCAGGAAGAAATTGAAAT
Source organism: Homo sapiens (assembly GCF_000001405.40). Lineage (NCBI taxonomy): Eukaryota > Metazoa > Chordata > Mammalia > Primates > Hominidae > Homo > Homo sapiens. The sequence continues at coordinate 130,299,923 of NC_000006.12, forward strand.
GCTGAACAGACCAATAATTAATTGTGAAATTGAATCAGTAATAAAAAATCTACCAAACAATAAAAGCCCTGGACCAGATGCATTTAGAGCCAAATTCTACCAGATGTTCAAAGAAGAACTGGTACTAATCTTACTGAAAGTATTGCAAAAAATCAAGTCAGACGTATTCTTCTCTAACTCATTCTGTAAAGCCAGTATCATCCTGATACCAAAATCTGGCAAGGACAAAACAAAAAGGAAACTACAAGCCAATATCCTTGATAAACACAAACACAAAAATCCTCAGCAAACTACTAGCAAACCAAATCCAGCAGTGCATCAAAAAGATAATTTATCACAATCAAGAGGGTTTTATTCCTGGGATGCAAGGATGTTTCAACATATGCAAATCAATAAATGTGATTCATCACATAAACAAAATTAAAAACCAAAATTATATGATCATCTCAATAGACAGAAAAAGCATTTGATAAAAAAATCCAATGTCTCTTCATGATAAAAACCCTCAACAAACTAGGCATTAACAAACTAGGCACTGAAGGAACATATCTCAAAATAATAAGAGCCATTTATTGCAAACCCACAGCTGACATGATATTCAATGGGCAAAAGCTTGAAGCAAGCATTCCCCCTAAGAACTGGCACAAAACATGGATGCCCACTTGTACCACTCCTATTCAACATAGTACTGAAAGTTCTAGCTACAGAATTCAGAAAAAATAAAGAAATAAAAGGCATCCACATAGGAAAAGAGAAAGTCAAATTATCTCTGTTCTCTGATGACATGATTCTATACCTAGAAAATCCTAAGGATTTCTCTGAAAGACTCCTAGACATGATAAATGAATTCAGCAAAACTTCAGGATACAAAATCAACATACAAATATCAGTAGCATTTCTTTATTATTATTATTATACTTTAAGTTCTAGGGTACCTGTGCACAACATGCAGGTTTGTTACGTAGGTATACATGTCCCATGTTGGTTTGCTGCACCCATCAACTCGTCATTTACATTAGGTATTTCACCTAATGCTATCCCTCCCTCAGCCCCCCACCTCCAACCAGCCCCGGTGTCTGATGTTCCCCGCCCTGTGTCCACGTGTTCTCACTGTTCAACTCCCACCTATGAGTGAGAACATGCGGCGTTTGGTTTTCTGTCCTTGTGATAATTTGCTGAGAATGATGGTTTCCAGCTTCATCCATGTCCCTGCAAAGGACACAAACTCATTCTTTTTTATGGCTGCGTAGTATTTCATGGTGTATATGTGCCACATTTTCTTAATCCAGTCTATCATTAATGCATATTTGGGTTGGTTCTAAGTCTTTGCTATTAAATACCAGTAGCATTTCTATACATCCAGGATGTTCAAGCTGAAAACCAAATTGAGAACTCAATCCCATTTACAATAGCCAAACAAAAAAGAAAATACTTAGGAATACACTAAACCAAGAAGGCGAAAGATCTTTACAAGGAGAACTGCATAACACTGATGAGTGAGATCACCGATGGCGCAAACAAATGGAAAAGTATCCCATCCCCATGAACAAGAAGAATCAATATCATTAAAATGACCATACTGCCCAAAGCAATCCATAAATTCAATGCTATTCCTATCAAATTACCAATGCCATTTTTTCACAGAATTAGAAAAAACAATTCTAAAATTCATGTGAAACCCCCAAAGAGCCCAAATAGCCAAAGCAATCCTCAGCAAAAAGAACAAATCTGGAGGCATCACGTTGCCTGAGTTTAAACTATACCATATGGCTATGGTAACCAAAACAGCATTGTAATAGTGAAAAACAAACAAACAAACAAAAACCAGACACATAGATCAGTGGAACAGAATAGAAAACCCAGAAATAAAGCCACACCTACAACCAACTGGTCTTTGACAAAGTTGACAAAAATAAACAATGGAGGAAGGACATCTTATTCAATAAATGGTCTGAGAAAACTGAGTATCCATACACAGAAGAATGAAACTGGACCCCCACCTCTCACCATATAAAAAATTAACTCAAGAGGAATTAAATACTTAAATTTATGACCTCAAAATATGAAAATTCAGGAAAAACTCTTGTGGACATTGGCCTAGACAAAGAATTTATGACTAAGACCTGAATAGCAAAGGCAACAAAACCAAAAATAGACAAATGAGATGTAATTAAACTGAAGAGCTTCTGCACAGCAAACAATAAACAAACAAACACACAAACCAGAAACAATCAATAGAATAAACAGACAACCTCCAGAATGAGAAAAGTATGCATGCAACAAAGGACTAATATCCAGAATCTATATGGAACTTAAACAAATAGCCCATTAAAAAGCAGGCAAAGGACATGAACAAAGATTTCTGAAAAGAAGATATACAAGAGGCCAACAAACATAGGAAAAAATGCTCATCAACACTAATCATCAGAGAAATGCAAATTAAAACCATAATGAGATACCATCTCACACCAGTCAAAATAGCTATTATTAAAAAGTCAAAAATAACAGATATTGGCAAAGATATGAAGAAAAGAGAACACTTACACACTGTTGGTGAGAAAGTGAAGTAGTTCAACCCTTATGGAAAACAGTATTGAGATTTCTCAAAGAACTAAAAATAGAACTACCATTTGACCCAGCAATCCCACTGCTGAGTATCTGTCCAAAGGAAAATAAATTGTTTTATCAAAAAGACACCTGCACTTGTATGTTTATCTCAGCAGTATTCACAATTGCAAAGACATGGAATCAACCTAAGTGACCATCAGTGGTGGGTTCGACAAGGAAAATGTGGTACATATGCACCATGGAATACTATGCAGCCATAAAAAAGAATGAAATAATATTTTTTTGCAGTAACATAGATGCAGCCAGAGGCCTAAGTGAACTAATGCACAAACAGAAAATCAAGTACCACAAGTTACCACTTATAAGTAAGAGCTAAACAATGGGTACATGTGAACATAAAGATGGAAACAATAGATACCAGAGGCTTTAAAATTTGAGGGGGCAAGGGTTGAAAAACTGCCTGTTGGGTACTATGTTCGCTGTTTGGGTGGCGAGTTAACTACAAGCCCAAACCTCAGCATTATGCAATACACCCATGTAACAAACTGCACATGTATCCCCTGAATCTATAATACAATAATACTCAGTACCACATATTACTGTTCCTAGAGGTGATCGACTGTGTGCCTGCCCTGGGGGACTCTACTGAACATTGCTCTCTTCGGTACCTTTCCTGCCTCTATTGTTCAGGGGCAGCATGTCTCCTGTAAGTAGGGGTCCTCTTCACTTTGTCTTTCATCTCCAGAATCACAAATCACAATCTTTTCTGTTTCATATCACAGTACAGGAGAAAAAAATAGATACCCTCACACCACATATGGCCAATGACATCCAAATTATTCTTCTATGTCTGATCTCTCTGTTGAGGTCTGAACTAAAGCAGCTAGTGTCTATTGTAATGGAGCCAATATCTCCATTTAGGTACTTAATAGGCAACTTAAACTTAACATGGCCAAAAGGTTAACTCTATATTCCTCCTCAATCTGAACCTTTTCCTCTCCCAGGCCTTTCCATGAATAGAAATAAATGTATTTATTTATAGAAACTCATTTACCCAGTTGATTAAGCCAAAAAGTTTGGAGTCAAAATCAAATTTTTTCCTTTTCTTTAAAATCCACATACCATTCATCAGTGAGTTATGTTGGCCACACATGCAAAAACACATCTGGAATCCATCTGCTTCCTTTTTCTCCACTGCTCTACCACCCCAGTCCAAAATTCCATCACCATTCACCTAGCTTGCCTCTTAACTCCTGTCCCAGTTTTCACTATTGCACCTATATGCACTTTATTGGCCTGGTAATCTTTTAAAACAATATATAAAATAATGTCACCTCCATTCTGAATATATTCTACATTTTAATTCTTTATTTTGTATGTGTGTTGCAAGTCTATCTTCCAGTTTTTTTCGTGTTTTTATTATGTTTTGATTAACATAAGGTTTTAATTTTAAAGTTTTCGAATTTATAAATATTTTCCTTTAAGTTTGTCATTTTTGTTTTTTCTTTAATAAATTCTAACTTGAGTGTATAAACATTTATCTACATTTTCTCCTATATGTTTAAATGTTTTCCCTTTCAAATGTAAGTTTTAAATTTCCTGGGACTGATTTTTATGTATTATATGAGGTACATATCCAGCTTTTTTCTTACACGGTTAAACAATGGTTTTGTCAACATTGTTGAACAGTCCTAATTTTCCCATTGATCTGAAGTGCCACCCAGGCTGAAGTGCAGTGATGTGATCTCGGCTTACTGCAACCTCCGCCTCTTGGGTTCAAGCGATTCTCCTGCCTCAGCCTCCTGAGTAGCTGGGACTACAGACACATGCCACCATACCCAGCTAATTTTTGTATTTTTAGTAGAGACAGGGTTTCACCATGTTGGCCAGGCTGGTCTCGAACTCCTGACATCAGGTGATTCACCCGCCTCGGCCTCCCAAAGTGCTGGGTGAAGTGCCAAATTTGTTCATAAATCAAGTTTCCATAAATGTATAGATTAGTTGTTGGGCTTCTCTCTTTAGTTCCACTGAACACATTCTCTATGTCTATGCTAATATTACACTTTCATCTTAGTTGCTAGAGCTTTATGACTTTTTACTGAAGTTAAAACAAATCTCTCCACTTACTCTTTTGCTTTAGGAGAGTTTTGGCTCTTTTCCGGACTCTTGGAATTCAGTGCATAGAATCATCTTGCTAAGTTCCATGAAAAAAAATTATGCCGAAATTTTAATTTTATCCAAACTTTAAGTCGAGATTATAATTGATATTTAAAAAACTATATTGAGTCTTTCTAAAAAGATGGCGTATCACTCTACTTATTTAGGTATTTTAAGATATCTTTCAATAAACTTTTGTAATTTTTCTACAAAGTGCTTACATATTTTAATGGTTTTTACTTAGTTGCTACTATAAACACTAAAATTACATTTTCTTCCTTTTTTTTTTTTTTTTTTTTTTTTTTGAGACAGAGTCTCACTCTGCTGCCCAGGCTGGAGTGCAGTGGTGCAATCTTGGCTCACTGTAGCCTCTGTCTCCTGTGTTCAAGTGATTGTCATGCCTCAGCCTTTCAAGTAGCTGGGACCACACATGTGCATCAGCATGCCCTGCTAACTTTCTGTATTTTTAGTAGAGATGGGGTTTCACCATGTTGCGCAGGCTGGTCTTGAACTCCTGAGCTCAGGCAATCCGCCCACCTCAGCCTCCCAAAGTGTAAAATTACATTTTCTATTTGTTGCTGGTATATAGAAATGAAGTAGATTTATTTACATTGGTTTTATTTCTAGCAACACTGCTAAACTCTTATATATCCTAATATTTTTCTATATATTCTGTGGGTTTTATGTGTAAACTTTCAACTGTATCATCTAAAGAATTATAGTATTTGTTCTCAATTTTAAATACTTAATTCTTTGACTTATTTTTTCCTTATCTTACTACCCTGTCTATAATCTCCAGAACAATGTTGAACAGAAATTGTGATAGGAATAATAATTTTTCCTGATTCTAAAGAGAATGTTTATATTCTTTTAGAAAAATGATAGCAATAAGGCCTTTGTAGATTCCCTTTTTCATGTTATGAACATTCAATTCTACCAGTTAGATAAGAATTTTAGTCATGAATGGATATTAAATTTTGTTAAATATCTTTCCTGAGTCTGTAAAGAAGGTCATATGGTTTTCCTCCTTTCAGATATTATTGGGATGCAATGTGTTGATTGATCTGCTGATATTCAAACAACCTTGAAATCTTGGAATAAATACAACTTGGCAATCTCATCTTTTAAAATAAATTGCTAATGTGCTAATATTGCTAATGCTAATATTTTGTTTAGGACTTGTCCTAGTCTGTTTGGGCTTCTATAACAAAACACCATAAACTGCATAACTTACAAACAAAATAAATTTATTTCTCCTATTTCTGAATACTTGGAAGTCCAAGATCAAGATGGCAGCAGATTCAGTGTCCAGTGAGAGCCAGCTTTTGGTTCATAGATGATGCCTTACAATGTGTCCTCACATGGTGGAAGGAAAAGGCAGTTCTCTAGGGTCTCTTTTATAAGGACACTAATCCCACTGATCTAGTTACCTCCCAGAAGCTCCACCTTCCAATACTATCACACTAAGGATTAGGTTTCAACGTATGAATTGGGTAGGGAGTGTACAAACATTCAGACCATAGCAGGACATTTTTACTTAAAAAATATTTACTTTATCAACTATTCTTGGATTATTTAAGCACTAAATTAATCACTGTCTAAGCAGAAAAATATAGGATCATTTTAGACTTGCAAGAAGGTGAAATTTAAAACAGGAAATTAAATTTATTACAAAGTTGTTAGGAGAGTTAGAGGAACAAAAAAGGAAAGATTAATTACCCAATGAAGGTAAATGAGGGTTAGAGAAGCAAAAGAAAAATGATATTACCTGATGCCTATGTTTGCTACGATTCTGAGGCTGCTGTAGCTGGAAGGAAGTTGACTAAGCAGTTACTCTTCTGCTAAGCATCTACTCTCACAGGTGGCTGCCACCATGACAGCTAAATCTACCATGGCTGGTTGAACCGACAGAAATTAGAAACAAATTGCTTCTATTCCACTAACTGTCCAGTCTCTTGTCAGTGCCTCACATTAGCAGGAACAAACAGGAAGCCAGATGGCAAGGAGATTATGAAATATAGCTTGCAGACTTCCAGCCCCAAAGATAAGTGTATACAGGGCAAGTATGGAGTAGAGAGAAAACATTAGACATCACAGTATCAAGATTTATACTAACCTTATAGAATGAGACAGAGAATGTTCTTTCTTTTTCTATTCTTTGAAAGAGTTCATGAACATGAAACTATTAATTAATATTTGCCAGAACCAACTGATAAACCATCTCATCCTGGTGTTTTCTTTCTATAATGATATTTTAAGCTACTGATTAAAGTTTTAACTACTACTTCACTACTGAGGTTCTATTTCTAAAATGTGACAAAAGATGCGGATGATCTAGCTATTGTTCTGACTTATTCTCTCATTCTCTCTGTTTCCTAGCCTTTTTGAATCATTTTAATACATTTTTACTGTATTTTTTGTGCTTCTGGACACACTTTCATGTATCTAAAGAATTCTGTGATATTTGTGAATTCACAAAGATCAAACTTTATACACATATCTAAACTTACACATGGAGTGAAAAGAAGCATTCCCTAAATGTGAGAGATTATACATGGGGTGAATGCAGTTGTGAGCAAGGCTCACAAGGGCATGAGATCTGTGCAGGTCCACAGGGCCGTCTCTTGCACTGTAATGCTCTGCTGTTGCTGTCTTGGAGTTTTTAATTTTTGAACAAGAGGTCCCACATTTTTATTTTGCATGGGTCTCTGAAAAATTACGTAGCTAATCTTTTTGTGAGCATTGGGAGAGATAGATTTGGAGTTAAGCTTTCTTTTCCTTCTTTTCTTTGTAATTAACTGTGAAAATAAGAGTTCTTCAAAGACCTATTAATGGTATTATTCAAATATTCTTTAAGAGAGGAATTAGAATATTGATTTAAGAAACTTAGGTTTATAATTTAATAAAGGAAAATTGGGCTTAATATTGGGGTGGACTGTTCCACAAACCATGGGGAAAATAGAGAATTTTGAAAATCAAATAACTATGATCCTCAGTTCATTTTTATAGAATTTTACTACAGAATTAATTTAGGTCAATTGGTTGCTAATGGTTATGTCCACAAGTTAGAATAAGCTTTTAAAAGCTTTGGTTACAAAATGTAGTAGGCCCACACTTTATTTAACTTAATCATTATAATCAATGTTTTTGTATAAGCAGATAGATGCTGGTCTGAGAGGGTTTAGCATCTATAGAATTTGAGACAGTTGTTTTAGAACCAAAGATTGTAAAAAACCAGTTTGTGTATAGCCAGTTAAGACCTGTGCTTTCATAATATCTTTTGACATAGATGTATGTGGCCAAACATGAGCCAGAAGAGTTTCATCTCACAGGTAGTCTGAGGGCCTCCCATCAAATATTTTAAACTTAAGTTTTTAAAGAACACCCATCATTGGTTAAATGTAGATACCATATAATCCTGGAAGGTTTCTCTCACATTCTGATGCACATTTGGCCTCTCTGAACAAACAAGCTTTTGTTTGACCTTTACTTTATTTGTTTGGGTTTGTTTGGTTTAGCTCTGTTAGTCTTGACTAAATCAGAAACTGGTGTGCATGACTAAGAAATTCCTGGGGTATGAGGGACAGCTTCTCTCTCCAGGAAGTTATAATAATCTTGGAAGGTTTTTAGATGCCTATAAATTCTGGAGAGAGTCGAGGTCCTCATTGTATCTCAACCTCCTCAATTTGGCAAGTTCATAGAATTCTATTCTATTCTATTCTATTCTATTCTATTCTATTCTATTCTATTCTATTCTATTCTATTCTATTCTATTCTATTCTATTCTATTCTTTTGTGTGTGTGTGTAGGAAATGTCCTTGGGGAGAAAGCTCATCTGTAGGCCAACCTAGAAGGTTGGGCCATCCTGGAAATAGCATAATACCCAATTTTGATGGTAACACATTGGACCTTGTAAAAGATAGATAAAATGAATTTCTGGGCTAGTAAGTATTTTCTAGATAACTAGATTAGGACTCTGGAACAAGGGAAGGATAAAGTCTGCCTCAAATCAAGGGGAAAATTTTTTCAGTGAGAAATGAATTGACCCCAATATAGAAGTAAATCAGGATGCTGAAACACTTCTTAGATACTGATTCACAATTGCCATTTTGACCTACCTCCACATAAAAATGGCCCAAGCTACTTGGGAATGAGAGTTATAAATCTACCTTTCATATGTAAAATACCAAAATTAATATCACAATAGCTGAAATTTATTGAGAATGAGTGCATGGTGATCTTTAATGAAATAATTCATAATTCTCTTTAAGACTCATGAAACAGGCATAATTATTATCCTTATTTTAATGAAAAAGAATCAGAGAATTTAAATAACTTCACCAAGTTGGTGAATGGCAAAATCCACACTCATATTTGATCTCTGATAATAAGGTTTGGCTACAACTTTCAGCAGTCTTATTACATAAGTTTGACCCTAGTGAGAAGAGAGCCTTCTCCAAGTTCATTAGACAAGAGACAGAGTATTTCAAGCACTGTAGTCATAACTTAAAAGATGCATGTAGAGTACTTGATATCATCCCTTGCATAGTATAAACAGTCAGAAAATACTACTACTTACAATGTGGGGAAACTAGAATGTGAGGCATAAGAGCATAAATGTTAGATTCCAAATTCTGTGTTTATAACCCAGCTCTAGCTTGTATGACTTTCAGCAAGTTTCACTTTCCTTATCTGTAAAATGGGTATAATAATATCCCCCACTTCACAGGGCTTTTGTGGGAAGCAGATCAGATGGTATTATATTTAATATCATGGCACACAAAACATGCTCAATAAATTGTAGCTACTGTTCTTGAATCCATTATTGTTGTTGCTTTTAAGTCCACAAAGTCAATGCTAGTGCTTTTAAAATCATTGATATCGGCAACTACAGAGTAAAAAAATCAGAACAAGTAGCACAGGTGTGGTCCTCTTGAAGTGCTTAAGTCAAAGCGCATCTAGCCACCAAGCAGTGGAATTGAAAACAGCAAAAAGCCTAACAGTAACCAAGAAGGATGAATTTCCTGGCACCTTACCAGAGGAAAGAAGTAAACTTGAAGGACTTGGGACACCAATTATTTTGCTGAGTGGAGAGTCAGAATCCATTTTCACTGCCATTGCATTTGTTAACTGGTGTCCTTGACTGTCCTCTGCTAGTATCCTGTGCCATTGGGAGGTAAAAGCTCCCTATCTAACACCTTTTTAATTGTATATTTCAGCCTTCCCAGTTTTCTCCTTCCAGCTCAGAAAGCAATCACTTACTAATATCATATGAAGAGAGAGAGAGGGAGAGAGAGAGAAAAACCTTTCTGCAATTTACAAAATTACAGGTAATTCTGTTATTCAATTAAGTTAATACCTGTTTCTGTCTGAGCATAACACTGCATTTCAAATCCAAACCCCAAATGGGCTGCAGATGCATAGAAAAATAAAAGAAGAATCGTGTACACTCATGGTTTCTCTATTCTTACCTTAGAGAATAATATTCTCCCAGAATTTTCTGGCATGCCTATCCATTTGAAACAGAATCCGTTTCAACTGTTTCAAAGAATGCAAAATATCATCACCGTAATTGCTTCTGTATCTTTATGAATATTGTAATATCTGTATTGCAAATGTAATCTTAGTAATCCTATACTGCATTGCCTTTTGAGAAGATTTCATTTCATATATGGTGAGTTTTAAAACCCTCATAAGGAGAATTTTTACTGATAGAAATGCTTTCTATATTTTATTTTATAATTAACCAAAGGAATAATTGGCTTTCCAAGGTTAATTACCTCTGCCTTCTAAAAATACTTTTTGGTTAAAGAAAATATTTGAATTCTTTTTGTTTAAAGAAAGCAAGGCACAATATACCACATTATAACAAAATTCCACACATTGTACGTAGATATAGTTTTGGTTCTGAGCTGGGGAACACAATTTCCTTGAATGTTATAGTTTTTATATTCTATTTTAGTGCTATAATTTTTCCAAGCAATAAATAATGTACTTCTACTGAATTCAAAATTACAGTAAACGTGCTCTCTGCAGATAATTTAACACCTGTGTATTTCTATGCCCTACAACTGCAGACTGCGTATCTCAGAGGCTTAAGGATCTGAATTATATTGCAAAAATAATGAGCTGAAGACTGATTGTAAATGTATATTTATTAACATAGCCACTAATTTTTTCGACTGCAGAGAAGAAATGGATCCTCCAGTGTGAGACCCTCAGTAACTACAGCAATATGTTGGATTTAGTAGGTTTCGATTTTTCAATGATTAAAACTGAAATCACAGCTAATATTCTTTTTCGGGGGATTAAGCAGGGAGAGTGTATCAGCACCAGCCCAATGCGAGGGCACTGGCGAGGTGTACCTTGGATGTATGGCTCCAGCGCTGGGGAGGGCTGAATAGAGAGTAAAGCTGAGCCAGGGCCCTGACAAAGAACCACACATACCGTGCACCACCTCACCTCCTCCCGTAAATCATGCACCTACGGAGGGGAGGAGCTACATTTAAAAAGGATCTTGAATCTTTTATTATAATTGAGCCTTTTCTATTGTGAATATAGATTTTATCCATCCAGCTACCAAAATAGTGTATGTCAGAATCAAAACATATTAGGACTGAAAGTTTATTTAGAAAGCACTTACATTTTATGAAAGAGGCATTTTATGAGAGACGAGGACATAGGGGCTTGGAGAAGTTATTGCCCTCCTGAAGGCACAGGCAAGGAGGGGTTCCTCCAGCCTACTGCTCCCTGGTCGCTGTTGCAGACACTCTCATGGTTCTGTGTGCCCATAGAGCAGTATTCCGAAGTTTTCTAAGAAAGTGAGGGGGAAATTTTACAGGCGTGAGGACCCTACATTTTTAAAAAACTGACTGAGACTAAGAGTAAAGGGAATACCTGAAGTGTTGAAAAAAAATTTGTGAAGACATCTGCCAGACTACTGCTTTCTTTTAGGCCCAGTAGTTGAACAAGTTTAAGAGGCCAGTGCAGCAGAGTGGAGGTGGCTGCGCTGAGATGGTCTCCTCTGTCCACATTTACCAGGGCAAAGGATATAAGAGTCTTCTGGGACCAGATGACAGCCATGTTGAGGAGAGGGGAAAAAAGAGCCAAATGAGATGGACTGGAGCAGTTTCAAGTCCTGTCCTAGAGGACCTTCCACACAGGGTCTCTGTTTGGGTGGATAGCTAGAGAACCAGGATCCAAGGACTGAGTGACAACTACAGGAATAGATTTCATTCCCCATCAGGAGGGGGGCCTTTGATGAGCCCAAAGAAGTACCAGCGAGAGAAGGAGCCTGCCTGAAACCAGCCCAGAAAGCATCCCTTTGCTTCTCCCCCGCCCCCACTTGCCATACCTGAGGGGCTGAAACCACAGATAGCAAAGAGGGGAGAAACAGTATGAGAAAGAGGCAAGCCACAGCTAACAAACACCTCTTCCTTCCTAATGAACAAATTCTTGCTTCTGTGGCTTGTAGCTAAAAGAGGAAAAGGAGACCTCTTACCCTAAATAAATATGGAAGTGTTGATTGATGTATTGGACTGGACACATTTCATGTGTAAATTGAGACTTCGTTTTGTGACTTTAAGTGATGGTTGAACTCTCCATTACTTAAGAGTGAGAAGCCAGGAAACTGCCAAGGCTTTTATCAAAAAGCAGAAGGCATTTTCCACTGAAGAAATTTTAAAACAACAATGGGAGACGAAAGGAAAGTAATGCATTGATTCCTGAATCATGCTTGCTCACCGTACCGTTACACGGTGCTCTTTCCTCCTCAGGCCCTTCCTGTCCCTTACCCTTAGAGTCCTCCTCAGCCAGAGGTGGAGTCTTTTCTCATTTTAACCATCTATGGGTCCAGGGCCAATCCAGTCTTTGAGTAGGAGACAGTGAAGTAATTTTACCCCATTCAGTCTGGAACTCAGCATCAAGTTATTCTCGTTTTAGTTTGGGCTGTGATTTGCAATTCCCTATTTTAGTTCTGTGCCTTGACTTTTCTTCTTTTTCTTTATTCTTTTAATGATAATTTTTGCTTTCTAAACTTTTTTTCTTTTAAAATCATCCAGCCTAAAATGGCATTGCCTTGTTTTGTTGAAACCTACCTTATCTTGTTGAAGACAGTAATTATAGGCCTTATGTGTGAGTATACATGCACACACACACACACATATCTTTTGTTTGTTTGGGTCCCTGACTTTCATGTTAGACACTTTTTCTCAATAATTTGGTGATTTATCTGGCTGGTTATTCTTTTTTAAGAGTCATTTATTAACAAGTTGATGGCAGTCTCGTAGTGCATAGCACGTGATGGGAACGCGAGGCAGTTGCACACTCACCCTGAGGATCACCAGCTCTCAGCATCTGTGGGGCTTTTCTTTTGGGTTGTAGCTTCCTAACAGCAGTGGTTCAGTAGTGGTTCAAACTGTGACTGAGTTAGAATCTCTTGGAGAGCCTGTTAAAACACAGAAGGCCAAGACTCACCGCCAAAGTTGGTGATTGGGTAGGTCTGGGTAGGCTTGCATTTCTAACAAGTTCCCAGCTGCTGAGCATGCTGTGGGCTTGGAGAGTACACTTTGAAAAGCACTGTCATGGTGCAGGATTTCTTAATGTTGGCACTATTGACATTTTGTGCTGGGTAATTTGTTGTGTGGCGCTGGCCTGTGTATTTGTAGGATGTTTAGCAGCATCCCTGGTGTCTATCCACTAGATGGCTACCCCCAACAGCCCCGATCCATACACCAGGTGTGTGAAACAAACATGTTTTGAGACATTGTCAACATGTTCCCCTAGTGGACGAAATTACCCTACATTGATAACCACTGACTCCTTAAGGAATTCTCTCTCCTGCCCGGAAAATAAAAGTGCAGCTGTAAGCAATCTGGGAGACAAAAGGAAAAGGGACTTGAGACTCACAATTCAGTTGGTAGACTCTATTAAATTCCCTCACTTTCTGTGTTGCCTTTCACCAATGCCACCCCACTGTCCATTTTCAGCTGTAAATCTCTCCAAAGGTAAATCTGTTCCATAGAGGTAGAAGAGGGCCAGGTTCCTGGAGAGGGGATCTGGGGTGTAACTGAGCTTCACATAAACTTTCAGTCTATCCTCCAGTTGGCAGCTTTGCCCTGAAGTCCTGCTATCAGAGGTACCTACTATCCCGAGATTTAAGTATTTCCAAGATTCACCAGAGCTAAGCAGCTTCCTTCCCTGCAAGCTCACAGTTCTGTTTTCTCTGGTCTGCCAAATCAATTGCTATTTATCCATCTGCTTTCTTGACTCTAAAGTTTTGTTGACATCTCTCATCTGCTGTTATCTGCTCTCCCATTCTCTTTGTTCTTGTAGATTTATGGCTTTTAAGCATTTATTTTCATTTTGGCGTGTTACAGAGGAGCAATAGTAAACATGTGTGTTTAATCTGCTACGTGTAGCCAGAATTTCCAGCTGCTTATCTGAAACTAGGTTTGGATGAGAGGGAAGGTGGAAAGGACGTAAAATATGTACACTGGAGAGGTGTTATTAATGGTTTTGGTTAAAGAAAAAAATGGAAATTTGAAGGTACAAAAAACACTCTTTTCATGTTTCTTTTGTTCTGCCTAAAGCCCTGATTGTTATATCTTTATCATCTGTTCAATAAAAGCAACATTTGAAACTAACAATATAGCCCTTAAGAGGCCCTGAAATAAAGGGACCTCCAAAATAGACACCTTTAAGCAAGACAGTATTTATAAAAACCCATTATAAATTTCAAATAGACACCTATGTTGGGTTATGATTCATCACTTAAAAACATAGAGATTACAGGTTGCCATTTTACCCACAAAATCAAAGGCATACGTTCTTACAGTTAGACTTTCTCTTTAATTTACTCTTAGATGCAATCAGAAAGTGTTATTTAGGTATTAGTCATACTTGCTCATGCATAATTCCTCTTATTGATGAGAGAGCTCAATTCATGACTTTAAGGGATCAGGTGGGATTTAGCCATAAGAAGTAACCAAAAAGGATATTGAATTGAATTTAATTTCAATAATTAACAAAATGATAGGTGGAAATTCTTCACAGATAAATATCTGGCTCTGGGAAAGTCACTGAATCTCTCAGGAGTAAAATTCCGTCAATAGGGGAATTGTGAAAAACATAATAGATAAAATAAACTAAGTGTCCTATGAACAAAACTTTGACCTGGCATTGGACTTCTTTTGAGTTTTCTACAGGTATAGCTACATGCAATTTTGAAAAATGCCCTCCAGCTGCTTCTAGGAATAAGCAGTGCTTTCTGAATACCAGTACTTTAAAAAGTATTAGTTATCACATACTCACTAAATATGAATTAATATTTCCATTGTATTATGACTTATTTGAATCTTAATACATGGACAAACTACAAGTTCCCTCCTCAAACTATATACTATATTGTGCTTTTGCTTTCAAGCTAATGAGCATTGAGAATAATATGGTGTTCTTGTCCTTGATTTTCACAGCAATATTTTTGGCTTATATTGGCATGTTGTGTAACCTATGTGCTTACATGAAAGTCAATAGAAAATACAGGAGGGAAGCAGTTACAGCCACCATCTTATAGTATGTCAGAAAAATATCATGTAAATATATATATTTCAGAGATACATATATATAAAAGAAGTCAAATGCAAATATGGTTTAGAGTGTCAATGAAAACTTGGAATGGAAGAGTTATATATGGGAATAATTTTCATAAGAACCAGTGAATGTGTTGGCATAATCACTGGATTAGACATTTGGAGATTGAGTTATGTGACCTTACATAAAGTCATTTGGCCTGTCTGATTTTTAAATCTGTAAAATGAAGATAATATGTGCCTCTTTCCCAACTCTCAAGAAGGCTATGAGGATTTATGGAGTTAATATATATAAAAGCACTTTATAAGCTATATGTACTACACGAATTTAAATTGTTGACACGAATAGAATCATAGAAAAATAGAACTGATAATATCCATAAAAGGTTGTTTGGTTGATTCACCTGCCTAAGTTATTCAGGATAGTAACTTACCTGTTATTCCTTTTATTTGTTTTGGAAATATTTTCATTTTTTCCAAACATTTAAACATTTTGCATAGTATTTTTAATATAAAATGATTTTTTAAATAATTTAAATTATTGGTAAACAGTAATACATCACGTGAATGGTATTTTTCTTATACATATGATATTAATTCTATAACGATGAGCTCCCCAAAGTAGGATCCCCTGATGGACTTGGGGGACTTTGTGACTTCCATAAAAGGGCATGTGAAAGTGTGTATATATGTGCTAAGGAGTGATTTTCTGGAAAGAAGGTTCATATCTTTCTTCACACTCTCAAAGAGACTAAAAGAATGGGATATTAGGGGCCGGGCGTGGTGGCTCACCCTTGTAATCCCAGCACTTCGGGAGGCCGAGGTGGGTGGATCACTTGAGGTCAGGAGTTCGAGACCAGCCTGGCCAACCTGGCAAAACCCCATCTCTACTAAAAATACAAAAATTAGCCAGGTGTGGTGGCAGTCGCCTGTAACCCCAGCTACTCGCGAGGCTGAGGCAGGAGAATTGCTTGAGCCTGGGAGGCGGAGGTTGCAGTGAGCCGAGATCATGGCACTGCATTCCAGCCTAGGCAACAGAGCAAGGCTGTCTTAAAAAAAAAAAAAAAAAAAAAAAGAATGGAATATTAGGAAGAGTGAAAGGAAGGAAGGATAAGAAAATGTGAGAAAAAGAAAAAAGAAGAGAAAGGGAATAGAAAACTTGAGTACATTGCTAGAAGAGTGTGCTATAGGTTATTTGTGCTTTTCCAGAAGAACTGAGAAAATGTATTTTGGGCTAAAAATTTTTATAATTAAAAAATAATAATAACTTGAATTCATGAGGGCCTACTGCATTCAGGTACTATGATAAGAGCTTTAATTTATGTTATCCTTACACCTCACAAATACCCCATGAGGTAGGGAAAGAACCACAGTCCCTTTTAGGAAATGCTTGGCCCAAGTGTATGCTCTATTAAGGTGAATGCATTGGGGTCAGATTTTGGAATTTAGAATTTTTCAATTTTTAGAAAGATATGTTGGTGGCCTTAGCATACATTATACACTATACCCAGGAGGGTCTGAGGGATCATAATGGGATCAAATAAAAGTGTTAAAGAGCTTCACATGAGTTCATTTCATATAGGTCAGATTTTGATGCCAGATGAGTTATGACAAAGGATTTGATTTTCACAGCTTTTAGGATTTTGAAATTGCAGACAAAATATTGTAAACCTGTATTATTATCATTCCCATTTTCTTGACCACAAAATGGCTTTAAGAGGTTGGTTAACAGCTCTGGTTTGTACAGCCAGGAGGTGACAGAGCAGACTGCACATCAGGCCTTCTGACTCCTGGTCTGTGGATTTTTAGAATTTAATGCAGATGGACCAGTGAGAAATCCTGAGTTACAATTTGGATGTACTAGTAGGCACCACCAGCTATTTGCCTTACTGTTCTTATGATTACTATTAGCTATAATTTTCCTGAACACCTGTCAGCAACTAGGTGATAAGGGAGTGGGAGAAAGAAGGCAGTGATGGAGCCCAACGCTTTCCTAAAATCCTAAAATCCTGATGGGAAGGCTGACATTCCAGATTTAGATGAACTGATGGCCAGTTCATGAGAACTTTCCAAAGAAGAACCACAAAGAGCTCACAGAACATCCATAAAATATTTGTTGGACGCCTACTACGTGTTACTTATTGTTCTAGGCACTGGGAATAGAAATGCATGTATTTTATTATGATATATGATACTATGTATATCTCTCCTAACAGAGGAGATATACATATAACCAAATAATTAAAATACATTGTGATAAATGCTGTAATAGGGTTCATTAGGAAATACTGGGAATGTCAGGAAAGTCTTATACAAAGAAACTGATATTATATTTGGACTTAAAGGATGAGTTGTTTTTGTAGATAGATAAATGGCAGAATAAGTAGAATGGCTGTTCTAAAAATGCACTTTTAATTTCTGCTCTTGATCAAGATGGAATGACAGGGACAGGATTTATTCCCCACTGGAAGCAACTGGAAAACTGGAAAAAAATATACAAAACAGCAGTTCTCAAGACATTGTGTGCCGGCAACAAAGGACAGTGATGCTGGAGAGATGAGAAATAAGCAAGGTAAGCCCTATAGTGTCCCAGCTTACTGCCTGGAGAGAGTATTCAGGCTGCAGGCCTATATTCTCAGAGTAAGGAGATTCTCAGGGTAAGATTCTCAGAGTAAGCAGACAATGTTGATTGACCGGGAAGGCCAAGGTGGCTAGAGGCCACAGAGTAGAATGCCAGAAAAGAGAGAACTACATAGATTGAAAACTACGCAGACCTGTAGGGAGTCTTTAAGTATTCAACTGAGTACTGATCAACACATGCATGTTAGGAAACCACCCAAGGCTGGGGGCAAGAATCTAAAGGATTAGAGGCGAAATCCTTGGAGCTCACATGGAGCCGCAACTGGAACTTCTTCCCACCAGCCAGAATGGAAAGCCTCATAATTCAGTGGGCATTTGAGTAGAGTACTCAGAAGAATTTTGCCTCATTAGTACAGCTAAAGTCAGGCCTGGACTATCACTGCTCTGTTTCTGCCTAACAAAGCTTAAAAAAACAAGACTCAAAATGATCATATGCTTTCCAATGAACTATCTCCCATAACAAAGCTCAAGAATATTTATAGAAATAAAATACATATGCAGCACCCAAGAAGCTAAATTTTACAATGTTTGACATCTAATAAAAAAATTTTTTTTTTAATTTTTTATTTTGAGACAAAGTCTCACTCTGTCGCCCAGGCTGGTGTGCAGTGGTGAGATCTCGGCTCACTGCAACCTCTACCTCCTGAGTTCAAGTGATTCTTGTGCCTCAGCCTCCTGAGTAGCTGGGATTACAGGCACACGCCACCATGCTCAGCTAATTTTTGTATTTTTAGTAGTGATGGGGTTTCACTATGTTGGCTAGGCTGGTCTTGAACACCTGACCTCAAGTGATCTGCTCACCTTGTCCTCCCAAAGTGCTGGGATTACAGGCATGAGCCACTGTGCCCAGCCCATCTAATAAAATATTAATAGGCATGGAAAGACACAGGAAAACAGGGCCCACAAGCTGGTAAAGAATAATTAGTTGAAATTAGCCCAGAAATTACATGGATAATCAGTTATTGAAGACATTAAGCTTATTGATAAGGTTGTTAGTTCTGTTATTAAAACAGAACATAGATATTCCATATATTTATGGAGCTAGAGAAAAGATTGAACTGTTAGTTATAGATATGAAGATACAAAAATCGAATTTCTTAAGGTTAAAATTATAATGTGTGAGATAAAAAGACAGACTGGATCAATGACAGATTAGGTATTGCAGAAAAAATGATGAGTGAACTTGAAGACATGGTAATAGAAATTATCCCAAATGAAACTATCCAAGAAGGAAAAAATCCTGAACGAATCAATAAAGCATCAGTGGGTTGTGAGGCAACTTCAAGCAAACTAATACAGGAGAATTTGGAACCCCCACAGGAGAAGAGAGAGAGGGACAGAAAAACATTTGAAAGAAATAATTACTAAAAACATTTCCAAATGTGATGAAAATTATAAACCTCAGGTCTAAGAATCTTAAAGAACTCCAAGCATAGGAAACATGAAGAAAAGTATGCAAAGACACGTTATAATGAAATTGCTTAAAACCAGTTAAAAAAAGAAAAATTTAAAAGCCCGAAGCGAAAGACACATTAGATACAAAGGAAAAAAGACAAGGAGGAGAGCAGAGTTCTTGATGAAAACAATGCAAACTAGACAACAGTGGAGCAACATCAGTAAATACTGAAAAAACAAAAACAAAACTTTCAGCCTGTAATTTTTTATCCAGGGAAAACATCTTGCAAAAATGAAGGTACATATTAGTTAAAGGAATTAATCACCAGCAGACCCTGCCCTACAAAAAATGTTGAAAGAAGTCTTTCAAGCATAAGGCAAATGATGCTAGATGGAAATTTGGTCCTATACAAAATAATGAAGAGAATTAAGAAATGGCATGTAGAAAAATATAGAGAATTTTCTTATTAAATATCTTTAAAATATAATCAATGGCTTGAGGCAGAATTAAAAACCAAATATTGTGGGGTTTTAATGTGTAAGTTTAACATGTAGAAGTAAAATGCATGAAAGCAGCAGCAAAACAAATAAACAAAAAATACCCAGAAGGGGAAAATTAGAAATAATTGTAGACCTGACATGGCTAAGAAAAGAATCAGTAAACTTGAAGCAGATCAATAAAAAGTTTCCAAAATGAATTGCAAAGAGAAAAAAATAAACACACACACACATGCACACACACACGTCCCCCAACACATTAAAAAATTGTGGAGAATATGAAAATGGAATAATACAAACTATTCAATCCATCCAAAAGAAGGCAGTAAAAGGAAAAAGGCAATAAAGAACAAATGGAAAAAATGGGAAATAAATATCAAACGCATATCTAATAAAAGACTCAGATCCAGAATATACAGAGAATTCTCAAAACTCAAACAACTCTTTCCTCTTCAAAAAAAGAAATGGGGGAAATCTGAACAGAAGCTTCATCAAAGAAGATAAATGAATAGCAAGTAGGTAGATGAAAAAATGTTAAATAGCACTAATCATTGAGGAAAGGAAAACTAAAGCCACAAAAGAATGTCACTATGCACGTATTAGAATGGCTAAAATTAAAAATCAAATGTTGGGGGAGAATGTGGAGCAACTGGAATTCTCACACATTGAATGGTGGGAATGGAAAATGGTCCTGCCACTTTGGAAAACAGCTTGGCAGTTTTAAAAAAGATACATATAGCTGCTGTATGACTCAGGTATTGCGTGCTCATGTAACTATCCAAGATAAATAAAAAGATTTGCACATGAATGTTTATAGCAACTTTGTTTGTAACGGCCCCAAACTAAAAACAACCTAAATGCCCATCAACAGGTGAATAGATTAACAGTGTTACAATCAATGACATAAAGAGGAATGGATTATTGATATACTCAAGAACATGGATAAATCTCAAAACAATTATGCTGATTATTATTTATATAAATGTCTAATTCCATTTATATAAAATTCTTAAAATTACACACTGATCTATAGTGATACACAGCAGGTCCATGTCTACCTTCCAGGTATATCTGACTTCATCTTCTGTGCTTCTCTCCTTTGCTTCCTGGGCTCCAGACAAGCAAATCTTGCTGTTCTTTGAACACATCAAGAATGTGCCTGTCTCAAGGTTTACATATTTGCTGATCCCTTGACATGGGTAATGCTTCCCCAGAGAGTTTGCTCCTTACTTCATTCTAGCCTCTCATCCAATATCACTTTGTCTAACATAACTCCCAATGATCTCTGCCTGCTTGTATTTACTAGGTGAGTGTGGGCTGGACCTAGTGACTCACTTGTAGCAAATAGAATGCAATGAAGTGATAGGATGCCACCTCCACAATGAGGTTACAAAAAGAGTCTGGCTTACATCTTTCATGCTCTGTACCAGTCTTTCTCATTCTATCTTTCTTAGAACTCTTGTCAATTGCCTTACGGACAGACCTATAAGGCAAGAAACTGATATCTGTGATCGAGAGCCAGTGAGCACCTGGGGCTTGTCACTGGCCATGTGAGTGAGCTTGGAAGCAGATACTCTCCCAGTTAAGCTTGGAAATGATTGCAGCCCCAACCCTGATGGCTGACTTGTGAGAGACCTCCTTGATTCACAGGCACCCAGTTCATCTGCACCTGGATTGCTGACCCATGGAAATGGCGAAGTAATAAATGTTTGTTATTTTAAGCTGCTAAACCTCTGGATAATTTTTTATGCAGCCATAGACAACTAATCCAGAGGTGTTCCTTAGAAAACTATGTAAAATATCCCCACTGACACATACAATTCCCAGTACTCATTGTCCTCTTACCTTGTTTTTTCTCATTCAAGACATTTTTCATCATTCAAAGTATTATTATATGTTATATATGTGCTAACTTGCTGTCTGTCTCTCATTCCCCCAATAAAATAAGATGAGAACAGCATCTTATATCTAGGGCCCGAAACACTGCCTGGCCAAGCTACGTATATATCCATTACATATTTGACACCTTTATATAAAATTTGAAAAAAAAGTCTAGACTATAAGGCAGGCTCCTTTTAGCTAGATATATTCTACATATATTCAGACCTCAACTCAAGGACAGAGGCCATCACAGAAAACCAGAAGAATGAGAAATTCCTTAAGCTACTGTGTCCCTTTTTCCCTAGGATCAGGCAAACACACTACTAATTCATCATACACTTAAAAATATTTGGAAAGGAGGAATAAGCAGAGAAGACAACTACCTCTCTGGTCAAGAGGAGCTGTGAGGGCCTGATCCAGCCACAGGGTGAAAATCACTATGGGAACTCATTAGTGAGGGTTTAACTGAGCCATCAGAGAGGCAAGGCTGGAGCGAGGCATCCAAAGGGGCCAGGCAAGGGTGGAATGGAGGCTAGTCCAGAATTGGGACAGGGACAGAGGCGGAATCTGGTTCTTGGTTGAGCCACAGCTTCAGGAACCAGCAGCAGGCTGAGAGAGAGAGAGATGGACCCCAAGGAAGTTCTTTTTCTGCCCAAGCCAGAGTACAGGTCGAGGCATCAAGGCTGGAGTGGAAGGCTGGGAATCAGGCATTTTCTCATAGATTGTAGGACGAGTAAGAGCAGAAGGTACAAGTGAGATGACACGAGACATCTCCACGGAGCTGTGACTACAGATAGGTCTGCATACATAGACAGTGTTCATTCAAAGTACATTGTAGTAGCCGGGCATGGTGACACACGCCTGTAATTCCAGCTACTCGGAGGCTGAGGCAGGAGAATCACTTGAACTCGGGAGGCAGAAGTTGCAGTGAGCCGAGATTGCACCACTGCACCCCAGCCTGGGCGACAGAGTGAGTGAGACTGTCTCAAAAAACCAAACCAAACCAAAGCAAATGGTTCAATGGTTTTATGTGGGATCAATGGTTTTATGAGCAAGGTGGAAACCTAACAACCATTCATGATATCATTTTTATGTTAAGATGATTTGAGTATTCCAAGCAACTAATGCAAAAGCAGAAATTTTGAAGAATCCTAAATTTGAGTTTACTTGAATTAACAATTTCTGTCAATCGTGGAAGCTGCTGCTATGGCCCACTAGGTGGCAGTATGGGAGTGATTTGCTGGTTAACAGAAAATGGAATAGGCTTGACTCTCAAGCCACTAGTTTGTTTTTTTCCTAGCATTTAAAAGTTGACAATAGAAAATGTTCATGGAATAATAGATGGAAAGTCAGACAAGGACTATCATGCAAAGGCCATTGACATATAAAATAAAACCGTTTTACAAGCAGTTACCATGGAGCATTTTATAAAAAGTCAAAACAGCAAATAATGTCTGCTGTTCATAATAAATATAATGTTTTTAAGTGATTCTTCTGATAGGTGAATGTTAGACAGATATAAAATAGAGACAAGTGAGAGAACAGGACAACGGATACCTCTTTCCCAGACCTTGCAAAAACCAGGCTCCCTGAAGCCTCTATGTTGGGGTTTTCAGTTCCCAGATCCCTACTTCCTCTTTACCCATCCACACTCCTGGCTTCCCTGTGAGATGCTCTTGGCAGCAAATCCCTGACAAGTCACATCATTCAAGTATCTTAATTCACTCTTTCACTTGTATTTCCCTGAAATTATGGACAAAGACACACTAATATTTTGCAAGGTAAAATTTCCAATTTTTTTTTTTTTTGTATGATGAGTGCTTAGACTATTGCTGTACATGTTAAGCACCATTCAGGAATTTCCTGTCCAGGCCAGGCATGGTGGCTCACACCTGTAATCCTAGCACTTTGGGAGGCCAAGGCAGGCGGATCACTTGAGGCCAGGAGTTCAAGACCAGCCTGGCCAACATGGTGAAACACCATCTCTACTTAAAATACAAAACTTATCTGGGCGTGGTGGCATGTGCCTGTAATCCCAGCTACTCAGGAGGCTGAGGCAGAAGAATTGTTTGAACCCGGGAGGCGGAGGTTGCAGTGAGCTGAGATCGTGACACTATACTGCAGCCTGGGTCACAGAGGTAGACTCTGTCTCAAAAAAAAAAAAAAAAAAAAAAAGAATTTCCCATCCAATCAGGTTCTAAGGGAAAAGGGCAGAAAATGTGTCTTCTGGTTCCCTTTCATTAGTGTCTTTTAAGTGCTGGCTATGCAGCATATGCTCAATAAATATTTAAACCAATGAATGAATAAATAAATGGCTCAATATGATGGTGTGCATGGGATGCACAAGGGATGAATGAATAAATACACTCTGGCATTTAACATCTTGGAACTTTTTTTTTATAACATATCAATCTTGCATGATTCAAAATAGAACACTTTAAATTTAAATAAACCTTCAAAATGTCTTAACATTTTACATAGAGCAAATTACTGTTAATAATTTACAAAGTTTAGAAAGTTTAGTTTGGAAAGATTAGTTTAATCTCAAAATACTGATCTAGGATAGCAGGCTTTTTAAATTAGCAGTTACCTTCGAGATCATTAGGTCAACCCTCTTATTTTCAGATTAGAAACGAGGACTCATATTTAGTGCTTTTTTCTCCTTTTAAACAGATTGCTGCTCGAATTTGGCAAAAGCCATACATATGATGAGTATGTTAACTGTGATTGATTTTGCTGTTAAGAAATGTTTGTGAAGAATATTCTTGACAGTCTATATTTTTCATATGGTTGAATGAATTTGTGTAATATTAAGGCATAATTATTTTTGGAACTAGCTTTTTTTACCATCAAAATATAAAGTTTCATTCTTAGACACTTTTCAAATTGTGAAGCACTTTCTGGAGTGTTTGTATCAGCTTACTCTACTTTCTTTCCCCTTGAAGTTATTTCTCTTTTCTTAAAGAAAGTAGGTTAAAATGCTGCTTATTAGGAAAATTAGGCTGGGAAGAAGCCGAAAGATCTGTTAAATACCTCAAGTGAATTCCTGAATTCAAAAAATCTGAACATTATCCTTGAAAACAGCTGAAAGTAAAATAACAAAAACTACTTTTTGGAGAACATTTTTTTTTTTTTGGAATAGAAAAATGTTAACTCATTCACAGATCTTGCCCAGATGCAATCGCCTACTGGTCTGGGTTCAGCCTACACACAAGAACAAATTCTTTCCCGGTGCCTCACACTGTGAGGCTGCAGTCCAATCTTGCCAAGGAGCCAGGGGTTCTTGTGTATCTTTTTATTGCTTTAAATTATAAGTTTGTCATTTTAAATTGAACATCTTTTTACTGCCATAAATATCAGTGGAGCCTTAAATGAAATACTGCACGTACAATTCAGCTCTGAAGAACTATATCCATCCATTCATAAACAAGAGCTCTATCGAGCAGGTTTTTCCTTTAGCAGAAATCTCATTGTAGTTTTATGTATTTATGTATATGTAGTATGTTAGTCAGGGTTCTCCAGAGAAAAAGAACTTATATATAGAGAGATATGTAAGAAGGGATTTATTATGGAAATTGACTCATATGATTATGGAGGCCAAGAGTCCCTTGATATGGTGTCTGCAAGGAGAGCTAAGGAAGCTGTGTGAGGACAAAAGACCTGCGAACCTCGTGAGCTGTTCCTGCTGCAAACTCCAGAGTCTGAAGGCTGGAGAACCTGGAGGTCTGATGTCCAAGGGCAGGAGATGGTGGTGTCCCAGCTCCTGAAGAGAGAGAATTCACCTTCCCTCTGTCTTATTGTTCAGGCTCTCGACAGATTGGATGATGCCCACCCACACTCGTGAGGGCCATCTTCTTGACTCAGTCTACTAATTCAAATGTTCATCTCTTCTGGAAACATCCTCACAGAAAATAAGATTGTTTAATAGGATGCTCAAATGCTCATCTCTTCTGGAAACATCCTCACAGACACACCCAGAAATAATACTTTACCAGCTATCTGGATATCCCTTAAGCCAGTCAAGGTGACACCAAAATTAAGCATCACGCTGTGTATGATTTATGTATTTCTTTATATTTTTGGCACAATTCAATGCTGAAATTACTCTTTAAATGTCATGGTTCGAGTGTTTTGAGTTCAATGTACCCGTTCCTGAACTCATCATCATCCTCTCCTCCCACAGTAATACCGATTTAGAGAATGGGCCACATCTAGCAGCTGCCCATCAAAAATCTAGAAGTTGACCGGCCTGGCTTTCACTTGCCTACTTTTCAATTCTGTCAGACACTTAATCCTCAAGTTTGCCTCCCATGCGTCTCCCTTACATGACTGCATCTGCCACGTGGGCAGGGACTTGGTTGATAAACTCAGGGGCATATTGAGCATAGTCCTTAAAACTCAACGAATGTCAGAGGAATGAATAAATGATGAATATTTATCCAATCTATCCCCTTATTTTCACTCTTGCCATCTCGATCCTAGTTTAAGCATTAAGCATCTCTTATCTGGACTACTGCAGTAGCTTATAGTTTGGATTTTCTGACTCTATTTGTATGTCAGCCACCTGCCTTAATTCTAGCCTCATGTTTCTCTACTCTTGTCCTATGTTGTATGCTTAAATACTACTGAGCTGATTATGTCTCCTGCCATATACCCTGATATCTCCTGCCCCTATGACTTTACCTAGGATGTTTCCATCTCTAGAAATGCCTGGTCATTTTTTTTTTTTTTTTGCAAACTTCTGCTCATCCTCATTGCTGAGCCAATGTGACGTATTTTTTAGTAACTTTTTTCTGAAGTCCCAGGTTGTATTACATGCCCCCTTTCTTTTGTCCTATTGTACCTTGTACATTTCTCTAACTGAATTCTTGTATCACATTCTATTTTACTGTTCATCTGTCTGGCTTTCTCTCTGTGCTCCTTTTGGGTAGGAATTCTTTCTTAAACATTGTAGTAATTTTAATGGTGCACAGAAGGCAGTCCATAAATATTTGTACTTGTTTTTTCTTTTTGTGGAATGAACAACTTGGATGCCACAGGAATTTAGGATCGCCACTAATTACGAGTGTGTCTGCCATAGCTAGGGCCACTGAGTACAGCTGTACACATTGTGCACTGCACTATTCTGGGCATGGGTACTAGTCCCATAGAGGATAATGTGAACGTCTACTCCACCACTCCAGTTGTAAACTGCACCAGTCATCCAACCACAGGCACTACCCTGGTGGATATAGATGAGATACTGCAGTGAATACCATTTTTAACTGTAAGATAGTTATATTTTAAATTGTAATTTATTTCAGGTTTTTAATAATTGGATTTATAAACAAACATTGAACAAATAATTCCATTATAATTCACGTGATACTTTTTCTTTTCACAGGAAAGCATTTGTTTTAGCTTGGCATGTTTCTTCCCAGTATGTACCTCATAAATTATAAAATACTTTACCTTCCTTTCCTAGACTGTATTCTTGTTTCCTTAAATGAATTTGAAACCCCGGGACATGAAGTTTATACAGATGGACAGCTATAAATCAATGAATTTTACTATGAAAAATAAGCATTGGCATGTGCATTTTTTTCCATGAAACACATCAGTCAAAATTTAAACTTTAAAAAAAATCAGAGGCTAAAGAAGTTCATTCTAAAGAAAGCTGCCAGTAAACAGATATTACCATTCTCCAGATTCTAGAACTGAACTAAATTGAATTTATCATTAAATATCAAATTTATAGCTTTTAAAAAGACATTAATTTTTCTCTAGAATATCAGTAAGTCTCTTAAATATTAGAGATTTAGGACTGAAAAACATGAAATTCTCTATTTAGTAACTAGCAAATTCTAAATTAATGGATGATAAACCAGACAACTCTTTAAATAAAAATCAATCTAATAAAAATAGCCATTAGACTTATGCATCAAAAAGGTATCAAAATTAAAACTGAGTAAATGGTCAACTTGGCATGAAGCCTTACTAAGTTGATTAAAGTAGAGACTCACTAAATTGACAGCTGGTATTTACAATCTGTGTGGAACAGATATTGATATTAATATTTGTAATAACCACCATATTGAGAAGTATGCATCCAGCATTATGCTAAATGTAAGATACTTTTTAACATTTTGTCATTTTAATACTCAGAAGAATTTATAAGGTAGAAGTGACTACAATACCCATATTATGACTGATGAAACCTATACGTGAAGAGATCAACAAAGAAAATAAGGAAGAAGTGAATGAAAAATTAATTAAAAAGCATTTTTTCAAACCAATCAGGAGAATTAATGAGGCAAGCATTGTTTATCTCCAGAAATGGGATTAAAATATTAAAATATGGACCAGCCAAGAAGGCTCTAACTCTCTAGATATGGTCCATTCTACCCCTACCTGTAGCTGCCTGTCTTCTGTCTACTTTCTGAGTCTCCCATTGAAGCTGAGGTTTGAAATTCACCTGCTGATCAATGTTGCAGATCTCATGTGAGACCCTGGAAGTGGACCCATGGGATAATTGGCTGATACCCTTTCCACAGTTGCTCCTGGTAAGCCTATCGTGTGTTGGGACTCATGCCCCAATTCTGATTCATATTACAGGACCTGCTGGACCTGGAGCTATGTGCCCTGGTCTCTGATTGCTGGTTTTGGCCAAACAACAGCTCAGTACTTGCCAACCCTCACTTCCTGGTGGGCTAAACTCTGTCTACTACCTAGAGGCTCTGGCTAGGGTCCTGTTTCAATTTGAAATTCACTTTTTCCCCACCTCTTTCAGGGTTAAGATGCTACCACTTATGTGCCATCAATGCCCAGGCAATACTAATCCCATAACTCCACCTAAAAGAGTAGGACTTCTGTATATTCACATTAGCCTATGAGGAAACTGAATCCAAGTTATCTTGGACTTTGAGGTTTTATTATCAGATGACTACACATGAGGTCAACCCAAAAGCAAGCTTGGTCCTCTCAGCCTCTACTCTGCACACTGTCAGCTTACCTCCCTCAGCCCATCATGCTGACACTAGGATCAATTAGGCCTCAAGACCAAGGCTGTTTAGCCAAAAACAATTTCTGAACCTTAGAAAAGCCTTCCATTTGTTCTAGTCATCCAAGTACCCAGTTTGCTGGAACTCTCTATCCACCTATTCTCAACTTCAAGAAATCTTCTGGATAAAATATAGAAAATCATTTGGGATCCAAAGTAGATAGTTGTAATGTAGAGAAATCTAAGTGGAAAGCAAGTAAGTGTAAGGTTTATGAGTATAAAGGAAAAATGGCAGATTTACCAAGACAAGGTTGAGAGTGTCAGAGGGAAACGAGAATATAAGAGATTGTCTTTAGATGGCCACAAGTAAGAGAGGGAGGGGATCTAGGTGTAGACCAATATCTCTCTCTCTCCCTCTCTCTCTCTCTCTCTCTCTTATCTATCACCTATCTATTATCTGCCTACTTATTTATATTACATGTATATGCCTTGGTCATTGTTAATCCGCTTCTACTTTCTGTTTGAATTTAGCAGACCATATTTTTCCAATTATCTTTGGTATGGTGGCTACCATCATTACCACTGCCTTTTTTATAGTAGCTAAATATAGATTAACAGAATCAATGAATCTCAAAAAAAAAAAAAAAAAGCCTGGTAAAGTTTAGTATTGCTAATTAGACCTGCCTCTATTAGCAAAACCACATTCATTCTGGGGACTAATGACATCTGCCTGATATCTTTACAATCCATTTTCACATAAAAAGCACCCAAAATGAGGTCCTGGATGGCAGTAGAATGAAATTTTTAAAAAGCCAAATGAAAATGGTTCAGTTGGTAGGAGTGTAAATTATTTCAACCATTGTGGAAGACAGTGTGGCGATTCCTCAAGGATCTGGAACCAGAAATACCATTTGACCCAGCAATCTCATTACCGGGTATATACCCAAAGGATTATAAATCATTCTACTATAAAGACACATGCACACTTATGTTTACTGCAGAACTATTTACAATAGCAAAGACTTGGAACCAACCCAAATGCCCATCAATGATAGACTGGATAAAGAAAATGTGGCACATATATGTCATGGAGTACTATGCAGCCATAAAAAAGAATGAGTTCATGTCCTTTGCAGGGACATGGCTAAAGCTGGAAATCATCATCCTCAGCAAACTAACACAGGAACAGAAAACCAAACACTGCATGTTCTCACTTATAAGAGGGAGTTGAACAATGAGAACACATGGACACAGGGAGGGGAACATCACACACTGGGGCCTGTTGGGGGGTGGGGGGAAAGGGGAGGGAGAGCATTAGGACAAACACTTAATGCATGCAGGGCTTAAAACCTAGATGACAGGGTGATAGGAGCAGCAAACCACCATGGCACATGTATACCTATGTACCAAACCTGCACATTCAGCACATGTATCCCAGAACTTAAAGATAAAAAAGAAATGAAAGAAAATGGTTCTGTGACTCTGATAAGTGTAGAAGAGATGAGTAATTGCAGCATAGTACATTTCATGTGTGATGAAGTAAGGATTGTTGCCTGAAAGGTCGGCAGGCCCAGAAGATGAGAGGATATTTTCTAAATTTGAGGTGGATAACAAAGGGCACTTGTACGTAATAGAGGGCATCCTATTAAATGCAAAGACATTTTGGGGTGTTGGTATAGAAGACCTGGGATGCAGTTAAAATGGCTATATTTTGTGATATAAACTTTCTTAAAATAGCCTATATGAATTTCTATTGCTATCTAAGCTTTAATCTACATAAATAATCTAAAGTTACCAATATCAGGACCTCAAAGCGTAGTGAGATTCAGTCATGTAGCTATGTTTTTGGAAGCTGGTTTACTTAGAAATATAACTGGATATGGCTGCTGGAGATGGTTAGTTTAGAATAGGGAAAGGGAGGAAATTAAATTATGTGACCATTGAGTTTGAGGAACATTTTAATATCTTACTGAGGAAGTGTAGTTAAAGAAGAATTATGTAACTGATACTCCTGAGCTAGAAGAACTAAGAAGCCAGGAATTTGTAGCAACCAGTGGGGATACCAAAAATTACTGGTGGAAGGGGTAGATTGGAGGTGGCTTGGGTTTTTCTTCTGATGAGCTGAGTGAGCATCGGCTGTTTGGGTGCTACCTGCTCCCTTGACCCAGCTTGGAAGAATTAGGAAAAGAAACTACAATCTCTACCACTTATAAAGTCTCTAGGTCACTTGGTACCATAAACATTCCTCTGTGCTCATTTATCTCTCTTAAGAATCTGAAAATCAGATTATTTGCTGACATTGATACTAAAAAGTGAACAGAATACGGATGAGTTTAGCTATCTGCAGAAGTCATTTTAAGGGATAGGATATTTCTTAGAATATAAGCTGGTGCAACAGGGAGTAGAAATTAACTTAAGCCATGACTGAATATTAAAGGAAGTTATAACTAAATCAAGGATATTAGAGTACTAATATATGAGCAGAAAAAGTAGAATTTGCATGAAGCTCCCAAACAAAGAAGTCACCACAGCTAATGTTATACTGGAGCTACTTCTATTAAAGTCAGAGCCGTAAGGCTGCTGTTTACTATGATCATTGACATTCAACATTGCTTTGGATATTCTGTACAATCCAATAATACAAGGCAAATAAGACATAAAACAAGTATAAAGGAGAAGACAACATTAACATTATATCCAGAAAATAAGATTGTTTAATAGAAAATTCAAGAGAACTTACTTTAAAAAAAAATCTGAGTTGATGAGGAAAGTCATATTAGTGACTGGATAAAAAATAAATACATAAAGTTTGGCTGGGTGCAGTGGCTCACATCTGTAATCCCAGCACTTTGGGAGGCCGAGGAGGGCAGATCACAAGGTCAGGAGTTCGAGACCAGCCTGACCAACATGGTGAAACCCCGTCTCTACTAAAAAAATACAAAAATTAGGTGTGGTGGCATGCACCTGTAATCCCAGCTACTCAGGAGGCTGAGGCTGGAGAGTCGCTTGAACCCGGGAGGCCGAGGTTGCAGTGAGCTAAGATAGCACCATTGCACTCCAGTCTGGGCAACAGAGTGAGACTCCATCTCAAAAAAAATAAAAAAGTTCATAAGCTTTTACTATGTGCCAGCATTTTATGCTAACTAGTTTTAAAAATGGTAAAAAATAAATATATATATGTATGTTTATGTGCTTCTGTGTGTTTATGACTTTACATAGCATGGTGAGGTATGTATTCTCTTAAGAGGTGACATTTCACACAATACCTGGACATCGAGGTGAAGTAGGCTCTGCAATCATTAGGGGTTAATCATGCCAGGCAGGCATGCTCTGATTTCTGCTTAAAAGTATCTCTGACTGTCATTTTGAGGGTAGTTTGTGAAAATTTAAAAGTGGAATCAATGGATTAGTTAGGAGGCTATGGCAGTAGATAAAACAAAATACAATGATGGTTGAATTAGGATGGTAGTGATAGAACTAGAACAGAGGTGATAAGCTTGTGGCATTCTTTGGAGTAGAGTTGCCAGGGCTTGAGGATTTGAACATGAAAGGGAAAGTTATGAGATGAATGGATTGTGGTTCCTAGATTTTGGTTTTGAGTAATTGAGGCTGTAGAAGGTGGTGCTACTTATGGAGAAGGAAAAGATTGGGTAAGATTAGAAGGAAAGCAGGAGTTCTGTTTTAGACATGTTAAGTTTGAGAGGTAAATTACATATTCAGATGGAAATGTCAAGAAAGCATCTATATATATGAGTTTGGAGCAAAAGGGAGGGGTTAGAGGTAAAGTCAGAGAAAGTGTCCTGGTCAGTCCAATAGTTAGAATTTGACAGAGAAGGTGTCAGAAGTGGGACTGAAGAAGGTAGCAGTTGAGGTGGGTGGAAAACCACAGAAGTGGAGTATTTTAGAAGGAGCACTCAAGTATATTGAATAACATGCTGACAGCTCATGAAAGTAGCAAACAGAAAAGTGATGGTTGGATTTGACAATATGGGGGAATTTTGTGCTCTCAACCTCAGTGGTTTGAGTGGAGATATGCAGCTAAGTAGGCTAAGGAGAAAACTAGGAAATGAGAAAATTTAGGCCATTAGAATGTTCAGATTTTTAGAAAGAATTTTGCTGTGAAGGAGAAAGAATTAGCTGAGGGAACCCTAGGTCCCGAGAGGCTGTTTGTGGTTGTTTTATTGAAGGAGAGATACTATAGCACCTGCAAGCTGATACAGCAGAAACATCTTTATGTACTGGAGGAGATACGATCCAGACCTGTGGAGGAACTGCTATAATTTTTATATTGTAGCAGAAGAGAAGGAAGAAAGTAAAGATCAGATGCAAGCCACTTGGTAGATTTAGTGATTAGAACATAATCATTGTGCTTATTTCCTCAATAAAGTTCAAGACAGGGCCACAGTTGAGTATGCGTGTGTGTGTGTGTGTGTGTGTGTGTGTGTGTGTGTGTGTGTTAAGGGGGTGACAAGTTTTGAGGAGTGATGAGAAGGTGTAAATCAGTCTTCTGGCAGAGTAGAAAAGCAAATCTTCTGGGGATATGTATTAGGATTATGACCTAGGTCTTTTTTGCTAAAGGTTTTCAGCATGAAAACATATTTTACTATAATATTTGAGACATGCAAAAGAGTATTTGTTGTGCATGTGTAAGTTATGAATTATATATAATAAAGCAAAGACTGATACTCCCACCACCCATTCAAGATTTAGACTTTTGACTTTGACCCACAACCACCCATGTCCCTTTGTGCTCCTCCCTGATCTCATTGCTCCACCTTCTCCTCAGGAGTAACTAAGATTCCGAGATGTATATTGTAACTTAAGTATGAACTAGTGGTTCAGCACATCATAACCCTTTTCTGAATGATTGCTTCATGACTGACTACTAGCAATTATATTGTTAAATAGACTTGGATCAATTAGCAATTCCACTGGAAGCTGAGTCTAATTTAATATAGAATTTTGAGTAGCTCATATTTAATTCCTTTAAAATTAAACCTTGAAGAAGGGACCTTTACTATTTTAAATCAATATAAAATCTGATATAAGCTCTTGTACTGTCCGACAGGGGAGACATTTAGTTTTAGTCATTAAGGCTGCATAAAAATCAAGGAAATGTTTTGGTGCTGACAGATGGAGAAAGAGAGTTTCATCTCTAGCTCATCACAGTCATCTATAGTCACGCTTCAAGCCTGTGTGCTCTCTGCTTCCATGCCACATGGAGGCCCAGGAATCTTTTCTAAGGCTGCAGACTCTGGGCTTGGGACCCAGTTTCTCTGGACTCAGAGGATAGCCAGACTCCTCAGTGGGGCTGCCGCTTCTCTGAGGCTCTGCCAAGGAGCTATGCTCAGGTTCCTGCACAGAAAATACCATTCTTTTTCTTCTCTGGATAAATCTTTCCTCCTCCCTCTGTTGACCTCAAAGGCACTGCTTTCTCCTTCCTCATCCCCTGGCACACTTACCATAATAATATCGGGGAGCATAGGTTTTAAAAAAAACTAAGAATATTCTCTGATTTCAAGTGGCTTCTGCTGTCCATCCTGCCACAAATATCATCTGAGGCAAAGAAGCACAACCACGCTCATTGCTTGAAATTGGTGGTGGGAAGAGAGGAGGAGGGAAACACATTTAAACAAATTACTATCTCAGTGGAAGATCTTGCAACACTTCTACATAAGCCATGGGCATATTATTAAAGAAAAAACTTTTAAGGAAAAAAACAAACAAAAAAAGACTGTGGTCCTCACGGCATTGGGTTTTGGTCTAATGCAGTCCTTTCCTGAAAAAAAGGTAGATACCCACATAGTTCACCTCTTTCATTTTACAGATGAGGCAATTGAGTTTCAGAGGCAACATAGTATGGTAGAAACAGCAACGGCTTTAAAATGAGCAGAACTAAGTTAATTTCTTGATTCTGCTACTTGTTAAGGTCAGTAATCTTGGGCAAGTTATACAGTCTCTCTGAGATTCACCTTCTTGATATATAAAACGGGGATCATTACACTTGCCTTCCAAGGTTGTTGGGAAGATTTAAAGAGGTTACATGCATTTCCAGTATCTTACCCAGAGACTCGTATTTGGAAGATATTCAACAATGCTGGTTTCTTCCCCCTTACTCAAAACTATATATACAATGTGTGGCAGATCCAGAATGAAAGCCCATGTTCCCCAACTTCTGGTATAGTTCTTTTTATGCTGCACCATCCGTGTGGTTATCTGAGAAATGCAGGGAGATGTGAACAACCAGGTTATATTTACAGTAGACAAATCTGTTACCAGCAGACAGCCAGCATGCATGCTTAGTGTGAAAAGGACAGCATGTCATTTATCAATCAACTCTTTTCATTTAAAAGATTTATAATATTTGCAAAACACTTGGCAATATCAATCACCTTTGTCTCTGAGCTGCAGGGGATGGGGCCAAGACCTGACAGCAGCAAAGGGTTAGGCTCCCAGCCGCTATTTTTCTCAAAGTTGGCTTTCCTATTCCCAAAGATGAGCCAAGTGGTCAGCAGGCAGTCAATTAGCAGATTTTTCATGCTCCAGGGTGAATGGAAATACAGCCAAGGTTGTGGGTTCTCTCCCTGTATGAGTAGGTTCATTCCAAAACCAGAAAACAATGTGCCAAGACTGAGTAGTATAGCCCTGATCCCAACCAACACTAACTCTCCAATGTATATGACTTGTCGCCTGACAAACACATCAAGGAATATGATGGCTTAGCTCAACTGAGTTGCCACTCAGGAGACAATTCCATTAATGCATCTTCCTGATAGAGGGCCACCTGTGTCCTACTAAGTGAAGGACAATGTACTCATTACATGCTATAGATACAAACAAGTCAGATACACAATCATTATTCATTTATCCACTCAATCAACATGATCAAAGCTGGGGTTTTGTAAGCCAACATTATCAAACACATACTCTGTGTCAGTAGATGACTATGCTTCAGCTATTAAGATAAAAGCTAACATTTAGTAATACAGATCTAGAACTAGAAATACCATTTGACCCAGCCATCCCATTACTGGGTATATACCCAAAGGACTATAAATCATGCTGCTATAAAGACACATGCACACGTATGTTTATTGCGGCTCTATTCACAATAGCAAAGACTTGGAACCAACCCAAATGTCCCACAATGATAGACTGGATTAAGAAAATGTGGCACATATGCACCATGGAATACTATGCAGCCATAAAAAATGATGAGTTCATGTCCTTTGTAGGGACATGAATGAAATTGGAAATCATCATTCTCAGTAAACTATCGCAAGAACAAAAAACCAAACACCGCATATTCTCACTCATAGGTAGGAACTGAACAATGAGAACACATGGACACAGGAAGGGGAACATCACACTCTGGGGACTGTTGTGGGGTGGGGGAAGTGGGGAGGGATAGCATTAGGAGATATACCTAAAGCTAAATGATGAGTTAATGGGTGCAGCACACCAGCATGGCACATGTATACATATGTAACCAACCTGTACATTGTGCACATGTACCCTAAAACTTAAAGTATAATAATAATACAATAAAATTTAAAAATTTAGTAATACAATGTATTAAGCATGTTACATAAATTATCTCTTTAATTACCAAAAAAACCCACATATGAGATATTTTCTAGTATCCCTGCTTTACAGATAAGGAAAATGAGGTTCACATTGCTAGGGTCACACAGTGGCAGAGCCAGGATTTGAATTCTGATACGTGTGCATCTAAACACTATGTAATACTACCTTGAAGAGTTCCAACATAGTGCATGGGGCTATCTCTGGGAAAGTTTTGTTCTAAAAAAAGGAAGAGAATTTACTACAGTTGTGGAGAATATCCTAGGTGAGTGGAAGTAACATTTTGGATAACTGGTTCCATATTTATTTTCGTTCCATATTTTGTTCCATTCTCATATTTGTGTTTCCCATAAGAGTGAAACCTAAGCAATCACCTGTTCATATGAGTAATGGCAGAGTGCCTGCCATCATTGTGCTTCCTGCTTATATGTTGTGGCTTAATGCCTGACAGAATGCTGGTTGGTGATTCTTTTGGTCCCTATGCTAGGAGGGAAAGGTAATTGCTTTGCTTTGAGGGTCAGGGTAGCACTTCTTTGTACCTATGCCAAAATCTGAAGGTGTAATTCACTCTTTTTCAACCCTTCCATTCAAGATGTGGAATTTGCACCTTGCTACACAATTTTGTGGTGGTCTTTGTAGAGGATCAGTTTCTACACATGAATCAATGTTTATACTCATGCAAATATATGCCTCAGCTATAAAGCCCTGAATATAAGTTACAATCAAGCCTTAACTAGATCTTTAGATGCTTAACGCCACCAGCAAAGATTGTAAGACCAGCCTGACACAAATGCAAATTGGGCAATGTTGGTTTCCACCATCATCAGCAGTACCGTTTGCACTGAGTACAGCTGGGTGCCTTGATATGGGCTGGCTCTGTGTCCCCACCCAAATCTCATCTCAAATTATAATCCCCATAATCCTCATGTGTTGAGGGAGGGATCTGGTGGGAGGTGACTGGATCATGGGGGTGGTTTCCCCATGCTGTTCTTGTGATAGTGAGTGAGTTCTCATGAGATTTGATGGTTTTATAAGTGTTTGACAGTTCCTCCTGCACACACTTTTCTCTCTTCTGCCACCAATTAAGACGTGCCTGCTTCCCCTTCCACCATGATTATAAGTTTCCTGAGGCCTCCTCAGCCATGCAGAACTGTCAGTCAATAAGACGTGTCATAAAATGAGTCAATAAACCTCTTTTCTTTATAAATTACCCAGTCGTAGGCAGTTCTTTATAGCAGTGTGAGAATGGACTACTATAGTAAATTGGTACTGGGAATGGTACCCCCTGCCTTTGGGTATAAAGATACCCAAAAATGTGGAAGCAACTTTGGGTAATAGGCAGAGGTAGGAACAATTTGGAGGGCCTAGAAGAAGAAAGGAATATGTGGGGAAGTTTGGAACTTCTTAGAGACTTGTTACATGGTTTTGACCAAAATGCTGACAGCAATGTGGACAATGAAGCCCAGGCTGAGCTGGTCTCAGGTAGAGATGAGGAACTTACTGGGAACTGGAGCAAAGGTTACTCTTGCTGTGCTTTAACAAAGAGACTGGTGGCATTTTGCCCGTGCCGTAGAGATCTGTGGAACTTTGAACTTGAGAGAGATGATCTGAAATTGGAACTCATGTTTAAGAGGGAAGCAGAGCATAAAAGTTTGGAAAATTTACAGCTTGACCACGTGGTAGAAAAGAAAACCTCATTTTCTGGGAAGAAATTCAAGTTCACTGCAGAAATTTGCATAAATAACAAGGTATCAAATGCTAATCACCAAGGCAATGGGGAAAATTTCTCCAGAGCATGTCAGAGACCTTCACAGCAGCCCTTCCCATCACAGGCCTGAGGTCTAGGAGGGAAAAATGGTTTCATGGGCTGGGCCCAGGGCCCCCGCTGCTTTGTGTAGCCTGGGGACTTGGTGCCCTGCGTTCCAGCTGCTCCAGCTCCAGCTGGGGCTAAAAAGGGCCATGATACAGCTTGGACCATTGCTTCAGAGGGTTCAAGCCCCAAGACTTGGCAGCTTCCAAGTAGTGTTTGGCCTTTGGATGCACAGAAGTCAAGAAACGAGATTTGGGAACTTCTGCCTAAATTTCAGAGGATTTATGGAAATGTCTGGATGTACAGGCAGAAGTCTGCTGCAAGGGGCAGAGCCTTCACAGAGAAATTCTGCTAGGGCAGTGTGAAAGGGAAATGTGGGGTTGTAGCCCCCACACAGAATCCCCACTAGGGCACTGCCTAGTGGAGCTGTGAGAAGAGAGCCACCATCCTCCAGACCCCAGAGTGGAAGATCCAAAAACAGCTTGCACCATGTGCCTGGAAAAGTCACAGGCACTCAATGCCAGCCCATGACAGCAGCCTCAGGGGCTGAATCCTATAGACCCACAGGGGCACAGCTGCCCAAGGCTGTGGGAGCTCACCCTTTGCATCAGTGTGCCTTGGATGTAAGACGTGGAGTCAAGGGAGATTATTTTAGAGCTTTAAGATTTAATGACTGCCCTGCTGGATTTCAGACTTGCGTGAGGCCTACAGCCCCTTTATTTTGGGCAATTTATCCCATTTGGAATGGGAGCATTTATCCAATTCCTATACTAATATTATATGTTGGAAGTAACTAACTTGCTTTTGATTTTACAGGCTCCTAGGTGGAAGGGACTTGCCTTGTCTCAGATGAGACTTTGGACTTGGACTTTTGGGTTAATTGTGGAATGAGTTAAGACTTTGAAGGGACTGTTGGGAAGGCATGATTGGTTTTGAAATGTAAAAAGGATGTGAGATTTGGGAGGGGCCAGGGGCAGAATGATATGCTCTGGCTCTGTGTCCCTACCCAAATCTCATCTTTTCGTTTTGTTTTGTTTTTTTGAGATGGAGTCTCCCTTTGTTGCCCAGGCTGGAGTGTAGCAGCACAATCTCAGCTCACTGCAAGCTCCACCTCCCAGGTTCATGCCATTCTCCTGCCTCAGCCTCCCAAGTAGCTGGGACTACAGGTGCCTGCCACCACGCCCGGCTAATTTTTTTGTATTTTTAGTAGAGATGGAGTTTTACTGTGTTAGCCAGGATGGTCTCGATCCCCTGACCTCGTGATCCACCCACCTCAGCTTCCCAAAGTGCTGGGATTACAGGTGTGAGCCACTGCTCCCAGCCCCGAATCTCATCTTAAATTGTAATTCCCATACATCCTACATGTCAAGGGAGGGACCTGGAAAGAGATGATTGGATCATAGGGGTGGGTTCCTCCATGCTGTTCTTGTGATAGTGAGTGAGTTCTCATGAGACCTGATGGTTTTATAAGTGACAGTTCTTCCTTCACATACTCTTCTCTCTTCTGCCACCATGTAAGATGTGCCTGCTTCCCCTTCTGCCATGATTGTTAAGTTTCCTGAGGCCTCCCCAGCCATGCAGAACTGTGAGTCAATTAAACCTCTTTTCTTTATAAGTTATCCAGTCTAGGGCAGTTTTTTATACCAGTATGAGAATGGACGAAATCCACATTTATGCTTTTTTTCCTCTTTATTCCATGCTCTTTCTCCTTTCTAAACTCCTCTTTCAGAAAATAGGACTTGCAAGAATTACTTCACACTCTTACCTTCTATAGCCAGTGGTTGGGTGTAGAAAAAATATCAGTAGTAGTGTGATTATCAGGATATAAGTCCTGATTCAATGAAAGATGATAGCCTTTCCAATTTGAATATTCTCCATTCATTTCCAAGTCTATTTCTCTCCATTTATGTAATCATCTATATCCTCCTAATGTAATCCCTCAAAAGTTATGGGACTCTTAATATTGCCATAGGTTCCCTCAGAGGGCTCACTCAATGATATGCAGA
Organism: Homo sapiens; assembly: GCF_000001405.40. Taxonomy (NCBI): domain Eukaryota; kingdom Metazoa; phylum Chordata; class Mammalia; order Primates; family Hominidae; genus Homo; species Homo sapiens. The sequence goes on from NC_000006.12 coordinate 130,340,030, forward strand.
GGATATAATCTCCACTAATCTTACTGAGGTTAGGGACCATGACTTACATCTAATCTATAATGCACAGATGGTTTACAATATGTGTTCAATAATATTGCATTAGCTTTCTATTGCTGCTATAACAAATTACCAGTTAATTAGTGGTTTAAGCAATGCAAATTTGTTTCATAATTCTGGAACCAAAAGTCCACAATGAGTCTTACTGGGCTAAAATCAAGGTATCCACAGGGCTAGTTCCTTCTTGAGGCTCTAGGGGAGAATCTGTTTCCTTGCCTTTTTCTGAATTCTTTGACCTGTGGCCTCTTCAGTCTTCAAAGCCACTAGTATAGCATCTTCGAATTTTTCTCTGATTTTGACTCTCTTGCCTCCCCAGCTCTTTTGCTTATAAGGATCCTGAGGATTCCACTGGGACACTTGGATAATCCAGGATAATCTCCCCTTCTCAATGTCAGCTGATTAGCAAACCTAATTCCATCTACAGTTGTAATTCCCCATTGCTATACAACATGACATAGTCACAGTTTCTGGGGGATTGGGGTATGGACATCTTTGAGGAGCCATTGCTCTTATTACCACAAATACTAATCAATTAAGTAAAAATTAGAAGGGTTAAAGTAAAATGAAAATAGATTCTCACAATTTCATCTTTTAATTCTACAAAAATTCCTTGGAAACTCTAAGAGAAAGAAAATACTAGGTCTGATCCAATTGGATATTCTGATCATATTTATGTTTATATCATTTTGAGACTTTCTTCACAAACACCTTAGTGTGAGATTTCCTGCTATTGTAACCAGTCATCTGGTTTCCTTTATGATGAATTTGAAGGTTTTGTGCTTCAGTCTTTTCTTAAACATTTTTGTTTATTTATTTGTTTGAAGATGTTTGATTTCTGTGATGCAGTCAGGCCTCAGTTGGGGTGTGTCATCCTTGAGTGAAATTTGTCTGGATGCAAAAAATGATGCCAGAAACATTAAAAGGTTTTCAGTACATTTAGAACACATAAAGTTTTAGGTACCTTTAATAATTAAGCCTTATTGATGTGGGATTCCACAAACTCTCAGTGTTACTGTTTGTGTATTGTTTGAGTTTGCTGTGAAAGAAACACAGAGGGAGGGAGGGAGGAAGAGAGGGAGGGAGGAAGGAAGGAAGGAAATAAATAAATTAGTGATAATAACCAATATGGTCTATTACTCTGTTTTGCTTTAACACATGATATCACATCAGAATCCTTCAGCTGACTGATGACTACCCCATGTACAATGCAAAATGGTCAAACTTTAATGACTTTTAGAATAAAGATGCATAGGAATGCCTAGTTCTTGTTTTTAATTCAGGTTTTAGTTTAGTTCTTTTGTTGTTAATTTCTCTCACTTAAGAACCTGCTGAGCAGATTCGTTGAGTAAGAAGTAGAATAAAATCATACTTAACTTGCCTCAAAATTAAATGAAGCTTACTCTAGTTAGTTGAAGCCCACTCCAGCTTAAAACTTCAATAATATTTAAATTATATAAAGGTGAAAGAAAATACTCTGAGTCAGTAAAGTTCACGGCACATGCAAGGGTGTGTTTGCAGTGAGAACTTTGACAATGAGGAGTGGCTTTCATCTGTCAGTATGTAAGGATGTGGATGACATCCTGGAATTGGTATACTAAGAGTGGGGCTGATGGCAGCACTTATGAGTGGGAGGCTTGTTGTTATTTTAGCAGATTGTTAAACACATGGAAACATGATCTTTTGAGGCCTTTTAGGAAATAAATGGCTAAAGGATGACATTTCACCGTGTCTTCCCCATTTTCTGTGTTAAAATGTACCATCATGTGTTTTCCACCTCTAAACACCTTTGTAAATTTAGCTCCATAAATTTTAAAAAATCCATAAAATATTCTTTTTATTCCACCAATGGATTTAACTTAATAAGAAAATAAAGAGTTCCTACAAAGCAAAAACATTGACATGTCTCCTGACCTTACCATAATTGTTTGCTTTGTTTTGGGACAGTAGTTCTTAACTTTGGGTCTTTGGTTAGTTGGGTGGTCCACAGAAAGACATCAAGTTGTCAGGAAACCCTCTATGAGCATGGGACAAAATTGTGAATATGATTGCATCTGTCTTTTTCTGGAATAAGGGGCCATAGCTTTTACCAGATTCTCAAAAGACCCTCTGTCTAATAAATATATATCAAATAAAATAGAATGGTTAAGAACTAGAGATTTAAAGCCTTGTTTTTGTTTTAACAAGATGTTGCTTACAAACCCCAGAAAAAATTGTTTTGGAATCATAATGAGCTGTTTTTTGCTATCATGCATAAACTGAGCAGGAGCTTTTTGGAAAATTAATGTGAAAATATAAAAATGTAATTGCTAAGCAAACTGTGCATTAAGCATCATTTTCAATTAATTTTAGCTAAGAATTGGGTTATTAATTTTAATATCTTGCAATCACATTTATAATTAATTAAAGTTAATCTCTTTAAAACTCACTTTAGAGACTCTGTAAACTACAGTGTATTCTTATTTTTTAAGGAATTTCTCTTCTTTAAAAAACATAAAATACCATATCAGCTAGACAGGCTTTCATAATACCAGGAATAAACACCTCTTTTTCTTTAATTATAACTAAAACAGTGAGACTCCATTATTAAAATAAAAGATTAGAAAGAAAATTGTTTAACCCAACACTTCATTGTGTGGTAAATTTTATATGTAACTCATTATTTAATTGATTTTAACTGTTCTTGACCTAAGTAGCTTTCCTGAAAGGTGGCAATAAGAAATATTATTCAAATCTGATAAAATTCTCAAAGGCTTTATCTACAGAGTGTTAAAGGAAAGGAAGTGCTGCTGATCATGACTTAGTAAGCAATGTAGATGGTGAACCTAGGACATTTTGACCATGGTGGGGCCTTGATTCAACTATACAAGGAACAAGACTTTTCTAAAATGAGTTAAGTAAGTCATTTTAGGAAATTTCTGAAAGTAGACAACTTTTTGGAAGTTTAGAGTGAAATTTAATCACTTCTAGAATTACTGATTTCTGTGTACTTTTAGTTTTTTGTCTAATTTTATATTAAATCTAGTATGAAGGGCAATTTCAGGTCTGCATTATCAATAAACACAGAATCTTTTTCAAATAATCTTTTTAACTTACTATAAAAAGGATTTCATTTCACTGAAAGCTCGGACATTCTCCCTGAGGTCCCCTGAGTCAACTCCAAGTCTCCACAAATCGGGATCATAAGTGAGCTACCTATATCAAAAGTCATGACCAAGACAATGAAAAGGATGCTTTCTAGTCACATAGGGCTTTGACACACACTTCATTGCCAGTACAAAAATAACATACTGATGCATGGGTGAGAAATATTTAAATAATAAAAGGCATATCTCTGCAGTATTGTAAGAAAGCTATATGTGTCCTATAGGCTCAATTTTCTGTTATTTTCCTGATTCAAAGATTGTCCACATATTCCTTTCGTGGAAGTCAGACTATGAGAGCTGGTTCACTGTGGGGAGAGCTCAGTCCTAGGGCAAAGGGTATGCATGGGCTGGGTGAGTTAGGGGCTGGGTGTACTAAGAAGTAGCCTAGAAGTGGATGAAAATGGCAGGAGAAAAGGTATCAGTGCTAGAAGAAATTATTGACAATGAGTCATGGGCTGGGAGCTCTGGCTCAGGCCTGTAATCCCAGCACTTTGAGAGGCTGAGTTGGGTGGATCACTTGAGGTCAGGGGTTTGAGACCAGCCTAGCCAACATGGCGAAACCCTGTCTCTACTAAAAATACAAAAATTAACCGGGCATGGTGGTGGGTGCCTGTAATCCCAGCTACTTGGGAGGCCGAGGCGGGAGAATCGCTTGAACCGGGGAGGTGGAAGTTACAGTGAACCGAGGTCGCACCACTGTAATCCAGCCTGGGCGACAAAGTGAGACTCTGTCTTAAAAACAAACAAAAAAAAAAGGGTCAAGGACACCCCTTTTACCTCAATAACCCCCATAAGAGAGTGGCCCACTGGGCACACAAGGCAGCAAGTAACCTTCAGGGACAAAAGCTTTTCTGGCTTTTGTTTTCCTTGTCTTATTACCAACTTATTTATTTTATTATAGAGTAACAAACGTTCACTGCAGAAAATTTGGTAATACATAAAAAAGAAAATTCTCCTCTAACTCCAACTAGTAAGAACAGCTGCTAACATTTTGTTATTTGTCCTCCCAGTGTTTTTCCTACATGTATGTCTCTCGCTATCTGTATGTTTGCCCATTGGCAAAATCCTGGAATCTATTTTTTAATCCACATTTATTCTCTTAATATATTCTGCTTAAACATTCTTCTGGAGATACTTGTTTCTGACCTTCCCTGGCTTCTTTTTTTACGGGGGACAGAGTCTCGCTCTGTCGCCCAGGCTGGAGTGCAGCGATGTGATTTCGGCTCACTGCAACCTCCGCCTCCCAGGTTAAATTCATTCTCCTGCCTCAGCCTCCTGAGCAGCTGGGATTTCAGGCAAACACCATCAGGCCTGGCTAATTTTTGTATTTTTAATAAAGATGGGGATTCGCCATGTTGGCCAGGCTGGTCTTGAAGTCCTGGCCTCAAGTGACCTACCCATCTCAGCCTCTCAAAGTGCTGAGTGCTGAGATTACTGGCGTGAGCCATGGAGCCCAGCCATTCCCTGGCTTGTAACAGGGAATCCTTTGCTGCAGATGCCACTCACCCCAATATATGCATATTTTCCAGAAAGAAAGAAAGAAGGAGGAGAGGGGGTAGAAGTGAAGGGAAAGGAAGCAGAAAGAACAACAACAGCAAAAAAAAAAAAAAAAAAAAAAAAAAAAGAGAAAGACTGCATTCCTTTTACTTTGGCCTAAAAAAATTTCCTTTTACTGTTTCAGGACACCTGCCCCCCTATGCCCACCCCCCTCCATCTCCTCTACCAAAATGTCTGCACAACTTGTTTTTATCACAGTACACAAATGGAGGAAAAAGGGATGCTTTATGAACCAAAACTAGGCTGTGATTAAATTTCCATCAAATTCTTCCATTTATTCTGAACCTCTTAAGGTGGGGCAATAAGTAAGTGGCTCAATACTTAATATGTCTTTAATAAATGAGTGTGGAGTTGAGCTGAATTTTCTGTTCTGGGGATCAGGGAATGGGAGTGGAGGTGGAAGAAGCCTGCGTAAGCAGGAAAGTATTAGATACTTGTGTGGAGGTGGAGGTAGAGGACAAGTGGCTCCCCTGAAGAGGGAAGGATATTAGAAAAAGAAGCCTAGGAATGAAAAAGGCAAGCCTCAGAAACTCACAACCTCTTTTCTGCAGAAACAAGCAGCCGCCATCCACTGAGGTATTTCCTGTTAGGCAGCTGTGTAGACAACTCAGCTCCTCCTGCCTGTCAGGGTGTTCATCACCCAGGAGTGTTTTGGATAAAACAGGAGAAGCTGTGTTAATCTAGATGGAACTGTATTTGTGTTAGGGAATACAAATCCTCCAGGCTATGACAAGGCTTAGGTAAAATTATGGATGAGATTGGTTTGGGGGACATGGGGATAAGGACTGTGTCCAAGTCTCCTGAAACACCCCCGAGAGGCAGCAGGGTTTGGAATGCCTTTGAATCCTCAGTACCTGGCATATGGCAGGCCCTTGGCACCTGTTTATTGAATGAGTAAATACAGACACTGAGCTTCTTCTAGGCCCCATAACACAGCAGGAAGGAGAGAATTTGTCAGTTGTCCTCAAGTGGTACAAAAGAAGCCTGCCTGACTTCACATATGAATGTAGGGAGCTCAAGAAGCAAAAGGCAGAGAACAGATTCTCATAATTGGAACCAGAAAAGTCTCAGTATCTGTCATGGGTCATGTGTCATTGTGCCTGTTCCCAAATTAACTGTCAGGACATCCAGGGAAGGCAGTTCTGTTAGTTCCATGAGAAGGGTTTTGGATAAGGCTACAAGGGTAAAAAGCACACTAGGTTGTTATGACAGGCTGAATATTTTGCACTTTATCTTTTTGCAATATGCAGCCATGGAAGTTTTCAGAAAGAAAAACTTGATTAAAAATTAATATGGTTGGGAGGAGGAGCCAAGATGGCCAAACAGGAACAGCTACAGTCTACAGCTCCCAGCGTGAGTGACGCAGAAGATGGGTGATTTCTGCATTTCCAACTGAGGTACTGGGTTCATCTCACTGGGGAGTGTCAGACAGTGGGTGCAGGACAGTGGGTGCAGCACACCGAGCATGAGCTGAAGCAGGGTGAGGGATCGCCTCCCCTGGGAAGTGCAAGGGGTCAGGGAATTCCCTTTCCTAGTCAAAGAAAAGGGTGACAGATGGCACCTGGAAAATCGGGTCACTCCCACACTAATACTGCGCTTTTCCAGTGGTCTTAGCAAACGGCACACCAGGAGATTATATCCTGTGCCTGGCTTGGAGGGTCCTATGCCCACGGAGCCTCGCTCATTGCTAGCACACCAGTCTGACATCAAACTGCAAGGTGGCAGTGAGGATGGGGGAGGGGCTCCGGCCATTGCCCCATTGCTGAGGCTTGAGTAGGTAAACAAAGTGGCTGGGAAGCTCGAACTGGGTGGAGCCCACCACAGCCCAAGGAGGCCTGCCTGCCTCTGTAGACTCCACCTCTGGGGGCCGGGCATAGCCAAACAAAAGGCAGCAGAAACGTCTGCAGACTTAAATGTCCCTGTCTGACAGCTTTGAAGAGACTAGTGGTTCTCCCAGCACGCAGCTGGAGATCTGAGAACGGACAGACTGTCTCCTCAAGTGGGTCCCTGACCCCTGAGTAGCTTAACTGGGAGGCACCCCCCCAGTAGGGGTGGACTGACACCTCACACGGAGGGGTACTCCTCTGAGACAAAACTTCCAGAGGAACGATCAGGCAGCAACATTTGCTGTTCACCAATATCCGCTGTTCTGCAGCCTCTGCTGCTGATACCCAGGGAAACAGCATCTGGAGTGGACCTCCAGCAAACTCCAACAGACCTGCAGCTGAGGGTCCTGACTGTTAGAAGGAAAACTAATAAACAGAAAGGACATCCACACCAAAACCCCATCTGTACGTCACTATCATCAAAGACCAAAGGTAGATAAAACCACAAAGATGGGGAAAAAACAGAGCAGAAAAACTGGAAACTCTAAAAAGCAGAGTGCCTCTCCTCCTCCAAAGGAATGCTCCTCACCAGCAACAGAACAAAACTGGATGGAGAATGACTTTGACGAGTTGAGAGAACAAGGCTTCAGATGATCAAACTACTCCAAGCTAAAGGAGGAAGTTCAAACCCATGGCAAAGAAGGTAAAAACCTTGAAAAAAAATTAGACAAACGGCTAACTAGAATAACAAATGCAGAGAAGTCCTTAAAGGACCTGATGGAGCTGAAAACAATGGCACGAGAACTATGTGATGAATGCACAAGCCTCAGTAGCCAATTCAATCAACTGGAAGAAAGGGTGTCAGTGATGGAAGATCAAATGAATGAAACGAAGTGAGAAGAGAAGACTAGAGAAAAAAGAATAAGAAGAAATGAACAAAGCCTCCAAGAAATATGGGACTATGTGAAAAGACCAAATCTACGTCTGATTGGTGTACCTGAAAGTGACGGGGAGAATGGAACCAAGTTGGAACACACTTTGCAGGATATTATCCAGGAGAACTTCCCCAATCTAGTAAGGCAGGCCAATATTCAAATTCAGGAAATACAGAGAATGCCACAAAGATACTCCTTGAAAATAGCAACTCCAAGACACATAATTGTCAGATTCACCAAAGTTGAAATGAAGGAAAAAATGTTAAGGGCAGCCAGAGAGAAAGCTCGGGTTACCCACAAAGGGAAGCCCATCAGACTAACAACTGATCTCTCCGCAGAAACTCTACAAGCCAGAAGAGAGTGGGGGCCAATATTCAACATTCTTAAAGAAAAGAATTTTCAACCCAGAATTTCATATCCAGCCAAACTAGGCTTCATATGTGAAGGAGAAATAAAATCCTTTACAGACAAGCAAATGCTGAGAGATTTTGTCACCACCAGGCCTGCCTTACAAGAGCTCCTGAAGGAAGCACTAAACATGGAAAGGAACAACCGGTACCAGCCACTGCAAAAACATGCCAAATTGTAAAGAACATCGAGGCTAGGAAGAAACTGCAGCAACCAATGAGCAAAATAACCAGTTAACACCATAATGGCAGCATCAAATTCACACATAACAATATTAACCTTAAATGTAAATGGATTAAATGCTCCAATTAAAAGAGACAGACTGGCAAATTGGATAAAGAGTCATGACCCATCAGTGTGCTGTATTCAGGAAACCCATCTTATGTGCAGAGACACACATAGGCTCAAAATAAAGGGATGGAGGAAGATCTACCAAGCAAATGGAAAACAAAAAAAGGCAGGGGTTGCAATCCTAGTCTCGGATAAAACACACTTTAAACCAACAAAGATCAAAAGAGACAAAGAAGGCCATTACATAATGGTAAAGGGATCAATTCAACAAGAAGAGCTAACTATCCTAAATATATATGCACCCAATACAAGAGCATCCAGATTCATAAAGCAAGTCCTTAGAGACCTACAAAGAGACTTAGACTCCCACACAATAATAATGGGAGACTTTAACACCCCACTGTCAACATTAGACAAATCAACGAGACAGAAAGTTAACAAGGATATCCAGGAACTGAACTCAGCTCTGCAGCAAGCGGACCTAATAGACATCTACAGAACTCTCCACCCCAAATCAACAGAATATACAGTCTTTTCAGCACCACACCACACCTATTCCAAAATTGACCACATAGTTGGAAGTAAAGCACTCCTCAGCAAATGTAAAAGAACAGAAATTATAACAAACTGTCTCTCAGACCACAGTGCAATCAAACTAGAACTCAGGATTAAGAAACTCACTCAAAACCACTCAACTACATGGAAACTGAACAACCTGCTCCTGAATGACTACTGGGTACATAACGAAATGAAGGCAGAAATAAAGATGTTCTTTGAAACCAACGAGAACAAAGACACAACATACCAGCATCTCTGGGACACATTCAAAACAGTGTGTAGAGGGAAATTCATAGCACTAAATGCCCACAAGAGAAAGCAGGAAAGATCTAAAATGGACACCCTAACATCACAATTAAAAGAACTAGAGAAGCAAGAGCAAACACATTCAAAAGCTATCAGAAGGCAAGAAATAACTAAGATCAGAGCAGAACTGAAGGAAATAGAGACACAAAAAACCCTTCAAAAAATCAATGAATCCAGGAGATGGTTTTTTGAAAAGATCAACAAAATTGATAGACCGCTAGCAAGACTAATAAAGAAGAAAAGAGAGAAGAATCAAATAGACACAATAAAAAATGATAAAGGGGATATCACCACCAATCCACAGAAATACAAACTACCATCAGAGAATACTATAAAGACCTCTATGCAAATAAACTAGACAATCTAGAAGAAATGGATAAATTCCTCATCCCTCCCAAGACTAAACCGGGAAGAAGTTGAATCTCTGAATAGACCAATAACAGGCTCTGAAATTGAGGCAATAATTAATAGCTTACCAACCAAAAAAAGTCCAGGACCAGATGGATTCACAGCCAAATTCTACCAGAGGTACAAGGAGGAGCTGGTACCATTCCTTCTGAAATTATTCCAATCAATAGAAAAAGAGGGAATCCTCCCTAACTCATTTTATGAGGCCAGCATCATCTTGATACCAAAGCTTGGCACAGACACAACAAAAAAAAGAGAATTTTAGACCAATATCCTTGATGAACATCGATGCAAAAATCCTCAATAAAATACTGGCAAATCGAATCCAGCAGCACATCAAAAAGCTTATCCACCATGATCAAGTGGGCTTCATCCCTGGGATGCAAGGCTGGTTCAACATATGCAAATCAATAAATGTAATCCAGCATATAAACAGAACCAAAGACCAAAACCACATGATTATCTCAATAGATGCAGAAAAGGCCTTTGACAAAATTCAACAGCCCTTCATACTAAAAACTCTCAATAAATTAGGTATTGATGTGATGTATCTCAAAATAATAAGAGCTATCTATGACAAACCCACAGCCAATATCATACTGAATGGACAAAAACTGGAAGCATTCCCTTTGAAAACTGGCACAAGACAGGGATGCCCTCTCTCACCACTCCTATTCAACATAGTGTTAGAAGTTCTGGGCAGGGCATTCAGGCAGGAGAAAGAAATAAAGGGCATTCAATTAGGAAAAGAGAAAGTCAAATTGTCCCTGTTTGCAGATGACATGATTGTATATCTAGAAAACCCCATCATCTCAGCCAAAAATCTCCTTAAGCTGATAAGCAACTTCAGCAAAGTCTCAGGATACAAAATCAATGTGCAAAAATCACAAGCATTCTTATACACCAATAACAGACAAACAGAGAGCCAAATCATGAGTGAACTCCCATTCACAATTGCTTCAAAGAGAATAAAATACCTAGGAATCCAACTTACAAGGGACATGAAGGACCTCTTCAAGGAGAACTACAAACCACTGCTCGATGAAATAAAAGAGGATACAAACAAATGGAAGAACATTCCACGCTCATGGGTAGGAAGAATCAGTATCGTGAAAATGGCCATACTGCCCAAGGTAATTTATAGATTCAATGCCATTCCCATCAAACTACCAATGACTTTCTTCACAGAATTGGAAAAACTACTTTAAAGTTCATATGGAACCAAAAAAGAGCCCACATTGCCAAGACAATCTTAAGCCAAAAGTTTAGGCAAAGCTGGAGGCATCACGCTACCTGACTTCAAACTATACTACAAGGCTACAGTAACCAAAACAGCATGGTACTAGTACCAAAACAGAGATATAGACCAATGGAACAGAACAGAGCCCTCAGAGATAATGCCGCATATCTACAACCATCTGATCTTTGACAAACCCATCAAAACCAAGCAATGGGGAAAGCATTCCCTATTTAATAAATGGTGCTGAGAAAAGTGGCTAGCCATATGTAGAAAGCTGAAACTGGATCCCTTCCTTACACCTTATACAAAAATTAATTGGGGATGGATTAAAGACTTACAGGTTAGACCTAAAACCATAAAAACCCGAGAAGAAAACCTAGGCGATACCACTCAGGACATAGGCATGGACAAAGACTTTTTGTCTAAAACACCAAAAGCAATGGCAACAAAAGCCAAAATTAACAAATGGGATCTAATTAAACTAAAGAGCTTCTGCACAGCAAAAGAAACTACCATCAGAGTGAACAGGCAACCTACAGAATGGGAGAAAATTTTTGCAATCTACTCGTCTGACAAAGGGCCAATATCCAGAATCTTCAATGAACTCCAACAAATTTACAAGAAAAAAACAAACAACCCCATCAAAAAGTGGGCAAAGGATATGAACAGACACTTCTCAAAAGAAGACATTTATGCAGCCAAAAGACACACGAAAAAATGCTCATCATCACTGGCCATCAGAGAAATGCAGATCAAAACCACAATGAGATACCATCTCACACCAGTTAGAATGGTGATCATTAAAAAGTCAGGAAACAACAGGTGCTGGAGAGGATGTGGAGAAATAGGAACACTTTTACACTGTTGGTGGGACTGTGAACTAGTTCACCCATTGTGGAAGTCAATGTGATCTAGAACTAGAAATACCATTTGACCCACCCATCCCATTACTGGGTATATACCCAAAGGATTATAAAACATGCTGCTCTAAAGACACATGCACACATATGTTTATTGCGGCACTATTCACAATAGCAAAGATTTGGAACCAACCCAAATGTCCATCAATGATAGACTGGATTAAGAAAATGTGGCACATATACACCATGGAATACTAGGCAGCCATAAAAAATGATGAGTTCATGTCCTTTGTAGGGACATGAATGAAGCTGGAAACCATCATTCTCAGCAAACTATCACAAGGACAAAAAACCAAACACCGCATTTTCTCACTCGTAGGTGGGAATTGAACAATGAGAACACATGGACACAGGAAGGGGAACATCACACACCATGGTCTGTTGTGTGTTGGGGGGAGGGGGGAGGGATAGTATTAGGAGAAATACCTAATGTTAAATGACGAGTTAATGGGTGCAGCACACCAACATGGCACATGTATGCATATGTAACAAACCTGCACATTGTGCACATGTATCCTAAAACTTAAAGTATAATAATAAATAACATAAATTAAAAATTAATATGGTTGTTTTACATAGAAAGGGGATAAACTCGAGTCAAGGAGCTATATTAATAAATCAAGATATTAAGACTTTATGAGTAGAAGCCCATTAAAATTATTTCAGCAGTTTTTCTCATCATATATTAAAACTCAAGTATGCCTCACAACTTAAGGAGTTTTGAATTGGAACTTCTTCACTTTACGACTTTTCTTACTATCAATAAAATATCACCCCTGCCATTAGTAACCAACAATTCTCCTGTTTATGATTGCAAATTACCTCCAATCAAAGGGACCCCAAATACCCACCTGATCCACACATCTAAGTGCTAATGCAAAGTCAAGGATAGGGCCACTCAAGCTCATTGTGTAGCTGCACTTAGAGTGAAGATTATTGAAGAATATGAAAATTTCACTTTCCTAGAACTTGCCCTTCCAGTGTGTCTGTGGTCTTCATGCTCACTGAGTTAGAAATTAAACATTTTGAATAGTAGACCTTAATTTTGAAAAGAACTCACAGTTTCTATGAACAGCAAAGAAAACATATACTGCTCTGGGGAGATTTACCTATAACAGATGTGTCTACATCTACATTCTGAAATTCTCAGAGCTCTTATATTAATGAGCTTTAGCTAAAAGGATCATTTATGATATACTGTAGAAATTTTTGGTTTTACCTAATTAATAATTGTTTAAAACCAAAATATTGGAAGGAGTTGACACATTTATTTTCCATTTCTTCATGTTTCTATCGGCAAAAAGCAAAGAGTAAATACTTCTTGTTCCTTTCTTGACTTATTTTGGGGTCTTGTGTGAAAGGTTCCTCTTGTTCACATCTATTTCCTTTTGAAATGCTATACTCACTACCAGTTAGAAAGGCCAGCACTCTGTTCTGCATCTAGTCTTTCTTTCTGTTCCAGCTTAACTGTCTGAGACAGAAGATCCAGTGATGGAGAGAGAGGCAGTAGAATGATTTGGTCCATAATAATATCTCTAATCCAGCTTTTATTTGATAGCTCTGCATTTTGGAGTTGTTTAATATGTTTGCATTACCATAAATAAAACTGATACTTTGGCCTCTACTTGGCCATCAGTTGTTTTGTGTATATGCAGTTGGTCAAACCTAGAGGGGAGGAGAAGAGCCTTCCAGGACATAAGCACCTAACACATGTGTTTTTGTTTTATTTATTTAGGTTATTAATTTTTGTATTTTATATTTTGAAATGGGTTTCCAAAAATAAAATTCTAATTTCTATCACTGCACTTAATATAGGAAATAAAGGTACAACTTCAAATAACATGATCTGCGATATCTTCTGACAAACCACAAATTAGGATGTCAGTTGGGATTTCTAGCCCTCTTTTTAATCCAGATTTTGTAACCCTCAAATTTACTACAAAAATAAAATTGGTTATCCAAAATAAGCTTTGACTTCTACATCAGCCATCTCAAATACACTATTTTAGGGAGCAAAGGGACAAAGGGAAGAGTAGAAGACAAATGAGACCAGAAGGAAAGATCAAACTAACTCCCCTAAAAATCCGAGACTCACAGAGGGATACACATCTGTGTCTGCAGGCTATAAGCCATATCTCAGACATCAGTTCTCCTTAAAAGTATGGTATTCCACAGCAAAAGAAACTATCAATGGAGTAAACAGACAATCTACAGAAGAGTAGAAAATATTTGCAAACTATGCATCTGAAAAAAAGTCTAATATCCAGCATCTATAAGGAACGTAAACAACTTTGCAAGAAAAAAACAAACAACCCCATTAAAAAGTGGGCAAAGGACATGAACAGAAACTTTTCAAAAGAAGACATACATGCAGCCAACGAGCATATGAAAACAAGCTCAACATCACTGATCATTAGAGAAATGCAAATCAAAACCACAGTGAGATACTATCTCACACCAGTCAGAATGGCTATTATTAAAAAGTCAAAAAAATAACAGATGCTAGTGAGGTTGTAGAGAAAAAGGAATGCTCATACACTGTTGGTGGGAGTGTAAATTAGTTCAACCATTGTGGAAAGAAGTGTGGTAATTCCTTAAAGACCTAAAAACAGACCTACCATTTGACCCAGTAATCCCATTACTGAGTATATACCCAAAGTAATGTAAATTGTTCTATCATAAAGACACATTCATGCATATGTTCACTGCAGTGCTATTCACAATAGCAGACATGGAATCCACCTAAATTGCTCACCACTGGTAGACTGGATAAAGAAAATGTGGTACATATACACCATGGAATACTATGCAGCCATAAAAAAGAAAGAGATCACATCCTTTGCAGCAACATGGATGGGGCAGGAGGCCATCATCCTTAGCAAACTAATGTAGTAACAGAAAACCAAATATCACATGTTCTCACTTATAAGTGGGAGCTAAATGATGAGAAACAACAGACACTGGGGCCTATGTGAGGGTGAAGGGTGGGGAAGGGAGAGGATTAAAAAAATAACTATTGGGCACCAGGTTTAGTACACGGGTGACAAAATAATCTGTCAACAACCCTCTGTGACACGAATTTACCTATATAACAAACCTGCACATGTACCCGTAAACCTGAAATAAAAGTTAACAAAAATAAATTAAAGTAGATGTCCCTTGGCATAGCTGATGGTGCTAATTCAAATTTGAAGAGATAGCAGAGCCTCCTTTGAGACCTGCTAACCTTTTAAACCAGTGCTAAACTAAAAAAAAAGGATATGGCATTCCAGAGCCACACTCCCCTTGGGAAATCAACTGATTATTAAAAATGCAGAAAAAGTTTATCTTTAAAGACTCTGACCTCCTCAGCAATCAGTGATGTGTAGGTTTCCCAGATAAAGTGAACTTCAGAACTTTGCATCCTACATGCCATCTGTAGCAGCACCTGTAGGGTACATTTGTTTACAATAAGGATGCAACTGCCCAGGCACGGTGGCTCACGCCTGTGATCCTAGCACTTTGGGAGGCCAAGGCAGGTGGATCACCTGAGGCCGGGAGCTCGAGACCAGCCTAGCCAACATGGTGAAACCCCGTCTCTACTAAAAATACAACAATTAGCCGAGCATGGTAGCATACACCTGTAATATCAGCTACTCAGGAGGCTGAGGCAGGAGAATCATTTGAACCTCTGAGGCGGAGGTTGCAATGAGCTGATATTGCACCACTGCACTCCAGCCTAGGTGACAGAGTGAGACTCTGTCTCAAAAAAATAAAATAAAATAAAAAATAAGGATGCAACTTACATTGGTGTCACCTCCGTTTTTAAACTTGAATGACATGTACAACTCTTCCTTAATCCAGTTCTTTTTGTTTATCCATGTAGTTTCAAAGACTGAAAAGACATAACATCTTCTCTAATGGAGGAAGGTTGTGGTCACATGATGCTCTTACTATCAAGAAATACCATTTTCAAACAGAAAAATGCTAAACCCACCAGGCAATAAAAGAAAATTGTGCTTCAGTGGGGTAGTCCCCAGGGATCTATCATTAGTGAGGCAAGATGACATGACAGACACAGGAAAAATGGAGAAGCACCAGTAAGAGGGGTCAGAGACAAGAGGGGCAGCCCCAGAAACACCACAAGAAGAAGCAGGAGTACTTCAGCCCAGTGGCTATTAGAGAAACATCTCACACAAAGTGTAGAGCGCATGATTTAGTGAATATTTGGAGAAACCACAAAAGATTTACATCAATTAAAATTCCACACTGTCTTTTCCATTCTGAGACACTTTCCCATCAGTGCCATTTTTCCTTGCTACAGCCTTTTAGAGGTGCAGCCTATTTTGTCTGTTCCTTTTTTTCAATTGCCATCAGTTTGAAAATCTTGCTAAATTCTCAGGATTGTGAAAATGCGAATCAGATTGTACAACATATAAATAAGATCAAGTCACTCACTGTTTTAAAGTCTTCGTTGGTTTCCCATCAAACCTATAATCAAAACCTGAGTCCTACAAAGCCCTGGATGACCAGGTCTCTGACTCCTTATCCTCTCTCATCAATCAGTATTCACCCTTTTCCTCATCTTCTCAGCTGGAAGGGCCGTCTGGTTGGTCCCTACACATACCCAGAACACTCTAGCTCAGAGTTTCTGCATTTGCCTTTTCCTCAGCCTGGTCTGCCCCGGCTACAGATATCTGTAAAGCTTCTGCCTTATTTTATGCAGATATCTGCTCAAATATTACATCCTAAAGAGAACTTCTCTGATATTCTATATAAAACCACATTCTCATCCCAGGATTACTGTCTAGCCTCTTACCCTACCTTATTTTTCTTCATAGCATGTATCATTTCCAAACATTATATTACATATGTAATTATTATCTGCCCCTCCGGCATCTAAGTCATTAAGGGTGAAGACTATGGTCTGGAACATAGTAGTAGGAACACATGAAAAGTGTATTGAATAAAGGAACAAATAGTTGTTATCACAAGTTGATTGTTTCTGATATTCCTGTAGACGGTACCAGAGTGCCCAACAGCTTTGCTAGTTTTCCTTTTTTCTCTGAGGGTGGAGCTCATTGAATTGAGCTCAATCCTCAATCTTTTGTTCTTTTCTGGACCTAGTAAGTTCCCATTTCTATGAAGAAGTCACTTACCTGTTGGGACTACAGGGAAGAAATTAAGAGGACAACCAGACAGCCACAATTAATTCATATTTCATATGCTTTCAAATCTGAGTGACTCAATGTTGCTTAGCTTCCCATTTTGCAAGTGATTCACAAACACTTCCATCAAACTATCCCTTTTGCTGAGGAAAACGGACTTTTACCTTTGTATCTACTGTATCATGAAGTGGGCACATAGGTCAAATCATTAGATGGGAATGCAGAATTTCTTGATATTTTGTATTTTATCTTTAAAAATCTATGAGATTTAAAAAATTATCTGCCATGGCATCTTTTTTTTTTTTTTTTTTTTTTTTGAGACGGAGTCTCACTTTGTCACCCAGGCTGGAGTGCAGTGGCGTGATCTTGGCTCACTGCAAGCTCCGCCTCCCGGGTTCACGCCATTCTCCTGCCTCAGCCTCCCGAGTAGCTGGGACTACAGGTGCCCACCACCACGCCAGGCTAATTTTTTGTATTTTTAGTAGAGACGGGGTTTCACCGTGTTAGCCAGGATGGTCTTGATCTCCTGACCTCATGATCTGCCCGCCTCGGCCTCCCAAAGTCCTGGGATTACAGGCGTGAGCCACCACACCCGGCCGGCATCTTTTAATTTCAGTTAAAAAAAATCTCCCTTCAATCATCCAGCAAAATTGCTCAGCCAGGAGGCTGTACCACATTAACTCCTGACTTGCAGTAGCCCCTGGCAAACCACCTGTACTCCTGTTATAACCATTTCCCATTAAGAGAGTATTTTTGCATAGGGGATAATGAACATGAAGACAGGAGACCTGTGTTCTTGTCCTAGCCTTAACATTCGTTTGCTGCTAGATCCTTGGCAAGTTAAACTCTCGGAGCTCCAACATTCTAATGTGTATCTTCCCTCTCAATGTTAAAAAAATAATTTCAAATCTCTAGTAGGTAATTGATCAACCTGTGAAGGAAAAACCTGCTGCTACCTGACACACTTTATTAAACACTGTAAAAGAGCATTGCTCATGAGTATGTTTGGGTAAACTTTGTGAAAGCACGGTCATCATGTTTTTTGTTGGCACATGCCAAAATTTTGTTTAAGTAAGTAATGAGGACATTAACAGGAAGACAAAAGAGCTGATTTGGCAAGTACTTGAGAAATGAAGATTTACCTTGTCAGTAGGAAAGGAAATACTAAATTAGGTATAAGACTAGTGAGTAGAGTTAATTTCTCTCATAGTAAAAATTTATTATTTTCTGTCTGCTCTTTTTATCTACTGTGGGTTGATAATCAAATATCCTTTGGCAGAAAGCTGCATTTTCTTTGACATAGAAGCAGAAGAATCTAAGTAGATAACATTTTCCCTAGCAGGATATTTAAAAATCAAGCAACCATTACCTTGCCTTTTTCTGTGTTTTGAAGTAAATTATTCTTTCACGTATCTAAAAGAAGCAAATGGAAGGAAGCTTCACATTGATTACACTTGCCAGAAGATTCCTTAAAACTTGCTTTTAGACACACTGGGATTTCAGGAAGCTTTCAATTCTGATTGCAGATCTCATTAAGGATTCCAAAAATCTTGCATCTTAGCTGATCAATTCTAAGGTGAAATCCAGTTTTTAAATTTGTTGTTGTGTGTACATGTCAGGAAAGTTCTGAAAATGTGAAGGTGAACTTCCAAAATCTGTCATTTATCAGTAAGCTCCATCTGACTGCTGTGTCCACAGTTGACAGAGGAGGAAAAGGGCTTGATGGTTGTTGTTGTTATTTTTTTAAACTGTTCATTATCAAAATAATACAATTTCACTAAGAAAATTTTGAAAGAAAAAAATTGTCTAAAATAAAAATTTAGAGTAATACCCTTACTCTTCAATTTCATTCCCCATTGGTAGCCTCTGTTAATATTTTTGTGTATATCCCACTATGTCTTACACACACACACACACACACACACACACACACACATTTTAACAAAGATGGGATCACACTATACAAGATTCTACAAGTTATTTTCTCACTAACAATGTCTCCTTAACCCCTACTCATATCCGTGGATATAGATCTTTTGTCTAATGCTGCATGGTATTCCATTGTATGAACATG
This sequence comes from Homo sapiens, assembly GCF_000001405.40. NCBI lineage: Eukaryota > Metazoa > Chordata > Mammalia > Primates > Hominidae > Homo > Homo sapiens. Next base: position 130,358,900 of record NC_000006.12, read on the forward strand.
TTGTAATTTAAGTAGTCTTTTATTGATGGGCACAGAGGTGATTTCCAGTTTCACCAAGAGGTAGCTATCACAGTTGTTGAGAGCACAGGCCTTAGCATCAGACTGCGTGGGCTCATGAGCCCAGTTCCTCCACTTACTTACTTGGATAAACTACTTAATCTCCCTTACTCCAGTTATTTCAGCTGTAAAATGGAGAAAAAATTAGTGCTTGCTCTAAAAGACTATTATGAAGAGTTAATAGTTATAAAATGCTTAGAATAGTGCCCATTTCATAGTAAGTACTGTATAATAATTTTATATGATATTTTTATCACTATATACAATACTAAAATCCACTGATTTTATATGTATCTAAACTTCAACTTTTGATTGGGTCTGATTTGTTTGAGTACACAGAACAAATTCTTAATCTGGAATGCAAAGCCCACTGTAAGCTGGCCTCTGCCTATTTCTCCTATGCCTTCCCACACTCCAGCCACAGTGATTCTTCCTACACTTCTCTGAGTGCACAATACTGTGTTCTTTTCTGGAAATTGCACACACATTTCCCTCTCTTTGAATTCTGTTACATCCTTGTCTACCTTTTGAAGTCTCTGCATCTTTCAGAGCCAAGATCTTGGATCCCTATGTCTTTGAATTCTCCTTTGAACAAAGGATTTCTGATGATCCTTATTTTATATCACCATTTTGTACCCATTAGGGCACTTTTCATACTGCAGCTATGTGCTTACAAAGATGCCAAACACACCAGACCACAATAAATATGCAGAAAAGGGCTCTCACTCGCTCATTTCTATACAGCCCAACTGAATATAATGCCCAATACATTATGTGAATGCTTTCTGAATTAATAAAAGAACAATCTAAAACTGAAACTCTACTCACATTTTATCACAAGGCTGTTTCCTTAGGTGTGAAGGAGTGGTAAGGCTGGGAAAATGCATAGCTTCCAGGGATATGCTAAATCTTTCAATCACTTGGGACCTGTAAAGCACTCTAACATGAGTCATGTTTTATGAGTGCTAAATAAGTACTGAACTAGGAATAGGAAGATCCAGTTTCCAGCCATGGCCCTGTCATTCTGTGGTTATGTGATCTTAAGCTGGGCACTTGTGTTCATAAACTAAAAATTGAAGGAGTGGCAAAGAATGGTATCTAATGCAAAGAATAAATGTAATGTCTAAGAGAAGATCTGACATGCTCAAGTTCATTGCAGCTTATTTCCTTATATAAACAGGTGTTTCTAGATCAGCAATGACACAATGAGCAATAATCCCCAGTGTCAAAACTCATTAAATGACTATTGTTTACAGAACAGATTATCAGGTTTGAAGTTTCTCTTGAAAAATGAATGTGCCAACGTTTTCTCATGTTCCAAAAGAAATGTGTGAAAGTATCGGGGAACCTGCCCCAATAGTCATGTAGGTCCTTTTCTATTTTCCCTAAGTGTCGGCCAGGTTGAGAAATAAAGGGACAGAGCACAAAAGAGAGAAATTTTAAAGCTGGGCATCTGGGGGAGACATCACATGTTGGTAGGTTCTGTGATGTCCCACAAGCCACAAAACCAGTAAGTTTTTATTAGGGACTTTCAAAGAGGAGGGAGTGTACGAATAGGGTGTGGGTCACAAAGATCATGTACTTCACAAGGTAATAGAATATCACAAGGCAAATGGAGGCAGGGTGAGAACACAGGACCACAGGACCGGGGCAAAATTAAAATTGCTAATGAAGTTTCGGGCACCATTGTCATTGATAACATCTTATCAGGAGACAGGGTTTGAGAGCAACCAGTCTGACCAAAATTTATTAGGCGTGAATTTCCTCTTCCTAATAAGCCTGGGAGCGCTATGGGAGACTGGGATTTATTTCATCCCTACAGTTTCGACCATAGAAGATGGCCACACCCAAGGGGGCCATTTTAGAGACCCACCCTCAGGGGCATATTCTCTTTCTCAGGGATGTTCATTGCTGAGAAAATAATTCAGCAATATTTCTCCCATTTGCTTTTGAAAGAAGAGAAATATGGCTCTGTCCCGCCCGGCTCACTGGAGGTCAGAGTTTAAGGTTATCTCTCTTATTCCCTGAACAATTGCTGTTATACTGTTCTTTTTTCAAGGTGCCCAGATTTCATATTCTTCAAACACACATGCTCTACAATTTGTGCAGTTAACGCAATTATCACAGGGTCCTGAGGCAACATATATCCTCCTCAGCTTACGAGATGACAGAATTAAGAGATTAAAGTAAAGACAGGCATAGGAAATCACAAGGATATTGATTGGGGAAGTGATAAGTGTCCATGAAAACTTCACAATTTGTGTTTAGAGATTGCAGTAAAGACAGGCATAAGAAATTATAAAAGTATTAATTTGGGGGAACTAATAAATGTCCATGAAATCTTCACAATCCATGTTCTTCTGCCATGGCTTCAGCTGGTCCCTCCGTTTGGGGGTCCCTGACTTCCCGCAACATGAAAGGGTATTCCCTGGACCCCTAAATAGCACGATTTAAACTGCATTATATTTTACCAAAATTGTGGCTTAATTCAGGTCTAAATGATTACTGTTTACAAACTCAGCTGTATGTGTGTACAGTCTGTTGGCTGTAGGATTAAGAAATCTTGATATTTATAAACATTTTAGAATTCAAGATGCCAAGTAGTTTTGTTCTAATTTAATAAAAACAGATCTAATAAAATTGTTAAGAAAAACCTTATTTTTCTTTACTCTAGATCATGATTATGGATGGATAAATCCCAAACAGAAAGATGATGTAGTGAATTTTAAAATTTTATTTTGTCAACTAATTTAATGTGGTTGTACTGTTTTGATTGAGCAGAAACTGCAGAATTAAATTCTTTTACAATAAATTTTCACAGTGTCTGAGAATGTTATGCTGAGAGGCACCCCTTCTTGGGTTGGGGAAGTATCACTCACACAGTGCCTGAGAGATTTGTTGAACATCTGCTACATGCCGACCCAAATGTTTTACAACTATAATTTTATTATCAGTGAACACTTAAATCAGTGTTATGTGGACATGTTAAAATTATTGGCAGTTTATGGATGAGGGCAATTAAACCCAGAATAGTCAGTAAAAGTTAATATTTTAGCCCGGCTGTTCGGGTCAAAGGCTATGCTCTCTGTGTAACACCACACCACCATCACCAACTGAAATGTAGCTAAAAAGGCAGCATTTGGGCTGTGCTTCTGGAAGGGACTGAAGTGAAGGCTGATATAAGCAGAGCACCAGGGAAGTCAGAGGACATATGAACAGTGCCCTAGTGCAGTGCTTTTCAAATATTAACATGCAGACAGATCACTTGAGTATGTTGCTGAGTTGCAGAGTATGATTTAATAGGTTTGGGCAAGGGCCTGAGATCTTGCTATTCTAACAGTTCCCCCGTGATGCAAATATTGCCGAGTCTCGGACTATGCTTTTGAGTAGTCAGGCACTAACGAAAGAATGACTGGTTCAGTACCATGGACAGTGGAACAGGTGGGCCACCACTACCATCTTCTCTCATTTCAGTCAAATCTCTATTATCTTCTACAGGTAGATTCTTGCAACAAAAACAGTCAAAATCTTTAAAAAGTAATTTTTGGATTTCTATAAGCTACTTGGTGATTATCCTTCAACAGGCACAAATCTGTTCAGAGGAAAGAACTGGGCTTTGGAAGGGAGAGAGTATGGCTCCTTTCACATTTCTAAATGGTACGCTGCCAGTGCCCCTCAGGCAAAAAGAATCTAATCAGGTTTATTATCTAACAAGGAGGTATCTGATTATCTAATATAGATGATTCTGTATCTAATACAGAATTTATAAATATTTAAGTAGTCGTATCAGCCTCAACATTATAAAACATCAATCTGAGAGGGGTTAGCACTGTTACTTGCACATTTAATGAACAGAAAAGAAATTAGCAACATCTTTCTGCTGTGAAATCCACTGAACTATTAGTCAATTGCACATAATGAGAAAGAAAACATGAAAAGTATGACAAAGTGCTATTCAAAATCACGGTGAAATAAAAATGACCTTAAAATTTTATTTTTAAATATATTTCCTCTACCTTTTTCTTTATCCTATATTCCTCCCCCTATTTACTTATTTCAAGAATAAAGTCAGAAAGTTCATTTTCTTTATTGACTTTACCCTCTACTTTGAAAAAGCACCCATGGCTGCTAGCAGAAATACTACAGGGGTTTTAAGACTATCAATCTATTTCACATCAAGAACAAAGCCATTCAGATAAAAATCTAGCAAACAATTCTATTTTTTCCCATTGAAGACATTTTTATTTTCTGTTTAAGGATCCCTTCTCAGGCCTAAAAATGCTATGGGCTACATTTAAGGCAAGAGGAAATGAATATAATCCCACACAAATTTTCTAATAGCCCTTCTCTTAGCCTTGTTACATGACCTCTTAAGAATACTCATTCTTTTTCATTTCAACGTATGTTTCCAAAATTAATTCATTAAATATGAATTGCCATCCATCAGACTTTTATAATACTATACCAAGAGTGAAAATGTTGATCTTCATATTTTGACCTTTTTTCATGTTAATTCTTGATTCCAGAGGAAGAGCCTTTTTTTGATGATGTTAATTGCATTAAAACAAGTTTGATGTGAGTGTATATATGTTCAATCACATATGTATTGAGGATCTGTGACTTGTAGGAAGAATATTATACACATCATTTCATTCAATTTTCACAACACTTTGAAATAGATACTTTGTTCCTACTTAAGGGATGGGAGAAATGAGGTACCAAGTCCCTCTGTTAGTAGGTGGTGGAGCTTGGATTACAGGACACTTGGATTACTCTCTTTCTACTATGCACTCTTATAAGATGGGCTTGTTCTAGTGGAAATTTACATATCTCATATAGACACAGCAAAAAATATTATGTGTGAAGTGCAGTGCTACTTGATGGCGAGAAGTAGAAAATAGTTGACTTCTATCCATTATTTCCAAAGCCGATGTGTAGCTGAATTCAAAATCCATTACTGGCATGGTATATTCACTGTCAGATGGGAAGATATTGGCCATTAGTAAGGATAAATAATTTACCTGAGATTCCCTTGAGCACTCAAGGTCAGGGAAAATTTATAACTAATGTGTTGAGAGTTGCTCGGACTACTGAATTGCAAATAATCCTCTATTTACAGGCCATTTTACCCGCCTCTTCTGAGACTAATAGTAATTATTTTAAAAAGAAATCTAAATAATTCCCTTTTGGTGATTTTACTTAGTCTATCTTTCTTCTTTTTTGGTAAATCACTAAAATCTGAGTTCATAGTTCATAAATGAGGAAGCATCAATATCTGTGGCCTTAAGAATGTGCTTATTCCTTTTTTCATGGCTCTCATCAGTCTCTTTTTGAGGACGGCTCAGTCACTCAATGCTTAAAATGGCTAGATGACCATTTTAAACGTTTTACCATGGGTCTTAGAGAGGATGTCACCTCAAATGATCTATGGACTATGAGCCTATTCCTATTACTCACTCCTTAGATAGTGAGGGGAACCAGGAGGTGTTTCCTCTCAGGAGCTTTACAGACAATGTGGCTTCAGGGTGTTTCTTTATAAAATGTAGAGGTAACTAGGAAGAGGGCCCAATGGAAGCACACTCCTTTGATATGGTGCTTGACAAACACATTTAAGAAAACCTAAGAGAATTGAGCAGGTGGCTGTGGGCTAGAATACTAGATGCAGGTGGGGTAAAAATAAAACCACAGATGGTTTATAAAGGTGACTCATCCTTCCCCCACCGTAACTCCTTTAGTTTTCTTTTCTTTCTTTTTATAAAACATTTTGATTGTGACATCTCCACTAAAAGTGCCCAATCTCTAAATTCTTCTAGTCAAGGCAAGAAGGTTATACCACAGGAAATCCATTTCTACAGTCTCTTCTCATTGCCATATCTGATTTTAAAGACTTTTTTTTCTAATGTGGAAATTTTTGCATGGCTCTCCCCCACCCCCCAAACACGGATTTTATACCCCCCCAGAAGCAAACTTTTCTTGAAAACGAGATAAACAGATCACACGCCGAAATAAACAAATACACTGCACCAGAATATCATACTTGCCTTCTATCACTTAAAACAGATCCAGGGGACACAAGCATAGCACACACCTTGTGCATGCGGCTGGCCTGCACAGGGGGTGGTTGGAATATCCGGTAATTAGTTTTACATGAAACTTTACTTACGGAATTGGCCTGCATATATACAGTCATCACCGTCTTTGCCGAATTAGAGACGACATATTTTACTCTGTGAACAGGCCAGTCTCCACTCACTGGATGTTTGGGGTCAAGGAGGAGTAACCTGAACCTCTCGTTGGCTTTGATGTTTGGAGTCGAACATCCGCACTGCTCATCGAAGACCCCCGTGCTTCAGTTCCCTCTGTCTTCCATTTCCCCCGCCCATGGTTCTCGCCCCCCCAAGCCGTTCTCCGGAACCCCTTGCCGGGCCGGCGGGAAGCGTGGACGGAGCGGGCCTTGGCCGCGTCTTTTCCGGCCAGGTTTGGTTTAGCTCGCGCAGCGCCCGCGCAGCCCGCCAGGGGGACCCCGGCCCGCCGGGCGGCATCTGAGGAGAAAGCGTCCGAGGGGCGTGGAGCCAGGGTCCTGCGGTGCCTGCTCCGGGAATACTGCGAGTCGGCTGGAGCTCCCCAGCCGCTCCGGAGAACTGGGGGAGCCGGGTCCCTGGCTCGGTAACCGGTGGTCCCGCGGTAGCTAGAGGCGGGCCCCACGGGTGGGTGTGTCCGTTTCCGCACGCCAGCCTTCCAGCCCGGGAAGAGCGCCTGCAAGCGGGTACTTTGTTCCCAAAGATGGGTTTTGTCTGCGGGTGATTTGGGCTCTCGAAGTGCAACTTTGTGGCCGGGACGCGGATCGGCCGGCCTGGGCTCCTGCAGAGCAGATCCTGTCTGCGTCCTCCAGGAGGAGTGGGTGGCAGGACTGGGGTTTCCCACAGGTTTTGGGGCGGCGGCGAGATTGGCACGGTCCGGGGTCGCAGGCGCGCAGCCACGCCCCTGGAAGTCCGCCCCGGCCCCCGCCCCCAACCCGCCTCTTCGGGGCTTTATGGCGTGAGGTTTGGGGCTGGGATCCATCTGGAGCCGAGCAGAAAACTTTTCCCCTCCCGTTCCCGGTCCCTTTTGTCTTTCTTGGACGCGGTGGCGGCGCCGCCTGAGCGGCGACTCCCTCTCCCCTGCCCGGCTTGCTGCGCCCGGTGCCCTCCGAGGGCAGGCGCGCCTGGACTCTGCGCCCGGATGGCGGCGGCCCTCTGTGAGCACCGGCAGCGGCGCATCCCCTGCCCCGAGGCCTCCGGTGCCCCCCCGGCGCGGGCATAGGGGCGCCCCCACCCTCCGTCCGCTTGCACCCCTTGCCACCCGCCCCCTCGCCTGACTCATCCGCCCGCGGTGGCCGCCCGAGCCCTGGGATGGGGAGGGAGACCGCGGCTGCCCGCGGCGGCCGAGATTCCCGCTGACGCCCCCGACCCTGCCGCCTTCTTCGTCCGCCTCCAGAGGCGCCCGACGTCCCGACAGCTCCTGGAGTGAGACCAGGACTGAGAACAGGGAGAGGCGACCCGACCCCCAGGGCCCGGTGCTCAGGACAGGTGAGGGGAAGGAAAGGGTGCTGACGGGAGTGGGGAGGTGGGTGGGCGGCCACCGCAGCCGAAACCGGGCACTTCTTCAGCCCTCTGCCCTCCCCTCCCCTCCGCTACAGCCTCCAGAGTTAGGTAAACGCTGTCTCTCCTAAAGTTTGGGAAATAAACCAAGTCCGCCATCAGGTCCAGACTCCCCAGTCCCGGGAGCGCGAGAGAAGCCGTGCGGGGCAGCCTCCAAGAACCCGGAGTACTGGAGCGCCTGGCTGGGTTTCTCCAAGCAACACCCTCCTTTGTCTCGGTTCCTGAGAGTCAGCATTCTCTGTAATGTCCACAGCGTTAATTCATGATTGAGCAAAGTATGGTCAGGGTTTCGTAAAGCAGTATCTGGATGGGGTAGAATCTACACAGGCAAAATGGAGAGGCAAAGCAATTATTTGCAAAATTCAGCACTACTCTTCTCCCTGTAGTCTTGTCTGTAAGAGAAAGGACTGAGGGCTTCTAAGATTTGCTTCATTAATCATTCTTTTGCTATAAATTGTTCCAGCCAACACTTCACATTGTGTAGGCGCAAGCTCTCTGTGTGTATTTACCGCTGTTTGATTTAGAAAAATGTGTGTGTGTTTGTGTGTTTTTTTTAAATAACAATTCATTGTTCAGTACCGGGCATTGGTAATGTCGGAGAGAAAGGCAGATGCAGCACATACAGGTAATTGACTAATTGGAATCAGCCTTAGTCCGGTCCACCTTAGTCTGGTGTATTTAAAAACTAAATATGTTGGACTAAAGTGTCTCTTGCCTTGTCTCTTCTGAATACCTTCAGAAGTAGTTATGGACAACTGCATAGAAAACATTTCAAGAATCGATGATTATTCTTGTTTATAAGAAAGAATATTGAACTCTCGGTTTTGCAATCAAACCAAGTTTGAGGCACACTTTCTATAGTGCTGTATGCATAAATATTACCAGAGCTTGTGAAAGCTATTTACTTTGTCGTTTCTTGAATTATGGAACACTTATAAAAAGACCTTCAATTTGTTATTTGGCTACTGATACTAGAAAGCATTATCATTTTGTGAAAAGTAGACTAAATTTTGAAACTTTTTAAACCTTACTTTATTTTCCCACTGTTTACCTACACAGAAGTATGTAGTTGTAGTTTCATTCTTTATAAACACCTCAAGTGAAGAATAGAAGTCCTTCTAAACAGAAAATAATGCTTCCATTAAGTGGAAACTATAGTTAAATGCTTTGACAATTTAACAGTATGATTTTTTTACTGTAAAAAACACACACTGAGGTGTTTAGAATGATTTTTTAACCAAGTCCTACTAGATAGCTCATAATTATGAGATAATGTAACTATAATTTGTAACCCTGGTTATAATTAGCTTTGTATCTGGGCTGGGAAAGCCTTCATTAGAGTTGTATGGAAAGTCCCTGTAGGTAAATTCCAGGCAGTTAGCACAGAAAGGCTTCACCTGTTGCCTTTGAGGCAGGTCTAGGTAAATGCTGTAGTGTCTGAAGACACCCGTAATCAGAAGGGATTCTTCAGGAAAGATCATTGTAAAGAGGGATGGCTGTACTTGTTATTTTAACTTAGTGGAATTTTTAGTGAAGCTTTTGAATACTACAGGAGTTAGATTGTTATATTTGGACTTGTGTAGCTTCAGAATTTTGACAATAGCTCATTGGCCAGAAAAGGATAACTACTGACATATAGAGGGAACGGATCTGAACTGATTGGTTAAATGCTGTACTTCTCATGATGACTCTTAGCATAAAGGAAAGAAATTCATATTTAGCTTAGGAAGATAGATAAGAACAAAGATAAAAGCAAATGTCAACTTTTACATTTCTTAAGCAAAATTAGTAGAGGATAAAAAATAAGCCCTTGTAGTCATACACGTTACTTATCAAATAGAGGGTAGAATTTAAAAGAGGAAAAATAACTTGTGCAGCAACAGAAATCCAAACCTGCAATGAGATGGACCTCATTTTATTAAGGAATGTATATCTGATTTACAGTTTTATCAAGCAGATCCACTTGTTCCTGGACTTACGCTATGTTTTGTCTGCTGAGATCTGATATGTGCTCAAACACTCAGAAAACATCAGTGAGTGCTTATTGTGGTGTCATGCTAGCTACCCTTCCAGGCCTTTTCTATGGGCTTATAGGCTGATGGAGAGGGGACTGATAAATGTACCACAGATCACCTGGCAGCTGAGGTGGTCTGAGAGCAGCAGGGGACCAGTGCAGACTGGGAAGCAGCATAGTGGGTTGCAGAGGGACCTGGATGGGGAGTTGTCATCTTGACTGAGTCACTAATTAGGTGGCTGTGGGTAAGTGGCTAAGTTCCTCCACCTTTCTGCTCCTTGGTGCCCTTATCTGCAGAATGAGGGCTTTGGACTGACGATCTTTATGGTCTCTCTTTAAAATGCTGCAAGGCAAATTCTGGCAGAATTAAAGAGAGACAGAAGTCAGTGTGTGTGTGTAGGAGGGTGGTTTGTAGGGTTTTGGTTGAAGGAAGCCAGGCTGGAGGGTCTTGCTAGTTGTATTGAATGGGAAATGGCAAAGAGAAGTAAAAGATGTCTGGCCTGGGACATCTGACCTAACATTGATTATGTGAATTGAAAATACATAATAAAATAATAAAAATACCAGCTTTCACTTAGTACTGGGTGGTTTTCCATGAATTTTCACAAATGATGCAATAGATTTTTGTAACAACCCTCGGAAGTAATTAGAGCAGAAAGGTGATGAAGCTGGGACTAATACTGCAAAGCACATCTGCACCAGTATGCGCCACTGCCTTTCTGCAGGATTTGTAGAGATAGGAGAAGCTAAAGCTCACTTTGGAAACCCTGAGTAAACAGGAGAGAGACATAAGGTTAGGGTCAGATTTTAGGTGAGGTTGAATTTCTGCGTAAGAATTTAGGTTACATTCTGGAACACAGAAGTCTCCAATTACGAGCTCAAGACTTCCTGAAATGCCTTGAATTCTGATTATTGATGTTTAATCTTACTGCTCCTGTTCTGTGCCCACTCCTCCTCTAAGGTCCCCCTTTCCCCAGCAGGAATTCTGGGGCTTTGACTATCACAGAGTAATTGATATGACTCTTCCAAGAGCTTTTAGTGATGCTGGAAAAAGGAAATCCATGCATTTCATATAAAGGCGAGGATTCTGGGGCCACTGTATCATTAATTGATAGGATGTGTTCTGCAAGTTGTGCTTTGGAAACTTTGTCACCAGAGGTGAAATTCCACAGAAGGCATAGAAATCTAGAAAGGTGTAAGATGAGTGTCTGTACATTCCTTCCTGTAGAGCCCTAATCACTCTGCTCTGAGCATGAAGTGCACCAAGGGGGGACAAGTCTCTGCTTACCACCCAACTGTGTGTTCACCACCCCACTTTGTGTTCATGTAGAAGGGAGTTACTCAGGATTCATTTGCTTGCATGTGTGAATATTTAACTAGGTAAAGCAAAAAAGGACTTACTGGCTCATTGGACCAGAAAGTCCAAAGGTGGTCCTTGCTTCAATCATGGCTGGAACTCAGAGACTTACACAACTTTGTCGAGGTTCTTTCTCTCTCTCCCCATTTCTCAGTCCCACTTCTCTCTGGGTCAGCTGTATTCTGAGGCACTCTTTCTGGATATGGAGAAAGATGACTGTGGGTATTTCTAAACCTACATTCCTGGGCTTTTCATCTATGAGAAAAAGAGGTCCTTTCTCTTCCAGGTCCCATTTTTATAAATCTCCTTGAAGGGCTCTGATTGGCCCTGCTCAGTGGTAATTGAATTGGTCTCTGTGTCTAGCAGAGAGTGCTACTCTGATTGTATTGGACTAAATCATGTGCCCAACCCTGTGTATATGTGGTTCTGGTGCTGGGATGAGGAGGAGGAGGCTGGTAGGGCACTATGATAGGCAGTTCTGTCAAGATTACATAGAGTTGTGGTTCTCCCAAGAAAATAATGCTGCCAATCAAAAACAATAGTCTATTATTGGGAATAATTCCTTCCTTTTTTGGGACAGCCCTCTGCACAATGATCTGGAGTTTGCACATGGAAGCAACTCAGGTGCCCAAGACAATGCGTATCCCAAAAGTGGGACCTTTCTCCCAAGCAAGGTATAGCCCAGTGATGAAATAATGCCCTCATGTTTAAACTTTATTAAAAGGAGGATTGTTTCCAGAATGGGAAACACCCATTCTGGAATGAATGGGAAGCCACCATTTATTCATATCTATGTACTTCTAGCAAATATCCCTGTGCCTTATTTCCAGCCCAGAGATTTTGTTTCCAAAAGCCCTGCCCATCTAGTGATGATGAGATTGGATACCCCCTACTTTGGCCATTGTAGAGCCAGTGAAAGTTTGAACAGGGAGCTGAAGTGATTAACACAGAACTATTGTTTATGCAAATACATTGGGTTGTTGGAAATGCACAGAGGGGAGTGGCAGGCACAGATTAGGATTTTCATTTAGGAGGCATAAGATGATAGGTTTCCAATTAGAGTAATGGCAGCAAGAATTTGTGAGCAATATTATGAAGTTCTTATGAGGTTATATGTCAGGATGAAGGAGCATCTTTGTTGACAGAAGCATTTGTGGAATGAAATAGGCCAGGAGGGAGTAGACTAGGAAGACATCCTGGGCCAGTAGGTGAAATGGCTATGCGTGGTAGATAGGTTAATAGCAAATAGATTGTGTAGACAGGAGGCCTGTGGTCACCATGAGTCCTAGGGGCATGTATAGAACTGACATTTACCAAGGATCTACTTAGTATGGTAGGTTCATGTTGCATACTTTAAAGTTATTATATTAATGTTTATATAAAGTCAGGGAGGTAAATAACTTACTGAAGGTTATGAGGCCATTAAGCAGTACAGCTGGAATTCAAACCCTGGCAGTCGGACATCAAAGCCTTGCTTTAACCACTATGCAAAACTACCTCTCAACCTCAAAGTCAAATTCACTGTATCAGGCCAAACTGAAGGACCAGCTAAAGGTTGGCCCTTCTGATAGGAAATGAGAGTGCCAGAATTCCAGGTCAAATAGAAGGCACAGAACAGAGGTTATTAGGGTGAAAGTGGATAACATTCATGCTCAGAGCCAACCTGGACAAGAATGTCAAGGTAAGACATTCTTGGAAAGGAAAGAATATCACATGCATCCATTCTGGATTTAGGGTTTGGGGTATAGCAAGGAAAGGGGATGGGAAAATTATCAGGCAGTTGAACAGATGGGCAGATCAATAGAACAACTGGAGTTTGATTGTTGACCTGAGAACAGGAACTCTACCATCTGCCATGGCTTTAAATATCCTTCCTGGTGTAAGTTGATAAGAATATGGAATGGGCAGCTCCTCAGAGGGAGACAGGATTTTATTAGTTGTCAGGCACTATCAGGGAAGGAGCTAACGTTTGTAAGGCCATGCGCCTTAGATACGTAAGCTCACTAAATCTTCATTATAATTCCAGAAGGGTAAATATTATGCCTCCCCACCATCGCCACTTTTCTTGAGCCAGGAAATGGAGGCTCAGAAGGTTAAGTGACTTGCCCGAGCTCCTGGAGCCAGACTGGAAAGTGAAAGAGCTGGCATGGAACCCAGATCTGTTGGAATCCAGACCTCTTCCTGGATCTTCAGGGAGTCATCCTGGTGCTAGCAGGACAAGGTCAATATCAAGTCTGAGAGATGGAAATGGGGAAATCAGGAGGGGCATATGGTTGTGAAGGAAGACAGTAAGCTAACTTTTAGACATCTGAGTGTGAGATAAGAGCAGACCGTCTGAAGAGAATTGTCCAGCAGGATTATATCTGGCTTTGGCAGAAAACTTAATAATCTAGTAGGTTTTTTCCCCTCAGTACAGGATCTCTATCATTATGCAGGGTAGATACGTCAGCAAGTCAGATGTTTGGAAGGCTTAATTTAAGTCACTGATTTCAGTTCAAGAGAAGGGACCTCTGCCAGCTGCCATGGCCTGAATTTACCTTTATACATACAGATACTCTGCCCTGAAATGTGAAAAAATGAGAAGTAGATACATATAGAGAGGGAGAGAGGACACTCGCTAGCACATGCTGAATGTAGCAGGTTCATGAAACACTCTAGTTACAAAGGTGTGTACTTGAGGATGCTCTAAATAAAATGAGTTACTAATAGAATGTGAGTGACATCATATCGTTCCCCAACAAATACAAGGCCAAATTTGTATCTGCTTAGGTGTGTGACTGGATGTGTGCGCAATTGACTGTGTATGTATGTACAACAAGAGGAAGGGGAATGAGAAGGTGTATAAAAATAGAAGTATTTATGAGAACCTTGTAGCCTATTCGGAGAGGTAAAACAACCATGTGTAAAACTTTTAGAACAACTCAATAGAATAATATGTAAACAAATGGTTACAATGCTTTGAAATAAAGCTGGTAGAGATATGCAAAGAATATTAGAGGCCTGTGACACAAAAGCAATGGTGAATAGGAGTAGGCTCTTTCTTGTAAATAGTGAGCTAATCACAGAGGTGCTGATAGATTAGCAACTGCTGGGGAGAAAAAAAAGTATTTTCCTTTTGAGAATCAACATCTTTGGGCTTAAATGCAGGATGAATCCAAAGAATCTCAGTACTGTCTCTAAGCTGAGGTTGGCATAGGAGAGACACAAATTTTGTTTCCCTTGGCAAAGTAAGTCAGATCGGCTTAGTGAACATACATGTGCAAGTATTTGCAATAAAATGGAGTTAGCATTTCTGAAGAGATGTTGTTAGATTTTCTAATCATAAAGGCGATACACACTCCCAATAAAAACCTTAGAAAAATACATTAAGTATAAAAAGTCAGGGAGAAAATTTGCCTGTAATCCTATGACCCAAAGGCACTCATAACATTTTGGCATTTTCTTTCTCCTTATTTTTAATGATTTTTTCCATAATGCTTAATAGTGTATTACAACCTACTCTGTTTGCTTAATCTTATGTCTTAATATTTTCCAACTTCTAGACAAGCTTTATTAATGTCAGTATAATATTGGATTATGTGGACATATCATAATTTATTAACTATTCCCTTAAAATTGAACTTTTAGGCCATTTCCAAATATTTGATATTATAAATGGCACTTTGATGAATCTTTCTTCAAATTTCAGAATCTGTTTTTTGTGCATAAGGGTTATAAATGCATTTATATTCCATTTTATATATGTTTATCAGATTACTTCTTTTAAAAAGATTCGTGGAACGATAATTCCTGGGTCAAAGGGTATGAAAATTTCAGGCTCTTGATACTTAATGCCAAACTGATTTTCAAATAACTGAAGTTATGACTGACAGTGCATGGAACTACCCTTCACATGCTCTCACTAGGTGATTGTTTTTATTTTTAAATTTAAAAAAGCCACCATTTTGAAAAAAAGAATAGTTTATGCTAACTGCTGATTTTGTTCCTTTGTTACCCAAATCTCCCTTTTAGAATGTAGACTATGTAAGATATTGTGATTCATTTCACTTTTAAAAATTTACTTATGTTTCTGAACATGCAGATAGGGGCCCATGATAGAAAAAAGTAGCTTGTGAATGATTTTTTGAAAGCCAGTGTTATACATATCCTGTTTGGGGACTCTTCAGACTCTGCTGTGGAACAGCCCGTGAGAGAAGTTGATTGATGTAGGATGAGAGCCCCTTTTTGCAGAGCTAAACCCCTGACAGCCCCGCCTCTGTAGCCTTGGATATTAGGTCCTAGTAGTCATGGAGTGTTCTAACTGCACTTTTCACTGGGGCTGTAACCCAAGTGAGAGCAGGCCTGTAACTGTTTTGTCCATGGCTATGTCCCTAGCAGATGACCTTAGACAAAGTTTTGCTGGGAGGTGGGATCTGAAAATGCCTGAGTTTTTGTTTTTGTTTTTGTTTTTGTTTTTTTTTTTTCAGACGGAGTCTCGCTCTGTCACCAGTCAGGCTGGAGTGCAGTGGCATGATCTGAGCTCACTGCAATCTCCGCCTCTCAGGTTCAAGCGATTTTCCTCCCTCAACCTCCCGAGTAGCTGGGATTACAGGGGCACACCACCACGCCAGGCTAATTTTTTGTTGTTGTTATTTTTAGTAGAGATGGAGTTTCACCATGTTGGCCAGGCTGGTCTCGAACTCCTGACCTCAGGTAATCCACCCACCTCAGCCTCCCAAAGTACTGGGATTACAAGTGTGAGCAACCTCACCTGGCCATGAAAATGCTTGAGATTTTTCCCCTAGAAAACTTCTATAATGTTAGTCACTGATTGCCCAGAAACAAACTTCCTGAATTTTGAAACTTCTGGTTTTACTCTCTTTTCCAAAGAAAATTCAACCACATCACAGTACCTAGTTTTATGGCAATGAACTTTGACTTATTCCAGAAGAGGAATTTGGATCTTACACATACCTCTGCAGGGTATTTTATTGTCTAAAAACACTTACTGAGAGTAAAGGGAACTATTAAACTTACAGTAGCAGTCAATTTGAGGTGGTTTTTGAGTGCCAATTTCAATTTTTCCACAACTATTATATTCCTACAAAAATAATTTACAACTAAAATAAAAAATGTTTTGGTTTTCTTCTAAAAGTTGAAGGATATTATTCTATTGTAATAACTCTATTCTCCTTTATGGATCTCAGTCAGTAATTTTGAACAAAATTATTTTCGTTCATTTGTTCAACAAATGATTATTTAGAGAGATTCATTCAGCAGGTGCTGTTAAATTATATTATGACTCATTTTGTCAAATATGAGACAGATCTTCTTACACAACAATAACGCAGAACACTGTGTAGGAATTTATGCCTATACATTTATTTACTTACTTATAAGACACATAAAATCTCTTATAACATGCGTTAAAAAGTAAACTTGGCTCAGGAGAAGGTTTATTAATTAATAAAGGATTCATTAAATATTTGTGCTGCCAGCTGGGGATCCAGTAATGACCAAAACAAAAAGTTATGGAGGAGCTTACATTGTAAATGGAGGACACAAACAGGAAACATATAAATGAGCAAGGCAATTTCAGGCATTCAAAAAGTGCTGTAAGGGAAGTCAAGAAATCTGATGTCATAGAGAGTGCATGCGCTCATTTAGATCAGATGGTCAAGGAAGACCTCTCTGCATTTGAGGCATTTAAGCTACAACCTGCGAGAGAATGAGGAGCCAGCCTCACATATTTGGGGAGGGGGCATTGGAGTAGGTTTTATACTCAGTGCACTGGAAAGCCATTAGAAGGTTGCTCTTTTGGAGCATGATGTTTGAGGTCATTTATTAAAAATGAGTGTTGAGATGAAGAGTGCAAAGTATTACCTCACTGTAATGATGATATTGGTATTGGGAGCAAAAACAATGCTCACATTAGAGACTATATGTAGTTATGGTCAAGATATGTCATATATCACTATATGGCTGAAGACATTTCATATACAGTATGTCTCCCTACAAAGGGGTTTTAATATAAATATAACGTAAATATATTTAATAAATTTATAAATATAACTAAATATAAATAGCAATTTCAAAAGAATATATAGAGCTTAGTAAGTCCACCACAGAGTTTTTGTTATGTGAACTTGTATTCTTTAACTGAGCCTAGCATATTGACTTGTACATTATATACATTTGATAAATGTTGCGGAATTAACCATGTGGAATATTCTACTTGTAAGAAAAAAAATTAACCTCGGATATAAAATCACATTAATTATTTTCAAATTTATTTGTTATCACATTAAATAATTATCACATTCAATTAATTAATTATTTTTTGAGAGAGGGTCTCACTCTGTCACCCAGGCTGGAGTGCAGTGATGTGATTTTGGCTCACTGCAACCTCTGCCTCCTGGGTTCAAGCGATTCTTATGCTGGGACTCCACAAGTAGCCTCCCAAGTAGCTGGAACTACAGGCACACATCACCATGCCTGGCTAATTTTTGTATTTTTAGTAGAGATGAGGTTTCACCATGTTGGCCAGGCTGGGCTTGAACTCCTGATCTCACACAATCCATCTGTCCTTGGGACTCACAAAGTGCTGGGACTACAGGTGTGAGCCACTGCACCCAGCAAAATCACACAAAACAGTATTTTTATGAAAATACTAAGCCTTTTCTTTGAAAAGGAAAGAGATAATATGTTCCTTATACTCTAAGTATTAACAGTAATTTTAAATTGTATTCAAAATGCTAAAATTGAAATATTGAAAAATAAAAAATACACAAGTATAATCATCGTCTTCCTCACATACATTTTTTTTTCTCCCTGGTTAAGTAGGAATCTCTGGAAAGTCCACATTTTAGATAAAGATTTTATTAATATCACTTGGTCTTATCACACTTTACTTGACTTGTGGAAATTCCTTATTTATTTTGTGAGTCTCCCAACTCTCAAACTAACCTCTATTCAGAACTTTTCATGCATAATTGAATATAAGACAATAATAACACAAAATTAATGATGCTTGTTAATGAATATTTAGCTCAGTGTCTTCTGGGAGATCTATTCAAATATACTTATTAAGTCATCAGACATTTATTGACACATACTGAGTGCTGGCCATTGTGTTCCATGCTAAGAGCATAACAAGCTTTTCTCAAGAAACTCAGGCTAGAGAGCCATTGGGTAATACTTTAAGTACTTAGAGCAAGGGAAAGAGTTTTGCAATAAGATGATATATGGGACTCCCTGAGTCTACGTTGGGGTGGCAGTAATGAGGAGTGAAATTGTGAATTAATTCAGTAATTCCTTAAATCTGGTATTTGGTTAAGTGATTTGAAAAGACAGGTTACAAAAAAGAAGTCAAAGTTAAAAAGGCAGCACATGCCATCCATCTCCAGGTAACAAGGCCACCTGCATCCCAATTCTTATTTCTAGAGATACCATCCTAGGGATTCCCTGTTCTCCTGCCCCAACTGCCAGAATCTCATCTGTTTATTTGGCAGGAGACCCATCTAGCTGCAGGCCTCTGGGACTCATCCCTACCTAGAACCCCATGAACCCAGCCCTCCCTTCTTTATCCTCCTGCATGTGGGGCTGCATATTGACTCATTGACTTCAGAGTACAGTGACCTAAGCTGCTCCTCCAAGTCCTCCTGCAGTTTTGGATTGAAGAGGCCTCAATCCTGCTGCTTTCATTTCCAGTAGAGCCTCACTCATTTATACTTTTATTTATTCATTCAATAAACATTTTCTGAGTACTTACCATGTACTATTTTAGGCACTGGAAATATAATCTGAAACAAAACAAAGTTCCTGTCTTTATGAGCCTTATATTCCAGCTGGGGAAGACAGACAATACATGTATAATTTGTTGTGACAAATAAGAAGAAGAAAAATAAAGCAGAGCCCAGGGACTAAGAGCAGTTAGGATGGATGTAGAGTAGCATGGCCAAGGAAGCCCTCTCTGATAAGGTCTGACATTTGAGCAGAGACCTGAATGATGCCAGGGAAGAAATCATTAGTATATCCTGTGAAGGAGTGTGCCGCAGGAGGAATAGAAAGTGCAAAGGCCATAAGGAGTCAGTGTGTGGGGTGGGAGTTGGCTTGGACTGTGTGAGTAGCATTAGCATAGAGGCCAGTGTGATTAGAACAAAGCAGGGGCTCACAGAGGGTGTTGGCGTCACAAGGAAACTTTGGACTTTACTCTGAGTTGTATGGGAAGTATCTGCTAGGAGGCTAACCTTTATCAATATCACTTTCATGTGACCACATGATTTCTAAGAATATTGAATTAGAGTTCAGGCACATAAGTGGGGGTTTTATTGGGCCTAACCCTTACTTTTATTGCTAGTCTCAGAAGGAAATATGCAGTGATTAAAATCCCAGGTGTCTGTGTCAGTTATAGGCCTGCCTGATAGGGCCTGAACTCAAATTCAATGTTCTTAGAAATCATGTGGTCATGTGAAAGTGATATTGATAAAGATCTTGGCCGGGCATGGTGGCTCACACCTCTAATCCCAGTACTTTGGGAGGCTGAGGTGGGCTGATCACGAGGTCAGGAGATCGAGACCATCCTGGCTAACATCGTGAAACCCCATCTCTGCTAAAAAATACAAAAAATTAGCCGGGCATGGTGGCTCATGCCTGTAATCCCAGCTACTTGGGAGGCTGAGGCAGAGAATCACTTGAACCCGAGAGGTGGATGTTGCAGTGAGCCAAGATCGTGCCACTGCACTCCAGCCTGGGTGACAGAGTGAGACTCCGTCTCAAAAAAAAAAAAAAAAAAAAGATCTTGAGTAAGAATAGCCCAGAGAATTCCCAAGCCTAATGAGAGATATTTTACTTTGGATGGTGTATTAGTTTATTTCATGCTGCTGTAACATGAATATCACAGACAGGGTAATTCAAAAAGAAAGGAAATACATTTATCAAGTTCTGGAGGCTGGATTATTAGAGTGCTGGCAATATCAGGGTGCTGGCAACTGGTGAAGGCCTTATTGCTGCATTATCTCATGGCAGAAGGACGAGAGCATATGGGGTTGAACTCATTCTTTTTATGAAGAAACCATTCCTATAATAACTAACCCACTCCTTCCATAATGGCATTACTCCATCCATGAGGGCAGAGGCCTCGTGGCCTAATCACTTCTCAGAGGTTCCACCTCTCAACACTCTTGAATTGGGGATTAAGTTTTTAACACATGAAGTTTGGAGGACACATTCAAACCATAGGAGGTGTGAACAAAATTTTGTTGTTGATTGAGAACTGTGTGGAGAATTTTTCAGACAACACTGTGTTAAATTGGAAAAAATTACAATTTAGAAAAGGAGAAGAGGAGACTTTCTTTCTCATAAAGGGTTACAGCCTGCAGAGTGGCCATTCTGACAGGCTGGGAAGCATAGCCTCCAGCCAGAAGCCAGAAACAGATACTTAAGAGTGAGGGACAAAGGGAACAGGAATTTATGCTGAATGTGGTGGCCAAATAAGCATATTCAATAGGCCATAGGAGGAGTCATAAATATTAATGAAGGGAGAAATGTGCACATGCGTGATTGAGCTTCATGCCTCTCCATGGGTCCCATCTACAAAAAATGGTGGGGTTAACACGATCTGTGGGTGGACTTTTCCACCCTCCAATGTCAAACGGTGAAGCAGAGGATACAAAAACCCTTACTGCGCATTCTGCATAGACTGGCCAGAACCAGTTGGTGTGACTAGTTAGGGCATGAGTTCAGTATGGGGCACATTAAATTTGAGATGCCTGTGAGACATCTTAGGGGAAAGAGCACAGATGGGACAGATGGGGCTGGTGCTCAGAAGAGAAATATGGAATGGAAACTTAAATTTAAGGATCATTAGTATGTAGTTGATAAATAAAGCTATGGAGAGAATAAAGATTGAGAAAAGAAGGAGGCTTAGGAACAAGCTTTGGGAATTTCTACATTTCAGGGTGGATAGAGAGCATACCGAGAAGTAGCAGCCCTAGTAGGAGGAGAAAAGCTGGGGTGTGCTACTGCTGATGAAAGCTACGTGATATTAGCAATAAAGCTTTGTTTTGTTTGCACATGGTCCTTACTGAAGCCCTTTTTGAATATTTGGGTTCAGTTTCTTCAATTTAATCTATAAGTGCATCTCCAATGTAGTATAACCTTCAAATTTTTGAGTGAAATGGGATTAAAAGTTACTGAAAATCTTTTTTTTGAATTTCATGTCATAGTTGTTGATACTGTCAGAACAGAATAGACATAGTCGTACCTTCACAATAAAATAGTGATAGAATAGTGCATCTGAAGGTTAATTTCATGATCATGCTGATGACTAATATAATCTTACTGTCAACTCCATTGCTGCCTTCCAGTTTAGTAGGTCTTTAAACTTTTTTAAAGCATCTGCAGGCTTACTGCTAAGTGATATATTATTTTTGTTATAGGTGTTTTTAAAGCCACAAATAAAAGTTTAAGCTATTTGCCAGGACACTATAAGGAAAGTATAAAATTTAAAAAAGAAGTGATTGAATAGCTAGCAGAAGACTCTGAGGGCTACCTTGGCTTTTATTATGAATGCATTTTAGCTCATTAAAGTTGACGAGAAAAGACAACTTTTATTGGAGGTTGAATTTAGCCTTTTCATTTGGGAGCTTATCTTGGCCCATTCTGTATGTGATGGTGGACCCTGAGGGAACATCACATCCTTGTTCTTATTTTCCTACAGTGAAATACATAGCAGAGAGTCACTGGTAGTACATGAAATGAATATGAAAAAATTCAAAATCAGCCTTGTGTGAGCATTGTCTCAAGGTGATTAACTACATTTATTTTATGTTTCTCTAATCTACCAACATAATCTTTTTATTTTTTACAATTTTTACACTATTAAAATATTAAGGCTGAGTATGATGGCTCATGCCTGTAATCCTAGCACTTTGGGAGGCTGAGGCAGGAGGAATGTTTGAGCCCAGGAATTCAAGGCTGCAGAAAGCTGTGATCGTGCCACTGCACTCCAGCCTGGGAAACAGAGTGAGACCCTGTCTCTAAAAAAATAAAAATTAAGTTTCAGAAGTAATTTTTAAAATGAAGTTATCAAAGCACCTAATAATGCTTAATATATCTATAGTACTCTCTTAAGTTATAACTTAGAAGTATAAAGTGAAAACTCTCCTAGACTTTGAGTCATCTGGGAGTTAGCACAGTGCCATTCAGAGTCTCCTGTTTAATAAGAAGCCTCCAGTCAGTCCTTTGGCATCTTTCTCTTCTTATTTGAATGCTTAGAAGGGGAACTTATCAGTGGTCCTATCTGTCCTGGCATCTGTGTCTGTCAGTTATGGATGACCTTCATCAGCAATGGGTCATAAGAAGCAGTGCTAGATATTGCTGTCTGTATTTGATGATCCATCCTCTTGCCTGCCCCTAACAAAAAAATATAGTTTTGTTTTTTTTAAATCTGTGCCTTTGGGTGAACCATCTCTGAAGATGGCCCGTGAGGGAAGTGGCACTGTTTTCCTGATGAGAGAGGATATTTATATTTGTGGAAGTTGACTTCCCCTTGGACACATACATCAGTTGAGAAGTTGCAGAAAAACAAGTATCAGGCTCGGATTACAGTGCCAGAGACTAATTTTCCTCCCAGTACAACAATCAGAGAATGTCCACCATGTTTCTGTGACAACTGCAGAACATTGAGTGCGGGCTCAAAGCTGCCTTGTGCTATGCCATACAGACAGGATGATATTGTACCTGGATGATGGGAGGCTACCTCTTTGTTGTTGTTGTTGTTGTTGAGATGCACAAATTAAAAGTTTATGGAAAGACCATGTCATTTTAAAATTCAAGTCTAGGAAGCAGAAAGGTTTATTTGGTTTTTACCCTTTAGTTCCACAGGTTATCTAGTAGAATTTGAGAAATTGCTGACTGAAGGTTAACATTTGAAAGGATGGTTAACCGACCTGTCTGCAGCTTCTCTGATCTGTGGCTTCCTCTTCCGTTCACTCCAGAACACACTGCCATCTGGCTGCCTTGCTGAAGTGGCTCTCCTTCAAAGATAGTTTTAAAGATATATTGTGAACCTTTTATGATCTGGGCTACTTATGATTCAGTTGAGATTTTTTTTGGAAAAAAGAATCCCATTGCCAAGGATAATTTGAAAATCACAGGAGGATTAGAGCATTACTACCTAAGAGCTATGAAACCTTGGGCAAATTACTTCACCTTGCAGAGCTCCAGTTTAGTGTAGGGCAGCATGACCACCTTAGGAGGTTGGTGGGGGGCAGTATGAAAGGCCATGTAAGTGAAGATCTGGCACAGTGTGTGGCACAAAGTGGACACTGCCCAGTGTTGTTCCCTTCCCTTTCGGCTCGCACTTGCCTCTCTCCATTCCGTCTCACCTGGTTACACTTGCCCTGTGCACATGCATGCTCTACATGAAACAGCTGTTAGCTCTGCCTGGATGGGAAATCCTTGCTGGGGAGGCATTTTTCATTCTTCTAGACCCACCTTGAATTAGTGCATCTCTTTCGTGGAGTCTTCTCTGGCCTTTCTCAGGAGAGTTGGTTGCACCTTCCAGCACCTTCAGGGTGCTTTGCTCATGCCAGCAGATAAGCTTGTATGAAATGATAGTGACTGGTCTATCTTCTGTCTCTATCCTAAACCCAGGGCTATAAGTAGTAGAAGTGGACTTAATCTCCTCAGGACAACAAAGAGAGTTGAGTGGAGAGTGGAACATGAAAGATTTTTTTTTCCTTTAGTGATTTTACCACTGGCAATGTTACCAAAAATTAGAGCCCATTTCAGCTCTGTTGATGGAGAATTGAGTGCTTGATTTTTGGAGACTAGTGGATGGATTCAGGGTAATGACTGAGCCCCACTAAAAGTATCCCCCTTCCTCTGGCCTTCAAGAACTTCTTCCATCTTCTTGGGGAAGGGGCGAGCTAGTGGCATGAAGCAGGAACATTTGTGTTATTTGTGAAGTCACTTGTCTGTGGCCTGGTTCCTCGAGGCACCTGCTTTGCCTCCCTAGTGACTCTAGATCAGGAAGCAAACCATCTCACCCAAGGGGCTGTGTGAGTTCCTTGAGGCCAGGCATGATGTTACACTGTGTTTGTGACTCCTCCTCATGGCCTACATCTATTTGCTCAGGCATTATTAAATTTGTCACATTCAATTGAATTAGGACGGCACTCCATGGGATTCATTAGTTGTCCGTAGCATCGGGCAAGACAGTTCCACTCAACTGAGGAACACGTCATATCAAACCAAGGGCATTAACTAGCTCAGAAAAAGAGCCACCCTAGCCTTGGAATTTTTCTCTTCCCAATTGCTAGGAAGTCAGCAATGCCATCCTGAAAAGAATGAGACACTGTGAGGTGAGCAGCAAGTTCCAACATGCTGGCATTCCACAACAGCCAGATGGGAAGTATTTATGACAGGGGATAATCTGCTCCCATTCTTGGCCTTATTCACTTTGATGTTTTGAAACGTTCATGATGCCGTCTTAATAAAGTTGAAGTTTGAAAACTTGAATGTCTGGCGATGGCAAATAATCTGGTTCCCATAGCCATCTTCACTCAGCTGTGTATCCAGACATAGCTTTCTGGATCTCTGAAAATACTGATCAATAAATTATGAGCTGTTGTGATTTAAAACGCTAGTAAGTATTTTTAGTTTCCTTTTAATTTTTAGTGTTTTAACAAATCACAGGTGGTTGGCATCAAGGTAAAAATGAATATGAAGACATGGTGAATACTGCCTTCATTATGAGTATAAAAGATTATTTTTTCCTTTTTAAAATGTTTTGAATAATTCTGACAAGTATTAAAACTTTGGAGGCCATGGGACCCATAGAACCTCGTAGGAATAATTTATTCAAATTATATGAGAAAAGAAGAGGCAGGGAGCGGTGGTTCATGCCTGTAATCCCAGCACTTTGGGAGGCTGAGACGGGGGGGATCCCTTGAGGTCAGAAGTTTGAGACCAGCCTGGCCAACATGGTGAAACCCCATCTTTACTAAAAATACAAAAAATTAGCCAGGTGTGGTGGTGCACACCTGTGGTCCCAACTACTTGGGTGGCTGAGGCACGAGAATCGCCTGAACCCAGGAAATGGAGGTTGCAGTAAGCTGAGATGCCAACACTGCACTCCAGCCTGAGTGACAAAGTGAGACTCTGTCTAAAAAAGAAAAGAGAGAAAAGAAGAAATCACTTGTTAAGTACTTTCTCAACGTTGTCAGTTGTTGTTAGTCTTTTATAAGAAATAAGCTTACCGTTTGTGAATGCTTTTTGGTAGTTTATTATAAGCATTTATCATGTTACTGAAATTTTTGTAAGCATGCCTTTGTAAAGGCTGTATAATGTTCTGTTACCTGTGTTTTTATTTTTGTTTTATTTATTTATTTAAAGGTTTGCCCAGGCCAGAAAGCGGTAGCATGATCATAGCTCACTGTACCCTCAAATACTTGTGCTCAAGTAATCCTCCTGTCTCAGCCTCCCGAGTAGGTGAGACTGCAAGTGTATGCCATCACACCCAGTGAATTTTTTAATGTTTTGTAGAGATGGGGTCTTGCTATGTTGCCAAGGCTGGTCTTGAACTCCTGACCTCAAGGGATCCTCCTACCTTGGCCTTCCAAAGTGCTGCAATTATAGGTGTGATCCATCCTGCCTGGCCAGAAAATTATTGTTTTAATTAATAAAAAAGGAAATGTTAATTCTTGTGACACTTCAAACTTTCCTTTGTAGTTTCCTTGATTCAGAAAGGAATAGCATGTTTCTGATATGTATCATTAGATATTTTGTATTTTCTATCAAGCTTAACCTTTGAAGTGATGATCAAATCACATTACAATGAACTGGTCAATGGGTAGGTAACTCTCCTATAAAATTTTCTGACAGAATTTCTTTTCATTTTCTTTAGAAGTTTGAGGATGTTAGACAGTTTGGGATTGTTTTTGCTTTTCTTCTAATACACAAAAATTTACATTTGGAGTACATTTATTATCTTTTTGCAAATGGATTTATCTCTATCATAGCATCTCATCTGGTGGCAGAAAGAAACACATGACCATTCAGTCATTTCTAATATATTCTTTTGGATATAAATGTGGAAGAAAGTAGTCAGACAGAAAAAAGTAGAAAGAGGATTTGATTTGTTGACATTATGCTTCATGCATGTAAATTTGCGACATTGTCAGTTATGGAGCTCACATAATAAAAATTCTTAATTTCTTAGCACACAGAGCCGCTGAAAACGACTGAAGAGAGCAAGGGATTTCCTGGGACATCTGGCTCTGGAGGTGAGCGACAGCAGGGAATGACGTCAGGGACCTGGGAGACTGATCACCTGGATGGTGACTTTTTATGATGATTTTTTTGTAATGAGTTTATTCTTCCAGTGAGCTAACAGAGTTTATTAGTGGGACTTTGTCAGGCAATTATTTCCTTAGCTTGGTTAAATAAACCAGATGTCTTATTTGGACATTTCAAAGTTCCTTGCAATAAGCATTTTTAAATTAAGATAGAGATAGGTCTCTGCTCTGGTGAAACACTCACTGTAAAAATAATTGTATAGGTCATTTTATAGAGTAGGCTGTTTTAGCAAGACAGCTCCTCATTCCTCTCATTCTTTTCTCTCCACTCAAATCCCCAAGAGAAAAGGCCCTTAATTAGAAGCTCATTGACTACAGAAAAAAATAATTTTCTTTGCTCTTCTGTAATTTCAAAATTACATTTGTTCTGCTTGGAATAAAAGGAGGTTTATACCTTGTAACCTGTAATCTTTCATGCTGTTTTTGTTTTTGAAAACTTCTAAGAGTCTGAGCATTAACCATTTCATGATGCTATGTAATCTCATATTATTTTACATAAACTACAGAAATAATTTGCAGATGAATTTTTAGGGATCACCTTTTGCCCTTTGGCAAAAGGTGCCTTGAAATGCAAAATGAACAGTTGAGAAAACGATCCTTAAGTTGAAGAAGAAAATCCCATGTTTCTGAAATAATGTTGATATCCTGAAGAAAATTGTTTTGTATATTGGTAAGGGGACTCTTAAACTTCAATTATCTAGAATTTTTCTCTATTCTTTATTTCACTTGTGTGTATGTATCTAGGTGTGTAACTTGGTTTATAAAACAACTAACATTCAGTTTTGGGAGAAAATAATCTATTGTATTGAGAGAGCTTTTTGGCTTTCATTCTCTGAGTAATCACAGCCCCTCTAAGATACCTCTAAGATAAATGATCTCCAATACAGTAAATCCAGGAGCTTGAACAGGGACCAACCTCATTCACTGAAGCTCAGAGGAAGGGTCGGGGTATGTGGGAATGTTTTCTGTGTGCAGCACTTGAGTGTTTCAAAGTCTTCTTTGCTAAAAGGGGTAGCCACTGAGTTTGCTTAGAACGGGGCTGAAAACTGCTGTGGACCAAAATTCTGCTTGTCAGAGCCAACTGTGATTGCTCTAAAGATGCACCTTTTATAAGCTACTCTTAGAGTCACTAAAGGAAACTATGTTATTGTCAGCCAAAGACTGGCACCTGGGAATTGAAATTGATGATCTTTTTAGACCTTTAGAGAGAACCTAGGGAAGAGATTAGGAAAGTTTACCCTCTTCATCTTAGATGTCTGGTTTTTCCTTCCACATGGATGCAAAATTGTTCCAGTCCTTACCCTTTTCAAACATCAACTTCTAGTGCAGAAAGGAAACCATAGATCTTTAAAAGATACTCTAGGTGATTAGCATTAAGATTTTGTTTTCACCAAAAAATTCCGACAAACAAACCAAAAAACCCCCAAGAAATTGTAAGAATGTCGTTTCGACAGATAGGAGCTTGGAGCATTTTCAAATAAAACAAATTTGCCTTGCATTAACTTACTGTTACTTTAAAACTATGCTCAAAGGCATATTCCTTTTTCTTCGCCAGCATCATTTGGAAGCCAGATCTTTTTATAAGGCACTCCTGCATTACTCCCAGGCACTCTTTCATGGAGAACCTATTTCTAAACCTGAAACCGTCCAGTTATGGTGGAGGCAGTCACACAGTTCATTCATCAGTAATCCTTTAATGCTGTTGAAGTGAGTGGGCAGAAGAGGGCCTTTAATTATCAATGCTAAGAGGACTTGATCTTTAAGATTCTTTCTAATTGTGCCATTTTGTGACAATATGTGTTTCTTATATGAAGGTGGTAGTGCAAGACACTGAGATGCCTAAGAGGAAAGGATGTTTTTTACCTGTGTTTATAGTAAAAATAATATAACAGCATTAAAGTCTATTGCAAAATCTCCTATAATTTCTTTGTAGCAGAATGGATATTTTTATTTGGATAGAGTTGTGTTTGTTTGTTTGTTTTTTGACGGACTCTCGCTCTGTCACCCAGGCTGGAGTGCAATGGCGTGATCTCGGCTGACTGCAACATCTGCCTCCCAGATTCAAGTGATTCTCCCACCTCAGCCTCCTGAGTAGCTGGGATTACAGGCACCCTCCATCATGCACGGCTAATTTTTGAATTTTTAGTTGAGATGGGGTTTCACCATGTTGGCCAGGCTGGTCTCGAACTCCTGATCTTAGGTGATCCGCCTGCCTCGGCCTCCCAAAGTGCTGGGATTACAGGCATGAGTCACCACACCCAGTCTGGATAGAGTTCTTAAAAGGGTAAACAACTCTTTTCTTTTCTGTTTGAATGCAATCATGTGGACTTGGCCACATGGCTTCTTAAGTCTTGTTTGCATTTGCTTAAGCCAACAGCACTCAAATATGTTAAGGGAATTCTAGATTGAAATTGTGACTTAGTTTCCACACTCTTAATTATGTTTCCCCAAAACAGTTATGCATGAGGCTCTTTGGCAACTAGACTTGAGAATATTTAGGTTTAAAATTTCTTACTTGAGTGGTTTAGAGCCCTATCCAACTTCTGGTGTCTTTTCTCTTAAAAAGCTTTTAAAATCCTGTTTGCCTTTTTCAAGGTAGGAAAGAATACAAAAGTGTAAGGGTAGGTATTCCTAAGTCTTAGAGAATTGATTTGCGGTTAGTTTCTGATTCTCAAAATAATTTTCCTTTCACAGGTGGAAGTTTTCATGATGGGAGTTGAAGGTAGCATAGCAAGTGCCGCTCAGGAAAGGGGAGAATAACAGTTTAAAACTTAGTAAGTTTATTATACTCTGTACTAGTGGAGATCCCTTGGAGATTCCTGCATCGGTTTTAGAAATTAACCAAAAAGAAGGAAGTGAAGGAGTTGAAGTTCTAGGCAAGCAATAAGGCTTGATTAAGAAGTTGGAAAATGTGAAAGGAACTAGGATTATTCTGGAGAAGGGAAGGCTTATAATAATGGCTTTCAGATGCTGTAGGACTCAGATATCTACTTTCCTAGTGAATAACCAATTAAAAAGAAAATAAACTACAACATTAGGATATTAGCTGTGTAGATGTTTCCCAAAGTGATAACCCCCTGGAATGAATTATCAAGACAGGAGTTATATCTGCCCTCAATAAGGAACATGAGGCATAGCCTCAGGGTGTGACAATTCATTGCTTAGATAAGTTCTGTTTCTGTAGATGTTAAATGTGGATTCTCGCTTGTACATGTTTTCATTCATGCATAGTATTTCACAATCTAAATTCATATATCCTTATTTTTTTATATTTCTAATAAGATGATTGGTTCTTTTGCTGAGTGGCATAAGTAGATACTCATATTTCTCAATCTTGTCATCAGAAATGATGGCTATTTGTTTTTATATTTGTAAATATATAGTTGATGTTTACATTAAATAGTTCATTACTCAATTGTAAATACTAAAATTGGCAAGAATGAAAAAATAAAACATTAGAATATCCTTACAGAAAGTATCATTGCCCCAGTTTGTGGGAATTGCATCAACCACTGCAGATAAGTGTGTTTATAAAATCACCTAACTCATGACATTTGGCACATCAGCAAGTAGCAATAATTTTAACACTAATTAGTATATTTAAGAGAAATTACTTACAAAACCTAAATCATGTTTTGAACAATGATTTCTTGAATAGATATGAGATAAAATAAATTTTATAGAAAATATAAAATACATATAATATGAAAGTAGCACTACGGTCTAGCTCTATTATCTTTAGATAAGTCAAAGATATTGTCTTTGACTCTCAACAAAGTAGAACTGTAAAATACAGTTTTAGATTCGAACTATAGATTGTTAGATTTGGATAGACTAGAAGATCTTGTAATGTAGTCCCCTGATTTTACAGATGAGCAAATGAAGATTTAGTATTGATAAAAATACTAAATGTTTTTGGTGAAATGACCACAGCTTTTTACCCAGTCACACAACAAGATATAAGTGGAAGCAGAAGCAGTTATGGGCTCTCCTGATTTCCAGCCCTGGGCACTCCCTCCTGTAGTGCACTGAACAGAAGGTCAAGTGTAGATTTTGAAACGGGCAGTCTCTTGACACTGTGTCACGTCTTCCCTCAACTCACAACTCTATATCCTACGTAAAGAACAATGTGAGAGAAAGAAGAGGTTATAAGCTTGAAAGTGATAAAGTTAATATGTATTCTAGGACCCTCTACCAAAATATTTTGAATAGGAGGAAAGCAATAATATAGCTTGTTAGAATTTTGAGAAATTCTAACAATAATATAGCTTGTTAGAATTAATGAGAAATCATTAATTTTAGATACATAATATCACAGGCCAGATTTTAACACCAATAATAACAATAATATAGCTTGTTAGAATTTTGAGAAATCATTAATTTTAGATACATAATATCACAGGCCAGATTTTAACACCAGCAGTGGGTTCAGAGAGATCCACAGAACTTCAGATTTTCTCAGAAATTTCAAAACTACTCAGTAAAATTTCCAGCCCAGTTGTGCTAACTAAGGGACTCAGATTGAGATTCCCTGGTTTCATTTTATTACATGGGCTTCCATTGTTAAAGTTCTAGGATCCCCATCCAGTTCTTTGTTAATATATTTTACTTTATGAGAACAATTAGCCGGGTAAAAATTGCTCATACTGATAACGAAGAGTTACTAATAAAAGTTATTTTGCTTACAGGTTCATTAGGCACTTGTCGAGAATGGCCAGAAACGTGTTTTGGTTTCTTAGATGTTCTGTTTAACCATGAATTGCTGTAAATGCTTATCAGTTTTCAAAAAAAGTATAAAAAATGAAATGCCCAACAACCCCCAAATTATTTTTGAATATAATTTAACTGTTTTTTCACTTACTAAATCTCAGGATCTGATAGATATGATTATAAGTCATACAGTTTTGTTTAATTAATCTTTGTGGTTTGAATGTTGGAGAAATAAGATCTCATTATACCTCTGTGTCATCTATTATAGTTTTAACCTAGAAGCATTCCGAAGTTGTAAAACCATAGCTGTAGAGCAAATTCAAATGTGTTGTGTTTTGGTGAAATGACCATGGCTTTTTACCATATCATCTGAATGTAACACACGTTGTGTATCAGAGCAGCCCTATGTGGGCTACAGTATGTCATTTAATCTCAGTGAGCTCTTTCTGACTTTACAGAGTGAAACTAGTACTGCCTACTTGATAGGACTGCTGAGGATTAAATGATAAAGTATGTTAAAAAGCTTGACAAACCTTAGTATTCTTTATACCCTTAAAGGTACAAATCCTGTCTTTTTTATGACTATTTCTCCTCCATAGCATAGAGGGGAATGTGTTGCATATAATAGTATTTCTTACTTAATACTGATAATGGAGTGAGACTATGAAAAGCAAATACTGCATAGCAAGGAGGAGATATCTGCTAGAATCAGATATTGACATATTAGCTTGGCAAATTGCTCCTTCTAAAGTCAGCTTCCATGTTGGTGAGGCTGCTTTGAATCTCCCAGGCACCTTTGAGTTTTTGTTCACTGCTCTGCTCTCTGTCAGCTCACCTTCATCACAATAGGGTTTCTCAACCTCTACACTATTGACAGTTTGGACTGAATAACTTTTATGCATTGTAGGGTGTTTAGCTCCATCTGTAACCTCTACCTACTGTGTGCTAGTAGTGCTCTACCCCAAGTTGTAGCAAAAAATTGTCTCCAGACATTGCCTAGTGTCCTCTGCGGGACAAAAATGCCTCGGAATGAGCACCACTGCATACATACAGCAGTCACTGCTTTGTGATGTAAATATCAGTTTACCTGTGCCCCTTCTCACCAGACTGCCAGCCCCTAGAGGGTAGTGTGATGTCTTTCTCTGGTGCCACAGCTCGGACACCCATAGAAGTGCAATAAATGTGGAAAGAGAAAAAGGTTTAAGAAATACTTAAAGAAGTTATCAGTTATAATACCTATGTTGATTCATTATATGCAGTGGATTTTTATTTTGTTCTGGACCAAAAAGACAAGGACTCACCATAACCTCAGGTTTCTTTCCTGAAACCATTAATGCCACCACCTTCTCAGATCTTTCTCTTGCCTATGCCCCATCATTGATATAATTAGACAATGTGTTCACTCAAAGAAGAGGGAAATCTGGGATAGGATACCTGAGATGTTAGGCTTTAAGGACCAGGCAGAAATTAAAGGCATCTTTCTCTCTCTCTCCCGCTCTCTCTTAAACTCTGTAGCAATTCCCATACCCAGGCTCCAACAAATAACCGGAATATCCCCAAATATATTATCTCTAGCTTAGAACCTACCTGTTAGCTCATAGTATTACTAGAGGTCTCCTCTTGTATATTTCACAAGGTCCAGAAACAGAGACCCAGTATGCATAAAACTAAACTCACCATCTTATTTCACTTCTTTTAAACCTTCAAGATTCCTTTTTTTTTTTTTTTTTTTTTTTTTTTTTGAGACAGAGTCTCGCTCTGTCGCCCAGGCTAGAGTGCAGTGGCACGATCTCGGCTCACTGCAAGCTCCACCTCCTGGGTTAACACCATTCTCCTGCCTCAGCCTCCCGAGTAGCTGGGATAACGGGTGCCCGCCACCATGCCCGGCTAATTTTTTGTATTTTTTAGTAGAGACAAAGTTTCACCGCGTTAGCCAGGATGGTCTCGATCTCCTGACCTCGTGATCCTCCTGCCTTGGCCTCCCAAAGTGCTGGGATTACAGGCGTGAGCCACCACACACGGCCAAGATTCTTTATCCCAGGGAATGGTGTAGGGGTTCTGGAGTGAGAATCTTGCTTTGCTATTTAATAACCCAGTGACCTTGTACAGATTACCTACCCTCTATCTCATTTTCCTTATCTGTCAAATTGATACTGATCTTCCAGTGTTATTGTGAAGATCAAATTAGGTGATGCATGTAAGTTACTTAATGAGGTAATGCATATAAATCACCTAGAAAACAATGCATAGCCTGTTGAATAAAAGTAGATGTTATTATCTCAAAACAAGCTTCAACCAAATACTTGAGAGCTGTTTCTTACTTTTGCCCTCACTATTTCCCTGTTCCCACCCATCAAGTTTCTACATTTTCTTTATCCTGCCTCCCATTTCAGTGCAGTATGCACAGTTCATTCTTGCCCATTTCATTTCCAGTGCAATAGCTTCAGTGCAGGCCTTGATCCTTTTTTACCCAAATCATTACAGCAGTAGCCTTTTAAGCCTTTCCGCCTCCGGTTTCACTGTCAGCCTATCTGTCCATTTTCTTGATGCCTGTACAGAGATATATTTTTTAGTGTCTCCCATCGCCTAGTAACTCAAATCCCAACATGCTTCTATGCCTTTGTGTTAGCTGTTCCCTCCTCTTTTTCTTCTCTTTTCTTTGTTGAGCTAACATGTACTCATTTTTAAGATACAGCTCAAGCATTTCTTCATCTTACAAGCAACACCTAACCACCCTTCCCTGAGATCACTGCTATACTTTGTGCCTGTCTTCTTACCACAATAGCACTTTGTGCACATGTACTTTCTAGCACTTACGATGCATAACTTGTGTTTCTTGATTTATTTCCCCCACTAAATTGTGAGTTTTTGACATCTCATTCATTTTGATTCCTCATTTATTTTGGTTTTTACAGTGAGTAGCACATTTCTTGACATGTAGTAGGTGTTTAATAACTATTTGTAGTTCAATACAGCTAGGATTCCATAAGATTGAATCAGACAGTATAGACTTACAAAATCATGGGAGCAAAACTGTTTAAGAATTCATTGATGGAATTAACCAGCCAAATTGTGAATGAAGAAACCATGCAGGCATCTCTGTTGGATAGAAGCGAGAGATCAGTAGATACCCAAAGAGAAGCTAAAAGCTGGGATCTTATCAGAGGTCCTAGCTGAGTAAGTTAATCGGCAGTAGGTAGTAGAGAGAGGAAGACCAAGGGATCTGGGTATTAAGTCATGCTGTCTTCTTTAATTGTCCCTAATTTTAAGGAATTTGATCTTGTAAGGGAGAAATACCAGAAGAGAAAAAAAATTAATTCTGACAATAGAGTGCTATTTAAAAATATATACCTAGTGTTATGGCAATAGAAAATGAAGTAATTTTTCAACAAATGTTGTCACATCATTGCCTGTGGGCCAGAAATGACCAGTTAAAATATCAGAGGTGGGTGTGCAATGGGCAGACGTGTTACATCAGTTTTAAGTCCTCCAGTGTCAACACGGCTTCACATGCGAGCCTGAGCAAAGATCATGTTCATGGGGTCCGAATGGGTTGGGATCACGTTGCTTCAGCCGCCAATGGTGATAGTGTTTTGTCATTTTCTGTGTAAGCATAATTTGTAAATTAGTTTGCTGCTAAAAACAATAGTCTGAAGAGTCCTTTTTTCAAGATTATTTTCCAGGCCCATCATGTAAAACGGGAAATGGTGTACAGTTTTCTCAGCACTGTAGAGATGACCAAAACACCATTTAGTAACATCACTAACCATTTTATGCCATGATGTCTGAAAAGAAGAAATCCTGATCCAGGAAACAATTGCTGCATTGTCCAAATACATCATCTTTAAAATTACATTTGAAACATCTCTAACCATGGTTTATTTATTGGAATCTCATCCCACCCTTTGAGTAAAGAGTTTTCTTCCTGTCTTGATCCT
Organism: Homo sapiens; assembly: GCF_000001405.40. Classification (NCBI taxonomy): domain Eukaryota; kingdom Metazoa; phylum Chordata; class Mammalia; order Primates; family Hominidae; genus Homo; species Homo sapiens. Next base: position 130,393,957 of record NC_000006.12, read on the forward strand.
ACAGATTGAATATCACATATGCCTCTTTGATTGGAATGATGAATGAGTTTCTGTTCCCATTATTTTACACTGCTGTTGAGTTGAAATAGCAACAAATCACATCCCTAGTTGTATTTAGTGATTCAATATACTGTACTTGGGATTTCATTGTTAGGGTTTGAAGTCAGTATTTGTCCATTTCTCCAAACCTTATACCAACATCAGATTTGGATCTTGATTGTTCTATATTGAGGGAGCCAACATCCTTCTCCTGAACCCAGCCTAGAGTCTGTAAGCCTGAGACTGCTTAAAGAGAAATGCTGAACTGCTATGCAAAAAAGAACCTTTATCAAGGCTTGATGTGATTTTTGCTGTTTCACAACTGTCATATTGAAATTCCCTTTCGCACCCACAGAAGGGAATACTTACCTCTGCCAGCAGGTTTCTGTTGGGAGCTGGAATGCATCCCCGTAAATACTCAGAGTGGCAGGGGTGGCAGAGCTTTCTTCTCTCCCCACGCTGCTTCTGCTTTTGGCAGAGGCTCGAATATTGGCAGGGGCACCCGCCTCTGCACAGTCTGCTCTGGGGAGGTGGGGGATTCCTCTTACTTCCAATTACCAGTTTCTTTATATGTGGGAGGACATTTTTTGGCAAAGATTATCCTCTTCTCTTCATGTCTGGCTGACAGAACCCTTGCTAATTTATTTTTTGGCATCCCTTATGCATTTGTTAAGATGTCAAAAGGTACATACAAAGCACTGAATTGAAGACTGCGTTTACATTCTGGAGCTTCCAGTAGGCATGCATGAGATGTTAGAAGCTATCTCTCTGGAATAGAAGGTATGGTGCAGGGTAAACAGAGGATAGTGGGCATGGTTTACTTGCCTTCTTGCAAAAGCCTTAAGGCCCTTTAGTGAACAGTGAATCACAGAATCCTAAACTTGTACGAGGGTAAGGATATGAAAGTTCATGTGATTATTGCCCATTTCTCCTGGAAATTGAGGCCAGGAACAGTTACATGGCTTGCTCAAGTCCAGCCAGCTGACCAATCAGGAGCCTCCTGATAGAGCCTCCATCGGTATCCTAGTCTTCTTTCTTTGTCCTGTGTAATTTTCACTGTATTGCAATGTTTTGAAAGTAGTAGACACTCAGGAAATATGTATTAGGTCTACTCAATACCTATCTTCATAGCTCCTTCCTGCATATAGGATGGGAAAATTTCCACTCCCCATTTCCCTCAGAAACACGCACACAGAAGATTCTGACAAGCTATCCAGCCATACTGGTTGGATTGCTTATAATTCTTCTAGCTAGATTGAGTTGCCTAGAAAAGAGGTCATTTCAGTAGTTTTTCCCTTTCCCAAGTGGGATGGAACCCTTAGTTGAAGAGCCCGTGTCAAAATCAATCTGTAATTTTGGAGGCTGTGGAAAAGCAGCTCCAATCGCCTGCCCTGGACAGTCTGTTCTATTAAACTTTCTGAAACATTAATAGCAGATTTGTGAAGTCATGCTAAGAAAGAACAGATCTCAAAAATGGTCTCTTCAGAGGGAATGATTATTCGAAACAACTAATTTGAGGTAAAGTAGCCCTGAAAATGTTTCGGGTATGGTTGAGAATCTTAAGTAGTCAGCTAAGTAATTTTTTTAAAAAAGCTTTCATTAAACCTGATATTAGGAAGTGATTTAAACAAATAAATTGTTAAAGAACGAAATTTCTGTTCATAACAATTGCTTTTAGATCACAGGTCAGATGGAGAAGGTTTTATTTGTTAATGACAGAACAGGATCATCCCACACACTTTCTTGAGGGGATTGCGTTATGTATCCAAGAAGATAATTCAAGGTGGATCAAAGTCGTTGAATTTAAAGCAAGTGTTACGCTTAACAGCAGTTTAAAATACTGAACTAATAGTACTGTGGTCATGTAAGACAATCATTTTGTGATGGCAGTTCTAAAGAGGGCTTGGCTATCCAGTTGGTCATAGTGCCTTTAGTGGCTAAAACTTAACATTTAAACAGCTCCATCTTTCTCTCTGGAGTAAATATGAAAATAGTGAAAAGGGATACTTGATGTTGGAATCATTTTCAAAGAACAGTCTTAGACATACTTTAGTTATAAACTGTATGCAAAGCCAGTATGGTTTAATTATTTTTTCTTTTTGCCTAAAAATATCAACTAAAGCTTTTACAAATTTCTCTACTCTCAGATTTTTTATCTATTACGTTAGTATTTCTAATGCTTATGAACATGGGGCCAGCAGTTGTTGCCTGTAATGGGTGCTCTGAAAATGCTAGTGATGATAGAGGTTTAGAAAAACTTAAGAAAAACCTTCTGCACTAGTTTTTTATTTATGTATTTTTGTTTGTTTATATTTTTATTGGAGCCTCAAAAAATGACTCAGAACTTATTTTGGATTCTGACCAGTCTGTTTTTTTTTTTTTTTTAAACTAAGAATATTTTCAATTGGTGAGATAAAGGTTGTAAAGAATAAAATATCTCAGGAGGAAAGGAGGGAATTTGTTCTTCTTGTCATTAGCTTGGTTTTAGGAAGATAATACTTTTCTTTCTAAAAAATCAGATATTTTGGAAAAAATATAAAGAAGTAAATAAATGTTGGCAGTAATCTATCCATATTTTGAGCATAGCCTTTAAAAAATATCAAAACCATATACATTATATATACACACATATTGTATATATATGCACACACATTTATACTTTGTATATTTTTAAAAAGTGAAATCACTCATACTTTTTAATATGCTAAGGTTTTATATTTAATAGTGAAATATTTCAGGTATACAAAAATATACAGAGGAGAGAAGGCACCTACCCATCATCCAGGTGAAATTTAACATTTTGTCATTAGAAAATACTGTAAAAATACTTTTTAAGAAATAAAATGAGAGTCCAGAAGGTACTGTTGGAGGCTTCTTCCCCCGGCATTCCATGTTTCACCCTCCTCAGAACCAGTAGGATGTTGTGCAGCCTTCACCTCTGCTTCATACTTTTACTTTCTGTTTGTACTTACAATTATTTATAGCATTGTCTTATGTACGTTTAAGTTTACTTAAATGATTTCCTAGTTCACATGCTCTTTGCACATTTTGTCATTAAATATATTTTTTGAATTTAATCAGATTAATACTTGTAGCTCTAGCTGATTATTTAAACTGCTGTGTAGATTACATGGTTATATCATCCATCCCTTATTGATGGGCAACTATTAATAATTCATTTTCAGTTTTTCCTTATTACAAACAATATTGCAGAGGACCTCATATCTCCTTACACATGTAAGATTTCCTAAGATTTATATTTTCAAGTAAAATCATAGATTAAGGGCAGCTTTAAACTTAACTAATAATTGCAAATATGAAATTTAAAGTGATTGTACCAATTTGTATCTCCATTAACAAGGATCAGTTTTTTTTGTAACTTAGTCCATTTTTGCTTTCTATATTTTAAACTCATGTTGTTGGATAAACAGATTTAAGATTACTTTATTTTAATGGCAAATTGTTCATTTTGCCATGATGTAAAAATCCTTTTCATCCTTAATAATGTTTTTCCCCCTCTTTGGAGTCTATTTTATATGTTAATGTTGTTATACAAGCTTTCTTTTGGCTAGTATTTGCCTTTTTCCATTCTTTTACTTTGTGTCATTTATGTTTTAAATTTGTGGTTTTTTTTGAAATCCAATCTGAAAATTTCTGGCTTTTATCTGGTAAATTTAGTATGTGTGGTTTTATTATGATTACTGAGGCATTTGGATTTATTTCCACCATCCTATTTTGTTTGTCTTTTCACCAGGCTTTTTATATGTTTATTTATTGCATTGATTACCCTTTCATAGGTTTTCATTTTTTTCCTTCTGTTGCTTTGGAAGGTATACATTTTTATAATAATCATATCCTTTGCAATAATAATAATTTCATAATAATAATTATTTTAAAATATAGTAATATTTTTATTTTAGTGGGTAGCTCTAGATTTTTACATGAATTATTTTTCTTTATAAACGTTTCTTTTTTCTCTCTCAACTTTTATTTTAGGTTCGGGGGTACATTTGTAGGTTTGTTACATGGGTAAATTCCATGTTGCTAAGGTTTGGTGTACAAATGATTCTATCACCCAGGTAGTGATATAGTACCTGATAGGTAGTTTTCCAACCCGTGTTTCCCTCCCACCCTTCTCCATCAAGTAGTCCCCGGTGCCTGTTGTTCCCATATTTGTGTCCATGTGTATTCAATGTTTAGCTCCTGCTTAGAAGTAGGAACATGTGGTTGGTTTTCGATTCCTGTGTAGTTCTCTCAGGTTAATGGCCTCCAGCTGCATCCATGTTATTGCAAAGGACATTATTTAATTTTTGTATGGCTGCATAGTATTCCACAGTGTATATGTACCACATTTTCTTTATCCAGTCTACCACTGATGGGCAACTAGGTTGATTCCATGTCTTTGCTATTGTGAATAGTGCTGTAATGAACATACCAGTGCATGTGGGTTTTTTTTTTGATACAATGATTTCTTTTCCTTTGGGTATACACTCAGTAGAATATACTCAGTATACTCAGATTGCTGGGTTGAATGGTAGTTCTAAGTTATTTGAGGAATCTCCACGCTGCTTTCCACAGTGGCTGAACTAATTTACACTACCACCAGTAGTGTATAACTGTTCCCTTTATTCCACAACCTCACCAACATCTGTTGTTTTAAGACTTTTTAGTAATGGCCATTCTGACTGGTGTGAGATGGTATCTCATTGTGGTTTTGATTCGAATTTCTGTAATGATTAGTGATGATGAGCATTTTTTCATGTATATATTTGTTGACTTCATGTGTGTCTTCTTCTGAGAACTGTCACCATCTAATGATATTATAATATTTTTATAGTAAATTCTTATTGCTATTTAGTGATTAGTTTACCATTTTCTTAGTTCCCAATTGCCTCTCATATCTCATTTTTTTCATTGTCCAATTTCCTTCTACTAAAGTCTATCCTTTAGTAGTTATTTCATAGTAGTTATTTCATTGATGATCCATGAGTGTAAACACAATCTTAGTTTGTCTGAAAATATATTTATTTTTTTCTCCGACTTCAATGATAGTTTAGCTAGTTATGCAGGTATTGTTAATGGTTCCTTTTTCTCAACACCCTGAAGTTCCCACTCCCTTTAACTTCTGACTCTACAATTTCTTATAGAAAGTCTATACTTACTCACATTATTGTTCCTTTGTATTTAACCTTTTTTTGGTTGTTTTCAAGATTTTCTGTTTTTCTTGTGTAATGTTTTACTTCATTGTAAGTAAGTATGCATTTAAAAAAATTCTTCAGAACTTAGTATATTTCTTCAACCTGCTAATTCATGTTTTCCATCAGCTGTGGAAGTTTTCAACCACTATGTCTTTGAATTGCCTGTTTCCCATCCTTTCTACTGATTCCTTCAGGAATTCTTAATAGACCAATTTGGACTTTTTGATTTTAGCTACTGTGTTTTCTAATTCTTTATTCATGGCGTTTTCCTCAGAAGCATCTTTGTACACCACTTTTATCCCTAGCAGTGACTCATCTGTAGCTCAATCCAGCCATTGAGCTTTTAATTTATTATTATATTTTTATTCGACAAATTTTGTTTAAAAACACCATTTCTTTTTTCATAGTATACTATTTTCTACTTATGTTTTCTATTTTTATTTCTTCTTTTATTTATTCCCTATTTATATTCAAATTTATTTATTATTATTATTATTTATTTTTCCATAAGTTATTGGTGTACAGGTGGTATTTGATTACATAAGTAAGTTCTTTATAGTGGTGATTTGTGAGATTTTGGTGCACCCACCACCCAAGCAATATACACTGCACCATATTTGTAGTGTTTTGTCCCTCGCCCCCCTCCTACTCTTCCCCTTAAGTCCCCAGAGTCCATTGTATCATTCTTATGCCTTTGCATCTTCATAGCTTAGCTCCCACATATCAGTGAGAACATACAATGTTTGGTTTTGCATTCCTGAGTTACATCACTTAGAATAATAGTTTCCAATCTCATCCAGGTCATCGCAAATGCTGTTAATGCATTCCTTTTTATGGCTGCATAGTATTCCATCATATATATATACATACACACACATATATATGTATATGTACAGATATACATATATATATATACACACACACACACACCACAGTTTCTTTATCCACTCGTTGATTGATGGGCATTTGGGTTGGTTCCACGATTTTGCAGTTGTGAATTGTGCTGCTGTAAACATGCATGTGCAAGTATATTTTTCGAATAATGACTTCTTTTCCTCTGGGTAGATACCCACTAGTGGGATTGCTGGATCAAATGATAGTTCTACTTTTAGTTCTTGAAGGAATCCCTACACTGCTTTCCATAGTGGCTGTACTAGTTTACATTCCCACCAGCAGTGTAGAATTGTTCCCTGTTCACCACATCCACAGCTCTCTTTTTAGTCACTTTCCTATTTTTTTAATTATCTCCAGTTCTTGGGGTTATGAGTCCTACTGTTTGGAGAATCTCCTGACTCTGTCATAGTGACAGTTTAGCTCCTATGATTTTTTTTTTTTTTAATTGTGAGCTTATCTTTAACTGGCACTGTTTTCATATGTAAGCCCTGAGTTACAGTTGTTTCAATGGACATGTTTATTTCTGCTGGGTTTTGAGGGGTTTCATTAGTCCAAGATTAGTTTTCTTCACTATAATTTTGTGACCTAAGGTTTTTGTACTTCATGGAGAGTTTAACTTGGGTTCTGCCTAGCCACACACTTGGAGCTTTAGGCAAAGATAAGCTTCCTTATTGTTTCACTGAGCCAGTGACTGAAGTTTTCTTGCCTCTTTTTGACATAATTGACTGTCCGGGGCACAGACTCTATTCTAGGGTTCCAAGTCCAACCCCCTGCTTTGTGTTCCTTTTCATCACACCACCTGAACCCACACAGTTGTTACAGAAGCAGACAAACAAATAAATAAACAAAATTTAGTCATTAAGTGATGGACCTTACATCTAGGTCTGAAATTTCCATGAGATGCCTTGACATCAGCTGAAATTTTTCATTCTGACTTTGGGTACCTCTTCATTTCTGGAAATAAATGGGGAGTGGGGATGTCTCTTTTCTTCATCAGAGCTCAGCTATGCATTAACCTTTTTTGTTTTTATAGTTTATTCAGCAATTCTGTGTCTTTCTAGCAAGGAGGTCCATCTTACCTCAGAGTGCCACCTCACTGTATTCAGGTGTCATGTTGATTAATATCTTGCCTTTTCACTTCTTATATGGAAGGCATCTTTTCACAGCAGTAAATTATTATTTTTATTAGCCTCATAGTATTCCATTGTTCAGCTAGACCATAAATTATTAGACTAATCCCTATTACAGATAATTTAGATCCCTTCCTTTCTTCCTTCCTCCCTCCCCCTGCTTGCTTGCTTGCTTCTTTCTTTCTTTTTCTTTCTTTCTCTTTCTTTCTTTCTCTCTTTCCTTCCTTCCTTCCTTCCTTCCTTCTTTCTTTTTCTTGCTTTCTTTTTCTCTCTCTTCCTTTCTCTCTTTCTTTTTTCTTTACTTTTTTGTCTTTTCTTTTGTCTTTTTCACTGTATTAAACAGTGCTGCAACCAGGTATCCTTGTACATATATTTTTGTATACCTGTCAAATAATTTTGTATATTTAATGCCTTCATTGGGTCTATGGTTATATGCATTTTTAAAAATTAAGTATTGCAAGATTGTTTTCCTGAAGGTTTGTACCCATTGTACTTCCACTTCACACTTTTTCCATACTTTGCCATTAGTAGGTCTTTTCAGTTGTTTTAAATGTGTAAATTTGATAGGTAAAAACAGTGGTCTCTCACTTATTTACTTAGTATTTCTTCTTTAATGTTTGTGTGTGTGTGTTTGTGAGCTTTTTTCAGTTTTTCTCTTTTGTAAATTGCCTGTTTATGTCCTATTTTTCCATTTTTCTTAAACCATTGATTTCTAAGAACTCTTTATATGGTAGGGACAGTGTACCTTTGTCTGACATGCAGTTTCTTTCTGTTTGCTGTTTGTGCCCTAATGTTGACTATCGTGGCTTTGCCTTACAGGAGTTTAAAATTTTGTATCTTCATAGCTGCCTTTCTTAAAAAAAAAAAACCTTAAGGCTTTTGGTTTTATTACTATGACTACAAAACTCAAAAGAATGAATTTCTGAATTGCTTTTATGGGAGAAATATCACAATTTGCCATAAGAATAGTTCATATAATAAACAAACAGAGTATTATGGAAAAAAGACATAAAAATGATGAAATGGTGAAAACTTTAAAGTGAAACACAACAAACAATTTCCAAGAAATAAAAACTGAAACACTGTGTCTGCAGGAGAGACAACGCTGTTCATGGAAAATGGGAATCAGTTGAGCAAAAAATACAAAAGGTTGACACTCAGTAGATCTAAATTAAAAACCACAATCAGTTTATCTATTTTTATTACTAACTGGATAAGACCCACAAAGGAACCTTTTATTATGCTTATGAGAATTACTTGGGGTCTCCATCTCAAGATTCCATAATTTGTCTTCTCTTCCAGAACTTGACTCTATCAATTATTCCTGTCTTTCTATACCTTTGATATTTCCCTTTCCTTTTGGTTTCCATTCTTCAGCATATATCATAGCCAAGACTTTTCTTTCTTGCTGTCTACCTATGGAATATACTGCAGACACAAAAGAAGAATATAATGTGTGCAGTTTAAACAACTCATAACAAACTCAAGGAATTTCTATAAATCCTTGGTTTTCAACTTATCTACTTTTACAGAAAGTTGATATACAAAGTTTATTTAAAGTATGTATGTTAGATAAAGTGAAATATCCCTAACCTCTATTAGAAGTTTTATTTATAAATATCCCTATCCTCTATTAGAAATTATATCATGAATAACTTCTTGTCATTGTAAAAATGTAGCCTCTTTATGTTATCTACATGTATGCAAGAGTCCATCTCCATCTCTTTTCTTTATGCCCCCATATCACTTTTAACTGCAATTTCTGCATCTTGCCTCCAGTTACCACTCTCCATCCTCCAAATCCTCAGTGGCATAATTTCATATTGTTTCCATCCCTGGCTGTCCTGCTTCTTTCTTTATATCTCTAAGTGCAGAAACACCAGGTAAAACCACTTGTTTTAGCAGGGAAAAGCATTTGGATAGTAGATGGTCCCTTCCATTCTGAGGGACACCTGTCATTTGACTACATTAATGATCACTAATTACTAAATTGAACTCTTTTGATAAATGTAGCAAGATATTCATAAGAAGCCATTTTATAATTAATTTTGATTACAGTAGATCACAGATTTTCTTTTCAGATGTTCAGACAGAATCTATGACCATAGAAGATAGCACTTTCATACCAAGTAGATTTTAGATACTGTAATAATGAATTCTTCTTAATTATTATTATTTCGATAAACGGTATCCAGAATTAGTTCTTTTTTAACTTTGAGGTATTTTTAACCTGCTGATTCACAATGGTGATTATTTATATAATCAGAACATTATTAGAAGAGGCAGATTATATGCTAAAAATGATAGAATTTTGAATGAAAAATTTATATTTGATAACATGTATTTTTACAGTGAAAAAAGCCTGGATCATCTATAGTTTTTGAGTAAATCCTTCTTATTTCAGGAACTTTGTTTTCATTTTGCTATTTTTTTTTCAACATGACTTACAGCATTTTTAAAACTTTTATTTTAAGTTCAGGGGTACAAGTGCAGGCTTATTACCTAGATAAACTTGTGTCATGCGGGTTTGTTGTACAGATTATTTCATCACCCAGGTATTAAGTCTAGTACCCATTAGTTATTTTTCCTGATTCTCTCCCTTCTCCCACCCTTCAACCTCAAGTAGGCCCCAGTGTGTGTTGTTCCTCTCTATGTGTCCATGTGTTCTCATCATTTAGCTCTCACTTATAAGTGAGAAAATGCGGTATTTGGTTTTATGCTCCTATGTTAGTTTGCTGAGGATAATGGCCTCCAGCTCCACCCATTTCCCTGCAAAGGATGTGATCCTATTCTTTCTTATGACTGCATAGTATTCCATGGTGTAAATGTACCACATTTTCTTTATTCAGTCTATCATTGATGGGCATTTAGGTTGATTCTATGTCTCTGCTATTGTGAATACTGCTGCAATGAACATAATACATGTGCAAGTGTCTTTATAATAGAATGATGTATATTCCTTTGTGTATATAACCAGTAATGGGATTGCTGAGTCCAATGGTATTTCTGCCTTTATGTCTCTGAAGAATTGCCACACTGTCTTCCACAGAGGATGAACTAATTTACATTCCCACCAACAGTGTATAAGTGTTCCTTTTTCTCCACAATCTCTCCAGCATCTGTTATTTTTTGACTTTTTAATGATAGCCATTCTGACTAGTGTGAGATGGTATCTCACTGTGGCTCTGATTTGCATTTCTCTAATGATTAGTGATGATGAGTTTTACATATGCTTGTTGGCTGCATGTATGTCTTATTTTGAAAAATAATATCCTGTTTATGTCCTTTGCACACTTTTTAATGGGGTTGTTTTTCTCTTGTAAATTTAAGTTCCTTATATTTGCTGGATATAAGACCTTTGTCAGATGCATAGTTTGCAAAAATTGTCTTCCATTCTGTAGGTTGCCTGTTCACTCTGATGATAGTTTCTTCTGCTGTGTAGAAGCTCTTTGGTTAAATTAAATACCATTTGTCAATTTTTACTTTAGTTGCAATTGCTTTTGGCGTCTTTGTCATGGAATCTTTGCCCTTACCTATGTCCTGAATGGTTGTCTTCCAGGGTTTTTTATAGTTTTGGGTTTTACATTTAAGTCTTTAATCCATCTTGAGTTAATTTTTGTATATGGTGTAAGGAAGGGGTCCATTTTCAATCTTCTGCATATGACTAGCCGGTTACCCCAGCACCATTTATTGAATAGGGAATCCTTTCCCCATTGTTTTTGTCAGGTTTGTCAAAGATCAAATAGTTATAGTTGTGCGGTTATTTCTGGGATTTCTATTCTGTTCCATTGGTCTTTGTGTCTGTTTTGGTACCAGTACCATGCTGTTTTACTGTAGCCCTGTAGTATAGTTTGAAGTCAGGTAGGGTAGCATGACGCCTCCAGCTTTGCTCTTTTTGCTTAGGATTGCCTTGGCTATTGGAGCTCTTTTTGGTTCCATATGAATTTAAAAATTTTTTTTTCTAGTTCTGTGAAGAATCTCAATGGTAGTTTCATAGGAATAGCATTGAATCTGTAAATTGCTTTGGGCAGTGTGGCCATTTTAATGATATTGATTCTTTCTGTTCATGAGCATGGAATGTTTTTCATTTGTTTGTGTCATCTCTCATTTCTATGAGCAGTGGTTTGTAGTTCTCCTTGTAGAGATCTTTCACCTCCCTAGTTAGCCGTATTCCTGGGTATTTTATTTTTTTTTGTGGCAACTATGAATGGAAATTCATTTTCAGAAACTTTTAAGAATTGCTCTTATCACTTAAATTCGACTACTGCAGCAGTTTCATTTTGGTCTCTTCTTACAGTTCACTTTCCATTAGTTGACTTTGCATCATGGTAGGAGAATCATTCTAACTGAGAATGAGGAATCATGCATTTTCATATTCCTGGGAACTCTCACTTTCCTCTGGGAACTGGGTTGCTCAGTGCTCCTGGAGAAAATCGTGCAATTTAGTGGGTTATTGTCATTACACAGTCATGGTTTCCAGCTCCTATGTGCTTTCAGCACTGCTCAGCAGCCCTCTTGTGCACACCTGGTGTGTCCTCTCCCTATGCTGGTTCTCATTGCCCTCCCCAGGCTTCCTGACCCACTGCTAGCTTGCGGTAGATGGGCTGCTTCCTAATCCAGATGATAGACACTGCACATGCTTAACACTTCACTGGCAGGTTGCTTCTTCATGTCTTGAGTGGACACATATGACCCTGCCCATGTTTGACTAGGTTTTGACTTGCAAAACCAGCAATTTCATCTACTTCAGACTAATGCAAGCTTATCCTCACCCTCTATCATTCCCTGGCTTCTGGGAATAGATGATCCTCTTCTCCAAAGTTAATGCATTCTTTAGGAAGGAGCTCATACATCATTTCTCCTCCAGGATTTGTCTCCATCAGATCCTTGTCTTTTCATATATTCAATATCTAACTTTTCCTCTTGGCTCCTTTCCGTTTACATATATAGCCGAGTTTTTTTCTGTCTAATTTCTATTTGATTTTTAAAAATATATAGAATATACTACATGCACAAAGGAGAAATATAAAATATATGTGCAGCTTAAAGAGTAATACTTAGAAAAACACTATCCAGCTTAAGACTAGACCCTTTTAAATATATCTGTAGCCCTTGTGTGCTCTGATCCCTCCTCCCACATTCCCCTAAACAATATCTTGGATTTTATGTTGATTCCCCCTTGCATTTCTTTATAGTTTAGTCACGTGTATGCATCCCTTAAAAACCTTGTTTAGTCTCACATATTTTTAAATATAAATGAAATCTAAATATATATAGTCTTCTGAAACTAGCTCTTCCACTCTCTGTTGTGTTTGTGAGATTAATCTATGTTATGTTAATACATGTGACAGTAGTTTTCTCTTATCCGGTTCCCATTTTCCAGGTGCATTGCTGTAGACTCTATACCTGATAAATAATGTCCTGAATTGCAAATGAAAGAACTTTACTTCTCAGTCTTACAGCCTGGAAATAGTTTGGTTTGACTTTGTCAGCCTTGTCAGAAGCAGTTCTTCTGTCTTAAACAGAAGCCCAGTCCTCTCTCCTTAATTTGTACCCATCTCTAACTAATGCTCTCTTTTCCTTTAAGACTCAAATCTTAGCAAGAGTAGTTCATACTCACTGTCTTTATGTCTTAGCCTCCCATCTGGGCCTTGTTTGATCTCTTGATGGCTGATCTCTCCACGTTTTTTAAACTTTCTCCTTTCGTTTCCTGAACAAAGCTCATGACAGGCTATTTTTTCCTCTCTGCTAAATGTTAAATGTAAACCTTAAAGAGTTTATAATCTAGTTTTCTTGGTTTTGAGCGCATTGTACCTGATTTTAGTGTAGTTTTCCTTTTATTTTCATACGGGGAGAGTGAAGCCTCCATTACATAATGTGAAAGGCGCTTGGAATTATAATTGTATTCTGGAAGTCTTGTGGTGCTGTATTAAGCCTATGTGAATGAGGGGGTGAGGGGAGGCAGAGAAGCTTGACTCTGCATCTGAAAATGCTTAAATGTATTTTAAGTACCATCTGAAATACAGTGACAGAAGCAAAATTAATTGGATGAAATCTAACCTAATGTTTTATTTAGGGATTTGGTTCATCTTGGAATGTGGTTTGGGCATCAAGATTGTGAAATATCACACTTGCATGACAACAGGGTTAGTAGTTTCTTCTCATTTGCACAAGGAGCTTGCTACAGTAGGATTGTTAATGGTCGGGAGGTATATTTTGTCTGCATTTACAGACTTTAGCAAGGAGATGATTTAAATAACCATCTAGATAATTCAAAACCAAAACCTTTGTTGCCTCAATTAGCACTCTTTGGAGGAATTATCTCAATAATCATTTACTCATGTACTTTTACACAGGTGTGTCCACGGAGATACTTGATTTGGTCAATATCATAAATGCTTACTATGTTTAAAACACTGACAGGTGCTGCAAGACATGTAGAGATGAGTAAGAGCCAAGAAGCTCCGAGGTGCCTCTAATGTGAAGGGGAAAAAACTAAGCAGACAAATGATTTATATTGCAAATCAGACTACAAATAACATTTTAGAAACAGAAAAGTTATATAAAGGGTCATAGGAAGGGAGCCTGACTCTCACAAACTTTGAAATTTATTCTCCTTAGAAGTAGATTTAAGAGGCTACATCTCAGACCTGATCTCTGAATTTTACGTCTGCTATCCTTTTTATTTTTATGTAACAAGTATATTGATGTATTATTTACATATCATCTATATGGTTATATTTGTAGTAAATGCCATTCATTCATCAAACCTATTTTGAGCACTTACTATGCTCCACCTGCAAAATGTGGGGCATGCAAAGGTTGGTAAAGCACGGTCAAGGAGTTTGGAGCAGTCTGGAGGCAGATATGGAAACAGTATTCCCAGGATAGTAATAAAAGTGCCCCGTAGTGCACAATACTGTAGTGGCCCAAAGGAAGGAGTTATGAAACCTGATGGATTGGGCAGAGCAGACTGTAGAGGCTTCGAAACCCAATGAGGGTCTTGAAGGATGGATAGGAATTTACCAGAAGGATCAGGAGGGAGCATTCTGGGTTTTCTGCCCAGGTAGGCACTTTCCCAGATATTTTCCTCCAACTACACTTGAGGCCAGAGAAAGTCTATGATAAACCTCTTCCCAGACCCTCTGAGTATTTGAGACACTGCTTTTGTCTCTAGCCTCCATCCTCTGACCCTGACCTGTTCCTTATCTACTTTCCAAAATCTCTGGATGGCCCCAGAGGCCTGAATGGATTTGGCATGTGTTGCATCTTAGACAGGGTTGGGGAATCAGATATAGACAAAGAAAGGAGCATTTGAAAGGTCAAGGGAACAAAGAGGACATGAGACATGTGGGGTGGGCATGAGGAAATATCTGTGGCTTGAGTGTGGGTAGTAGGGTGCTTATGGAGAAGAGGTAGGAAATGGAGTTGACCAGAAAAGCAGGGTCCAGATTCTGAAAGACCATGTGTTTTGTGGAGGGGTTTGGGTATTATGATGTGGGTCACAGAGAAGTTTGACAGGCTTTCAAGTAGTAGAATGATATGAAAAGACCTGTGTAGTATATGCATACTGTTTTTCTAGTTTGGTTGTTTCTGCATTGACACCATTGATGAGGGTGCCACTCAGATCTCCCTTTAGGGGAGACCTGCCATAGGAGTAGTTGGCCAACAGCCTGTAGGTGCCACATCTGATCCACTGCAGCATTCACACAGGACCACCACCCCCTCCCTGACCCTGGGATATTCCCAGACAGTGACTGAGCATGGTGAGATATGAACGCCAGGCCAGCTCTGTCTCACATGGCACTCCTCTAATGGGCAGTCCTTGTTTGATACTTTCTCAGAGCCACATGCATCTGAATCTCCTCCTACTCATTCCTGCTTTCTTTCCTTCCTTTCGTTGCTTCCAAGGCTTCATGGTGGTCTAAGGTTTTCTCTACCTTTTCCTGCACCCTCTTTTCTTTATCTGTCACAGGTGTTTTCCCCAATAATCATTTCTAATTCTCTTGACATCTGCTTCCCATTGGACATGAACTGACCCATGATACCTCAAAGCCTATTTTTAAATTTCATTATTTATCTTTAAGTGGTTATTTATGTTTTACCCTTTGAATGAGCATGCCTCCCTTTATATGAAATAAACTTTATAAAATGAAGTCAGAAATAATCTCAAATACCTGGTCTCAGGACAGATTGGACCTCTGGGCCATGCCAGGCTGCTCTACACAAGTTTGTCTCTGCAACTATGTGGGATCTGACAGGCTTCCAGGGACCAGTGAGGAGGTGCCAGCCTTTGCTTAATTCTGCTTAGTGATCTATTTCCCACATTCTATCTGTGACAGAATTGGCTCCAATTCAAAGATTTGATGGACAGGTAATGCTTCAGATAGATAGGATTTTTTTTCCTGACTGTCATTCTTATAATACAAAGTATTTTGATGTCTCATGACTAGCAGGTGGTTAGACAAAAGAAGAGGATAATTCGGTGTCTTAAAAGCCAGTGACCTAGAATTTGGGAGGCCAGCATTAATTATAGTGAATCTCAGTATGATTTTTGAGGCAGTTATTCTCTATGGAATAATATGGCCTTATGTATGAAAGGCACTTCCTTTCTGTCTCTCAGTTTTTTTTTTTTAATGAAAACTCACTGTTTAAGTAAAAACAATGAATCACGTTCTTGAAGTATGTTGCAATCTTTAAATATCAGAAAAGTATGAGAAGTTAATTTTTAGTTTTTAGAAGATCTATGGTATTTATTGCAGTTTGTATGACTCTAACAGCAAAATTGCACACTACTCTAACAGCAACATTGCACACTACATTTCTTTAAAATAAAATGCTGGATTGAATATCATATATTTTGAAACTAAAGTGAATGTGTTTAAGTTATGGAATTGAGCCTTAACTTATCTCCTAGGTAGACTTTTGGGTGTTCCTGTGATCAGAGTTTCTTTGTGAGTTTTCTGTGAGTGGGAATTCCCTGTGTGGTCTGGCTGATTTAGGAAGGGGCTGAAGACCAACCTCATCGCTTTGGCTTCACTGCTTTGCTCTCATCTTACATATTAGAAACTCTTCAGTAAGAGACAACTAAAGGGCCAATGAAATTCAGATGGACTCAAAATCTCTGGAGTGATACAAGAGCTTTTAACATTAACTTTTTCATTTTTAAATGAAATGTCTAAATCCAGATGATTTCATGGTAATTGTGGGCATTTTCTAGACAGTTTTTATTTTAAGGGAATATATAGCAGTTGCTTAAATGGAAAAAGAACCATGTAAAGAAAAACCTCATATTTCTCTGAAATTGTCCAGTAGTGCTACAAGTCTTTTTGGTGAAAAGATTTCATATGGTATCATAATTTTGTAGTATTTAGAACCCATGTACAAAAATGAGTCATTGCTCCTGTTGAGTGTGGCAGATCCGTTGTTTCAACAAAGCTAAGTGATAATCAGAAAACATGACAAGAATTAGCACTTCAAAAGCCCAAGTGAAATGTTAATGAACTTATGTTTTAATTCTGATAAGATTGGATTTAGGGGCATGACCTTCTTTATTTAATTAAGAATAAGTTGTCAGTGTTATCATAGCTCTAGGAAAGCCACAGTAGACTCTAGACTTGGCTATTGTAGGGAGACTGCAATGCCTTTAGTAGAAGTTTTGGAAAATCAGGCCAGGTGCAGTGGCTCACGCCTATAATCCCAGCACTTTGGGATGCTGAGGCAAGTGGATCACCTGAGGTCAGGAGTTTGAGACCAGCCAGGTCAACATGGTGAAACCCTGTCTCTACTAAAAATACAAAAATTAGCCAGGCATGGTGATGCATGCTTGTAATCCCATCTACTCGGAAGGCTGGGGCA
Organism: Homo sapiens; assembly: GCF_000001405.40. NCBI lineage: Eukaryota > Metazoa > Chordata > Mammalia > Primates > Hominidae > Homo > Homo sapiens. The sequence goes on from NC_000006.12 coordinate 130,411,076, forward strand.
GGGGAATTGCTTGAACCTGGGAGGCAGAGGTTGCAGTGAGCCGAGATTGTGCCATTGCATTCCAGCTTGGGCGAGGAGTGAAACTCCATCTCAAAAAAAAAAAAAATCAATATGGCATCTTACATTGACGCTTGAGATTTGTTTTAAACCAGTAGTTGACTGTGTTGGGATGAATGTCTTAGCTTATGGGGTGCTAAGACAAATAAATGCCATTTTTAAAAGAGTTTTTTTTAAATTTTATAATTACAGAAATTTTGCAAGTACAGTACAAAAAGCTGTTTTCCTAAAACACTTGAAAGTAACTTGCTCTCACCTCCAGGTACCTTAGTGTGCATTTCTTACAAAGACATTCTTTACATAACTACAACATAACCTTCAAATTCAAAGCACTAACATTGGTATATTACTACCACAGAATTCTCAGATCCCACTTCAGTTTTGCCAGTTTTCCAGTAATGCCTTTTATAGCAGAAGGATCCAATCCAAAATCATGTGTTGAATTTAGTGGTTGTATCTCTTTACTCTGCTTCAATCTGGAATGTTTCTTCGGTATTTGCTTGACTTTCATAAACTGGAAGGGCCAGTTATTTCATAGAGTGTCTCCTAAGGTTGGTTTGTTTGGTGCTTGCTTGTTGTTAGATTCAGGTTTGGCAGGATTATCACAGAAGTCGTGCTGTCTTCTCATTGTGTTGGTTACTGCATTTCAGTTTGTCCCATGATAATGATGTTCACTTTGGTCACTTGATTAGGCATGCCTGCCACTGTAAAACTGCATGATATTTTCCATTTTTAATTACTGTTTTTTGTAAGGGGGTACATCAAATGTATGTAAATATCTTGTTCCTTATTAAAGTATCAATGTATACGTTTGTTTGTTTATATTATTATGGTCTTGTAGTTTAGTAGGTTAAAATCTGACACTATCATTATTTCTTTTGATGCTCAATTATCCCATATTTGACCAGTGGAAGCTCATTCAAGCCTTTTTGACATACCCCATCATTTGTTGAACGTTTCCTTGGCTTTTTTTTTTTTTTGGCACTAATCGTTGTGAGCTCATCTTGTCCTTTTCCTGCTCTAGCTCTGAAATTAGCTACTTCTCCCAGAAGCCTGATTTTTTTTTTTTTTCTTTTTAGTGGAAAATGGTATTTAGAAACCAAGGTCTGAATGATGGGTGTGCTTATTGCTATCTGGGTATTGCCGCCACTCACAGGCCCTCTCTGTGTAAACAGTCTCTCATCCCTGCAGCCCTTGCCTCACTCTGCCCCACAGGGACTCCTGCCTCTCACTGTCAGTGCTGATTCCCTGCGTGGCTGTGCTCTGCATTGCCACTCCTCATCCACCTTGCCCCTCCCACAGGGAGTCCCATCTCAGCTCTCTCAGATTCTAACACCTTGTGCTGGCCCACAGCCCCATATGAAGTGCTCCTCTCTTGGCTTGGGCTCTGAAACTCTGTGCCTAGACACCCCCACTCCCCTTCCTGTGGAGACACCCTCTTTACCCAGCTCAGACTTGAATACCCCACTAGGGCTACCACCCCTTTGAGTGACTATCCTTCTCATGCTAGCCAAGCCCTAGCACCCCACTTTTGGTCACCAGGAATCCTCTGCTGTGCTGTGGATTCCTGCTGTCTTCACCCCCTTCGAATGCTTTAGGGATGAACTGTTGCTCAATGCTAGTTTGGAAGGTTGACTTAGGAGTTACCTAATGGTTTGCCAAACACAAAACATCTGTGGTCATATTCTGAAACCAAGATTCTGGAACACATAATTGAAGAGAAATTATTTCTTAAATGTCCTCATATCAATTTATTTTTTAATGTGAAGATACATATTTTAATAAGGCAAAACTTTGATGTCTGATTAATTCTGCATTCAGTGAGAAATGAATGTATATTTATAACATATCTTCTGTAAAATATGTATGTACAATAAATTACTTAGGAGTAAGTTGTCTTCAGAGGATTTTGTGTCCAAAGTAATTCATGATGGAAACTTCAGAATCAAGTACCAGCAGTTTCTCATTTACCTTGCATCATATCTGTGGTCTTTTAAACAGAACAAAAGTGTAAGGTTGCTCTCATTCTACACATGGAATCTATACTGATAATCCCAAGTTTGTATTCTAGCCCAGATCTTGCCCCTGGAACTGGCTGTGAAGCCCTCTACTTTGGATTTCTCTTTTATCTCAATTGTGTTGTGTTAAAACTTTGTCATTGAGATGCCTGTGAGATATCAAAACAGATGTCAAGTAGGCATCCCCGGGCTTCATGCACCTGTAGCCAGTGTCTGTGTGACATCTGCATTTTGATGTCTCACAGGCATTTCAGACTCGCATGCCCACTCCTGAACTCATGATTCCCAATACTGACTGCTCTCCTCAGGCCAAATCTTCTTCCTACGCTCAGTCTTCCCTATGTCAATAAATGGCACAGCCATCCCCCCCACTAGAGATCTGGAAATTCCCTTGATTCTTGTCCTTTCACCCGCCATGTGGTGCGTCCTGTCTTCTGTTCCTTTCAGCATCTCCTATCACAACCCTAGTCCAAGCCACCAACATCCTTCACCTGGTCTACTTCTTGCTTCCATTCTTGCCACTTTGGGAATAATTATCCTCACAGCTGCCAAAGTGATATCTGCATATCAGATTGTGTCACAATCCAGCTTAAACACACTTAACAAACCACACACTTTTTATCTAGGCTGCATGACCAGCCCCTTGTCCATCTCTGCCTCAGCCACTTTGGCCCTCTTTCTGTTCCCAGAACATATCAAACTTTTTGCTGCTTTAGAGCTTTTGAACGTTATGTGCTTAGAATATCATTATCTTCCCTCTTCCAAATAGGAGTTTTAAATTCTCACACTAGAATTAAAAGCTAACTGATGTATATGATTTGGGGACTAATTTCTGTTAGAGTATTATTTATTTTTTACTTGAAGGAGAATCTCTTTGGCAATATGGAATAATTGTTAAACTTAATTTACTATTAAGAAAACAACAAAACCTGCTTCTCACTGTTCTCAAAAGTCTTAATAAAAATGAATGTAATTATGACATTAAAAAATATAAAAAGAGGCCAGCCATGGTGGCTCACACCTGTAATCCCAGCACTTTAGGAGCCTGAAGTGTGTGGATCACTTGAGGTCAGGAGTTTGAGACCAGCCTGGCCAACATGGTGAAACCCCATCTCTACTAAAAATACAAAAATTAGCTGGGTGTGGTGTTGGGCGCCTGTAATCCCAGCTACTAGGGAGGCCGAGGCAGGAGAATCACTTGAACCCAGGAGGTGGAGGTTGCAGTAAGCTGAGATCGCGCTGCTGCACTCCAGCCTGGGTGACAGAGCAAGACTCCATCTCAAAAAAAAAAAAAAAAAAAAGCTGCAATATCTAGAAAATATTAGGTATATGAAACACTTTAAAACCCTGGAAGAAGAGGGAACCTAAAGTGTTGTTACCACCAAATTATTACTAGTTTAATTTTCAAATGACTCATTCTAGTAAAGATGAATTTTCATTAAGAGTGCTTGTAAATACTGTAATAATTTGTCACATATCTATAATTCAGTACAAGAATATATGCATGGTCTCTCTTGAAATTCACAACCTCGTGAGCACAGAATAGTTCAATGACTCCTGTAACATCATTTGGCCAAGTCCAGTTCTCTGGATTCCACCTTCATTCAATAAATGTCATTTGAAGCATACTATGTGTCAGGCACTATGCTAGGAACTTGTGAACAAAATGTTCCCTTTATAATCTAGTGGAGGAGACACATCATAAACAGGTAAACCAGCAAATACATATGTATGGTTTGAGGGCTGTTTTTCTTTGCTCAGCACAGACTGTTTTTATGGGGCCAGCACCATACTGAACTTCCAAACCCACCTTTGGATATGAAATATAAAGGAAAGGAAGAGTCAGAGGCTCCTTAGCATATTCATTCATAGGACGTCAAGTATTTGGTTCAGCATGAAATATTTTATTGTTTTGTAGATAATCTACCCCCTAGGGACTGAAAGCTCATCCCTACCACCCTATGTGGAATGCAATTCAATGGAATGGAAGGACTTGCAGAATTATCCTCAAGGGAAGCAGAAGGAAAGGGGTTACTCTGAGGAACAGAGGGCAAGCAGGGAGTTAGGGACCATTAGGGGCTGGAAAGAAGAAAGGTTTGACCTCAAAGAGAGGGTTTTTCTTTTCCTAGTGAGCACATAATAAGGTACTAAGGACTGGGGGATTTGGGAGAATGAGCAGAAGGTTCCTGTGTACCCTGTGAGACTAAAAGATAAAATTCAAACCTGGAGGGATGCATCCTTTAATATGTTCTCCTCACTTTCGTGTGCTTGACTTGCCAATAACAAGCTTCATTATTAACGAATTGCACCATTCCTTGGTGAAGAAATCAGCTCTATATAATGAAAACAAAACTATTTACCAGTACTTAGAGAAAGAGCTGAAGTCTCCGTAACATGGCAGATCCTTACATTTTGAAAGGATGTGGGGGTCTCTTTGAGCCCTACTTTCGTCGTTTACTAAATTACGAGAAATCTATCCACCCCTCCCATGCTCACGAGATATCCTTCCTCTACCCACATGTCATGAAACCCTCCTTTTCCTGCTGCCACTAGACAGTTATTGAAGGGTGTCTGAGGTTGCGCCCAAACCTAAAAGAAAAATCTGTGATATGATGTGTAGCTGAATTATTGTGCTATGTGTATGTAAGGAAGTGTCACAGTATGCAAGCATTATTAGTGAAAATTCATTATCTGTGTTGAAACAAGTCATTTGAAAATCAAACTAGTAATAATTTGGTAACAATGATACTTTGAATTCTTCTTTCAGGGTTTCAAAGTGTTTTATATACCAAATATTTTCTAAATATTGTGGCTTTTTTTCTTTTTATCATTAAAATGATAATAAAAATCAATGTAATTATGACATTTAAGATTTTTTATTTTGGAAGCAGTTGGACGCAGGCTTTTTCTTGTTGTTTTCTTAATAGTATATTGAATTTAACAATTACTTTATACTAAATGCTACCACAGTTCTTCATTATCAAATAAATGATGCTGTAAGAGAACAGAAATTAGTACTAAATTATACTCATCAGCCAGCATTTGATTCTAGTGTGAAGATTCAGAGATTGTATTTCACTAAGAAAAACATTATTATGATTCATAGTCACTAAGCCTCATGCTTATTAGTGGATTAAATTTTTAGTTTTGATTATAGGATGGATTTCTCTCTCTCTGTCTCTCTCTCTGTGTGTGTGTGTGTGTCTATACATATAGTCAATTAACAGCAAGTCTCTAGGAATGTAAGAACCAATAACATATTCAAAACTAAACTCTTTCTTCAAACAGCTTCTTTTCATTTGTTCTTATTACAGTAAAAGGTGCCATCATCCATCCAATTGCTCAAGCCAGCAACTGGGCATCATCTTGATAGCTGCTCATCTTTACTGCCCACACCCAGTGTCAAGGTCTTCGTATTCTGTCTTCTAAATAGCTGTCTGTTCTGTCTACTCTGTTCACCCTAGTGACTGCCACCCTGGTTCAAGCTGCTATCATCTCTTTCCTGAGTTACTGTAGGGGCTTCTTAAATGGCCTTCCTACATCTATTTTTTGCCCCTTTCCATACAGCAGCATGAATATTATAAAAATGCAAATCTGATCCTCTTCTATCTCTGCTAGAAGAGATCATCATGGTGTCTCCTAAGATAGAGTTCAGACTCCTTAATATGATCTATGAAATCTCAGATGGTCTTGCCCTGCTATCTTTTCACTCACCTGCCTGCCCAAGCCACATTGTTTTTCATTCATTTCTTTGAAACCAGGTACTCCAGTATTTGAGACTTGGCACATGCTAGTCTTCCCTTCCTTCCCTGCACTATCTCAGTTTCAAGTCACTTCCTCAAACTGCCTTCTAAAACCTTCCAGACTAAGATTGCCCACCTTGATATTCACTTCCATACCATGCTACATTTTCTCTTTTTAATACATATCATATGTATAATTGTTTGTTTAATTTCTGCCTTTCCACTCAAGATTTAGATCTAAGAAGGTGAGGATCAAGTCTGAGTTGTTCATCATTTTATCCCTGGGCCCCTGGCAGAGTGATTGACACATAGTAGATGCTAATTAAATATTTGTTAGATGAATGAAAATAAATAAATGCAACAAATGAGTGAGTGTATGAAAGACTGATTTGAATGTCACTCAAACACTTTTGGTGTTGAATTATTCTGACAATCTGAGTTTGAAAAAAATAAAATTATGAAAATTTGAGCACAAATGGGTGGTGCTTTTTAAAAGTTAGTTTGAAAATATCAACAGCTTTATCTACCCAGGTTGAAGTTGATTTAGCAACATGTAAGTGTGTATAGAAAGAATCTTTTAGGTGGAGAAATTTAAATATACTGGCAAGCCCTGAACAAGTGGAAAGGATTCTTTATGAATTCTTTGTATTATATGGAAGGTAAAATCTAGAACAGATTTTTCCTCTACTCAAAGGCTACAACATATCTAACAAACAACTCTTTAACCATTTAAAGGCTATCCAGTATCATAACTTTACACTTTATGGACCTTTGCTTATTAAGGATGAAGCAAAACCAGGAAGTAGACATACACACACAAAATTTTAAAAACTCCAAAGTCATTTCTCATTCTTGATCATATGTAGATGAACTTCTTAAGGAAAGACCTTGGCTTTTCGTTTTCAGAGTATTGCACAAAACCTTGTCCTGGTTGATATTCATAATCAAACAAGTCAAATAGTTGTCATAAACTCCAACGCATATGTATACTCAAAGTCTTCACTCCAACTTCGCTTGCTCTTAATTTGCACACATCCATAAGCCTGTTTACTTTGTTATCTCATTTCCAGGGCCACAGCAAATTAAAACCCTTGGTCATGAATTGGGCAGGAAAAGACAGTTGCAGTATTGGCCTAGTGTCCATCTCTTCCTCCTCCAGACTCCTGCAGACCTTCACTAGTGTGAGCACACTAACCACATTCACCTCTTGGCATGATTATGCTTTAAAAAGTCATTTCTCATTCTTGATCATATATAGATAAGCTTCTTAAGGAAAGACTGGCTTTTCACACAGCTGTCAGAGGATTGCACAAAACCATGTCCTGGTTGATATTCATAATCAAAACACACCAAAACAACTCTGAGTCATCAAAAGAAAATCAAATGATGTTTAATATTGTTTGAGGAGACAAGAATGAAGTAGTATTATTTCCATCACAAATAATGAAAGTAAAAAGCTTTTATTCTAAAGAGATGAATACAAAATTATTGCTTTTTTCTAGAGCCACTCATGAACCAGAGAGTGTCCCAGAGCTCAAATTTTATGATTTACTACTTCTAATTCTTAGATGTATGATTTGCAAACCTTTAAAATTCAGTCTAGTTCATAGCAACCTGTGAGGAAGGGAGGATAAATATTCCCACTTTACGAATAAAAACCTGAAGTCATTGCTTAAATTATTACCTCAAGGTTATTGCTATTAAGGGTGGAGTTGAGATGAGAACTTTTAGTTGGCTTAGAGTACATTTAGTCATGACAGCAATGTAGCATTGTGATAAAATCACAGGCTTTAGAGTCAGAAAGATCTGGGTTTGGGTCCTTCCTTTGGTCACACAGTCACAGTGGGCAATATGCTTAACCTCTTTAGATAAGGGCAATTTCTTTTTATAAAATTAATATATAATATTTTACATATTTCTGGGGTACATGTGATATTTTGTTATGCATAGAATGTGTAATGGTCAACTCAGAATATTTAGGGTATCCACCACCTCAAATTTTTCTCATTTGTATGTATTGGGAACATATCGAGTCCTCTCTTCTAGCTATTTTGAAATGTACGATACGTTGTTGTTAACTATAGCTGCCCTACTCTGCTATTGAACATGAGAACTTATTTCTTCTATCTAACTGTATGTTTATACCCATTAACCAACACTTCTACATACCACCACTCCCCCTCAGTCTCTTCCTAGCCTCTGGAATCCACCATCCTAGTCTCTACCTCTGTGAGATCCAATTTTTTAGCTCCCACATATGAGTGATAGCATGCAATATTTGTCTTTCTGTGCCAGACTTATTTCGCTTAACATAATGACCTCCAGTCCCATTCATGTTGCTGCAGATGACATGGTTTTACTATTTTTTGTGGCCAAATAGTATTCCATTGTGTGTATATACCATGTTTTCCTTATCCATTCATCTGTGGATGGACAGTTAGGTGGATTCCATATCTTTGCTATTGTGAATAGTGCTGCAATAAACATGGGAGTACAGGCATCTTTTTGATATACTAATTTCTTTTCCTTTGGATCAATAACCAGTAGTGGGATTGCTGGATCATATGGTATTTCTATTTTTATGTTTTTGAGAAATGTCCATACTGTTTCGCATAGTGGATGTACTAATTTACATTCTTACTGACAGTGTATAGGACTTCCCTTTTCTGTGCAGCCTCTCCAGCATTCATTATTTTTTGTCTAGATGTGGGCAATTTCTGATCAATTATTAGTCATGTGATACAAACACATATCAATGTGGCAAAGTATGAACTAGAGCTGCAAGAGGGAATCTTTGTGGAATCAAGTAATTGAATTTCCTTTGGCTCCTGACACCAGAGCATCAGGAATTAAACCAAAAACATTTACTCAGTGACACCACTTGTCTTAGTCTGTTCTTGCTCCTATAACAAAATACCACAGACTAATTTATGAACAACAGAAATTTATTTTTCTTAGCTCTGGAGGCTGGGAGACTCCAAGATCAAGGCCAGCAGTTTCAGTGTCTGGTGAAAGCTGCTCTCAGCTTCCAAGATGGTGCCACACATGGTGGAAGGTGGTGCTACACATGGTGGAAGGTAGAAAGGCAAAAGGGATGAAGGCTATATGAAGCTTCTTTTATAAGGACATTAATCCTCTCCATGAAAGTGGAGCCCTCATGATCTAATCACCTCCTAAAGGCCTCACTTCTTAGCATTATCACATTGGTCATTAACTTTCAACATATGAATTTGAATTTTGGTGGAGGGGACACATTCAGACTATAGCACCACCTCTCTGTATTTTAGTAAGTTGTTTTAATCTCTCTTTTATTTCTTTATATATAACATTGGAATAATACTAATACCTACTTGTATCAGTCAGAATAGGTTATGTGCAGTAAAAACAACCCCTAAATATCAGTATTTAAAACAACAAAGGTGAATTTCTCACTTACTCATGTCCATTGTGATTTGGCCAGTCCCTCTTCCACATCATCCTTACCTGAGAACTTGAGTTGATTGACCCATTGCTATCTGGAAGGTTGTTGGTCACCATGGCAAGGGGAAGGGATCATGTCATGTCACACACTAGCTCTTAAAGTTTTTCACCAGGAAGAGAGGAACATCTCTCCACTCACATTTTTCTGACCAAAGTAAGTCACCTCTCTATGCCTAACTTCATGGAGTTGGGAAATTGCAATTAAACAATGGACCTCCGGGAATATGTGACTTCAGTTGGCACTTTCATCTTAAATATATTATTCTGGCCTGTGAGCTCCTCTGGAGTAAAGATTCTGACATTCTTCAGCCTCGGGTCCTTAGCTCCCAGCAATGTCTTCAAGTAACAGTGAGTGAAGAACAGACTGAGTGAACAACAAAAAACGTTGTCCCATTTAAAGGAATTCTAGGTATAGGGAGAGCACAAGGGGACGTTTTCTCAGTGCAGGGCCCGCTGAAATCCCACGCTTGTTGTCTTTCCCTTCCTACTCATTTCTTCTTCCATCCTTCATGGCCAGGCTGTGACCACTGGGCAAGCACCAAGGAGTCTCCCTGATCCTAGAGGACATGCTGGAGACTGCTGCCTCAAGTCATGTTTCTCTAGTAACAGCATTCCTTTCCCCACCTCCTTCCACCTTCCAAAAAGAATCTTTCTTGTTTTAGAAAGTCCCCTCCCCTTCTGTTTCATCTGAGTAGAGGCTGCATCTGTGCCAGAAATTCTTTCAGCTCAGTGGCTCTCAAACCTCAGCAGGCATCAGAATCACCTGGAGGACTTATGAAACCAGTTTGCTGGGCCCGCTTGGTCCAGCGCTTCTGATTCAGTAGGGAGAAGTGGAACCATGAATTTGCATTCCCGACAAGCTCACAGGTTATACCAGTGTTGCTGGCCCGAGGATTGTATTTTGGGCAGCATTACTCCATCTGAACTCTTCTTGTTCTCTTACCTCCTTACGTCCCAAGACTCGCGGATGTTAGTTTATTCTCAGGTACTGGTTTTACTTAGATTTTTTTGTTTGTTTTTTAAATTGAAATTGTATGTATTTAAGGTGCATAACATGATGTTTTGATATACATATACACAGTAAACTGATTACTATAGTCAAGCTAATTAACACATCCATTCCTTCACAGTTACCTTTGTGTGTGTGTGTGTGTGTGTGTGTGCATGCGTACATGTTAAGAACACTTAAGATCTACTCTTAGCAAATTTTAAATATGTAACATAGTATTTTTAACTCTATGTAGTCCCTTGGTGTACATTACATCTCTAGAACTTACTCATCTTAACGTAACTAAGACTTTGTACCCTTTGACCATCTCCCATTCCTCCCTTCACCCCTGGTCACCACCATTCTACTCTCTGCTTCTATGAACTTGATGTTTTTAGATTCCATGTAAGTGAGATCATACAGTATTTTTCTTTTTGTCTGGCTTATTTCACTTAACATAATGTCTTCCAGATTGACTCATGTTGCCACAAATGGGAGGCTTGCTTTCTTTTTAAAAGCTAAGTAATGTTTTATTGTGTGGGTGTGTGTATATATGTATATATACATGTTTATCACATTTTCTTTATTCATGTGTCACTGGACATTTAGGTTGATTCTATATATCTTGGCTATTGTGAATAATGCAGCAATGAAAATGGGATTGCAGATATCTCTTCAACATACTGATTTTATTTCTTCGGATAAATACACAGAAGAGAGATTGCTGGATCGTATGGTAGTCCTGTTTTTGATTGTTTGAGGAACCTTCATACTTTTTAATAATGGCTGTACTAATGTACATCCCTACAGTGTACAAGGGTTCCCTTTTCTCCATATCCTTGCCAGCACTTATCTTTTGTCTTTTTGGTAATAACCTTCCTGAAAGGTGTGAGGAGATATCTCATTATAGTTTTTTATTTTTTTTAAGATGGAGTGTCACTCTGTTGCCCAAGCTGGAAGGTAGTGGTGCGATATCGACTCACTGCAACTTCCGCCTCCGGGGTTCAAGTGATTCTACTGCATCAGCCTCCTAAGCAGCTGGGACTAAAAATGCATGCCACCACACCCAGCTAATTTTTGTATTTTTAGTAGAGGGGGTTTCACCATGTTGGCCAGGCTGGTCTTGAACTCCCTACCTCAAGTGATCTGCCTGCCTCGGCCTCCCAAAGTGCTAGGATTACAGGCATGAGCCACCACACACAGCCTTATTGTACTTTTTAATGTTGCTTTTGAACTGTTGAAATGATCCTAATTATTTCTCCTTGGGATATCATAATACTCGTGTCTTTTATGTGTCTTCCTGAATGTTGTTTTGATTGTTACGGACTGCAAATTCCAAAACATGGGAACTGTTTTGTACCAGAAGGCCTTAGAGAGGGTTTCCCACTCAGCATTTAATGCAAGTTGCATATGGCCAAAATAGTGAAGGCATTTGGACCCTTTCAACCAACTATTTAAAAAACTTATATGAGTGTTCTTATTATATTTCTGGTATCTTGCTAGTTAGCCAGTTGGCATTTTTGAAATCATTAAAGAGAAGTATTGTAGAAGATAAGATTAATGTATCTATAATTTTGACATGGAATTTTATCATTTAGTTGACTAAGCTAGAAATTCATAGTTGTAGCTCTCAAATTGAACTTGGCATAACAACAAAGTAATTTGACTTTTTAGAATAAAGATGTATGTGACTTTGAAGAAATGAAAGGCTGTATTTTAAGTGGCCTTCTATCTGGGGTAATACTTAATAGATGAGGAAAATTAAAATTATATTTAGTTAGACCACGGAGTGAGCTCTTTTTCGAATGGCTTATCTGGGTATTTTCTCTATGTATATCTGTTCTCCATGTGCCTCTTGTTACTACAGGGACATTTGTGTTGCTGAGTCAGCAGCTGAATATAGACAGCTGTGTATATTTTGGTATCTATCTATTATTCCAGCCATGTGTACATGTGAAAAAGTCTCAAATAAATGAGATCGCTTACCACATTGTCTTTATGTTCACTTAACATATTTACTGAACATTTCTTCCTGTCACTAAATGATTTCTTACATTTAAATGATTACATAGAATTCCTTTATTTGAATACACCCTAATTAGTTGGAAAATCGTTGCTTTAAAATAATTGAAAGAAAAAAAGTACATGTTGCCGAATTACCCCCTAGAAAGGGAGAAAAATATACATACAAATGTTGCTAACAAAAAACCTTTTGTTAATATTTCCATGTGATACTTTAGGAAGAAAATGAAATTTTAAACCTGCTTAGGTTTAAAAACATCTGTCAGTTTGGGGTGATAGGGGTCATTTTTTAGTATTCTCTTAGCTTTGGAGACAGATGATCCAATCTATAGCAATAAAGAGAAAAAACACCAGAAATTATGCCTCCAAATAATAAGATACATAAGAAACTAAACAGATTAAATGTTGCCACCATTACATGCTATTTGGAATGTTTGAGCTTGATTTACGCATTAGGTGGTATGTGTTTGTTTTCGCTTCTGTTTTGAGCTATTTGAATACTTCTCACATACAGTTTTGATAATTTCTTATAGAAGTGAGTTCCTATAAAGGTTATAAGTTGAACTTATTTGGTCCTCACCAACAGTTGCAAGTTATCAAAGACAGGGCACTGTGCTATGCAATTCAGAGACCCATTTGATTTCTTTAAATAACATATTTTTAAAATTTTTTCTTTAGCATATTTTTTCTAACTGCATTCTAAATTCATAAAGTCTTCTTTCTTTCTCATCTGTTTTCTCCAAAAATGTTCAATTATGCTTCCTTCTCCTAATCCTTTTTCTGTTAATTAATTTGTGGCATTATGAAGGGGAAATTGTGTGTTCTTTAAGCTAAACGGATCTGAATTTGAAAGCTTTCCTTCTGCTTCCTGGCTGTGTGACATTGAACAAATTACAGACGTTTTCTGAGCCTCAATGAAATGGAGCAATTTTTCCTCCTGCATTTTTCTGAAACTAAATACAATAATATATATTGAGTTGCTAAAAACTAAAATCAGGACTCAATAAATGCTAGTTCTCTTCTCATTTCTGATTTTCACTCTTTCTTCTCATTTTTCATACTTTCCCCCAAAGTCTCCAGATGAATAATTTAAAACTTCTTGGCAGTTCTTTTGGGAAAGATTTAGGATAAAACTTTTTTCTTTCTTTTTTTCTGGAGTTAATCATTATTAAAAAGTCACCATTTAACTAATATTTACTTTGATCTAAGTAAGGCTGTAGACCTTAGTTAACTTTATTTAATTTCAATTTGAATGAGTCCTGAGATCACCTTTTAAGCAGTAGATAGTCCCCACATTATGGGAAGAAATTGTTATCCCTGGATCACCAAGGATGGGTGGGGGAGCCATGATGGTGACTGGTGTCTTCATCAAGTAAAACCTAGAGATGTTACCAGTGAATTCTGTCTTTTGCTTGGGAGTTGCTGATAGAAGGTTATGCTTCTTAAGCCTAAACCCCAGCCAGTCTGAATGCATGCAAATCAATTCATGCTATGCTAGTAGCTGTCTTCCCTTGATTTTCCCGGCTGGGAATTCCTCTCTGCCTCTCTGCTTTTCCTCCTCCTTTCTTTGAAAACAGCTTGAAGGTCACCTTCTTTGTGAAACCTCTCTTGCTCTCTCCCTCCCTCTTACTCCATCCCCAGAGTTCTTTTTCTGACCGTTCTCTGTGCCCCATGAATACTGCCATCCTTGTGCCTAGTAATACTTGCTCATCTCCCTGCTTCTAGGCCCTCAGCCCAGTAAGAGCACAGACGATGTTGGATTCAGTGACAGATTCTGGTCACTACTCATGGCAGTGCTCAGCAAGTATCTATTGAATATTTCTGCAGAAATCAATGTTAAACATCACAAGAGTTTAAAAGTCATGGTTCCCTTGGATAAAGGAGCATAGAAGTTTGAAGTTATAATTGGTCTGGATTGAAAACAATATAAGCAGAGCTAAATAAAGTTGAGTTGGAGTCTGCTTTCTAATTATACTAAACTAGAAATTTGAACCAATTATCAACATCGTTCTGGAAGAATTAAGAATGCTATTTGATTTACCTAATTACTTGATTTCATTATCTTATTCAGATTTAGGAAGAAAGGAGAGTCCTCTTCATCACTCAAAAAGTAATATAAAAATAATCCAGACACACCATAAATATATTAAAGCAAAGGATATTGAAGCCTGAGAAAGCTGAGCAATTACTTCAGTTCTCTACAGCATTTTCATTTTGAAGACACAGCCAGTTCGGAAGTAATATAGTGGCTGCAAAAATTGTATAGTCAGAACTTGAGTTGGAAGAGCTGCTAAAACAGCCACTTACATACCAATTACATATCCTCTTGGACCTTAGCTCATCTGTCTAAGGGGCTGTTGATAACTACTTTTCAGGGTTGTTATGAGGATTAAGTGAGCCAGTATGTGAATAAGCCAACAAACATTCCATTAATCTCCAAAAGACTACAAATAAATCTATGGTTTTACATGAAAGTACAGCAAAGCTAAAAAATAGTGTGTTACAGTAAGTTATGTTTGTCTATGGATCTGATACCATTGAGGATCAAGAAATGTAAACAAATGCTAATTATTTATTTAGAAAGCATACACATATCAAAAACTCATAACACTATTAGTATTTGATTTTGATGAAAAAAAATCAAGAAAACTGCGGTTGAAGTAACTTGAATGTAGGGGACTGCTCTCCCTTGTCATAAACTCATTTTAAATAAGCCCCAGGGATTGTAATGCTTTGAAGAAAAGTCAAATGTAAATATTCCTTCTGTAGGTTGAGAGTAGACAGGGAAAAGCCACCAGTAGGGTAACCCTTGAGGGCCAGGGACAGTGGCCTCTCACTACCTCGCCCAGCTCCAGCCTTAAGGCCTTGATGAAACAGACCCTCGCCCACTGGGATGACTCATGGTCTCTGTAGAAACAGGACTGTGCAGCACGCAAAAGATGAAACAGGACAAACGGAGGGAGTGGACTAGAGATTTAATTTCAAGGCATGAAAATTAAATAAAATTCAGTCTCGCTTCATCATCTTTATGAGGAGATGAATGTAAATTAGGTTAAGGAGAAGAATCCTTTCTGCAGCCCCCCCCCCCTCAGTTTCCCTTCATCACAAGGCTGAAGATCTCTGTCCAGCCTCTGTGGCTGCCTGCTTTATGAGAGTAATCATTCTGAAGTCGCAGGATATTCTCAGAAAGAAGCCGTTTCCATCTGTGAATCAAAGTTGTAAGGTTAGAGCAAGCAAAGATCACTGATGAGTTGGCATGAAGGTAGGTAGACATAAACACAATGGGGACTGAGCTTTGGGGAAGGAAAGAAAGAAAGCCATGTCCCTTTTGGAGCCCAGGAGGAAGCTATCAATAAGTCGGGATGACCCAGGTGCAGAGAAAGTTCATCGATGCTGATTAAGGCTTACTTCTCATTTGCTTTACAATGCACAGCATTAGGCTTAAACAGATTCTTGAGTATAAACTTCATAAAGGCAGATAACAATTCTAAATTCATCCTCTATTCTACTTTACACCCAGTAGATTCAGGTGTTGTCCAAGTGGGTAGAATTGTTTTCAGTGTTTCAAGATTATAATGTGTCATAAATAAGTCTTTCTTTCCTGAACTTATCATTTAGTCTGGTTTGTGATTTTAGCTATTTTCTAGTTGCTCCAATCCTGCATTTTTGCCTCGAAGGCTACACTCCACCTGCTTTAAATTAGCAAGCGCACCTAATTACTCTAATATGTACCAGACTGGTTTGCCTTTTACTCTTATGTTCCAGGCTTCAACATCCTTTTTTGCTCTGTACTTAGAGTTCCATATTGGAAATGAGATAAAAGCAGTACATGTTCCTTGCATAGGTCAATAATACAGTTACATATAAGTGAGAGTTCTGTTACGTGTCACCAACAACATTCTGTATGTTTGCCATGAACAGAATTCTAACTATTTCTGCTCTAGAAACTCAGAAATATCATGTGAACATTTTTCATTTTAGTATATATTAATCCTTTTAAATATCTGTATAATATTCCATTATATGGAGGCAGCATGATTGATTTAACCAATTTTCTGTTGCTGAGCATTTGTTTCCAAGTTGTTGCCATTACTATCGTGCTGCAGTGAACATCCTTATACATAGTTTCATGTATTCTTGGGCAAATCTTTTGAAAGAATTCATAGAAGGGAAATTGGCAGTCAGCAGGCAGGGGGTGGCAAAGGGAATGGACATTTCGATTTTTGAAAGTCTTTCTCATGTTACCCTCAAGAAAAGTACCCATTTGTCCTCTCATTGACAGCTTATTAGACCTTCTTCCCTTATACCTCACCAATAATGGTCATAATCAATCTTTTTGTCTTTTTTTTTTTCATTTTTGCCAATTACTAGTGAAGTTAATATTTTTACTTTTGAGATTACCTTAGTTTGCATTTCTTTGCTCATTCTTCTTTTCATTTGTTAACAGAACATTTCTGTTTTTTTCTTCTGTGAATCAACTATCAAAGTTTTCTACCCACTTTTCTCTTGGCTTGCTATCTCTAACAGGACATTGCAGAGGAAACAAACCATTATAAAGTGTAGAAGATACTTGAAGCTAAAAATATCTGAGGCATGATTCCAAATTACACTATCCTTGTAGAAAGTGGTAGGGTGTATGTATGGTGTTTTTACAAACATGGTTTTATCCTGTTATTGTTATCTTAGGCGTCCCTTGAACTCATTTTTACTGCTAGGCATTCTTTCTGATTTTTGTTATATTCCTGACATCTTAGGCAATTAATCATTCTTCTCAATTTTTTCCTTTCAGCTCATATATTCGGTAGATAATTCAGCAATCTCAAAAATCCCAGGCAGAAAATTTCTGTCCTTAGATACATGTGTTTTTTCAAAGAAGAGGTTGTTTTTAACAAGTAAGGACATTTAAAAAGGTATATGGGAATTCTTATTCATGCTTTCAGATATTTAATATTGTCATTAATCCATAATTTTCTTCCCCAATACAACTTTCTCCTTCTCTTCCTATACTTTATCCTCCACCTTTTCCTTTTTTCTTTATCCTCCACCTTTTTTCTTTCTTTCTTTTGCCCTTTCTCTGCTCCTTCATTTCACTTTCTCTGTTTTACTCTCTAGTAGAGAGCTTTCTCTCTGACAGCAACTCTGAACCAATTAATTTTGTCTCCTGGAATTCTAGGTGAAAACTCTTAATAAAGCAGGCACTGATTGATTGATACTTCAGTGGTGAAACAATAGGTGTGCCCATTAAATTCAGGAGCGAAGCCAGGATGTACACCTTCATCCCAGTTGTGTTTACCTTTGCTCTGGAGGCACTAAGTGATACAGTTAGAAAATAGCAATTGTAGGTTTTAAAATTAGGAAAAGGAAGGCAAACAATACTATGTCAAGATGATATAATTGTATTTCTAGAACACGTGAGAGAATGAACTGGAAACTGTTTTTCTTAAACAGCTAGCAAGTTTAATAATGTGGTTTAGTACAAAATCAATGCACAAAAATCAGTAGCCTTCCTACATTCAAACAACTACTTGAAGATAGAAATGGGAGTAAAAGAAATATACAATACCAATTGTATTGTATACCAATATACAATAGAAACTCAATGACAGAATACCCAGGAAATAAAAAGTAACAAGAAATGAGAAAGGTCTATGTTAAAAAAACTATGGCATAAAACGTATTTTTAGATAAAATGCTACAGCAGTGTAACAACACCGATTTTCCATATATTTATGTATAGATTTAGCATGATTCCATAAAAATTACTAACTGGATTTAAAAAAATCAAATTATAAAGTTCATGTGCAACATAAAATGTGTAAGAACAGACTAGAAACTTTTGACAAAGAAAAATAATGAGGCCAGGAGCAGTGGCTCATGCCTGTAATCCCAGCACTTTGGAAGGCCGAGGTGGGCGGATCACCTGAGGTCAGGAGTTCGAGATCAGCCTGGCCAACATGGTGAAACCCCATCTCTACTAAAAATACAAAAATTAGCCAGGCATGGTGTCATGCGCCTGTAATCCCAGCTACTCCAGAGACTGAGGCAGGAGAATCACAGAATGACAACTCTTAATATTGACCCAAATACATACTGGATTTGGTATATAGTACAAATATATGAAATTGATATGTAATATAGGTGGTAGTATTTCAAACCAAGGGAAGAGAGATTGTTTACCTGTAAACAATAGTTAGATCCCTGCCTGATTCTTACACAAAAAGAAATCCCAGATGCATCAGAAAATTTGAATGCAAGGAATTAAACCATAAAATTACCGGAAAGAAACATGGGAGAATGTTTTAAATATAATCTTAGATTGCAGAAGGTCTTTTTAATGATGACTTGAAACCATCCATGAACATACTGATAGGTTTAACCATATACAATTGAAATTTTCTGTATGCTAAAAGATACAATCAAATAAAGTAAAAATGTAAATTAAACATGCTTCTCACACATATTACAACCAGAAACCTGATTTCCTCAATACGTAAA
Source organism: Homo sapiens (assembly GCF_000001405.40). Lineage (NCBI taxonomy): Eukaryota > Metazoa > Chordata > Mammalia > Primates > Hominidae > Homo > Homo sapiens. Next base: position 130,429,879 of record NC_000006.12, read on the forward strand.
AAAAACGTGTATAAATCAGTTCTAGAAAACCAAATGAGAAAACATTCTTCTCTGGATATAGCTATAAGAAATCCAACACCATGCTTACATTGGGGAAGGAGAACCAGAGGCTGAAGCGACTCCCTCTTCATTTTGTACTGCTGGGTTTTTACCATGAGCATGTGGAGTGTCCTACTTTGTTCTGGCTGCTATAACAAAAATATCATAGACTACATGGCTTATAAACAACAGAAACTTATTTATCACAGTTCTGAAAGCTGGGAAGTCCAAGATACCAGCAGATTCAGTATCTAGTGTGGACCCACTACCTGGTTTATAAATACTGTCTTCTTACTGTGTCCTCACATGGTAGAAGGGGGAAGGGAGCTCTCTAGGATTCCACTTATATTAATCCCATCATGGACTCTACCCTCAGGATCTAATCACCCCCAAAGGCTCCGTCTCCTAATACCACCACCTTGGGGGCTAGGATTTCAACATAGGAATTTTGGAGAGGCATATTCAGCCTATAGCAAGTAGTTTCCAAAGAGAAATAGATGAAAGAAAAACAGACCGAGAAATACATTTTAAAAATTGAAAATCTATGTTTTCTTGAATTCATCTTGCTGCCACTAACCTGCACAAGTAGGAGAAGAGAGGGAAAAAGATGAAAACAGAAATAGTCCAGAAATAGTCGCAGCCTTCTCCACCATCTTCCTTTTTTTTCTAATACGTTTACCATTAAGGTTTCATCCATGGGGTTTCTCTGAAAAACCCCTGGATGTCCCTTAAATGCTAAAAGAATTTTGCATTTACAAGTGGAATAGATCATTCTTTCTGTGAGTGGTGGGAAGTTTGGTCTTGCCATCCCCAAGGAAGTCTCCCTTCACACCTGTTTCTACCTTGCTTTAAGGATGATCCTACTTAGATTTTACTTATGAAAAATATGTAAAATTCTCTAGCAGAAATGATGTAATTTGAACAATTTTCTAATGTTTGTATAGAATTTTAAGAACGCTTTACTATTAATTGAGCTACCATCAATTGGAAAACTTCTTAAGAAATTTAATGTACAGTATATTAGTCTGTGGCTTAAAAGATGGCACAACTCACTGTTCATTTAGATGGTGATTCTATCTTGGTGAGAGATGGCTCCTTATTTAGAGCAGTTAAGAATGTAAGACCTTTAGTAGCCTTAACAATACGGACACGACTGTGTTACTTGCCAAAGTGTAGACTTATGTATATAAGATATTTAATAGTACATGGAACGACTAGAATTGAAATTGCTATTGTCCTCCAGCTTTCCCCTTGCCCTGTAGGAAAGCCAACAGTGTGTGGGAATTTACAGGTATCTAAAATCACCGGAAATGATATTAATACTTAGTAGAGTCTCATTATTCAATGGTGTCTCCAAAAACATAGCCACTATCTTGTAAGTGAAGTTACTATATGTTTTCCAGCAGTGGAGGGGTCTCTATAAAAAGTCCAATTTGTGATTTTAAATGCTTCAGTTCTTCATCCAGGAATATCTTGGCTAATTTCCCGTGTCTTAGTAAATTGGTGACATTTTTAGTGATAGTTTCTTTACACCAGTTTCAAGTCACCTTCCTGTCAGGAAATGCAGAGAATGGGGAGTGTGACAGTGATTGTGTAAGAGCTTGTCCAGATTTGAGGAGTTGGGATGTGGGGTGGAAAGCATATTTCTACTTTGAGGGAAATGGCCTTCTAATTTCTTCTGTTCCTGCAGAAAATATCTCCCACAGGGTCTCAGCAGGGTGTTTTCTGAGCTCATTATGGATCTGTTACTTGGCCTCCTGGAGACTTCTGTATTCTACGGGCTTCTGGCTTTTAGTCTTTGGAGAGCACTTGTTCTATGTCATTGTTACGCAGCTCATAATTGGTGTGGGCCCATATTTTACAGTTTGTCAGGCTGGCAGGTTTTGAAGGCATTACTAACAGAACAGGTGTAGATTTCTAAGGGCAGTCTCGTCTCTATTCCTAGCGTTTTCTGCAGGCTCAAGATGTACTTGACCATAAAGTAATATTTTACATTTAATGACTTGAATATCATTTTGCAAATTTTCTAAACATTTTGTACTTCCTTTTAGTTCCAGCATTCAAGTGAATGTAGAACTATACTGAATATTGAGAAACAATTCTCCCCAAGGTAGACCAGCAAAGATCTTCAGAATGTGTCCATAAAATCATAGCTTAAACTTGCCACAGAATTAACATTTTGCAGATTTTCACATTATATCACTCTTATGGCATCTTCTGTACTCCCCATATGCCCAGGCACCATGTTCCTCTGCATTTTCAGTTAGTTTTATGCTTGGGTGTCCCAATGGAAACAGAATAGTGCGTGCAGAATTGATCAGATTACTCATTCATTCGATCCAATTGCATCACGAAGTTAACTAAAAACATCAGATGAACGGGTTTAGGTTTTCCTACCTTGTTTTTCTTATTGCTTTTATGTTTGTCACAAGACAGGTCTCCGAATCTGAAGAAATAGAATGAATTTAAAAGAAAGGCGTGCTTTATTCTTTCTGTATCTCCCAACTGTCTCTTACATAAATTCAGCTGTTCTTTTTAACTTCCAAATTGTTAATGCTTTTGCCACTAAAATATACAGATTCCATTCAGATAGTTTTTGACTCTTAAGTCTCAGAACAAACTTGCAGTCATAACTACCTCTCCATGGACAGAAAGTCATCATTAATTACTTAGTATATTTTTAATTTGCCTAGCAGAGCAGTAAAAGAACAATGTGAGCTATGAAGAGTTAGTAATAGCTATTGTTTGAGAACTTCTTATAATCAACACAAAAGTAAGCATTATATACATAACTTATCTTTGAAAATTCCTTGTAGTCAGACCCAGCTGATATCACTAATATCACTCACGTAGACCTTAATTGCCAGAACTGAACTGTGCTTTGCATTTATTATCCCCTCTTCACAACAATCCTACAGGTACTGTTACTATACCCATTTTACAAATGAAGGAACTGGGGCTCCAAGAGGTTGATTCATTGTTCAAATGTGGTTATTAAGTATTAAGGGCTGTGTAGGGATTCAAGCCTGCTAGGTCTTCTGCCTCAAGTGCACCATATACTGTGTATCAAAGAAGGCTTTGCCATTTTATAGATGGAGGAACTGAGATAAGAAAAGCCACTTGCATGGCATCAAATGAGGAAGCAAAGACATGGGCCCCTGTCTCTCTGATTCCAGTGGCCACGTGAAAAACAATTATGCTACATGCTAAAAGATGATCTTTTTTTTTTTTTTTTTGAGACGGAGTTTCGCTCTTGTTGCCCAGGCTGGAGTGCAGTGGCAAGATCTCGGCTCACTGCTATCTCCACCTCTCAGGTTCAAGCGATTCTCCTGCCTCAGCCTCCTGAGTAGCTGGGATTACAGATGCCCACCACCATGCCCAACTAATTTTTTGTATCTTTAGTAGAGACAGGGTTTCACCGTGTTGGCCAGGCTGGTCTTGAACTCCTGACCTCAGGTGATCCGCCTGCCTCGGCCTCCCAAAGTTTTGGGATTACAGGCATGAGCCACCACGCCCAGCCAAAAATGATTTTTATTCTATTTTTATTTTTTAAACTTTATGTGATTGAACTCTTAGTCACCCATATGAATTTTCTTTTTTCAATTCTGGTAAAGATATAGATTAAAAATCCTATTCTAAAAGTTTGAAATGTCTCAACCAGGAAGAAAGTCCTAAAATTGTTCTAGCTTGAACAGAAAATATTTCCATCTGTCACATTTGTGGATACCACATGGGGTTTTTATATAATGTTTTTGTTTGGTACTCAAGGCATAGATTAATTTTTACTTCCTTTGGGCAGACAGCCTCACATTCTGGTGAATTTTTAAACCTCCAGATAAAGATAAAAATTCAAACATATAAATAAGACAGTATCAAATATATTTAAAATAATAGTCACACTTCAACTAGGAAGATGATGAAAAATCAGAGGGCAGGGACCCTTATGCAATAGTCAGGAACAAGGATGAATTAGAATCTATCTGCATGGCATACCCTCATTTATGTGCCAAGCCTTCGTTAACTGCCACCACTTCTTGGAAGCCTGTCCTGACTCCTTCAGATAGTATGGAAGAGCATTCTGCAATGCTCCTGTAGCTCCATCATAGCAATTCTTTTATTTTAAATGTTTATTTCTACTGTTTTCCTACTGGACTCCATACTCCTTGAAATCAGGGATGAGGTTTTATTAACTTTGTGTCCCTAGTGCCTAGAACATTTCAACCATACTCAAACCTTCATCAACTCAGTTCACAGTCAACAGATACTTACTGAGCATTTAGTATATGCCAGGCACTCTGCCAAGGCACTGGGACAGCATGAAAAAACAATAGAAAAGGGAATATATAAACAAGAGTGAACACTGGACTGGGAGTCTGAAAACTTGTATTCCAGTTCTATTCTGTCTGCTAATTCAGTGTTTGATCTTCAGTAACATTCCTGGCCTTTAGATGGCTAAAAGGAATGGCTGGATCCAAAGATGTCTAAAGTCTCTCAGCTCTGGAAGTCTATGTAATTATAATTATCTCAAATATAATTGAACCATGTCTAATGTATTATAGGCTCACAGTGTGGTCAGAATAGTGTGATGTAAATATATAGGAATAAACTTCTGTGAGTGTGAGAATACTAAAAACTGGTATGGATTAGTGCCATAAGAAGCAAATACCAGAATGTGCTTAAGCTTGTAAAAAGGGTAAAGGACAGCAATAAGGCTTTTAAGATTAGTATGAGAACAAAAATAGGAGAGGTAAGCCTGAAGATTAGAACGGACGGTATGTGGTATAGTATTACACATGACTCACAAAGCAGAAATCTTCTCTTCAAGAAGAGCTTTTGTCTGCAAAGGCAAATGGTTCAAAGGGAAGTGAACCCAAGAGAGGCAAGCAGACAGTGGGCTTGAGTGCGGGCAAGAGTACATCTCTCTGTAGTGAGAAAGGTGGAAAATAAGATTTTCTACAGATGATCTCCAAGACCCACAATGAATCTCAGATTTATGTAAGATGGGAAAGGCCTGGAGATAGCCCAACAGTATCCTAGTTTGCAAAGTAAAAGAAGGTGTGTTTTGTGAATTTCAAGCTGGTAATCTTGATGTCTATTGCTTAGCAAAATTGTGGCTGGTTTGTGAGCACTGGGAATGAAAAAAAAAAAAAAGATGATCAATATGTAGCCAAAAGTTAGCCCAAACTAATTTTGTATTTTTGGTTGTCTGCAGGTATATACATATTTGTCTCTTTTTTTTTCTTCAAATTAAGAGACAAGGTCTTAATGTGTTGCCCAGGATGGTCTCGAATTCCTGGGCTTAAGCAATTCACCCGCCTTGGCCTTCGGAAGTTGCTAGGATTACAGATGTGAGCCATCGCACCCAGCCCATATTTGTCTTTTAACTTGGCCTTTGACAAAATCATGATCTCTTTTTGAAGAATATGGAAACATTAAGTGTGGCTGGCCTTCTAGTTAGATTTATTTATAACCAGTTAAATGATGTCATCAAAATGATGGTTGCTGATCAATATAGTCTCAGGCCAGGAAACATATTTTGAGCCCAGTGTCTACTTCAATGCCAGGTGTCCATTTTTATTGCAATTACATGAATATCTAAACAAATTAACAATGTGTACCTAGAAAGAGGTCTGTAGTGGAATATCACAGAGCTTTCTTTGCTCTATACTTTCTTCAATTACGATTTCCAAACACTTGGGTGAAGCTTTGGAAGTCAGATTTATAATATTTGCAAATGAACATAAACTGAGAGGGACAACAGGATTTTGGAAGCCAGGCTTAGGATCCAAAGAGACTGATAAGCAGAAATTTTGTTCCCAAGTTAACAAAATGAAATTCAGTGTAGTAAAATCCTTCACTTGAATCTTTGAGGGAATAAGTCACGGCCCTGCCCTGTCAGGCATGCTGGAGAGCAAAGAGGAGGATGTGGAGGTAGAAAAGTGGTCTCCTTTGAGTCTGCATCTTCATACACTGAAGGGATATGGACAGGTGCAAGAGGCCAGATACTCACCCAAGGTGAGGCCTTCAAACTTATGTACTCCCCATGGCTTTTCACAGGTAATCATTGAGATTTGGAAAATGGGAGTTGATTGGTCCACAGGCCTAGTTTTAAAGGCAGAGCAGCATTCTTTTGCATTTGGTGTTATGGAAACAGGAATCAGAATAAGAAAAAAGAAAACCTCAAATGAAAGCAAATCTGGAGGCCCCTCCCCATCTCAAATGGGAGGCTCTGGGGTAACCTCCTAGCTGTGTGACTCTAGGCAAGTTACCTAAGCTCTCTTAGCCTCAGTAACCTGAAAAATAGATATTACAATTATTACTCCTCCAGAATTATTGTGAGAACAAATGTTTTTGTACTAAAGCACTTAGAACATTGCCTGACCATAAGCAGTATGGGCTGTTATTACTATTATTATTAAAACTTAGAAGAGTATGGCTTGTTACAGTGAGGAGACTAGTTAACAGGATTCTTACATTTCCCATGCCTTAGAAAAACATGCAAAACAAAACAAAAAAAAACAGTCATAAAAGTGTAGGATGGAGGGCATGTAGCTTTGCAGCATTGACCAAAAAAAAAAAAAAAGGTAGATTTAGGCTGTTTTTGCATATACTGAACACTTTGTACCAATTGGCATTACAGTTTGAAGATGCAGAGCCTGTAGATTCACTCATTCTAGATTTTATAGTTTCACTAGGCTTCGTTTTTCTTTATCCTTTTTTTTTTTTTTTTTTTTTTTTTTTTTTTCAGAGAGACAGGTTCTTGCTCTATCACCCAAGCTGAAGTAGTGGCATGATCATAACTCACTGCAGCCTCCAGCTCCTGGCCTCAATTAATCCTCCTGCCTCAGCCTCCTGAGTAACTGAGACTACAGGCATCTGCCACCATGCCTGGCTAACTTGCTAAAAAAATGTTTTGTAGAGATGGAGTCTTGCTATGTTGCCAGTGCTGGTCTTGAACTGCTGGCCACAAGTGACACTAAAGCCTTGGCCTCCCAAAGCTCTGGAGTTACAGGTGTGAGCCACTGCACCCAGCCTTCACTAGGCTCCTTATTGTGCAACTGCCGTTAGCATCCCCATGCCATTTTCCGGTATTGGTCCCTAATTCCTGCTTTCATCTACAAGTTCAGATTAATTTTTTCTAAAATAACAACAGCAGTATTTATGTCTTACTCCAACTCCATGGCAGATGTGTATAAATTGCAAGCATTTAGGAATAGCATTTGCCAACTCCCAAGACTTGGCTGTCCCTCTCGCTCTGGCCTTACTTACCTAACTGACCTCCTGTAGTACTGAGTTGTGTGCTGGCCAAGTTCCTATTCCTGGACTGCTTTCTTTCCCTTGACCTTCCTTGAAATACTGCTAACCTGACTTTTGACTGTGATCTATGTGCTATCTCCTGTGTGAAGCCTAATGAAAGGTCCTTCTCTAATGGAAACTTTCATTCTAGGAGTTACCTCATTCTGTTTTATGTGGATCTGTTAGCTCCTTCATTAGGTTTCAAGCTGTTTGAAACAGTGATTGAATTTGCTCACCTTTGCTTTCCTCTCAGGGTCTACATTGGGACCCTGAGTGATAATAGAGCCTTCTGTAGTATTGAATTGCTTTAAACAGAATTAAAGGACATTGGCACCAAATGTGATTTTGCCAATCCTTGGGAGTCTTGGTGCCTCTGTCTGGGCTTGACCAGGGTAGAATGGCTGAAGAAAATGTGATTCCTCCACCCATTAAATTCTTTATTTCTCAACTACTCTGGAAGTTTTTGCCTCTTTTTGTTTCTATCCATTTTCATACTTTTAAGATACCCTTTTTTACTTTAAGATACCTTTTTTCTTCCTAACGTTTCTTTACATGCTCACATGCAAGCCCAGTCATCCATCTCTCTTTTTCACCTTTCTGTCCTCATATATTTTTCTTAAAATATCTTTTCTCATCTAATCTCCTTTCCTCTATCAATCAGCCTCCTAAGCGAAAATGGTAGTGCTAATGTTTTAAAAAGTGGGGGAGGACTAGAAATCTGTATGGAATGTAATTCACTTTTATTGCTTTTAAATTAAATGAAACGTTTTTGCCCTTGTTTCCATTCTACTCAGAAGGATTTCAGACTAAATCCTTAAGCCTGCCATATGGAAATAACTGGGCTAGAGGGCTGCTATCTAATCTAAGCATTTAATTCAAACATTTGAAATGGTTTTTGCTTCAAGAAAACATAGGTTGACACTAAGCTTTATTTTAGCAAAGGTTTGGGAAAGGTTCTAATCTGCAGTATGTACACTTTGATAAATTTCATAGACTAGAGCAACAGATTACAATTTAGTTTGTTCTTCCAACATAAAACTATTTTAATCCTAGTTATAATTTCACTGAAGGCTGGATTTACTCACTGGCTTGTTAAAACTGTAGATAACAACCACAAGCCTGTTATTTAAACACAATTCAGAAATCATAAATAGAAATTCAAAAGGAGAGCTCAATGCTGCAAGATGAGATTTGATGCCCTGAAGAAACTCTCTCTGAAATTTGCCAAAGACCTTGTGGAACTTAAAATATCTTCTTGTTTCCTACCAGCTAGATATGGCAGCTTGAGAACTATTTATTATGAATCAAGATAGATATTTTACCAACTCAGAAAATGTTGCTTTTTGTTTGGATATTAATCTTGTTTGTTCATATTTTTAACTAGGAAAGTTAGTACAGTAATATGGTGGTCATCCAACAGACCACAAGAAGAGAATTTGTCCCTCATTCAGCATTTTAGCAAATATTTCTTGAACACTAGCCATGTGCAAGGTATTACAGTGAGTGTTTCTGCTAATAAAAATATGAATTAAATTTGATGTTTGATCATAAGTAGAAGAACTGTGATACTATAATATTGTAAGTGCCATAGAAAACTTGCTATTATAAAATGCTGTAAGGAGTTAATGCTTGCATAGGGTGCAGTGGGTCAGCTAGAGAAGGCTTTATAAAGAAAGTGGAATATGAGCTTTGATGCCTAGCCAGATGTGGGTATGTGAAGAACAGGGCAGGGCAGTGGGGAGTGGGTGGATTCTGGACAGCTGAAACATTGTTAACAAAATCTCAGAAATGGTACAAAATGGAATATGAATGAGAAATACAGAACATTTGTTAGGTTTTATTTTTATGCAAATTAAAGAGAAGAGTTAGAGACAAAGTTAAAGTCAATGGGTCTAGAATTTCAGCTAAAACTTTGGTAGGTAGTGGAGAATATTTTATCATTATTCTGCTCTTTAAACAACTTCAGAGATGATTGATTAATCTTGATTGTAAAGGAAGAGAAATTCTTTGGAAGACCAGTTAGGGGGTTATCATATGGTCTAGTAAAAGTTAATAAGATCTGCACAAGGCTGGGAAGAGTAGGATTAGAACAGAGGGGTGGAATTAAAGGACATCGTATATTGGAAATTTCTAGGATTTAGAACCTGATTGGAAGAGGAAGAAGAAAGGGAGGAGTTAAAAATAACTGTAAAGAGCCAAATCTGAGAACTGACCCTGCTAAAAAAGTCAGACAAGTCAAGTGGTGCAGCTGGTGTGTGCTAGAAGGTAAGTTCAGCTTTACTAGCAGTACATGAATGTGTGTATGTTCCCTAATGGGCAGTGGAAAGTGTGAAATTGAAACTCAGGATATGACCTGAAATATAGACTTGGGACTCATTAGCATCAAGGAAATAGTGAAGATGTAGGAACAGATATGAATGCCAAGGGAGAGTATGGAAGAGAAGATGACCAAGAACAAGACTCTAGGGAGAAGTTCTACTTTTAGGTGAGTCTGTTGAAATAGTCAGTGAGGTCAGAGTAGAAGTAGGAGAACTTAACATCATAAAAGACTGGGGAAGAGAGAGTGTGGAGAAAGGAGGGGCAGTAATATCCATGGAAGCAGAGAGGTAAGGAAGATGAAAATTGAGGGGGAAATTAAATGTGGCAGCTAAGAATTCATTGACGACTTTCACAAGAGAGGTCTTAGAACCATGAATTGCTGGAATGTATCCTCTTTGTCAGTCTGGAGTGTTTGTTTTTGACCTATTAAGTATTCTAGATTTGTCCAATGAATGATTTAAAATAGCACAGATAACTCTGTGTGTGTGTGTGTATGTGTGTGTGTGTGTGAGAGAGAGAGAGAGAAGAGAAAGAGTGAGCATCAGTCTTGTGGCCAGGGGACTATTTTATATTAATAAGTGATAAAATTATTTAAATATTCCTTGAGCTCACATTTAATCAATAACAGAAATGTAACTGAAAAAATAATAGAAATGTTTACTTAGCCAAAAAGGAAATCTCCAGAAATTTACATTAGTCAATAAATAAAATTTGTACCCAAACTATGTCAATTAAAAAAATATTCTGCCCCATTTAATCACATGAAACTGCAACAGCAACAAAAATTCTGTGTAAACAGTTGTTTAATTGAACTGATGCTCATACCCCAGGAACATATTTACATCATCTTTTTCCTTTTTTTTTTCTTCTTCAGAGTAAAAGGCCAAGCTATGATAGCAACTGGTGGAGTGATAACTGGCCTGGCCGCCTTGAAAAGGCAAGACTCTGCCAGATCACAGCAGCATGTCAACCTCAGCCCGTCTCCTGCTACCCAAGAGAAGAAGCCCATCAGGCGCCGGCCCCGGGCAGATGTTGTGGTTGTTCGTGGCAAAATCCGGCTTTATTCCCCATCTGGTTTTTTTCTTATTTTAGGAGTGCTCATCTCCATTATAGGAATTGCTATGGCCGTTCTTGGATATTGGCCCCAAAAAGAACATTTTATTGATGCTGAAACAACACTGTCAACAAATGAAACTCAGGTCATTCGGAATGAAGGCGGTGTGGTGGTTCGCTTCTTTGAGCAGCATTTGCATTCTGATAAGATGAAAATGCTTGGCCCATTCACCATGGGGATTGGCATTTTCATTTTCATTTGTGCTAATGCCATTCTTCATGAAAACCGTGACAAAGAGACCAAAATCATACACATGAGGGATATCTATTCCACAGTCATTGACATTCACACGCTAAGAATCAAGGAGCAAAGGCAAATGAACGGCATGTACACTGGTTTGATGGGAGAAACAGAAGTAAAACAGAATGGGAGCTCCTGTGCCTCGAGATTGGCAGCAAATACGATCGCCTCTTTCTCGGGTTTTCGGAGCAGTTTTCGAATGGACAGCTCCGTGGAGGAGGATGAACTTATGTTAAATGAAGGTAAGAGTTCTGGGCATCTTATGCCCCCTTTGCTCTCTGACAGCTCTGTGTCTGTCTTTGGCCTCTATCCACCTCCTTCCAAGACAACTGATGATAAGACCAGCGGCTCTAAGAAATGTGAAACCAAGTCAATTGTGTCATCGTCCATCAGTGCTTTTACATTGCCTGTGATCAAACTTAATAACTGTGTTATTGATGAGCCCAGTATAGATAACATCACTGAAGATGCTGACAACCTCAAAAGTAGGTCAAGGAATTTGTCAATGGATTCCCTTGTGGTTCCTTTGCCCAACACCAGTGAATCCTTCCAGCCCGTCAGCACAGTGCTACCAAGGAATAATTCCATTGGGGAGTCGTTGTCGAGTCAGTACAAGTCATCTATGGCTCTCGGACCTGGGGCTGGACAGCTCTTGTCTCCTGGGGCTGCCAGAAGACAGTTTGGGTCCAATACATCCTTGCATTTGCTCTCGTCACACTCAAAGTCCTTGGACTTAGACCGGGGTCCCTCCACTCTAACTGTTCAGGCAGAACAACGGAAACATCCAAGTTGGCCTAGGTTGGATCGGAACAACAGCAAGGGATATATGAAACTAGAGAACAAAGAAGACCCGATGGATAGGTTGCTTGTGCCCCAAGTTGCCATCAAAAAGGACTTTACCAATAAGGAGAAGCTTCTTATGATTTCAAGATCTCACAATAATTTGAGTTTTGAACATGATGAGTTTTTGAGTAACAACCTAAAGAGGGGAACTTCTGAAACAAGGTTTTAATGTTAAAAGAATATATCATTTTACAAGGGTATATATTTTAAAACGATTTTCACTGGTGTTTCCTTCTTAAAGTATTGGCTGTAAGCCTTTTTAATCAAATGGTTTGTAGTGTATTAGAATTGGCTGCTTAGTTCTGTAATGAAGATGGTTGTATGTTTGGGTTACTTGTGACTGCAGTACTCTATGTTACCACACATGATTTTATTTTTCTCTTCCTTTGAAAGCATGATCTCTTTTATTAATATGAATGCAAAATGCTTGCATCCAAATTAAAGCTTATTTTCTTTACTTTTAAGTTCTTTGATTGCCCTATTCATAAAATGAAATGTCCAGTATGGAAAACATAGGGTACCAAAGTGTGGACCAGGAGTACAAATTCAGTCCCAATACTCAATACGTATTATAGATGACTATGAGTGCAAACCTTAGGATGTGATTTTCTGAATAATTGTTCTTTGTAGGATTTGGTTACATTATTTAAAATGAAAAAGATCTAGTTTTAGTGTGAGCTCAGTAATGTTAATTGGTTAAGTTCATTGTGAATCTTGAGTTTTAGATAAGTAGTTATTTTTTTCAATATCACTTCTGTTTTTAGTGATATTATATCAAGAAACAACGTATTCAAGAGCCATGGCTGACAGTGCCAGATATACTTAGGGATAAACATCAAAATGCAATTATAGTTGCTATAACGTTAGATACTCGGAATCAAAATTTATTTGCAAGCTGACTTGATAAACTAAATGAACCAATAAAATTTGTAGAAATGCTATCCTGAAATAATTATATACATGAAGACAATGTTGACTAATGAATTAAGATACATTATATACTAGTTAATGCTAACTAGTCTCAGTACCTGTTTTTAGCCATCTGTTACTGTCCAATAGCACCTCATTCCCACATTCTATTTTCCCCCGGTATTCTTTAGATCCTAGTATTTGGAAAACAATCGGCTAACCTTGACATTTCTTTTTACCTTCATATGCCACTATCTCGGTAGTTCAAAAAAATTTAGTTCTTGATAAATTGCCTTGAAGTTTACCTTGTGCTGGAGAGCCTTATGATAACTCCAAAGACTTTCTTACGGTATAATACATGTTGTTTAGGATTGTGTTTCTTAGTCACTGAAGATAATAAATATTAAAATGGATGTTTTCATCAGAAAATTTTCATGTTTTCCTTTAAGGTAACATAATTGTAAGAATTGTTTAATAAAATACTCAGGAAATTCTAAAGGTTTCTCCCAATACCTAAACATTTCTGAACATCAGTATTGCAGTTGTGGAAGAGCAGAAGGAGGATACATTTGTTTGTGTTGCTCCCCAAAATTCCACCTTGCATTTGCATCACAAACTTCCCTCAATTGAGGCAGTTTTCTTTGTTAGAACATTAAGTCTGTGTATTGTAATAGAGTGGGCTCAATATTTTACTATAAAGCATTTAATAAACTGTTATTAATAGAAGTTTGTGTTCTTCACACCTTTGCTATTGCTTTTTAAATAAAATGTACATTTCTGCTTAAAGTACTGTTTTTCACACTTTCAGATATATTCTACTGAGGGCACTTGATACCCTAGTACATGTACTGAGTATCTCGGCTTTTAAATTTTGCTTCTATTCGGTTAAAGAGCTAGGTCTATCCACCTATTTAATTAGACTGTTTTTAAATTTTCTTATCTTGGGATCGTTTTCACTTAAAGTTTCATTGACTCTCAGGAAAATAACCAAATACAGCAAAAGTCAGCGGCACTCAGATTTGAAAACAGTGGCTGTCAACACCCCTGATGTGACAGATGACTGGAGCCATATAATTTGTTCAGTTCATCCCTGAAAGAGCTCTAGAAATTTGAAGAGGATTAAACAGCATGGGTCTTAGATGATCCAAATAAAGGAATTGGGGGCTTAAAGTAGTGGTTCCTGCTCAATCTTCTCTTCATCAAAAAGCCTGAGTTTTTTACTTATCAAGCAAATCAACTTTGTTAAATTATAAATAATTTTCTCATTTTAAATTAATGAAAGACATCGATTACTAACTAAAGTTTCAGATTCATATGAGATAGCTGGTGTCACCACATTGGTATAATTCTACCTAAAAGCAGTGAAACCTGGAATTCTAGATAGACCATATTTTGTGCATTTCCTTTAGGCTTTTATGAATATTGAAAATTATTTTGAAAATACACCTGCCATATTAGATTAGAACTTTACTCTAGATGCCTTGTTTAATCTTAATCACCTTAATTGCCTTTTTAAATCTCCAAATATGGGTATTCTGAGGGGCAGGGGTTTGGGACTTCAGCATATGAATTTCAGGGGGACACAATTCAGCCCGTAAGATGGGGTGTGGAGAGGTGAGTAAGGGTTCTTAGTCTAGACTAGGTGAGAAGAGTGCAATATGCCCTTAATGACATTGCCACCCTGGCTATGTAGCCTTGAGCCAATCACTTAATGCCTCCATTTCAATTACTTTCTTAATGCCATGGCTTTGAATTCCTCACCTGTGAAGTGAGATGAGTAAGAACAGAAACTATCAAGTTCTTTCTAACTCTAAAGGTCCAGGGTTCTTGATGCCCTCAGATGAAGATCTACTGCCTGTCCCTGTCTCTTTGTAGCAGATTACTTCTCAAAGGATAAGGGCAGGACTTCCAGGAGAGCAGAGCAGTGGGAGGTGTGGATGGTGGAGCCAGAAGACCCGGCATCCATCAGTTGTGAAGCTTTCAGGCTTAAATACATGTTTCCATCTGTATAATCTTCGAAGAAACAATGGCAATATAAGTAAAAAGAAAAACATTGTTTAGCACAAGTTTGTATCAAAATGGATATTATAGTAGCTCTTGACAATTTACTAAAGACAAATTTTGAGTTACTTGTTTGGCGGTTCAAATTTAGCTTTTTTTTTTTTTTTTTTTTTTTTGAGAGAGTTTTGCTCTTGTCGCCCAGGCTGGAGTACAATGGTGCGATCTCAGCTCACTGCAACCTCCTCTTCCCAGATTTAAGCAATTCTCCTGCCTCAGCCTCCCGAGTAACTGGGATTACAAGAGCCCACCACCACGCCAAGCTAATTTTTTGTATTTTTAGTAGAGACGTAGTTTCACCATGTTGACCAGGCTGGTCTCGAACTCCTACCTCAGGTGATCCACCCACCTTGGCCTCTCAAAGTGCTGGGATTACAGGCATGAGCCACTGTGCCCGGCCCCACATTTAGCTCTTAAATTCACCACAGATAACTAAAAGAAGTAAAATACAGCATAAAAAAGAAAAAGACCCATCAGTTTATCAATAATTTTCCTATAACGTTTTAAGTATTAGAGTGGGGGCCCACCACTGACATACATCCACCTACTGTGGTGTTCAGGTTGTTCAGAGATCTTAATCACTTCTTCTCTAAGTAGGAACTGTGAAAGTGGTACTTTGGTTATCCTGTCTCTTACTTTCAGCAAATTGCTCTGTCACCCTTCCCTGACCCTATATATAATCATATGTTAGACCTTATATCAAGGTTTTAGTGTGTATAACCTTGATGTTGGATTATTGAAGGACTTTGTCTTTAATCTCCCATTTGGTGATTAAAGTCCTTTGTGAGGTGTTTTCACACTGAAGTAACTCATTGATTTCTCTCTGTATGCTGTTTTTTCCAGATGATGGCTAAGAGAAAAAAGGCCCACTTCATTGAAGTACCTTTTACTTAATAGTTGATGCTGTCTTAAGATAACAGGTTAGTTTTCTAGGGCTGGTATAATAAAATACCACAAACTGGGTGGCTTAAGCAATAAAATTTATTTTCTCATAGTTCTGGAGGCTGCAAGTCTAGGAATAAGGTGTTGGTTGCTTTGATTTCTCTTGAGGCTCCTCTCCTTGGCTTGCCAATGTGTTCTCACATGGTTTTGTGCATCCCTGGTGTCTGTGTATCCAAATTTCCTGTTCTTATTAGGATACCAGTAAGATTGCATTAAGGCCCATCATGACAGCCTTATTTTAACTTAACATCCTCATTAAAGGCCCTATCTCTGAATACAGTCACATTCTTAAGTACTGGGGGTTAGTTCAAATAGCAGTTTGAGGTGGGGGAACACTTCAGTTCATAACAGATAATAATTTAAAAATAATGCCTGCCCAAGAACAGGGCTCATTAAAGTAACAAAATGAAGTGAATCAACCCTCGTATATCAGCAGATCATTTCCTCTTCTTGAGGTACATTTTATGTAAACTAATTTACATTTATATTTCCTCTCTTACTGTCAGTGTATAAGATGAAAGAAGTAATAAAGAGGATATAAGAAACTTCTGCTGGGCACAGTGGCTCACACCTGTAATCCCAGCACTTTGGGACCCAAGGCGGGTGGATCACTTGAGGTCAGGAGTCCAAGACCAGCCTGGCCAACATAGTGAAACCCGTCTCTACTAAAAATACAAAAACTAGCCGGACATCCTTGCTTGAACTCAGGAGATGGAGGTTGCAGTGAGCCAAGATCGTGCCACTGCACTCCAGCCTGGGTGACAGAGTGAGACTCTGTCTCAAAAAAAAAAAAAAAAAAAAAAAAAGAAACCTCTACACATACTATCTTGCTATTCTCACATTCAAGGTGGTTTTCAGCAAACTGGGCAGAATCTTCAGCTTGGGCTATTCCCTTCTTATTGCCATCCTTTATTCTTGGTTGGTTCATTAGTTGCTTTAATACAAAAATAACAGAGAAAAATTACTTTTATTTTGGTCTTCTCCCTTATTAATTCACAATTTAAAAGTTTGAGACTTATGATAATTTTTTAGTTCTTTCTCATTACCAAATAGTATATATCCTGTCCCCAGGAGCATGTGTACTCTACAAATTAAGTGTAGAGATATATGTACATTTCAGTTGTTTGTAATGTAGACAAGGCCACAGTATTTATAGTACAAAAGATGGAATAATTTGCTAACAGAAACATAAACACCTGGAATTTTGAAGACAGTGGACATTAGAGCTGACACCCAGTGCAACACGGAAGTTAGCAGAGTCAAGAACTGAATTCGGGACTGTTGATTCCTAGTATTTCCATCAATTAGAATCAAATCAAGTTTTTAAAAACACATATGTGCAAAATCTGGTGATTAGATTTTGGGTTTCTTAGGGCTGGTAAAGAGAGACGCATCTATAATTTCTGGAGGAAAACCTAGTGTTGAAATGTCCAACACATCTCATTGGGTTGGGGTTAAGGTGGTATACTTGGGACCTATATTGCAGACAGCACCAAGATTAGAATGGGAATTTTTAGTATTTAACTTTGATTTCCCATGTTTTAAAGTATTAACTATCTAGCACTGCTATTGAAAATTATGCCATTAAGCCCTTCCACATCATAATATTGTCTTTCAGCAAGATGTACGGAACTAAAATAAGACGTCTGTATCCATATTCAATAAACCACATGTACAAGAAGGAAGGCAAAAAGACAAGGGGGAAGGAAGGAAGGAGTGTGGTATTTGGGAGATAAGAGAGGAGGAGAGAATGCCATATGTTTTTCCTACTTATTAAAAACACATGCATAGGAAAGGCATTCCATTTATGCTTAATTTTGGAATAAAACCAAGCTTATAATTTTTAATCACTGAGGCAGTGAGAAAATATTCTTAGTTGATTTTAAAATACATTTTAGTAGGCATTAAGAGTGCTTATTATCTGGCTCATTTGAGTCAGTCACCCTAAGGGTTAGTGAATTAATCATTCATTTGAAGTCATCAGCTAATGAGTCATCAATAGCTCAAAGCTGTTAAGAAATTATTATTTTAAAAAATAAAATCACTTTTTTCTATACTCAGATATTTTCTATGTTCATTAGGTGTGTATTTTTCCCTAAAGCATTTCCAAATTCCAAGTGTGTTACCTTGTGTTATCATTTACAATGTTAATAACCTGAAAAGTCAAATTAACTTTCCAGCCAGTTAGTTGAACAGTTAAGGAATTATCTTTCAAAGACTCTTGCATTTTATGAGTCTGTTATTAAAGTCTATTACTGTTTTAAGGCCTGAAGAGGATCAAATAAAATACATATGAGCAAAAAATATGAAGGACATTTAGAATCTGGATCAAACTGAATATAGGATATAATTATTCCTTACTCTGTAACGTGCTCACTATACTTTAAGTGATAGGAAAAATTTCTCTACTGAAGTAATGTAAGTGAAATATATTCTCTTTGGCATGTGAATACCACATTCTGTTTTATATTGGTTACCAAGATGTTTAGCAACTTAAGAAGGACATTTAATATAAGCCAGTCTTTTCTTACTCAGGTTTCTTCTGGCAATGACATACACTAAGAAATTCTGACACAAAAGTATTGGATGTTTATGAAATTCCACCAAAAGGGTCTAGTTCTAAAAATATTGCCTGCTCTCAAATATTTAAATATTTAATATTTAATCTGTGGTTCATTCAGGCCCTTCTCTTTCAACTTTTTATTTATTTACTTTTGTTAACCCAATTTTATAGCTGTGTTCTCTGGTTGGTAGGTTAAAAGAGAGGTAAAATCAAGTGTTGACCATTTTGCAATGTAATGGTGACACTGGCCATGGGCTTCCAATGGAAGAAAAGGGAGAAAATGTGAAAAAGTCCAATGGGCTGAGGAGGTATAACTAAGTATATCTTTTATATGTGCTGTTTTCAGTCACCCCTTCTATTGCCATAGTCAATCAAGAGTTGGCTCATTGGTCAAAGGAGATTACTGTCAATCCAGATATGTCTCTGAATTTGTATACCAAAAAGTCCAGAAAATTCTGAAATTAATTTTAACATATCAGGGGCTTACACAGTGCTGGTACATATTGGGTTCCCAATGAATGTTAGTGGAATTAATTTACTTTTTAGTTCATTGTGGAAAATAAAAGGAATAATCAATTTTATTGTGCTATACTTAGGGGTGAGTTTGCCAAAGACTCTATGTCAGGAAAGGGAGAACATATGTGGCTGGTTATAAAATTTTATGTTTTACAGTGATATAAGGCGGTAACTGGGTTATACACCAATTGCAGGGAGTTAGAGGAGGCATGAATACAATGGTACTCTGGTTCATTTGAACCTAGAATGAATGAGGAAAGTAATTTAATTTCAGTGGCTGTGTATATGTTTTCAAAAATGTAGAAAATATAAAAGCTAATTCTGAAATGCAAAAGGAATTCAATACTTATAAAATTGGCCAAAGGCCTTTTTGACACATTAGCTTTGTATTATCTTTTTGTCCCATGTATTTGCAGTTTAACCTTAAGGCCCAACCCCTATTTGAAATAAAGGAACTATCTCTATTTTATCAATGAAACAATTACTCGGGTGTACATAACATTTCAATTTCATGATTTTATAAGTCAAAATGATCATTTTCAGTTAGTTTCATGAGAATTGCAGATGTTTCATTTACCAAGGTCTTATCATTGGTACAGCACATTTTTCTCATTCTCTAGTCTCCCAGAAATTCCAACATTTACCTGTGCATGCAAATTACCTTCATTTCCTAGATGTAAACCTGAAAATAGAAACCTACTCTTTATGAAATTTTACACATTTACACGTTCTGGTAACAGATACCAGAAGAGTAGGAAAATACATTTTAGATGCAAATATTCCCTCTTTCAATTTGAGTAGAAAAAATATTTTGACATTATTAATTTTATTAAACAGGTAAAGAACAGATTTTTAAAAAGACTTTCAAGTGCCTTATGCACACTCACGTGACTTCTATGTATGGCATTGGGAACCAGCTATGAGACTTGTACTATCCTTGACATCCTGAAGGAATATTAAAAAGAAAGTGTTGCTGTCTGGATGGAGCAACTTGAGGTAGACCTTGAAGGATTTATATGAACCAAGGAAATATTTCAAGGACAATCTTATAGATGATAATAGCAGGCAAGGTTAAGACCTAGCATTGGGAAGAAGCAAAGCCTTTTGCAGGACACATGGCCTTCCTGGAGTATTGACTTTAAATTGGAGAGGAAAAGAAGATAAGTTTGGAAAGATACTTGGAGTTCAGATTAGTAATAACTTTAAAAGCCAGGCCAAGTAACTAGGTTTTGTGGTAGTGGTAAGACTTTCTAAGCATAAGATAAATATATTAGGAGAGGTTCTCAAGAATATAAACTTGGTCATGATCTGAAGAGTGGTTTGGAAAATATTGGAAGGAGAGAGAAAAATAAAGTATAGTTGGGACATGGACCAAAGTAGTAGCAAGGAAAATGGGAACATTTTTGATTCTCAGATTCTCAGTCATCTCAATCTACTAGCTACCTTTCTTCACGTTTCTCTCTCTCAATCTTGATTTCCAGGACACCACATCTTCCCAGATTTTTTTTCCTACTTAGCTAATCCTTTCTTCCCAGTCTCCATCGCTGGTTTTTCCCTGTCTTCACTAGCACTTAACATTGGAGTGCTCTAGAGCTCAGTCTTTGTTTCTTTTCTGAATCTGCCCTCATTCACTGCTGATGTAATGGCTTTAAAAACTATTTAATGCCCACAACTCCCAAACTCTCCTTTATTTCAGTCTCTTGTTTTTTCTACTTGGATGTCTGATAGACAATGAAATTTATCATAGCCAAAACTGGACTCTATACCTTTCCTTCTAAATTTAGTCCATTTATAGTTTTTCTCTTCTCAGTGATGACATTACTCCATCATTCAAATTGTTTAGCTCAAAACCCTTTGCGTCATCATTGACTAAATTTTATTTCATGCCCCACACCCAATCTTTCCATTAACTGTTCCCTATCTATTTAGTCTCTCAACAATGTGTAGGTTTTTCCTCTTGATTTGACACAGGAAGCTATTCACCTTTGCTTTAAAAACTTTAATTATTATCGATATACTTAAAATTATTTGCATAATTTCTCTGGTTATGGAAATAATGTGTGGTCACTATATAAAAACACATTCAAATAAAATGGAACTGTGTGACTTAGAAAATGAAATGTCCCCCACGATCCCACCCTCAGATAGCCACTGTCACAATCGCTTTTTGAGAACCCATTATACATCAGGCATTGTGTAAGGTGTTGTGAAAACAAAGCCAAATAAGACATTACCCCATCCTTCAAGGAGCTTACAAGACTTCGATAACCAAATCATCCACTAGTACATGGATATGGCCACGTGCTATGACCTTTAGCTCACTCCCTGCGCTGGACACTAACCACTCCCTCTGGCCTGGATTATCCTCCTGCCTTGGGGCTTGTGCTGGCCTCATGGATGCAGAGAACACTCTGCTGACAGCATGAGGGATGAGGAAAAGGAAACAAAGAATTCAGAATGAAGATGCTGGATAAGGCCAGGAAGACCAAAGGCAAACAATTTTGAAAAGACTGTTTCTGAGATGATCCAGAAACTCAAAGATTATTAAGTCACGTCACCTGTAAATGAATGGCTTTGAGTATTTTCTGGAGTTTTTTGCCTTCTCAGTGAAAGATCTTCTGAGAACTAAAATCATTATTTGAAAAAAAGAAAAGAAAAGAAAAGAAAGAAAAAGTCCCTTAGGCTAAAATAATCTTCTCATAACTTCAGAAGCAAGGTAGCACATATTCTTAGCTACACTTTGTAAAAGCACCCAGGTCAGGAGGTGTACTTGACCCAGCCTGGAGGAGGCCCTAGGGGAATTTTTAATATATGTGTGTTTGCTCTACAGCCTTCACTACTCTCCCTTCCCTATCTCTGTCATGAGAGTAACATCCTTCATCACCTAAGCTCCCAAGAGAAAAAGATCTAAGATGACCATTGATGCTTGTTAATGAATTGCTTCCATTTTGATTTGGAGCCTTTTATCTCTAACTGTGAAATGAATATATTTGTTCTTCAGTAGCTTTATGTTACTGATTCTTTAGTAACTTATGCTTTGCAAGCATACACAAAATCTCTTATACTTGCCAGATCTTTGAAAGTACCAATTCTTGTCTTCAGTACTATTTGTAATGTTATTATATTCTACTATTAGCAAAGTCTTCGCTGTTAATGAGATTCTTTTTTTTTAAGTGAAGGTCTCACCCCACTATACACTGAATTATTTTGGAACTAATCCAAGATATTATATTTCATCTGTAAATATCTCAGTATCCCCAAAGGAGTCTCCTCTCATTGTAATTGAATCACAGTACTATTGTCCCACTAAATAATTAACATTATTTTTTATTATCAAACACTTGGTATTAAAATTTCCCCAGTAGTTTTATAAGTCTTTTTTTTCTGTTGGTTTCTTTATATCAGGATGCAAATAAGGTCCACACACATCATAGTTGGTTAACCGTATCTCTTTAACTTATATCTCGTTTAGTTCTTTCCTCGTCTTTAATTTTCTTTGTGATTTCTTTGTTAAAGAAACCAGGCCAATTTGTCCTGTGTCATTTTCCACATTCTGGACTTAACTGATTTAAGTGTTGTTTGACCAAGTTTCTCTGCCCCATATATTCTGCATATGGGTCATTTGAGCAGGTAGGTTTTTTTGGCAAGAATATTTTATATAGGGTATTGTGTACTTCTTATTGGATCTCCTTAGGAAGCATATGATATCTGTGGTCTCTTTCTCTGATATCAAGATGAATATTAAATTGGATATTGTTGGATTTGAGAAATACTCTTTATTGAATTAAGCCTCCAAGATTTCCATGATTTTCTGTGACAACAGCCAAGTTACTCATCATTACTAATATACCTATAATAACATTACTTTGTCAAGGAAGAAGTATCGCAAATTAAATTACAGGCATCAAAATAATCATCTTTGACATTATTCAATTTTTAATAATATTTTCATAATGGAACCCTCTTTACCTTAAAAGCATAACTATTTTTATCATTATTTCTCCCTCTGATATGGAGATTTCTAAGAGAAGTATGAGATTGGAAGAGTATCCTTGTTAATGATTTTATTGTCTTTCAAAACCAAGACAGCCTAATCTCTACCCAGCCACACCAGGTAACAAATATTTTTTAAATTGTCTCTACATTCCATTAAGAACTCTTTTGTTTAAGCAATAACAATTTCTTCGTGTCCAATAATAAGCTTTTTTGATAACAGCATCATGTATTTGATGGTTTGGCAAAGGTCTCTGAAGCAAGACAATCTCTGTAAAAGCCACAAGCATTTAAAACTTTAAAGACCGTGATCTAGAGTCACAAGATTCTCAAAAGAACCAAAGAAAAGACAACAGAGAAGAAAAGGGGAAGGTGCTTGTAAGTTTACAAAGTAGATTTTCATTATCAAACCTTCTCTACTGCACCCTGAAAAAGACGTTCAAGACCCTAAAATTGATCTGGTAAAAAGTTGTTTGGCAATTGAAAATCTATCCATTTAGTACGAGACTTTCTACTCACATAGAACAAATCTTGATAATAATTCTTAAAGGGTCTGAAAAAGAGGCTTTGGCTCTTATGACTTTATAAAAATGTTTGCTGTTCTTCATTTGGTCATGATTAATGCGGCCGGAAATGATGTGATTGCAACCTCCACTGTTAGCCCTACCGGTATTAATCATCTCCAAGGTGATCTCAGTTTCCGTGGCAACTCTAATATTTATTTTTGCACTATAGCACTGTCTGGTCTCTGATGGTTGGGATGACAGAGTAATGCTGAAATGTTTAGTCTCAGTCACAAATTTCTCACATCCCTGATGTTAGAAAACCATTTCACCACATTCAAGTGTTATTACTAACCCGTACTCAGACAATTGCATTACAAAGGTGTTCTGAGCCAACCCTGTTGCTTGATTTCAGGTTACCAGGCTTTAAGGTCCAAAGGATTTCCACTGACTAAAGAAGCTCTTGGTATTTGCATCCAAATTTTCATAATAACAATTTTAAACATACATAATGCATCACTATCACAATCATATGGAAATAGACTGAGCAGTTCTAGGTATAACTCCTACAAGAAAAAGAAAATATATGTTAAGTAGAGCTTTATATATTCTTCCAGTCAAAGATATCAATCAAACCCAAGAAATTAAGCTACAATTTCTGAATTTTGTTACAATTAATAACATTCAAGAGTGAATCATAAATGAGGAAAAGTCACTGATCTTTCCTGTCTTCATCAGAAATAATCAAATTATACTAGATATCAAGATTTTCCTAGAAAGAGTCTCTGGAACAAAGGAATAGAGCAGGTTGCCTTACACTTAGGTGGACACAAAGGTGACAGAAAGCTGTTTTTGAAAGATGGCTTAGGGCAAAATTCTGGATTCTTGCCCCCTTGAATTAACACTGTTTCTATTCCTGTCACTTTGCTTCAAGTTCCTTTCATCCTGCATGTCTTTTTAGATACCTGCTAAACCCCTTGGACTGATAAACCTTAATGTGCCAGCTCTCCTGGCTTTCAAAAAAAAAATCATGGCATGTAGGCATCTTTCATTCTGCCTGTGCTCAAAATTGGCTCCATCTTTTTCTCTTGCCAAGGATGAGAATGGTAGCACAGAATGACATATGGCCCTGTTAGAAACCTATTCTTATAATCCCGGATACAAGAGTAGGGAAAGGTTTGAGTAGAGATAAAGAGGGGGAAGCATGAGAACACTGGGTGAAGTCACCAATGCCAGAATGGCCACTTCCTAGGGTCACACAGCTGTGGGCACTGGGACCTCTAGCCTGTCCCTCTAATGAGAGTCCCCATCCTACCCCACCTTCATCAAATTCCTAAGTGTTCATATCTGGTGCTGTCGTGGTTGTAGAGGATAAGAGCTTCAGGGAGGCTGAGCAAACAGGAGTCTTTACCTACCAGGTGCCCAGAGGATACACTGTAAGAAGATGGAAGAAAAACCTAGCAAAGCAAAGGGCACAGCTTCAAACAAAGAGGAATCTCTCAGTCTTCACATATCCAGACTTTTGGATTTTTTCTATTACATTCCTTAATTCAGAGACAGTGAGTATCTCCAGGCATGAAAACATGCCCAAACAGAATGAATCCCATCCTGAGTCCCTGCTACTTCCCCCAAAAGTTGAAATGCTATGATTAAGTTGTCCTATTTATTTCTTTTAATGCTTCCAACATAAAGGGAGTGAGGGGCAGCATTTGGACACAGAAATTAGGTCTGCTTCTCTGTCATGTTTTTATGCTCCTGTCTAGGAAAATCCCCATAGAATCTTAGGCAGATTTCAAAGTCCACTGTCATCATGATAAAAGAAATGACTTGAATAAGACATAAATATAATTAGCTTCGTTCTTTTAAAGGGAGCACTTTATCTTTGAGGTGGCTATTCAGAGAGTGGACACTCCCACGGGAAGCCTTTAAAATAGGCAAGATGATGTGATACAGAATCTGGGTTCCTGGTGGTGCCTGCTCTCTACTTGGTGAATGGAAATATGGATTTCCTGACATCACTTTCAATTTTGTCTTCCCCCCACCCTAGAAAATGAGTCCTTTGGGGTATGTGAACCCAAAATATCTGAGAAGGTCTCAATTGATTTACAAAGTCTATTTTGTCAAGGTTAAAAATGCCCCACTGACACGGTCTCAGGAGGTCCTGACGATATGTACCCAAGGTGGTCTGGGTACAGCTTGCTTTTAGACATTTTAGGGAGATATGAGACATCAATAAATATGTGTAAGATGAAGTGGTGGGGGTGAGTGCTTCCAGGTCATAGGTAGATAAAGAGACAAAATGTTGCATTCTTTTGAGTCCTTGATCGGCCTTACACTAAATACACAATTTAGCTGGGCCCAGTAAACCTGCATTTTTACATAAATAATGGAAGCCATCAGATATGCATTTGTCTCAAGTGAGAAGAGCCGTGATGACTTTCTGTCCTGCACCTGTGATGATAAGCTATCAGTTCGCATTGCCAGGGTGAAATTCAACAGAACTGTTTTAGGGTAAATATTTTGAGGCTCACAAGCAATTTCCTTGTGCGCAAATTGTGAGGGAGGTATGTAGCTTTTTTGTCTTTATAGCTATTTTATTTAGGAATAAAATAGGAGGCAAGTTTGCCTGATAGAGTTCCCAGCTTGACTTTTCCTTGGCTTAGTAAGGTTGAGGTCCCAAGATTTATATTCCTTTCACAGGTAGAAACAAAGGGCAGTCGGCTTCCTTTATTTCCCTTCAACTTTGAGCATTTTTCTTGTTGTGTAGTGGATATTTCTCTGCCACTAATACAGGGACAGTCACCACAAAACACTTCACAGTTGTTGAAGTGGAGTGCTTACAAAGTACAGATAGGATGGCCTTGGAATGAAAGCCTCCCTGCTGACTCGTCCGCCCGAGCATGGATGCTAAGTGGCTCACTTAGAGCCAAAAATTCTACCCCAAGTATAAGTACATTAACCTGAAACAGCAAGACATCTTGAAGCAACTACATGAAAAGCCCTGAACAGCAGCATTTAGGATTTGCAGGTGTCTTACAGGATGACCTTGTCAGAAAGAAAGAAAGGAGAAGCAGCCACAGGACCCTGTCCTCTGACAGCTCTACCGGCAGCCAAGCCTTAGGCCAAGCACTGGCCCTCTTGGGGTAAGCGTGCTGCTGTAGGTGCATGATACATTTTGAAGACCAGTGATTGCTTGATTTTATGTTCTGACTGACACTTTCTACGTGACTTGGAGAACTTGAATTTTGGAGACCACAAGCAGGACACCCTGTAATACAGTGTACTGGCAAGTGTAAAAGATACATTGCCGGCCAGGCACGGTGGCTCACACCTGTAATCCTGGCACTTTGGGAAGCCGGGGAAGCCGAGGCGGATGGATCAGTTGAGGTCAGGAGTTCGAGACCAGCCTGGCCAACATGGTGAAACTCCATCTCTACTAAAAATACAAAAAATTAGCCGGGCATGGTGGCGGACACCTGTAATCTCAGTGACTCAGGAGGCTGAGGCAGGAGAATCACTTGAACCCAGCAGGCGGAGGTTGCAGTGAGCTGAGATCGTGCCACTGCACTCCAGCCTGGGTGACAGAGCAAGACTGCATCTCAAAAAAAAAAAAAAAAAAAAAAAAGTCACATTGCCTTGACTTTATGTCCCTGTCTTGGGAGGCATTGTGTTTTCCAGACCAGGTGAGCAGGGCAAGCAAAACCAAAAGAAGTGAAAGATTCAAAGATGAAAAAAATCATGAAAGCACTGACTAAACCAACACAAGTAAATTCTAATACTAATATACTTAATTGGATATTAAAATTATATGATCTGATCAAAATACAATGTCTTCTTTCTTTCTCTCTCCCTCCCTTTCTCTTTCTCCCTCCTCCTTTAAATAAAGCAAGCTTGCTGCCTCTTTTCTGAAGACACTCAGCTCTGACAGCCACCTTCCTTGCAGGCCTGACCTCTCTCTCCTTTATAGTGACTGATGGATTCCCCTAGGGTCCCTTAGGGCCCTAGAGCCTTGGCCTTCCATGAGGGGATGCAGAGCAGGAAGAATTACTTTGAATGGTCTTCCTCTTAGCCCTATTATTATTATTATTATTATTATTATTATTATTATTATTATTTTGAGATGGGGTCTAGTTCTGTCAGCCAGGCTGGAGTGCATTGGCGCGATCTCGGCTCACTGCAACCTCCATCTCCTGGGTTCCAGCAATTCTCCTGTCTCAGCCTCCCGAGTAGCTGGGACTACAGGTGCCTGCTACCACACCTGGCTAATTTTTGTATTTTTAGTAGAGACGGGGTTTAACCTTGTTGGTCAGGCTGGTCTCGAACTCCTGACCTCAGGTGATCCACCCACCTCGGCCTCCCAAAGTGCTGGGATTACAGGTGTGAGCCACTGTGCCCGGCTGTCCCTTTTAAGTGAATGAATTCAGATGAAAGAGAATGTCTTAGAGGGAGACAGGAAGACAGGAAGGGGAGTATGCTGCAGGAGACAGAGTGTAGAGAAAGCAATCAGGTTGCTATGAACTGGTGGAAGGGCTCCAGCCTATATTTGCACCAGATGGGATAACTGCCTCCTCCTTCCCCAATCCCTGTGGTGCCAGGCCCTTGCTCTCCTCCTGCTGGACTCCTGGAGCATGGGCCCGGTGACTCCAGCCACAGTCTTCACCCAGTCCTGAGGAGCTCCTTCTTCTCAGTCCCTACTTCCCTCAGGACTGCTCCACTTCTTCAAGACCACGGTAGGCAGATAATGAGGCTGATATAGTAGGAGCTCAAATTGTGAACTATATCAAAAGCCGTTTTCATATAACAGATTAACAACTACATCCATGGAAGCCTGTGTGAACCTTTGTCCCCTAGAGGAGGTTTTGCAAGTTGAATTATTTGGAATCTAGGCAGCCCATAGTGGTGTGGTTAAGAACATGGGTTAGAAAGAGAGACCTACATTCAGATCATAGCTTTGCCTCTAAACTTGAGTTTTCCTAACCGCAATGGCAAATAATAAGAGTGCCTTCCTCCTAGTGCTGTTGAGAGGATTAAATGAGATAATGCCCAGCAAACACATAGTAAATGTGTTAGCAATATTAGTTGTAGTCATTGAGTCAGCCTGAAGAAAAATGTTAAGGCAGGCTCTGCTAATTTTTAAAGTCGTTTTGCTCTTCTTTCAGTTCTTCTACTTCTTATTGGACAACTTTAATTCTCCAATTCCTAGGGTTCTGTTGTCTATGTACTACAGTCCCCATAACCATCACTACCCAGCCGTCCAATAACATCTAAACCCCTTCCCCAAATTAATCAAGCACATAGTACCCATGAATCATACACTCCATTTATCAAAGAATGTTAAGACTGAAGTTTTCTCCACAGAAATATCTTGAGGTTGGCTAGTTAAAAATAACTTACTTTATATTCAAAACTCAAAAACCATCTCATCCCTCATCTAGATTTAAATGTCTATTTACGATTCTTCCATGCACTATGCTGGGACTAACCTCAAAACTAAGTGATACTAAGTTGTAAAGAGTTTTCTCTACCAGTTAATGTTTGTATAATAATGGCTTTCCTTGACCAGACTTCTATGAACATCCAATGGTGGGACTTGCAAGCTGTGCTGGCCAACTAGAGTAGAAGGGGCATTGATTGGTACAGGAAGGAGTGTCGGTGCCACGTAGATGGCCACACTTTATTTTGGAAAATACTATATTAAGCAGCTGTACAAGGGTTACTTGTGATATCAACAAGCCCTGTCTTTCAGGACACAGAAATAGATTTCATAAACAAAATCCTACATTTAAAGGAAATTCACTAAAATAGAATTTTCCTTGCAGATGTGATGAACATATATTATTGGACTATCAAAAACAAAAATCCCTGCTTCAAATAGTAGTGAAGACTATGGGTTGCAAACTTCACATATATAAGAATTTCTTCAGATGCTCATCAAAAATACAAATGCTGGGATCCCAGTGATTCTGGGATGGCCCCTAGGACTCTGCATTTTAATGAGTACACTACATGTTTCTCTTGCAGGTGGTTTAAGAATGGTGTTTTGAGAAAAACTATTGTAGACTCATTCTCTATAGCCGTAGTTCTCAACTGGGGGCGAATTTGCTACCAGGGAACGTGTGGCAATGTCTGGAGATATTTTTGGCTGTCACAGCTTGAGGGGAGAAGGATGCTGCCAGCATCTAGTGGGGAGAGGCCAAGGAGACTGATAGCCATGCAACAATGCACAGTACTATAATCACCCACAACAAAGAATTATCTGATCGAAAATGTCAGTGGTGCTGAGATTGAGAAGACCTACCCTATAGCCACAATGACCTAGTTAGACCTCGGTCTATGACTCAGAACATTCTGCTTTTCGTCTGCCATTCCCCCGTTGGTCAAGCCTGTGAATGGTGCCCAATCACCAGTTTCCCCAATCCATGCTGGCTTAGTCCCAGGGATTACTATAGAACATTCTGACAACCTTGCTTCAAAGATTTAGGTTGGAAAATGCTGTCTCATTTCTGAGCCTTTGGTGGCAATTATGCTACTGGGCTTGAAGGACCATCAGCTCCTCTGAGGCCACTCCTGAAACATCACTGCATTTGGCAGATCTGCTGATGCTGGAGAGATTTCTCTGTGGATTTCCATTCTGCGTGCAGTTCTGAAACAGTGGAGTTGGAATCAACGTAGATGATAGAAAAGCATGGTTAAACTAGAAAGCTGTGGAGGCTTTGCTGACCATTTCTGTCTGTCTCATTTCAACTCAACAATTCAACAAACTGTTCTGTGCCAGGCAAAGTGGAAGGCATGGGGAAGGATTCAATATTGGACCAGACAGTCATTTCCTCAAGGAATCCAGCGTTAGCTTCCTTCACCTGTCTTCTCTCTGCTGTGTACTTCTTCTTAACCCCCACAAACATGCCCTTCCTTGTGATTTACTTCTATTTGTTGCTTCCTTAGGATCAACAAGGCTAAAAGGACCCAAAGAGACCAATCTAGAAGTCCCAGAAAAGGTAACAAAAAAAGCCCCTCTTTATAGGAAAGTTCCACTAACTTATCATTTGCAAAGTAACAGCCTTCAATGGAGCTATTAAATACCAAATTTCCACACGGGAGAATGATCTCAGTTAATGCCTCTAATTCGGAGAATGTGCCCAGTCAAGAGGTTACTCTGCTAGTTTGAGTGTAGTCATAAGACTCTTGTTCTTTAATGCCAAAAGCATTGAATTGTAACATACAGGAGTCAGAGTAAAAACAGTGACCCCTACCAGCCCCTCCTGCACACCCTATCTATACGTCCAGGATCACCCAAGTGATCTCGCAGCACTAAGAGGCTAGGTTATAGTCAGTGTAGACAGAAACTCCATGCAGGTTTTCTTGAGGAAGAAAAATTACTCAACGAAACCCCATCCACTCTCTTCTCACCCACACCATGCACTCTCCTTTGCCTCCTTTGTAAAAGCAGCTGCGAACTTCTGGACTCTGAATTCAGGATAGGAGAAGTAGTAAACAGGAGAGAAGAGGAGAAAGGGACAGGCTGAGAGGGGCATCCAGGGAGCTTCAGCTCCCTGTTCATTTTCTTAAGGTGGGTTGTGGGTCTGTTAGTATTTGATGTATGATAATATACTAGCCTTTAAATATATGCTACATATATTCCTTGGAAAATATAAAATATTTCATAGTAATGAAATGAAAAAAAAAAGTTTCCCAGGTTAATTCTTATGGTCAGCCAGATTGTACCTGAACTGTTGGTTCATTAGTCTGCTCTTTTTCCAAACCCCTATGCCCCTATTACCTATCTTCTGAACTTACACACTCTCACTCTCTCTCTCTCCCTCCCTCCCTCCCTTTCTTTCTCTCTCTCCCTCCCTTTCCCTCTTCTCTCTCCCCTGTATCTCCACCTGCCACTTCCTCCCACTGCCTCCCTTTCCCTTCTGGCTGGGTGTCCCATTTCTGCAAAACCTCCTACTCTTTCCTCCCACAGCCTGGGCATCTGTGAGGAGGGAAGGGCTAGTATGAGCAGACCATCAGGTTAATTCTAGACCAAAGTTTCACTTTAAGATTGTCCACATGGTCCCTAAATCCTCAGATATTATTATAATGATACGTCTTTAAAAGTGTCCATTACCTAACTAACTGCACCAAGTATTTGAGACTATTCACAAAGGTGCATAGAATATAGAAGGAGCAAATAACAGTTGAGAGAATCAGAACATAGTTCTCACCACTTTGCTCAGTTGTGTTTGTATTAAATTGCTCTGTTATCAACTTAAATTGGAACTATATTTCCTAGAATCCCTATCCTTGAGGTGCTGCCTTTACTTGACTAGCTCTGGGTAAGAACTGGGTTAAAAGAAACCTTGTGCAAGAATTGTGAGACTGAAGTAAGCAGCAGCCTCCTTTTCTGAAGGTCATATGGTCAGAGGTGCTAGCAGGCTCTAGCTTCAACTTACTCTCCTCTGCTTCCATTCCAGCCATTCTTCCTGACTTCTGACCCTCTGACCAGCAGCGGCCCCAAGCCTTTCCTTAGACTCTTGGCTGCAGAGCCATAGATGTTTTTCCTGTAGGCTTTTCCACAATCTCCCTCTTGGCAACCCACTTAGGGGCTGGACATATTTGGCTTCTTGAAATGACTGGCTAAGGACTCTTGATCATCACTCCCCTATCAGACCATCCATCCCCCAGCACCCTCCTCCTCCCCACAATTGTGAAAGGTTTAATTCCTGTATAAATCCATTGTCTCATAATTCTTGGTAGTTCAGCTTCCTGGATTGATACCATGATAGATAACAGTGTTCAGGACCAAAGAGAGACAGCACAAATCTGACATTCTCTTTGAAGCATTGACTGCAAGCACCGTAGAGAGCATCTAATCCACCAGTTTCATTTTATAGATGATGAACCTGAAGTGCAGGGACATTCAGTTCAGGTCATTATCAAGATCACCCAGCTACACTGGCAAGTATAGGAACGGGACCCAGCTTACTGACTTGAATGGTTTTAAAATTTTATTTAACAATAACTATAGCAATGTTTTAAGTTACTTTTAAATATGTTTACTTTTCAAAAAAATATGTCAAAGCAGTAATTAACACTTTGATGTTGCCTAGAGGCTTATTTTAGAAGATAGAGAACTGTTATGATTATTTTGTTTAGTATCTGACAGAAAGCTGGATGGTGTATCAGACAGGTTCTAAATTTCACTATCTTTAATGAAAATCAATAATGAAGGCTATTAGAATGAAAGAAAATACGGCCATATAAGAACCTCAAAGTTGATCCTGAATCTAAAGTTACTATGGCAGCATTACTACCAAAATTGTATATATTAATTTTGTGGTTCACTAAAGATATTAGCATCTTCAGTATTTAAAATAAACATTAGATTCAAGATGTTCCTATTTATATTTTTAACAAGCAGATATGTAGACCAGGGAGTATATTTTAGCTGTCATTAAGATAGACACACAAATGCTGAAATTTCCTCACTTCTAACTCAGAATTTTCCCCCTTACAATCACATTTGCATTTATAACAATATAAATAGGATGTGTGCTGATTGAAACAGCAGTAATTGCATGAAATTATTTTTTGGGTGTGAAAGGACAGAAAGACTGAGATTGTGCAAACTACTGTTTATGTGGTTCCTGGGCAGGGCCCTGGGTAAGATCTGAGCCTGGCTGTCCCAGTGCTGAGTCCCAGGACTAGTCCTCAGGCTGTCCTGGGTAGAGCAAAGCACTCTGAATCCCATCCCTGTGTTGTCGTTCCCTAACTGTATAACCCTGAGTCAATCATGTCACCTGTCGTTGCCTCATCTGTGCAATATGAGAGTAAATCTGGGTAAGCTCTGAAGTATCCTTCTGTTCTTCAATCCCTTTTTTGTTGTAGTGTCAGGCTATATAATAATGGTATTAATGAAATTTGTTAGAGATATCGTACTATATAGATGTATCCTACTTTTCCCTAACTCATTATAATTCTGACAAATTTTCAATCACTATGGCAATCACTAACAAAAAGTAACTTTTGAGGGGAACCTATAATCCAGGCATGATTCACCATCAGAGCTTTTCTTCATAAGGTAAACTGAGCCCCATCTCAGATAAGAGTGAGTTTTGTCAGCTCACGCACCCAAAGTTCTGTGTCAGGCATTCCTGGAGCACGGTGATGTGGGTGCTATGTCACAACCACCTCTTCCTTTGTCTTCCTCTACCATGAGAGTCCAAAATGCTAAAACACTCAGCTCCCCAGGCAGTCTTGTTTCTAGAGTGGCACTGTGGCCCAGTTCTAGCCAATGGAATCTAAGCCGAAGTGACTGAGAAGGGCTTTGGGAACATGCTATGGAAGAGACAGGTGAGCTGCCATTCCTCTTCATAAGATGTCGACGTGAAGCCAAGAGGTACAGCATGCTCTTGATTGCATGAGACCAAGGCCACACACTAAGGAAGGGGCCCACCTGATGGGTTTGAGCTTTGGCCATTCTATTCCTTGTAACCAAACACAGTTTTAACTCAGACATATGGACTCTGTAAACGGTGTTCAAACAGGGCTGTAACTCACATGGCTTAAAGTAGGGAAAGGGGACAACCATGTTTAGAACACTATGCCTCAGTGCCATTATTCACAACTACAGATTTCATAACATACATAGCAAACACAAGAACAGTTCCAAACAGAACTGCAGAATGGATGCCGCTACTTTGTAGAGAAGGAACAAAGCCATGGAAAAAGGGAGTGAAACAGTGAGAAGGATCCTCCTGGGAGAGGTGGGAGAGTAAATCCCTCCTCTTCCTTCCCTTCCATACGAACTGTACCTAAAATAGCAGAACAGTTGGAGAAACATGTGCTTTAAAAATTGTTGGTTAAAAGCAAACACAAGTTTTAAAACTTTGATCATAATAATTCCTCCCAAGCTGGCAGAGCCAAGTTATGCCCAGGGCCAACCTTAGACAATTTTTAAAGTAATAACCAGGCAGGCTTGTTTCAGAACCTTCCTTTGGCTACAGGGGACCTTACTCTCTGCAGAGGCCCAGGCCTCCCTACCCTGCCTCCCTCACTCTCCCCGGTCCCAGCCTTTTCATCCTTTCACTTTTGGTACAAGGTCTCTCTCCTATTTTCTTAGTAATATGGTCTGCTTCTCATGCATCCTAGTTCATAAATGAACTCCTCAGTATAAAGTAACGTTCAAGAGTCCAGGCTTTGGAGTTAGACTGATAAGATTTGGCTAATTACTATTCATGTGGTCTTACACAAATTAACCTTGGCAAAATAGTAAGTTTCCTCATTTGGGAAATAGGGATAATAGCAAATACCTTATAGGGATAGAATTGAGATTTAAATATTTGCAAAGTATTTAGCATAGAAACATAGTAACCTTAGTAAACATTAATAATAAGTGCTGATGACTTGGTGTTATTTCACTCAAGTCATCTGGAGTTTAAAAAGAACTCTCTCAAAATGCCACATTAACACAAATTAGTTTGGGTGATATCGGGGCCAGGAAGTTCTTCCTTGGCCCATCAGATGAATTGGTCAATCTATATGCATTAGGCATCTTCAATATGCTCAGTGATGCAGTAAGCCCTGGGGCAGAGTGTGGATGTTTGTGTGTTGTGTTAGTCCATTTGGCATTGCTATAAATAAATACCTAAGACTGGATAACTTATAAAGAAAACAGGTTTATTTTGGTTCACGGTTCTGTAGACTGTGCAAGAAGCATAGTGTCAACACCTGCTTTTGATGAGGCCTCAGGGAGCTTACAATCATGGCAGAAGGTAAAGGGAGAGCAGGCAAGTCTCATCTCAAGAGAGGGAACAAGAGAGAGAAAGGAGAAGGTTCCAGGTTCTTTTTTAAACAACCAGTTATTACAAGAGCAAACAGAGTGATGAGAACTCACTCATCACTGCAGGGAGGGATCTGTCCCCATGACCCAAACACCTTCCAGGAGGCCCCACCTCCAACTTTGGGGCTCACATTTCAACAGAAGATTTGGAGGGGACAAATATCCAAACTATATCATGTATATGTGGAGAGGGGGTTGTGTGGTGTGTGTGTGTGTGTGTGTGTGTGTGTGTGTGTGTGTGTGTGTGTGTGGTGAGGGGGCACAGATGAATGAGGAGTGTTTTCTCCCCTTAGGATTTCACCTTGCCACAAGCCATCTGGGCTTCTCCCTCCAGGGTCAGCCCACCCAAATAGACCACCTAGTGCCTTGGGTGGAGTTGAGTACTTGCAGGTGTTTTGAGTAGGTTGGGAAATGATACTTTGGGCTTCTGTGAGGCTTCTGGAGGACATAACCGGCTGCATTTGGGGACTAGATGGCAGGAATGGAACAGGCTGTTCAGCACCAGTCAACTTTATCGTCTACCTACTGTTGGACCACAGAAGGATACTTCAATGCTCTTAGGTAGCCACTTCCTGCAAAAGGCGATACTTTTCTGAAGTCTAATTTGTGTTCTTAGCCTGTGATGCTCTTTCCACTACGAAAGTGATTTTCCTTTACTAAAATCCTAGATTTCAGTCCAACAAATTGAACTAGTCATAGGGGGTAAGTTGGGGTTAGAACTAAAGACTATGAATCAAAAGTAGGACTATTTCCACTGACATCAAACAGGAGTGACAAACAGGTAATTAAGGCTAGCATGTTTCTAATTAAAACTCTAATCACGTCAAGCTTTTCTGACCCAAATAGCAAGCCACAATTCCTACTGCTTAATGAAAGCAGAATTCCTAGCAATCGATGCTCCACTCTAATGCTCATTCATTTATATAAAGGTCAATTGCCACATAATATCCACAGCTGATTGCCACCCACAGGAAAAGTGGTGGGAGGGAAAAAAATGCATGTGATGACAGTTATTCTTGCCCAGCTTTCCAGCTTTTAAAAATACCTGCGTCTGCGTGATGACTACACCGGGAGGCCTTGATTGCAGCCTGTTTTTCTATAATGGATTAGAGGCAAGTTTGCTTTTTAACTGTTATACTATGATATTGGCCTATAGCAACAGGACAGTGAGTCCTTAGGTTTGTTGTCCTCATCATCACAGTTAGTCATACATAAAGAGTACATAAACACGTGCAGCTCGATTTCTTTAAATGCCTCTGTTGCTCATTGGAAAAGCATTGTCAGATCCGATTCATGTTCCCACCTGACAAATATTCAGTCTTATTTTCAAACACTTGTGGAGCAAGATAAGATACCGTAACCAAATCAGAAGAAAATAAAGATCTTAAAGGAGCTGGCTGCCAAATCACGAAGCAGAATGCTCCCTTCTGTATACTTACCTAATTTTTATGCTAGAAATTGTACCTGCTTTGTTACTTAGCTGACCATGAACAGAAAAGCAATACCCCAGAACCCAGTAGAGAATAGCAAAATCTTATAGAGCATAATACAAGGAGCCAATTTCTTTTCATCAGAGAAAAACAAATTTGTTGACGAAGCAAGTTTAGCCATAAGATCACATACTTGTATTTTGAAGCAAATTCCAAACATAAGAAGAAAATTTATTTGAAAGTGCTCTTCTGAAAAGCAGAAGGGAAGCTATGTGAATAAATATATTTGTCCCTGCAAACAAGAATGAAGTCATAGTCTGGGATGGAGTGAGCTGATTCAGAGGTTTCTCTGAGATACTGCAGTTGCTGATCCGATCAGACACATAAGGGCATGCCACCTGTGGATTCCTAGCCAGCAGATCGTCTGAGTGTTATACTTTCCATCTGGTTCTTTGCGGACTCTGATTTCCTTTCCTAGCCAGAGCCCATTGTCAGGGTAACCAGCTCTCACTTCGAGTCCCTGCCCTTCTCTTCCCATCCTTAACCTGTACACGGTTTCACAAAATGGAACATGTAGACCTTTCTTTAACCAAGAGTTACTTTTTCTGTTTTATTTTTCTCAGCAGATGCTCTTACACTGTTAACCTCAACAAACCCATTTTGCCTGAGGCGTTTATGGTCCTAAATGGCTTCACTGTGTTATAACACCCCACCCTCATTCCCACTACCACCAGGTTTGTATGTAAAGTTAAAAAGGAGCTTTCTCAAAATAATATCAAAATGTCACCACATCTTAAAAATAAAGCCCAGGTTATGAATTGTACTTTGAGCAAGCACTGTGCCTCTGGAGCCCCACACCTTTCTCAAGCAGGGCTGCTAGAATGACCACAAAACCCCAAAGCACCCACAGTAAACAGGAGGATTTGGTAGCTAGGATGGTCATAGCCAGTCACTGTTAATATCTTATAGCTGCAGGAGGACTGAGGTTGGGGAGCATGGAATCGAAGGGCACTAATAGCTGTGGGCTGACAAAGATTGCAAATCCCTGCTCTAATTCAGCCTCAGCCTCTTGTGGGGCACATTTGCATATGTATAAGTGAACTCAATTTTTCTTTCATGTCACTTTATGTATTGTACAAGATTTTAAAAACAGCATTATTGTTGCTCTTTGCTAAAGGCCAGAAAGGTCTTTCAAAGATGAAAATCTGATCATGTCACTAAGTGGCTCAGAACTCTTCAATGCCCTCCTGTTCTCTTTTAATCAAGGCCACAGTCTTTAAGGTAGCCTAGGAGCTTCTGTCTGGTGGGGCCTGGCCTGCCTCCCCTGACTCTGTTCTCTCTTTTTCCTCCTCCCTCCCTCTGCTCACTCTGCTATTGTGAAAACTGTAAAGAAGGCAGGTCTTGTTCAGGGCTGCTACAATAGATGTCAAAACTATCACAACAGGGGAGAGAGACAGAGTTCAATTCCAAGTACAATAAGGACAGCTGGGGATTTACAGCCAACAAGCAGAGCAAGGGGGTCAGTGGATGGAAAATTAAAGAGGAGACAGCAAGGGTAGGGAGATTCTTGCCAAAGGCAGGCCAGGGGAATCAGGTATCAAGAGTGGAGGGTACTTTCTAAACTGACTTGACAGGATTCTTCCTGAAACTGCATTTGCCAGTCAAAAAGAGGACATGGCCAAGGTCAGAGCCTAGTAAAGAAAAGGATCCAGAAGAGCCTAAGGGTGGTCAGGGAGATATTCTTTGTCACTCTCCAGCCTCTACACCAGCCTCCTTCCAGGCCCTCTGCTCCGGTGCCCCCTCATCAGAGGGAACATTCTTCAATGCTTCTGCTCTCACTTTAAATTGTTTAACCATAATCACCAACGTATGATTTCAAGGCTTGGTTAGGAAATATGCCGTATGATTCGAAGAACCTGTTAAACCCACACAAGAGAAAACATTTCAATATTTCCAAATCAATTATCTTAAATGAGGGTTATGTAACAAAAGGACAAAGTAAGGATGTCAAACACCCACTTTAACTTAGTAAGAAAATCATCCATGGTAAAATATTTATGTGCTTAGAATCATCACCCAAAACAGGACTTTTCTGAAGTTCTCAGTTACTGTTAGTTAAGAAGGCTCAGAAATCGAGCCAACCTCAGAAGGAAGACAAAGTTGGAGACTAAATGGTCATGCCTCCTCATCACTTCGATCTCAGCCCCCAGGTTCCCTCCCTTTAGAAGCCTTTCTTGACCCTGAAGACCCTAGGCTAGGTCTTCCTAGCTAAGGATCACCGGGAAACCATCAGAGTCTGTCCTCTATTAGCAGAGGACAGAAGCTCTTTATTATGAGCTCAGCTCATTTTCATGTCATCCTTCCCTGGAAGCAGTGTGAGCAGAGCATAAATACAGAAAACACATCGTGAGATTCCTGGAAGCCTGCTTGGGTATTTGTTTAAAAGGCTTAATCAAGTTAGTGAAAATTATGTGTTATACTACTTTGCAATTTAAAGATAAAGAAGTAAAAAATGATGTAGAGAACTCAGTTTTTTGATAAGATTCAAATCAAAGTTAATGTGTTGCTTTGAACTCCTAGTTTTTTATCTAGCTCTTACCCATGCCAATATCTGCATTAGTTTAAATAGTATCTGTGGATGGTTACGATAATTTTATGATAATAAAATTAACCATAGGAGGCAACGTCATGTTTTCTGCAGTGTTTGATAGCATTTTCATCAGCATTTCATGATATACTGTGGTATGAGCATGGTTTTCTGATGTGATATCCTTCTAAGCTGCCTGACCAGACAATGCTCATAGTGTTTTTTAAAAACACAAGTGATGTAACTTAGTCTCCAACTTTGTCTTCTGATGTTGGCTCAACTTCTGAGCCTTCTTAGCTAACAATTGTAACTGAAAACTTCAGAAAAGTCCTGTTTTGGGTGATGATTCTAAGCACATAAATATTTTACCATGGATGATTTTTTACTAAGTTAAAGTGGGTGTCTGACATCCTTACTTTGTCCTCTTATTACATAACCCTCATTTAAGATAATTGATTTGGAAACGTTGAAATGTATTCTCTTGTGTGAGTTTAACAGGTTGTTTGAATCATAAGACATATTTCCTATCCAATCCCTGAAATTATACGTTGGTGATTATGGTTAAACAATTTAAAGTTCTGAAATGGCTATTTACCTGATTTGCTGAACTGTTGATCAAAGTATCTTGTACATCTCTTTCCATGTGAAAACAATACAATTCTGAACCCACAGTCATGCCCAGAAATGCCCAGTGTTCACTTAACCAGTACTTTGCTACCCACGTAGCACTAACTTACATTGTCCCCTCTTGGCCACTGTTTCATTTATTCAAGCCCATAGCCCCATGTCATAAAAAATGTGGAGTGCTTTGTTACTATTGATTATCATTATCAACAAGACATGATCTTGAATTTGTCATAAAGCTAAAATTGTATAATTTAACGAATCAGCCAGTTGTGAATATTGCAACCAACAGTTGACAGTCCTGCTGTTGAGGAGCTAATCACAATCATAAAAACAGCTAAAATTTATTGAGCACCTGCCATGTGCCAAGTACTGTTGCTAAGCATTTTATATACATTTTCAGCATCATCAGTTAGGGTTTTAATTACCAGCTGATAAGGAGATTCTCAGTAATCACTACAGTCTTAAAAAGCATAATTAATTCTATACTTTGATTTATTACCCTTAATAATTCATTTCTTTTGAAATCCCAAAATGTTACGAGAGTGTTGGATTTTTTTTCCCAAAAAAAAAGGAGCAGGGATGAAGAGGTTTGAGAAACATTGAGGGAATAAAATAAATACACAAATAATTATAATAAAAAGCAGAAAAAGATAAATGCCACAAAAGATATATGAGTAGAAGTTCTCATCTGGCTCAAGAAGGGGAGAAAGGTAGTCAAAAAAATACTCATGAAAGAGGTCACAGTGGAGAAAAGCATTGTATGGCCAGTGGCATTTTGTTTGTTTGTTTGTTTTACAGACAACATTTGGCACACCTCAAGAAGGTAGAACAACTGATGTAGCAGAAGCAGCACAATTATGGGGGCAAGAAATGAATGGGGGTTTCAATGAACATCAAGATCTAGTCTGGTTGACAGCTAGAGGAAAGGTAAAGGAGAGCAGAGGAAAAATTCTGGAAGAGGGGGCTGGGCCAGTGCTTCGAAGGGTCCTCAAAGCAGCAGACCAGGAGCTGGGGTTGAGCTTGATAAGTAGGGGGGTACTTGAAAGCTTCCAAGCAGGGACATGATGGCATCACCCCAGCACTTAAGGAAAATGAATCCTGCAGGGATATTTCGAAGGCGCAGGTTCAGAAGGGGACTGACTTGGAGGAAATCAGCTAGAAGCCTATTAAGATGGCTCAGGTGAGAGATAATGAGGGCCCGGGCCAAGGCTGTGGTGGTGATAATGAGAAGTAGAGAAAGAACCAGCGGCATGAGGCTGAAACCCTGATCTCTGCAGCACGTCAGCAGCCCTTCAATTAATGGGTAAACGACATGGAATGCCCTCCCAAGCTGGGAAAACACCTCATGATTTCATGTTTAATTCAGCAGATCACTTCCCATTTTCAGTGCAGGGTAAAGCTTTTCTTTGTTGTTTACTTTTAATGGAAGCAACAGGAAATTTTCCAAGAGTAACTTTAAAAATAGAAATCGGAATTTGAAAAAAAGACCCCCAATTTCTTAGTTTGTCTCTGAGGATTAGCGAGAGAATGAGCCAAGTGTATGGAGTCCAAGGTTAAATGAATGCTGTGGGCAAAAAAGCCTGTTTTACAATGTGTATGTGTGACTGTGTGTGGCCTATATAATAGAGAGTTGTGCTATATTTAACTTTCTGAGAAAAGCATAGTTAAGAGGAGACAATTCTTACAAGATTGTCCTTTTGTTCAACATCACAACTGATTTTGAGTTGTCAAAATGCACAAAGAAAGAAAATTGAAGTTTCTGACCATGCCTATAACAGAAGGAAAGGCCAGTACCTGCAACATGATTAATTCATATTATAATTATGTTTTTAATTAAGTTACACTCAGTTTCTATTCTGATTCTTAAATATGTATTAAATATGTCATGCTTTATAGGCCCAGTGATCAACATTGATAACCTTCTGGTTTGGAAAAGGTTGAATTCGACCATTGCCATTAATTCCTTAGTTCAGAGGAACTCTCTGATGGGTAATAGCAGCAGAATTTTACAGTTGCTTTTAAATTTTCTAATTCTCTTACAAGTGGCTCATACTGTGTAGCTTGTTGCTAAATCTTATCGCCCAGTTTCCATTTTTCTTTATAAGTGACATCCTGGATACCAGAAAACAAAAAATGAGGATCATAAAACTGGGGTGATTGTGTGGTATAGGAAGGAGAATGCCTCCATGTTTTTATATACCAACTTCCTTTTTTCTCTCCTTTAACCTTCATTACCCATATACTTAAGTTGTGAGCAGGTGGACATTATCTGTGAGCAGCAGAAGGCTGAACACAGCAGAACAGAGTTTAATATTATAATCAGATGAAATTTGCGTTGAAAAATTTCTGAAAATTCTGATTAAGCATAATTGATCACTAAGGGTTAGCTAGTAATCTGTATGAGATTTATACAAACTAATTTGACAAGATATTTTGTTATTGTTGTTTGTATGTTTATTTTCAAATAGCTATAGTTTTTCAGTGGTATAATGAATCTGCTCCTTTGCTCTTTCTAAACTGTTACCCTACCACCATGTAAAAAAAGAAAAAAAAAAAAAAACCACCACACCCATACACACACAGGGAGAGAGGTATTTTCCTCATAATGTCAAGTGAGGCTCTTTGTCCTAAATGGAAACTCTCATTTCCTCCCCACCCTCTCCAAGATCTGCCTGCTTCCCTGAGTCTCATGTCTTCGTACCACCAGTACACTCTTTGCTTCCTTCAGCCAGAAACTTAGAAATTCTCTCTCAGAACGCTTTTTCTCCTTTGCCATCAGCATCCAAGTCCCAGAAATTTTACTCTCTAGATACCTCTGGAATTCATAGATTTTTGTTAGTTTCTACCATCACTCTCATAACTCAGGCTCATCTTATCCTTGACCTATGGTAAGACTCCAGCCTTCTTTCTTTGCAGCCAGAAATTCAACTAAATC
Source organism: Homo sapiens (assembly GCF_000001405.40). NCBI lineage: Eukaryota > Metazoa > Chordata > Mammalia > Primates > Hominidae > Homo > Homo sapiens. The sequence continues at coordinate 130,472,617 of NC_000006.12, forward strand.
ACAAACCTGAACTCCCTACTGGAACCTACTTGATTACGTATAAATTAAAGGCACTCTTCCATAGCATGGCATATGAATCTGCCTATGACCTGGTCCTGCTCTTTCTCTCTGCAGTCTCTAATACCTTAAGCTTTAAAATTACCAAATGGGAGTGGGCTTCATGGTAGATGAATTCTAAATATGTTCGCCCAAGATTCCCATCACCTGGTTATTCAGTCAAATACTAATCTAGATATTGCTGTGGTGATAGATCCTGCAGATGTAATTAAGGTTACTAATCAGCTGTCCTGAAGATACAGAGAGTAGCCTGGGTTATTCCGGTGGGCCTAGTGTAATCACACAAGGCCTTAAAAGCACAGAACTTTCTTCAGCTGGAGGAAGGCCAGATGAGGTATACAGATTTGAAGACTAAGAAAGACTCAACCTACAGTTGCTGGCTTTGAAGATAAGTGGGACCATTAACCAGGGAAAGCAGGCTGAGAACTGCCTCATCCAATAGTCCAGAAGGAAACAGGGACCACAGGCAGAACTGAATTCTACCAACAACCCAAAGGAGAGCTAGAAGCAATGTCTCCTCCAGAGCCTCCAGATAAGAGCCCAGGCTGCCTGATACCTTCATTTCAGCCTTGTGAGGTCTGGAGCACAGAAACCAGCCAAGCCCATCAGACTTCTGACTTGAAGAGATATAGGATAATAAATTTGTATTAAGATGTTGAGTATGTTCATACAAACCATCTTTTTAATTCTATTCAATGTTCTAAGTTCAACATACATGTTTGAGTCCCTATTACTTGCTGAGTGTTATGCTAAATGCTGCTGTGTGTGTGTATGTGTGTGTGTGTGTGCATACACACTTAGGCATCACTTAGTGACAGGGATATATTCTGAGAAATGCATCATTAGGTGATTTCATCATTGTGCAAACATCAAAGAGCATACTTATATGAACCTAGATGGTATGGCCTCCTACACACCTGGGCTGTATGCTATAATGTATTGCTGCTAGGCTGCAAATCTGTACAGCATGTTACTATACTATTATAGGGTATTATAACACGATGATAAATATTTGTGTGTCTAAACATATCTAACATAGAAAAAATAAAGATACAGCATAAAAGATAAAAAAAAAATGGTATACCTGTATAGGGTAGCTCCATTGTAATCTCATGGGGCAACCATTGTATATGCAGTTTGTCATTGACAGAAATGTCATTATGTGGCACATGGCTGTATATATGACCACTAGGTGTATGTGATCTCATGGTCATATATACATTTGACCTTACACAATTATGACAGCTGGTTAAACAGTCTAGGTAAAGATCTTGCATCTGTGTTGAAGCTTGAAGTCAGTAGGGCAAGCAACTGGGAGGAGAAAAATAACGTGTGAAGTGACAGGAACAGAGAAGGCCAACTGGAACCCAGAAGCGCAAACTGGAACTCATGACACACTGGAACCCACAGTGATTACTCACCACCCTCAGGCCTCCTAGAGGATGATGAGGTGTTTTTTTATGGCAAAACTAAACACACATCTGGCTGAGAAGTCCGAGAAGCTGAAGGAGGATCTGGTGGAAGCTGGAGCAGCTCCATGCCCATTGTTGCCCGATGCTAACAAGGTGAGCTAGCAGCTGGATAAACAGCAACACCAACGTGGATAAGCTGCAGCAGCACCTGGTGCCTCTGCACCTACTTTCTGAGCATTAAAAGAATATCATTGCCTCTTCTGCCTTCCAGATCTTGCCCAAAATGTCTCTTGTGACCCATGCTAACATGAAACTATGGAGGGAATGAAATTTTGGGAGATGTAGTTTCGGCTTAGCTAAGTTGACATAGTATAAATTCTCTATATTCCACTGTCAACTTGCCATTGATATCTACCTCCTTTTACCATGTTTAACTTACAAATATGACAAGATCATGCTTCTGCCTAACTGAAAACATAGTGACCCTCTATCCCAACAATACTGAGTGTATTTACCCATCTTTAGGTGATGTGCATTCCTCTTCTAGCTGACAACTGAGATACGGGCTTAACTACTATTAACACATGTCACATGGTAGAAGAATAGGACAGAGGAAGCAAAGACATTTTTTACATCAAAATAAGAAATAATTGAGCTATTACAGTCTTTGTTTCTATAACACACCATGTGGTCATAGCTGTAAATGAAACTACCACCTTCCACTACCTATTTCCTATTCCCTTTGCCCTCAGCAAGCACTTCAGATAGTCATGGTTCCTTGCCTGAGAGAGTCACCTTAGCCTTCATTCCTGAAGAGTCTGGGCCATTAGCAGTCCTGCCTAAATTAGGTTGATACAGTTTTTTTGATTGACTTAGTCCAGAACATAGGAAAAATGAAGAAAAGCCCTATGAGGTCTCCTGCCTTCCAGACATGTTCCTCCTTACCTCATTAAGTAACAGCCCCATTTCCTCTTGATAATCAGGATCGATCTTCCCAGCCACCACTGTAGCTCCCTTCTTTGCCTGAAAATTGGCTGGCATGAGTTGTACAAAGAGGCAGGTGGCAGCTTCAACTTTCAGTTTTGTGAACCCACTGCTGTGTCTCCTGGTGGAAGCATTCCTCACTTGGAATGTAATATATCTAAGATCATCAGAGTCATAAGTCCTGAGTACAAGAAGCAAAAATTTCACTAGTTGATTGCTAATGAGAAGCGCTACTCCATTTCTAGCCCTTTGATTCCTAGGTGTGTGAATTCTAGCTATAGGAGAAATAGCCACTACTTATTGGTCCCTGATATAAAGCATATACCATATTCTGGAGGACATTACTCCAGCCCTTGTGTTGCTATCCATAATTGAGTCTTCAAAAAGCCATTGTTGCATTCCATCAGGCAAGCTGCTTCACAATGATAAAGAATATAATCAGAATTGGTGGAGCCAAGATGGCAGGATAGGAACAGCTCCGGTCTATAGCTCCCAGCGTGAGCGACGCAGAAGACGGGTGATTTCTGCATTTCCATCTGAGGTACTGGGTTCATCTCACTAGGGAGTGCCAGACAGTGGGCACAGGACAGTGGGTGTAGCGCATCGTGCGTGAGCTGAAGCAGGGCGACGCATTGCCTCACTTGGGAAGCGCAAGGGGTCAGGGAGTTCCCTTCCCTAGTCAAAGAAAGGGGTGACAGATGGCACCTGGAAAATCGGGTTACTCCCACCCCAATACTGTGCATTTCTGACGGGCTTAAAAAAAAGCGCACCAGGAGATTATATCCCACACCTGGCTCCGAGGGTCCTACGCCCACAGAGTCTTGCTGATTGCTAGCACAGCAGCCTGAGATCAAACTGCAAGGTGGCAGCGAGGCTGGGGGAGGGGTGCCCACCATTGCCAGGCTTGCTTAGGAAAACAAAGCAGCCCAGAAGCTCGAACTGGGTGGAGCCCACCACAGCTCAAGGAGGCCTGCCTGCCTCTGTAGGCTCCACCTCTGGGGGCAGCGCACAGACAAACAAAAAGACAGCAGTAACCTCTGCAGACTTAAATGTCCCTGTCTGACAGCTTTGAAGAGAGCAGTGGTTCTCCCAGCATGCAGATGGAGATCTGAGAACGGGCAGACTGCCTCCTTAAGTGGGTCCCTGACCCCTGACCCCCGAGCAGCCTAACTGGGAGGCACCCCCCATTAGGGGCAGACTGACACCTCACACGGCCGGGTACTCCTCTGAGACAAAACTTCCAGAGGAACGATCAGACAGCAGCATTCGCGATTCATGAAAATCCACTGTTCTGCAGCCACCGCTGCTGGTACCCAGGCAAACAGGGTCGGGAGTGGACCTCTAGCAAACTCCAACAGACCTGCAGCTGAGGGTCCTGTCTGTTAGAAGTAAAACCAACAAACAGAAAGGACATCCACACCAAAAACCCATCTGTACATCACCATCATCAAAGACCAAAAGTAGGTAAAACTACAAAGACGGGGGAAAAAACAGAGCAGAAAAATTGGAAACTCTAAAAAGCAGAGCGCCTCTCCTCCTCCAAAGGAACACAGCTCACCAGCAATGGAACAAAGCTGGACGGAGGATGACTTTGACGAGTTGAGAGAAGAAGGCTTCGGATGATCAAACTACTCCGAGCTACAGGAGGAAATTCAAACCAAGGCAAAGAAGTTGAAAACTTTGAAAAAAATTTAGACGAATGTACAACTAGAATAACCAATACAGAGAAGTGCTTAAAGGAGCTGACGGACCTGAGAGCCAAGGCTCGAGAACTACGTGAAGAATGCAGAAGCCTCAGGAGCCGATGCGATCAACTGGAAGAAAGGGTATCAGTGATGGAAGATCAAATGAATGAAATCAGCGGAGAAGGGAAGTTTAGAGAAAAAAGAATAAAAAGAAACGAACAAAGCCTCCAAGAAATATGGGACTATGTGAAAAGACCAAATCTACGTCTGATTGGTGTACCTGGAAGGGACGGGGAGAATGGAATCAAGTTGGAACACACTCTGCAGGATATTATCCAGGAGAACTTCCCCAATCTAGCAAGGCAGGCCAACATTCAGATTCAGGAAATACAGAGAACGCCACAAAGATACTCCTCGAGAAGAGCAACTCCAAGACACATAATTGTCAGATTCACCAAAGTTGAAATGAAGGAAAAAATGCTAAGGGCAGCCAGAGAGAAAGATCAGGTTACCCACCAAGGGCAGCCCATCAGACTGACAGCTGATCTCTCAGCAGAAACTCTACAAGCCAGAAGAGAGTGGGGGCCAATATTCAATATTCTTAAAGAAAAGAATTTTCAACCCAGAATTTCCTATCCAGCCAAACTAAGCTTCATAAGTGAAGGAGAAATAAAATACTTTACAGACAAGCAAATGCTGAGAGATTTTGTCACCACCAGGCCTCCCCTAAAAGAGCTCCTGAAGGAAGCACTAAACATAAAAAGGAACAACCGGTACCAGCCAGTGCAAAATCAGGCCAAACTGTAAAGACTGTCAAGGCTAGGAAGAAACTGCATCAACTAACAAGCAAAATAACCAGTTAACATCATAATGACAGGATCAGATTCACACATAACAATATTAACCTTAAATGTAAATGGGCTAAATGCTCCAATTAAAAAGACACAGACCGGCAAACTGTATAAAGAGTCACGACCCATCAGTGTGCTGTATTCAGGAAACCCATCTCACGTGCAGAGACACACATAGGCTCAAAATAAAGGGATGGAGGAAGATCTACCAAGCAAATGGAAAACAAAAAAAGGCAGGGGTTGCAATCCTAGTCTCGGATAAAACAGACTTTAAACCAACAGAGATCAAAAGAGACAAAGAAGGCCATTACATAATGGTAACGGGATCAATTCAACAAGAAGAACTAACTATTCTAAATATATATGCACCCAATACGGGAGCACCCAGATGCATAAAGCAAGTCCTTAGTGATCTACAGAGAGACTTAGACTCCCACACAATAATAATGGGAGACTTTAACACCCCACTGTCAACATTAGACAGAGAAATGAGACAGAAAGTTAACAAGGATATCCAGGAATTGAACTCAGCTCTGCACCAAGCAGACCTAATAGACATCTACAGAACTCTCCACCCCAAATCAACAGAATATACAGTCTTTTCAGCACCACACCACACCTATTCCAAAATTGACCATATAGTTGGAAGTAAAGCACTCCTCAGCAAATGTAAAAGAACAGAAATTATAACAAACTGTCTCTCAGACCACAGTGCAATCAAACTAGAACTCAGGATTAAGAAACTCACTCAAAACCACTCAACTACATGGAAACTGAACAACCTGCTCCTGAATGACTACTGGGTACATAATGAAATGAAGGCAGAAATAAAGATGTTCTTTGAAACCAATGAGAACAAAGACACAACATACCAGAATCTCTGGGACACATGCAAAGCAATGTGTAGAGGGAAATTTATAGCACTAAATGCCCACAAGAGAAAGCAGGAAAGATCTAAAATGGACACCCTAACATCACAATTAAAAGAACTAGAGAAGCAAGAGCAAACACATTCAAAAGCCAGCAGAAGGCAAGAAATAACTAAGATCAGAGCAGAACTGAAGGAAATAGAGACACAAAAAACCCTTTAAAAAATCAATGAATCCAGGAGCTGGTGTGTTGAAAAGATCAACAAAATTGATAGACCGCTAGCAAGACTAATAAAGAAGAAAGGAGAGAAGAATCAAATAGACGCAATCAAAAATGACAAAGGGGATATCACCATCGATCCCACAGAAATACAAACTACCATCAGAGAATACTATAAACACCTCTACGCAAATAAACTAGAAAATCTTGAAGAAATGGATAAATTCCTCGACACATACACCCTCCCAAGACTAAACCAGGAAGAAGTTGAATCTCTGAATAGACCAATAACAGGCTCTGAAATTGTGGCAATAATCCAGAGCTTACCAACCAAAAGGAGTCCAGGACCAGATGGATTCACAGCAGAATTCTACCAGAGGTACAAGGAGGAACTGGTACCATTCCTTCTGAAACTATTCCAATCAATAGAAAAAGAGGGAATCCTCCCTAACTCATGTTATGAGGCCAGCATCATCCTGATACCAAAGCCTCGCAGAGACACAACCAAAAAAGAGAATTTTAGACCAATATCCTTGATGAACATTGATGCAAAAATCCTCAATAAAATACTGGCAAATCGAATCCAGCAGCACATCAAAAAGCGTATCCACCATGATCAAGTGGGCTTCATCCCTGGGATGAAAGGCTGGTTCAACATATGCAAATCAATAAATGTAATCCAGCATATAAACAGAACCAAAGACCAAAACCACATGATTATCTCAATAGATGCAGAAAAGGCCTTTGACAAAATTCAACAACCCTCCATGCTAAAAACTCTCAGTAAATTAGGTACTGATGGGACATATCTCAAAATAACAAGAGCTATCTATGACAAACCCACAGCCAATATCATACTGAATGGACAAAAACTGGAAGCATTCCCTTTGAAAACTGGCACAAGACAGGGATGCCCTCTCTCACCACTCCTATTCAACATAGTGTTAGAAGTTCTGGGCAGGGCAATCAGGCCGGAGAAGGAAATAAAGGGCATTCAATTAGGAAAAGAGAAAGTCAAATTGTCCCTGTTTGCAGATGACATGATTGTATATCTAGAAAACCCCATCGGTCTCAGCCCAAAATCTCCTTAAGCTGATAAGCAACTTCAGCAAAGTCTCAGGATACAAAATCAATGTGCAAAAATCACAAGCATTCTTATACACCAATAACAGACAAACAGAGAGCCAAATCATGAGTGAACTCCCATTCACAATTGCTTCAAAGAGAATAAAATACCTAGGAATCCAACTTACAAGGGATGTGAAGGACCTCTTCAAGGAGAACTACAAACCACTGCTCAATGAAATAAAAGAGGATACAAACAAATGGAAGAACATTCCATGCTCATAGGTAGGAAGAATCAGTATCGTGAAAATGGCCATACTGCCCAAGGTAATTTATAGATTCAATGCCATCCCCATCAAGCTACCAATGCCTTTCTTCACAGAATTGGAAAAAACTACTTTAAAGTTCATATGGAACCAAAAAAGAGCCCACATCGCCAAGTCAATCCTGAGCCAAAAGAACAAAGCCAGAGGCATCACGCTACCTGACTTCAAACTATACTACAAGGCTACAGTAACCAAAACAGCATAGTACTGGTACCAAAACAGAGATATAGACCAATGGAACAGAAAAGAGCCCTCAGAAATAATGCCGTATATCTACAACTATCTGATCTTTGACAAACCTGACAAAAACAAGCAATGGGGAAAGGATTCCCTATTTGATAAATGGTACTGGGAAAACTGGCTGACCATATGTAGAAGGCTGAAACTGGACCCTTCCTTACACCTTATACAAAAATTAATTCAAGATGGATTAAAGACTTACATGTTAGACCTAAAACCATAAAAACCCAAGAAGAAAACCTAGGCAATACCATTCAGGACATAGGCATGGGCAAGGACTTCATGTCTAAAACACCGAAAGCAATGGCAACAAAAGCCAAAATTGACAAATGGGATCCAATTAAACTAAAGAGCTTCTGCACAGCAAAAGAAATTACCATCAGCATGAACAGGCAACCTACAAAATGGGAGAAAATTTTTGCAACCTACTCATCTGACAAAGGGCTAATATCCAGAATCTACAATGAACTCAAAAAATTTTACAAGAAACAAACAAACAACCCCATCAAAAAGTGGGTGAAGGGTATTAACAGACACTTCTCAAAAGAAGACATTTATTCAGCCAGCAGACACATGAAAAAATGCTCATCATCACTGGCCATCAGAGAAATTAAAATCAAAACCACAATGAGATATCATCTGACACCAGTTAGAATGGCGATCATTAAAAAGTCAGGAAACGACAGGTGCTGGAGAGGATATGGAGAAATAGGAACACTTTTACACCGTTGGTGGGACTGTAAACTAGTTCAACTATTGTGGAAGTCGGTGTAGCGATTCCTCAGGGATCTAGAACTAGAAATACCATTTGACCCAGCCATCCCATTACTGGGTATATACCCAAAGGACTATAAATCATGCTGCTATAAAGACATATGCACACGTATGTTTATTGCAGCACTATTCACAATAGCAAAGACTTGGAACCAACCCAAATGTCCATCAACGATAGACTGGATTAAGAAAATATGGCACATATACACCATGGAATACTATGCGCCATAAAAAACGATAAGTTCATGTCCTTTTTAGGGACATGGATGAAGCTGGAAACCATCATTCTCAGCAAACTATTGCAAGGACCAAAAACCAAACTCCGCATGTTCTCACTCATAGGTGAGAGTTGAACAATGAGAACACATGGACACAGGAAGGGGAACATCACACACCAGGGATGGTTGTAGGGTGGGGGGTAGGGGGAGGGATAGCATTAGGAGATATACCTAATGCTAAATGATGAGTTAATGGGTGCAGCACACCAGCATGGCACATGTATACATATGTAACTAACCTGCACGTTGTGCACTTGTACCCTAAAACTTAAAGTATAATAATAATAAAATAAAATAAAAAGAAGAAGAAGAACTCACCAGGCGCAGTGGCTTACGACTGTAATCCCAGCACTTTGGGAGGCCAAGGCAGGCAGATCACAAGGACAGGAGATAGAGACCACCCTGGCCAACATGAAGAAACCCTGTCTCTACTAAAAATACAAAAATTATCTGGGCGTGTTGGTGCGTGCCTGTAACCCCAACTACTAGGGAGGCTGAGGCAGGAGAATCACTTGAACCAGTGAGTCGGAGGTCACAATGAGCCAAGATCAGACCACTGCACTCCAGGCTGGTGACAGACTGAGACTCTGTCTCAAAAATAAATAAATAAAATAAAAAAATAAAAAATTTAAAAAAACAACTTGAAACAGAATTACCATTCAACCTAGCAATCCCAATATTGGGTATATGCCCAAAGGAATATAAATCATTCTACCATAAAGACACATGCATGAGTATGTTCATTGCAACACTATTTACAATAGTAAAGACATGAATTCAACCTAAATGCCTATCAATGGTAGACTGGATAATGAAAACGTGATACATATACACCATGGAATACTATATGGCCATAAGAAGAACAAGATCATGTCCTTTGCAGCAATATGGGTGGAGCTGGAGGCCATTATCCTAAGCAAACTAATGCAGGAACAGAAAACCAAATACCATGTATTCTTACTTACAAGTGGGAGCTAAACAATGAGAACACATGGACACACAGAGAGGAATAATAGGCACTGGGGCATATTGATGGTGGAGGATGGGAGGAGGGAGAGGATCAGAGACAAATACCTATTGGATACTATGCTTACTACTAAGGTGACAAAATAATTGATTACTATGCTTATTACCCGGATGAAAAAATACAGCTGTTTGGTGTAATCTTTTCACCAACCCCCTGCAACATGCAGTTTACTTATATAACAAACCTGCACATGTACCCTTAAACCTAAAATAAAAGTTAAAAAAAATTCTGGTGAAGAAAAAAAAATAATGTATCAGTGAATTCCATGAGTTTGAACTCATCACCATACTTCATTAGCTGTTATCACCAGGAACAAGGTCATTAATGACTCAATCCAGTCACATTGGAGAATCCATTTTGATAACACAAAACCATTTCCAAGAATCTACTCTTAAAATCCTGTTGTGAAACCACTTCCAGTATCAAAACCACTTCCTGTAGCAGTCAGGGTTCAATCAGAGAAACAGAACCACTGGGATTTATTAAAAGAATTTGACTTTACATATTTGTGGGAACTTCTTAAACAATCTATGTAGCATTATTATCTTTATATCTAGGGTGGGGATTTGAGGCCACTGGAAAGGGAAATTGAATGTGAAGATGGGAGAGAGAGGAAAACCTGAAACCCACAAAGATGGGCTAGAAACTGTGTTGTTCTCTCCTTGGCTCCAAGCCTCCAATTTTGATGACCTGGGTGTCCTATAGGAGGTACAGATGCATTTGGCCCAGAAGTCAGACAAGCTGATGGAGCATCTGGTAGGAGCTAGAGTAGCTGCGTGCCCAGCACTGCCTGCCACACACCAACGAGGTGAGCCAGCACATAAGCGATAATATGTGAGAGCTGCATCAGTGCTTGGTTCACCAACTACCACGTGTAAAAGGATATGACTCCTGCTTCTGCCTTCCAAATGTCATGCAAAATATATCGTATGGCCCATGCTACAGGGAACTATCCAGAGAAGGTGATAGTGGGAAATATAGTTCATCGTCACTGAGTTGGAATAATACAAATCCACCAGAATATGTAACCTTTGAGGGAATATGATGAACTGAAACAGATCTCACTAATGAGATAGCAGTCTTTCAGATAGCCGTGGTGTGCCAGTTTCAACTTTTTCTGTCGTAAGTGTTGTGAACACTTTTTCTGTCTTATAGATATTCAGTGAAGTATACCGGGTATCCTGATTATTTTTAGAATTGTTGTTGCTAGCAGTCAAAACCCACATTAAATAACCCAATCTCTGCAGTTTATAGTATATTATGTTGAATAGACAGAGAGAGTATGCTGTTTTGAACAGAACATGGAGGTATAATTGGACTGTGGCCAGATGGCTATCTAAATATAGTTCAATGCAGATAGGATCCGTTTCTTGTTAAAAGTTTTTACATCTGCTCTCTAAACAGACTTTTTTTCTCTGTTTTCAAAGGGAATGTGTTTGTGTATTTACCTTTCCAAATTCACTTTTCCATTGTGAAGATCGAGCATCAGTAAAGGGGTAAAAGTGATGCCTACTTGAGGACAATGTTGATTCCTATGTTATAGATATTGCTAGAAGTTGAGCGGGGATAGTGGGGCATGAAGAAACATCCTTATTCCTTCCCAGATTCTAACAAAATAGAGAACAGGCTCACAAACTATCAGCTTCATTAGTTGTTAATCACCCCTGGACTTAGAGGCTTCTGTAAACTATGGTGGTCATATAGCTTAGACTAAGCCAATGGGACCTTCTTCCCCCTGATTCTTGGGGATTGGCTGTGAACACCAAATATACAGTGCAGCTATCAGTGTATCACTTGTCTATTCTAACCTCCTGCAAGATGAGCATGCTGGCCTCATGTACCCAGTCACTGTTGAAAACCATAATGTTCTGAGTCAGGGTCCCTGTTTTGTCAGAGAACTCATGTTTGACCTGGCCAAGCTCCTCATTAAGGGTGGTGGTACGAGCCTGTGCTGGTATGTTCTTTGCTTCATAAAACATCTTCCAGGACAGGGAGAGAGTGACCAAGAATAGGCCTATCCATGATGGGGGAACAGATGGGCTTCTGGTAAGAGAGTAGCAGGAAGTTAAAATGAGGGCTTGAATGAATAACCATGCCCCTCATCTGATTTCATGGAGGTTCATGGGGGCAAAAGGGCCTGCCACGCATGAACCATGTACCCTACCCACCAAAAACCTGGGACATTCTGCTTCCTGGGGGCAGGAAGTATAAGAGGTCAGAATAGGTCTCCCTGATCTTCACCCCTTGTGGATAGAGGAACAGAAGTCTTTAGTTATGCGAATGTTAGATGGAAGGAAAAATAACTAACAGATACTGATTAGTATAGATCTACAGTTACAAACTGCTTTCATATAAATATCTAGTCAATCCTTGCAATCATTTTGTGAAGATAACTGTTTTTCCTATGAAAACAGCAAATACATTTTATTCTCCTTTACTGAAAAGAAAGCCAAAGTCCGAGGAGGCTACATGGCTAGCCCAAGGTCACCACAGTATCACTGTTATTATAAAACCAGGACATAAACTAGGCCTTCTAACTGCAATTCACTCTCTTTGTACCAAGAGTGTTTTCAGGAAGAAATCTTGGAGATCATCCTGCCCAAGCTCCAGAAGACAAACCTCAGGCAATGGTGAATCTTCTGTGATTTTTATTAGGGCCTGCAATCCCAGGGAAGCAAGAGTGAGGGAAAAGGGAAGTTGGACAGGAGAGGAGTGAGAACCAAAGTGTATGTGACTGAGTCAGCCACTGCTTTGTAGCAAGCTAAGACAGCATTTGAGGGTATACTCTTTGTCAAGCACTGTTATAGGATTTTACATGTAATAACTCTTAACCCTTGCAACAACCCTATAAGCTATGTAATTATTCTCATTTTATACAAATAAGGAACCAAGGTGCAGAGAGGTTACACACCTTGCTCATGATCACTCTGCTAGCAAGTGCCAAGCTGTAGCTTAAAGACTGCTGTATGATGCTAGACACTGTACACTTAACCCCTCTGCTCCCCTGGCTCTCTAGTACTGGAGCTTTCACACAGATGGTAAGCAGAAGAGGCAGGGGTTGGCCCATCCTCCCATGGCAAATCTGAAGCATTGATTAGTATGTATATACATTATATACCACCAAACCCTGAATGAAAGCTGCTTTAGGGCAGAAAATGTTCCATTCAAATCTACCATATGAAATCTACCTAATCACTAGTAGAAGCATACTTAGATACAATAGAATACATACTTTAATACGTACTTTAATAATTTAATAGAATACTTCTATTGTATTACAGATTGTTTTGAAGTTTTATTTGGGCAGGAGTTGAGGAGCAGAGAGCAAGGGCTGCTTTCATATTTAGGATATATTCTTTTGCAAGTGGCATTCTGATCAAAATTCTTAGATAATCAAAAGAATATTGATTTTCAGGCCATCAGACCACTTATTTCTCCTGGTATAAGTAACAAAATCCTAGAATAAAAAGTAAACAAGACAGAATCAGGGCCATGGAGTCCTCTTAGTGATGAGAGGATAACAGTGCCACACAAAACCCCAAGATCACCTGGTATTACTTTATAGACATGTCTATGAAGTAATTCAGTTGAGTAGGTATATTTTCATTGACATTAATCACTGTAAAGTCTGTTGTGAAAGGCGTAATCACAAAAGCTAGTTGACAACCAATCCCTAGTCTCCGAGGAACAGACAGCACTCAAAATAGATTACATTTGTTGTACAGGTGTAACAAAGGCTACAGTGTCTTGCTTATAAGTCTTCTTCAGAGATTTAGTGAATCTTCGAAGAATTTAATGTCTTCTAAGAGGAGCTTCAGGGACATTCAGAAATGTCACAAGATAAAAATTGCCTAAGAACTACTAGTTTTTACAGGAAGCATTCTTAGTGTTCAACCTTTGATTTACCTTATGTAGGTGACACCAGAGATGACAGCATGCTTTCCAGAGACTTTTGAAGTATAGTGATTTGTGGAGAATAGCATTATATAAAATCCATTTATAAAAACAACTCTGTTTGCATCTTTAAAGCTGTAACTAAGTCAACGTTTTAATTTCCTTGGTTTTGACATTTGAAAAACACTCACTCCATTAAAAGCAGGGACTTTAAATATTTAGTGTATTCCCAGTGCAAAGAACAGTCAGGCCCGTAGAAATGTACAATATGTATAACTGGCTCAAGTCTGGCTGCTCACCACTCAGAGGCAGAAAATAGGAGAAGGGAGGTGTGGTGAAAGGAAAGCAACTTTATTCAAATGCCAGCAGTTGAGGAGTGGCCCGGCTTATGCACTTTAAAAACCATTCCAAATCTTAGGCCGAGGGAAGGGGCTTTCAAAAGGGAGGCGTGGCACGGGAAATATGCAGGAGTAATGCTGGATGCAGGTCTGCGTGTCTTGCTTCAAGGGCTACCTTGAACTATTGTCTACTTGCAGTGGTGGCTGCTGCCTTCTCAGTTGCAACCATGTTGTAGATTATTCGTCTTGAGGGTAAACTCGAAGGTGGGGAGAACTGCACAGCTGGGCCTCCTTACCTGACTTGTTATAAAATTAGCCCCTGGAGAGAAGGGCGTGAACCTGGAAGGCGGAGCTTGCAGTGAGCCGAGATCGCGCCACTGCACTCCAGCCTGGGGGACAGTGCGAGAGACTGCGTCTCACAAACAAACAAAACAAAACAAAAAAAGGCCAAGCGTGGTGGCTCACGCCTGTAATCCCAGCACTTTGGGAGGCCAAGGCGGGAGGATCACGAGGTCAGGAGATCGAGACCATCCTGGCCAACACGGGGAAACCCTGTCTCTACTAAAAGTACAAAAAATTAGCCGGGCGTGGTGGCGGGCGCCTGTAGTCCCAGCTACTCGGGAGGCTGAGGCAGGAGAATGGCGTGAACCCGGGAGGCAGAGCTTGCAGTGAGCCGAAATCTCGCCACTGCACTCCAGGCTGGGCAACAGAGCGAGACTCGTCTCAGAACAAAAACCAAAAAAATTAGCCCCTGGAATTTCTCAACAAGCATGCAGTTAGATAAGTATGTATGGTGCAAGGGAATGTCTGGTGGGAAAGGGAAAGAAGCAGAGTTGAAAATTACTTTTTAAGGCTGCGTTTTAAGACTAAGAAAAAAGTGTCTACACACTTCTCAAAAGAAGACATTTATGCAGCCAAAAAACACGTGAAAAAATGCTCATCATCACTGGCCATCAGAGAAATGCAAATCAAAACCACAATGAGATACCATCTCACACCAGTTAGAATGGCGATCACTAAAAAGTCAGGAAACAACAGGTGCTGGAGAGGTTGTGGAGAAATAGGAACACTTTTACACTGTTGGTGGGACTGTAAACTAGTTCAACCATTGTGGAAGTCAGTGTGGCCATTCCTCAGGGATCTAGAAATAGAAATTCCATTTGACCCAGCCATCCCATTACTGGGTATATACCCAAAGGATTATAAATCATGCTGCTATAAAGACACATGCACACGTATGTTTATTGCGGCACTATTCACAAAAGCAAAGACTTGGAACCAACCCAAATGTCCAACGTTGATAGACTGGATTAAGAAAATGTGGCACATATACACCATGGAATACTATGCAGCCATAAAAAATGATGAGTTCACGTCCTTTGTAGGGACATGGATGAAGCTGGAAACCATCATTCTCAGCAAACTATGGCAAGGACAAAAAACCAAACACTGCATGTTCTCACTCATAGGTGGGAATTGAACAATGAGAACACATGGACACAGGAAGGGGAACATCACACACTGGGGACGGTTGTGGGGTGGGGGGAGGGGGGAGGGATAGCATTTGGAGATATACCTAATGCTAAATGACGAGTTAATGGGTGCAGCACACCAACATGGCACATGTATACATATGTAACTTGTGCACATGTACCCTAAAACTTAAAGTATAATAATAATAAAATAAAATTAAATTAAATTAAAAAAAGAAAAAAGTGTCTACAGTCTGTTTCACGGTTACTTTTTTTTTTGGTGAAATGATCTTTAATAATATATTTTATATAACACAGTGTATCCAAAATGCTATCATTTCAACATGTAATCAATATACAAATATTAATAATGTATTTTTTTTTATTATACTTTAAGTTCTGGGTTACATGTGCAGAACGTGCAGTTTTGTTACATACGTATACACGTGCCATGGTGGTTTGCTGCATCCACCAACCCATTGTCTACATTAGGTGTTTCTCCTAATGCTATCCCTCCCCTAGCCCCCCACCCCCATACAGGCCCCGGTGTGTGATATTCCCCTCCCTGTGTCCATGTGTTCTCATTGTTCAA
Organism: Homo sapiens; assembly: GCF_000001405.40. Taxonomy (NCBI): domain Eukaryota; kingdom Metazoa; phylum Chordata; class Mammalia; order Primates; family Hominidae; genus Homo; species Homo sapiens. The sequence goes on from NC_000006.12 coordinate 130,488,701, forward strand.
CTCCCACTTATGAGTGTTTGGGTTTCTGATCTTGTGATAGTTTTCTGAGAATGATGGCTTCTAGCTTCATCCATGTCCCTGCAAAGGACATGAACTCATTCAAGATTACATCTTAAGACTAGAGAGAAAGGAGGGGGAAAAAAGGTTTTAAAATGCATTTTGAAGCTAAAGCTACTCAGTTACATAAAGAATGAAAGAATGTGAATAATTCTGAAAGAGAAGCATTTTCATGTGCAGTATGGTGATGCTAGTTGCATTATAGGTAATGGCCAAAACGGTAATTCTTTTTGCATCACCCTAATACTTAGCACTGTCCTTGGAAAGTGAGCTCCGGACCCAGGAACATCACCAGTAGCAACCTATTCACAAGTGAGGAAGACAGCCTCAATCTCTCTTAATGGAGGCACTTTATACTATAGATCACTCCAGTTCCTTTTGTTTCTGATTTATACTGACCAAGCAATATTTTGAATAGAATTTAGCTTCCTGGGTAACTCTTGAATTTAGTAAGAGACTGTGCTAAATTATTGATTCAAGCGCTCTAGTCTTTCTTGTCAGTTTTATTTCTCATTGTATATTTATAAATTATAACTCTTTTAATGAATCAGTCTCCTGTGAATTTGATGAGCATGAATCTCGTATCCATAAATGTCTTACCAATTTTTGATGTGCTGACAAAAATGACCTTTTAGCCTTGCAAAGTTGTAGGAAAAAAATATCATTTTTGGAGGCAGACAGATCTGAGTTTAATTCTTAACTCTAACGACTGAATGTGTGAGCTGAAGGAGGTGGCAATTTTTCTGAGCTTCAGTTTCATGATTTCCTATTATGAAAATGTGGGCAGTAAGTGGGGATAAGATGAGATATCACAAGCAAAGTGCCTATAGAGGGCTTGTTGTAAATGCAGTGCATTTTCCTTTTCTCTTTCTCCAAAAAGATAAAAGAACAGATACACTAGTACTTGCTCACCCAGAAATGCTGCTGCCTGCCAGCATGTGAACAGAAGAGCCTGCAGGTATTCCAGATAACATTGGTTCTCTGTCTTCAAGCTGGGATAGCCTAGATGTCATAGCAGAGTTCATATGACTTCAGATGTAAACTCCTGCTTTATCTCATTGATCTTATTAGATATTGAAAAGTCCCTCACAACCTACGGTCAATCCTGTCTGGCTTCTGTCAGTTCTATTCCTACCAGCAGGTGAATCTGGAAATACTCTTTGCCCTAAGCCTATTTTAGACCCTAGGATGCTTAATGCTTACCAAGCTGCACTATCCAAGTTTACCATTGTTTTGAAGCCTGGCCCTTGGGTGGCACCTGCTTAGTCATGACCCTCATCCTACCCACTTCTCACTGATTACTTTTGTCCATGAGGTCCCAGACCACCTTAAATGTGGTCCCATAAGAATATTTCTGACTATGTGACTATATTTCACTTTAATTTTTGATATATTTAGTGGGCCAAAAAGTCTTTTTATGATACAGCAACTTTGCTTTTTAAGATTTGAGTAGGAGAGAAAACAGATGGTTTGTATATACTGAGACATACAAATATAAAGATTAGCTTTCTTTATGTATTTATTTATTTTTACCCTTTAGCTATGGATATTTATTTCTGTGAACTTATTTACATATAATTAAAATACCTAGTTTTTAAGGGCAGAATACATCCTTATTCCAAACTATAGAAATATAATGTTGGAGGCTTTTCAGGTAATAAGGAAGGATAAAATGGGAGAAAAGTATCAGAGTTCAATTTTTTAAAAATAATTTACCAATATTTTTAATGCTTTCAAATAGATTTTTATTTTTTCTCCCAATTTTTAAGTTCAGGGGTACATATACAGGATGTGCAGGTGTATTAGATAGGTAAAGGTGTGCCATGGTGGTTTGCTATATGGATCATCCCATCACCTAGGTATTAAGCCCAGCATCCATTAGCTATCCTTCCTGATGCTCTCCTTCCTTCCACCCCCTACCCTCTGACAGGCCCCAGTGTATGTTGTTCCTTGCCATGTGTCTATGTGTTCTCATCCTTCAGCTGCCACTTATAAGTGAGAACATGCAGTGTTTCGTTTTCTGTTCCTGTGCTAGTTTGCTGAGGATAATGGCCTCCAGCTCCATCCATGTCCCTGCAAAAGACATGATCTTGTTTCTTCTTATGACTGCATAGTATTCCATGTGTATACGTACCACATTTTCTTTATCCAGTCTATCATTGATGAGCATTTAAGTTGATTCCATGTCTTTGTTTTTGTGAATAGTGCTGCAATGAACATATGCATGCATGTATCTTTATAGTAGAATGATTTATATCCTTTTGGTATATAGCCAGTAATGGGATTGCGGGGTCAAACGGTTATTCTGCTTCTAGGTCTCTGTGGAATCACCACATTGTCTTCCACAATGGTTAAACTAATTTACACTCCCACTAACAAGGTGAAAGTGTTCTTTTTTCTCCTCATCCTCTCCTGCATCTGTTTTGTTTTTTGTTTTCTTTTGTTTTTTACTTTCTAATAATAGCCATTGTAACTGGAGTGAGATGGTGTCTTATTGTGGTTTTGATTTGCATTTCTCTAATGATCAGTGATGTTGAGCTTTTTTTCATATGTTTTTTGACTGAATGTATGTCTTCTTTTGAGAAGTGTCTGTTCATGTCCTTTGCCCACTTTTTAATGGGGTTATTTTTGTCTTGTAAATTTGTTTAAGTTCCTTGTAGATGCTAGATATTAGACCTTTGTCAGACAGATAAATTACAAAACATTTCTCTCATCCTGTAGGTTGTCTGTTCACTCTGATAGTTTCTTTTGCTGTGCAGAAGAGCTTTAGTTCAATTAGATACCATTTGTCAATTTTTGCTTTTGTTGCAATTGCTTTTGGCATTTTTGTCATGAAATCTTTGCCCATGCCTATGTCATAAATAATGTTGCCTAGATTTTCTTCTAGGGTTTTCATAGTTTTAGGTTTTACATTTAAGTCACTAGTCCATCTTGAGTTGATTTTTTTATATGGTGTAAGGAAGGGGTCCAGTTTAAATTTTCTGCACCAGTTTTTCCAGAACCACTTATTGAAAAGGAAATCCCTTCTCTATTGCTTGTTTTTGCCAGGTTTGTCAAAGATCAAATGGTTGTAGATGTGTGGTCTTATTTCTGCGTTCTCTATTCTGTTCTCTTTGTCTATGTGTCTGTTCTTGTACCAGTATCATGCTGTTTTGTTTACTGTAGCCTTGTAGTATAGTTTGAAGTCAGGTAGTGTGATGCCTCCAACTTTGTTCTTTTTGCCTAGGATTGCCTTGGCTATTGGAGCTCTTTTTTGGTTCCATATGAATTTTGAAACAGTTTTTTCTAGTTCTGTGAAGGATGTCAATGGTAGTTTGATGGAAATAGCATTGAATCAATACATTGCTTTGGGAAGTATGGCCATTTTCACGATATTGATTCTTCCTATCATTGAGCATGGAATGTTTTTCATTTGTTTGTGTTATCTCTGATTTCTTTGAGCAGTGTTTTGTAGTTCTCCTTGAAGAGGTCCTTCACTTGCCTTGTTAGCTGTGTTCCTAGGTATTTTACTCTTTTTGTGGCAATCGTGAATGGGAGTTCATTCATGATTTGGCGCTCTGCTTGCCTGTTGTTGGTGTATAGAAATGCTAGTGATTTTTGCACATTGATTTTGTATCCTGAGACTTTGCTGAAGTTGCTTATCAGCTTAAGAAGCTTTGGGGCTGAGATGATGGGGTTTTCTAGATATATGATCATGTCATCTGCAAACAAGGATAGTTTGACTTCCTCTCTTCCTATTTGAATACTCTTTATTTCCTTCTCTTACCTGATTATCCTGGCTAGAATTTCCAATACTATGTTGAATAGGAGTGGTGAGAGAGGACACCCTTGTCTTGTGCCAGTTTTCAAGGGAAATGCTTCCAGTTTTTGCCCATTCACTATGATATTGACTGGGGGTATGTCATATACGGCTCTTAATATTTTGAGGTATGTTCCTTCAATACCTAGTTTATTGAGAGTTTGTAATATGAAGGGATGTTGAATTTTATTGAAGGCCTTTTTTTGCATTTCCAAATAGATTTTTAAATTTTTGTTTTAATTTTTATTTTTTTAAATTTTAGATTCAGGATGTACATGTCCAGGTTTGTTATGTGGGTATACTGTATGACATTAAGGTTTGGGCTTCTAATGATCCTGTTGCTCATGTATTGAATATAGTACCTAATGGGTAGTTTTTCAGCTCTTTTTCTCCTCCAAACCTCCCCCATTTTGGAATCTCTAGTGTTTATTGTTCCCATCTTTGTGTCTCTGTGCACCCAATGTCTAGCTCCCACTTATAAGTGAGAATACTCAGTATTTGGCTGTTTCTGTGCTAATTCACTTAGAATAATGGCTTCTAGCCACATCCATGTTGCTGCAAAGGATATGATTTTGTTTTCTTTTTATGGCTGCATAAAGTTTGGCTTTAAAAACTCTAATATTACTGAGTATTTGTTAACTGACAAAATTATAAAGGATTTAGGACAATGAAGTCTTTAAATTCAGCCTGGATACAGGTAAAATCCTCTAATTGGTACAAATTACCTACCCTAGGAAGAGGGTATATCATGAATCATTATTCTACTAAAAGCAAGCTTCATCTTATAACTATTTTAGGTCCCTATTTGCTGTGCTGATTTTTTGTTTGTTTATTTGAGATGGAGTCTCACTCTGTTGCCCAGGCTGGAGTACAGTGGTGTGATCTCGGCTCACTGCAACTTCCACCTCCCAGGTTCAAATGATTCTCCTGCCTCAGCCTCCCAAGTAGCTGGGATTACAGGCGCCTGCCACCACACCTGGCTAATTTTTGTATTTTTAGTAAAGATGGGGTTTCACCATGTTGACTAGGCTGGTCTTGAACTCCTGACCTCAAGTGATCCACCCGCCTCGGCCTCCCAAAGTGCTGAGATTACAGGCGTGATCCATCCCGCCTGGCCTGTACTGATCTTAAACATAACTATATATACTCTCTCTCAACTCATAGTTAGTTATGTCCAAGATATACAAAACTAATACGGACACACATTAGATCAGAAAAACCATGCCAAACAAATATGCAAGTGAATGATAAATTGTTTTAATTGTATATGATTAAAGGGCAGGTACATTTCTGATCTGTAAATTAATGAACCATTTAGCCTACCAACTCACAATATAAGCATAATTTATATTCAAAAGAATGCACATATTTTAAGTGTATAGTACCATGAGGTTTGCAAATGTATGTAGTTGTGAACCCACCATCACAATCATTTTTTTTTTTTTTTGAGATGGAGTCTCACTCTATCGCTTAGGCTGGAGTGCAGTGGCACAATCTCAGCTCACTGCAACCTCCGCCTCCTGAGTTCAAGCAATTCTCCCTGCCTCAGCCTCTCCAGTAGCTGGGATTACAGGTGCCTGCCACCATGACTATCTAATTTTTGTATTTTTTTTTTTTTTTTTTTTTAGTAAAGATGGGATTTTACCATGTTGACCAGGCTGGTCTTGAACTTCTGACCTCAGGTGATCCACCCACCTCGGCCTCCCAAAGTGCTGGGATTACAGGCATCAGCCACTGTGCCTGGCCACAATCTTATAGAAAATTTCCACCCTCCAAATTTCCCTAATGCCTTCTTGCAGTAAAGCTCCCTCACACTCCCATCTTTTTAGGATCAAGCAACCACTTTTTTGACTTCTGTTACGCTAAATTAGATTTGTCTTTTCTAGATTTTCATACAAATGGAATTATACAATGTGTACCTTTTGATGCCTGCCTTTCTTCACTTAGCGTAATGTTTTGGGAACTCTTCATGCTGTTGCATATGTCAGTAATTTCTTTTCATTGCTCAGTAGTATACCATCATCTGGATATAACACAGTTTACATTTTTGAATTTACCCTGTTTCCCCTGTTGAGTAGACATTTGGGTTGTTTAGAGTTTGGGGCTATTATGTATAAAACTGCTGTTTGTATACGTGTACATGCCTTTTTGTAGAAATACTTTTATTTCTTTTGAGTAAAATACCTAGGAATACAATTGCTGGGTCATATGGTAAATGTATGTTTAACTTTTTAAGAAACTGTTAAACTAGTTTCCAAAGTGTTTATGTCATTTTAAATTCCATCTTGCATAAAGAGAGTTCCAGCAGTTCTGCATCCCCAGTAACATGTAATTTCAGACATTCTATAGGGTGTATAGTGGTATGTCATTGTGGTGTTATTTCATTTTTCTCTGATGACCAGGATGTTGCACATCTTTTCCTGTGTTTATGGCCATTGACCTGAATTCTTTTGAAAAATGTCTGCTCACACTTTTTGTCTACTTTTTTTGTCAGAAATAGGAACTGGAAATATTTTCTCCGAGTCTGTGCATTGCATTTTTGTTTTCTTAATGCTGGCTTTAAAATAACAGCAGTTTTTAATTGTAGTGAAGTCTAGTTGATCGCTTTTATTATTTTATGTTTTGTGATTTTTGAGTCCTATTTAAAAACTGGTTGTCTAATCCAAGGTGGTTAAGATTTTCTGCTATATTTTCTTCCAGAGTTTTTATAATTTTTCTTTATTTGTTTAGGTCTGTGATCCATTTGAAGCAATTTTTGCACATGATTTATAATTTATTTCCATATACATACATATCAAATGACATTGGCACCATTTGCTGAAAAACTATCTTTTCCCCATTGAGTTACCTTGGCACTTTTGTGCAAAATCAATTACTATATATGTGTGGCTTTTTTCTGGTTGCAGTTTTCCATTCAACTGATCTGTCTTTCCAACAATACCACATTGTCTCAATTATCACAGCTTATGGTAAATCTTGAAATCAGAGAGTGTGAGTCCCACAACTTTGTTCTTCATTTCCAAAATGGCTTTGGCTATTCTATGTCTTTGGCTTATTCGTAAAAATTTTTAAATTGCTTTCTAGTTTCTACCAAAAAAAGCTATTCATTTTGGTTGAGATTGTGTTGAATATATAGATCTCTTTGAAGAGAATTGACATCTTAGCTATACTGAATTATTTAATCCATGAACATGATATATCTCAATTAATTTAGGTCTTACCTAATTTTTATTATTGATATGCTATCATTTTTATTGTAGAAGTCTTACACATATTTTATTAAATTTATTTCTAATTATTTCATTTTTAATGCTATTCAAAGGCATTTTTAAATTTTAAATTTTCTTTTGTTGTTAGTACACAGAAATGCAGATGTTTTGTATATTTACCATGTGCCCTGTGACCTTGTTGAACACACTCTTGAGTTGAACACACTTTATATTTTTAAAGTAAAAATAAAACTGTCTAGGACATTTACCCACATATTTACCGTTTGTGTTGCTCTTCATTGTATAGATCTTAGCTTCCATCTGGATCATTTTTTTTCTACCTGAAGAACTTCCTTTAATATTTCTTGTAGGCCAGGCATGATGGCTCACGCCTGTAATCCCAGAACGTTGGGAGGCTGAGGTGGATTCATTGCTTGAACCCAGGAGTTTGAGATCAGCCTGGACAATGTGGTGAAACCTATCTCTACAAAAAGCATAAAAATTAGCTGGGCATGATGGCACACACCTGTAGTCTCAGCTACGTGGGAGGCTGAGGTTGGAGGATCACTTGAGCCCAGGAGGTCAAGGCTGCAGTGAGCCATGATTGCACCACTGCACTCTAGCCTGGGTGACCGAGCAAGACCTTGTCTCAAAAAAAAAAAAAAAAAAAATCACTCATAATCCCATTCTAATCAATACAAAAATAAAATTAAAATAGTATTTCCTATAGTGCAGGTCTTCTGCCAGGTACCTAAGCCCATGGCTTCACACAGCAAACCTGTTTCCAATCCCTCACTTATATATCTCAACTATAGAAATATAATTTAAATTTATACATATATTTATATATATATATATTTAAAAGATTTACATTTATAAAAATCATCAATTTTAAAATATTTATATGAAACTCTGGCTCCCTTTACTGGCAGAAATGAGACATCTAGACACCACTGCTTGCTTCTGGTACCAGATCTTAGAATACCAGTGGCTTCAGCCCTATGTTCATTTTGGTGTAGTTTTTGTTCATGAAGATGTTTTATCTTATTTTTTTGAGCCTGGACATATATTTTTGGATTTCAATTTTTCTATTTTTTCTGTCACTGCTATCAGTTCGAAGCCTAAGCTAAATGCATAACTCAACTATGTTATCTTGACTGGGAAGCACAACAACAGACATTTCCTTTTCACCTGCGTTTGTATTTAATACCATAAAATAAGGAGATTTCCTTTTTATTCCTATGTATTTCAACTATGCTATCTTGACCAGAAGCACTGGCAACAGTAGGCATTTCCTTTCACCTGCATTTGAATTTATATTTCACCTGCATTTGTATTTAATGCAGGCAAAAAGAAAATGTCGACTGTTGCCCTTCCCAGTAAGATAGCATAGTTGAGTTATGTATTTAGCTCAGGCTAAATGGGAATTGGTGAATGGATCTTACTAAACAGAAGAAAAATACCTACCAAATAAAAGAGAGGACAATCCATCTTATATCATAACTTGCTAAAAATAGTATGTCCAATTTTTAAATTTAATTTTTAATTAACTGTAATATACTTAAAATACTAATACGTAAAATATACTTTCTGATTATAATATAGTTATTATAACTTTCTGTGTAACTGGGTTTTCTAACACTTATGGGTATTACCTAGGGGCACTCCTTTTTAAAATACTAAAATATGTTGTAAAGTATAAAATATCCATGCAATTAATGTGTCATCAAAATTATTTATAACTATCTGCCAAGCTTACAAGATATTTCATTTATCCTACCCACAACTAATACATTACTATTAACTGATGTTGATAAACATTTAGAAAAAATGAAAGCAACAATGAAAAGAAGCCCATCCTTGACGACGGGTAGTTAGGGGCAGCGGCAGAAAGACACTGTACTTATGAACTCCTCACGTATTTCACGCCTGTTCCATATTTTAGAAGGAATTGTGCTGAAACTGTGCAGGAGAAGAATTTGAGAAAATGAACTGCAAATTTTGCAGAATATCTTCTATAAGCACACAAAAACGATAAATGGAGTATTCTGTCACGTTTCTCTCTTCATTTTTAGTTTTCTTATTTGAAGTTACACTCTTAGCTAAGAACGATAACACCCCTAGTCTCTCCTGTTTATACCCTAATATACTGTGTCCTCTGCTACTGTTCATGTAAATGGGCTGCATGGAGAGATCTGGCTCTCTTTCACTTCCCATAAGAAGAGTGGACAGTCAACCCAGATAATTCAGGACAAATGTTCCACTGGGGCCCTGAAGCATCTTGTTTGTTATTCATATTAATCACATTAACTACATAATGGCCAAATCCCATTTTGTCCTGTATGGTATTGAGGCAATCTTAATGTTTTATTATTATTCTATGCAAATTCATTTTTACCTGATTAGTTTGACTGCCACAACACAAGATAAGCATCATTCACTTAAAGAATTGGCAGGGTCAGAAACTGAACCTATTTTTCTAGGATATGGGTTCTACATCTTAGGGATTAATAAAAAAGTAAAACAGATTTGCTAAGAAGCAATCATATTTCCCCTATTGGTTTTATCCCTATGACAAATCAATAAAAACAAGAGAATCAAGACAGATTGTACATATTCCCAGTTTTTAAAAAATACGTCTTCAATTCAGGGTTTCTCAATCATAGCACTATTGGCATTTTAAGCCAGATAATACTTTGTTTTGGTGATTGTAGAATGGCTAGCAGCATCCCTAGCCTCAGATGCCAGTAGCACCCCGTCTCCTCCCAAGTTAGGACAATCAAAAATGCCTCTGGACATTGCCATATATTCTCTGGAAAGAGGGTTAAAATCACCTCCTATAAGAAACATGGCTTGGATTTTGTATTATTTCAGGAGGATATTAGTGTTTTTCACCTTCCAATCCCTTCAATTTACTATTAGAGATGTGACCTAAGACTGTGTCTATGCAGACCCAGCCCCCATAACACTCCGTTTTTTTCTATTCTATACACAGATAATAAATGTTATGAATTTGCAATCTGAGATATTAACCAGCTATTCTGGTCTGTTTAGTCACCCCACCACCAACCATCCTTGGACAACAATGTGAGAGTGCCATTTACCAAGAGACTGAGAGGGGAATCTTCAACACTCAGCAAAGATACCGAAATCTAGGCTCCTTTGACTTCAAAGCTATCCGTGGAGGTTCAAAGACCAAGTTTAGATTGGCACTTAAATCCCCTTAATGACTAAAACTTTATTGCTATTGTATTTGAAATAAGCAAGATAAATTTTGCCATCAGTTTGACATTTACATTTCATGAGACGCTTGATGTATATAAAATCTCAGTGTTGCCAGACTTGCATAGCAATTCATATAAAACTCTATGCTAACTCTTTATAAATTGAGCATAATACAGATAATTTACATGAAATGAATAATTCAAACACATAATGGTTTTCTTGACGCTTTAATAGAAATTGACTTAGTTTCTAAAAGCAGGTTGATTGCTGTGGCTTTCTCATAAACCCAAATGCTACTCTTGTGTATCTATCTATTTTTTAGACTTCTTTTTGAAAATCCTGATATGTGACTTAATTTAATATAATTTGCATATCGATATCCTTAGATTGTCTCTCCAGCTCTTGACTCAGTTCTTTGAGGTATTTTCTAATGTTTATAGGAATAGTCCATAAGCACAGTCTATAAGCAGCCACTCTGTGTGAATAATGAAGTGAACGAGAAACACCAACACTGAAATATAAGTCCAAAGGAATATGCACCTGTTGGATAGTGTTCATACTACAAATATGACAAGATAATTTTATAAGATTCTCTAAAGAAACAGACCTGATAAAAGAATAACCATTTAGTACTCTATGTAAAAAATAGTCATGTCTTTTTTCTTAGGTGCAGATACATAAAAGCATGAGGTTAGAAATCGATGAACTTAAAACAAATGCATGAAGAGTTATACTTATTTATTAATTATGTCTTTTCCATTATTTTTCTGGGATTTGATAAGAAAGACAAGTAAGCAGAGGACAGAGGTAATTCACAAATTAAGAAATATAATTAGAAACAAATTTTGAAACATATACAACCTAGCTGGCAGTCAGGTATATGAAAATTAAACCAAGCTGCCATTTTTGTGACTATTAAATTAGAAAGAATATATTCAGCTTGTAATATCAAACATTGATGACAGTTTCTCCCTAACTTGCATACATTTTTAAGGCATTATTAATTATTTCTTTTGAAAAACAGATTGAGAATTGTTTAGAGAGCAATATATAACACGCATTCCATTTTCAAATGTACACATAATTTAATCTGACAGTTTTACAGTACTAAAATTCATCTTAGAGAATATGTTATGATTTCTGGGTCAGAGGCATGTTTTGTCTTAATCCTTAAAATACAGTAGCAGCTTATTTATCAAGAACCAAACCTAGAAATCTATATTAAGGAAATAAAATCTGAGATACAAGAAAGCTATATAAATAATAATGTAATCACTGTTTATTTAAAAAATTTGAAAAGGCCAGGTTTACTACCATAGGGAAATGTTTAAGTAAATTACACAGAACATCCACCGTATGGAATACAGCTATTAAAATATACTTGGAAATTATATATGTCAAATGCATATGATATATGAAATACAAAATTGTAATTAAAGAATAAAAGAAGAATATTTAGAAGAAAGAGAAATAGAAGTAGCAGTGGTGTTTTTTTTTTTTTTTTTTTTTTTTTTTGAGACGGAATCTCGCACTGTCACCTGGGCTGGAGTGCAATGGCATGATCTTGGCTCACTGCAATCTCCGCCTCCTGGGTTCAAGCAATTCTCCTGCCTCAGCCTCCCAAGTAGCTGGGATTACAGGTGCCCGCTACCACGCCTGGCTAATTTTTTGTATTTTTAGTAGAGGCAGGGTTTCACTAGCCAAACTGGTTTCAAACTCCTGACCTCGTGATCCGCCTGCCTCGGCCTCCTAAAGTGCTAGGATTATAGGCATGAGCCACCGCGCCCAGCCATAGCAGTGCTATTACAGCAAAAATGTATGCCTTCCCAGTCCAGACCACAGATTTGAAGTGCATGCAAAATGAAACACAGGAGGGATTTCAAGTATTCGCCATCTGAAAGACTCAGTCTGGTATTAATAAAAACAGACTGATAGATTTTTACTTGCTTTGCTGAGAATTTCAAGACTGAGGAAGGAACAAGAGGAATGACTCACTCCTCAGCAGGATACAATATAATGCATTAAGTGCTTCACATTTTGCAAAGCAAGCTCCTTCACATTCAATGTTTCATCTCAATTTTGACCAATCTCATTAGTGAAGAACTGTTTCAGGTTATGCAAGTGACAGTGATCTTGGGAGTAGTTGACTATGCCATCTTAGGGGTCATAATAGTTAAGGAAGGGAGTCTGGGTATAAAATCATGTATTTTGCCAGACTTTGTAAAGTAGATTTCAAAAAGCTCAATATAACTAGAAGGTGAGAGAGAAAAAGAGAAGATGGCTCAAGAGGTTTATGGGGCAAGGGTGGGGGTGTCTTCAAAGCTATATTCTGATGATGCAATTATCACAATGAGGAAGAATATGTGAGGGCATTTAAAGAGTCATTGTGGACTGGGCACAGTGGCTCATGCCTGTAATCTCAACACTCTGGGAGGCTGAGGCGGGTGGATCGCTTGAGGTCAGGACTTCGAGATCAGCCTGGCCAACGTGACAAAAACCTGTCTCTACTAAAAATATAAAAATTAGCTGGGCACGGTGGTCGGTGCCTGTAATCCCAGCTACTCAGGAGGCTGAGGCAGAAGAATCACTTGAACCTGGGAGATGGAGGTTGCAGTGAGCTGAGGTTACGCCACTGCACTCCAGCCTGGGCGACAGCATGAGACTCTGTCTCAAAAAAAAAAAAAAAAAAAAAAGTTATTTGACTGCTCACTGTGGCTGATGCATCCAGAATTTTTAAGTATACTGATGAATGGCAAAAGGAGGGACAAAGGCAGGATAAGAGCAAAAGAAGGACAAATGAGAATTACGTTAGTAAGATTCGATCCTAAAATGTGCTGAGGTCTACTCATACTAAGGATTAAAAAGTATTTCAAACCATGGAAAGGAAAGGAGAAGGTCACTTTTTTGGGGTTTTGTGGTATAATTTTAACATATAGCAATCAGTGGCATTTCTCAGCGTTTTCTTTTTCTTTTTTTTCTTAGGTCTTCTCTATCAAGGAGAAAATTTTCAAACTGTAAAAAATAAGATAAACATAGGCAGGAAGGAAGTGGAGCCCAAGATTTAATAAGAAAGTAGTGGAGCACCTGAATACGTTTCTGTATCTGGAGACCATGCCACAGGCCCATAGCCTGGAAGTTTTTAGAAACACAGAATTCCAGGGCCCACCCTAGACTCCTGAATTAGGATCTGCAGTTTAACAAGCTCCCCAGGTAATTCATATTTTAAAAGCAATGGACTCAACAATGGAAGTCTTCAGACTCTGGTGAAATGAAACAACTAATAGCTATAATTCCTTGAATGTTGTCAAATCTTTTAAGAACACAGCAGAGAGGCCTAAAGATGGGCAAATATCCCTACTTACCAAGAAATGTACATTCTAAAAAATGCAGGGTAATGATATTTTATACACTCATAGAAAGGAACATTTGTAGGGATTTAAAATAATATGACCTTTCTGAAAAGTAATTTGGCAATAGATACAATACCAGCAATCCATTTCTAGGAATCTGCATTAAGGAAATAATGTGAATTGAAAAACAAACTAAGAAAATGCTGTAGGTTCAAAGATACTCATTTCACATTGTTTAAAATAATGAAAATTTGGAAGAATCTAAACATTTAGCAATAGAGAAGTTATTAAGTATAGCAGATGCCAATGTGATACTGAAAGAATTTTCTTCTTAATGTACAAAAGCACTTGAATACTTGAATGCACATACTACAATGTCAAGTTAATAAATAAAAGCAGGAATAAAACTTTAAGGACCAAAATAAGAATGATTTTTTCTTTATACTTTATAGTATTTTCTACAAAGAGCACGTCTATCATAATCAAAGAAAAATAAACATTATTTTAACATATATATAACACATGTATAAAAGCCTGAAAATATAGCAAAATATTACCAGTTTTTGTTCACCCTCTATGTAGTGGGATAATCAAGTTTCTACACATTTCTCTATATTTTGCACATATTTATAGTACAAATAATAATAATTAATATTCATATTTATAATCAGAAAATATCTTTTTTCAAAGGGAAGCCATAATATTTTGCATAAATTACCCCCAATACTTAACAACTGTGTAAGAATTTTGAGATTGGCATTTGAGGGAACTCATTACTTAGAAAGTGCTTTCATTTTGGCACAGTCTCTGGCTCAATAAATACTTACACAGCAATGAATATTTAATTAAGGCTATTATAATCACAGAAGTGCATAAAGCAAAGGAATTTTTAGAGAATTAAAAGAACTTGTCCAAAAAATATTGATAAATGGACTCATGTCAAACTGAAAGGAGGTTTCTGATGTTATGCCAGGTGGTTTTGCCTTGTGAAGTGTTTTACTTGGATGATGACAGAGGCATGTTTAGCTCATATGACTGTGATGCAACCCTAGGAAAGCTAGCAAGAGGCTCTGTGACAGAATCAAAATTAAACATCTCAAATCAATTGAATATGATAAATACAATGGAAAAGATTTAAATAGTAAAATAAAATAGATGGTTTAAAACATTTATAACTACAAATTATCCTTGTTTGCAGATGATATGATGTTATATTTGGAAAACCCTAAAGACTCCACCAAAAATCTATAAGAACCAAAAAACAAATTCAGTGAAGTTGCAGGATACAAAATCAACATACAGAAATCTAGCATTTCTATATGCCAAGAGTGAAAAATCTGAAAAAGAAATTGAGAAAATAATCCCATTTATAATAGCCACAAATACAGTTAAATACTTAGGAATTAACCAAAGAAGTAAAAGATCTCTACAATGAAAACTGTAAAACACTGATGAAAGACTTTGAGGAGGACACCAAAAAAACAGAAAGATATTTCATGTTTATGGATTGGAAGAATCAATATTGTTAAAATGTCCAACTACCCAAAGCAATCTATAGATTCAGTACAATCTCTATCAAAATAGCAATGATATTCTCCACAAAAATAGAAAAAAATCCTAAAATTTATATGAAATCTCAAAAGACCCAGAATAGCCAAAATTTTTCTGAGCAGAAGAACAAAACTGGAGGAATCATATTACTTGACTTCAAAGTATACTACAGAGCTGTAGTAACCAAAATAGCATGGGACTGACATAAAAACAGACACACTGACCAATGCAACAGAATAGAGAACCCAGAAACAAATCCACACACCTACCGAACTCATTTTTGACAAGGATGTCCAGGACTGAGGAAAAGAAACTCTCTTCAGTAAACGATGCTGGGAAAACTGGATATCCATATGCAGAAGAATGAAACTAGACTCCTGTCTCTTGCCATATACAAAAATCAAATCAAAATGGGTAAAGACTTAAATCTAAGACTTCAAACTATGAAACTACTTCAAGAACACATTGGGGAAATGCTCCAGGACATTGAACTGGGCAAAGATTTATTGAGTAATACCCCACAGGCAAAGGCAACCAAAGCAAATATGGACAAATGGGATCATATCAAGTTAAAAAGCTTCAGCACAGCAAAGGAAACAATCAACAAAGAGACAACCCACAGAAGGGGAGAAAATATTTGCAAACTACCTGTCTGACAAGGGATTAATAACCAGAATATATATATATAAGAAGCTCAAACAACTCTATAGGAAAAAAATCTAACAATCTGATTTTTTTTTTTTTTTTTTTGAGACGGAGTCTCGCTCTGTCGCCCCGGCTGGAGTGCAGTGGCGGGATCTCGGCTCACTGCAAGCTCCGCCTCCCGGGTTCACGCCATTCTCCTGCCTCAGCCTCCCAAGTAGCTGGGACTACAGGCGTCCGCCACTACGCCCGGCTAATTTTTTGTATTTTTAGTAGAGACGGGGTTTCACCGTTTTAGCCGGCATGGTCTCGATCTCCTGACCTCGTGATCCGCCCGCCTCGGCCTCCCAAAGTGCTGGGATTACAGGCGTGAGCCACCGCGCCCGGCCCAATCTGATTTTTTAAATGGGCAAAAGATCCAAATAGATATTTCTTAAAAGAAGATATACAAATGGCAGACAGACATATGAAAATGTGCTCAACATCACTGATCATCAGAGAAATGGAAATCAAAACTACAATGAGATATCACCTCACCCCAGTTAAAATGGCTTTTATCCAAAAGATAGGCAATAACAAATTCTGGCGACGACGTGGAGGAAAGGGAACCCTTGTTAGTGGGTTGTAGTGGTGTGAATGTACAATCACTATGGAGAACAGCAGGGAGGTTCCTCAAAAAACTAAAAATAGAGCTACCATATGATCCAGCAATCCCACTGTGAGGTACATAACCAAAATAAAAGAAATTAGAATAAATTGAAGAGATACCTGCACTCTCATGTTTGTTGCAGCACTGTTCACAATAGGCAAGATTTGGAAACAACCTAAGTGTCCATCAACAGACAAACGGATAAAGAAAATGTGGTATATATACACAGTGGTGGAGTAATATTCAGCCATAAAAAAATGAGATCCTTTCATTTACAACATGGATGGAACAGCAGGTCATTATGTTAAGTGAAATAAGCCAGGCACAGAAAGACAAACTTCTCATGTTCTCACTTATCTGTGGGAGCTAAAAATTAAAACAATTGAACTCATGAGATAGAGAGTAGACGGATGGTTACCAGAGTCTGTGAAGGGTAGTAGGGAGGAGGGCTGGGGTGGGGGGTAGGTGGGAGTAGAGATGGTTAATTTTTCTAACCAAAGGTATAAAGAATGAATAAGATCTAGTATTTGATAGCACAACAGGGTGACTATAGTCAATAATAATTTAATTGTACATTTTAAAATAACTAAAAGAGTACAATTGGATTGTTTGTAATACAAAGAATAAATGCTTGTAGTGATTGATACCCCATTAAAATAAAGATAAAAAATAAAAATTTATAACATTCACAAAGAGAACATCAATATATTTATCTATTTAGAACTAAACAACTTCAATGTCAAAAACTATCACAAACCAAAAAGGCAAAAACAAGTGTGTGGGAGGAGTGAGAATGTGCTACAAAATGACGTGGGCTAATATCATTATTATACAAGGAGTTCCAAGATAAACACTAAGATCCCAACTAGAAAATAACCCAAGGATACAAACAGGCAATTTACATAAGGAAGAATGACTAAGAAAAACATTCAAACCCACTAAAAATTTTTAAAAATGCAAACGAAAATTGATAACCATGATTTTTCCACACTGATAAAAAAAAGGCAAGTATAAAAATGTGGTCAGTTCTTCATTTGGGGAAAGGTAGGGTCAGGCAAGCTACCGATGACAGCATAAATGCCTCGTGAAATTTGGCCATGAAAATTGATGGGGGTCCAATCTTTCTGAGAAAGTATCATACTTAAAAATGATCACCATTTTTGGCCCAGTAATTCACTTACAGGAATTTTTCCTAAGGAAATAAGCAGAGATCCAAGAAATACACAAAGATGTTAGCACTGCAACATCTTTGTGCAACATCTTTGCAGGTGGCTGTCTGCAAACCAGGAAGTTTCCTCATGGAATCAGATTGGCCAGCTCCTTGATTTTAGATGTTTAGCTTCCAGAATTATGAGAAATAAATGTCTGTTGTTTAAGCCACCTAACTGGTGGTATTTTGTTACAGTGGTGCAAACCAAGATGGGGGCGGGGGGGTGCGGGGAGAAATAGAGACAGAGAGACAGAGAGAGACAGAGACAGAGATGGAGGGAAGCAGGTTTTCCTGAATTATGGGGTTTTATTTTTTCAGAAATTTCTATATTTTTACAATGAGAATATCTTCAACAGATATTTTCAACAATGAGAAAAAACAGGCTAGTCAAACACAGATAATAATAAAAATGGCAACTAATATTTATTTAGCATTTACTATGTTCTAGAGATTGTGTTGCCTTTGGTGAATTTCATTTTACCTTCACAACTATCTCAAGTAGTTACTATTATAATCCCCATTTTACAGTCTCCTAACCACTCTGAAAACAAAAACAAAGACAAAAACAAAAAAAAACCTTTTTTTACATTTTAAT
The DNA here is from genome assembly GCF_000001405.40 of Homo sapiens. NCBI lineage: Eukaryota > Metazoa > Chordata > Mammalia > Primates > Hominidae > Homo > Homo sapiens. The sequence goes on from NC_000006.12 coordinate 130,506,988, forward strand.
CTAGGTTTTCTATTTTTTTTTTTAATTTTACTTTAAGTTCTGGGATACATCTGCAGAACATGCAGGTTTGTTACATAGGTATACATGTGCCATGGTGATTTGCTGTACCTATCAACCCATCATCTAGGTTTTAAGCCCTGCATGCATTAGGTATTTGTCCTAATGGTCTCCCTCCCCTTGCCTCCCATCCCCTGACAGGCCCCGGTGTGTGATGTTCCCCTCCCTGTGTCCATGTGTTCTCGTTGTTCAACTCCCACTTATGAGTGAGAACATGTGGTATTTGTTTTTCTGTTCCTGTGTTAGTTTGCTGAGCATGATGGCTTCCAGCTTCATCAAAAAACAAAACTGACTCTTGAAATACCTGCTTTATTGCTAAGACTTGGAATAATACTTAATAACAGTATGTTGAATGAATATGTCTTAATCAACCGTATTGAATTCAGTAAAGTTACATACCACACCCTTGGCTTAGGTAAAGAAAAAAACAACAAAGACAGAGCAAGGAAGACCCGGCTTAGCATTGCTTTATGTTCTCAGTCAGCCTTGGGTGTGTGGGAAGGAATGGGGCTCCTTATACTTCATCAGATTCTTCAATCACCTGACAGGAATGCTGAGGAGATGAATTTTACTTGGAGTTAAAAATACGATTACTTTTCCTCTGTTGTTCCTTCTACCTTTGAAATCGTTTTACAAACTGAAAAACTGGAATCGAGATCTCATTTATTATCTGTGGTTTCACATTGCAAAATCACTGTGAACTTCAGAGCCAAATGCTTTTTTTATTTTCCTTTGAATTTCCATTAAAGGAAGATTTTCTTAGAAGCAGATTGAGAACTTTTAATTCTTTGCCAGGGATGAGAGAGACAAAAGACACTCACTGGCTGAATTTCACATCTAGTCCTGAAGCTTTGTCTGTCAAGAGAAGAGGCGATGCTTTTCTCTTAGTATCAAAAAGTAAGGAAATTTCTTCAGTATTCCCTGCCACCCAGAGAGGAGACACAACGACAGTGGCAGTTGTAAGTCTCAAGAGCAGGCACACAAGAAATGTGACTTCCTCCATTTTCCATAAATCAACTTCATATAGGATTCTGAAGCCCCATATTTCAGGCTAGCAGAATGTGGATTTTTAAATTTTATGGATTTTAAAATTTTCTTAAACTTTGGTTTATTCATTGTGAGGCATTTTTGTAGTTTTCCACCTCCCTTTTCCTCTAACCTATGTGCGTGTGCATGTGTGTGTATGTACATTCTAGGCCATTGGCATACAAGCAGTACAAGTATGTGTGTGTTGGGGATGCTGACCTGTCTGTGTGGCCCCATCTCTGCAGCCCGAGCTAGGCTTCCCATGAAGGCATGTCTGGGGAGGCAGTTAGCCCCATGCCAGACCTTCAGGTCCCAACAGACTCCAGCATGTCAAACCCACTCCTTAACTGCTCACCCAGTGTCCATCTCTGCTGTTCAGGCACCTGCTGTTCAGAATGACTGCTGGGTGAAGTCATTCTGTTTTGAGGTGGCCTTTAAGGGATGCCCTTTTCTTTCTCTGTTTCCCCTAAGCCACTCTCCACCTTTTGCAGACCCTCTTCCACAGATTTTAACACAAGTCAAGGAGTCTTATAGACCATAATTCTTTCATGCCCATCCCAAGGTTCTGTTATACAAGAAAGCTCAATGGGGCCCACCTGCCTCAATCATGAGAAAGAAGGCAAAGCAGAAAATGCAGGTGGAAAGATTATCCAGCCACTTGAGTGAAAAGATCTTTGGGATGTGAAAATCTGGGTGTAACTCTTTTTTTATATATATATATTTTAAGTTCTAGGTACATGTGCACAATGTGCAGATTTGTTACATATGTATACATGCGCCATGTTGGTGTGCTGCACCCATTAACTAGTCATTTACATTAGGTATATCTCCTAATGCTATCCCTCCCCCCTCCCCCCACCCCATGACAGGTCCCGGTGTGTGATGTTCCCCTTCCTGTGTCCAAGTGTGTAATTCTAAGGAGTCCCACTTGGTGTATGGCATGGTAGACTGGACATTAACTTTGAGAAGCTTCTCCATTGGTATCTTGATGGAGGAACCAGTGAAATGTCATAGCAGCCCCAGAAGGTAGAGATTATTCCAACAATTTATTAACTATGTCATGTTACTTTCTTTTGGCTTGATTTTATTCTCCCTTTGTATTTAATAGAACAGGTATCATAAATGGACTAATCACAAAAATGCTTCGTTTGGTTTACATTTTTCTTTTCTATTCTCTCTTTCTTCCTTTTTTGTTATTTCTAATATTATTTGTCTCTTAAGTTTCAAATTACTTAGGCTCGGTATCTATTCTCCAGTTCCCCTTAGTTCTCACCATTCTCCATTGACTTAAAACAAGATGTTTCTTGTTTTAAGCAGGTAACTCTCTGCTTGGCCCCTAACAACATTTGTGCTTTCAGGCCTTGATATTCCTCGATTTTTATAAGAAGCTTTATCTTTTTCAGAAACTGTTATTTTGGTCTTTATTTTTCCTCCCAGAAGTTTGCTATTAATATATTTTTAATTTCTGTGTTTATATTTTTCTTATTTCTTTATAGTTTTGTTGTATTTTCTCCAAGAATGTTCTTGTAAAATCTCTACCTTAAGTAATGCACTAAACGTTTACTTCTGAGTTAATATGTAATTGATTTTTGTGAATGCTTCATGGACATAAGAGAATAATGTGTATTTTTGTTTGTAAGAAATAAATATCTATAAATACCTTTACACTGAACTTGTTTATTACACAAATTTTTGGTTATGACTTGTCAAATTCCACAAGAGATGACTATGTTTTGTGCTATTATATTAATTTTATCAGAATCTTGAATATCTGAGAGTCTTTATGTATTTCATAGCTTTATTGTTTGGTATTTAAAGTTTTCAGATTATATCTTTTTTATGCATTGCATATTCATCATAATATAGTATACCTCTTGAGACAAGAGAGTTCCCTTTACCCCTTCACAGGACTTGCAACAAGGAGGTGGCTCGCTTACTTGGCCACCGCCTGCAATCAAACTGCTTGTGGAAGGGTGAGCATGCAGATGAGTGGGTGCCAGGGCAAGTGCTTCTGGGCTTTGTCCCCATGGCAGCGTCTGGGGTATGTTAAAATTAATGCTCTTGTAGCAGTTGCTGTCTGCAGATGGCTAAGTGTTAACCAGCTCAGTGAAGAGTCAGGGTGACAGCCTTTTACACCCTGCCTTCTTGGTACCCAAGTTCTTGTTTGGCGTCCGGGAAGAATCAGGTCTCATGAATGGTTTGAAAGGTGATGAACGCGGATGATTTTATTAAGTGGTGGAAGTAGCCCTCTGCAGAAGGGGAGCTAAAAAGGGGATGGTGTGGGAAGAAGGGGAGATTTCCCAGAAGGCCAGCCAGAGACAGCCGGGCTCCTCTCCGAAGTTGTGGCATCTGAAGTTAAGCTTCATCTATCCATATTCTCTGACACTCAGTTGCTTCTTCTCCTCTTAACGTTCAGTCACTTGTCCTCCTTTCTCCTTCTCTGCCGCACCACTCTGCTCCTCTGACAGTGGAATTTGGGGATTTTATGGGTACAGGATGGGGGCATGGCAGGCCAGGGTGGTTTTAGAAAAAGCAACATTAGGGTGGGAAAACAAGGATAACTGTTCTCCTTTAGGGCTGCAGTTTCCAGGCTTGAGGGTGGGGTCTTTGCCAGGGAACCGCCCTCTTCTAGCCAGTATTTTCTTGCTTCCTATCTGTATCACTGTGACCCATTTCAGGCTTATGGTTTTAAGCTATATTTTAATTGGTATTAATATTGCCACTGATATGGTTTGGCTCTGTGTCCCCACCCAAATCCCATCTGGAATTGTAATCCTCACATGTTGAGGCAGGGACCTGTTGGAAGGTGACTGGATCATGGGGGAGGTTTCACCTATGCTGTTCTCCTGATAGTGAAGGGAGTTCTTATGAGATCTGATGGTTTCAAAAGTGGCAGTTTTTCCTGTGCTCTCACTTCTCTCCTGCCACCATGTAAGATGTGCCTTACTTCCCCTTCACCCTTCACCATGATGGTAAGTTTCCTGAACTTTGAGTCAATTAAACCTCTTTCCATTAGAAATTACACAGTCTCAGCTGGGCGCAGTGGCTCACGCCTGTAATCCTAGCACTTTAGGAGGCCAAGGTGGGCAGATCACGAGGTCAGGAGATCAAGACCATCCTGGCTAACACAGTGAAACCCCGTCTCTACTAAAAATACAAAAAATTAGCCGGGCATGGTGGCGGGTGCCTGTAGTCCCAGCTACTGAGGAGGTTGAGGCAGGAGAATGGCATGAACCCAGGAGGCAGAGCTTGTAGTGAGCCAAGATAGCGTCACTGCACTCCAGCCTGGGCAACAGAGCGAGACTCCGTCTCAAAAAAAGAAAAAAAAAGAAAAAGAAATTACACAGTCTCCATAAGTTTCTTTATAACAGTGTGAGAATGGACTAATACAGCCACTTTCTTTTGTCTTCATTATCTTTTCTTTTGTTCTTGTTTTGTTGCAAATGCCTATCTTTATTTTAAAATAATCCTTGTTATTTTATTTTAGGTATTAATGTTTTATTTTTAAATTCATTCGAGACTACTTGTTTGGATATGTTGTTGAGATGCTTTAATGAGATGCTACAAAATGCAAAAGTGCTTCCTGTTGTGCAAAGGAAATCAGTGCTCAATAAATGTTAGTTTCCTATATTAATTCTTTGTTTTCTTTCTCAGAGTTCCATCAAGGGTAAGACTGTATTTTCAGGAAAACCAGACTGGATTGAAATGTAAGGAAACTCTAATCTACTAAATTGTGTTGCAGCTGGCCTATTTGGGATGGTAATATATTAATACCATTTCTGAGGAGTACTGGAGGTCTAAAGAAAAGGGAGCTATTGAGCAAGAATTTGTCAATACTTTTCCCTTGGTATCCAGGACAGGGGCATTTTGTTTCTAGACAATTAGTAAGATTCTATAGACGGACTGACATATCCCTCATGAATATTTCTGTAGAGCTACACATTTATACATCCTATAACTGTGTCATAAAATTGCATACCTATAAAAGGAACGGAAATGAAAAAATGCAACAAGAAATAACTTCAGGGAGAGACTAGTTAGCTGTTTTTTTAAGAACGTTATGTGGAGATTTCTTGATTGTGGTGATCGGGTCATGTTAACAGAGTCTTTTTCGATTCCATTTCTATTTAAAATAGATAGGCTAACCATAGAGACCAATTCTCAAAGTATAGTACCAATTAATTCGGTTTTATAGCACAATGCAGTGCAGTAAAAAGAATCTGACACAGCAAAATCTGCCTAATTAGAATCTGGGTCAGTTCATGTAGGAGTAGATTTTCTACCCTATATTTAAGAAAAGTCTTTTTAAAACATTTTTTACAATAGGCGTATTTTATCAGATTATATGTTCATTGTAATATTCAGGCCAGTTCCTTGATAACTGCAAGTTACTACTCCCATCTGAAAGTTTCCTATAATTTCTGCTTTGGTTAATTATTTTAATAAAATATTCTTAATAAATTATTAAGATCAATAACCTAACTCAGGGAACAATCATGGAAGGAGTCTAAGTATTCATCTAGTTCAACCCTCTCATTTTATAAATGAGGAAGCAGAGGTCCAAAGAGATTAAGTAAGTTGCTTCAGGCCATAGAGCTAGTCAGTGTCAGGGGCTACACTGGAATCTATAACTCTGATTGTCCAGTACATTGATTCCACTAATAATGTGGAATGTATATTAGAATGTAAATAAAATGTTTTCCTTGTAAACCATGAAATTAGAAGAGGAACAGCTGTGAGCATTGAATGAAATGATAAATGTAAAAACAGGTAGCACATTACCAAGTACTTGTGATGTACCCAGTAAAAGTTATTCATGCTCGTATGTCTTCCCTCTAATTAGAAAAGTTATGATGATACATTCCAGATATACTCAAGATTCTGTTTGAGAAGTGCTACCAGCACTAACGAGACTAGCACCTGTGTAACATTCCAAGATCCCATACCATTTCCCACCAAATTAACTTTAATTTAATATTTAATGTTTCAGTATATTTCTTTTTGATTTCTTTATAATTACATATGTACGTATCAAAAAACATTATATTATTTTATATGCTTTAAACCCTATATAACATGCTATTATGTATTTCGACAACTGCTCTTTTTTACATTCTGCATTATGTTTAGGGGATTTATTTAGGTTGATTTAATTACTTCTAGCTTATTCATTCCTTTTCATTGCTGTACAACATTCAGGTCCATGAAGATTCACAATGTAATCACCTGATCTTCTATTAATAGTCTTTTATAGGTAGTCTGCTACTTTTTCCATACAAACAATCCTGCCATAAACATTTGTGTATGTTTCCTTGTACATATGTGCAACAATTTCTCCAGGGTATAGTATTAAGAATGTAATTGCCAAGTTGAAGATATATGCATCTTCAACTTAGCTAAATATTGCCAAACTACTGTCCAAAGTTGGTTATGCCAATATAGATTCCCACTTGCAGTGTGTAAGAGATCCTGTTGATCTACATCTCTGCCAAGTCTTGGAATTGTCAGACTGACATTTTTAGCAATCTGAAGGGTGTGAGATTACATCTTATTGTGATTTTAGTTTTCATTTCCTTAGTTAATAGTGTTAACAAATCCACTGAAAAGGAAACAAAAATGTTTTAAATTAAAGAGACTTTGTTGCAGCAAGCAGTTTGCAAACCAGGGAGATGCAGCCTTCAGTACAAAACAGAGGTACACTCCGCCAGAACAAAGACAGAAGTTGCTTTTTATAGAGAAAGTTGTCACCCAGGTTTCCGCTTGTCTGCTGTGCAAATAAGGGGTGGCTGATTATTTGTTCTGATTGGTTGATGTTAAGATTTATCACAGGTTACAGTCTAGTGGTTAGGTCCAGGTGCCAGAATCTAGTGGTTAGGTCCAGGAACTTTCTGGCAGTGTTGATTGAGGCAGTGTAAACAGGAACAGATAGCTATGAGAGTCCCAAAGTTCCCCTAGCCTGTGGTTTTTCTGAGAATGCAGGATATGTGTGTGGTCTCTAGTCAGCAAATGGATACTTGGCTGCATTTTGAATTTAAGCCCAATTAGTCGCTCAGGATCCACCTTGAAGGATTGGCTGTTTTGGAGTTGACAACAGAAAGGATAACCAACTTTTCACATTTATTGGCCTTTAGTGTTTTCTTCTTTTTTGAATTGGCCACTGGTATTTGCTGCTCATTTTTAGTGGGTTACTTACATTTATTTCATATTGAGTTTTAGAAATTTTAAAGAGTTTATGGTCTGGTAATTACTCCTTTGTGGGGCCTAATGTGTGAAAATACCCTCTGCCAATTTATGCTTTGCCTTTGAGCTGTCTATGTTGTCTTTTGTTGTGAAGAAGTTTTAAATTTTAATATTTATTTGTCTTTATATTTGGGTATTTTTAAGAACCCATTTTCCATGTTAAGGTAACAGAAGTATTCTCTGACATCTATAAATATAAAATGTTTACTTTCCATATTTCTGCCTTTGGTCCACCTGGAATTCATTTGTGAACATTGGCTGGAGTAGGACTCCAAGTTATTTACCTCCTATTAAGTTAATACATCCTATTGAGATAGAACCCAATTTTTCCAGGACTATTTCTTGATTCATTTCCCCACTGCTCTGTAATGTGATATCTATGTAATTCTGTTCCTTGATTTAATTAATTCTATTTATTTGTTTATCCCTGCCCTAATACCATGCTGTCATGATTTCTGTAGTTTTATAATTAATATCTTAATCTCTCGTAGGGCTAGTCACCCTTTATTCTAGTTATAGTGTGAATGTTGACTTCTCATATTAACACAAGCAAAAGTTTCAGACATGTTTCAGACCTCATGAAAGACTGTCAGATAACTAGTCAGTACGGGGTTGTGGCAAAAGCATGGAGTACTGACTCAGGGACCATGAGAAGTGGTGCAATATTCACAAACGCTCTGGGGTTCAGTTTCCTCATCCTTAAAAATGAATTAACATGGATTGGCTTGTAAAAGTTGCTATTTTGAGATAGTGAGGGCAGGAAGGATGATGGAAAAGAGGAAGGTTTTTACAAAACAAGGAAGTACTCCATTTTAGGGGACCTCTCTGGGTAGGTATCTATAGCTAGAGAGGGCACAAATGGGCCTCTGGAAAGGACAGACCTGGCAGATCATGTTTAAAACATCTGCAGAGAAGCGCTTTCCAATTGGAATATAGATGGCTTACCTGGTGCTTAATGAGAAAGAATAGAATGTCTCCATGGATGGGCTATAGAGTGAGCTACTTAGCTGTAACATGAAACAGAGGTACAGCTATAAGAATCTAATGGTTTTGGAGGCCATAAGTTGAATTAAATATCTATACATTCTTGTGTTTATGCAGCTGGTCCTTGAGATTTCCTTTCCCTAGGAAAATAGCCATTGTACCTCACACAGCTGACAGTGTGTGTCTTATAAAACCCGACAGTGGGAGTGCCACCTACGCAATCCAAGGAAGGGAAGCACTTTGATCTTTATGATGCGGTGGTGGAGAGTATTAATAGCAAATGTGATTCCCCAGTTAGAACTTCCATGACAAATTTTACCATATATAGAAACTCTTGACCATCTTATTTTCTTAAGGTACTAATTGGTTTCTTTATTTTAAAGCTACAGAGCCCAGACCAATGTCGATACTGTTAACACCACTTTAACAGCCAGCTCTGTATCAACTCAGGGTTCCTACTGATGAGTAGAGAAAAATGAGACAGAATTTCCAGCAATGTGTATTAAAGACAACTGAAATTTAAAAGCCATTTTTGGCCTGGCATGGTGGCTCACGCCTGTAATCCCACACTTTGGGAGGCCAAGGCAAGTGGATCACTTGAGGTCAGGAGTTGGAGACCAGTCTAGCCAACATGGTGAAACCCCATCTCTACTGAAAATACAAAAAGTAGCTGGGCGTGGTGGTGCATGCCTGTAATCCCAGCTACTTGGGAGGCTGAGGCAGGAGAATCGCTTGAACCCAGCGGGGCAGCGGTTGCAGTGAGCCGAGATCGCACTATTGCACTCCAGGCTGGGTGACAGAATGAAACTCTGTCTCAAAAATAAATAAATAAATAAAAGCCATTTTGTCCTACTTTGAGGGCCTACAAAAAGGTGTTGAAATCTTATAAATTAAAAAATAAATGAGGTCTATAAATTGCCTATAAAACACCTAACCTTTATTGTCTCACTTGTTACTTCCAACAAACCTGTGAGATAGGTTGTCTTCTTCATTTTATAGGTAAGAAAATAAGGTACAGATGAACTTGCATAAATAATCAAGTTAATAAAGCAGAGCTAGGATTTAATCCCAGGTGACTTCTTGAAAGGATGAAGTCTTGACCACTAGGTGTTGCTTCCTGTGTGAATTAAAAAGCTGTTGGGCTTTTTTTTTTTTTAACTTTGTGCAATTTTTAATGATTTTTATTCCTTTTAACATATCCAACATCCTTGTTTTTATTTCATGGCAATGGTGTTGAGTTGTGAATGTTCTAATAGAGAAGCCAGTCTAGCAGTCTGAACTCAAACTTGCCATCAATGTTCATACAGTGAGAAAGTGTTATGGTTTGGCTCTGTGTCCCCACCCAAATCTCATGTTGAATTGTAATTTCCAATGCTGGGGGCAAGATGTGGTGGGAGGTTATTGGATCATGCGGGTGGATTTCCCCCATGCTGTTCTCATGATAGTGAGTTCTCACGTACTCTGATGTTTTAAAAATATGTGACACTTCCCCCTACACTTTCTTTCTCTCCTGCCGCCACGTGAAGAAGGTACTTGCTTCCCCTTTACCCTTCCACCATGATTGTAAGTTTCCTGAGGCCTCCTCAACAATGCTTCCTGTACAGCCTGAAGAACTGTGAGTCAATTAAACCTCTTTCTTGATAAATTACCCTGTCTCAGGTAGTTCATTATAGCAGTGTGAGAACAGATTAATACAGAAAGTATCCTCAATTTTTGGTGCATTCATTTTACATTCACATAGTTCCCTGAGCTTTATTCCATAATTTCACTAACTGTTCTCTGTAGCATGTGTGGGATCCTTCTACTAGACAGGAGGCATGTTGAGGGCAAGGACTGTCATTTTCTCTGCTTTATACTCCCAGGAATTAGCCCTGTTCCTGATACATAGTAGGCACTTAATAAATGTTTGCTGAGTGAATAATGAAGGGAAACTCCACCTTAAATTCTTTTCAAATTCTTCACTTTACCAATAATATAACTGGGGCAGAAATCAGCAAAGTCGACTTACCAAAGATCTACATTTATTGTGTGGTAGACACAAGGCCCCTCGAGTCCAGAATCTATGCCTAGTGCTGTTTTCTCCATGGATAACTAAAATCTATGAGTACAAATAGGAAGAAAGAGAGAGTCTGCCTATAGAGTGAAAATTGCAGATATATTCTGTTACCTAGCGACATCATGAGAAGTGTTTCAGTTTCATCTCTCATAAAAACAAAGGACACCATTGTTAGTATCTGACTCACATCAGTGCTGTGACAACGCAAGGTGTCTCAGCACCTGGAAGAAACCAGCAGCATTAGTAAGTGTTCCCATTATAGAACCACTAATGAGGCAATTTGTTAAACCAGCATCCCCCTGCAAACCAAAATCAGACAAATGAGCTGGTACATTTGAAGGTTCAGAAAAAACAAATTCTCAGTAGAAATAGAAATGAGTCTATGCCAGGTATTTGTGACACATTAAATTCATCTGAGGCAATTATCATGACTCATCATCAAATGGAAAACCTAGGATATCCGGCCTGTTCTGCTGGAAAAAGTGGTTGTGAGGGTGCCAGCAGGTAGGATGGTTTTATTTGGGAGGACTCTCCCTTCTCCTAATCCACTGAGTAACAATGCATGACCAGTAATATTTTCAAAGGAACTGTAAGGAAATTGTATTGATACTTATGTTCTGATATGATGAATTAGCAGACGAAGTAATTTCTTAACCTGACACTCAAGTCTTCTATGATCTGATGGCCACAAGTACCTCTGTACCCCGTAATACTCATTTTACTGAGAGAATATCTGCATCTCTTTACTCATGCTGTCTCCTACCTTGCCAACCTAACCTCCTCCTGTGCATCCACCTATAAGACCCCACTCTTGGAAATACTGGGACTTACGCCCTCCTCCTACACTCAGTACTGACCTAGATTCCAGCTTCAGCAACTCTAGCAACACTGCCCTTAACCTTTTGCCTTTGGAAACTTGGCAGCATCATCTTCGAAGGATCCAAACCCAGGCTCAAGTCCAGTGAGTTTTCTCTGGTCCTGTGCCTGAGCAGCCCAGCTGGCACAGCATGGGTAGAGACCACCTGTTTCCTGTCAGCTTCCCAATCCCCCTTCAAAGTACTCAATAAATGTGTGCTGCTAGGTGATGTGACACAGAGAGGGTTTTGTCGGATAGAAGAATGCTGCCACACATCTATTTTTACTTGACTTATTTAACAGTTTGGAAGGACATGCACAATTGCTCTACACAGTATAGATCTGGCCACCCAAGAGATGGCTCAGACTCACCAGGGGACAGGGGACAGCCAGTGCTGAGGAGTGCCTGCCTTTCTGCTCCTGGCTACACTGTGTCCCAGAAAAGACATTTTCTCACAGCCAAAAAGCAAGCAGTCACATCCCTGAAAAAGATATTTTTCTTAACTCTGCACCTAGAAAATCATTTGGAGGATGGTACTAGCAAGGACTGCTAGCTCTTACAGACAGATGACCTCAGAGAAGAGCAGGGGACTGAGGGGGGTGGAAATCCTGTGGTCTAAGTCTTAGCTTAGACTCTAATTGAGATGATAGAACTGTTACTTAACTAGCAGTTTCTTTTTGTCTCTTCTTTTATAAAATAAGGAAAATAAAATCCACCCTATTTGACAGATGGGCAAACTAAAGATAAAATCAATAATATATGTGAACTGACTATGGGATTGCAAAAAGCACAATGGATTGGGACATTGTTGAGATAATAATTGTTGCAGAAAGATATGGAACGTATCTTTCCAAAAGCCCAAATGTGCCCAAACGTGGTGGCTGATACCTGTAATCCCAGCACTTTGGGAGGCCGAGGCAGGTGAAACACTTGAGGTTAGGAGTTTGAGACCAGGCTGGCCAACATGGTGAAACCCCGCCTCTACTAAAAATACAAAAATTAGCCAGGTGTGATGGCACCCACCTGTTGTCCTAGCTACTCGGGAGGCTGAGACAGGAGAATCGCTTGAACCTGGGAGGCAGAGGTTGCAGTGAGCCTAGATCATGCCACTGCACTCCAGCCTGGGTGACAGAGCAAGACTCTGTCTCAAAAATAAAAAATAAAAAAAGCCCAAATGCCTTATGAAACTTCAGAGAGTGATCATAATCTTTAACACTTTTAAAGGGTTTTACAGAGCACTTTTACATAAATTATGCTACTTAATCCTTACATTGACATCAAATTATGCGTGATTATTTTTTCCATTTAAAAAAATGAGAAAACTGAATTCCAATGAGGTCAATCTACTTAAGACAGCTCAGCTGGTTACAAGATATTAACTGAAGTCTTTTGACTCTCATTTTCTTTTTACAATACTACTGTTTCAAGAAAGGGATTGCAGAAAAAGTTGGATTAAAAGCATTACATTTAATACTTTGTTATTTGTGCTAGACAAAAATGTCCTATGGGCATATAATATCCTCAGATCCCTTTCATAAACCAAATTATCCTTGAAAATTATTAAAAGATTGCATTCAGATTCATGTGTCTGTTAGGCTGATTAATATTTCCTACAGAGGCTATTAACTACCATAAAGAACATTTCCACCATTTTGCTAACTAAATAGACTTCTTCATTATGAAAACAAAAATGATATACGGAATTAGATGGCAGCTTTAATAATTACAACTAAAACCATATGTAAAGATACAGATGAAATAAATCTAAATGAAATCATTTTTCAGGCAGGTTGTATAAAACATCAGTAGCCTTTTAAGAATAATAGGTTTGCTTGATGATGGTTCTTAAATATAGGCTCATTAGGTGTCTTATTATTGACAAGTAAGAATATAGTACAAATCTTAGAATACTGTGTATATTTTTAAGTATAATTTTTTAATTAATAAAGTACATTTGGTATTTGAATGAGTAAGGTCAGGGCTAAGGGATCTGTTTTGCTCATCACATGAAAAAAAAAAAAGATTATTCATCCATTCCCTGTCCTCAGGGAGAGTGAAATATGGGAAAATTAAATGGTACTTGGCAGATGACATTTCTGAAGCCTGGTAACAGAAATGGTAGAATAAACATTCACAGAAGCCCCTCCTATGCCATAGGAAACTTGTTCTAATAGGATCATCCCGAAGATCCTGATGATGTGTCTCATCACTCTTTATTGCCCTCATTAGTCACAAATTAGATTACAGAATCAGCATTTAGTAAATCTCAGCCTCCTTCCTTTCCCAAACTAGCGACTCATCCTCGAGTTTAAGAAAGAACACAGGAAGGAAAGAAGGCAATATCCCTCTCTGCTATCTTTGCTGAAGCTAGAAAACTGACAACAATGTCTTTTATTTCTTGAAGTAAATAGCATGTCAAATTATTAATCAGGTTTTTTATTTTCTATATCTTACGATGCTTTGATATCTTGGGGAGTCTTGCTAATATGGAGAGACTGCCCCTCCAGGGGTCAGCTAATTCCTGGAAATAGCACAAGATTTCCCACCCCGTTCCCCCACCTTGCCAACACATTTTTCATAAGCAAACTAACCAATCCAGATATCCCCACGGTCTCCTTTATCTAACTGACACACCAAGCCAATGTTTCCCTGCCCTGAATCATTCCAGGGCCAGGTTTTAGAAGACTAGAAACCATCTCTATAGCCCAGAGCCCACCAAAATTAAACTACCCAATCTTCAGCTGTTCACCCTGTTCTGCACTCCTGTGGGAACCACATTAAAGGCCTGTGGTCATGTTTTCCCTCCTCTTCCTGCCTTCCGACTGACCTGGTGCTTCCCCATGTGACCCTGCATGGTGTGGCATATGCCCCCTTCTCTTGGGGACTCTGAGTACTACAACTTTTCTTTCAAAGGCAGTTGTTCTGCACCAGTCACCTTATCATACATGATTAAAACACATCCCAGGTACAAATCTCGAGGCACTTATATAGATGTTCTGTCGTGATGACTGTATGGAGAAAGGGGAAGAGCAGTCAAGTCCCAGTTTCTAATTCCAGCTATTTTACAGAATGTATGGCCTTAAGCAACTCTCCAAGATTCAGGAAGAGCAAGAGATCTGGACAATAAGTAATTTGTGAATCAGTGGATGAAACTAGATAATCTCTGCCTAATTTCAGAGTTAAAATTCTATCATTATGTATACATAAAAAACTTTATCTAAAAAGCTAAAAGTGTCATTATCACACTGCTGATAATGACATACCCAAGACTGGGTAATTTATAAAGAAAAAGAGATTTAATGGATCCCTAGTTCCACATGGCTGGGAGGCCTCACAACCATGATGGAAGGTGAAAGGCACATCTTACATGGCAGCAAGCAAGAGAGAATGAGAACCAAGGGAAAAGGGAAACCCTTGGGAGGCCAAGGTGGGCGGATCACGAGGTCAGGAGATCAAGACCATCCTGGCTAATGCGGTGAAACCCTGTCTCTACTAAAAATACAAAAAATTAGCCAGGCGTAGTGGTGGGCGCCTGTAGTCCCAGTACTGGGGAGGCTGAGGCAGGAGAATGGCGTGAACCCAGGAGGCAGAGCTTGCAGTGAGCCGAGATTGCGCCACTGCACTCCAGCCTGGGTGACAGAGTGAGACTACATCTCAAAAAAAAAAAAAAAAGAGAGAAGAAAAACAAAAGGGAAATCCCTTATAAAATCACTAGATCTCGTGAGACTTATTCATTACTACAAGAACAGTATTGGGGAAACCGCCCCCATGATTCAATTTTCTCTCACCAGGTCCCTCACCCAACATCTGGGAATTATGGGAGCTACAATTCAACATGAGATTTGGGTGGGGACACAGGCAAACCATATCACTTACCATCATTAAATTAATATTTTTAAATTTAAGATGCTATTGCTAAATTCAAACTCACCAATGAGTTACCAAGCCCCCTTGCAGAGTGATTCCCAGGACTAGGTGATTATCAATATATCATCTGATGAACTGTGTAAAATTGCATATGCCCAGGCCTTGCCCACAGCCTCTCAGCAAAGATCTATGATGGTGGGCCCCAGAATAGGTTTATTATAAAAGCTCTTTCTATGACTTTAATGATCTGCTAGGTTGGGCACTACTGCTTTAACAGTAATTCTAAAATTATTATTTCACAACCACAACTCTTTCAAGAACTTGGATCCAAGTCAAGAGACAACAAACTGAATTTTTCAGAAAGGATTGTTTACATTTTACAGGCAAAAATAACAGTAACAGCAATCCGAGATTTCTGGGATACAGGTTGTTAAGTGACTTCTAAAAGGTCAATGAACAGGTGAGTAGCAGAGGTGGGCATGAGCCAAATTCTGACTTCAAATCCAGTGCTTTATCCACTATATCACCAAACCATCTTATCATTCCAATTTACGTGATAACTACTTAATCAAGCACCTATTATGTCAAAGACACCATCCTATCATATGCAGTAGTAGTTAACATGTTTTTGAGTTCTGACTATGTGCTGAGCACCATTTTAGGCACTTAACAAAAATTATTTAATCCACAGAACAAACCTATGGGGTAGATATTAATACTATCCCAATTTTATACATGGAACAAACATAGAACAGAAAGGATATGCAACTTGCCCAGGGCCACACAGCTAGTAAGGGACAAGGTTAAAATTAAAGCCCAGGTGGTCAGCTCCAAAACCTGAGCTCTTTAAACACTATGCAATATTGTGTAGAGAGCATTTGTCGAATATTCTAGAATTGAGGGTGCTATATGTAATGTATTACCTTCTTTAATCCTCCTGGAGAAATGAAACAGGCTCAGGCTCTTGAGTCACTAACCCAAAATCACATGGAGTGGTGAAGAAATTGTTTTACTACTGTGTAACTTAGGACTTTTATTTTTATTTTTTGAGATGGAGTCTCACTCTGTCACCCAGGCTAGATGGAGTGCACTGGCACGATCTTGGCTCACTGCAACCTCCGCCTCCGGGGTTCGAGGGATTCCCCTGCCCCAGCCTCCCAAGTAGGTGGGATTACAGGCATGCACCACCACGCCTGGCTAGTTTTTGTATTTTTAGCAGAGATGCGGTTTCGCCATGTTGGCCAGGCTAGTCTTGAACTCCTGACCTCAAGTGATCCTCCCACCTCAGCCTCCCAAAGTGCTGGGATTACAGGTGTGAGCCACCACACCTGATCATAACTTAGGACTCTTTTCGATGTGTCAACACATTCAATAGTAATGGACTTAAACAAAAAAGGAATATACTGGCTCAATAACCGGAAAGTCCAGGGATAAAATGATGTGACCGGAACACGATTTTCTTGGGCTGTGCTTCAGCTACCTCTGTGTTGATTTCATTCTCTGTCCCCACACGGAGCTCCATGGGAAGACCCCCTTAATCAGAAAACAATCTACTTCCCAATAGCTAAAAAGAAAAAGGTTTTACCCTGAGACTATGCACCTACTACTGAAACAATCATGCAGGGTGTGTAATATAATGACTGGCTTAGCCCAGATACAGAGACTGAGAGCCAAAAATAAGAGATGCCAACTGCAAATCAAACCCCAGCTAGCCAGCCTCTCTATAAATAACAGATTATTTGTGAGTACATTGGTGTGTTTTCTGTTAGCATCCCACAGTGTTTTCTTCATATAACCTTCAGTTTAAAAGCTTTCCACTAAAATCCAAGGAGAAAAACATGTGTTTAAGCATTCCCTTGTGTTGCTATTGAGGGATGCTCTTCCTGTTCACCTGCCTCCCAGGTCCATACTCCCTCTGCTACGTGAGGGCCCTGCCGGGCCATGGGACTGTCCATGTGCAAATGCACCCTCTCTCTTTGAGCACTGCCAACTCCCTGGGGCTCTGCTCAGGGAGCAGGATACAAGTTCCCTTCTCCTGTCAGATACCAGAATCCTATTTGGGTTTTGGAGCCTCCACATGGCTCTGACCAGAAGGAAGCCACAGGATCTTTTACTCTAACGTCCACCAGAGTTATTGATTCTCCTTGGATCTCCTCTCCTCATCTTTTGCTGAGGAATCTTTGTTGACTATCAGATTGCATGCCTTCAGCAGTCTGACATGCAGACCTACGTCCTACTCTTTCCACCACCCAAAGGCCTAAATTTTTGGAAAGCAAAAGCTAGGAACAGATCAAGTCTACTTCCCCTGCCTTCTCTCTCTCCTGAGATACAAAGAGCAAAGAAGAGAAATAAACTACTAGTATAAAAACCAGTGGCTAATATTTCAAAAATCTTTTTCTACCACTCTACTGTCTATCAAATGCCCACAGTGTGCAAAATATAAACTAGGCACTTTGCACATCTCTTTAGTTTTCCACAACTACCTACTATGTCAGCACTGCGCCGACAAGGAAACCAAATCTCAGAGAGGTGAAATGACTTGCCTACCGACACAGGGCCGAGCCTGGGCCCCTTTGCCCTCAGATCCATTCTTCAACCATGCCCTGTTCTGCTCTGTTTAGGGCAAAGGGAGGTTCTCACATCAGCTGACAGGCAGCTGGTTTGGCCAACAGGAGGCACAGATAGGAAATGAGAGAGCGGGGAGGGGAAAGATGTCACCCCTTTTGTCTAAGACAGCTTCACTGGCAGCTGCTGAATCTCCTGTGTGGCTCCAGCTCCCACTAGACAGGCAGTCTAGTCCTGGTTTCTGTGGGGCCCTGCTTTGGGATGTAGTAATGAGGATGACCAACCATCTAGGTTTGCCTGGGAATGAGGAGTTTCCTGGGACACAGGGCTTTCAGTGCTAAAATTCAGAAATTTCTCAGCAAACATCTTGGTCACCCAAGTAGTAATAGCACCTTCTCTTCACCCCTAGGCTGCCTCTGTAGCCAAAGAGTGCTAGTTCCCGCCTGCAGGTAACCTCTGAGTCTCTGACTATCCTCTGCATGGCTTTGCAGCCTCCAACACCTGTTCTACTCATCCCCTTCATTAAATTCCCTGTGTTGTAAATATTTGAAATTGTTGCTGTTTGTGTGGTTAGAATGGGTTTTTATACTAGTATTTCCTTTCTCTTCTTTGCTCATGAATCCTCAAGGGAGGGTTGGGGTAGGGAAAACAGCCCATACGTCTGATACAGTTATCCAGCTAGTAAGTGCAAAGGTGATATTTTTACCAAAGGCTGTGCTGTTATCACTACATTAAATTC
This sequence comes from Homo sapiens, assembly GCF_000001405.40. Classification (NCBI taxonomy): domain Eukaryota; kingdom Metazoa; phylum Chordata; class Mammalia; order Primates; family Hominidae; genus Homo; species Homo sapiens. The sequence goes on from NC_000006.12 coordinate 130,525,378, forward strand.
ACTCAGAAGAACAGTGCTCAGGAAAAGAGGTTTCTTCACACCTGCCTGCCCCTGCCTGTATAATTTCACCACCAGGAAGTATAATTTTATTTTAACTTTGCCTTGAAGGATTAAGTCATAGTAACACAACTTACAAATGAATTATTTTTAGCTTGAGCAAGTGAAACACAGCTTCTGTCTGCTTTTCTGAAGTGGAGTAGGAAGGAAAGAGGGGGAGGTTCCTGCTTGCTGCCTTGTGGAGTTCTACAGAGAGACCAGAAGCTTCTGTTTCAAAAGGAAGCAGTGGTTACACTTATGGTAATGGCAGAGGCCTCCCAGACACTGGCTTGGAGTTCTGTTTATTGGTTATGAGCACAGATTTCTGGATACCTCCCACCTGACCAATAAAATGGTCCTCGCTGCAGAATGCATCCAGGTAATTCACATTAGTGTGTGTAGCTATTGCTATAGTAACAAGAAACTGGGACTTTTTATCCCTTTTCTCATTTTTCTAAAGTTCCTTTTTTCAGGGCAAATATACATTCCATATTTGAAAGAAAATAATTCATAAGTCAGAAATATGGCCTTAGATATTCAGATGCAATATAGGCTCGTCTGAAATACATTACAAAATAGTGATGTTGGACATGTGTCAATTAGTTCAAATTAGGATTTGCTGGTTGTGAATTGTACATATTTCAAGGCAAAAGAGTGTCCTAAAGAGTCATGTTTCAGATCAGTCTGCTTCTCATTCACATTTAATTTTCTTGCAAATGTTGAAACATGGAACAGTTCGTGCTGAGCAATAAGCTATCAACTTGAATTCAACAGCTTCTAAAAACAAGTGGTCTGAGGTGTCCAAGTTCACAACAACCTGTTTCCAGATTTATTTCAGTTAGACAAGTCATTGAGCAGCCTGAACCCGGGAGACTAGAGCAAGAAATTGCTTTATTTTTTTTCTTTCATCACTGCCCCCAAAGGAGGTGTAAGATGGTCCCCTTTCTGGCCCCCTCCAGACATCTCATGCAGGAGCCAGAGCTTTCTGGCCATTTTCAAATACAAAAACTACAGTCTGGTTTAGTCCCTTTAAAACTTCAGTTCAACCTAGTGTTCAGCTCCTCTCTCCCCAAGGGTCAGCCTTAGGTCCTGGAGTTGGGAGGGCACCTGGTCAGTTCCTCCACTGGGATTGGGGCAGAGGAAGAGGGAGAGAGAAGGCGTTAGTGATTCTACTTGCCTAGTTGATTCTTATCTCCCCACTTGGTTGTCAATGAGTGCCCCACCGCATAGTGGTCTGACCCGAGAGATCTGCTTTGGCCTCCTGCCCTGGCAGCTCATGGTGAGGTTCTTCCTCCTGGAGGCCTGTGACCTTGCATAGACTGTTAACAAGATGACTCAGCTCAAGCCAGGCTACCTTGCAAAGTAGCCACTAGACCATCCTTCCATGCCAAAGAGTGGGAAGGGGAGATTTTCCTGCCCTGCCACCACTCCCAGTTCTTTTAGCCTGATTCAAAAAGTATGGAGGATAGATTAGCACAGAGTGAATTGCTGTTTCTGTGCCTTGTGCCAAATCCTAGGAGCATTTTTCTTAGAACTCACCTTCATATAGGTTGAAGGTGGAAGGTGGAAGCTTTCCTTTCGTTTCCCTAGGGAAAAGCCACTGTGTCCCTCTTCATAGACTGACATCTTTTTTTTCAAATGACTCATTTCAAGTATCTCCAGACTTCTGTTTAAATCAAGGACCAGGCTCGTGGTAGCTGGCCTGGTTTTGCTGCTATTTAACAGGTTATGACCTGTTCCTCCTGGGTACTTACTGTTTTTACTTTTAGGACTCTAAATGCAATCAAACATAATAAGAACAGCTCCAGTCAACATTCTATTAAATAAATCATGAACCTTTGCAATAAAAGTATCACTACTAAAGACTATGCAAATAAGGAGGCCCTGGCTTCCAGTTCAGGTGGCTCTGAGCTGAGGGTAAGCACCAGGGCAGTGCCCTTTTACCACATCCGTCCAAGTGGGATCACCCTCTAGTGGGGACCTGGCCCCTTCTCCCAAGCCTGCCAATCAAGTTAAGTGCTTGTCTCTTTAACACTCAAGGAGAGGCACATTCAGGGGAGTTTTAGTCTGGGTGGGTAGAGCAAGGGCTTTCTGCTGAGAGGAAAAAGGCTAGGTCTGAGGACTGAGGGTGCACTGGGGCAGTGGGAATAGTGGGAGGGAAGATGTGGCACCAGGCTAGAGGGACATCCAGGCCAGAGTTGGGCTGCACTGAGGGCCAGGGAAACTGCTCTAGACATATGCAACTTATTCCCAATGGTTCAGAAAAATTTACATATATAAGTATGTGTGTATGTACACATACACACATATATGTGTGCATAAAAAGAAGAGAGAGAACTAATGACAAGCAAATGAGGTAACATATTAATAACAGGAGAATCAGGGTAAGAGGATCATAGGTGTTCTTTGCACCGTTCGTATTTTTGCAACTTTCCATAAATTTGAAATTACTTCCTAATAAAACTTTTTAAAAGGTACCCTTTGAATCTCTACTATAGATAACACAGTCAATGAACTTTGTTCATCTCCCTTCATTTTCTCTTTCCTTCCACTTCATTTCTGCGTTGTAAATAATATTTACATACTGTTCAAAAATCCTGATTCTCACATCTGCTCTAGCCTTGACATTACAGTTAAATATTTTAAATGTCCAGCATCAGTGCTTTTGCCATGGTTTTTCCAGTCATCTCTTGATCAGTTGAAGGTTCCCTTGAGGAGATTCCTTAAGAAAGGCTTATGGGAACAATATCCATGAGATCTTTCTTTAAGCACCTTTTACTATAGCTGATATGCTTGAATGTCAGTGTATTTAGTCCATTTTCATGCTGCTATGAAGAAATGCCTGAGACTGGGTAATTTATAAAGAAAAAGTGGCTTAACAGACTCACAGTTCCACTTGGCTGGGGAGGCCTCACCATCATGGTGGAAGACAGAAGTACAAAGGCACATCTTACATGGCAGCAGGAAAGAGCATGTGCCCGGGAACTGCCCTTCATAAAACCATCAGCTCTTGTGAGATTTGTTCACTGTCATGAGAACAGCATGGGAAAAACAAACCCCCATGATTCAATTACCTCCCACTGGGTCCCTCCCATGACATGTGGGGATTATGGGAGCTACAATTCAAGATGAGATTTGGGTGAGGACACAGCCAAACCATATCGGTCAACTTACCAAAAGACAGAATTCTTGATGCACACTTTGTAGAAACGGCTCCATTATCCTCTGGTAGTAAATACAACTGTGGAGAAACCTGCAGTCAGCTGGTTTTCTTTTACTGCTAAAGAAAAGGCTCGGTCTTTTTTTCTTGGCTGACCAAAGGCTTTTTTGTTGTTGTTATCATTTTAAAGTCCAATTACTTAAATAAGATATGCCTTTGGGTTGATTGATCTGGGCCAACTTTCTCTGGAACACATTTATGTCTCTGGAGATGTAAATGTACAAATTTTAGTCTCTCATTTCAGGAAAATTCTCTTGAGTGATCTCTTTGAATATTTATGGTATGCCATTCCTTTGCCTTGTTTTTTTCTTTAAAGACACCAAATGATATAGTTTGGATGTGTGTCCCTGCCCAGATCTCATGTTGAAATGTAATCCCCAGTGTTGGAGGTGGGACCTGGTGGGAGCTGATAGGATCATGGGAGCGTATTTCTCAAGAATGGTTTAGCACCGTCCCCTTGGTGCCGTCCTTGCCACAGTGAGTGAACTGTCATGAGACGTGGCTTAAAAGTGTGTGGTACCTCTCCCCTCACTCTTTTGCTCCTGCTCTGGCCATGTGACATGCAGTGCTTGCTCTGCCTTCACTTTCTGCCACGATTGTAAGTTTCCTGAGGCCTCCCTAGAAGCTGAGTAGATGGCAGTATCATGCTTCCTGTATAGCCTACAGAACCATGAGCCCAGTAAGCTTCTTTTCTTTATAAAATACCCAGTGTCAGAGTTCTGAAGGATAATGGTGGATGGGAGGCAAGACTAAATTGCAGCTCCCACTCAGACAGAGCAGCATGTAGAGACTCACATCATAAACTTTTGCTTCAAGTAGTACCCCATGAATGTACCAGGAAAGCTGAGAGAATCCACAGACACATTGATGGAAGTGGATTGCTCCTGCAGGCCCCAGGAGACGCTGAAAAACTGTGAGTACCCAAAGTGTGAAAATATGAAAGGGGAATTGTCCGCCCCCAAACACACACCCTCACTGGGAAAACTAAAAGTCCAGATCACGGGAGAAGAATTTGACCTTACCTGGACCTGAAACAAATTTAGAGAGCAAAATATATGGGTAGAAGCAGTGGGAAGAGCCCTGTGAGCTCTCTCAGTCCCCAGGGAAGCCATTTCTGACTGTGTCACAGAGGTCCTTGGGGAGGGCTGCCAGAGGAACTGGGAAAAGACTACAGAGAGAAGGAAACTTCGAGCTGAACTTTGTAACAATTTCAACAGAAGGCAAAGTTACCTGGACAGAACTCAGGGGAGGGGGTGAATCAGGAATGCAGATGCAGCTCAGAAGCCACAGCAGGCAGGGAGGCGTGAAACCTGAAAGCCCTGCTTGCTTTCTCAGCCAAGAGGCTGGTAGCCTGGGGCAGGTTCTCAGCCCTGCTCACCCACTGCCTGGAAATAAACTCAGTGCTGATGGGGGACACGGTGGGAGTGAGACTGGCCTTTTGGGCTGTGTGGAAGCAGGGTGAGGCCTGTGGCTGCCGGCTTTCCCTCACTTCTCTAGCGACCTGCATGACGCAGCAAAGGCAGCCATCACCCACTGGGAACATAACTCCACTGGCCTGAGAACCACACTGCCATTCCCCACAGCAGCCATAGCAAGTCCCACCCAAGGAGACTCTGAACTCAGACATGCCAAGACAGACCATATTATAGGCCACAACACAAGTCTCAGTAAATTTAAGAAAATCAAAATTACATCAAGTACTCTCTCAGACCACAGTGGAAAAAAATTTGAAATCAACTCTGAAAGGAACCCTCAAAACCATGCAAATACATGGAAAATAAATAACCTGCTCCTGAATGATCATTGGGTCAACAATGAAATCAAGACAGAAATTTAAAAATTATTTTGGCAGGGCACAGTGGCTCACACCTGTAATCCTAGCACTTCGGGAGGCCAAGGCGGGCAGATCACTTAAGGCTGGGAGTTTGAGACCAGCCTGACCAACATGGAGAAACCCTGTCTCTACTAAAAATACAAAACTAGCCAGGCGTGGGGGTGCATGCCTGTAATCCCAGCTACTCAGGAAGCTGAGGCAGGAGAATCACTTGAACTCAGGAGGCAGAGGTTGCAGTGAGCGGAGATCACGCCATTACACTCCAGCCTGGGCAACAAGAGCAGCAAAACTCTGTCACAAAAAAAAAATTCTTTTAACTGGACAATAATAGTGATACAACCTATCAAAACCTCTGGGACACAGCAAAGGCAGTGCTAAGAGGAATGTTCATAGCCTTAAATGCCTACATCAAAAAGTCTGAAAGAGCACAAACAGACAATCTAAGGTCAACCTCAAGGAAATAGAAAAACAAGAACAAATCAAACCCAAACCCAGCAGAAGAAAAGAAATAACAAAAATCAGAGCAGAACTAAATGAAATTGAGACAAAAAAATACAAAAACAACAAGCTGTTTCTTTGAAAAGATAAATAACATTGATAGACCACCAGTGAGATTAACCAAGAAGAGAGAAGATCCAAAAAAAAAAAAAAAAGCTCAATTAGAAGCAAAATGGGAAATATCACAACCAATACCACAGAAATACAAAAAAAATCATTCAAGGCTACAATGAACATCTTTACTTGCATAAACTAGAAAACCTAGAGGAGATGAATAAATTCCTGGAAATATACAAGCCTCCTAGATTAAACTAGGAAGAAATAGAAACTCTGAACAGACCAATAACAAGCAGCAAGGTTGAAATGGTAATAAAATAAATTGCTAACAAAAACATCTAGAAGCAGACAGATTCACAGCTGAATTCTATCAGACATTCAAAAACGAATTGGTACCAATCCTATTGACACTATTCCACAACACAGAGAAAGAGGAAATCTTCTCTAAATCATCTATGAAGCCAGTATCACCGTAATACCAAAATCAGGAAAGGATATAACAACAAAAAAACACCACAGACCAATATCCCTGATGAACATAGTTGGAAAAAATCCTTAACAAAATACTAGCTAGTCGAATACAATGGCATATCTAAAAGATAATCCACCATGATCAAGTGAGTTTCATACCAGAAATACAGGAATAGTTTAACATACACAAGTCAATAAATGTGATGCACCATATAAACAGACTTGAAATCATATGATCATCTCAATAGATTCAGAAATAGCATTTGACAAAACCCAGTATCTTTTTATGATTAAAACCCTCAGGAAAATCAGCATAGAAGGGACATATGCCTTAAGGTAATAAAAGCCATCTATGACAGACCCACAGCCAACATAATACTGTTTGGGAAAAAGTTGAAAGTATTCTCCCTGAGATCTGGAACAAAACAAGGATGCCCACTCTCACCACTTCTATTCAACATAATACTGGAAGTCCTAGCCAACAAGAGAAAGAAATCAAGGTTATCAAAATTGGTAAAAAGGAAGTCAAACTGTCCCTGTTTGCTGATGATACGATCATATACATAGAAAACCCTATAAATTACCCAGTCTCAGGTATTTTCTTATACCAATGTGAGAATGGACTAACACATCAAATATGTGCATGCTGTATGCCCTTTGTCTTTTTTCTATAGCTATCATGGGATGGTATTGAATGGAGGCACTTTCCCCAAGTTGGCTGGAATTGGCTCCTAACTCCATCTATTTTTTCAAGGGGAAACTAATTGAGTCAGGTTGTATCTGATAAGCAGAATGTGTACCACACCAACCTGCCGGAATTTGGCTTCCATTTTCCAATAATATGTTTTCCTCTTCTCCTTTCATCAAAACAAGCAGCTGACCCTCACTGTCCTATCACTAGGAAGAAGGCTGCATGAGAAGGAAGGGGCTCCCTTCTCATTGGTTTTAAAGTCCTAAGACTCACGTTTCCGTATCTCTCAGGATAACAAAATGATCAAATGAGAAAGGTACAAACACAATTTTATGGTTAGTATTTGTTGATGAGTAGTGTGTTCTTTTTACCTTCCATTCACACTAAGTGCAGTGCAAAAAAGAAATCTGGTCTCCTCTTTACCTTTTTACCTCTCAGAACTTCAGTTTTATCTCCTGTAAAATAAGGTCAATAAAAGGTGTCTTGCAAGATTCTTGCAAGGATTAGTGATAGAATAGGTAACCTTCAGCTATGGTTTGTGGCATACAGTAAGTGCTTGACAGCTAGACAGGTATTGATCTTCCTATCATCATATCCCTTTGCTTTCCTCTTTTATATTTAGAAAGAACCCATCTCAATGGAAATAAAAAATGACTTTTGGGAATTTAGCCTCTCCCACAGTTGATAGAATTATAGAAAGGAAGTTTAAAACAAAATCTCTCATTTGATTTTAACTCAATTTAGAAAACTCAAATTTTAGGGCACCCTGATTTACAACTTTAATATTTTTTAAAAAACAGTAGGAAAAAATATCTTACTTATATTTATTACTGTGGTAATAAAACACTAATCTGTTCAAGAAAGATAATTTGAAAAGTAGTTTTGAAAAATCACTTAAATGTTGAGTAGATCCAATAATGTTGAGTAGTAAGATCCAATAAAACATAGTGAAAATAGTACAGGTTTGGACATAAAAAATGCCAAGCCAGAGGACTTGGGCTTAAACTACACAACTCTTTTGAACTCCAAGTTTCTCATCTATAAAATGGCACTTATTTATTTCTCTCATAGGACAGTAGGGTTAAATGAAATAAGAGATATGAAGAGGCTATGCAATTTTAATTATTATCTACTGTGTCCCAAAGTATTTGTATTATAAAAATAACTTTGGGATTCATTATTCATGCTTGTGAGTCTGGATTTCTATAGTTTCCATATTTGCCAGGGTCAAGGTGGAAGCTACTCAAAATAGCAATTATTACCTTTGCCTAGGTGTTATCTAAGCACCTGGCAGCTAAAAAGGGAGCCAAGGATACCTTAATTGCCACCTCCCTTTCAATAATTTTCTTGAAGTCTATTAATGTTGCTTTTGCATGAAATGTTTCAGCATCTGGTCAGGCCAGGCAGGCACCCTCAGATCAGTTCAGCAGGTACTAAGGCCAACTAAGGAAATGAAACCAAAGAGCAATGGGAACAAGATTCTTTGTCTGCATCCATTTCTAGGGCAAACAGTCAATTACATCTTTATTGTTACAGCTGGGGAAAGATCTTCACAAATTTGCCATTTCCCAAGCTTTCTAATAGCTAGCTATTCTTATGTGGTTCCTGCACTCAGCCAGTTGTCTGTCATCCAAAAACATTCTGAGAAGAATGTCTTTATTTTAAAATTCTGTGTGGGTGCAATATTCTTATAAGCTCTGTGAAATCATATCCTTTAGTTTTCTAGGTGTGGTATCTTATTGTTGTGATCTCTGAATAATGCAATTATCAGAAGATATAGTCATAAAAAGACTTCAGTAAACAGTTTGTGTTTTCTACATGTCACATTGAAGGGGCATGTGAAATAAACACTGCCACTATTTTTGCTATCTCACCTACAACTTCTAGGCACAGTGCACAGCCATTCCTGTGAGCTCACTCTATCCAACATAAGCCATGTGTCATCCATGATGAAGGTATCCTTCAACTATAGCAATAGCTTCATTCTTGGGGCTATTCAACATCTGCCAGGTTTAGTTTATCTTATTAACATTTTTAAAAGGCAATCTTTTTGAGTGTCTACAACTCACACTAGAAAAAAAAATCGATGAAGTAGAAATCACTGTCTTGAAGAAAATTTCTAGAATGTCAAGTATTTTCTGACTTTCCAGTCGGGGCTGGTTCATCATGATGACTGCATTCTTGCATGATAAGCTCCTATTTCCTATCAATTGTGCATCAATTTACAGTATTGGACACTACTTAGCCAAGATTGTCTGATGGATCTAAGATATAACTTGCCAACAGCACAAGAAAAATGCTTTTTACATAATGAAACTGCAAATAAATGAAAAAGGCTTTGATATTATCCAGGGATCAAGAAGAATTCTCTCCCAAAACCCCTCCCCTCACTATGATTCTTTGGTACTTTTAAAATTTGAACTAATCATGTGGTTTGTAGCATTTAGCTTGCATGATTATGATAGAAGTGTGTGATAAAACCATTTCAACTGGATAGAAGGAGAGAATATATAAAATAATGAGTTACATTGGTAACTGGATTATTGTCTATATGACCAATTTATCCCCTCAGAAGGATTTTGATGAAATGCTGAAAGATTGCACGTGTTGGAAAGATAAAGTGAACAGCTATGTTGGAAACATAAGGAGCTGACTTGACAAATGTGCTTTCACAATGAATAACCAGAGCATCCATCAAAACAAAGGCCAATGCCTAGAAGAAAACGTGCGTAGCCACTGCATTGGCCCATGTCAATAGATGGTGCAGGTTTTTGAAAAGACCAGATGTATGCACCTCTAGGACCAATCAAACAAGGCTTATTTTTCAGAGGACACCAAATAAGTCAGCTTAGTCAAGATATACAACAGTAATATCACCATCAATTGCTGCCCAGGCTGTGCACTGCCCAATTCCAGAGTCACAATTCAATCGCAATGCACTGTGACTAGAACCCTCTGCAACTTGGCACCCTGCTAGAAAGACAGAGTTGCATTATCTCAGACAGATGCAGCCTTTAGACTCACCCCCAATACCTCTCTATAGGGTTTTCAAAGTTGCAGATGATAATGTTTGAGTGACTTTCTAGAAGCACAACTACATCTCTCCAGCCCCAGCTTCATAGGCATCAGCCCAGCATGTTTCTCCACACAGCTTCACAGGGATACATTCCAGAGGTCACCATATGCAATCCAGGTATATTTCATCAGTCTCTGTGATATGTAATACATAATACACAGCTTGTTCAGTCATGGACAAAAGCCTTATTCATCACCCTCATTCTCTCCAGGCTGGTACATCCCGGTCTAGGAACATTCTTAATGCTGCAGGTTGGGCCATTTTCCCAGTCTCTGGGAGCCATACTTACAAGCCCTTAGACTAGCTGAGTTTATTGTGAATGCTGAAATGCAAGGAGCATTGGGACCGTACATTCCCATTCTGACTTTATAACATAAGGCCCAGAGAAAGATAACTTTGAGGAAGACTTCATGCAGAAGTGATGCTATACTCTTTATCTTCATATCAGCCAATAAGAGGAGTCAGCTTGTGTCAGTCTGTGACATAAAGCAAGCATTGGGCAATGGGTATCGCATGTGCTTTAAAGACTTACAGAAATGAGTGTGACTCCTAGTTCTGCAATGGAGCCTCTGCCTTATATTGGGTCAGGCGCTTGGTCTCTATGAAGATTTTTTTTCGCTTATGATATTGTAATAACACTTAACTCCCAGGATTAACAATAGGATTAATGAAATGTGTATAGAGCTCCTGGTACAGTTCCTAGCATGTGGTAGGTGACTAATGACTAGTACCTATTAATTTTATTATAAGAATGAACTCTAAATCATGAGAACAATTGTATAGCACTAAGTGAAAGAGTATGTGTATGTGTGTGCATTCATAGCATTGTATTTTTATAGTAAGTTTGAAAATTAATCCTAATTATACAAATTAATAGAAGAATACAGTCTCCTTTTAAAAGAAAATAGAACATTATAGAAGAAATTAAAATTTATTTTGGCCACTCACTACCACTCCCCATTAATTCCATTTTCTTCTCTACCTCCTAGAACCAATCAAGATTTTTATATTTAAACATATATGTGTGTAAAAGTACATGCTTTAAAAATTATCAAGACTTAGCCATTCCAGCCTTTGGGCTCTAGAGAGTCCAATCCCAATGGTGGTAGAAGGGATCACCCAACACAGCACAGCTGCTCTGCCAACAGATGGCCAGACTGCTTCTTTAACTTGGTCCCTGATTGCACCCCTAACTCAGCAGGACCTCCCAGCTAGGACCTTCAGCCACCCTCGCCTGTGTTCCCCAGCCAACAGAGATTTGAATTTCTTCTGTGACAGCACTCCCAGAGGGAGGGGAGGGCCACCATCTTTCCTGTTTGGGCAACTTAGCAGTTTCAGCCTTCAGGCACTGTTTTGGTCTAAGCCAAATGGAGCAGAATGAATCCCACAGTATAACACAGTTGGTCTACCCAAGCATGGCCAGACTGCTTCTTTAAGTGGGTGCGCAATCCCATCCCTCTTAACTGGGCAGGACCTCCCAACTGGGGTCTCCAGCAGCCCCTGTCGGTGTTCTCCAGCCAACAGAGATTTGTAACCTCCCTAGGCTGGAGCTCCCAGAGGGAGAGGTGGGCCACCATCTTTGCTGTTTAGGCAACTTAGCCATTCCAGCCTTTGGGCTTCAGAATGTTGGAGGTGACTGGGGGCTGAAGTGGACCCCCAGCATAGCATAGATGTTCTACCAAAACATAGACACACTGCTTTTTAAAGTGGGCCCTCAATTCTGTTCCTCCTCACTGGGCAGGAACTCCCAACTGGGGTCTTCAGCCACCTCCTACAGGGCTGGAAACAAGTCTGTACCTCCCTGAGACAAAGCTTCCAGAGGGAGGGGCAGGCTGCCATCTTTGCTGTTTCACAGCCTTCACTGGTGATACCTTAAGGTGCTGGAAAACCTGAGGTGACTAAGGACTGGAGTGGGCCCTAAGCATACTACAGCAGCCCTGTGGAAAAGTAACCAGACTGTTATGTGGGTGCACATTCCCATGTCTCCTCACCAGGCAGGTCCTCCAGGCCTGGGCCTCCAGCCATCCCCCACCAGAGCTATTGAGTCAGTAGCAGCCCAGCAACTCCCTGGACAGGGCCTCCAGGGGCAACTGAAAGCCTCTCTGCCACTGCCTCTGCAGCAGAAGTGCCCTTGCTACCTTCAGACTAAAAAAGGAGCAATTACCTTAAGTACTTTATCTACACCTTCAACAAGCTCCAGCCAACCAAAGGAGAGGTGGCCAGTCCATCTGTTATGGGCCACCACCCACCCCCACAAACTGCTTGTCACCAGATAGGGAACTCCTGGCTTGGGCCTACAGCACAAACCCTCCATCTTGGGTTGGTTGCACTGAGCAATTGCTGAACTGCATTTCTCTGGTGGAACCCCCAGGAAACAAGCAAATGAACCTCAGCCACAACCACTACTAAGATCCCTTCCTCTGCAGCAGGCAGCCCAGGAGTGCCAAGTTGTGGTCTACAGCCAGCACTCAAGGTGGAAAGGAACCTACACTTTCAGAGAACTGAGAAGGAACATGGCTGCAACCGTGAGGAAATATCAGGGAGCCACACAACTGAGCAAGAGTCTATTAATTGACCAATAAGCCCAGTGCCACCGGCTGCATCACACCTCAAAGCTTCAACACCAAATATACCTCACTAACATATCCCCCTATGAACTAGAGACAAAAAGGCAGCTTCAAATAAAGACCCCGCACAAAGCCTCGACCTGGTGAAAACATCCAGAAAATAAGTCTACACTGCAGTTAAAGGAGCACCCATACCCAGAGATGAGAAAGAAGCAATGTGAGAATTCCGGTAACTTGAATGGTCAGAGTGTTTTATGTTCTCCAAATGACCATACCAGTTCTTCAACAAGAGTACTTAACCAGGCTGAACTGGCTGGAATGACAGAAATAGAATTCAGAATATGGACAGGAACAAAGATCATTGAGATTCAGGAGAACAGCAAAACCCAATCCAAGGAAAATAAGAATCACAATAAAGTGATACTGGAGCTGAAGGACAAAATAGCCAGTATTAAAATGAATCTAACAGGTCCGACGAGCTGAATAACACAATACAAGAATTTCACAATGCAATTACAAGTGTTAACAGCAGAATAAATCAAGCTGAGGAAAGAATCTCAGAACTTGAAGATTGGTTCTCTGAAATAAGACAGTCAGACAAAAATAAAGAAAGAAAAACACTAAATAAAAAGAAATCAGCAAAACCTCCAAGAAGTATGGGATTATGTAAAGAGGCCAAATCTATGAATTGTTGGCATCACCGAAGGTGGGGGAGAAAGCAAACAACTTGGAAAACATATTTCAGGATATCATCCATAAAAACTTCTCCAACTTTGCTAGAGAGGCCAACAGTCAAATTAAGGAAATACAGAGAACTCCTGCAAGATTCTACACAAGATCATCCCAAGACACAAAATCCTCAGATTTTCCAAGGTCAAAATGAAAGAAAGAAAAAATGTTAAAGGCTGCTAGAGAAAAAAGGGCAGGTAACCTACAAGGGAGCCCCATCAGGCTTAAAGCAGACCTTTCAGCTAAAACCCTGCAAACCAGAAGAGATTAGGGGCTTATATTCTACATCCTTAAAGAAAAAAAGAATCTTCAACTATGAATTTTATACCCAGACAAACTAAGCTTTCTAAGTGAAGGAGAAATAAGATCCTTTTCAGATAAGCAAATGTTGAAGGAATTCATTACCATCAGACCTGCCCTACAAGAGATCTTGAAAAGAGCACTAAATATAGAAAGGAAAGACTGCTACTAGCTAATACAAAAAACACACTTAACCACACAGACCAGTGTCACAGTTAAGCAACCACACAAGCAAGTCAACATAATAACCAGCCAACAGCACAATGACAGTATCAAATCCACACATATCAACACTAACCTTGACTGTAAACAGGCTAAATGCACCACTTAAAAGGAACAGAGTGGCAAGCTTGATAAAAAAGCCAGAACCCATGATATGCTGTCTTCAAGACATCCGTCTCACACTTAATGACACTCATAGGCTCAAAATAAAGGAATGGAGGAAAATCTACCAAGCAAATGAAAAAGAGAAAAAAGAAAGAGTTGCAATCCTAATTTCAGACAAAATAGATTTCAATCCAACAAAGGTAAAAAAGAGAAATAAAGACATTACATAATGGTAGATGGTTCAATTCAACAGGAAGATCTAGCTATCCTAAATATATATGCACCCAACACAGGAGCACCTAGATTCATAAAGCAGGTTCTTAGAGACTTATGAAGAGACAGACTCCCACACAATAATATTAGGAGACTTCAACACTCCACTGACAGTATTAGACAGATCATCAAGGCAGAAAACTAGCAAAGATATTCAGGACCTAAACTCAATATTGGACCAAATGGATCTGATAGACCTTTGCAGAATTCTTCACTCCAAAACAACAGAATATACATTCTTCTCATTGTCACATGGCATATACTCTAAAATCAATCACATAATTGAACATAAAACAATCCTTAACTAATGTAAAAGAACCAAAGTCATGCCAAGGACACTCTCAGACCACAGCACAATAAAAATAGAAGTCAAGAGTATAAAAGTCACTCAAAACCATGAAATTACATGGAAATTAAACAACATGCTCCTGAACGACTTTTGGGCAAATAATGAAATTAAGCCAGAAATCAAGAAATTATTTGAAAATAATGAGAACAAAAATAAAACATATCAGAATCTCTGGGACACAGCTAAGGCAGTGTTAAAAGAGAAACTCATAGCACTAAATGCCCACATCAAAAAGTTAAAAGATCTCATATTAACAACATAACTTCACAAGAATGAATTAGAGAAGCAAGAATAAATCAACCCCAAAGCTAGCAGAAGACAATAAATAACAAAAATCAGAGATGAACTGAAGGAAACCAAGTCACACAAAACCACTCAAGGGACCAATGAATCCAGCAGTTCGGTTTTTGAAAAAATTAATAAAATAGATAAGCCACTAGCTAGACTAATAAAGAAGAAAAGAGAGAAGATCCAAATAAACACAATTAGAAATGATGAAGGGAATGTTACTACTGACCCCACAGAAATAAAGATAACCATCAGTTACCCACAAAGGGAAGCCCATCAGACTAACAGCCAATCTCTCGGCAGAAACTCTACAAGCCAGAAGAGAGTGGGGGCCAATATTCAACATTCTTAAAGAAAAGAATTTTCAACCCAGAATTTCATATCCAGCCAAACTAAGCTTCATAAGTGAAGGAGAAATAAAATACTTTACAGACAAGCAAATGCTGAGAGATTTTGTCACCACCAGGCCTGCCCTACAAGAGCTCCTGAAGGAAGCGCTAAACATGGAAAGGAACAACCGGTACCAGCCACTGCAAAAACATGCCAAATTGTAAAGACCGTCAAGGCTAGGAAGAAACTGCATCAACTAATGAGTAAAATAACCAGCTAACATCATAATGACAGGATCAAATTCACACATAACAATGCTAACCTTAAATGTAAATGGGCTAAATGCTCCAATTAAAAGGCACAGACTGACAAATTGGATAAAGAGTCAAGAACCATCAGTGTGCTGTATTCAGGAAACCCATATCACATGCAGAGACACACATAGGCTCAAAATAAAGGGATGGAGGAAGATCTACCAAGCAAATGGAAAACAAAAAAAGGCAGGGGTTGCAATCCTAGTCTCGGATAAAACAGACTTTAAACCAACAAAGATCAAAAGAGACAAACAAGGCCATTACATAATGGTAAAGGGATCAACTCAACAAGAAGAGCTAACTATCCTAAATATGTATGCACCCAATACAGGAGCACCCAGATTCATAAAGGAAGTCCTTAGTGACCTACAAAGAGACTTAGACTCCCACACAATAATAATGGGAGACTTTAACACCCCACTGTCAACATTAGACAGATCAAGGAGGCAGAAGGTTAACAAGGATATCCGGGAATTGAACTCAGCTCTGCACCAAGCAGACCTAATAGACATCTACAGAACTCTCCACCCCAAATCAACAGAATATACAGTCTTTTCAGCACCACACCACACCTATTCCAAAATTGACCATATAGTTGGAAGTAAAGCACTCCTCAGCAAATGTAAAAGAACAGAAATTATAACAAACTGTCTCTCAGACCACAGTGCAATCAAACTAGAACTCAGGATTAAGAAACTCACTCAAAACCACTCAACTACATGGAAACTGAACAACCTGCTCTGGAATGACTACTGGGTACATAACGAAATGAAGGCAGAAATAAAGATGTTCTTTGAAACCAACGAGAACAAAGACACAACATACCAGAATATCTAGGACACATTCAAAGCAGTGTGTAGAGGGAAATTCATAGCACTAAATGCCCACAAGAGAAAGCAGGAAAGATCTAAAACGGACACCCTAACATCACAATTAAAAGAACTAGAGAAGCAAGAGCAAACACATTCAAAAGCTAGCAGAAGGCAAGAAATAACTAAGATCAGAGCAGAACTGAAGGAAATAGAGACACAAAAAACCCTTCAAAAAATCGATGAATCCAGGAGCTGGTTTTTTGAAAAGATCAACATAATTGATAGACTGCTAGCAAGACTAAAGAAGAAGAAAAGAGAGAAGAATCAAATAGACACAATAAAAAATGACAAAGGGGATATTACCACTGATCCCACAGAAATACAAACTACCATCAGAGAATACTATAAATACCTCTACGCAAATAAACTAGAAAATCTCGAAGAAACGGATAAATTCCTCGATACATACACTCTCCCAAAACTAAACCAGGAAGAAGTTGAATCTCTGAATAGACCAATAACAGGCTCTGAAATTGTGGCAATAATCCATAGCTTACCAACCAAAAGGAGTCCAGGACCAGATGGATTCACAGCGGAATTCTACCAGAGGTACAAGGAGGAACTGGTACCATTCCTTCTGAAACTATTCCAATCAATAGAAAAAGAGGGAATCCTCCCTAACTCATGTTATGAGGCCAGCATCATCCTGATACCAAAGCCTCACAGAGACACAACCAAAAAAGAGAATTTTAGACCAATATCCTTGATGAACATTGATGCAAAAATCCTCAATAAAATACTGGCAAGCTGAATCCAGCAACACATCAAATAGCTTATCCACCATGATCAAGTGGGCTTCATCCCTGGGATGAAAGGCTGGTTCAACATATGCAAATCAATAAACATAATCTAGCATATAAACAGAACCAAAGACCAAAACCACATGATTATCTCAATAGATGCAGAAAAGGCCTTTGACAAAATTCAGCAACCCTTCATGCTAAAAACTCTCAATAAATTAGGTATTGATGGGACGTATCTCAAAATAATAAGAGCTGTCTATGACAAACCCACAGCCAATATCATACTGAATGGACAAAAACTGGAAGCATTCCCTTTGAAAACTGGCACAAGATAGGGATGCCCTCTCTCACCACTCCTATTCAACATAGTGTTGGAAGTTCTGGCCAGGGCAATCAGGCAGGAGAAGGAAATAAAGAGCATTCAATTAGGAAAAGAGGAAGTCAAATTGTCCCTGTTTGCAGATGACATGATTGTATATCTAGAAAACCCCATTATCTCAGCCCAAAATCTCCTTAAGCTGATAAGCAACTTCAGCAAAGTCTCAGGATACAAAATCAATGTGCAAAAATCACAAGCATTCTTATACACCAATAACAGACAAACAGCCAAATCATGAGTGAACTCCCACTCACAATTGCTTCAAAGAGAATAAAATACCTAGGAATTCAACTTACAAGGGATGTGAAGGACCTCTTCAAGGAGAACTACAAACCACTGCTCAATGAAATAAAAGAGGATACAAACAAATGGAAGAACATTCCATGCTCATGGGTAGGAAGAATCAACATCGTGAAAATGGCCATACTGCCCAAGGTAATTTATAGATTCAATGCCATCCCCATCAAGCTACCAATGCCTTTCTTCACAGAATTGGAAAAAACTACTTTAAAGTTCATATGGAACCAAAAAAGAGCCCACATTGCCAAGACAATCCTAAGCCAAAAGAACAAAGCTGGAGGCATCATGCTACCTGACTTCAAACTATACTACAAGGCTACAGTAACCAAACAGCATGGTACTGGTACCAAAACAGAGATGTAGACCAATGGAACAGAACAGAGCCCTCAGAAATAATGCTGCATATCTACAACCATCTGATCTTTGACAAACCTGACAAAAACAAGCAATGGGGAAAGGATTCCCGATTCCCTATTTAATAAATGGTGCTGGGAAAACTGGCTAGCCATATGTAGAAAGCCAAAACTGGACCCTTCCTTACACCTTATACAAAAATTAATTCAAGATGGATTAAAGACTTACATGTTAGACCTAAAACCATAAAAACCCTAGAAGAAAACCTAGGCAATACCATTCAGGACATAGGCATGGGCAAGGACTTCATGTCTAAAACACCGAAAGCAATGGCAACAAAAGCTGAAATTGATAAATGGGATCTAATTAAACTAAAGAGCTTCTGCACAGCAAAAGAAACCAACGTCAGAGTGAACAGGCAACCTACAAAATGGGAGAAAATTTTTGCAACCTACTCATCTGACAAAGGGCTAATATCCAGAATCTACAATGAACTCCAACAAATTTACAAGAAAAAAACAAAGAACCCCATCAAAAAGTGGGCAAAGGATATGAACAGACACTTCTCAGAAGAAGACATTTATGCAGCCAAAAAATACATGAAAAAATGCTCATCATCACTGGCCATCAGAGAAATGCAAATCAAAACCACAATGAGATACCATCTCACACCAGTTAGAATGGCAATCATTAAAAAGTCAGGAATCAACAGGTGCTGGAGAGGATATGGAGAAATAGGAACACTTTTACACTGTTGGTGGGACTGTAAACTAGTTCAACCATTGTGGAAGTCAGTGTGGCAATTCCTCAGGGATCTAGAACTAGAAATACCATTTGACCCACCCATCCCATTACTGGGTATATACCCAAAAGATTATAAATAATGCTGCTATAAAGACACATGCACATGTATGTTTATTGTGGCACTATTCACAATAGCAAAGACTTGGAACCAACCCAAATGTCCAACAATGATAGACTGGATTAAGAAAATATGGCACATATACACCATGGAATACTATGCAGCCATAAAAAATGATGAGTTCATGTCCTTTGTAGGGACATGGATGAAGCTGGAAACCATCATTCTCAGCAAACTATCACAAGGACAAAAAACCAAACACCGCATGTTTTCACTCATAGGTGGGAATTGAACAATGAGAACACATGGACACAGGAAGGGGAACATCACACACTGGGGACTGTTGTGGGGTGAGGGGAGGGGGGAGGGATAGCACTGGGAGATATACCTAATGCTAAATGACGAGTTAATGGGTGCAGCACACCAACATGGCACATGTACACATATGTAACAAACCTGCACGTTGTGCACATGTACCCTAAAACTTAAAGTATAATAATAATTAGAAAAATGAAATAAAAATAAAAATAACCATCAAAAATTACTGGGTACACCTCTACACGCACAAACTAGAAAACCTAGAAGAGATGGATAAATTCCTGGACACATACATCCTCTCAAGACTGAGCCAGGAAGAAACTGGTTCCCTGAATAGACCAATAACAAGCTCCAAAATTGAATCAGTAATCAATAACCGACCAACCAAAAAATGCTTAAGACATGACAGATTCACAGCTGAACTCTATCAGATGCACAAAAAAGAGCTGGTGCCATTCCTAGAGAAACTATTCCTAATGATTGAGGAGGAAGGACTCCACCTCAACTCATTCTATGAGGCCAGCATCATCTTGATACTAACATCTGGTAGACACACAGCAATAATAATTTTAAAAAAACCTTCATACCAATATCCTCGATGAACATTGATGCAAAAATCCTCAACAAAATACTTGCAAACTGAATCCAGCAGCATATCCAAAAGCTAATCCACCATGATCAAGTAGGCTTCATCCCCAGGATTCGAGGTTGGTTTAACATATGCAAATTAATAAATGCGGTTCATCACAGAAAGATAAATAAGACAAAACCACATGCTTATCTCAATGGATACAGAAAATGCTTTTGAAAAAATTCAACACCTCTTCATGTTAAAAACTCTCAGTAAACTAGGTATTGAAGGAACATACCTCAAAATAATAAGAGCCATCTATGACAAACCCATAGCCAACATTATATTGAATGGGGAAAAGCTGGAACCATTCCCCTTGAAAACTGGCACAAGACAAGGATGCCCTCTCTCACCACTTCTATTCTACATAGTATTGGATGTCCTAACCAGAAAAATCAGTCAGGAGAAAGAAATAAAGGGCATCCAAATAGGAAAAGAGGAAGTCGAATTATCTCTGTTTTCAGACAACTTGATTGTGTATCTAGAAAACTCCATTGTCTCAGCCCAAAAGCCCCTCCATCTGATAAACAATTTCAGCAAAGTTGCAGGATACAAAATCAATGTACAAAAATCACTACCATTTCTATACGCCAACAATGGCCAAACCAAGAGCCAAATCAGAAAGGCAACCACATTCACAATTGCCACAAAAAGAATAAAATACCTAGGAATGCAGCTAACCAGGGAGGTGAAAGATCTCTACAATGAGCATTACAAAACACCACTCAAAGAAATCAGAGAATACACACACAAATGGAAAAATATCCCATGATCATGGATAGGAAGAATCAGTATCATTAAAATGGCTATACTGCCCAGAACAATTTATATATTAAATACTATTCCTGTCAAACTACTATTGACATTCTTCACAGAACTAGAAAAAGCTATTTTAAACTTCATATGGAACTAAAAAAGAGCTCCAATAGCCAAGGTAATCCTAAGCAAAAAGAACAAAGCTGGAGACATCACATTACCCGACTTCAAACTATACTACAAAGCTTACCAAAACAGCATGGTACTGGTACAAAAACAGACACATAGACCGATGGAACACAATAGAGAGCCCAGAAATAAGGCCATACACCTGTGACCATCTGATCTTCAACAAAGCTGACAAAAACAAGCAATGGGGAAAAGACTCACTATTCCATAAATGGTTCTGGGATAACTGGCTAGCCATATGCGGAAGATAGAAGCTGAACCCTTTCCTTACACCATACAAAAAAATCAACTCGAGATGGATTAAAGGCATAAATGCAAAACTCAAAACTATAAAAACTCTGGAAGACAACCTAGGCAATACCATCCTGGACATAGGAAAGGCAAAGATTTCATGACAAAGTTATTAAGTAGTCCATCCTTTCTTCCTTCCCACTCTCATATCCCAAGTATCCACGTGTATATGAATCTCTTTCTGGCCGTTTTGGTTCATTAATCTATTTGTCTACTCCAGCAATAATACTACTTTATTTACCCTACCTTTGTAATAAAGTTTAATATCTGATAGGTTAAGTCCAACTCATTTGACTTACTTTTCAGGATTGTTTTGATTAGCCTTCCATATTTAGTATGGTCAAAATGTCAGATTCAGTTTATCAATTATTATGAAAAGTCTCATGGGGCTATTGAATGAAACTACATTTATTTTATGTATTAATTTGGGAAAAAAGCAGCATTTTTATTATAATGTGTCTTTCTTTCAATGGTATCTCACCATTTATTGGTGTCTAATGTCCTTCAATAACATTTCATATTTTTTTCTGAAATGTATTCTTCTTGTTAAGTGTACTTCTTGTTACTTCAATGTCTTTGTTGCTATTGTAAATAGTATTTTCTTAAGAGTAATTGCCCAGGTATATGGAAGCCATTTATTTTTCTACATTGATTTCATATCAGATCCACTTCCAGACTAACTCACGTACTTCTAATAGTCATTCATTATGTGTTTTCCAGCTAAACAATATATTATCTATAAATAACCATGGTTTTTCTGTTTTTTAATCATCATACCTTTCACTTCTTATTTTTGACTTGTTGCCTTCATCTAATACAATTGGAATATTAGCTGTGACAGCCAGCTTCCTTGTGTTATTCCTTGCTTTACTTGTAATGCTTCTAAGTTTCAACTTTAAGTACAATCTTTGCTAGATAAATCTGGTAAATAACCTTCATCAGGCTAGGGATAGTTTCTTCTATCCCTAGCTTGCTATTTTGTGTATGTATGTGTATGTGTGTATTTTAATCATGCACAGGTATTGAATTTTGAATTTCTAATTAGTTTTTTCTTTTAGCTGCTTGTAATTTGTTTCCTGGGTGCAATATTTTCCCTAATCTTTCTGATAACAGCATCAGATTCATTGTAAGCAATGTGTTCTTAATGCCTTATTAGCTGTTTTTTCAGACTAGGTTTTGCATTTGTCTTCCTTTTGTTGCTCTTCTGTGTGTGGATTTGAATTTTTTTAAAAAAATAAATTGTGTTTTGTTGTCTTCCTAAGGCAGCAAGTTCATTTCCTTATGAATATTATCAGCTATCATTTCTGTAGTCTCTCATTCTTGACCCTGAGTTCATCTCTCTGCTGTGATTTCCACAGATGGACAGCTGCCTCTCTATAAGACGACTGCCTTGGGGGAAAAGGCAAGGGGAATGGGGCTCCACAGGGCTTTACAGGAGCGTAAGGAGAGGGCAGGATGCCCCTAATGGGATGTCTTGGCAACTGGCCTTCTGGGCTTAACAGTTCCTGTTCCTCCACCTGTCACCAAGGGCTTGGCTGTCTGTTCCAAAGAATTGCTTCTTCTGGAAACAGATACTCCTATCAGAGCTTCCTAGTCCTAAAATAGAGAGAGAGAGAGACAGAGAGAGAGAGAGATTGACTGAGGGACTGATTTTAAGGGGTTCACCAGCCAAGTAGATTTTACGATAATCCAATTAAATCCCTCCTTATTGCCTCTTGGCTTTATCCAGCCGCTGATTTTGTTCTCACTCTTTGTGGTGTCACTCTCCCCTAGACTTCTGCACATGTTTGGGGTTGCTTTTCTTCTCTTTAGAATCTGATCCAATTTGTTTTAAGTAATTTAGAGATTCATCACGATTTTTGAAAACGTTTCATCTTTTAAGGGAGAGAGTGTGACTATGTATTTGTTTTTATATCTATACATATACATATATATATACACAGACACACACAAATATGTATGCATACATACTTTCATTTCTAGAGTTTATTGTAGCGTATTAGGGTTCAATGTGTGCTCAGCCTACTATTTGGAAATCAGATCATTCTGTCTTTAAATCAGAAGTATTTGTACACTGGGAAATTTTCCTAAACTTGAATCTGATGTCTTGAATAACACAAGGCATTGATTACATACATTGGAAAAGCAGCATCAAATATGATTTTATCAACTCTGATTTCATCTCAGAAGGGCCTCCTTCAATCTAAATACAGGGGGGTAGGTGTTGACCAATATGAAAGCAATCTGCAAATGGTTGCATTTTGGTCTCATTAACTCCCTTTATTAGATCTGTGACCTTGAATAAGGTATTCAGTATCTCTGACCCTCAGTTGTGTTATTGCGAAGGTCAGGTAAAAAAAAAATGTACGTGAAGGTAGTTTATAATCAGCTAAACACTGTGCATGAAAATGATCATTGCTGGCATTACCCTGTTATCTTTGATTTCTCATCTGTCACACCTCAATTTTCAAGTTGTTCACATGTTTGTCAATATATGTTGCCTATTTATATAGAAATTTACTTGATGGAAATATTGGTAAATTATTCCTGAAAGCTGAAAACACATCGTTTTGAATATACAATTCATGTTGACTGAGAGAATATAGTGCTGTGGTTCTTAGTATGGATTTTAGAGTCAGGTAGATGTGGGCTCTAATCCTCGTTTGTTTATTTCCTAAATCCTTTCTTGAGACAATCACAACTCCTTGGCAGTTATGCAACATGAGGAGTCCTTCATGCTGTTATTCTTGCAATTACTTCAGATGACTTGCAGGATTAGGAGACCATCTCTGTGTCTCATTAAAATCCTGTGTTTGAAAGGTGCAACTAAGAATGTCTCATAGAAGATTGTTGGCATATCCTGACAAGAGGACGTTCCTGGATTTCTATTGCTCAACATGTCAATCTTTTATTGAATCAATCATTCAATCTCGCTAAATTGCTAGTGCAGCTTCCCATCTTCCTATCCAAACTTACTGAGAATTTACTGGACCAAAAAATATATATCCTAGATTTCTGCTCTGTATGCACCAATGTTTTAGGGTTATTTCGTGTTAGTCTTTATAGGAAACTATAGAGTTGAGTCTTGCCTCAGTTGAGGTCATGAGGCCTGCATATAATGAGGCTCATGTGGCAACATCACATTGATCAACCAAAGTCATTTTCCAGAGGGGATCGCAAACACATCACCTACCGATTGCTAGTGTTATAGGGTTCTGTTTAGTATGTTTCATTCTGAGTGTTTGTTTATTTGTCTATACTTCCTAGAAATTTCCAGGAATATAATGTCAGGACACAATAATTTACTCTTTGCAAACAGTGAAATCACTAGGGTATTCTAAGCTTGAGAAGGACGATAGATCTAGATGATCAGGATTCTTCTAGCACTGAAAATCTATAATTCTATATGAATTCTTGCAAATTTCACACAACAGGATGTCTGTCCCTCTACTAATTCAACAATAACATCAGTTAAGAGAAAAGGATTGTGTGTGACAAGATATCTCTTTGGTACTCCTTGTACTTTACAGACAAAGAAGATAATTTGGCACTGAGTAATTTTGAAGAAGTAAAGGTTAATTTATTAAAAAATTCACTTTGTTGTCATCTCACTGCTCTTCTGTGTGGATTTGAATTTTTTAAAAAAGAAGTTATGTTTTGTTGTCTTCCTAAGACAGCAAGTTCATTTCCTTATGAATATTATCAGCTATCATATCTGCTAAGGGTCATTAAATACAAGCAGGGCTTACCACACAAGGACCTGGAGCATCAACTAACCCCTGCACTTGCTATGCATTACCAGAGGCAAACTCATGACATTCTGACTCCAGTAATGGAACTTGTCATTCAAAGAAGAAACAAACAATATAATTATTAATCATCAGGCACCTATAGTTTGAAACCTTGATAATTGAATTCTTGTTAATGAGAAGTAAAATATAAGATAAATGATCCACAAATTTAATCTGGAGCTTAAATGGTCTCCATTGCTCCCTGGATAGCCATGCGGTTCCGTGGCATATTGGCAAGAGCATGGAACGTAGTGAGGTCATACTACCCAGTAGCTGTGTAACCTTATAGAAAGACACATATCCGAACCTGTCAGATGAAGATACCATCCCTCCAAAGTGCTTCATTAAGATTCTTATATCAGTTGAAAATTAGACATGAGATCACTTTGGAAATGACTATTAAAATAGCCTCATATTAATCTCATTACAAGCTTTCAGAGCAATTCAGAAAGTGTATTGCTCTCTAATACCAGAGAAACCCCCACATAAACCTCATCATGGACTGAGATGCTTGTGTTTAGCTGTAAACTCTCAAACTTGTGATGCTTTAATTACATCCTTATGATGAAAGCTCTTGAAATAATACATTTTGTTTCCAGAAATTGATTTGGTAGGAAACATATCTCTACAATTTTTCTGTATCTTTCCTTTTCATATACTGCTCATTGAACATGCATTCATTCATCCTGTTATTTGTCAACCAAACACTTTCTGAGCTCTGCTTTTTACCAAGCCCATGCAAAGTGCTGGAGATACAAAGTCTTACAAGACAGAACCCTTGTCCTCAGAGAACTTGCTGTTGTGTTCGTTAGGCTGTTTTATGTTTTATATTTCCTAGGGAATAGAAACACACATGGACACCAAGAACAGCTGAAAGGCAGGCTTTGTTCTGATAAGTATGTTGTCTGCATACTCTAAGAGTCCAGCACAGCTCACAGGCCAGCATACACCTTTGTCACTGAGCAAAAAGTGTTTGCTGCTTCTCCACTACTATGATGATGGGACCCTTTACCATCTTGTTTTTATTATAACTGCCACACTTAACCAATTGCCCACACTCTTTTCTCTGGCTCTTAGATTCTACTCAGAAATTTATCTGAGCATAACCCTACCCTATGCATCTTTTCAGCTTCTATTCACACTACCAACTAAACAACTTTTTCTTAGCTCACAGTCAAATAACTAAGAAAGAGAATGTGTTTCATGCTTCATTTCCTCAATTCAGAAAACCATTTTCTAAATGTAATATTCAGCCGGCTCCTAGCCTGGGACATGCAAGAAGATGAAATTCATTTTGCAATGGTTATGTAGTTATTTTGTTTCCTTATCTGCCATTAGTTGAGCAACCCTGGACAGAGCTTGTAAATTTATATTTGAAGGCACATAACTGAGAGAAGCAACCATCCAACTCCTTTGTCTTTATATTTCTATGCCCCTTGACATCTCTCAAACACAGGAGCAATCAAATCATGCAAAGTGCTTCTTTCAAAAGGAATGTGTTTGAAATCATAGCAAAAGCTTAAGTTGCTACTGCAAACCATGGGATCTTGCCATCCACAGTGAGATTTGAGCTGGAGTCTTGGAGTGCCCCATTCAGTCTACGTGCACAACCAAATGTCACACATCTCACATTCCCCAAGAGGTTGTTATGAGCAATCCAGTGTCCTGGTTTTCTGGATGCAAGGAACATAGATTCATTCAAGTTTTTTCAATTAATAAGGGTTTGTAGTAAGTCTATCTGTGGTAATAGGAGACGGTATCAGGAAAAGACAGTACTCCTGGTAACAGGAATCCCACTGCGGGCCCCACAAAAGTGGAACTCAAAGTCAGTCAGTGCCCAAGGCTTCTCTAGGACCAGGTCAACTTATCTCTCCCACAGCAGCTTCAATGCATGGGTCCTACTGGACGCTCTGCCATTAGTACAACCCATCTACTGCATTCCCACGTCCTTGCCTGTGGTTCTTCCTGCTTCTCCTTCTGCTGCTTACCATATGATTCATTCATATCTTGGAAAGTAGCTTTTCCTTTAAGGCTACTTCATAGGTCAGTGAACAGTTTATGGAAAGGTTGCCCTGGGATGGGACATACAGTAGCTGAGTCCGAAGCTGAGTGGTGGTGAAAACAGAGCTGTCCGATCCTGAACCCAGGGCTGCTTTTCTCTGCAAGGGAGTGAGCATGGCAGCATCCCTTAGAAACTGGCATGCTGTGTCCTGACCCACCCACCACTGTTTCTCTCTCCTGGACCACAGTAGTAGCAGATCATCTCCTGCTTCTGTTCTCTTCTCCCTATATCCCTTTCCTCACCCAGCAGCCACTGTAACACACTTAAAACCCAGCTCAAATCATCTCATTCTTTTGCTGAAAATACTTCATCTGAATAAAATCTAAACTTAAATGTATACAGGATACCACATCATCTGTTCCAAGGCTACTTCTTTTCTCCCACCATTCTGCCCTTCTCTTGCTCTTTTCCAGCCACACCAGCTACCTTGCTGCTCCTTAGGACACACAGCCCCCTCCTCATGATCCTTTCACACATAGTTTCCATGCCCTGGCCTGTTCCTGTCTCAGATATACATGTGCCTACTCCCTTATTTCACTTGGGGCTTCTCTCAGAAAAGCCTTATCTGAGTCTTTATCTAAATTACTATTCTTCTACCTATCACTATCTCCCTGACTTCCTTATATTGTATAATTACTTCTTTATTTATTGGTTACCTTTTCCACTAGAATTTAAGTTCCATGATAACAGGGAAATTATTAGTTTTATTTACTTATATATTAGTATTTACAACAATGCTTAGTACATAGTAGGTGCTCAATAAAGATTTGTCAAATAAATGTGCAAATGAATGAATTTTAATTCATGATATTGTGGGCATGAATGGACTGTAATTGATGTGTCTAGAACAAGGCTATTGGAGGAGATGGATGAGCAATCTTAAAGAGAGTAATAAGCTCTAAGATCTAGGCAGGCAAACAGTTCTATCACGTAAACTTCAGGCAGTTGTGAATGGCTTGACTCTCTTTTTGAGACCTGGAGGCTAGAGAAAGGGAATTATTTCTGGAAGAATGTGGACAGTTCAGAAGGGAAGAAAAAATATTGCATGTTGGCAGCATGTTGGCAGCAACTCCTAATCATGATGCCTTTAGCTGCAAATAATAGAGAATCTGAATTTGGGTTGGTTTAAGCAATAAGGAAATTTATCAGCTCTTCTGGAATTAAGTAAGTAGGGCAAGCTCTAAGAGCAACTCATAAGGCCTCCAGTGATGCTTTTCTGAAGTTCTTCTGACTCAGCCCTCCTCCCTCTATTGGTTTTATCCTCATACTTGTAGCAAGATGGCTTCAGAAGGTCCAGATGCCATGTCCAGACACAGAAATGTCCAGAAGCAGAATGAAGCCATTTTTTCCTTGAGTCTATTTATTATGAAATAATTCCTAGGGCACCATAATCAAATGTTTTCTTACATCCCATTGGCCCAAGCCGATTCACTTAACCTTTCCTAAATAATCACTGGAAAAGAGGATGGAGGCTTTAGCATGACTACCATGATTTGCTTTGACAAATCACCTTGGGAAAAGACCTTTAGGGAGTCAATCACCATTAACACTGGAGCTGGGTGTATGGGGAGGAAAGATGTGGAGAGATGTGAGACTAGAAAGGAAGCAGGAATCAGTCTTTCATGTTATGCTATGGAGTTTGAACATTGCCATAAAGGCTACTGGTGAACAATGACAATTGCAAGCAAGGAAATTGTAGAATCAGTTTCCCGGTGTTTAGAGATCATTAAAATGACATTATAGAGAATAGAAAGACTGAAAACAAGGGAAGCAATTGTGATCACTGTAGCAATACAAGAGAGAAACATAGAGTTTGAATTAAGATAATGGTACTGAGAATAGATTTGGAAAATTCAAAGAGACACCAGAATGCTGGACTTACTCAGCAGGGTCTGGTGACTGAATGGATGTCAGGGCAAGGGAAGGGAAGGGAATATTTATGATGAGCCAAGGTTTCTGCCTTCGGTAACTGGATGGAGGGTGGAATAATGTACAGAAATAGGAAATGAGGGGGAAAGGGATGTGATGGGAACTCAGTGATTATTGTAGTTGATGTTCTCAGATGGAAATGTATGAAGGGTAGTTGGAGATGAATATTTGGAGTTCGAGGAAGCCTTTATTTCCTGATGATGCAGTCAGTGACAGTTACAGTGTTGGGTGTGTGAATGATGCAAGAAGCATCTGGAGCAGCCCCACCCCTCAAAAAGCTTACAACTTTATTGACTATTTTAGGAAATAGTCACATGATTCCACAGGGGCGCTTAAAGAAGTTAGAAGGAGATACCTTTTTGAGTTATGGCAACCAGACAATTTAAGTGAGTCTTGAATGATAGAGTTTTGATCAGTGAAACAGAAAGGCCCTGCTAAGCACGAGGACTGGGAATAGCCCAGACGTGATCTAGGAAGGAATCTAAACTAGGAGCATTAGAACCAGCAAAAAAAAAAAAAAAAGAAAAAGAAAGAAAGAAAGAAAGAAAAAAAAGGACTGGAGAGAGGCCCACAATGTTTTGATAAAATAGTTAATATGCTTTTGTGACTAATTGGATGGGAGCACGAAGGATGACTTCCAAATATTGAATTTTGGGGGAGGAGATAACTGAAAGAAAAAAATAAGAAAATTAGTGCAACGAGTTGCTTGAGGTTGTGAGGCATGAAAAGATAATGTCCATTTTAGACATATCGAATTTCAGACAAGTCAGTGTATGGACTAGAAATGTAGAAGGATTAGAGCCAGAGGTGAGGCTGTAGGGGTTCCTGTGCACATCTGGTTGTGGTGTCCCCTGGAATTGTGCAGCGCTGTGGCACGCGTTAGAGGTATTTAAGTTGTAATTGTTGAAGATGTTTTTCTCAGCTGGATTTGAACAAATGACCAGTTAGATAAAAATTATTTCTCAAAGAACTAAAAGTCGATCTACCATTTGATCCAACAATCCCACTACTGGGTAACTACCCAAAGGGAAAGAAGTCACAACATAAAATAGACACCTACATGCATATATCATGGCACAATTCACAATTGCAAAGATACCGAACCAACCTAAGTGCCTATCAACTGATACGTGGATAAAGAAAATGTGGTATATATACACCATGGAATACTACTCAGCCATTAAAGAGAACAAAATAATACCTTTTGCAGCAACTTGGATGGAGCTGGAGGCCATTATTCTAAGTGAGGTAACTCAGGAGTGGAAAACCATATACTATGTTCTTATTTGTAAGTAGAAGCTAAGCTCTGTGTACACAAAGGCATACAGAGTGGTAAGATAGACATTGGAGACTCAGAAGAGGGGAGAGTGGAATGACAGTAAGGGATAAAAAGACTGCATACTGGAAATGCTGTAAACTACGTGGGTGATGGGTGCACTAAAATCTCAGATGTCAGCATTACACAATTATCCATGTGACCAAAAACCTCTTGTGCCGCTAAAACTATTGAAGTTAAATACATAAATGTACCTGAATTCTAATTTCCTGTGAATTTCCCCAAAAATGTTCATTAAAATATTTAAGGATTTCTTATATGAGAGAGACAGACTCAGGGACAGGGAATGGAAGAGAAAAGCTACTATGAACGTAAAAGAACCAGAAAAAGAAAATAGCTACTTCCAGATGATGATTAATGTGGAAGAATACAGTATTTGATATACACTACATCAATCTTCTATGAAACATACAAAAAAACAATATTTTAACTCCATGAATATGGGGATTATGCTACATAAGAGTCATCTCTGACAGCAAAAAATCCAGACACTTTGAGTATGCAGCTCACTTGGTGCAGCAACTACCCCATGCCTTGTGCAATTATGCACTTAATAACACTTTTGGACAGTAATACTAGAGGGCAGGTGTCATGCCTGTTCAACTCACTTAGTCTATAAGCAAGTAGATAAATAAACGACTTGATGAGGAAGAAAAGAATGAGAAGATAAGGAAAATGTGTGGGCTTAAGAGAATCAGGATTTAACTACTGTCTGCATATTTATAAACATCTAATCATACACACATGTACATACATCGAATCATATGATCAATTCTTTAATTAAGTTTAGCAGCCTACAGTTCAGCTGTGATTTACAAGGTAGTAGAAAATATCCATGACATTTCAGAGGAAATTCCATTTATAATGAGCAAAAGAAAATAAATGTTATCCTATAAATCATTGCAGTAACAGGGACTAAATTCTGTTGCAGAGTTATGTGAGGACAGAATCTTAATCAATAATTTCTATATTAATGATTCTAGCAACCTTCAGCAGAAAAGTGGAAGATTTTGTAGCATGCTGCATTCTCTGTCAATCTACACAAGCTTAATGTAAATACTACATATGTAGTAACTACATAATGTAATAGCTACATATATCACAAATACAAACAAACACATATTCATGCAAGGTACATTGAAGTAAATAAAGTTATGTTGAGAGAAAATACTGATGCAGATGTAGTAATTGATTAGTAGAAGGCTTCATTTATATAGATTGTATGAACCATGAGGTCGGGAACCATGTGTGTTTATATACCACTGTATTAGCACATAATACTGAACCTGCTGCAAAGCAAGGACTCAGCAAATACATGAATTAAACACAAATTGCCTTAGGAACTATGTCATTACCAAATAAAATGTAGTTGTTTTTGATTAATTTTAAAACCTAAATGTGAAAGCAAGACAAATTTGTACATCACATTGAGAAGCTTATTCATTTAATTGTCATTCATTCATGCTTCACTCTGAAAAGTAATGTCTTTAAGAAAACACACAAACAGGAAAAGATACATGAAGAAGTTGAGACAAAAAGAAAAAAATGCGAATAGATAATAGAATAAGGGCAGAGGGCATAACGTGTATATGCCATAGAATTCTGGACACCTGCCAAGGGCACAAATAGGATTTGAGTGTCTTAAAAAACAATGGAAGAGAAAGTTGCTCATAGAGGCCACATGTGCCACTGTCATCAGATATAGCTGGTCACCATTCTGCTTCTACCCTGATTCATTGGGCAAATACATTGTTTAATATTTATTTCCTGGGGAAAAATGCACTACAAAAATGTATTACAGAGACTACTCTTATTTTCTTAGCAGTCTTATTTTCTTTCAAAGCAAAGTAATTAAGTAAAATCCTGGTGTTTTCCTCTTCGTTTTTCTTTTTCCTATTCGTTCTTGTTTGGTTCTCCAATTGAGAAGCAAGTGAATTTTTTAAATGAAGCTTTGCTTTTTAAAGTTTCAAGGTTTATAATGAAGGAAAATGTAAAGAGAGCAGTTTCGATGGCTATATGTTTACTTATCTATAAATTCACTCAGTAGAAAGAAGAACCACTCACATAATTAGCTTGTGCATTTCCTTGGCCAATGTGTACTCATATTCTATATTGAAAACTCATGTAGAGGTTGCATAATGGTCAAGGTGAAAGGAACTGAAAATGATAATGCAAAAGGACTGTAGCTTGAGATTTATGACTTACATTGCAATTTAGACTTGAGTATGTACACAATGGCAGCCCACGGAGAGGATGAGGGCAAGGGAGACAGAATCGCTTGAGCCTGGCAGAGCAAATGAAAACACATCAGAGAGGTGAGTGACAAAGTGGAAGAGTTCCCTTCCCAGGGCAGCTTCAGAATTGCATTCTGTAATCTAGAGCTGGCTCCAGTGACATTTAACTGATCTACCAAACTCAGACAAGAGAATAAGATGGAGAAATGCAAAATCTGTCACTGGTGTTTATTTGATCTGCAGAAAGGCTGGATTCATATGTCTTGCCATATTTCTGTGTTCTGAAGGGCAGTGAAACAGATTATCAAGGCCAAGTGTAAAACTTTGGGAGATGAGTTTAGCCCCTAGAGATTTTAAAAAAGAAAATAAATGGAATTCTCGCTGAGAGCTTGTCCTCATTTGCTGTTCTCCTTTCTTCTTCTAAATTTAGATTTATTGTGTTTCTTTACATGTCATTTAAAATTTGCTCTGGGCTTGGGTCCAGAAATCAAGTATGTATTTTAAATAAACAAACATTCAAGGAACTTTCCACACATTTCTCAGAGTAATTTCTTTCAGCTCTTTGAATTTTATATTTGAGATAACATCTATAGCCCAAGTTTCAAGAACTTGTGTGAACATTAGAATGTCTCTGTGATTTAACTGGACTTGTACCAAAATACTCTAGAAGAAAACAAATACTTACTTTTTGCTATACACCTTGCTTTATTTCCTGCTTACACAGAGCCAGAGACTGTGCTATCTACATTATATGGATTATTTATTCTTACAAAAATCCCTGAGTTTGTTATTATTATTTATCTATCTACAGATGGAGGAACTGAGAAGTTCATCTCAATTAATAACTTTCCCAAGTTATCACATTAAGTCGTACCATCAGAATCTGAACTCAGGCAGCCCAGTTCTTGATCCAGGTCCTTAATCACCAAGTTATAGTTTTTACATTACATTCCAACTTGTCTTTATTTATTTTTATTTTTATTTTTATGTCATTCTTTTTACTCTGTAACCCAGGCTGGAGCAGAGGCACACTCATAGCTCACTGCAGCCTTGAACTCTTGGGCTCGCCTCCCACATAGCGAGGACTGCAGGTGCATGCCACCATGCCCAGATAATTTTTACATTTTGTTTGTAGAGACAGGGTCTCACTATGTTGTGTGGGCTGGTCTGAACTGTTGGCCTCAAGCAACCCTCCAACGTCAGCCTCCCAAAGCTCTGGGATTAGAGTCATGAGGAACCTGGCCTGAACCTTTATTTAATAAACTAAATATATATCCTTGGACATAAAAGAAGCTTAATTCATTGGCATAGTAAAGACTAATAAAAGTAAATATATATAGGTCTTATTGATGACACTAGCCATGTGACCTTAATCAAATCAGTTCACCTCTTGTTCCTCAACAAATCATTGTTCCTGAACAATGTCAGGGGCTCAATAAAAGCAAGTGGAATTGAGCTGACTTTTAGATACTTTTAGGTTTCAGCATTCTGTGTTTTCTAACTAGATGCCTGCCAGTGCCTAACATGCCTTTGGTCAGAGAAAAAACATGATGTTAGTCCAAGAATGTGTAGGCTGGGTTGGTGTGGCTCTGCATTGCACCACGGGCAAAGAACCCCCATGGTTACAAGTGGGAAATGTTCATAGCAAAGAGAAGGTGAATGAAGAAATACAAACCCATTTCCTGTATTAGACACATTAGTCAAAGCCCACACTTGGAATTCTATGGACTATATATTATTTTTAAACATAGCCTAATGCTATATTCTAAAGAAAGACTAATTTATGTTTATTCAGTGCCTTGAGTGGGACCTGGCTCATAGGGAAGGGTCATTCATAATTTTTAAACAAATACAAGGAAGGGGAAAATCCACTTGATTAGTATCTGTCCATTAGAAAATTGAGGTTGATTGCTGAGTGAATCAGGTTCTATGTTATTGCTTAAGTTTGAGAGGAAACTCATCAGTAGAGTTCCCAGTTGTTAAGTTCCAGGGGAACAGCCACATCATCTCTTTCTCCCTCCTAAAGACTCTTTCCTCACCCTTATACTTCTGTCTCTGAGCACACTGATCATAAGCTATTTTTCCTCCCTGTGTAAAAGAGAGAGAGAAGGGGAGAAGGAATATACACATATACATATAATAAAATAATTTCTTCCTTCCTATTATGTTGCTACAGGAATAACATATCTAATTAGATGGAAATTCAAACTGTGACATTTCCCATACTAAAGCACCAAGAATTCAGCATTAAGAGCAATAATAATAATATCAGGGACAATTATCACAGTGACTACCAGGATTATCTTCACATACCATTTGGCAGATCCTCATGTTCCTTTGTGACATCTCATTTTTAAGGCAGCTTACAAAGGACTTGTTTATAGAACTGATTTATAAAAATCAATATTTTTGCTGTAACGAAACACGTATTTTTCCTATTAAGCAATATTTCATGAACTTATTTATCCTCTGTAAAGGGAAAAGCATAAAACAGGTGAGAATACTGAGGAAGAAAGGGGTTAAAGGATTGAGGTCACATATTAAGGCCGTAAAAAGGTAAAAATAGAAATGGGGGTTTTCTGAGTCATAGCCCAGTGTTCCAGCCAATGACAGACCCTGTGCTGATGCACAAGCTCACATTAGCTCACAAAATAACCACGGGCACATTTCTCCTGAAACCAGGCCATGCACTCAGTACATGCCCTGATGCATGTGCAAATTAATTTTTGGCAGCAGGAAGCCCTGGTACATTTCAAGTCCAGTGTACAAGTGATTAAAATAAAGACACATCAAGTTTTTTCCTAGGTGAGAGAGCTAGAGTTCTAGGTCAGGCACTAACAATTTCTTGGGTTTTTAGAGTAACTTATAATGAGAAAAAAAAAAAAAAAAACACCAAATCATTTCATTTGCAGCATTGTTTTTTTTTGTATAAGCCACTCTCCTAGAACTCTCTCTTCTGTGCATAGTCCAGGCTTAAATGTATACACTCGGTGCTTGTAATATTTATCCAACCTATTTAGATATACATTGGATGCAATGCCATTTATTGCTCCTAGCAGAAAAATTGCAAGAATTCTTAAAGTGTTGTTTGATGTCTCAAGCCAGAAATAATGGCTCATTCCCTAAATAAAGGGGTTTGAAAAATTAGGGTTATACTTGGGGCATAAAGGAAGCATGTCAAATGACTCTGTAGTGAGCTCATTGGAATTCCTAGTGTTTTATTTTTATGATTGCTTTGTACTCTTTCCTGTTGAACCAACTACAGAGCCAGGTAACCTAATAAAAATCAATTGCATGAATTAAAAGATGTAATTATTGCATGGATGGATCAATGGATGGAGATATCTTAAAGGTAGAGGCTAGGAATAAACTGTGTCTCAATCCCTAGAGCCCGTTGAAGTATTGCACATCCTATGTGTATTAACCCATTCTCATGCTGCTAATAAAGACATACTTGAGACTGGCTAATTTATAAAGGAAAGAGGTTTAGTTGATTCACAGTTCAGGCTCAGGAAACTTACAATCATGGTGGAAGGGGAAGCAAACACGTTTTTCTTCACATGGCAGAGGAAGTGAGAAGTGCAGAGTGAAGTGGGAAATCCCCTTATAAAACCATCAGTTCTCATGAGAACTCACTATCATGAGAACAGCATAGGAGTAACTGCCCCATGATTCAATTACCTCCCACCAGGTTCCTTCCATGACATGTAGGGATTATGGGAACTACAGTTTAAGATGAGATTTGGGTGGAGACACAGCCAAACCATATCATTCTGCTCCTGGCCTCTCCCAAATCTCATAGCCCCACATTTCAAAACACAATCAAGACTTCCCAACAGTCCCCCAAAATTCTAACTCAGTACAGTTTTTTTTTAATTAGGAGACTTTTTTTAAAGAGCATTTTTAGGTTTACAGCAATATTTAGCAGGAAGTACAGAGAGCTCCCATATACCCCTCCCACAACATACGCACAGTCTTCCCTACTATCAATATCCCCCACCAAAGTGGAATATTTGTTGCAACTAATAAACCAACATTGACACATCAATGTTAACCAAAGGCCATAGTTAACATTAGGGTTCACTCTTTGTGTTGTACCTTCTAC
Organism: Homo sapiens; assembly: GCF_000001405.40. Classification (NCBI taxonomy): domain Eukaryota; kingdom Metazoa; phylum Chordata; class Mammalia; order Primates; family Hominidae; genus Homo; species Homo sapiens. The sequence continues at coordinate 130,561,890 of NC_000006.12, forward strand.
CAGTCTATCTCTATACAACTGTATAGAGATATATATTCACCAATATAACATTATTGTTTCCACGCCCTAAAATTCCCCTGTACTTCACCTACCCATCCCTCCCTACCTCCTAACCACAGCAACCTCTGGTGTTTTTACTCTCCATAGTTTTGCCTTTTCCAGAATGTCATGTAGTTGGAATCATACAGTATGTAGCCTTTTCAGGTAGGCACCTTTCACTTAGTAACATGAATTTAAGTTTCCTCCATGTCTTTTCATGGCTTGATAGCTCATGCCTTTTTAGCACTGAATAATATTCCATGGTCTGGATGTACTATAGTATTCTTATTTTTAATTTGGGAAAAATAAAGATCACAGAGTCCGTCCCATAAAGTAGGAGGAGAGGTCATCTGTTGGGAATGAGTGGAGGGGAATGTAACAGCTTGAAAAGGGTGATGTTCTGCAATAACCCTTGTTGGGTATGAGAAGAGTCTCTGGCTAAAGGCTAAACCACAGCACCTGTCCTGGTCATGAGCCCAGAGGTAGGAGCAGAGACTGCAAGTGCTTGTATAGCGTCACAGTTATTGTTTCCCGGCAAAGACACAAGGAAGACAAAGTGCTAAAAGAATTAGGGCTGTTGGTAGCTAGTGGGATGGACCATAGGGGGCTGGTTTGTTCATTAGTATCTCTTTTTAGAGTTTTAACTTTTATTATGAAAAATTGCAAACATAAAGTAGAGCGGATAGTATAATGAACTCATCATGTATTCAACACCCAGCTTCAATAATTAGAAATGTTGCAGTTTTGTTTTGTTTCATTTAATCTCCCTAACCTCTTCATGTTTTCTGTAGGTGTTTTTAAAGAACATCCCAGGCATCATATCATTTTATCCATAAATGCTTCCATTTACATATAAAACAGATAAAGACTTTTAAAAACCACAACTACAATGTTTCTCTCATAGCTGACAAAATTAACGTTATTTCCTCAATTTAACTGAATTCCCAGTGAATAATCAAATTTCTCTAATTATTCAAAAAATTGTAGATAGATGATTTTTTTAAATTGGGATCTAAATAGGGTCCACACACTACATTTGATTGATGTTTCTTAAGTTTCTTTTTATAGTTACGATTTTTTGTTGTACAATTTACATTTAATAAAATTTACTCTTTTTAAATCTGCAGTCCAGTGACTTTTGATCAATGAGAGTCATGGGGGTGGCAGACATGTTAAAACAAAAGAGTAACTTCAGAACAGAATCTTATACAAAGTCAAAGACACAGTTCAAATGATATTTTAAATTTTATATGAGGAAAGAGAAGGTCAGGATGTGATGTCTGGAGTAACTTGGAAAGATGTATTGAACTTGTACCACGGAGTAGAAGTGCGGGGCAGTGGGGTCAAGGAGACATTCCAGGTAGAAGGAGCAGCATAGTTCATTATGCAATAGAACTAGATTGATATTGTTAAAAATTCAAGCAAGATGAGGTAGGTAGAGAGAGAGAATGGTGGAAACTTAAGTTAGATAAGACAGACACCTTGTATGTCATACTCAAAAGCTTGGATCTTACCCTATGGGAATGGGGGAACTACTAGGAGAACAGAATTGTCATTTTAGAAAGATTTCTCTGTTGGTGCTGTGGACAAAGGACTGGAAGGAGTCTTGCACAGGTAGATCAGTTCATTATTGAAAAAATCAAAAGAGACAGCATGGGCAGTAGTGGGCAGTAGTGACAGGAGGAGAAGAGCTAAGAACTGGGAAAGACAATTGGCAGGTAAAGGACAAGTCTCAGTGAGTGACTGACAGAGGAAGAAGTGATAAAGGGGGGAAGCTAGTGAACAATCTAGGATGACTTCTGATTTGATGGCTTGAGAGACTCCAAAGAATGGTGTAACACACATTTTAGCTTTTGAGTCAATTAGACATGGGTTCAAGGGCCAAGTCTGACACTTATTTACAAGATATGTGATTTTGGGTAACTTACTTACCTCTCTAAGCCTCAGTCTCTCATCTAAAACGAAGATAAGCTACCTCCCAAGATGGCTGTGAGATTACATTATATGCAGTGCTAATCAGTGTTTGATAAACTGGAAGCACTCAAGAAATATTAATTATTAAAATTATCCAAATCTAAAGTCCCCGGTTGTAATGTGAATTCTTGAATAGAGGAATAACACAAGTATGAGTTCAATAATTGTGGGACCCTATTGAATGGAGAATCCATGAAATTTGTATGAGGGCAGAAACTGTGTATCAGAATGTTGGTTATAATATGACTCACAATTGAAACATACCGAGACCAATGCACACCAAGAGCAATACAATGACTAGCATGTGTCATTCACATTGTGCTTTTACGTGGGTATTCTCACAAGTCTTATGACAACACTAAGAAGCCATTCTTTTTATTTATTTATTTATTTATTTATTTTTATTTTTATTTTTTTTGAGATGGAGTCTCACTCTGTCACCCAGGCTGGAGTGCAGTGGCGGGATCTTGGCTCACTGCAAGGTCTGCCTCCCTGGTTCATGCCATTCTCCTGCCTCAGCCTCCCGAGTAGCTGGGACTACAGGCACCCGCCACCAAGCCTGGCTAATTTTTTGTATTTTTAGTAGAGACGGGGTTTCACGGTGTTAGCCAGGATGGTCTGGATCTCCTGATCTCGTGATCCACCCTCCTCGGCCTCCCAAAGTGCTGGGATTACAGGCATGAGCCACCGCGCCCGGCCAACACTAAGAAGCCATTCTTTATTATTACCTCTAATTTATAAGTGAAGAAATCTCAAACATACCAATAAGAGTGAAGCCAGGTTTTGAAATCCTGTGATCTTTCAACTATATCACATCAATAGCTATTACTATGGGCCAGGTACTATGTTAAATATTTCACATATATTTTCTCAAATATCACTCACAACCAGCCTATGAGGTAGATCCTATTGTTAACCCGATTGAAAAAATAAAAGGCATGGAGAGTTTAATTAATTCAAGATCCTATATCTGATAAGTGATGAAGCCAAGATTGAAACCTAAGAGGTCTGACTCTAAAGTTCAAACTTTTAACCACACTGCTATGATTCCTTTAATCTTTGAGACCCACTAGTAAAAGCTCTGAGCTTATGCTAGAGGACAAGAATTCAAGGCAGAATTTGGGTCCGTAAGAAGTTCTAAATTATACAATTTCATTTTTGGACCAAAATTAACCTGATTGTGGGAACATATGCAAAATAGCCATAACAAAGTGGGGAAAAGTCTGAGGTGTCAAAGTGAAATTAGATATATTGAAGAACCAGAGACATGCAGCGCAAATTCTTATCTGTTGTACTGAGTTTTGTGCTGTCCTCAAATCTGATGTCTCCATCATTTACTATATCCAAATCTGTGACAAAACCAATGGCCAAGGTAAAACCCTGTAACACGCATCTGGGCCTCCCTCCAGCTTACCATCAACCCCCAATCAATACTCTCTGGATACCACCATTTCAGCAGATAATACAACTAATGTCCTGAGCAGGAATATTAGATCCTGCCATATGAAAAACCTGTGGAGTTTAGGTTCTAGAAAATACACTTAAAAAATCAGCTGCACAAATACAGCATGAGCATAGTTCCAACTATAACTAAACTGGCTTTTCCTTAATATCACTGTTAATTTTTAAATGATACGTTTTTCTAGGGAAGGTGTGTAGAAGCAGGTGAGGAGACTCAGTCCCAATAAGCAGCCTAGTCTGGGAAGCCCTTCTGTCCCTGTGGGCCTGAAATTCTCCAACTTCAGCCAAAGACACAGGGTGGGCAGGTGAGGGACCCAGCAAAGGCAACAGCCTAGCAGCCGGGTCTGGCAAGTTTCATTGTCCCATCAGCTCTGAGAATTTCTCTGTCCCCACTGTTCAGAGACATCAGGGCAGAAAGGAGGTATCCTGCCATGCCCCACCCTTACTGAAAGCCACTTCCACACAAATTAGCCCTTCTGCTCCAATAGGCAGCACCAGCAGGGACCAGTGAGAGCCCCAGTGGCACCTGATATACAAACAGACCAAAATAACCCCATAAAGGCTCTACAAAGTAAATGGCCATTGGAAGAACAGCCCACAAAAATAGGCCAAAACCTGCATGCTGAACCTAAACAGATTAACTGCTGCTGAAATAATAGGACTCAGAGTCCCTGAACGTAATTGACAAGATGCCCAGGATATAATATAAAGTCACTTGTCATCAAGAATCCAGAAAATCACAACTTGAAAGCGAAAAAGGAATCAACTGATGCTAACACCTACATGGATCAGATGTTGGAATTCTCTGACAAAGATTTTAAAACACCCATCATAAAAACACTTCAGTAATCAATTAAAATTCTTTTGAAATAAATGAGAATAAAAAAAATCTCAGCAAAGAATAGAAGTTACAAAAGAGAATCAAATGGAGATTTACAGAATTGAAAAATACAATAACAAATGTCAAAACAATGACAAATTTGCTGGCTGGGCTCAATGGAAAAGGGGAGAGGACAGAGGTTAGAATCAGTAGACTTGAGGATAAAACAATAGAATTAACCCAACCTAAAACACAGAGAAAAAATGGACTAAAAAAATAAATGAACAGAGCCTCAGGGACCTGTAGAATACTAACAAAAGATCTGACAGTCATTTCATCAAGTCCCAGAGAAAGAGGAGAAAGAGCAAGAGCAAGGCAGAAAGAGCACTTGGAAAAACAATGGCTGAACACTCCTCAAATCTGGCAAAAGATATAAACCTATTGTATTAGTCTGTTCTCACACTGCTAATAAAGACATACCCGAGACTGGGTAATTTATAAAGGAAAGAGGTTTAATGGCCTCACGGTTCCACATGGCTGGAGAAGCCTCACCATCATGGTGGAGGGCAAAGGAGAAGCAAAGATACGTCTTACATGGTGGCAAGAAAGAGAGCTCATGCAGGGAAACTCCTGTTTATAAAACCATCAGATTTCATGAGACTTATTGACTACCGTGAGGACAGTATGGGAGAAACCACCCCTGTGATTTAATTATCTCCACCTGGCCCCGCTTTTGACTTGTGGGGACTATTACAATTCAAGGTGAGATCTGGGTGGGGACATGGCCAAACCATATCACCTATACATCCAACCTGAGTGAAGCTCACACAGGATGAACAAAGAAATTCATACCAAGACACATGATAATTAAACATTTGAAAATGAAAGATAAAAATCTTGAGAGCAACTAGAGAGAAACAATGTGTTACTTAAAAATACCAGTTCAGATGATAGCAGGTATCTCATCTGAAATCTTGGAGACAAAAAGCAAGTGGTGCAATCTTTAGTGCGGAAATAAAAGAATTGTCAACTCTGAATTTCACTATATCTGGCAAAAATATCCTTCAGGAATGAGAGGAAATGAAAACATTCTTGGAAAAAGGAAAAGTAAAATAATTTGTTTCTAATAGATATCCCCTTAAAGATCCACTAACGGAGGTTCTTCTAATAGGCAGACAATGATAAAAGAAGAAATGTTTCAGCATCAGGAAGGAACAATGAATAAAGAAAAGAGAAGAGATACGGGTACATATAGTAAACTATCCTTTTCTTCATATGTTTAATAAATTATATTTGATGATGGAAACAAATATATAACACCATCTGATACATAAGACAAGATTTAAACATGGGAAAGATAAAGGAACCTAAATAGAAGTGAGGTTTCCATACTTCACTCAAAGTAGTAAATATTGGTTCTAGTAGTTGATGTCATATACCTATAAAACCCAGAGTGACTGTCATGAAAACAACATAAACAGATACACACAAAATCACTATCTTGAAATTACTCTTTTTTAAATTACATTTAAACAGGATGGAATTATTTTTTAGAGTTCAAATAACCTGCAAGAGGCAAGAAAAAAATAGAGGCACAAGAACCAGAGGAAACAAATAGAAAATAAATTATAAAATGGCAGACTTAAGTGTTAAGTATCATTAATTACTTCAGTTTTTACAAGAAATGTTTAAAAAAATTTTTTGTGGGTGCATAGTAGGTATATATACTTATGGGATACGTGAGACATTCTGATACAGGCATGCAATGAGTAATAATCACACCATGGAGAATGGGGTTCCCATCCCCTCGAGCATTTATCCGTAGTGTTGCAAACGATCCAATTATACTCTTTTAGTTATTTTTAAATGTACAGTTATTACTGATTATAGTCACCTTGTTGTGCTATCAAATAGTAGGTCTTATTTATCCTATTTTTTTGTACCCATTAACCATCTCCACCTCCCACCCATCCACCCGGTCCCACCCCACCCCACCTACCTCACTACCCTTCCCTGCCTCTTGTAACCATATTGCTACTCTCCATGTCCATTGAGTTCAATTGTTTGTATTTTTAGATCCCACAAACAAGAACATGCAAAATATCATTACTTTAAATGCAAACAATCTCAAGACCCCAGTTAAAGGAGAGGTGAGGGGCAAGACTGAGGGGTTGTAGAGGGAGTGTGTGAAGGAGTGACAGGATGGCTGTAAATGACTGCATAGGAGATCACTGTGGTGTTGTAACTGTCCAGTACATGAACCTATACAGGTAATAACATTATATAGAGCTTAGTGCAAAGTAAGTCCAGGGATAGAGGGGGATTGTATAAATGTCAATATCCCAGCTATAACATTATACTATAATTTTGCTAAATGCAATATATTTTAACTTAAATCCATTTATCAAATAATAAAAACAAGGATAAACTCATATCTCCTGCCACATACAGGGGTAAACTTCTGGCCTTTGGAAAAGGGAGGAACGGAACATTTTCATAAATGTTTTGACATGATGGCCTTGTAGATCCATGAATGAGAATAATTGTCTAATCTTTCACCAGAAACTTTATACTATTTTCTTAATGCAAAAATGAGGTATTGTTCCTCCACAGGAGGAATGACTTGTCCCAACGAAGAAACATCCTTATAAATCCACAACAAAGTGATTTGAAATGCTCTATTCCTATTGCCTTTTTAAATTAAACAGAACGAGAAAAGGAAAGATAGCTTGAGTGCTGTTTCAGACTAAAACGTTATTGCCACTTGCTTTGCAGATTTGAATTTTGCACTTTAGTTTGTGATTATTTGCAAGTTTTCCCTTGGCCTTTTGCTCTTACTGCCTATTGATTGAAGTTAATAGGAGTAATGTAGGTTATTGGATATTAGAGGCCCACATCATGGAACAACAACAGTTGTGGGACCAGTAGTACAGCACACCATGAATAATAAACTGGCAAAAAACCTTCCTATATTTTCTTAATCAAATAAAAAAATGCACGGTGTATAGTAATTTTAACACACATGACTACAATCATATTTTGCTATGTCCATAGTTCAGCATTCAATGTAGGAAAAAAATGCATCAACGGAGTCTCATGTCTGTATTATACCTCAAAGAATTGGGCCCGTCATTATCTAAATTTTTAAAATCCCTTTTGAAAAATGAGATGAGTTCACAGTAGAGTCTTCTTTGGTTTAGAACCTAGATGAACAGTGTATTACTACCTAGCCTTGAACAAAGAAGAGGCTGTCCAGTTCAGCTTTCTATCAAGTCCTTAGTGATATTTGCAGCACACTTAATATTCTGAACATTTTATCATTTTATCAGTAAATTTAAAGAGGTCAAAAGACTACAAAGAGTACTAAACAGATTAACAGTTGCAATGCAGTCCCCATCTCATATAACAAAGTCTCATAGAATCTATTATAGCATCCCTGGCTATCACGATCATTGCCCTTCAGTGCTATATCTCTATTTGAGTAGAATTGTTTACTGGCCTGATTATACCTTCTTAGAGACCCACAGAGCACAGTTCTCTTGTTTTCCTGGGAACACGCAATCTTTTTTTTTTTTGCCTTCATTAAGTACTTTCTGTGGGTTGAACCTTACTCTACGCTACCATTATCTTCTAGCCCAACATTCTAATAGTGTAGGGTTTATGCTCAGTTATAGTTTTCTTAAGTGATTTTAAAAAGATATTTATCAAGGAAGAAGTCGATTGTCTGAATAGACCAATAACAGGTTCTGAAATTGAGGCAGTAATAGCCTACCAACCAAAAAAAAGTCCAGGACCAGACAGATTCAGAGCTGAATTCTACCAGAGGTACAAAGAGGAGCTGGTACCATTCCATCTGAAACTATTCCAATCAATAGAAAAAGAGGGAATCCTCCCTAACTCATTTTATGAGGCCAGCATCATCCTGATACCAAAACCTGGCAGAAACACAACAAAAAAAGAAAATTTCAGGCCAATATCCCTAATGAACATCGATGCGAAAATCCTCAATAAAGTACTGGCAAACTGAATCCAGCAGCACATCAAAAAGCTTATCCACGACGATCAAGTCAGCTTCATCCCTGGGATGCAAGGCTGGTTAAACATATGCAAATCAATAAATGTAATCCATCACATAAACAGAACCAATGACAAAAACCACATGATTATCTCAATAGATGCAGAAAAGGCCTTTGACAAAATTCAACAGCCCTCTATGCTAAAAACTCTCAATAAACTAGGTATTGATGGAACATATCTCAAAATAATAAGAGCTATTTATGACAGACTTACAGCCAATATCATACTGAATGAGCAAAAACTGGAAGCATTCCCTTTGAAAACTGGCACAAGACAAGGTTGCCCTCTCTCACCACTCCTATTCAACATAATATTGGAAGTTCTGGCCAGGGCAATCAGTCAAGAGAAAGAAATAAAGGGTATTCAATTAGGAAAAGAGGAAGTCAAATTGTCTCTGTTTGCAGATGACACGATTGTATATTTAGAAAACCCCATCACCTCAGCCCAAAATCTCAAGCTGATAAGCAACTTCAGCTAAGTCTCAGGATACAAAATCGATGTGCAAAAATCACAAGCATTCCTATACACCAATAACAGACAAACAGAGAGCCAAATCATGAGTGAACTCCCATTCACAATTGCTACAAAGAGAATAAAGTACCTAGGAATCCAACTTACAAGGGATGTGAAGGACCTCTTCAAGGAGAACTACAAACCCCTGCTCAATGAAATAAAAGAGGACTCAAACAAATGGAAGAACTTTCCGTAACCACGGATAGGAAGAATCAATATCATGAAAATGGCCATACTGCCCAAAGTAATTTATAGATTCAATGCTAGACCCATCAAGCTACCACTGACTTCACAGAATTGGAAAAAACTACTTTAAAGTTCATATGGAACCAAAAAAGAGCCCGCATAGCGAAGGCAATCCTAAGCAAAAAGAACAAAGCTAGAGGCATAATGTTACCTGACTTCAAACTATACTACAAGGCTACAGTAACCAAAACAGCATGGTACTGGTACCAAAACAGATATATAGACCAATGGAACAGAACAGAGGCCTCAGAAATAACATCACACATGTACAGCCATCTGATCTTTGATAAACCTGACAAAAGCAACGGGAAAAGGATTTCCTACTTAATAAAAGGTGCTGGTAAAACTGGTTAGCCATATGCATAAAGCTGAAACTGGATCCTTTCCTTACACCTTATACAAAAATTAACTCAAGATGGATAAAGACTTAAACACAAGACCTAAAACCATAAAAACCCTAGAAAAAAACCTAGGCAATACCATTCAGGACATAGGCATGGGCAAAGGCTTCATGACTAAAATACCGAAAGCAATGGCAACAAAAGCCAAAATAGACAAATGGGATCTAATTAAACTAAAGAGCTTCTGCACAGCAAAAGAAACTATCATCAGAGTGAACAGGCAACCTACAGAATGGGAGAAAATTTTTGCAATCTATCCATCTGACAAAGGGCTAATATCCAGAATCGACAAAGAACTTAAACAAATTTACAAGAAAAAAAACAAACAAACCCATGAAAAAAAAAACAGGTGAAAGATATGAACAGACACTTCTCAAAGGAAGACATTTATGCAGCCAGCAGACACATGAAAAAATGCTCATCATCACTGGCCATTAGAGAAATGCAAATCAAAACCACAATGAGATACCATCTCACGCCAGTTAGAATGGTGATCATTAAAAAGTTAGGAAACAACAGATGCTGGAGAGTATGTAGAACACTTTTGGTGGGAGTGCAAATTAGTTCAACCATTGTGGAAGACAGTGTGGTGATTCCTCAAGGATCTAGAACTAGAAATACCATTTGACCCAGCAATCCCATTATTGGGTATATACCAAAAAGATTATAAATCATTCCACTATAAAGACACATGCACATGTATGTTTATTGCAGCACTGTTCACAATATCAAAATCTTGGTGCCAACCCAAATGCCCATCAATGATAGACTGGATAAAGAAAATGTGGCAAATATACACCATGGAATTCTATGCAGCCATAAAAAAGGATGAGTTCATGTCCTTCGCGGGGACATGGATGAAACTGGAAACCATCATTCTCAGCAAAGTAACAGAAGAAGAGAAAACCAAACACCGCATGTTCTCACTCGTAAGTGGGAGTTAAACAATGAGAACACATGGACACAGGGAGGGGAACATCACACACCAGGGCCTGTGGGGGCATGGGGGGCCAGGGGAGGGATAGCATTAGGAGAAATACCTAATGTAAATGACAAGTTGATGGGTGTAGCAAACCAACATGGCACATGTATACTTATGTAACAAACCTGCACATTGTGCACATGTACTCCAAAACTTAAAGTATACTTAAATATATATATCAAAATGTGCTGGCACAACTGGGTGGGAGTCATGGTTACCTCTCTGAGTTATTGCATAACAATGAGAAACTGTTGTATGACATGCAAGACTTTCTCATACAGCATCACTATCAGTGAGCATTCAGCCTTTTCTTGAATATTCATAGTTATAGGCAGCTCACAATCAATGGCCACACTCTGAAAACGCCACTCACTCCATTTTCAAACAAATCTGTTAGGAAGCTCTTTAATTGAGTTCAAATCTGCCATATGCTCTAGTTTGACACCCAGCACAATACAGAGTAAACCTACACCATGGGCTACAACTTCAAATGCCAGTTAGTGGTGCTGTTTGGGAATAATAAACATTTTGATAAAGACGTGAAAACAATATACATCTCCTATTAGAAAAAGTACGGGGAAAGAAAGCTGGCGAAAGATTGCTGTGAAGATTGCTCAGTTGTTAAGGGATATGTTGAAAATAACAGAACGGTAAAAAAGAGAGCACATCTCTTGTACAATGGGCAACCTCTACTCATCCCTGGCTATTGGCTGCTGTAAAGGGAGATAGAATTTCTAATTCTTCAAAGAATTGGAAGTCAGAAATCAAGATTTCTACACAAAATCTCATGACTTTAAGAGTTGGCTGCTAATTCAAAACATTTAAAAAATTTGTTTGGGCCAACAACACAGTGCATCTGTAGGCCACCATCCTACCACCTCCAGTCTGAAGCCTGCACTGTGTCACAGCTGTGAGCCTTTGAAGACAGACAGTGGGTCTCTAGGGATATTTTTCTTCCAGATCAAATGGCACCACCTTCATTGACCATTCTGTATATAAGGATTCCAAACTTCTATCTATCCTGAATGATCTTCTGACTTGTTCTGATTTGCTAAAAACCTTCCTGAAGTGCAGGATTGAGAGAGAGAGAGCCCAAAAAGGATCTGATCTGCAGGACAGCATGGCTGTTCTAGACCTACACAGCATCTTTTCTTACGGGCCTCTCTTCCACCAGCCTCTGTGTGTGTTTTTAAAAATCTATGATGAGGATACTCTTGGAGTCCTATTTCTTTCTCATCACAGTAAAGGTGTGATCTAAATGTTGTTGTTGCTTACCAACCTTCTCATCTCTGGCTGTAAATTCATACCATTTTGTCCTGGAAAAATTTTGAGATCTATATTCCAAAAGCAGAAATGCCATCATTTTTATGCTCACCAAGGCAAATTTGTATTTTCTGAAGCCTCTGTTTTCCTAGAATTTTCTTAAGGATAACTTCTCTCTAAATATTCTGATTGCTTCCGGTTCAAAAATCAAATATGCCTTTTATGTTTAAGAAGTATGTTGTTGTTATGCACTAGGCCTTTAACATACATTATCTTTTTTAATTGTTCCAACAACCCCATGAAGTATTTATTTTTCACTTAAAAAATTCATAAAGTCTAGTCAAGTGAAGTAGTGGGAGTGAAGAAGGAACTGTAACTAGTTAAGAAACTGGTTAAGTAACTGGTTAAGATCAATTAGTTGTTAACACCACTGCACTCAGACCAGTCCCCATGAAATATTATCTCAGTTCTGTTCTCTCAGACCGGTGGGAAGACAGGCTTGGAAAGACTAAGAAAATAGCCTATGGCCAAATAGCCAATAAGTATAAAAGTCAGGAATTAAAACCTGGCTGTCTGATTTTAAAGGCTGGACTATTTCCACCATACCACTTGTCTAATTCTTTCTTGTTGGTTAGAATTAAGCCTTTGTGTTAGTTCCATTCATTGTTTATCTTTTGAGACATTTATTTATTAACAGATGTTCAGCTTTATGCCAAACAGGATAAGGCTTACCACAGCTGTCGGGGGAGTTAAAATCCTCCAACACTTTGGAGTTTGCCTCTGTGCAATATAATCCCTATATGTTCTCTATTGCTTGAAACACATTGGGAATAAATGAGCACTCAAAACCCATTTTACAATTTCACCACAAGTAAGTACAACCTGAGTTGCAAACAATAAATAGAAATGAGTATTTTCAGAACTTCAGTCAATCCAGAGTTAGGAATTGCCGGCTTAAAAATGATTTTGAATAATGATTTATGTTTACAGCAGACACTACTGGCTACCTTCTATCTATTTTCTTCTTTTTTACAAAAGAACCACAGTTTTGTTCAGGGTGACAATGTATGCCCAATTTAAAACAGAGACTTTTTTCAGCCTACCTTACAGTTGCAGTGTGGTCTTGTGACTTAGTTCCCGGCCAATGAGATGTAGACAGAACGTGCTGGCTGTGGCTTCATTCAGGAAAATATAAGAAGAGGTAGTCTCGCTTAGCCTGTATCTTTTGCTCTTCACCCTTCTCCTTCTTCTGCCTGGAATGCAGTACAATGGTGAAGGTAGAGCAGCCACTTTTCCACCATGAGGCAACAATCGTGAAAATAAAAGTCACATGTTAGGGGTGGCTGAAAGCAGAAAGAGCCTGAATCCCTGATGGCATTGTGGAGACAATGAACTGTCTAGTTACACACTTGTTATGTAAAAAGCACTAGACCCTTATTTGTAAATTGAATTTTCAGTTACAGGCAGCCAAAACTATTCCTAATCGTTATTACCCTGACCCACACTTTACAAGTACTAGATATAGCTTTTTGTATTACCAAAGTGATAAAATCCCATATGCCAAACGTAGCCCTTTTGTGTCTCTCCATGATGTATCTGGCAACTTAGTGAATCCTCAACATCAGGCAGGTTTGCCGAAAAGGTCAATGATTCCATGACCTCTCCATAGATTGAAAGTCTATGAAAGTAAAGACAATTTCCACATGGTTCACTGTTGTACATAAGATCCTGCTGGTGACATGCATAGAAAGTTAAATACTTGTCCAAGAGATTAATAAATGGATGAACAAATGAGCTGACAGTCTAGTAAGGGAGATTATCAAGTAAATAGATTACAATAAGGGAATCAAATTTTGGTTAACGTAACTGTAGAGCTCCCTGGAGATTATTTTCAAACTGGAGCATGAAAATTGAAGAGCAACTAGCAAGGTAAAAAGTACAGGGAGAAATTTCTGAGGTTAGGGAGTGATAGCAAATGACTGAGAACTGTGTAGTTTTACAGGCCTTAGTGTAGAATCCAAGGAGACTTGGTAGGAGCTACAGGCTGGGGAGGCAAGGAGGAGTTAGATCACGAAGGGCCTGAGACATCCTACCACATAGCACCTTCTTCTGGGTTAGTCTGGGCTAGTTGTAGCTGATAAACTGTTTTCAAAGTCCTCTCAATTTCTCCATTTGCAATCATCAATTTTAGCCTTGACATTGTAAGCGTTTTTTAAGACTGGATGATACAAACACCTCCGACCACATTACAATGACTTCAGCTATTTTTATTCCTATTCCACAAACCTATAACATGCAACGTGAATGCATCTACCAGTGGCTTTAAGAACATCTCTTCTACTATTGAGGTGAGATATGTTTGAAAGACCTCCCTGAGTTAAAAGCTTTAGGGATTGACAGGCAGTTCCATCCCCTTCATTTAGAAACCCTTTGTGCCATAGCTGTCTTCCCCACAACCTGTGAGGTTTCTTGTTGCGGCTACAGCAGCTGTGGTTGAACATTTCTCTGGCTTCCTGTCTTAATAGGGCTTTGTGGTGTGCTGCATTGCCTCTATATACATACGCTTCCAGTTTGCCCCTGTTAGAGCAGACAAAAAGCAACTGAAAGCAGCAGGTTAATATTTGCCCATGAATGGGGTGAAGGTCAAATAAGCAAGTCAGTATTTTTCTCCATTTTTTCCTACCTGTTCCCTCACCTCCCTAACTTATCAACCATCTTTTCAATTGTTCTCTTCTACATCAGCATTCCTCCAAGAGGTTTGGGCCATTTATTGTTGAATCTGATGTACCTTCAACCCCCAGGGAATCTGGGGTGCAGGGAGCTAGCCTGGTCTTCCTGTGAACCACGTCCACTCATCACAAAGCTTAATTTGGAAAGAAAAAAAAATGATTTGAACATAAACTCACCCTTTCCTCATGTCTCTAATGAATGCATGCTCCTTTGCATATTTATAATATGCTGTATTTATCATACACTGTATGGGCAATAAAACCCGGCTCCTTTCATAAAGGCTCTTGGACTGAATGATGGAAGCAATGTGAGGATTTCGGATTTCAGTTTGCTTTCCCATTGGCTGCCATATAACTTTAAGTCAGTTTTGTATTTCCATTAAAAAAAAGTGATTAAAAGCTCAAAAGCTAATAAATGTTTCTGATCTCATTGTAGATTTTCTATTTCTTTTCAGAAGTAAATAATGGGGAGGAAATCATTACATGCATAAGCGAGAAATTATTTCTAAAGTTAAATTATTTCTAATCTAGTTAACAGCTATTATAATGAATAGATTTGCCCAAAAATTTTCAGTGTCACATATGGGGATACAAATTCCTTTGTTTTTGTAATAGTGGGTTTCTTTTTTGTATCTTAATGACAAATTTGCATTTTGACCCTGCCTTGTAGCTGATAGTCCAATTTATATATCTGATTACATTTACTGATGACAGTTTTCTGTCACATTTCAACAGCTAATATTCTTCTTAATGAAAATTTAAGGGTGTGAAACAAATGCTTCTGATGCCCCGTCCCCCTCAACACATTTATAGGTCAGTCTGCTTCTAAAAATATTAGTCTGCTTTTTCCTACTCCTAAACAATGTTTTTAAAAATTCACATGAAACATTTTTCTAATTTTTGTTGCCAACAAGTGTAGATCTCTGCAGACTTTGTTTCCTGCTGTTAATATGCATTATTCAAAAAGCAACGATTGGATTGATGTGGTTCCGTTGTACAGGAAGTGGCATTTATGTATAATCCATGTACTGCTTTTTAAAAATGTAAAATGGTGAAATTCAATACAAATGACAGTCAAGTCTAGTCTCTCAATGGAATCTTTAGTTCTTGTCATCAAAAATCATCAAAAATATTAAATGGTTTACTTAGCAGCTAAATAACAGTGAAAAAATACTCAATAGCACATTTATACCTTCTTAGGAGTATTCCATTTACATTTTTAAGCCCTCTCTGTCCCTGACACCCAGGGCTTACTCTCCTGCAGCTCTCAGAAAGTCCACGGTGAGCTGCACTGACAGTCGTCTGGGCTTGGTCCACCATTACACGTCCACACTCTCTTTCTCCTTCTAGTGCAGCCTTCCTCGGTCAGGCCAGCCACCAGGGTGGAAATCATTTCAAGACAGGTTTGAAACTAGTGACTCCCATTACTCAAGCCTTACAGAGACTCCAAATTGGGTTTTATACACGAGTCATTCATTAACTCATTCCCACAACAATAATTATTGAGGACAACTGTTAAATACTTTTGTTTAATGACTCTTATCGCTAGCTAAACCACTTCCAAAAACTGATTTTTCTTCATCATTGCTCTCATCTGTTCCCAAATTTTTCCTTCATTAAAAAACAAAACAAAACAAAACAAAAACACCTCCAAGCTTCATTTCTTTTCCTCTCTGTGGGGAGGTAAGGAATTTAGTCTCCTCTGAAACAAGCAAATTCCTTACCCTCATGCTCCACATGTCCCTTTCTGATTACAGTTGACCCTTGAACATGACGGTTAGAGGGATGACCCCCTGTGCAGAAAATTTATATATAACTTTTGACTCCCCAAAAACTTAACTTCTAATACCTTACTGTTGACTACAAGCCTTACTAATAACATAATTGATTGACACGTTTTATATGTTATATGTATTACATACTGTATTCTTATAATAAAGTAAGCTAAAGAAAATTAAATGTATTAAGAAAATCATAAGGAAGAGGAAATATATTTACTATTCATTAAGTGGAAGTGGATCATTGTAAAGGTCTTCATCCTTGTTATCTTCATGTTGAGTAGGCTGAGGACAGGGCAGAAGAGGAGAGGTTGGTCATGTCTCAGGAGTGGCAGAGGAGTAAGAAAATCCTCATACAAGTGGACCCACTCAGTTCAAACCTGGTCTTATTTGAGGGTCAACTGTATATTGATGTTTATATTTAGGCTTCCTTATGTGTTAAGTGTTTTGGAGTTAAAGAGACCACTGTGTCCAAAAAAAGTGCCCTACACAGAATAATCAACCAATATTATTGATTCTCTAAAGGGGAGAATAGATCGGTTATCATTAAGTTGCCACTGAAATATAAAACAAAGTTTTATAGTTCGAGTAATCAACATTTTGTGTAAAACACATTTGTTTCAAAGTAAAACCTTATAGGCAGCATTAGTTGAATTTTCAATTTGATTATGTGTGCTCTGTTGAAATTCTTTATTTGTATACTCTCCCAGTAAAAACTAGCCAAATAACCCCTGTGACATGCTTGTGAAATAGTTATTGGCTTTAGAACTCATCAGTGAAAACGGATTGGATTTTCTAGTTCAATTCCAGGGACAAAATACCTACCAATGCCACTGTGACTAAAATAAGTGATTATCCTCTAGGCTAGTGACAGTGAGGAAGAATTAGATTCATGTTTGTCTACTACATTTATGTAAGTGTGGAGGAGAATATCGATTGAATAGAGAAAGGATTGAATACATTAGCATAATTTTCTTTGGGCAATTTTTGTGTGTATAAACAATTTCATTGCATTAAGATAACACAATTACACAATATTTCAAACAATATATAAAAGTATATTACAGATAAAAAGTATTCCATCCCTGTGTTCCAGCCTTCCACATACTCTTCTCAAAAACATCGTTGCTACCAGCTTTTTGCTGTATCATATTTTTTTGCTTCTTTCAATAAGACTTATCTTGACCACTCTATTTAAAATGTTAACCCACTTAGGCTCTCAAACCCCGTATCACATATCATGCTTCGTTTTTTCTGTTATAAATTTTTATCCCCTTCTAACATACATATTATTGACTTATTATGATTTGTCTATCGTCTGTCTTTCACACTAGAAACCAAGTTGTGTGAGTACTGGGAGGTTGTATATTTTATTCATATGCTTAAAGCAGCTATTCATACTCAACAAATATTTGTCAAATTGAGTGGATAAATGGCTGAATATATCCTGGAAATTTCATGCCTAATGAAGTAAATGTATGTGTGTCTCCCTTAATTCCTAACCATTTACCCCAAAACTTAATATAGTTATAAAATATTATGAATTTCGCTTCCTTTCTCAAATAAAATTTCCCAAGATTTTTTCAAATTAGTACATTTACACCTGCATTATCCTTTTTAAACAGCTACATGGGAATTGACTGCCTCCAACAAAATTTATTTTACCACTCCACTCTTGATGGACAAGTTGTTCAAAGTGATTTGCTACTTGCAAACAATGTCATAATAAATATCCTTATATAAATCTTTATGAATATATAACATTATGTCTGTAGAGTATATTTTCTTCACAAAATACGTACCTTTTAAATTGTGATGAATATCATCAATATCTTCACAAGGAGACTCTCCAGTTTACTAAGAAGGATTATCAATATGCCTATTATTCAATCATTAACTAACTTGCTATGTTATGAAAAATCTGATGGGTGAAGATGATATATAAGCACACTTTAATCTGGATTTCTCACATTATGGATAATGCTTATCATCTTTTCATAAGATCTGTTGAGTATTGCTCATCCTTTTCTCACTGATATTAAGAACTCTTTGTTTATTAAGAAAATTAGTTCTTGGTTGGTCTTCTTTTCATTTATCTTTCATACGTTTTTGTGTTTCATGCCTTAAAGAGGTCTTTTAGTTTTTTTAATAAAAAATACAATGTATTTTAAAATAGATTCTGAGTCTTAGTCAAGATTTGTATATGGCCTCACAAAATAATTTTTCAGCTTTTATTTTAGAATCAAGGGGTACATGTACAATTTGTTACAAATGTACACTGTGTGATGCTGAGGTCTTGGGTATGACTGAACTCGTCACCCAGGTAGTGAGCCTAGTGCCCAGTAGTTAGTTTTTCAGCCCTTCTGCCCCCTCCCTCCCTCTCCAATAGTCCCCAGCCAATGTCATACTGAAGGGGCAAAAGTCAGAAGCATTCCCCTTGAGAACTGGGAAACAGGGATGCCCACTCTCACCACGTTTATTCAACAGAGTACTGGAAGTCCTAGCCAGAGAAATCAGACAAGAGAAAGAAATAAAAGGCATCCAAATAGGAAAAGAAGACGTCGAACTATCTCTCTTCACATACTATATAATTTTATACCTAGAAAACCCTAAAGACTCCACCAAAAGTCTCCTAAAACTGAGAACCTCAGTAAAGTTTCAGAATACACAAATCGATGGACAAAAATCAGTAACATTTCTATATACCAATAATGTTCAAGCTGAGTGCCAAATTAAGAATGTGATCCCCTTTAAAATAGCACACACACAAAATAAAACATCTAAGGATGCATCTAAATTTTTTATAATCCCCACGTTAATTCTAGTACTCCCATAATTTTTGCGATTGTCTTTATTTTCCCCCTAGCTTGAGGTATAATTGGCAAATAAAAATTGTATATATTTACAGTATATATGTTTTCATATATATGTACATTGTGAAATGATTACACAATCAAGCTAATTAACATATTCACTTTACATAGTTAACATTTTTGTGGTGAGAATATTTAAGATCTACTCTTTTAGCAATTTTCAAGTATACAATACATTATTATTTACTTTAGTCATCATGGTGGAAAATAAATCTCCAAGACTTATTCATCTTGTCTATTTTGATTGATTTTTAAGCCCTGTATCAAACTACTTTTGGTAAGAGTTCTTAACTAGTAAGTATATTTCTTTTCATAATTTACAAAAGTTTAGCAGTTTTCAGATATACTCATGTAACTAAAGATGCATTTTAAAAACAGAATGGAGATTTTATCATCCAAGAAAGTAGTTATGAATTAAAGTACTAAAAACAGAAGTCTTTTAAAAATATGTATATTGTTCATAATAGTTCTATGTCTGAAAATATAAACCACCCTACTTCAAAGGAAGCTACTCTATAGTGCTTAAGTGGAATGAAATATGAATAAATGCTTCAAAACTCTACAACTTAAGAAAGAGTAGGTGATAAAAGGTATAAAGCTGTACTTTGAATACATAGTTTGTCTTAGAGTAGATTAACCACTCATCTTGCAATGAAACTGAAAAGGTATTTTAAAAAAGAAACCAAGCCAGGAAAAACCCCAACAATTCCCAAAGTTCACCTTAATGCATATCAGGCTTCATTTTATGTTATTAAAGCAAAAATACTGCAAGACACCAATAAATAAAAGTACAGGCTTCTGTGCTCTTGAATTAACATGTTACATAATTTACAGCCATATTGTGGTTTAGTTCTTTTAGCTCCAGAAGGAAATTGAGATGTTTTCTTCCAATCTTACAGGATTACAGGAAGCAAAAATTGAAAAAACATTGATAATTTAAATAATATAAATATATTTAAGTGTTTAGGGTTTTTGCACCCTAAATTACTGTGACAGGCTAATGTTTCTTCTCTATCTCAATGGAACCCTAAAGATTTCTCTTCTGGAGAGGATAAAAAAGGGTTTCTGGACTGGGGAACACCAGGCTCAGTTGAGGAGGCACTGCTATTGGGAAACAGGAGGATTAAATAAGAGTTATGTAAGGAACAGTGTCGACACATTTAACAGGAGACTAGAAAAGACGTCTCTGGGTAATTTAATTACCTGCAGGGAAAACATTTAAGGATACAGACATCCAAGTTCTCAAAAGAATGTCCCAGCCAGCTACTTCTCCACTGAAGACTAGAGTTGACAAGCCCAATACCCCTCCAGCATTCTAGGGGGTTTGGAGGAGGGCATCAAACGTGAAAAACTGTGGCCCAAAATGGGGAAAAAGCAGTTTGAAGAAAACAAAGTCTAAAGAACGTAAAAAAATAATAATAATAATAATAACAACAAGCAAAAACCCTCACACAATTATACAGGGAAAATAAAGTGTCTTCAAGAAAGGAATGGTATGCCTAGTATACTGCATAGCTCGGCTATCTACATCATCTACATATTTATACTCATTTAAACACCAAATATTAATATAAATAAATTCTTTATGTCTATACCAGCAGGTATAGTGATCCCTAACTTTTTTAAATCATAATTTTTAATGTAGCAGCTGGGAGGTAGACGCCTCATTAATCAGTTAAAGATGTGAAAGAGTCTGTCTCTGAGGAGCAGGAGGGAGCTAGGATTGAGGGGCTGCGAGGTTTAGTCAATACGACTTATTGGACTACTTGATTCCTTAAGTTCTATAGCACTTACAATACATGAGATATTTTTAAAAGTAAATTTTTAAAATAAACTAAATGAAAACTGTTTGCAGCCAGAAAAGAGGTGAGAAGAAACTAGCTTCTTCTAAAAAATATATTGTATCTATTCCCTTGCACGGGGCGGGGATGTCTCTTTTGGATTACAATATGACAGGGATGTGGCTGGTGCTTTGTTTTAAACATCATATCTTTGAACACACTGTTGTATAAGTATCCACAGAAACTCTGTTAGCTTGGGGAGCAACACAAATGTCTTTGTAGTTTCTTTGTCTCAATCAGGTTAGAGATCCTTGGAATATTACCAGTCAGCATCTACAAACCACAGTGGGGTGACTTCTGTTTGAAGGGTTGGGATCTGTAATCCTTATAAATCAGATACTGTTGACATTGCCTAAGTCAGCGGTCCCCAACCTTTTTGGCAGTAAGGACCAGTTTCGTGGAAGACAATTTTTCCACAGGATGGGGCAGGGATGGTTTCAGGATTAAACTGTTCCACCTCAGATCACCAGACATTAGATTCTCATAAGGAATGCACAAACCTAGGTTCCTCACATGCGCAGTTCACAACAGGATTCGCGTTCCTGTGTGAATCTAATGCCGCCGGTGATCTGGCAGGAGGCCGAGCTCAGGTGGTAATGCTCGCTTGCCAGCCAACCGCCTCCTGCTGTGCAGCCCAGTTCCTAACAGGCCACGGACTGGTAGCGGTTCACAGCCCAGGGGTTGGGGACCCCTGGCCTAAGTCATCTGAAAATTATGTCTATGTGATTTCTATAGTCTTTTTTTACCTGAAATAATGACCAACCATGAAGCTGACCCCATTCAATAAAGCAGGGACAAGGTAAAGAAGATAATATTTCTCAAATGCCAGACCTCATGCTAAGGGCTTTACATATTTTACCTCATTTAATCCTCACAGCAACACTACTGGGTAGATGTTATTATCTTTGTGTTTAAGATGAGAAAGCTGAGAAGTTAATTAAAAAGTCATACAGTAAGAAAAAAGGTAGGCTGAGATCAGAGCTCCAACGTACCTGATTCATTGTGTAATGTTTTGTTTATTTCATTTATTACCTATAAGGTCAGGCTCTATGAAGAACTAAATGTAACGAACAATAAGGATAGAGTGCTTCTAAAGGTGATGCTTGAAGTCTTAAAAGTAAATTTCATTGCACATTGAATCCTTTTCTTGTGGAGAAACACTGCTATAAAAGTGAGTAGGAAAATACTAGTTACTTACAGATAATTGCCTTACACCTTGGTCATCAGAAACACATCTAATTGTATGTAGAGATCCACTTCTACCAGAAAACATACCAACAAATTCCAAAAGAAATTATCAAACTCCACAGAGATCAGGGATTTGTGTGACAAGAAGGCTTTTCTAACAGTAATTCCTTGCTGATGTGTTAATCTACTTTGACAGAGTCAGTGCCTTGCAGATTGAGAGGAAACAATAAAGGATATTTCCTGAAGTTGGCAAAGGCTTTTCAATTCAGTTTACACACTTGTAGGAAAGCAAACTTTTGATGTTATGTTGGTGAGTAAAAGCAAAATAACAATCTATATATGTCATTTGAAGTGCAGGTTTGCTTCTGAGATGGATAAATGGGGGGATTGTGACCTTGGGCAGTTTGTGATGAGAGAGAGCGGGGGTGGTATCAGAGTTGATGCTAGAGCCATAGGAAACTAGGAATTGAAGGATGGTTGGTCCTTAAAGTTGTAAGGTTCATTGGAGGTCAGAAGGATAGACAGATCAGTTCTGTCTCTACAATTAGGGAGAGAGAACTCATAGCAAAGAACCAAGGGTATCTTGGGATCTGTAAAGCATCATTCCAAAAGAAGAAGCTTAAGTAGAGCAGCCACATATCTTTCCCCCTCTCTCTCTTCTGACCCACAGCCCACACCCGTACTGACACCACATTTGAGACCAAATATTGCCATACTCCCTCCTCTCACACGTCCCTGCAAGTCCCCACACAGCCTCCGCTCCGATGCCTTCAGTGTTAAGCAACTAAAAGCCTTGGGTGCCAGCTTATTCTATGCTTGGACAGCTCAATATAACTGCTAGTTTTATTGAGTCACAAATCTTTCTGTAACATCCACTTATTTATCCCACTTCTGCAGTCTCAGTGGTGTTGTCTATATTATCCATATGCAAGTATTTGAAGATATCAGATAATTTTCTAGCTGCTTTGTATTATATTCACATATAGATGAGATCTAGTAAGAAGTGTCTATATAGGTGGATTCTGGGATGAGTTAGTTGCAACTTGACCTAAAATGCAGGCAGCCTCTTTTGCCTAAAATTCAAAATCAATATCTGGCACTAAAAGTTGGAATGTTTACCTCAAACATTGACCCTTGAAAGCGTACCACTTTAAAGACTGTAATTCATCTGACATTGATGTTTGGTTGACAATTAATATGTTCACACATCTAGTAAACCTTTGGATTCCTCCCACATAATGCATGCAGTCTGATTTTTGTGACAAAAACAACTATTTATCATTCCAGCCTTTTCATCCAATACTTCGCCTTTTCATCTATTTCTATCATTCTTTCCAGACACTACTATACTATGATTGGTCACCTGAAAGTATTTTTTTACTTCACCAGGGGCAAACTTTAATGCAGAGTGCTTAAAAAGTCAGAGAGGAAATAGATTAAACAGGGCTTAAATTCTCCTATACCAGCAGTTCTAACCAGAAACATACTTCATTTTTTTGGGAGAAAGCTTTGTAAAAATACATATGCCTAGACTATCCTAGGGAGTCTGGCCATGAGATGGTCTGTATTTAGAAAAAGCTGCCTGGGTAATTGTGATGTGCACTCTTGGTTGAGAACCATCGTCTAACGTTGGTCCTACCCTTTGTGGTCTCATTTAGCATTCTCCTTGACTAAACAATTTGGTTGGTTTCACTTTGTATCCATCATTCTTTGCCACGTAGAACCTACGATCTGGTAGTGAGAGAGATTTCCAAAGAAGGTAATGTAGTAAGAGAAGAGTAGAGAGCTGAGGCCCAAACCAAGAATAGCACCCACATTTAAGACAGAAAAGCAGCTCGTGGCAAGAACAGTTTGCATGGAGTAGTTGGAGTGGAAGTAAGATCCCAGATGTCAAGAGCAGGCACTGGAGGCACAGAGGCAGCAGCATGAAGCAGGAAATTGACTCTGCTGTACCCCAGCTCAGGATGCCCACCTCTCCCTGCCCCATTCTCCTGATATCCACACCCTCACCCATCTTTTTTTTTTCCATTTTAGCTATGTGCTACAGCCAGTTAGAAAAAGAAGGGAACAGATAAGTAGTATACCTGGATCACAGACCTTCTGTTATAACCACTCACCTCAAGTGCAATGAGCTTCCCATTACAACAACCTCGGGCCACAGTATCGTGTAGGAGACAACTATACAGTCACAGGACACGACAAAGGGAAGAGTAAACAAGATATAAAAAATAAAACTGTTGAGAAAAACTCCAAGGTACTAAGGCAGTAGTGATTGTAATTTGGTTCCAAATGTCAAGTACAGGTAGCTTAGATGTTTCAATACCTCTTTGCCCTTCTGAATGCTAAGTGATTGAACAGAAACCCCACAACAAATTTCTGGAACATATCTGGCCTAAAAACCTTGAAGCAAAGCTCAACACAACTTGAAAGCACTGGACTCATTGGGCAGGGGTTCCTGGTCCTTTGCTGGCTCCCTGCTGCATTCTTCAGATCACACACATTTTCTGGGAATTTGTTCAATGGCTTTATTAGCTCTGTCTCTCAGATATAAATTCCTTGATATTTTATTCCAAACACCATCAAATATACAAGAATACATTCCCTACCCTTTCATATCTTTATTCACATAACTGCCCGACACATATTTTTTAATCCAGAAATAATTAGTGTGGAGTCTGTGGGCATATGAGTATTTCAAGAGCTCTCTCAAGTTGATTAACTCACTCATCATAAGGTAAGTTTATCTGCATAGATCTTTGAGATGCAATGTGCTTTTCCTCTCTGGAGACTCCTTTTGCACTCTTGAATATGTTGAAGTTTTCTTTGTTATAATAGCCCTTGTTCTAATAAAGAGAAGCTACTCACTCATTGGCTCAGGAGACCCTTTATTCACAGTAGCCAGTATTGAACAGAAGATGCTTATTTGGCAGGAGCCCAATTTTAAAATAATAATAATAATAATAAAATCAAGTCATATTTCAGCTTCCAGATTGCAAAAGATTGATATGACTGAGTCATTATACTTGATTCTTGACTTTAAGATGTACAAATAAAGAAAAGGTCCTGGGCATGTCTAAAAAGAGAGGTTCTTAACCCAAGTCTTCATGATTTTAGACTATAATTTTGAGTCAAGCTTCCTGTATACGAAAAGACTGCCCTAGCCTTGTGTTATTCTTCAGGAAGGACTGCCCGGCTAGAAGGAAAAACCAGCTGCCACAATCCCACCCATATGTGAAGCTATGTCCCCATCACTTTCTTGTTCCCAGCCCATCAGAAGGTGGGTCTTTCCTCAATGGCTCATTTTCTCCAAGATTGTGGGGCTTACCTTTTGTTTCTTTACTCCTAAGAACTGCCGAAAGGAGGGTAGCCTAATTATTGTATCAGCTGCTTTGTCTTGGATGTGGAGAGGAAAGTTTATAATTCTAGAACATTCTTACAGTAAGTTCTTCGTGATCAGTACAGATTTGCCCATGAGCCACTTTAAAGCAATACATGCTGGAACAAAACAAATTCATCATGGTTTTAACTTTTAAAATCATAGTACCATTTTTGAAATTTTGAAATAGTTCTGGTAGAGATATTTATAAATAGGCATTTGCCAAATGTAGAAGGGTAGAGGGAAATTTCAAACAGAAGAAACGATATATGCAGAGGTAAAAAGGAAGTAAAATCTTGCCATTAGTAAGAAATTAAAAGAAGTTTGAAATAGATGATGAAGTATCATAAAATATCTACCTCAGAGTTGTGAGGAAGAAGAAAGATAAGGCAAAGGTCAAATTATAAAACATATTTTTTCTACATTAAGGAGTTTGAATTTTACTCTGAAGTTTGTAAGATCTACAGAAAGATTTTACTCATGGGATGACGTGGTCAAACTTTGGATTCAGAAAGATTAATCTGGCAGCTGTGAGAAGAGTGAATAGAAGAGTATCAGATTAGAGACAGAGAGAAAACTGTGACTTTGGGGAAGTTAATCTCTTTGAGCATCAGTTTCCACATCTGTAAAGTGGAAAGTAATAAAAACCTAAATAGTTTGTGCCATAGTGAAAAGTACATACACAGTATGATATGTCTGAGATTGGGAAGTACTCAATAAAAGACTGTCATGTATATTATAAGCTACCTGGACAGGGTCAGGGAAAAGAGTTGAGATGGGATTGGAGGGTAGCAGGAAATGAAATTGACTCACTCAAGAAACATTTCTTGAGCATCTACTTTGCATCAGGCACAGTGTCAAACAATGAAACATACTTGTGGTCTAGTACATAAATCCTTCATGTGTTATACATACCTTGTATCCTAGCCAAAAGCTACTGACTGCAAAGGAACACGTACATTGCAAATAACCTATGATTAATGTTTCAGGAGATTTTTCCATTATATAGCTAAAGAAAAAACTCTTTGAAAATTATCCTTTCATTAATAGACAAATTTCTTAATCTTATATTATTTCTCAATCTTTTCTGTCATTGATTTCTTTACAACATTTATCCACATTATCTTACTCTTTTGTGAGTGAAAATCAAAGATAAGCACATTCACAATGGAAGAACTTTGACATGCACAATACTATTTCTCACACTGATTTTGTAGCTAAACAATAAAAGTAAAATATGCTTTTTAGAGGAAAAAGTGCTCTCTATTTTATGTAGAAAGCTTAATACTATATTTTTATCTTTTCCTGATTCATAAAGCATATTTTGTGCCATAGACTTTACATACTTTTATACTATAAAACTAAGTTAAGATAAACAACTAAAATCCAGAATTGAAGAAAAGGGTTTTACAATGTTGTATAGTGTTGTATTATTAAAATATACTTAATGAAAGCTAAGGTTGTATTTGAGTGAGACAAAATGAAATAAACCTACCAGGTTACTAAATATATATAAACTTTTCCTGAGGATATTTATAAATTCACAAAAGAACAAAGGTATGTTACCTTTACTAACTTTTTAATGTCAGTTTTCAAACAAGGCAGTTGAATCTTTTTTGATTCTTGAATATCCTAAGGTTTACTTTTTTTGTCCAGAGAGATTTTCTATTTAATTAGACCTTAAGAATAAGCCTATCCACCCAAAATATTACCTAATTAATTTCCTCCAGTAAAGTGCAGTCATTGCTACCAAAATCAATCTATATAGCCTCACAGTTTTCATTCTTCAAATAATTTCCCTCTTGTTCCTCTTTTTTTCTGACAAAAGAATTCTTTTTAGAATATACATTTAAAAGAATTCTTTCTAGAGTATATTACTTTTTCCCCAGGGCTATCATTAGTTCATTTTCCAAAAACTCATAATGCTAAAGGGAATAATTTGGTAAAGAAAAACCATATGACATCAAAACAGAAGTCAGTCCATCACTTTTCTAGACCAAGTATAGAAGATCTATTCTTGAGTAATAACTCACAACACATAATAGGCAATTTGAAATAATTACACTTATGGAATATCATTATTTATTAGACATTTATCAAAGGAGCAACAACACAATGGAACTAACAACAAGTGTTCATGCATTTTTCAGTGGCTTAAATCAGAACTTTAGACAAATAAAAAACTTTTTAAAAATAAGCCCCTTCTTGGAAAAAAAATGTGCAACCACTTTAAATCATCAAAAAGAGGGTAGAAATGATAAAGAGCATTTGAAGATATAATCTATGAGATAAGACCCCTTCTCCTCTGTGTAAGTGCCCCTCTTCACAACCTTAAAGAGGCTCCATTTTATTCTTATTCAAAAAATAAGAGAAAATATTTTTAATTTTTAAAAATATATTATTCATGTCTAGCATTCCTTACAAGAAGAATTTAGGAACACAAATCAATAATCTATAGGACTATATTGTTATTTTGAGTTGTAAAATTCACCAGTTTTTTCTAGGACTTGGATGCTATGCTTCCACTAATGAAATGAAATTCAAGGTAACTGGTTCAGAGAAAGCTGGTTATAAACATGATATAATGCTAAGAGTTGTCATTACTATTTGAATATGCAGACAGATATTTTTCCTCTTGCACTATCTTTATAAGCCTTTTATTTTATGTGTAGCTTACCATTATTGAAAATAGAGATACCAACTCTTCATAATATGTAGTAGAGAGCTGTGGTCATCTTAATTAACATACTTGTTTATAAGTAAAATTTAAAAAGCAGTAATTAAATTTGTCACAATTTAAATCCTGGGCTAGTTTTAATTTTTAGATTGAATAGTTTTTAACAAAAGCTCACACTACAAGAAAAGTAAGATTTATAAATATATGAACCTGTTTGAGAACATATATTCTTAACTTCATTGTCTAGGAACAGTTTTATATGCAAAAATGTTTAGCCAAGTTTGAATTATAGAATGGTAAGAATATAATTTAGGAAGAAAAAAATCATGTAAAATGTCTGCAGATATGCAAAAATAATCCTATTTAGTCAGAAATATCTGCACTGTAGCACCAGTTGTGCTACCAGCTAATCCCTTCCTTCTTTGAAAATGAGAAGGAACAGATATTTCAGTAGATAAAATGGCACACATACTAAAAGAAGCCTAAATTTATGGAACAACCTGTTCACTTCCTTGGGATTCTATCCAGAAGACACAGAATTGTTTTTAATAACTCTAAAATGGTAGAGTTTAGAAAGCTTAGTTTGAAGAAAAATAACAAAAGGAATGACTACAGTACACATATACCTATAGGCCTTTTGTTATTTTCCTCCAAACTAAGGAATATATTACACAAAAATATATATATATGTGGCCAGGCATGGTGGCTCACGCCTGTAATCCCAGCACTTTGGTAGGCCAAGGCTGGCAGATCACAAGGTCAAGAGATCGAGAACATTCTGGCTAACATTGTGAAACCCCATCTCTACTAAAAATACAAAAATTAGCTGGGTGTGGTGGTGCATGCCTGTAGTCTCAGCTACTAGGGAGGTTGAGGCAGGATAATCGCTTGAACCTGGGAGATGGAAGTTGCAGTGAGCTGAGATCACGCCACTGCACCCCAGCCTGGTGAAAGAATGAGACTCCGTCTCAAAAAAAAAAAAAAAAAATATATATATATATATATAAATATAAAAATAAACATATATAGTCTGTGTATGTTACATATATAAAATATATATATATTTAAAGTCAGGATAGAGCAGGGCAGGTAGGGAATAGAGCATTTTGATTTTCTAGGAGAAAAACAAAAGTTGTTAAGATTTTGTCTTTAAGTTATACCAGGATAACATATTACAGCAAATGGAATGATGGCCCCCAAAAAGATATGTCCAATTCCTAATTCCTGGAACCTGTAAATGTAACCTTATTTGGAAAACAGAGTATTTGCAGATGTAATTATGTTAAGGATTTTGAGATAAAGAGAACATTCTGGATTATCTGAGATAGGTTCTAAATTGAGGGACAAGTGTCCTTATAAGAAACACACAGAAGACAGACACAGAGGAGAAAGCCATGTGAAGACAGAGTCAGAGGCTGAAGTGATGGGGCCACAAGCCAAGGAAAGCTGACAGCCACCAGTAGCTGGTGCCAAGAAATAGCACCTTTCCTAGAGCGTTGGGAAGCAGCACAACCCTGCCAAAACCTACCTAGATGTTGGAATTCAGGTGTCCAGAATGGTGACAGAATAAATGTCTGTTGTTTTAAGCAATTAGTTTGTGATAATTTATTACAGTAGCCACAGGAAAAGAAGACAATGTGTATATGCTGTGTGTGTCTGTGTTTATAACACATATATGTATGTATGTACTCATGCACTAAGACACTGCTAGTACCCCTTCACATATACCATATCACATGAGATTCCATTAAATGGAGTTGAAAAATCTCTGGAATATTATGTCTTAAAGTCAAGTTTAGTTTATGCTATTTGTTGAATATAATTGACATGCCAAGTACTGTGCTAGGCCCTCTGGAAACAACAATAAGTCAGACACCACCTGTACTCATGAAGCATCCCAGTGGAATATCGACAAGTGAACAAACATGGAATACACTAAGATAACTCTTTCTAGGTATGGATGCATGGGAGCCCGAAAAAGAACATACAGCTCAGTATCGGAGGGGGCAGGAACAGAGATCACAGGGAGTTTTCCAGAAAAACAAACACCTAAAGTTAGTAAAACCTGAAAGATGAGTTTGCATGGTAATGCTGGTACAATGGCATGCAAACTCATCTATTGTACCAGTGGTGGCACAATGACATGGAGCAAGGGTTTAGACGGCATAGGGGAAGAACAGAGAAGGTTCAGGCTGAGAGAACAAAATATACATGAAACAAGTTCTGTGAGATAGCAGTGGGTGTGAAAGAGGCAAGGGATGAGACCAAGATGTAGGCAGAGAGCAGAGAATGATGAACCTTGTAAGTCATTCTAAGAAGTTTATACTCTATCATAAAGGCATTGGGTGTTATTGGAGGGTTTTAAGCACAAGAGACATAAGGGGATTTTAAAAAATCATTAAAATCACTATCTATGGTGTTAACTAACATCAGAAAAAATTGGAGCCAGAGATACTTTTTATGAGACAACAGTGGCAGCCCAGGCAAGAGATAAGGATGCTCTGGATTAGAGGAGTGATACAGGGATGAACAGATAGGACATTTCCATGGAGTCATGAAGGGGGTAAAATAGAAAGGAATCAACACTTGGGTAAGTATGTATATGAGGAATAGAAGAGACATCTGGGTTTCTACCTTGAGCAGCTGAGGGGATGGTAGTATTATTTCTCAATTCTGGAAAGTGGGCTGAGGGGCATATCTTGGGGGAGGATATGATGAGCTCAGAGAAGGCGAGTAGGAGAGCCACCCCAGTGGAAGAAGAAAAGCAATTGGAAATGTTGGTTTGTAGCTCAAACCAGAGATACCTGGGTTAGAGACACAGATTTGTAAGTCATCAGCACATAGATGATTGCTGAAGCCATAGGAGTAACTGGGAAATCCCAGAAAGAACAAGTGCAGTAAAAATTAGAAGGGACACAGATGGAACTTGCAGGAATACCACATTGTATAGATAGACAGAGAAAGAAGAACCCCCAAAGGTGACAGAATGAGTAGCCAAAGAAACAGGAGGAAAACCAGAAAAGTATAGTATCACAAAGACAGGCCAGATTTGAGACGGAGAGAACATCCTGAATTATCTGGGATAGATTCTAAATTGAGTCCATGGCCAAAGGAAGGCCAGATTATGAAGACAGGAGTGTGCAGCTGTGTTAGATGCTCCAGATAGTACTGTAATAACTCAGAATTTTCCAGAGCATTTATTGACCAGGAGATGATTGGTGGACTTGGTGAGATGTTCTAAATAGAGCAGAGGAGACAAAAGCCCAACTTCAGCAGGTTGAGTCATAGTGGGGTGGAAAAGTGAAGTGAGTAGCAGGTGTGGTCAACTCTGGTAAGTGATTTAGCTAGGAAGGGGAAAAAAAAGAGAAAATGGAGAATCTGAACATTTGCTTTGTTTTTAAGATGGAAGAGGTCTGAGATGCTAATAATCAGGGTCGTCTTTTAAAAAAATAAATCAATATACCTGGTATTCATATAGACTTTATAATTTTAGAATCGTGGAAAGGAATCTTAAAGGTAAATTAAATTTCTGTCTACTACAGGCATCCTTCTCATAGAATCCCTGTTAGACGGTTGTCCAGACACTTTCTGTGATGGGGGCTCACTACTTCATAAGGGCCCTGATTGCATCACTAGACCACTGTGTCATTTAAAAAGCATCTTCTTAAAATGGCGCAAGCACGCCTTGTCATGATGTAAAGGACCCTTAGCTACAGTTCTGCCTTCTGGTACCATATGTGAATAGAACCATTGTGTGTCCTCAGTTCTTCCAATCTGAGCCCTCCCCACCATCCAGGGTGCTCCGTTCTGGGGGAATCTTCGTTTATGAATATCCATTTTAAAGATTAGTGCATCCAACTATATAATTAAAAGCAACATCTTAAATGTCACATTGTTAGTGCTGAAAACAGCAGGACTGTTACTGCCTATGATCTGAATTTCTGTTAACATAGCATGAGCCCATTGTCAAATAAACAGTTAAAAAAAAAAAAAAGCTGTACTTTGCCTCTGGTCCTGTCAAGCATGACAAAGTTCACTGACTACCACAAAGGAACACTAAGACTACTTAATGTGGAGAGATCTCTCTTGAGGGAGCTGATTGTTATCCTCACAGTGACCTGGTTATCAGCTTTTTCATAAATTCAGTAGCCATTCTGGCTTTTTATAGCATCCACATCTGCTACTAAGAGGTCGACTGTGCCACGCAAATCTTGCTCTAAAGGACTATAGCATAATCTTGTCTTTGCTACTACTACCTGTGGCCATTGAGTAGAAGACCAAGGGGTCACTTACCTTGTCATTTAAATACAATGCACAGGCTGTAAATAGCTTTCAATGTGCTTTTTATTAAGTATTTTATTGCCTTTTTATAGAAATAAAATATAGGTTTTCAACGCAGCTACCTTCAAAGGATTTAAATGTTAATGCCTTTTAAGAGCCATTTTCCCAGGAATGCATCTGATGGTGTAACTGGAACTGTCATAGTAGAACCTAAGTATTTCTCGTGGATCCCATATCTTTGATTGTTTTGATTTTACACTCCTTCATTCATTCAACAAATATGTAATGAGTGTCTCCATGTGCTGGGCATTGTGTTGGATACACAGGCTAGAGTAGTCAACAAAATCCACAAGATTCTTGTCTTCACAGGTTATAGCCCCATGGAGAAATGGATACTGCCCAAGTCAGCATACATACACCATTGTATAATATTCAGGGGTTGGGATGCGTGTTGTGGCAAATGGGAATAGGGCATTCTGAAAAGTAAAACTAGGGCAGGGCAATGCCTAATTTGAAGAGTCAGAAAAGTGACATCAATCTGAGATCTAAAGGGTGAGTAGGTATTTCCCTTTTCTGTTTTTGTTTTTTTGTGTTTTCCAGAGAAAGAGTTGGGGAAGAACATCTCATGTAGAAAGAGCACAAAAACACTCTTTGAAAGTCCTGAGGCTGTTTTCAATCTTAATTTTTCCCTAAGGCATTACAGACGTCTAAGATATCTTGGTTTGATCTGTGCAAATGTAAGACATAGCTATAAATTAGATAGTGAATACATTTTACAGGTGTTAAAAATTGATTCTTTGGCATGCAAATAAACCCAGCCTCCTCAATCATATGTATGACAAGACAACAATTTCTGGAGGTGCTAGCTCTTTCAAGGATTAAAGCACTATATCAATATTTTGTATATGCTGAAAAACTGGCACAATTTTTTTCAAATTCAAGATTATTTTGTCAAACATGAAATGCTCTGAGTTATAGGTACTCTCTGGGTTAGAGTGTGGGAAATCCTTAAAGAGAACTTGTGATCAGACAAAACTGAGAGAGTAAGTGTCTCACCTGTATTTGCATTAATTGCATTTAAAAGCACTATTTTGTTTTCAATAATACCTGATGATGAACCTTCCAGAGAAGAGTGGAAGGCCCATTTCAGGAAAGATTCACTGATCAGACATGCTCTGATACAAGTCTGAGTATCTTGAGATCTGTCTTCAAGGCTCATGAATGTGAAATGATATCACAGGGTGACCCCCTGTCTGGTTTGCCTGGGATTTTTTGTGGTTTTAGCATAAGAAGCTCTGTGTCCCAGGAAACTCTTCTGTCCCAGGCAAACTGGGATAGTTGGTCACCAGACTGCAATAAGGATTGGCTTCCTGGGCAGCCTGTGCCGTCACAGGCTGCCCAGTTCTTAGAAGAGTCCCATGCTTGGTTTAGTGCTTTGCTATTGCTGTTTTAAGTATGTAAATGTTTGAACAAAGGGTCCTACATTTTCCCTTTTCTCTGGGCCCTATAATTTATGTAGCTGGTTCTATCTGGACTTAGCATTTATTGAGCTTTTACCATGTATCGGGCCCTGAACAAATGACCTTATATTAGTTCATCTAATACCTAACTCTGAAAGGGAGTTATTATAATGTACTAGTTTTACACATGAAGAAACTGTTGAAGATGGTAAGCAATTTAACAAGATAGTTAACTGAAGGGAACATAAATTCAAATTAAGAACTGCCTGGCCCCAAGTCCCTCTAGCTTTCTGCTCTGCTGTGCTGAGGCTTAAATAGCACCCTGCAGTGGGGATAGGTACCGTCAGGTTCCTTCTTAGGAAGTTATTGATTATGCTGATCCTAGATGGCCAAGTATTGGCAACTTTGTAGAGTTCAAACTGATAATAAAAACCATGTTAAAAATCGCCACTGCTTTAGACATGAGCAATTCCCCCTCCTATCTTAGCCTTTCTACAATTTGTCTTTGACCTGGCAACTAACATTGTTTTTATTATTCCTTCCTTTAGATTTTCCTTGAAAGGAAGGTGGTATGTATGTATGTATGGGGCCTGGCATGAGGCAAGATTGGAATTCACAATTCAGTTAAAGAAAATAGGCAAATGACAACGTTAGGAAATGATTTGAAAGGAAGAGCTCTACACCCCTGCCACAAAACTAAACAGGTAAAATGGCCTCCTCTGGCTTCTCTGAGTCTTCTTGTGTGTTCTGTTCACTCTGGTCTCTAATAGCTGTTTGGATGCAGAATCAGAATTTTCCATGGGACTTACTATTGATGCTCTTCGGAAATACTGCCCTTTCCTCAACTACTGTCTTCCTTAGAGCAAGTTTAAGTGAGCTTTTCTGAAGGTTCTTGGAAATTGAGAGAATACAGTTCCCATCTTTATCTTCATTTCTCATTTCATCTAGAAGCACCATTCTATTTTCAGTTATTCCTGAGGGCTAAACCTGCAGTAATTGGGGCAACCCATCTCTGTGATTGTATCACTGTATCTGCTTCATATCCAAGCAACCACCAAGTCCATGTGTGTTCTTGCTAGAATCGACCATCAAGTCTTCAAGATCTTTAAGAGATGGTCTGCAGAGTCCATAAATTACTCACTGTCACAGGAGTTCTTCCACTTGTCTGATCATAGGAATCGTCAGACCCTCCACCTGTAAGTTACATGACCTTCCTGGAGATTTTAGTGCATTAATGACAGGGTGTGGTACAGAATACAGAGAAGAGCGTAAAGGCCCAGGGGGATCTGCTCAGGCAAATGTGAGAAACACTCCTGAAGCCTTTTTCTGTGTTTTATAGTTTTCACCTGTTTTACTCTGAAACTGAAAATAAGAGACTCTCTTTTACTATTATGGTGAAATAGCTGGAAAAAATGCCAAAATCCACATAATATATTTTTCACATAAACTGATTAAAAGTAACTAGAGACATGCTGACATTTAGGAGAAAGTAGGTTAATTAAAAGATAAGTTTTCAAGAGAAGAGATTCATTTTTAAAAAATATTCAGAGGTCATGAAGATCCCACTACTGTGTGACCACTTGGGAAATAAAACACACACACTTACATGTGTGAATGCATGCTTACTTACACACACAAACACACACACACACACCCTCTACTCCATGATATGGACAATTATGCTGCCTATGACCTAAATCCTGCAGGACTGCTATTGGTGATACTGTCAATAAGATGAAAGCTTTCCAAAATATATATATATATATTAGCTGAGCCTTTTAGCCAAAATTGGAAGGTAGTATTAACCTTTTCATGCTCTTCATGCATATTCAAAACAAAAATCATTTCTCATGCAGCAGTTGTAATTGATAATGTTACACTCTTATTGTATTAGAGACCATAAAGCCTTTGAACACACACACACACAAAATCTGAGTGTAGCTGGGTTCTGCTCCCAAAACTCCTGGGTTTGGGGGACTTTTTTTGATATATCCATATATTACTCTAATGAGTGGCTGCTGAGGAGCTGCATTTCTCATCCAGCCTATGGGAGCTGATCATGCTCTAACTTCTATGCCAAAAGCACTCTGGATGACACAGTCTATGCCTCTAATGAAGGGGGAGAAGAAAACCGTAGAGGTCAGGAGCTGTTTTGAAGATCTCTTGAGCAGGTCTTTGCAAAGGCAGTCATTTCCTTTATCAGCACACATTAACAAAAACCTTCTGGTGGGGAGTCTGACTTGTCTGTTATCAAGTAATGGTTAGAAAAAAAATTAAGTGATTAATAGAAAATGTCAGCTAAAATGAGACTTTTTAACTGCCTCACTGACCTTAGATGATAGCTTCAAGTAGGTCTCTTTTCTTTATAGGCAAGAGAATATGACAGAACAAAACACAGTGATGACAAAATATGGTGATCCAGTGTAGCTCTAGGTTTCAGCTTTCAGAGTGAAACAATGCCATTGCAAGAGGGTTTTTTCATCCTTGATTCTCTATAATCTGCACATTCCTTTACTTGTTCTTTTATCTATATTCCCCCCAGGGGAATATTG
Source organism: Homo sapiens (assembly GCF_000001405.40). Taxonomy (NCBI): domain Eukaryota; kingdom Metazoa; phylum Chordata; class Mammalia; order Primates; family Hominidae; genus Homo; species Homo sapiens. Next base: position 130,598,421 of record NC_000006.12, read on the forward strand.
TGGTTTGGCTGTGATGGAATAAACCAGACTAAAGAAGGTAGAAGCTAAGAGTCTAGTGAGACACAACTGATCAAACAAAGGATAGGCACCAGCCCATGAGAACAACATATGGAATGGGTTAGTCAAAGGACAGGTCTACAGAGGTGTGAGTCCACAGGTTCCATCTAGAAGGTGCATCTATAGAAAATGTTCAGGAGGAAAGGGAGATATAATGCATGGTAAGGGTATGTAATGTATGGATTTTTAAGCAAGAGACAATAGGTGATAGTGTTAGAAGGCAGGTGGTTGGCATTAGAATTCAGGCACAACGAATCTAGCATTCACTGGCAGGAAATCTAGATAAGCACAGTCACCAGGCAACAAGGTTGGAACTCTATCTCAAACAGCAAGGCAAGAGATCAGTTACTAGGAAACCAGGGTACCCAAGTTAGAGAGAGATCAGCTTTCTTTACCGAAACATCAGAGGTTATATACTCTGTCCTCATTTTTATGCATTATGCTAAGGAAGTAGACATTTAAACTAAATCCTGGATATGCAAAGAAAATGTCAACCCATAAGGGCCTCTATATAAAATATATATATATATGTAGAGAGAGAGAGAGAGAGAGAAAGAGAGAGAGAGAGAAGACAAAACTCAATTCATTGTCTTTCCCCACTTAGCTAATTATGTAAGTCAAAAATTAATTGGTATACTGTATATGTGAACTTTCAAAGGAGTTAAGAAATACAACTCTTTATTATTGAGCAGCAGCTATTCCTTATGAAAATGTCCTTTAATCTAGTTGGTTGTTATGTCCTATCTGCCGAGATGCACCACCCAATACCACAGTTTTGCTGTGGGATCTATGTAATCAGTCCTCCTGGTTGTCAAAGCATCATCTCTTGAGATTTATTCCAGTAATCTAAGAAGAAACATGAAAGTCCTGTTTGTAGCACATAATTGAATATTTTAAAGTTCCTTTTGGATTTCCTTTTCATATTTGCTTGCTGATTAACTGAAATCCATTTTCAGGTCATAAATACAAAACTAAGAGCAAAAATCAGAGAGAGTAAGGAAAAGGTGTCTACTGTGAATCCATAGAAGTGTTGATTACATATATACCTTATAAAACAAGGAAACTCAATTTTTACCTTGTACATGGTTTCAATTTATTGTTGTCTACAAAAATCTCCAACCCCTGATTTTGGTCAATAATGTAAATTTATTTCATGTTCTTTAATTACTAAATATTTCAGGTCTACAATGTATATGTAGATATATAATACTTGAGAGAGAGAAGAGAACTATTAGTTATAATAAATGTCATTACTTTGTGTTTTCTTCTCAGTGATTCAACATCAGTGGTTATCAAAGTGTGGTCCCTGAACCCAAAATAGTATCACCAGCAACTTTGTTAGAAATACAAATTGTGGGCCCAGGCCCAAACTTACAGAACCAGAAACTCGGGGGGTAGGGCCCAGCATTCTGTTTAACAACAAATTCTGATTCTGATGAATGCTTCAGCTTAAGAGCCACCATTCTACACCTTGCAGATGACTTCCAAATCGACATCTGTTTCCAAATGCCTAATGAACACAGACTTAGAGATATAGCACAATCCAAATATCTCAAAATTCAAGTTTGTCATCTCCTTGATAAAACCAGTTTCCCTTCCCTGTACTCCCTAATACTCCCTAATACTACCTGTACTCCTTAGCTAATCAGAGCTGTCTAATTACCAAGTGTGTTAGTTTTCTATTGATTGTTGCATTAAAAATTCCCCAAACTCAGCTCACATAGTTTCTGAGAGTTGGAATTCTGCGAACAGCTTAGCTGAGTGGTTCAGGCTCAGGATCTCCTGTGAGGTTGTGGTGGTCAAGATGTCAGCTGGGGCCGGGTGCGGTGGCTCACACCTGTAATCCCAGCATTTTGGGAGGCCAAGGTGGGCAGATCACGAGGTCAGGAGATCAAGACCACGGTGAAACCCCATCTCTACTAAAAATACAAAAAAAAAAAAATTAGCCCGGTGCAGTGGCGGGCACCTGTAGTCCCAGCTACTCGGGAGGCTGAGGCAGGAGAATGGCATGAACCCGGGAGGTGGAGCTTGCAGTGAGCTGAGATCGCCCCACTGCACTCCAGCCTGGGTGACAGAGCGAGGCTCCGTCTCAAAAAAAAAAAAAAAAGAGAGAAAAGAAAAGAAAAAAAGATGTCAGCTGGGGCCATAGTTATATAAAGACTTCTTTGGGCTAGAGAAATGACTTTCAAGCTCACTCACATGGGTATTGTCAAGAGGCCCCAGTTCCTTACCACGTGTGCCTACCATAGGGCTAATTACTAGAAGGCAGCCACTTCCCCCAAGCAAATATTCAAGAATAAGCAACCAAGGAAAAAGGGCACACTGATTTTATAACCTAATATCAAAAACCACACACCATCACTTCTGCCATTATTGGTCAATGAGGCCAATCCTGGTACAATGTGGGAGGGGATGACATGAGCATGAGACTACCAGGAGGTGGGGATCATTGGGAGTCATCTTGGAAGCGTTAACCGTGCCCAGACAAGTATTACCAGGAGATTTCCAACTCTCTTACTCTCACTGTTATATACAACCCATAGCCAAGACTCATCAATTATTCAGTATCTCCCATGCCTGTCCCCTTCATTGTAGTACTTTTCCTGACTCACTCTTCTATCTCACTATCTTGCCTCCAATCTCTATACTATTCCAACATTCCTTCTCACAGCTGGGTAACATTCCTAAAATACAAGCCAGATTTGCCACAACAGACCTTCAAAACCTCTCTTGCTTCCTATCAAGTAAGTGATTCTTACTTAGAATGGCATTTACAGCTTCCTCTGACCTAAGTATAATCTGTCTTCCCAGGACCATTTCCTGCTATAACTCTTCATTCTTCTCTCTCCAGGCCAATGATTGGATATCTTCCCCAACTCTTTGTTTCTAGCAAAGCTCTTTTGATATTCTATTTATCCAGAACAACCTCTTTCTACTCCAAAGCCAAGATCAGATGCTGTCTTTACTGATATTCCAGTCAGAATGAATTATTATCATCCACGGCATGTTATACCTCCAATACAGAATTAGTTGCAGCTGTAGTTAGTTGTTTAAGAGTCCCTATTTCACCTACAGATTTTAATCTCCCCAGGGTTAGGGGTTTTCAGTTATCTTTATTATCAATACAATATTAGGGTTTGTTGAATTAAAATATATAATTTCAATAGGCCCTTTCATGTGAGAGATGATTCATACTATTCTCAACAATGCAAAGGAAAGGTATTTAAGTTTGAAATAATCATGACTATTCCCCTAAAGAGTAGCCCTTCCTACAAAGTTTCTAGTTGGAAAAGTAGCCTACAATATCCAGGCTATATTTTCATTTGAAAGACTTTTCCTACAGACAGATGGGACAGTCTCCTTTTACAATGGAACCTAGAAATGTGCATGGAGATGGAAGTGGTGAAGGCTCGTAAGTGTGGCTTATAAACGTGTTAAAATCTAGGGTGATGGGAGCCCCTAAAGGGTTTTTACAAGGGAAGTACCTGATCAGATTTTTATTTGGAGGAATTGCCTCTGAGGGAATTACAGGCTACCTGTCTGAATTGGACGGGGACAGAAGTCAAACCAACGGGTGATGGTGGTACGCTTGTCTACAGTGAAGGCAGAAAAGATGGAAAGAAGAGAGTTGCTCAGGGGGTAGAACTGGCCAGACATGATGATTGATTGTGAGGGAGAGAGCTGAAGGTCTGGAATGATGCCCCGGTGAGGGTTTTGTGCCTGTGAATCTGGACCTAGGATCAGGACTCAGTGGGGAAAAACACCTTAGAGCATGAACTTTGCACAACATGGTACCAGCATCATTGTCATGTATGGAAGACAGCCCATTCTGGAGAGAGGCCACAGGAGCTATCAGGAAATTACGCTGACCTTTTTTCACAAATGAATAGGCTCAAAATTAGATTCTTACACCGACTGACTAAAGGGAAAGCTATTAAACTGTCAGACAAGAGCTCTCCCTGGTTTTTATGAGTTACCATGATTCATCGTTCCAGGGGAAGGAGCTGAGCAAGAATCATTTCCGTGGCTTCTCAGGAGTTCCTGAAAGATCACACGCTACAGCATGAAAGCGGAAAGACTGATTCATAATGATAGCACCAAATATCAAATCAAACATCTAAATACAAAGTGTGCATGCTTGATATGTGATTATCAGGCATGTGATGAGGTTTTACTAAATCAACTTGATTGTTCTGGTTAGTATTATGAACGCCCTTTCATCTGAGGGTAGGGATGATAGAGATACAGAAGATAGCCACATATAACACAAAATCTTTCTAACTAAACATAGTTGACACCAATTATGACAGTCTCACATATAACATGCTTCACGTGATTAAGGGTTCTTATATTACATGGTACATTTGAGTACTGGTGGGGAAATGGCCAATAAAATACAGCATATCTTCCAGGGAGTTTTTTAAACATTTGCATTTGGATACCCTGAGAGGAAGCAAGTATCTTTCAGCCCACAGCCACAGATATGCTTAATTCTCTCACCGATAGTATTGCCTGGCTTCTGAGTTGGGAAATCTGAAGGAGAACAACCAAGAATGCTGAAATGGGGCAGGGCGCGGTGGCTCACGACTATAATCCCAGCACTTTGGAGGCCGAGCCAGGCAGATTACCTGAGGTCAACATGGTGAAACCCTGTCTCTACTAAAAATACAAAAATTAGCCAGGCATGGTGTCACACACCTGTAATCCCAGCTACTCGGCAGGCTGAGGCAGGAGAATTGCTTGAACCTGGGAGGCAGAGGTTGCAGTGAGACGAGATTGCGCCATTGCACTCCAGCCTGGGGGAAAAGAGCGAGACTCCGTCTCAAAAACAAAAAACAGAAGCAAAAAGAGTGCTAAAATGGGTATCCTTGAGAACAATTAATACAAGTCACTGAGCTAATTTGAAAGGAGACAGAAACACAGGAGGGTCGCCCTGCAGCTTAGAGTATCTCCCTGCCCAGGATATGCATCATCCCTCTGAAGCCATGCTGGCCCTAACCCTTATTATTCCCCTTAATAGCTCTTAAGGTACAATCCCTAAAAAGTCTTAGGAGGCCAGGCCCTGTGTGTGTGGATCCTGCTCCCACTTCCAGATTCTTGTCCCATCACTCACTTACCTTTCAGCAATCTGACCTCCATCCCCACAGAGCATCGCAGGTCATCGCAGCAGAGCCCTGTGTGGCATCCCACCCAGCTCCCCTTTCAAGCCCAAGGCACTCATTTCCCCCAGCTGCTAGGAATTTAAGCTGCTTAGCTCACACCTGAGTCCCACTTTGGGAATTGCCCTCACCTGGTTCTCCTAAGGTCATGCCCCCACCTCGGGACAGAAGATTGGTCCATAAGTAGCCTCAGAGGCCTGAATTTTAGGCAGCTCCAAAGGACACTCCAACTCCAGAGCCTCCTCCTTTCCTTACAGGTGTTATTCGTGAAAGCACACCCGATAAACACCTGGCCACAAATCTCTGTTTCAGAGTCTGTTTCCAGGGAGCCCACACCAGGACACAAGCCCTCCTCATGCCTGCCCCAAAGCCTTTGTTTCTGTTCTTCCCTCTGTCTGAAACATTCTTCAGCCATCCTCCTTTCCCTCTTTCCCCAAGTGTCTCACCTACTCCTCTTTCTTAGTTCTGGGGTCACTTTTCCAAGAATGTCTTTCCTGAAAGTCCAGTCTAATTCAGGTCCCACTGTTCTATGCTTTCGTGGAAACCAGTTCCCTTTCTTTATAGGGCTTCCATTTGCAATTATGCAGACATTAATTTGCATGTCTGCCTTACCTACTCCAGTAAACTCCATGAGAGAAGGAGCTCTGTTCCTTCTCACATTGGTGTTCCAGCATACAGCAATGAATCTGGCTCAAGTTTGGAATTCAACGAATAGACATTAAATTGTCTGGTGGATTAATTGATTGATTGGTGGAGTGAATGGCCTCTGCCATCAAAGTCCTTTCTTTTTCTGATTCATCTTCCTGATAACAGGGAGCCCCATTTTCTGGTGACCATTCCTCACTGTGAGGTTTTTAAAGTGCAACCATGTGATAAGCTGTAATTATTGTCTTTACCAAGATCATCTTAAGCATTGTATGTTTCATCTGTCAAATGCTAATCATCTAAGAATGTTGAGGCTGAAAACAAGAGAAATGTATGCATCCTCAGCACTGTACTTTCATGGTAGGAATTCCAAATAGCTAATGGACAATAACAATAAAATAGCTCAGTATTAAAATCAGGATCACTACTTCACCAAAGTCTTTTAAAGTGTTTGTAGTAAAGTTGTGGGAGATTGAGCTCTAAAATGCAGAGGAAAAGAGCTCTTTTTACTTCTACTTTCAGAGACTTTTGTTCTAGAAATTATTTTTAGTGTCGGTAAATTATGCTAATTAAGACAACTAAACTAAAAAAGTATATTTAGAACCAAGAGAACATATTTTACTAATGGTTTATGATTTCCCAAGCAGATTTAAAATTAGATTTATGTTATTTTAAGATATTTTTGTTTATCCAGCCAAATGTCACCCTAAAGGTCAAGCTGGCCAGAGAAAAGGGAGAAATTACTCTCCAACCAGCATTTTCTAAGCACATTCACTGAGCAAGGAATTCAAAGCCAAGGTCATTGGTGTCAGGAGAGATATAGTCTCGGAGGTTGCTGAATGATTCTAAAATCTTGTTAAGGACTCTGAAAAAGAGAAGAGAAAAGCCAGATCTTGACAGGCCGGAGCTTGCCTGGTGCTGTCAGTACTGTCCTGGCACTCAGAGCTAGGTTGTGGTGCTGTCCTGCTGAACACAATTTCACAGAACACCCACATCAGTCAAGTCCCCTGTATGACTTTGATAGATCATGACAAAATCAAGACACTTCCAAAAGATGTCTGAACTTGTACAAAAACAAGAACATTGTCCAAACCCCCCAAAATATTAAACATCCCCTACCCTAGCTGATATGAAAGCTGCTTCTTTACCAATTACAGCTTTAGCCTCACTTCATTCCTCCTGCCATATAGATAAGATTTATAAAAGATACCCAGTCATAGAATTGCTTCCCAACAGCATCCAATCTGGAGCAAAACCTACTTCCTTGAATCTTCTCAAAAATTGTCTAACACAAGCCCAGATCATGTGGGTCCTTTCTACCACGTTCTTATTGAGTCACCCCACAGCTCTCCATGGTATATGGTCTTCCTCATTGGAACAAGTCAATAAACTCCATTTGGTTTAGCTATGGTTGTACTGCAGGTGGTCTTTCATTGGGGGCCATAGACAACTCTCAACAGAGAAAGAAGTAACATTTAGAGAAGATATGGTTACAGTCAAATTGCCTTTATTAAATATTTAAACTTGAAATATACACACTTATTTCCACACCTTCACTCTAAAGCCAAACCAATAATTTCATAGTGTAGTAAACATTTGGGGCAAAACAAATTATGAATCAAGTCCTTCCTGTATCTCAGATAGGAAACGATAAATGATGGAAAGTCAGGAAATATAATAAATAGGGAAACAAAAGGACTATAACCTTTTAAGTAGCAATTGTCAAGACCATTAAGTAGAGTCGAGTCCTGGTGAAGCACAGTTGTCATGGGGAATAGGAGAAGAGTGGCCTCCGAGGAACAAGGTGAGCCCTGAGTATTAGGGCCAAAGCTCAGGCATAGAACTATGCAGGCGATATGGTTTTGCAAGGCCACAGGCATCGTGCTTTCCTGCATATGCCTTTACCTAAACAGTCTGTTTTCTTCTCTATTGTAGAATATGTTATTCACTTACTTAAATTTCATCTGATTTAGTTCAATGGTATATGCGGACTTTTTTTTTGGTCTTTACATATCTATAAAGGCACTGTTATCCAAGTCTCAGGTTTAAGTCTTAAGTTTTACCCAAAAAGGTTTAGAATAATCTAAGGAAAGTATTCCTCTGTGATATATTTTTAAGCAAACAGACAGAGGGAAATCTGATTTATCCAATAATTAAAGGAATAATACTAAGTCTATGTATCTTTTTTATAATGGTATACTTAATCTGAGAACATCAGAGCATTATAACAAAGACATTCCATGCTACAGTCAGAGAAACTCACAGTCTAAGAGGTGCCAACCCTAACTAAACAGGCACAGTGAGGATAGTGTTGCTCCAACTGATAGTTCCAAGTAGTAGCTTCTTGTTTTTTAAGTTTATTTTAATTTTGATTTTTTACAAATGTCAAGTAAAATGTTACATAAAAACATGTATTGGGCCAGGCGCAGTGGCTCATACCTGTAATCCCAGCACGTTGGGAGGCGAAGACGGGCAGATCACAAGGTCAGGAGATCGAGACCATCCTGGCCAACGTGGTGAAACCCCATCTCTACTGAAAAAATACAAAAAAATTAGCTGGGTGTGGTGGCGCATGCCTGTAGTCCCAGCTACTTGGGAGGCTGAAGCAGGGAAATTGCTTAAACCTGGAAGGCAGAGGTTGCAGTGAGCCAAGAATGTGCCACTATGCTCCAGCCTGGCAATAGAACAAGACTCAGTCAAAAAAAAAAAAAAAAAAAAAGCATTAACAGGCAATATAGTGTGAAGATTAAGAACATAGACTACATTTAAACAGACTTGGGTTTTCAGCCTGACTCTGTTGCTTTCACAGAACATGACTGCTGTGATTTGGATGTGTCTCCCAAAGTTTATGTGTTGGAAAAGTCCTCTGTACAACAGTGTTAGGAGGTGAGATCTAATAAGAGGTTATTAGATCATAAGAGCTCTTCCCTCATGAGTGGATTAATATCATTATCAAGGGAATGGGCTAGTTATTGCCAGAGAGGGCTTACTATACAAGAAAGTTTGGTTCCCTCTTGACCTCTGGCTCTCTCTTAGTCTCTTATTTAATCACACTCTCTTGCCCTTCCAACGTTCTGCCATATGATGATGTAGCACAAAGGCCCTTGTCAGATGCAAGCACCATGCTTTTAGACTTCCCAGTCTCCAGAACTGTGGGCCAAATAAACTTCTATTGTTTATAAATTACTCAGTCTGTGGTATTCTGTTCTAGCACCAGAAAACAGACTAAAACAGTGACTATGGGCAAGTTACTTGAAACTCTCAAAACCTGTTTCCTCATCAGTGAAATGGACATAATAATAGTATCTACACAAGAGAGTTCTTATTGAATTCAATGCCGTGGTGCCTGTAAATGTTCAGCTCAGTGTCTGGCACACAGTAAGTGCTATGATTACTGTTGTGATTGTGTTGTCACCTGTGTTCAATCAAGTACAGAAATCTTCAATCTGAAATAAAGGATTTTGAAGACTCAAGCTATATTACCTTTGTGAAGAAAACTATATATATATATATATATTTAAATATATTTTAACATTAGGTTTGGAACTCTGATAGAAGACTTTAATAAATCTAGCACTTAATAAACATTCACTCTGTATTTGCTTAGCCTTATGCTTTGTATCCGGGCAGGCGAAGGATTAGAGAAGAGAAAGCCAAATAAGATATTATTTAGATACAGACAAGTTCAAAATTAACAGTAAAATATGACTGACTTTGTAAGTACTATAATCAATTTCCAACAATGTTATCCTAGGAAAAGAAAAGTTCAATTATGAATAAGACAGTCTAGGAGGCCTCATGGAGGTGGTGATATTGAAACAAGAGTGGGATTTCCTCAGGCAAAGATTGGGATTGTGGGTCTGGAATAACAACATGAGTAGACAAATTAACATTTAAAAAAAGAACAGAAGTAGAAAGGTATAGAAGATGTCAAGAGAATTGGGTATAGAATGAGAGACTTGCTGGGTGTGTGGGGACTGGCTGAGGAAATCATGAAGGCTCTATAATGAAGGGCTCTTCGTGGGCCCTGTTAAAGAGTTTAGATCTAGCCTCAGGTCTAGTTGCCCTAACAAAAATACCATAGACTGGGTTGCTTAAACAACAATAATTTATTCCTCACAGTTCTGGAGACCAGAAAGTCCAAAATCAAAATACAGGTTGATTAGGTTTCTGATGAGGGCCCTCTTCCTGGTTTGTAGACAGACACCTTCTCACTGTGTCTCTTCACATGGCAAAGACACACACACACACACACACACACACACACACACACACACATACAAACAGAGAGAGATCTGACTTCTCTTCCTCTTCTTATGGGGACACTAATTCTGTTATAGGGGATCCACCCTCATGACATCATCTAATTGTAATTACCTCCCAAAGTCCCACCTCCAAATATCATCACACTAGGGATTAAGGGCCTCCACATGTGAATTTGGGGGAGCACAAACATTCATAATGTCTTAACCTATACACAAAGAGAAACACTGACAATTGTGAGGAGGCAAATAAAATCATGAGATTGCTTAGGAAGGTTAATCTGGTGTGAATAAGTGTGAAGAATTGAAAGGAGACAAAGAGACCAGCTAAAATGTTGCTACAATAGTTCAATATAGAAGCACCATATTTTATAAAACCTGTAACATCATTAGACACATCATTTTTTAAATTTAATTCTAAAGAAGAAAGTGCTTCCATTGATTTACAATGTAACATTTTATTTAATAGAATTTTAATTTTATACTTACTGAAAGAACTATTTGAGAAGTTTTTAGGCATCATTGTGTTTTATATGTCACTCTTTGTATTAACATAGACAATCTGAGGGAAATACAGCAGTTAAGGTATTTCTGAAACTCACATTCACAGTCCACTTCTTCTCAATCACTTTTTGATTTAGTCATTATGGTGTATATTATTATAGAGTTCATCCACATATACATAGGGTGATGATTTTTAAATAATCACATTTTATATTTTATTTTGTCACTTTTTTTTTTACTTAACATACCATAGACATCTTTTCAGTTAATTAATTGTAGTTTGATACCATCATTTAAATTCATTCAACAACTATTACTGAGCATCTAGGCCTTGGGCGAGGTACTAGGGAAACACTGAGGAGTAAAAGTAGGTGGGGGTGTCACTCTGGTGGAGTGTGACCAAAGTAAAGAATTTCCTGGTGGCACACATTTTCTTTCCTTCTAGATTTGGGTTTTTTTATTATAATATTATGATGAATTTCCTTATTAGTTTATCTCTTTATAAATCCCATGGTAAGCTTCCTTGTAGTCCTAGCTATTCAGGAGGCTGAGGATCACTTGAGCCAAGGAGGTAGAGGCTGCAGTGAGCCAAGATAGCGCCACAGCACTCCAGCCTGGGTAACAGAGTGAGACACCATCTGAAAAAAAAAAAAAAAAGTTCCTAAAAGTATAACGTCTGGGCCAAGTGGCTTGCCTATGTTACACATATTTAAGGATTTTGATACATATTGTCAATGTTCCCTTCAGAAATGCAGCAATTCATATTCTTCCCATCAACATTCCCCTCCTGTGCCTATGTCCTCACAACTCTCCCAACCTGGATTTTATCATTCTTTTACATCTTGGCTAATCAAGAGGTAAACACTGATATTTTATCATTATAAATTGCATTTCCTGATTACTGCTGATGTGGAATATATTTTTATATTTTTTAGCAAAATACATTTTTATATAATGTTTATATTTTATATAATAACACACTATTTTTATATAATATACCTATTATATAAATATATATTTTGCATACACTTTATGTGTATTAGCCATTTATATATATTTATAAATATAGTGTATATATACACACAAACATATACTGGTTTTCATTCTTTGCCCATTTTTCTATTGGTATATTTTATTCAGATGATATTTAAACAATCATTTCCCCCTTTGAGTTCCAATGTTAGTATTTTAGAAACATACAGAAATTCAAAAACATAGTAATTTGCACTTTATATTAGCATAGTTTCCTACAATAAAGTGTGATTTGTTAACTCATCTGTGAAAATGTCTATATGATATTATCCTCAAAGCAGAACACTTCTATTAGTTTTAACTATTTGAATCTATTTCAATAAATCTAAAGACATCTTATGCAAACAGCCAAACAGGATGTGCAGTTTCCATAGAAACAGAAGCTAATATTATTAAAAAGGAATGAGCCAAGCTGGAACTTTTTTCCTCGGGGACCCTCATTTGCAACCAGTTCCTTGAATAAGTCGTATATGTGAATTATGCCACCTGATGCTAGTTAACATTAGTAATGCCTGATAAAGACTTCACTTGGCATCTGATCATCACAAGGGAAAGGTTGATGTAAATTACATTGCAGGCTAACTAATTTGGGATTTTATTTTAAATTGAAATTTAAAAGTAAAACCATTTCATCTTGATTTCCTAGGGAGAGTTGTTCATTTCCATGCTAAAATTGAAATAACCATAATGTAAGTGTCTGATTTCTTTTTCAACTTTGAAAATTTTGGTTATAAAGCAAACTTTTTCCACTGAATCAATGATTTTTATCAGCTTATATTATCAAAATGGAAAAAAATGCCTTAAGAAAATAGCCTTGAACAAAACAAATGTTATACACAAAAGTGCTAAAACGCTTTTAGAAGAATACGAAATAATTATTTGACTCAGACTGTCAGAGTTTATAATTACTACCCAGAATGGAAAAATTTCCTATGCTAAAGAACATCCCCGTGGGTCCAAACCACCTAGAAAATGATGTGTCATATGTGTTACTTCGCTCCACAAATAAAGTCTACAATTCAGTGTTTAGCCCAAAATTTCCTTTTAAGGCTGTTACCTTTTCTGTATACTCTAAGAAGTCACATGTGTCTGTGAAACATCTCATCTTAGTGCTGGAAGAGTGAGTCTTGTTGTATATGTTCTCTTTCGTATGGCAGAAAGAGGATTACTTCTCTTACTGTCAAATAGGGGATAGGATATATAAAGATTGTGAGCATGAAAGTAATTTTCATGTTTACAATAATCACACCTTCACTTTTAAAACAAAAATCGAAAGCTGTACACTATCTCATTTGACCTTCACAACTGTGATACTGACATTTGCATGATCACTTTGTAGACAAGGAATCTAAGATTCCAGAAGCCGAAAGGTCTTGCCCAAATGTCACAGTTAACAAAAGGACGAGCTGGACTGAAACACACGTCCTCAGTCATGTGTTTCCCATGTCAGTCATGGGAAGTTTCCACTGAGCTACACTACCACCCAGACGTACCAACTCCTAGGGTTTTCCTTCAAGCAGGGACTGAACTGAGTAGCCTGTCAGAGTAGCAATGACGTCCTTCACAGGAAGGAGGGGAGGACATGCTCCCAGACGCTGTGCTCTGGGGACAGTGTGTGCACTGCATGTTGCTGCCCCACACTCTATCAGTGGTGGTTGTGGAGATGGCTGTCGTGGTGACATTAAGATCACGGCCCTCAAGGCTTCACTTGATCAGGCCTCCAACTTCATTTCATTTCTCTCTCCCCTGTGTTCACTATGCTCCACATAATAAATTGATTTGTTTATTTTTATCATTTCTATACCAGGCACAAAAGGAAATAATAGGAAGAAATTCCATATTATTGAAGAAGTGTCCCTTCCTTCAAAATTGCAATGTAGTTAAGGGGTTGGATTCTAACACGAGATTGCCTGGGTTTGAATCCTGGCTTTGCCATTTACTGTGTGTGACTTCAGACTAAATTTAATTGATTCTATTGCTAACTTTTCTGTGCCTCTCTTGCCTCATCTGCAAAACTAGCCAAATACTAGTCCCTACCTGATGGGGTTCATGAGACAGTCCATGTAAGGCATTTATCTGGCAATAGAAAGAACTCCTGACATAAGTAGTCGGCATCAAAATTGATCAATATATGGTGAGACATCACAGTGTTTGCTCCGGAAAGGTCTTGAGCTATGCATACAGAACGTTACACCAAGTGCAATACATATAATGTGTTACATGTGTGTTTGTACTGCATGCATATGTGATACATACAAAATGTTATATATACAATGTATTTTAACAGAAAGGTTTGATTTGGCTTGGCAGAGAGAAAGGGAGGGGTAAGCTCGAGAAAGGGGGTCACCTGAATAGGGACAAGGAAGTTGGGGGAGCAGTGGGAATGCACACAGTGTGTTGTGAGGATAAAGGGGCTGAGCTCATGAATACAAAAGGCTCTTGCAAACTAATTGTAAGAGATGAAGCTGGACAGGAAAGATAGGACCAGGTAAAAGAAAATTTTTAATTCCAGGGTAAGAATTTGAGAATTAACTCAATAGGCAATAAATAGCTTCAGTAAGGAAGCTATTATAGAGTCTTGCGCAGGAAAACTTAACGTAAAAGAAAAACAAACTTGGTCTTCCTGGATGCCTTTCAAAGTTAACTGAGCAAGACTGACAAGAGCCCTCTGATAAGAGTTCCTATTGATGGCAGTCAATATGCCAGGCCTTGTCTCATTTTAACAAGAATTCTACAGGATAAATACTGTTTTCATATCTTCTGAGGAAGGCTCAGAAAGGTTAGGAAAATGTCCAAGGTCATGTGACTAATAAATAGCAGAGCCAGCACCCGCACACAGTCCTTTGCATCTCCAAAGCCTATGTTTTTACTAACCTACCCTGGTTAAATGGTTTTTAAAAAGGTGGGAGGGGTTAGTAAATGAGAGAAGCAACAGAAATTAGGGAAATTGAGCAAGATCATTAAAGGAATAACTTCCATATTACTTAAAGTATCTAACTATTCTGTACAGAAGCCTTCATCAGAACAATTACAAGGCAACATTTCTCTGGAAATGGCTGTTGAAATTAGAGCAACGCTGTGAATGTTGAATAAGAATGTTAGTTGCAAAAACAAGTTATCCTGTCTAGCGTAGGCAGAAAATAACTTTATTAAATGATACTTGGCTACTCAGAGAAATCCCAGGTGAGCCAGAAAAGTCGAGCAATTAGGGCAGATACCCAAAAACACTTTCGGGACCAAGGACACCACAGCCAAGCTCACTATGCCCAGAAGACACAGGGGACTGGGTGCCAGGATCTCCACCCTGATGAGCTGAAGGCCGTCACCGCCATGCTTGCCAGATGTGTGTCCCTGCACAGGGCTGCTTTTCCACATTTCTCATTTCCAAATCCACGCCTAGATGAGTATGAGCTGATTAGTAGAACCTAAGCCACATGCCTGTTTCAAGCTTCAAGGAAATCTGGGTTTGGGATTCTTTACGACTTTTTTTTTTAAAAGAGGTTTATAGCTAAAACTCATAATCTGGAATTGCCCAAAGTATAAGCTTTGGAACAGTCACAATAACGAATGCCCATTTTTATTAGGTAAAGGTGTTAGGGCAAGTGAAGAACCCCTCAGGATGTGTCCGTCACTCTTCATGGAAGATATGTGCTTCCTGACATGGGTATTTCATTCTGCTTGACAGGTTCAACGTGTTATTATAGAAAGAGAAGGGTGACTCACTAAATTTAATAAAAGTGTCCATGAAGGCTGTCCAGCTGCCTTGGGTTTGATTCATATTCACCCAGAAATTTTTTGTAGCCATTAAATTTCCCAAGAAAATTTATCTGCTGGGGAGAGAATGAGCTTACCAATGGCCAAGAATATTCTGGTCTCTCCTGCAGTTACATTTTGTTGTGGGTTAATAAGTTCATTCACCGGACAATGTGCCAGGCATTGAATTAGGCACTGCGTTTTGAATGACAATCAGATCCCATCTTTGCCCGTGAAGAGTTCACAACCTGTGAGGAAAACAAACGTGTAGATAGAAAGTTATGGAGTGATATGTATGATAAATGCAACCCTGGTAAAAATGACAGGAGAAGCGAGGAGGTGAATCCCTGCTCATCCCAGGTGGCAAAAAGGACACTGCTTGAATGAAGGCTTCACAAGTAAGAGTCAACCAGATGGAGGTTGGGGGAGAGGCACGCTAGGCTGAGGAAAAGCACAAATGTAAGGAACATTAATTAATTTCATTCATTCAGCCAATATTTGTTTTGTGCCAAATACTGGGATATAGAACATGGGAGAGTGAGTGGGGAAAACGTGGGTGGGGGGGCATACCACAGCAGCGAGGCTGAGGGGCAGATAGACTGACCAAATAGAGACGTGTATACCATGGCAAGACATTTAGAATTTACCCTTGGTGCTTTATCTTTTTAAATTGATCTCTCTGGAGACTGTGTATAGAATGAATCCAAATTTTAAGTGTCTCCCTCTTGAGTCTAAACACGTTACTTACCACCCTACATTGTGCATGTAAGTCTTTTCTTGTGTGTTAGCAGATGGTTTATTTTTCATGTGACTCAGGATGGGTACAGCAATCTGCATTTTCTTTATATCTTTTGGCATTCAGGTTTGGTCTCCCTGAGAAGATAAGCATGAAAAAGGCAAGGACCCTCCTGGTGACTAACTTAACAATAGAAGATATCAAAGATGGGTATTTGAACAAGGTTTCTTGGAGAGGAGCAAAGTCTTCTGGTACCTCCCTGTGAGACACCTAGGTAGCTACTATTTGACTTTCTGGAAACAGTAGCATGCACAATAATTATGCATTGGCATTTGCAAAAAGATAATGGGAAATTAATAGGACAGAAGCAACTTAGAGGTAAACCCATCTATCCTTAATAGAAAGATAGAGAAAAGCAGAGACAATAGCAAAAGAAAAAAGAAATAATCACATATTTGTGTATTTTAAACACTGTTTTTAGGTGCAAGCTACCATCATGAAACACATCACCCGCCAGCTGCACTCAACAGGGGACAGGATACGCAGGGCTTAGAGAAAGTGCTGCTTGCTAACTCTACATTTCCATGTTACATCTTTGTCGTCGTGGAAAGAGAAAGAGAAGAAAGGGAAGATATGATAGCAGGAACATTCACTGAAGTACAGACTCACTGAGCAATCATGACAAGGTAAACGAGTTCTACAGTCTATAAGGTCAAGATAGCAGGGCCTTGCCTGTGAAATACATTACATGTGTATGTAATGTGAATAGCTGATTTAAACTAAAGGACAGATCTCTCAAAAGAATGCTTTCAGGGCTCACAGTCATTGACTATTGGGAACTGACAAGAAGGAGGGGAGGAGGCAAGCAGGTAAGCATGCAGAATGCTGCCTGTGGTCACACAGGTCTGGCCCACAGCATCTCCAGTCTTAACACTTCATTGTCAGCTTGCTCAGGAGTGAACCAGGTTCCCAGTAAAAAAAAGTTCACATGAGACTGCCTTGTAAATCAGGTTGTCAATGTGTTACTTTACAGTGAGATTGATCTGATTTCAGGATAATATTCTTGTCCTCCATGCTAGATAATTCCTTGGACAGGTAATTTTAGCCAGGAATCCAAATCATTCATTACCAAGGTTTTAAATAGGAAGTCAGGAAATAAGTAGTTGGATAATCTCAAAGTATCAGTTCTCAAATTTTTATTGCCATATGCATATAATATCTGATAGTTATTTCATAGACTCCCCAGAATATAGCCAGACCTTGACATAATCAGCCCTCAATGTAATGAGTGAATAATGTATTTAGAAAACAGATACTTCCAGATGTCCACCAAAATGTGCTCCTTAGAGTCTTCTACAGCAAAAGAATTGTACCCTGACACATGGTTGAACTACACTTCCCAGACTCCCTTGCAGAGTGTGGCCATGTGACATTTCTCACCAGTGAGATATAAGGGGAAATGCTATGGGCCTTGGGGCCAGGGAGTGGGCATGCATTTCCAAGGTCTTGTCCTCCTTCCTACTGTATCATTTTTTGAGGAAAACAGGAATAAATTCAACTAACAAATATTCTCACTATTGAACAAACCTGTATGCCACTGTTACTAATAAAATCAATGAGTAATCCTCTTTGCCTCTCCGCCTCTCTGCCCATCTCTACCCCTGTTTTCCTGTGTTTTCATTCCCAATTGGAGTCATCCTTGACACTGCTCTTTTCATTCCCCCAGAGATACCTCTTTCACCATGTCCTACCACCTGCATCACACCTCCTGGCCCAAACCAGCATAATTCCTTATAATCTTTTATCCTCCTCTGCTCTGCCTCCCACATGGCAGCTCATGAAATCCTCTTGGGATGAAAACAGGAAGATGCCACTCCTTTCTCAATTGAGAGGAGTTTTAGATTTATTAGGGAATGAATTAGCAACTCTGAAAATGTGCTAGGTATATAAGCACTTAAAAATATGATGTAATTTTTAACTATGAGAAAAAATGCTTTAAATAGTCTAAGAAATGACATGTAATTATAATACATTTCCACTTTTAACACAAGTCCACTCTCCAGAGTTCTACCGTAATTTTATAATATGGCTACCAAATATTTTTCCCCCAAAGTGTTCCCCATGCCCTATAAGATAATGTCCAAATGCATTAACCAAAAATTAAAAGCCTTCCTGATGTGGCCTTAATCCACTTTCTCTTCCTTGGATCTTATACTCCCTCACACAAACCTTTTGCTGCAGCCAAACTATATTATTCAGTATTCTTTGGATATACTTGCCACTGTCCACTGCTTCTGTTCAGGCCATTCCATTGGAGCCATCCTCACTCTACACTGTCCTTTTGGACCTGTATCCCTTAGAGATCCAACTCAAACCCACCTCCAGAAAACCTTTCTTGGCCTTCCAGCTGAAAGTAATGCTCTGACGTGTCTGTTTACAAGGGAACATCTCTAAATAAATTTTGTCTTCTTTTTCTCTGTACAGCTAAATCCCACTTACTCCTCAAGACATGGCTCCTATGTCAGCTCTTCAACAAATCCTTCCCTCATTTCCCAGGCTCACCAGGAACTCTCTTCACTGGGCCTCCAAAGGCACCCTATGAATACTTCCAGAATTCCACTTTGCCCTACAACCATCTCTCCATGTGCTCTTCTAGGCTTATAAGCATATGAGAGCAAGAAATGTGACTTTCATTTTGAATAACTGTTGTATGAATGGAAAACATAGTTAGCAATTTATCATATCTCATGATTGCCCTTAAATCTAAATATTGGAATCATCTTTATCTACGTTTTTATTATTTTGTTTTTTATAGGCTTGCAGCTTATCTTTCCATGTAGTTAAAATCCCTTGAGGGTAGGAAATGTTTTATTCTTTATATTTTTGCCAACTGCCCAAATCAAACTCTAAAATACAGTGTGAGATCTCAAAATATCTGTTGCTTATATTATAGCAATATTTGAACCAAGATATACATATATAAATGTTCATTTCGGCACTACTTGTAATGGCAAAAATTAGGAACAACTAAAAAAAGTCTGTCTTGGTTCATTTGTGCTATTATAATAAAATACCATATACTGGGTAATTTATAAATAATAGAAATTTATTTTTCACCATTCTGAAGGCTGAGAAGTCCCAGATCAAGGTGCTGGCAGGTTTGGTGTCTGGTGGAAGGCTGCCCTCTCTGCTTCCAGCATGACACTTGTTGCTGTGTCCTCTGGAGGGCACAAACACTGTGTCAGAAGGTGGCAAGGCAAAAGGGAGGAATGCTGCGTCCTCAAAGGCACACAGGCAAAAGGGCCTCACTAATTCCCAGCTCTTTTATAAGGCACTAATTCATTCATGAGGGCAAAGCCTTCATGACTTAATCTCTTCCTCAGAGGCCTCATCTCTAAATAGCACCTCAATGGAGATTAAGTTTCAACATAAATTTTGGAGGAAACATAAACATTCGACCTATGGATTGTTCATTAGTAGAGGAATGGTTAAATCAACCATGGTTCACCCACACTTTGGAACATACTGGAATAAGTTAAAAAAAAAAAAGTAAATAGACCCATTTAATCTGGCATGAAGATATATTCAAGATATATTTTTAAATTTAAAAATCTAGTTATGGAACAATCCATTTGGTATGAGTCAGTAATGTAAAATTATATCTTATTCTGTGTGTACATATATGAATAATATTGTACAAGAAAATGGGTAAGTTTATTGGTAAAAAACTGTTCACAGTGGGTACCTTGGTGAGGGGAATGGATTGATAGGAACTGGAAGAAAGGGAATTTTTTTTTTTTTTGAGACGGAGTGTTGCTCTGTCATCCAGGCTGGAGTGCAGTGGCGCGATCTCAGCTCACTGCAACTTCCGCCTTCTGGGTTCCTGGGTTCAAGCAATTCTCCTGCCTCAGCCTCCCAAGTAGCTGGGATTACAGGAGCTGCCACCACAGCCAGCTGATTTTTTGTATTTTTAGTAGAGATGAGGTTTCACTATGTTGGCCAGACTGGTCTCAAACTCCTGACCTCATGATCTGCCCATCTCGGCCTCCCAAAGTGCTGGGATTACAGGCGTGTGCCACTGCTCCCAGTCTATTTTTATTCAACAAATTTTAAGAGGCTATATCTACTTCAGGTGTGGCAAGCCAGGTCTCATTAACAGCAGAACAGGTAGGCCTCCATGACAACTGTTTCAGCTCTGACTGAATGGTTACATTAAATATTAAAAGCTGAGGGAGCCAGTGTCCTTATACAAAGGCTGGGATGTAACAAAAGCCCACCAAGAGTCTTGCCTAGGCCTTTCCTGGGCCTTGAAGCATGACAAGATAACGAAGGAATTCTTAACAGGACCTGTTTAGGATTAAACAAGTTTTATTGGGGGTCTGAAGAAACTCCCCAGACCTCCACAGACAAGTTTATGGGAGGCCTAAAGGCACTCCCCAGACCTCCCTGATTTAGCAGGAAACAAGATAAGGGTAATCACCCCTGGTGCCTGCACCCATCTAGATTAAGTAAATTCACTGAGACTCCAGAGGAAGGTCTTCAGGACTTAGACCTTAGTTATAGACTCGAAGAAGTTAATCACTTACGTCTTTAGGTGAATGCACACTCACACATAGCACGTATAGCGCTCTGGAAAACTTTGTAATTTTGAGTTGATCTGGTGATATTTTCCCGGCCTTCTCCCTGTACCCGGTTATAGAAATAAGCTCTCTTCTTTCCCAGTTCATCTGCATCTCGTTACTGGGCAGCGAGATTAAGCAGCCCAACCCTCAGTTCGGTCCAGGAACACAGAAACTGGACTAAAATCAATATTACAGAAGCTGCTCAAATTTTCATGAAAAGACAATTATTAAAACAGAAACACTTTCCTTAATAAGATAGAGAAAATATTTTAAATGACCAAGTTTTTATAAAATTTGTTCCATTTAATATATGTTGATAGATTTTAGATCCCTTCATGAGCAAACTTTCTTTTTCCTGTAAAACATGCAAAATTTTTTAGCAATTAAAGTTGTCATATTAGAATTAAAATTTCTTTCCTCTAAGAACACTTGCCTTTGAAAGTCTGCAGCTTGTTGATGAGCAGCAGTGAGCCTTCATCACATCATCAATAACAACAGGCTAATGACACTGGAGGACTATGGTAAGGATTAAATGAGATAAGGCAAAAATTGTGTGACATGGGAGCTAGAACACCACAAGGACTCAGTCAGTGGTGGGTGCTACCCATTTGGACTAATCGGGTATCTACTCTAAATAAGGAGACTCCCTCATTCCAGTTGCCTTGGGCTGTAACACCTGGAGGGAATCATTCAGCTCTTTTCAAAGAATACTTTAGGATGACGATATTCCTGGCAGGGGATTCAGAAATAGAAATGCAGTAACAATTTTATATTAGAAAACATCTAAATAATTCAGTTGTTTAGGAAGCCTGAAACACCACTTGTTTCACTGTTCATGTCACCGATTCTCCATTAAGATTTACCTGTTAGCTTGGAACAGCCTTCAAGAGAAAGATTCATCAAATTTAACTTTTTCATCTACAGCAGGCTAGAGTTAATGCTCATATATCCACAAGATTTGTTTTAGCATAGGCAGCAATTCTGTTCCATGCAATGGCGCTGCATTTTGTAAAATACTCTGATCATGGAAGATTATTAAGGTTTTCTTATTCTTATTTTAAGATGAGGCACTCTAAAAAGAAAATCTTCATAAGCATTTAATAAAGTAAATTCAAAGCATAACTATTGTACTTGTCAGAAAGGTGATAAGAAGAAGGCTTCATAAATTGTTCTTGATATGATCAAACTCAGCTTTAAAGCAACACCAAGCAACCAGAACTCTTTGATATGTATGCCAGGGTGTGAGGTTGAGATTTCATTTCAAAATCTGAGTCATTCAAGAACACATTTGTAAAAAGAAGAAACCCTACTGTTTACCTAATGTTTAAAAACGTGATCTTTACCAAAATGGCTGGATCAGATTTAATTATTTTTACATATTAAATACAGACCACACGCCCAGCCTAGGGTCACTGGAATTTAAAGAGAGCACATCATGAAATTCTTAGCCTCTGAAAGATTGCAATCTAACCAAGAAGACAAATTACATTCTCATAAAATAGAGAAGTATACAACTTAGAACTAAGTGCCAAAATAGATGAGTCATGTGCTTAATCCCATGGAAAAACAGAAAACAAGACTAGAGTTATAGGAGCTATTAAGCTGCAAACATTTGCATTAAATAATTTTATTTTTATTAATAGAGGACTAAATACTTTAAAATAAATCATTGCTTAAAGCCATTAAAATCACCTATTAATTAGTTATCAGTTTTTCTGGCAAGTAATTTGAGTATCATTATCTGAACTTCTGCTAGTGCTTAGAGATACCCGATGCCTTTAAGATGCTTAAACTCGTCCTTCTGAGATGGTATGGCTTGAACATCTTTCACTTGTTTGAATACCTATGTTAGAGCCACGTAATGACTTTATTTCTTTGTATATAGGTTGAGATTATTCTGTTAATATCTACCATAAAGAAATAGTCGTTCATGAGATTTTTAACAGACAGAAAAATATCTAGCCTGGTAGCAAGCATCTGAAAACCTGTTTTAGGATCCTGTTTCTCAGCTGATTCAGGGAATATGCCTTCTTTCACTAGCTTATTATTATGCTATAGAAAGAGCAAAGGCTTCTGAAATTTGAAAAACTTGTCTTTGAATCTGTCTGATTTATCTGACCTTGAGCAAATTACTTGACTTCTCTGATCCTCGGCCTCCTTATTTACAAAATGAGATAAATTATTCCAAATGTGCAAAGCTGCTTTGAGGGTTAGATGGAACGTATGAGAAACAACTAATAGAAAGTTAGAGACACACTGTAAGAGAGAGCTAATATAATTTTCACTTGCTGGTGTATACATTTTCTGTCATTGATCCTGTTAGTACAAGCATCATCAACCAAGCTGTGCATATATGTTGTCTTATACCATTTATAACACCATGTTGAGAATTCTTAAATCCAAAGCTCTGAGAGATCTGTAAGATTGTTGTTTTTTATCTCCAATCTTTGGGTGGTAAAACTTAACCTGAACTAATGTATACTATTTATAACTTTATTTTATTTCATTTAGCATGAATGCTTACAGGTTTTGCTGCAGAAACAGTAAAGTGATAAAGAACATTGCTGTAGAAACTACTAAGGGTGGAACATAGTACACAGTATATGCACCACAGTGTCTTTCCAATATCTGAATGCATCTGCTCCAAAGGTTTCATAGAAAGGACTATAGAATTCTAGTATTTTCCCTTAACTTTTTCTTACATTACTACAATTTAGCTGGCTTTCATTCATTATATATTTGTGTTTGACACAAATTTATTATTACTTTGCTAAACACAAATATATAATAAATGAAAACCAGCTGTTGTAGTTTTTAAACCACTTTATTAAAGTATGGTTGATACACAAAAAGTTGTACATGTTTAATGAATAAACCTGATGGGTTTAGAGATAACATACAGCTATGAAACTGTCATCACAATCTATGCTGTGAACATAGCCATCATCTCCAAAAGTTTGTATGCATGTATATATGTCTGTCTGTATATATTTTTATAAGAACATTTAATGTAGAATCTACTCTCCTAGAAAATTTTTACATGTACAATAAAGTATTCTTAACTATAGGCATTATACTATTCAGTATATCTCTAGGACTTACTCATCTTGCATAGCTGAAACTTTGTGCCCTATGACTAAAATCTCCCCATTTCCCTCTCTCCATGACCTCTGGAAACCACCATTCTACTCTCTGTTCTATGAGTTTGACTATTTTAGATTCCTCATATAAGTGATATCATGTAGCATTTGTCCTTCTGTGCCTGGCTTATTTCACTTAGTATAATGTCCTCTAGGTTCATCCATGTTGTTGCAGATAGCAAGATTTTCTTAAGACTAAAAAATATGTCATTTTATGTAAATATCACATTTTCTTTATTCATGTGTCTGCTTGGACATTAAGGTTGTTTCTATATCTTGCTACTGGGAATAATGCTGCCATGAACATGGGAATGCAATTATCTCTTTGAGAATCTGATTTCAATTCCTTTGAGTATATTCCCAGAAGTGAGATTGCTACATGGCAGTTTTTTTTTCCCCAGGGAATCTCCATACTGTTTCTGTAATGGTTGCACCAATATATATTCCCGCCAATAGTATATAAGGATTTCCCTTTTTACCACATAGTCACTAACACTTGTTATCTTTTGGGTTTTTTTTTTGGGGGGGGGGGTTGTTGTTTATAATAGCAGTCATAACATATGTGTGGTGATATCTCACTGTGGTTTTGATTTACATTTTCCTGATCAGTAGTGTTAAGCATTTTTTCCTATACCTGCTGGTCATTTCTCCTCCGGAGAAATGCCTATTCAGATCTTTTGCCCATTTTTAATTGGATTACTTTTATCTTTGCTATTGAGTTCGACTTTCTTATATATTTGGATATTAATCCTTTTTCAGATATATGATTGCAAATATTTTATCCCATTCTGTAGGTTGCCTTTCCATTTTCCATATTTCCTTTGTTGTGAAGAAGGTTTTTAGTTTGATGTAGTCCTCCTTGTCTGTTTTTAGTGTCATATTCAAGAAACCATTGCCAAGACCAATGTCATGGAGATTTTCTCTTATGTTTTCTTTTAATAGCTTTGCAGTTTCAGGTCTTATGTTTAAGTCTTTAATCCATTTAATCCAACATGAGTTTTGTGCATGCTGTAAGTCCAATTTCATTCTTTTGCATGTGTTTATCCAGTTTTTCCAACAGTAATTATTGAAGGGACTATCCTTTCCTTATTGTGTATTTTTGGCACCCTTGTTGAAAATCAGTTGATGTTATATGCTTGATTTTATTTCTGAGTTTCCTATTCTGTTCCAATTGATCTATTTGTCTGGTTTTTTTTTTATGCCAGTACCATATTGTTTTGATTACTATAGTGTTGGGATATATTTTGAAGTCAGGAAGTACAATACGTCCAACTTTGCCCTTCTTGCTGGAAATCCCTCTATTTAGGGTCATGTGTTCCATATGAATTTTAGGATTGTTTTCCTATTTGTTTGAAAAATGCCATTGGGATTTTAATAGAGATTGCATTGAATCTATAAATCACTTTGAGTAGTGCAGACATTTTAACATTAATTCTTCCAATCCATGAACATGGGATATCTTTACATTTATTTGTGTCTGCTTTAACTTCTTTCATCATTGTTTTCTAAATTTCAATGTACAAGTCTTCCACCTCCTTGGCTAAGTCATTTCCTGAGTCCTTTCTATAGCCATTGTAAATGGGGTTGTTTCCTTAATTTCTTTAATTCCCCAGAGATGTTTGGATTGCAAACAGATAATTCCACTAGCTATAGAAAAATCTATAAATGTTGACTTTCAGATTTATTTTCCAAGTATCCTTTGAAAGAAACAAATAGCATTTTTGTACAGATCCCCCAAAAATGATAATTTCATTTTTATATTTTAAGTCAATTTAAATTCAATCTTGAACCTAGAAAAATTAGAGTATTAGTCTGCTTCAATGCCCACACTCCTGTGAACATTGTCAGAGTCAAAATGGAGTAAATTGTGTTTAAAATTCTGGCAAATAGAGCTGGGAAAGTCCACGAAGGAAGGGTTCTCATGCATAAATGACTAATAGCAAGAACTATCACAAAAGACGCTGCAAAACCACAACTTTGCACAAAGGCCATGGCAACTTTACACAAAAATATACTTCTGCAAGGACATCTGCCCAGCAACTACCTGTCCAACCTCAGACCAGCAAGGTTATTGACTTTTTTAGCCAAGGATAATTACCTTAAAACAATTATGTAAACTTTATCATTTTTCTTTTAAAAATCCTGGTCTTCTTTTACCTTCCTGAATACGCACATAGTTTACTGTGGCACACATATTCCCTTTGCAATGCCCTATTTCAAGAAAATAAATATTTTCTTTTATAGAGCGTCTCTCTGCTTGTTATTAAGGTTAACACTCGCTGCTGCTTCTTAAAACACACCAAAAATAACTGTTTTTTCTTTCAGACTTTTCCTGAGAGAGCATATATTCAAAATTCTCTAGTTTTCTGTTTATTGTTGTCATTGTTATTGCTGCCTGTAAGACAACAAATATACCAAAAGCAAGAGAATACTTTCATCTAACCAATTTTTCATGCCCAACAAGTTGCTAAAGCAAGATTGATGAGTGAACGGCTAGAATAATAGGAAGAACAAACTTTTTCCTGCTGGTGGGATAAGCTGGTGCTCAGCTGGAAGCAGTTCTCTAACTGCTGAAAGAATAATGGAAACTTCTCTGGAACATCCTTAGGGAATTTAATACCTGTAAATGAGTGAAAGGAAAAAGGTACAATGTGCACAAACAAGCATATACACATCTTGAAATGAATTCTAGATCCTGAAGCTTAATTCACAGCTGCTAGTATTGAAATCCTTTGTTTAGAATAATTTAGAGCAAATTTAACCAGTAATTAATAAAATAGATTTTACAGTAATTGAAGTTAGATAGCGAAGTTGATAATTATTTTGGAGCTTTAGAATTTTTCTCTCTACAAACTAGATTTCTAAGAATATTCTTTTTTTTTTTTTTTTTTTTTTTTTTTGATATGGGGTCTTGCTCTGTCACTCAGCTTACTGCAACCTCCACCTCCCAGGCTCAAGCAATCCTCCCAAGTCAGCCTGCCAAGTAGCTGGGACTACAGGTGTGCACCACCACACTCTGTTAATTTTTGTATTTTTCACAGAGGTGGGTTTTCACTATGTTGCCCAGGCTTGTCTCAAACTCCTGGGCTCAAGCAATTCACCTGCCTTGGCCTCCCAAAGTGCTGGGATTTCAGGTGTGAGCCACCGTGACCGGCCCCTGAGAATATTCTTAAGATATTTACAGTGGAATAGGTAAAGTGAGTGATAGGGAGTGCTGAAGATAATAAACAGAACTCATTATCTGAAGTTATCAGTAGTTCGGTTTTCTCACAGTTAATCCATATTTATGAAAATAATAAGTTGTCAATCAAGAATAGAATCAATAAAAATATTTATTAATCTGCCATGTTAAGACTACAGGCACATAAAAACAAAGAGATTAATTCAAACATTTCATCTGCATAATACCTCAAACCTGACTATTTAAAAGTGGTTGGGTAATTAAGTAGACATTTCACTTTTTATACAAATATTTGGAATCTTTCCATGCCTAAGGTTTATTTTCTTCATTAAAGTGTTATGATTACTGCCACTTACCTGGGAAATAAAATGTGACAGGAAGTTCATCATGAAATGGAGATGCCATTCCCTGCCTGGGACTATTTCCCACTCTTGTTCCATCTGTACAATAGTCATTCTATAACCTCGGCCCCAGAGGGTCTGAGGTTGGGACTTAGCCTTACCAACCAAAGAAACAACTCCTGGTCTGAGTCATAGAGTCATAAATTTAGTCACATAAAACTGTCATCTTCAGTGACACTCATTGAAAATGTGCCTGGACCTATACAATTTCCTTTAAATTAATTTCAATTTCCAGGGAAAAATGATTCAGAAAGCAAATAACGTTAATGTTCTTCCCACAAATTCAAAATAATTTTGAGAATTTCACCACTATATAGTCAGTTATAAGATGGCAAAATAAAAACATTTTTCAAATTCTTAAAGCAGTGAGATGCTAATTGTTCATTTGTGAAAAGCCAGAAGCCCTGTTTTTAAATAACAGTGCATCAATTTCCAACTTGAAACAGATGTTGGCACTTGGGATGACTCATTATTCTTAACTCCTGTCGGAGCACTTGCCCACTGGGCCTCAGATTAAATTTCAGAACACAGGCAGCAGCACTAACTTCTGAGAAGAAAATGTCACTAGAATGCCATTTCACATCAGTGACAGTGGCTTCTTCAGAAAATTAAGCTTCATTTCATGTCTGCAAGAACAGTGACCATTGACTCACCACTGCGTTAGTTCAGCTTGCCCAATAATAACTACAGAGCTTCACTCTAAAATCAAGTGCAATAGCTGCAAACAAGCTTAGAAACGGGACTCAGACAGAGCACCTAATAACTGCCCTCGCAGTTACTTTTCTTCAAAACTCATTCTACTTCTAAAGATCTATAGAATATGGACATAATTTGGTCCTTAAAGTCTAAAATAGACAATGCAAATTTGGCTAGATGAATTTGATCATTTGATCAGAATCATCAAGCGCTATCAGAAATTTATCATTACATATTATTTTTTACTTAAGCTCAAAGACTTTATTTAAGTTTCCAAATCTTATTTAAAAACACATTCCAAATTAAGTTATGGGAGAGTGAACAGTTCTGTGTAAATTCTAATTTAACTTAATTTTTTAAAAGACGAAGATCTGATCTCTCGATCAGGAGGACTCTCTAAACTTGAAAGCATTGGAAGGTATCAGAAAGGAAAATAATCACTGTATTTGCTTTCCTAAAAATGTAAAATATATGTATCTAAAAAGTGTCATTCAAAAATTAAGAAACATATAAAACTGAGTAAATATTTATGATGAATATTGCAAAGGGTTGCATTCTTAATTTAAATTGATAAATGACCACCAAAATATCATTATACAAAAGACATGAGCAAGAAATTCACAGGTAAGGAAATATAAGTAGCAAGTACATTTAAGAAAAAAGTGTTCAACCTATCAATTAAACTGACAAGGTGTTATCTTTCTTTTAATAAATTGACACTATTTTATAAATATATTATTTTTAATATAAATATCATTTATTCTTGGCATTAGTATTAGTAGTATTATGTTAGTACTCTCAGTATTAGAATTAGTAGAATTATAAATTAGTCCCATCTTGCTAAAAAAAAAATGCATTGGCATTTTTTACTTGGAGCCTTAAAAATATGTACATGCTTTAGACCAGGAAAGTTTTACATACAAAGATCATTATTGCTATGTTCTTTATAAGAGTAAAATGTCCGAACCAACCTAGATGTTCAAAAATAGAGGAATATTTAAATTGATTATGAAATATACATATCCTATATTGTGTACAACTATGTAAGAATTTAAAAGTATACCTGCAAAGTATTTTAATTATAAGGAAACATATTTATGACATATTATCAAGAAAAAGTGTATACATTTTATAAAAATATAATCCTAAATATGAAAAAATATACCCATAGAAAAATACTGTAACTATACTTACACAAGTGATGATTATTACTTGGTAATTCACTATACAAGACAGTCCCCCTTCTTCGTACATTCTTATATTTTTTAATTTCCTCACAATAGGCATGTGTTACTTTAGTATTCAGGAAAAAATAAGCCTTAGTTTAAATGTGTATCAAAATGCTCACTTTAATTTTAAAAAACACATATTACACCTGTGACATTTGCAAAAGTAGTAGCAGAAAATAAATACATGTCTTGAAGAACTATAATTGGATTTAAGAACAGTTTGAACAATGTGTTTATTATACTTGGAAAAATATTCATTATAGAGGGTGACCACAAAGTCTAGAAATAAATGTGTATTATTTATCACATATCTTAATGTAATATCAATAATTCATCAATTGTGAATTTATCCATGTTTCCAGACTTGGTAGCCATCCTGTAATGAGCGATGGGATGTCAATCATTGAAAGGCATGTGTGGCAAATTTAAAAATTAAAAGAACTGAATCCATGACAACTTGTGATTCAAAGATCCCACTAAAACTTCATGGGATGGGGAAGAGGGTGATAAGAATAACTATAATGTTTTCTTTCTGGTAACCTCCCTTTTTCAGAAGGATCAATTAAAAGCCATATTAACACACTATACAGTTGATCAATAAAGTATACAATTTCTATCTGTGATCTTGCTTTAAACATGACAGATTTAATCTTAGAATAATCTGTCTCAAAACTGCTTAACAAGGCCAAACATGCATGTATTTTAATTAATCTTACTTGGACTAATGACAGAAAATACTACTGAGAAAATATTTTCACAAGAAACTATAAAGTACACTGCTTGAAATTAGCAAGACTTCTGAAAAGGGGCGTAAATGAAAAGCAAATACCTCCGGAAAACCTCTTCTCAAATTTGGGACTCTCTAGGTTTCTTAGTTCAGGGCCCAGAGGGCCGCCTCCAACCTGCAAGTGTGCACCAGAGTGTGCAGGGTCACTGTCCCTCCAGCAACCCTGACCCTTTATGCTTATATTGACGACTTTGCCTCTCATGCTCACTCATATACTGAGGATTCAGAGATGAATAAAATAATTTTTTAACAGAGGGCAAAATGTAACAATGCCTGTAAGAGAAAGCAGCTAGAATTATAAGGGTGGGAGGAATTGATTTTGGTAGATCAGACGCGGCTCTGAGGAGGACATGGAATTTAAATCCAGCTCTGATGGATGATAGCCCATGGTGAATCAGGTTTAACCGTTAATTTTATGGCAAAACCGCAATTACTTTTGCACCAACCTAATATAATGCCTTATTTCATCACTGTTTCCAGTGAGGTGGTATTCCTAATTTTGCCCTAGCTGTTACACTCTACTGTCTTCTAGGTGGGAGTTCTTAGTCAATCTGAATGAAAGGTGTCTTAATTAGTAGTTTAAAGAACACTCTTCTTTTAAAGATAATTTATGATTTAAAGAACAATTTTCTATTATATTTTGAAGATACCTAAATCAAAGAAAAACCTCCTCTCATGTGGAAATTTCCCTAGTCACACACTGAGGTGAACGTGGACTTCACATATATATTTAGATCCAAGGCAAGGAGAATTGCTAGACATCTTAAACAAGGTTGGTATACCACAGATTTTTGTACTATTTGTGTTTTACAAAAAGCTGTAGTAGCCAAGAACTCCTCAGCTGATGTATTGCAATTTGGGACTTGGTAGGCTTGGTTTTGAAACTTCTTTTACTCATGTAAAGTTGTAAATGGAATAGATTCTTGTTCTTATAGACTTTTATTTCTTCACAAACATAGAACCATACACTCTGATCTGTGAGACTGAAATACTGAGAAACAGATGCATGAATCATTTTTCCCTGGAACCACAAGATGCTGAAAATATTGAACAGATAAAAAATTGTCAAGAAAGAAAGAAAGTGGGGATATGGGGGAGAGAGAGGGGGAGGGAGGGAAAAAGGAAGGGAAAAGGAAGACAGAAAGAAGAGCAAAGAACAAAACTGATAGGAAACCACAATCAACTTTAACAATGAAGCTTGAATGAAGCCAAGTGTCAAGCTAAACTGGATGTTCTTAAGTCTGACATTTTTAAGGCATTTGTTTTCCTTAACATCTCTATGGATTATACAGATTTATAAATATTTGAATTCACTTCAATAAACCAAAGAAGTACTTAGTATATTGTACTTGATTTATAAATATGCAATGTATATTTATTAATGTTGTAATCTTAAATTTATTCCTTTGACCCCAATAAACTCATTCTAAAAATCCTTGTTATTCAAGAGTGTACTTTTTACCCAAATGTCTTAAAATATATTGTTGTTTTAACTAACAGTACAGATTAGAATTCTAAAGAACATTGGGTACTAGATTCCTTAGTACTGTAATTATTGCTTTAACATATAATTTCATCAGGACTTCTTAGTATAGATAATTAAGGTTTCTACTCTAACGTATAGTAAAATTCCTTATCTCTAAAGTGTAATTATGTTCTAAATGATAGTAATAAATTCTTAATGTAACCAAACACTAATAACAAAATAAAAGCTTGTTTTGAGTAGTTTAATATGTGGAATAGCATCTTTTAACTAAATACTGCTTTGGTTAAATCATAAATGTACTTCTTGCTTTGTATGAGTAACAGAATTAAGAAAACAATGACCACATTTTCCTTCATACATTAAGTGTTTGCCTGATTCAAATATTCTCTCTGATGCAGAGCTTTGATTCGCTCTATCAGCATAGCTCTTATATTGATGTCTTTGTCTACTGTACTAAAGAACACATTGTTCTACAGAGACTAAATAAATAAATAGATTTAATCTAATAAAGCTGGCATTAAACTTTATTATGTAAACAATCCATATGTACAAACAAGAAGAGACTATTTTCATACTAGGTGCAGGGGTAATTTTACGTATCCACATTTTACTTCCATATTCTTTACTGTAGGTATCTGATGGGTAGGCCTACCTGGCTCAAATATCACTTCCAAGCAATGCTGGTATGATGGTTAATACTGAGTGTCAACTTGATTGGACTGAAGGATACAAAGTATTGATCCTGGGTGTGTCTGTGAGGGTATTGCCAAAGGAAATTAACATTTGAGTCAGTGGGCTGGGAAAGGCAGACCCACCCTTAATCTGGGGGAGCACAATCTAATCAGCTGCCAGCACGGCTAGAATATAAGCAGGCAGAAAAATGTGAAAAGAGAGACTGGCCTAGCCTCCCAGCCTACATCTTTGTCCCATGCTGGAAGCTCCCTGCCCTCGAACATCGGACTCCAGGTTCTTCAGTTTTGGAACTCGGACTAGCTCTCCTTACTCCTCAGCCTGCAGACAGCCAGCCTATTGTGGGACCTTGTGATCCTGTGAGTCAATACTGAAAAAACTCCCCTTTATATATATATACTTCTATTCCATTAGTTCTGTCCCTCTGGAGAACCCTAATACAGCTAGAAACCATTTTTCATAGAGGACTTTAAAAAGCAGCACAAAAGCTGCTTTTTGAAAACTTAAAAACATTTTGAACGTTTGAAAGAAAAGACTATTAAAAAAAGAACTTATATTACAAAATGACTAGTTCCTGTAAATACATGAAGCAAAAATATATACACAAAATACAGTAATAGGATGACAGTGTGATTTTTGGTCTTTGTGTGTGTGTGTGTGTATTTAATGGACCAACAATTTCTCCTTTTTAGGGCCCTGGAATACTCTTCTGGAAAGGGTCTCCTCTGTTTCCTTTCTTGCTGTTCTCATCCTGCTCTGCTGATCTGCTTCTACCTGCCAGACACATGGGCCAGTACTCACATTGGACCAGTCATTTCTTGAGTTGTCCTCTATTGTGATATTAATTGTGCAGCATTCTCAATCTGCTTCAAGATGCTCTAATTGTGGTTTTTGGGAGACAGGTTCATCAGTTGTCGGTGTTTCTTGAGCAGAGTACACGCAAGCGCTCAAAATGAGGTGCTCCAGTTCTGCAATTGTGTCCCCCAGGAATGGCCGGAAACACTTTCACCCTCTCTGTGTTCTTTTGTGAATATTGTGAGCATTTCTGTCTTTTAAGGAGAAGAGATGGAAAGACTCTTTTCTGGGCTGGGAGTCCTTAACTTCTTTTATTCTGTGCTCCCTTTGCCTCGCCATGAAATATCCCCACCCCCAAGCCTGCGGTGTGGTTGGAACTGTTCCCATGAGGGTCACATTTTGTTTCTTGAACTGAGTGCCAGTTATAAAGGTGTATTCAGTTTGTGAAATTCATTAAGCTGTATACTTGTGACTGCTGGATTTTTTTAAAAGCTTATTTTCAATGAAAATTTTTTTAAAAAATACTGCCTTCTGCCCTGCCAGGATTTTTCTGATTACTAGATTCATACATATTATAATGTAGCAGAAAAAAATATGGTTTCTAAGACATTCACATGTTACTTTCCCCAGACATTTGCAGACGTAGGTAAGACACATATTCAGCTTTAAAAACTTATAGGTTATTTCCCTTTAATCTGCCATAACTCATCTTAATCAGAGTAAATGAGTAACGTTACTAATATATTTGTGGAAGGCTCTGGAGAATGCAAAGTACCCTCAGCTGAAGGCTCTGCATCCACACTTCCCTGCATGACCGTTCATCTCAGTCGGTCTCAGTGATGGACGGCAGGTCTTGGCATGTTATATAACAACTTAACTAACGGCCGCCATGCACGAAAGAGCAAACCGTCCTGTTGCCTAGTGACTATTATCCAAGGCAATCAAAGTAAACAGCAAATGCCACAGATATTTTTGAACAGCTGTTTGTTGACCCAGATACAATATTTATATGGCTCGCTAGTTTCTCAGACAGAATTGGACCCTATCATACCCTGCAGAACAGAAATTTGTTTTTCTTAATTATCCATCATTATTCCTGGAAATATTTTTTTTAACTAGGAACCTTTGAAAAGGAGTGATAATACGTTCCAATAGGAAATTCGAAAGCCCCTCAAGTTTTATTTTTAGTTCATGTTTAATAGAAATCTTTCCTGCAGATAAGCTTGTGAACTCCCGATAACCACTAGATTTTGTAACATTCCTTCCTGTGTCCAGCAGTATTTACATGTGACATTTACTTCGTGGCTAGAATAATCATAAGTTGGGGCAAAAGCATATTCACTTAAGTCTTCTCCAGTCATTATGCTGGGCATGTTGTACCCTGAAAAGATCATCCTAGACATTCCTCAAGGCTCAGAAGAGAAACGACTCCAGGAGGGCCCTTCCTAATACCATAGGACGAAGTTCCAAGTGCCCCTCTCCACAGGCACCTTGTCAAGTTGATTGCTGAATGAATGCATGGCTTTGTTCTACTTGTTAACACACTGTGTTGCAATTGTTGGTAGATTTTGTGTTGCCACAAAGACCAGGAGTTACTTGTCAAAGGGAAGTGGCAGATTAATTTTTGGAGCATCTTGACTGGGATACAATATGTGACCAATAGATTTTGAAGGGATGAAATAAGGCCTTTTTTCTGCTTGAACATATCTGATAACTTTGATTTAATACCTCTTAGAAATGAATACAGACTGAATGTTGGTGTTTCCCGAAAAATCTTATGTTGAAGCCCTAATTTCCAATAGGATAGGGCCTTTGGGAGATAATTAGGTTTAGATGAGGTCATAGGGTAAGGCCCGCATAATGGAATTACTGTCCTTATAAAAAAGGAAGAGACCATAACACAGCAAAAAAGTGGTTGTCTGCAAGCCAAGAAGAGAGCCTTCACCAGAACCCAACCAGGCTGCCACACTTAGCTCAGACTTCTAGCCTCCACAACTGTAAGAAATAAATTCCTGTTGTTTAAGCCACCAAGTCTATGATATTTTGTTATTGCATCCCAAGATGACTAAGACAAAAATCCATTTTTAAAAGTACAGGCCAAATAATTTATCTTTAAAAATTGATATTGTGTCATTTTAATGGAATGAATCCCTGTCTTACTTCTTATGTCAAAATATATTCCAAGTGAGATAAATATTTAAATATTAGAAGGAAATGAAGGAAGGAGAAAGGAAGGAAAGGAGAAAAGGGAAGCAAGCCATTAGAGACCCAGAGACCAATAATGGGAAATGTATTCATATTTTTTGAATGGGGGAAGTTTTCTAGGTACAATATAAAACTCAGAAACTCTAAAGGAAGATTTGTCATGTCAAAATTTAAAAAAAAAATGATCTGAGAATAACACCATACACAAAGTTTTTATTTAAGCATTACAATTTAACAAAAAACGGCAACCATTATGACAAAGGCCTAATTTCTGTAGTATAAAAGAAGGTCTCACAAATCAATTCAAAAATGATCAAAAAGAGAATAGTGAACAAAGGATACAAAAATCTATTTTATAGGGAAATAAACACATACGGTCAATAAGTATATAGAAAGATTTTTAATGTCACTAAAAATTAAGCAAAGGCAAATTAAAACTGCAAAATGCCGTTTTCATTCACTACAGTTACAAAGATTACCAGTACACATTTGTTTGTTAGGAAGTGGAAAAAACAACCCTGTCATAAACTTTTGATAGAGCATAGATTAGTGTTAGGAAGCTATCTGTCAGGATCTTCCAAACTTTTAAATGCAGATATACCTGACACTGCAATTACACTTCTAGGAATTGATAGTTCATTTATTTACTGACATAAATATATGTCCACTAATAGAAGGTTATTAGGTTACCAAACAGAAAAGAATAATGAGCATGTTTATTCTTATAATTAAAAAGTGTATGTGTGTGTGTGTATATATATATATATATATAAAATATATATAAGTGTAATTTGCTACAGTTGCCTCTGATTAAAGGAATACGGGGTAGAGATGTGAACTTTTACATTTTATTTTATAATCTTTGCTACCCTTTTTTAAGAAAGCCATACATTTTTATTATTTTATAATAAAAAATGTCGTTAAAAGTATAGGAGTATATTGCCACCCTACAACTCAGTAGAAATTAACAAAAGTGTGCCATCACTAAGTTATACAAAAAAACAAAATATTTAAAGAGGACAAGAGAACGATCCAAAATAAAATAATTTCAGCAAAAATAAAAAGCTGGAAATTAAGGTGCTCGGGAAACAAATTGCACGTGTCAGGCAGTTGACAAGCCCCATCTATAAAGCAGGAACAGAAGGCCTGAAGCCCAGGTCATAGCTGTCACTCAAGCCCCCTTTCAATCACGAAAAGGCTTGTGTGGGGGGATGTGGAGCAAATGAATGAGTGTGCACATCAATCAAAGAGAAAGAGAAGCATTTTCTAAAGGCAAGGGTTGGGAGTAGAATGGTTTCAGAGGGAAAAAAATTATTTCCTACCAGTTTAAATGAGATCAAGAACAGGGTATGACCTCCAGTAAAGATTTTAAAAATAGATTCTTCATTTCAGAAAATTATCAGACCAAACCTTCTGTGTTTTCTTATTTTAAATTTAGGCTTCATAAATAAGCAACAGATATATTTACACTTGTAGTGTCCACAAGTAGATGATGTTGGAATTGTGATGCCGAATTGGACCAAATATCCCAAATGGAATTTTCTGCACCAGCTGTAGAGCTGTAGCATTTCCTAAGGCCACACATTTTCTGTCTTCATCTTGGACAGTTTTCTCATGAGCAAAGTTTGTTCATTCCAAGGGAAAAATGTATTTCAGTTGAAACAATAAGGTATCCCATGAGAAAAAGTTATATCTCAGACATACTTGGCTTAGGTTGATCTCAACCTCTCTAAAAAGAAAGTGCCCTCTAAATATCGATCCTTTTATATAAGAAGCTCCCTCTATGTGGCACCCTTCATGAAGGAGGAGAAATATGAAAAATTACAGCTTTCTTGTCTCTGTGGGCCAGATACCAGTAGAAATTGCTGCTACTGATTGAGGTGAACCAAACTCAGGATCAGAATGAAGCCCTTCTTTATTAGAGATGAACACAATGAAATACCTTGTAATTCATAAAGTTACATGTTTTGATTCTTTCTGGTTTTCCCCTTTCTTCCTCTCAGGCCTCTTAATGGTCACATGCCTACCTTTTTTTTGTATATTACATCATGCACAAATATACACACATGCACACATACAGTATTTAGTAAAAACATCCATCAAGACTTTGTTATAGTGTCTCACAATCTGTGATAACCTATCTAGTAAATAATGAGTTTCTAATAATAGAGTAGAAAAATTTCTGGGTGAATTTGCCATATAAATCACGTAGTGGTTTTTACCATCTGTATAGGGACCCATATGCCTATAACAGCAATAATTTCCCTGTTCATTAAATTCAGTTATGCCAACTCCTAGCCACCACTCACTGAGTAACAAGCACCAAAACTTTCATCACATAAAAAAAGGGCCTGCCAAGTTGGATAAGGAGTCAAGACCCATTGGTGTGCTGTATTCAGGTGACCCATCTCATGTGCTCAAACACACATAGGCTCAAAATAAAGGGATGGAGGATTATTTACCAAGCAAATGGAAAGCAAAAAAAGCAGAGGTTGCAATCCTAGTCTCTGATGAAACACACTTTAAACCAACAAAGATCAAAAAAGACACAGAAGGACATTACATATGATTAAGGGATCAATGCAACAAGAAGAACTAACTATCCTAAATATATATGCACCCAATACAGGAGCACCCAGATACATAAAACAAGTTCTTAGAGACCTACAAAGAGACTTAGACTCCCACACAATAATAGTGGGAGACTTTAATGCCCCACTGTCAATATTAGACAGACAAATGAGACAGAAAATTAATGAGGATATTCAGGACTTGAACTCAGCTCTGAACCAAGTGGACTTAATAGACATCTACAGATCTCTCCACCCCAGATCAACAGAACATACATTCTTCTTGGCACCACATAACACATATTCTAAAATTGACCACATAATTGGAAGTAAAACAGTCCTCAACAAATGCAAAAGAATAGAACTCATAACAAACAGTCTCTCAGACCACAGTGCAATCAAATTAGAACCTAGGATTAAGAAACTCACTCAAAACCACACAACTACATGGAAACTGAAGAGTCTGCTCCTGAATGACTGCTGGGTAAATAATGAAATTAAGACAGAAATAAAGAAGTTCTTTGAAACCAATGAGAACAAAGAGACCACACCAGAATCTCTGGGACACAGCTAAAGCAGTGTTAAGAGGGAAATTTATAGCATTAAGTTCCCACATTGGAAAGTGGGAAAGATCTGAAATAGACACCCTAACATCACAATTAAAAGAACTAGAGAAACAATTAAAAGAACTAGAGAAGCAAGAGGAAAAAATTCAAAAGCTTGCAGAAGACAACAAATAACTAAGATCAGAGCAGAACTGAAGGAGATAGAAACACAAAAAAACCCTTCAAAAGAATCAATGAATACAGGAGCTGGTTTTTTGAAAAGATTAATAAAGTAGATAGACCACTAGCCAGACTAATAAAGAAGAAAAAAGAGAAGAATCAAATGACACAATAAAAAATGATAAAGGGGAGATCACCACTGATCCCACAGAAATACAAACAACCATCAGAGAATACTATAAACACCTCTATGCAAATAAACTACAAAATCTAGAAGAAATGGATACAAAATCTAGAAGAAATGGACACATACACCCTCCTAAGACTAAACCAGAAAGAAGTCAAATCCCTGAATTTACCAATAACAAGTTCTGAAATTGAGGCAGTAATTAATAGCCTACCAACCAAAAAAAAAAAAAGCCCAGGACCAGATGGATTCACAGCCAAATTCTACCAGAGGTACAATGAGGAGCTGGTACCATTCCTTCTGAAACTATTCCTAACAATAGAAAATGAGGGACTCCTCCCTAACTCATTTTATGGTGCAGCATCATCCTGATACCAAAACCTGGCAGAGACACAGCGAAAAAAGAAAATTTTAGGACAACATCCCTGATGAAGATTGATGTGAAAATCCTCAATATAATACTGGCAAACCGAATCCAGCAGCACATCAAAAAGCTTATCCACCACAATCAAGTTGGCTTCAGACTTAGGATACTAGGCTAGTTCAACATATGCAAATCAATAAACATAATCCACCACATAAACAGAACAAATGACAAAATCACGTGATTATCTCAATAGATGCAGAAAAGGCCTTCAATAAAATTCAACACCCCTTCATGCTAAAAACTCTCAATAAACTAGGTATTTGTGGAACATATCTCAAAATAATAAGAGCTGTTTATGACAAACTCATAGCTAATATCATATGAAATGGGCAAATGCTGGAAGCATCCCCTTTGAAAACTGACACAAGACAAGGATGCCCTCTCTCACCACTCCGATTCAACATAGTATTGGAAGTTCTGGCCAGGGCAATTAGGCAAGAGAAAGAAATAAAGTGTATTCAAATATCAAGAGAGGAAGTCAAATTGTCCCTCTGTTTGCAGATGACGTGATTATATATTTAGAAAACCCCATAGTCTCAGCCCCAAAACTTCTTTTTTTTTTTTTTTTTTTTTTTTTTTTGAGACGGAGTCTCGCTCTGTCGCCCAGGCTGGAGTGCAGTGGTGCGATCTCGGCTCACTGCAAGCTCCGCCTCCCAGGTTCACGTCATTCTCCTGCCTCAGCCTCCCGAGTAGCTGGGACTACAGGCGCCCACCACCACGCCCGGCTAATTTTTTGTATTTTTAGTAGAGACGGGGTTTCACCGTGTTAGCCAGGATGGTCTCGATCTCCTGACCTCGTGATCCGCCCGCCTCGGCCTCCCAAAGTGCTGGGATTACAGGCGTGAGCCACCGCGCCCGGCCCCCAAAACTTCTTAAGCTGATAAGCCATTTCAGCTAAGTCTCAGGATACAAAATCAATCTGCAAAATCACAAGCATTTCTATACACCAACAATATACAAGCAGAGAGCCAAATCATGAGTGAACTCCCATGTACAATTGCTACAGAGAATAAAATACCTAGGGATACAACTTACAAGGTACGTGAAGGACCTCTTCAAGGAGAACTACAAATCACTGCTCAGGGAAATAAGGGAGGAGACAAACAAATAGAAAAACATTCCATGCTCATGGATAGGAAGAATCAATATCATGAAAATGGCCATACTGCCCAAAGTAATTTGTAGATTCAATGCTATTCCTATCAAGCTACCAGTGACTTTCTTCACAGAATTAGAAAAAAGCTACTTTAAATTTCATATGGAACTTAAAAAGAGCCCATATAGCCAAGACAATCCTAAGCAAAATGAACAAAGCTGGAGGCATAATACTACCTGACTTCAAACTATACTACAAGGCTACAGTAACCAAAACAGCATGGTACTGGTACCAAAACAGATATATAGACCAATGAAACAGAACAGAGGCCTCAGAAATAAAACCACACATCTACAATAATATGATCTTTGACAAACCTGACAAAAACAAGCAATGGGGAAAGGATTCACTATTTAATAAATGGTGCTGGAAAACAGGCTAGCCATATGCAGCAAACTGAAACTGGACCTCTTCCTTATGCCTTATACAAAAATTAACTCAAGATATATTAAAGACTTAAACATAAAACCTAAAACCATAAAAACCCTAGAAGAAAACCTAGGCAATACAATTCAGGACATAGGCATGGGCAAAGACTTCATGACTAGAACACCAAAGCAATTGCAACAAAAGTCAAAATTGACAAATGGATCTCATTAAACTAAAGAACTTCTGCACAGCAAAAGAAACTATCATCAGAGTGAACAGGCACCCTACAGAGTGGAAGAACGTTTTTGCAATCTATCCATCTGCCAAAGAGCTAATATCCAGAATCTGCAAGGAACTAAAACAAATTCACAAGAAAAAACAACCCCATCAAAAAGTGGGTGAAGGATATGAATAGACACTTTTCAAAAGAGACATTTATGTGGCCAACATCATATGAAAAAAAGCTCATCATCACTGGTCATTAGAGAAATGCAAATCCAAACCACAATGAGATGCCATCTCACACCAGTTAGAATGAGGGTCATTAAAAAGTCAGAAAACAACAGATGCTAGAGAGGATGTGAAGAAATAGGAAAGCTTTTACACTTTTGGTGGGAGTGTAAATTAGTTCAACTATTGTGGAAGACAGTGTGGTGATTCCTCAAGGATCTAGAACCAAAAATACCATTTGACACAGCAGTCCCATTACTGGGTATATACCCTAAGTATTATAAATTCTTCTACTATAAAGACACATGCACACATATGTTTATTGCAGCACTATTTACAATAGCAAAGACTTGGAACCAACTCAAATTCCTATCAATAATAGAATGGGTAAAGAAAATGTGGCACATATACACCATAGGACACTATGCAGCCATAAAAAAGAATGAGTTCATGTTCTTTGCAGGGACGTGGATGAAGCTGGAAACCATCATTCTCAGCAAACTAACACAGAAACAGAAAACCAAACACTGCATGTTCTCACTCACAAGTGGGAGTTAAACAATGAGGACACATGAACACGTGGAGGGGAACATCATACACTGGGACCTGTTGTGGGGTGGGGGACAAGGGGAGGGAGAGCATTAGGACAATTACCTAATGCATGCGGGGCTTAATATCTAAGTGACGGGTTGATAGTTGCAGCAAACCACCATGGCACAAGTATACCTATGTAACAAACCTGAACATTCTGCTCATGTATCCCAGAACTTAAAGTAAAATTAAGAATAAAGATAAAATTAAATTAAAAGATGTATTTAAAAAAATGGCCTGCCATCCCTTGAAAACATGTAAAATGGGAATAATTATTCCTAACTTAAATATCTTCATTGCTACATATGGCACAGAGTTATATAAAGATCACATTTTCAGGATGTTTAGTATCAAACATTTTGCAAATGTGAGGTATAGTAACTGCCATGCCATACCCAGAGATTATATTATTTATTATAATTTTTATATTATATACGTTCTATTATGTTATACAACAGATTTAAAATGACCTTCTCCTGCTTACTTACGAGAGCTATTGATCTGCCTACTTTGCATTTATAATCTCTACAAACTTCCTTCACTCCTTGTCTAAAATCATTTTCTTCTTATTGTTCATTATCAGTAGGGGCTTGAACACTGGCTTTGCTATTGAGCCAAGCACTCTAAAGACACAAAATAAAATAATTTCTTTCAAGAAGGTGGTTCAACTCTGCAGATTTAACTGTAAAACCATGGTAGGTTGCTCACCAATTCAGCCTGTTGTAGGATTGTAGAATTTCAAGGTAATCAGAGAATATGGGCTTTCACTTTCTACCTGCCATTCAATGCTTTGAGGAATGGACCCATGTGGATCATGGATTTATAGGTATTAAACTTGCTTCTCCTGCCACTGCTAGCCATAAAAAACACAGTGTAACTGAAGTTTACCAAAACTAGCTGCTGTGTCTTTCATTTGCCCTCCAGATCCGCTCTTGCCTTGTTTTATGACTGAACACCTGAAATGTTTTTAAAAGCAGTGTTTAAATAATTAATAAATAACAGTAATTTATTATTAAGTAATAAGTTGCTATTACTTTAATGTTGTGAATATATATATCTATATATGCAAGTAGAGGTACATGTATTTGTAGCAAAGAATTTGAAATAATACACACTAAAAAGGTAGTGTCTCTTGGAGATATCTTTATTTGTTTGGTTTTTTTGAGATATCTAGTTTTTCTTCAGACTTGTTTTACTTGTGTTATCATAACAAACAATTTAACTACTGAAGATTTTTTAAAACATCCTTCTGTTGGTTGTAGATGCTAATTTTTATGTTTCATAATTTCAATCATTGAGTGATGACACAATACATTTTACAAAACGTAACACGGAGCCTTATGAAAATAAAATTCTAGCTTCAATAATTTCATAACTTTTCTCTAATTATCTTTTCAAAAAGACTTTGGTAATGTGCTCTAAACATAGGAAATGTGAATTTTGAAAGCTATAGGCTGCTTAAAAATGAAAGTAATGGAAGTAAAAACATATATCACTAAGAAAAAATAAAAGGGACTTAACAGTTTTGTAATTATTTTATTAACAAAAGACGTTAAGCAAATTCACATGTGACAGTGGCTTGTGAACAAACCAGAAGTTCTTTCTTCAAAGTGAAAAAGGAAACAGTTTAGGAAATACTGAAGAGTGAAATCAAAAGAACAAGTTACACATATACTACTTTTTTTTTCTCTTGGCTGCATTAATTGTAGTATTTGATCTTTAGTTCACATATACAGGGAAAGAGAGTCCAGTTAATTTATAGATGTTAATTACAATCCTCTGATATGAATTTCAGTTTTGGTAGTGATGGAAGCTCCTTTAATTGGAGGCTTTCTGTAATTGCATGGCGAGTCTCTAAGTGTGGAATGGATGAGATGAGAAAACACAAGCTAAAACCGTGCAAAAACACTTCTAGCAAATTAGTGATAACATTTTTATAAACATAATATTATTTTGATGGTTCCACTGAAAACTGTGATTTATTTAGAACATAGCACCACATGTGTTTTGCTCAGTAAAGAGTTGCATTTTCAGCTTGTCATCATATTCATTCAAGAAACATGTTGGTAAAACTGATTAGAAACCCCCCAACACTGCTTCTTTCTGTATTAGTCCATTTTCACACTGCTATAAAGACATACCTGAGACTGGGTAATTCATGAAGGAAAGAGGTTTAATTGATTTGCAGCTTCACATGGCTGAGATGGCCTCAGGAAACTTACAATAATGGGGGAAGGGGAAGCAGGCACCTTCTTCCCAAGGTGGCAGGAAAGAGAGAGAGAGAAAGTGAAGTGGGAAGAGCCCCTTATAAAACCATTAGATCTCATAAGAACTCATTCACTATCATGAGAACAGCATGGGGAGAACTGCCCCCATGATCCAATCACCTCCCACCAGGTCCCTCCTGGACACATGGGGATTACAGTTTGAAATGAGATTTGTGTGAGGACATAGAGCCAAACCATATCATCTCCATAGCCATACTTGGCATGGGGGAAATTAAAGAACTCAGTGAAAACACCAAAGCAAAAACAGTAGGGAGTACTACCAGTCCTATTCCCAGTAGTTTAAGCATTTTAAAAACTAAATCAGAATTTCTGTCTCATATACCTGACTTTTCTTGGTTAACATTTTTTGTGAAATAAAATACCTATACCAAAAAATGCACAACAAAGGTATGTATAATACTTTGATTTATCACAAAGCAAACACTCTAATAATCTCTAGAAAAAATAG
Source organism: Homo sapiens (assembly GCF_000001405.40). Lineage (NCBI taxonomy): Eukaryota > Metazoa > Chordata > Mammalia > Primates > Hominidae > Homo > Homo sapiens. Next base: position 130,643,012 of record NC_000006.12, read on the forward strand.
AATATTGCCTGTCATTCAGAAGCCCACACATGATTCCATACATGATTACCATCCCTACCTTTCCTACCCCTCAAAGGTAATCAACTATCTTGACATTTAAATCAATCACATGCTTCCGTTAATAATATGAGTTTAATACCTAAGCACATATCCTTAAACACTACAGTTCAATTTTGCCTTGTTTCAAACTTTATGTAATTTAAATTGTATAGAATGTATCCTTTTGTGTCTGGGTTCTTTGGCTAAACATTGTGTTTTACAAAACCCACTTAATTGCATGAAGCTGTAGTTCTTTTAGTTTTATTGCTTTTAGAGTGTTTTTTTATACGTTTATACCACAATTTATTTTTGCCCTCAACTGTTGGTGAACTTTACAAATCACATTGCTATGAATATTCTTGAAGGTGTTTCTGGCTATACATAAACCCTCATTTCTAAAAGTGGAATTTGCTGATCAGAGGGAATGCATGTCTGCAACCATAACTCATCATCCCTAACCATCTTCCAAAGCAGTTGCTCCAATTTACACCTCCAGGAGCAGTGTGTGGGAGCCCCATGGCTCACATCCTCACCCACATTTGATATTGTAGCATCTGTAGTAGTCCTGTAAATGTTCTGCATCACAGCACTTTGTTGGTGACATATGTTGCTAGCACGTTTGCCCACTCTATGGATTGCTTTTTCACTCATTTAATAGTATCTTTTAAGGAACCAAAGATGGTAATTTTATTGTAGTAAAGTTTATCAATTTTTTATAGCTAATATTTTTGTGTCCTTTTTTTTAAAAAAAATCTGTTCCTACCCTTGTATAATGAAGGTTTGTCATATCTTCTAAAAGTTTTATTATTTTGCTTTTTATATTCACATCTACAATATAGATAAAATTGATTTTTGTGTATGGTTTGAAATAGGATCCAATTTCTCTTTTTCTAAGTGGATATAGATTTATCCCAGCATTATTTATTGAAAAGACTATTCATTTTCCACTCCTCTATGATGCCATCTTTATTAGTTTCCTTGGGCTTCTGAAACAAAGTACCAAAAACAGAATGGCTTAAAACAATACGAATTTATTTGCTTTTAGTTCTGAGGCAAGAAATGTGAAAGCAAGCTGCTGTCAGTGCTGTGCTGTCTCTGCAGGCTCTAGGGGAGAATCCTGCTTTCCTTGCAACTTCTGGCAGTGGCTGGAGATCCTTGGTGCTCCTTGGCTTGCAGCTGCTGCACTCCATCCTCTGCCTGTGACAATCACATGATGATCTACCTGTGTGTCTCAAACTCTGTATCTAAATTTTCCTCTACCTCCAAGAACACTAGTCGTATTGTAGTTAGGGCCCACCCTAATTCAGTATGACCTCATCATAACTAAGACCCTATTTGCAAATGAGGTCACATTCACAGATAATGAGATTATGTGAGAATCACTGGGGGCCATCCTAGAGGCTAGCTGCCATAAACATGTAGCTTGGTACTGTTGGGGGAATCCAGCCCCCGATATTCAACATGGGTCCTTTTCTATTTTCCCTAAGTGTTGGCTGGTCTGAGAAATAAAGGGAAAGAGTACAAAAGAGAGAAATTTTAAAGTTGGGTGTCCAGGGAAGACATCACATGTCGGCAGGTTCCGTGATGCCCCCAAACCACAAAATCAGCAAGTTTTTATTAGTGATTTTCAAAAGGGGAGGGAGTGTACGAATAGGGTGTGGGTCACAGAGATCACATGCTTCACAAGGTAATAAAATATCACAAGGCACATGGAGGCAGGGTGAGATCATAGGACTGGGGCGAAATTAAAATTTCCAATGAAGTTTCAGGTACACATTGCCATTGATAACATCTTATCAGGAGACAGGGTTTGAGAGCAGACAACCAGTCTGACCAAAATTTATTAGGTGGGAATTTCCTTATCCTAATAAGCCTGGAAGCACTACGGGAGACCAGGGCTTATTTCATCCCTTATTAACAACCATAAAAGACAGACATTCCCAAAGTGGCCATTTTAGAGACCTCCCCTTGGGAACGCATTCTCCCTCTCAGGGATGTTCCTTGTTGAGAAAAAGAGTTCAGCAGTATTTCTCCTATTTGCTTTTGAAAGAAGAGAAATGTGGCTCTGTTCCACCCAGCCCACAGGCAGCCAGACTTTAAGGTTATCTCCCTTGTTTCCTGAACATCGCTGTTACCCTGTTCTTTTTTCAAGGTGCCCAGATTTCATATTGTTTAAACAATTTGTGCAGTTAGCACAATCATCACAGGGTCCTGAGGCGACATTCATCCTCAGCTTATGAAGACGATGGGATTAAGAGATTAAAGACAGGCATAGGAAATCACAAGAGTATTGGTTGGGGAAGCGATAAATGTCCATGAAATCTTCACAATTTATGTTCAGAGATTGCAGTAAAGACAGGTATAAGAAATTATAAAAGTATTAATTTGGGGAACTAATAAATGTCCATGAAATCTTCACAATTCATGTTCTTCTGCCATGGCTTCAGCCAGTCCCTCCGCTCAGGGTCTCTGACTTCCCACAACAGGTACCTTAGTACATGAATGATACATGAACACAAAGACGCATATGGTCATTCTCAAAAGAAATGAAGGTAAGTGTTCATCACAGTTGTTAAAAATATAGTCTTAAAATTTATATTTCTTGCAAACCCATCTTTTGTCTTTATACATAAATGCATAGATGTGAAAGATTTTTTAGAATGAACTCCTTTAGAAATAGTCTCCTGTATTTTAGAATTTGTTTAAATGTGTGGAAATACTGCTTATTTTTAGATAATGCTTATTTTAATTTTCTTTCTTTTTTATGTAACAAAAGAAAATAATTGAATTGTTATACATACACATAAATGTTCATACATTCCCCCAAAAATAAATCATCTTCCTGGGAAAAATCACATGCCTGAATTAATATGTTCCTTAAAATGTAAGCAGTCATTTAAAACTCAGGGTAGAAAAGGATGTTAGACATGAAACTTTAATCTTTTCATTTTTAGAGCTGGGAAAGACCCAGAAAGGTAAGGTGATTTGCCTACTGTCACAGAGCTAGTAGCAGAGCCAGAGGTGAACCTAGGACTCCATACTCAACAGTCAAGTGTAAGTGTGCCAACTGTACAATAGTCAATGAATGGCTTTCCTAGCAGTGCAAAATGTTTGATGAATAAAATGCTTTTAGTGAATAATGTTCTTTATCTCTTGAGAACAAGATCTTGGTCCATCATCCAGGCTGGATTCCTGGACTCAAGGAATCCCCCCATCTCAGCCTCCTTAGTAGTTGAGACTACAGGTACTAGCCACTATGCCTGCCTTCTATATTTATTTTAGCAGTGAACATCTTATCAGTTGTATTTTCTATGAACAGAAGCTTTTGTTGACCTATTTACATTCTTTTTCCCTAGGAGGAAAGTCCCTCATCTGAGAATTTCTTGAATGCTATTACATTGACTGCTCCCTTCTGTCTTAATAAAGAAAAATGAGACTACAGATTGTGTCTTAGGCTATTAGCATCCTCATTCACACTGCAAATTTATAGTTTTGAAAAGGAGTAGGAAGGTTTAGGCTTAAAGAAGCAAGTGAATTTGAGTATGTGTCGGTCCCCAAATTTCTATGTATACATCTCTAGAGCATTTCTGAAGAGATCTGTCATCCTGGCATTTTGGGTAATAGGTTTCACTCCTACTAAGCGACATCGATGTTCACTGTAGAGCAGTGAATGAAGTGTCCTGTTGTTAGAGACTGAGCACAGCTGGGTTCGACTTGCCTAGCAACAGGGCTCTAATGTGACTTTTTATTTTGTAAAATTCGGGCCTCTAAAATACTTCATGGCATTTGGAAACCTTGTGTCTGTCTTACTGTGCACCGTATGATCAACACCATATGCTGACAGATGAGAATGGAAGCTATTATGTGTTGAAGTATATTGAACCTAGGGTAAAACTGGTATAGAATACAAAATGTTCATTTTACACTCTCTCAGGTAGATGATAATTTGAGTAATATTTGCCCATAGAAGAGCAGAAGTCTATAAATGTTGTGTTCACCATAAAAGAAGCAGAAAAGGAATACCCATAGAGTTGGCTATAAAAAGGAAAAGCCTAACTAGTTTGAAATAATCTTTTTTTCTTTGAATTTCTCCTACTTGACCTTCTAAAACTTTTCAGACTCAGTTCATTTCATTCATCCTGTATTATTTATCTTTTGTTCAGCTTTAATCTTGAAAACAAACACAGAGAAGGATTTTTGAGGTGCATTTATTTCCCCTCTGAGTTGTGGTTTGATTAGTTTGGAGACTTACTATCCTTTAGGTATTTGCCCTTTCAAATTTCAAATGTGTTCCTTTTCTTTCCCTTCAGTATTTCCACATTCTTTTGGAATGCTTTTATTTATAGAAAGCAAAATGCAGTCAAAATATAATATTCTTCTATCAGTCAGCTTAAATTAATGCTCCCAAAATTATTCTACATTCTTTTAAAAACCATGACTCACTTATAAGACCCCACATAATTTTCAGCTATGCTAAAAATCAGCAGGAAGAGGAAAAGAGACAGAAATGATAAAATTTTAAAAAATGATTAGTTGGGAAAAGAAAGCATTGTGCAGTTGACTTGCATCAGGGCAATGGAAGTGTGCTGCCAAATTCCTTTGGACTTTTTTAAGCTCTACAGCTAAATATTCTGAAGAGTTAGTCTACTTATATTAATTTTGTGTTGGCATGTACTGTATATATATGTGTATATATACATATATATGAGATATTACTAGTAACAATTTGCGATATTAAAATCTATTGCAAGTAATTTTGTGCCAGACAACATATTGCCACTTATATTAGGTACTTATTTGTTGTTACATTTTATATTATATTATTAAAAAACCTTGAAGACCTTTAGTCTCTGAAATAAAAACCTGTAATTGTTTAATTTTATTTTATGGATATGTCAACAGACAGATCTGTGGGGTATTCTATTTCTTTGATTGCTATCTTTCAATGAAGATCTTTCTATTAATCTGCTATTCAGTGTCAGAGTCCACAGATAAATCCAATGTTTACTTTAGAGCTTTATAAAATGTACACTATTTTAGAACATTTGTAAAAGTGTATGTTGTATTTGAGACTTGCAGTGATATGCATGCATAATATGTATAGGTCTGGGGCACGGCAAGGCTGGAGTTAGAATACTCACAACCTTACACACTAACATAGGCCTCCAAAGCAAGTAAGCAGATAGCAGGCTCCAGTCTCTTTGACAAAGTGACTTCATAAGCCACAATAATAGCTATGGTTTTTGAGCTACGCAAATTGTGCTAGATGCTTTACATTTATTACTTCTAATCCTTATATGAAATGTGAAAAGTTACCTCTCTTTTATATATGAGGAAACGGTCTCAGAGATTTTGCTATTGACCTAGTAAGTTCCAGAAGAATTATATCTGGCCCCAAAGCCTATTCCATCCACTAAAGTATAATATACCAGAATTGAGTGAAAAATAACAAGGTAAAAGAAAGATGTGAGCATGAGTGCTCTTAACACAATGTAGGAGGAGCAGCTTTTCTAACATCTAACTCAGGTTTTAAAGAAGTCTCACTTGTTCCTTATCACTCAATATTGAAACTAATATAATTGACCAATATGGATTTATGCTTCTAGCAGCAAAACATAGCCATGATAAAAAGAACACAGGTTTTCAACTGACCTTACGGTTTTACATCTCAATTCTGCTATTTACTAGATGTGCAGACTTAAGTGAGACATGTAACACTCTAAGTCTGGCTTTCCTTATCTGTAAAATGCGAATATCTCTATACACGCTTCATAAGCTAGCTGTGCTTAACTAGAAAATGCATTATAATTACTGTGATGCAAAAGGCTGTCAATAAGGGGCAGATATTTTTTCTGAGGCTACACTTCCTAATATGTAAAATTACTTTGGTGAACATTAGTTGAACTGGAGAAGTAAATACAGATCCCAACACATATAGCTATAACTGTTGTGGTTATTTTTAAAAATAAGTCTATTATAGCAGTTTCTAGAGATTGTCAGTACTACTATCATTGATTTTGCCTTGCCTTAGGACTTCATCCTCATAAAAAGGTAAGTTTATAGTAATGATTTTGACAGTCTTCGACGGCCACTTGCTTTCCTAGCCTTGTTTATTCAACCTCTGGACCCAGAGAGAGGAAGACCAGTACTGCTGCAGTCGGCTCCTGCTGCAGGCCTCATAGAGCTGGGTGGGGTGCATCATTTCATTTGTAAGTAAATCTCAATGATAAACATTCAAATGGTCACATGCTTTGCCCCAAAAGGCATTGATCTCCAGTGAATCTTTTGAAAAGACCGTATCATTTGTCATCTTATCTCAGAGGTACAGGTGAAGTCATCAATGTTAAGACTGTACTTAGTCCCAGAAAAGTACCTTTGGCACAGTGGTCCAGTGCTTGACCGTCCTGCCTCCTGAGCTAACTCCTATGCTTACAAGATGGGATAACAATATGTGAGTACTCCAAAGCTTTGCCCCATTTGCCCACCATAACCCTACTCCTCAGTATTTCCCCCCTCTTTCACCCCTAACAAGGGTCCTCCTCCCTACATTAGCAGATCAAAGTACATTCAGCTTTTGTGTTGTAAGAACAGGAGATGAATGTGGGGAAACAGATGGGCAACAGGTAAAATGTGAAATTGGTGGCTGGAGAATATTATAAGCGGAAGGAGGGCAGGTACTAAAGAGAGAGGCAGAAAAAATCCATAGTAGAAACTATAACTAAAATGTAGATATTTGAGGAATATTCTTGTATCTGCTCAAGTAAAGGGCTAGTCATTTTGAAATGACTATTGATTGCAAGGATGGTTCTTTTTTGCCCATGGCCACATGCTGGAATGGACCCATGTGGATCATGGATTTATAGGCATTAAACTTGCTTCTACTGCTACTGCTAGCCATAAAATCACAGTGTAACTGAAATTTACCAAAACTAGCTGTTGTGTCTTTCATTTGCCCTCCAGATCCGCTCTTGCCTTGCCTCCCTGCTGCGCTCTTTTCCATGGAGCCTGATCTGTATGAACTACTTTGACAGACTTCCACACTTCCTGGCTTCTGCTTTCATTCAGGCATTGAAGAACACTAGTAAAAATTGGAGGAAAGGAGGAGAATGAAGTCAGGGTAGTTATTACCCTGACTCCCTTCATTCAGGATCCCCTCAGGATGATTGTATCCTTGGACAAAAGATCACTACTACCCTCAAAGGGACCTACTTTGTATCACTTTCTCTCCTCTGGCTTCTGGTAACCACTCTGCCCCATCACCCCTTCAAGCCTAGAAATTCAGCCCCACTGCCCCCTAGCCCCAGATACCTGCACTATTTCTGTGGTTCCCCTGTACCCCACCTATACCTTTGTAATTACCCTCTTTATTAATAGATTCTCCCCAAATTGTCTAAATTTCAGTGTGTCATTTGCTTCCTGGTGGGACCTTGATCTATATTCTTACATCAAAATCCCTAGAAAGCTAGCATGATAAGTCAAAATAAGTAGCAAGAGGAAGGGTCTCGCTATTCAACATCTTCAAATCCTTAGAAGATGGAATTATCTAATTCAGGAACATAGAATTTGTTTTGTTTGGGAAGAGTCCAAAAACTCAATTCAATCTATTTCTAGTTTCATTATCTCCCCTATCCCACCTTCTCTGCTACAGAAACTACTTTGCTGCCCAATGTGGCTTTATCATTACCACCTTGAGTTCCTGCTACTTCTGCTTCAGAAACTGTTGAAGAGATGAGACCAGATGGTCTGTCCTGGTGTGCCAGTCTGGACCAGTGTCTTAGCTCATTTTGTGTTGCTATAAAGGAATACCCAAGGCTGGGTAAGTTATGGATAAAGAAATGTTTATTTAGTTTATGATTCTGATGGTCAGAAAGGTCAAGATTGGGCATTTGGTGAGGGCTTCAGTTTGCTTCCACTCATGGCAGAAGGAGAAGAGGAGCTGTGTGTGCAGAGATCACACAGTGAAAGAAGAAGCAAGGGTAGGGGGAGGCACGAGGCTCTTTTTGGCAACCACCTCTTGAGTGGGAACTAACAGAGTGAGAATTCACTTATCCTGGAGGGAGGGCATTAATCTATTCATGAGGGATCCACCTTCATGACCTAAATAGCTCCCATTGGGCCCCACCTCCAACACTGGGAATCAAATTTCAACATGTGGTTTAGAGAGGAAGAACATCCAAATCATGGCGACCAGAGTTTCTGCTGTGGGCATGGACTCTACGTTTAAAAACCACAGGCCAGGTGCGGTGACGCCTGCAGTCCCAGCACTTTGGGAGGCTGAGGTGGGCAGATTACGAGGTCAGAAGTCCGGGAACATCCTGGCCAACATGGTGAAACCCCGTCTCTACTAAAAACACAAAAATTATCTGGGCGTAGTGGCACGTGCCTATAATCCCAGCTATTCAGGAGGCTGAGGCAGGAGAATCGCTCAAACCTGGGAGGCTGAAGTTGCAGTGAGCCGAGATGGCACTACTGCACTCCAGCCTGCACAACATAGTGAGACTTTGTCTCAAAAAAAGGAAGAAGTCCCTGGGTGGGAGAGAGGTCAATCCTGAGCCGGAGAGGATCTCCTCTTTTTGATAGGCTCCAAGACCTTTTAGAAGCTCCAGGCTTCAAGAATGACACAAAGTGTGACACAAACATTCTTCTGGGTTTACTTTGTATGAAAATGGTTCTCTACAGATGGTCACCCTAGGAAATCAACCTCAGATATTAGAGCAGAAGACATCTTGGCTGTGGTATGTACTAGGCACAGGCCACTGGAATCACCTCTTTCCAATGCCTCAGGTTGTCCTGCTTCTGAATTAGCTCTTTGAGACCAGGGACAGAGACTCAGTCACTTTTGAATTCTGAGGGCCTAGCACCAAACCTCATATGAAGCTGGGGCTAAATATTTCACTAGATGAATGAGTGGATGAATGAATGAACAACTGAATGAATATTCATGTAGTAAATAAGAATACTCTGGCTCCTCCTCATGACTTTCTCCCTCTTTAGAGACCAGGAACAATGTTTTATTTTACCTATACTTCACAGCTTTTCACAGTGCCTCATCAGAACAAATTTCCTTTTCATGTAAGCCTCTTCATATTCGTATTTTGTCAGGTGTCTTGTTTACAGACCTCTTTATTCTGTTTATTGCAGTGTTTTAACAATACATATGTGCTTTCAATGACATTTCCCTACTAACCAGAAAAACTGATAACTAGACATTTGTTACTGGATCAGACTTGGATAAAGAGTCTTTCCTGAGAAGTTTTGAGAGGACGGTCCTCACTTTTCTCCCAGCACAGCATCGCTACCCCTAGCTCCAACATGGACCTCTGAAAACAAGTAGATGAGGGTGAATCACGAGAAACTTGAACACTACTCACTGGCTTTAAAATGTGCCTATGTGTTAGTGGCTGAGTATCTAAGAGTATCTCTATCTGAGATGTAATGCATATGGTTAATATAAGAGATCCCATGTGTCTGGTATTTCTAAAGTGCCAGGCACTGATCTAAGCCCTTTTTATGTTTAAAGTCATTTAAAATTTACAACAACCTTATGAGGTAGACAGAAACTGAGGGCAGACAGTGTTAAATAACATGCTGAAGAGCAGACAGCAAGGAAACAAGCTTTGAACACATGCCCTCTGGGCCTGTGAGCTACCCAGGACCCATTGCATTATACCACATGGCATTGAAAGAAGCAGCAGTTCTTTGTCTTCTCAAACCAACAATCTCCAAACCCAGAGACCCACCTCCAGCCACAAAGATCTTAAATGGAGAATATACAACTAAGAGCTTGAAAGAATATTAAAGCAGTAAGCTTAGAGGTCAGGCTTTGACTAGCACAACACCTTCCAAAGGCAATAAAAAGTAAAGGCCTTTTGTCCAAGGAAAATCCCCAGTGGCTCTTGGGCCCCACTGAAGGAACTCCAGCAGGCTTACATGAGACTTCTGCATGACCTTTAAGGGTTAGGAAAGTCACAGAAAAGAAATCACATTCCCTGGGCTGTTGGACACACATAATGATACTCAAAGGATGTGTCTGCTGAGCACACACAGGAGGCAGTTAGCAGGGTGGGGGTCAAGCTGAGATGGCATTTCAGTGAAAGGACTCCCCAGAAACTCTGAAAAAATGGATGGTAAACAAGAGTCAAAACACAGTCGCTTTTCTTTCTTGTACATATTTCTGTGTGTCCTCTCCTCTTCTTATAAGGACACCAGTTATTGAATTTAGGACCCACTCTAATCCAGTATGACCTCATTTAAGCCACATATATCCACAAAGATGGTATTTCTAAATAAGGTCACATTCTGAGGTTCCTAGTGGACATGAATTTTGGGAGAACACTATTCAACTATAAGCATTAATAGTAGGTATCCTTAGTTTGCCACAAACAACAAAAGCAGGGGTTCTGATCCGAATTTTATATTGGAAATTCAGAATATAAATATATGCTTCATCTTCCAATAGGAAAGTATAAAATATATTGTACTATGGTGTCTTTTGAGAGATTAAAAAACATAGAAAATAGTTTTGTATGCAAATACGAAAGTTGTAATGTTCCTGTCTTGGCTTCCAGCAAAATCATGCATTAAATAGGAAGCTCAAATGTCATCTAATGTTCTTCAATTGAAGTAACTGACTATATTGAGAATAAATGCTGTACCAGCTAAACATGCAGTGGAATACATTTGGGGCATCTAGATTCAGACCTATACTGCTTTCCTGATTTTTCTCTCCTGGTAGTAAGGACATGATTGTGTACCGCTTGATTTCATTTTCCAAAGAGCACCGTTAGACTCTTTGTATACTTATAACGGCAGGTGACGTGGTTGATTTCTGTAGGTAGTCTATTTACTCAATTAAACTAGAATATCATTGAGTCAAAGACTCATCTAATTAGCTAGTATAATAAATCAAACACCACTAATTTGGTTGTTCTCAATGCCACAGCACTTTTTAAAGGTCACTTCCAAGGTGTCTACAATTAGCAGCTTGTCGCCCTGAAGAAATAGTCTGGCCAGACTGAATTGCTCCATGGTGGGAGAAGTAATTTGGCAACAACATGCTGTGTTGTTATAATAAACAGCCTAGCTATTATCCTCCATTTTTTGCTGCCTAAATTATTTTTCTTTCTCTCTTTTCTTCTTTTTTGTTCTTAAAGCAGTTCTTTGACTCAAAGAAATGTGTCTTTTTATCTATTTCAGTTATGTATTTGAAACATCAATCAACACTGTAGCTATAAAAAAATTTTAAAAATAAGAATTATTTAGATTGTAGCTTTATATTTATTTTTTTCTACATTTACAGTTCTTAGATACAAGCTAATTTTGGGAGGAAGCTAATTTAAATCCCAAACTGATTAGTGATTCATGAATTCTTTTGTCTTAAATAAAGGCAATAATACTTAGCACTCCTAATGCAGAGAGACGCCTTCTTTGGAAACTTGCTTATTCTTCCCTTCCATGACATCCTTTCTCTGGTTCTCCTACTGACTTTCCCCTGAACTCTCTTTCACAATCTTTCTCAGGTTCCTGGTTTCCTTCTTCCCTTTGAGGGATTCTATTCTCAGTCTTTCTACCCATGGTTTCCTCGAGGGACATCATCCCATTCCAGGGTGTCATTAACTCACAACTCACAAATCAACTCCAAAACCTGACAATTTCCTATGAAATGGACCCATCTTTCCATTATATACAAGAAACAGGCCATGTACACTGAAGAGCTAAAGTAGATGTAATCAAGCATAATACATAAAACAAAAAAAAATGTTTGCTGAAAGTACTCAGGAAAGGGAGCAATTCTTTGTGTCCCAAGTTACTGGAAAGAGCCACAGGAAGAAAGAGTGTGTTTAAAAATCACCAGTTAGTATGATTTTTGCAGGGAGAATAAGAGAAAAGACATTTGAGACCATGAGAACCCCATGAACTATGCAGGAAAGTGGAAATGAGAAAGAGCGTGTGGAAGGTCATAAGGAGACCATCCCAGCTGGCACAGCAAGCGTGTGTTAGGCATCAGGAGGTCAAGCTGGAGAGATAAAGACCAGACTGTACGGAAGAGTGAATGCCAGGGTGAGACCTTTGAAGGTCATCTGTGAAAGGTTCTGGAAGTCCTGGCGTGGGATAATGAACATGATGGGTTGGGCGGATCAGGCCGGTGGAAGGGTGTTTGATGAGTGGCACCCAGGAAAACTAGTTAGAGGGCAGTTGTGGCAATTAAAGCATGAAATGAGGAAGATGTGGCAGAGAGTGAAGAAAGACTAACTCTGAGAGGTAATTCCAAAGAAGGATCAACCGGTCCCCATGGCAGATTTAATGTGGGAGATAAACAAGCAGGAAACAGATAGAGGTGCAATGTGATGAAGAACTAAGTGCAGAAACCAGGGGTGAGTTCATTACCAGCCCTGCCACTGAATAGCTATTTGAACTTGAGTAACTGTCTTAGCCTTCTTGAGCATCAACAAAATGAGGTAGTTAGACTGGACAACTCTTAAGGTTTCTCCTCACCTCAATTTTAATGCCCAATGATGCCCAAGAGAAGGCTTACATTTAGGCTTAGATTTATCATGGCCTTTCTGCATCTCTGGTCACTTCACTGTAAATGATCATATTTTCCTTATTGGGGTATAGAGAATTTTGTTAGTTTTGAAATAAAATGTGGGGTAAGTGATTTATATTAACAACATAACCACAAATACCTTTGGTGCCCCACGGTTATCTTCTCTCCAGCATCTTTGGCATTTTAATGGTGAGGAAGGGCAGGACAAGAGAGGAATGTTTTCCCCAAATGTTTGTTTGATGACTGATAGACCTTGCAAGCCAATTCTTAAGTATAAAGCTTCAGGATTCCTGTATATATCAAAACTGGTCAAAGAATACTGATCCAAAATGTTTAAACTGCTATAATTTCAATATCCAAATATGTGGTTTGCTTAAGAGGCTCTATCTATGGTCCAAATTCCATGGTTATATCACTTGAAGTCAAGTTAAAACAATGAAAGCCTCCTGCAAAGTGACTCTCAAAATTGTTTCTTCTTTGATTCACCCCAAAGCAAAGAGAAAACAGGAGCTACCTCCCCTTCACTGCTCTGTATGCCATTGTGAGAAAGAATTAATAAGACCTACTATTTGATAGCACAGAGGGTGACTATAGTCAACAATATTTTAAACATACATTTGAAAGTAACTAAAAGAGTATAACTGGATTATTTGTAAAACAAACAATAAATGCTTGAGGGAATGAATACCCCATTCTCCATGATGTGACTATTATACATTGTATGCTTATAGCAAAACATCTCATGTATCCCATAAATATGTATACCTATATGTACCAACAAACATTAAAATTAAAAATTTCAAAACAGGGGAGAGAGAGAAGGAAAAGAAGTTAATTTCCCAACTTCTGCTCATTTTCTCTGCAGGGACATATTGGGCCATCTTTGAAGGGTGCTATATTAGTTTTCTATCGCTGCTATAACAAATTACCATAAATTTAGTGGCTTCAAACAAAATGAATGTATCAATTCATAATACTGCAGGTCAGAGTTTGATACAGTTCTGACCAGGCTAAAATCAGGGTGTGGGCAGGGTTGCATTCCCTTCTGAAGGCTCTAGGGGAGAATCTATTTCCTTGTCTTTCAAGCTTCTAGAGATGGCTCCTTGCTGCAACTGCAAAGCCAGCGTCATCCCGTCTCTAACTATTCTCCCCTAGTCACATCTCCCTAGGCCCCAACCAGGGAAGATCCTCCACTTTTAAGGACCCATGTGATTAAATTGGACTCACCTGTATAATCCATAAAGCTCTCCCCATCCCAAAGTCAAAGTGCTTAACTTAATCACACCTACAAAGTCCCTTTTGCTATGCAAGGTAATTCATTTACCAGTCCCAGGGATTTGGACGTGGACATCTTTGAGGGGCTATTATTCTGCCTATCACAGGGACACAAAATGTGCAATTATTATCCTGGGTCATAGTCATGTATTCATCTTGAAGAGAAGTTTATATGATAAAGCTATGCAGCAGGCAAAAGAAAACAAAAAAAGAAGGTCCCAATGAAATGCTTTAGTAACAAATCAGTAAAAAGGGTGGGCACAGCCTGACATGTTTTGCCATCAACAACGTAAGTCACCACAGTCAAGAGGAAGTATTAAAAAGTATAGCAACTCATGCATATATATATATATATATATATATATTAGAAGAATCAAGGGCTCTTCAAATATTCTCTTGATTTCATGTTTAACATCTGGAAAATAAGGCTTATGTGGAGGAGATTATTATGAGAAATGAGAAATCCTTGGTAAAGAAAAAGGTATTTTTCCTCTTTAGAATTCCCAACACATTTCTATTTTGGTTATTTTAGACTATATTTTGAAACTTGGAAATTTTAAAGTTATATTTCAATCTCCTGATTCAAATAAGAATCTTAAAATGATATTTCTGGTGTTGTTTAAAAATGAATAAACAAAAAACCGTTTTTAAGAGATCAGCATGCACCACATCAAATAATCTCTGAAGCATTATCCTGAAATACACAGAGCCTTAATTTCTGCCATATCAGGCAACTCAGGTATCTGAGAATGTCTGAGGAACACAGTATTGTGAAATGTGTTCTTATAAGGCCTGCAAGGAAAGAAATACAAAAGCCACCCCTTATTTGACTCCTGAAGTTCAGCAACTTTACGAAGCTCTTTCATTACCCAAGCATCATTTTCTTTTCCATTTGTTTTCAACTTGTAAAATGGTACAGAATTTTATGCAGTTTTCTCTTTCCATTTATGATTCAATTGCATATATTTTCTCTTATAGTTTTAAAGAAAGCTGTTTGCTTACACAACTGTATTGCATAATGTACTGAATTCTGCTAACATCTAATAACAGAGTATGCAGAGCTTTTGGAAACATGCTCTGTTCAAACCAATCATCTACATTGATCTCATATTAAGAGTACTTGTAGAGTACATAAAGCAATAGCTCTTTCCTTCTACCCATGATTTTTGCATGTACTTTTTTCTTTACTTTCAGTAACTATTTTGGAAAGTTGGATAAATGTTCACAAGGTGGTAGAGATAAAGAACTGCTAAAAAGAAAGCTGTCGCAGGTTCAACCTGAAGTTGTTGACACTGTTGAGATGTGAACACTCTCTTTATGTTCTTGAAATCATCAGTAAAATCTGTTACCCACTAAAAGCCTCTTGTGGAGCAAAGGGTGTATTTGGTTTGTTTATTGTGGAAACAGTGAAAAGCCTGAGCACTTCACCTGCTCCATGAGAGGTGTTCCAGAACAGCAAAGAAACTGAGTTATTTCAGCAGAAGCTTAAGCTCAGAGAGTGATGTACCCACAAAAAAAGTGATGAGGACTAACACAGGGAACAGAACGGATGAGGCTTTGAACTGATCTTATATGGATCTCGATAAGGGACCCAAGTTAACATCTGCATTAGACGTTAGAGAACAAATCAAAATATTTCTTTTTTGTTTGTTTGTTGTGTTTTGTTTTGAGATGGAGTCTCGCTCTGTTGCCCAGGCTGGAGTGCAGTGGCGCCATCTCGGCTCACTGCAAGCTCCGCCTCCCGGGTTCACGCCATTCTCCTGCCTCAGCCTCCAGAGTAGCTGGAACTACAGGAGCCCGCAACCACGCTCGGCTAATTTTTCTTGTATTTTTTAGTAGGGACGGGGTTTCACCATGTTAGCCAGAATGGTCTCGATCTCCTGACCTCGTGATCCACCCGCCTCAGCCTCCCAAAGTGCTGGGATAATATATTTTTTTTAACAACTTTATTGAGGCATGACACATAAAAAGTTGTATATATGTAATGAATACAATGTGATACATCAGGGAATAAATATATACCCATGAAACTATCATCACCATCAAGGCCATAAATATATCCATCACATCCCAAAATTTCTTCAAAATATTTCTCTACCTAGCCTCTCACCACCTTGAAAAGCTGATTTTAATTCAAAGTAAGTTTTAAGTCAAAATATACTCAGTATATAAAAGCTAAGCATATAATTATGTGTGTGCTTATCTTTCCCAAAAAAGAATAGTATAAGAATATTCTGTATATAGAGAAATGCCCATCAAAGTTGACAACTGCTTACCAATTTATTTTTTGTCTCAACCATTAAAGTTGGGGAAGTCATGAATAGAACTTTAAAATTTTCTCATATGGTTCTATACACTACATATAGCTAATTTTGACCATATTTCTATCTCATCTCCCATTTCCATTTCAAATTCCTACACCTGCAGCATATTAGTTCCACTCCCTATTAAAATTTGTTTTCCTCTGATTCATTTCTATGCTTCACGCAACCTGATGTCCATGTTGATCACTCCTCTGAAATTGCTCTTTCTGCTGTAGCCAGTGACATCCTCTGGCTCAAATCTAATGTCTTCTTTCATTTCCTTTTAGACTTTCCTCACCTTCTTATCAGATCCCTGAGTATATTACTTTTCTAATCTTCTGATCGGCATCAACTTCATGGACACCCTAAACTCCCAGTATTTACAATGACTTACTATGGCTTTTAAGAAAAGGCCTTTTGTGTTTTCCTTGCCTACTCTTGTTTTACATTATTTTAGAGTTTCAAAAACCCTAACTGTAACACCATTTATATTTTCAACAATATACGTTTTCAGATAGCTGGAAGAGCAGATTTTGAATGTTCTCAACACAAAGAAATGATAAATATGTGAGGTAATGAATATACAAATTACCATGGTTTGATCACTATACATTGTATACATGTATAAAAATATCACACTGTATCCCATAAATATGTATGATTATTATGTGTTAAAAATAATAAAGCAAAAAAACAGTAATTAGGGAAAATGAAAATAGAACACCCTAATTGGCTGAATTCAATTTATGAATATTTTATTTAATTTTTTATGTTACTACCTATATGTAGGTGACCCCCAACCATCTTTTACTAACTCTCTAGTTCTAAGATTTTTATAAAATGTATCCCAAATTTTCTCACCTTATTTTTATCACCCTCATATAATTTGGATATCTGTCCCTATCCAAATCTCATGTTGAATTGTAATCCCCAATGCTGGAGGTGGGGCCTGATGGGAGGTGTTTGGATCATGGGGGTGGATCCCTCATGGCTTGGCACTGTTTTCATGATAGTGAGTTCTCATAAAATCTGGTCATTTAAAAGTGTGTGGCACCTCGCCCCCACCCTCACTCATTCTCTCTTGCTCCTGCTTTCACCATGTGAGGTGCCTACTCCCACTTCACCCTCTGCCGTGATTGAAAGCTCCCACAGGCTTCACGAGAAGCCCAGCAGATGCCAGTACCATGCTTCCCGTACAGCCTGCAGAGCTGTGGGCCAATTGAGCCTTTTTTCTTTAAAATTACCCAGTCTCAGGTATTTCTTTATAGCAATGCAAGAACAGCCTAATACACACCCTAAAAAAGAATTCTTTTTTGAACAACTTGTTATGCTTTCAAATCCTCTGCAAATGGATAATTTCAAAGCCTATTTCAGTCTTTAATTTTCCAAATTTCACATATATATTAAAGAATTTGAGCACTTCCCCAGTACTGTGAGATATCTTACACGGAAGCACATAAACTGAGCTATTTCAGCAGAATCTTGAGCTCAGACAGTGATGTAACTACAGAAAGGTGATCAGGACTAACACAGGGATAGAAGAGTTGAGGGTATGAACTGGTCTTAGAATCCATACATAGAGATACATGTATGAAATGAATACAGTATGAAATGTATGTATCATGTATGAATCACGTATGAAATTCATGCAATGAATCATGTATGAAATGATAAATACAGAAATGAATATAAACACATGCAAGTGAATATTTTTAAGTTATCTGAGGTAAAACTTTCTAGATAGAATGGGATATAAATTAAAAGAGCACTTGAAGAGCAAATGTTTTGAAGGAATTCATGTTTACGTAGCTTTTATCCTCTTTCATTCAGTTCATAACAGACACTCCTTAACTGACCATTTTGTGCAGGTTAATATATGAGGCGGTACAGGGATTAAAAATAAATGTAAAACGTCTCTGCCTGCAATAATTTACAGATCAAACCACTAACTTTAGAATGAGTCAAGATAAAATACATAAAGTCCCATGAGTTCTCCTTCCAGGGAGGGAGGAACTTCATTAGATTGAGCTGAGGTGGGTTTTCATAAAGGAGAGTGGCATTACCGTATTTCTCTTATGTTTAGCAGTACCTCATACTCAAAAATAAAATCAGATATTGGATAGATGAGTGGGTAGGTGCGGGGTCATGAAACAGACAAATAGTATTTGAGTCACATTATAATGGAATGGAAGGAAACAGGCCTAGGCTATGGGAGAAAGACATCTAAATGAGAGAAAACCATTAGCAGAGACTGTAAGGTAGGAAATCGGGTGAAGTGTTTAGGGCAGAACAAATAACTCAGTTTGGCTATGAGGTGTGTGAAAGAAATAGTCAGGAAGGTAAATTTAACAAGGAAATTCAGGGTTCCAAGAGCCGATGTCCAGGGCTGACATCAGCTGGTGCAAATCTATATAGTGGTAGCAGCTGTTGAAATACTGAGTTTTCCGTATCAGTTGGTAAGTAGTGTAAAAGTAACTGCAATAAGCAATAGTCACTGATAGTAAATATTCTAATATGAATTCATTAGTTCAAGCTAATATTTGAAGACTGTCACAACAAACATTTGTAAATGAGCCTCCTGTCACACATAGCAACATCCGAGAAACATCCCCAACACGTCTGTCAGACCAGCCGATTTCACACAGCCTTCGTGGCACGTTCTTTCAAGACCCTCTGTGCCCCAGAAAAATCATCCATTTAACATCATCTTCAATTGCACAGCTGCTGCTGCTTCCAAGTGGTTTTTTTCTTAGGTTATTGTCAATGCCTTGTAATTCTTGTGTATATAATAAATGTGCAGTTTTTTAAAGTTATACATTTATATAAATAAATATTCTTTAAAGCCTTAAGAATGGAGAGGCAACAAAATTTGGACATGTTTATAACTTTTCTTTCCTAAGCATGCTCTTCTGAATGTGCAACGGAACAAAGGAAAAATGAGATTTATAATGAGCCTCAACCTAGGTTATCTGTGGTTTTGGTGCAAAAATTAGAACAGCTCAAAATTTCTCTCATACAGTTTCAGGGTCAGGAGACATTTCAACAGATAGTTTGTATTTCTGAAGTGAGAATGATCATCTCAACATAAATGTGAGTGGATTATTATTAATATTGAAAAATATTGTATGCAAATAATATCACCAAAAATTGAATTCGCTATATACATTTATATAAAAATGGTAATCACAGCCTGTTAAAGGTCATGGATCAAATAAGGAAAATTTTTAAATTACGATACTATCTATTCCACAGTAAAAGTAATACTGCATTTTCAGGTTTACTAAAACTTTTCATTTTTTAGAGATAAAGTCTTGCTGTATCACCTAGGCTGGTGTGCAGTGGAGTGATGATGGCTCACTGCAGCCTCAAATTCCTGGGCCCAAGCAATCCTCCTGCCTCAGCCTCCTGAGGAGCTAGGACTACATGTGTTCACCACCACACCCAGCTAATTTTTTACCTTTACTTATTTGTGGAGACAGGATTTTGCTATGTTGCCCAGGCCAGTCTTGAGCACCTGGCCTCAAGTGTTCCTCCCACTTTGGCCTCCCAAAGTGCTAGGATTACAGGTATGAGCCACTGCGCTCAGTTTAGAACTTTTTGAAAAAGGTTAAGTTGAGTATAGCATTGCAAACTTGATTTATGTCAGATATATGTGTATGTAGATAAATAAATATATACATTTTTATATATATCTACATATATACATATATGTACATGTATATACACGTATATCTGCCATACATTGTTTGCAATGATATATCCATATTATTCATTTTTTGAAGTTTCAGTATGTGTGTATACATATATATATACACACACACACTGAAATAAGAAAAAAATTTTACATTATCAGCTGTTTTGACTTTCATATTTAATAGTTTTAATATTTTAATTGAAACATGAAATTCAGTATTTGAGGATAGTTTAATGTTTTTTGTGTATCTCACAAAGGTGGAAAATATATATTTAAATAATGATTTATCAAATATATGATCAGAGCTCAGGAAAAATGGCTTTAACGAACAATGTTTTCATTTTATGGGAACTTTATTGAATTTTGTGGAGATGGCCAGTGAAGAAAGTCTGGAGTTTCAATTTTACAAAAATTCCGGTTGTTCTAGTTTGGCAGTTCATTATCTGTAATGATGCAATAAAAGGTGTAATCAAGTAAATCTTTTTAAATCCTGTGTTTAAAAAGTGAATTAAACATCACATAGAATTAAATAATATGAGAGCTAAGATTTGAAATAATAAACACAGGAAGATTATTTGGATCTGTTGATGACTCTCTCATGTTAGGACTACAAAAGTAATCTGGAAATTGTACTGAGTGTAGTATTTTCATCTTAACAGTTATTGTGAAAAGGCCTACTTAAAAAAATAGGTATTTTATCCTAAAGCTATCAAGGTGGGTGCAAATATTGATTTAATAGAATATATGCTTCATAAGAGTCTCTCCTTGTGTGTCTTAGTTACAATTTATCCTTAAGGTCTGGGACAGTGTCTCATATATAAGAGGAGTTCAATACATCCTACAATGAGCGAGTGAATGAATGAATGAGTGAATGGTAGGAAAAGATGTAGAATATTTACAGACATTTGGAAAATTATGTTTTTAGAAATATGGTTTTAATAAATGATGTTCTATTAGAGATTTCAATGTTTTTAGCTTCAAAGATATGTTTTGATTATTAAAGGTGATATTAATTCTACAATTAATAAAATAGATTGAGCACATAAATCTAAAAAAGGAAACTTTTAAGGGAAATTAGAGATTCTATTTTTAAGATAAAGCACAATAAATCGTCTAAAATATCAATCACAAGAGTAAAACAATTAGGTGTAGAGAGTAAATTACATAAAATATTCTATCATTTGATAACAAAAGTAAGCAGATAAAGAATTTTTAATTTTTTTCAAATTACTGAATTCTAAATATAACATACCTTTAAATAAGTTTTTTACATACTCCACAAAAGAGATGCAGAATATATAAAATTCTCAGACACTATATTGAAGGCTAGAAATTACTTAATGTGATTGATGTTGGCTCAGCAGAAGTTGAAAGAAGATTCAATACTGTAAACACTATCATTGATGATAGGAGAAATTTCTACTTACTAAGACCACAATACTCTGAGGACATTTTTAAAAGAGTTGATTTCAGATCATGGTTCAGATAAAGATGTCATCTATCTAGCAATGGCCATTCAGTATTTAAGGATAGTTTAATGTTTTTTGTGTATCTCATGAAAATACATATTTAAATAATGATTTGTCAAATATATGATCAGAGCTCAGGAAAAATGGCTTTAATGAAAAATGTTTTCATTTTATGGAAATGGCCAGAAAATCAGATCCACAATTTCTAGAAATTAACAAATGACTTCATAATTACTAGAATGTTTTGATGAATGATCTGCACTGTAAATTATATTTCTTGGGAAAGATAGATGGAAAAATACATAAATATCGGTGTTTATATTGATAAATATTTATCCTAATAGAGGATAAATAGACGCATAGATAGATAGATAGATAGATAGATAGATAGATAGATGACAGACAGATATAGCCTACCCATACTGGAGTTTAAATACTTTGAGTCTCACCAGCCTCATCCAATAGTTCAATCCTGCATGCAGCATGACAGTGGAAAGCACATGGATGGTTGTGAACCAGAAACAGTCCTGCATTCAATCCTGACTTTGCTTTTTACCAGCTATGTGACCTTAGCAAGTTATAGCACAATTAATCATGCCTATTTCACTGGGCCATTGTAAAAGCTCATGAAATAATGCACATAGATTATGTTCAATAAACATAGATGGTGCTCCTTCTCCTCATCAGGAAAGTCACGCTGAATTCATTGGCCAGGCTGGTACCGGCTTCTGACGCCATGATGGTGCTTTTTTCTATCCATACTGTTTTCTCTAAAATTCTGATGGAAAAGTTAAAATCATGATCTTGAATAAGTGTGTTTGAAAAGAGAATAACACCATCTGGGGGCTTTGTTTTTCCTAAAGCCATCATGAGTGGTGCAAATATTGATTTAAGACACTATAAGCACCATGAGAGTTGCTCTTTGTCTTGTTCACCATTGTATCTTTAAGGCCCTGTACAGTGTTGTTACATAAGAGTAGTTCAAAACATTCTACGATGAAGAAAAAAAGGAAGGAAGAAAGGAAAGAAGGAAAGAAGAAAGGAAGGAAGGAAGGAAGGAAAGAAGGAAAGAAGAAAGGAAAGAAGGAAGGAAGGAAGGAAAGAAGGAAGGAAGGTAGGAAGGAAAGAGGGAAGGAAGTCGGTCTCAGGGGAAAAAGAGGAGCATTGAATTACCGAAAAGAGGAAGGCTGAGAGATGAGGTCTTAAAATTTGATTCACATTATAACTTGGTTGTGTTATAAATGTCAATTTTCTTTCCTGTTCTTCATTTTTTCCCTGTATTTATTTAGGATTGCCTCTCAGCTCCTACATGGTAGTTAACAGAAAAAAAATTATCTAAATGTCAAATGTGAATTATAGCTTACAGCAAGCTGAAATTTAATCAGTATTATCAAACCGAGGAGCATGACCCATTAGTTGGGTCATGACCCTTAGCTTAGTGGGTTATCAAAATCATTTGTTTAAAAAAAGAGAGAGAGAGGCTATAATAAAGAAAATGTAATGGTGTACTATACATAAAATCAGCGTTGTTTGATGATTGTTTTTTGGTTTTGTGTGTGTGTGTGTGTGTGTGTGTTGGTTCTTACTGGAAAATTCACATCTTACAGTGGAATCACTGAAATAATGGAAAAGATTGTGATTTAAACAGTCCATTTGGTTATTTTTACTATTTCTTGGACAAAAATGCCCCACCTCTGTCTTCCTGCCCCTGGCTCTTCTTCCCAGGACACTGGGGTTAAGGTGTAGGGCAAATGTTGTGAGCATAAGTCTGCAGGTTTGGTTGCGGATGCACTACACGAGGATCCAAAGGCACTTCAATATGCCTTTCTCTTTCCACAATGCCTGCCTCTCAAGCCAATCGCTTTGCTGCAAAATCCTAAGAATCTGGATGTTATCCTATTTTTCTTCTTTGTATTCGTATCGTAAAAAACTAAATCTCCTTCACCCTCCCCTTCTCTGTATGTAAGAAGGAAACTGAGGCACTCTGAAAATTTTCTAAGTGTTATCCTGTCAACTTTTGGGAAAATGAGAGGGGTAGCTCCAAGAGAGCTTGAGGATGAGAGTGCCCATCATCAGACAGAGAGAGCTCCTTCCTGTCCTGGGCATGACATGGGTGTGGGGGTGGAGGAGACCAATAGCCCAAAGCATATTCAGGAACCATCTGAGAAGCCTTTTAAAACTATACAAACCACACCATAGCTGAGATATTCTGCAAGCAGAGGTGGAGACAGAACAAATTAAAATGATCTTATACCCATCCCTCCTCCACCACCTCCACCATCATTTGAGAGCAAGATAATTTCTAGTTTCTATTTGGGCTCCCTAGACTGTCTTCGCTACTGGAAAGAAACAATTCCCATGGTAAATGAGTGAATAAGCATAATTTTTGTTTTAATTTTATTGTGCAAGTTTTTTTCCTAGGATATAATCATCTCTGCAGAGCTAGAAGGCCATATCCTGAAGTTCAGGGAGACAGAAGTACATTATAAGGCTTTTTTGGTCTCTAAAAGCCTATACAAATAGACAATGGCTAGACCATAGATAAAAATAGAACTCTGATCCAAAAGCTGCAGCAATGTGCCCAGGAAACCAGCCCCCTTATCTACAATACGCAGCCCATGAAGCCAGCCTGCTGTCAGCCCAGCTAGCGGAAAGCCAGATTACTATCTCTAGTAACTATCCAGGGAGCTAAACAATAACTTCTGTTGGCCCAGAATGGCCAGGACTTGATTAATAACTGGCAGCTTCCTTAATTCTTATCCCTATTTTTAATTTAAGACCAACCAGAAAAAGCCATATATGTGCCCCTAACCAATCACATAGGACACCCCCTACTCAATAGCTGCCTCCAGCCTCCCCGGGCCAACAGCCGGCAGTTGGGGCACAAACACCTGAAGCATTCACCGTTCTCTGCCATGAAGCTTTCGCACTCCTCTGCCTGCCTTGGAGTCTCTGCCAAATGCAAATGATGGTGGCTGACTCCCTTGCTATAGCAAGCTCTGAATAAATAGCCTCTGCTTCTCTCATTTGGTTGGCCTTCATTTATTTCCACTCTTCAATGAACAATCTTCTTGATTATTTTTTATATTACATCATTCATAACTTTCTTTTTTGCCTTTTATTGTTTATTTTCAGAAGGATATTTGTTTTTTTTTTTTCAGTTTTATACTAATTCATCAAGTAGGTTGGGATAGGTCTTAGGAATAGGAACAATTAAGAATTATTCATCTTGGCCAGGCGCAGTGGCTCAGGCCTGTAATCCTAGCATTTTGGAAGGCCAGGAGTTGGGCATTAGGCAACATAGCAAAACAATCTCTATAAAAAATTTTTTTTAATTAGTGGGGCATGGTGGCATGCACCTGTAATCTTAGCTAATTGGGATGCTGAGGTGAGAGGATCACTTGAGCCTAGGAGATCAAAGCTGCAGTGAACTGTGATCGCTCCACTGCACACCAGCCTGGGCAGAAGAGTGAGACTGTGCCCCCACATACACAAAAAAAAGAAGGAAGGGAGGGAGGGAGGGAGGGAAGGAAAGAGGAAGAAAGGAAGGAAGAAAGAGAGAAAGAAAGAAAAAGAAAGAAAGAAAAAGAAAGAAAGAAAAAGAAAAAGAAAGGAAGGAAGGAAGGAAGAGAAAGAAAGAAGGAAAGAAAGAAAGAAAGAAAGAAAGAAAGAAAGAAAGAAAGAAAGAAAGAAAGAAAGAAAGAAAGAGGAAGGAGAGAGAGAGAGGGAAGGAAGGAAAGAAAGAGAGAGAGAAAGAAAAGAAAGAAAGAAAGAAAGAAAGAGTCTATTTCTTTTGGAAAATCTT
Organism: Homo sapiens; assembly: GCF_000001405.40. Taxonomy (NCBI): domain Eukaryota; kingdom Metazoa; phylum Chordata; class Mammalia; order Primates; family Hominidae; genus Homo; species Homo sapiens. The sequence continues at coordinate 130,668,144 of NC_000006.12, forward strand.
TGGTTGGAATGCTGAGGCCCTCACAGAAGAGAAGCATTTCCCCTCAGCTGAACTCCCATGGAGAAATAGGTTTGTTATACATCATTTTGTAATCATTTTATAAATAGCCCATCTTTGGCCCTTTGTACAGCTAAGATTATAGCTTAAACTGCTACCCAATGAAACCTATAACAGAGCTTTCTATTGTATTATTTTGTTTTGATGCATTTCTAAAATACTTTATTTGGCTATCTCATGAATAGTCCTGCATGTATATTAACTTGAAGTTGACATATTTATATCTAAGTATTATTTTGGTTAGTATATAATATTTATTTAAAAAAAATCTAGACTTATAAAAAAAGAATAGATTTATACATTTGGAAAGAAATTATACTATAAATCTGAGTTGTTAATGTTGCAGAATTAATACACTGAAATTAATAATAGCTATATTTATCTTACAATTAAAACCTTTTAAATTTACAGTTAAATGAAACATCATATTTGAAAATGACTAAGGTTTTTATTATTTTCTTTTCTAAGAATCTGAAATATTCTAGAATTTCTATTTTTTTAGATATACCTTAAATGGTGTTGAATTTGAAGGATATGAAAATTAAAGTTGCAATGGTTTCTAATGAAAGAATTAATGTATCAGGCAATGTTTCCAAGGACAATAAGATCAGGAGAGATTAAAGGTATTAGAACCTATAATACTTTATTAAGGAATAAGCCAGCCTCATCAGCTGGACACACACTGTAGGTCAAGCCTCAGAACAATATGTTGTCATGGACTCCCCTGTCTCCATTGCAATGGAGCAAATAGAGCAAAAAATTGTAAAATAACTGATAGGTAAGTTGATAAGATAATTATAAGCATTAATTCAAGAGCCCAATGATAGATGAAAAAAAATGTTCAACATTACTGATCATCAGAGAAACGCAAATCAAAACCACAATGAGAGATCATCTCACTCCAGTTTAAATGGCTTTTATCAAAAAGACAGGCAATAATGGATGCTGGCAACGATGTGGAGAAAGGGAAACCTTCGTAGACTGTTGGTAGGAATTTAAATTAGTACAGCCACTATGAAAAACAGGAGGTTCCCTAAAAAACTAAAAATAGAACTACCATATGATCCAGCAATCACATTGCTGGGTATATACACAAAACAGGAAATTAGTACAGCAAAGATATATCTGCACTCCTGTGTTTATTGCAACAGTATGCACAATAGCCAAGATACGGGATCAACCTAAATGGTCTGTCAATGGATGAATAGATAAAGAAAATATGGTACATGTACACCATGGAATATTGTTCAGCCATAAAAAAATGAAATTCTGTCATTGGAACAACATGAATGGAATTGGAGGACATTATGTTAGGTGAAATAAGCCAGGCACAGAAAGACAAACAACACACGTTCTCACTCAAAACGTGGGAGCTAAAAAAAAAAAAAAAAAAAAAAAAATTGAATCATGGAAATAGAGAGTAGAACGATAGTTACCAGAAGCTGGGAATGGTAGTGGGGAGGCCAAGGGAACAAAGAAGGAATGATTAATGGGTACAAAAACACAGATAGATAGAGGAAATAAGATCTAGTGTTTGTTAGTACAATAGGAAGATTATAGTTGACAACAATTTACTGTATTTTTCAAAATAACTAAAAGAATGGACTTGAAATGTTTGTAACACAAAGAAAATGCTTGGGGTCTTAGATATACCAATTACTTTGATTTGATCATTACACATTGTATGCTTGTATCAGTGGTACCCCCATAAATATGTACAATTACTATGTATTCATAATAATTAAAAATTTAAAAATAAATTTTTAAAGAGCCCAATTAGAAGATTATAAAACCAACTAGCACCCAGATCAATGGACAATCTAGCCTGTACCATGTGACATCACTGCAAGAATTTTGGCCTGGAAAAAAATGTTAAAGTTCATGTAACTCAACCCCTTCCTTGGATTAAAAAAAAAACAACAAAAACAGTAAAAAGGTTTAACAGAAGTTTAACCTTGAGAAGCGTAGAAATATTTTTATTCACTGGTACCTTGGATACATGTCATCAGCCTACACTGAAGGCATTATAAGAAATCGTTTTTTATGACCCCTCTACCCTGCATTGCTCTAAAGATGCTGCTGAGGGCATCGTTCACACAATGACTGACTGTCCTCTTTGTACAGGCCCGTGGGAGAAATTAATCTTTGTTGTCAACACCGGGAATAGTAGTGCTGCTCCTGAACAACTGGCTCATCTGATCACGTGGACACTGAATGTTACTGATTGCATCTCTCTCTTGCTGAGCTGACACCAAAAGGCTTAGATCCAAATTGATGGCCTTCCTCTGGCAAAGACAGAATTGTACAGCATGTGTTTTGTATAAATTCAGTCCTGCCATCATCTTATTTTACCTATTCTTAATTTTTCTCTGTCCTGATTTTCTTACCCACTTATTTTTTTTCATTTTGGTTTATCTTATTATAGTGCACATATTTTATAAATGACCTTAAATCCTTTCTAGAATCTAATGATATATAAATCACTACCTAGGTAACTAGATATGACTAATTAGACTTGAATGGATAATTCCCTGTCACTGCTGCAGTTTCATGCTCTATACATACGATTTCCTTTCCTGGAAAACCTTTCCACTAGTCCCCCTGGAAAATACTAATTCTTCCAGGTCCAGCTGAAAAGGTTGAATCCCCTATGGAGCCTTTGCTGACCACAACACCCCTTAAGGAAGAAGTAGCCACTTGCTCCACTGCATCACACTGAATTGTGACATTTCTTTGTGTCTTCCCCCATGGAAACTATCCTTCTTATTGGGAGAGACTCTGTTATATTCATCTCTATACCAATGCCAGTCGCCATTAGTACATGTTGAAATGAAAGAAGGGAGGGAGGAAGGAGGGAAAGAGGAAGAAAAGAAGACATTGAAGAGATGGAGAGAAAATAATTCAACCTAAAATGGAGGAGTATTTGGATGTGGCTCCATTTACATTTATGATCAAGGTCAGAGGGCATTCCAAAAAAAAAAAATCACTTTTTTAATGGCCTTGCTGTGTTTTTTCAGTCGGTTGTTTCTTGCTTGCTCTCTGCATTCCTTTCTAATGTCTACAAATAACTCGTGCTAAATTGAACTATTCTGGAAAGGCCATCTAAAATATGATACAGAAGTGTTTTGAAGGAGAAGAGGGCTATGATTTCACAGAGAAGATGAGATAACTTTTGAAACTTTTTTTTTGGTTGTTAACACAACAGTCCCACTTGGTACTTTGTGATGAACAAAACAGTGCCTGAAAAAATGAGGAAGATGGGCTAGGAACAAAGGGCCTGTCTGATCAGAGGCCTCAGAATCCACCATCAGAAATTCTGGTTTGACCTGAGCGACTTTCAGGAGGCTTCCCAGACTTCTGAGCAGACGAGTAACTTGATAAAAAGCAACATCTTGACGGGCAGGCTTCTGGTGGCCCTGTGGGAAGATCAAGTGGGGCTGGGGAGGCTGGAGAGTGGGCGGGCGAAGATCCTCACACTCTCTCGGGCAGAGACAGAGCCTCTGCAGAATGAAAGCTGAAAGGATCCCTCCCACAGACGGAGTACGTGTCGAATCCCAGTTTGTTGCCAGAGGTCGGGAAGACCTTTCTCTTTTCCAAATTAAGTAATCCATGACAGCTGACGCTTTCTTTTGAAACAGTTCCAGAAAGTTCCTCCACGAAATTTGAAAAACAGCTTACCTCTCCTCTGAGCCATCCTTAGAGTGCTTGCCAGCACCAGTGGGGTAAGGTGGAGGATTTGTTTGGGGGGGGCGGTCTGGTGTGGCAGCTCAGGGAACAGCCAGCAGGACAATTTCGAAGTGGGCAATTTTCCTCTCCCCTTTCTGGTCTATTCCCTCCCCACTCCACCCTTAGTTCCTACTGAAAATATGCCCCCAACGAGGCTTTGATTTCCTCCTAGTTTCTGTCTCTGCCTGAACTGTCCTTGTGTCCTTCGGTGGTAGAATTCAGAGAGACTCCTGCAAGATTCTCGCCCTGTGGTATACACAGCCCGTATAACGCCATCCACCTTCAACGTGGGAGGGGTAGTAAATATGATGAATTTCATTCCATGATTAGGCTTCATTACATGAAAAAGGTGAAGATCCCAAATAAGCTGACTTTGATATACTTGAAAAAGAGATTATCCTGGGTGGGTCTGACCTAATCAGGTGACCCCTGAAAAGGGATTGTGCCCCTTTCTAAAGGGGGAGATTGTAGGGAAAACGATTCACCTTCTGGTTTTAAAGAAACAAACTGCCATGTTTTGGAGACAGCCACATAGCAGGAGATCACGGGCAGTTTCTAGCAGCAGAGAACAGCTCCTGGCTGACAGCTAGCCAGAAAAGAGGGACCTTAGTCCTATAACCACATCATATTATATTCTTCCAACAACCACATGAGCTTGGAAAAGGATCCCGAGCCTCAGCTGAGAACACGGCGAAGGGGACACCTTAATTTCAGCTTTGTGAGACCCTAAGTAGAGAACCTAGCTACGTCATGCCCGGACTTAAGACCTATCCAACTGTGAGATCAATAAATAGGTTTAAGCCATTCCATCTGTGGAAAATTATTATATAATGATATAAAAAGCAATCCACTTTCGACACACCATCCTTGGCCTTCTTCCACTGAATAACCCCTCCTCAGCCTCTGAGATCTTCTGGAGAACTATGCGTCCACCAGCCAGTCTCTCAGCCCTCTCCTCCCGCCCCCTCATCCTTTCTCCAACCAGGCCCAGCTAAGTGCCTCTCCGTTGTTTTCCTAGAGTGGCAGTTCTCAAAGTCTCCAAGAGAGTTTCATTGGGTCCACCAGGATAAAACTATCTTCACACAAATGCTAACACAACATTTGCCTTTTTCACTGTGTTGACATTTGCTCTCATGATTCTGAAGCATCAGTGGGCGAAACTGCTGGTGCCCAGCAGGAGTCAAGGCAGTGGCACCAAAATGAACCAATAGTTACTGTAGTAATCATCATGATGTACCCACAATGAAAAATATTAATTTTATTAAATTTTGGCCCTCAAGTATACATCTTTTAATATTCTGAGTACCTAAATAGGATATAACATAAAACATTCCTGCTGCATACTGAAGTTTGATATTGTCTTAAAGATGTGCATGATGTCTGAGTTGAAAGCAGAACTAGTTATTTTTTTCTCATGGAACACCATTTTTACTCGAAAGAATAATTGAGAGACACACTATGGTTATTCAGACTTGGGTACTTGGCAGACATTTCAAGGAAAATTCTCACTTCAAAAAAAAAAAAACTATTGGCAGTATTTGTTGCCAATTATAAAATTTGAGCTTTCAAGGGAAAACTAGAATTTTGGTAGACATGTATCTGCCACAACGAATTTAAAGACAATTCTAATCTGTGATGAGATTACAGCAACAATATTGATGAATGTGGTTTTCAAAAATGTTGCATAATAAAATGTGTCAATATTTGAAAATTCTGTGTAATTCAGTGAAACTGTATTTTCTAAAAGACTGTGTCATAAAATCATACATGGGAAAAAGAGCAATTCAAAATGCAAAATAGATTAACAGAATTCATTGTAAGAGTACAGAAAGTTCACTAATACAGTTTTAGATTTTATATTATAAGTAACCTTTGATAAACTACTACTTGTTGTACAACAAAATAGAAAAAAATAAAAAAGAATTAACCTAATTAGAAAATAGGCAAAAGACTTGAATAGACATTTTTTCAAAGAAGGCATACAAATAGCCAACAACAGATATATGGAAAAATGCTCAATATCACTAATCATCAAGGAAATGCAAATCAAAGCCACAGCAAGATATCACCTCACATTTGTTAAGCTAGCAAGTGTTAAAAAGAATGTAGACAATGGAGAACGCTTACAGTGTTGGTGAGAATGTAAATTAGCACAGCCATTATGAAAAACATATGGAAGTTCCTCAAAAAATTAAAAATAGAGCTACCATATGATCTGGCAATCCCACTTGTGGTTATTTGTCAAATGGAAATGAAATCAGTATATTGAAGAGACATCTGCACTCCCTTGTTCATTGCAGTATTATTCTAAACAGCCGTGATATGGAATCAACCTAAGTGTCCATCAGTGAATGAATAGACAAAGAAAATGTGGTATATATACACAATGGAATACTATTCAGCCTTTAATAAGAAGAAAATTCTGTCATTTGCACAGCATGGATGAATCTAGAGGACATTATGGTGAGTGAAATAAGCCAGACACAAAAAGATACATACTACATGATCTCACTTATATATGGAATCCTAAAACGGGAGATGTTGGTCAAAGGGTACAAACTTTCAGTAATAAGATGAGAAAGTTCTGGAGTCCTAATGCACAGCATGATGATTGTATTTAATAATTGTTATAATAATAATAGTTAATAATTTTAAGTATGCAATACTGCACACTTGAAATTTGCTGAAAAAGTAGATCTTAAATGTTCTAACCACACACACACACACATGCACACACACACAAGGTAACTATAAAAAACAAAAGACATGAAGGAAACTACTACTATTGAATTTTTATGTATTATCAAAGAAGAATATATGCAATTATCTGAAATGGCTATTAAAATATTTCTCACTTAGGCAATCTTCTATTGGCATGATGCCAGAATTTCTTCATCTACTTAAAACAATTGCAATGGAATGCAATGGACTGAATGCAGACACAGATATGGGAATTCAACTGTTTTTTTTAATTAATCTAAATCTTAAATTGTTTTTTATTAATCTAAATAATAAAAAGGTTTCCCAAAATGTAAAATAATGTTATTCTTACCAATAATCTTTTGGTTTTGGAAAATGTAGTTATTTTTCATAAAATATGTTTCTTCTATTAATGGACAATGGGTTTATTATTTTTAATCAATAAACATTTTAATTTCTCAGTTTTAATTTCTGATTGATAGATTGACAATTATAACTCATACAAACAAAAGCTCTATGGGGTTCTCAATAATTTTTAAGAATGTAAGAAGGTACTGAGACCCAAAGATTTGAGAACTGCTGACCTTTGCATCCATCTTGAGATTTGTATTATACTGAAATTATCTTTCTTTGTGTTTATCTTTCCACTCCGGCTGTGAATGACTGATGCAAACCACAAATGACGTGTCATTGTGCCTCACGTACCAAGCACAGAATGTAGCATGTACTGGTGCTTAACAAACATTGATTATTGAGTTCCAAGCTCAATTGGTATAACCTGTTCCCTCAAAGAACTAACTATATCACTGGAGAGTTAGGATATGCACCCCAAATAGAAAAATTATATATTCTGATTTTATTAAAGTGCCAGATGAGTTATAAGGGCAGAAAAGTAAAAACATTTAGAAATTTGTGAAGATAAAATACCCAAAATATCTTTATATTTACTGATCCCTGTAAAAATAAGGCTATTTGAAAATTCTAAGAGGTTACACAAATATTTTAAGAAATATTTACAACAAAATTCCAACTTATTAAAAGAATTTGGATAGCCTCCTTTGCTTCTTTCTATATACAAAATTAGCTATGATTTTAAACTGTAAAAACTGAAACTTGATCCCCTTGAAAAGCATTCTAGGATTCTAGCAATACCCAACTATGATCAATTAAAGATAAATTGGTGTTGTGAATTAATGCATTTATATAAGAGAGAAAACATCATAATTTGAAGCTACTTGTGAACACTAAGCTTGAAATGGAAAAACAAGAGTGTTGCTAGGAAATAAGTGAAAACAATCAGCTATTTTTATAGTCCAGAGCATCTTATCCCCTTAATGTGTTTTATTTAATTTGTTTATTGCTTTAAAAGACATTATTTCATATTAGAGGCATGATTTGGAATATGTACCTGAACAGCAGACTCTTTTGTGGAGGGAAATGAGTTTTACTAAAAGATGTCAGCTAATGGAGTCTTCCATTGGCCAAGATAAGTTTATTTTTATTGATGGTAACTATCTAGTCTCTAAGCTTAAGCAACCCAAACAAGTCCCCGGGCCCTAATAACTGCAACAGGTGTTTCTCAGGCTACCAGCCAAGAGCCACAGAGGGTCATCCTCAGAAAGAAAAGAGCAGAAATTTGTGACTTGGCTCCACCAGCTGGCTCCCTGGAATGCAGCACTTCCAAATCCCTTCTTCTGGCTCACAGAAAATATCAAGATTTTCCAGCACCTGCTGCCTTTTCCAGCTGCTGGCTCCTGGCTCCCACTTCCCCAGCCTACACCCAGAAAATCTTTGAGCTGCTCTTGCCCACCCTGCTGCCCACACTGTTTTCCAGGAAGGCCACATGCCTTCACTTTCTTTGATCTGGTCATTTTCCTCTTCTGTTTTTATGTCCCAAGTTGAAGTAAGACAGCAGCTCTGCCAGTCATGCATTTTTTGTGGCTCATGTGCTTTTTGTTGTTGTTTTGCTCCTTTTAAATAGCTCTACTCTTCTAAGGATTCTAGCAGTTATCCAAAGAGTTCCAGACTTCAAAACAATTCAGCAACACAACACAGTGTTCTTAAACAAAGGGGTTGATTGCCTTTTAGTTCAGTGTCAGTGGGTAAACTCCTTGAGATTCTTCATTATTGTGGACTGAACTGTGTCTCCCCAAAAATCATTGAAGTCTCAACTCTCAAGATGACTATATTTGGAGATAGGGCCTTAAAGGAGGTAATTAAGATTAAATGAGGTCATGAGAGTGGAACCATAAATATAGTAAGATTAGTGTCCTTATAAGAAAAGGATGAGACACAAAGAGCACATGTACACAAAGGAAAGTCCACATGAGGACACAGTGAGAAGGTGACTGTTTGCAATCCAAAGAGGGAGGGCTTACCAAAAACCAACCCTGCAGCACCTTGTTCTTGGACTTATAGACGCCAGAACTGTGAGAAAATAAATTTCTGTTGTTTAAGTCACCCCTTGCTGACTATTATCCCCTCTGAAACAAATGTACAAAAAGGAGAGCCAAGAGAACAGGAGGAGTCGTTATAATGGACAGAAAAACTTCACAACATTTCTGGAAAACCGAAGATGGACAAAAACTTACAGATAGATGAAATGACCAAAGAGGTCCACAGCCCAGACATAATTATGAGGAGGCAGCAGTATAGATGACAAGAAATGCCCTGTTGTAACTCCTGCAGGATGGAAGTGAGAAGTTACACTTTCATCCTCCTCCCCAAATCCTGCATCTAAAGCAAAGTCTGTTAGCATTTTCCCCTAAAGACTGAATAAAACATTTGAAGATAATTAAACTTTTTAGCTTAGTGACTCAAAATGAAAACTCTCTCTTTCTAACATGTGAACCTCTGTAGCCTAACAACTGACTTCTTACACATTTACCTGAACACAAATGCTATTAGTCAACACCACACAGAGTTTCTAGACAGAATTCATACTGAGAAGAGAGATTTTGAGGTAGGAAATCTTAAACAAGAGCAGAGAAAACTCAAATATATGCAGTCTTTCTGACTTAAAACAAGTGCATAAGCAATGGTTACCAGGTATTGAACTAGCAGCAGTAAAGAAAATCAATAACATAAATAAAAAATGACACTGGAAGAAATAGAGATAATTCAGGAAAAAGAAGAAAACTTTTAAGAAATATTCAAATGTATATGCTTTTTAAAAGATGAGCCATAAAACATGAACAGGATATTATGAAAAAAGAACAAAACCTTCTTGTATTAGTTATCCATCATTGCATAACAATGCATAACAAATTACCATGAACATGGCAGTTTATAACAATACCTATCTGTTGTGTAACAGTTTCTGCACGTTGGGAGTCTGGCCACAGCTCAATTGAGCCTTCTGTTTAGGGTTTCACAAGGTTGCAGTCAAGGTGTTGACTGGGCCACATATTCATCAGGAGTCTAAACTGGGGAGGCTGAGGCAGGTGGATCACTTGAGTTAGGAGTTTGAGACCAGCCTGGCCAACATGGTGAAACCTTGTCTTTACTAAAAATACAAAAATTTAGCCGGACGTGGTGGCACGTGCCTGTAATCCCAGCTACTCGGGAGGCTAAGGCAGGTGAATTGCTTGAACCCCAGAGGTGGAGGTTGCAGTGAGCCAAGATTGCACCACTGCACTCCAGCCTGGGTTACAGAGTGAGACCAGGCCTCAATACACACACACACATACACACATACATACATACATACATACACACACTGGGGGAGAGTCTACTTTTGGGCTCACTGGGGTTGTTGCAGAATTAATTTCCTTTTGGTTGTAGGACTAAGAGCTCTGACTCTTTGCTGACTTGACTAAGGCCACCTTCCATCCTCTAGAGCCTGTTTTCATCAGTTAGAGGCTGTTCACTGTTACTAAGTCTCTCTACAGTTCCTTCCAAAGAGAGCTTCCCCAACAGTACCACTTACTTCATCAAGCCAGTAAGGAAAGTTTGTAGAGGAAGTCAACCAGCAAGATGAAATATTACATGACATATTATAATCATAGAAGTGGCTTCCTATCTGTTGTTTTGAAGCAAATGACAGCCTGTCCACATTTAGAGGCATGAACATCAGGAGGCAGTATCACGGAGTGATCAACTTAGAGTCTGTCTGCCATACATCTGAAAGATTAAGTTTGGTTAGTTACATTTTAATAACTCAGCAGAAATATCCAATATAATTAGTGAACACAATTTTTTAAACCCCCAGAATATAGAGCTAAAAGATAGTCAGAAAATATGAGAGAAAAGACAAGGGAAATTAAAGAGTTTTGTCCTCTAAAAAATAAAGATGTAGGAACAATAAGGAGTTTACTTTGGGAGAATACAAGAATGAGAGAGAAGGGATGTAGGAAGAGGAAGGGCATGAATAACTTTGGTAGAAATTAAAATGTTTTTTGCTTGGGTCTTTATGTATTTTAAGACCCTGGAGGTTGGCCATTTGCTAATTACGTGACCTTAAAACAAGTTACTATTCCTCTGGGATTCTCAACTCATCTATAAAATAAGGAAAATAAAAACCTCCCATCACATCACTTGTAAAGATGAAAGGAAATAATGCAGCTAAAGCACTCTCATGGTCAATGTTATGTGTCAACTTGTCTGGGATAAGGGATGCCCAGATAGCTGGTAAAACATTATATTTGGGTGTGTCTATGAAGGTATTTTCAGAAGACATTAGCATCTAAATCAACAGACTAAGTAAAGAAGATCACCTTCACCAATATGTGTAGGCATCATCCAATCTGTTGAGTCCTCAAAAAGAACAAAAGTTGGATGAGGGGTGATTTCATTCTCTCTTCTTGAGCTGGTATATTCATCTGCTCCTGCCCTTGGACATCAGAGCTACTGATTCTCAGGCCTTCAGACTTAGATGGGAGTTACACATTGGCTCCCCTGTTTTCCAGGCCTTTGGACTTGGACTGGAAGTACAACGCTGGCTTTCTTTGGACTCCATCTTGCAGACAACAAGTAGTGGGATTTCTCAACCTCCATGATCTCTTGAGCCAATCCCTCATAATTAATCCCCATGTATCTATATAACTAACACATATATATTTATATAGATAGATAAATGCATATCCTACTGGTTCTGTTTTTCTGGAGAACCCTGACTAATACAACTACTTAGCACAGGGCCTGGTACAGAGGTAAACTCAACTAACATTAATACTATGTGTATAGCTTTTACAAATTACTCACTTGATAAACCCTTCAGTAAGTGCCCGAAGATTATTTCCACATCATAACTTTGCATTTTCTCATGTCAGGGTAAGCAGTGCCTTTCCTCCCTAATTTGAGGGATTAAAGTGCAACTCCAGTTCCCAGGAATTGTGGTCCTTAGCCTTGCCACAGACGTGGAACACTTTGTAATATGACTTTTGCCATTGAACAATGATTCAAATGTGCATTTAGAAAACTAAGGCAGTAAGAGCAAAACTGAGTTAAAATATTCAGCCAAAAGGAGACAGAGACATAGATTTAAAAAGAAAGTACATTGCAGCATTTGTTTCACAAGAACAAAGTGATTTATTGAGGGAATAAATCATTAAGGATATTCTTGTTAGCTGTGATTTTAACTTTTAGAATATCTGACATACATTCTTTTGAATGTGAAAGTGCTGATTTCCCTCGTCACTTTCACCATGAGCACCCCTTCATTTTTACTTTCTTGCCAAGTTGATTACTCAGAAAATTGGATGCTTGATGGTAGCCCGGCAGCTCTAATTCTTACTTCTCAGACTAGTCTGAACTTGTAGATATAGGCTGCCTGGAAAATCCTTCATCACAACATATTCTTGAATCGCCTGAAGATGAATTTACAATTCTCATTTTTCACTTTTTTTTTTTTTTTTTTTTTTTTTTTTTTTACAGAGTCTCACTCTGTAGCTCAATGGAGTGCAGGGGCATCTCATCTCACTGCAACCTCCATCTCCCAGGTTCAAGTGATTCTCATGCCTCAAGCCTCTCGAGTAGCTGGGATTATAGGCATGTGCCACCACGCGCAGCTAATTTCTGTATTTTTTTTTTTTTTTAGTAGAAACAGGGTTTTACCATGTTGGCCAGGCTGGTCTCAAACTCCTGGCCTCAAGTGATCCGCCCACCTCAGCCTCCCAAAGCATTTTTCACTTCTTTACATGAGTATTGTACATTTTTAAACTTTATAAAAGTAATACATGGATATCTTTAAATAGTACAAAAAGGAAAAAGTAATCTCCCTTCCCTCTCCTTAAAGGCTGAAACACTGCTAAGAATTTCTGGTGTACCCTGAAAAAAAACTGTATCTGAATGGAATCTTTCGTTACCACAAGATAAATAGTAATGTGACTCCAAATAATTAGAACAGTCTAACGTTCATTAAGATACAAACTAGCATTTTATAGAAATTTTATCTGAAAACTCTAGTGCCATAAGGGGTGGCAGATTTTCCTTTGTGGCTTTTAAGTCCTTTTGTGTACTAGTCCAGCCTGAAACTGAAAATATCTTGATATATGGTCATGGGAAACACTAAACAGGCTCATTTATGGTTAGAAAAATCTGAATAGAACTTCTTGGTAGTTTGGGGAATTCTGGCAATGAAACTTCACTCAAACAGTTTGATGTTAATTGAGAGACCAAAAACCTTAGGGAAATATTTTCCTAAGTCATCCCACACTAAGATATAAATAGCCCGATGGTGAAATAATAACAACAATAACAGGAATAGGTCATAAAGGCATTGAGTCATAAGTGCTGAAATTCATCCCTGTTTTTCTGGGAAGGTTGAGGAACTATTTTGATATTAACTTAATCTGAAATAATTCAGTTATGTTTATTGTAAGTAAAGATAATAAGACCTACTCTATATTATATAGTTATTATAGGATTAAATAAAATATTAAGTTTAAAATTTGTTTCAAAGCCAAAACTCATTTTTTTTAAACATTTGTGGCTTTTTTTTCCATTTTCACAATTGAATTTTTCCCTGAGAAGGAAAAAAAGGTGAAATACCATGAACAGCCTTTTTGTATTAAAGGATAATTCTATCTCAGGAGAGACTGGAAACCAAACAGAACAAAAACACTACAAGTCTAATTTATTTTTACCTAACTTCTAGTTGATAAATGTGTATGCATGCAGGTCAACTGCTTATAAACACTTGATATTTATAATGCTTAGCTGTACTTCTGAAACTCTGCGTCTTATTGCTCATCCATTAGTAGCTGATGATTATGAAAAGAATACAATGGTTTTTAACCAATAATAGTAATTGTTTAATTGCTATTTTTATTAGACAGTAACTGGGCATTTATTCCATCTATTCACATTCAACGTGTTTGACAGAATGGCAAGAACAGGTTGCACCACTACAAATAGAAAAAGGTCATCTAATAAAGCAGTTTTTTAATCTTTAGCTTTGTTAAAATTATGAAATGTCTAAAACAATGATTTCCAATGCTAATGTCTGACAATTTGTCCCTTATATCATGATTAATAAATCAGCACACGTCGTCGTTCAAATTCTGAATCATAAGCTGAACAGAATGCAATAACATCGCAGAATTCTTAACAATTTGCCAAGTTCCCTCCCCTGGCCCTTTCTTCATTTTACAGTGATTTACCGTAAGAACATCTATCAAGTGATGAACAGTGCACCACCAGAAGTACACTTCTGGAATGGGAATATAATAGCATCATTTGAATAGAGGTGCAGTCAATTTTATTTCTTTGTCTCTGGGGAGACAATATAGATATATGAAGTCTGTAAAAAGCACTGTAATTTCAAAGCCTCATGTTAACAAATCAATTCATCATTGCCACCATCTTGTTCAAAAAAAAGAGAGAGAGAACTTCAACAAGCACGTTAACTTTTCTATGCTCTGTACAAAGCAATAACCAGAAATCATCCTGGTAGAGTGTCCCAAATATCCAAGAGGATGATTCTGGTTCATATTCCTCCAGTCTATTCCTTTAAGAAAGTGTTGGCAGGGCGCGGTGGCTCACGCCTGTAATCCCAGCACTTTGGAGAGCCAAGGCGGATGGATCACAAGGTCAGGCGTTGGAGACCAGCCTGGCCAACCTAGTGAAACCCTGTCTCTACTAAAAATACAAAAAATTAGCCGGGCGTGGTGGCGGGTGCCTGTAACCCCAGCTACTCGGGAGGCTGAGGCAGGAGAATCGCTTGAACCTGGGAAGGTGGAGGTTGCAGTACGCCGAGATTGTGCTACTGCACTCCAGCCTGAGCGACAGAACAAGACTCCGTCTCAAACAAACAAACAAAAATGTTAGAGCAGTTGCCGTTTTAGACAATGGAGGAATCTGAAGCAATCAACCAGATAAAATTTGCCAGAATCAAGGAAGCCAAAAGAAAAAATGCAAAATCAAAGTATCCTTGCTTCCTCAAAACTTATTCTTTAAAAATCCCTGAAAAAGTGAGGCAGCTCTGACTTTGAGCCTAGGTAGATGCTGACAGGAGACCTCAAATGTGCCGTTCTCTAGAAAGAGAGCATAGGGAAGGGAGTGCTGAGTGTTGGAATTAGGAGATGAGAGTTTCTGAGCCCTTTCTACACACACACACACACACACACACACACACAATTCCCAACCTCACACCCAAAGTTGGATGTTTTGCAAGGGACAAAGAGGAGCCCCAGTAAGAGAGTTTCCCGCATAGCATATGTGCTGTCTTGTGCCACTAGATCCCTCCCTGCTAACCCAGAAGCAGAAAATCACAGAAGCTAGAGTTTCCCACTAGCTGCCCATCCACAGGCTAAACTAGCTGTCCACCATCAAGTGATGGGAGGGAGAAAACAGAATCCTGGGGGAGAAGTGCAGATAAAACTGGGAGAGCAAAGCGAGATGAAATGCCACAATATTGACCCACACCTCCCTTTCCCCATCAAATGAGCAGCAACTTCAGAGCCTCTTCTAATACATCTCAAGATATTATGAAGTCATAAAAAGGCACATGCTCTTGGCAGAACAAAAAAGTGCCCCTGTCTTTTTCCAGAGACAGTGAAGAGCTGACCCAACAATTGCCAAAGAGGGAAGGTTTGGGTAGTGGAGCCTGTGGATGCACTTTGCTTCTGGGTAGAGCTTCTTCTTTTCCTGATTTCCCTTCCTCTGTAGCTGAGAAAGAATTGCGGAAATACAGCAAGCTTCTCTCTCAGACCCAGGATCCAAATAGGGTCTCCATAGGAAGAAATGGAGGCAAATTTATTATCCTTTTTTTCCTGCAGGGACTTGTGAGTTTCAGATAAACAAGGGAAGGGGTGAGAAAGGGGAAATGTAGTACTTGGGTTCTTTGTCTTTGCAACACTGCTTTATCACAAACAGTAGCCACTGCTTCTTCAAAACAAGAGGCATGGGTGAGAAGCCAAATGTGGAACCATTCATGGAAACGGAGGCCTTATGACCAGAATATTTTATGTGGTAAGGCGTCTAACTTTGTAAGGGCTGAGAAAAAACAACATGGAATAAAATAGAGCCAGAACTAACCAGAGTGAAAGGAAACAGAAGGGCGTATCTGATATTCTTTTTGTAACCTAGCATTAAACTGTAACTATAGAGGATAATTTATCTAGAGATGAAAAACCCCAATGTAAAGGTTGTGTGTGCACACATGCATGTGTGCATCCATGTGTGTTTGTGCATGTGTGTGTGCATGCGTGTTTGTGTGTGTGCATCCATGTGTGTTTGTGCATGTGTGTGCATGTGTTTGTGCACGTGTGTGTGCATCCATGTGTGTGTGCATGCATGTTTGTGCATGTATATGTGCATCCATGTGTGTGCATGTGTGTGTGCATGCATGTGTGTTTGTGCATGTGTGTGCACGCATGTGAACTGCATGAGTCAAAGCTGCAGGACAGCCCGGGACAAATGAGAATGTTCAAGCCTGATGAAACAAATCAATATTTTGGCCTCCTCGAGCAAACAAATGAACAAATGTGTTCTGAAAAATATTATTGAAACTTATAGCCCCAAGATATTGTAGGTGTGTGTTGGTGAGAGTAATTACAGAACTAATTCCACTGAGATACTGAAAATGCCTTCAGCTTGGTAACCTATCGACATGGCAAGAACTGTTATCAGTGAAAACAAAAGCAGGTTTTCTGCTTTCTTTAATTTACTTACTTTGGTTGGAACTCTTCCTTTCTTTGTTAAATCACAGGCTTTTGCCCGGGATGTTTAATGTAATAAGAGAGACAAATAGCCTGTGCCATATCTGTGTGAAATAGGCACACAGACTAATGGGGACAAATAAATAGTTGCTGTTGTCAGAGAATACCTTGGGTCCATCAAGACAACACTCTCAGATCACCTAGGAAGCTTTTTAAAACTACATATGCCCCAGCACTTTGGGAGGCCGAGGTGGGCGGATCACCTGAGGTCAGGAGTTCGAGACCAGCCTGACCAACATGAAGAAACCCCGTCTCTACTAAAAATACAAAATTAGCCGGGCATGATGGCGTATGCCTGTAATCCCAGCTACTCGGGAGGCTGAGGTAGGAGAATCCCTTGAACCTGGGAGGCAGAGGTTGCGGTGAGCCAAGATCATGCCATTGCACTCCAGCCTAGGCAACAAGAACAAAACTCCATCTCGAAAACAAACAAACAAACAAACAAACAAACAAAAAACTACATATGTCCATTCTCCATGCCAGATATCCTGATTGAATTTACCTGCCTAGGTTCAAGGCATTCATATTTATTAAACCTGATAAATTCATTCATTCAACAGTCATTTAGTAGACTTGTTGAGAACTTATTATGAGTCAAGGTTCTCGGCATATAGCAGTGAATAAAACAAAAACAGTAATCTTATCCTTTATGGAGTTTACATCTAATAAGGGAGGCACACATTAAATAAGATAAATAAGTATAGCATATTAGGAAGTAATAAATGCTAAGGAGAAAAATTAGGCAGAAGAGGAGAATATGAAGCTTCAAATGGAGCAGAATTTTAAATGGAGTAGATGGGAAAATGACATTTTTAGAAAAGAACTTAGGGTAGAAACCAAGCAGAAACCTGAGGGTGGGAGGAGAGGTATTACAGGTGGTTGAAACAGCTTGTGCAAAGGTCCTGGGGTAGGAATGTGTCCAAGGAACAGCAATGCAGGCTGAAGTAAATAGAAGGCATGGAAGAATAGTGGGAAATGAAGGCAGAGATAATGAAGGACCTTGTAGGTCAATGTATAGACATTAGTATTTACTCTTGGAAGGGTTTGAACACATGAATGATCTACTCTAACTTATACAGTGTCCCTCTGGCTGCTTTTATGAAAAAGGACAGAATGGGAGTTAAAGAGAAAGCAAGAAAACCTCTTAAAAATCAATTTATATAACCCAGTCTCTGGTGGCTGGGACTAGGGATGGTAGCCACAGAGGTGGTAGAACATGGTACAATGCTGGACATATTTTTAAGGCAGAGTCAACATGATTTGCTGATGGATTTGATCTGGGGGGGTGGTGAAAGAAAAAAAGAAGTCAATGATGTCTTCAAGGTTTTCACTCTGAGCAATTGGCACAAATGAAATTTCCTCTACAAGGATGGGAAAGACTAGAGAAAGGTCAGGTTATAACAGGGAGAAATATTATGAGCCCAGTTTCAGACATGCTATCTTTAGTTGCTTAGTTGAAGTAGTGGAAATGAGTTTGGAATAGAGTTCAGAGACAAGTCAGTGCTGGAAATATAAATTTTGGCTTCAACAAAAGGCAGCATTTAAAGCCGTAAGTCTGGATAGCACCTTCAAGGAACTGAGTTATCCAGAAAGAAGAAGAGATCCAAGGACTAAGCCCTGAGTTACTACAGCTTGAGGATGAATCAATACAGTAGATGTGGTACGTCTGGATTTCAGTAATGCATTCGTCATTCTCCCATTAAAAGAAGGTTGGTAAGGAGCCTTCACTAATGACACAACTAGAGTCAAACTTACAAGACAAATTATTATCAAATGGTTCTGTGGAGGGAGCTAATTCATGGAAAACTGAAGCTATGGTCCTGATCCTATCCCGTCACCATCTTTTATTAAACTAGGGAAGTATATATGCAATCCCTGCCTTTCTAACTGAACACTGTTTAAACTCAGGCCTCCACCCCTTTCTTCCATAACTACATGCTTCAGGTAAGCTCCAGGCTTGGTGCTGTCTGGCCTAAGGATGATCCCATTCCCTCTTGCCTCCATATGGAAATGTGACTTTCAGTCAGTGAAAAATCAAAAGTTATCCAGGAAGCTCCAAAAAAAAAAAAAAAAGAAAAAAAAAAGTCCTGGCTCTTAAGAGCAAGCTGGGGGAAGAGATGGCTTTGCTTTCTCCTCCTTTAAGTTTCTGATAAAAGCACCTGGAATTGTGTCCTGCAGTCATCCTGCAGAGATTGTCTATGATAAATGAATAATAATATCCATGAGATACAGATCTAAGAAGTCAACACAGAATCATGGAGCTCAGAGCTGGAAAACCATGCAGAAAAGATAAGCGAGGATGTCATAACAAAATACCATAAACTAGGTGGATTATAAACAACAGAAATTGATTTCCCACAGTTCTGGAGGCTGAGAAGTCCCAGATCAAAGTGTCAGCAGATTCCGCGTCTGCGGAGGGCCCACTTCCAGCCTCATAGTCGGGGCCTCCTTGCTGCTGTGTCCTCACATGGCAGAAGGCACCAGGGATCTTTCTTAAATCAGAGCACTAATCCCATTCATCCACCCTTATGAGCTACTCACCACCCAAAGGCCCAACTTCCTAATCCTATCATGCTGGGGATTCGTATTTTAACATATGAATTTTGAGAGGATACATTCAGTCCACTGCAGAGTGGTTCAGAGTTTGGGGCAAGTTCAGCTCAGGATCCAGAGCCTGGTCACTGAATTCTCAGGCCAGTTCTCCTCTTCTGCACCACATGGTCACCTTAGCCTTGCTTCTTTTTAGCATTTACTCTATACCTTTTGGACAGGCCTATTGCTCTCCTGAGAATCTCTAATTGGTGTTTTTACCATCTGATAGGAAATACGACCTTCAACAAACAGCCAGAATGCCTTTGACAGAGTGATACACAGAGTCTTACTTCACCTACCAGCAGAAAAGATCAACGCTCTAGTGCGTGCAGACAGAACACAATTGGCTTATCCGACTTGTTAAGTATTGAAATCCTCCATGAATTTTCAAGGAAATTAAGAACTGAATTCTGTCCTCAGTCTGTGTGTGTTATTTTTGTTTATTTCACCAGAAACTGTATATCCATGCCCATCAGGAAATTATAATCAACAAATACAGCCATGGGAAAAGAGTACCCGCAATGCATGGAGGTAGGGAAAAGTTGCAAAACATATCCTATTATACTCAGATAGATTGGGAAGTTGGTTGGAGTTATGTTGGAGATGATACAGGGTCTCAAAAGAGATTGTGCCCAAGTAGGGTAAGTCAGGTGGGAGGCTGGTGAGGTAGACAGTGTATATTTTTTAACTGTGTGCAAACTCTGTGTGTGAGTAGGGAGGGAATAGTTTGATTACCATATGGAAAACTTTCATCTCCCGTAATCAGAATAACTAACACATAGATGATGCTTATTATATGCCAGACAGTGGACTTTATAATAATTTACTACACTCAGATGATCTTATCTATTTCATGTGAGGCATGATTGTTAAGTGAGTATATGTGTGTGTACATATATAAGAATATATATACACATATATACACACACATAGTATAAATAGAGATGATAAATTCTATTGTTATTTCCATTTTACAGAGACACAGAGAGGTTCGGTAACTTACCCAAGGTCACACAGCCAGTGAGGTGCAAAATTGGCTCTGAAGCTCATGGTCTCAATCATTATGCTAAAAAAGTTACTGTTACTCCTCATCTTGGCACACAATGAAAGCATTTCCTAAACTGGTTTTGATGCCCCACTTATCCTCACCTCTGGGGCTTCTCACATTATATGTCACACTAAACTTCTTTATCTGGCCCAGTTACAAGTATTTTTTTAACTGACAAATGGTAATATGGGATACGTGATGTTTTAATATATGCATTCATGTAAATGGATACATCAAGCTAATTGACAAATGCATCACCTCACACACATCATTTCTGTGGTGAGAACATTTAAAATGTACTCTTTTAGCAATGCTGAAGTACACATTATTATTAGTTACAGTCACTATTCTGTGCAATAGATCTCAAAAATGTATTCATCCTACTAAAATTTTGTAGGCTTTGACCAGCGTCTTCCTATTCCCCAACCCCCAGCCTCTGGTAACCTCCATTCTACTCTCTACTTCTATTAGTTTGGCTTTTTTAGATTGCATTTATAAGTGAGATCATAAAAAATTTGTTGTTCTGTGCTTGGCTTATTTTGCTTAGAAAAATGTCTTCTAGGTTTATCCATGTTGTTACATATGATAGAATTTCCTTCTTTTTAAAGGCTATTATTCCATTGTGTATATTGCCACATTTTCTTTATCCATTCATCCATTGATGAACACTGGGGTTGATTCCAATATATTGGCTATTGTGAATAATGCTGTAATGAATTTGGTAGTGAAGATACCTCTTCAACATGCAGATTTCAATTCCTTCAAATATACACCCAGCAGCGGGATTGCTGGATCATATGGTAGTTCCATTTTTAGTTTTTTGAAGAAACTCCATACTGTTTTCCAGAAGGGCTATACTAATTTACATTCCCACCAACAGAACTCAAGGATTCTGTCTTTTTGTTAATAGCCACCCTAACAGGTGTGAGGTGATATCTCATTATGGTTTTAATTTGCATTTCCCTGATGATTAGTGATGTTGAAAGTATTTTCATATACCTGTTGGCCATTCGTATGTGTTCTTTTGATAACTGTCTAGTCAGGTTCCTTGCCCATATTTAAATACAGTTATTTATTTTCTTGCTATTGATATGTAGATGACATACAGAGGTTATAAATTGCTCTAGCATATTTACCAGCACAACACCATCTGGGTTCTGCATCCTAACAAGGCATTAGGTGCTACATGGGAACATAAGTGAAAAGTGACTTCATTTGATGAGTAGCAAGGATTGAGTCACTTACCCTACTACCTCTCATTTTTTGTTTCAAGCAAGTGAAGGTAAAAGTCCTGAGAATCCATTAACAGGTAAAATGTCTTAAGATTTATGTGGAAGGTTTTCTCTATATAACTGGTGTGTCCTTCTGAAATGTTTGGCAAATCCAACTCAAGATTCTTGATGACCAGGCTGTTTGAACAGGCGGCTACTCCAGAGAGATGTTAACTGCACAAAATAATTGATAGCAAGCAAACTATCAAACGCCCTAGTTGTGCAGTCATCATGTAATGCCTTTTTCCTTCATTAGGTCATTCATTCTAAAGCGGATGATCCTTATATTTGAACTCATATTTATATTTTACTTCTAATCTAAGAACTTTATACAGAATGATAGTTTTAAGTCTTAGAGATATAAGGCACTCAATCAGAAATAGACACAAATAACATACTCAAGAGCTTCCAAAATAAACAAAATGTAATATATCATGCAGGAGATACAAGCCACATTGAAGAGCTCAAATTTTTAGAAATACCGTTGGTTGAAATTTTACATTTTGTTCGAGAAAGTTTCAAATGGAAACATTTTTCTTCTGTGGGTGCCATGAAGCAGCTGTTCATGTGAAGAGAAGGACATTGAAAAGAGTGATGTGAAGCTTTAATTAAAGCCCGTCTGCTGTTTTACTGTTTCTGACTATTGAACACAGTTTGTGTTATTAACATAATACTTGGAAATGTAATTTCCTTCAGATTTTGTTCTCTGGGATGCAAGCCTGCTGCTTCTCTACATTGTCTTCTATTTATCCTGTTCCATCACTCTCAACTTAGGCTAAAAAAAGAAAAAAGTTCCAATTCATGAACCAATAAGGAAATCAATAATTATTGAACAAGTGATGCTCTGATGCTCAAACAATTGATTAATGAGTTAGGGGAAAAAATAAAGTTAGAGGCTCACCTTGTCCTGTAATTATAACATATTAGATGTATCAGAACATGTTTCCCAAAGCAAGCTCTGAGGAATCACATCTCATATGTGCTCAGGAAAATAGAAACAATGTGTTCATTAAACAACTCTGGTTGTGTCTTTCCTCTGCTTCCCTCACATAAAGTAAATAATGTACATTAGCAAGCTAAATACTCGGAGAAGTCCTAAAGCTTTTTCAAAAATGAGCCTAACGTGTAGCCTTGTATTTCTTTGTGACCATAGAAAATTTTCTGCCTCTCATCTATCATCATTCTACAGAACTAAGATCAACAAAGACAGAATTGGGAAAGAGGATATATTAAAATGGTAAATATTTTAATAATCATAAGGACTAAAAAAATACTTGTGAGTTGTTATTGGATATTTTAATGTAGAATTTCTGAATGATAAAAGACCAGAAAATTAACATTTTCATATATCTTAAGACTTTATAAACAAAAGCAAATGGTTGACTGGACATGAATATTGTAAAATGTTGGCAAAGTCTGTATCTACAATATAAAAAGAACATTAGAAATAAATAAGGGAAGATCCCAGGGAGGAGAATGCCAGCAAACAGCTCGGCTGGCTGATAAAAGTGAGTGGAGCCCCATTACATGAGAGAGACAGCGACATTGGATATTTTTATGTAGAATTTCTGCAAAAGAAAAGAACACAAATTTAAAAACCATTTCTATTTGACTGCATGGAAGTTAACATTTCCATACATCCTGAGACTTCATAAACAAAAGCAAACTGAGTACAAAAACAAGACCCATTCATATGCAGTCTTGAAGAGACCCATCTCACATGTAACAACACCCATAGACCCAAAGTAAAGGCTTGGAGAAAGATTTACTATACAAGTGAAAAACAAAAACAAAGCAGAAGTCACTATTATTATGTCAGGTAAAAGTTCTTAAGTCAACAACAGTAAAAATAAACAAAAAAGGGCATTATATAATGATAAACCACACAATTCAACAAGAAGTCTTAACTAAATACATATGCGCTCAACATTGGAGCACCCAGATTCATACAACAAGTACTTCTTGACCTACAAAAAGACTTAGCCACACAATAACAGTGGAGACTTCAACATCCCACTGACAGCATTCAACAGATCATTGAGGTGGAAAACTGGAAAAATTTTGGATTTAAATTTGCCACCTAACCAATCGGACCTAATAGACACCTATAGAATAATCCACCCATCAGCCATAGAATATACATTCTTTTCCTCTGCACATGGGACATACTCCAAGATCAATCACATGTTTGGTCATAAAGAAAGTCTCAGTGAATTCAAAAATACTGACATAATGCCAACCATCGTCTTGAACTACAGTGGAATAAAAATAGAAATGAATATGAGAAGATCCCTCAAAACCACACAATTACATGAAAACTAAACAACTTGCTGTTGAACAACTTTTGGAGAAACAATAAAATTTAAAAATTATTTTAAATAAATGTAAACTTAGAAACAACATACCAAAATCTCTGGGATGCAACAAATGCAGTGTTAAGAAGACAGTTATAGCACTAAGTGCCTGTCTCAAAAAGTTATAAAGTTAATAATCTCACATCACAGTTAGAGGAACTAGAAAAATAACCCCAAAACTAGCAGTAGCAAAGAAATACTAAAATCAACACAGACCTGAACAAAATTGAGACCCAAAAATCTATACAAAGAAGCAATGAAACCAAAAGTGGGTTCTTTGAAAGGATAAACAAGATCCATAGACCACTAGCTAGATTAACAAAGAAAAAAAGAGAGAAGATCCATATAAGCACAACCAGAAACACAAAGATGACATTACAACCGATCCTACAGAAATACAAAGGATTTTCAGAGACTATTCTGAACACCTCATGCACACAAACTAGAATACTGAGAGGAAATGAATAAATTCCTGGAAACACACAATCTCCCAAGGATAAATCAGGAAGAAATGAGGAGACAAGATCAAGTTCTGACATTGAATCATAACAAAAATCCTACCAACCAAAAAAACCCTGGACCACATGGATTCACAGTCAAATCCTACCAGATGTACAAAGAAGAGCTAGCACCGATTCTACTGAAACTATCCAAAAAATCGAAGAGGAAGAACTCCTCTCTAACTCATTCTATGAAGCCACCATCATCCTGATACCAAAACCTGGCAAACAGACAACAAAAAAGAGAACTACAGGCCAATATCCCTGATTAACATAGATGCAAAAATCTTCAACAAAATACTAGCAAACCAAATCCATTAGCACATCAAGGATATGGAAATAAGTACAGTAAGTGAGTGTCATTTTTTATTTCCCCAATGGTAACAATGTAGTAATAAGTATTATTTCTTAAATGGATTATATATCTATGTGAGATATGCATGTGTTGGAGGCTTTTCCTTAACAGTCTCTCCTTTCTTAAGAGCCAGAATCTGGCTGAGCACAGAGGTTCATGCCTGTAATCCCAGCACTTTGGGAGGCCGAGGCAGGTGTTTCACAAGGTCAGGAGCTTGAGACCAGCCTGGCCAGCATAGTGAAACCACGTCTCTACTAAAAATACAAAAATTAGCCGGGCATGGTGGCGCACGCCTGTAGTCCCAGTTACTCAGGAGGCTGAGGCAGGAGAATCACATGAATCCAGGAGACAAAGGTTGTGGTGAGCCAAGATCGCGCCACCGCACTCCATCCTAGGCAACAGAGCGAGACACCATCTCAAAAAAAAAAAAAAAAAAAAAAGCCAGAATCATGGAAGTAAACCTCCCCCTTATAAATAAGACGAGTCATTCAGGAATAGAGTGTTGCAATGAAGTCCCAGGCTCTGAAGGCTTACTTTGGGGTTCAAATCCCAGCTGCACTGCTTACTAGCTATGTACAAGTCCTTCCACCTCTATATATATTCCTTATGTGTAAAATAATAATAGAAAAAAATTGAAAAAACAGAACAGAAAAAAATATTGAAAGCAAATGTGCCAACATACAAATAAGAATTCTCTCTGGATGGCATGTCTGGTGATTTTTCTAAACTTTCTCCAATTAAAGGAAAGAATAATTAGTGTTGTCAAGTAGAGAGCTAACCTTTATTAATTATCTAAGAATTACCTCGATTAGCACAGTTTAAATAATAAGCAGATGTTAAATAAAGTACTTTTAGAGATCCTAAATAGTTTTTTAGCTTGTTAACTCTATATCCTCAACTAAAGTCTTTTTTCATAATTGGGCAAAACTAAACATACCCTAGTCCATATGCATATTACCACACAGACAGACTGATACTGATTAGCTGTTAAATACCACTGTGTTTCTTTGTTAAGGAAAAGATTTGAAACAGAAAAACAGACAACTCAACTTCTAATTAATGCAGGTTCTTTCAAATGACTTAGAAGATAATATTTTGAAACTTTTCTAGACTTTGCTTTTCTCAGATGTACAAAGGAAAGATAACACTCAGAATAGTTTCAAAGAAGAGTCACACACAAAAAAATGACAGTAGTTAGGGAACTCTAAATTCTAAGAATTCTAAGAAATGTGACTGTCTGCCCCTGAAGAGCTCCAGGCCTCTGCACACGTTACTCCACTAACACTTTCCCAACAATTATATTCACCACCAGCAAAACTGATGACTATAACAACCGTATTAGAAAGACAGATATTGATTCACTAGAAATATGTACTATTAGAGTTCACTCTCATTTTAACATACCAATTCATATTCATATTTCATCACTGCTTTCCTGGAGTAATTTTTCCAAAAGATTAAACACAAAAATTTTTTCTGGGGCCTTAAAATAGCACATAACGTGATCCCATTGTTTACCACCTACTTTCCACACTCATCATTTAACCTTAAAATCACATGACAATTGTGTTTTACAAACGATTTTTATTACAACAAAATTCTTTTTGGAGTGATGAGTTTTGTAATCTTATTCTAATATAATGGAGGTTCATCCTGCCTTAAAATTAGATCTTGCCAACAGATGAAATAAAGGATCATTATTTACATAACAAAAGATGCTGTTTATCAAAAGATTCATTGCAAAGAAGATTCTTTTAAAGGGCAAGCTCTTCTACTACATTTAAAATACTTCAGTTTAGAACAACTGTGTCTTCCCGTAGCTTTTCAGTAGTGAAGTTGGAGCATCCGTATATTGTGCATATCTCATTACAATGACAGAACTTTACAAAGCAAGGAGCCGCTCAGCTATGACTCAATCAATTAGGAAAGGAGAAAAGCAGACCCAGCCAAGGAGAAACATGGAGAAGCAGCAGCAGGAAGGACAGAATAAGTTAAGAAGCATAAAGAAGGCTTTAAAAAATGAAAATTCTCAAATATCTGGGAGAACAGTGAAATAGAGCAACTCCGTGGCTTGTTTCCATTACATGTGATATAGTTTGGCTCTGTGTCCTCACCCACATCTCATCTAGAATTGTAATCCCCACATGTTAAGGGAGGACCTGGTGGGAGGTGATTGGATTATGGGGGCGCTCTCCCCATGCTGTTCTCATGATAGTGAGTGAGTTCTCATGAGAGCCAATGGTTTTAAAGTGTGGCATTTCCCCTTTGCTCACTTTGTCTCTCTCCTGCTGCCATGTAAGATGTGCCTTGCTTCCCCTTCACCTTTGCCATGATTGTAAGTTTCCTGAGGCCTCCCCAGCCATGCAGAACTGTGAGTCAATTAAACCTCTTTCCTTTATAAATTACCCAGTCTTAGGCAGTTCTTTACAGCAGTGTGAAAATTGACTAATATAACATGTATATATAATCAAACTCTTCCCAAAAGGTTTAAAAAGGTTTCTGAGGTAAGAACCTCTGTCTAGTTGTCAGTCCTTACCTAGCAATGAGTCCCAAGCATAGTAGACCCCAATAAATATTTGTTGAATGAAAGAAATGACACCAAATATTGCATTTGAATAACCTCTAATGAGCGTACCTTCCATTTTGGTACACCCAGGAAAATGATTAGGGGTAAGGGATGCCAGAGGGATTATTATCTATCTTTGTTCAACTTCTTATACAAACAAAACAAAGCCACCAAATCACAATTATTGATAAGGTGATTATTATCTCTTTTGACAATGAGATGAAATGTTACCTATATTCAATAATCGCACTAATCTAGTTAGTGTCTATGACTGCCAATAAATCTTAAGCAACAGATTCCATCCAAGTCCTCCGATTAGAGGGCAGCCTTGTATCACATCCTGACTCCCTACCCCCAGCTCCACCACCCATTCCAGATCAGGACCAAAAGCCCTCCTTGGAAAGGAAGGCCCTGCCTGCTGATCTGTCCTTTCTCCCTGCAGACAGATAGTGCCCCTACCAGAGTGGTCTACGACTCCCTTCTACCACTTGCCTGCATGCCTCTCAGAGATGCAAAAATGCCACAAACAGCAATAAGCTTCCAGTTCAATAATCTTCTGTTCAAACTGGGCAGAAGCTTCAGTTAATGCAGAGAATCTTAGAAAAGGATAAAATAAGATTTATGTCCATATATCCAAAGGCCATTGTCCTACTTGGTAAGTGTGAAAGCTGATTGCAAGAGGTATTGTGGTATTCTAGCTTTCATATGTTCTGTTTATGTAGCCAAATTTCCATTATTTTGGTAATGGAGGACAGGGAAGAAGTATAATAGATAATTGAAATTCACAGATAATCCCCAACCCAAAATCTTGGCCAGTAGTTACTACCTTAATGCCCACAAATCTTTGATCAGAGCATCCCAGCAAGAAATCAAATTGCAGAGCCACGCAGCTTCAATGGTCAACTTCTTTTCATTCTTCCAACAAACCTGCCAACCTTCTATTTTTCTCCTGCTATTCACCCCACCACTGCATCAGTTTTCCAGCATAGACACTTACTTAGCAAAACAGCAGAATTCGTGTGTTAGGAGGAAAGAGAAAGAGAAAAGAATCTGCAAAGCTATTCTCCTAAAAATGGAACATTGTCTTTGTACTTTAAGCAACTTTAGCAATGGGCTTCCTGAGTTGATTTTGGTCTCTCACAGGGCTTCCCATGTGTATTTGATTGATGGTTGTGCAAACTGGTTAACTAGCTAAAAAGACAGGAACCACTTGTTGTTGGCACCCTCTAAGATAGCCCCCAAGAGCTCCCACAAATACACCCCCTATAGCCAAGAAATTACAACAACAAAAAACTTTAAAGGGACATTGAACAACCTGTATTTTTAATGGCTAGCACTTGATCATTTTTTTAGTAGATTATTCTGTGGACAGTTGGGTTTTTTGTTGGGTTTATTTATTTTTTGTTTTGTTTTGCCTCCAAAGGACATATGCCACTAACGATATGTTCTACTTATTATCCAAAATTATTTGCCTCAGCCATTTGGGCAGGAAACACAGAGAATTACTCACAATACCATCACCAGTCATCTCTAGTAAGGAAATAGCGAATTTCTTCCTTGGCTCTTATCTCCAAGTCATTCATTCATCAGATCTCTTTATTCTTTTGTGCTGTGTCTCATCTTCTGTCTCTAATATCACAGCTGCCATTTCAGTCTGAGCCCTTATTACCTCTCTTGTGATTTCCAGCACTTTCTAATTCTCATTGTCCTTTTCCCCTCTTCTCCCCGTATTAAATCATTTCATTCCATTGTTTAAAAACTGCAGGTCTGTAATTACGCTCTCCAGGGACCATGGGCTAACAATAAAATGTTACTAACACTGTTGAACTCCAAAGGGAGTCCCTGACCAAAACTCTGGTGCTTCTGAATTGTTAAAGACAGGGTTGCAACTTAAAATTTGGAAATAAGTACAGTAAGTGAACATCATTTTTTATTCCCCAATGGTAATGCTGTAGTAATAAGCATTATTTTTCAAATGGATTACATATCTGTGTAGGATATGCATGTGTTGGAGGCTTTTCCTTAACAGTTTTTCCTTTCTTAAGGGCCAGAAGAATGGAAGTAAACCTCCCCCTTATAAATAAGAAGAGTCATTCAGAAATAGAGTGTTGCAATGAAGTCCCTGACTCTGAAGACTGACTGTGGAGTTCAAATCCCAGCTGCACTGCTTACTGGCTATGTAGAAGTCCTTCTGCCTCTATATATTTTCCTTATGTGTAAAATAATAATAATAATAACTATTATAGTGTTGTGAGGATTTATACAATTCTCATGTAAAATAAGAAAGAAAAATAAACTCATGCTAATCTCTATGACACACGTAGTTCAGTGCCCTGCCACATAATAAGCACATGGTAAGTGTTGCCTGTTACCATCATTTTCAGTCTCATTAACAAAGAGCATACTGGGAACTCACAGTACATGAGGGTCATAGAATGTCAAGGTTAAAGGAATTTAAGGGACTTTCTCTTTGGTACAATCCCCCTTCCTCCACCACTGGCCACCCCTAATTTTACAAAGGAAGAAAACAATTTAATTCAGAGGGTTTTTTTTTTTTTCCAAGAAGTGATTGTTTATTTTTTACTTTTTCTTTGTAACGCAGTAGACACTGGTTACCTCCGTACAGTGCTGCTCTTACTTTTTGGTGCCACCAAGTGGCCAAGTTTAATGGCGCAGTGATACATCCCCCAGAGGGAACCCCAATTTTTATAGCATAAGCTCTGTTTCAGACAGCCTTCAAAAGCTTTTCAATGCTCATCAATTAATGAGTAGTACTCTGGGTTGAGCAAGGAAGCAAAAGTTACCAGTGGCTCTCCAGTACACTGGAAATGAAGAAAATCATTCCTGAAAAAGAGAAGTAGTTAAGTGTTGGTGTTGGCTGAGCTTCAGCCCTTCCTTCCATGCCTGGAAAGCACTTTCTTATTTCTGAGTTTTAAGAAATGCATGTCTGGTCTTCTGGATAGACAGGAACCATTAGTAGTGTAAACAATATACACATTTTGAATGAACGCTCAAGTGCTAATAACAATATTTGCCTGGAAATTTGATGACCAAAGTGAAATATAGCTCTCAAAGAAAAAAATCTTAAAATAAAAGAATAAACATAAAATTTTAGCCAAAAAATTGCCATAGTGAATAGTCACTTTCAAATTGTTCATCTAATAACATTTTTAACCTTTTCATGAACAGCAGAATATAATGGAAAAAATTTTTTTCAGAAACATGTCTTTTACAAAGAACTTTGTACCTTTGAATTTATAGATTTGGAAAACCTAAAAGAAACCTTCAACTACTAAAAGTGATGGGCAGTCTAGACTCTAGAACAATCAATTCACCATTTTTTGTTTCATTTCCAGCTTCTATATAATGAAAATTATTTTTAAAAATCTTATTTTTTGGTAAAGTCTATTGTTTTAAGCTTTGATTAGTGAGAATGTTATGCATTTGAGGTGTCTCATTTTTCCCTAATCCTTTTTTCTTTTCTTTATAATCTTTTACATTCTTTATTCTATCTTGGTCAAGGATTATTCATTCTGGATATTATTGTATACAATTTTTTAGTTTTTCCTTCTTGTAAAATTTTGAGGTGAAATTTCACTTTGTAAAATGTTTCCTTCAAAATAAAAAAAAAATCCAAAGAGGATTTTTGTTCTTAAAAGACTCAAGATCTAAACAGAATTAAATCACTGAAAATTAAATATAGTTCCTAAAAATTATATTTTGAAAATATAAATGGCAGTATACCAAACAAGTCAGTGAAGAGAATTATGGTATAATTTAATTTTATTTCCTCTTATATTATTATTTAAAATTTTATAAACATTTGTAAAGTTATCTAACTCATGAATCTACTAATTCATGGTAACTACCAATCTAGGTTTTTATTTGACCATTTTAAAGTTCATAACAACTGTTTTGCTACATAAAGTTAATAGCTCTAACAATCCCCATTAATCTGAAGCATTTTAGTCTTACAATAATAAATACTTCAACTGAGAGAATTTAAACATTTAGCTGATAAGGAAATGTTCACATTACATTTGAAATGGTTATTATGCTTGAATGTGACTATTCAGACACTGACAATAAATACAAATGACAAGTTTTGTTCACACTACTAATGTTGATTATATTGATTAGAGACAATGAAAACTACGTGATGATGATTTGTTCATGGAGAGTTCAAGGATGCCACAAATGACACTACAATGAGCCTTTAGCTACTTGGCCTTCCAAAGCCCAAAGTCAAAGCAAACTTGAACTACAAATTGGAGCCAAACTCAAGGCCAACACTTGACTTTAGTGCAGCCCTTATGAAGGTACTCTGGAAGTGTGATACAGGGGTAATTGTCCAGGCAATGGAGTCATCCAGATTCCAGTCTTACCTCTAACTTTTTCTACTTGTTTAATCTTAGGCAAGTTGCACAAGCTCTCAGGCTTCAATTTCCTCATGAAAAAACAGGAACAATAAACTCAGAAGACTGATTGAGGCTGCGCAGATAATGCACTGAGCACAGGGAGTGTCCTGTAGTATACACTCAGTAAATCCTAGTTTACTATAGTTACTGTGATCATCTTCAATAATATTAGGATCATAATATCTACTTTGACGAGTCTACAAATTGGAGATTACCTATCAGTATCACTTAAAAACATTTTGTGTCCATTTAATCAATGTTAGTTGATATTACCTAGCCACCTGTAGAACTTTGCAAAATGCTATAAATACAACCTTAGTTTGTGAATTCAGAGCAAATGCAACCAACAGATGCATACTCAACTGAAATAGACATGTCATTTCTTTTTATTGACCCAGTGTCCTCATCTCCTTCCCATGTATAGGGAACTCTGCATTTTAAAATTTCTGGAGAATGCAGAGCCAACCTCTTCTCATAGAAGCTGAAAACACTTAAAAAGCTCCTTTCATGGTTCTCCCTGAAAGCAAAGCTTAAGCACATGAACTAAATTAAGCCAATCAGATGCACCTATCTATTTTTGCATTAAAGATTGTGATCTAGTGAAACAAGGACAAGAAATCATGCTGAGGGACGCAGAAGATGCATCAGCATCCACTTTCCAGGTGCAGCAATGCTGCTGCTACAAAGTGTGACATCCGGTGGTCAGTAGCAGTCGCTTTAGCGGATCTTACTCATGTGATCATGGCAAGAATTTGCTATGGCTCTAGATGTGTAGCCTCCTTTTTCTTGACTGTTTGTCAAACCTTGTACTCTAACCTTCTCAACAATTATGTGAGCTACACAGCACCCTTTCAATAAATTGCAATTCTGCTTAAGTTAAGCAGAATCCATTTCTGCTGATTGCCACTGAGACTGACATGGAAATTGGTAATAGGCAGTGGGGTGCTGGAGGTAGTTGACCTCCAAATGGGGCACTGACTAAAGGAATGGAAGTAATACAGTAAGGACTCCACAATTCCTTGCAGGGAAGAGTGGATAGCCATGAGGATTATGATTATTCACAACATGAATGGCACCCCCAGGCATTGTGTTTGCAAACTTATTCTGAACTAGGAAATGGTAAGCCTTATTATGCAGTTATAAAACTTGGAAAAAGTTGAAAGTAGCTATTTTTAAAGGAGAGAAAAAATGTAAGTATGGCTTTAATATTGAAAGTTCTTTCTGATGGAAACAAAAAACACTGGGAAGTCTGAAAGAGGGGAGGGAGGAAGGAAGTGTTGAAAAATTACCTACTGAGTACTATGTTTACTATTCGGGTTATGGGTTCAATAGAAGCCCAAACCTCAGCATCACACGATATATCCATGTAACACACCTGCACATGTACTCCCAAATCTAAAATGTTAAAAAAAATATATGGTATTCCTGGTCAAGATGGTCGAATAGGAAGAGCTCGGGTCTGTAGCTCCCAGCAAGACCAATGTAGAAGGGAGGTGATTTCTGCATTTCCAACTGAGGTACACGGCTCAACTCATTGGGACTGATTAGACAGTGGGTGCAGCCCATGGAGGGTGAGCCAAAGCAGGGTGGGGCATTGCCTCACCCGGGAAGTGCAGGGGGTTGGCAAACTCCCTCCTCCAGCCAAGGGAAGCTGTGAGGGACCGTGCTGTGAAGAATGGTGCACTCTGGCCCAAATACTATGCTTTTCCCACAGTCTTCACAACCAACAGACCAGGAGATTCCCTCGGGTGCCTACGCCACCAGGGTCTGGGGTTTCAAGCACAAAACCGGATGGCTGTTTGGGCAGACACCAAGCTAGCTGCAGGAGTTTTGTTTTTTTTTCATACCCCAGCGGCACCTGGAATGCCAGTGAGACAGAACCGTTCACTACCCTGGAAAGGGGGCTGAAACCAGGGAGCCAAGTGGTCTAGCTCAGTGGATCCCACAACCATGGAGCCCAGCAAGCTAAGATCCACTGGCTTTAAATTCTCGCTGCCAGGACGGCAGTCTGAAGTCAACCTGAGATGGTTGAGCTTGGTGTGAGGAGGGGCGTCCACCATTACTGAGGCTTGAGTAGGTGGTTTTCCCCTCACAGTGTAAACAAAGCCACCAGGAAGTTCGAACTGGGCGGAGCCCACCACAGCTCGGCAAAGCCACTGCAGCCAGACTGCCTCCCTAGATTCATCCTTTCTGGGCAGGGCATCTCTGAAATAAAGAAAGCAGCCTCAGTCACGAGCTTATAGATAAAAGCTCCATCTCCATGCGACAGAACACGTGGGTGCCGGGTCAGCTGTGGGCACAGCCTCAGCAGACTTAAACGTTCCTGCCTACGGCTCTGAAGAGAGCAGCGGGTCTCCCAGCACAGCGCTCGAGCTCTGCTAAGGTACAGACTGCCACCTCAAGTGGGTCCCTGACCCCCATGCCTCCTGACGGGGAGATACCTCCCAGCAGGGGTTGACACACACCTCATACAGGAGAACTCCAACTGGCTTCTGGCTGGTGCCCCTCTACAAAGCTTCCAGAGGAAGGAACAGGCAGCAATCTTTGCTGTTCTGCAGCCTCCACCAGTGATACCCAGGAAAACAGGGTCTGGAGTGGACCCCCAGCAAACTCCAGCAGACCTGCAGAACAGGGGCCCGACTGTGAGAAGAAAACTAACAAACATAAAGCAATAGCATCAACATCAACAAAGAGGACCACCATGCAAAAGCTTCATCTGAAGGTCCCAACAGCAAAGACCAAAGGTAGACAAATCCACAAAGATGAGGAAAAACCAGCACAAAAAGGCTGAAAATTCCAAAAACCAGAAAGCCTCTTCTCCTCCAAAGGATCAGAACTCCTTAGCAGCAAGGGAACAAAACTGGATGGAGAATGAGTTTGATGAATTGACAGAAGTAGGCTTCAGAAGGTGGGTAATAATAAACTACTCTGAGCTAAAGGAGCAGGTTCTAACCCAATGCAAGGAAGCTAAGAACCTTGAAAAAGGTTAGAGGAATTGCTAACTATAATAACCGGTTTAGAGAACATAAATGACCTGATGGAGCTGAAAAACACAGCACAAGAACTTCGTGAAGCATACACAAGTATCAATAGCCAAATCGATCAAGCAGAAGAAAGGGTAACAAAAATTGAAGATCAACTTAATAAACTAAAGCAAAAAGACAAGATTAGAGAAAAAAGAATGAAAAGGAGTGAAAAAAGCCTCCAAGAAATATGGGACTGTGTGAAAAGACCAAACCTACACTTGATTGGTGTACCTGAAAGTGACGGGGAGAATGGAACCAACTTGGAAAACACACTTCAGGATATTATCCAGGAGAACTTCCCCAAACTAGCAAGACAGGCCAACATCAAATTCAGGAAATACAGAGAACATCACAAAGATATTCCTCGAGAAGAGCAACCCCAAGACACATAATCATCAGATTCTCCAAGGTGAAAATGAAGGAAAAAATGTTAAGGGTAGCCAGAGAGAAAGGTCAGGTTACCCACAAAGGAAAGCTCACCAGACTAACAGTGGATCTCTCTGCAGAAACCCGACAAGCCAGAAGAGAGTGGGGGCTGATAGTTAACATTGGTAAAGAAAAGAATTTTCAATCCAGAATTTCATATCCAGCCAAACTATGCTTCACAAGTGAAGAAGAAATAAAATCCTTTACAGACAAGCAAATGCTGAGGGATTTTGTCACCACCAGGGCTGCCTTACAAGAGCTCCTGAAGGAAGCACAAAATATGGAAAGAAAAAACCAGTACCAGCCACTGCAAAAACAAACCAAAACGTAAAGACCATTGACACTATGAGGAAACCGCATCAACTAATGGGCAAAATAACCAGCTAGCATCATAACAACAGGATTAAATTCACACATAACAATAATAACCTTAAATGGAAACGAGCTAAATGTCCCAATTAAAAGACACAGACTGACAAATTGGATAAAGAGTCATGACCCATCAGTGTGCTATATTCAGGAGACCCATCTCATGCGCAAAGACAAACATAGTCTCAAAATAAAGAGATGGAGGAATATTTATCAAGCAAATGGAAAGCAAAAAAAAAGCAGAGGTTGCAATCCTAGTCTATGAAAAAATACACTTTAAACCAACAATGATCAAAAAGACAAAGAAGGGCATTACAGAATGGTAAAAGGATTAATGCAATAAGAAGAGCTAACTATACTAAATATATATGCACCCAATACAGGAGCATCCAGATCCATAAAGCAAGTTCTTAGAGACCTACAAAGAGACTTAGACTCCCACACAATAATAGTGGGAGACTATAACACCCGACTGTCAATATCAGACAGATCAATGAGACAGAAAAGTAACAAGGATATTCAGGACTTGAACTCAGCTCTGAACCAAGTGGACCTAAGAGACATCTACAGACTCTCCCCCTCAAATCAACAGAATATACATTCTTCTCAGCACCACGTCTCACTTATTCTAAAATCGACCACAAAATTGGAAGTAAAACAATCCTCAGCAAATGCAAAAGAAAGGAAATCATAACAGTCTCTCACACCACAGTGCAATCAAATTGGAACTCAGGATTAAGAAACTCACTCAAAACTGCAAAACTACATGGAAATGGAACAACCTGCTCCTGAATAACTACTGGGTAAATAATGAAATCAAGGCAGAAATAATTAAGTTCTTTGAAACCAATGAGAACAAACACACAACACGCCAGAATCTCTGGGACACAGCTACAGCAGTGTTTAGAGGGAAACTTATAGCACTAAATGCCCACATCAGAAAGCAGGAAAAATCTACAATCGACACTCTAACATCACAATTAAAAGAACTAGAGAAGCAAGAGCAAACAAATTCAAAAGCCAGCAGAAGACAAGAAATAACTAAAATCAGAGCAGAACTGAAAAAGATAGAGACACGAAAACACTTGAAAAAATGAATGAATCCAGGAGCTGGTTTTTGGAAAAGATTAATAGAATAGATAGACTGCTAGCCAGACTAATAAGGAAGAAAAGAGAGAAGAATCAAATAGACACAATAAAAAATGATAAAGGGAAGATCACCAATGATTACACAGAAATACAAACTACCATCAGAGAATATTATAAACACCTCTATGCAAATAAACCAGAAAATCTAGAAGAAATGGATAAATTCCTGGACATATACACCCTCCCAAGAATAAACAAGGAAGAAGTCAAATCCCTGAATAGACCAATAACACGTTCTGAAGTTGAGGCAATAATTAATAGCCTATCAACCAAAAAAAGCCAAGGACCAGAAGAATTCACAGCCAAATTCTACCAGAGGTACAAAGAGGAGCTGGTACCATTCCTTCTGAAACTATTCCTAACAATAGAAAATGAGGGACTCCTCCCTAACTCATTTTATGGTGCAGCATCATCCTGATACCAAAACCTGGCAGAGACACAACAAAAAAAGAAAATTTCAGGCCAATATCCCTGATGAACATCGATGCAAAATCCTCAATGTAATACTGGCAAACCGAATCCAGCAGCACATTAAAAAGCTTGTCCACCACGATCAAGTCGGCTTCCTCCCTGGGATGCAAGGTTGGTTCAACATATGCAAATCAATAAATATAATCCGTCACATAAACAGAACCAAAGACAAAAACCACATGATTATATTAATAGATGCAGAAAAGGCCTTCAATAAAATTCAACACCCCTTCATGCTAAACACACTCAATAAACTAGGTATTGATGGAACACATCTCAAAATAGTAACAGCTATTTATGACAAACCCACAGCCAAAATCATACTGAATGGGCAAAAGCTGGAAGCATTCCCTTAGAAAACCAGCACAAGACAAGGATGCCCTCTCTCACCACTCCTATTCAACATAGTATTGGAATTTCTGACTAGGGCAATCAGGCAAGAGAAAGAAATAAAGGGTATTCAAATAGGAACAGAGGAAGTCAAATTATCTCTATTTGCAGATGACATGACTGCATATTTAGAAAACCCCATCATGTCAGGCCATAATCTCCTTAAGCTGATAAGCAACTTCAGCAAAGTCTCAGGATACAATACCAGTGTGCAAAAATCACAAACATTCCTGTACGCCAATAATAGACAATCAGAGAGCCAAATCATAAGTGAACTCTCATTCACAATTGCTACAAAGAGAATAAAATACGTAGGAATAAAACTTACAAGGGATCTGAAGGACCTCCTTCAAGGAGAAATACAAACCACTGATCAAGGAAATAATAGAGGATACAAAGGAATGGAAAGACATTCCATGTTCATGGATAGGAAGAATAAATATCGTGAAAATGGCTATACTAACCAAAGTAACTTATAGATCCAATGCTATTCCCATCAAACTACCATTGACTTTCTTCACAGAATTAGAAAAACCTACGTTAAATTTTATATGTAACCAAAAAAGACCCTGTATAGCCAAGACAATCCTAAGCAAAAAGAACAAAGCTGAGGCATCACGCAACCTGACTTCAAACTACACTGCAAGGCTACTGTAACCAAAACAGCATGGTATTGGTACCAAAACAGATAGATAGACCAACGGAATAGAACAGAGGCCTCAGAAATAACACCATACATCTACAACCATCTGATCT
This sequence comes from Homo sapiens, assembly GCF_000001405.40. Classification (NCBI taxonomy): domain Eukaryota; kingdom Metazoa; phylum Chordata; class Mammalia; order Primates; family Hominidae; genus Homo; species Homo sapiens. Next base: position 130,706,478 of record NC_000006.12, read on the forward strand.
TTGACAAACCTGACAAAAACAAGCAATGAGGAAAGGATTCCCTATTTAACAGATGATGTTGGGAAAACTGGCTAGCCATATGCAGAAAACAGAAACTGTACCCCTTTCTTACACCTTATACAAAAATCAACTCAAGATGGATTAAAGCTTTAAATGTAAGACCTAAAACCATAAAAACCCTATAAGAAAACCTAGGCAATACCATTCAGGACATAGGCGTGGGCAAAGGATTCATGACTAAAATACCAAAAGCAATGGTGACAAAATCCAAAATTGATAAATGGGATCTAATTAAACTAAAGAGCTTCTGCACAGCAAAAGAAACTATCATCAGAGTGAACAAGCAACCTACAGAATGGGAGAACATTTTTGCAATCTATCCGTCTGACAAAGGGCTAATATCCAGAATCTACAAGGAACTTAAACAAATTTACAAGAAAAAAATAACTCCATCAAAAAGTGGGTGAAGGATATGAACAGACGCTTCTCAAAAGAAGACATTTATGTGGCCAAAAAACATATGAAAAAAAGCTCATCATCACTGGTCATTAGAGAAACACAAATCAAAACCACAATGAGACACCATCTCACGCCAGTTAGAATGGCGATTGTTAAAAAGTCAGGAAACAACAGATGCTGGAGAGGATGTGGAGAAACAGGAACACTTTTACACTTTTGGTGGGAGTGTAAATTAGTTCAACCATTGTGGAAGATGGTGTGGTGATTCCTCAAGGATCTAGAACTAGAAACACAATTTGACCCAGCAATCCCATTACTGGGTATATACCCAAAGGATTATAAATCGTTCTTTTATAAGGACACATGCACACGTATGTTTATTGCAGCACTATTCACAATAGCAATGACTTGGAACCAACTCAAATGCCCATCAGTGATAGACTGGATAAAGCAAATGTGGCACATATACACCATGGAATACTATGCAGCCATAAAAAAGGATGAGTTCATGTCCTTTGCAGGGACATAGATGAAGCTGGAAATCATCATTCTCAGCAAACTAACACAGGAACAGAAAACCAAACACCACATGTTCTCACTTATAAGTGGGAGTTGAACAATGAGAACATATGGGCACAGGGAGGGAACAGTACACACCGGGGCCTGTCAGGGGGTGGGAGGCAAGGGGAGGGATAGCATTAGGATAAATACCTAATGTAGGTGACAGGTTGATGGGTGCAGCAAACTACCGTGGCACATGTATACCTATGTAACAAACCTGCATGTTCTGCGCATGTATCCCAGAACTTAAAATATAATAAATAAGTAAAATGAATAAGTATATGTCATATGTGCTCAAAAAAATTATTTTTGCCTATAGCCTGCAAGCCAAAATGACTGGGAGTCTGATAATTGTCTGCCTTTCAAGATTGTAAAATTAAAATTCTCTATTACAAACTAAAGTTTTTCAACAGAGACAGAGACTAAGGAGACTTGTCAGGAGAAAAAATTGGAGCAAAAGACATGCATGATCACTCAGGCCCTTCTTGTACACCACCATTTAGCCTTCTCTACAGGCCTAAGAGTTAAATAGGTTCAATGTGAAGCAGCAACTGGAATGGATGCAGCCTGGAGTTACAGATTAGATTATTGCTTTGAAGTATCATAGAGCATCAGCCTTTCAACTGCAGGCTAGAGCTATAGGGCAAGGCACAGAAGCAGATAGCAAGCAGACAGATAATCCAAAACATGCATGAAATGAAAATACTTCTACACAGCAAAGGAAACAATCAACAGAGACAAGAGACAGCCTAAGGAATGGGAGAAATTATTTGTAAACTACACATTTGATAATATGTACATATGTACACATACATATATAGACATACATACAATATTATTCATCCTTAATAAGGAAAATCTTGTCATTTGCAACAATGTGGATGAAGCTGGAGGACAGGAAACTAAATTTAATAAGCCAAGGATAGAAAGATAAATACTGCATGTCTTAGTCTGTTTGTGTTGCTATAAGGAAATGCCTGAGGCTGGGTAATTTATAAAGTAAATAGGTTTGTTTAGCTCACAGCTCTACAGGCTTTACGAGAAGCATGGTGCCAGCATCTGCTTCCACTCATTGCAGAAGGTGGAGGGGAGCCGGTGTATGCAGAGATCACATGGTGAGAGAGGAAGGAAGAAGGGGCAGGGAGAGGCCAGGCTGTTACTCACAATCAGCTTTCTCAGGAACTAAAAGAGAAAGAACTTATTTACCTTTTCCCCCAGAAGGGCATCAATCTATTCATCAGGGATCCTCCCCTATAACACAAACATTCTCATTAGGCCCCATCTCCAGCATTGGGGGTTAAATTTCAACATGAGATTTGGAGGGGACAACATGCAAACTATCACACTGCACAGACTCACTTCCATGTGGAATCTAAAAAATCCGAACTCAAAGAAACAGATTAGAATGGTGGTATTCAGGGGCCAGAGGGTGGAGGGAAGAGGGTTGTGGAGATATTGATCAAAGGGTACAAAGTTTCAGTTAGACAGGAGGAATAAGTTCTGGAGATCTATCAAACAGTGGTGACTGTAGTTAATAAGAAGTTGTATACTTGAAAATTGCTAAGAGCATAGATCTTAAATGTTCTCACCACACACACAAAATAGCTATGTGATGTGATGGATGTGTTAATTAGCTTGACTGTGGTAATCACCTCACAATATATGTATGTATCAAAACATCATATTGTAACAACATAAATATATACAATTTAATTTTAAGTTATGCTTCAGTAAAGCTGGTGGGAAAAAATCCTAGACACAAAGACCGTGTCTGAGTAATATCTCTGGTTGTGTTTTCTAATCAATAGAATTAACCAGAATTAAGTAAACAAAATGCCTATTACATTTTTAAGGCCACGATAGTATTAAAAATGCCCCCCCTTGCAGCCAAAAACATCATGTGATGGTGTAGACCTTAAAGCAATCACAAGAGGTCTGAAGTTACACCTAAAGAAAAAAACTGCTAAAACTTTGCAGCTCCCAGAAAGGACATCCTTCTTCTCTCTCCTTAATGCCCATCTCAGATGTGCTTGCAGAGAACAATGTATGGGAGACTCTTTTGCAGTGCAGAAACGGGCACTCAGAATGGCTGCCAGGACATGAACCATGAACTCTTATTATCCAACAAGGTGGGACATGTGCTTTGAACCAATGACTATTGGGAGCAGCTTCCATTCTTCCCTCTTCCCAAATGAGTACTTACTGTGGTTTTTACTTCTACCATTGTGTGAGATAATGCTGGGGAGGGTGGTGAGTGATTTAACTTGTAACTGGCGATTTCTAGATCAAAAGGTAGAGGTTCTTGAGAGATAATGAACTTAGAACTAGATGCAGGATCTGGATGAGGCTTTCAGTTTGCTCCCTTTGGGAAAGGCCCAGCGCATTTCATGTAGACATTCACACTTTTGAAGGCTTATTCATGTAAAGATGGGGTATGATTATATATTATGTTGCCAAAGGGATGTGAGGAGCTTGTTATTTGCCTACTTGGCATCTAATCCCCCTATGACATTTTTTAACAGAGACCCAATTTAGTTTAGATATTTAGTCCTTCTTCAAGCAGCCCAAGCATACGTAAATCAGTCTTAACCAACCCATACCAAGATTGTCAATGGTGGGTTCAGGAACCCAGAGCACAACATTCTCCTGGCAAGTGTTGCCGGTTTGAGGATGAGCATATGTCCTAAGTAGACCCAATCAACTGAAGAGAAGGTCATTATAACCTATGATGTGGGAGAGGCTCTTTCCCCCTCCTACCTACTCATATATCCCTCCTTCAATTCACCATATACCCCTTAGGAACTAGATTGTAATCCTGAGAGAAGCCTACTTATAAACACACAGAGAAAGACAGAGTGAAGAAAAGGGCAACAAATTTGAGCCAGAGCCATAATCGTACTGTACCTGAGGCCTACATTATCTCTGGATTTCTTCCTTGAGATAACACATTTCCTTATTGTTCGACACAGTTTAAACTGAGGTTTCTGTTAGTTTCTGCCAAAAGCATCCTGATACATGAACTAAGTAGAAACAAGGTTTTCAGCCCAATCTTCTCTGCCTCAAAGACTGGGACAGGGAGGGTTAAACCAACACAAAGGGCACCAGGCTGCTAAACCAGAAGTTATGCAGAGGACTGGGAATGCAGGTCATTAGGTAGTCCATTAACAGGTTGTAGAGAAATAATTTTATATTTATCTTATAGTTACTTCACATGTGGAAAATATTGCTTTCCCATGCACAGTACTGCTATAAAGTTTACTTTTAAATGAATGTGTTTATGTAAAAAGGAATCAACTTGAAGAAAATATCACAAGTCATAGTATTTTCCTTGGGATGCTGTAACAAAATACCACAAACTGGATGGCTTAAAACAACAGAAATTTATTATTTCACCGTCTAGATATCAGAAATCTGAAATTGAGTTGTCAGTAGGGCCATGCCCCTCCTGGAGGATCTAGAGGAGGATTTTTCTTTACCTCTTCCTAGTTTCTGGTGGTTGCCAGAATCCTTCGCATTCCTTGGACTATAGATGCATCACTTCAGTCTCTATCTCCATCTTCACGTGTCCTTCGTGTGTGTGTGTGTGTGTGTGTGTGCGTGTGTGTGTCTGAGTCTTCACATAACATCCTTCTCTCTGTGTATCTGTGTCCATATTTGTCCATATTTCCATCTTCTTGTAAGGACATTGGTCATTGGCCTAGAGTTCACTCTTACCCTGTACTACCTCATCTTCACGTGAATATACTTGCAAAGACCATTTCCAAGCAAGGTCACATTCACACATACTGAGGATTAGGACTTCAGCATATCTTTTGGGAGGGCACAATTCAACCCACAAAACAAGTGATATTCAGATACAGCAGAAGTCATGAAAGTGGGATATAAAGAGCATTTTGAAACTCTGAGGATACTACTACAATGGAAAGAGGGGTGTATAAAGGAACCAGGACATATGTTCAGTTACACACAGGCCCACGAGCTTCAAGTCAAGCAATGTATTGTGATTTCTCAGAATGTGATCAACATTTGCTAACACCCCTCTAGACTCCTAACCTTAGCAAGTCATATCTGAAAATTATGTAGTCAGAACATAAAAAAGGAATCAAAATATTGATGCTGCTGGAAAAACAATCCAAAATACATGTATAGTCAGTGGTGTTGTCAAATGGAGGCAACACACATTTTTTATATTTCTCTGAGCATTTAGCCTTCTTCTAATAATTGATGTCTCCAAGGTAGAATTTAATTTCAATAATATTTCTAGCCAAAAATGACCATCCTTGTATAGTCATGCATCACTTAAAGATGAGGAAATGGTTATTAGGTGATTTAGTTGTGGTATGAACTGTCAGGCCTCTGAGCCCAAGCCAAGCCATCACATCCCCGGTGACTTGCACATATACGCCCAGATGGCCTGAAGTAACTGAAGAATCACAAAAGAAGTGAAAATGCCCTGCCCCACCTTAACTGATGACATTCCACCACAAAAGAAGTGTAAACGGCTGGTCCTTGCCTTAAGTGATGACATTATCTTGTGAAAGTCCTTTTCCTGGCTCGTTCTGGCTCAAAAATCTCCCCCACCGAGCATCTTGCGACCCTCACTCCTGCCCGCCAGAGAACAAATCCCCTTTGACTGTAATTTTCTTTTATCTACCCAAATCCTATAAAACGGCCCCACCCTTATCTCCCTTCGCTGACTCTCTTTTCGGACTCAGCCCGCCTGTACCCAGGTGATTAAAAGCTTTATTGCTCACACAAAGCCTGTTTGGTGGTCTCTTCACACGGATGCCCATGAAATGAACATCATAGAGTGTACTTACACAAACCTAGCTGGTTCAGCCTACTACACACCTAGGCTAGATGGTATAGCCTATTGCTCCTACCTAGGCTACAAACCTTTACAGCATGTTACTGTACTGAATACTGTAGGGAACTGGAAGACAATGGTAAGTATTTATGTCTCTAAACATATCTAAACATAGAAAAGGTAAGGTACAGTAAAATTATGATATAATCTTATTATGGGTCATAGATGCAATCCAACATTGACCAAAACATCATTATGTGTCACATGGCTATACTTGGAGAGGACTTCCTCTAATCTGGGCACTATTTCCCAGTACCTAGCATTAGCCTCTAATTTTTTTAGTCCCCAGCTGTGTCTCCTTGCAGGAAAACAAAAGCTTATAGTTTGATAATTAAATTAATTATAGAAAGTAATTATTACATGCTATACCTCAAAAAATTTGATCTGCAATTTGTCACACAGCATAAAGGGGGAGGGACAATTAGGAAGAGTCATTTTGCATTTAGAAGGTCAAAATTGGGATGTTTACTATTTGAAATTGAGCAAGAAACTCTGGGGAGAAAATAATAATAATAAATCTTGTAAACGGTTTTATGAAACCCTGGAACGCTTTGGATATTAGGAAGGTTTCCCTGTCTCATTTGTTGAAGTAATAAAGTGTGAAGAAATGGTAAATCTGATTAGCCACGCTTTTCTAGCATTAACCTACAGTCTGAAAGGAAAGAAAGAATATCTAAAATTTCAATCACTGTTGTTTCCTGTGCTTAATCAGTTAAAGAAAAAATGTTCCCCAAGGCTGTTCAGAAAACAGTGATGTTCAGGTATGTGAGAAATCATTCGGAAACCCATGGACCTGTGGCCAAGGCATATGCATTTTTCTGAATGTTGTCAAAAGCAGTTTTATCTTCATAATGTAAGGCAGAGGCTTCTTGGTTGTTTGTGAACCACCTGGTGTTCACAGACCAATGCAGGAATGCAGAAAGCTGTTTCCATGGCAATGAGACTTTCCTCCTGGCAACCACCCCTCCCCCACCTCCCATCTTTCTACGCTGTCAGGAGTTGAGATAGGATTTCTGCAAAGAGCAGCGATGGTGATAGAGCAAGCATTTTGTGTTTTTTTCAAATGCATCGGCTGCATGTTTATAAGCAGTAGGTGAATCTCCTCTGCCCACATGTGGAGAGGTTCACAGACCCATTAGAATCCAACCTTCTCACATTCAAATCACTACATCAATAGCATTTTCTTTAACATCTCAGTTTATGAACAGACACTTCCTAGGTCAAAGGTCAGCGACTACAGCCCAGAGGCCAAACCTGGCCTGCCACGTGTGTTTCTAAGCAAAGCTTTATGGAAAGATGGTCACACTCAGGTGGTTATGTACTGCCACGGATGCTTCTATGTTTCAGTGGCTTAACTGACTAGTTGACAGGACAGACAGACACCATATGGCCCGAAAGTCCAAAAAACATTGACTATCTGACCCTTTAGAGACAAAGTTTGCCAATACCTATTGTAGATGATGTGGAGCCAAAACGTGGTAGAGAAGACTGCCAAATACTGAAGTAGGCACAGTATGCTATAGTAAATAGAGAGAACTAAATGAATGCTAGTAAGAATTCCTCTGTATCCCTCAGGCCCAGACTGTTCTGAGAAGAATCTCTTCTAAAGGTGAGACTGAAAAGATAGGAAGCCTTAGGAAAGACACGTTTTAAGGGACAGGGAGGTGTTCTAGATAAGAGCCAGCGGAGGATGGTGAAGGGACACATAAGAAACCCATGAACACTGGAAAGGACCACGCAAACTTGAGGTGCTGCTCTCATGGTGAGCACAAGTTCTCAACAATGGGAGGAGAGGTTTGTGAATAGCAGGAAGTAAGGTTAGGGCCAAAGATACATAGGCTCATGAAAGTCGGGCAAAGGAAATGACCTTCTTCTATAGGGAATGAGCACCCACTAAACTATAAACTGATAGGATGAGAGCTTTGTTTAAGGCAAATCCAGAAAATCAGATGAAGGATTAGCTACAGAGAATGGGAGAAGGAAGAGAGGGAAGCCAGTTCATTAATATCTGTCATCTATGTTATGCTTGTTGTGTGCCAGAAGCTACTCTAAGTTCCTAACATGCATTAACTCACTTAATCCTACTAACAACCCTATGAGGTAAACTACTATGATTGCTACTTTGCAGATGAGAAATCTGTGGCCAAAGTGGTTAAGTAGTCAAAGTCCTACAGATAGAAATTTGCAAAGCCAGGATTTAAATCCAGATGTTGTGGCTCCAGAGTCCAACTTCTGTACCCAGTTACAAATTATATCAAAGTATAAAATTGAGATAAGAATTCAGTTAGCCTTGTTGCAGTGGCACCTGCAAGGTGCTCCATAAATGTATTTGATGAGTAAATAATGAATGAAAGAAAAGACAAAAAAGGAAATAACAAGTACAAAGAGCATGAGGGAGAAGAAAAATCAATGGCACTCAGGGTCTAATATAAAAGATTCAAAGGAGAAGGAGGCATCAAAGATAATTCTAATCATTCCCTTTTGGATGGCCAGAAGAATGATGGAATTGACGCACACGAAAATAGGAGGGAAAATCAGCTTTGGGGATAAAGTGGTAAATTCAGTTTGAGATTAAACAGATGATGAATTTGATGAGATGGCAGAGCATCCAGGTAGAAATGCCCAGCAAGTCCTTGGAGATATAGGACCAGAATCCAGGAGGGAACTAGAGTCAAAACAATAGAGTTGGTGACTGGGCTGCATGGAAGTAATAGAGGCGACAGGGTGGTGGTGTCTCTCTCACACTGATGGGAAAAATGAAGCTATCTTCACTCTTGACATGTGCAATAAATAAAACAAAGAAAACCATTAGATGCTGGCAAGGTGTGAAACTGGCCTCCTGAAAAGAAGGTGGGCTGGCTCAGCGGAAATTGGGAAAGAGAGGGGAATATTCATTTATGCTGAGCTTGCTACATCCCAAGTGCTCTGACACTGCATTTCATGATCACAGTGAGACTGAAACCTCCCCTCGAGAGCAGAAAAAATAGACAGGATAAATGGCTTACAGAAGGACACAGCTAGAACAGCCCAGAGCCAGGACTGAAGCCCAGTGAGCCAGTACAACGCCCACGCTATAAACACAACTCCAACTACAAAAGGGTCCTTCTGCGGGTTTTCCCAAATTTCCCCAAACCCTCAGAGCCATCAGGTACTCTGCCTGACTCTGCAAACTGTTCTGTAATCCTCACATCACCTTCAAGAAAAAAGCTATAGTCACTGCTTAAATAGCTACCCCTCCGTGGGTGTTATCCTGTAACAGCTCATTTCAGACATTGACCAATGGTTGGGGAAAATTTGGAAGAATATGCCAAAGCATCCCTAAGCCTTCGAAAAGCCTCACAATAATTTCTTCCTAGTCGTTCTCATTTCTGGTTTCTGGTTTCTGGTTTCTGTCAGGGCGGCCCTTCCCTGAGGTAGGAAGGCAGGCATCCAGAATTGGATCCAGAGCTTGGGATCTGGAAAACTGGGAATCCCAGGAATCTCTCTCTTCAAACCCTCAGTGTTTAATATAAAGATGCATAATAATTTATTTCAAATGAAAAATATATGAGTTCCTTTGCTTTTGATTATGGATACAACAGATAATACCAAATACAATAAAGACTAAAAGGAAAAAAAATAAATACAAAAGGAATGATCTGTCTTTTAATTTACACTGTGTTTTCATTGGTCTTGTTTACTTCAATTGTCTAAACTAAGTTTATATTTAAACACCACATTAAAACTACTTTGTAATTACGTGAATTCTCTTAAATGTACCTGTGCTAATTCTTTCTTTTTTCTCAAATCAAGCAGCCAGTCTCACTGATTTTCTTGAAACAAACTTCTTCCTTGACGATCTCTTTCATTTTGTAGTGAAGTTACATCAACTCACTGTATATCTCAAATAAGTAAATTTCTTCATGCAAATACTATTGTCAATAAAGCTAAGAAAATAATTAAGAAAAATTTATCCAGAGACTGGGACTAAAGACCTGAATACCTAGCAATAAATAAACGGAAGTACTGTGTCTACAGACACTCATATTAACGATAATATTATTCAGGTTAATTCCTTCTGATAGCAAATGAAACGAGGGAATAGAAAATATTTCAAACAAGCAGCTTAGTGCTTCAGATTCAGAGCAGGTCTCCAATTTCTCTTAAAATCTGAGACCTTTGCATGCTGTGGGCAAATGGATTGAGCTATACAAAATTGCACAAAGCATCTAGCTTGGCATTTTTTGAACCTCATTACCCTCCCTGAGAAACAGACCTAGCAGGAAGCAAAAAAGCCTTTTATATCCCTGCGTCAGTAGAAATGATTCTGGTATATGGAAGACCTGACTACTAGCCACCGTGTTAAAGGCCTCTCAGCATGACGCTAAGAAAATTAATACATTCCCTATCAGTCACTTTAGCTCTTGCTGTTTAACAACAGCTGCACTAAATGAAGTAGGTTAATAGGGGAATGGGGAAGGGACAATTGGCTGAGAAGGAACATCATGGAAACAACCACAAATCTATGGGGCAAGGCACTTCTCTGCCAAAAGCTCACCTAGCAATATTCAAGGTTTCAAATCCATGCTGATTCTACAACATGTGCTCAAGTTTCTCGGCCTTTCTCCCCCTTTAAAAAGAGGGATAGGAATTTTGTGAGCTATAGAAACCATCTTTCTTTTCCTAATACCTATTTCAAGTCTGAATCCCAGCAACCACCAGCTGTATTTCTACTCTTTACCTAAGATAATTCCAGGTCCAGATGTTGGGGTAGCCTTCCCTAGCACTCCTAGGTAGAGTTATACCATACTTTTGTCTGGGTTTCCATAGTGTTATATGATCTACTACTACTTTTATCACTGTTCTACCAGAATTTACCAACATATCTTCACTTATAGGCTGTGAGCGCTTTAGGGCAGGAACCTATGTACTCTTTACCCAGTACAGTGCACAGGCACGGGACACTTTCTCAGGCATTCTCTCAGCCCTAGACCAACAGCCACTCTCCCCAACTCTAGGGGGTTGAACAGTGTCACCCAAAATTCATATACTCCCTGAGCCTCAGAATGTGGCCTTATTTGAAAATAGGGGTCTTTACAGATATAGTTAAGGTAAGGATTGAGATGAGATCATGCTGGTTTAGGGTGGGCCTTAAGTCTAATGACAGTGTCCGTATAAGAGACAGAAAAGGACAGACAGAGGAGACACACAGAGGAGAAAGACACACAGAGGAGAGGTCCATGTGAAGACAGAGGAGGAGATTGGAGCAATGGTGCCACAAGCCAAGGAACACCAAGAGCCACCAGAAGCTGGAAGAGGCAAGAAAGGATTCTCTCCTAGGGACTTTCAAGGGAACATGGCTCTGTTAGCACCTTGGACTTCTGGCCTCCAGAACTGTAAGAGGGTAAATTTATGCTGTCTGTTGTTTTAAGACACCAAATTTGTGGTAATTTGTTACAGCAGCTCTAGGAAACTAATAGACTTCCTGTTTCTGGAAACTGGCTTCCTACCAAGCCACATGGGTTTAGCCATGCTGGTACCACAAGACTCTGATCATTACCCCCAGCCCCACCCTCCTCGCAGTACTGGGCACTGATCTAAGTTGGGCCAACAGCATTCATTCCTTGGAAGTTTGGGGATAATGAGAGAAAAACCTTCTTTCTCCACTCTCCTATCTCATTCAAGCCTGCTGAAAGGTCATCTCATTGACACATTCCTTGAAATCCTATCAAAATTCTACTTTTTATGACTCAACATCTTTTACCACCTTATTTCTATCTGACTTTATATTATTTTGTACTTTTTTTCTTTTTGTTCCCCTGATCTCGCCATAAGCATGTAGTCTTCCAAACGAGATCTAATTAAAGAGTTTCTGCACAGCAAAAGAAACTGTCACCAGAGTGAACAGACAACCTACAGAATGGGAAAACATTTTTGCAATCTATCCATCTGACAAAGGTCTAATAACCAGAGTCCACAAGGAACTTAAAAAGAATACAAGAGAAAACAATCCCATTAAACCATTAAAAAGTGGGCAAACTACATGAACAGACATTTCTCAAAAGAAGACATTCATGTAGCCAAAAAACACATGACACACGAAAAAAAGCTCAGCATCACTGATCATTAGGGAAATGCAAATCAAAACCACAATGAGACACCATCTCATGCCAGTCAGAATGGCACTTATTAAAAAGTCAAGAAATAACAGATGCTGATGAAGTTGCAGAGAAAAAAGGAATGCTTTTACACTTAATTTATGAGAGTATAAATTAGTTTAACCATTGTAGAAGACAGTGTGGCAATTCCTCAATGATCTAGAATCAGAAATACAATTAGACTCAGAAATCCCATTACTGGGTATTGACCCAAAGGAATATAAATCATTCTATTATGAAAATACATGCACACATATGTTCATTGCAGCACTATTCACAACAGCAAAGACATGGTGTCAACCCAAATGTCCATCAATGATAGACTGGATGAAGAAAATGAGGTACATGGAATACTATGCAGCCATAAAAAGGAATGAAATCATGTCCTTTGTAGGGACATGGATGGACCTGAAAGTCGTTATCCTCAGCAAACTAACGTGGGAACAGAAAACCAAACACCACATGTTCTCGCTTATAAGTGGGAGCTGAACGATGAGAACACATGGACACATAGAGGAGAACAACACACACTGGAGCCTGTCGGGAGGAAGGCGGGAGGAGGGACAGCATCAGGAATAATAGCTAATGGATGCTGGGCTTAATACCTAGGTGATGGGACGATCTGTGCAGCAAATCACCATGGCACAGGTTTACTATGTAACAAACCTGCACACCCTGCACATGTACCCTGGAACTTAAAACAAAAGTTGAAGAAAAAAACAAAGAATGTAGTCTCCATGAAAGCAGGGACTTGGCCTGTTTGGTTGACTCCTGTGTTTCCTGTACCTCAAATTTGGACTCATGCACAGTAGATCTACAGGAAGACAGACAAAGCTGATCTGAAAAAAAGATATCAAGGCAAAAGATGAAGAGCTCAAGTTTCCATCAGCATTCCAGTTCCCTGTTTTGATCTTTCCTGAGGCCTGCCATATTTCTGCCCTTGGCTTCTGAGGGACATTCTGATGAAATGTGCTCTCCTAAACTTAAGCCAGTTTGAGTTGGTTTATGTTTCTTTTAACTAAACAATAAACTTAGTATACATGATATTTAGTAGGAGCTCCAACATCTTAGCGGAAAAGATAAGAGAATGAAAAACTGAATGAATAAGTGTATAAATTAACTAATGAATCCAATATGGCACAAAACTGGGTTAGTCTTACAAGTGACTAGCATGATTTGAAAATTGTAGAAATGTATTTGCTACCCTCTGAATTCATCTTCTTACCACTAACTTGTGTGTCTGGAATTCCATCACTACAGACATTAGGAACACTCCATTCAATATAATCTTCCTGCAAAAAGAAAAACAGGAACTACTTTAACAGACCTTAGAGAGCTAGACTCTTCTTAATGATTTATAAAGTAGTCACTTTTTGAAGGACTAAGGGAAGAATCACAGACATGGGAAATGGGAGGACAGAAATATTAATTTCAACCTCTTCTCTATTTATTTGAGAGCTGGTCTAGTACTTCTGGGGAATTATGGAATCATGCCATGGAAGACTGATGGCATGGATAGCCCAATGAATGGCCTCTCTGGATCCATGCCTTTTACCATGTGACTCTGTAACTCCTCTCATCAAGAGGTTTGGTCTGTTTTCCCAGTTCTTGAATCTGAGCCATCTTGTGTCTAACTTTGGCCAAAAGAATGGGGCAAAAGTAACACTGTGCCTAGGCCTCATGGGGTGCCTGTGGTTCCTCTATTTCTTGGAAACCTGCCACCTCCATGAAACCTCTGCTGAAGATTGAGAGAAGTGACTCAGTTCTCCCCACCACACCCCTACCTTGGCTGCAGCTGACCAGCTGACATGTGAGTGAAGCCATCCTAGTCCCCAGCTGATCTACAAACTATTCATAGTTGCATGATAGAATCTAGTCAAGCTAAGGCCAAGTTGATGTTATAAACATTTATTGTTCTAATCCACTGAGTTTTGGAATGGCTCATTGCACAGCAATAGCCAAGTGATAAAATAACATTCTACTCTGGAAATCCCAAATCTGAGAATATGTCATTTTCTAAAACCATCTGTAAGTCTTGGACTCTGATACAACCTTCTTTGAGAAAATTTATACTTGGAGGGAGGTTAGGTTTTCCAGGTTGGCCCCAACATCTACTTACTCTCCAATAGCACAGTATCTCCAAGTGTGCCAGTGCTCCCAAGGAATCTTCCTTCAGAGTTTCTCATGGAATGATGGGAACACATCTCCCTTTACTGCAGGCCCACATTTAGGACTCTCACATTCTCCACTCTCATCGCTTACACTGACACTGACCCTTGGACCTCGCACAGAGAAGTCGACTGGGGATTGAGGGGTCTAGAAAAAGATATGAGGAGCTGCAAATAGAGCGGAAGACAGTGAGAACCTGACACAGTGCCACAGGGGGCTGGAGCTGGAATCAAAATTCAGCCTGGGGATGGAGCATGATGAGGAATTTTAATAGAAATTTGAAGAAAAGGCTGAGTGCAGTGGCTCACACCTGTAATCCCAGCACATTGGGAGGCCGAGGCTGGTGGATCACAAGGTCAGGAGATCGAGACCATCCTGGCTAACACGGTGAAACCCCGTCTCTACTAAAAGTACAAAAAATTAACCAGGCATGGTGGCAGGCGCCTGTAGTCCCAGCTACTTGGGAGGCTGAGGCAGGATAATGGTGTGAACCTGGGAGGCGGAGCTTCCAGTGAGCCGAGATCACGCCACTGCGCTCCAGCCTGGGCAACAGAGCGAGACTCTGTCTCAAAAAAAAAAAAAAAAAGAAAAAGAAATTGGGAGAAAAAATGGGTGGAAGTTGGACTAATGGGGAGTGAAAAGCAGCAGTGAGATAGTGTTTGTCTCCCTTTTTTTCCTGTTTCTTTCACCACCGAATCTAAAACAAAGAAAAGGGCCGGGCATGGTAGCTGATGCCTGTAATCCCAGCACTTTGGGAGGCCAAAGTGGGTGGATCACCCGAGGTCAGGAGTTCGAGACCAGCCTGGCCAACACGGAGAAACCCCATCTCTACTAAAAATACAAAAATTAGCTGGGCATGGTGGCACGTGCCTATAATCCCAGCTACTGGGAAGGCTGAGGCAGGAGAATTGCTTGAACCTGGAAGGCAGAGGTTGCAGTGAGCTGAGATTGTGCCACTGCACTTCAGCCTGGGTGATAGAGTGAGACTCTGTCTCCAAAATAAATGAACAAATAAATAAATAAAAAGGATAGACACTGGAAAAACAACATCTCTCCCCTCTACCTACCCACCTTCCCCTCCCCAACTCCATGCTGCGACCATTTCCCTGCTCCTGCACCCACTGTGCTGTGTGGCAGGATGAGAAACTGAGACGGAGGTCCAATGGGGGGACGAGCTGCCTCTGCTCCCAGCCTCCTCCCTTGTCCTTCCCCACCCTGGTTTGCATAGGTGGGATTCCTCTACTAGAGAGTTTGATGGCCAGACTGTCAGTCACTGTCAGTCATGGGTGAGAGCTATTGGAGACTGAGGTTTCTGTGGACCAAGAGGTCTCCACTTTTCTCATCAGTGAGGACTGACACCTCCTGGAGACTCCAGTGTATGTGTGTCAGCTGGAGGAAACAGGGAGGTGCCCCATGGGGTGAGCGGAAGAGTCTTTTTTTTTTTTTTTGAGATAAAAACAGAATCTATAAACATTGTCTGTAGCCCACTCTAATAAATATCCCAGCAGGATCATTTTCATAATATCGTGTGGTTTTCTCCATGTGTTTCACTTTGGCCCCCTTTGCAGGGCAGAGGGGCAGGTATATATACATACGGGTATATATACAGGCCCCAAAGCAGATGTTACTTGCAAAGGCAACTATGGTTTTCCGAATGTTTCAGCCATTAAAAATATTATGCTTCCCAGGAGTCCTGGAAGCAAAGGGGAAATGAAGCATGAGGGCAAAAAGAAAAAAAAAAGGAAGGGAGAAGAGGACAGAGAGGGCAAGAGAAGGAGGAAGGAGTGAAAGTCAGCAGATACGGTGACCAGCGGGACCTTTGCCCACCCTGTCTCCCGCCACTCATGGAAGTGGCAAGAACTTAGAATGGATGCTACAGGGTGCAACCAGAAATGGTGAGGTTTAGGCAGCAGTGGTCCCAGCCTCAGAAACAATTCCCATGCCTCCTGTGTAGAAGCCCAGAGCCAGAACTGGGGGATGACTAAGGGCCTCAATAAAGAAAATGTCAGCAGAATTAGAATTCCTCCAGTTCGTCGGGACTCCATGAATTCTGATGTGACTCTGGGAGAAGAGGCAGGCCCAATACTGATAGGATGTGGGTATGAGGTCTCCGATGTGGATTTATTAAATGAAGATCAAGAAATGGCAATATCTTGCACACCCTGGTTTGTGGATAGTGATTCATACCACCTCACTTGCAGACATATCATGCCTTCTACCTTACTGAATGTATGAATGAGCATCAATCCTGTTTTCTTGGTTCCTTTTGAATCAGAATGAACTTTTTAGATCCCTACTCCATAAACCTTCAGACAAACATCCTGCTCCTGTAGTTCAGTTACATCTCAGAGGTTTGTTATAGCAGCTGATTCAGAGCATGCCCCTTTCCATCATGGCCAGAAAATGAGATAATGAGCATGTGGGAAACAACAAGGAAATAAATTATACATGGGTTTTTGAACTTACAGAATTGATGGAGATTGTCTTCATTGCATCTCAGGACTCTGTGTCATACTTAGAATCACAGTTTGCCTCTGCCAATAGAAAAAATTTGCCGGAAAATATATTAGATGTCCTTCTGAAAGACGTTAACCCCTTTTCCCCTTGCCTCCGCCTATTAAGATTAATTAAATCGGATTACGCATTTGAAGAATTTAGAACAATGCTAGCACATGATAGGAGCTCAGTAAATTATGTTGCCATTGTTGTTTTTATAAGACAGAAATACTCATGCATCAAACTGCTGGTGTCTTAAGGATGAAATCAGTACAGAAAAAACTCCAGCCCAATCCCACAGTTACCCTTGTCCTCAGCTCATAGGAGCAGGTCAGCAGCCCACTCCATAAGCAGTAGGTTGTCAGGAAGCATAAAGGCCTGGACATGGAGCAAAGGAGCAAAAAGAAAAGATACATTTTCTCAAATCCACAGACACTGAAAGCCTATATAAATTTCATTATGAGATTTGCCATTGCTACAGACTCACGTACTATTTTCAGCTTTATTTTGCCTTTTCTTTAAAAAAAAAAAAAAAAAGTCAGCTTGCCGCTGCTAAAATATGAATTGGGACACCTGCCAGCCTTCACCTGAGCTGGCGCACTCTAGTGGGCCTGTCACCATCCTGGCTTGCAGTCCATTCCGGGAGCTCACGACATTGCTGTGGGAGCTCAATGAGATGGTGACCCTTCTCCATTGACCTAATTTCAATGAGGGCATTAAAAATGGAAAATCACAATTTACATGTCATCGAATCTCTTCAGGGAAGAGTGAGAATGTGGCAGCTCTGATGATACAGAGGGAAATTGCTTTTAATTTTGAGGTCTTTATCAAGAGAAACTGAAGTTGTATCTATGTCTTGAAAAACAAATCAAAGGTGAGAGGGGAAGTGGCAAATTCGCACCTTGACTTTGGTCACTGGAAATCTTAGATTACAACAAATGTTGTATACACCAGCCCCCAGACATGACACAAATCTGGCATTTTTAAAGTCTCTATGTCTAAGTCTCTATGTGAGCCAGTGTAGCCTTTACCTGTAAGGGGTGGGATTTAAGCAGCAACATGTTGGAGTTGGCTCACAGAGTCAGTGGTGTGACTCTCTTCCCAACTCTGCATTCCATTGACAAGACTGGTAGCTTGAAGTCAGACTTGGTGGAAATATTGACACCACAGGAAATGGCAAATGCCACAAACCAAGGAGCTTTTTTTTTTTAAGATAGCTAGTTGTTAAATACTTATCAGTATGCCACTAGTTGTAATGAAGGTGAGTATGAGCAACATGAAGGTACCAGGTGCTCAAGCAGAAAAAGGAAATGATAGGGTTGGAGATGGGAAAATGGTAGAAAAGAGGTCCATAAAAAAAAGAGGCCCAAGACAAAGAATACCACCCCTGCTTTGCCATTTCTCTTGAACTGTCTCCCCAGATGCCCCTCTCCAGATTCTAGGGCCCTCCTGTTTCACACTCACCTACCACATTCATTCCTATGTCCACCTGAAACTTGAAATTTATCAGCTATCTCCAAAGACATTTACAAAAGCTGTAGATTTTATTTTCTCACAACTGCTGGGTGTTTTCTCTTCCCAAGTTTTACCCAGATAAAACTTGTATTAATATATTCCACATTAAATCATCTTTCCAAAATATAATACCATGTATCTTCAAACTGATTTGAATTTTTTATTTTAAAAAAACCTGTATGAGAATATAGCAATAGTTCATTTTTATTTTTTTCCTATAAAATATAAGAAAACTATTCATCTATGTGTCAAGCTGCTGGTTTTAGAAACCCAATGCCTGCCTATATTTTATTTTAGTTGCTGAATTAATTGAGTTCTTGAGATGGTGAAAAGTAATAACCTGCTCATAAAAAACCATTATTTCATGCTATTCACTACTTTAACTATGACGGACAACCTGAGCTATACTTGAGATGACAGGTATGACTTCTAAATTATTTATTTTTCTTTCTTTGCTTACTAGCAGGTAAATGTTTTTGTGACACTGGAAAAAATAGAAAGTAAACAATGCAGGAAGTTATAAGCCTGAGACATTAATATAGAGTGCACTCTCTTTAAGACCTTATCTATAGAACTAAACAGTCAAACAAAATACATGGTATACATTTATTCTGAAAATGTTTGGGTTAGATTTCAATTACCCTATTATTGAAGGGCAAAGACTAAATGAACCATTGGACTAATTAAATGTTTATTTGGTGACCAAGACTAAACAGTTAATGTTTAATGAAATTATCTGCTTTAAATAACACTTCTTTATAGGATAATAATGAAAGTGGAAAGTCTTTTCAGATGTGTAATGATAATTAGTTCATCTATATTTCATCTCTATAGACTTTAAAATATAATGTGGTAGATTACATTAATGGCTTCAATTCTTCATTTCCCCTTATAGTTACACCCTTTGCCATGAGAATGCAATTATCCCCAGAAAACTGTGTATTTTCCAACTCCTTGACCCTAAGTTCAGTCATGTAACTTGTTAATAAGTAAAGCATGTGAAAGCTCTTACATGCTTTTACTTGTTTTTCACTTGAGCTTCTGTTGTCACCAAGAAAGAGCATGCCTGGGTTGGCCTATATTCCCAGTAGGAGGAAGGTAAGCATGAGGTAGAGCTACCTCAGATTAGATTCTCTAGCCAAGCCCAGGCATACCCACAGGCATGTAAGCTACAACAGTATATGATTATTATAAGCCATTGAGTTTTAAGGTGATTGGTTACATAAGACAGCTAACTTATATATATGTACTATTACTTCCCATTTTTTTTCTTGAAAAGTAAAGTTTTATATACACAATAGAATTCCTCATTAATACACAAATAATTTTCAAAATCAGCTAGCATTATAACTTTATAACTATAAACTATAGAATAATTTCCTTAAGAATCAACATTATCATGTTACATCATCTATCAAGCTCTGGATTAGTTCAATACAAGAAACATTGACTGACCCATGAACATAATAACAGCAGACCCTGGGAACACAGACTTAATGAAGAGCTCTGCACCAGGGCTCACAGTCTATCAAGGGCCTGGTAATGCCAAGACAAAGAGCCAGGGTCTCTACCAAGTACTTTCCTATATCCAGTTGTGTTTAATTCTGATTTCTTATGTTGAAAGCATTAGTTTGTATAGATTCACATTTAAAAAGACTTGGAGTTTACAAAGGTCTTCAAAGATTCTGATACTATGCAATATCTGAAGATTTTAGACAGATAAGGAGATAAAATTGAAAGGCAGTTATCACTTAAATCCTAGAAGAAAACACAGGAAAAAAAATCAGTGTATTTTTATAGCGATGGTGCTAAGACTGAACTCTTTCCACTAACAATAAATTTTGACTAAATTTTTTTCTTTCCTCCATAGCTGCTGGGAGTTTTCTCTTCCCAATTTCCCCAGAAAAGCCATGAGTTCAGTGTGTGATAAGAGAGCAACAGACATTACTCTGGGAGCTGTGAAGGGATTTGGGTAAACAAATATGAAAGAAGATTAATTTTTAAAAACCCTTTTCAGATAACTTTCTGTGTAAATATGATCTTATATTCAAAATCCACAGTAATTTCATCAACAATGAAATAACAGTCTTAATCATTTCTTAATGCTAATTTCCCTTGTAGATAAGCCTTACAAATTTCTTTCCTACAAAAATGTTCTTAAACAGCTAACCCTGCTAAATCCAAGAGATTTTCTGTCTTCGTCTGTTTTTCATTGTTATAGCAGAATACCTGATACTGGGTAATTTAGAAAGAAAAGAGGTTTATTTGACTCACAATTGTGGAGGCTGGGAAGTCCAAGAAGCATGGCACCAGCATCTGCTCAGGTGAGGGCCTCATACTGCATCACAACATAGCAGAGAAGCAGAAGGGGAAGCAGATGTGTGTGAAAGGGACCAAACATGAAAAAAAGGCTCTGGCTTGAAAATAATTTGCTCTCATGGGAATTAATCCATTTCAGCAAGAACTAACCCAGTCTCATGAGATTAATCCACTTTAACAACCTAATCTCCTCTTAAAGCCACCCCCCACAAAACCACCATATTAGGAAAGAACTCTTAACATGAGTGAGTTTTGGTGGGGACAAACTATATTCAAGCCATAGCAGTTGTTTATACGATATTTTTTAATATTATTTTCTCCAAGACAAAAACTATGATTATCTTAATAAGAAAATTTAAGTAAAATAATAACAGCGGTTCAACGTATTTCACATGTTTAAATGTATAAAATTATTACAACCACCTTGTGATATAGGTGCTAGTACCATCTCCTTTTATAAAAAAGGAGACTGGGACATGGAATGGTCTAAGTAAGTTGCTCAGGGTCACAGAGCTAATAAATAGTAGAGCCAGAATTTAAAGCAGAAAATCTGGCTCCAGAGTCTTTGCTTAGACTGCTAGGCTGGACTGCCTGGCCCAGCCCTCAAAGAAACAAAAAACTGCCTGGCCCTTCCCTGCTGCATATCCTTTTAATGTATTCAGATTGACTCACTAACACTTAACAAAAATATTGGGGCTGGCACTCACTCCATCCTGCTACCCTGTAAAGAAGGTGCCTTCTTCTTCTTTGCCTTCCGCTATGATTCTAGGACCTCCAATGCAATGGCGATTAGAAATGGTGATAGCCAGGGGAGATCTGGCAAGATGGCCGAATAGGAACAGCTCCAGTCTGCAGGAGCATCCCTTGGAGGCAAGCCTGGTTCAACATGGACAAATCAATAAACGTAATCCATCACATAAATGGAACCAATGACAAAAACCACATGATTATCACAATAGATGCAGAAAAGGCCTTCAATAAAATTCAACACCCCTTCATGCTAAAAACTCTCAATAAACTAGGTATTGATGGAAAGTATCTCAAAATAGTAAGAGCTATTTATGACAAACCCACAGCCAATATCATTTTGAATGGGCAAAAGCTAGAAGCATTCTCTTGAAAACCAGCACAAGACAGGGATGCCCTCTGTCACCACTCCTATTCGTCATAGTATTGGAAGTTCTGGACAGGGCAATCAGGCAAGGGAAAGAAATTAAAGATATTCAATTGGAACAGAGGAAGTCAAATTATCTCTGTTTGCAGATGACGTAATTGTATATTTAGAAAACCCCATTATCTCAGGCCAAAATCTCCTTAAGCTGATGAGCAACTTCAGCAAAATCTCAGGATACAAAAT
The DNA here is from genome assembly GCF_000001405.40 of Homo sapiens. Classification (NCBI taxonomy): domain Eukaryota; kingdom Metazoa; phylum Chordata; class Mammalia; order Primates; family Hominidae; genus Homo; species Homo sapiens. The sequence continues at coordinate 130,728,358 of NC_000006.12, forward strand.
CAATGTGCAAAAATCACAAGCATTCCTATCACCAGTAATAGACAAACAGAGAGCCAAATCATGAGTGAACCCCCATTCACAATTGCTACAAAGAGAATAAAATACCTAGGAATAAAACTTACAAGGGATGTGAAGGACCTCCTTCAAGAAGAACTACAAACTACTGATCAAGGAAATAAGAGAGGACACAAACAAATGGAAAAACATTTCATGCTCATTGGTAGGAAGAATCAATATCATGAAAATGGCCATACTGCACTGCGCAAAGTAATTTATAGATTCAATGCTATTCCCACAAGCCAACATTGACTTTCTTCACAGAATTAGAAAAAAACTACTTTAAATTTCATATGGAACTGAAAAAGAGCCCATATAGCTAAGACAATCCTAAGCAAAAAAAAAAACCAAGCAGGAGGCATCATGCTACCTGACTTCAAACTATACAACAAGGCTACAGTAAGGAAAACAGCATGGTACTGGTACCAAAACAGATATATAGACCAATGGAACAGAACAGAGTCCTCAGAAATAACGCCACACATCTACAACCATGTGATCTTCCACAAACCTGACAAAAACAAGCAATGGGGAAAGGATTCTCTATTTAATAAGAAATGTTGGGAAAACTCGCTAGCCATATGCAGAAAACTGAAACTGGATGCCTTCCTTACACCTTATACAAAAACCAACTCAAGATGAATTAAAGACTTAAATGTAAGACCTAAAACCATAAAAAACTCTAGAAGAAAACCTAGGCAATACAATTCAGGACATAGGCATGGGCAAAGACTTCATTTCTAAAACACCAAAAGCAATGGCAACAAAAGCCAAAATTGACAAATGGGATCTAATTAAACTAAAGAGCTTCTGCACAGCAAAAGAAACTACCATCAGAGTGAACAGGCAACCTACAGAATGGCAGAAAATATTTGCAATCTATTCATCTGACAAAGGGCTAATATCCAGAATCTACAAGGAACTTAAACAAATTTACAAGAAAAAAACAAACAACCCCATCAAAAAGTTGGCAAGGATATGAACAGACACTCTCAAAAGAAGACATTTATGCAGTCACCAAACATATGAAAAAAGCTCATCATCACTGGTCATTAGAGAAATGCAAATCAAAACCACAACGAGATACCATCTCACGCCAGTTAGAATGCTGATCATTAAAAAGTCAGGAAACAACAGATGCTGGAGAGGATGTGGAGCAGTAGGAATGCTTTTACATTGTTGGTGAAAATGTAAATTAGTTCAACCATTGTGGAAGACAGTGTGGCGATTCCTCAAGGATCTAGAACCGGAAACACCATTTGACCCAGCAATCCCATTACTGGGTATATACCCAAAGGATTATAAATCATTCTACCATAAAGACACATGCACATGTATGTTTATTGCAGCACTATTCACAATAGCAAAGACTTGGAACCAATCCAAATGCCCATCAATGATAGACTGGATAAAGAAAATGTGGCACATATACACCATGGAATACTATGCAGCCATAAAAAGGATGAGTTCATGTCCTTTGCGGGGACATGGATGAAGCTGGAAACCATCATACTCAGCAAACTAACAAAAGAACAGAAAACCAAACACTGCATGTTCTCACTCATAAGTGGGAGTTGAACAATGAGAACACATGGACACAGGGAGGGGAACATCACACACTAGGGCCTGTCGGGGGTGAGGGACTAGGGGAGGGATAGCATTAGGAGAAATACCTAATGTAGATGACGGGTTGATGGGTGCAGCAAATCACCATGGCACGTGTATACCTATGTAACAAATCTACACGTTGTGCACATGTATCCCAGAACCAAAAGTATGATAGTTAAATAAATAAACAAATAAATTTAAAAATAAATAAATAAGAAGTGGCGATAGCCAAAACCTTGCCATGTTTCTGATTTGAAAGGCCAATGTTTGTTGTAGGTTAAGAAAGTCATTTTTAGTTTACTAGGAGTTTTTATTAAATGTTTAAAAAATTATTTAATGCTATTTTGCATGCATTGAGATGAGTGTATGTCTTCTACACATTTCTGTATTTGGTTTGCAAGCATTTTGTTTTGGCTTTTTAAATTTATATTTATGATAGGACTGTAATATTGCATTCTTGTTATGTCTTTGGTTTTGATATCAGTGTTGTACTAGCTTCATAAAATAAAGAAATATTTTCTCTTTAAAAAAACTATTGGGGCTGAGTGGGTGGGGGGAGCATTTTATGCACAAGGCACTGTGCATAAGGCACTGGAAATACCACATAAACAAGGCCAACAGAATACTTGCCTTGATGGGCTTATAGTCTAGTAAAGAAAGTAACTAAATAAACAAACAAGTAGTTAAAATGTAAAGAAGGTAATCTAGTCTAGAGGTTACAAAAGACCTCCCAGAGGAAGTGGCACTTAAATTGAGATCTGAAAGATGAGTAAGAGTTAGCAAAAGTGGTAAATGTCATTAGCAAAGGCCATCAGCAAGAGAAAACCCAAGAGCAGTCTGGTGTCTGATTTGTGCTGCAAGAGGAAGAAAATGACAAGAGATGAATCAAAGAGGCTGGGATTTATCCTGAAAATAACAGAAACTGTTAAAGAGTTTAAGGAGGAGAGTCACATGATTAGATGTACATCCTAAAAACAAGTGTGTCAAAGAGCACCCCTGGATACCTTCCATTTCTGGCACAAACTGCCCATCCCTAAGCATCTATTACGCTTCTGATGTTAAGCAGCCTCCATTCTCTCCCACTCTGATCTTACCTCTCCCTTCAGTATTCCCTAAGAAAGCTAATGCTATGCCTTGTGAAAACTGTCAGAATAAAACTGAGGTCACTTGTGTGTTTAAAAAGCAAACACACTGACAAATAGAGATGGAGAAGGCCATGAAGAGAGGGTTCTCGTGCTTATATGCCTGATAATAAGAACTATCATAAAAGACTACACAAAACACAACCTTGCATAAAGGCCATCGCAACCTTACAGCAAAAATACTTCTGCAAGGACATTGGCCCAGCAACTGCCTGTCCGAGCTCAGACTGGTGTCACCCTTATTATGAATCTTTGTGGCCAAGAAAAACTATTTTGAAATACTTGGGGCAGGGTGGCCTATGCCCCTTTTCTTACAAGCTCAGAAGAGGAAGATCCCCATCATCTCCCTTGTCATACCCAAATAAACTTGTATGGAGTCTTCCAGCAAAGGCCCACAAATGCCACATTCTGTCATAGTTTTGTCTGCTCTGGTTCCTCCCATCTTAAAACAAAAACAAAAAACAAAATACAAAACAAAACAAAACAAAAACTCTCTTGATCCCTCAGCCCCTCCAGGTTCCATCCCATTTCCCTCCTTTCTCTCACTCTTCATCCACCCCAGTCTGACAAATTTTGCACTTCATTCTCTTGGCTTCTGTGACTTTTTAAACTGCAGGTTTTACTCATACCTCATCAGCTTCTCCTTCAGGGCATCCTTTGCTGGCTCCTCTTTTTTCCAAGGCTCAAACTCCAATTGTTTTTGGTTTTGGTTTTGGTTGTGCTTTGTTTCTGAGACAGGTTCTCTCTCTGTCACCCAGGCTGGAGTGCAGTAGCACAATCATGGCTCACTGCAGCCTGGACCTCCTGGACTCAAGCGATCCTCCCACCTCAGCTTCCTAAGTAGCTGGGACCACAGATGCGCACCACCACACCTGGCTAATTTTTATTTTTTTGTAAAGATGGGGTTTCTCCATGTTGCCCAGACTAGTCTGAAACTCCTAGACTCAAGCGATCCGCCTGTCTTGGCCTCCCGAAATGCTGGGATTACAAGCGTGAGCCACCGCATCCGGCCTCAAACTCCAGTTGCTGGTGTGCACAGGAATGCTATGCTCCCTTGGCTTTTCCACCTGCACTCCATTCCAAGCTGATCTCTTGACAGACGGATGCCTTTAAATATAGTCGAGATGCAAGTGACCCCCAAATGGATATCTCCAACCTGACATCTCCTGCATTTTCATTTTGCATCCAACCCCGAAAGTTAGGTGGCCAGTGCTGTACTCAGTACATGAGTGCTAAACTCATCAATGAGACAAGTGTTAAAAGATAAACTGAGGCACATTAAAAATTTTAAGAGTTTATTTGAGCAACAGTAGTTAATTATTGGTTTGGGCTCTGCTGGAGGAATTTGAAAGAAAGGCTTTTATAGTGTGAATGCAGACACAGAGCATAGAAATTATTTGATTAAAGTTTGTACTTTCGCTTTATTTGGACCATTTTGGTGGGAATCCCTGATGATATAGTTAATGCTCCGTTGGTCACTTGCGATTTCCTGTGCTTAAATTTCATTTTGTTTACAGAGAAACTCAGGGCATTAAAGCCACCTCAGTCTAATGACCCTCCATTTAACTATTTTAACAGAAGAAATAAAGGATCTATAGTGTTGGATTTTATGTCTTTAACTTTCACAGAGAAGCGTTTGTAAATTTCACAGATTCTCTCCCATGCAGATTAACAGGGAAATACTTTCCAAAGAAAATCACAATTGTTTCCCAGGAAAAAATCCACTGTATTAAAACAGTAACTCAGAAAGCAGTCGCATAATTCTGTATGCTATTTTAACCTTTAGGACTTTATCACAAACCTTTTATGCTTATCAAACTACAGAAGGCAGATAAAATGACATGTGATAGCTGGGATGACCTTTCTCTAACATTTGTTTTTTTGGTTCTAAGGAATGCTTTTAGCAGAGATGTCTATTCCAGTTTTTCCTTAAAATGAACATGAATTCCTTTCATTTTAAGTTATAATAAAAACTTCATATTTTATGCCCCCAATTTCTCGGAAGCCTTCTGAAGCCATAGTTTTTGAGCCTATGGACCGTGGCATGCTTTTAAAGCCAATAAATGACCACCCCTTGCCCTCACCAAATTTCCTTACTAATTTCACTCTCTTTTTTACCTTGTTAAATACTGTAATTCTGGTTTTTAAGTTTTTAATAACAGAATTTGCTTTGTGATTGTGATTTTTCTTCTAGCCTTACACTTACTATGATGGTTCAATAATATCCTTTCTCTATTGCCTCTTTTAATAGTTATGCTGTTATTGTCTCCTGCCCTGCTGTGGCCCTGGACTACAGGTCAGGGGAAAGAGACTGGAATTCGAAAGGCAGAGACCTACTTTCTAATCTTGGCTATGCTGCCAGTTAGCCACCTAACCTTAGTATATAAAATTACTAGTATTTTTTAAATGAAGAAACTGAGATCCATGGGATTATATGACTTGTCTGATTACAAAAAGCTAAAGAAACAACACAAATTGTAGACACTGTTATTTTCATCCTCATTCCATAGATCAGTCAATTGTGGCTTCCATTTCCTTACTCCTTCAGTAATAAAACTTGGTCAACTCCTAAATGTAGGCAAGATCTTATGCTCTGAGTTTAACAAATGAGGGAGTTCCAATCTTCTCTCCTCTCAGACCTAGCAACAAAACTCTCCCTCCTTGAGCTCTCCTCCATGGCCAACTAAGGGGATTAGCCCCTGATTTAGGGGTACCTGTATGCTTGCTAGCAAAGAATCCTGTTTGTTCTCTAAGTCACCCAAGCTAATAAAAGCCCCCAGATAGTACATTTTGTGTGAATACTACCTAAGACTGAAGTTGCTGATAAGTTGGGAATATGATCAAGCAAGTGTGTCAAAGAGTACCCCCGGATACCTTCCATTTCTGGCACAAACTGCCCCTCCCTAAGCATCTATTAGGCTTCTGCTGTAAAGCAGCCTCCATTCTCTCCCGCTCTGATGTTACCTCTCCCTTCAGTATTCTCTAGGAAAGCTAACGCTATGCCTTGTGAAAACTGTCAGAATAAAACTGAGGTCACTTGTGTGTTTAAAAAACAAACAAACTGACAGATAGAGATGGAGAAGGCCATGAAGAGAGGGTTCTCGTGCTTGTATGCCTGATAATAAGAACTATCATAAAAGACTACACAAAACACAACCTTGCATAAAGGCCATCGCAACCTTCCAGCAAAAATACTTCTGCAAGGACATTGGCCCAGCAACTGCCTGTCCAAGCTCAGACTGGAGTCACCCTTATTATGAATCGTTGTGGCCAAGAGAAACTATTTTAAAACAATTATGTAATCCTCATTTTTCCTTTAAAAACCTTTGTCTTTCTTTACCTCTCTGAATATGCACACAGATTACTATGGTACACATATTCCCACAGCAATGCTCTGTTACCAAATAAAAATCTTTTCTTTCAGAGAGCCTCTCTCTGTTATTTCAGCTGACGAGGAATGGACAGAGATTAGGAGTACAGCATTTGGTCTGTGGGGCAAGGCTGCGTTGGGCTAATTCTTCCCAGCCCCTTTTCTTCCCTTGTCCCTAGTCCATTTTCCCTTCCAGAGTAAAGCCCTCCCATCTCCTAGAGGCCAGTGAGGTTTTCACTGCCTTTGCCTGCCGTCTGACCCTCCTATTCATTATCTCAAATTGCCACTCTTTCTATACTGCCAACCACTGAAAACTTCAAATTGCATTCCCTGAATCTCAGCTAGACGGTGGAAGGAAAACAATTTAATTCCATTAATTCACATCATTTATTCATTCATTCCATTTGCATTTCTTGAGAGATCCTGTGATTAAGATATCATTCAACGCATTTCTTACGTTTATGTCAAATGATGAACGGTTAATATGATATAGAAAGATGAATGTAAATGATATTTATCAACTGGGGATTTTTTGTTTGTTTGTTTGTTTGTTTGTTTTTGGTTTTGTTTTGTGTTTTAAGACGGAGTCTCGCTCTGTCGCCCAGGCTGGAGTGTAGTGGCACAATCTTGGCTCACTACGACCTCCGCCTCCCAGGTTCAAGCAATTCTCCTGTCTCAGCCTCCCAAGTAGCTTGGATTACAGGCACCCGCCACCACACCCAGCTAATTTTTGTATTTTTAGTAGAGACAGGGTTTTACTATGTTGGCCAGGCTGGTCTCAAACTCCTGACCTAAAGTGATCCTGTCACCTTGGCCTCCCAAAGTGCTGGGATTACAGGCCTAAGCCACCACACCTGGCCAGGAGATTTATAAATAGAGTTATCCAACTCCCAAAAGTGTTGTCAACCCAAATGATTTTCAGTTGGTAAAATTTTAAACTCTGTGATGTGTGGATGCAATAGGAAGAAGGAGGGAGTAACTGATGGTGGAAAAGAGACAGTTACCTAAATTTTACCGTCAGGCTATACTCTCCTTCTGTCTATAAAGAACCAGGGAGTATAAGAGGGAAAAGTGTTCGCAAATCAATTTCCTCTCCCAAAGGGGAGTTAAGAGTTGCATCAAATTCCCTTTTAGCCACCATGCATTTTATTACTGTAACCCAGCAGATAGCCCTAGACTCTGTGATAGGGAGTAAAGTGGCCTAGATAGGTGGTGCAGAGGAAATGAATTCCTTGTACAATAGGAATGGAATCATTCTCGTCTTTGTGTCCATAACAGGACCAAGCACAGCATCTTGTGTAAAATCAATTATTGATGAATTGATTTTCTACTGGAGGAACTCTCAAAAGCATACTCAGCTATAGGACAGTCCTCCTTGACTCCCACAATGCAGCCTACAATAACCCTCAGTGCAATGCTTTTATAGCCCAATGAAATGGGACAACTATCTTTACACAAGGACAGGTACCATTCTGCCTTATGGTATACTAGGTTCTGCCCTGGGCCACCTACCAAGAGCCTGGAGCAGAAGCATCATCCCTAATCAAAAAGCATACAAGACCACAGCACCTGGGTCTCTTGGTTATGGCCCAGAGCAAGTTTGGCATCTTCTCAGGTCCCTTTTCCATTTATTCGGCAGCCCCCACATTTACCTGGGTTGACCCTGTAAAAGAAGGCTAGTTAGAGTCATTTCCATAAGCAGATTTCTACTGCCATGGAAGTTACTTGCAGCTCAGTAGTAATTATGAGCCAATACACTTTGTTGTAAGTTATATCTGATTACAATACTAAATCCCTTTACATTGTCTGAGTCTCATAATGTACTGGTTATCTATTACAATTTTTTGTTGTTTCAAGGACATACTGATTTGAGTTCAATTAGGGATGTTGGTAGTATCTCCTTTTTTAAGAGAACTATCTACAGTGCACCAGTAATGATATTTCAAAGGTAGAAAATGTCATAAAAGAAGTGCTTTCTTAAGAACAAGAAAAAAGAAAAGGTGTGCCATTTAAGAACAACGGTTATGTTTATGTTTAATTTTTTGTGTTAGAACTTGACATCATCCATCAACAAACTAACACATCTGAAAAATTTAAACAAAGAGGCTAAGAAAGAGTAATTGTGATACTCCCTAATACAGCTACTTTTATATCTTTAGACAATTTCATTTTAGATCACATTTATGTGTGTCTTCATTTACTTGTAAGCTGCCAGATTACACTAAAGCAGCAATTAGCTATTCAAAAACAGAATTTTGTATCATGTTAAGCATGATAAAATACTGACCTTTGTGTTCCTTTTTATAATGACCTTGTCATTCTAAAATGACTTAACAAAAAACGTCTCTATCAGTCTAAGTAAAATTTCACATTTTAGTGTTATTTTGGTAATGCTGGAGAGGAAAGGTATTCTTAAAATATGATAAATATTCTGATTGTGAACTTTTTTTTTTTTGAGACAGGGTCTCTGTCGCACAGGCTGGAGTGCAGTGGTACAGTCTCGGCTCACCGCAACGTCTGCCTCTTGGGCTCAAGCAATTCTCCTGCCTCAGCCTCCAGAGTAGCTGGGACTACAGACATGTGCCATCATGCCCAGCTAATTTTTGTATTTTTAGTAGAGACAGAGTTTTGCCATGTTGGCCAGGCTGGTCTCAAATTCCTGACTTGAAGTGGTCCACCCACCTCAGCCTCCTATAGTGCTGGGATTACAGGCGTGAGCCATTGCACCTGGCCCTGATTGTGAACTTTTGATTTGTGAGTCTGAACTTTTAATCAGATGGAGTCATGTGAGTGACAAACCATTAAATTCAAAGGGAGTAACTAGTGGGTTGAGGGAGAAATTTCTGACACTTCAACAACCTTGAGTAATAGCGATCCCCAAGTGATTGCAACAGAGCCCTCAAATCATCAGGTCCTGGTTATGAAGTTTCTGGATCCTTTTTCCTTTGCAGCAGCTTGAAAAATGCAAACATTTTGTATTAGTCCATTTTTACACTGCTATAAAGATACTACCTGTGACTGGGTAATTTATAAACAAAGAGGCTTTATTGACTCACAGTTCAGCATGGCTGGGGAAGCCTCAGGAAACTTACAGTCATGGCGGAAGGCAAAGGGGAAGCAGGCACCTTCTTCATAAGGTGGCAGGAAGGAGAGAAAAAGAGCAAAGGGAAAGTGCCACACTTTAAAACCATCAGCTCTTGTGAGAACTCACTCATTATGATGAGAACAGCCTGAGAGAAACCGCCCCCATAATCCAATCACCTCCCACCAGGACCCTTTCTCAAAATGTGGGGATTACAATTCGAGATGAGATTTTGTGGGAACGCAGAGCCAAACTATATCACATTTCAAACTTGAGAACCTGAACTCTGAACTTGCCATCTAAAATAACTGAAATGGAAAGATCATTTTTCAAACCACTTACTGTAAAATTCAAGAAGCTCGAAGCATCTGCTTTGCAGTAGGGTTTAGTTTTAAAGTGAAATACTGTCTCTCTTAACAGTTTGCTTTTGTAAAGGGGGATAAAAATCCTCAAATTATAATATATATTAAGGCTTTACAATCAAAAGAGAAAGATTTTAAAATCTACTACTGCTAGGAATAAATAAAATCTTTCAAATACTTTTCAAAATAACCCCTCCCCTTCAAAACCCTCTAACCACCTATATTACAATTCAAACTCAAAATAGTTCAGGGGGAAATTTTGCTTGAGATGGATGACATAGCAAATATAGAAAGAATAAGGCTAGGTAAACTATGTCCATGTACAAACTATAACAACCAACTAACAGCTATTGAGTGCCTATGAACAAAACACAGTACTATTCACAATAGCCAAGCTATCAAGATAGGGAATCAACTTGTGTCCATCAACAGATGAATAAATAAAACAAATTCTCTCTCTCATATATATATATTCAATATATGCATATCAATATATACAGATGAATATATATTCAATATTTATAGAGATATATATTTATAAATATATATTTAATATTTATAGATATAAATATTGAATATATGTGATATATATTGAATCGATATATGTGTGTGTGTATATATATATATTTATTTATTTATCTCATATGAGATGGAATACTATTCAGCCTTAAGTAAGAAGGAAATTCTGTCACAGTGACAACATGGATAAACCTAGAGGACATTGTTAAGTGAAATAAGCCAGGCACAGAAAGACGAATACCACATGATCTCATTTATATGTAGAGTGTAAAAAGGTTGAACTCAAATTAACAGACAGTATAATGGTGGTTACCATGGACTGGGATGGGTGTGAAGAGGAAGAAAGGATTAGGGAGATATTGGCCAAATGATACAATGTTTTAGTTAGATAGGAGAAATAAGATCAAGAGATTTTTTCAATACAAAATGGATGCACATGTTTTTGGTGTATGTGATAATTTAATACATTCATATAATTTGCAAATATCAATTCAGTGTAATTGGGATATCCATTATCTTACATATTTGTCTTTGTTTTATGCTGGAAACATTCAAATTATCCTCTTCTATCTATTTTGAAATATGCAATAAACTGTGGTAAACTATATTCACCTACTCATCTATCAAAAATTAGGTCTTATTTCTTCTATCCAATTATTGTATATTTGTACCCATTAATCAACCTCTCTTTATCTTCCCATTATCCTTCCCAGCCTCTGGAAGCAGCAATCTACCCTCTATCTTCACGAGATCCACTGTTTTAGCTCCCACACGAGTGAGAACATGCAATATTTGTCTTTCTGTGCTTGGCTTATTTCACTTAAAATAATGACCTCTAGGTCCATCCATGTTGCTGCAAATGACAGGATTTTATTCTTCCTATGCCTGAATAATATTCCATTGTGTATATATATCACACTTTATTCATTCATCCATTGATGAGCACTTAGGTTGATTTCAATATTTTGACTATCATGAATAGTGCTGCAATAAACAAAGCCGCTTTCTGCTAATTCCAACATCTGGGCCATCTGTTGGTCTATTTCCATTGACTAATTTTTCTCAACTATAGGTCACATTTTTCTATTTTTCAAATGTGTGGCGTTTTATATTGCATACCTGACATTGTAAATAATATATTACAGAGAATATAAATTTCATTATCTTCCTCTGAAGGGTGTTCAATTTTGTTCTAACAGACAATCGTATTACTGAATGAATACCTTGAGCCTGGGAAATCTTGGTTTTAGTCCTTCTTAGAGTAGGTCTATTTTAATTTTGTCCTTAGTCCCTGGGCAAATCTCTCAATCTAGAGAGAAGGTCTTTTTTCTCCTCTAGGGCCCTTTTAATAGCTTCATTGAAATAAAATTTATGAATCATAAAATTTATGCATTGTAAGTATATAATTCAGTAATTTTTGATACATTTATAGAGTTGTGTAACCATAATCACAATCCAGAATTTTTAATTTAGAATTTAGAATTTTCCTTTTTTTGTTTTTGTTTTTTGAAACAGGGTCTCTCTCTATCACCCAGGCTGGAGTGCAGTGGTGCAATCATGGATCACTGCCGCCTCGAACTCCTGGATTCAAGCCATCCTCCTATCTCAGCATCCTGAGTACCTGAGACTACAGGCACTCACCACCACACCTGGCTAATTTTTGTATTTTTTCATAGAGACCCTTCTTGCTATGTTACCCAGGCTAATCTCAAACTCCTGGGCTCAAGCGATCCTTCTGCCTCAGCCTCCCAGAGTGCTGCAATTACAGGAGTGAGCCCAGTTTTTTGTTGCTTCTGGCAAACTCAATATAACATAAAATTTGCCATCTGACCCATCTTTAAGTGTACAGTTCAGTGACATTAAATACATTCACATTGTTGTGCAACCCTCACCACCATTCATCTCCAGAACTTTTTTACATCTTACAAAACTGAAACTCTGTATCTGCTAAACAACTCCCCTTTCCTGCTCCTTCAAGCTCCTGACAACCACCATGCTACTTTCTGTCTTCATGAATTTGACTACTCTAGGTACTTCATATAAGTGAATCATACAATATTTGTCCATTTGTGACTGGCTCATTTCACATAATGTCCTCCAAGATTCATTCATGTTGTAGCATGCATCAGAATTTCCTCCTTTTTTGAAGGCTAAAAATATTTCACTGTGTGTATATACCACATTGTTTATCCAAAATCTGGTTTTAGAACATTTCCATCACCCCATAAAGTTCCCTTTTTTTCCTGTTTATAATTGATTGCCACTCCCCCCCGCCAACCCTAGGCAACCACTGATCTGCTTTCTGCCTCCAAGTTTGCTTCATCTAACGATTCACATAAATGGAATCATACAGTAGGTAGTCTTTTACATCTTGCTTCTCTCACTTACCATGATGTTTAAGAGTTTGGAGAGGAGGTCTTCACTTCTAAGACATGGCCCTGCTGGAATTTTAATGGAATCCTGAGACATTTACAAAACCAAAAGTGGGTCTTGATCTCCAAACTCTGTCTCCCCTATGGTGGGTGGCTGCTGAAATTTATCCACAGGTCTTTCAACTTTCCAGCTATACTTTTTCTTCTGAGTTCCTTGGAATCTCATGCTACACAAGTAAACTGAAAAGTTAACCATGAAGTGGGGATAGTTAATAGAAAGATTTGGGGGCTCCCAGTCTTTCTGAAAGACTTCCTCCTTTCTGAGATTTATCCTCTCAATTTCCAGCTATTCTGGTGCTCAGGCTAATAAGATTAAGGCTGTCTCCTGGAGATGATCCTCCATGCCCTGGATGGGAGCATGCCTCCAGAGGAAAAGCTGAATAATATGAGTCTTACTTACTGTGGTTGCTTCTTCTAAATGTTGAATGCCTTCCCGATTCTACCTCCTTTTGATCACTCTCCAATTATTTTAAACATTTGCTTTCTACGTTTTGTCCAGAATATACCACTGTAGTTGGTAGGAGGGTAAGTCCCAAAGAAGGTACTGCACCACCACCAGAAGACTTTATGGCAAGCTGTTTTTCCATTAGTGGGAAGAATAGAATTTAAAAAGAGATTCAGGACTGCGTAATTAGGATATCATCACTTCTGAAATGGCGAAAACTTTAGCTATAATTTCTTTAAGAAAATGAATATTACAATTAAGTTTACAAGAATAGTACTTAACTACCTGTGGGGAAAAGTTCTATAGGCTTCTGGTCATTTTGCATTTTTCTTTGTTTTAAAACACTTAATTCTTTGTGATAGATATTTCTAAGCATTTAACTGCCATTGGATAAATAGATACTAATGAGAACAGCTAACATTGGTTGAGCACTTATTATGTGCAAATACTGTTATAAAAGCTTTGATGTATTAACTCTTAATATTTCCAAAAGAGAGTTCACCCAGCTAGTAGCAGCTTTAGGGATCCCAGATCCCAGGGATCTGCGCGTAGCACCTGTCCATTTAGCCATTTCGCTATCGGGAATATCTCACCAGGATGAGAACTTGAGGACAGGTTGTTCACTCTTGACATCTGCTAGTTGACCCAGTCCTGAAATGGGCTAGGCATGCCCACCTTTCATGTTTCTGGATAGATCTAGACAAGATTGGGTGACCTGAATTCCTTGAGAGGACAAATGAATCCGTTTCTGATGGAGCTACTTTATGAGCACACTAATGGATCCGTTGGTTTTCTGTGTATGAAGGAAGAAGAAGCTGGAACACTTGTTAAGCTTCACAACTGAGATGTTCCAGGATTCTGCTGCCTTCTCTTTGGTCTTCTGGGAGGAACCATTTTTCACATGCGTCGTCCTTAACCGCTCAAGCAGCAACTGAAGCAGCTTTTCTAATTATTCCTGCCGAACATAACCAATTGACCCCTGACAGTTGTCAGTTAGGCAGAACCTGTGCCCCTAATGAGAAGGCACAGCTAAATGCTGCTCTGATTATCCACTGGAAGCATTTTCATTAGATGCTAAACAGCCGTCTAATTTAGTTGTGACAGAAGAGGGAAAAAATGAATGGAATGTCTTGATGGGTCAGAATAATGCCAACTTGCAGACCTAAACATTCCCCCGGCAAAATAAGATCTTACTGGAAATAGATATGTCAATATATTAACAGAGGTTACTTCTGGGTGGTTGCTCTATAGAACATTTTTATTTTCTTGTTTGTGCTTTTCTGTACTTTCTGTATTCTAAAAAAAAATACAAATTACTTTTGGATTATGATTTTTTTTTAAGATGAGGTATAGGGTAGATATATCCCTTGCTGTCCTCCTTTCAGTATACAGATGATGCTCAGAGTCTTCCCTCAGAAAGCCTTAAACCATCCCTAAAATCTAAATAATCCCTAAAATAAAAGTGTAAACTGACCCAGAATTGTAAATTTCTTCTAAAACGTGTCTAGCTTCTTAGTTTCTTATAAATATCGAGAACAGGATATATAATTTTCCATTTAAGCCCAGCGCATGATAGATATATAATAAACATCTCTTGAATAAATGCATGAAAGAATAAGTGAATGAGTGGATGAAAGAAGAAATAATATATTTAATCAGGAGTTTTTCAATTACAAGTTTCTGAAAATCTAACATAAAGGCAACATTATCAGTTACTATACCTATTAGGATAAAGGTCAAGCTGGACTCAGGTGTATTTTCCTTATGTTATAGCTGTCTATGAATTGGCTTCAAATCCTCTCTGGCTTCTTTACAGGCTTGTCACACAGATGTAACTCTAGACAGTTCTGGGGTTACATTCTTAGAGCTTTCAATGCAAAGTAAGAGAAGAGCTTTGCTTCACTCCCAATCTAGGAATCCCAGTAAGTCTTTACCTGAACTAGCATGAGTCATAAGCCCACCCCGGTAGCTAACTTGGGAGGGCACTGTGACTCTGAGAGTCCCTCCAAACCCATGGAGCTGGAAAGAATCCCTTAGAGGATAAAAGTGGAAGTGCAGTTACCAGAAGTAAGCGGGGAGGCAGTTTGGGCAGAGAAAACTAACAAATCCTCTAGAGAGAAACATTGTGAACAAAAATTATAACACTTATCACAACTGCAATTATTATATGCAGGTCCCATATAAGCCCTTCACACCCATTTTCTCAAAGCCATTCCACAATCCTCAGGCACTAAGGATCTGGGACATTAAGTGAGTGAACTGAGGCCAGAATAAATGCCGGACAATGAAGAGCTTAATGTTATCTAATAGTAGAGGTTAATAGAATCTAATGAAAATGTTTTCAGCTTCTTCATGTCTGCTGATAACATGCTTGCTTTCTTTTTCAAAAAAAGAAAAAAAAACACATCTCTGAGCAAAATTTAGTGCTATGTTGCTGACATACATTTGAATTTGCAATTGTATGCCTTCCCTGTGACTCTGGCAACAAAACATTCTAGCTTTTCATGTATTGACAATAGAGTATATGACTTACATTTTTTAAAAATGTGTTTGTATATGGCCATCGGAAGGTAGTGCACTGCAGGCTGGGCACAGTGGCTCATGCCTGTAATCCCAGCACTTTGGGAGGCCGAGGCTGGCAGATCCCTCGAGCCTAGGAGTTCGAGACCAGCCTGGCCAACATGGTGAAACCCAGTCTCTACAAAAAATACAAAAAATTAGCCAGACGTGGTGGTGCACACCTGTAATCGCAGCTACTCGGGAGGCCGAGGTGGGAGGATCACTTGAACCTGGGAGGCGGAGGTTGCAGTGAGCTGAGATCATGTCACTGGACTCCAGCCTGGTGACCAAGTGAGACCCTGTCTCAAAAAACAAGGTAATTGCACAGCAGTGGTCCAGAGAACAGGATCTAGGGCTAGATCTGGGTTTAAATCCAGGCTTCTAATGCTTGCTTATTACCTGTGTGACCATGGAGAGATTACCTAACTCTACAGGACCTTGATCTCCTCATATGTAGAATGGGGATGAGAATCAGATTCTCTTAATGGACTTCTGTGTGGATTACAATGCTTATTCCATTAAAGGGTTTAGAGTCAATAGAGGCTCTTAATTTTCTTACTGATCCCTTTGCATCCCTAGGAGCTTTTTGAGATCTTCTCACAGTACTTGTTTGGTTTTGTTTTTGTTTTTATCCCAGATCCACATCAAAGTGGAAATATAGTTATTGTTCTCATTATAGAGGATGCATTCATCCCTCAATTCACAGCTGCCTTGAGATATTGGGGAAATCATTTCACGGGTCTTGGTTTCTGAAGAATTGAGTGTCCTTACAAATATCAACTAATTGACTCTTTTGTATTCCACAGTGTTGCACTCTCCAGCTGAGACTGATGCTCAGTGAAAGCAAGATGAAAAGATTCCTTGTGGCAAGGACACTGTAAGTCTCAGCAGCTGAGCCAGGGCTTTCACCGCATCAAAGAAATGAGATGGCCATTAGATAACTTGTTCTGTTATGTCAAAAACCCCAAACCCAGAGTAAAATAAAATAAAATACAGGCTTAAACCTACAACAAATTTCAAAGCTGGCAGATTGAACTTAAACTTTGCATAGTTCAAGTTAATCATGTGACAATATTGATGTCTAAATAATAAAACTGATTATTTATTTGTCTGGATTTGCTTTTCAGTTACTTATTAAGAAGATAAAGGTCAGCACTTTCTTCTGCCTTGCCTTCCTAGGTTAGCTGAGAGTCCTCTGAGAGCAGAGATTCAGAAGAGGAAATGAACAGATGTAATGAACCAATTCATATTTTTCCTGTGTGCTGGCAGCTTTTTCAGGTTCTCAATTTTTAATAATAAAGAGCATATGCAGTTAACAACATCAAGATGTGCCTAGAAATCAGAGACAGTGGTGATAAAGTTGAAAACACTCCCATCAGAGAGCAAATAACTTGCTCCAACATTTATTTAGGTATAAGGTTTATTTGTCCACTGGTCTTATGTTTAATGGGTTGATTTCCTTATGATCCAAATATTTGAAACATGATCATCTTTACTACCTATTTTATCACTCTATGAAATTGCGCTTTATTGGCTTTCAAGAAAAGAGACTAGTACTGATATGAAAGGGACCACCCACGGATGCAACAGCCATGAAAAAGATATATTTGCATTTTGAAAAAGAAAATATTTAAATTCCCTTGTTTTGAATCCTTTCTCCCCTGGAGATGAATATTCATGCTTGATAAATATTCACTCAAGGCCTTTTTGACATTTGACCTGTGTGAAGTTTGTAAAAACACAACCTGGAAGTTAAAAATCTCTTCCATGACTGAAAAGTCTTTGCTGATGGTTCTCAAAATATCCACAAATACACTTTTAAAACTTTTTACTCTTTTCACATTTTTTTTTCTTTTTTTGCTCTTTAACTTGACCTGGTTACCCACTTTGTCCCATGCCTGACACATGGAGTTTGTTCAAATCCCAAATGCTCCTGGTGCTAAACTGCAGGCCTAGATGGAGGTGAAATGAAGAAAACTTCCAGTGTTGGTGAAGTTTACATTCTAAGACTGGATTAGCTTAGATTTTTATTTTTAGTATTTAGTTTTAAGATATGCAGTCTCGCTCTCTCACCCAGGCTGGAGTGCAGTGGCACAATTACAATTCACTGCAGCCTCGAACTCTTGGTCTCAAATGATCCTTCCATATCAATCCCCTAAGTAGCTGGGACTACAAGCATGCATTATTGTGACAGGCTTTGTGTGTGTGTGTGTATGGGGTCACTGTTGTCCAGGCTGGTCTTGAACTCCTGGCCTTAAGCAATCCTCTCACTTCATCCTCCCAAAGCGCTGGGATTACAGGCATGAGCCACAACTGGATGAGAGCTTAGTTTTTTGGTTGGTTGGTTGGTTGGTTGTTTGAGACAGAGTCTTGCTCTGTCACCTAGGCTGGAATGCCGTGGTGCGATCTTGGCTCTCTACAACCTCCATCTCCTGAGTTCAAACGATTCTCCTGCCTCAGCCTCCGGAGTAGCTGGGATTACAGGCAACTGACACCACATCCAGCTAATTTTTGTGTTTCTAGTAGAGATAGGTTTTCACCATGTTGGCTAGGCTGGTCTTGAACTCCTGAACCCAAATGATCCACCCACCTCAGCCTCCCAAAGTGCTGGGATTACAGGCATGAGCCACCACACCCAGCCAAGAGCTTAGTTTTTAAAGAAACTACACTGCTTACAATAGTAGTCAAGATAATTTTCTGGGAGGGGTCAGTATAATTTAGCATTCATAACCATAACCTATAACTATGTAAAAATATTCCAATGATAACATTTTAGATTTAAAAAGTTTTAAATAGCCAGGCATGGTGGCTCATGCCGGAAATGCTAGTACTTTGAGAAACCAAAATGGAAGAATCACTTGAGATCAGGAGTTTGAGACCAGCCTGGGCAACATAAAGCAAGACCTGCATTTCTCCAAAAAAAAATAAAAATAAATCAGCCAGGCTTGGTGCATGCATCTGTAGTCCTAGCTGCTCAGGAGGCTGAGGTGGAAGCATCACTGGAGCCCAGGAGTTTGAGGTTGCAGTGAGTTGTGATTGCATTATTGCACTCTAGTCTGAGCAACAGAACTTAGGCTTTAAGACCTGTCTTAAAGAACCGTATTCTTTTAAGTTGTAAGTTTAGGTGTTGAATCATGTTTGAATTTTTATACATTTAAAACTGTTTTTTTTTTTTTTTTTTACTGTACTATTTCTTTCAAACATTAAAACTCATGACTTAGGCTTCTGATGGGCTAAAAATATATCCTAACTAATGTTTAGCCATGAATTCCACCACATCAGCTTATATGAATAGTGCCTCTTCACCCCAAATCCAAGCACGGGAAATTTGCAATTCCCTCAAAGGATTGTAAATGAGCCCAGTGTCAAGCTGCCAAAGTAAATTAACAAGATTAAATTTTGTGATACTATCTATCAGAAATTTAAATGACTAGTAATTAAAAGAGTCCTTGCTCTCTTGTGACACATGCAGCGTGACGAAAGAGTCCTAATATGTTACCTCTCTGCTTCTGCCTGTTTTATTATATCTGACTGGGCACCAGGTGGCTTATTCTGTAGGGTGTCTTATAGTTCATGAAATTCTAAAAGTGAAACAGAAATACAACACAATAAATATTTTATGGTATGGGTGAATATATGCTCCTCAAAGGTCTCCTGCACCCTTGAGTTTTATCACAGCATTTTCTATAATCAGATAACTTGTTATGATTATAGAACATATTTTTAATACACATGAGGAAGTGACTCCCCATAATTCATCACCCTGAGATAATCACTATTAATCATGGGTGTGTGTGTGTGTGTGTGTGTGTGTGTGTGTATTTAGGTCCAGACGTTTTGCTATTTATTCTGAAATAATTGTAACCATATGACATAAAACAAAAAATTGCATAAATTGATTTTAAAACATCTTTTTCTGATTATAAAAGTAATATAGTGACATTATTGAACATTTGGAAAATAAAGAAGATGAAAATAATTGAGGGTCCCACCCAGAGATAATCACTATTTAATATTTTCATAATTTTAAATATGACCTTTTTTCTTTGCATATTTTATATATTTAGAAGTACACAATAGGTAATAATTTTTTGGCATAATGAGCAGAGAAATAGTGTAAAACTTTGGTGGAAGATGCTGTGCAGAGAGGCTAGTAGCAGGTAATATATTCACTTATTTATCTTTTTTCCTTAGAAAAAAGTAAATTATTCAGGTCATTAAAAATGAATTCTAAGGAAATAGAAAATGTTTGCAGATTACTTGGCAATAAGAATGGTTTCCACTATTTTTCCAGGAAACTCTGTTATGTGTATTGAGGGGTGAGGAGACAGAGCTTGGAGAAAAGAAACTTCTGGTTTTGTTGCTTTTCCTAAGTTCAGTGTCGTAACTGCATTTAGCTACTGTTAGCAAGAACTGGAACCCAGCCTCATCAAGTAATGTTTTAAACAATCATCAGATATAGTGAGGGATTCCCCCTGAACTCTGGGGTGAAGGATGGCACTCAAGAAACACATTTTCTGGAACTGTTGTGGGAAACGCAGAAGCAGAAGAGAAACAGTTGAGAGAGCCCAATTCTATGAAGGTTTGTCCCAGACTATTCAATATTCAATGACACCACCTATGCAATTTTATTTCTACATTTGGAATTCAAACTAAGTAATTTAAGTTCAAGAGCCTCTTTATAAAGTTGGACTATTGCTGAATTTTTTTTTAACGTAATTCATCTTGGCTGGAGTAATCCTTTAAGTAATTTTTCCAAGAAAGGTACACATGTAGGCTCTCTGGGCATTTTCATACCTGAGGACGACTTTGCAGACATTCTCAGTTCATGATCTTTTTGTTGTAAATTCTGTAGACATTGCTCCACAGCTTTTTGCTAATTGGTATTGCTGGAGAAATATCTTAAGTCAGTAATTTTTGTATTTCTGTAAACAATGAATTATTTCTGCTTGATCTCATAGGTTTTTTTCCCCTTTATTTTTCTGTCTTCATCCATTAACTGTCATTGGATTCTGATATTGAAACTAAAGAACTGAATTGACAAAGGATTCTTTGGGGTGCCACTTTGCCAGCCAGAAATTTCCATGGTCGGCAGTGCTCCTTCCAGAGCTTCACTCGGCTCCAGGCTCACCGCTGGACTTGCTCTGCCCACTCAGCCTGGCAGGTTGCTCTTGGCTCCTGCTACCAGCCCAGATCTCACACCCACCAAGGGCAAGCCAGGTGCTCTGGCTGCTGCAGCATGACGGGCAGCTACAGGTCCCATAACAGGTGCCAGCTCCATGCGAGACTGTGGCTGGACCAAGCATACTGCAAGCAGCTTCCAGCCTGGGCACCAGCATCTGGATGAGGGGAATACGGTGGCATCTGAAAATCTCAGAGATGCCAGCAACCACAGAGATGCAAAGGGGGTGTTATGCATGTCACAGCTCTGGCTCAGGGAGTCCCAAGTTCTGGGCCCCAGAAGGGTTGCAGCTTGTTCATGTCACAGTTCATTCTTTCCCACCATCCACACACTTCAGCAAACAGGGGCATGTCCCAGCTCCTTCGGTCTCACTGCCCCATCTCGGCCCACAGCTCCTGGGCAGGCCCAGTCCCACTGCCACTTCCCATCATGTGGGGTACACACCCCCTGCTGGCAGTGGACAGGAGTACTACAGGGTTACAGCTCCTTTCACACCCACTGTTCAGCAGTCCCAGGTTCTTGTCCCGTGTCCAAGAAGAATGAGGTTACATGGATGACTGAAGAGTGAGTGAGGCAGAGAAGAGTTTTATTGAACAACAGAATAACTCTCAGCAGAGAATGGACCCAATGTGGGTAGCCCCTACCCAAGGCAGGTAGTGCCAATGTGTGGCTGAGTCCAGGGTTTTTATGGGCTCAGAATAGGGGAGTGTGTTTGACTGGTCCCTGGGTGAGCCTAGAAAAAGCACCATTTGATTGGCTAAAAGGCATCAAGGAAGTTCTTACTCCAGTCAGAGGCTTTACCCGGAACTGGCAGCTTGATTTTCAGGCTTTAGTTTGTCTTTAGTTTGAAGGTTGGGTTTCACTGGGGATCAGCCTCTGTTTCCCTCTTGCTGCTATCACCTTTAAATCCTAAGGTGATCATTTGGTATTTATATGCAACAAGAATACTACCCAATGGCATGTGATGCACCTGTGCTCTCATGACTAGGCATGACACCCTCACCAGCCCTCAGCTAAATGGGTTCGATATGCTGTTTCAAAGACAAGTATTGCCATTCCAGTGGTGTCTGGCCATAGTGGGTTTTCTGAGCCACAGGAAGACCAAAGTTTAATTATTTTTCTAGAAAATGATGACAACCTTGGAGTGCTCTTTTTGACTGCAATGCTTCACCTCTTGATTGATGGAATTTATGCCAAGATTGAGAAGAATATTTTGCCATGAAATCCTAGCCAATCAGGGAGGGAAGAACATCTGACTTGGAATCTAACACCCTCTAAAATGAACTCCTGAATGTTACAAAGAAAAGCAACAGCTGAATGTATGTGGGAAAGGTTGGGGATCACATAAAATTTGGTTTAATTATACAGCAATGGTTGAAATTTTTCCTCAGGATGTAGCACTCTCCTTTAATTGATTTAGCTTAGATCTCAGTAAACTCCTTTAAGGAATTTTATCAATTTCAAAAATATCTTTAATTTTGTGCCTTCACTCATTTTTCTTTTGAGACAGGGTCTTATTCTGCCACCCAGGCTGGAGTGCAGTGGCACAATCATGGTTCACTGCAACTTTGATCTCCTGGGCTCAAGTGATCCTCTCACCTCAGCCCTTGAGTAGCTGGGACTACAGGCATGCAACACCACACCAGGCTCATTTATATATATATATATTTTTTTGTAGATACAGGATCTCTGCCCTATATTGCCCAGGCTGGTCTCAAACTCCCAGGCTCAAGCGATCTGCCTGCCTTGGCCTCCCTAAGTGCTGGGATTAAAAGTGTGAACCACCGCACCTGCCTATTTACTGTTCTTAATACACTTACTTTCTTGTTTCTTTCTCAGAAACACAAATATAATCCTTACAAAACACCTTGTCTCTATGTTCCAAATGACTATTATCCTCTAATGTTCAAAAACCTGTTTTTCCCTTTCTTTTGCAATCTGGGAGATCTTCTTAAGTTTGTTCTCCATATCACTGATTCACTTTTCTTCTGAGCTATGCTTTTTACTGACAAAAAGGTAAATTTTAGTTCTATTTTAATTTTATTTTCTTGACATTCTTTACCACCCCAGCCAATTTTAAATGAAAATTCTTTTTTCATTTCATTCTAATTTTCCCTTAATCCCAGCTGGTTTTCTATGTCTGTTGGCTTCTCTTCCATATAGGCAGTGTATTTTTGCAATCTATTGAGGATACCAAACAATTCTGAAAATGTTTGGCTCATGCACTATATATTTTTTTAAGTTTACTCTTACTGTGAATCTTAAGGATAACAGTCCTAGGCAAGTTTTAAAATTTATCCTTGAAACAAGCAATCCATGTTGTGGACAAAGTCAACATGTACACCTTCCACCCAAATGTCTGGACCTTGGCATGCTCATCTTGTTCCAGGGTGACTCTGCAGTGCTGAGATGGGATATTTTACCCTGGCTCTAATTCCTTTCAACCTGATAATCTGAACAAATGAGATACAACAAAAAAGTATATAGTTGTAATAGTAGAGAAAAATATAGTAATTCCTCAATATCCTTGAGGGATTTGTTACAGAACCCCTCACAGATAGCAAAATTCTCAGATGCTCAAGTTCCTGATATAAAATGGCCATAGTATTTGTGTATAACCTATGTATATCCTCCCATATACTTTCAATCTCTCTGGATTACATATAATACCTAGTGCAAAGTAAATACTATGTAAATAGTAGTTTTGTATTATTTAGGGAAAAATGACAAGGAGAAAAATCTGCACATTTCACTACAGACACAAATGTCCTTTTTTTAAAAAAAAATCAATTCGCAGTTGGTTGAATTCATAGATGCAAAACCCATGGACACAAAGGCTGACTGTGCTTACACCAAGCTTTTTGTTTCTGTCAGAATCTACAAAATAGTGGGAAATCCCCCCTCCCTCGTGTCAACTCATCTCCTCCTACTTTTACCCTAGTGCATTAAGGAGGTGTAATTTCTGAATGGATGCAGAACAGAGGGTGGGGGTCACAGGCGTGGCAGCCTCCTTCATTAGAGGTTACCATCTAGACATCAAGGAAGTATTGCTCACTTCAGAATTAATGGATCAATAAAAGTACTGAAACTCTTTTCCTATCCATTCAGGTGTCTTTTCTAGTAGTCCTTCTAATACTAAAAATTGAATATTTACAGCATTAAACACAGATAAATACCATAAATGAAATCCGATTTATAGTTGTCACTTTGGCTACTGAGTCTCTGAGTGGTCTTATTTTTTCTGTGTTGCATCTTTTGGGTGATAATACAGTGTAAAGACAATCTGTAACAATTACTCAATGATGTGAAACAAGATTCATTGCTAATATGTTCATGTTGCATTTCTAGACATTGTGCAATGGCATAATTCTTCACTTGCTAAGGCCACAACTTGATGCTCAAGGTCACAGTGTAAAATACTTTAACTTCATGGAAATTACAGTTTGTAAAGGATGTTAAGCAAGAAAAATCTTACCCATGTTTCACAGGGATTATAAGCACTGCTGGTAATTCTTAATGTGTCGTAGAACCAGTATTTGAATCCAACGCTGCAGGGAATCTCGGAAAGCTGAAGACAAAAAGATAACACTTTAAGTGTAGATTTCTTACTGCTTCTGTTGATGCTTATATTGAGTGTGATGTGGTTACAGTTTAATTGTAATGACTGTGACTCTAACTATAATAATTGATCAACTGTAGTGTTTGTTCAAGCCAGTTTTCAATTCTCTTCCTGAAAAATTCATCTTTTAAAGTTTCTACATTGATTTTTAGCTTCTCAAAGAATTTTTAAAAAATATTCCTTTCAGCTATTTGAAGTACATTAAAAATATATTTTCCATACTTTTAGAAAAGACCTAAGCCATTCTGAGTTCAGAGAAGAACACATGTTTACATTAGAAGTTAAGGAAAACTGATCTGCATTAACCTTGGGAGTAGTCAATGTACTTAAGTGGAATCCATAACAGTAGCTTATCCTTTTGTGTATTTTCAATCATGAATGCATGGTTTTACCATTGGTTTACAAATCTAGGTTTGCATGTGTCTTCAACCTGTTGTGCCAATTAATGGAAGGAATGTGGACAAAAAGAAAATAAATAATAATCTCCCACTGTCCCATCCCTGCTGTCATACTCAAGGGCTGTGCCTATTCTTGTTCCCCTACTATCTGCATGCTTCTTCAAGGAACTGGGGAATAGTAGATTGGCAGAAAGGTCCTAGGTGAATGGATGTATACCCTGACAGGCTGGCTTGTGATTATGCCTATAATTGTATTCTTGCCCTCCATGGCTGTCATCTCTGGAGTCCTGTTATCTATTGTTTGCATTATTATATAACTCTTCGGTATATTAAAATTTTGCCTTTTCAACTAAATTTTCAGTCCTGAGTGTCAGCGGCAGAACCTATGAAACTCTTTTGTATATCTCTCATATATTAGGTGTTCAATAAACATTTGTTGAGTCAAGCAGAAGCGCATGCAACTGACAACATATAAAAATGTTCCTACACACTCAGGGAATCAAGGTATTCAAATTCTTTTTATGTTCTGGCTAAAAGCATAAATGAAGGAATTATTTTTGTTTTAAGCCTCATTAACTTTCTTGATTTAGTAATATATCTGAAGGTTCTTAATGAAGAAGAAAATGTATGTTAAGATGTCAATCAGAATACAAAATTACATATACTATATAATTTCAACTAGTATCAGGAAAAGGTTAGAAATACTTATCTCTGGGTGATTAAATGATTTCTTTCCTCTGCTTTTGGCTTTTCTGGATTTTTGACATTTTTGGCCCTCAGAATATTTACTTTTGTAATCAGAAAAATATTTAAGAAAAAAAATTTGTAGTCCTTGTATGTGTGTGCATATATATGTGTATGTGAGAGAGAGAAAGAATGAGATTTTTCTCTTTAAAGTAAAATAAGAGAACAACAGTAACAGGCTCTAAATAAAGTTGGGTTGTGATGAATCGTTATTTTACTGAAACATGTAGAGTAACCTGATATAATAAAAGTCATTTTATTTAACATTTTATTAACCAGATCTCTAGCTCCATATTTATCTCTATTCTGTGTAACATATCTTCTCAATCTCTCACTGTTTTTTTTTTTTTTTTTTTAGATCTCTGTCACTTAGGCTGAAGTGCATGGCACAATCTCTGCTCACTGCAACCTCCACTTCCCAGGCTCAAAGGATTCTATAGCCTCAGCCTCCTGAGTAGCTGGGACCACAGGCATGGGCCACCAATGCCTGGCTAATTTTTATGTTTTTGTAGAGACTGGGTTTCGCCGGGTTGCCTAGACTGGTTTCAAACTTCTGAGCTCAAGGCAATCTGTCCGCCTCTGCTTCCCAAAGTGCTTGGATTACAGGCATGAGCTACTGCACCCAACTTCTCAATCTCTATTTTAATATACAGCAAGCTCCAACTTATATGATAAATGAAGATATGTTCTAGTGAGTCAAATATCAGAGTTAAAGGAGATCATAGCTATTTCCAATGGATAGAATGCTAGAAAAAATATTTTTATTGTTCATATTCATATAAATGAGCAATCACTCAGAAAAATTAAACATCTGTATATAAATACACATCACTATTTAGCCTCTTCCTCCTCTCCCCTTCGAAAGCATAGTAAGACATTTGAGGAATTATAAAGTGATCAAGCTGAAAAATAATGGCAACAAAGCCAATCGGAGCACTCAACTCCAACCATGATGGGTTTGAGGGAAAAGAGCTAACTATAACCCAGTCTCTGCCCGGAAGGCTCTTCAGTCTAGTGGAGAGACAGGTACATGGAAATAGTTACACATGTGCTCATTGCCCTAGCCAAGAGTGGAACTTTTCAGCCAAGAACCATCATCCGGCCTCCTTTTCTATTTGTGCACAGTCACTTGTATTTGAAATCCTCTTTGGCCTTCAGGAGCTCTCATGGATGAGTGATACATATTTAATAAGTACTTTGAAAGCTCTTAATCTCCATCCAGTTTTATGTAAAGGTCCAGTCCTTGGAGTGGAGGTTAGGCTTGAATCCTAGCCCTGCCTCTTATGGCCCTCAGAGTTTGGTTAAGTTGCAGAACCTGTTTAAGCCTGTGGTGTCATCTGTAAGGGGCTGCAGCAGAGATCAGTGGAGATTACACAGGAAGGCCCTGGCACAGACCAGGCCAAGGCTTGGTACTACAGAAGTGTGGTTGTCAGGGACTTGGTCACAACTCAAGGCTGAAGAAAATATTTTTTAATTTTCTATAACTCAATTTCTGGCCCTAGGCCCCCATTTCACTGGGGCATCCCTAGGTTATGCTGATCTTTCTGTATTTTTACACATGACTAAAAGGATGGTGGTGGTTCCCACATGTCACTGCCCTTGTCTGCTTGGCCCTCTTGGCTCTGGAGGCTCTCTGAGCTTCCTCTGCCACCCACGGCTGTGGGGATCTTCTGGGAGGCAACCCAGGTCCCTCTTACAGATAAACTGCATAACCATACCTCTCCAGCATCTCATGGGAGACCCAACTAGGTGATGGGTTAGAAAGTTTGGTGCCGGTTCCCAGGTCTCTCATGCCCTCTAGAAGCTTCCTTTCTTTTTTTTCCCCTCCTGTATTCACCTGCCAAATATGTTGGTTGTTTCCACAAATAACCCACCCTTCTTAGTGTCTACGAAAATACTCAGTGTTTTTCTAAGTGATTAGGCTTTTGTAAAGCAAAAGCCAGGAACACTTGTAAGCCAGTACTGTTTTCCCCTCAGCCACATAAATCCCTAGAGGCAACAGTCTTATTATCTACTTCCTAAAAAAGAAAACGAAAAGAGAAATGGAAAAATATAAGAGAACCACAAAAACAAATTAATGTCTTAAACGATTATGTAGCCACAGTAGATTTGGTAAAAAGCATCAGAAGAGAAATAATAATTAACATTCCACATAGTTCTGCCGTTGTGGTTTTTAAAAATAGGTCTACAATTCTTTGATATTCTTACTTTCTAGAGGTGGAACTTAATTTCCCTCCCCTCAAGTATACGGTGGCCTTAATGACCAGCATGTAATGAATAGAAAATTGCAGAAATGATGAAATGTCACTGAAGTGAGGTTATGAAAAGACGGAGGCTTCTGTCTTGGGTGGTCTTGGCTAGCTCTCTCTCACACTGTCTCTCTTTCTCTCTTTCTCTCTCTCTCTCTCATACTCTCTCTTCCTTGGATTATTTGCTCTGGGGGAAGCCAGCTGCCATGTTTCAAGCTGGCCTGTGGAGAAGCCCACTGGAGAGGAACAGAGGGAGGCCTCTGGCCAACAGCTTCTGAGGAACTGAGGTCTGTCAACAACTACATGAGTGAGTTTGGAAGTGGATTCTTCAGCCCCAGTTGAGATATGAGATGATCGCAGCCCTATTTGACAAAAATCTCACAAGAGACCACCCAGCTACATACATACATAAAACGAGTTGGAACCAAAGGTGGCAATCTAAGACAGACACAATTTTAATGGATGAAATTAAATTACCAGTAGAAAATAAGTTATTTCCATGTCAGTTGGTCAGAAGAGGCCATTTTCATGGCAACATACTGAAAAATTATAATAATGAAGATAAGTTTAAATAGAAGAAAGGACAGAGTGAACAATTTTACCAGTCTATAAATGGGTTAAGTGAGATGCCTGCATTACCCTGCCCAAAATCAATAGAAACATATGCAAAATATGTGATGCCCCACCCATTAAAACTGTATCTGTCTGCTGTTAGCATTATAACCCTGCTTTGGAGTTCCAAAATTTGCTTTTCTTTCCACTCTGATATTTATAATCAAAGACTTAATTGCTGTAACTTCGAAGCAATTTAAACAATGCTTTGTTAGAAAAATTACCCTTAAAAGTGTGATTTACAGAGAGCATACTGGGTTAAGCATTCACAATATCTCTGTTGTCATAGCAACTTGCAGTGTGAGTTTAACCCAAAGTGGTAAGGTAACTAGAAAAATGTTGGTGATATTGGAATACAGAAAGACACATATACTACAACTGACATGCTGTAGCCTTGACATGGAAATTCTAATGAGCATTTTAAAAAGCAAAAGTCATTTTGTTTTATCTTGAAAATGCAACACCTTAACTAAACCAAATACAGATCTAAAACTAAACCAGAAATTACTGAAAATTTAGATACAGTTATTTGTATCATCCAAATAAGAAAAGTTTGGTTTCATGCTTCTAGAAGTTAAGCATGAAAAATAATTTCCAAAGGTTATGTTTGATCCCTACTTGATGATTTCTCTTTCTGTATCAGGAATGTACTTAAAGAAACAAATCTGGAGCTATAGTTCTATAAAAGATTATAAGGGAAAAAAGAAATGACATAAATACTTTGATAAAATAAAATAATGTTCTGCATCCCTGTTCTCTAAAATTTCAGAACTTACGCCATATGCCTACGTGGTTAAATACACAAAATAACGAAAGGACTCAGAACCTTAACAGAGTCCATCGAAAAGATTTTATGTGCATTTCTAGTTCAGGTTTTATTACTAAAGGTGCCATTTAGAAGCTCCTTCTAAAGATATGCCCTGCAGACACCTTAAAATAACACTCAACAACAAAAATATTATCTTGGTGATAATTTTACTGTCCTTTTCATAGGGGGTATATGGTAATAACAGGGTAAGCCTGGACAAAGCAATTAAGAATAAGAAGTGTTAATGCTCAGTATTGTTTATGTATGTCACTGTAATTGAAGGGGATCAGAATATGCTACTCCAAAATATGTGCTTTGGCATAAAGATTATTTTGAGCTGAAAACGTGTGAGATTCAACAGATGTAGAAGGAAGCTTTCTCAGAGCCTCCCTGATCTGACTAAAAGCAGAAACTCCTCAATAATAAGGACTGCCATAGAGCCCTTCTCCCAGGGAAGGTTTATGGCCATGAAGAAGATGGAAAGATGACACTGAGATGGATCTGCACAAACAAACCTTGCTTAGATAGCTTTTATCTTCTGTAAGTTTCCTCCATGTCATTACCATTCCTCAGTTTTCAGCCCCTAGAAGTCTAAAAACCCCTTTCCTTTGCCTTGACATGCCTCCACAATGTATGACTCTTTGTTAAATAGGTATATAAGCTCTCAGGCCTATCTGTTTCTTGAGATTTTCATGTGTTTTCTAGGAAGGTCCCTGTGTCGCAAAAAAAATCCAATAGAACTTATATGCCTTTTATCCTGTTAATCTGTCTTTTGTCAATCTAATTTGCAGGGCTCCAGTCAATGAACCTGAGAGTAGAGGAAAAATATGTTCCTCCCTTACATCATTGAAAAATCCATGCCAAAATTTTCCCCTTTCTGGAGCATTTGATAGTGAGGACTGGTATCAAGATAAGTCAGTTTTGAGTTCAGAATCTGGGGGTTACAGTACAGAAGCGGAGGTTTTCTGGGTGAAACAGAGAAATAGAGAACAATAGACGAAGGAAGAGAGATTGGGAAAAGCAGAGACCCAATTTGTTTCCCTACCCATTCTCCACTGGACTGTGCTTTGGGCCTAGCTCTAGGGGACTGTGGGAGAGTCAGCTTCTGAAAGATTAGAAAAATATCTGTCTTGTTTGTTTTTCAGGCCTTTCAATTCCTGAAATAACAAGAAGAGATGTGTAGCTGTGAAGGGAGGTTCAACCTCTCCTGGTCTTGAATCCCTTACTCAACTTCCCCAGGCCCTGGGTATATGGTTTCTCCTTAGGGCAGACCTATAAGGAAGTCAAAATGGGTATTTCCTGCATTGTCTCTCCCCACACCTTCTTCTCGGGAAGATCTTTAGAACACACCAATGCGTACTCCCATTTATTTAGAATTCAAATACAATGTCCTTCCAGTTCAATCATGTGTAAAATGGAGGTTTCCTGACTGCTTTCATTGGTGAGCATCAACAACACCAACAGGAAGAACAGCAGAGGCCACATCAGCCACAAGCCACCCTGTCATCTAATGAATGCCAATTAAGCGCCAAACACTACCCTAGGCATTTTATAAACATTAATCTGACAAATTTCTCACAATGATCCTATGGAATAGGCATTAGTACTCTCATTTGTTGGATGAGAGATCCAAGTCTGACAAAGAAAACAAGCAGCAACACAGCTGTTCTGTTTTCTGAATTTATCTTTTAACTTGATTCTCTTATCATCTATATGGAATTGAAAGCTTCTTGAGAACTTATTCTATTTTGAACTGCTTCATAGTACCTAGCACAGTAATTTATTTGGGGGTTTTCTTTACTTAATTATTTTAATTGACAATAAAACACTGTATATGTTTATGGTGTGCAACATGATGTTTTAATACATGTATACATTGAGGAATGGCTAAATCAAGTTATTTAATATATG
This sequence comes from Homo sapiens, assembly GCF_000001405.40. Lineage (NCBI taxonomy): Eukaryota > Metazoa > Chordata > Mammalia > Primates > Hominidae > Homo > Homo sapiens. The sequence goes on from NC_000006.12 coordinate 130,759,457, forward strand.
CAATACTTCATATACTTATATTTTTTGTGGTACAGACACTTAAAAACTACTGTCTTAGCAATTTTCAAATATACAATATATTGTTATTAACTGTAGTCACCATGATATACAATAAATCTCTTGAGAAATTTCTCATTCCAAAATGGAAGCATAGAAGCTAGCTGGCACCACTCTCCCAACAGAAAACCAAAAACAAATATACAGCCCCAAGATTATCACCAGCAATAATATCCAAAACTAAAATATGAGAATGAGACAGTTCCTGAGGCCACAAAGAAATGAAGAAACTCAGAATCTCTTAGTAGACAGTAAGAGAATCAGACTTCCATGTCTGTGACATCCTTCCCCCAATCTGCCTAGCACCAAGTGCACAGAAAATTTTTCCCTGACTCATGGTTTCTCAAAAAGTGAGGTGAAGATGGACAACTGGCTTCCCCATCATCTTGGGTTTCCTGGCAGAAGATCTGTCCTTGCCTCAGCCCCAGGAATCAACAGGAGTGCCTGAAGGGAGAAATAGCCCTGAGGACAGCCAAAAACAAAGAGGGGAGGCAGGACTACCATCCTAGGCCTGGAAACTGCTCTGTAATTCAGCCAAAGGAGATGCCAAATCAGAGTGGCTATTCAGCAGCACCATGCTATAGGATTGTCCTGCAGGTTTCCTGGGCATGACACCCTAGCCAGTCTTCCCACTCTATCAGGATATTCCCTTTGGGACATTTACTAGAACCTAGACAACCTGTGCTTAAAGCACCATCTAGTGCTCAAAGGGAGGCAGTGACCTGGTCGGGGTTGGGAGGAAAGAGAAAATCAACTGGTAAATTATAAAGAAAGAGCACTCCCTTATTTACTGCAGCACTATTCACAACATACAAAATATTGAAATTAACCTGTGTCTATCAGTGGATGAATAAAGAAAATTTGGCTGCATATACACAATGGAATATTATTTAGTCGTAAAAAAGAATGAAGTCCTGTCATTTGCAGCAACATGGATAGACTTAGAGGTCATTATTTTAAGTGAAATAAGCCAAGCACAGAAAGACAAATATTGCATGTTCTCACTCATATTTGGGAGCTAAAACAGTGGGTCTCATGAAGGTAAAGAGTAGACTGGTGCTTACCAGAACCTGAGAAGGATAAGGGGAAGATGAAGAGAAGTTATTAATGGATACAGATATACAGCTTGATAGAAGAAATAAGACCTAATGTTTGACAGATAAGTAGGGTAGCTCTAGTTTATAATAATCCATTATATATTTCAACATAGCTAGAAGAGAATAATTTGAATGTTTCTAGAATAAAGAAAGACAAATATTTAAGATGATGTGTATCCCAATTACACTGATTTGATCTGTACAAATTATATGAATGTATTAAATTGTAACATGTACCCCCAAGACATGAGCATGTATTATGCAAAAATTTAAAAAATTGGCCATCACGAAAAAAGAGTTAGTGAATTTGAAGACAAGTGAACGAAAGTCATCTAAATTGAAGCACAGAAAAGGTAAATATTTTTTAAAATAAACAGAACCTGATTTACTTGTGGAATAATATCAAGCATTTAACATATATGTAACTGGAGCCCCAGAAAGAAAGGAGAGAAAAAAAAAAAGTCAAGCAAAAAATTACATTTGAAGAAACATGGGCCAAAATTTTTCTATATTTAAGCAAAAACAGATTTGGGAAGCTTAGTGAATTCCAAATAGGATAAAAACAAATAAAACCACAACTGGTAACATTATAAGAAAACTTAAAGAAAAAAAAATGAAGTGAAAACTCTTAAAAGCAGCCAGAGTTTCAAAAGATTCATCCCATAAAGGGATCAATCATAATAATTATGGTTTTCTTTTCTTTAGAAAGAGTAGAATCCAGATGACAATGGAACATCTATTCCTGGAAAAATTCTTTATGGTGGATTAGCTACTGGTTCAATTTAATGATATTTCCACTAAAACTATTTAAGAAACATCACATGCAAGTTACTTAAGAAGCAATATAACTTGGCCGGGTTCAGTGGCTCACACCAGTAATCCCAGTACTTTGGGAGGCTGAGGAGGGTGGATCACATGAGGTCAAGAATTTAAGACCAGTCTGGCCAACATGATGAAACCCCATCTCTACCAAAACATTCAAAACTTAGCCAGGCATGGTGGTGTGTAATTATAGTCTCAGCTACTTGGGAAGCTGAGGCACAAGAATCACTTGAACCCAGGAGGTGGAGGTTGCAGTGAGCTGAGATTCTGCCACTGCACTCCAGCGTAGGTGACAGAAGGAGACCTTGTCTCAAAAAAAAAAAAAAAAAAAAAAAAAGGAGCAATGCAACTTACTGGAAAACACCACACCATAAAATTATGATAAGATATAAATATTTTCAACAGAAAAATGAGACTCAAAGATGTTCTGCTAAGTCCGTTCTCATGCTGCTAAAAAAGACATACCCGATGCTGGGCTATTTACAAGAGAAAGAGGTTTAATGGACTTACAGTTCCACATGGCTGGGGAGACCTCACAATCATGGCAGAAGGCAAGGAGGAGCAAGTCACATCTTATATGAATAGCAGTAGGCAAAGAGAGAGAGACTGTGCAGGGAAACTCCCCCTTATAAAACCATCAGATCTCATGAGACCCATTCACTATCACGAGAACAGCACAGGAAAGACCTGTCCACATGATTCAATCACCTCCCACCGGGTTCCTCCCACAACACATGGGAATTCAAGATGAGATTTGGGTGAGGACACAGCCAAACCTTATCAGATGATTAATGGGTACAAAAAAATAGAAAGAATGAATAAGACCTACTATTTGATAGCACAATAGGGTGACAATCATAAATAACTTAACTGTATATTTTTAAATAGCTTAAAGAATGTAATTGGATTGTTTTAACGCGAAGGATAAATGCTTAACAGAATGGATACCCCATTCTCCGTGATGTGCTTATTTCACATTGCGTGCCTGTCTCAAAACATCTTATTTACCTCATAAATATATACACCTACTATATATCCACAAAATTTTGTTAAGAATTTAAAAATAAGAGAAATTAAATACACAACTATAATTCAAGACATAATGCAAAAACAAAAATCCAACAAAAAAATTGTTGTTTTTTGTTTGTTTTTGAGATGGAGTCTCACTCTGTCGCCCAGGCTGGAGTGCAGTGGAGCAGTCTCGGCTCACTGCAACCTCTGCCTCCCAGGTTCAAGCGATTCTTCTGCCTCAGCCTCCCAAGTGCTGGGATTGCAGGCATGTACCACCACGCCCAGCTAATTTTTTTGTGTTTTTAATAGAGACAGGGTTTCACCATGTTGGCCAGGCTGGTCTTGAACTGCTGACCTCAGGTGATCCACCTGTCTCAGCCTCCCAAAGTGCTGGGATTACAGGCATGAGCCACAGTGCCTGGCCAAAAATATCATCAAGTTTAAAGGAGCACGAGACCGTCTCTAGTTATAGAGATTAAGGAAATCTTCAGAGCATTTGAGATGGACCTTGAAGGATGAGTAGAATTTTCTTAGGGAAGAGCATGGAGCAGACAGTGTGCACAGAGGCAGAAAAGTAGAAAACCATGGAGTGGAAGAGGGCATAATCCAATTATTCAGTTCATCTCTATCACCAGTGACTACCAGAGGAGTTGTCAGAAATATCTTGGGTAGGCAAATTGAGGCATCCTGTGAGGGGATGTATAGGTCATCCCAAAGATTCAGAATGTTATTCTGTAGGTTATGGGAAGTCATTTTCCACCTGCCAGGGGTCTGGCAGAATCAAGCTACATTCTTGGGGAAGATGAATGTGGCAGATGGGCTAGCAGCAAGAGGGACCTCAATCCAGAGTCACATGTGAAAACACACTGCCTTCCTGGAGGATCACAGCATGACAGAGATTAAACATGGATGATACTGCAATAGAAGGCAGAGTTAATTCCTAGGAAGATCCTGCTAAGGAACTCCATAAGTGTCTAAAGTTATATACTGAACGCCCCCAGGGTTTGGGTTGATTTGCATATAAACACAAGTGGCATCTGGTAATCAAAGGGCTTGACCCTCAGTGAAAATCAAAGCACATAAAAACCACCAAAATATAAGCTAGAATAAAGTAGATGCTATAGAGGAATTTTCCATCTTCCAGGGCACGTCCTGGTACCACTTGGCCAACAGTAGCTGAACAGGGCAGGCTAGGAGCAGCTGGAGCTTAGACATCAACACAACTGCTGGGACAGAGACATATGGAACAGACAAACTCAGCTTCAGGTGGAAGAGAAAGTCCAGTCTGGTAAAAAGAATATAGACTCTACAAAGTCCAACCACCCACTAAAGGAAAAAAATCCAGATAAGCCATCTCACTCTCAGGGAATCCAACACACAGTCACACTGTGCCCTACCTTTAGCCAGAGCAGGAATAGGAGAATCCAGAAATAGCCAATAATCAAATATATAAGCAAAGAGGCAGGCCACATGGGCACCAGCACAGTCTGTTGTCACACAGAAGAGCTCTTTCCATAGGGCTTGCATTCAGAAACAAGTCACCAATTTAAGAAAAGGGCAGCAGGTGACCCTAGAGAGGTCCCTATATTATAGAGACTCTCCTCTAGCAGAGCCTACTCAGGTTAACAGCAGGCTCTGAGGCACAGAGAACAAGACAGAAAACCAACTACCCAAAATTTTTATGTTGGCACAGTCTCTCCTCCAAACTGTGAGCTGTGGTTGATGCTCTGAGTAGCCAAAGGAGTGTTATACCATTCATTTTTAAATGGGTTTATTGTGTTGTCCTGATTGAAAACACCCATATTCCAGTTCAAGCTAGTAAATACAAGAAGACAAATTTAAGATCCAAAAAGAAGGAGAAGAGGGAGCTGGAGGAAGAAAAAACAACAAGCAAGCAAGCAAAGAAAAAAAAAGGCACTATTTGTCCATAGGTTTCTGAATGAACCCAGAAAGTCAGTCATTCAACAAAAAGCTGAGAGTCACACTTCTGAATATTACATATCTCCCTATTGTTTTATTCTCAGAGATGTGTCAGTGTAAGGCTAAAGAAAACAGATCTGTCATTTATCCTTAAAATAGGGAGGAAAAGTGGAAACATTTCACAGGTAAAAATGTATCTGAAAGGAAATACAAACATGAAACTTCAGACTCGATCCTTTTGATGTGATTAGTACAATGCATTTGAGTAGAGAAACATTTATGAAATTTGTATGCATATCTATGGATGCTTTAAAAATTCAAAAAAGAATTATGAGGGACGTGTTTGGAAGAATGCATGCTATGAAATTCTCCATTTCATGAAAGGAGCAACTGAATTAGTGAACTAATGAGTATTAGGCTTGAGGTTATAAATCACAAGTGATCAATCCAGTCATACACTCCAGTTCCAGAACTGTAAGTAAATACTTGGCTTTTTTTTTTTTTTTAATGCTTCTGGGAAAGAATTTTGTCAACAATGTGATAACACAGAAATGTGATATTCTGTACTTCTGATTCTCCGATGAGTATGATAATGTACTGAGAAAGAGAAAAGGTGAAATTAGAAACATGAAATCCCAGAAATATAAAACAATATTCAGTTGAACTCAGATAACTCGATTCTCCACAGTATTTGAAGACCTCTTAGTAGAAAATAAATTAAAGTTTTCAACTTTGGCAGAGAGATATTTTCAACTACAATAATTGTTTAAATTTAAAAAACTAAAATTATCTTTTGCATTTAATTAACTGCATTTTTGGTTGGAGCAACAGAACCTAAATCGGGCTATCTTAAGCAAAAGGCAGTGTAATGGAAAGATTGAGAGCTCATGGAATTGAAGCAAGGCTGGAGAAAACAGCCTTATTTGGAAAACAAGAAGTAACCAAGGATTCCTGCTAGGCTACAGGAATTTCAGACCAGATTACGGAACAGTATCAGCCCAAGGCACAGATGACCATCGCTACTACTGAGATGAATGAATCTATTCCATCTCTGGATTCTTGAGTCATCTTTCAAGGTAGAAGTTCCAGAGAGAGTACCTAACTGTCAAACTGAGTCACATGCAATTCCCTAGCTGTGATGTGCAGGGACATAGACCCTCCTCCTCCTCAGTGCATTCCAAGGTCCTTCTGCTTCAGTCAGCAGTTTGCAGGAGCTCACTGTTTTGTGGAACTATCTAAAACTTACAAACTGAGGTAGCTGATCCCCTGGTGGTACTGACTGAGGCCAATGTCTTGTTCTCAAGCAACTTAATCAAGCATGCAAGGATGAGAAATTAAACAAAAAAAATTGCAAGCAGATTTGCAGATTTTTAGGAGTAATTATCCTTTAGTCTTCAGACCTGTGTAATCTGTCTAGTTTGGTCCCAGAGACCCTAATATCAATAATCTCTATTGAAAATCTATTTGAGTCAGAACATTTATATTAGCATGCTGACCCTACTGATAATTATGCAAATAATGCCCATTTTATCTCTGTGAAGAGATTTTGTCTTTTGTGGAGCTACTTGGCCTCTGCCACCCCTGGATCCTCTTGTTAACACTGAAATCAGGTAGCCCATTTCAACTATGTGGTCTCCTACCAGAATCCCCAGTCTTCCAAAAATGGCCCATCCCAGAAATGGCATTTCCTTTACCAATGTATGTCCGAAGATGTCGGTGAAGGGAGTGGATTTGAGGCTGCTTGGGGGGTTATACGTAGGATATAGTCAGACAAGATGCTCACAAAACATCACTTGGTATTTCTCATGGCTTGAAGTTTTGAATACATTCCTTCTTATCATCACTGGGCCCAAAATGCTGTGGTCCAGAGTTGAGACCAGGTTGGGCTTAACCAGCCAAACAAATTGTTGGAACCACATACAGCTGCTCAGTCAGGCTTGACATAGCCATTCATTATCAAATATGATGCACTGTATATAATTGCATGTGCTATACGTTTAAATGACTGGCAGCACAGTAGGTTTGTTTATACCAGCACCATTACAAACACATGAGTAATCCACTGCACTACAACGTTGTGAAGACTATGACAACACCAGCTGATAGGAATTTTTCAGCTCCATTACAATCTATGGGACCACAGTCATAGAGGCTGTCTGTCATTGGCTGAAATGTCATTATGCAGTGCACGGTTGTACAGGATTGGCTTATCATTTTTAAAGATTGCAAACATTTTACAGGAATACTCTAAAATTGAGAATTTAGGATGAAAATAGTTGAAATTCTATAGTGTTCTCAGTTCACCAGTGTTTTTTTAGAGAACTAGGATCAAATAAGGCTTCAAGGGTCAGAAATCTCAATTTTGACTGAGTAATGGCTCCAGAACAGCAAGTTGTGGTGTCACAGGAGAGGCGTTAAAAACACAATCACATTAACCTACCGAAGAGGCAGTTTGACTGCCTTCCTGTCACAGAGCCTTAGAAAGTTATCATGCTTAGAGTGAAGTTTCAGAGTTTCTGAGGACGGGTCTGTCTCATGTAGCACTCAGGGTTGCTGCTCTCCACACAAATGGGGCTGGGTCACATAAGATAAGACACAGAGGCTGGGAAACATGACTGAAGAGCCATGACATCAGGCCGAACAGCATTGGCAAGTAAACCAGCTGATGTTTACCTAAATTACTGTAAGAAGTACAGCTGCTCTTTGACTTACAATGGGGTTACATCTCAGTAAACCCATGATAAGTTGAAAGTATCTTATGCCCAAACTGTGTTTTCAATTTAGGATATTTTCAACTTACAAAAAATTCATCCGGATGTAACCCCATCATAAATCAAGGAGTGTACAGAATGAATATTGCTTTTGCATCATTGTAAGGTGGAAAAATCACATGTCAAACCATCATAAGTTGGGAACTGTCTGTACTGGTTTTGTTTTGTTGTTTTGTTTTGTTTTGAGATGGAGTCTCGCTCTGTCGCCCAGGCTGGAGTGCAGTGGCGAGATCTCGGCTCACTGCAAGCTCCGCCTCCCGGGTTCACGCCATTCTCCTGCCTCAGCCTCCTGAGTAGCTGGGACTACAGGTGCCTGCCACCGCGCCCGGCTAATTTTTTTTTGTATTTTTAGTAGAGACGGGATTTCACCGTGGTCTCGATCTCCTGACCTCGTGATCCACCCGCCTCGGCCTCCCAAAGTGCTGGGATTACAGGCATGAGCCACCACGCCCAGCCCCCTGTACTGGTTTTGGAAGTAGCCCTGAAAATTTGGTACACTCAGACCTCCTTCCAAAGAATCCACTGTGGGTTACATAGTTGGCTGACAGCCACAGGCTGTTGCCCTTTTGCATCCATTGCTGCTGTAGCATCCTGATCATGCTTTCCCCAAGATGGTCCCAGCCAATGATTAAGCATGGTTGGGATACTAGTGTCAACCTATTCCAGGGCAGTGAAGGATTCTTCCAAAGGCCAGCCTTTGCTCTGGGACTGTATTAATCCATTCTCATACTGTTGTAAAGAACTTCCCAAGATTGGATAATTTATAAAGAAGAGAGATGTAATTGACTTGCAGTTCAGCATGGCTTAGGAGGCCTCAGGAAACTTACAATCATGGCAAAAAGGGAAGCAAACACATCCTTCTTCACATGGTGGCAGAAGAGAGAAGTGCCAAGTGAAGGGAGGAAAAGCCCCTGATAATACCATCAGATCTAGTGAGAACTCACTCACTATCATGAGAACATCATGGGGGAGTTGCCCCCATGATCTAATCACCTCTAACAAGGTCCTGCCCCCAACACATGGGGATTACAATTTAGATTACAATTCGAGATGAAATTTTGGATGGGGACACAACCAAACCGTATCAGGGACTCCCCATCACCTGGCCAAAACTTTCTTAGAGTTGAGTTGTCAACACTTCCTCCTTAATCCTTCTTCCCTCTCTCTTTTCATGAGTATCAGACCAACAATTTGGTCTGAAGCAGAACTAACTCAGAAATACAAAGTGAGCCATACACATAATTTTAAATTTTCAAAGTAGCCACATTGAAAAAATAAAAAGAAATAAGCAAAATAAGTTTTAAGTATATACATTTATACTTGCCAATGGTATATTTTATTTATTTTCAAATACTATTTCAGCCTACAGCCAATATTTTAAAAGTCATTTAGGAGATATTTTACATTCTCATATATGTGGGGGCGGGGGGTTGTTTTTGATTTTTGGTACTAAGTCTTATAAATCCAGAGTGTTTTTCATACATTTCACCTCAACATGGTCACATTGCAAATGTTCAATGCCACAGTCCCATGTGGCTATTGGCTACCTACCCTGTTGGACAGTGCAGTTCCCAAGGTTCTTACTGCTCCATTCCCCTTCATCTTTCACATTCCTACTCTCCTCCACAAATCTTTCACGTGTCTAACTCTGTCTTAGCATCTGCTTCTTGGAGGTCATGAACGGGCACAGTTTGCCTCATTACTTCTGCTCCAAATACTGTTAACAGGTGCAGATTAAAGAAAAAAAATTGTCATTATATCACTCTCCTGCTCAAAATACTTCAGTGGCCACCCGCCATTTAGAGGAAAATCTCTCCACTTGATTTCCAGTGGCTTCCACAATATTGCTATCCTCTACCTAGGCAGTTTTACTTCGAGCACTCCCACACACACCTCCCTCAAGGCAGGTAGGTCCCCTCATTGTCCTACAAACCAATCAACCTCATTTTTTTACCACCTTCAATTGCTCATGCTGTTCCTATTTCCCAAAATGCTATTTCTTTCCATTTCTCTATTTGAGGTTAATTTTTTAAGAGTCACTACTAGTATTTCCTATCTGTACATTTAATATTTTTAAATTATACTGGATACCACTGGCATATTCATGTAAGAAACTATGCATGTAATTTTCAGAAGATAAACTAGTGTACAATATTTAAGTTCAATATTTATTTAACCAGTGTGAAGTTACAGTAGTACCCCCTTATCAGATTTTGATTTTTGTGGTTTTAGTTACCTGCAATCTGAAAATCTTAAGATATTTTGAGACAGAGAGATCGCATTCACATAAATTTTATTTCATCCTATTGTTATAATTGTTCTATTTTATTGTTAGATATTACTGTTAATCTCTTACTGTGCATAATTTAACTATTTTAACTACTAAAGCCCTTTAACTAAATTAAACTTTATCATAGGTATGTATGTATGGGGAGAAAACATAGTATATGTACGGTTTGGTACTATTCACAGTTTCAGGCATCTACTGGGGGTCTTGGAACATATCCTCCATGAATAAGGAGGTGCTACTGTACTCAGGATGTCCTTACTCAGTAGACCATAAACACTGGTGAACACAAAGAAGTAGAGGCTGTAATTCCTGTTTTCAAGATGGGATGGTTAATTTTATGTGTCACCTTGGGTAGGCTATGGTGCCCAGCTCTTTCATCAAACACAAGTCTAGATGTTGCAGTGAAGGTTTGTTTCAGATGTCATTAACCTTTACACTTAGTTGACTTTTCATAAAGCAGATTATCTTTCATAATGTGGGTGAGTTTTATCCAATCAGTTGAAGGCCTGATGAACAAAGACTGAGGTTTCCAAAGGAGGAAGGAATTCTGCCTCAAGACCGCAGCATAGAAATTCTGCCTGAGTTTCCAGTCTGTTGGCTTTCCCTGCAGATTTCAGACTCAAGATTGCAACATAAACTCTTAACTGAATTTCCAGCTACCCAGCCTGCCTTACAGATTTTGGACTTGCCAGCCCCCACAATTCTGTGAGCCAATTTCTTAAAATAAATATCTATCTATCTATACATGCATATATCTATATCCTATTGGCTCTGCTTCTCTGGAGAGCCCTAATGCACAAGAGTTTTTCTTTCAGTTGTGCAGATTAAGCAGGAAAACTTGGAAAGTTAAATGATGGCACAAGACAATGTGTTGCAAAAATAAATCATTAAATTGTAACTGTCAAATTCAAACTCCAGACCCCCCCGACATGCTCAGGTGTTGAGAAGAAAGATAAATCACAATCGGCTAGTTATCCAAATGAAAGCCCAAGCACTCAAACATTGTGGTGTTTAAATTTGAAACTATTTAAAATTATAAAACTAATTTGTTAACATCCCAAACTTACCTTCTTAAAAATCACATCCTACATTTGGTCTGTTTCAGCTTTTGACAAATTATGCTTCTGCTGATGTAGCAGGACGAGCCGTGGACAAAACCCCTCAGACACCGAGATAGTGAAGGAAGTGGCTTTAATCAGCTGGGAGCACCGGCAGGCTAGCTAGCGTCTTAAAGTCCGAGCTCCTCAGGTGCTCAACTTCTGTCCCTTTTAAGGGCTCACAACTCTAAGGGAGTCCACCTGAGAGGGTCGTGATCAATTGAGCAAGCCAGCGGGTATGTGACAGGGGCTGCAAGCACCGGTGGTCAGTGTGAAACAGAATAGAATGGGAGGTTTCACGATGTTCTTCCATACAATGTCTGGAATCTATAGAAAACATCAGTTGCTAGGTCAGGGGTCAAATGTTAACTACTAGGCTTAGGTCAGGCAGGCCCAGGCCTGGTTTCGGGTCTGGTTCCTGGGCGCCGGGCTACCTGCCTTTAGTTTCACTTCTCTCCTTTTCTGAGTATAAAACAATATAAAATAATATGAGAGGGTCTCTCTCTTCCCTCACTGAGATAGAAGAGAAAGCATGACCTAGTTAAACTTGGGCAAAACTAATCTTGCAAGTTGATCAAAAACCTGCTTCACAAAAACTCCCTTGAGAATACCTCAGGAAGAATTGAAAAGATCCCAATCTAAATCAGGACAGAAAATTATGGTTTTCCAATGTTATACACATAAGAAAGGCTGCCATGTGCCTTATTAGAGAGGCAATTTTATTTTAACAAGGGATTTTTAAAGGCTAACTTGTTTCATTTTCCCTGTTTCACCCTCCTTTTAACCACACCCTTACGCTTTTTTGCAAAACATTTTTAAATTTGGCAAACTCAGCCGTACCTCCCCTTTATATCACAGCAGACAAAGTTGAGATTTGTAGTTGCTTAATCATAATTAATCAATGGGATACATAACCCAGAAGAAAAATCAATAATAAAGGAAACGTTATATAAAAAGTCTAATGTCTGATAAAGGACTGTTATCCAATATACAAAGAAATCTTGAAACTCAACAATAAGAAAACAAACAACTTGATTTTTAAAATGGGAAAAAACCTGAACAAACATTTCACCAAAGAAGATAAAGGTGGCAAGTAAGCATAAGAAAAGATAGTAAACATCACGTCATTAGAGAACTGCAAATTAAAACAAGAAGCTATCACTACACACCTGTTGTAAAGGCCAAAATCCAAAACAGTGACAACACCAAATGCTGGCAAGGATGTGGAGTGATAAGAACTCTCAATCATTGCTGGTGAGCATGCAAAATGGTACAGCCACTTTGGAAGACAGTTTGGCAATTTTTTCCAAAATGAAATTCTTACCATTTGATCCAGCAATTCTGCTCTCTGGTATTTATGCAAATTAATTAAAAACATATGTCTAAACAAAAACCTGCATATGCATGTTTACAGCTGCTTTATAATTGCCAAAACTTGGAAGCAACGAAGATTTGCTTCAGTAAGTGAATGGATAAACTGTGGTACATGCAGACAATGAAATATTCAGCACTACAAAAAAAAAATGAGCTAACAAGCCATGAAAAGACACGAAGGAAACTTAAATGCATATTACTAAGTTGAAGAAGCCAATGTGAAACGGCTACATTTTATATAATTCTAACTATAAGACATTCTGCAAAAGGCAAATAAAAATATTTATTTGCCAATAAAATATTACGGCAATAAAAATATTAGTAGTTATTGGGATTTAGTGGAGAGGAAGGGATGAATAGGTGGAGCAGAGGGGATTTGGGATGCAGTGAAACAACTGCGTAAGAGACTGTAATTGCGGATACATGTCATAATACATGTATCTAAACCCATAGGATGTGCAACAGCAAGAGTGAGCCTTAATGTTACCTTCAGACTCTCCGTGATAATGATGTGTCAGTGTCCGTTCATTGATTGTGACAAATGTACCACTGTGGTGAGGATGTCCATAGTGAGGGAGGGAGAGCATGTTGAGGGAGAAGGAGGAACATAACAGAACTCTCTGCATTTTATGCTCAATCTTGCTAAACCTAAAACTAAGCTGAAAAATAAAGTTTAATAATTTTTTAAAATCCTAATGTCTTATTTCTACTTTGATTGCAAATAATCTGTGAACAGTCTATAGACCAAGGCTCTCAAATTTCACAAAGCCCTGCATAGCAACCCCTTATCTTACCTTTTGCTCCTTCAGAAAGCCCTATATTTTCCAATTCATTCTCAATTTTCACAACTTTCCATGAATATCTTCTCACTCTCTTCTTCTCCTCACCCCTAAGCAACTCCTTTGCTTGTGGAGGATGGGGAAGGAGAATCAATCTAATCATGAGATTTAAACAATTTGAAGTATGTATGAATGACTGAAATTTCTACAAAGTGAGAATCGTGTTAATGCAAACCTCAAAGGTGTGCGGAGGTGAGTTTCTAAAGCAGGGCACCCTCTGGGCCTTTGGTCTCCTCTGAGCTGTCACCATCAACCCTTCCCATTCATCATCTCACAAACTCAGCAAAGTAACCAGGCATCCCACTTTTGAAAACATCATGAGTAAGTGGCCAGTCAGGTGCTACTAGTCAAAACGTTCCATATCTGTGAATTCTAGACTTTGGGATAGTCCCCAGTGATGACGACAGGTAAGTGCTTTAAGAGTTGAGTCTAGACGGTGCTAGAACACCTCTCAGCTAACAGGCCAATGGGGCTAAAGTCCTCAGTGAATTAGACTGTGCTAATCACTTCTCCCCTGCTCACTCCTACAAAATGTCAGTCTGTCAGTTATCACCCGTACTAGCATTTCAAAATTTGCATTGGGCAGCATTATCACATGGCTTTAATGCTTTATTAGTGGATTGGCCATATGTGCCAATTGCCTCCAGCAATCCCAGGTTACACCTCTTTTACCAGCAAATTATTGATAGCTCCCCCTTTCACTCTCAAGAGCATCCCCTTCGGGGCAATAAATAATAATGTCACTGGCATGGTTAATACTGAGTGTCAACTTGATTGGATTGAAGGATGTAAAGTATTGTTCCTGGGTGTGTCTGTGAGGGTGTTGCCAAAGGAGATCAACATTTGAGTCACTGGACTGGGAGAGGCAGACCCACCCTCAATCTGGGTGGGCACCATCTAATCAGCCGCCAGTGTGGCTAGAATAAAAGCAGGCAGAGGAATGTGGAGGGACTAAACTGGCTGAGACTTCCAGCCTTCTTTATTTTCCTGTGCTGGATGCTTCTTGCCCTTGAACATCGGACTCCAAGTTCTTCAGCTTTTGGACTCTTGGACCTACACCAGTGGTTTGCCAGGGGCTCTCGAGCCTTCAACCACAGACTGAAGGCTGCACTGTCAGTTTCCCTACTTTTGAGGTTTTGGGTCTCAGACTGGCTTCCCTGCTCCTCAGCTTGCAGATGGCCTATTGTGGGACTTCACCTTGTGATCGTGTGAGTCAATACTCCTTAATAAACTCCCCTCTATATATACATCTATCCTATTAGTCCTAACCCTCTAGAGAACACTGACTAATACAGTGACCTATTCATGAGAGAGGCTGACCTGCTATTTTAATAGACTTTTAACTGAATGCAGTAAGAAGAAGACAGTAGTTCTATAGCTACTGTATTAGTCAGAGTTCTCCAGAGAAATAGAAGCAATAGGACGTGTATACATAGAGAGAAAGAGATTTAATTTCAGGTATTGACAACAGTTCATGTGAGAAAAACTTGGGGGTTTAAATTAATCCCTTATAGATACGCCTGATATTGCTGTTACCAAAAAGAAACAACAACAACAACAAAATGCAAACAAAGACTGCTCTAGGAAAAGTAGATTACCTTGAGCAAGGGAGATAATAGTTTCTCTACATTTTTTGCTAGCCAGATTGTAATTTCCCTGTTTTGTTTGGTTCTGAGCACATTTTGAGAGGTCTTGATGAAGCACAGAGCTTTTAGAAAAATATAGCAAGAAATATCATGGCAACAGGGACCATCTAGATAGCATGAATATATAGATGTCTTCAAATGCCAAAGTGTTAGGGCAGTATATTTTGGTGTGGTGTGAGGAAGAATTTCCCAGTTACTGGAGTGCAATAGACGAGTGGAATTCACGAAGTTGTGAGCTCACTGTCTTTGGAAGAATCTAACAGATTTGAATAACCTTTTTGAGTGGTATCGTGATGTGTGGAAGGATAAACTCTACATGACTTCTAAGTTCCTTCTCAATTCTAACCATTTAAGTTTAAATAGTCTATAATGAGAAATTGTTATTATCTTCAAAAGGATTCCTCTTAGGCAGTGAACTGACATCAAAAAACACACCTGCTCAGGATCAATGAGATCCTGACATAGAAGATGTTGGCAGATGCCAAGACGTCAAAGAAGTGCTGTAGCTTTTCAGGAGGCAAAAGAATATGGTAAATTTGCCAATTTTGAGGCACCACCAAGAATACAATATTGAGATTCTGATATACACCCCAAATACTGAAATAAGTATATATGTTTATTATACTATTTAATAGATCTATATGAGGGGGCAATGACAAAGACATAGCTGAGAGATTTGGAGAAAATGCCGTAATCTGAATTTCAGATATTCAGGAATTAGATTTTTTGACATTCTGCTAAGGAAAATTTTTCTTACTGTAAATCTGAGTATAGAAAAAAACCATTTAGAATTACAAGTTTCCAAGAGCTCAAATATCTTTCTACTTGGTGTTAAAAAAGAACTTTAAACATTTGTCAGCCTTTGCTGTGTTACTTATCCAACCATTCTGTCTCCTCTTTGCCATGTGCGTCTATCAAAACTCAGTTCTCTTCAGTTCATGCGGTACATCTTGGGAAAAGCAATCCACTATTGGCCTCAAGAATCTCTGCATTTGCTTGCTGAACACACCAAAAATACAAGGCCCTGACTACTCTTTACCCAAGGCATTTCTCAGAGCTGGGTTTGTAACCTTGAGAAACGAGGGCAACACCTCTCCTAAGACAAAGAGCAGGCTTGCTTCTGCTTATTACAAAAGTGGCAGATTCTCCAAGTTCAGAGTTCCTCTCCTGTAATGCAACCCACTGCATGTGCAGGCATCCATCTGGGCCCACCTCTGCCATCTGCTGTGTGTGACTCAGGGGCACGAAGCTCTGGCTACTGCTTTTGCTTTTGTAATAAAGTTTTTTAGCTCTGACCCACAAGTCTCATGTCTTCTGCCAATATTCATGAAGTAAGAAAAAGGCTAACTCGTAAGTTTGTAAGTAGGATAAAATCTCAGACCATTTACAGTTCTTAACAATACAATTGAGGAAGTGGCTAATAATTACACTTTCCCTCTCCACCCCAAAACTGATCCCAACATTGGTTCAACCAGGTGTTAAGCTATTGAACAGAGGAATGTATTGAAAGGAGAAGGATCAGAAAAGAAATGGGATGGTGTCTGGAAGCACTGGCCAAAACTAAGCACTGACATGGAAATTCTGAATAGACTCAAGTAGTAAAGACAAACTCCATAACTGTGTTTGAGACCAGGCCTGCCTACCTCTTTCCGAAAAAAAGCTAAAGTCTATATTTTATGCCTTTGAACATTTCTTTTGCTAATTTATTCATTTAATGAATATTCATTGAAAGGCCTGGGGCAAGACTAAAGAGAGAAAATTTTCGGAAGACATCTATAGGGTGATTGATTGGGACTCTAGCTATTATTCTGTAAGTTATTTTATATTCTAAATAAAATTATCTTTCCCTTGTTCTACATTTATTCATGTGCTCACAAAGCTCATTTTCCTGATCTCTTGGGTTCTATTCCAGCTACATCTTTATTCTGCATCTCCTTGTCTACTAAAATTATAATATTTGTGAACCTTCTCCAATAAGATAAAAAATACAACTGTTATACTCTGCCCAGTTGAAGACTTCTGCTTATCTTAGAGTAACCCACATTTAGGTGAGCCTCCTATATTCATGCAATCACTCAGCATTCAACAAATATTTACTGAGCCCTTTCCTTCTACCAGGCACTGTTGTAAAGAGCTGGAAACGAGCAGTTAACAAGACAGAAAAGAGCCCATTCTAGTGGGTACCTAGAGATAGGAAGGGAGAATTAAATGCATGTTCTCAGACATGGCCAAAAGTGAAACAGGGTAATAGGACAGAGAGTACAAAAATAAAGATTATTTTCTATTACTGACTATAGAAAGTGTTGCTGAGATCACACTTAGAAAGTGAAAGAAAACCAACAGCTTGGACACCCAGGGGTAGAATGTTTCAGGCAGAGGAAACCACAAAGGCAAAGGAACGAGTGGCCCATCTGAAGGACAGAGTGCATCAGAGCAGCCAGAACTGAGGAGGCCAATGAGGGGAAGGAACTGAAAGGGTCTATAAGATCCCCCCACAGTCATCTGGACGTAAGAGCTGAGGGAAACTAAGGCTGGGAGTCCTGTGAGCAAAATAAATAACTATCCAATCATGTATGTTCTCCTAGATTGATCTTAAGACAGTTAGAGTAGCAGAAAGCATGCTCCCAGAATCACTTATCTCAGCTTCTCAGTAATGGATGTTCACCAACTTCACAACAATGTGTAGGACACATTATGTCACTGTGTTTTCTCAGCCCTGTCATGTCATTTCCAACATAGTCATCTTATCAGAGGTAGAAATAACAAAGAAAGAATAGAGAATAATTCTAGAACATCAGATCATGGGATTAGGGGATTAAATATTGTTATTACTAATTGAGCCTTGAACAATGCAAGAGTTAAGGGCACCAACCCCTCTGGTAACCAAAAATCCAGGTAAGGCCAGGCACAGTGGCTCACGCTTGTAATCCCAACACTCTGGGAGGCCGAGGCAGGTGGATCACTTGAGGTTAGGAGTTCGAGACCAGCCTGGCCAACATGGACTAAAACAAAAATTAGCCAGGTGTGGCGGCAAGCGCCTGTAATTCCAGCTACTAGGGAGGCTGACACGAGAGGATTGCTTGAACCCAGGAGGCGGAGGTTGCAGTGAACTGAGATGGTGCCACTGCACTCCAGCCTGGGTGACAAAGCGAGACTCCATCTCAAAAATAAAAAATCCATGTATAAGTTTTGACTCCACAAAAACATAACCACTAATAGCCAACTGTTGACTGGAAGCCTTGATGACTATGTAAACAGTCAATTAACACATATTAGGTATGTTATATGTATTATATACTGTATTTAAGCTAGAGAAAAGAAAATGTTATTAAGAAACTCATAAGGAAGAGAAAACACGCTTACTCTTTATAAACTGGAAGTGGATCATCATAAAAGTCTTCATCCTCACTGTCTTCACATTGAGTAGGCTGAGGAGGAGGAGAATATAGGGGTTGGTATTGGGCTTTCAGAGGTGGCAGAGGTGGAAGAGGTGGAGGAGGGAAAACGGAAGGCCGGAGAGGCAGGGACACTCAGTATAACTTTTGTGGAAAAAAAATCCACATATAAGTGGACCTGTGCAGCTCAAACCTGTGTGGTTCAAGGGTCAACTGTAATATCAAATGCACCAGAAAACACATTTTATGCACCCGTGAGCCCTAGAATAGAGAGAGGTGGGAGAAGGGAGAAAAAAGATCCTCCAGGTAACCAGCATCAGATCTCGTGAGAGTATTAGGGCCTTACCTAGGGAAAGGATGTCATTTAGAGATCAACAGAAGAAGAGGACAAACGTGATCCACACCTTTTTGCCTTGGTTCTGTTTTTCCACTGGATGTGAAGACACAGGAATGTCTAATATTAGCTCCTGCTGGAAGTTTTTAATAAAGGCATTAAAGCTGACCCTGGGTCTTATCCAACTAAGTGAATGGGAGAAGATGGAAAGCTCTTTAACATTTTTATGTATTATTAAGCATTATCTCAATAACCAAACAAATGTTGAGACCAGAAATAATTGACCCATAATTCCATCATTTTAATAAAATTGAATACAATATAAATTTAAATTTTTTCTATTGTCATTTCTAATCTTTTTATATAGTCTCACTTATAAGTAAAATTGTTGTAATAATTTTATAGGTACAATCTCATATTCTTATGAAGATTTTCTTTTCTTTTTTTTTTGGAGGAGGAGGAGAGAGTTGGCTTCATTTCTGGTTATCCAAGTGGGCTGCACTGTCTGGGTGGAACACAACCCTGGCTTTTAAATTTTCACAACAAAGTGACAACACTGCCTTCTGTGCATCTGGTCTCTAAGCACATGGTTCTCCCTTTTATCAGCAACATAGACTTTATTCAGGACAAGTACGTATCAGAGAAACCAACTGTAATTCAAAAGCTCCCGTATATCCAATATGAGAGTCAAATAGACAAGCAAACCACCTATTCTTTTGGGTTTTCCAAGCTCTATCTTGGTATTGCTAGATCATCAGAAAGTGAAGTTTCAGAATCACACGATCTCAGCTCTCCAATGTCACACTATATTCTGTATAAAGGGTTGATACTGGACGATTTCGTGCAAAAAGCACTTTTTTCCTTTTTCATTGTGAGCCAGATTTACCTATGAAAAAAAGACTCGCATTGTAAATGTGTTATGAGGTTTTGTTCTAGAAAAAAAGTCACTCTCTGCAAAGCTTTTTCATATGCTTCCTTTTTCTAAAAATTAAAGCATAAAATCAGGATGATGTAACCCCAATGCGCCTTGTGGTTTGGCTTAGCTGCTTGGAAAGTCAGTCACATTTGTGACCCATTATAGCAAACATTCTGCCTGAGACTATTTGTTAACATCTCTTCCTGCTCTTTATAAACAGTTTTCTTTTAACTTCATCATTAATTCTGCACTAACTTTTATATCATATTAAATCCTCTTAGATGAAGAGGTTATATAATACATGTAATATGCACTAAAGGGGTGATACGTACGCCAAGTATAAAGGGCACTTCAGGGGATCAGGACAATTCCGTGGACCGAGGGGTCAAGCCTTTAGTGATTTCATCACAGCATTCAGACTGGAGAAAGGAGGACATTTCTGCAGGATTATTCCTTGAACAAATTTAGTAAAGGAATCTTCTCTGTAATAAGAATACATGCCTGACCATAAAGAAGGACTGCTTGGGGCAAAGAATGGAGCATGAAGCTGCACAGGCATCAGGGTCAGTACTAGAGTGCTTTAAATATCAAGTTCATGAGTTTAATTTCTAGCCTCTAAGTAATTTTTGAGCAGGGAAGTGGCTGATGAAATTGTCTAGATAATTATGACCAAGATGCCACCATCAGCAGATCTACATTTCTCTGGAGGATAGTTCACGTGTTGTATGGATGGTGCAAGTTTGTTTTTAGACATTAAAATTTAAGTCCCAGCCGGGTATCTTAGTGGAAATGCCCAGTAGATTGTGAGATAGGAGCCTGGAGCTTGTCAGCAAGACAGATTTTTGGAAATTATCCATATAAAAGAGCATTAAAGAAGCAATAAGAAAAGATGAGTGCTCTGGGCTCCTTCTCCTTCAACAAATATTTAAAATAACCCCAGAGGGCGGAGACTCCACGAAGAGACAGGTTAAGTTCTGAATTAGAGGGCATGGGGACCAATAGGACACTTACTGCCATCGAAATTGATGCCTTCTCTCAGTCCCACAAAGACTAAATTTAGAATGGTCTTTCAATGCTTCATTACCAGATTAGAGAGTTAATGAGTAATCATTGCTTTGTTTTGGGTTTTTTTGTTTTTTTTTTTTTGGCAAGTGGGTAATAAATAATGATGCAGAGAAGCTAAAAAAGGGAAGAAAATGTATGTTATCCATAAACTGGGAAAACATTCCTTAGGGAGTAACAAAAGAGCAATACTGCCAGCTCAGCTGGGGAAAATGAAGAGGAGGCAGTGCCTCAAGGTTGTCTAGTGATACCTTATATGGCAAATAGTATTCAGTGTCAAGAGAAAAAAGCTCATACCGTGGGAAGCCACAGCCCTCTGTTAAAATCACTAAGAGAATGAGAGAAAAGGAGGAAATAGAGGTAATGCTAGTATCTTTATAGCAAAGGTAAGACCTTTGAAATGTGGGACTCAGACACATGATAAAAGAGCCACATAAATTACACTCAAAAATAGCCTGGTGTTCATGGGCTATCATTGGAACTGGTTAGTCTGAACCTGGCTGAGTGCAAAAGAGAATGTTGCAGATTGGGAAGTTCAGTGTGACCTATAGGAAGATGGAGGTCAGGATTGTAGAGAAGAAACTACAGAAGACAAAACTGAGACTTGAAGATTAGATGACGGGCCAAAGAGTTTGGGCTCCACCTCATAGGTAATGGATTTGATCAGAAATTTGTAAGAAAGGGAAAACAACAAATTCCTATTTATGTTGGAAAATAGGACTCCAGTGTAGATGCACACACCACCTTGCCAGATTCCAGCAGGAGGGAGGCCAGTTAGAAGTTTTTGCAATGGAGCTGATGAGGGCCTATGCTAAGGAAGCCATAGGAGAATGAGGGTGTGGCGGGAAGATATGTAGCATTATTCTTTCAGTATAGTCATGGACTTTAGAAAGCAGTTCTCTTACAGTCAACTTTTGAGCCACCATTCCTCTTTTTAACTTTCTGCCTTTGTATAAATCAGCCAGCCAGGGAATACAATTTCTCAGAGGTGAGGAGGAAGCACATATGTAAGCAATACCACCTTGCTCAGCAAAATAGAATGTAGAACCTCCAGGGCTTACTGTAGTGCTTAAGAGAGGTGCTCATAGGCCAAGCGCAGTGGCTCATACCTGTAATCTCAGCACTTTGGGAGGCCAAGGATTGCTCGAGCCCAAGAGTTCAAGATCAACCTGGGCAACAAAAGGAGACCCCATTTCTAAAAAGAATTTTAAAAATAAGTTAGCCAGGCATGGCGATGCTTGCCTGTAGTCCAACTACTCAGGAGTACTAAGGTGGGAGGATGGCTTGAGCTCTCCTGGTTGAGGCTGCAGTGAGACCTGAGTGTCATTGCACTCCAGCCTGGGTGACAGAGAGAGACCCTGTCTCAAAGGAAAAAAAAAAAAGTGCTAATACATGGAGTCCTGATGCCATCACCCTCAATGTCCTCTTCCTTTTGAGAGTTTCTCTTTTGATTGTCATATTCCCAACACATGGGTTCCACATGTTGGGAGTATGACAAGGTAGACATGGTAGTCTACCTTTAAATTTTGATTGTACCCAGAGAGCTCTTTCCATGCTTCGCCTTAGCAATGACAAAAAAAAATGCACTGGCAACTGAGAATCAAAAGGAAAAACTTGAAAGAGATACCATATCCTCTAAGCGCCACCCTATAGCAAGCTGTCAGGTCAGACCACAAGTGTGGTAGAAACCTTCAGAGTCTGAATTGACACTGCCCTGGGTTATATTCAAATCCTCTCTCTTCTAAATAGTCTTATGACCTTAGCCAGTTCCTTCAATGCTCTAGATCAGTCATATATGATTCCAAGGAAAGTGGACACAACTTAAGAGACAACGTTTGAAAAGCAACTGGCACTATATGAGCATGTGTATCTGTTAGTAACTTAATTTCACTGCTAGCAAGAGACCCAACTCCAGTGGGTTTATTTATAAATCCACACAAGGGTTTGTTCTCTTACAGAGAAGAAGTCCAGAGGTAGGCAGTCCAGGCAGGCAAGACAACTGAAGAAGTCGTTAGAGACCCAGAGGTCCCTTTTCTTCCACCTTGAAAGTCACCTCAGGGCCAAGATGGCTGCTGGGCACAGGAAGGAAGAATGCATGCCTTCCTTCTAAAAGGAAGTAACTTTCAATTACGACTCACTGATCGGAACTTAGTCACACGATCATATCTGATATAGTTGGGATACGTGTCTCCTCTAAATCATTTATTGAAATGTAATCCCCAGTGTTGGAGGTGAGGCCTAGGGCAAGGTGATTGGGTCATGAGGCAGATCCCTCATGGCTTGGTGCTGCTCTCACAGTAGTGAGTGAATTCTCCTCCGATCTGGTTAAGTGTGTGGTACCTCTTCCCCAACACCTCTCTCTAGCTCTCCTTTCCCCATGTGAAGTGCCTTCTCCCCATCCACCCTCCACCATGAGTAAAAACTCCCTGAGGTCTCCCCAAAAGCTAAGCAGATACCGGCACCATGTTTGTACAGCCTGCAGAACCGTGAGCCAATTAAACCTCTTTTCTTTATAAATTATCCAGTCTCAGGTATTTCTTTATAGCAATGCAAGAATGGCCTAATACAATATCTAATTGCGAAGTATACAGATCTAGCTGAAAATCTAGTTTTTAGCTGGGCACACTGCCCTGGGTTCTTTTACAAAAAAGGAAAAATGGACATTTGTTAGTAATTAGCACTGTCTGCTAAAAATTTTATTAAATGTTAGTCCCCTTCTCTCTCAATATAAAAATATTCATTGTGGGGCTGAGTGCAGTGGCTCACACCTATAATCCCAGCACTTTGGGAGGTTGAGACAGGAGGATCCCTTGAGTGCAGGAGTTCAAGACCAGCCCGGCCAACATAGCAAAACCCTGTCTGTACTAAAAATACAAAAATTAGCCAGGCTTGGTGGTGGGCACCTGCAATTCCAGCTACTCGGGAGACTAAGGCAGGAGAATCACTTGAACCAGGGAGGTGGAGGTTGCAGTGAGCCAAGATTGCACCACTGCACTCCAGCCTGGGTGACAGAAAAAGACTCGGCCTCAAAAAACAAAATTCATTGTGAAATTTCATATCTTTGGTTTTTAATTGATCAGTGGCATAATAAATGGTCAAATAAAGAGTATTTTTGCATCTTTTAAGAAATTATTAATATATCATCCAAAATCCTCAATGGTCCATGACTTAGGCAATAAATTAGTGCCAGACCAAAAATCCCTCTCTCCTGGTTGAAGGGATTTTTTTGGTTTGTTTCCCCTTTTATTAGATAAAAGGTGTATTTTTTATTTCATCATATTTTGCTTTGGCTAGCCATTTTGCAATCAATTTTAACATCATCCTTAGTCTAAATTTTAGATACAATCATTTCCCAAACATTTTATCAATTGGCTCTTATACTTTTGTTCTTGTATTAATAATTCTTAAGACATTTGCATGTGAGACTCTTTTGGAAGTTTAAGGAAGCTGAAATAACAAATCAATCCAAAGATTTGGCACTTGTTCAGTGAATTCCTTTGAACTGTTCTTTGGCTCCAATGCTCCAATGCTTAAATAATTACTAGGTAATTGCAAAATTTAGCTTCCAAGGCACTATATGAAGAGAGCTACCATGAAACTAATGCCAGTGATGTTTTAAGATCTGGAAATACAATAAAGAGTTTTTATTCAAATATGATGCAACGGAGTAAGCAACAAACTATAGTGAAATCCATTTTAAGAAACATTAAAGCCTTGTAAAAATTTTCAGAACTAGAATTGAATTGTAGCCAAGTACTTTCAAGAAACTAAATCTAATCTGACAAGAAACAGGAATTGTTACACGAATACCTTTAATAAAATGGACATTTGAGAGAGAAAAAATCACAAGAGAAATGGAAAAATTCATAAGATTAAAAAACAGAATGAGACCTATGAGGTTATTTAGAGGGCAAAATGCTAGAAAAGATAACATGAGAATTGCTCAGTGGTCATAGCATTTTTTTTAAAAGGCTAAATAGTAGGGTTTCTCTGTTTAGGACAAATGAAGACAATTCTTTTTTTCTCAGCTATTCATTGTCAGAGAAAACATATTAAGAGATGAAGGAATAAGGTGAGGCAAGAAAATGAATTCTGACCATCTTTATCTAGAAAGAAAACCGGTGATTAAAAACGAATCTTCTGTCTTTTCCCTTTACCTCACATATTGATATGGTTTGGCTCTGTGTCCCCACCCAAATTTCATCTCACATTGAAATCCCCATGTGTCAAGGGAGGCACCTGGTGGGAGGTGATTGGATCATGGGGGCAGTTTCCCCCATGCTGTTCTCATGATAGTGAGTGAGTTATCATGAGAGCTGATGGCTTTTAAGTGTGGCACTTCCTCTCTCTCTCTCCTGCCACCATGTAAGACATATCTGCTTCCCCTTCACCTTCAGCCATGATTGTAAGTTTCCTGAGGCCTCCCCAGCCACAAGGAACTGTGAGTCAATTAAACCTCCCTTCTTTATAAATTACCCAGTCTCAGGTAGTATCTTTATAGCAGTGTGAGAACAGACTGACACACGTATCTATCCTGATTTCCCATCACACACTCTGCCTCTATATTGACCTGTTTCCTTGCAACTCCACAACTGCGCAGTGCATAGAACCATCTTTGTGTCTTCTCTCATGGTCTTCCCTCCTTAGGAAGTTTTCACATAGCTGTACCTTAACCATCCTTCCAGGACCATCTAAAGCCTTATATTTTCTGACAGTTACTGGCCTCAATACAATCTTTTCTTTAAATTCTCCAGCACTCAGGCTCTGCGACACAACACAGCACTTAATTATGTACAGACTGATAGTATTTCAGGTTGTTTTACATATGTTGGTCTTGGAACTAGAGGGGAAGCCGCCTCGGCACAGAAGCCACTTTCCATGTCTCTGAGGACCTACTGTGCCTCATACAAGCCCAGCACAGATTAGTGTCAGCTGTAGAGAAGGCAACCCAGACCCTATACTTCTATGTATGTGTTTTCCCTTTTTCTCTTTGTATGACACTTAATACATGCAATTATTAACTCTCCCCACTAACAATCTAACATTGACACCTGAAAATGTTTTTATTTTCTTGGCAGTTCTCCCCCTTTGGAACCAGAGCAGTAGCACAAGGAAAGAGCTGGAGTTGAGGGATTCAAATTCAGTGAGTCTTAAATTCAATGACAAGTCTTTATGAAAGAAGAAGAAACAGAAACAGACATGGGGGAGAAGTCCATGCAAAGACAGAAGCAGGGATGAGGGTGACAAGCCTATGGGCCATGCAATGCCAAGGATGGCCAGCAGCCACCACAAGCTGGAAGAGACAGGAAGGATTCTCCCTAAGAGCTCTCAGAAGAAACAGGGCACTGCCAGCATTTGATTTTGGACTCCTGGCCTCTAAAACTGTGAGACAATAAATTCCTGTTGCTTTAAGCCACCAAGTTTGTGGTAATTTGTTACATAAGCTATAGGAAACTAATATAGTCCCTTGTGGAACTTTACATTTTAGTAAAGAGACAAAATACACTAAAAAGAAAGTATAATATAGTAGTGAGCGCAGTAAGAAAACAAAACAGGCTAATGTGAAAGAATGTCACTAAGAGCTACTTTCAATTAGATGGTAAGGAAGCCTCCATTTACTCTCTTCCAGTGTTCCTAGAAAAAAAAATTATAATATCCAAATTCATTAATTTGTTAAGCAGTTTTTCCACGCTCATATTAAATATTATTTTCTTCAGTTCATTTTTATTGTAATTTTCTTTTTTTCGAAACAGGTCTTTGTATGTCACCCAGGCTGGAGGGCAGTGGCATGGTCTTGCTTCACTGCAACCTCTGCCTCCCAGGTTCAAGCCATCCTCCCACCTCAGCCTCCTGTGCTGGGACCACAGGTGCACAGCACACTCGGCTAATTTTTTTTTTTTTTTTTTTTTTTTTTTTTTTTTTTTTTTGGTAGAGATGGGGTTTCCCCATGTTGCTTAGGCTGGTATTGAATTCCTGGCCTCAGGCAATCCTCCCACCTCAGTGTAGTTTTCTTTTTTTTACATGTTTAATTGATAGATCATAGTTGTACATATTTTAGGGGTATATGGGATATTTTGATACATCTATACAATGTATAATGATAAAATCATGGTAATTGAAATATCCATCACCTCAAATATTTATCTTTTCTTTGTGTTGGGATCAGGACAAATTTTTTCTTCTAGCTATTTTAAAATATACAATAAATTATTGTTAACTGTAATTTCCCTACTGTACTATTGAATACTATAACTTATCTCCTCAACATAATTGTATGTCTCTACTCATTAACTTACTTATTTTCATCCCCGTACTTCCCTTCCCAGCCTCTGATAATCATCATTCTACTCTTTATCTCTAGGAGATCTACTTTTTTTGCTCCCACATAAGAGTGATAATGTGATATTTGTATTTCAATGCCTGGCTTATTTTACTAAACATAATGACCTCCAGTTCCATCCATGTTGCTGCAAATAACAGGATTTCATTCTTTTTGTGGCTGTATAATATTCCATTGAGTATGTATACTACATTTTTTTTATCAGTTCGTCTACTGCTGGATACTTGGGTTGATTTGATGTCTTAGCTATTATGAATAGTGCTGCAGTAAATATGGGAGTGCAGATATCTCTTTGATATACTGATTTCCTTTATTTGGCTATATACCCAGCAGTGGAATTGGTGGACTGTGCAGTAGTTTCTTCAGTTCATTTTAAAGTGTAAGTGAGATATTAGTATTTCCAGATATCTGCTCTAGAGCATCATTAGCATGTACCTGATGACCTGGAAACAACAGTGCAAATTGCTCTAAGTTGTGGCCATAGCATATACTTAAGATTAAAATAAAATTATAAAATAAATCACTTATCCAGGAAATAGATAACAAACTTCATTTAAGTCAACATTGTCCACACTGTATTTCTTCATATAATAATTATTGCATTCATCTTATTATGAAATGTTGGAGATTTTAAAAATAGACATAGTCCTGTGCTAGGGAAGTGTGCACAGGACTATGCACAGTATTTCTATGGGGAAATACTGACATTGAATAAGTTATTTCAAGCAAAAAAGAATGTTTTAAAAAAGAAAATATATAGGGTAACAGCAAGGGTGGGGTCGAACAGAGAGTGCAAATGGTAAAGACCTCCCTGCTCATATATGTTCTTTATTCAACAATTTTTTTTGAGGGCTTACTATATGCCAGGCACAACAGACAATAATAGGTCCAATAAGTGAATTATTTACTATTTTATAATAAGTAAGTTCTATGGGAAAAAGGAAAAGTAGAAAAGAAAAAAGGAGGATGCCTAAGTGTCCATTCAGAGATGGTATCATTGAGAAGGTGAGAATTGAGCAAAGAACTGAAAACATTAGCCAGGCAGATGTATAGGCAAAGAGAAGAGCCAGTGCAAGGGTCCTAAGGCAGAGTGTAGCTGGCACGTCCAGGGAATGACAAGGAGGCCAGGGTGGCGGAGGCAGAGAGAGTGAGGAGAGAGGAGAAGACAAGTTCAGAGACAGACCGGGAACGAGATCCTTTAGGGCCCTGTAGGCTACCGTGAAACCATCTTTTACTGACAGTGAACAGGCAACAACAACCAGAAATGTTCTTTCCTCCCCTACGTAGAGTCTCAGTGACTGGATGGTTCAGCTCCACCATGATTTCTAACTTGAGGACCACAGGTATTGGCATTGCCTAAGGAAGTTTATCATCATTTCCACATACAAGCAGGCACATCCTCCTCCCTTCCCCTGGTTACTCTCACACAATCTAGGAAAACTGCATATCAATAAATAGAAGGGCTTGCCAGAACTCTGACAGGAGAATGGCATTAATGCATTTTTAAAGGTGAAAGAATAAAGCCCATTCATAAATCAAAGTGAGCTAATTTTAAAATGTCACCTGGCCCACTGTCACTCTGGGAAGGAGTGGGAGCAAGGAAGAATAGACTTCCAGTTGACATGGTGGGTGCAGGGGGAACATCTGAGCACCAAGATGCCTCAGCGTCTTTTATCCTGTCAGCAGTATTAAGAAAAAGAAAAAAAAAAAAAAAACTGGGCCACGGGACCATTTTTCACTTTGAACAAGACAATGTTAAAAATTAAACTGAAACATTAAGAAAAGAGGAGAATATCTCCTTGTTTTGAAAAAGCATTCAAAAGCATGGCCTGTCAAAGAAACAACGTGACCCAGAAGACAAGCAGCCTTTGATGTGGTCCTTCATATGACAGTTTTGAGCCTGCTCTACTCACCCAGAGGAGAGCCATTAGATTGGCAGCAATGGAAAGAGGAAGCTTGCACAAGTTCTAGTCTCTTAGGCAAAGTACTCACCTTGAACCAGAAACCCTTCCTGTAATTTTCTTCTTCAGATGAAATAAAGATTTATAGTCTCTACAATTCATAATTGCAAGTCAGAAAACTCCTGGGTCAGAACAGAACCTATGCAGTTGGCCTCAGGAGAGTTAGCCTTGTACACCTGGAACAGCCCATCCAAGTATCTTTTATGTGACATTTCCTTTACAGCTATGCAGCCCACAGGTATTAGGTTGGTGCAAAAGTAATTGTGGGTTTTCCCATTACTTTTAGTGGCAAAAACCGCAATTGCTTTTTCATCAACCTATACGTAGCTGTCTTAGCAGTCTTAAGATACCACATTTTGTATTTTTTTAAAAGAAATCACCTATACATTCTCAACCATTTTTGTGGGGGCAAGTGGAACAAGGGGAGAAAGGCAAGTTGTGCTTTGTTTTTATCTGAACTATAACTCCTATAACCTGAGCAATAGAAAACACATTAATCTCCATAAATATAGACTCTTCTAAACAAAAAGTCCAGAAGATTATCTTAGACAATACCGTCGTTTTACCGAGGAAACCCAGCTAACTAGACAAATGATGAAGTGATTCAATGTCTCCGTCAGCTGGTGTCAACATTTTTAAGAGGCGAATTGTGAAACTTTAAAGGAAATCAAAGTGCTGCAAATTCTGTGCGTAATTTGTTTCTCTTCCTGTTAAAGCAAATTCAGTTCCAAACAGGGGCAGTTGCACTACACAACTCCAGAGGGCATCATTCCTATTGTAGTCTACAGCATGTCCCCTTCTGGAACTACACAGTGCAGGTTCTAGATAGAGGTACTCAGTGGCCCTTCCCAAATATCATTTGGTCCTTCACAAACACCAGGTTAGTAAAAAAAAATGCACAGACTTCCAATGTAAACTTAAACATTAACTTCTTTGGCCTCGTTTTTTGGGGAGCTGGTTAAGTGCAAAGTTTGACTAAAATAAAATAAGGGTCTCCAGCTATTCGGGAGGCTGCGGTAGGAGAATTGCTTGAACCCGGGAGGTGGAGGCTGCAGTGAGCCGAGATCGCACCACTGCACTCCAGCCTGGGCGAAAGAGTGAGACTCCGTCTCAAAAATAAATAAATAAATAAAGTAAGGGTCTATGCAGAGGACATTTTCTTTTTCCAGTGAAACTGCTGACAACTACTATAAGAGATCAAGGGCTTCGTAGGCAAAAGTGGTCCCTCCTGTATTCCTACTTCTTCTACCCCAGTTCAGGCCATCATCAGCTAGTTCTATTGCTATGGGTCCTTCATGATAATACCTAGTTACCTCTCTAGCTTCACCTCCTAGTCCTCCTCATCTTGCATTTTCCACTTTGCTAACATCAAATCAGAGTCCGACATAACTACCTTCCTGTTTTGTGCCTCCCTGAGTTTGCTCATATTGTTTCCTCTGCTTAGAACACTCCTCCCATCATTCTGCACTTGGCCAACTCTCAAGCATCCTTGGGGACTAAGCTCAGGTCTGACCTTTCAGAAAGTCTTCTCAGTTCTCTTCTCCTCGATCCATTGGCTGTGAGAAGTGGACTTCTTTAAGACAAAACATTTCATGCATTAAAATGACTTCCACGTCTCCTCCCACTAAATTGTAAGTTCCTCCAAACCATAACAATAAAAGAGTCCAGGAGATCAGCAAACACATTATGTCTTCAGACTCTGATCCTGACCAAGCTTCTCTGCCCAAGCTATTGGGCAGTTAATCCTCAAGAAACATTCACCATTAGCTGCAGTCACTGCCATGGAACATCTTGATTAGGTTGTAGTTACATCATCTGATCATTGCTTATGAGACAATAAGTTGCATATCACAACCCATTTTTGGACACCCTAAAATCTTAACCATGAGATTCCATAGCCAGTCAGAGAACAATTTTGGGCAGTGCGTAAGTTAAATATTTAAAGTATCTTGAGTGAAATTGGCCTTGCTTATAGATATGGTTAGCCATTCATTGCCTATTTGAGAGATTTGCATTGTGATAACTGCCTTGGAGATTGAAAGACTACCATTAAAGATAAATTCCTAACAAATTATTTCAATCATTGATGGTCGACCAATTCAGGGAGGATTAGCTTATACTGCTCCAATTTATACAAGTCTGATTAATATCAGAAGAGAAAAATGTGTTAAATTCCACTGGTCTTGCACAGTTTCAAATGCTATTTATGAGTCAGATGAATAATTCTTCTTAGATCATTCTTAGATAGAAGGATGCTCCCTAACATGTGTCTATCATTCAGAGAAGGCTCTCCCCAAGTTAAGTTTAAAGAAATATGGAGTGAGTGATGCTTAAAGCAAACAGTTGTTTGTCATGGTTATACAGAATTAACTATGCAAAAATACTGGGAAAACTGTAAAGTACTACATGATTATAATTAAAGTTTTTCTTTCCAATTTTCCTTTTTCTAGATTCTTGGTGTGGGTAAAAAAAAAAAAATCCATCTTCTTTATATATTAGACAATGATTGGCACACAGCAGAGATGCAAAAAAATTATAAGGAGTAAATGAACTGATAAAAAAGCAAGAAAGATAGAAAAGATTGAACTACCTACCTAATCCCAGGAAAGCAATGCTCACTCTGGCTCTCAGTATCTTCATCTTTACTGTGATAGAGTTGATACTAGATGATCTTGAAAGTTTGCTTCAAGAGTTATATGCTCCTACACTCCTCTGACCATAGCTTCCCTGTCAATCATTAACTCTTCATTTATATTGG
Source organism: Homo sapiens (assembly GCF_000001405.40). Classification (NCBI taxonomy): domain Eukaryota; kingdom Metazoa; phylum Chordata; class Mammalia; order Primates; family Hominidae; genus Homo; species Homo sapiens. The sequence goes on from NC_000006.12 coordinate 130,791,147, forward strand.
TAATTGGATGGCCCCTTTTTTTTTTTTTTTTTGGAGACAGACTCTTGCTCTGTCACCCAGGCTGGAATGCAGTGGCGCGATCTTGGCTCACTGCAAGCTCCGCCTCCCGGGTTCATGCCATTCTCTTGCCTCAGTCTCCCGAGTAGCTGGGATTACAGGCGCCCACTACGAAGCCTGGCTAATTTTTGTATTTTTAGCAGAGATGGGGTTTCACCATATTAGCCAGGATGGTCTTGATCTCCTGACCTCATGACCCGCCCGCCTCGGCCTCCCAAAGTGCTGGGATCTTTTTTTTTTTTTTTTAACATGCTTTCAGAAAATGCTAAAATGTCTATGTTTACAAATGATTTTTTAAATTGAGAACATTTAAGATAGGCTGTTTTCTCTAGACAGCTAAGAGTTCTTTTATCAATAAATTGAATTTACATATCACTGTAGGTGGGTTTCCTCCAAAGAGTTAATTTTGTCCAACAGATAAGGAATCATGGAAACTTCAACCAACAGAAACATTAATGGACTCAAAAGACTGATCATTTCCCATTTTCATTTCTACTATGTTTCAAATCTATTTCCATTGGACGAATATTGCTTTAGGATTAACTGTATGTTAGGCGTTGTACAAGGCACCACACCCTTGGTCCACAGCCTGCATTTGGTTTTGCATTGTGTATACAAATTATAAGTATAAATTAATTTCCTACATGTAAATAAATACCTAGACAGCCTGAGAAGCTAAGCCTTAAAATGTTTTTCATTAAATATATTTACCTTGGAACAGCCTCATAAGGATTAAGGATCCAACAACTCAATCCAACAACCCTCAAAGATTAATACTCAGAAGTCACAGAAACAGGGCCGTAGACTTATCTCTCTGCAACGTCCCCTAACTTACTAAGATTAATGACCGTGACACCAATCTTCACTACACATTACACCGACCGTGTGCTAAACAGGATTTGTGTATCTAAAAGAATCTCAAAATCTCAAGGCCAAGAATCCCGGCCTTCAAGGACTTTATGATATTGTGAAGAATTCTTTATTTAGTCAAACTTCCACTCAGCTGAAAGTCGGTAAGCCTCATGTCATGACAAAGGTAGGGAATCCACATAGCTGGAGTTTGCAAAAAGAAAATATACAGTTGCTATCAATAACAAATTGGAAACAGACAGGGAGAGAAATCGGCAAGCAAGCTGATGATTTGATGATTAACACGGGATCAAAGTGCCTCACAGAAACCTTTGCTTGGGTCATCCTGAAAGTCTATGCCACTGCTAGTCACCATTCCAGGAGTTGTGAATTTTTGCATTTAAACAAGGATAACTGTAAACACCACAAAACACTATGGGGAGCTTGCGTTATATTAACTTAATTCAATCCAAAAACAAAGTGACTAATCCTTTCTAATCTTTCAGAAGGAAAATATTTGTACTGCCACATTTGTAATATCAATATTTATTGCCTCACTTTTAAAAATCTTCTTATGGGGAAAATCTGCTGTTACTTGTTTGGTATACTGCCAGAGCACTTAATTGAGAAACGATAAAGAAAAGTGAACAAAGAAAGAAAAATACGTCAAATATTAAAGAACAATATACTGGGTGGTTTTTCATAAGTCTAGCTCTGGTAATTGTAAAGTTACATGACAACAGTTCCAGTTGTGTAACAGTCAAATCTCATTAGAATTCAGCAAGTAGGAGAAACAAAATCAATTTTTAGCAGTGGTGTGAATAAACCAGTATGTCATTTTATTTGCACCATAACAATGCACCTAATAAGACCTTCTTCAGCCAGGAAACTTTTGAATAAGACAAGTTGATAGAGAGAGGAATTAAATTATTCTGTGATTTATTCTCCCTTCCTATTGGCAAACTATGATCATTATTCATCAATCTTTCTTTTGCTAGTCATGGCATCTGATGTATATAAAAGCAGACAATTCTAAATAACTGTTGTGAAGATATTCAAAATCCTTTCTTGTCAGCTCTGAAATGTTTTTGGCTTTGAAGAAGGTACTATTGAACTCATCTAATATTTGCAGATAAAATCATTTTAACTTTAAAAGAAACACAACTTTTTCTAAAGCAAAGGAATATGGGATTGTAATAAATACTTTTTCAGGGCAAGGAAGAAGGAAAAAGGGAGAATGAGAAATAGAAGAAAAAAGGGGAAGAAAATAATGTCCTACATAAGAGTTAAGATAATGCAAAATGTAAAACACTTTTTTCCTTTTGATTCTAATATATCAACTTTTAAAATTCCCTTTACTCTTGTAAATGGTTGCCACGAATTTCCAAATTCAGCTGGAGATGAGGAAAATACAGAAGGCACTCAAGTAATGTGTGGTAGCCTTACCAGTACTTTCACCCACTCATGTTTTGCAAGGAAGACTTTTCTGAAGCTGAGGAGTATATCATGACAGCAGACAATATATGGGAGAGTACAGAGATGTAAATGTTGCTCCTGATTCCATTCCTACTGACCTGTCTGACCTTTAGCTTTTCTTGCTCCCTGTTTTTACATTTATAATTGAAGTTTTGAGGCAATCTTGAAGTAGCCTCCCAGGCTCCAGTGTTTTCTCTGCTCACAGTCATCGTCCACGTGGCTGCCAGTTATCTTTTGATAACATGTACGTCTTCATCCTGCTATCATGATTAAAACGTCTGCTGCCTTCTCAAACAGACAGGATAAAATCCAGCTCCTCAGGAGGCCCAACAAGGCCCTTGGCAATCTAACCCAGCTGTTCTTTGCGTCTTTATCTTCTACCTCCTTCCTCTTCCCACCCTCATACTATCCTGCGTATCCACTGTTCCCTGAACAAACCACACTTTTGCTTTTTTATGTGCTGTCTTCACTCTCTGAATCCTTTTCTTTCCCTTTCCCTACATCTCCATTGTAACATTACAGTCACCCTGGGGACACCTTCTCCAAGCTCCCAGGCCAGTGTAGCCCTTTGTTTTGAAATGCAAGTTTTGTTATTACTCAGGTATGGTGAGAACAACAGATAAGGAGATGACTGCCATTGGAAAGAGTTTGTTACTCACAGTTCCCAAGAGGAGGGGGCAAGCCACGCCACACAGGGCCATATGGGGAAGCACCAAGGTAGGTCACAAAAAAAGGAGGGCAAGAGCCTTTATAGTGGTTTCTGCAGGAAAGACAAGGCTGGGCAAGGTAAGAAGGCTTAGGATTGGCTGGTTTGAATAATTTCAGCATACTCTGGGGTATAGGGGGTGTCCTTAGTTGTCTGGTCCCTGGTCCTGGAGTGATCAGAGTGGAGAATATTAGCCTTGAGTGTGACAGCCCAGTAGAGGAGGTGGTTGGGTCTGTGGGCTCTGGATTGGTTGGTTTGCATATGAAAGTCACACTCCCTGGTGATGAGTTGTTTACTATCTCTAGGATTTGGCTACTCCTGGGAAAAGCAGTCAGTCTTCCAGAATTAGCAAGGCTCCAAGATATCAAAGCATCAGAATTACAGAAAACAAAAAGGCAGAATTAATACACCCCTCCCTACTGTAATTTGTACAATACTTACATAAAACATTGCATTTAAATTGTTTATTTCTGTCTGCTTCCTCAAGAACAGAGACCCCAACTTTGGAACATGCAAAGATCTAAATGGAAACAGTGAGTGAATGCAAGCAGATTGTGCCTGACAAAGAACCAGAGATGAGTATATTAGATAATCTCCTAACACTGAACTTTCCAGAGATTTCGATATTACAAAGGTTAAAATGATGACTTTGCATCTGGGAACACTTGTACATAATGTCTACATATTTGGCCGTTGGATGTCCAAGGCAAGTCTGTGCAGCACCTGCCAAGTCACAAGACCCAAATAAGCACTTCTTGAGATACGATTTCCTTCAGGCCTGTGGGCTGGGCCATCCATCACATGTGTAAACTGAGCAGCACATTCTTCTGTATCTTCATACAGAGTAAATCAATCAGAACAGCAAACCTCTATTCTTTCTTTATGTTCTTCACTCAGCCACCTTAGATGAATATCCTTTAGCTCATACTCAGTTTTAACAAGAATAATAAACTGAGAGATAATATGAGATAGACTTCCATTTTTCTGTCAAGATATTTCCCTTTTAAGAAACAAGAGAAAAAATAAGCAAAAATAATGCAGAATAGAACTCTTTTAATGCCTTTGATTGTAGCCCATTAAATAAGACCCCCAGAGAGCAGTGTGTGTCTCTGATTGGAGGAGAGCACTACAGAATAAGTGGGGGCCGAGTGCTTGGGGGACATAGCAGGTTACCAATACATGACATTAACCAAAAATAAAGAGTGGGACAAAGCAGTTCAAGAAAATCAGCAGCGGGGAAGAAAACAGAACAAGGACCAGTAGGTGAAAAAAGAAAGGAACACATACACTAATGAATTAGGTCATTCATTTACCAACAACAGTCACTCACTGTGATTGGCAACTAAAAAAACACAGTCAAGCCTAAGTGAAATGCATTGCTTCCATCAAGCTAAATCTATAGCCAAAACATCCAATTCGTTCTTTCTGCCAATTTTACAGCCTCCTCTTTAGGTCCAATGAAACCACTTAAGGATTCTTTTAAACAAGACAATATATGTGAAAGCACCTAACACACCAAAGAGGAAATGAGGCTATTCAATAAATGTGAGTGTTCCATTTCCTTCCCTGTATGCAATTTCAGAAATGACTCCAAACTCATTTTCACTCGCGTCCCTGTGAAGAGACCACCAAACAAGCTTTGTGTGAGCAGCAAGGCTGTTTATTTCACCTGGGTGCAGGCGGGCTGAGTCTGAAAAGAGAGTCAGTGAAGGAAGATAGGGGTGGGGCCGTTTAATAAGATTTGGGTAGGTAAAGGAAAAAGGGGGGTTGTTCTCTGGCGGGCAGGAGTCGGGGTCACAAGGTGTTCAACGGGGGAGATTTTTGAGCCAGGATGAGCCAGGAGAAGGAATTTCACAAGGTAATGTCATCAGTTAAGGCAAGGACCGGCCACTTTCACTTCTTTTGTGGTGGAATGTGATCAGTTAAGGCAGGAGCAGGCCATTTAAATATCACTTCTTTTGTGATTCTTCAGTTACTTCAGGCCATCTGGATGTATACCTGCAGGTCACAGGGGATATGATGGCTTAGCTTGGGCTCAGAGGCCTGACAGTCATCAAATTCCATGGTCAACAGATAAACAATATATTTATCTCACCAAATTGAATTTTATGGTTGGTGAGAAATCCAAGATCTCAGAGTGATTAGTTCACAAAGGGACTCACTGTGTGGTCCTTTCCTACTATTACTCTGGCACTTTCTGGCATGGCCCTCAGCAATTCCTCACTGACAGCCAACAACCTCTGCCTTTGTCTTTATGGCCAGAGACTGAGCAAATACAAGTTCATCCACTTGGCAAATGTGATGTTTCTCTTGTATCTTAGCCAACCAAAACATGCCATTAATGGAAGCCATCAGGCAAAGCATTTTCAGTATCCTGGCTCCTTTCCCATATGTCCCTCTTCCTTCCCTTAATATTTGGGTTATGAAGGGAAACATTATTTATTTCATTTTTTACCTTTGAGTTCCATTGAGCTTCTTTCCACAAAGAGTAACCATGTAACTGAGATTTAGATGACTCTACTGAAATACTGCTTTTTCTACTTCCAGCTTGAGGAATGACTGATAAACAAAAATTCTATATATTTAGGGTGTACAATGTGATAATTTGGTATACATATACATTGTGAGATGATCACAACAATCAAGCTAATTTACATACCTATCACCTCAGTTACTGTGTGTGTGTGTGTGTGTGTGTGTGTAAGATGAGTACCCTTCAGATCTCCTTTCTTAGCAAATTTCAAGGATTTAATATATTATTATTCACTGTAGTCATGTTGTACATTTGATCTCCAGAAATTATTCATTATATAACTGAAATTTTGTACCTTTTGTCCAACATTTCCCCATTTCTCCCACCCCTCCACCCCTAGAGACCACCACTCTACTCTTTGTTTTGTGTTTTAAGTGAAATCAAAGCAAGTTTATTAGAGCAACAGAGTACAGGAAAATGGCTGCTCCACAGACAAAGCAGGGCTATCCCATAGGCAGAATAGCTTGCTCTCTGTTTTTATAAGTTGGCCTTTTTTAGATTCCACGCATAAGTGAGATCATGCAATATGTGTCATTCTGTGTCTAGATTATTTCACTTAGCATAACATCTCTAGTTTATCCATATTGTCACAAATGGCAGGATTTCTTTCTTTTATTAAGGCTGAATAATATTCCATTGTGTGTATGTTGTGTATACGTATAAATACACAACATTATCTTTATGTATTCATTCTTTGATTGACACTTCGGTTGTTTCCATATCTTGGCTATTATAAATAATGCTGCAATAAATACGGGAGTACAGATATCTCTTTGACATACCGACTTCTTTTTCTTTGGATATATAGCCAGGAATTGGATTGCTAGATCATATGCTAGCTCTATTTTTAATTATTTGAGGTACCCCCATACTCTATCCCATAAAAGCTATTGTACCAATTTACATTCCCAGCAACAGCGTGCAAAGTTTCCCTTTCCTCCACATCTTCACCAACACTTATCTTCTGTTATTTTGATAGTAGCCATTCTATCAATAACAGATGTGAGGTGATAGCGCATGGTTTTGATTTGCATTTCCCTAATGATTAGTGATATTGAGCACCTTTTCATATACCTGTTGGCCATTTGTATGTCTTCTTTGAAAAAATGTCTATTGAAGTCCTTTTATCATTTCTCACAGTTATTTGTTTTTCTGTTTTTTGTTCGTATTGTTTTGTTTTACTTTTGCATTATAGCAGTTCCTTACATTTTTTCAAAATTAACCGTTCATCAGATACACGGTTTGCAAATATTTTCTCCCATTCCACATTTTTTCAAAATTAACCCTTCATCAGATACATGGTTTGCAAATATTTTCTCCCATTCCACAGGTTGCCTTTTCATTTTATTGACTGTTTCCTTTGCTGTGTATAATCTTTTTAGTTTGATGTAGTCTCACTTGTTTATTTGTGCTTTCATTGCTTATGTTTTTGATGTCATATCCAAAAAATTTTGCCAAGACCAATATCAAGGAGCTATTTCTCTATGTTTTTTTCTAGGAGTTTTACAGTTTCATGTCTATGTTTAAGTGTTTAATCCATCTTGAGTTGATTTTTTGTGTATGATGTAAGCCAAGAATCTAATTTCATTCTTTCCCACATGGATACCCAGTTTTCTCAACATCATTTATTGAAGAGATAGTCCTTTCCTTGTTATGAATTTGTGGCACTGCTTGCTAAAGATTATTTGACTATATATGTGTGGGTTTATTTCTGGGATTTCTATTATGTTCCCTTCATCTATGTTCCTGATTTATACAGGTACTATACTGTTTTGATTATTATGGCTTTGTGATATAGCCTGAAATCAGGAAGTGAGATGCCTTCAACATTCTTCTTCTTTCTCAAGATTGCTTTAGTTATTTGGGATCCTTTGTGGTTTCATACAAATTTATGATTGTTATTTCTATTGCTGTGAAAAACATAATTGAAATTTTGATTGGGATTGCATTGAATATGCAGATAACATTGGATAATATGGACATTTTAACAGTATAAATTCTTTCAATCCATAAATGTGAAATACCTTTCTAGTTATTTGTGTCTTCTTCAATTTCTTTCATAAGTGATTTGTGATTTTCGCTGTACAAGTCTTTCACCTTCTTGGTTTAATTTATTCCTATTTTATCATTTTTGATACTGTTATAAATGGGATTGTTTTCATCGTTTCTTTTTTGGATAGTTCATTGTTACTGTATAGAAATGCAACTGATTTTTATGTGTTGATTTTGTATCCTGCAATTTTACTGAATTTGTTACTTGTTCGAACAGTTTTTTGATGAAGTCTTTAGGGTTTTCTCTATATAATATCACATTATCTGCAAACAATTTGACTTTCTCTTTTCCAATTTGGATGTCTTTTATTCCTTTTTCTTGCCTAATATATCTGGCTAGGATTTACAGTACTATACTGAATAGAATTGGTGAGTGGAAATTCTTTCCTTGTTCCTGATCTTAGAAGAAAAGTTTTCAGTTTTTCACTATTGAATATGATGTTTGTTGTGGGCTTGTCATAGATGTCCTTATTGTGTTGAGGCAAGTTCCTTGTATACCTAATTTGTTGAGAAGTTTATCATGAAAGGATGTTGAATTTTGTTAAATACTTCTTCGGCACCTGTTGGGATAGTCATATAATTTGTATCCTTCATTTTGTTACTATGGTGTATCATATTTATTGATTTGCATCTGGTGAACCATCCTTGCATCCGGTGAACCATCCTTGCATCCCAGAGATAAATCTAAATTGATCATGGTATATGATGCTTTTAACATTCTGTTAAATTTAGTTTGCAAGTATTTCATTGTGGATTTTTGCATCTAAGTTCATATTGGTCTGTTATTTTCTTTTCTTGTAGTGCATTTATCTGGCTTTAGTTTCAGGGGAGTGCTAGACTCATAAAATGAGTTTGGAAATATTGGCTCCTCTTTAGTTTCTGTGACAATTTGAGAATAAGTGGTATTAGTTTTGTAAATGTTTGGTAAGTTTCACCAGTGAAGCCATCTGGTCCCAGGTCTTTTTTTTAATTGGGATTTTTTTGAATTTTATTGTGATAAAATACACATAACATGAAATTTACCCACTTAACCATTTTTAAGTATACAATTCGGTGGTATTAAATACATTCATAATGTGTGCAACCATCACCACCATCCATCTCCATAGTTCTTTTCATCTTATATAACTGAAACCCTATACCCATTAAACAATAACTCTCATTTCCTCCACCCTTACCCCTGTCAAACACCATTCAATTTTCTGTATGATTTTGACTACTCTAAATATCTCATATAAGTGGAATCACACAGTATCTATTAATAATTAGCTTATCTCACTTAGAATTATTTATCAAAATCCATTCATGTTGTAACACATTGAAGACTTTCCTTCCTTTCTAAGATTAAATAATATTTCATTGTATGAATATATCATGTTTTGCTTATCCATTCATCTATCCATGAATTGCTTCCATGTTTTACCTATTGTGAATAATGCTGCTGTGAGCATAAGTATACAAATATTTCTGCAAGATCCTGCTTTTAATTCTTTTAGGTATATGCCCAGAAATGGAATTGCTGGATCATACGGTAATTCTATTTTTAATTTTTTCAGGAACTGCCATACTGTTTTCCACAGTGGCTGCACCATTTTACATTTCCACCAACAAAGCACAAGGGATCCATTTTCTTTACATCCTCTAAAACACTTGTTATTTTCTGATTTTTGCTAGTAGCAATCCTAATTTGTGTGTGTGTGTGTGTGTGTGTGTGTGTGTGGTAGTGGTATCTCATTGTAGTTTTGATTCACATTTCCCTAATTATTACTGATACTGAGCATTTTTTCATGTGCTTATTGGCCATTTGTATGTCTTCTTTGGATGTATGTCTAAGTCCTTCGATCATGTTTGAACTGATTTGTTTCTTTCATAGTTGAGTTTTAGGAATTCTCTATATATTCTGCATATTAATACCTTATGAGATACATAATTTGCAAATATTTTCTCGCATTCTATAGGTTGCCTGTTTACTCAGTTGTTAGTGTCTTTTGAAGCACAAAATGTTTTAAATTTTATGGAGTCTGATTTGCATATCTCTTCTTTTGTTGACTGTGCTTATGGTGTCATATCCAAGAAATTATTGGCAAGTCCAATCTCATAAAGGTTTTGCCCTACATTTTCTCCTAAAAGTTTTATTATTTTAGGTCTTACATTTAGGTATTTGACCAATTTTCAGTTAATTTTTGTACACAGTATTAGGTAAGGGTCCAATTTCACTCTTGCATGTGTTTATCCAACTTTTTCCAGCACCATTTGTTGGAAAGACTGTCCTTTATCCACTGAATGGTCTTGGTACCTTTGTCAAAAGTCATTTGATCACATATGTGGTGATATATTTGCACAATTTCTATTATATTCCATTGATCTACATGTCTTTTTTATGCCAGTACCACACTGCTTTGATTAGAGTAGCTTTGTCATAAGTTTTAAAATCTGAAAATGTGAGTCTTCCAGCTTCGATTTTCTCTCTCAAAATTGTTTTGGCTACTCGGGTTCCCTTGAGATTCCATATGAATTATAGGATGGGTTTTTCTATTTCTGCAAGAAACATCATTGTATTTTGATAAGAATAACATTGAATCTGTAGATTGCTTTAGGTAATATTGGCATTTTAACAATATTAAGGCTCGCGCCCAGCGCTCTCCAGCCGGGGTGGCGGCGGCGGTGGCGGTGGCGGCGGCAGCGGCGGCAGCGGCGGGGGAGGGGTGCGGCAGGGGAGGGGAGGAGGCCTGGCCCCGCGGTCGCAGCCGCCACCGCCCGCCCCGACCTCCCGGACCGCCGCGGGGCCACGGGCCGGAGCCCCGGATTCGCACTCCGTATTAGCCACGGCTGGGCCGCGCGTATATTTGCCTTCCCTCCATGATCTCCAACACTATCCGATAAAGTAGAAGCAACTGAGGTACCGTGAAAGAGAAAGGAGCTGGAACTGAGAAAAAGCAGAGAAACTGAAAGGCCAACGTGGGAGACAAAGAAGAGCCTGAAAGAGCCAAATCTTACCTTCTGGACCATGACGGGGTTTCGCTGTGTTGGCCGGGCTGGTCTCCAGCTCCTGACCGCGAGTGATCCGCCAGCCTCGGCCTCCCGAGGTGCTGGGATTGCAGACGGAGTCTCGTTCACTCAGTGCTCAATGGTGCCCAGGCTGGAGTGCAGTGGCATGATCTCGGCTCGCTACAACCTCCACCTCCCAGCCGCCTGCCTTGGCCTCCCAAAGTGCCGAGATTGCAGCCTCTGCCCGGCCGCCACCCCGTCTGGGAAGTGAGGAGCGTCTCCGCCTGACCGCCCATCGTCTGGGATGTGAGGAGCCCCTCTGCCTGGCTGCCCAGTCTGGAAAGTGAGGAGCGTCTCTGCCCGGCCGCCATCCCATCTAGGAAGTGAGGAGCGCCTCTTCCCAGCCGCCATCACATCTGGGAAGTGAGGAGCATCTCTGCCCAGCCGCCCATCGTCTGAGATGTGGGGAGCACCTCTGCCCTGCCGCCCCGTCCGGGATGTGAGGAGCGTCTCTGCCCGGCCGCCCCGTCTGAGAAGTGAGGAGACCCTCTGCCCGGCAACCGCCCCGTCTGAGAAGTGAGGAGCCCCTCCGCCCAGCAACCGCCCCGTCTGAGAAGTGAGGAGCCCCTCCGCCCAGCAGCCACCCCATCTGGGAAGTGAGGAGCGTCTCCACCTGGCAGCCACCTCGTCCGGGAGGGAGGTGGGGGGGTCAGCCCCCCGCCCGGCCAGCCACCCCATCCGGCAGGTGAGGGGTGCCTCTGCCTGGCCGCCCCTACTGGGAAGTGAGGAGCCCCTCTGCCCGGCCAGCCACCCCGTCCGGGAGGGAGGTGGGGGGGTCAGCCCCCCGCCCGGCCAGCTGCCCCGTCTGGGAGGGAGGTGGGGGGGTCAGCCCCCCACCCAGCCAGCCGCCCCATCCGGGAAGTGAGGGGCGCCTCTGCCCGGCCGCCCCTACTGGGAAGTGAGGAACCCCTCTGCCCGGCCACCACCCCGTCTGGGAGGTGTACCCAACAGCTCATTGAGAACGGGCCATGATGACAATGGCAGTTTTGTGGAATAGAAAGGGGGGAAAGGTGGGGAAAAGATTGAGAAATCGGATGGTTGCCGTGTCTGTGTAGAAAGAGGTAGACATGGGAGACTTTTCATTTTGTTCTGTACTAAGAAAAATTCTTCTGCCTTGGGATCCTGTTGATCGGTGACCTTACCCCCAACCCCGTGCTCTCTGAAACATGTGCTGTATCCTCTCAGGGTTGAATGGATTAAGGGCGGTACAAGATGTGCTTTGTTAAACAGATGCTTGAAGGCAGCATGCTCCTTAAGAGTCATCACCACTCCCTAATCTCAAGTACCCAGGGACACAAACACTGTGGAAGGCCGCAGGGTCCTCTGCCTAGGAAAACCAGAGACCTTTGTTCACTTGTTTATCTGCTGACCTTCCCTCCACTATTGTCCTGTGACCCTGCCAAATCCCCCTCTGCGAGAAACACCCAAGAATGATCAATAAAAAAAAAAAAAAAAAAAAAAAAACAATATTAAGTCTTCCAATTAATAAATGTGGAATATATTTCAATTTATTTATGTTTTCTTAAATTTGTCTTTCAGTAATATTTTGTAGTTTTCATTGAAGAAGCCTTTTGTCTCCTTGGTTAAGTCCTAAGTATTTTTTTTCTTTCCAGTGCTACTGTCAATTGAATTGCTTTCATAATTTTGTTTTCAGATTGCTTATTATTAGTGTCTAAAAATGTTAACTAGATTTTGTGTGTTAACTTTGTATGCTGCTACTTAGGTAATTTCATTTATTAGTTATTGCAGGGGTTTTTTGGTGAAATTTTGGGGTTTTCTAGATGTAAGATCATATTACCTGTGAACAGAGATCATTTCAGTTCTTCTTTTACAACATGGATGCCTTTTCTTTTTTTTTTTTTTTTTTTTTTTTTTGGTATAATTGCCCTGACTAGGATTTTCAGCACTATGTTGAATAGAAGAGGGGTGAGTGGCATCTTGCCTTCTTCCTGATTTTGGAAAAAAAGCTTTCAGTCTTTCACGACTGAATATGTTTGTTGTGTGCTTTCCACATAAGGCTTTTATTACGTTGAGCTAGTTTCCTTCTATTCCAGTTTATTGAGTGTTTTTTTTTTTTATCATTAAGGGGTGTTGAATTTTGTCAAATGCTTTTTCTGTATCATTTGAGATAATCACGTGATTTTCTTCCCTTTCATTCTGTTAATGTAGTGTATTACATTGATTACTTTTTGTATGTTGAACCACTGTTGCATTCCGGGAATAAATACCCTTTGGTCATGGTCTATAATATTTTTAACATAACATTGAGTTTGGTTTGCTAGTATTTTGTTGAGGATTTTTGAATCAATGTTGATAAGGGATATTGTTATGTAGTTTTCTTTTCTTGTAGTGTATTTGTGTCACTTTGGTATCAGTGTAATGGTAGCATCATAGAATGAATTACGAAGTATTCTTTCCCCTTCCCTTCTTTGAAAAGTTTGAGAAGGACCGGTATTAGTTCCTTAAATGTTTGACAGAAATCACAGTGAAACCATCTGGTCCAAGGCTTTTGCTTTCTGGGATATTTTTAGTTACTGGTTGAATCTCCTTACTAGCTACAGGTCTATTCAGACATTCTATTTCTTCATGATTTTGTCTTGGTAGGTTATATATTTCTAGGAATTTACCCATTTTATCTAGGATATTCAATTTTTTGGCATTCAATTATTCATAGTACCCTCTTATAATCCTTTTTTATTTCTATAGTCAGTAGTAATGTCTCCATTTTTATTTCTTATTTTAGTATTTTGAGTCTTCTCTTTTGTTATTAGTCCATCTAGCAAAGTTTTGTAAATTTTTGTTGATCTTTTCAAAGAGTTAACTTTTGTTTTCATTAATTTTCTCTATTGTCTCTAGTATATATTTTGTCTATCTTTAATCTTTTTATTCTCTTTCTTCTGCTATCTTTGGGTTTAATTTGTTCTTATTTTTCCAGTTCCTTAACTTGTAAAATTAGGTTGTTGATTTGAGATCGTTCTTGCTTTTTAATGTTCCCTTTGGCCATTGCTTTCACTGGTCACATAGGTTTTGGTGGGTTGTATTTTCATTTTCATTCATCTTTAAGGATTTTCTAACATTCCTTGTGATTTCTTCTTTGATCCATTGATTAAGAAGGTGTTTAATTTCCAAAACATTGTGAATTTTCTAGTTTTACTTCTGTTATTGATTTCTAACTTTATCCCATTGTGGTCAAAGAAGATATTTCTATTATATCTACATTTTAAATATCAATAAGATTCTTTAAGTATTCTAATGATACTTAATTGTGACCTAACATATGATCTTTCCTGAAAAGTGTCCCATTCCCATATGCACTTGAGATGAATGTGTATGTTGTTGTTTTTGGGTAGAGTGTTCTTTATATGTCTGTTAGGCCCATTTGAATTATGGTCATATCAGTATTAATATTTAAAAGATGGAATAAACATATGATGCACTAGGTGTTAGGTAACATAATGTGATATGCTAATAATAGCAATTACCTTTTGCACATTCTTCCACATTATCCCTCTAGAAATTAATTTTCCATCCTATTTATTTATTTTAAAAATAATCCAACCTAATAAAGTTTTCTGGACTTATCAGCTGAAATGGTATAAATAGCAAAATTCATCAAAGTCAAGTAATTTTATTTCTGAAATATAAATGCCTAAAGGTAGAAAGGCATAACCAAATTCTTGTCCCTAAAGGACAAATTTAATTATGTGAAAAAAGATTAGAGGCATGAAATGAGTTCAAGAACCACTATAAATAATGTCATTTGAAATATGAGGTTTGCATTCCTCCCCCACCCAACTGACTTATGGAACATTTGAAAACATACTTTGACAGAATATATTTTCCACAGGACAGGAGATACTTTTCCCCACAGTATACTTTCAAACATCAAGCTCCAAAGTAGCCTACTCAAATTTAATAAATATTAAGTGCAAAACACTCTACTCTGCAGGAAGAATGCAGACTAATGTCTCCACTTTCATTTCTTATTTTAGTAAGGAAGAATAAGAAGACATTAAAGACACCTCTCCCTACCCTTCAAGGACTAAAATATTAGGTAGAAACATATTTTGAATCAAATATTGCTGTCATACAGATACACATGTCATGCAATGGGAATAGGTGAGAAGGAAAAAGAATGGCCCCCGAGGGGTCAGAGAAGGGTTTTGTAACATTTGAGCTGGGAACTGAAGATGAGAGAGACCACAGGAGGACTAGCCTCTAAAGCTCAGTGTTCTCCTGTCACAACACATCCAGGAAATGACATTTGTGTGGCAGTAAACTGAGGGAGCTGATTCCTGCCGGGTCAACTGGGAAGGGATAAGACTGGCCATCCCCAGGAATGAAGAAATCCATTTTGGTCATAGCTGGGTGCCACGGAACACATATTGGAAAGTGCTGTAGCATTCCAAGAGTAAATGGGTAGTTCTCAACCCCAGCAACACACTATATAATCAACTATGATATTTTTAAAAAATACAGATGTCATTTAAATCCAGCCTATAAGGAACAGCCTGAACGTGGGTATCTTTTTGGATATCTCCAATAAGCCTAATGTGAGACAGGCTGAGCATCACTGGTCAAAATTTTTCTTCTCCTACTAGAACAAAATGGCTGAGTCACATAACAAGTTTCAAAATTAAAAACAACAACAATAATAAACAATCCAATAATTTAATGGATAATTAAATATTAAATGGCATCTACTTCCAATTCTAGCCATGAAGGAGTAACGGAGTCTAGAATTACCCTCCTGCTATAAACAGCTAAAAAACTAGACAAAATATAGAAAATTTTATTTTCATATAGTGGACAGTGGAGGACTATGATCCTTAGGTGTACAGGAAAAAATAAGGTGAGCCCAGGATTTCTGCCAGTAGACAACCATAGGACAGCAAGATGTGGAGGAGGAACCCAAACAGAGTGGCAATCTGGCTGTGTTAAGGATTCAAACTGGTGATTGGGGAAGACAAGGCAGTTAGAATTCGTGAGACAGAGTCTCCAGGAGGAGGGAACTAACCAGAGAAAGAATTCCAAGGATCTCTACAGAGAACCCCTTGAGTCTTTGCTAAATACAAATCTATATATGCATAGGTTGCAAACTAGAGAAGCAGGTGAAACAACTTCCAAGGAATGAGCAATTGCCCACTCATTACTTGCTCAACATTGTAGTGGAGGCCCTAGCCAGTGCAATTAGGCAAAAAAAAAAAAAAAAAAAAAAAAAGGAAGAACAGGTAAGCATGTTGGAAAGAAAGAAAATTATTTTTCTGTACAGAAGACACATAAAAACCTCTAAGGAATCCACAAAAAATAAGGTCTTAAAACTAACAAGCAAATTTAGAATGGTCTCAAGACACAAGACCAAGATACAAAAAATTAATTATATTCTATATATTAACAACAATCAACTGGAAATTGAAATTTTTAAAAAATTCTATTTACAATAACATCCAAAACATGAAATACTTAGAAATAAATTAAACAAAATGTGTATAAGCTTGTACTCTGAAAACTACAAAAGGTTACTGAAAGGTAAAAAGGACTGAAGAACTAGAGTTGTAGACCATGTTTATGAATTTGAATACTCAATGCTATTAAGATTTCTATTCTCTCCAAATTCATCTGTAGATTCAACAAAATCCCCCTCAAAATCCCAGTAGGTTTTTTGTTATTATTGTTGTTGTAAATCTGATTTTTAAGTTATTTGAAAAATAAAGAGACTCAGAGTCGTCAAACAATTCAAAGTTGGGTGACTTACACTACTTGATTTCAATACCACAAAGCTTTAGTAAAAAGAGAATATGGTAGTAGCAGAAGAATAGACCTATGGATCAATGGAAGAGAATACAGAATTCAGATGCAGACTGACACATATGTGGTCAATTGATTGTGAATAAAATTTAAATGCCAAGTAGTTCAAACAGAAAAGGAAAGTCTTTTTAACAATCATCAGTGGGGGGAAAATTAACCTTGACCCTTGCCATCTCAGGCCATATAAAAGTTTACCACAAAACAGATCATACACCTAAATTCAATATTTAAAACTATTAAACTTCAAGAAAAAAACATATGAGAAAATCTTTATGATCTTGGAGTAGGAGAAGATTTCTTAGCTAAAACACAAAATGAATGAAGCATAAAAAAATTGATAAATAAGACTTCATCAAAATTTAAAAACCTAAACACTTTGAAAGATGTTAACAAAATAAAAAGGCACACCACAGAATGGGAGAAATTATTTGCAATAAAAATACATTACAAAGGACTTATATCCAGAAGATACAAGAATTTGGGCTGAGGATGGTGGCTCACGCCTGCAACCCCAACACTTTGAGAGACTGAGATGGGAGGATCGCTTGAGTCCAGGAGTTTAAGACCAGCCTGGACAACAAAGTGAAACCCTGTCTCTACAAAAAATAAAAAAATAATAATTAGCCAGGTGTGGTGTCTTGCATGTACAGTCCCAGGTACTTGGGAGGCTGAGATGGGAGGACTGCTTGAGCTAGGGAGGTTGAGGCTGCAGTGAGCCATGATTGCACCACTACACTCCAGCCTGGGCAACAGAGCAAGATCTTGTCTTAATTAAATTTTTAAAAAATTATTTTTTTTTTTTAAAAAAGAACTTAATCAGCTAAAACTCAATAGGAAGGTAACACAATAAAAAATGAGCAAAGGTTTGAACATTTTACAAAAGAAGTTATATGAGTAACCAGCAAGAGTATGGAAAGATGCTCAACATCTTTAGTAATCAGATGTATTCATCATGTTTTTTTTATTCTGTAGTTTTGATGCTTTGACATCTTGTTGACCTTGGAGGGGACTGTTCCTCCTAGGGCTACCTAATGCTAATTCCCAAAGATAGCAGTCTAACGAAACCAAAATTCTACAAAACATATAGTTGAGGGTGGGGCTCTGAATTGGTTGGTTTGCATATGAAAAGCACCTCACAAGTGACAACAAACTATCTTTTTTTTTTTTTTTTTTTTGAGACAGAGTCTCGCTCTGTCGCCCAGGCTGGAGTGCAGTGGCATGATCTCGGCTCACTGCAACCTCCATCTCCTGGGTTCAGGCAATTCTCCTGCCTCAGCCTCCTGAGTAGCTGGGATTACAGGTGCCCACAACCATGGCCAGCTAATTTTTGTAGTTTTAGTAGAGACAGGGTTTCTCCGCGTTGGCCAGGCTGGTCTCGAACTCCTGACTTCAAGTGATCCGCCTGCCTCGGCCTCCCAAAGTGCTGGCATTATAGGCATGAGCCACTGTGCCTGGCTCAAAGTATCTTTTTAATGGCAGTCATCCTGATCCATTGTCCTTGCCATACCTCAAAGATAATAAAATTTTATATTTTAAAACACATGGAAATTCAAATTAAATGCACAATGAAATAAAACTACATACTTACTAGCATATATAAAATTTTAAGAAGATGATAATATCAAGTATGGGTGAGGACAGTGAGCAACTGGCACCTTCATACATTGCTGGTGAGACTGCAAAATAGTATAATCATTTTGGAAAGCTGTTTGACAGTTTCCTATAATTTTAAACATACACTTACCATACGACCCAGCAATTCCAATCCTAAGTATTTACTCAAAAGAAATGAAAATATATGTCTACACAAATTGTCTGCAAATTTATTCATGATAACCAAAAACTGAAAATTAAGTGTCCATCAATAGGTGAATAGATAAACAAATTACAGCATATCCATAGTGATATGGAATGATATGGCATAAAATACTACTCAGCAATCAAGAGGAATTAATTACTGAAAGATGCAACACATGAATAAATTATGCTATGCAAAAAAGCCAGACACAAAAGCATACATACTGTAAGACTCCATTTCTATAAAATTCTAGAAAAGATCAATTTAATTTACATTGACAGAATATCAGTTTGCCTGGTGTCAGGAGTGGGGACGAGTGTGAAGAGGCACAAGAACAATTTTGGGGGATGATAGAAATATTCTATATCTTGATTGTGGTAATGATTACCTGAGTATGTGAATGTGTCAAAATTCATTGAAATACAAACTTACATGGTTACATTTTACTGTATGTTAACTACACCTCAATAAAGTTGATTTTTAAAAAAACATTATCCTTGAAATAGAATCGATTTTGTCAGTTTTATTTACTATTATTTTGCCCATAATGAGTTAATATGTCTGACTACTCTGAAAATGTTATGAAAAGAAAAAAGCTATATGTGGAAGTAATTATTGAGACCAGATGGTTTTCTGCTCTTTGAAGAGTTGACAATATTAACAGTATTGCTTTATGTGTCTATAGAGTCTTATCTCTGTTACTTCGTGTTATTATGTATCTATAAAATGCCACTTTGTAGCAATAGCTGTACATTGCAAATATCCTTTTACATGGCTTAACCATTGATTCTGACATACAGACCCTGTTATGCGTCCCTCCAGTTCTGACATACAGGAGGCTTTTGCTCACCAGCAATGACAGAAAAACTGCATGCCAGTTCAGGAATGCACTGTCTGGACCAACATTTGCCCTGCATTCCCAAGAGGAAGGTTAGGAACCCTAAGCAGCTGGAGAGATGCCCAGGAAAAGAATGTCCCCATCTCTGCTTCTTTTTTAGGTGAGTGGGGAAGATAAAACAGAACTGCCAGATGGCTACAACTCATTACTGCCTGGCAGTATTCAGGATGAAATAAGAGTAAATTAATCAGCATTCAGGAGGAATTAATGGCAAGGGGAGATGTGTATCGATGCTATTTTAGCCCAAGTCAAATTAAACCTGTAGAACTGACAACACACATTAATCTCCCATTGCCTCCAGTAGCTGTGCAAATGAGCTCCTCGTTTCTTTATACAAACAACTGTCATTTTGACGTTACTACTTTGGCAAAAAATTCTAGCGATGGCCTGGTAAGTTACCCCTAGTGATTAATACAGACTTGCGCTTTAAACTCGCTCTGCTAAGGAAAGAACGTAGTCTATATGGTAGCCATGAATCTCTAAGCGGCAGCCTTCTGACAGAAAGAAGGGCTTGTGTAAACCAATAGTCTGATTAGTCAGTTGTCTGCAAACGCTCAGGCTTAAATGAGCACTGAGGATTAACTGGATATTGCAGAAGTTGCAAGGATTTTTTTTTCCTAAAGGGAAATAGAAAAATTATGGGTTCTTTTTTACAAAAGTTTTCTGATTTATATATCAAAGCTCAGCTATAATTCTGTGTAATGGCATCATGTTAGATTATCTCCTCTGTGACATGTATTTAGGAATAATACTAAATTGTAGAAAAAGGCTGACCTTCAATTAAAAATGAAATATCAACTCAATTGGTAGTATCTAAATTAAATTGAATTCCTGCTCAGTTGAAGCTCCTCTCTGATTTATTCCATTCTCTAGCATTACTTTTACTCTCTTTATAATATTGAATACGACCACGTTTGATAAATGCTCCTCTAGTGGGGGCCTACTGAATTAGAAATGCCTTCCAGAACCTCCAAATACTCAGTGAGACCAATTAGAGGAGGTCAGCCTCCTACCAAAATTATGGCAGGAAGCACAAATGAGGGAATAGAAATCATAAAATGGGCTGCAAAGCTGGTCACTTCTCTCAGGGTTTATTCTTCTGGACAATGTCATTTCTTACTCAGCAGCAGATCTAGGTTTTGGGTATTGAAACTTACACATTTTGTGGGGAAGGGGTCCTATTTAAGAGAGAAGAATACAAAATTGAAAAAACAAAATTCTGTGTGAATTGAATATTTGCTTAGACTGAAAAAAGAAATTACAAATTACAAATTTTTTCAGGTTAACAAATCAGTACTTTTTTTATATTTTGAAGCTTCTAACAATCTTTCCATTTTTGCTTTTGGCCTCCACTAGGAATTTTTTTCATCATATTTGAATTTTGGTCCAATCAATGATTTTGAAAACCATACAAAATTAATTTGGAATGAAGGCATTCATAAGAGGAATTACATTTATTTTTAACTTTCCATTATGTTGTATAGAACTATGTAATTATGTTATTAAATTACTTTTATATTGCATACATTCAACTTTCATAAATACATATAGCTTTGTTGCTGGAACATTTTTTTCTTCAGGCCCCTGCACTACTAGGTAGAAATTCTTCTTGTTATTTTGTCCAGAACCACCATATTTTGTGAGGACAAGGTCCATTGTACATGCTAACGTGCAATCCAATAGTTTGGACACATAAAACATGCAACACCACACAAAGGTACACTCATCGTAGTAGTACTACTGCTACAGTTCTTGTCCTCAAACACAGGCGCTCTGACCAATTGCATTATACATGACTCACACGAAAGTACATACTGTGTTTATAATTGTATTCACTGCAGCGGACAGCTTTCATTTTCACTGGACATCAATGAGAATCAAATCTACTGCTTATCATTTTACATTTACAAAAACAATTTCCAGAGCAACTATTGGGTCCATTCATTTCAAACCTTATTTCTCCTGTACTTCTCACAATCTTCTGAAGTCAAGTGCACAGGACATGTTTATATGGTGATATGACCTTTTGTCCTCGCACCTTTGAGTCGCGACTGCATGAGAGTTGGCACGGTGGGTGGTAGGAGTATTTCTGGAAGCCATTCCTACACCACGACAGCTAACTACTGCTTAACTATATAAAGAAATAACTGCAAACCACGTAAACATTTTACTAACCTAAACTAAATACGTCCCAAGTCATCTTCCCTATATACCTGTCCCCAAAATTTCTACAGCAGCTACTCTTTTTTTTTTTTTTTGACACAGGGTTTCACTCTTGTTGCCCAGGCTGGAGTGCTATGGTGTGATCTCGGCTCACTGCAACCTCCACCTCCTGGGTTCAAGCGATTCTCCTGCCTCAGCCTCCTGAGTAGCTGGCATAACAGGAGCCTGCCACCATACCCAGCTAATTTTTTATATTTTTAGTAGAGATGGGGTTTCACCATGTTGGCCAGGCTGGTCTCAAACTCCTGACCTTAGGTGATCCACCCGCCTCAGCCTCCCAAAGTGCTGAGATTACAGCCATGAGCCACTGTGCCCGGCCTACAATACTTCTTGGCACAAGAAACGTGACAGAGGGGAAGTGGAGTGAAAAGAGAATATTAACCAATTGCAGTGAATAAGTCTTTCTCTTGCAAACTTTTAAAAACCTATGACCATGTGTATATATTTCCAGCATCCCTCCTGGGAATTAGAGGGGCCCATGCAAATGAGGGTTGCTGACATTTAAACTTCATTGGCTTCATGGTAAATCAACCTCTGTTCTTCTCTCTTATTTCATAAACATGTTGATTGGCCAAAACATAATGGGTAAAGGGAAAGAAACCCTGAATCAACCAGAACTTCCATATATGATACTCCAAATTAGTTCAAAGAACAAATAACTGGTGTGTCAAAGTGCCCTCATCTCCCTGAAGACCCTGGAGAATAAACACTCATCCTTGTATCATTTCCAGAGAGCTACCATTTCTGTCACAGCCTATTGCTAATGACTGGAAATATCGAATTTGTTCTGCTACCACAGATAGGTTAGGATCACAAGGAAGCCATGTTCAGGTGGGTTTGTTCCAATGTTCATTTTTCTATAAACAAAATATCTTTGCAAAGTGGGATGAGTTGACACTGGGAAATTTCATAAACTGTGAGACAAAGTTGATGTTCCTTGAATTGTTGGGGCCAGACTGTGCTAGCAACATTTACAAAAACAAACACTAATAAAACCCACAAAACAATAAATTACTGGCCGGGTGTGGTGGCTCACGCCTGTAATCCCAGCACTTTGGGAGACTGAGGCGGGCAGATCACAAGGTCAGGAGATTGAGACCATCCTGGATAACACGGTGAAACCCCGTCTCTACTAAAAATACAAAAAAATAGCTGGGCGTGGTGGCAGGCACCTGTAGTCCCAGCTACTCGGGAGGCTGAGGCAGGAGAATGGTGTGAACCTGGGAGGTGGAGTTAGCAGTCAGCCAAGATCGCGCCACTGCACTCTAGCCTGGGCCACAGAGCGAGACTCCGTCTCCAAAAAAAAAAAAAAAAAAAAAAAACCAATAAATTATCAAAATAATTTGTCCCCTATCCACTTGTTCCCTGCTTAAGAACCCCAAACCTGTATGTTGATACTCATGTTCAGACAAACCTCTTTACATAGAGTCCCTTACCCAAAAGTATATCCTGCAGACCCCTCATCTCCTGAGATTCTCCCCACAAAAATGAGTTTGGGAAAGACTGCATATTGTATCTCCCTTGGGGATTTAAAATGCCACCTTATGAAATAAAGGCTCTAAGGAACTTTGCAGTAAAGAACCTACTTAAACCCCAGTATATTCTCTCCATAAATGGAACCATTTTCCAAGCAATGTCTAATAAAATGCAGTAAAGTTTGTTTTGTAGATCATACTTTGGGCATATTTCCTTAACCTATTGTCACTGTTGTTGAGTTTCTAGATTAGCATTTCTCAAAAGTGTATTTTCCACCACAATTTTTTCTTCCTTAGTGGGCTCCTGCCATAACAGGCCTCTTTCTTCATCCTCTATCTGGCCAAAAATACTCCCATTTCAGAAACTTAGTACTGCCTACTCCCTCTGCCTAGAACTCTGTTCCTCTAAATATGTAGTGGCTTATTCTTTCTCTCATGTCATTCAAGTGCCTACTCAAAAGTCAGCTTTTCAGGGAAACTTTCTGTTATGAGCTGAGTTGTATCTTCCCATAAGTGATATGTTGAAGCCCTAACTCACAATGTGACTGTATTTAGAGACAGGCCCTTTAAGGACGTAATTAAGGTTCACTGAGATCATAAGAGCGGGGCCCTAATCTGATAGGATTGGCATCCTTATAAGAAGAGAAGAGATGCCAGAGACTTCATTCTCCACCATGTGAGGACACAGTGAGAAGGTGGCCACCTCCAAGACAAGTAAAGAGGCTTCACCAGAAACTAACCCTGCCAGCATTTTGATCTTGGACTTCCTGCCTCCAGAACTGCGAGGAAGTAATTTTCAGTTATTTAAGCCACCCATCCTGTGGTGTTCTGTTATGGCAGCCCTAGCAGACTTATATGCCTTCCTGACAATCCCAGCTAAGATGAGCATTTCTATTATTCTCTCTTCTCCTTGTCCTGCTTTATTTTTCTGCAGAGCACTTATCACTACTCAACATTCTATATGTGTATCTCCTGGAGATTGAGAGGCAGTGGAATATAGTGGAATACAGTGCAGAAGGTTTTGGGCTCTGGGTTCAAATCCTGACTGCCACTTTCTAGTGTGTGATCCTTGAGCAGTTATGAAAGCTCCTTGAACTTCTCAATTGGTAAAATGGTGATGACAAAAATAGTCCTTGCTTGAAGGTATTATTATAATAATGTAATGAGCTATGACCTGTAAAGTACTTAAACTAGTACCTGGAACAAAATGCACACACAATAACTATTACCTGCTAGTGCTTGTTGTCTGTCTACCTCCCTGGAATGTAAACTCCATAAGGATAAGGACCTTGTCTTATAGAAGGATATGTTCACAGCCCCCAGATCAGGGCCTCTGGGGCACATGTTAAGCCTTCAGTAAATATTTGTTACCAGCAAATATGAATAATGAAAGCTCGTGGGCCTTTTCTCAAAGCTCACAATGCTAAGATTATCTTTTTGTTATTGAATGAGCACCTCATTACCTAACATTGCCACATGATTTCAGAGCCCTTATTTTTGTGTTTAGTACTGCTGCCAAGTGATAGTACCTAGTTGACATAGGCTAATGAGCAAAGTTCAGAGGGGCAGTTAACAGCCAGAGGAATATCGGCTTTCATATTCAGAATCTGAGTTCACATTGGAACAGTCAGTACTACATTTAAGTCGTGAGTGATGCTTCATTTCAATAAAACATCACCTATATAATTAAATCAAACCACTTCATTTGAAATCATGAGCTTTGTAGTTTTGCTTGTATTGGTTGTACAGTAGTACATAATTTGATATTCCAGGTATCAGTCAATGGCTCTTTGACACCTTCTGCTGATGAACTTCAGAACTTGTGTTGCTCAACAGTATGTCTTTGCAATGTGTAATTCTTTATGGCTCAGTCAAACAAATGCAGAAACCATAACAGAAGCCTGGTGGGTTTGGCATTACCTTCAATAGGTCACAATTCGCGATGTTAGTGGCCAGCAGTCACTAAGAGGCCAGTATAATAGGTGGTAAGACAGTAGTCCCCAAGTAATATTCTCCTGAAAATCAACTTTTACAATTACTTGTGCCTTATATCATCATGTAAATCAACACTGGGAGCAATCACTACTAAGAAAATCAGCAAGAGAGTTTAATTCCCAATGAGATATGTTCCTTGTTTTCACCAGTGTAGATATTTCCAGTGAAATTAATTATTATTCCCACCTGGTAAAAAGCCTGGTAAAGAATTTGCTGTCATTGTGGTAGCAAGTTGCACATTCTCTATGGAACTCCACCCAAAAATTATGGCAAATCAAATAGACATTACCAGTGTTTCAAACATCTCCTTCTTTCTAACTGTGCCTACTAGGTGGAACTTCAAGCAACCATTTTTGAATTGGAATAAGAGCCTTTGTAGATAAAAGTTCTTAGGCACTGCAGGATGTTTTAAAATATTATAATATTTAGCCTTCTAGAAGTTCCCATTATGAGATATGTTTTGTAAATTAAGAAAACCTTTTATACTAGCAACGAAGAATCAGAAATTGACATTTTTAAAGCAATACATTTTACAATAGCATAAAAATATAAAAATAACCTCATGATAAATCTGAAGATGTTTAAGACTGATATATTGAAAACTACAAAACATTGTTGAGAGAAGTTAAAGAAGACCCAAATAAATGGAAAAATATAACATGCTCACAGGTCGTAATACTCAATATTGTTAAAATACTAATTCTCTCTTCACATTGATCTATGGGTTCAACACAATTCCAGTCAAAATCCCAGCAGGCCTTTTTGTAAAAATTGATAAGCTGACTCTAAAATTCAAAGGAAAATTAAAATGTCCTTCACTAGCTGAAACAAATTTGAAAAAGAACAAAGTTGGAAGACTAACAGTATCTGATTTCAAGACTTCATTTAAAGTTACAGTAATCAAGGAGAGAATCCACAGACCCTCTGAAGGAAGCAGATTGCTCCTGCAGGACCCTAAAGACACCCCAAATACTGTGCTGGTTTCCACGGCTGAGAGACCCACAAATGGTTCACATCACAGAACTCTGTGTAGACAACCCCCAGTACCAGCCTGGAGCCTGGTAGACTTGCTGGGTGACTAGATCCAGAAGAGAGATAACGATCACTGCAACTTGGCTGTCAGGAAGCCACATTCCTAGGAAAAGGGGGAGAATACTACATCAAGGGAACACCCCATGGGACAAAAGAATCTGAACAACAGCCTTCAGCCCTAGACCTTCCCTCTGACAAAGCCTACCCAAACAAGAAGCAACCAGAAAACCAACTCTGGTAATATGACAAAACAAGGTTCTTTAACACCCCCCAAAAATCACTCTAGCTCACCAGCAATGGGCCCAAACCAAGAAGAAATCCTTTCATTTACCTAAAAAAGAATCAGAAGGTTAGTTATTAAACTTATCAGGGAGGCACTGGAGACAGGCGAAGCCCAGTGCAAGGAAATAAAAAAAAAAAAATACAATAAGTGAAGGGAGAAATATTCAGTGAAATAGATAGCATAAATAAAAAACAATCAAAACTTCAGGAAACAATGGACACACTTATGGAAATGCAAAATGCTCTGGAAAGTCTCAGCAATAGAATCAAACAAGCAGAAGAAAGAACTTCAGAGCTCGAAGACAAGGTCTTTTTATTAACCCAATCCAACAAAGACAAAGAAAAAAGAATAAGAAAATATGAATAAAGCCTCCAAGAAGTCTAGGATTATGTTAAATGACCAAACCTAAGAATAATTGGTGTTCCTGAGGAAGAAAAGAAATCTAAAAGTTTGGAAAACATATTTCAGGGAATACTTGAGAAAAACTTCCCCGGCCTTGCTAAAGACCTAGACATCCAAATACAAGAAGCTCACAGAACACCTGGGACATTCATTGAAAAAGATCATCGCCTAGGCACATTGTCATCAGATTATCTAAAGTTAAGATGAAGGAAAGAATCTTAAGAGCTGCGAGGCAAAAGCACCAGGTAACCTATAAAAGGAAAACCTATCAGATTAACAGCAGATTTCTCAGCAGAAACCCTACAAGCTAGAAGGGATTGGGGCCGTATCCTCAGCCTCCTCAAACAAAACAGTTATCAGCCAAGAATTTTGTATCCAGCAAAACTAAGCTTCATATATGAAGGAAAGATACAGTCTTTTTCAGACAAATGCTGAGAGAATTCACCATTATCAAGCCACCACTACAAGAACTGCTAAAAGGAGCTCTAAATCTTGAAACAAATCCTAGAAAAACATCAAAACAGAACCTCCTTAATGCATAAATCTCACAGGTCCTATAAAACAAAAATACAATTAAAAAAACAAACAAACAAAAAACCAAGGTATACAGGCAACAAATAGCACGATGAATGGAATGGTACCTCACATTTCAATACTAATTTTGAATGTAAATGGCCTAAATGCTCCACTTAAAAGATACAGAATTGCAGAATGGATAAGAATTCACCAACCATCTGTTGCCTTCAAGAGATTCACCTAAGATATAAGGACTCACATAAAGGGGTGGAAAAAGACATTCCATGCAAATGGACACCAAAAGTGAGCAGAAGTTGCTATTCTTATATCAGACAAAGCAAATTTTAAAGCAACTGCAGTTAAAAAAGACAAAGAGGGACATTATATAATGATATAAGGCCTTGTCCAACAGGAAAATATCACAGTCCTAAATATACATGCACCTAACACTGGAGCTCCCAAATTTATAAAACAATTACTAATAGACCTAAGAAATGAAATAGACAGCAACATCATAATAGTGGGGGACTTCAATACTCTGCAGACAGCACTAGACAGGTCTTCAATACAGAAAGTCAACAAAGAAACAATGGATTTAAACTATACTCTGGAACAAATGGACTTAACAGGTATATACAGAACATTCCACCCAACAGCCACAGAATATACATTCTATTCAACAGTATGGAACTTTTTCTATGATGGATCATATGATAGGCCACAAAAGAAGCCTCAACATACTTAAGAAAATTGATATTATATCAAGCACCCTCTCAGACCACAGTGGAATACAACTGGAAATCAATTCCAAAAGGAACCTTCAAAACCATACAAATACGTGGAAATTAAATAACCTGCTCCCAAATGATCGAGTCAAAAATGAAATCAAGATGGAAATTAAAAAATTCTTCAAACTGAACAACAATAGTGGCACAACTTATCAAAGCCTCTGGGATACAGCAAAGGCGGTGCTAAGGGGGAAGTTCATAGTCTTAAATACCTACATCAAAAAGTCGAAAGAGCACAAACAGACAATCTAAGGTTGTACCTCAAGGAAACAGAGAAACAAGAACACACAAAACCCATACCCAGCAGAAGAAAGAAAATAACCACGATCAGAGCAGAACCAAATGAAATTGAAACAAAAAAAATACAAAAGATAAATGAAACAAAAAGCTGGTTCTTTGAAAAGATAAATAAAATTGATAGACCATTAGCAAGATTAACCAGGAAAAGAAGAAAGAAAATCCAAATAAACTCAATTAGAAATGAAGCAGGAGATATTACAACTGGCACCACAGAAATACAAAAGATTCTTCAAAGCTGCTAAGAACACCTTTACACACATAAACTAGAAAAGCTAGAGGAGATGGATAAATTCCTGGAAAGAAACAACCCTCCTAACTTAAATCAGGAAGAATAGCTACCCTGAACAGATCAATAAGAAGATTGAAGTGGTAATTTAACAATTACCAACAACAATTTAAAAAAAGTCCAGGACCAGATGGATTCACAGCAGAATTCTACCAGACATTCAAAGAAGAATTGGTACCAATCCCATTGACACTTTTCCACAAGACAGAGAAAGAGAGAACCATTCCTCAACCATTCTATGAAGCCAGTATCACACTAATACCAAAACCAGGGACATAACCAAAAACAAAAACTACAGACCAATATCCCTGATGAATATAGATGCTAAAATCCTCAACAAAATACTAGCTAACCAAATCCAGCAACATATCAAAAAGATAATCCGCCATGATCAAATGGGTTTCATACCAGGGATGCAGGGCTGGTTTAACACATGCAAGTCAATAAATGTGTTACACCACATGAACAGAATTAAAAACAAAAATCACATGATCATCTCAATAGATGCAGAAAAAGCATTCGACAAAATCCAGCATCGCTTTATGATTAAAACTCTCAGCAAAATCAGCATACAAGGGACATACCTCAATATAATGAAAGCCATCTATGACAAACCCACAGTCAACATAATACTGAACGGGGGAAAGTTGAAAGTGTTCGCTTTGAGAACTGGAACAAGACAAGGATTCCCACTCTCACTACTCCTCTTCAACATAGTACTGGAAGTCCTAGCCAGAGCAATCAGACAAGAGAAAGAAATAAAAAGCATCCAAATCGGTAAAGAGGAAGTCATACTGTCGTTGTTTGCTGATTATATGATTGTTTGTCTAGAAAACCCTAAATATTTCTCCAGAAAGCTCCTAGAACTGATAAGAGAATTCAGCAAAGTTTCCAGATACAAAATTAATGTACACAAATCAATAGCTCTCCTATACAACAACAGCAACCAAGCAGAGAATCAAATCAAGAACTCAACCCCTTTTACAATAGCTGCAAAAAAAGAAAATAAAATACTTAGGAATATACCTAACCAAGGAGGTGAAAGACCTCTACAAGGAAAACTACAAAACACTGCTGAAAGAAATCACAGACAGCACAAACAAATGGAAACACATCTCTTGCTCATGGATGAGTAGAATCAATATTGTGAAAATGACCATACTGCCAAAAGTAGTCTATAAATTCAACAGAATTCCCATCAAAATACCACCATCATTCTTCATAGAATTAGAAAAAAAAATTATAAAATTCATATGGAACCAAAAAAGAGGCTGCATAGCCAAAGGAAGACTAAGCAAAAAGAACAAATCTGGAGGCATCACATTACCTGATTTCAAACTATAGTATAAGGTCATAGTCACCAAAACAGTGTGGTAGTGGTATAAAAATAGGCACATAGACCAATAGAACAGAAGAGAGAACCCAGAAATAAACCCAAATAGTTCCGATCTTTGACAACTGATCTTCGACAAAGCAAACAAAAACATAAAGTGGGGAAAGGACGCCCTTTTCAATATTTAGTGCTGGGACAATTGGCTGTACACATGTAGGAGAATGAAACTGGATCCTCATCTCTCACCTTATACAAAAATCAACTCAAGATGGATTAAAAACTTAAATCTAATACATGAAACTAAAAATTCTAGAAGATAACATTGGAAAAACCCTTCTAGACATTGACTTAGGCAAGGATTTCATGACCAAGAACCCAAAAGCAAATGTAATAAAAACAAAGATAAATAGCTGAGACTTAGTTAAACTAAAGAGCTTTTGCACAGCAAAAGGAACAGTCAACACAGTAAACAGACAACCCACAAAGTGGGAGAAAATCGTCACAATCTATACATCTGACAAAGAACTAATATTCAGAATCTACAATGAACTCAAACAAACTAGCAAGAAAAAAAAAACAAACAATCCTTGGGAGGCCAAGTCACACAGATCACTTGAGGTCAGGGGTTCAAGACCAGTCTGGCCAACATGGTGAAACTCCCATCAATCTACTAAAAATACAAAATATTAGCTGGGCATGGTCATGGGCGTCTGTAATCCTAGCTACTCAGGAGGCCAAGGCAGGAGACTTGAGACTTGCTTGAATCTGGGAGGTGGAGGTTGCAGTGAGCCAAGATCATGCCATTGCACTCCAGCCTGGGCAACAAGAGTGAAACTCTGTCTCGGAAAAAAAAAAAAAAATTCCCATCAAAAAGTGGGCTAAGGACATGAATCAACAGTTCTCAAAAGAAGATATGGCCAACAAACATATGAAACAGTTCTCAAAAGACAAATGGCCAACAAACATGAAAAAATGCTCAGCATCACTAATGATCAGGGAAATGCAAATCAAAACCACAATGCAATACTAACTCACTCCTGCAAGAATGGCCATAATCAAAAAAATAAAAAAACAGGAGATGTTGGTGTGGATGCGGTGGTTAGGGAACACTTCTACACTGCTGGTGGGAATGTAAACTAGTACAGCCATTATGGAAAACAGTGTGGAGACTCCTTAAAGAACTAAAAGTAGAATTACCATTTGATCTAGCAATCCCACTACTGGGTTGGGTATCTACCTGGAGGGAAAGAAGTCATTATATGAAAAAGATACATGCACACGCATGTTTATAGCAGCATAATTTACAATTGAAAAATGGGGAACCAACCTACATGCCCATCAATCAACAAGTGGATAAAGAAACTGTGATACACACACACACACACACACACACAATGGAATACTACTCAGCCATAAAAAGGAATGAATTAATGGCATTCACAGTGACCCGGAGACTATTATTCTAAGTGAAGTAACTCAGGAATGTAAAACCAAACATCATAGGTTCTCACTCATAAGTGAGAGCTAAGCTATGTGTCACTCTTATGTGACTCTTATGTGTCACATAAGAGTGACACAATGGACTTTGGGGACTCACGGGGAAAGGGTGGGAAGGGGGTGAGGGATAAAAGACTATAAATTGAGTGCAGCATATACTGCTCGGGTGATGGGTGCAACAAAATCTCACAAATCACCACTAAAGAACTTATGTAACCAAACACCACCTGTTCCCCAATAACCTATGGAAATAAAAAAAATTAATAAAAAAACTAAAAAATAAAGTTACAGTAATCAAGACAGATTGGTATTTGTGCAATGATTAACAATTAGATCAGTAAGGCAGGATAGGGAGTGCAGAAATAGACCCACACATTATTGACTTCTGATTTTTGACAAAGGTGCACAGGCAATTCAGTGAAGCAACAGTAATCTTTTCAACAAATAGTGCTGAAACAGTTGAAAATCCATCTGCAAAAGAAGAAAAGAACTTTAACCCCTACCTCGCATCATTCACAAAAATTAACTTACAATAGACCATAGACCTAAACATAAAGCCTAAAACTATAAAACTGCTGGAAGAAAATATAGATCCCTGTGATCTTAGGTTGGGCAAAGATTTCTCAGACATGAAAAATACAATCCGTAAAATAACAAACTGACAAGTTGTTCATCATAATTTAAACTTCATCATAATTTAAAACTTACATTATTTGAAAGATATTGTTAGGTAAATGAAAAGACAAGACATAGACTGGGAGAAAATATTTGCAAATCATGTCGTATGTCAGATAAATGACTTGTATCTAGAATATATAAAGAACTCTTAAAATTAAAAACAACAACACAATTTTTAAAAAATCAGTAAAATAGTTCAACAGGCATTTCACCAAATATGATACACAATTATTAAATAAGCACATGAAAAGATGCTCAACATCATTAGGGAAATACATACTAAAACCACAATGAGATATCCCTTCCCACCATCGGAATGGCTAAAATTAAAAAGAGTCACCATACCAAGAAAAGCTGAGTATGTGAAGGAACTGGAACTCCCATACACTGCTGGTGGGGTTACGAAATTGTATAACCACTTCGGAAAACAGTCTGACAATTTCTTAAAATGTCAACATACATTTACCATATGATCCAGCATTTCTACTAGGTATTTCTCCAAGAGAAATGGAAGCACATGTATGTATAAAGACTAGTACAGGAATGTTCATAGCAGCTTTATTTGTAGTAGCCTAAAATGGGAAGCAGCCCAAATGTCCACGAACAGGTGAATGAATAAACAAATGGATATCTATACAATGAAATGGTATTCAGCAATACAAAACAATGAAATTGACATATATGACAATATGAATGAATTTCAAATAATTATGATGAGTGAAGGAAGCTAGGTAGAAAGAGACATATTGCATGACTCCATTCATATAAAATTCTAGAAAGTGCAAATGAATGTACAGTAACAGATAATAAATGAGTGATTGCCTGAGGATTGAGGGAGTGGGAGGGGTGGGGGACAGGGATAGGAAAGGACACAAGAAAACTTTGGGGGTGGTGGGTATGTTCACCATTTGATTGTGTTGATGAATTTGTGGGCATATCCATATGTCAAAACATATCAAATTGTACACTTGAGATATGTGCAGTTCGTTGTATGCAATTGTACCCCAGATGAGCTACTTAAAGAGACAAAAAAAGGAAAAACTTTACAATTATGTTCTCAAAACTTTCTGTGTGGATCGGGATTACCTTGGATCCTGTAGATGGTACTACTTATCTCCTCTCTTTCTTGAAACTTTCTTTTGCCACCATTTTCCTAACATTATTCCCTCTAGGCTCCTTTCTCACCTCTCAGAGCCTCCTGTCTTCTCTGTTTTTTTCTTGGTTCTTATCCTTCCTCCTATGTCTTAAACAAGAGCATTCTTTAGGGTCTGTAGTTGGTTTCTCTTTTATTCTGATATATACTCCTTTCTGAGGCATCTCTCCATCCTTCCACCTCAGCTACTATCTATACAATAATAAATCCCAAATCTACATGGCAAGACTTGGCCTCTCCATATTCCTACCAGGCTCCGATCAAACACCTCTACACCACTTCCAACTTAAGACTGCAAAATGACATATCTTCCCCCATCCACACCTGCTGCCCAGCATGTGTTGAGGTCTCGGTTTGCAGCACCACCATCTCTGCAGTTAACCATTGCACAGTGGATGAGAGCATGGGCACTGGATTTGAGTCCTAACTTTGTCACTTATCAGATTTGTTTCTTGGGCAAGTCATTTACCTTCTCTTTGCTTTGCTTCTTCATCTTTATGAGTCTGTTCCACATAAGATTACTGTGAGGATTAAATAAGATTATAAACATAAACTGTTGTATATCGTGCCTGACAAATAGTAAGTGTTCAAAGATTACTTTGTGGTAATCTTTGAATTGCATGTGTCACAGCTGTTTGTTTCATTTCTGCAGCTTTCTTGTCCCCTTCTCTCTCCCTCTGCCATCTCTAATCCCAAACTCATTATATCTTGCTACCATGATGAGACAGCCTATTCTGATCTCTTCTCTTCAGTCCCTTCTTTAAAGTCCTACCTAAGTGACCACTGAGCTCAGGTCAGGTCATGTACTTCCATGATCAAAGACCTTTAATTGGTCACCTTTGTTCAAATAGCATGGGACATAACAGGACATTCCAGAGTCTAATAGCTCTAACACCACCCCACTCTTCCAGCCTCAACGTGTAAGACACTCTCTGGCCTGAACCCCACATCACCCAGCTACTCTCAATTATTCTGCCCTATCCTCCTTAAACCCTAACCAGCGCTCCTGTCATGTGTTTGAGGAGGGCATTCTTCAGCTACCCACCTTCCAGGATCAGCTCAAATATCCCTCTTTCTTTTTTTCTTAGCCAGGTCTCATTCTGTCACCCAGGCTGTGGAGTGCAGTGGCACGATCATGGCTCACTGCAGCCTTGACCTCCCCAGGCTCAAGCAATCCTCCCACCTCAGCCTCCCGAGTAGCTAGGACTACAGGTGTATGCCACGGCACTTGGCTAATGTTTTATCTTTTGTAGAGACAGGATTTCACCATGTTTCCCAGGCTGGTCTCAAACTCCTGAGCTCAAGCAATCCACCCACCTCAGCCTCCCAAAGTGCTGAGATTACAGGCATGAGCCACTGTGCCCAGCCCAATTCCATGGCTGGAATTAATCAGTCTCTCTTCAGTGCTTCCACTATACTTTGTTTATATGTTGATCTGGAAGCTAACATTATTGTCATTTATTTTCCTGTTCCCCTAACTTACCTTTGTTTAGGCATTCAATGAAGGCTTGCTGAATGGAAATGAAACAGGAAGAAAGAATATGACAAACAGTCTGCCTAACAGCTGCCTGACATCTCCCTGGTAATGTCACTTGCTCACAGAGGTTCTTTGAAGATTGACACTTTACAAATTAGCATCCTGTTCAAACTGAAAGAGCACCAGAGAAACATCTCAATGGAAGGCATGCAAGTATAATAGCAGTAACACCATTCACAGGTTTGCAGAGTGGGAGAAGAGAAATACGTGAGTAAATGAATGCTGACTTAAACTCAGGTATTCTGAAGGGTTCCTCCTGAAATTAAGATGTCTCTCTTCTGAAAGAGAAGTTGCTAACTCTTCATTGATCAGGAATGCAGGCATGTACCCTGAGACCCTCTCCAGTCTTATTATTTTGTAAATTAGGGTGCAAACTTTACAGCTGGGGCTAAGACTGCATGACCATGCAAAGTCCCTGATGCAAGAATGTGGGAGGCACTGACAGCGGCTTGCCCTTGATAGACTCCTCCAGCCACCACTAAAGGGCGCCAGGGACAGGGTTAGAGTGTGACAGAAGGAATGAGCCCAAGAAGGTGGCTGCCAGTTTCTCTTCCCCACATTCTTCCAAATTCTCCAGGGCATCTTTTGAATATGACTCTTTTAGTCAGTTTTCATTTTTAGACCAATATTTTTGGAAATTTTTCACTAAAGCAGTCAATGACAACTCAACATAGTCAACAAGTCAATGTCAACTTTGACATTGGTCCATTGATTGCCCTTTCTTTTCCCAGAAACTCTGGAGTTACCACACAACCCATACCACTATCAATGAGAGGCCACCTTCTAACTGCGAATGGTGGACCACAGGAAAGGCCCAGTAGAGCAGAGGAGAGTATATGACCTCATGCAGCCAGCAAGGACGAATGTACCTCAGGAAGAAGGAGATGGGGCTACATCATGGGCCACTCCGCCACGGACACTGTGGCCATTCTCTGTTTGTCTATCTCCACTCTTAAAGGCCAGGGGCCATGACTTACTCTTCTTTGTATACCCAGCATCTAGTTCAGAAGTTGGGTTCTAGTAGAATTAAATGTTTGTTGAATAAATGAATAAACCAATGCACTTCTCAGAGAAGTATTCTGAGTAGGATATATGAGGAAGAATTTCTACTTGTGGGAAAAGCCTTGTTTCTCTTTCCTTGGTATTAATTGTATCAACTATGTATAAAGGAACATTCACTTTTTTCTAGACATAAGTACTTAGGTACAGTGGCATAACTATTAAGAAATTTTTAACTCTAAAATTTAGGAAATACAGGGAAAACTCTTCTGTGTCTGAGAATACATAGAAAGAATATACATAACAACAAGTTTTGCTTGGTTGGGTAATTTTCATTCCAAATAAACTTATCACAAAAAAACTCAGCTTCCCAAGGTCATTCCCCCGCTGCCAGATACATACTTATCTCTGAAAGAGCTTGGAAGATGGACCTTTCAATTCCTCTACAATTAGTAGCTGAGTTACAGAGTAACCTGCCAGCAATCCTATCAGCATTCATCAGACTATTTAAATAGAGCAAAGTCCACAAAAAATTCCACTGAGACATGCTGAGCAAAGGCCGGAGCCCCAGAAGAAAACAAGTACAGACTCAGAGGAAAGCTGCCCTGGTCCTGAGTGTGACTCCCATGGTCCCCGTGGGGTCTGTGTGGTTGGCAATGAGCTCTGTGCTGTCAGCTTTCATGAGGGAGCTCCCTGGCTGGTTCCTGTTCTTTGGGGTCTTCCTCCCCGTGACTTTGCTGCTGCTCCTCCTCATCGCCTACTTCAGGATCAAACTGATTGAGGGTAAGTGTGAGGCCACACAAGGAAGAACTTGGGCATCCTTTCCCACAGCACATCTTGAAATATACCGATGCACTGTCAGTGTTTTCTGGCCAGGAGAAACATATATATATATATTTTGTAGGTACTTCTCAATCAGTGTTCTCTCAAGTTCCTTGATCAATTTGGCCAAGTTTGATCCTTTCCACTGTGTGGATCTTGTGCTGAGATGTGAAGGTCTGCTGTAGGGGGCCCTCACGTGTAGCACCTCACAGACATACTGTGAATCAGCAATTTTGACATATGGTTGCTTGTCTCTCTCTCTCAAGGCAATAGAGTCACATATGTGAAAACATTGTTCATGGTCTGCCTTCTTTACATGACAGATGTGTTTATGTGGCCATGTGTGTGCATGTCCGTGCGTGTGTATGCGCCCGTGTGTGCACACACACAACTTTCTCATCCACTGAACTTCTGGTCAGGGAATGTTCCAAACATTCTGCTGTCACAGTCTTTGTAAATGTAAAGCCCTGATAGATAAATACTTGACCTTGGTGTAAACGTTCCATGGGATTATAGTCTTAAGGTGGAAAAAAACCAAACCAAACAAATAACTCAGGAAGCTTAAGGTGATTTGGAATGGACATTCGGGTCTTGGATTGACACTGTTTATTCTGCTATAATTAAAATTAATGAAACTGGGCTGTAACTAGATAGACTATGTGTTAATACTGTGCCAAGTACACATGAGATTAATATCATCAAGGTTAATAACTATTTTAGCAAAATCAACAAAGACCAGTCATATTTCTTAATTTGGATAGTGTCATATTAAAACAAATTTGAAAAACCCTCCTCTTTGAACATCTGTTTATGTAATAACATACATGAAGGCATTTCTTGGACTTGCCAAGCTTTTGTGGTAATCTTAGATCACTAATGCTATAATATATAACCTAACAGAAGTGCAATGAGGGATATTTCTTCCTAAGATGAGATTTGGAACATAAAGAAATCCTAGGAGACACAGACAGTATGTCATGGAATCAAGTTTTTCATCACAACTTACTCAAATATGCCCCTAGCCTTTCATTTTTCGTGTGTCTCATTTTTATGAACAGCCCTTTTGCTGAGGGGTCAAGCCATATTCTGCCTCACTCTATAATATTCATGTGATAAATCCTTTTCTTTGTTAAGTCAGTTTATCCTCCACTGCCCTAAGACCAGTCTGTTGGATGCTCTTGTCACCCAGCCATTCATTACCACTGAACCCCGGAAGTAGCCTCCAAAAAGGAAGAGAAAATAAGAAATCCCCAAGATCATAACCATGGCTTCCCTTCAGTGTCTTCCAAGTCGAAATGTTTTTCAGAGTTGTTGCAAAGATTCCCATCCGTAACACTCACTGCATCTCAGCCTCCCATTGACATTGAACGTCCCAGGGACAATAAAACGATGCTGATGTCATCATCGGGGACTTGGAGACTTCCTGTAGTTTCCAAGTTTCATCTCTGGCTGGATGAAATTTTCAGTATTTCAAAAACTGCAGCAAGTACAGGTCTAGATAGCCTCATGGATATCAAGATCCCTTATTGGCCTCTACTTCACAGCTATTACAGGCCAGTTAATTCAGTGGGACATCTGGTATTTGGGATAGACTCTGCAAAAAGAGGGTGAATCTGTTTTATAGTTTTACTCATTCCTGGAAAAACATCTGTAATATGTAACATGTAAATGGGTCTATGGTATTTTATTTAGATAATTCTGAGGTATAAATGTATGAATCACATTGCTTTAGAATACCCTGGAAAAGTCAACGTGCAGGGTATGGCCTGGCATCACAGGGGCTGATGCAGGGGAAATGCAGTCCAAGTGCCAGCCCCAGAGGAAGTGCTCCATGTGTGTACACCTCTGTGATGATTGCACGCTGATGCCCTCCTATCTTCAGCACTTCCCTGCCCGTGCAAGTTATCTAGAGATCAAGTCTCAGAAAAAAGTTACTACCTTAAGTTTGTAACTCAATACAATTGAAACTACTTCTGAAGGATTTGAGTGAAGGGAGCAGAGGCTCCCAATAACCTCTTGTTTCTTCACACTTCCTTCCCCTTTCTTCATTCCAAATTCTGACATGCTACTGAGCTTTTCTTGACTTCTAGACTTGCCCACAACTGTTAAGTCTGTCCCTTCCATCTCAGAGCCTTTATTTTTGTAGCATAGGATCTAACCCAAGGGAAAGCAAGCATGTCAGCCTCACACGATGAGGGTCCATGCTCACTGGGTAGAGTCATTACACCAACTTTAAAGCTTACTCCAAACTTATGTCATATTCTGGATAGCGATAATTCTCATTCATTTATTCAACGAATATTTGTTAGTCTATCATATACCACAGACTGTCCCAGATACTGGGACAGATTTTTACTATGAGTTTTTAAGACTAAGAGAAAATAATCCCAGTTCTAGAAAACCACAGAAGGCATCTGGCAAAATCAGCAGAAGTTAGAGGAGGTGTTGCAAATCTGTATGTTTCTGATTCTGGCCTCATTAAATGTCTGATCAAAGAGCTATAATAATAACCTGGACTTTTCCCTCAGTGTCAGGGCTGAGCACTTCACCAGAGGCAGGATCCTCTACAGTGAAGGGGCACCCCCAGCCAGGTTATGAGCCTCCATTTTCTGTGGTTTTTCCCCATTGTCTCCTACTTGGGCTTGCTCTAATTGAAGTGTGCCTGGAGCTTCCAGGCTGCAGGTAGGAATTACAGGAAGAGTGAGTGAGGAGGCAGAAGGAGCTATTTACCATGGCAGAACAAAAATGTGTGCATCCGTTACTTAACGCAATGGGGGTCCCATCTGAAATTTATTGTTGGAAAGAATACTAATGACTAGAAACACTAT
The DNA here is from genome assembly GCF_000001405.40 of Homo sapiens. Taxonomy (NCBI): domain Eukaryota; kingdom Metazoa; phylum Chordata; class Mammalia; order Primates; family Hominidae; genus Homo; species Homo sapiens. Next base: position 130,830,519 of record NC_000006.12, read on the forward strand.
TACTGCCAACCATCTGGAAGATGCTCAGTGAGGATGTCAAAGGCATTTAAACGAGAGCAACTCCATCTTGAATAGGGGCTAGGTAAAATGAGGCTGAGACCTACTGGGCTGCATTCCCAGACAGTTGAGGCATTCTAAGTCACAGGATGAGATAGGAGGTCAGCACAAGATACAGGTCATAAAGACCTTGCTGATAAAATAGGTTGCAGAAAGAAGCCACCCAAAACCCACCCACCAAAACCAAGATGGTGATGACAGTGACCTCTGGTCGCCCTTACTGCTACACTCCCACCAGCACGACAGTTTACAAATGCCCTGGCAATGTCAGGAAGTTACCCTACATGGCCTAAAAAGGGGTGGCATAAATAACCGCCCCCCCGCGTTTAGCATATAATCAAGAACTAACCATAAAAATGGGCAACCAGCAGCCCTCGGGGCTGCTCTGCCTGTGGAGTAGCCATTCTTTTATTCCTTTACTTTCTTAATAAACTTGCTTTCACTTTACGAACTCGCCCTTAATTCTTTCTTGTGCAAGATCCAAGAACTCTCTCGGGGTCTGGATCTGGACCCCTTTCCTGTAAGAAGGACAGCATAGCTGAGTGGATCAAAGTAGTCCTCCCTGATGGCAGTTTTTGTTCTGTTGAGACTGAGCCCAAAGCAAACCGGGTGAGAAATGTGGGGGCCCTGGATGGTGTCCTTGACAGATTCCTGGTCAGGGTAGCAGCTGATGGGCAAGCTGCACTATACATTCCCTCCAGAAGTTTATATTCAAACCATCTTTCGGTTGTATTTCCCTCCTCTCCCACATGGAATCAGTGCATCTATTTTTTTTTGGAGTAATTCTTGATTATATTTTCCAGTGTTAGCAGCCAACTATAGACTATGGATATTTTCGTTTTTAGGTTGATCTGGTCCCTTTAATTCCAAATAGTCTTTCTCCTAAGAAGAAAAGCCACCCAAACTCTAAGAACATGTACCTTTGAAAAAATTATAGTTCTGGCACCATTTTCCTAAGGGTAAGTAGTACTGTCTTCTCTCCAGTTTGAGGGCAAATGAGATCACTGGACTCGAAATAAAATATCACCAGTTTGTATCTCCATTTCGCAGCATCCACTTAAAAAACTGTCAACAGATGGTCAAATGTCATGTCGTTAATCTTCCAACCAGGGTTATGGCAAATGTAATCATTTCTGTTTTATTCCTGTAAAGAGAGGGACATTGATAGATTAACTGGCATGTTCGCAGAACCCCAGAGTCCTGCATTCTAAAACAGAAAACCAGCTTGCCTGTCTCATACAGCTGGGTCTGTCAGACAAGAGAGCCATTTTAAGATGTGATGGAAAGCATGTGGAGGTATTGTAATCACTCAACATTAATCCCCACACTTCAAGCCTTAGGAGGTAATGGTGCACATAAATTTAATTAGTATGTAGGGAACATCAATTTTCTCGCAAAGGAAGAAAGAAAATTCTCTAACATCCCGCACTCTTCAATCTGTGTCAATTTCCTTGAGGAGTAGCTCTTGGGGTGGAAGTATGTGTCATGAACTTCCCATAGCCAATCCCTGCATCAGCCATTGTCATGGACATTTTGCATCTTCTAGGTTGGAAGTTTTCATTATCTTATTTCCCTAAGTCCTGAGATTCCCAAACCTTTACTTCCAGGCCACCCCACCCCCAAAACACCATCGCCCTGATCAGGAACAAATTGTTGTCTAAAATGACAAACATGGCCAAAAATAGTCATTATTTAATTAAATTTTAAAACGTGTCTACTGAAATGCCTAAATGTTTTTGCACGGAGTTGGACCCAAAAAGAAAGTCAGGTAGTTAACCAGGTCTTGGCCTTCAGCAACGCACATCCTAAAACAAATAACTAAAGTACTGATAATATACAGGCTGGCTAGGCATCTTCCACTGAACTTCATACTCACTCTACTCAACCTCTTGAAGCTTCGGCCTCCTGGTCTGTAAAATAGAAATAACAGCAGGACATACTATAGGACGGGTATGGTGATTAAGCGAGGTAATACATATAAGGTTCTTAACAGTGCCTGTTCTGAACAACTGTTAGTCATTATTATCCTGCTAGCTTGAGAATTCTAAGAAGGCACTGTTTGTGTCATTATAGCATTACAGTAGCTATTATTAAAATAGTCTTGGGATAATTAAGTACATTGCCCAAGGTTACCTACCCACAAAGTGGTAGAAAGAGCATTCGAACCCTGGCTGGCTCCAGAGATAGCCCCTCTTCACCGACGCACCACCTCTGGAGTATCGAGTCCTCAGTAGGGGTTCTATCTGTTGAGTCCTTTTGGTCCAGACAGATAAACTTACCACCAATTGTGGGACAGTTTTAAACAAGGCAAAAATTTTACAACATCTTTGAAGAATTTGATCAATCTCTTAATATAACGGGGGTCATAATAGTTATTGATGATGGTGATTCCTCCACATAAAGATCTGCCTGAGTCAAATCACATTTCTTTACCTGGGAACTAACAGGGCACACTGCATTGCTTGCAGGATTTTCCACAACCACGACCTTGGGTGTTCTCAAGGCCAACTGCCTATCGAATCTCTCTGCACATCCTCCTTAATAGACCCAATGAAATGAAATGACAGCCAAATTGCAAGCTCTTTTAGGTTAGGGAGGCATTATTTTACTTCTCTCACTCTCCATATGGTGCCTAGCAAAGACACTTAATTCACTGGGTAGATGATTCACTGTAGATTGACGAGCTTCCTCTTGGCCTCTCCATTCTAGTTCTCTCTCCACTCTTAAGAGTTCACTTTTTTTCTGTCTCGTTATTCAGGTCACCCATTTTCAGCTCTACAATCTGTATCCTGGTCCCTCATTCAAAGCACCCTATTGTGCAGTTAGCCATTGGTAATAAGAGTAAAAGGGAATAAAGTACTCATATTTCAGTGAGTTAAAAGTCTAAGCCATGGGCCATCTCCAAGGAATACCTTTGAAATAGCGATAATCTACGGAAAGTCAGTGTGACTCAGTAGCTGAAACTGTGGTCTCTGAAGTCAGATTGCCTGGAATCAAATCCTGAATTCATCAGTTTCTCTGATCTTGGGCAAATTACTTCATCATGATTTCTTTCTGCCCCAGTTTGCTCATCAGCAATTTAATAATAATGATGACTAGCTCATCATGTCATCACAAGAATTGAACGAGAAAGATTGCAAAGGGCTTCACACAGCACCTGGCACAGAGCAAGTGCAAGTATTGGCTACTAAATCTTGAGGCCCATGTTGTCAGGGACTTGTCACTCTCCAACACATATGCACCCTCCCTAACATGATAAGCATTTGTGTAGGCCTGGTCAGGGAAAGTGCATGTGTCCTGGGGTACATGGCATACAATGTATCAAGTAAGGGATAAATTGCATGGGCTTTATGTGGGAGCCTAAGAGAGCATTTTCAGGTTCAAGCCTACAAACATGTTTATTACCTCCCATGAGATTAGAAGCTCCTGGTCTCTGGCTTGATTAATTATACTTCTGAAAACAAAACTTTTGAGGATGAAAGCAGGATCAGTTGTTCCTGGTTTCAGGAAGAGAGCTGTGTCTTCTGATGTACGAGGAAGATCCCAACGAATATGTGTCAGGATCTCAGAAGGCATCTCAGGGCTAAAAATCAAATCTAGTTATTGCCAGAGACATAATAGTTGAAGCTAAGGAGCAGATAAAAGCACACAGGTGGCATACAATAAAAGCCAAAGGGAGGAGAATGGTGGGGGCAGACAGAGAGAGGGGTTGTGTCAAATGCTACTGAGGAAGAAAACTAGGGATTGGAAAATGCCACTAGATTCAGTAATTCGATGGCATGGTGAGTTTTAATATTTTAGTAGAGTAGCTTTAACTGAAATTATATATTAAGGGGTTAAGGAATGAGCAGGTTGCAAAAAGCTGAAATAGAGTCATCAGTAAAATATACCAAAAGGTAAAAGGGAGAAAACTAATTTGACTTGTCTAAAGACTGTAAGTGCCCAGACACATTTTTGGGAGGGATGAGCAGGGGCAGACACTGTGACTTGCTGTGGGAGTTTCAACTTAATCAACAAAATCTAAATATACTTAGCATGTAACAATTCTCATTACAGTGGTAGTTTGTTTGCTCTAACCAGGGCCATTCTTTAGAAAGAAGCCTTTACATTTCCACTGGATGTGGTTGAGGAGATAAGGATCGATCCTGTAATAGGATCTGCTTGGAAGACCTGGACTTCTGTGACTCGCCAAGGCCACCAGTGTCAGATATGCTGGCCAACAGCCCTTATGAACTCTAAATGACCAATGGCACTCAGATGTCTCCAAATTATTAACTAATATTTTTCCTTTCAGTTAATGAAGAACTGTCCCAGAACTGTGATCGCCAACATAATCCCAAGGATGGCTCTTCCCTGTACCAGAGAATGAAATGGACGTGAAGTTGGGGACTTTCCAATAACTAAAGCACAATGAGTTTCTACTGGTCAGCAAGCAATGGCCAACAGTTCAGCTAATAAAGTAGGTTGATAAACTAGAACCATAGCAAAATAGAAAGAATACTAAGATACTCATTCTGAACCATACTGAAAAGTGGCAGCTATTATCTAAGGGGACTTCTCAGAGACTCAGTATAACAGCAGCTCTTGAAAAGTACCAAGAATGGATTTCCTGGGTATATACACTGGACACATTGTAACTTTTTAACTTTTATTGTGACTGTGTCTGCTCTAAACGGCATATTTAAAAAATAAAATTCTGCAGCATCTTACTACATAATCCCATAGGAACCCCTATTATTCCGATTTTAGAGGTGAAGAAACCTTGGTAGAGATCCAATGAATAGCAAAAGATGAATGCCTTGGAGAGAGCTCAGTAGATTCCATATGCAAGAATATTTCCACGTTCTTCTTGCAGTTCAGCAACTCTTAAGTGACACAGTTCAGGTATCATTTTTGGACCTGACTTTGCTTCTCTCCTTTTCCTGATTGCTTTCACAAATCATTATTGTCACAAATATGCACAAAACAAGTGGAGTATCCCCACACTAGGTATGGATCACCCACAAATGTAGCTTTCAGCATGATGCGACCTGGAAATGTTGGCAATTTGGTAATGGGAAAAGGAAAGGGCAGAATGTTCACATAATTCCTGAGGAGGAGAATACAAGTCTTTGCCTGTAATACCAAAATACAGGGAGCTATATCTAACTATGCGGATAAGTCAACATTTCACTACAGTTCTTTTTCAGTGGGAGCCCCAAAGAGACAACATAGGTAATTGAAAAGAAACTTAATTCTAGGGGTAGTTAAACGAGATTGTGGTTACTGTTGTGCTCCCCACATTCTTCCAGTTAACATAAATCAAAGATGTTCAATGCATTCTAAGTGTAAGACTGGTTACATTCCAATCTTTGTGCAGGACATTAACAGGCTGAGTGATCCACTTTATAAAACATAATGAATGGGGTCACCTGTAAGAAATGCACCTGTTTCAGTAGTGGCTTACAGTCATACTAAAGGTTGTGTGGATGACCCAAAGCAAAAATATACCATCAGTGCTGGATTTTTACTGCTTCTTCCCCTCAGCCCCACCCTAAAATTCTTGATACCCATTCCGTGAGTAGTTTCCATTTGCACTTCTTGCATAATATAAAACTTATTGCTAGAATAAAGACACTCACTTCTGCATTTTACTGCACTTGATTACAATGAAAATGTCTGCCGGGGTTTTCAGACTGAACTAATTCAGAGTAACAGTGCTCTTGCCATATGGAAGGAATAACAATATTCTTTCAGTTTTGGGAGAGATCTCTTTTTAGCCCCTGGGGGAAATCAGCTTATGTAAAAATGCTTTCTTTAACAGAAAGTGTGAAAGGACAGATCGTATTCCTATCTCAGGCAGCTGCCAGCCACATTTGTGGCTCAGCTATCAAGGTTTGCTCCATCTTCCTCCAATAATGGGCACTTCAGAAGGCCAGTTCCAGCTCTGGTGGGTGCTGGTCCACCATCTCAGCTATTGTGATAACACATGAGCTCTATATAGACATGTTTTCAGCACCAAGCACTACCAAGTACTTTAGAACAAGGCCTGTTTCTTTTCTGCCATCCAATGAGAGCAGAGAATCTCCAATGAAACTGACTAGATTTATGAATGTTTTTTATATGTAGAGAGGGGCAGAAACATGTTCATTTTCCCATGAAGGAACAAGTCCCAAGGGTTTATCATCTGCCTGAAGGCACTGCTAACGAATTTGTCAAATCCTTTATCCAGCACAGCTTTACCAAGCAGCTGCACAGTCAGGCCTTTGCACTTCTCATTCTCATAGGTCCAGTTTAAGATCTCATTCAGTCCTGAACTGCTTCGGTCCTTTGCATTCCTGCTGTCTTGGCCTCCACCTAGACCAAGTCGGCAGTCTCCCTACATTACCCTACATTCAGCTGCATCCTATGCTCCAAGGCCTTTCACCAGGGGCCAGAAATGCTCCCACAACCCTCAATGGTCTCACTACAACAGTTCCGAATCTTATTCCAAATGCTATAGTATCTGAAACGGTTCACCAATAGGGATAATGTTTCTCCAACTGGAGACCTTCAATAAAACACTTCAATAGGTGCTTTAATTTCTGTCACATTGTCATTATTTATTATTCAATAAATTTACCAAAAAACATATATAAATATATATATTATTTTGGAGACAGGTCTTGCTATGTCACTCAGGCTGGGGTGAAGTTGTGCAATCATAGCTCACTGAAACCTCAAACTCTTGGGGCTCAAATGATCCTACTACCTCAGCCTCTGGCTACAGGACAGGAGTGCACAGCCTCACTTGGGTTTTTTTGTTTTGTTTTTTGTTTTTGGTAGATACAGGGTCTCAGTAGGTTGACCATGCTATTCTTGAATTCCTGGCCTCAAGCTATGCTCCTGCCTCTACCTCCCAAAATGCTGGGATTACAGGTGTGACCCACTGTGACCAGCTAAAAATTTAACAGAATGAACTCAAAGCTGTAAATACTATCTTTTCATCTCTCTTGATAATCATGTTGGTAATTTGGCAATTTGGTGTTGGGAAACTGCAGGTCCATGACTGCTGCACATCCTAAACCTAGCTGAAAAACAATTTGGGCAAGAAAAAGCCCATATTATGTTTTCTGAAATGTTATTTGCAAAAGTTTTTTAAAAATAATCTGGCCAGGTAACAGCCTCCAGAATTTTCCAGACATAATTTAGCGATTGGAAAATTCAGAAGAGGTAAACACTCCTAGACAATAAGAACAGCTTTTTGGTGAAATCTCAAGTTCTTTGGCAAGACTGAATATCAGAAATCAGAGTTCACAACTCTGATAACCATCAAAATTCAGAACTCTGATAACTCTCAGAATTCATGACATTAAGCACATTTTGGAAATAAATTTTCTGATTTCTATTTATCAAAAAGTTGTTAGAATTTTCAAAGCATGCTCACAAGATTCTTACTTTCTGACTTTGTAATTGGTGTGCCAGTCAGAAGAGGCCTCTGAATTTATCACAATGTATTCAATGACATACAGTCTAACATGTGAGTGACAAGCAGAAGACAGCAGAAAACATGTATTCAAAAATACCATCCAATGTATAATTACCATCAAACAGATTGGGGATTTAAAAATATTCTTTCCACTTTTCAAATTTTTCAAATCCAATTTCCAAAACCTTGTTTGATCTACTTTCCTATTTATTCTATCATTTAGCCCAATTTACCAGATGAGATTATAACAGCCAGAGAAATACTTTATAATACAAAATATTTTTTTAAAAGACAGCCTTGCTCCTGTAGCTACAGGTGGGAATAAGTATAAACATTGTTTCAAGTGGCTCTGTGGGTATTAATTCCCATAGATTCTCTCAATGCCCCCAGGACCCTAAACCCTGTTCTTGCTGTCTCAGCTAAATAAAACCGAGCCCTAATCCCCGCACACCACCTTTCTTAGTCCATGGGACCTGTGAAGACAAACTTTCTTCCTGTCACTGCAAATATGGTCTTCAAAACACCCAGGGAAGCGCAACCTATGATTTCAATGTGAGTGTTATACAAACTTTCTGATGAGGCATACATTTGCAAAATCACATTTGGTTCCACAATATTTCTAAGGCTTGGCTTGCTGAATCGGATTCTCCAGGGAGTTGTTGTTTTTGTAATAATTATAGAGAAAGTGAGAAAGGCCTTTCACAAGGCGAGAGATAATTTAGTGGAAACAGATCTCAAAGACGACAGTTATGCAAATTGTATTTAATGTACTTACTTTAAATGACTAGAGAAAAAAATTCTATATAACACTTTACAAGAAATGTACCCTGTTGGTTATTTGCTCTATAATAACACCATAACCTGGTGTGCCCCAACAAAAGTTTCACAAGAAAGCATCCCAATCAGACTGGGATGCAGCCCCTCAGTGGCCTAGTTTGCCTGATATACAGAGGGCCAGTGGACACAAAGTAAAGAAGGACATGAAGCAGAGGAGCAAGATTCAGATGGTACAGCTAAAATATTTCCTGAAAACAAAATGAAAAATGCACAAAGAAAACAAGCAAAAATATCCCTCGGAGAATTCGTAAAAGCTGGAATGGATTATGTAACCAGGCAGAAGGAATCTGGCACTCTCAACATTAGATTTACAAACTTTCAACGTCGCTTTCACCGTTTCAAATAGTGATGTTGGCAGCATCATCAAATTACAGAAGAGCTGAAAACAGATTTTGAAATGCTACTTTTCACAAAATACTAAGACTTCTGATGAAAAATATCACTCAAGTTTGTTTTTTTAACCCTTTAGAAAAAGAGAAGTGACAAGTTTAGAGAATAAACAAACTTTATTTTATAATAGTATTACAGGAAGCAAAATATCATTTAATACAACTTGAGGCTGCTATAAATCTAATCTGGCATCGTAACTATACATAGGGTCAAAGGCAAAGGAAAAAATGTTCAATATAGTTAATAAGTCCCTATCGGGTCTCTGGTGCCAGCTTTAAATGGTATAACTTTCTTGTAACCAACAGAACACCACCACAGCCCCCTCCCCCTCTCCCCAGCATCCTCAAACCTGTGTGAATCATAAAACTATCTGAAAGAGATAGGCCTGCTCAATAACAAAAGGTAAGTTTTACATGTGTAGACAAAGAGGTTTAATACAAAGCAAGAGTTCTACCCAAGTGTTCAAATAATGGAAAGAATTGAAATGTGGGTATGTTAAGAAAGAAAGCACTAAGGTTTTAAGCTGCCTGAATCTTTTAGTAGAAGGGAAGAAAGTTTTCTCTTTCTCTTCCCTCCTGTTCTGGAATGCTGCCGAAGGGCATGTGTCTGACAAGCATTGGCACTGTGGTGCGGCAGGGTCTCTAAGCACAGTGCACAGTCAGTGAACTTCTTCATTATTCTCCAGTCCAGAGATTCTGACTCTCTACTAAAAGTAGAAAGTCACAGGACTGGAAAGTCAAAAGGGTCCAATATAAAAAACATCCCTGTGAAATTCTCAAATATTAGAAAATTTTCAAGATGTAAGAAAGGCTTTTAATCTGTATTAATATTTTCTCATACAGTATATTTGCTGCAATTTGAAAACTCCGTAAATATTTACTGTGAGAATTCAATGAAAAGAATCCAGAAGAAGGAAAGCCACTATCTAAATTAGTCACAGAGTTTCCTTTCTGCGCAACAGCACCTGTTCAAGTGAACAGCACCTTACCAGCTTGGGCTGGCTTTGTTCACTGTCATTTGATCAAAGTGAGTCATTAAAAGCAGGTAGTTGCACACAAAGTAAACAGAAAACAAAACCAAAACCCCTTAATTAACAACAACAAAAAGAAAGAACTGAGAATATTTAGAAGTGGTTATAAAACAAAATAATATATTAAATGCATGGGAGCAATATAGACCAGAGCTGGTAAGGAAAGGTTTGGTGTTGGCATTTTAATTCTTCAGGCTTCTGGTCATTGTTACCAGTTGTAGCATAAATTCGCTGGAATAGTGGTGTGGCATTAAGACTTGGAACGGTCAAAAAATCTTCAGGGGTTCACAAAGTTGAGTGTTGTTTAAAAAATGACTTTCTAGAAGAGAAAAAAAAAAAAAAAACAGAAGGCTTAAATATTCCAAAAACACAGGCTTGAAAAAAATGTTAAGTAACATTCATCAAGTTTTCAATCAAGTAATCAACAGTTACTGTCTGCCTAGTCTTACATTAAATAGTATGTTTACCAGAAGACAAGCATGAGACACTATTCCACTCTCGAGGGCCTTAAAATACCTGGAGAATTGACAAGTACGCTAGAAGCAACTGGCAAATAAGAGTTCACTGCAAAAGAATTTATTAGCATAAAACAGAGACAATTCATATGTAAGAATTTAAAGACAGAAACCAAGGTAGGTTTTAAAGCTATACTCAGGGAAAGGGAAAGTCAAAGTCTATTTTCTTTGTGCTAAAACGAATGGAAATGGTGCTTCAGGTGGAAAAACACAATGAGGAAAGAGGCATGGAGGTGAAGAAGTACACAGTATTATGACAGTAAGATGTATGTTGGGGGAGGAGGCAGAAACGAATGGAAGGAATAGGACGGTGAAGAAAGGGACATTACTAAAGTTGAGCATTGGTATAGTGAGTAGTAAATAAAGGTACAAAATATTAGGTCTATTCTTTAATAGACTGAGAAGTACCAGCTTGATCTAATTGACCAAAAAAAAAAAAAAATGAATTAAGAAAAAACATTTGGACGAAAAGACCAGTTGGCAATCTACTACAATGGTCCAGGGCAGAGTGCAAGAGCCACAGAGAGATAGAAGACTGGTCAAAGAACTTGGGGTTGGCCAGTCATGCAGGGCATGATAAGCCCAGGAAAGGAGGTTGGGATCGTTTCTTCTTTGGTTTTGAGGAAGGGTTTGTCATGGTGTGATTTACGTTTTGAAAACACTGCTGTGGCTTCAGTGTGATGAATAAGCTGAAGCCGGCAAGGAGTAGAGGCAGGAACAACAGTCAGGAGACCAGTGCAGGAGTCCAGCTGGATGAGGAAGATGACAAATGTCAGGCATTCCTGCCAGATGGCCAGGACCCAGACTTGAGTGGTCACCACAGAAATCAGGTGGGAGAGAAATTTGAGAGGCACCACTAAGGAGAATAATCAGAGTGTGGTGGTTAAGAAGTAAGTATAAGACAGGATGATAAGGTTTGGAGTCTGGGACCTCAAAAAAAGGAGAGAATGAAGGCTTACAGCCTGGGTGAAGCATTAGACCTAGGGATATAGATTTGGGCATCAGAACAAGGGATAAGTGAAACCAACAGATAGAACTAAGTCTCATGTGAGCATAGGAATAAATGAAAGCCACAGAGTCTTGCAGAAGTCCACAATCAAAGGTAAGTGGAGAAGACTTTTTAAAAAACCCATGATGGTGCAATGGCCCTGAAAGAGAAAAGGGTTTTAAGGTGGCAATTGTTTCATTTTATATTTGAACTTGGTTGGAAGTTTTGGCAAATGATAGGTAATCACAAAGGACAGTGCAGAGTGGTAATTAACGTCTTTTCCAAGAGACACTGCTCCCAAAGTCAATTAGAATGTACACTCTTTTGGTTAGGTAAAATTAAGTCTTGCTTTAATGAAAAAAGTTCCTACCATTTAGATTTATCACAGATAATATTAAAGCCTCTTGATTATTCAGGACAGATTGATTAATCAACTTCATTGTTTTCTACCCTGTTGTCTGCCTTAGGTTATTTCATTACTCATTAGTACTTCTGTTTGATTCTAGGCTGGGGGAAAAAAAAATCAATGGAGAAAATAGAAAGTCTTTTTTTAGGTTAGTAATTATGAAAAGAAATGTGGGGGATGATGAAGGGAAATGGATACAATTACCAATCAAATTGGATTTGGCAGTTATATGACACCTTCAGTCATGGAACCTGTTCTTGTTCCTTCAGAGCTGGTATTTCCATTTGCTTTGTTTAGTAAATATGCATCATTTGTTGAACACAGCTGCCATTTTGCCTAGTTTATGTTATTAAAAAAACAAACCCCTGATGCTATCAGGGCCTGAAAACCTACAGAGAGAACAATGTTTAGGATTCTAGTCTCCATTTTCTCTAGGCCCTATGTCACTTTATTGCTTTGCATCTGTTTTCATCAAAAATAAAAATTTCACTTTGTAATGAGTCATAAATTTGTAAAGAAAAGCTAAAATTAAACTTGTTTCAAAGTTATTACAGGAAACTAAGCATATGTTGGAATTGAAGGGATCTTGATCTCAAAAAACTTCAACATTTACTGAGCTAAATATAGAGAAAAAGACATAGTTACCCAAATAAACTCAAAATGTAATTTATTTCCATTAATAAACTTTTTTTCTGGTAATGAATATTATAAATGATAACCTTCATGTGCTCTTAGGATTCCAAACAGCTTTCAGAATCATTTTATTGCCATTTTAATGTTAAAACTTATTTATTTTCTCATTCTTTAAAAATCAGTAAATCAAGTTTAACTCTGAGTTATTAGATATTGTGTCAAAACATCCCAGTTCCTTATTGGCGTGGATGAACAAGAAGTAACTTATTGTACGAAGACTTTATTTACATATCCACTTATCTTTTTTGACTGTTTCTTGCACTTAAACACATGTAGAAATACGTTCCTAAGTACTAAACAGTTAGCTTTTGAGCTAGAAAAGAGAAAAGATAAAGACAGAATCACCAATGTCACTGCTACATAAGCATCAGAAATACTGTACTTTTCTGTCCTCTGGCAGGTGTCTGTGAGAAATAAACTTAATATCTGACAATTTTTTACAGGCTAGAATTTGGGACTAAATGATTTATTACATATTCCAACCAAACTGAAAACTAGGCAATGGCTCTTCATGTAAAAGCTGTAAAAGTTTCAAGAACATTCTTTTCTTTCTCTAAGCTTGAATTCTACTCATATTCATAGAAGTCTGGGCATCTTTGTCAATACAAATTGGCAGGCATTAATTATAGACATTAATTCAACCTGCTTTCACTTTTACACTATCACAGGTTCATCCTGAGTTTGGGTAAGATCATAGCTGTTAAGCATATGGATTATACTTTATGTATTAGAATTGTGGTGAAGTCAACAAAAATAAAAGCATTCATACCACTGTTCTGTTTCCAAGTGTCACTGTTCCACCCTGGCCTATACAATGTCAGTAAACATTCTAACTACTATAGTCACATTCCTTAGTCTATGTCCCCCTCTTTTGGCCAATGTGAGAATAGATCAATGTGGCTCAATTTCATCTAATCACAGGAGTAATTCTATGTTCAAGTTCTTCAAGGATATATGTTGGTTGCATGCCTTGTCTTAAGCACTCACAGAGGGATCAGAGAGTTATTTACCCTCTCAGTGCACCCAATGAGCAGTGGTGAAAAAAGTCCATACATACAAGTTCTATGATCTTGCCCGAAAAGCACAATCTTTGAGTTTCTAGAGACAAAGGGCTCATGTATTGATCTCAATCTTGAGTGCTCTACTCCAGAAATTGACTCAGTAAACTGATTTCAAAAAGCATTTGACAGAAAATACTAGCAATGCTGCCTTTAAGTGGTACAGCACTCATCTAGAGAGAAGTCTCAATAAAAATGCAAAAATGTGGTTTTCCCCCAGATAATACAACAATGCAAATAATACAAGAAAACAACATTTCTTCAGATTAATGAACATTCAATTACCACAGAGCAATAACATAATCAAATATTCTGAAAACGGGAATGAAATATTTACTTAAGGCTGGGCATGGTGGCTGACGCCTGTAATCCCAGCATTTTGGGAGGCTGAGGCAGGCAGATCACGAGGTCAGGGGTTTCACATGGTGAAACCATGTGGCCAACATGGTGAAATCCCGTCTCTACTAAAAATACAAAAAAAAATTAGCTGGGCATGGTGGTGGGCGCCTGTAGTCCCAGCTACTCAGGAGGCTGAGGCAGGAGAATCACTTGAAGCTGGGAGTCGAAGGTTGCGCAAGCTGGGATCGTGCCACTGTACTCCAGCCTGGCCACAGAGCAAGACTGTCTTAAGACACTGCATTTCCTAAGCAAAAATGAACTCTGTGCACTCAGGTGTAAAATTAAATTTTAAATATGATACTTTATGGATTTGACAGTTATTTCAAATGCTGAACTTTTCATTTTATTCTTCTTTTATCCTCAATTTGCATATTTGATTTTAATTTCTAAACAGAATTTCCATTGTTTAAATTATAAAAATCAGCTGGGCACGGTGGTTCACTCCTGTAATCCCAGCACTTTGGGAGGTCGAGAAGGGCAGATCACCTGAGATCAGGAGTTTGGGACCAGCCTGGCCAACATGGCGAAACCCAATCTCTACTAAAGACATAAAAATTAGCTGGGCATGGTGGCACACGCCTGTAATCCCAGCTACTGGGGGGCTGAGGCAGGAGAATCGCTTGAACCCACGAGGCAGAAGTTGCAGTGAGCTGAGATCATGCCACTGCACTCCAGCCTGGCTGCCAGAACGAGACTGTCTCAAATAAACAAATAAATAAATAAAATAAAAATCCCAGAGCCAAAAATGCAAGCATGCTAAATTTCCATTTGGTTAAACCCAGAAAAAAGTCAATTCTTAAAATGTCTGTATTACCATTAAAATATACACGAAGTGTAGCCTGCAGCCCCTGAGGACTGCTGAGTCTCTTTAAGGGGACCATAGAGTCAAAACTGTTTTCATTATCATACTAAGACATTATGTCCTTTTCAGTGTGTTGGCATTTTCACCAATGGTGTAAACAAATAATGGTGAGTAAATCTACTGGCAGCTCAGCCTACATAAGTCGAAGCAGAGGAATCAAACTATATTTGAGGTAACCTTATTCTTTTTTTTTTAGAGGCAGGGTCTTGCTCTGTCACCCAGGCTGGGGTGCAGTGGTGCAATCATAGCTCACTGCAGCCTTGAACTCCTGGACTCAAGGGATCCTCCTGCCTCAGCCTCCCAAGTAGCTAGGACTACAGGCACATACCATCACACCCAGCTAATTTTTAAAAAGTTTTTTGTGGACACAAGCTCTTGCTATACTGCCCAGTCTGGTCTCGAACTCCAGGCCTCAAGCAATCCTCTCACCTCAACCTCCCAACGTGTTCGGATTACAGGCGTGAGCCACCAGGCCTGGCCTGGCACCTTATTCTTTACCAGTGTGCACTTGCAGTAAAATAGAGAAGACAGTTTCACTTAAGGAAGTCCTTGAGGACACAGAAGAAATATTAATTTTCCTACATCTCAAGCCTGAGTGCATCTTTTTAATATTCTGTGTGATGAAATGGGAAGTATGCACACGCCATTCCCGCTGCATACAGAAGTACAACAATGTCTAGAGGAAAAGCATCTATGGGAATGTCTGAACTGTGAGTTGAAGCAGCTGCTTTTTCATCAACCACCTTTCTTACTTGAGAGAATCACTGACAGACAAGGGATGTTATTCAATTTGGATACTAGGTAAACCTTTTATTGAAAATGAAGTTGAGCCTGTCGCCTCAAGAGAAACAATTGACAGTACTTGTTGCCAATGATAAAATGCAAGCTTTTAGGTGAACATTAGAATTTGGAAAATGGTGTTTTGGCCACCATGAGCTTGATAGCTTCCCGATATTAAGACTCTTGAGGAGATCAGTGGCAGCGAATGACCCTTTTACTGTCTCCATCATTTTACCTTTTCCAGGATGTCATACAGTTTGATCATACAACATATATAGTCTTTCTAGACAGACTTCTTTCACTATGTGATGATTTTTAACTTAATAAATATTTATAAAACTTCTCAGTTTTGACTTATGATAAATTTCAATAGATACAATTCACATGAACAAAATCTCTTTGGGCCTTCAATAATTTTTAGGTGTATAAAGTGGTCCTGAGACCATTCAGTTTGAGAACTGCTTATGTCCAATCTGCTATCACTAAACTACTGCCGTTTTCTTCTGTCACAGATATTTGTGTATCTGCTGAGTACAGGGAGAAATTAAATCCAGTGTTTTTCTCTGCAGTCAAATGAAGCACAGTATCTGTTCTACAAATAATTCAGCAAAATGCTTTTGCTTTTCCTGGTTTGCTGGAACATGTTCATGCTGTTTGGAGACCCCACCTTCTTAGGAGGCTCTTCTGTGGGTCCTTTAAGGCCCAAGTCCCATCTTCAGGCCTTTTGGGACTGGGTTGACCTTCCTGAGCCCTGTGTCCTCTGAATGAACTGTATTACTCTCAAAGGCCTACATGCTAATATAACTTTACTTCAAATAGTAATAAAGATACTGAGCTTCATCTGACTGAAAAGCAAAAAAATATCGGATTTAACTTTTATAGATGTTCCTATGATATTTTACTCCTGGCTTTGCTTCCAAGTTAAATTCAATCTTACTCTTAGAGATGTCCAGTTCAGTATCCCCATTACTAACTGTCTGAACCAGTATCTTGATTTCTTTACAGGGTACTTCATCTAATCTAGAAGCTTTTCAGTCAATCATACACACTACTGATAAATTCATATTACTAAAGGACATGGCATGTAAGACCATCTGCAATTTGCCTTCAACAAATGTTTCCAGCTGTGCTGAGAACTCTATACATAACCACGATGGAGGTTTGCTTTTCCCGACATCCTTCCCATTGTTTTCCCATGTGCTCTTTCTTCCCTCCCCAATCTCCAACTATCCAGATTGCCCTTGGTGCTTTGCACAGAGGAGCTTTCCTGCAACCTTTCTGGAGAGCTTTGTCTTGTTTGGCCAATCAGAAGCATTTCTCCTGTCAACTTCCACAGCCCTTTATCTAGGCTTCTCTTCAAATATACTATTTTTGTGCCCTGAACATTATTTTTATGCATGTTCCTATGCCTTCCCCTCTCACACACAACTATAATAGTCCCTTGAACATAACAGGCTCATAATATAGATTAATGAATCCAGAAGTGAAAGTATCAGGGACTAATTTGTAACGTAAGACTGAAGAATAAGAGCTTGAGGAAACGGCAGGGAAAAAAAACAACAGAATTGCATTATATCTTTAGGAAGAAGCACTAATTCCCATGTTTACCATTACTCTCATCTGCCAATTTTCTTGTTTAAGTAGAAAAACATCAGGTTCATTTTTCTGTTCTCTTTTGTTGATTAACTATATCTATGATATCCCATGAGGACTCTTACTTCTTTAAAAAACTGGTTTCCTCAAATCACTGAAGCCGTAACACAAGTTTCTAAAAGTAGTAGTGCCGGCCCTAAAGCTGTTAAGGTCTTCTGGTTCACTCTGCTAGGTCAAATCTTCTGGGAATTTGATATAAAAGCGTTCTACAAAATCTTAAAGCTTCTTTTAAATAACAAATGAACTATGGTCAGGCTCCACTCAGTATACTCTATTAGAGCTGAGCTTTTGTCACTTAGGTTCATAAGATGGGTAGTAATGAGAAAACATTTCTCTGTAGCATCAAATAAGAGCTTAAAAATACAAACTAACAAAGCTTTCATCTTTTAGAAAAAAGGAAGGTTAGTGGGAATCAAAAGAAATTTCTAGACCCAACTTTCTCACTTTTTATCTGAGGGAACATGGGAAAAAAATCACTTTTCCTCAAAGTTAAATAAAGATAGCTTAAAACACTATTCCCTGCCCCCTAACAGTCTCTGTCTCTCTCTGTCTCTCTCTCTCTCTCTCACACACACACACACACACACACACACACACACACACACACACAGAATCTAAACTGCATCGTGCCATATTAGTTTAAGGTTGTCCTCTCACTTCATCCCTCCTACCCTCCACAGATCAACACTGTCCAAGAGAAATATACTGCAAGCAATGAATGTGAGCCACATATGTAAATTTTCTAGAAGCCACATTTCAAAAAATAAAAAGGAACATGTATATGTAATTTTAATGTAGTTATTAAACCCAATATATCCAAATTATTATTTCAATAAGTAATTAATTTAAAAATTAGAAATAATTTACTTTTTTCTCATGTCTGAAATCCAGTAAATATCTTATACTTACAACATATCTCAATTTGAACTAGCCACATTTCAAGTGCTCAATAGCCACAAGTGGGTATTGGCTACCATACTGGACAGAACAGGTCCAGACTTCCATGTGCTCTAATGCTAACTCAACTATTTTGATGCAAGAAAGCATCAATATGTCCTTGGACTGTAATCCTCGTAAGGACAGGAGTATCTTTACAAAAACACACACATACACAAACTTGTTAATTAGTTGCCATAGTAAAATTCCCCTCTGATGCCACCCACAAAATTTACATGTTTAAACAATTGGTATCTGGGGTATCTAACAGAAAAGCCTTGAGATAAATCAATCTATACTTAGCACAGGTGACCTATGACAGTTACGTTAATGTCTAGGATCCTATTTCCTTATAAAGAAGGTTAGAGGAGAGACACGAAGATGCTCTACAGGCAGTTTAACATTAAATATTCTTTACATTTCCAGACTCTCAAACACAGCCTAGGACAGGGTAACAAAGTCATAACCACCACCCCAACACGGTCAGAGGCCAGATGGGTAACATATATGCATAAGGAGACTGGGCCCCAAGGGCCTCAACATAAAGACAGGATATGACAGGCAGTAGCACTGTGGTGACCTAGAGAGCTCCTCCCAGCCTGATGCTGGCCACACCTACTAAGCTCCAGCATAGTAACCACAGGGAGAGCAGGCTCAATGTCATCAGAGCTTCTGATTTTTCTAAAATTGCTGACTATCTTCTAATGTTTAAGCACTAATAATTGATTCAAATTCTAAGATATACCCTTTAGGCCAAAACAAAAAACAAAACTGTGGATATGGCCTGCTTGTCTCTAAGCGGTCAGTTCTGTCTTGCCCCTCTCCCCACTTTTGGTGCCAATTTTTTAAATTGGAGGGAAAATGTAGCATTTGTGACTAAGAGGTTAATAACTTTAATCTGAAAAGATTAGTTACTCATCTTTTCAAGTTACTAGGCTGTGTGATAACCGTGAAAACTGAGGGATAATTTAAATGCCCATTAGTAGGGATTAAGTAAACCATCATGCGTCCATTCAACTAATCTCTATAAGAGAAAAAAATAGACACCTGAATAGGAAAATGGACAAAGGACACAAACTGGCAACCAAAAGAAATGCAAATTATATGTGTGTGTCTGTCCCTGTGTGTAGCATATGTATGCATGTATTCCAACTTCACTAGCATTGAAAAAACACAAAGAAGGTTCTTTCCTCACAGTTTAAACAAGGGAGAAACAAATGCTCTTTCCTGATCAGACTAGCAAAGCTTTTTTTTAATGTTTAATAATGTTTAGTTGTTGCCAAGGCTGTGGGGAAACATATGCTCACAAACTGCTAGTGGCGGTCTATGTTTGCAGAACCATTAAGGAGGACAATTTGGTAATATGTCAAAAACCCTTGGTGGGCAAGCAGTGGTGGCTTATGCCTGTAATCCCAGCACTTTGGGAAGCCAAGGCGGGTGGATCACCTGAGGTCAGTCAGGAGTTCGAGACCAGCCTGGCCAACATAGGGAAACCCCGTCTCTACTAAAAATACAAAAATTAGCTGGGCATGGTAGCACACGCCTGTAATTCCAGCTACTCGGGAGGCTGAGGTAGGAGAAACGCTTGAACCTGGGAGGCGGAAGTTACAGTGAACCAAGATCGTGCCACTGCACTCCAGTCTGCGCGACAAGAGGGAAACTCTGTCTCAAAAAAACAAAGACAAAAAACAACCTTCGTGGCATACCAACTCCACTTTTAAACATATTTGCCCTGGAGAAACAATGAGATCAACATACAAAAATGTACAAACAAGTATAATCTTTGAAGCTGTGTAATAATTGTGAAAACTGAGGGGTAATTTAAATGCCCATTAATAGGGGTTATTTAAGTAAACCATCACTCATCCATTCAACAGCTGCTGAAAAATGATGAGGTAACGACAAGGACCAATAACTATAAAGTACTATTAAGTGGAGGAAAAAGCAAGAATCACAATATCAGCCTATATGGAAAGGGGGGGTGTGTGTATGTGAGTGTCTACATGTGTGTATATTTATAAGTACACACATACACACTGGAAAGAAATTCTCTATCTCTGGGAGCATGGGACTTATGGGTCACTGACATTTCCTACTATCTCTCCCTTTTAAAAAGTTATAACCCCTCTTTTATTACCAGAAAAAAACAATA
Organism: Homo sapiens; assembly: GCF_000001405.40. NCBI lineage: Eukaryota > Metazoa > Chordata > Mammalia > Primates > Hominidae > Homo > Homo sapiens. The sequence goes on from NC_000006.12 coordinate 130,850,722, forward strand.
AAGATAGTTTCATTTGAAAAAATAATAGTCAGTAATGGTTATGTCCAAGAGCAAGCCTTGGGGAATGAGTGACTACTGCCTGGTCTTAATGTACGCATTAGAGCAGTGGTACCCAGCACCTCTTGTGTGGGGGGAGTTCAAATAGATTGTAACTGACTCATTGATAACACCTGGTAGATTTAGCAATGTTAAATGAGAACATTCCACAGCATTTCAGAGTGAAAACTGGCTATGCCTAAAACTCACTAAACCAAAACTAGCTTTTTATTTCTATGCAGAAGTCAGTCCTCATCTGAGGTGTGATTAATCTATATTGAAAATGAAGCAGTAATAAGATGCTAATTTTAGGTATGAGACTAACACAACTAGGCAAACAGAATAAAATAAAAATGCAACACACCTGATATGCCTGCAGAACTGAAATAGTCATCTGGAAGTCAATAGGTTTGTTCTCTTTGAAGGTCAGGGGTGACACTCATCAGGGCCCACATGTAAATGAGTGGCTCATGATTAGCTAGAGCTCAGTTCAGCCAACAGGGTTCTTTTCTCTCATCAAGTCAGCTAGGCAGCTAATGTTAATTTCCTGTTTGGCTTATGAGTTCATGTTTTGAAACCCTGCACATCACCCTGACTTTGAAACAAACACAAGATTGTTTTGTTTAGAAATTGGCATTCGTGTACCCACAACAGTGGAAAAAGCAACACGACTAATTTAGAGGTATTCACTGCAGGTTAACGGGTGGGATGTCTAAGAGGTTCCAGTGAATGGTGAACTGACCCTGCTTTTAATAATCACAGCACTAGCTCCAGTGGCTCCATGACACCTAATGTTCTCCCATCTTCTCAGATGAAGGCAGGCAGAGCTCATGGAAGAGCAAAAGGTCCTGTCACTGGGTTTTCAACTTAATATGTTTTCATGTGTTTTCAACCTGTTACAGGGCTCTCTCCCTACTACCACACTGAAACAGCTCTGACAAAGCCTCCAGGCTGACTTCTGTTCATCAATTTCCAAAAACATGCTCATTTGGTTTTTCTGCCATATTTAATACTTGGTTACTCTCTCCTTCTTGAAGTTATCTTGCCTTGCAGCTTGTGTCACCTCCGCCTTTTCCCTGTTTCCTTTCTGCCTCCTGGCTCCTCCTTCTTTATGGCCTCTGTTTCCCAGACCTCAGCTCTGAGCTAGCCCTGGATAACACAGCTCAAAACACAGGCTTCATCAGTACACAATTCATTCAGGGGACTCACAAATCTCTCTCCTGCTCAGAAGCCTGTTGCACTCTCAAAGCTCTTGTGCTCCCAAATGTGCCATTTCTGCATTTCACATGCATCTCAAACTCATTATCTCTGGGGTAGAAAATTCTCATTTTTATTGGACTCTTAAGAGCAAAAAGGGTTCATGGCCGACCTTGTAAGTTATAAAAAGTTCTTAACAACCTGCCTTGGAAACAAGCCCTTCTGCTTCTATTATCATCCCCAGTTTACAGATGACAGCTCTGGGACAAAGGGATGAGACCAGCCAAGGTCAAACAACTAAGAAGTAGATATGAACCCAGCAAATCTGCTATCCTATGCTCCCTCTTAACATGCAGACGATCCAGAAAACTTCCAATTAATCATGTCATGTTATAAGATGGGGCCTTATAGATTCATTTCTAAGTTTCCTCCAGAATTCCCATGACAGTTGGTCTCTCCGGCAGTACCGCAGAACCAAAAATACACCTTTGCTTTAAGGTAGCCAAGCAGAGAAGACCAGCCATAGTAACGTGGCCATGACATGCAAAAGACAAAACTCATGTATTGCACGATTCAAATTATAGGTGCCAACATCAACTCCCTGCCCAAGCCAAAAACCTAAATATGATGTGTGATTCTCCTCTGCTCCCATCTTCCCAATGCACTAACTTCCACAGCCTCATGCTGACCGTCAACAAGTCACAAAGAAGGTAAGTTACATCCTTACCATCTCTCAAACACAGGAGGAGCAACCCCATCACTTTCAGGATAGTTTAGCCTCCTCAGCTTGGCTTAGAAGACTCCTTAACATTGGGCCTCTGCCTCCTTCCTCCTGCATCTCCATCGCTCTCCTACAAGTATCCCACAATCCAGCTACATCTGATTTTGCACTGTTCTTGGAGCATCAGGTTCAATGCTTCCAATCCTGCCTGGAATGGCCCCCTTTACTCCTTCTTCACAGAGCTAACTCCTACCCAGCACGAAGCTTAAGTGAAACATCTCTGATGCTCTATTCTGATTCAGAGGTCTCTCCTTCTTGTTCCCATTACACGAGGTTCAGAATATTATCACAAAACTTGAAATTCTTCTGCTACCACTGATTTATTGTCTGAAGAGCAGACCTTATTTTATTTGATATTTCCATGGGAAAACAGCAGACGATACCCAGTGGGCATTCCATACATATTTATGCAATGAACAAATAAATGAATGGATGAGTGAAAGGATGAGCAGCCACTCCTCTGTCGTTTCATCCTTCAGGTGCTCACTGATTTTGGATGAACAGGAGGCTTCATTCACTTTTTTACCTGACATCAATTATTACTCTAAGAGTCAGAGAGGCTCCTGTGAAGTCTGGGTTGGGAGAGCTCCCTCTCCTGTGGCTCATTCTTTCTGAGACCACACAGATCACACCACCAAGCCTGGAACCCTTCTTCCTCCTGATCGGGACCGTTTGGGAATACCACTGCAGTGGTGATAAGGTCAGCAATATTTTTCATCCATGTGAGGGCTCATAAATATGCATTTGGGCTAAGCCGGCAGGAGGGAGTAGTCCTTGAAAGGACATTAAAAAGTTACAAAGATTTAGTGAAGTCCTCATCTGAAGTGTGTTTTCTTTTTAACGGGGTTTGCATTTAGCTCCTCTCTGCCTCACAGCTGGCTGCCATCCACTGAGAAAGGTGGACTTGGGAGGTTCGTCCTCTGCAGGTTGTTCTTTTACCATCTTTCTGTTTGCTCTCCCCTCCCCCTACTTTCAACACTTGATCAAAAGCTCAGAGCTACTCCAAAGGGCAAGATCAGGTCAGGAGGAGAGCTTTATGTGCCTGAAAAAGGGAGACGGAGCAGATACATTGCAGACAGTTCCCCTTCTTTTTTGACATTCCGATATTGTCCTGATCCTGCTCTTTGCCTCAGCCCACCTGCTGCCTCTGTGGGATTCTGGCAGGGCAGCCAGACAGTAGCTGAAGCAGTGAAAACACACTCTTCCCAGATCTGACAGTCACCAGCAAAGGAAATTTTTTAAGAGTGAGCTGCAGCCAGTGGGGGGTGGAGATGCCAAAATGACTTTGAGACACTGAGGTCATTCCTAGTCATCCTTCAGATTTTAAACTCAAACTTCGTTTCTCAAGTAAACTGGTTTCTAAAGGAAATTGGTTAAATTTATGATAGTTCAAGTCTCCTATTTTGTTCTCTCATAGCATTTTATTTCCTTCAGAGGGCTGATCACATTTACATTTTGTTCATTTGTTAATATTCACACCTACCTTCCTGGAGCACATCCTCTCTGCCAAGGAGGGGGACCATGTTTGCTTTGTCTATCACGGAATCCTCAATACCCAGCCCTACCCTAGCACATTTAGGCACTCATTAAATACTTTTTGAATGCATGAATGAATCTTTCCAAATTTATCTAGTTTGTTCACCTTATATGTAAGTTTATACTTTAACTTCCTAAATCTGTTTAACAAGGCTTCTCATAAAAGTTAGCCTCTGAGATGGGCAAACTTCAAAAGTTGTGTGTGTGTCTGTGTGTGTCCATTGTAAAAATGAACATAAGGTGCTAGGAATAAGTGATACAATGAATTCATTTAAAAACTTATTAAAATGCCACAAGTGAAGGTGGAGCTACTGGTAACGCTTAGAGTGTCACCAATTTTTTGCTAGTATTCCTGATTAAGAAGCAACTGATTCATAAAATTTAGAGAAAAAAACATCCAGTGCTATTACCTTATGTTTGTATAACACTCACTTTTCTCATTCATTATCTTATTCTATCCTTAGAATAAGTCCTATGAGTTAGGAAAGGTAGATCATACCATTCACTGACTTGCCTAATGTCAATATAGTTGGATATCTGGCAAGATGAAAACATAGCCTTCAGCCTTCTGACTCCTAAGTAAGAATGCTTTTAGCCTTCCCTATTTAAAACCATTAGGAGCCAGGCGTGGTGGTGAGCGCCTGTAGTCCCAGCTACTCGGGAGGATGAAGGAGAAGAATTGCTTGAACCGAGGAGGCAGAGGTTGCAGTGGGTTGAGATCACACCACTGCACTCCAGCCTGGGAGACAGAGGGATACTTTGTCTCAAATAAATAAATAAATAAAACCATTAGGGGGCCAGGCACAGTGGCTCACGCCTGTAAACTCAGCACTTTGGGAAGCCGAGGCAGGCAGATCACTTGAGAACAGGAGTTTAAGACCAGCCTGGCCAACATGGCGAAACCCTGTCTCTACTAAAAAATACAAAAATTAGCTGGGCGTGATGGTGGGCGCCTGTAATTCAAGCTACTTGGGAGGCTGAGGCAGGCAGAATTGCTTGAACCTGGGAGGCGGAGGTTGAAGTGAACCGAGATTGCGCCACTGCACTCCAGCCTGGGCGACAGAGCGAGACTCCGTCACAAAAAAATAAAAAATAAATAAAACCATTAGGGAAATACATCTCAAAGATAAAAAGATCAATATCCACATACAGCACAGTACATTTACTCAGGCCACTGGATGTTTTATTTTTACTAAAATTGTTAATGATTTCTGCTTATGGGCCCATTATATACCCTGTGTTTAAAATAGAATCTCAGATATGAAGAGTCAGGTTGCTAGATATAAGATAAATATAGAAAAGTCAACTGTATCTCTCTATGCTAGCAAAAGCTAGAAAAGATTTGTAAGACCTCATTTGATTAAAAAACTATATAATTTTAATGAAAGACATTAAAGAAGATATATACAAATAGAGACATCTTATGTTCAAGGAAAAGAAGGCAATATTAAAAAGATGTAATTCTCCCCATATTGAACTACAGAGTAGATACAATGCCAACTGAAGTACTGCAGGATTTAATCTTAGAACACAGCAATCTGATTCTAAAATTTGTATGTAACAGGAAGAGCCAAGAATGAAGAAAAAGAACACTATCGGTGGTGGGGGGAGGGGGTGCAGGGGGATAGAGACATGCATACCATGTATCAAGACCCATTATAAAGTTATAGTAATTCTGGCACTGGAGCAGGGATAGACGCATGGACCAATAGAAATAGTGTCAGAAACACCCCCACACATAAGAAACTTGATATAGGATGCTGCAGATGAGATGGGGGAAAGAAGGGCTCTTCAATACAGTGCTGGAATGCTGGCTACTTATGTAGGAAACTTTCTCATCATTTAGAAAAAATGATTTCAGATGGATTAAGAATATATGAAAAACAATGTTAAATTTCTACATAAAAAATATCTTTATCACCTAGGGGTATGGAAAAAACATAAGTCATAAAGGAAAAGCTTGATAAATTCAACAATATTAACCCTATTCAACTATTTTAATAATGAAAGACAAACCACAAGCCTGAAGATATTTGCAACATATAAAATTGACAAAGGATCAGTATGTAGAATCTATCAAGAATCAATTAACAATGAAAGAAAGAATGAAAGCAAAAGCAGGCAAGAGAGGTGAACAAGCATTTAAGGTTTTGAAGTTTTTGGCCATCTGTATTTTCATAGAAGAGAAAACAAGAATGGCTAATAACCATATGAAAATATATTAATGAAGAAAGTGAGAATTATAATCACAGTTACACATATTTACCAAACTAGCAAAAATTAAAAAGTCAGAGAGGCAGCTGTAAAATGGTAGGAATCCTTGCCTCCTAGTGGATGCAACAGCAGGTGGCTGTGCCACGCAAGGTAGAAAATGAAAATGTGTAACCTGTGACCCAGCCATTCCTGTGGGTTACCTATCTATTGACTGTTCAACATACAGATTATTTTAACAACAGAAAGTAATCTTAGTATGTGTTATTGTGTGATAAGACCTGCTTCTTAAAGCCCTAATAGATAATTATAAACATTTACCCACTTCATCAAGATTTAGTTATCACATGGAAACAGCATAATGTGTTAACTAATCCCCTACTCTTGACCATTTAGATTATTTCAATTTTTTTTTTGGCTAATACTAGCAAATATAATACTCTGGTTTCTCTTCAGGGTGTGTAAATCTTTTGCCTGTTACTAATACTAGCAAATATAAATTTATACAAATATAAATATTAAAATGTGACAAATACCCTTGTAGGTGAATATTTGTATATATTTCTGATTAAGATAAATTCTTATAAGTAGTTTAATGGTAGACATGTTTAATGTGGATATTTTTTAGATATATTTGTGTCAAATTGTCCTCCATAAAATATTACTAATTTATACAGCAGTATATATTTCCTGCAGCCTTCCCAACACTATTAAAAACATAAGTTTTGCCAAATTTATAGGTGAAAACTTGTCCACTGAGTTTTTAGTATGCATTGATTTAAGTAATAGTGAGGCTGCACATTTTTTGTTTATTGATCTTTTAGTTTGCACATAGTTTACTCATTTAATTCTCTGCCCATTTTTCTACAAAAGTGTTTAAATTTTCTTAATGACACAGTAGAGTTCTTAATATACTCAGGATACTATTCCTTTCTCTGCCAAGCACATTAAACTTAATCATTTATTAATCCTTTGCTTTTGTTTCTATTGGCTTAACTGAAGTATTTATTTCCATTTTTACACAGTCAAAGAAATCTTTTCCTTTCTGGTTCATTCTCAGATGTATCTTTTTTTTTTTTTTTTTTTTTTTTTTGAGATGGAGTCTCACTTCTGTTGCCCAGGATAGAGTTCAGTGGCGCAATGTTGGCTCACTGCAACCTCCGCCTCCCAGGTTGAAATGATTCTCCTGCCTCAGGCTCCCAAGTATGGGATTACAGGCATGCACCAACATGCCCATCTCATTTTTGTGTTTTTAGTAGAGATAGGTGGAATCAGCTCATCTCCCTCTTATCTCTCCTACAATAAAAATCTCTCATCCAAAGAAGGTTAATAGCATCTTCCAGAAAGGGTCAATGTGAATATTAATTAATGTAACTTACAGTAATGTGCTTGATAAACAGTAAAGCAATATATGAATGTCAATCATTAGCAGCCCCTCAATAAATCAGAGTTATTGACACCACATGACCATCAGTTCACAGAGATTATATACACCCGAGCAGATGCACCTGGGGATGATAACAGTCTAGAAAGTCAAATGTACTATAGGAAGAAGACACTGATATGAACTTTCATTTCACATCCTTTCACAAGTTCAGGAGTACAGAGCAGTCACTAGAAAGGCCACAGACAATGAGGGCTCTCTTACCTTACTTAATCTTCCCCTTCCTCAGCCAACTCTGTTTCTTTGTGTACCACCACTCTTGTGACCGACATGTCAGGGTGCTGCTCTCTGGCTTCCCTGATCGCCTGAGCCAGTGCCTGCCAGGGTCAGGACAGAGAACGGCTGTGAGCTGGGGAACAGCCTCCACCTCACAATGGCAAAACACACACACACTGATCACCTCGGACCCAACCTCAAGCCAAGAGGCACTCACTTCTGTATTTGAGAAAGCAGGAAGATTTGAAATGGGTTCACTGTCATTTTACAGACTGCTTCTCATTTCCTAAATCTCCCAATTCTTCAGTCCACTTTCAAATAATGACACGTAGAGGAAACATGTTGGCTTTGAATCCCAGGCTTATTATACTCACTGTGAGATTTGGAGAAAACAGTTCTTTGGAGCTTAGCATTCTTACCTGTAACCTGAGACTAATGCAGAGTTGTAACGATCATTTTAAGGTTTTCTGTGTGAACTAAAGTAATGCTGTAAAGCAGCCAGCACAGTGCCTGATCTAGACATTCAGGTGATACTAGCTGTCACCCAATTGCCTGAAACTGCAAGGCAGAGGACCAGGCCTTGCTCATCTTTATCTTCTTAGGCTCTCAGTAATTGTTTGAACTAAAATGTTTGCTGAACTAAAAGACTGCAGGAAAGATGTCTATAAACCTCTAAGACACAGAACTAAAGAGCAGTAGCAACAACATACAATTAGTAAAGCTAAAGAACAGAGACTGACTAATCTTCAGGTTATAAAATACAGGTCCCTATTTGACAGTTGACAAAACTGCAGGCACAAAGATTAATGGGTCTTTCTCAAGGCCATCCAGCCTGTGAGCAGCAGGATAGGAGCAGGGAGGACCCAGAGGGCTGACTCCAGTGGTTTATGGTCCTTCCTTGGACCACGTGGTAAGAAAGCAAAGTTTCTCTGTGTTTTATCAGAAAGTAAACTGTAAGAGTGTTGTGGCACAATGGAAAGATCCTATTTTTCAGAGGAGGAAAATAGCTTTCCTAATTATTACTCATTTTGTTTTTAAAGTATGGGTGAGAAAACAAAACATCAGAGAACCCTTGAAGTCTAGGAAAGAATTCTAAAGGCCAGGCGTGGTGGCTCAGGCCTGTAATCCCAGCACTTTGGGACGCCAACGCGGGCGATCACTTGAGGACAGGAGTTCGAAACCAGCCTGGCCAACATGGTGAAACCCAGTCTCTACTAAAAACACCAGGCTTGGCTGGCGCACGCCTGTAATCCCAGCTACTTAGGTGGCTGAGGCAGGAGAATTGCCTGAACCGGGAAGTGGAGGCTGCAGTGAGCCAAGACTGCACCACTGCACTCCAGCCTGGGCAACAGAGTGAGACTTTGTCTCAAAAAAAAAAAAAAAAGTCTAGGAAAGAATGCTAAAACAAAGAGAAAATTTTACTAGGACAGAGAATACCATATCTCATAAGGAAACTGCATTTGAAATAAAGCCATGCAATTTTTTCTTTTGCTGTCAGCTGCCTAAGGGGACAACTGCATTTCTTGTTTGCATGATAGTTTCTGTCAGCTGTAAGGATACTAAACAGAAACCCTAAGCCTCGTTTCGTTTAAAAAAAGGTAAAGCTACCAAAAAAAAAAAAAAGACATCATTTTCATACAGAAAATTTTTTGCACAGAAACTTGGAAGACATTTGAGGGTGCTTAAATTTCCACCAGGGAACAAACTCTTGTGAGTGACCTGTGTTGGGACAATAGAGAAATAAAACATGGAACCAGACTCCAATCTGGGCAGTAGCAGAAGTGTTTGTCAAGGCGGGAGAGTGAATGGCTGGAGGGCTAGCGTGGAGCAGGAGTGGGAGCAGGTATCTGGTTCCAGGGAAGGGCAGAGAAGCTTTTCAACGTGTTGACTGGAATGGGAATAGGAAAGGGAGAGGAGGCACAGGGGTGCAGTTCTACATTGTGTTTGTGTGTGTCTTCAGAGGGAAGGAGATTGGAATGATCCAAGCCATTTACTACATGTTGGTTTGTGCAGTCCACACTGGGAAAAGTCAAAGACAAGGACAAGCTCTGATGGGAGCCAAACGTAGCTACAGACAAATGATCAAATACTTTGAGTATCTGATCTACAAAGATCTGCCTACAATAAAGCAGGGCAACTGTTCAAGAGAAAATGTAGATGATGCCCAAGGGAAGGCAACACATATGAAATACACTCTAATTCACAGAAAGATTGGGAAAAGCAAAAACTGCTACAGTCATCTTGAAACACATTCAAAATCAGTTTGTTAAAACTCCTTTCATTCCATAATATCAGCATGCAAAATTAAATACTGTAAAATGTTAATTTATTATGGCAATAATAAGGATTATGAGAAAACATCACATCTTACTGCCAAATTTTATTTTTATTTTTATTTTTATTTTTTTGAGACGGAGTCTCGCTCTGTCGCCCAGGCTGGAGTGCAGTGGCGCGATCTCGGCTCACTGCAAGCTCCGCCTCCCGGGTTCACACCATTCTCCTGCCTCAGCCTCCCGAATAGCTGCGACTACAGGCGCCTGCCACTGCGCCCGGCTAATTTTTTTTCTATTTTTAGTAGAGACGGGGTTTCATCGTGTTAGCCAGGATGGTCTCGATCTCCTGACCTCATGATCTGCCCGCCTCGGCCTCCCAAAGTGCTGGGATTACAGGCTTGAGCCACCGCGCCCGGCTCTTACTGCCAAATTGAGCAATTATTTCTTAGAAAGAAATACACTCTGAAGAGACACTGCAGTGTATTTTACCTCTCCTTGGTATGGAGCTGAAAGTATCATGACCAGCACAGGGTGAAGAATCTGCAAAGCAAGTTTCTGTAAAAGCATGCCTCTTTGATTTGCCAACACAAAAAAGATTTCTTGTTTTCTGTCTGGCCCAGTGAAAGTGTCCTTCCATTTTAAGATGCCTTTTTTATTTTTAATTTTTTTAATTTTGAGATGGAATCTTGCTCTGTCGCCCAGGCTGGAGTGCAGTGGCGCCATCTCCGCTCACTGTAAGCTCTGCCTCCCAGGTTCACACCATTCTCCTGCCTCAGCCTCCCAAGTAGCTGCAACTACAGGTGCCCGCCACTACACCCGGCTAATTTTTTGTATTTTTAGTAGAGACAGGGTTTCGCTGTGTTAGCCAGGATGGTCTCCATCTCCTGACCTCGTGATCTGCCCACCTCGGCCTCCCAAAGTGCTGAGATTACAGGCGTGAGCCACCGCCCCCAGCCTGAAGATTCCTTTTAACGTAGGCAAGGAACTGAAAAAGATGTCAATGTTATGAAGGTCACTCTATGATCAACATCGGATTTTGACAGCAAAGCGATTTCATCATTTAATTTAAAGTAGCTCTGTCATCTCATTACAGGCTTAAAGGAGAAAGTGAACCCCCAACAGCTTCTGGTGACAAGCAGACCAAAAGCCACAATCACATTTACTCAAAAATGTTGGCCAGGTGTGGTAGCTCACGACTGTAATCCCAGCACTTTGGGATGCCGAGGAGTGTGGATAACCTGAGGTCAGGAGTTCGAGACCAGCCTGGCCAACACAGTGAAACCCCATCTCTACTAAAAACACAAAAACTAGCCGGGCGTGGTGGCGGGTGCCTATAATCCCAGCTACTCAGGAGGCTGAGGCAGGAGAATCACTTGAACCCAGGAGGCAGAGGTTGCAGTGAGTCCAGATCGTGCCACTGCACTCCAGTCTGGGCACCAGAGGGAGACTCCATCTCCCCAAAAAAAAAAAAAAAGTTTATGCTATCTCACAAACATAAAAAGGCAAAATCTCTGTTCTCTTCATTTGGATATCTGACCTCAGTTTTAGAAAGGGCTGAAACATGACATCATATACAAAAAAGGAGATTACTGTCCTTGCAACAGCAGCAGTTAAGGCTGCTGGGTCATCATGATTTTTTAAGAGTCAGGTGTATATGTTATTTTGGCACTTGTATTTCAGATTGTGTTTTTAATATTTGCCTTTCAGAAGCAGTACTATCTAGATTTGAATTTTGGGGTAAAACAGGCCAAAATATTCTTTTGCCTTTTATAACAAAATTATTTTGGCTTTTGTTATAAAAGGCAAAACAATACACATAAGTAAAACCTGAGTACTGGAAAGGTGGCATTTTAAAGTGTGTAAAGGGCCTAGGTTCAATGGGGAGAGGGGGGTGGAAGAAACAATGGCTGGGAGAAGACCCTAGTTTGCACTTTCCACCATGCCAAAAAATGTGAGCTTGTGCTTCACATATTCTAGGAATTCAATGAGTGCTTATTGAGAAGAGTCCCAGAGAGAAAGAAGCAGGTTTACTCCAATTTCTCAGGCGAAACTCAAGACTGTTCCAGTGGATAGTAGAATAAATCCCCTCTGGAAAACTGGAGGCTTGTTTCCACATAAGTCACTCATTTTCCCATGGTAAGCAGACAAGTGTACTAATGCTCTCTAGGAATCTCCAGTCCTATGTCCTATGTCAAAATCCAGAGTCAAGGCAACCTTTTAACCTCTAATAACTCTTAAGAAAATTTTAAAAGTACATTACGAATATGTAAGTCAAATCATACTTACAAAGGTCAAAAAAATTGGGAGTAATTTTCTTCTTAGGCATGAAAAATCCATTTATCTCTGATCACATATAGGCTGCCTTTCTCAAATGAGGAATTTTGTTCTCTAAAATTTTCTTTCCTGAGCTCAGTATTGTGTCCAAAGCTGTGTAACTATCGTTAGCTCCTACTCCCCAGCTGAGATAGTCAATTGAATATTTCTTTTCCTTTTCTTCAAGTTGTTATAAAAGGAAAACAGCTTGGTCTCCTTTAAAGCTGAGTTAAAATCACTTTTAAAAAAATTGTCAGCATCACTTGGGACTGCAGTCTAAAATTAAAACTGCTCTCAAAGTCTCCAGCAGTTCCATTCATCACCTGCTCAAAGCCATGCATGCTGCCAAATTTAACATTAGAATGGAGGCATGATTCTTTTAAAAAATTTTCAGAATCAATGTAAATTTTCACTTTGTAAGAAACCTTGTATTACCTCCCCTCCCCCAATAATCGCAATAGGAGAAAACACCTGGAAGTAAATAGCTCAACTTTTCTAATGCCATAAATATACTTGAAAAGTTCCTAAAAGTAGGCATAGGTCAAGCTTAGTGGCTTTCTTCATTTTTTGGAAACTGGTGCATTGAACTGCCATTCATTTTTAAATATTTGATCACTTGCCTTTAAACCAGGCCCACACGAATCTTATGTTTTCCAGAAATCCTCCAGATTACGTTGACCCAAAAGTGCATGTAAAGCCAGTGGGAAATAAAGAGAAATCTGTGTTTTATTCTGATTCAGAGGTAGGAAAGCTTGTATCCAGGCTGTGTCTTTATGTCCTGCTTAGGAGGTGGACTTCATCCAGGAGGTTTGGGGAGAAGAGGTTTACACAGGTATGCGACATGATGACAAATGTGAAACTTAGAAAACAAACAGGGCCATTTCCAAAACTAGAACTTAACTTATTTACCTGGTCATGATCAATATCTCCATCTCCTGTGATCACAATGCGTTTCTCAATTCTTGTTTCAGAAATTCCACCTTTTACAGTCTAAAGGTCATAAAGGAGAAGAAGAAAAAACAGCAATCACTGAAGCACGTTTACACAGTCAGAGCAAACAGAGATGGGAGTCCACCTAGACCTGTGGATCATTGTAAGGCCACACACAACAAGCAGCAAAAGACTGATATTCTAGAAACACTTTGTGCTTTATTTTTAGGCTCAATAGAGAATCCTATTACTAAAGTTATAGCATCCACAAGTATCCCTCAGCTGAGAGCAACCTTAAAACTCATTTATCAATATTCAAGATGGCATCTGTCCCATCTTAATCTCACTTGATTAAGATAGGACAGATATTATTTAATCCAAGTAGTTCCTTTAAGGGAATTCTGTTATAGTTTCCCGAGTTTCTTTACTCCTAGCTGGCCAATTTTTAAAAAGGAGAGTAGGGAGAAATCAGTTACTTGCAGAATTACAAGAAATTATAAGAATTTAGGTATCTGTTTTTGGTTTGAGAAACTGTTTGATGTGATATATATTTTTTTCCCATCACAGAAGACTTCTGTATGATGTGATGGTTTTGACTGATGGATTCTGAGCATACAAATTTATTTGCTGATTTTGTTTATTGCATTTAGTGCAATAATTTTAAAAAGGATTTGCTTTGGTTTCAGATACGGAAGATGGATGAGATTTTTGTTGAATGTTTGATTTGATGACACCCTGCGTAAGTAGTCATACACGTAGACATGGCGCATGGCTAGACAAAGGCTGCGAGCGGGGCTGGAGGAGGGAGCTCCTGGGGGAACTGCCTCACAGCGTTATGGGCTCCGTACAAGCTGCGAGTGCCTGGGGCACACTGGATGAGGCTGAGGAGATCATCTGGCTGTGACCTTCTAAACAGTCAATAAGCAAATACCACACGGTCCTGGGAAAGCGCACATCCAACATTTACAACTCTGATAAATGTACACTCTCAGTCACAAGTGACAGCATTTTACCATAACAAACCAGGCTTATCACTATGCTTAATAACTGGATATGCTTTAAAATGAGCACCAACAGTACCTTGCATTTATGCGGCATTTTTAAATTTACAAATTACTTTTGCTGTTTTTTAAATTGTTGTTGAAACATGGGTTGGGAAGGGCACAAGGGACACCTTTAAGACCTTTAGACACTTATCCAAAGTAAAAAACAGAAGAAGGAAATAGTGGAAAATAAGGCTGGAGTTAGAAAGCTGATGACTTCAGCATGCATCAGAATCACTGGAAGCTTCTTAAGACAATTCTAAGGTTTCAGGAGGACTGGAGTGGGGCCACGCTATTTATACTTCTAACAATGCCCCGGGTGAAGCTGATGCTGCTGATCCAGGGATGACTGGTTACCCAGTGCTAAACATTTAGAGAATTATGCAGGGAGGAACAGGGGAATGCCCCAAATCAGTATACTAGCGATCTTAAATGAGGGAAATTCTACATTATTTGAACAACTTGCTGAAAATTCTGAATGATGGCCTTCATTCATTCGCTTTAGTCAGGAGGGCTGGTTTAATAAAAGTAGAAGCACAAGTTTGTTTTTATAAATTATAAATTTTATTAAATTATTTATGGTTTTGTAGCTATCTTACATATAGCTATTCGTAACATATTTTTACCCCCTTGTACTTCACAAAATTGCAATTTGGCTTGAATGCATTTGTCAATGGAGCCTAATTTCTTGGATACTTTAAACCAAGGCATTTTGATTCCGCTGGCACTGTCTGTATCTTACTTGGAAGTGTGTACAGGAAGAGAGAAACAATTCAGAAAAGATTCTGTCTGTAATGTACCATCCTCTCCATATGATCCCCTGCATTGCTTTACCTTGGTGATGTGTGTGGTTGTCGTTGTTGACACGGACTCAGATGTGATGGTTTGTGCGGTCAGTAACGTGCCCGAATCACCACCAGCCCCGCCATCAATCTTTGGATAGTTGGGGGAAAAATACAAAGTAATGCTTAACTTCTGTTATGTTGTCAGAGAAGATCCCCGCCCCATCGAATATGCATCTTTTAAAATCCATGTGGTTTGCGTGTTTGCAGTAGTAATTACCATCCAGGAGAGCGGCTGGTATTTGAAACCGAGTAGAGGCAAAAGGCTAGGTGCACATGGAGAAGCAAACTCAACTGTGTGAGTGGAGAAAAGAGAGGAGAATGGACATAGTAGGTGGGACTGAAAGCTACAAGGGAATTATGACAGAATTTGTCTGAAGGACTTTTGCACAAGCTAGAAAATGAAACTAGAGAGCCAGGCAGAGAAGTTTCCACAGTGACCAGAAGCGCTGAGTTTGTTGTTTTTTAAGCACAGGTGGGTAAAAATAGATAAACATTTTATCAAATTACCAAGCAACAGAACCTGACCAGGACAAACTGAATCTGCATGATTTGGTTATCTGCTTACCTCTAGCGATTGTTTTCATCAACTACATTGTTCCTGTAATAGTTTGCATGTTGTGAGCATATATACGGGCACATATATTTCAATACTGCACATACGCATGTGCTCCTACATATATATAAATCCCATACATATGTTAAAATAGATTTTAACTTGTTTGCTTTGATATTGAAAGATGCAGAAGATTCTAGAGTTTCCAAGGGGAATCAATGAAGCAAATTAATAGCCTAACAGTTTATGTTAAGATCACGAAACATATTTGCCCTCTGTTTCCTGACACTGACACGAGGAAATAACTGGACGGTCCAGAGCCTTTCTGACTGTAAGAGGAAATCTCTTTCAAACTTGGGTCATGCACCTGTATGTCTTCATTCTGGCAACTTATCACAGCACAGACACATCACTAATGCTCCCCCGCCAAGCTGTTCATAAGAAACCTATTTGTGCTTATGTGGGATCAAGGCACACACAAGGATGCCATATCCAAAATAATTTTCAGATGTGTTTCACACATGCATGCATTAAACCTTTTAAAAAATATTCTGAGAGGTCAATAACCTGACATCCTCCACCATGATACAATTCTACCACAGAAGGTTCATCTTCTAAGTGGAGAAAATATTTATTTTATATTCTATTTTGAAATCATGAATGCTTTATCTTTTTTTGTTATTCTTAAGGTTAAACATCTTAATGCTTATTCCAAATCTTTACAGAACCAATGTGTGAAAACCTAAAATCAAACACACAAATCTGATAATTATTTAGACACATGGTATCACCATTCACATATGAATGACTACATAGGTCTTTAGAAAATAATTCCACACGAAGGAGAAGCACAGGTGTGTGTGCCTGTGTGTGTTTGTGTGTGTGTGTGTGTGTATGTGTGTTATTACAAGCAAGAATGAGTTGATTGGGTCAATCTTCACGGAGTTAGAGAGGGAAAGAAGCCTAAATCACATCCACAATTAGATCGGATTATTATTAATCGATGAATTATATCAGATAAACTTTGCAAGACAATTTGTTTCCTAAGTGTACACAAACATTCTTAGATATGTCAACTCAGAAATGGCTTTCAATCATATGAACAAGATTGATACTGTCTGTCCTAAATAATCATATGTACAGTTCCCCTATAATTACTGGGTTACCAATTTAATTGCAGCTCTCTGTCTCAATCTAAGAGAACATAGCAAATTATGTTGTTGAAGTACACTTACAAAGTGCAGATACAAAAAGCTACATCAAAGCCAGAAACATGTAAACTAAGAGAAGAAAGAATGAAAACATAGATACACTAAGGGAAAAAAGAGCTCGAACAGTCCAAGTCTAGAGCTTTTGTACCTGTGGAGACTCATATGTGATGGTTTTGGTCTCAGTTTGGACAATGGGGACTTCCTTGGTGGAGATTTCTGTCCTTTGTGAGGCATCAGAAATTGTTACCATCTCTGTTTTTACCACTGGTGGCTGAGGTGGAAAAGGAAGGGAAAAATAAATTCTAGAGGTAATAAAGTAAAAGTGTTTAATGGAACCTTCACAAATAATAGTAAGAAACATATCCAAACACACACTCATGCACAAAAGAAAAGAGTAAAAGCAAACAACCTAAAACAAACAAAAGAAATAAAAGAAAAATTTTCCTTCAAATATATCATATATACACATACATACATGTGCACATAGATACGTACATATATATGAATGTGTGTATGTGTACATACACATATATGAAAAATAAGTTGACATGATGGCTTCCTAAATTATGTTACTCTTTAAATTAAGATGGTCCCAAACTACTTTTATGTCAAGCCTAGTGTATAGTGACACACACACACACACACACACACACACACACACACTCTCTCTCTCTCTCTCTCTCTCTCTCCTCCTCCCTCCTTAGCTTTGGGCAAGTAATAATAAATTGAAAAGAAAATAGAATGAACTATGTGAAGTGACTTGTCTCTATTTTTATTATAATTTAAAGGACCACATAGTTTGTGTGAAGGCTCACTGCCTTTAACTGGCATGCCAGCTAGGTAGGCTAAGATTTGTTCTTCTGCCCACAATACCTTTTCTGCCTTATTGTTAACAGACACACCATTTTCAGAAAGGATGTCTTCAAGTATTACTGTTTTCAGTTATACCTGTCTAAAATTTGCAGTGTTTCTTCTGTATTACCTAAGTTAAAATGCTCTATCTAAAATTACTCCATCAATGTTACACCAATGCTTTGAACAATTTAAAACATTAAAGGAAATATTCAACGGCTTATTAACATTTTAGTCTGCCGAGTATGCATGCTTAATATTAATGCAACACCAGACTATACTACTACCAAAATACTGCAGTACTTTCTTTGAGAGAACATTCTCAACAGGCATAATTATTTAAAGAGGAGTAACGATATGTTAAATACAGAATAGTTCAAAGTGTTCAAAGACTCTTGAAAAATCTTCTCTAAAGTGAAACAGAAGTTTAAAAGTAACATGGTTAAAATCCACTTAATTATTTTAAGACAAAGTCACTTCAACATTTTCCATCCCATCGAAGAGAACAAAATAAATCTCTGTACTGTGGGCATTTAATATTAAAATCAAGAAATATTCCCAAGGAAATAAACCCTCCCTCAGCCTAACTCCCAAATGAGAGACACTGCACTTAGTGACCAAAAAGTTCTCTTCTTTGAAAAGAAAAAGATTCATGTCCAATGTATAGATAATCCACAAAACATATAATCATCTGGCAAATACTCCAGAATTGACATCAGGATAGAATGAGAAGCGAGGATATCCTCCTATCAAATAGCCTAGCCTCTGGCTGCCTGGAAGAAAAGAAAGGCTCTTAACAAAACCATACAACCCCTGCAATCCCAAAACAGAAATCACAGTGGCATTCAAGAAATAACATTCTCATCACTGCTGGATACTGCATTCAGAGAACCACGGTAATCAGAGACTGCTGTCATTTCTAAAACTCTGAAGCTGAAGAATGAGCCAAGAAGTCAAACCCAATCATGACATCAGGGGCACACACACTCAGCAGTGACCATTTTTTTTTTCAACATTACATATACATTTTTCTAATTAAACCAAAAGGGGAAAAAAAGGCATTTAGTGTGAGGAAGCAGTGCAACTGAAGACAAAACAGTTGAAAACACCCAAAACATGCAAAGAAAAATTTAAATGTGAAAAGGGAAGGAAAAATTGATGTGGTGCTTCTAGGAAAGTTTACCCTACAGGTGTCCAGTGGCCGCAGAGAAGCTGGAACCCATGAACTGGGCGGGCAGAAAATCCACAAAGCAGTGCTTCCCCCTTCCTCCCATGAGAGAGAAAAATCAGATTCTTGTTGAAAAAAGCTGAAGAACTGGGAGGACAGGAGAAGAAAGGCAGGAGTTCCCCATCTGAGAAGCAGCTCTAGAGTTTGGCTCCCACCTGGGACTCCCATTTACCTCTGAACAACAAATAATTTGTGGCAAAACATCAATGTCAACATGGGACACCTCTCCGTTAACTTTCTGTGGCTCTTCCTCTGCTTCTTCTCCCATGTCTTGCTTAAGAGCGCCTTCGTGTACACTCTTCTCTCCGGGTATCTTTTGGGCACCTACATTTTCCTGGATCACTGTTTCTACTGTGATTACACTGGCACCTGCTTGTGTGACTGGGCTGGCTTCGGGCACTGCTTCCTCCCTCTCTACTACCTTGGCTGCCGGGCGGGGTTCTTCCTCCACCTCTTCTTCATACTCCTGTTCCTCCCTGATGGTGCCCTCGGTCACTCGGTGGTGGGGACGGTACTCTCCCACGTCTTCCTCCTCACTCTCACTGCTGCTGCTGCTGCTCTCAGAAGACAGGGAGGTGGAGTCTTTTTGTGTCACAGGCTCCACCTTACGAATCTCCCCAGGACCACTCCCAGGTGATATCTCTTTACCATTCATTTCTTCTGTGATTACTCTTTCGTCTTTCCCAACCTCTGCCCGCTTCTTCTCCTCCACTATATTCAGAGTCTCATGTGAACTCTGTACAAAAAAAGATGGATGAGGGAAAACAAAAATATATGAATAAATAAAAACAACGGAAACCCAAATTAACCGATGGCAGATTCATGTCATGGAGAAAAACAAAGATGATTATGATGGCTGACTGAAAGGGAAGCGGGGCAAACGTGAGGGCAATGAGAAACGTGAGGCAATGGTGTTAACATGGAAAAAGGGGAGAACCTTAACAGCATCCCTGGCTCCAGTGCAAGGCCCTTCTGACTCGGGAGCACGTGTCTGCAGAACAAAAAGCAACCGAGGACACAAAATCAATACAGTTTTACCTCAACAACCACTGAAACAAACATCTGACACTGCAAAGACAAAACAGCAAGAATCAACATCTACAGAAACCTCTGCTCAAGGTCACATAGAGGACAATCAAGACAAATGCCAAAAAGCTTACAAAAAGACACAAAAACAGCCAGCATCCTCCCAAAGAAGTAAAATGCTTTTATTATAGATATACCTATAAGCTCTACCTATGTAGTTAAAACAGTTTACAAAAATTGAATTATACCAAAGCTGACTCATCATTTTAAAGAAAAAAATTTAACTTTTAAAACCTAGTAACAGTTTTGGTTTTAATCAGACTATAAAGTCTAGCCTGGAACGCTGATTCTTAAATGAACACAGCACCAAGGAGATGGCACTTTTATTTTTTGCTGGTTTTCTTTAAAAAAAAAAAAAAAGTTTTAATTGGCAAAATTATAGTTAGCCTCAGAAGGCTATTAACATGAAAATGTTCATTCCAGAAATGGTTATTAACTTTCCAATTCGTATCATAGGTTGGCAAAGGCTATATTATACAATAGGGTGGGTGTCAATGGTGACTCCAAGTGTTTCCTTTTACAATTTAGCTCCTCTACTAGCATCTTTGAAATCTAAACTCAGTCAAGTTTATTATTTGACATGTTCACTCCTATCCCCTTCAGACATCTACTTCTTGGGAGTAAAGTAATTTACTCCAGTTGAGTAATATAGCACCTAAATGTTCAATAAATATCTGTTGACTTAATACATTAGGAACAAATTACTATGTTATGATATTATTAACTAGGGTGGAAACCTTTTTGTACAGAGGGGTTTTTAAAGCTTCACATTTTTCTCACACTTACAAAAAGTCTGCTTTACAATGATATAACTCAAGCATGGCCAACTTTTTGACTTCTAGGTGGTACTACTGCCTATGATCTAACTTAAAAATAATTCAGCTAGAGCCAGGAGCCCTATTTATTCACGAAAGTGACTCCATTCTGGATGGAGAAGGGCACCACACCACTGAGCCCTCTGGATATTGTTGTGAAGCTGCCAAGGTACTAACTGGACTGGAGCCTCTAATAGACAGCAGGGCTGAGTTCATCTCTCCCAGACACTTGGACAACCATGAGCTGAAGATCCTAACATCACACACACACGTCTCTGCAGCACTGTCAACGTCTACTCACAAACTCTCTTGGACCTGCCCTATTATTCTTAAACACATGGTAAGGGCATGGTTTCATTGACCCAAATTAATACCATGTAAATCACATTACTAACAGAAGACAGCTATCTTTCCAGTTTTATTGAAAACTCAGAGGTTTCTAGATATTAAACTGAAAAAACTCTCAATCTATTTTGATAAGCAGGTAAAATTTAACCATGACTACATATAATAAACATATCCAGTGACCAGAACATTTCTGAAACACACATTTCATTATTATTATAGATCAGTGAATTATTATTATTGTTATATCTTAACCTCAATTAGCTGGATAGGTTCTGCCCAAGTTCAGGGAATTCCTTAGGGTCATTCAAAAGCAATTATGTCATGGAGCATGGGAGGCACTTCAGATTTTTTCCATATAAACAGAATTTTAAAAATAACATGCCATCAGAGGATGCCTGAAATTTGGGGTTTTGAAAATGTCAACTCTGCAAAGCATATCTGGTTGAGGGTTTCCCTCTGCTTAACAGCCCAGACTCTGGAACTTAATGATTTAAATTATTCTCTGAATTTAGGCAGATTTTTTTTTTCTTTGACCAAAGAAGCAGGAGAAACATCCAATCTATATCTTTTCTTCATGTTCCAATTCAGTCATTGTTTCTTGAATGTTTCTCCCAGGAAGAATTAATTTCACCAATGAAAGCACTGGAGGGAATGGTGCCTGAATATTTAAAAAAATGAAAATCTCTCTCATATGTGGCTTTTAGTAACAGGGGAAACAAAGTAAAATGCACCTCAAGCAAGTGTGAGAAGGGCGAGGAAGAAAGCTTTTCAGAAGGTGCATTAGCGCTCACAACAGCGCCCTCTGCTGTCCAAGTGGTGGCTGAAGTGAAGGTGGCTTTCATGCTATCAGAAAAGCCCTTTTCACTAAACAAAATTGATGTTATCTCCTCTTCTAGGCTCTAGAGAGGTCAGAAAAGGAAGAGCAAAGAATTAGCAATAAGTCAGAACAGACAGCAGTGACCTATTGGAAGAAAGGAAAGGTTACACAAGAAAGAACAACAGAACAGCATAAAATGAAAGAAAAGATGAGAATTCTGACAGATTCTGGAGCAGGCTTATGAAGAGGTTTGTGAGCGCCAGCTTTTCCACCCTGCTTGAGAATCTTTGATAGTTGCGACCTCCAGAAACCAGTGAAAACTGCTTGGCTGATCACCAACTGAGCACAACCGACCCACCCAAACGCCATTTCATATATTCTTGAGGTAGTTCCTTGGCCTTTCTCTGCACGGAATGGCCTCTTCAGTGGCCCCTACACTTGAAATGCTTATTCCTGTGTTACAGCTTGGGCAGTCCTCCCTCTCCTGCCTCCAAGGCCCTTCTTTGCCCTTATCTGCACATTCTGGGCCTTTCCAGTTTTCTAACCTCCCTGAGGCCCACTTCATAGTCTGCATTTTCTGTAAGGCCTTCCCTCACCACTCCAACTCCTACAATCTCCCTCCTCAATACCACCTTAACTCTCTGTACAACAAACATTCTGACAGCAGCCCACATTCATTCCCTCAGGCGTGCTAAATATGCCACAGAGTAAATTACCCTGTCCCCTTTTTTTGCAAAAAGAAACAGGTAAAGAAAAACAATTCAAAATAGGAAGACAAACTCAGAGTTGAAAGCTCAATGAGCAACGTGAAAATTATTTCTCCCTAAATTAAACCATTAAAGCAAATTTAACTTTGCTGTGTCTGGCTCTTAAACAATGGCTCCCAACCTGCCTGAGGGACAGCAGAACTGTCCTTAGAAACTTGAAATGTCAATATTCAAGAGTCATCATGAAGCACCCCCTCATGTCAGAAGTGTGAGAATAATTCCTAATAAACCCCACTATTCAGGTTTTTTTTTTTTTTTGAGACGGAGTCTCGCTCTGTCACTCAGGCTGGAGTGCAGTGTGCCGCGATCTCGGCTCACTGCAACCTCTACCTCCCAGGTTTAAGTGATTTTCCTGCCTCAGCCTCCCCAGTAGCTGGGATTATAGGCGTGCAGCACCATGCCCAGCTAATTTTTATATTTTTAGTAGAGACGGGGTTTTGCCATGTTGGCCAGGCTGGTCTCTAACTCCTGACTTCAGGTGATCTATCCTCCTCGGCCTCCCAAAGTGCTGGGAATACAGGCGTGAGCCACCGCACCCAGTCACTATTCAGAAATCTTAAAGAAAAATCAATGACGCTCCTAAGGGGCCCCTTCATACTGTGAGCTAAGAAGGGTGAGGAGCGCAGAAAGTGAGGTGAGGAGGGTGAGGGGAGTAGGCACTTGCAATATTCAGCAGAGGAAAAAGCTTTTGGACTGACTTAACTTCATTACCATCTCTATGATTACATCGTCCCTTGGGGAAGTGGGGGTGGGTGGGATGCCCTTCCCAGTGAGAGATCACTGGGGAATTTAAAGAAGTGCCACACATTTCGTTATCCAATGACATACCTTCAAAAGTACCTTACAACTCAATGTACATAATCTCTTAGACTCAGGAGAGAATAGTCTATGCAAATTTAAGTCATCATAATTCATACAACACGTTAAGAGGATTACAATAGAGTTATTTACCCATTAAAGATTAAATGACTTGGTTTCCAATTTTCTGCTCTACTCTCAAAATTGTTCAAACTACAGCCACTTTGAAAATGCAATGTATTTTTTTTTTTTAAAAAGAAACTATTCCTGCTTTTTTAAAAAGCTATAAAAGCCCATATTATAGAAATTTGGAAAAGTGGTCAAATTATATACTTATGCATAATTTTTTTATTTTACTTTCAATAAGAATTACAATTCAAAGATAAACGAGAACCCCTGCAGAATTAACAGTAAAATGAAGATACAACAAAGACAGAAATTGAAAAGGTACTCTGGTAAAGTCAAAACACTCCCGTAGACAAATGCTCACATACTTTCAACTAATAGTAGTATGTTATTTAAAGAAAAACAAAAAAGATACAATGTAGGTGGTCAATAAATGTTTGTTGGGCAAACGGATGAATGGATGATTGTAATAAGAACAATCTATATGAATGTCAAAAAAGTATGTATTTTCCTGCATGTATTGGAGAGGAAAAGAACAGAAAAACAAGTAACTTCAAGTACAGATAAACCACTTGGGGGCTTTTCCAGATTTAAATTTCACATTAACATCACTTTAATGTGACTTCTATGACAAGATATTTTACACTGTACATTCCTAAAACATGAGATCCAGAAAAATGATAATAATTTTAAACATCTCCACTAAAATGTCAAAGTTTCCTACTGCAAAAATCCAAGGACATCACTTTAAATTTGATCGAATGATACCATGTGATTGCTTCTGAAGGACAGGTTATGAAAAATACGTAATATTTCAAAGCATGTGATATTAAAGTCCTCATTATACACATGGAGTCTAATTGGCTTTGGTTTCAGGCTAACCTTTAAAGTATATAAATATGTCACTTGGTTTAGCTTCATGACATTATCTTTCTCATTTGCAATGTTCTGAAAATATTTCATCTCAACTAGACCATAAACTCCTTATTTCTACTTATTTTGCCTCCTTTCCCAACCCTGCTACGTGTTCTGATGAATACTCTCTACCAATTAACAGAATCTACTTTGTGGAAGGGAATCACTGTTTCCTTATTAATAATCTCTGTTCTCATTCACAGCCCCTATAATCTATTCCTCATCCAGTGCCAGGGGGACTTCTGTCAGAAACAGGTGGGATTCTGCCACTACTCACCTTCAAACTCTCCAATGCTTTCCCATCATTCTTATTGTACAATTCCAAACTGTTAGCATGGCCTTTAAGATCGTGACATGACCTAGGGTCTAACCTCTTTGAATTTTCCTTCCTTCGTGCTCCCCCTTGCTCACCAAGCCCCTGTCATTTGGTCTTTCAGTTCCTGTGTTGTGGCTCGTCCTTACACGTGGATACATTTTCACATGTCCACCTGGTTATCATTAAGGTTTCAACTCAAATGTCATCTCCTCCTGACCACAATGACAAAACGGTCTTCCTAATCCCCTCCTAACACAACATTGTATTTCACCTTCTTAACATTTACTTCCTAGTGTCTGAAACTTTCCAAGTACCAATTAGAAAATTTTCTAATCACCAGCCGGGTGTGGTGGCTCACGCCTGTAATCCTAGCACTTTGGGAGACCAAGAAGGGCAAATCACGTGGTCAGGAGTCAAGACCAGTCTGGTCAACATAGTGAAACCCCGTCTCAACTAAAAACACAAAAAAATTAGCCAGACTTGGTAGCAGGCACCTGTAATCCCAGCTAAACAGGAAAGTTGCTTGAACCCAGGAGATGGAGGTTGCAGTGAGCCAAGATCATGCCATTGCACTCCAGCCCGGGCGAATGTGCAAGAGTGCATCTCAAAAAAAAAAAAAAGAAGAAAGAAAAAAAAGAAACTTTTCTAATTAACTATTTCCATGTCTCCTCCACTAGACTCCAAGCTCTCCAGTCCCAGCAAATAACAGACTGACCACCTGGCTAAGTAAAATCAGTAGAAAGAGAAGAATGAGGATGTAAAAGCAATGGAAAGTGAACTTCCTCACCAGTGTCAGAAATGTCACACATGCAGGAGCAGAGAGAGAGGTGAGGGGCTGCTATGGTGCATCAAAATCTTTGTTCCCATTAAAAATCTTACAAGTGAAAACTCAAAAGGTTTCCATATGTAATTAGTAAACTCATCATCTAAGGCACATAAGTGGTTATTTTAACAACACGACATGCATAAGTATTGTACAAACAGTGCACTTTCACATGAAATCAGTTTCCCAACTGTCAGCCACATACATCAAATTAGGAATCAGTTATCACCTAAATTGGTTGATGTTTCTGTATTTCAAATTTTGACTTTTCAAGTGCTTCTGCAATATGGTATTTCTCATCCAACAATCCTATGCTTCTATACACAGGGGATTTAACTTTTTAAATGCTCAAAAATCATTTCAAAAAAATTTTAGTATGACACACAGGAAAAAAGAAATCTTATGGCTGTGGATAGAAACAAAAGGAAAGGGGGAAAAAGCAAGAGTAGATCCAAGGGTGCAAGGTGAACACCTTGTCCGTCTCCTGAGCTTTTTCTTCAACTGTCCATATTGTCGGCATCAGGTACTTCTCCTTCACGGATAAAATATCCTTGAAAAGATGGTCTCCTTTTCTCTATTGTTTTAAACAATAGACATAATCAACAAATAAGACACATACATTACACCTATAGCAACACAAACACAAAATACTGACCCAGTGTGGGTCAATGACACACACCAGGAGAAGTGGCACATAATGGAAGGTGAAAACCTTGGCATGGCATCAGACCCTTTCTCCAGAAAACACAACATTCTGGAATAGACTGCTGAAATTGACATTTTTTATCATCTTCAGAAAAATCTGAAACTAAGAACTGAAGTTGTATTCAACTTCATAAGACTCTACCAAGCATGTCTTAATATTTTCAAAAGTTCTGTGTTTCAGTTCAGCAATTCTTTTTGCTCATCTGTTCTTAAAGAGCTTTCTTTTTCAATGGCACAAACTTAGAAATTTAAAGCAACTAACAGCTTTTCTTTTTAAGGAAAGGTGAATAAAAATAGCACTAGAATATCTAAATCAATGTCTACAATTTGGCAACATTCAAGCCAGACTAGATGCTGAAAGGAAAAAGATGAAATTGTAGGGTAACATCTTTATACCATTTTTTAAACTACAGATTAAATATAGTATGATCACTGTCCGCTCAAGTATGATAAACGAGCCCATGGAAGTTCTTGGTCAATAACAGGAGGGATTTGGAAGAATCCTAGAGGCACAGATGTGGATGACAATGAATGGAGAAATGTATTGAGAATATATCCTGAAGGCAATATGTACTCATATCAGTGGTGGGGAGAAGTAAACCATGAAAAGAAATAGAGTAAGTGAGGAGAAATGTTATGATTGAAAAAACGTTTTTAAAACACAATTCTAACATTTCATTATAAGGAAGTTTCAATACTAAGTCATATTATATATAATATTTTTCAAGCTTTCAACAGGGCTCATCGGTCTTTAAAGCTAAGTTAAACTCATTTTCCTCACAGTAATAACTTTAAACCACTCTAAAGATAGCCTATATTTCTTTATTTATTAATTATTTATACTAAGTAAATGTCCCTATTTCAGATATCAGTAACTAAAAAGCTTATTAAATACAGTATGTTAGTTTCTAAATTGTCCTATATAACAATTCATTACTACAATTTACCTGAGTAAAATAGTGAAATTATCCTAAAACTATTTCAAAAGTATTTTGAAACTCATGCAATTTACCTAAGAACTAGGCCAATAACTATTACATTGTTAATATTTAGTATTTACAAAATTGTTAGTAATTACATAAAAATAATTAAATGGGAACATTTTGTAACTTCCCTAGACTCAACATAGAGATTAACAATTTAAGTTTTATTGAGCAACTGAAGTGAGACAGAGCCAACAAATAGCTAATGACATACCCCTTGTGTCTGTAGGGACAGAGGTGTGATACGTCGTTTTTCCCATTCATTAGGGCGCGGCTCAGGTGTGGATTCCATAAAATTGCGCTTGAGTTCACTAATGCTAGCCTGATGTTTCAGTATGTCCTCCTGGGCCTTATCCAGTTCCTAGCAATATGTAACGTAACAAAGGGGGGAAAAATCCAAAAGGAAAAAACCCAGTAGGACAAAAATAAAACCAAAAAATAAGACAAAGCAAACTTACGATTAAAAAAAAAACCATAGTAAAGCAAGAAAAATGCCAAGTCTCTAAAGCCATATTATTATCTATGAGTAAGTTCATGAATTCATCAAAATTTGAAAATAAAGTCAATGCGTACTTCTTCAATGATTTACATTTTAAAGGGTTCTGATTTCTTCTCTATTTAGGATTTTTAAAGGAATAATTATTTACATTATCAGAAAGATGACATGGAACTGATCATCAAAATGGCTAATAACACTTCCTTCCAGTACCTGGATTTGAAACTCAGACTATGACTTTGTTCCAGCAAATTTACCTTTCTGATTAGGACTACTCCTAAAATTGCATTCTGTGAATATAGGAAATCAAGTACAAAATAGAGGAAGGTAGAGACTCAGAAGCACACTGGCTGGAAGAAAAAGCCAGACCAGGATCAACCCCCAGCTGGAAAAGCCAAGGTTTTTTGTTTGTTTGTTTGTTTTCAGGAAATTCCAGTGATGGCTTTTAATTCTTAAGGAATAAAAATTACTGCTTCCAGAGGCTGCTTCTGTTTAGCCTCTTTATAGAATAAATAAACCACAGACTGGTCTCATGTACTTGCCAAGCACAAAAGTGGGGTCTAGCCTCCGCAACTGCCAGATCGTCCTTATACAGACAAATATACAAGAAAAACTACCAGGTCCATTTTCATGGGAGCAGGCCCTGATAAATGGTATTTGTGGAATTTTTTTCGACTGGCTCTCATAAATAGTATTTGTTTTAACCAAATTTTAAATATTTATTTATATTTCAAAAATCATAGGGCCACCTGTGGATTATAGCTTTCATCCCACTTTAAGGAACAGGTCATGCAACCAATAAAATTAGATATTCCATATTCATGCACAAGCATAGTAGCTCATCTATGAGCTTCTATAGCCATTTGCAAAAACTCATGAAAATCTAAAAATCTTTGCATGGCATGGAAAAATGACTGTGGCTTGAGATCAGGCACATTTCTTGCATTGGTTCAAAGCAATGTTACTTATTACACTGTACAGCATTTTAGTAAGTTAAGCAAAAATACATTTCCATCAGTTACCAAGCTGCCAAAAGCAACCAAACAGATTAGTCAGATTACTGAGAGCTGCAGTTCTCCATTGAATACATTGCCACATACTACTGTAAAATAAGAAGGGAAAAAAAAATGTTCTCACGTGACACGGGGAACATATTTTACACTTTACATTCATAATTGGGTGATTGGGCTTTCTTTTTCTCCTTTCCTTCTCTCTCACTTTTGCTTGTTCTTTCTAATTAAAATAATTTCTTTAATTAGCATATTCTCAAACAGAATACTGAAAGTGGACCACATTCCCAATCATGGATTTTAACCAAAAAAAACAAAAAAAGTGGGCACAGATCAAGATCAAGAGTCACATGATTTAATGCCAGATCAATAAACAAATCTCTGTTCTAGTTAATACATATTAAGGATGAGATTGTGTTACCTCAGGTTGATGCCCTAGAGTTAACCCTTTAGGAGAGAATAGGTTTACTTGTAGAACAACTTCAAGAGTACTGGATAAAAACTTGATTCATTTGACTAAACTTTTTTTTCCCACTTGTCACTTTGAGAACTTCTAGTAGATACAGTCCTGCCTAAGCCACTTGAAAGGAACACCGTCAGGCTGGTAACATGCACTCCCGAGCTGAATTCCCCCATGCACTGCATGCACCGTGCTTGAAGAACATTGCCAGCCAGCCTAGGCGTGACCTCCCGTCCACAGCAGCCGGGCAGCCATTAGGACAGAGTTGTTTTCTTAGATTATACAAACCTCCAACATTAAATTGCTATGTCTGACATAAATATTATCCCCTTCTACTCTCAAGGAATTTTTCTGTGAAATTAAATCACACACAGGGGGGAAAAGGCAAATAAACATAAGTGTATCAATCAGCAAGCACCAAAATGACCCAGAGTTCGACAGTCTAAGACATTAAAATAAAAGAGGAATACAAATCTTATGAACTTAAAGCCACAACAAACACAACTCACAAATAAACCCTGAGAGTGGACCCTCCCCACACAATACTAATGGCAGGCAGCAGTCATGAGATGTTTAACTTTAGGGAAAACTCAGCCACCTCTTCCAGCTGCGTTTCCTCTTCTTCCATCTTCGCCTGAAAAGTCACACAGCAAACGGCCAGAAAGAAGGGGAGTATTAGTGGAAACTCTACCATCAGTGCAAAGAAGCTGTATTTGAACTTAAATGGTGAACCAGTGTTACCAACCTTTACTGTGAGGCCCTCAGAAGATGCAGAATATTAAGCCTCTTTGGTCTTTCTTCACCTACAGTGTTGTACGAATGATGGAAATGATCCTTTGCAAAGGTGGAATGGAGGATGGAAGCTTCACTCTTTCTCAGTCCCTAGATTATGCTCTGCTTTTGAATATTTTGTACTCAGGAACAAGAATATGAGAGTGCAAAAATGGCATAATTCAATCTGTTCTAATTTGAAATGTCTAAAGCAACTAGTGATGGGGTAAAGTATAATGATGTAAAATTCGTTTTTAGCTTTATATTGGGGAACAAATGTTCAACCTATGATTCAGTTTGTTAAATATGGATTTCTTTTCTGGCTGGGGGAGGGGGATTGGCTTATTTAACTAGTTTCATATTAAAATGGTGGGTATTTAAAAATAATCTTTGAAATATAACCACTTACATAAAATTCTTTAAATAAGAACAGTTTTTCATAGTTGGACATTTCTCAATATCTGATGATTCAAAAGAATGAATGTAGAAGTTTAAAACTAACAAATACTGACTGAATTTTGACTCAAGGGAAAAAATGGTGAGAATAAAAATATTGACTCCCTTATCAAAGGCAAATCATTTAACCTTTATAGGTTAATTCCTAATATATATCCTTTTCCTTCTTAATTAGGATGATAGTGTCAAATCTGAGAGTTCAAACGGCTTACCTTTTTAACCATTCATAGTATTTTTCAGAGGTAAGCAAGGAGCTCAGAGTCTTTATCAGATGTGAAAAATGAGACACAGACATTCAATAATCTGTTAAGAAACATCTTCCAACTCCTTGGTCAACATTTAATTCCCTAAAATGTTGATCTTTGACATTCCTCAGGTAAACTTTTAACAATTGTCCTACAATGCATACTCACTGCAATTATCTTTACATTTTTCTTTAGGTTTGCTCTAAATTTTGTGATTTACTGTATGTATTGGTAGGATCCATAGAATATGAGGCACTAAATCACCAGGCCACATTTAACAAAATAATCAAAAATATATTGTACATGTTAATGCTGACTTAGTAGCACAGAGGTAGGATACTTGAAAAAAATTTGCCTTATATAGGGGTAAAAATCCTCAAACCAAACACCTAATTTTAAATAAAGGAGCACTATGAGGCCCAATCTTAGTGTTATATAGTCTAAATTTTCAAAAAGCCATGTTTCACTTTTCACATACATTTGTTAAAGACAACAGAATAGTACCTTCCTTATAAAATACCCTATAGTGACTCTTATATATAATTACATAATTTAAGGTTAGAAAAAAAAACTAGCTAAAATTCATCTGGTCTCCAAATACTACAATAATAGGGAGATAAGGAGCTTTTGAGATTAGACTTACAAATGTCAGGAGTAAAGGTTACAGATACATCCTCATAGATGCTAGAACACACTTGGGTTTCCAACAAGAGAAATAACAGTACTAAGGAATTCTACTAATATACATCAGGAACAGTTATGTCCACTGCATCCTAAATTCTATATCAAAACAAAAAGATGTCATCCTAAAGGAACAGCATTAATATCTGTTTGCAAAATGGAGAGACCCTGTATGGATTGTTACGGGCAATACAGGTTCCCTCCTCCTTCCCTCCTCCCCCACACCTTCTGTTACAAATCTACTTTGATCTAGATATTTGTAAAATAATCCTACAATTTCGCTCCTAACTTAGAATGTGTGGAACTGGTCAATGGTATCAATGAAGGAGAAGTGTCTACACTTATTTCTCATGCACTAAAATATTGTGTGTGTGAAAATGTGCAGGTACTACTATGTTGAGGGTAATCAGTGGTGAAATGTATGCACACATTTACACTCTATATTAGGAAGGGTTTAAGATAAAGTGTATTGTGTTGACTCCACAAACTGAGCTTACGTAGGCATGCCAGCAACTACTTCCTCTTCCTCGAGCTTGTCATTCAAGTCACAGTCATAAGAAACATTAAAGGAGGCGGCTTTAGCCTCCAGATAGCAGAGGGATAGAGCCAGAGGAAGGGAAAAGGCAAGAGAAAAAGGAACTGACTGAGAAGCAGACAGAAGTAGCCCAAAGATGAGGATAAGGGAAGGAATGAATGAAGGGGAGGTGATTGGGACATAGTGCTGCACACCAGCGGGGAGGAAGGAGACCCAGACCTTGGGGAGGCTGGGGAAAGCAAGATATCCATCTTCATCAAGAAGGGAGGGGAAGCCGGAGGGAAAACATTTGGAGAAACTGAAGGAGAAGTAACCAAACTCAGAATCACTGTCGTCAGCTGCTTTAAGAGTCTTCCCATGGATGGGAGAAGGACAGTCAGGCTGAGAAGGGGCTATGGCAGAATCCAAGACCAAATCAGGCATAGCAACTTCAGAATCCCCCTGCTCCGATATTTCACCTGTGGAAAGGTGCTCTAAGCTGTCTAGTGTGATCTGGTCAGCCTCCCCAAAGGGGTCTTCCTCTGAAATGTCTGAAAGCAAGTCCATTTCAGGGACAGGCAATAGGTTTGGGGAAAAAGATGAAGTACGGTGGATGAGAGGTGAAGGTGGGCACATGGAAACAGTCTATTCTCAAGTGCAAACCCATGATTGAATATGAAATTACACAACAGATACAATCAAAGGAAAAACAGATGCAAGAGAGAAAGAGGACAAAAGAAAAAATGAGTAGTTAGTGAAAACGTTTACTTTAAAGGAGGGACCATATTAACACAGTGTAGTTAGAAATGAATTAAATGACCCATTTTTAAAGAGAAAAGACTAGACTACTTGTGTCACATAAAATTTATACATATGACTCATTTAATTATTTTCAAACTAGTTGCAAATAGATCCCATGAAACTCAAACAGCATTATTTACTTTTAAACCTGGTTGCTGACAGACATTCAAAGCATTAGCAAAAATGCCAGTGTACCCAGTTGTTCACCGCAGACAAGGAGGATTTCCTTTGAAATTTAAAAGAACTTTTTCATTTTTTAAGGAAAATAACTAGATATGTCAAGTTAACTAGGCAAAATGGAACAGAGATATTCTGAAATGCTGAGCTCTTCTGTTTCAGATGTAAGCAGTCACTCTCCTGGGTGCCTTGTTAGCAAAATTTTTAAAGAACTATCCTGACAACTTGTCAGCAATTGAAAGAAACCTTGTTGGTCACAATTTCTGTTATTTTTATCTGAATTCCCCACCAAATAATTTTTCCATATGACAGTCACAAATTCTTTAACGATGGAATGTCGATGATTTGATGTCACTTGCTATACAGGTAGCACTTGACCTTGTGGCACAAGACTGGGCCCATGTGGTGGTCCCTGAGACCTTCTCCATGCTGGGCCTCAGAGGCTATCAGTGTAGGAATTCCTGAGGCACTGGCAGCTACTTCATCTAGCATGTCTTTATACATTTATGTCTTTTAAAAATTTTCAAAGTTAAAATTTAGAAAACACTATACGGCCGGGCTCAGTGGCTCATACCTGTAATCCCAGCACTTTGGGAAGCTGAGGCAGGTGGATCACTTGAGGTCAGGAGTTCAAGATGAGCCTGACCAACACGGTGAAACCCCGTCTCTCTAAAAATACAAAATTAGCCGGGCACGTGGTGGCAGGCGCCTGTAATCCCAGCTACTTGGGAGGCTGAGGCAGGAGAATCACTTGAACCTGGGAGGCAGAGGCTGCAGTGAGCTGAGATCGAGCCATTGCACTCCAGCCTGGGCAACAAGAGCGAAACTTCATCTCGAAAAAATAAAAAAAATAAAATAGAAAACACTATGAAATCAATATGATGGATTCATTTGTTTTTATCTGTGCTTACTTCCAATGTTGCATGCAAAAAAAAGTCGCTTTGTGCAGACACAGAAAAGAGATCTGAAGAATTCAAAGGCTTCTCAAATCAATATTCAAGTGATGTTACTGCCCAAGGTAACAAAAGATAACAGTGACACATTTGAGAACACAATATGGGTTACTTCTCCATTTCACCATGGTGTACGCACAAGATAAAGCCAAAAGCAACACACCATGTTCTCACTCTCTATTCACAAAACAATTACCTTTTCTTGAGAATTTCATTAATTATAGATCATTAATGAATACATTTGTTCATAAAGATTATCTTTGGTGATGTAAAAAAATTCAAGTCAATAATTAAAATAATCAAGAAGCTACATTTTAAATTTTACTTGGACCAAACCAAAAATAAATTTCAAATCATCATAGCTTTTCTACTTTGAGGATTCAATTAGATAAGGTGATTATGAGGACAGTCAAAAAGGCCAGTAAATTACTTACTTGCATTAAAATAACTTACATTGAAATATTCTGCTTTGAACAACAATCAAAGGTTAGAGACCACTATGCATATTTGAAAACATAAATGACCAGCAGAGAACATAGAACAACTAATTTTAAATACTTGATTTCTGAAACAGAAAATACAACAGATACCCTCTAGGTTAAGTAAATGTTTAAAACCACATACTGTGCTAATTTACCATACCTTTCCTTCAATGAGCTGCAAATGTGGGGCTTTAGTTGGGCTTCTCACTTCCCTCCTGCCGTCCCCATCTTGTACCACGGCAATGCTGACAAGTCCAGGTCCATAGGCTGAAATCTCCCCAGCAGCGCCAGGAAAATCCTTCATAAGACTTTGGTCCATGACACCAATCGGAGCTAGTAAAGAGTGACAATTTTGGATTATTTTAGGACATATGAATCATAAACTTTATGGAAAATTTCCCCCTTACAGGAGATAAACAGGCAGCATATAAATAGTGAACAGGAACAGAGACATTGCTTGAGCTCTGAAAATACCCACCATATAAAATAAACTAATTTTTAAACGTTTACCAAATTCTGAAAGTATTCTGAATTTTAATGCACTGAGCTACACCAGGGTCTCAAACCACAGGTATTGGAAGGATAAACTCAGATCATGGAACTGGCCAGTAGGAGGAGCTCTAAGACCAGCTGAAACACCAGAGTTAAGGCAAACAGAATTACAAGGTAAGCAGTATTTTAACTCTTTGGTCTCCTACGATTTATTTCTGAATCTATCTATTGCAACAAATGATTATGCAATTATTAAGATGATTTGCTCCAATAAGTTTTAAGAATTGCTCCATAAAGGAACCTTTAATTTGAATACCCTTCAAAAGAAAAAATAGTAAATAAAAGACAGTAAAGGTAAATTTTAGGGATTTTAACTTCTATATTTATGTTTAATATTTTTTATTTTTTAATCCCCTTCCTCAATGCCTTAACACGAACTATGGTAAATCTATACATAGACACCTCCCTCATCCCAGAAAACCTGGCCCTCATGTGCTCTCTTCTTCTCTCCTACAGATAGGCAGAAATGTACATTGTATTGAAAATTCTGTCATAGTGCAGATCAAACCAAGACTACCTCAAACATCAGCAAGGCAAAGTGAGTAGTAGGTGGCAGGACCTCTGTCCATCTGTAGCTCCTCCCCAAACAACAGAACTACCACAAGGTCATTTCACTTTACATAAAAAGTACTCTACGGACACCATGAAGTTTACTCTGGTTCCATGTCCTAAGGGAAGCCTGGTCAACACAAACACCTTTAGACTGCAAGCTCTTGGAGGGCAGGATTGTGTGTGAACTACCATACTGAACTTGAGAGGCCTCAAGCACTTTGAATACATGTATCCCAAGCTACCTCTCAATCCACAGCCTTCACCTGCCCTGTCCAAAACTTAATTCTTTTCCAGTCTTGCCCTTTTCACAAAACGCTCTTCTCATATTTGCTCCCATTTGCTTGAACTGGGAACGTGAACATCTTCCAAGACTCTTCACCCCTCAACACCAGCAAGTCCAACAAGGTCCTTGTATATATTTCTAAATGTGGCCAGTTCTTTCCATTTCTAATTCTACTACCTCACCTTGTGGAGATTTTCCCAGCCCTTAAATACTCACACTTTGAATGCCCATATCAAATCATAGTCAACATTAGAATAAATTTGCATTTTACATTAAGTATAGTTATTTTCCAGCGGTTTTTGTTGTTGTTGTTGTTGTTGTTTGTTTTTGAGACACAGTCTCGCTCTGTCACCCAGGCTGGAGTGCAGTGGTGCAATCTTGGCTCACTGCAACCTCCATTTCCTAGGTTCAAGCGATTCTCCTGCCTCAGCCTCCTGAGTAGCTGGGATTACAGGCACGCGCCACCACGCCTGGCTAATTCTTTGTATTTTTAGTAGAGATGGGGTTTCACCATGTTGGTCAGGCTGGTCTCAAACTCCTGACCTTGTGATCTGCCCTCCTTGGCCTCCTAAAGTGCTGTGGTTAGAGGTGTGAGCCACCGTGCCCAGCCTCCAGCAGTTTTTTTTAATAAAGAAACTTCTAACAAGATCTAAATAAGTTTCCCTTGGAAAGTATATGGCTATGATTAATTCTTTTGCTTACAATTATGATTTCTACACACCTATTATACATACTCAGAAATTTTGCAAAATGAAAAAAATCTGACCTAGAAATGGCTTCAAATGTAATGATATTAAAATTTGAATATCAAATTAAAAGTTATTAAAGTTGACAAAATGCTGACTTTGCATACTTTTAAACACTTATTAATTTCAGCATGCAGTTTCTTGTATTTTGAAGCCGATACATTTATTCAGGTCTTAAACATCTGAGAAGCTTGTAGGCCCTGGCAGAGCCCAAGATACCAAATGGCTAATTGGCCTACTCCCACTAAAGGGAAGACCACCATCGCTTTCACCTGGACCATTCCTAACCAGCCTGCCTGCTTCCTTGCTCAATCTAATTGTTCTCTTGCATCAAATGATTTTTTTTTTAAAAGATAACGCTGTGCTCTTGCGGGCACATAAACCCACATAAACCCTTCAATGGTTTCCTAGAGCATATGGAATAAATAAAAACCACATTCTTCACCATGGCCTCCAAGGCCCTGCATGATCTGACCCAGGCTTACCTCTCCCGCCACTTCCTAAGCTCTGACTGCACTTGCCTTCTCTCTGTTCCAGGAATGTATCCAGCTCTCCCTCACCTTATAGCTTCATCGTTGCCGCCTCTGCTACCTGGAATGCTTTATTATTAAATATCTCTTGTCCTTTCCTTGGCTGCCTCCTTCTCATCCTTCAAGTCTCAACTGACCTGGTTCTTCCTCAAATAGGCCTTCCTTCCCTGATGATCCTATTTAAGTAACGTCCCTGTTCATTTTACTTTCCACCTTCAGGAAATCACTTGGTTCCTCAACCCCCAAATGCATCTTGGTTGTTGGTTCTCTTAAATGACTGATTTGTCTTCTTTGGGGTTTGATTTTCTAATCTCGGAGGGGACTCCCTGTCCTAAAACAGCTGTTCTAGATTGATTTTCATTTTGATATTTGATCTTTAGATTGAATCCCACTTTTCACTTGCTATGTAATCATAAGAGGATTTATTTTAATTTGCCAAACTTTAAAGTGAGGCTAATATACCTAAATTATTCTAGCCTTACTTAAAAAGTAAACAGGAAAAAGAAAATACAATACATGAAGACTACAACAACAAATGGTATGTTGATAAGGAGTGGTAAAGAAAATAAAAGCTCAGTGCCAGGTTACAGCCTAGCTTTGCTCTGGGGGAAAAAACGGAGAATATAAGCCCTAATCAAAGAGTTCACTGGCTGTCTGGTCATGTATTGGCGTTAAAAGCCTCCTATTTTTCACAATAACACAATAATCCTTTTGATGACTTACCCATCTGATGAATTACGGCCTCCAAAACACAAAGAGAAAAATAATGGATTACTGTGCCATGTTTGTTGTTTTCACTTGGAAAAATCATTGTTTTCAGATACAGACCTCCTGTAACCCTCTGCACTAACTGCCCATACAAGATGGTGGATTTCCTTGAGCACAGTTTGTATACCTCAAAGAAAATGCTGTTTTACTGCTCTTTTTAAATGCTAAACTTTGCAATATAAGAGTTATACAGCCTCACAGTTTCAAACAAATGCTGAAAACAGACAGTGTTCCAGAAAGAGCAATCATTTCTCTCAGGGTACTAAACAACAGTGACTGCATTTATTCGGCACTTGTATAAATTCTCTGTGGCAAGGGGCAAGGCTTGGGAAATATTTACATGGGTTGGCACATTTTTCAGATTTACTTGGAAAAGTGCTCAGTTGTTGAAGACCTAAAAGATACTTTAGCAGTGATAGTACATTAACAATCAACTGAATTTAAATCATTTCCACAATTCTGGAAATTTGTTTAAAGCACAGTTCACCACCCCCTTGCACATTTCAGGATTTAATAACTATATACCAAAATCCCAACCAACAAATCCTGGCAAATATCTCTATGTGTCCACCTGCATTTGTTTTCCAAGTTTTTCTTCTAGAAAAAGCAGATGAAGGCAATCCATATGAATCCTTCACTATTAAGAAAGCTTTTTCATCTGTTAGCATTATTTGATCTGTTTTACTCCAATTATTTAAAATATAAGTTGTTCGAGCATATATTTCAGAAAAATACAATAGACAAGAAAAAATGTTTCTGCTAATAACTAGTAGTAAAATACAATTTTCAAATTTAGTATTATTATTATATATATATTTTAGTTCAATCAACCAAAAATGTTGGAAAACTATTTCTTTGGGTAGAAAATCATCCATACTAATCATTTTCTATTACAAAGAAAGAATATTCCTTCACAAGGCATTCTAATATAAATTTAACCTTAGCTCTTTTATAGAAAACCTATTATTAACCCATTTTGGACCAGGTAATTTATATATATATTTTTCCATGTGTAGTTTATATAAAACTTATTTCATGTGTAGTTTATATAAAACTACAAAATGTAGCTAATTAGAATTCTAATAGAAAAAAATTCACATTTATACATATTTTCCCTTGGGCTAAAGAACAAACAAACACATTATATTTACTTTTTGTTAAAATGCTGTATTTAAAATGAATCCTTTGAAGCTACTAAAGCTTTCTCATAAGATGGAAAGTTTGGTAAGTTGTTTCACTCATGAAAATTTGCTGATGCAGGGAATGTTTTATGTTCGTCTGGATTAAGGTTCATATGCTACCATACGAAAAAATCCTTAGAATTACATTTTGCCATTAATTAAAAGGTTCAGGAAATTGAACCACATAAAACACATCATGATCAAGAGAAATCAGTAAAACATATGTGTCCAACATCTCATAAATGAGAACTCTTAACAAATATTTGTGTGCACTGACAATACAGGTTGAGTATCCCTTATCTGAAATGTTAGGGACCAGAAGTGTTGCGGATTTCTAATATTTTTTGTATTCTGAAATATGCAATATATATACTTAGCAGCTGAACACCCCAAATCTGAACATATGAAATCTGAAATGCTCCAATAAGCATTTCCTTAGAGCATATGTCAGTGCTCAAAGGCTTTCTGATTTTGGAGCATTTCAGATTTTGAGATATGGAATGTTCAACCTGTTTTAAAACAAAAAAAAAGAAAAAAGTGTGACAGCTT
This sequence comes from Homo sapiens, assembly GCF_000001405.40. NCBI lineage: Eukaryota > Metazoa > Chordata > Mammalia > Primates > Hominidae > Homo > Homo sapiens. The sequence continues at coordinate 130,890,097 of NC_000006.12, forward strand.
CAAAAAAGAGTAACAACTCTAAAACACAACAAAATTATTCTCTTGTAGGTGTAAGTAATAGCATTTTATTTACTCGGGAAAAAATGGCTATCCCTGTAGGGTATTTCTGGTGGCTTTATTAACTGGATTAACATTTTCTGACCTCATGGGATTAGAGAAAGATGAATGAAAATCAAAATTATCATAAATGTGTTTACCTCCATCTAGACTCCTGGAGACCCGTTTACTAGAAGTGCGCTCAAAGTGTGGTGCTGGCCTATCTATGAGGGTGCTGGCCTGGCGGGTCTGTGCTTGGGTGCGGCCACTATAGCGAAATTTGGACCCCAAGGTCAGGAACTTGGCTTTTGGTGGCTGCTCTGGAGAAACAAGCCTATGGGAGGAAAAAAAAAAAAAAAGAGAGAGAGAAAGGGGAAGCAAAATTAGACTTTACGGAATTTTTTAAAAAAACTTTAAAGCTATGTACTTTCATATCTCATTTTAAGTATGATTACTCAAAAACTAAACTTTCTAAAGAACATTATTTATAAACCCTCCTACACACACAGCTTTATGATGGTGATGAGTAAATCCACATTCATGTATTCATGAATAATGTTCTTCTCCACCTAAGCAAAGAAACAGCTGTTCTCAGTATATCAAAGGTTATTTATTTGTATTAGCTTAAATCATTTATATAAACACATGTCTGAATTTTTGCTTCTAGCTATAAGCGCCAAGTAACAATCCATTACCATTAGTAATTCTTAATATTTATGCCTATTTCTCCTGGGAAGAAAACATCTAACTCAGGAATCTGTTCCATTAAGTGATTCTTTCCCATGAAGAACATGCCACACAGTGGATCTGTAGAGATGGCTAACACCCCTTCTTGCCAGCACAATTCTACTGCTTAATCCCTGGGTTCATAAAGAATGAAATCAAACTTTCTTGATGTCAAATATTTCTAGGCTTATACAAAAGCATGTTTTTAGCAAATGGACCAATCTTTTTGGGAGTTCAACTGAAATTATTTTGCTCTCTTTGATCAAAAGTTGACAAATATCTTAACAGAAACATAATCTCAGAGCTCTTAATTTATTAAATAGGAAGACTTTTGTTGACAACTCAAAAACATGAAGAATTCCACCGAAACTTTTCCTATCATTTACTATGGAAGAGTGATTTCTTAAAGAACACTATCATTTCAAGTATTTCTAGACTTTCTGTACAATTTTTTTAGAAATCATCTTCTGCAATAAAGAAAAAAAAAAGAATCCCTGTACAACACTCAGAATGGTGACAGGCTCTATTAAATGCTCCAAGCAAGGGTGTCAGCTTTATTTATTTATTTATTTACTTACTTACTTACTTACTTACTTATTTAATTTTTTGAGAAGGAGTCTCGCTCTGTCACCCAGGCTAGAGTGCAGTGTTGCAATCTCGGCTCACTGCAACCTCCGCCTCCCGGGTTCGAGTGATTCTCCTGCCTCAGCCTCCTGAGTAGCTGGGATTACAAAGGTACATGCCACCATGCCCAGCTAATTTTTGTATTTTTTTAAGTAGAGACACAGTTTCACCAGGTCAGGCTGGTCTCAAACTCCTGACCTTGTGATCCACCCGCCTCAGCCTCCCAATGTGCTGGGATTACAGGCATGAGCCACTGTGCCCGGCCATATCAGTTTTATTACTACATTCTTATTCCACTAGTATCAATCTAGCTGATTGGCTATCAATTAATAGATCTGTTTACAGATTAATGGCTTCAATCTGCAAGCCACCGTAATTTTCTAAAGAAATCATTTGTACCTTTCATGATAAACTGAAACAGAATAAATTCCACTGACCTGATTCAAAGCAATCTATAGACAAAGTATGACTGGCCCTTTGTGTTAGATATATTCTTTTATATAGCTTTGTAAGCAGCGTTATGCAAGGTTTAAAAATTTAAAACTGCTTTTGTTAACCATTATATCAAAAGTTTGCAGGAGCAAATTGGTCTACTTTTAAACTGGAGTCCATGGTACATTAGCAAAAATGAGGAGGCCTGAGGCTTTGCACAGCTAATGCACCTCGGAAACTCCTGCTACAAGAATACAAGAAGAGGACAGCACAGAGGTGAGGAATACAGGTGTCAGAATCAGGAAGCCCGGTCCCCATCTCTGCTCAGATGCCTGGCTGCTGTGCTCCTCCACAGGCACCGATCTCTAAGCATCAGTTGTCTTGCCTAGGGCGAGAAATAGACCACGATATAAAGCAATCAATTCTGTGTCTGACTCTAATAAGTGTTCAATGAATGCTAGCACTTGCCATTTCTGAACAGATTATTGCTTTTTTTTTTTTTTTTTTTATCATTATGTGACAGGGAAAGCTGTTGTCTGCCCAGCTTGGACCTGTGTCATAAATGTCATCTACTAGCTTTATATGAGCTGGCTCATGTTGTCTGGAGGAGAAATTTGTTATGGCTACCAAGAAAAATTATAAAGTTTTCAAAGATTTATATGATCAGTGTAACTTGAGGGATTCAAGCATATTTTATGAGTTATATTTCTCCTCAAAAATTAACATATTAGTCTTGAAAAATAGATATTATCAATTTAACGTCAAGAAAGAATCATGTGTGCCAGCTGATAATTCACATTAAAAATAGCAAACTGTGATACCAAACGAAGAATAATGATAATGGTGAAGATAAATTTTATGATATGCCAGAAATGGTTCTAAGTTGTTTCATGTGTGTTATCTCATTTAATTTTCAAAACAATCCTATGAGGTAGATACTAGTATTACTATCATATATGGATGATGGAAGTGAAGCAGAGAGGTTGGTATCACGGTGACACAGCTCGTATTTGGTAGAACAGTATTAGACCATAAGTCCAGAGCAAAAACCTTAAAGATGAAGGATCTAGATACACAGCTAGCTAAACTGCAGTGAGAGAAAACTGAGGAAACGGAGAAAACAAAGATAAGCAAACTACATGTAAAAAACATGTCCTTGAAGAAAAGTATAAAAAGAGACAAGATACAAGCTAAAGATGGTTAGATGATCAAAGATTTTATATACAAAATCTTATATAACCATATATACATATTTGTTGTTGTTTTTTAAAGAGCAAGATGTGGACATATTTATTGGCCAAAGAACCTAAAGGTACCCACTAGGGAACAAATAATTTACAAAGCAGGATAATTTAAGAGGCACAAAATGAGGGATCAAAGCAGAGGAATGATTATCTCCTCCTTGAGACAGGAGAAGTGGGAAAGAATGAATGGGAGGAGAGAGGAGCGATGCTTCATTAAAGGCAAAAGGGAAGAAGGGAAGGTGCATGAAACCAAGAACACTCATGCACAGCTTCTTCTTTCAGTGACCCACACAGTGGAGGGCATCAGAAGAGGAAGCAGGGGTGCCTAGGGACTCACGAGGACCATGAGCATTTGGAGTGGCAAAGGAAGTCAAAAGACAAATTGCTTGCCTAGCAGCACTGAGGATCCAGCTCATGCTGGAAATTATTTATCTGTAATAGCACTAATCCATAGAGTTGTGCTATTTTTTGTTATATAGAGTAACTGCATGTGTCACAATGGTTGTACTATTTTTAAGGTAGCACTTGGACAGCACAGGTCCAAAACTGGTGAGGTCAGGACACAGGACTAATCCAGGACTAGCAGACAGAGAAGGTAAATGTGCAAAGAGGAGAGTAGTTTGAGGGGGTCAGAACGTTCCTGACAAAGCAGTCAGACCATAGGGTTCAAGTTGGTTTGGGAAAGAAGTTAAGTCAGGAGGCAGCTGATGAGAATATCGAAGTGAAACCTAAGAGGAGGGATAGTGGAAAGAAGAATGGTAGCAGGCATGAGGCAGTGTGGCTGTGGTGGAAGGAAAGGTGGTTAGAGTCAGAAAGTGGAGCTCTAGACAGCTGCAGGGGCAGCTCAGTTATAAATGACAATGCATGGACAGAAATGGACCTGGGAGGGACTGCAGACAAAGGAGATGAGGCAAGGAGGGGAGAAAAGAGTTCAAAGACAGTGGGTTAATGCATCTGCCACATTCCCCACCACTACCACCTCCTAATTCACAGAGGTTACTAAAAGCAATACCAAGCTGTTTTCTTTCTTTCTTAGAAAAAAAGAGAGATGGAGTCTCAGTATGTTCCCCAGGCTGGTCTCAAACTCCTGGGGTCAAGTGATCCTCCCACCTCTGCCTCCTGAGTCAGTGGAATTACAGGCATGTGCGATCATGCCCGGCTTCCGAGCTGTTTTCCTAAAATTACCTGTAGAAAGTATGATGCTCCACGCACACTTTCCATAGTCTTTTCGCTGCCCGGTGGTTTGGCAGTTTGAATCCAATGGTACTCTCAAACTGTTCCAGCTGGAATAAATCCGTAAAACAAATCAGCATATTTCCTTAAGAACTGACTAGAAGTTACTGAAAAGCATGCATTCAGATGTTTCTGTGAGAAGCAATTATTCTTCTCAAAAAAGGTAAATATTGCATATCTAATATAATCATATAAAGATGAATTTCATAGACTGCAATACTATTTTCTACAAAAAGCAAGTAACAACGGCTCACATAAACCAACTATCCTTCAATGTTCACTAAAACTCATCTTATTGCTTTCCTAATGATCACAACTTAATTGATTCAACAAGAAAAAACGAGCCCACACCTTATCACATTTTCTTTTTTGTAAAAAGCGTGATGGTTGCTTTTTTTAAAAACAGACCAGACGTATATATACTGCAATTTTACCATTAAGAACCCTGACCTTTTACAATGGAAGAATAAATAGTTTATTTTCTTAAAATTTTAGAATTAATAGAAAAGAATTTTTAAATTCATGGTCGTAAACAGGCCGACTAACAACAACTGATTAGAAATGTCTTGGCTTACCTCTGCCGGTCTGACTTTAATGTAGAAGTTACTGCGTTTATAGGAAATTTTTAAGATTTTCGGCCAAGCAAAACGATTGATTCGCAGTCTGTCTTTGTAAATGAGAAGTCCATTAGCACACACGCCCAGCTTGATGTCCACACCTTCTGAGTCCTGCCAAGCATAACCCAATTAACCATGGTTAAGAGCTGTGAAAGTTACACAAATCAAGAAGCTAATTAGCTCCCTCAAATCATGATCAGGAATGACAGTTTAACAGGTTTGTATTTAAAGTTTAGTGACAAGTACGCACGTTAATGAAAACTATGGCGCACACACATACATGTTAAATTTATTCATCTTCAGGGATCAGGTGTGATTTGCCGAAGAGTTACGGCAACATGACCATAAGACACAGTGTCCTTCAAAAGGCGTAATGCATATGTTCTCAAGCTCCACTGTAGGAGCTAACAGAGAAGAAAGGAAGCAGAACTAGAGATCCTGAAGATACGGGAAATAAAATGAGCTTTTCCCGTAGGCTAGTCCAGCCTCAGGGACAGTCTGTTGGCCTACCCTAAGATGTGTTCAACCATTTTCCTTTAGGTGCATTTACCTCAGATGGATTACCCTAGCTAATAGCTCTTAAAATTATGCCAATATTTTGCAAAACACCAATCCCTTGCAGATAATTTCTCTTCCAGGCTGACAGTGCTGAAATCTCTGAATTCTTTCAAGCAGTTTTTCATTAACTTAGAATGCTGACATCCAGTTCTCATTAGGCATTCCTTTGGCTGGCACGTTTCAAAGGACTGCAGACTATTCTTGAAGTTATTAATAGTTTTCTTTCCCTAGAGCTTTAATCTGGAATCGATGACAATCTAGAATAATCACAGGCCTAAATTATGTTTTAAAAACCAAACAAATTTACAGGCAAAAGTGAAAACCTGTCTCCTCACATTTCAAGTAGTGAAGATCTAAGATGCATGTATTCAAAACATACAAATTATTGTTTATCTCTAAGAGGAGAGCTGGCTCTCATTCAACATATGTAAAATTGAAGACTACCGCTCAAAGACATTCACATTTTCAGAAATCACAAACAATACGAAACAAATTCTCACAAAAAATGTTGCAACAAACCCCATATTTAGTCTAACTCCCAATTTAATAAAAGGACATTTTGTCTATCTTATTACTCAGAACATTTTGATACCATTTAAATCAGTTTTTTATAAATAAAAGTATAGTATTAGCTAATTGATGCCAGTTGCTTTCTCTGCTGTGACACTTGAGTAATTCATATATACAAATAAAATTACATTAGACCAACTTGAGCCATTTTAAAAAATCCAATCAATTGCTTTACTCACCCTTATCTTGGCAGCCACAACTCTCTCTAGGAATAGACTAAAAAGCTGGGGTGAATCAGGCACAGGTGCCCAAGCAACTTGGCACCAGACCCCATGGTGTGTTTGCCAAAACCATCACTGCCCATGGCCACCGGGAGCAAGGCAGAAGATTGCCCGAGACGGCATGTTCTTACCACAAGTGGGGAGGCAACCCGCATTTGAAACATTGAATGAGCCATCTCTAGTCTGAAGCAATCTTTGGACAGGACAAGGAAGCTATTTTATCTGACTTAAAAATAGACACAACGCAGATTCAAGTAAATCAGTTGATTTTTGTTGTTCTATGTAATTATTTTAGAATTACCAGTATTTGTGTGAATAGAAACGACAGATGAAGGGTAGGAAGTGAAAGAGGAAAAGGCAGGCCTTGATCCTTCACATGTAAGTTATGCCACATGGTATCAAAATCAGAAAAATAAACTAATGGAAAGGAGCACCTTCTCTGCATTGCTCACTGCTCCATGGAGCAATGCATGGGGCAATGCATGGAGATGGCTGGCTTTCAAATGAGTTCAGTATAAAGGGAGTTCTTGCAAAGGATCAGGAGAGAAAGGAAAGGGAGGTCAGGGTGTTTAATATCCAGATTCCCTCCCTACGTGGTCACCTCAGGCTGACTATGTCCCTCTGACAATGGCTCCCCACAAGACGGCCCTCTCCACACATATCTCTCCTTGGGAGTTTTGGAAACCACTCTGCCCTCCCTCCTTCAGACAGACCTAGAGAGATTAGGATAGCTGCAGATACTATCCTGGGGCTACCACGGGTGTCCCGCTTCTCTTATGGTTTCTCTGCACCTTTGTTGAGATTCCTTTTATTTAACTCTCTCCAACTCATCCTAACATGAATATGACATTACAAACTCTTCTAATTAAAAAAAAAAATCTGATTTTAAGGCAATGAAAAATAAAGACACAAAACTTTAAACGACATGAAATATGAAAAGTTCTTTTAAACTGCCACATATATTCTTTTCAATAAGCCACAAATATCTTGCTTATCAAATATTACCTAAGGAGTCTATCGGATGATAAACAGAATGAAGGTTATCTTGAATTTTTTTAGTGTTCTGCTCCTAACTACACAGCAAGAAAGAGTATTATACTTAGAACAGAGTCCACAATTTCTTACTTTTCTAAGAGACAACATTAAAAACAAGAATCCTGAAACCTTACATACAGCATTGCCATTTAAGAATTGGTTTCTAACTAACAATCAACAAAGTAGAGATGCAAGATTTGCATGTGGTAAGAATGGCAGGGTCTAGAGGAGGAGAGGTTTGGGAGCTCTTTTTGGTCTCAAACATATTTTTTCCTTCCTCCCTATTTCTGTTTCTTGGCTAACCTAGCCTGTCCCCATTACATAGAAAATGATCTGAAAAACACTGGAGTGTTAAGACAATCTGTTTCACCTCCTACTAGGATTTACCAGACGGTATCAGGCAGATAGACCATTTAACAATACATGGCTTTAAACAAGTCATTCTCTGCACTGTTTTATGTAGCTGTAAAATTAAAAAACATTCAAACTTTAAATGAGATGGTATACTTGTAAAAAATGAGATGGTATGAAAGTACTTTTTAAAATTAAGGGCATACAGCATCTAGTGGTTAAAAATGATGCTGCCAGAGACTACTTACTGACAGAAAAATCTTATAATAGTAAGTTAAAAAAAAAAAACTAACAAAAATGATGCTCATAGTATGACCCCATTTTTAGAAGGCATGTGAATTCAACTGCCCAGGGGTCTAAAAAAAAAAAAAGAAAAGAAAAAAGGTATTAAGAATGCTTATTTCTGCATAAAAAGATTTAAGTGATCTTTATTTCCTTCTGTTTGCCTCTATTTTCTATGATGAACATGTATTAGTTTTGTAATAAAGAAAAATATTTAAATAAAGGAAGCCACTGAGGAGAAAAAGAGTGCTTTGTAAATATGAAGTATGATTAATAACACAAATGCAAGAATTATTAATCAGAGGCCTAGGGAGGAAAGACATCATTGTGTGGGGAGCTTTCCTAGAGATTTCTCAAATCATATAATCTGGGCTTCTAAACAACATCTACAGATTGGCAGGGTCTTTTAAAAGCAGGCTACCATAAGGAAATGTTGACTCTGGACATATTTTTTAAAACCAAATTCATATTTCACCTTGCTTGTCATTCTCCTCGACTCTCCCCACTACATAATCATCTAAACTAGAACCATGATGTAAGTGATATTGTTACTGGCAACCAACTATAGCGATGTGCGCTTACACATTTCACTTTTTGACTTATTTCTTTATGAACAGGATTTGTCTATTCATAACTCATACCCTGTGACTCTCGTTAGTATACCGAACGTTTATGCTTGCAAAAAAAATGTATGTTACTACTGCCTAATTTATCGTGTAAAGTGGCCTATGAACTTCTGTTGTGTTTTATGTTTCTCAAATCCCCCCTTAAAAACGTAAATAAATGTCTTTTAAATAACTTTTAAAATTATTTTTTCGAGCATTATATTTTTGAGATTTTGATCTTTTGGGATTACGGTGTTCAGGATTATGACTGGCTTCCCATGTCCCCATTGTCCCACTCTTTTACCATCTTTCAAATTAGACTGAAGGTGCTTTATCACCCAGAGCCTGGGCCCACCTACGTTATCTTTCACAAAGTACAAAACACACCTACAGGGAAAAGACCAACTCTAGGGCTCCTTCATCAAACATAAGCTTTTTGGAAAGTGGTCCCATGCTACTTTTGCCCTTTTATGGTTGCTAAGGTCTTCTCTCCTCTCCCAAGACAGAGGTGGGAGAGGGAACTGGGACAGACACAGCACTTGGCCTAGCAGAAGCTGCAATGCAAAATAAACCAGGATAAGCGGTGAAAAAAAAAAGGCTGACAAGGTGTGTCATAGTAAGTACCTATGAAAGGGCATTAATTAAAAAGACTGGGAAAACAAGTGGTAGAGACAGAATACATGGTCCCTCCCACAACCAAACACCCCATAATTAGTCACCAAGGAAATATTCCAGAGACCCTCAATTGAAAGCAAATATCCTTTTCCCAAAAATAAGCTGTGCTATCCTGAAACTGGAGCCCTCTCAAAACCTCAGTCAACAGACTACTATGATGCTACTCCCCGTTACATTTACAGTACCTTGGCATGATGTAGGTCAACACCATACATGGAAAGCCTCTTTGCATTTTCTAAGAACTGGGAATCAGCTTGTGCTGGCGATAAGCCCCTGAGAATCAAAAGAAACAGTATTATCTTATTAATGGATGCAGAGCAAATGTAGTCAGAATGGGAGGAGTGTCTGTGCTCAGAGGGTTTGGAGGAGAGAAAGTTACCCAGCCAAGTTTGCAGAAAAGTAGGAAATGGTAAGAAAACAACTCTCAACCTCTAACATTTTTCCCTTAAGATCCTATAATGTAAACCTGCTAAACTGCATGGAGGTATACCTCCACTCTTACCCATTTTATCTTAAAAAGTTGCTTTTGATTATTTTCACTGAGGAAAAAAGCCCCAGCAATAGTGTACAACATAAGTACTGGAGAATAAAAAACAGTGATCTCATCTTTCTGTGATAAACACATTCTTACTCCTTCATTTTATTTCACTAGAGTTGATCATAATAAAGATTGAAATTACTTGTATTTGATTTTATACCTATGATAGGTAACACAAATCAATTGTCCATACTAAAATTATTTCCATTCCTATCTATATACCCAACTAAGTAAACTTTAAGCTCCTAAAGAGCAAGATCATGTCCCATTAATTTTCACATTCCCCATGGCATGTCAGTACCTGATATTTCACATCAGAATTATACAACAAATGTCTATTGAGTAGAATTTAAGTAAATTAATAAGAAAACATTTAGAGTCAAATACCATATTTTTTTTAAAGAAAAATCAATGAATGTGGCCTGTTTAAAAACCTAATTTTTGAAAGTTCCTTTCAGATCACTTTAGTAATATTTAATAAAACTGTAATTTTGCAATATAGAACAAATTATCATTTTGTAGCTAGCGTTATAAAAATTTGTGTAAAAAGTCCATTTTCTTTTCACACACATATAAATGTTCTAGAAGCGTAATATGGTATTAATGTAATGTTAAGTAATCTTAGCTAAACCAACGGGTCATCTTCCAACGGAATCACCTGTACATTTCAGTTACTATTCCTACGTCCATCACCACCTACACTGGTAATTCAAATCCCAATGCCTCCTTATCTCCCTAGCTTTCTTACCACATATAGTAATAAGGACAATTATAAGGCAGAAGAAATATAAAGTAAATGTCAAATAAGTATGTGGACATGTTTGTCTCCAATGTGTATGTGTTAGGGGGATAGGGAGAAGAAGGTGTCATGGGGAAAAGTACATTTTTCCAATACATGAAAACATACAGTCTTACAAGTATAGTTTCTCAGACGGTAGTTATAAAAATAATGAAAGGATACCTCAAGGGCTCCACGTTGCCTTGATTAGTGCTAGGTGAAACTCCAAAAGGAAAAATTGGATAATCCTGTAAATCATGCTCAAATGTCTAGTAAGTGCTACAAGAGAAGCTATTTAAATCTCCCATGGCCATTCTCTCCAGTAAGCAAGGCAACAGACCTGTGGGTTTTGTGCAGCTCTGCCACCTTCTCTTCCAGCTCCTTAGTCTGAGTAGGGGCAAACTGGAATTCACTGAGGTCGATGCTGCCATGTTCTTCTGGGTCATAGTCACCAAGTTCAGCCTGCAGGGTGTAGGATCCCAGGAGAGCATGAGTCACAAAAGAGCAGGGCAGGCGGCCAGAGGCAATGTCCTGCCGGAGCTGAAGGCACAAGAAGTATCTGTGAGGAGCAGAGGGAGAAATGGGTCAGGGGAGAACCATTAGGTGAGATTGGAGCACTCACAGTCCTTAAAAGCTAGTACCCCTTTGAAAACAAATATACAATATAGGCACTCTTCATATAAACAGCAAAAATCATCTTCTCTAATAAAAAGCCTCAACTTGCTCCTTGGGCTTCTAAACTTGTGGCTTATTTATAGAAACTGAGTCCAGAAGGCTAATTTATATGTGTGTGTGTATATATATAAGAGTTTTATAACTGAAGTAAAAATTTCAATCACTTAAACTGTCTCCTTGGATTTCAAACTGTAATAAAAATTAGCACGCCCCTCAAAAGATGTAAGGATTAATAGATTAAAAAAAAAAACTAGTCTTAATCATTTGTAAGAAAAGCTAAGGTCACCCACCCTTTATCATCTTGACATTTCTTCTTTTCCAGAAACACCTTTAACAACAGTTATTGGTAAATCTCTACTTTGAAGCCCTTACTTTTCCATTTACCCCATTTAAAGCAGTAGCTAGCTCAGTTTAGCAGAAAAGGCCTGGGCTTTGAAGCCAGGAAGACCTGACTCTATATGACCTTGAGCAAGTTAATTTACTTGCCTAAGGGTAATTTCCCACCTATAAGACGCTAAGAACTCTACCTCCCTTTGAAGATGAGCATGAACATTAGATAATATAAATAAAATATCTGGTACATGCTTAAGAATCAATAACTAGTAGCTATAATAATTAGTGGCTATAATGTTTCTCATTCAATGTTCCATGTGGCTCACTACGGTTATAAAAGAATTTCCGTTTTCCATGAAATAAAATGCAGAAACATGTCATATATACCCTGTGGGTTTCCCCCACCTTTTAAGCCCCACTATCAATTCCTCTTGGTAACATTTTAAAATGTGATTTCTACTCTTTAACTTCACCACTTGCTATGGTCACCATGGATCCTCCCAAATCAACAGCAGAGTCCTCATTCTTTAAGACCTTTTAGAGACTGGCATTCATACTGGCAGCTGGCCATCTTAGTCCTGTGGACACTTGCCTGGCCTGGGTTTTAGGGCCCAATCCTCTTCCTGCTCTCTACCCTACACAATCAAATGGGGAGTGCTGGCCTCTGGTCCAGGCCTTGTTGTTACTGGGTCAGAGAGCACAACCCAGCACATGGGGCCAGGTCAGTTCAGAACCTGGATTACCACCCAAATACATCATCAGGCAGGGCGGGGACTCTGTTTATCATCACTATAGTCCCACAGTTACTGGAGGGCTTGCCACATGACAAGTGCTCGGTAATTGAGAGACTGAAAGTCTTCTCGCTATCACTACAGTATTTTGAGTATTTTATGCCTTGCAGATCTCCTTTTAAGGAGGATTATATGTTTCCTTGACCCGTAGAAAAACATAAGCATTAACAGTACATACTTCAGACAACTGAATTTTCAACCATGGGTCCAGGTTATCCTCAAATTCTCTAATAAACAACAGTGATGTTTCTCCACATTTTATGGAAGTTTTAGAACCTAAACACAAAGATTTCATCTTGTTGCTTCCTTTTATATTATTGTCTCTGCTTTTCACATTGGTCCTTTCCTCTGTTTTCAAAGCCTAAGTCTAAATCCTAAAAACTTCAAACAAAAAATGGCATGAGCTTCCTGAATTACCCAACTGTACCTTCACACAGCACTATGAAGCATTCTTCAAACATTATTCGAAATAGTGTTCTTGCCCTTCTCAGAAGCCTACCCCAGCTTCTAAATGTTCACTCAAGTCATGGTGAAGATTTCGATCATGACATTTAAGCTTCCAGGCCACAAGTACAGGCAGGTGGCTGGTCTCAGGCTGCACCACTGAGAACTTTAGTTAGCTGAGCAGACTATATTGTTCCTCCCACTAGACAGGGAGACTGTTCAAGTTCCATTTATATGGAAAACCAAAGTACTGATGCTACAAACTTGCAATCACCAAAGGATTATCATTCTCCAAACAAATTACTGCCAGGAGGAGTGTATGTACAGAGTGTTGGGTCACAAAGCCCCAGTTACATGCATTGTTCAGAGGCACCCCTGCAGTGAAGCTCTGCATCCTACACATGCCATTCGGTCAGGTTTTATGCTCTAAGTAGCTCACTGTGCAGTTACAAAAGCTACTATTTATTATTTACTAGGTGAAGCTAATTCATTCAGAGCTTAATTAGTGCATTCATATTCAGCAACAAGTAGTTTAAAAAAAAAAAAAAGGCCGGCCTGCTATGTACCCAATATTGGAAAGAAATTTCCATCCTTGCTATTTCACATGGATATTATGAACTCTTAACCACTTCCACAACTTGATGTCTGACAACAAAACTGGCCCAGCAGAAAGCATCAAAGATACAGGAACTAAAGACAAGCAGACTCTTTTGCTAAGCCCCTCTAGTTTTCTAAAAGTCATGCACTGCACACAGTTGTACTTGACCATGTAAGTAACCTTTTAAAAATATGGTATATAAAAATCATCCTTTAAAAAAAAAAATCAACCCTTTATACTTCCTCTCACCAAAGCTAAGAAATGCTATCCCTGGTACCCAGTGTAATCAGGCTAAGATTTCAAGCTACTTGTTGATTGATTCACAATGTTTCTGGTACCCAGTCTAACTGGGCTAAGATTTCAAGGTACTTGTTGATTCACAATGTTTCTTGGTTGCCATTCAGGTACTCAGAATCAATAAATATTCTCTTGCTCCTAAACAGAATCCTTTCTTTGCAATTCAAGTGTATGTTCTTATAGCTCACACAATCTCCAAGGAGATGGAAATGAACTAGCTATTGACTCTACATAAGAAATCCTACCTTGTTTGGTTCTGGAGGGAGAAGAGAGAAAGAAATTACCAGTTCAATTGGACTTTTAAAATAATTTCATTTTGCTAACCTCATATCATCTTTGTAATATGAGACTAGTATATAAGCACACATGAGTTATATACAATAAAAATGACCTTGGTATTAAAATCTCAAATATTAAATATTAGTGACTTTTAAAAGTATAACATAGAAAACAAAGTTGTCAGCAGTATCATTTTTAAAATTTTCATTACTAGAATATAAATGAAGATATTAAAGAAAGTGAATAAAATTTTTGAAACTGGCAACATTTCAAACTATTTGGATGTACCCATTTTCAAGGAAACTTCTAAAACTTAAGAAAAACTGTTTTGGTTTTCAATCCTGAAATTACCACTATGCTCCCAGGGCACAAAAATAAACGAGAGCTGTAAGGAAAGGTTCATTTAAAAATGCAAATATAAAGTACCTGGTGATATCTTCAGTCAATTGAGAAGGATCAGGAGGATAAAACTTCACATTAAAAGTGAATAGCCATGGAAGGTCTGTAATTATTAAATATCACAGTTATGCACCCAATTAACAGAAGAATGACTATTGTGATAAAATTTAAAGGTCAAGGATCAAACAGTACAGACTAATCCAACTATAAATCAGCATGCAGAATTTTTTTATTTAAATAAAATTAAAATTGTTTATAAAATAAAAATGAAATAAAAAATAAAATAGAAATCAATTACATAAATAAGCCACCATTAAAGAGTAATAGGTTCTCTTTCTTATAAACATTTACTGATACCTCAACATGTGTTTTATATGGTGATCTATTATACAAAAATTTTAATATAACCTCCATGTAATAGTTCTGAGATAAGATTCAATTTAACCACAGGATCTCCTGTTGCCAAATATTCTCCACCCTTTTTTTTTTTTTTAAAATTCAGGATTTTCTACATTGTTGTGGGGAAGGAGAGTAATGATCAAGAGATAATAGCTATTCAAAAAATTATTAATGGGCTATTTGAAGAAGGTGTTAAAAGAGATCCCAAGAAGGGAAAGCATGGTATAATTTCATGATACTTTAGGACAATACAATTATTTCCCAGGTTTTAGTAGAGTAGGTGTAAGTATATTCGTATATAACATACACTTGGCTGTATTGTGCCATAAAGAATGAATAAGTCAAGCAACCATATCATAAATGGCTTGTTAAAAGTTAAAACACTGCTATTTATACGTAAAATTTAACTGCTATTTTGATAGATCATGTGTAGGATAACTTTAAAAAAGTAAAACTATGGGGGAAAGGGCAGGTATTATTTTCCTAATGGAATCCAAATAATTCCACTAGCCTGAATTTAGAGTTTGACTTCAAGTTCATAATATTTTTAAATTAAAAAAATGTGTGTGTGTATATATGTTATTCCTTTTTTTTTTTTCTGAGACAGAGTCTCACTCTGTCGCCCAGGTTGCAGTGCCGTGGCATGATCATGGCTCACTGCAACCTCAACGTCCCAGGCCTAAGTGATCCTCCCATCCTAGCCTCCCAAGTAGCTGGGACCACAGGCATGCGCTACGATGTCCGGCTAACTTATTTTTTACTCTTTCAGAGACGGGGTCTCCCTATGTTGCCAGGCTTGTCTCGAATCCCTGGGCTTAAGCAATCTCCCGGCCTCAGCCTCTCAAAGTGTTGGGATTACAGGCATGAACCACCACGCCCAGCCAAGTTATTCCATTCTATACATATTTAAAGACCTTATGAGATGTTTAATTTATGAACCTGAAGAAAAATTCCTTGAATCCCATTCTCTTGTTCAGTGTGGCATTTTGTCCTTTGTCTTACCATCAGCACACTACCTTTTCACTCACTCAAATATTTATTAAATGGCTACTGTTGTATACAAATGCATTTTTTGCTGGATTTTGGCTCAATGCACCACTGATTCAACCAATGAAGTCAATCCTGCTGAACTTAAGAAGCAGATTTCAGTTCTGCTTTACACATTTAAAACATAATAATGGGATATAAGATTTTCCTGAATATCAAGATATATGAGGTTTCTTGGCCTATAGCGCCATGATGACTGTCAAATATCCATGCATCGTGTTTGTGTAAGCATTTCTTCAAGGTGACTGCTAGTCTCGAATTAAGTAAAGTTATCACAGGATTATCATTTCTTAATGGCTCCTTGTTTGTTTTCTAGGTAATAACACTAGAACATGCTTGCCTGGACAGGACTCGGAGACATTTCTACTAGACCACATATTTTCTAATATACTTCCAAATCTAAAAGCTGTTGAAATGTACCAATAATGCTAAGCTTTTTTAAAACTGACAATTAAAAATGGTATACATTTTGGTACAAAATATGATATTTTAAAATACGTATACATTGTGGAATGGCTAAATTGACCTAATTAACATATGCATTACTCTTCACATACTATTTTTGCAGTGAGAGCACTTAAAATCTACTCCCTTAGCAGTTTTCAAGTTAAACTTTTAATTTGATTACATATTATCATCATAATTTTTACCTAGCTGTTTATAAACAGTCCTTCTAGCTACAGAAATGTTTACATACTAGTCATACGCAAGCCTTAGACATATAGTCTTATTTATGTTTCAGAAAATAAAGGTTTTAAGGCAAATTTTAAATGAGAATCATTAAGTTGTTGGTTGTCATAGGTAGCTCAAAAAAGATTAATATTTATCTTCGCTAACTGCCTATGAGCTGAAAAATAAAAATAAAATTATAGCAGACACCAAGGATAGAATAGGCAGGTTTTTTGGTCCATTTTAATACAGAAAGAAAGAGGTAGATACAACTGCTAAAGCTTCATTTCCTCAGCCTGCTTTCATGATGGGTACAGTACAGGATGCCATTTAAAGAACTGGTTCCAACAGTTTTAAAAAGTCTAATCTTACTGTTACTCATATTGCCAAACCACAAGGGTAAAAGTTCTGAAATAACTTTTTGAAACTTCACAGATAATCAAAACATAAGAACATGATTCATAATCGGCAAGAGGTTTGGCTTCCAAAAGTTAGGAAATCTCCATGACTCTGAAGAGAGTGGCACAAAAAAAAAATAATAATAATAATCAAACAAGAACCCAAACAAAACCATAGGAAACAACTCAATGGAACATCAATCATGTTTCAGAGGTTGCCCTGTTCTCTCTGTTTGGGTCACTTGGCAGGTCTGGTTTCAGAGAAAGTGTAAGAACTAAGCATCCGTAACCTTTTTGAATGCATGCACTTTGCAAAGTAACAACTGCAGAAGGGACAAAGGAAAAAGTTTCAAAGCTCTGGTACTGTTTCTTCCATAAGGTAAGCATAATGTATCTGGTGTCTACTTATTCCTCTTCTTTTTCTCCCTTTTCCATCATGAAGCAAGCATAAATGGATGAAACACCAAGAAAATAAATGCAAGAAAGAGAATGTGGGAAACCAGGAATAATAATCAAAAGGATAGTGACCAACCATTCCAGCCTGCCTGGGACTGGTTCCAGCTTTAGCACTTAAAGTCTCATATCCTGAGAAGCCCCTCAGTCCTGGGCAAATCAGGAGGTTGGTCACTCTAATCAAAGACGTTTTTAAAAAGGAAAAGAAAGATGAGTCTACAGGAAGAGGAAATGGGAAAAATAAGGTATATGCTCAGAATAAAAAAAGAGAGTAGGGAAGCAAAGAAATGACAGGAAGACTACCAAAAAGATAAATAATTCGAGAGAGAAAGAAATAAAGAAAACAAATGTGAAGAACCTAAAATGGGAGCTAGATGGTAGATGAAAAGGGCAAGAAGGGAAAGGACAGATTGGTTTCAGTATTTTGACCTTAGGAATAATAAGTAAGTAAGGAAATGAAATCAACAGTACAAAGGGCATCTTGCATGCTGGCACCTGGAGAAGAGGTTTCTCCTGGGACAACTCTGGGCTCCACAGTCGAGGAAGGCTGTTAGGAATTTACCAGCCTTCAGATTTTATTCTCCAGACCGAAAATTCCAACTGCCTGTAGCTGCCTACCTTCTCTGCTTCAGTCATTCACAGACCCTGAAGTAAATTAAGTATCCAGATCCCCTAACAGAGATTTCTCTCTATTTATCATGTTTCTTGGCACAGATACCAAAAAAACAGCCACAGGCAAAACAACCTGCAGAGGCAGAACGTATAGAGAGAACTGAAGCTGGTTAGAGTGGGACTCTTGGAGTCATTTTGGGATTGTACAAGAACAAATGGGAAAAGGGGAAGAAATGAACAATGAGGCCTAACTACAAGCCCAGGCTCAAAGAGTATGCAAAGTGGCCTTGGATTGTAGAACCAATGAGCAGAGATGGCAGTGACCTCAGAGAACTGAAAAGATTGTTCCCCTTGCTTCTCCCCAAAGAGTCCTCACTCCAGTACATCCAGGAACAGTGTCTCTATGTCTCTGTGGCCAAAGATGTGCATATTGAACTAATTATGCACTTTCAAAATGAAGCAGACAAAGCAATAGTATCAGGTCTCACTGGAGTAAAATTTACATAGAAAGTAAAATTTACAGAAAAGTAGTTTCTCTTTCTTTCCCAGAAAAAAAATGTCAGATGTTACTTGGTAGGACATTCTGAGTGAATATTTAGGAATGTGAGTCTAGAACCTTCCCAAAAGTAGGAGCACCTGAGCCATGTACGAAACAGTCACAATTCCACAAAAATATTATTAGTATTATTAACTTCTAAGATGGCATAAATGCAAAATAGAACTGACCATTCTATTACTGATCATTTATATCACAAATAGATATCAAGACACCTTAACTTCAAAGAATGATTATTTATATACTTACTTCTCAGTTGTCTCTTTATTTCTTTAGCAGGATCTAACCAGTTCTGCATGAGGGAAAAAAATTAATTCATAAGAAATATTCTAGAGTCTAAAATAGAACAGTTTACAGTTCACATAATTATTTAAGTGTAAACACATTTTAATAAAGTATTA
Source organism: Homo sapiens (assembly GCF_000001405.40). Lineage (NCBI taxonomy): Eukaryota > Metazoa > Chordata > Mammalia > Primates > Hominidae > Homo > Homo sapiens. The sequence goes on from NC_000006.12 coordinate 130,908,973, forward strand.
TTCAAAGCAACTTGCACCTATCAGCATTCCACTGGGCTAAGTATTGCTTTGTCCTTGGGGACATATGTGTGTAAATGTGGTAAGTGTGTACTATAAGTAAAATATTCACATGCTTTTAAGGTGGGTCCCATGGGCCTCATTCTCCTGCATCTAAAATGGTCCAAATGATGAGACATATCTTCACACAGTCTTATTCTGTAGAACTGCCAACAAATAGCCCCTGCAGACACTGAAATGAGAGCTCTTCAAGGACAATAATGGATTCCTAGTCATGAAGGATAAAGTGTGAAAATTGAAACTGTTGGCTAAAAGTATATACATACCAAGCGAACACAATTATCTCAACTCCTAAAACGAACTACTCCTCCTCCTTAATCCTCCCTTTCCCTCCAACTCTATAATTGTAAGGAGAGGTAAGGTCAGGTTGGAGACAATATTTCCCTTCCTGGTCTTAATATAACACCCTTCTTTCTTCTTAACCTCATTCTAAGTTGGAAGTAGCAATCACAAGGAACTCCTTAAGAAAGCTTTACTCAGACTGCTGTGCTGGCAGCTCTGGCCAGGCCAATCAGGCAAGAGAAACAAATAAAGGGTATTCAAATAGGAAGAAAGGAAGTCAAATTGTCTCTGTTTGCAGATGACATGATTGTATATTTAGAAAACCCCATTGTCTCAGCCCAAAATCTACTTAAGCTGATAAGCAACTTCAGCAAAGTCTCAGGATACAAAATCAATGTGCGAAAATCACAAGCATTCCTATACACCAATAATAGAGAGCCAAATGATGAGTGAACTCCCATTCACAATTGCTACTAAGAGAAAAAAATACCTAGGAATACAACTTACAAGGAATGTGAAGGACCTCTTCAAGGAGAACTACAAAGCACTGCACAAGGAAATAAGAGAGGACACAAACAAATGGAAAAACATCCCATGCTCATGGATAGGAAGAATCAATATCGTGAAAATGATCATACTGCCCAAAATAATTTATAGATTCAATGCTATCTCCATCAAGCTACCATTGACTTTCTTCACAGAATTAGAAAAAACTACCTTAAATTTCATATGGAACCAAAAAGGAGCCCATATAGCCAAGACAATCCTAAACAAAAAGAACAAAGCTGGAGGTATCACACTACCTGACTTCAAACTACATTACAAGGCTACAGTAACCAAAACAGCATGGTACTGGTACCAAAACAGATATATAGACCAATGGAACAGAACAGATGCCTCAGAAATAACACCACACATCTACAACCATCTGATTTTTGACAAATGTGACAAAAACAAGCAATGAGGAAAGGATTCCCTATTTAATAAATGATGTTGGGAAAACTGGCTAGCCATATGCCGAAAACTGAAACTGGACTCCTTCCTTACACCTTATAGAAAATTAACTCAAGATGGATTAAAGACTTAAACATAAGACTAAAACCATAACAATCCTAGAAGAAAACCTAGGCAATACCATTCAGGACATAGGCATGGGCAAAGCCTTCATTTCTAAAACACCAAAAGCAATGGCAACAAAAGCCAAAATTGACAAATGAGATCTAATTAAACTAAAGAGCTTCTGCACAGCAAAAGAAACTATCATCAGAGTGAACAGGTAACCTACAGAATGGGAGAAAATTTTTGCAATCTATCCATCTGACAAAGGGCTAATATCCAGAATCTACAAGGAACTTAAACAAATTTACAAGAAAAAAATAACTCCATCAAAAAGTGGGTGAAGGATATGAATAGACACTTCTCAAAAGAAGACATTTATGTGGCCAACAAACATATGAAAAAAAGCTCATCATCACTGGTCATTAGAGAAATGCAAATCAAATCCACAATGAGACACCATCTCACGCCAGTTAGAATGGCGATCGTTAAAAAGTCAGGAAAACAACAGATGCTGGAGAGGATGTGGAGAAACAGGAACACTTTTACACTGTTGGTGGGAGTGTAAATTAGTTCAACCATTGTGGAAGACGGTGTGGTGATTCCTCAAGGCTCTAGAACTAGAAACACCATTTGACCCAGCCATCCCATTACTGGGTATATACCCAAAGGATTATAAATCGTTCTTTTATAAGGACACATGCACACGTATGTTTATTGCAGCACTATTCACAATAGCAATGACTTGGAACCAACTCAAATGCCTATCAATGATAGACTGGATAAAGAAAATGTGGCACATATACACCACGAAATACTATGCAGCCATAAAAAAGGATGAGTTCATGTCCTTTGCAGGGACATGGATGAAGCTGGAAACCATCATTCTCAGCAAACTAACACAGGAACAGAAAACCTGCATATTCGCACTCATAAGTGGGAGCTGAACAATGAGAACACATGGACACGGAGAGGGGAACATCACACACCAGGGCCTGTTGGGGTGTGGGGGGCTAGGGGAGGGACAGCATTAGGAGAAATACTTAATGTAGATGACGGGGGTTGATGGGTGCAGCAAACCACCATGGCACGTGTATACCTATGTAACAAACCTGCACGTTCTGCACATGTATCCCAGAACTTAAAGTACAATAATAATAAAAAAAAAGAAAACAAGTCAATAGTTACATCCAATGGTTAAATAAACTCTCCAACTAAACAACAAAAAAGAAAGCTTTAAAAAAATGCTAGGAAACTGTTACAGCATCTTAAAGCAAAAAAGACCAAATTTAAACCACTAGGTTCGAACCACCCAAGGACATTAAATTTTTGTTTTTCGAAGCTACAAGCAAAAGTCCAATAAAAAATTTAGATTTTTTTGTTTATATTTTTATATTTACATTTTTCTACCCTCAAGTTATCACTAACATAGGAGAAGTGCAATTTTTGAGGTACAATAAACTAATTCAAATAAATGAGTCTAATTAAGTTTTACTCATTCTAAGCAGTGTCCAAAATAATATAACAGGGGTCCTCAACCCCCATCCCACGGACTGGTACCGATCGTGGCCTATTAGGAACTGGGCTGCACAGCAGGACGTGAACAGCAGGTAAGTGGGCATTACCACCTGAGCACCGCCTCCTGTCAGATCACCACCCGCGTTAGATTCTCAGAGGAGCACAAACCCTATTGTGAACTGCACAAGAGAGGGATCTAGGCTGCACACTCCTTATGAGACTCTGACTAACGCTTGATGATCTCAGGTGGAGCAGTTTCATGCCAAAACCATTCCCTCACCCCCACCCCGGTATGTGGAAAAATTGTCTTCCACAAAACCGGTCCCTGTTGCCAAACAGGTTGGGGACCACTGTATTACAACATCTGTGCTTAAACAGAATTTTATTCAGATATATAAAGCAAACAATTAAAATGCTTATTAGTACACAGAAAATAACCTGCTGTCTTAATACCATATTAAAATGGTATAACGGAACATTAACTGACACTATTAAAAAGTAAAACAGTAAGATGCTGTGAAAGCAGAGCCGCATGGCCCCTCGGGTTTCACTACTGTTCATGGCCCGCACTCGGGGTAGCAAGGATCCAAGGTGTACATGGCTCTGTTCTAACACTGGTTATATTCAAACCTCTCAATAAAGAACTACCAGAGCATGGTCTAGTTTCATATTACTGGTGTCCCAGCTGCATGCACTACTGACGTGAGGGGCAGCAGGCCTCTCTAAGGGTGCCTCCAGTGCCATGTGAGGGAGCAGCTCTAATTACCCCTTCAGAAGAGAGCCTGCCATTCAGTTTGCATGCACTGCAGCTGCTGTCCCACCCAACAGCTGGCTCACAAATGGCCAGCCTCGATAAGTGCACAGGAATGAAAAAACACATCATTCAGCCTCTAGCCCACACTGGTTGGAGGCTGGGAGAGAGGTGAGAAAGGGGCAAATGGGTGGAATTTTCACCCAAGGAACAACCATAGCAAGAAAAACGAAATTGAATGGCGCCAAATTGAAAAGAAAAAAAAAGTCCCCAGAATATTAACACAGAGAAATTAAGAGAAAGTGCTGGTCTTAAAGACAGACCCTTCCAAATCCCCAATTTCATTAAGTGTGAGCAGTGATACAGATCCCCAGTACAGAAGAGCAACAAAGGACCCTTCTCTGTTCCAGAAGATGGTGGAAGCTTGTGAACCCAAGGACTAACCCTGTGTCCCAGCCACCTGGCACCTTCTATTCTCACCTAAAGCACCCGGCCCTTGTACAAATTACCTAACAGTTTCTATAGGGCATGGTAAGAGTCAGCTCTATAAACCCAGCAATATGAGTGAAAAGTCAGACAGCCAAATTCAGACTTGGTGTCATTCTCAGGCCACTTTCCACAACACTGCCAGACAGATTACTGAAGGCTGAAATGGCTTACTTTCAACCATCCAAAGACTAAGTGGGCGGGGTTTACCTGATGTGATCAAACAGCAGCATGACTTCCTCACCGCGTTTTCCCTTTCCTAACCACACTCACTTTCACACTGTAAGTTCCATTCCTGCCAAGCATTAGGCTGTCTTCTCACTCCCCAGTACTACAACTTTGCAAGGGCTGGAACAGACCATATTATTTATATCTTCCAGGGTACTTAATACAGTTTTAGGCAACCAGTGAGAACTAAATTAATACCTGCTGACTGATATATGCCCCTTGCTTGCCTCCTTCCTCTCCACGCTGTGATCATCTTAAATGATCACGTTATATTACTTTTATTACATTTATTTTTACTTGAATACATATCTCTAATGAGTACTTAGATGGTAAGTGGGGTATAGCATCATAAATTCCTAAGTAAAAAAAAAATGACTTAAATGACTTAAAAGAAATACAAGTTAATGATCTGCATTACCAGTTACAAAGAAATAACAAACAAAACTTTTAAATAAATACAGTAAATAATAAAAATTAATTTCTTGGTTTGACACTTAAGGAGGAGGGTTGAGCAGACCAAGAAGCAGACACAAAAAGATGGAAAATGCCATCAGAGAATGAGAAAAATGCATGAGGGTGTGTGTGCACAACATACAACAACCGCCCTCACCCCATGATACACTACAGTATTCATTGCCAGGTTTTAGACTTAAAGATTTGTCTGCTGTGGCCACATATATAAACCGTGGAATCAGAAATACACGCAGTAAAATTCTGGTTTTCTATCAACTCTAACTTGGGCACATTCCTTGGCTTCTTTAAGCCTCAATTTCCTCAAACACAAAATGGGGATCACAACATCTACCTCATAGGGTAGTTCTTTTCAAACAATATTCAAGCCTGAAGAATAAATATGCATACAAGTACCTTCCCCAGCAGATCATCATTAGTAGATCACTATTTGCAATAATAAAACTAAATTATCATCTTTTGGTATATATATCTTCTTCACATAATTTTATATATCCATAGGTGATGTGTTATATACATTAAAGAATTTAATCTCTATATGAATATTTCTACCCACAAAAAGTTAATAAATCAGACTTTCGGTTCACAAAATAGGGTCACTGTATTCACAGGCGAGATGACATGAAAACCAAGCCCTTTCTATATGACTAGTCTAAGAGCTTCTATGTACATGTTAAAGTATTATCCAGTTTGGCCGATGGTAAAAATCCACCCGGCAAATTTTTTAAAAGACAGCTCTTTGTCCATGGACAACTGCCCAGAACATCCTAAAACATTCTCCAGGGAAGGAACTCAGGAAAGTGACAGCTTCAGGCAATTCAAGATCAGGCAAGACAGGGATCTTCTCAGTGTTTCCCAAACATTAAGGTATAAGCAACCATGCAAAACTCGAGAGCTGACCTATATCAGATTTCAATAAAATTTATCTTGTTTTATTAAAAAAAATAAAACAAGGATTTTGCCAACTACTTAAGAGCAGGAACAGTCACTTACTCAATTCAGTATTCTCCTTACTTTCTCCTCTCCATTCCCTAATCCAAACCCAAAACATGAACACAGTAAATATTTATCTCCTAAATGAACATCAGGTAAAATAAGAGACTAATAATAAAAGTTATAAGGAATCCTAAAACAGGCTTCCAACAGAAGTAAAATAAAATTAAAATGTGGCCTTAGAATATCAAGTATTGTTAAATCACCGGCCGGGCGCGGTGGCTCACGCCTGTAATCCCAGCACTTTGGGAGGCCGAGGCGGGCGGATCACGAGGTCAGGAGATCGAGACCATCCCGGCTAAAACGGTGAAACCCCGTCTCTACTAAAAATACAAAAAATTAGCCGGGCGTAGTGGCGGGCGCCTGTAGTCCCAGCTACTTGGGAGGCTGAGGCAGGAGAATGGCGTGAACCCGGGAGGCGGAGCTTGCAGTGAGCCGAGATCCCGCCACTGCACTCCAGCCTGGGCGACAGAGCGAGACTCCGTCTCAAAAAAAAAGAATATCAAGTATTGTTAAATCACCTTCAAACATGAAATTGGGAGGTAATGAACTCAAGTTTGGGGAAATATGTTCCATCTTTATTTTTACTAACTTCTAACTGAAACTTAGCATCACTGTCAATTAGGAACATAGCAGAAAAAAACCTGGTTAATATCAGCAGAACCTCTTTGTCACCTGCAGAAATCAAAAACATTTCCACATCACATTGTAGTAGCTGCAGATCTTAAAATACCATTTATGCTAGCCAATATTTTGAAGTCACAGTAGCTACTAGATTTGATACTGATGATTAATATATAAATAAAAACACATAATGATATGGTTTGGCTCTGAGTCCCTACCCAAATCTCATCTTGTAGCTCCCATGATTCTGACTTGTTGTGGGAGGGGCCTGGTGGGAGATGAGTGAATCATGGGGGCAGATCTTCATGCTGTCTCATGATAGTGAATGGGTCTCACGAGATCTAATAGTTTTAAAAACGGGAGTTTCTCTGCACAAGCTCTCTCTCTCTGCCTGCCACCATCCATGTAAGATGTGACTTGCTCCTCCTTGCCTTCTGCCATGATTGTGAGGCCTCCCCAGCCATGTGGAATTGTAAACCTCTTTCTTTTGTAAATTGCCCAGCCTCAGGTATGTCTTTATCAGCAGTATGAAAACAGACTAATATACATACCTATTACTTTGTCTCCAATTTTAGATTACTATTTTGGGAATGTTATTTAGTTATTGGCTTTCTTTGTAGCCCTGTGTACTTTTATTATAGTTATACATTGAAAACACTGTTCTGAGAAGCAGCCTATAGAATTCAGCAGACTGCCAAAGGAATTCAAGGCACAAAAAGAGGTGGGATTTTTTTTTCCTGCCTTAAAAGGTTACAGAATTTTTTTTAAACTAAGCAGCACAGTGAATAGCTGTACTTATATGTATTTTACACTAAAATCTTTCTATTAGTTAATTAGAGAATCTCCTTAATCTTACTCTTTATTTGCCACAAATCTGAGGATGAAAGTCTTGTCTTATGACATTTCCCCTACAACATTTTCATTACGGGTTCCCAGAAAAAGTGTTAAACATGATTCTCAATTATGCTCTAGTGACAGAAACATCTAGGGGGAAAAAAAAAGCTTAATTATGAATCCTAATACTGTATTTATATTCATAGAATACCAGTGTTAGAAAGAACCTCAGAATAATGGTCCAAATGTCCATATTTGGGGAACGGCCTAACTCTTGCCTCAGTGGCTACGAATATTTGAACACTTCTGGGACCATGAACCACATGGGCCCACTAGGACTCCCCTCCTCCCGTGGCTTTCATGACATTTCAAACTCCTGTAATGCTCTCTGCTACATCAAAAGAACAGTTTATCCCTACATCAATGCTTCTCAAACTTTAAAGGTGCGTATGAATCACCTGAACATCTAGCCAAAATAAAGTCTATTTCAGCAGGTCTAGGGTGAGCGCTAGAGTTCTTCATTTCTAAGAAGCTTCTGCGTGGAGCCAACGCTGCTGGTCCTTGGACCACTCTTTGAGTAGGATAGCCCTAGAGTTCTTTTTATGTAGAAATTTCTTTCTTTTCCTGAAAGCTCAATATAGAGAGACATTTTTCAAGTCCTACTGGCTTGTCAGCCTTCACTGAGTAAACCTTCTAATTTTTGACAGCTTCCTGCAGAAAGCCCTGGCAGGGCACAGTTTCCACATTCCCATATCTAAGTGTTCCTTTGAACTCCTCCCCATCACAATAAGCAGCTGTACCAAAGAATTCCAGGTCTTTTTATTCTACTTGCTAACCACTTTCACCTGAGAAGAGATATGCAACCACAGTCATCAACTGGCATTAGTAGTCTGGGTGTGCAGTTGTCCACAGCAGGGTCCTAACCATGCTTGACCTGGATAACAACCCAAAATACAGTCATAAAATCCATCTTCTAGTTAAGACAAAGAGTCTTTTCTTGACCAAACTTTAGTCAGGCTCCTCTGAATCCTCTTCCCAATTAGGCTTCAGGTTTTAGACTTCTGTGTCCATCTACACACCATCCAACTTTAGCAAGAATCCTGTTAATAAGTTGGTTTAGTGGGAAACCCCCATCCTTGATAACTAATTACCCTTGATATCTGATGGGGTTCCTCATCCTCCACCATCCCCCAAGTGATATCAGATCACCCTCACCTGCCTTCAACAAGAATCCTGTTAGCTTGGTTTAACCAGAATTCCCCTAAGTGCACCCCTGATGTTTCCTCTTATTAGTTTCCCATCTACTAACCCCCACCCTGCTCCTTGACTATAAATTTCCACTTCTCCTTGTCGTATCTGGAGCTGAGCCCAATCTCTCTTGCCTACTGCAAAACCCCACTGCAAAGGTCCTTATACCTATTACAACAGTCCTGAATAAAGTCTGCCTTACCATTTTAACAAGTGTTAGAATAAGTTTTTCTTTAACAGTTCCTTTCCCCCCAAAAAAATCTATCTCATTCATTTAATTCTCCTTTAAGTTAGACCCTAAGACCCCAGAGTTCGAAGTTTCTCAAATGCCTCGCCATGCCTTCCTCACTTGCTTTAGGTGATCTCTAATTTGGCCAGGTAAGAGAAATTAACAAATTCAACCCAATTCACAGTGTATGACTAAATGTTAAAAGTAGTTTTGTCTAGAATCTGCATTTTCTCACAGGAATTTATAGTGCTGAAACAGATCCCCTTTAATATACCTTTGCCTAAATTGGGTTTAAGAGAACTCTACCATAATGCTGGTGTTAGGAGAAAAGTTACAGGCACTGTATCACAGTGAAACATTCACTACACATCTGGGAGAATGTGGGATTATAAAGTTTAACTAGATTGAATGTAGAACTTTATTAAAGAATAGTTTATATATGCAAACAGTTTAATATTTGAGTTTTTAGTTCTAGTTTCTGGAACAAAATGGTCTATTAGATGACTGCTTCAACTAATTTTCATAAAGTTAGCCGTGAATATCAACTACATTTCTAACAAGCTCCTTTTTCAATATAGCTTGCAGCAAAATGACGTTATAATGTCATTTTGGGCCAAATGCCAAACTATTAACATCAAAAATTCAAGACAATATTTTTCCCTTTAAAGAGAGTCCAAAACCCTTAACGATGGTTTCATTTAGACATGAATACAAGAACTATATGGACTTGGAATTCCATATTGAATAACATGTTGCCTGATTCCACGTATTTTTAACAACATTTTCCATAGTAAAGTTTATATAAGCACTCTCAATAGACATTAAAAAAGCTTTAACACTAACAATGACAGATTTTTCATACCTAGAATGAACTAAAAAGACTTTCACCTCAGTGTCTCAACCATGAGAGATATAGTACTGTATTAAAACCAAACAAATGTGTAGATTTTCTCTCCATGAAAAATTTGTATACAAATAATCGTGGTTTTCACTCACCTTTACTTTATAATGGGTTGAATTAAGAATCAAAATTTCCCATAAGTACAGATAATATTCGGCATGGAAAGGAAAGATCCTTACATCATTATATTCTGTTGTTAAAACTGCATGGGATTTAAACAAAGCAGGACTGATTGAGCTGAGTTAGTATAATAGTAATAAATTTATGTGGGGGAAAAAATAGGATACCATACAAATCTATAGTGGAAGAATAAGAGTTGTTTTGCCTAGATGTCTTGAGGACTGGATTTTGTCTACATAAGCAGATAGAAATTTTTAAAAATTACACAACATAAAAGTTATAGCAAATCAGATTATATATGAATAATTAAAGATATTGCTAATTGTATTTAAATATTCACACCTGAAAAGTGAATGTCTCAGAAAGGACACCTCATTCTTAAGTTCCCAAAGTTTTTGAGTTAAAGTCTATATACAAAGCATGTGTCTAATTTTATATGTTCATCTTACCTTTCATAAGAGAAACTACCACGTATAATAAGGAATTATGAATTCCTTATTTAGCATTAGTGTCTTTCTGTCAATAAGAACGCTACAGTAGACCCAAACAAATGTACCTTTATCTTAGTATTTTCTTCCTTAATGACCTTAATCTGTCTCCTTGACTTCAGCCATCCCCTTTCACAGCCACACCCTGGGTCTTGTCATCATCACATAGTTCTTCACCTCATTAGACTTCATCAGCTCATTCTCAGATGCAATCATTTCCTCTCCCTCTAATTTTCTACCCATGTATCCCCACTGTACCACTGTACCTACTCTTCAACATCTTTGAACATTCATCCTTTGCCCCAGCCACGTTCTCCCAATGTATCAGCCTATTACAGCTTCAGTAATTTTCTTTCCTGTGACCCTGTGAATAATCAGCTTAATTACATCTCATCAGCAACTTCAGATTTCACAATCCTGCATCCTCTTACTATTGCCTCCATGAACATAGTCAACTGAGAACCCTGCTAATACTCCATTTTTTCAGCTATGACACTAAGGTTGCTAATGGCAATTAGAGAAAAACACACACAAATATATTCTGCTGCCATCCCAAATGTATGACCCCCACAATCTCAGCAGAACTATTAACAGCAATCCACATACTAATTCTTGGTTGGCTCCTTCTCTTGTCCCACTGCTACCCTAGTCACTCTTAAGCAAATGCTTTTACCCTCTATTTCACAGAGATTGGAGACTACAATTTGCTCAACTAAGATTTTTTTTTTTAACAACTGCACCACCTTTTATTCTGTTTCTTGCAGACTCAGGATGACATAACATCTTTATTCAAGACTAATCCTCTTCATGACTTTCATCATCATAGTCACTCTCCTCTTTCTTCAAACATAACTTCTCTTGGGTTTTCTCATAGCTAAAGTCAAAGTTATTTCCATCAAAGTAAATCTGCCAACCCCAAAACTCTCAGTCAACTGTCACCACTGTGCAATATGATAGCCACTGGTCACACGAGGCTATTTCAATTTAAATTACTTACAGTAAATAAAATTTAAGTCTATTTCCTCGTACACACTAGCACTCTTTCAAGTGATCAATAGCCATATGCAGCTAATGGCTGCCATGCTGGACAGTGTAGGTATCAAACATTTCATCATCATGAAAACTTGTACTGGACATTGCAGGTTTACATCCTCTAGTATCATTCTCCCATCTGTTCTTTTCTCCACAGCCAAACACTTCTTTAAACAACAATTTACACTCACTGTCAAATTTCTCTTTTTTTCTTTCTTCTTTTTAGGCAAGGTCTTGCTCTGTCACCTAGGCGAAAGTGCAGTGGTGCAATCACAGCTCATTGCTGCCTTGACCTACTGGGCTCAAGTGATCCTCCCACCTCAGCACCCCTCTCCCCTCCTCCGAATAGCTGGAACTAAAGGTATATGCCACTATGCCTGGCTAATTTTTTAATTTTTTTCTAGAGACAGAGTCTCACTATGTTGCCCAGGCTGGTCTCAAATTCCAGGGCTCAACTGATCCTCCCGCCTGGGCCTCTTAAAGTGCTGGGATTACAGGTATGAGCCACCATACCTGGCCTCTCAAATTCTTTACTTTTAAATTTCTTCATCCTTCACCTACTCCCTGATCCCCAATCTAGCCAACAGCTTACAAACGTGTCCAACTTGGCAAAATAAAAATTAAGTTCCATCTCCGCTCCCTAGCATACCTCAAACTGCTGCTCTTCCTCCAAGGTCCCTGTGTAAAAGTCTCCATCAAGCTCCCCAGCTACCCAACCCTGAAACCTAGGACTTTTCCTCAACTCTCCCCTCGCTGTCATAGCTAACAGGTGGCAGTCACAAAGTGACTGCAGACATTACCTACACAGAATCTCTGTCCTTTCCTCTTCACTCCTAGTACCACTGCCCTGGTTTTCATCACCTCTAGACTAGACTACCGCAACTGTCTCCTGACCTTCCTGCCTCTGGTCTCAGTCCCCTATCATCTCGCTCCACACCATCAACAGGTTCTTTCTGATATGCAAATCTGACCACGTTACTTCCTACTTAAAATCTAGATTCCTCAGCATGAGATACAAGATCCAAAGAATGATATTTGCTTATTTTTCCAGCTGCTTTCCCATAAACTCCATTAGCACTCCCCACAAAGTCATCCCAAATTAACCCATGATCTAAGTTAAAACAGTGTGCTCATGAGAAAACACGAGTCCCTACCTCCCCCTGCCAGCTTGCCTACCCCTCACAGGTCTTTCCTATTAAGAGAGGCTGGAACTGCCACATCCTCCAGCCCTCCGGACAAACTTTAAACTCCGCACCCACATCATGATCATTCATGCTGGAACGATTACTTTTCTTCTGTGCAAAATGTCCCTTCCCTGCCCACATCCAGAATACTGGCCGTAATTCTCAATAGCTATAATAGAATGTCAACACTAAACTGCTCATATGATTTCCAAAATTTATAGATCTGCTTTAATATACCAATATAAAATATTCATACCACAGGCCCTTGTCAGGTAGTAAAACTTGCAAGTGTCTCTCCTATCTAGTCCCTAATAAATGTCCAGCTGGTATTTAGGACAGGGTATATTAAGCTCTATCACTGAATTAGATTACTGGAAAGCTATATACTTGAAAATATCAACCTGACCAAAGGTTAATCTGTTTTCTGTCCCAACATATCTGAGGAATAGGACATATCCCTGCTGGAAGCACAGCCCATAACATCCTTCAACATCCTATATGTAAATTAAACAGTAATGGCACTATTTTTTAACTGGAAAGGAAGGAATCATGGCATACCCAATGAATGTGCATTTCTATGTGTGTGTGCATATGCGCACACGCACGCACGTGTGTTTACGAACAATGGAGGAAGAAGAGAGATAAATAAGATTCCTAATTGAAAATCTGTCTCCCAGGTGATTCTAACACAAAGGAAGAAGTCTCTTTTGAGCAGCACTGGCACAGACCATCACAGAATCACCATCAATAAGTTAGCTCATGCCCTTAAATTTGTTGACAATATAATAGAAATGACAACTGTGAAACTCATCCTAGGAACTCAGCTTACAATGTCCTTCAACACACTATGTTTAAAGTCTTGCAAGGTGACTTTCAGAATTTGAGAACATGAAAAATTCCTCTGAGGCAACATGGTATTCTTCTACTTCCAGTTGTGATAGCTATGAAAAACTGTGCCCATTTTTACCTTGACTGACAGAAGGTTTACAACTGTTGGCATTTTCCTTAAAATCTAAAATGTATTTTTTCCTTCTCAGTTTTTTGCCTGAATTTGAATCTTATCACCAACATTTATTGGCTAGGTGACCTTGGGTGACTTCTTTAACTTCCTCTATGCCTCAAATTTCTGCATCTATAAGTGTAGTTAATAGTACCTACCTTTTAGGGTTATTCTGAGAACTACATGAGACAACACAGGGAAGGTGCCTGCTGCCTAGTGAGAATACCAGAATGATCAGCTGTTAACAGCCATTTATATTTTATTTGGAATATTTGCAAGGTAAAAGCCACCTCTGATTTTTTTAAAAACAAGTAAGTTACAAAGAAGTACTCCTGGTTACAAGCCTCCATATGAATATGATATTCACATCAGGAAATAAAGCTACCCCATGCACCCTGCACTGCTAAGACAGATTATACCTAGAGTGGAGTATTTGTTCCATGCAAGCTGTCATTCTTTAAGACACCTCCAAAACTAAATTCATTTATTTACTTGCTCTTTCCGTAAGTTATTGAACCTAAAACTCAATATGTCAGAAACTACACTCATGATATCCCCTACCAACCCCCCAGTCGAGTCCTCCTACCCTTCTTACTGAACAACTCCAACCATCCAGAAACCCAGGCCTTAATTCTTGGTATCTGTCATCCTTCATGTTCAATCATTCATCAGATTGAGTCAGCCTCCTTCCTCATTCTCTCTTCAATCATTCGCTTTTCTACTTCCACTGCCAAAACCTTACTCAAGGCTACTTTTGTGCTTTGGGTGTACAGCCCTACTCAAGTCCCCTCTCATCCCATGCCACCCATCAACCAAAGTGACCTTTTTAAAGACAAAACTGGTCATCTCATATCCTTGCTTCAGCCTATCAATGGTTTGCCATTTTTCTTAGCAAAAAGGAAATGTCCCAAGCCTTAACATATAGCCTTAAGTGGCCCTGCATGATCTGAGCCTTGTTAACACCCAGTCTTTCCCCTAGCCTAATCTCATTCTCCCCTTACTAACCCACACCAGGCTTCTTTCCAGTTTTTAAGCAGACAGCTGCTCCAGTCTCAGGGCCTCGTGTATGTGCTTCCCATGTCCCATCACCCAGCCAAAGTCCACTCACACATGAGGTTTCTGCTTAAGGATCACTTCCTCCTAAGCAGAGTCCTCCTGTTAGCATCCTGACTTTTTCCTGCAGAGTAGTAATCAAAATTCACTAACTGCAGAATTAGCTTTTCCACTCTGCCTTCTCAACTAAAACATAAGCAGGGGCATCTCTGAGGGCAGAGTCACGTCCTCACCGTTTACGGTTAGAGCCTCAGCAGCGAGCACGCTGGTTTGTACACAGGTAGTGGGATTATTTTTAATTGTAGTAAAAAACACATAACATAAAATTTGCCATTTTAACCATTTATTAATATACAGTTGAGTAATGTAAACTACATTCTCATTGTCCAACAGAGCTCTAGAACTTTTACATCTTGCAAAACTGAAACACTACCCATTAAACAATTCCTCAACTCCCCCTCCCCCAGCCCCTAGCAACCACCATTCTACTCTTTGTTTCTATGAGTCTGACTACTTTAGATACCTCATATAAGTGGAATCCTATAGTGCTTGTCTTTTAGTGACTGCTTTAACTCACTTAACATGGTGTCCTCTAGGTTAATCCATGATACAACATGTGACAGGATTTCCTTCTTTCTCAAGGCTGAGTAGGTATTGATATGTACATACATATTCCATTGTATGTATACACCACATTTTCTTTATTCACCCATTAATGGACATTTATGTTGCTTTCATCTCTTGGCTGTTATGAATAATGCTGCAATAAACATGGGTAAACAAATATCTCTTCAAGACCTTGCTTTCAATTATTTTGTATATATACTCAGAAGTGGGACTGCTAGATCATGGAGTTCTTTTTTTTTTTGAGATGCAGTTTCGCTCTTGTTGCCCAGGCTGGAGTGCAATGCCACAATCTCGGCTCACTGCAACCTCTACCTCCCGGGTTCAAACGATTCTCCTGCCTCAGCATCCCAAGTAGCTGGGACTACAGGCGCATGCCACCATGCCCGACTAATTTTTGTATTTTTAATAGTAGAGACGGGGTTTCACCATGTTGGCCAGGCTGATCTCGAGCTCCTGACCTCATGATCTGCCCGCCTCAGCCTCCCAAAGTGCTGGGATTACAGGTGTGAGCCACCATGCCCGGCCACTAGTTCTATTTTTAATTTTCTGTGGAACTTCCACACTGTTTTCCAGAGTGGTTGTATCAGTTTACCTTCCTACCCATAGTACACAGCATCTCCAGTCTCTCCACATCCTTGCCAACACTTGCTATTTTCTATTTTCATGAGAGTGGAGATCCTTATAGGTGTGATATAACACACACGTAATAAATAGCAGTTAATGTCTACATATACGGAGGCTATACAGATAAGTAAGTCATGGCCTCTACCCTCGAGGAATTCATAGAATAATGGGGAGAAAGAGTAACAAACAAGGTGTGTACTAAATGTGTAGATGACAGACAGAGGGAATTGCCAACTCCTACATCCAGTAGGCAATTAAGAATATGAGTCTGAGATTCAGTGAAAGCTGAATTGACATAAATTGAGAGTTGTCAAAATAAAAAAACAGTATATCCTACTATCTAAATAAATACTACTAAATACTACCTTTTCTTATGCAAAACTAGTATTTCAAAAATATCAGATTTCTTTTCTTTTTTTTTTTTTTTTGAGACAGAGTCTCACTCTGTCATCCAGGCTGGAGTGCAGTGGCGTGATCTTGGCTCACTGCAACCTTTGCCTCCTGGGTTCAAGTGATTCTCCTGCCTCAGCCTCCCGAGTAGCTGAGATTACAGGTGCCCACCACCATGCCCGGCTAATTTTTGTATTTTTAGTAAAGACGGGGTTTCACCATGTTGGCCAGGCTGGTCTTGAACTCCTGACCTCAAGTGATCCGCCCGCCTCGGCCTCCCAAAGTGCTGGGATTACAGGCATGAACCACCACGCTTAGCCCAGATTTCTTAATGTAGTATATCCTATGCCTACTAAGAGAACATGTTATTCTACATATTGTACAACATACTGAATTGTCCCTCTACTTTACAAAGATTATATTATATGCTCCTATGAATCTACCAGTATGTGATCTCAAAAAAAGGAGGTAATCCTAGCCAAATTCCCACCACTTTCTCTTTTGCAGCTTTTAGGACAAACAGAAGAGCACATAATTGGAAACATTATCAAGACCACCTTATAATTTACAGTCTAAAAAACCTAGTTTATTCAGTCAAATGTGCTATTACGTCTGAAAACAGTACTCTAAACAGAGTTCTATTAAGAATACTCATGTAGTATTCAGCAGGCAGGCATGTAATTTAACTGTCTTTAGTCTAAACAAAGAATTAAACCACAAATTAGATATCAAGTATTTAAAGCTAAGCAAGTTGAGAAAACTTAAAGTATATATAATTATCACTCTTATTATCTTATATTTCATTAGTAGGACATGTAAATACTAACAACGATAGCAATGTAGGCAAATAAAATTCACACTTCTGTTCTTCTATTGATTGCTCTGTTCTGCTGACTGTGATTTGAATGTTAGATCATGGAGAGTAATCCCTTTCACTGTGACCAAGTGTTCTTGGTATCCTCAGACAGAATCGTTCCAATGTGCCGCCTTCCCTGCCTTTCAGGTATGCTTTAATACCTAGCATACAGGTGACTGCACAATATGAGCAGATGTGACCAGCTTCTTTACTTATTTAGTACCGAAAGGCCAGACTGAGTGATTGAGAGCCAAAAGTGATTAAAATAATACCATTTATTCTGTGTTCTCTTTATGCCAGAACATCACTTTTCCACTGATGACATTCTATTCTGTCTGCTCATGATGTAAGTGCAAAGCATGTACACATATGCATGCACACACACAAATACACATACACCAAAAAGCTACAGGTGGTTTCTCTCTACACAAGATAGTTTTTCAGTATTTACCAAATTTCACAGTGAAGTCATAATAAACACCTAAGTTATTTTAAAGCTAAATTTTAAACTGAGATAAACTGGTTAATAAAAAAATACAATATGTTCTAAAAAGATAAAAATAAACTTGAAATCACTTACTTTCTGCTCAGGGCTTTCCTGAAACAAAAGTCCAAAGTAGTCTTTCTCCAAGAGATTGAGGTGTTCACACACTTTGTCAAATAACACTTGTCCCTTGGCATGTTTCTGGAGAAAAAATAATAACTTTACTTTTCAAGTACTAAAGATTCCAAGACTGCTATAAATTTAAGACATCATATCAGATACATGATTTATTATAAATTAACATTAAATATTTGTTTTCTCATTTTCTAACAATATAAAAGTGATTAATTTTTTAACTTTAGCCCTCCCACCCTGCACACATATACAAAGCATAAAATCTGAAACAAAAGCATAAGCAAGCACCGTCTGCTTTACTGCTACTCAATATAGACATAAAAAGGACGAAAAAGGCGAAATGTTAGCTGTTCATTTTCTTATTTCAAAAATGTTCAAACTGCTTCCATCAATTCCTCAAGGTGGCTCATATCTATAAAGTACACTACTCCCCAGGAAAATCATTTAGCCCTATTATTCAGTAGATCCTAACATAATTTATCCTATCAACACTTTGGTTTCATGTTTGATTTTTTGTTCCATGATATCTGTAGAATAGAATTTTATTTTCTATATGAGCTATGCTCCTATTTACAATTTCCTAGAAAATGATATGGTGTTCGCTCCTTGGGATAAATTCTAAAAATACAAGATAATGGAAGTGGGACAAGAAATCAACTGCCCCTAAGGACTTAACATATTTTTACCTTGAATATATATATATAAATTTAAGAAGCTGCTGTGAACAGAGATGTAAGAGCCTTTGACAGCCAT
The DNA here is from genome assembly GCF_000001405.40 of Homo sapiens. NCBI lineage: Eukaryota > Metazoa > Chordata > Mammalia > Primates > Hominidae > Homo > Homo sapiens. Next base: position 130,927,397 of record NC_000006.12, read on the forward strand.
AGAAGAAAAGCTCATTGTCTCTTCAATGGCAAAACATAAGCAGAGTGGTGACTCATCTCCAATTAAGATGCACACCCCTGGAACAACCCAACTGTGAGGTCAGGTCAGACACACGCCTCCTCCCCAGGTGCACTGATAAAAGCCACCAATGCACTGCTAGTGAAAAAGAAAAAGCCATCAGACTTTTCCATCCTCAAAACGAATGCCCTCTCACTATCAAAATGTGTACTAGCTCATCCAGTGTGTGAAAATTAATGTTCCCCACACATGTATCTTGAGGAGGAGAATCTGGTATTTTTATTATTAAGCCTCTTATGGTAACATTTCTGAAAAGAATAGAATTGCATCAAATTGTAAAGGGAAGAAGGAGAATGCCACACAGATAACATTATTTCAACATAATAAGCAGTGTAAGGCCTGGCATGGTAGCTCACGCCTGTAATCCCAGCACTTTGGGAGGCTGAGGCAGGCATATCTCTTGAGCTCAGGAGTTCAAGATCAGCCTGGGCAACATGGTGAAACCTCATCTCTACAAAAAATACAAACGTTAGCCAGGTGTGGTGGCGTGTGCTTGTAGTCTCAGCTACTCCGGAGGCTGGGGTGGAAGGATTGCTTAAGCCTGGGAGGCTGAGGCTGCAGTGAGCTGTGTTCACGCCACTGCAATCCAGGCTGGGTGACAGTGAGACCCTGTCTCAATAAATAAATACATAAATAATAAAAAATTTAAAAATAAAACAATGTGTCACATACATATTACAGGTTTGCAATGAGGATTTAATAGTCAATTAAATTACTGAGCATGTTTAAGATAGATATGTGCTTGTTTGTCTACATATTAAAAGTATATACAAATACAGCATAGAGAATAAGAGTATTGGGCTCTGTATGTCAAACACCAAAGTTCTAAATACACTTCCACTACTTACAAGCTATGTGACCCATGGCAAGACACTTAACGTCTGCTTGCCTTAATCTGCTCATCTGTGAAATGGGGATAACAGATAGCAGATACCACAGGAGGTGCGGTGAGTACTAAAAGAGTTGCAGTACATAACAATTGGTTATGATGCTATTTGAAATTAGGGTAAAAAGGATATTTAAGACAACTGATGTCTACAAAAATACACCTCAGTTCAAGGAGAAAACACGTTCCAATTCCAACACTAGCTTCAAGTCAACTCTTACTAATAATTCACATGTTCTCATTGGTTTCCATTTCAAAAATAGGAACATGCCCTCATGGGCAGAATTTCCTTACAAGATTAAGAGGAAAAAACATCCACACAGCTCACCACTACAATTTGGCAGTACATGAGGTATCAGCATGATGGCTGGACCAGTTCCTCTATCGGACCTAGTTCCTCTATCATTCAACATTTTGTAAGCATTTACTATTACTGCACCGCACCAGTGTGACAAAGTAAAACCACTTAAGTCTCCCTGTCTGTAAAATGAGGGTAATAGCTACCTCAGAGCTCACGTGAGAATAAAATTAACCCAGTGAGATGGAATATGCCTCAACCAACCATAGCAGTACTCTACTGTCAACTATTCCTTCACTAGTCCACATCTAACAAACACCAAAATGTTTCTAGATGCTAAAGCTGCTTCTCTACTATTCTTTCCTTCTCTCTCCAGGGAACAGATATTCTCAATGCTTGATGAGATCCTGATTGCACATACACATTACTTAAGCTTCCATCTGCCTCTCCACCCTCAACGAACTCAAAATCTGGAAGGAAAAGCAAAAATGCAACAACACATGAAGCACATGTTGAGAGAGCGATGTACAAAGTGCTATCAGAACACCAGGAATGGAATGAGTAAATGTGACTAACAGAAATCACAGCTGCGCCAAGAATATGATATCTGAAGGGAATCTTAGAGGAGGAAATGATTTTTTGAGGTAGAGAAAACAGATATTCAAAATAACTTACTTTTTACTTTGGATGTTTATAGAGCTTACTTTTTACTTCGGATGTTTATAGAGACTGAGTGAATTTCTGTTCAAAAGATACTGGAGGATACAGTAAAATGAAAAAAGGAAGCCATCCAGAATAAACAAGCCATGCGATATGACTGCTGGTTACCCTGTCCGACTCTCAGATGACTGTGAGGACTTGCCAAGCTAGCACTCAATCTTTATTGACCCATATGTGTCAGTTCCTATGTTAAGATACCAGGGAATCAATGATGAGCACGACAAACATGGTCTCAGGAAATTTATATGCAACTGGCAGAGAAAGAGAATGAATGGGAAGCCAAAAATAAAGCATTATGTATCTACCAATTTGGACATAATTAGGTACCTGGCCCAATTGGCTCAAAGAAAAGTGACCAGTAGCCTACAAGATAGCCTGATACAAGAGCTCTGCACAACAACAATCTTTTGCTCTGGGGATGAGGAATAGCAGATAGAATCACGACTTCCCTCAGGGAGATTAAATACAAGACAGACAGTCACACACACACACACACACACACACACACACACACACACATACACGCACAGTCATAAAGTGGTATAAACAGTAGGAAAGACAGCGAGAAGGCAATTAGCAGAAGCCAAAGGTATCACGAGGCCAACCTATATTTGCCAAAGTTATTTTCCACTGGTCCCACTCATCCCATGAGTTATATACACCACTCATTCCCAAAAAGAGCAGCAGAGTGAGACAAGAAAAATTCTCCTTGTTGCATATGATTACTGAGCACCAAAACACCTATTTGTATAACAGACACCCTGAGGAGTCCTGCAATGCAAAAACCCTGTTTCCCATTATTCCTTTCACTTGGGAAACCTGATGTTTCCCAAAACTATTTAGCAAAAGAGCCCACTATTTTTTAATACAACATTTACTAATGTATTCTACAACAGAATTTTTGTTTTAAAGACCACACCTCACTAAATGAGGTAGGAAAGAATTACAGGTTGAGCATCCCAAATCCAAAAACCCAAAATATGAAATGCTCCAAAATCCAAAAGTTTTTTAACGCCAACATTATGCTCAAAGAAAATGCTCATTGGAGCATTTCGGATTTCCAATTTCTTGATTTGGAGTGCTCAAGTATTACAAAATCTGAAAAAACTTGAAATACAAAATATTTCTGGTCCCAAGCATTTCAGATAAAAGATACTCAACCTGTACCACCATCTGACTCTAACGCAGATGTAGACACTGGTATTCACATCTGTTTGATTCAAAAATGCCAAAAGATAATCCAGTTTAAACTGGTCCAAGATTAGATATGCCCAGCTGCCTGGGAGAAGCAAGAAATTCTCATAGACAAAAATCTCAAAAAACATACATTAAAAATCACAAAACGACAAGGAAACCAGACACCATTATTGAGAGACACAGTATCAGAATCAGATCTTCAGAGACTGCACATAGTAGAATTATCAAGAACAAAACACAAAATATATATGTTTTATGTGTTTATAAGAAATATTTTAAAATATGACTAAGGAAAAAGTGAATATGAAAAAGCAGGTTTTGAAAATAATCAAATAAAACACCTAGAAATGAAAACTATAGTAACTAAATTATAATCCAAATGGACAGGATATGACAAAGCTGAAGAGAAAACCAGTGAACTGGAAGATAGATCTGAAAAAAACTATCCAGAATGTGGCTGAGAAAGACAAAGGGAAGGACAATATGAAAGAACTTCACAGACATGGAGAACAGAATGAGGGGTCTACAAATATCTCATCAGAGTCCTAGATGGAGATGAGAGAGAATAAGGGAAAGGCAATATTAAAAGAAACAACGCTATAAAACTTCAAATTAAGAAAGCTCAATGAATCCCTAGCAAAATTAATAAAATTTATTAATCTACAATGATTTTATTCTACTAATTTATTATTTATACTCAACATATAAAAGGTTCTAACACGCATTATTTTTTTAAATAGCTATAATAAAGTCATCAAGACAAGAGGGAATGAAACATAAGCTAGGGAATAAAAAGAAGGACTGAGAAGGAAAATTGTAACAAAAAAACACAGAAAAGTCACTCCTAAGAAACCTAAAACAGATGTGCTTTGGAGGCTTATTCAAAAAGGCAAACAAAATAAGTAGTACATTTCTTCTTATATTCTAAAAAGCATCAGATTATCAGGTGACACATATTAAATGCTACATATGAATGTTCCAAGTTATAACATTTATAGCACTAATGTTCAATCAAACTCGATTGGGTCGGCTCAGACAGCAACACCATCTAGTGGCTCACAACTTTGTCTTCACACTGTTCACAACACATTCCATAAATAATAATTCTCTTTGGGGTGGGGGTGAAGAACCAAGGCACAATGCATAATGGTAGCACATAAAAATGTACAGGGGCATGTAAGTTGAAATTGTTCCTCAAAATAGTTCTTCCTTTCCCCCGAGATTCTGGTATGTTCCATCTTTCTTGAGAATCACCAATTCTTAACAATACGGAAGAAAAGTACTGCAGTATAATCACAGTGTCCTGGGCTTGACCCCCAGCCCTACTCTTAACAGCTCTGTAACCACAGTAAGTTACGTAACTTCTCTATGCCTCAGTTCCGCTCTTTAAAAGTACCCACCTTATAATGGTGATGAGATAATTAAATGAAGTATGTTTAAAGTGATCAATAAAATGTTTGGCTTATTACATGGATTCATTAAAGCCAGCTGAAATTACAAGACCTTTTTGAGCTGCTCTAAAATAATAATTGATTTTAAATATGATTTTAAAGTTTTCCATTATCTAATCAAACTTTCTTATTTCACAAATAAGAAAAATAAGGTTATAGAAAGTTTATCTAATTTTTCAGTCTGATTTCTGAATTTCTTTTAAAATAATTAAATTATTATGTATGCTCTTAATATACACTAATATTCCACACTTCTATCCAGGAAAGTAATTTTCTTCCATTAACATTGCTTTTAAAAAAAAAAAAATCAACAACTTGAATTCTACTGTATAAAAAGGACTACAAATATACATTTGTTAACCAAGCAAAATATACACATAATTTTGCTTCATAACTTTCACCTAAGATACCAGTACACGTAGTTGCTTCATTAGTTGTCACAGCAATTTTGGGGTATTGCCCCAGATAAAGAGAACCACTTACTGACTTATCAAGACATATTCTAATTTTTTTCCTCTGATTTATTTACAAGTGTCAAAACTACCTCTACTTGTATACAAATCTCCAAAATATCCTTCCCTATGAAGCCTGTTCCAATCTCTCAATATTGCATCATTCTCCTTCAAGAGCATTATTCACATCTATGGCACTTATTCTTCTATTCTACTCCTTTTGATACTTATTACTTTCAGATACTGAGTTCTTTAAGAAAGAGGACATCTTACTTCAATGCCTCCTACTGAGTAATTAGCTGACTAGTAGGCCAAAAGATAGCTGCTGATGGAACGGCTCAATGCCATAAGGCCAGTCAAAAAGTTGGCAGAGTTGAGTCTAGAATTCAGGCCTGCTGGTTTCTTACACAATCTTCCTTACCTAGCTGATGGACTACCAACCCATAATGTTCAAGGACCTAAACCAAACACACACTGCCAACTAGTTTCTGGGAGAAGACCAGCACAGACCAACACTTCATTTTCACAATTCTACATTATGCTTATACTCTTCCTTAGTAAACTAGGGCATTTCCAAATACATTTTGGGAACTAGAGGGAAAAAGCCAATCTGCCCCTTCCTCTTAAGAGTAGGCCATACCTCATCTTTATGCAGAAAGGACAGGGGGTTTCCTAGTCTTGCACATTCCTCCACTAAGACATCACTTTCGCTGTCATTTCTTCTTGCTATCTGAAGCATGCCTTTGCTTTGTTTCTGTTCTTACAGTAGAATCTTCATAAAGTACAATCCGAGTCAATCTCTATTCTAATAATATGATATCAAGTTTATTAAACAATAAAAACCATGCAACTGTTAATAAAACTTGCCAAATACACTTCAAAAAGAAATATTTTGAATATAACTTTCTATATTAAATATCAACAAGCTTAGCTATCTATTTTTCGTCTGTCTGCCTCTCCCTAACCCTACTTATACCACTCACTAGCAATATAAAGTTAACGGGTTGAAAACTTTAAAACAATAAACAAAAAAAGCCCTTTGGTCTACTTTCCAGGTATCAGAGTTTTAGTTTTTTTAAAAACCTATATATTATAGATACCCACAAAAGAGAGACAAAACAAGACAATTTGGATGGGCTCAAAATACATTATTCAAAAATTAGAATGCTAGCTTTTGGGAACTTTCATTTAAAAAGAAAAAGAGTAAATGAAATCTACTGCAGATGCAGCCCAAGGAAGGCAGGCTGGAATCTGAGAGGCTGAGCAAAGTCCCCCATGCCTGTGCTGTTATTTGTGGCATTCAACACTGAGGCCAAAACATGACATTTCTGGAGGCCTCTCAACTTGGAGGAATTTGTGCAACTGCTTACCCGGCAGATTGTAGTGAATGCCACACACCACTGGCGTTTTATAAACACCATCACTGTCTCCGTGTAGGGCCCTCCACACTGCAGTTATTGTGTGCTGAGGAGACGATGATGGGAAGCGCACAATGCAATCTATACATTACAGCCCTGAAGCTATGTATTTTGCACTAGCTCCAAACAACACTATGCAAATATAAAAGGCCAAGGAAAGAAAGGTATGCACAGAGCAAACACAACAACTGATACATTGTTGGGGGAGGAGGATGGGAATCCAATAAAACCATACGGAAGAAGAGAGAGTGTCTCAAATCCAAGGCTGTGATTTATCAGATAATTATTTTCTTACCAATCTAAGGGAGCTGTCAACACATCTCTTTCCCAAAGTTCATTCAAACCCCAGGAAAAAGAAACCCTGGTCAATTTTGTGTGTGTGTTAAAAACATAATTCCAGTAGTAAATGAGACATTGATATAGTAAAGGAAGATTCTTAAGAAAAGCTTCCCTGATCATTAGTAAGAATTAAGTTTGAAAACGTTTTTTCCAAATACTCAAAAAAGATACATATTATATATAATATACAAACATATGCATGTAGATACATAAATATAGAAGACATATACATAAATACATATTTCTCTTTTCTAAGAGATGGGGTCTTGCTCTGTTGCTGAGCCTGGAGTGAAGTGGCACAATCCTGGCTCACTGCAGCCTCAAACTTCTAGGCTCAAACGATCTTCCTGCCTCAGCCTCCTGAGTATCTGAGACTACAGGTGCATGCCACCATGCCTGGCTAATTTTTAAAATGTTTTGGTAGAGGCAGATGGGGTTTCATCATCTTACCCAGGCTGGTCTCTAAAACCTCTGGGCTCAAGCAATTCTCCCACCTTGGCCTCCCAAAGTGCTGGCATTACAGGTGTGAGCCACAGCACCCGTCCCTTTCTTTTTGTTTTCTTTTTTTTTTTTTTTTGTAACTGAAAAATTTTTTTCAAACTTAATTTTCATTAATCAGGAAAACTTTGTATATACGTATACAAGTAAACAGTTAAGATAGATAAGAGATTTACGTAAACATGTTGGATTCTTACAACATATTTTTCTTGTATACTATTCCTTAGAGAATAAACCAAAAAAAGGAAGGGAGGGAGAAAGGAAAACTTCTCACAGTTCATTAAGGATTGCCACATCTTTTCCATTCCACAGGATTCAAAGGATTATGACAGAATATTGGGGGAATTTTGCAGTGTTGTTGACAGGAATGACACAAAATACCATTCAATGTAGTTTCAGTTGCTAAAAATTAAAATTAAAAAGCTGCTGCTTAGAAAAACACACACTAGACTAGAACAGACTGCAAAGATACCCTCCAGTAACTGTAACCTGCAATCATTTAAAAGGAAATCCTAGTAAAGCTATAAGCACACAGGTTCACCTTTAATAAAATCACATAGATACTTTGACTCCTTACTTGCCCTTCTTACTTGTTATATAAGTAAGGCCCTTATTTCATGAGCACGATGCTTCCAAGCCCATCAAGTCTAAGAGCAGTATTCAATGGAATGTTCTTCCACCCCAGTCTGCTGGGTTTTGAAATATTTCAGAATTCTTAACTGAGCATATAATTAATCTCATAAGCAACTCGGTAAGCTTAAACAAGATGCAAAAATATATTTCATTTTTATGCTATGTGGAAAATGGCACCAAAAAAATCTGAAATCCTGCTACCAACATTATTAACACAAAAAAACCCACTGTCAATAACAGTTGAAGTCTATGATATGGCCCCTTTTTTTAAAAAGAAAATAAATGCTAATTTTTAGTTTTAAACAATATCAACCTTTTAATATCTCATTCATAACTACACACGAATTTATTTCTTAGGCAGTTGTAGTTTTTATCTCCTGCAGCCCAGAAATTTTCAATAGTTTTCAAGACACAAGAATCAGCTAGTAGACTAGGGTGTGCCCACTTGGAGGACTTCTATCTCCAAACAGGTATGCAGAAGGCTATTCCAGGAACCAATTCCCACTCCTCACATTTACATTCTAGCTCCACAACAAACCCAAAGCCAACCTCTGGAATGAAGATGCAGAAAACCTCAAAAAAGCCCCCAGAGCAATGGATCTTAAAGCTTGCTAAGAAAACCATATTTGATGACATGTAAATACCCACAAATTTTATACAAAAAAAGTTTTTTTGCTTAAACAAGACAATAAACACCTCTGTCAGTTCTAGTATGTCAGTTGCTCAGCCATTCATAAAATACAGCCCTGCAGGCATTCCATAAATGCCTTCCTTTGGTAATAAAAGTTTAATGGAATAGTATTCTAGCTTATGAGGAAGAATTATCTAAATCTTCATTTGCTCTAAGTAAACAGCTGCTAAATAGCCTGCTAAATTTGCAACTTCTTATCTGCAAAAAACAAATATTTCTACTCTTAGAGTTTATTTCAGTGGGAAATAAGTTCACCTTTGACATTCTACATTTTTGTAACACAACTGGTTATAGCCAATGTCTCTCTTCTGACCCTCCAACAGAAGGGTAAGTCCTTGGACACTAGGGATTGGTTTATTCAAAATTACAAGATAAAATATACTATTTTTAAATCTTGTGGGGTTTTTCTTACTTGTAAAAGTACTAAATAGGGTTTAATTTTTCAGTCTAACCAAGTTATTTAAATTACAAAGACATTGCAAATATATAAGTGGCATACGTTTACATTAAGGCCCTTCTAAGCCAAATAGTGATAAAATACAAGAATACTAGAAATTTATCCAAGGCATACGACTTAAGTATTTTCATCAGAAATTTAAGAAAGCTGGTAAAATCCTGAGAAAAATATATAATCAGGATTTTAAAATATAATAACAATTAGAGTTAATATTTATCAAGCCCTTACTATGTCCTAGGCATTGCTCAAAACAAATCATAACCAAATTCAGCTATCGATTAGTTAGCAAACAGCTGTGAAGTAAAGGAACCCAAACATGCACTTAGTAAGACCTCCTACAGTCTTAACGTGAGGCCTCTCAAAGCAGTTCTTAACTCTGGCTGCACAAATGCTCCAGCCGGCATCAGACCCGCTGAATTAGAATCTACAAAAGAAGAACCTGGGCATCTGTAACTTTTTATTTAGACCAGTTTTAGGTTCGCAGCAAAATTGCGCATAAGGTACAGAAGTTTTCCATATATTCCCTGCTTTCACACATGCATAACCTCCCCCATTGGGATAATTACCAACATCCCACACAGTGGGTACATTTGTTACAACTGGTGAACCTCCACTGACATGTCGTTATCACCCAAAGTCCACAGTTTATGTCAGGGTTCACTCTTGGTGTCCTGCATTCTATGTGTTTGGACAAATGTACAATGACACGTATCCACGATGTATTATAGCATCATACAGAGTAACTTCATTGCCCTAAAAACCCTAAAATTTTTTTAAAAGCTTAACCAACAAATTTTTAAAAGCTTAACCATGAGGCAGTCAGCAAAGAGGATCCCTGTCCCAGCATTCAACTATCTGCCTGCATACTCCAAATCCATCAATTTTCAGTTTTCAATCTGGCCAGGCTACATCCCATGGTGTATATGTGCTCCTTTTGTCCCTTTCAAAGACCCAGATAGAAAAGCCAGGATAATAAATCAAATGCTCAATTATTCACTTAAAATGCTTTAAAAAAAAAATGATTGGCTGGGCGCGGTGGCTCATGCCTGTAATCCCAGCACTTTGGGAGGCCGAAGCAGGTGGACCGTGAGGTCAGGAGTTCAAGACCAGCCTGGCCAAGATGGTGAAACCATGTCTCTACAGAAACTACAAAAAATTGCCAGTTGCAGTGGCAGGTGGCTGTAATCCCAGCTACTCGGGAGGCTGAGGCAGAATTGCTTGAACCAGGACAGCAAAAGTTGCAGTGAGCCAAGATCGTGCCACTGCCCTCCGGCCTGGGTGACAGAGTGAGACTCCATCTCAAAAAGAAAAAAAAAAAAAAGATTAACACAGCCTGCTAAAATAAGATTTATCTGACAATCTTCAATGACAACTATATTTGAGTCTACCTTTGTGAAAGAAATCATCAGGTGGAAAAACACAAGACGACTGGAGATCCTACATCTTATCACAAGCCAGACCCATTGAAACTGTTCTTACCTCTATTAGCCAGGAGTGCTTATTCTTTTAAAAACTAACCAAAGTAGAAGACAAGTTACAATGCAGAATAATCTTATATCACTTAAACGCTTACTTTATTATGGTTGTAAAGCAGAGGGAGATAGGACGTGACACAAAAGGAGAGGTCTCGATGAGTTTCCTAACAACAGTAGTTGCCATATACTTCACCACCTGAATTTCTGATTCTTGAATTTGATGACAAGCAACTTCTAGGCAATCTAGGGAAAAATCCACTTCATTTTGAGATATCTCAGTTTTTAAACATTGATCTACTTGGGGCAACAGTGTTTCTATTCAATTTGACATTTTTTCCAAGTAAAAGTTTTTCATTCCTGGTGGATGACTAACAAAGTAAAATAAAAGACAAAGTGACAACAAGGTCTTTGTTCACCACTGGAGTGTGGAGGGAGGGGGACCTGGCTGGGTGAATCTTTAAGGTCTTGCTTGATTTAAAACACACATACACAAAAAATGCTACAACTATGTAAGGAGGAAACTCTGAGGCATCAGAAAGAACCTAGAATTCAGAAGCAGGAAAGTTAAGCAGCTTTGGGTGAACATGGCCCTGAACCGTGCCTTTCAAAAAGGCTGTACTACTGGTAGTGTGCCCACCTGATCCAAAGATGCCAAAAATCCAGCCCTCTAGCCTCCTCCCACCCCAAAATGCCTTTATTTTTTTACTTCTCTTGGCTTCAATAGTGAAATTCTACCACTAGAATTCGACCACTAGATTCTTTAGAGTAAACAGGTATCTTCTTTTAAAATACAGAGATCTCTTAGAAGGCAGTACAGGTAATTCACACACTAAAGTCATTCACTCAAACTGCTGATCCTCTGTTACTTAGCTGCTTATCTGCTAGATTTGAAAAAGTAGGGATTTTGTTTCCAGAGGAAGAAAAAGTAGGCAGGAAGCTTAGAACATTTTTTGTATTATAATACTATAAAGGAACACCTGGATATCATCATGGAACTAGTAACAAGAAAGTCTAACGGCGAAAAGCACCAAGAAATAGAAAAGTAAATCAGTGTGAAACCCAACCATGAACACAGGAATGAAATCTTTCCCCTTTACTGCACAGGCTCCAACCAGGGGCAGAGGAGACTAAAAATCCCTCATGATATCACCAATGCTTGGTCCAGAAATGTTTAATGAATAAAGCCACAAAACTATATATAATAAATAGTGACCCAAACCAAGTGAATAACAAATGAATTGCACCTATTTGCCAAAAACCCAAATAACTTTTTTTTTTTTTTGAGGCTGAGTCTCACTCTATCACCCAGGCTGGAGTGCAGTGGTGTGATCACCGCTCACTACAACCTCCGCCTGTCGGGTTCAAGCAATTCTCCTGCCTCAGCCTCCCAAGTAGCTGGGATTACAGGCGTGTGCCACCAAGCCCGGCTAATTTTTTGTATCTTTAGTAGAGATGTGGTTTCTCCATGTTGGCCAGGCTGGTCTCAAACTCCTGACCTCGTGATCCGCCCACCTCGGCCTCCCAAAGTGCTAGGATTACAGATGTAAGACACCGCGCCCGGCCCCAAATAACATATTTTAAGGAGAAAAGCATTTCTATCCTCTTTCATCTCCTAGGACCCACCCCCCAATTAAACACACATGCAAAATAAAACGGATTATCTAGACACCAGCAGGGAATACTAAAGCAACAAAATGAAAACTAATGAAAAGCATCTGCAAGAAAACAATGAACTATGTCAAAACAGATGCTACTAAAGCTACCACAATCAAAAGTCTTTTTAGAAGATATCCAGAGAGCCTAATGGTAACTTTGACATGTGCTATATTCAGGGGAAGAGTCCACTTTATTTTAGTATGTGACAAAACATGCTCATCGTTCAACTTTTATTAAGTAGAAAATAGACTTCCAATTAAAGATGGTAGAATGAACATGCACACTTAGCTCTGTTCCCTACAAAATCTGTTCTAAGACAATGCAGAGTGTACATGTTACTGTGTACATATGCACACGTGATTCTTCCCCCAATGCAAGGAACCTGGGAAAAGCAAAATTAGGATAAGCAGACTGAAAAAGGATAGGAGGTAGGATCAGTGCATTTGTATTTTATGCTTTCTTTCCCATGGGTGGGAATCCACTTCTCCATAGATTTAGCAGAAGCAAAGAGCTTAATTTATTTAAACCCCAATAAATACACTGGCTTTGCAAGATGAAGATTCCTAGTTAATGCCAAGCCAAAGAAAGCCTGGATCAAAAATGGCAACACTAGCCCTGTAAAGCCAGGAAAGTGGTTTGCCCTGAACAAATGTTTCTGGTACATTTTTTTTATGTCATCCTTGATACGCAAGGATATATTAAAACCTTTTCTTTCTTGTAACCCCCAATTTTTGCTTGGATGCTACTATTTAAGCAGTTTTAAAATGAAAAATGTAATAGGTTAGGTTAGGGTATAGCTGAGTTTTTCCTAAATATATCTTTTTTTTTTTTCTTTTGGGAGATGGAGTCTCACTCTGTCGCCCAGGCTGCACTGCAGTGGCATGATCCTGGTTCACTGTAGACTCTACCTCCTGGGTTCAAGCAATTCTTGTGCCTCAGCCTCCCAAGTAGCTGAGACTACAGGTGCCCCCTCACCATGCTCAGTTAATTTTTGTATTTTTAGTAGAGATGGGGTTTCATCACATTGGCCAGGTTAGTCTCAAATTCCTGACCTCAAGTGTGATCTGCCCGCCTCGGCCTCCCAAAGTCCTGGGATTACAAGCATAAGCCAGCGTGCTCAGCCCTAAATATATCATTCTTTGAAATCCAAAAGTTTCTCCTCAGTGAAGACATGCATACCGACTCCAGCCTATAGTAACTTGGCACTTCTGTGCTTTTGTATTACTTTTCAGAACTATAAACAATACTTTATCAATTTGACTCATATGTTTATGTATGTGGATATAAGTGTGTGTGTGTATAAACACCTGCTATTACTGTCTTATATGTAAAGCTTATCTCTGAAAGTAAAATTCATAAATAAAAGGAAAAATGATACTTCATACTTTTCTTTTTATCTTCTCAGCTCAAGTAGGAACCAAATCAATATCTGGGGATAAAAATTATTTCTGAACACATAGGATATATTTAAATAAATACTATTTTGAGAGGAAATTTGTAAAATAGTGTGAAAATATGACTTCCTTAACTTCTCATTTTTCTTAAAAATTATATACCATCACAAAGGGAGACTAGCAACCCTGTCATTAATTTTTTAAAAATGAAAACCCAGGATTTTTGTCCAACTTTTTCTACTACTCACTTTAAACAGCAAGACTTAGCTTAAGTCTCTAATGAATTATAATCTCTTTTAAAAGACGGAGAATTGACTATAACTGTTAGATAATAAAGAGGCTAGTATCGAACTTCTAGCCAGAAGCGCACACCAAATTTTTTTAAGTATCTTTCATAAAAGTTGCTAAGCACCATATTTCCATGAAAACTTATTTCAAAAACCATGAGCAGCAAACTTCTGTAGGCTAGCACATTCTCTGTAAACTATTTGCCTAGAATGAATTTTGACATTTGATTCATACAGGCTTTCTGTGCTACGGAAGAATAGCTTATCAGAGCAGTCCTATTTGATTCACTTGAAATTGTTGCTGACAGAAATCTGGAAGGAGATGTCAGTGAATACAACAAGTAGATGGTGGTAACACTCAGATTAAGTTTCCTCTCTGTGCAAATAACCAGACTGATGCACAAAATCAGGCTTAATCTCAAAACAGGCTAAAATGGCATATTCTGCAAATGAAGTACACTTATGAGATGTAGTTTGATTACTAGACAGAATGGAGCTTGTGCCCTCAGGTGCCTCTCCAGAATATAAGAGTCAAAACAAAATAAAAGATAAATTAATACTCCTAATCATAATTTTTCTAACACAGTTCAGAGTTGATGTATAACTCCATTGTAGAGCATAATTAAATAAATATTTAAATAGCAAACTGACAGATCATTTATGTCAGTGCTTTAATAATTTAGCCACCTTGCATCATAAAACTATTTTTCTGAATAATCCACGGATTTTTACAGACTGTATTTTATTATGTTATACCGCATTCAATCCCTTTAAGCTCCAAATGCTGGCATATTATGTTATAGTGCTATAAATACTAATGATAAATTCTGTCCATGTTTCCACTTGGCCACAGAGTATGTGCTCCTGCTAAGGGAATGGATGAATAGAATGCACCTAATTCCAGCTTTTGTGTGATAAATTAAACAACATTCACAGGTGGAGACAAGATTCTCAAATCCCTGTCCCCCATATCATGCCTGGCAGCTGGGAAGGTGGAGGTAGGATGAGGAAAGCAAATAATTGGTAAAATTTCCTGATAGCTGAAAAACAAAAACTATGTCAGTAACATCATCTTAAATTTGTTCAGAAGAACAGGAAGCAATAGAAAAGAAATCAAAGACTAGAAATAAAACAGTAATGATGACAGAATGATTCTAAACACAGTGGATTTAACAAAAGATACTGATAATTGTTGTTGCATGAGAGAGTGTAATTAGATTACATCCCTTCATTTGATGAACTCTGGCAAAGATTTTTTAAATTTTACTGCCTACATATATTTTTTTAAATTATACTTTTAAGTTCTGGGATATGTGTGCAGAACGTGCAGGTTTGTTACATAGGTATACATGTGCCATGGTGGTTTGCTGCACCCATTAACCTGTCATCTACATTAGGTATTTCTCCTAATGCTATCCCTCCCCTAGCTTCCACCACCTGACAGGCCCTGGTGTGTGATGTTCCCCTCTCTGTGTCCATGTGTTCTCATTGTTCAACTCCCACTTATGAGTGAGAACATGCGGTGTTTGGTTTTCTGTTCCTGTTTTGCTGAGAATGATGGTTTCCAGCTTCATCCATGTCCCTGCAAAGGACACGAACTGATGCTTTTTTATGGCTGCATAGTATTCTACGGTGTATATGTGCCACATTTTCTTTATCCAGTCTATCATTGATGGGCATTTGGGTTGGTTCCAAGTCTTTGCTACTGTGAATAGTGCTGCAATAAACATACATGTGCATGTGTCTTTTTGGTAGAATGATTGATAATCCTTTGGGTATATACCCAGTAATGGGATTGCTGGGTCAAATGGTATTTCTGGTTCTAGATCCTTAAGGATCTTCCACACTGTCTTCCACAATGGTTGAACTAATTCATGCTCCCACCAACAGTGTAAAAGCGTTCCTATTTCTCCACATCCTCTCCAGCATCTGTTGTCTCCTGACTTTTTAATGATCGCCATTCTAACTGGCGTGAGTACATATTTTAAAGTAACAAAAATGTGTCCAAACTGATTTTAAAGCATAAATTTTATTCTGAAAATAACTTTTCCCAACATTTCTAACCTTACTCGACCCTGAAGTAATTTTCATTCCAAAACAGAGAAATAATTCAAAGATCTAGTTCCTGTTCTACTACCACCCTCTGATGAGGGTAAAAACTTACTAAGTGGTAAATCACCAAGGAGTTGGCATGGCTGCCAGTGTGTAGCATGCCTATCCAGCAAGAGGTGGACAGTTTCTTCAAAAGTATGTCAGGATGGCTGCTCACAGTTAGAAATTACTTTCAAGTTTAATGCTTTTAAAATACCAGTGATGCAGGGGCAAACAAAGTAATCCCCTGGTTTTGAAACCAAATGTGGAGAAGACAGAGAAGAAAAAAAGCATGTGAAAGAATTCCTCGAATGCTGAGAAATAAAATGGCCTATCATTCTTTAGTTTCCTCAAGAGAAGAGGAGGCATTATTAGAAAACAAGGGACAAAGAATAAGAATTATAGTATCTTCAAGCCCAGCCTACGCCCAGCCAGCAAACAACCTGGTCTGATAGCAGCTCCAACAGAAGTGAAAGAACAGAGCTTCCGGGAGCCTGCAATTCCCTCTGAGCTGTGAATGTGAGCTCCTAAAGGGCCAGGGTCACACCATAGTAACTTCTATATGGCTCTCATGCCTAGAGTTTCACAATCTTTTGTAGAAACATAATAGTTTTCATTTACAATAAGCCTTTGAAGTATTTATATAACAAGTCGGTCTGCTGTTTCCAAGCATCTGAAAAGCAGGGCAATAATGGACAGCAGTCGCAATGATGAGGGTGGGTGGATTATATATATATACGTACATACACACACATACACACACACACACACACACACACACACACACACAAATGCCCAAATCTTTGTTTTCTAATTAGAGGGGATGGAGAGAAGACTTAGGAACATAAATAAACAAATGCTATCATTTATCTTGGATAGAAAGATAAAAACTTTATAAATGTACAAGAAAGTACAGGGAAATAAATCAAAATTACTTTCTATGAGAAGTATTTTAGGCAAAGTCCTCCGTTAAGACTCTATGGGGAGAGAGAAGAAAGTTATTTTTCCAGAGAAACTAATAATAAACCAGGTGAAGAAACAACATCAGCATGAGAAAAATCAAACAATACAAGAGTTTAGCAGTTGTTCAACACAGCAATACAAGAGAGTCTTTCACAAGGCAGTGCATGCTTAATTGCCAAACTAATGGTGCAAACAAGTTCCAAGGAAGAAAAGAACATTCTGAGAGCTGGATTTGAGTTGGAAACTAAGATAGGCAGGAATCATGTGATGGGGAAAGCAAAATGTGGAGTTGGTAGGGTCAGAAACTGGAAGGAAGGCCAGGCAACTCAGCATATGTCTGATTAGAGGACCAACTTGACACAAGGGAAGACTCAGAAAATCAAGTGGTAACAGAGGTCAAAAGATAGCCTGAGGTTATACGTGACCAAGAGTGGAGGAGGGAGGGGGGCCGAGGTCCAGCTAAGGAGTGACTTGATTATGAGGCCAGGCTCTGCTGCTGTGAGCTCCTTGTGTTCTTCAAGCTGGACCAAAATATTCTATCACTTACATGGCACGGCAGTCTTTTCCCATTTAGTAAATACAAATTAAGTTTTGAATAGAATTACCACCCTAAATCCTGTTTTAAGCTAAAAGGATAAAGACATGCCACCTTGACCAATGTCACTGGAATTTTAAATTGCACATAATACATGCCCATTAAATTATTCCTAGTTCCCAAAATGACATATAAATCTGCCACTATTTTTATGGAATCTTATAGAGTGCCATAACTTCCAGATCCTCTACAAATATGTAGATAGTTGAAACTGTTTAACTAGTAAACTTAGTAAGTGTCAGTACTATAGGTCTGAAATACCACCTTGGAGGGTGAAAAGAAACAACAATAAACAAACAAGCAAATAAAACACACTCAAAGTAATGATAGCAAATTGGATTTCCGAGACCCGAACTCAACACAAGAAAGGCAAAAAGACCTCGACACATTCTGCTCTCTGAGAAATACTTTTATCAACAGAACACTGATGAAGAGAGCCTACATTGTTAGCCTTATTCATAACTAAGAAAAAACGGTACTGACATTCCTGTGTAGGCAGAAACAATGCCCTTGATTCTCAGACAAAATCAACATGTGGGAACAACTTTGAGATGCCAGAGGAAAATGTGAGCAACTCTAACTCAGAATGCACATTCACTCAAGCTTCCAAAGTCTTGCAGGAACTTTCACACTTATTTGCAAACTTTAAAACACATATACCGACTTATCAGTTGTAGTAAAACCAGCTCAATTCTAGAAATGGAGGAAGCAAATATTTTCATTCTCTTTGCAATCTGAGAATAGAAGAGAGGAAGTGACTCCCCCAAGATACCCAAAGAGTAAAAAGAAAAGTAAACATAGATCGCCTGACTTTATATCCATGGCTTCAACTAAACCTTATTGTTTTTTTCCCCCGCTTAGAGGAAAGAGCTCTGCTGTTTTAACACACTGAGTATGTAAATGACCTTAGCAGCAACATCATAAAGAGTGCTAGAGTCAAGTCCCTGAAGTAAACATGCAGGATCCAAGAGACACCCAAAAATTCTCTACAATTTAACTCTGGAACCAAAGAAGGTTGGCACATACCATTTAAATATCTCAATGAGATAAAAACATTTCCAAAAAAATCAAGTTATAAAGTTTCTTCATTAAAAAATCTTCAAAGTTTTTTCGAAAAATTTTTGAGATCTCAGTTGACTATCAATAGATGATAAATTAGTATAGAATGTAAATTGTAATTATCAGTGACAACAATGAAACAGTACCTACCACAAAGATTTGGAACAAATGCACAAAGAGAGCCTAGGCCTCAGGTCAAAATTAACGCATGGCTTAGCAATAAACCTATTGTTACATAAGCCAAAAATAACATTAAAGTTGGGCCATTTCCATAGTATTTTTTTTAACTTAACTATAATCATCATTTAAAAATGCACTGTTACTCAATGTTTATGTTCATTTATTATTTCCAGCCTTGGGGAATCCAGAAAATTCTGTGTGGCATAAAAATTTTTTATCCACTTAATATTAGCAAATGCCCTCTTTCCTTAAAAGAACACAAATTTCAAAGATGGCGATTTGTTTTTAAAAACAGTACTGTATTGGTTCCTTGGACAGTTGTCTTTATCTAATTCCTGAAGTTTAGGAGATAAAGAATAGGTTGATAGCCCACAGGAAAAACAATGTGGAAACAGGAAGCCATAAAAAGTAGAGGATGAGGGGAGAAAGAAGGGATATGAACAGATACATGGGGATATAGACACATAAAATACATATAAATATATAACAACATGTTAATATAGATTATACAGAATATATTAATTATATAGAGTGAGTAAGCTAGGAAGCAGAGATGATGTTCAGATGTCAAACAAAAATGCCCCCATGAATTATGTTTTTTGATTTTAAAAAAATTATTCCATTGATATAGCAATATTCACATTAAATGGTTTAAAGGGGGTACTTTTGTTGACCAAAGGTACTGATAGGTAACAAGAACAGGAAAGTGCCTAACATACCCAATGTTCTAATCGCATCACAAAAAAAAATTATCTATAGAGACCACTGATGTGCATCATAAGCAATGCACTGAATAAAGAAGACCCCCCCCCCAGCCCCTTAAATTACTGCAGCCATATAGCTAGCTACAATGTTCCAAAATCTAAACAGCGCCCTTGACTTTGCTAGGTCCTGTATACCAATGACTTTACAACCTCTGGTCCATTACTAAGCAGCTCCTTTTTGCTATGGATCAGTTTTAATCTTCTCATCCTGGCATTTGAGGCCTTTTAGAACCTCACCCTACTCTCTATAAGATCCCTGTAAGCCAAGCTATCACCTCATGACTTCCTGCACAGCCCATGCTTTGAGTGGCTTCTCTCCATTGTTGTAAACACCCTAAGTGAAGACAATTAGGTCTTCTTCAGTGGGCATGTTATATCAAGGTTTAATTGAAAATTAGACACATGTACATATAGAAAGAAAAAGAACAAACAATAACTACAGTCCTCTGAAGAGCCATAAAGAAATACAATATTTGCTGAGAGTAAACAGATGGAAACAAATCTATTCTCTCAAACCAAATACAAGTATTTCTTTCCCATATTCTATTCTCCTTCCTTGAGTGCTCAAAAGTTCATTAATAGCTACAGTTTCCCATATCTACTTCCCCAAATAGTCCTCAGACGGTGATTTCCGGTGTAGAGATACAGAACCACCGATAAGCAGCATCAGCATATCATCCAATCTGCCTAAGGTCAACACTGGAATTGGGAAACATTAGCCTGCTCAACCCCATGATGGCTGTACTCTGGGCTCCACTCCTGAGGAGGAAACAAGAACAGGTCTGATGAGTAACAGACCCAAACTAATGATACTAAGCAAGCAACGGGAAAATCAAAATAAGAGGAAAACTTGTATAAAAGGAAAATGCAATAAAATGGGGAATATAATTTATAACTTCTGCATTGTTATAATAGCTATTAGGATATTGATGAATTATGGCCTATGTTGAGATGTAAAGTCACAGCTTAGAATTCAAGTGAACTGCTGGTACATAAGATCTGCTGTGGGATAGCATCACTAAAATCTATTCAAACTCCATTTTGCTATGAACTCAAAAGAAAAAGAAAGGATTACTCAACACAAATGCTGTTTTTAAGCTTATTTCATCATGTCTTGTCCTCCAAAGTTCATTCTTATAATGGCAATATTAAGTAATCATCTATTAAATGAAAAGATACTCTAACTATAAATTAATACAGTCATAAAAATGAAGACTCCTATGCTTTCCCAATTTAAATCTTGGTGAATTAGAAGACTAAACTGCTGCTTTTCGCTTTGGATACTATCTCAACTCTGCTTCAGGCAACACAGTAAGTTGATTCCCTACAGGTAGTAGATCATAGAAGGACTAGTTACACAGATAAGAAATTGTTGTTTTTGTATCATTCCAAAACGAGATCCGAGATCTACGAAATGCATACTAAATAAGATGGGGAAAGAGGCGAGTAGGCATAGTGATTAGCATTAGACTTTATTAACTCAAGTGTGTCTGTAATATACTTAATTTCTAAAAGAGCAGCAGTAAAAGGGAAAAAAGCAAATTCAAGTAAACGAAGAAAAATAGACAATCCAAAATTAAATGGCAAAATAGAGTCACTAATCTCAGTAGTACTAAAAATAAATGGTCTAAATTTACCAGTTTAAAGACAGAATTCTCAAATGTGATTAAAAAGTCATCTCAAAGACATAAGGATACAATGTTTAAACGCAAAAAAAAGGTCAGGAGATAAAAGGCAGAAGAGAGTCATGAGAAATTCTAACTAAAATAAAGCTAGTACAATAACATAAATATCAAATAAAATAAATTTCAAGGTATTATATGATGGTAAAAAAAGAAAGGGCTATCCACGAATATATAATTCTGCACATGTGTGCATCTAACAATCTAGCCTCAAATTTTGTAAAGCATAAACTTACAGGAATACCAAGAGAAATTATCAAATCAACAATTACAAGGAAAGGTTTGAACACACCTCTCTTATTAACTGATAAACTAAGCAGTTAAACAATTAATAGAGATAGATAACATGACCCACATAATTGTCTGACCAAGTGGACAGACCTAGAAACCGGTATCAACAATAAGAAGATCATGCTTTCCAAATTCAAAAAGAACCCTTATAAAAATTGACTATATATTTCAAAGTCTTAATAAATTTAAGAATCTCTATTATTTAGACCACATTCTGACCACGCTGTAACATAAAACTGGAAATATGAACAAACAAAAAAATTCTCTCTTCCCACAAAACATGCATACATAAACACAAATGCACACACTTTTGGAAATTTTAAATCACACCTATAAAAAATCCAGTGGTCAAAAATGATACATAATGGGGCCAGAGACAGTGGCTCATGCCTGTAATCCCAGCACCTTGGGAGGCCAAGGAGGGAGAATTGCTTGAGCCCAGTAATTGAGACCTACCTGGGCAACAAAGCAAGACTTCATCTCTATAAAAGGAATTTAAAGATAAGCTAGGCATGGTGGCATATATCTGTAGCCCCATATATTCTGGAGGCTGAGGCAAGAAGAGGGACTGCCACTGCACTCCAGTCTGGGCAACAGAGAGAGATCCTGTTGAAAAAAGAAGAAAAGGGACAGGGAAGGGAAGAGGAGGGAAGAGGAGGGGAGGGGAGGAGAGTGGAGGAGAGGGGAGACCCAAATGGGATAGGACGAGAAAATTAAAACTGAATGGTAATGAAAGCACTATATAGTTGACTCTTGAACAACACAGGTCTGAACTGCATGGATCCACTTACACCTAGATTTTCTTCCACCAAGAAACAGACAGCAAGACCAGTCCCTCCTCTTCCTCCTCCTCTTCCTCAGGCAATATGAAGACAATTAGAATGGAGACCTTAATGATAATCCACTTCCACTTAATGAATAGTAAATATATTTTCTCTCCTTCTTATTTTTTAAGAACATCTTTTCTCTACCTTATTGTTAAGAATACAGTATATAATACAACACACAAAATTGTGTTGACTGTTTACGTTATTGGAAAGGCTCCAGGCAACAGGAGACTGATTATTAGTAGTTACATGTGGGGGCAGTCAAGAGTTATATGTAAAATTTCAACTGTGCAGAAGGCTGGTACCCCTAACTCCCTCCTTGTTCAAGGGTCAACTGTATTTCAAATTTGTACAATCAATCAGAGGTACTTCAAGGGAAAATTAGAGCTATGAAAGCAATGTTTTAAGTGTTAAGAAATTAGAAAAAGCACAGTTATCCCAAAGAAAAAGAGCAAAACGAGATGAAATGTTACAAAATAGAGAAGATACAATAGAAATGATAAAACCAAGTTGTTTCCTTTGGGAAAAAATATATAATGGTAAATCTATAGTAAGAATAATTTTAAAAAGGCAAACGACACTAGAAATAAGAAATAAAAATCAAATGCACAAAACAAGAATATTATGAAAACCTTCATGCCAATAAATTTGTCAAATTAGATGAAATGGACAATCTCTACCAAAAATATTAATTGCTGTAACTAACTCGGGAAAAAAAAATTTAAAAATTTGAATCAACGATTTAAAAAAAACAAAAACTACCTTCCACTTCCACTCTTCTCCCAAAAAGGCTACCATCCAAGACAGTTTTAAAGTCAAGTTCTACCAGATCACCAAAAATAGACCAACAGTAATTTATCCAAGGCTTTTCTAGGTAATGGTAAAAGGGAAGCAACTTTATGAGGATAGAATACAACCCAGATAACAAAATCTGAGGAAGACAATTCGATAAAAGAAAATTAAAGGCAATATATGCAAAAGTCCTAAATAAAAATAATACAAAATGAATGCAGAATCATCACTACCAAGTTTACATTAGAAATTCAGATGGTTTAACAGTAGAAAATAATGTAGATTACAACATTAGCGGGTTAGAAAAATACATGATCCTCTTAGTTGATGCAAAAAATACATTTGATAAAATTCACCACCTACTCATGAGTAAGTCTAGAAACTAGGGGAGAAAGTCCTTAATCTGAGAAATAATATTTATTTTTAAAAATTTCAGAGTGATCATATAAACCTAAATAAAACATAAAAAGATGGTGAGGAGTTTGAGACCAGCCTGGCCAATGTGGTGAAACCCCGTCTCTACCAAAAATACAAAAATTAGCCAGGCATGGTGGCATGCATCTGTAATCCCAGCTACTTGGGAGGCTGAGGCAGGAAAATTGCTTGAACCCAGGAGGTGGAGGTTTCAGTGAGCCAAGATCATGCCACTGCACTCCAGCTTGGGTGACAGAGCAACTGTCTCCAAAAAAAAAGGAGGGGGAGGGGGGGAGGGGAGGAGAAAAAAGATGCTCAGCCTCAGTACTTTTTTTTTTTTTTTTTTTTTTTTTTTTTGAGACAAAAGTCTCACTCTGTCGCCCAGGCTGAAGTACAGTGGCGCAACCTTGGCTCACTGCAACCTCTGCCCCATGGAGTCAAGTGATTCTCCTGCCTCAGTCTCCCCAGTAGCTGGGATTATAGGCACTCACCACCACGCCCGGCTAAAATTTTTGTATTTTTGGTAAAGATGGAGTTTCATCATGTTGGTCAGGTTGGTCTCGAGCCCCTGACCTCAGGTCCGCCTGCCTCAGCCTCCCAAAGTGCTAGGATTACAGGCATGACCCACTGTGCCCGGCCAGCCTCATTAATTTTAATGGCAAAAACTGCAATTACTTTTGCACCAGCCTAATATAAGCTGTAGTACTGTTTTCATGGTTTTGAGTATCCTTCCCATGAGAGGATCATACTTGCCCACTATACTGTTATCAGCCTTGGCCATGAGACTTAATTGGCCAATGAAATGTGAGTTAAAGTAATATATACCACTTCCAAGCAGAAGATTCAAGAACTGTAGTATGGTTCTACCATGTTTTCTCTTCCCTTTATCATGAAACCAGCATATCCCAGGTAGAGGCTATTCTTTCAGTCTTGATCAGAAATAAAGATGGTGTGGAAAAGAGCCATAACAAACCCACCAAGCACATGTAACATGAGCAAGAAATAAACCATTTTTATTAAAAGTCGTGAAGATTTGCAGATTTTTTGGCTACTGCAACATAACCTAGTGAAAGCTGACAGTGATCAAACAAATGCAAGTTAAAATACTGAGAAGGTATTTCACATACATTTGATTGGTCCAAATTAATAAGTCTGGTAACAAGAATCACCGATGACAATGTGGCAAAATCAAACTTAATGGTTGCTGGTTGAAATGTAAATGGTCAATTTTATCAATTTCATTTATTATTTTGGCAATATCTGGGGAAACTGAAGAAGTAAAACTGGATTCCATCAATCTAGCAATTCCGCCACTAGGTATCTACCCTGAAGAAACTCTTACACAAGGAAACATGTCTTAAAATGTTCACTAAAGAACTATTTCTTATAGTATACAAAGAAACTGTGACTCAGGAGGGGAATAAACTAGTTTAGTCAAAGAAATACTATACAACAGTCTAAATGAATAGATTTATATATCACAAAAAGATACATGCAGGACAAGAAGGAAAAGATGAGAATGAGACTTTGGCAATGTCTTAAATGTTCTATTTTGTTAAAGATCTAAAACACTGTAATCCCAGCACTTGGGAGGCCAAGGTGGGCGGATCACGAGGTCAGGTGATCGAGACCATCCTGGCCATGGTGGAACCCCGTCTCTACTAAAAATACAAAAATTAGCTGGGTGTGGTGGCTCATGCCTGTAATCCCAGCTACACAGGACGCTGAGGCAGAAGAATCGCTTGAACCAGAAAGTCAGAGGATGCAGTGAGCCGAGATCGTGCCACTGCACTCCAGCCTGGGCCACAGAGCAAGACTCCATCTCAAAAAAAAAAAATCTAAAACACATGGCAAAATGGTAACAAATGATAGAAATTTTTGTGCTGGATACACAACTGTCTCCTCTATTATTTTTATATTTTTGTATTTTTAAAATATTTTATGATTTTTTTTAAAAAAGAGAACAAAGATAGATTTAAACCATAAAGTACGTTGGTCAGTCTTGTGGTTTAGTGATATAAAGAACTTCAGAAATAAAAGGGCATTCTAGATGATCTAAATAATTCTATATTCTACAGATGAAGAAACTGAGGTCTACAGAGGTTGAGCAAATGACTTAAGGTCACATTAACATCAAGTTGGTTCTCAAAAATCTACATCCCCTAATTTCTAGGATAGGTAGGAAAGACAAGGGACATGCAATCAAATATAATGTAATCAAGTTCAAAAAACCATTCTGTCCCTTTCTTTATGGTCTCTTACTCCTATCCCTAAGACCTCTCCTCTCTCCCTGGGATAGAAAGGGAGTCTCAGGAAAGGGCAAACAAAGTGTTAAAAAGAGCAGGAGAAGAAAAGAAAGCTTTAAGGACTGCCATGGTCTCAATGCTTCCCTCCAAAATTCACGCTGAAACCTAATCCCTATGGTGGTGGCATTAAGAGGTGGTGTCTTACGTGTTCTCACTCACAGGTGGGAATTGAACAATGAGAACACTTGGACACAGGAAGGGGAACATCACACACTGGGGCCTATCATGGGGTGCGCAGATGGGGGAGGGATAGCATTAGGAGATATACTTAATTTAAATGATGAGTTAATGGGTGCAGCACACCAACACGGCGCATGTATACATATGTAACAAACCTGCACATTGTGCACATGTACCCTAGAACTTAAAGTATTAAAAAAAAAACAAAAAAGAGGTGGCGTCTTTAGGAAATGACTTAATCACTCTGCCTTCATGACTGGGATTAGTGCCCCTGTAACTGAGGTTGAAGGGAGCTGCCTTGTCCTTCCATCAGGTGAGGACACAGCACTTGGCCTTTCCACCATGTGAAGATCCAGAAAGGAGGGGCCATCCTGGAAGCAGAGATCAAGCCCCTCACCAGACACCAAATTTTCTGGTGCCTTGATCTGGGACTTCCTAGCCTCCAGAGCTGTGGGCAATAAATTCATGTTGTTTTTAAATTACCCAGTTGACGGTATTTTGTTACAACAGCAAAAACTAAGACAACTAAGACAAGGATTTTTAATCCTCTTTTGCTAGTCCTTTTCTTTCTTTTTTTTTTTTTTTTTTTTTTTTTTTTTTGAGACGGAGTCTCGCTCTGTCGCCCAGGCTGGAGTGCAGTGGCGCAATCTCAGCTCACCACAAGCTCCGCCTCCCGGGTTCACGCCATTCTCCTGCCTCAGCCTCCCCAGTAGCTGGGAATACTGGCGCCCGCCACTACGCCTGGCTAATTTTTTTGTATTTTTAGTAGAGACAGGGTTTCACCATGTTAGCCAGGATGGTCTGGATCTCCTGACCTCGTGATCCGCCCGCCTTGGCCTCCCAAAGTGCTGGGATTACAGGCTTGAGCCACCGCACCCAGCCCTAAAACTTTGGGCAAGGAATTTAACTTCTCTAAGCCCTAAGTTCCCCGTTGTAACATGTAACACTGAAAATAGCAATGATAATATCTACCTTTATTGATTCTTAATCAATAAAACAAGATAATCCATTAAACAAGATAATCCATTCAAAGCACTTCACACAGTTCTTCAGCAAACATTAGCTATTAGTATACGTTACGTAAATAATTTGTGGAAAGCAACAAACTCTTCTGATTGACATAAAATTATAAGGTACTAGATGCGTTAAAAGATTAAAGTGACTTCTGTCAGCACCAGCGCTAATGAACTGTATGTTTTGCAAATCATAGATGTTTTTTAATTAAATGAAAGTAAATAAATTAGATGTTAAGCCAGTATCTGTCTCAGGATAAAACACTTGGGGCTAAGTTTACTGCTGAAACTTCTTTATTCTGAAATGTCAGCCTAGTGCTATCATTTTTCCTCAAGAAAAACATCTTCTAGCCAAAAGCAATATTCCAAATATTTAACACCCAGTCATTAACACACGAACCAGTAAACACGGCTAGTGCAGACTGGCAGAATAGCATCCCTGCTTATCCCAAGGTCATGAAATATTTGTGACAGAAATGATGACCCACTTCAATGTATTTTTTTTAGTGCAAAACTGTAATCAACTGGCTTACAGGAACTTAATAAAACACAAAAATCTATTCATCATGCCATGCCACAATCCACATATCAAGCTAGCTCTCACTCAGCTCCCTATCTCACCTCCAGGTCACAGCTGTATTCGGTGCCATCTAAGAGGGTCACTTTACACTGGACAGTTTTGGTCTTCTTGGTGACTTTTTGAGATGCCTTCTCTGCTTTCAGCTCATTGGTCTGCACTTCCTTGGTCTCCCTTTTTGCTGCTCCTCCTTCTAATTTGTCTTCCTGTGTTTCTTTTACCTTCTCTTCTCTCTCCTTACTTACTAATTCAGTAGGCTGTTGAGGAAAAAAAAATAAATTCATACTATAGTCAACCACCTTGCAGATGACAACATACTAAAAGGAAAATCTTTCATAAGAATTAGGATCGTTACTTTAAACACTGTAACTTTCAGATTTTTAAAGACTTGAAAATTCCAATAGAAAGGATATTTCCCCTCATCCTCTTTTCATGGCCAAAATTCTCATTTTGCCAAGTTGGTTATTTGGCATTAAATGAATCAAAGAAACTACATCCCAGCAACTACAATTTAAGTATCATCTCAAATAATAACATTTCCAATTAAAATCTTATACCATGGCAAAACCTAGGCTTTGTTAGGCAACTAAAATGCGCACACACAAATCTACTACTTACTGTCCAGTGAAAACTTAAAGAGGCATAAAAGAGCATTCTGTTTAAAAAAGAGATGGCAGGGCTCGGAGTATCTACCTCACCTAAACAGGTTACAGACATGAATTTTTTAGTAATTGGTATATATAGGGGACTTTTTTTTCAAGGAGTAACAGGGAAAGGCTATGGTAGACCAATCTAAGACCCATTCCGTATACATTAAGCTAAAGCAGTATCTCAGTACAAGAAATCTGGAAATGATCCAAAACAAACAAACCCTTTTTATTATGTGGTTACGCTATCAGGTTTTCATTTCCAGGCAATTATTCCCAAACATACCTGCATCTCCACTTTGCTCACTGAGGGTTTTTCTTCCTTGCTCACTGAGGGTTTTTCTTCCTTGACTTCAACTTTAATCTCTTGTTTCTTCTGAGCCATTTCTTCAGCATCACCCTTAGCCTGTCTCTGTTCTTCTGGAAGGGGTTCCTCTTTATCTAAGACCTGTTCTTCAACAACAGCTTGGGTAGGCTCTTTTTTATCTCCTCCATCTTTGGCCACTACTAAGGTATATGACTTTTGCTTCTTAAGCCATGGCGGTATGAACCGAGAAATACCCCTGCTCTCCGATGTTTCCTTCTCTCTCTTCTGGCGGCGTAGACTACTTTGGCTTTCAGCTGCAGGAGGTGGCTGGGAACCTTTTTCCTCCTCTGGATCGGAAGACTGATTCTGCTGATTTTCTGCTACTTCTTTAGGTTTTTCCTTGGTTGCATCTGTTCCTAACTGGCTAGAGTCCTTCTTCACTTCAGACACAGAGCCTACTTCAGTAGTCATGGCCACAGCTTATGCTGTAATCAAAACAAAAATCATAAAATGTCATTTTGTAAGTTCTCTCAAATTTAGTTTGGTTGCGAGGGGCATGGTAAGGAAAGATGAGAAGAAGAGTAACAGATGACAGGGAGAAAGCACATCAAGAAAGAAGATTCAAAAGCACAAGACAAAATGGAGACTGTTGCTCGAACTTTTAGAATTCTCTATCAGCATCACAGACCCAAAACTAGCATCACAATAGAACTCTGTGTGTTCTGAGTTCCATATAGCTAGAACTTAAAATCATCAAGAACTCAAGAAACAGGGATTACTTTTATTTGGTTTCAACTTGTTATAAACAATAATTGATATCTAAAATCCAAGTTTTTTAAGAAAAATTACTTTTATCTGTACTTGGTATTCTTTATTCTGTAACAGGAAGATGTTATCAACAGTGCTAGAAAGCAATGAGACACATTTCACTACAATTTCATACATTAAACCCAAAATCTATCAAAATGTTAGGTATTAGAAAAAACAGTTTTAAGTGTATGGTGTGTAACAGCCAAGAAGGTAAAATAACAAAAATGTATTATTCTGTGTTCCAATATTAAATCCCGTAATTCACCATCACTGTTCCAATGCAAAAGTTAATCTTGGAAAAGGTACTCAAATTCTAATCAAAACTCCGAACCTCCATCCCACCCAACCATAATCACACTTTTCTTTCTATATATAAGAAAAATATTTAAGGGCCATAATCCAAACCAAATGAGGACATTATGAGGTGGAAAAAATGCATCTGACGATTGTTCTTATCATAACTAATTAGAACAAAATTTAAATAAATTCTGAAAATAACTAAATTTTACATAAGCAAAGAGGGACTTTTAAAGTGTTACAGCACGCTGACATAAAGAACAACAGGCGGGGCCTGCGGAGATAGCCGATCACATTCGCTCTCCCCTCCCTTGCCAATAATAAGTGCCCAGAGTCCTGGCACCCTGGACAACGAGTAGTGTCCCAGCTATCTTCAAAGGTGGTAAAAACTTAAGAGACGGACATGGTTATTCCTGTAGTCACAGCTACTTGGGAGTCTGAGACAAGAAACATGCTTGAGCCCAGGAGTCTGAGGCCAGCCTGAGAAACAGAGTGAGACCCCATCTCTTAAAAAAAAAAAAAATTGTGTTAACTTTTTAAGTGGTACAAACTTGAATAAGTCAAAAAAAAAAGTACACTTGTTTTAAAGCTTTATTAAGATATAATTCATGTACCATAAATTTCACCCTCTTAAAGTATACAGTTAGTGATTTTGAGTATACTCACAAAGTGGTACAACCACCACCACTAATTCTAGAGCATTTTCATCACTCCAAAAAGAAATCCTGTGCCCATTAGTAGTCACTCTGCATTCCCCGTCGCCCCCTGGCAACCTTACGAATATATCCAAAACCACTGGATTGTATACTTTAAAAGGGTGAATTTTGTGATATGTAAATTTTCTCAATAAAAATAACTTAAAAATGTTTTTCACATCTAATATGCAACCACAAAAACAGTCAAGTCAATTCACCTATATAATGGCTTCTACGATGTGGTAAGTTCATGGGCACATGAATAAAGACAACCTTTGAGGAGCTAAGGGAGTGAGGGCTACAAATAAGCATACATTAAGTCAATAGCATGTTGCACAAAAAACACAGGACTAGGCCAGGTGCAGTGGCTCATGCCTGTAATCCCAGCACTTTGGGAGGTCGAGGAGGGTGGACCACTTGAGGTCAGGAGTTCGAGACCATCCTGGCCAACATGGCGAAACCCCATCTCTACTAAAAATACAAAACTTAGCTGAGCGTGGTGGCACGTCTCTGTAATCCCAGCTACTCGGAAGGCTGAGGCAAGAGAATAGCTTGAACTCAGGAGGCAGAGGTTGCAGTGAGCCGAGATTGTGTCACTGCACTCCAGTCTAGGCGACAAAACAAGACCCTGTCTCAAAACAACAACAACAACAAAAAAAAAAAAAAAAAAAAGCAAAGGACTTAAGCCAGGTTAGGAGAAGAAGAGGGTCACCAGGCAGGCGTTTCTGCAGAAGTTGACATTTGAGTTTATTTTTTAAATGGGTACTCATTATTCAGACAAAATAGCCAGAATGGAAGGTATGTGTCAGGCATAGGGAGTTGTGTGGAAACATGAGAACATTCCTCATAAAAAAGGAAACCACAGGCACAGAACAATAATCCACTGTACAAGTGAAGTGGGGGCTTATGAGTGAAGACAGGACAGGCGGAAGCTGAACTGGTAATAATGAAGTAAGAAAGGAAGGCAGAAGCCAAAACATAAAAGATTTTGTGTTATTTTAAAGGCAATGTGGGGGTTATTTGAAAAGCAATGAGAAGTTACATAAGTACTTGAAGTAGAGGAGAAATGTAATAAGATTCTCATTTCACTTAGCGCAACCTGGCTGTAAAGCACAGGATGAAAGAAAAGACTGAAGCAGAAAGACATCCAGGAGATTGGGTTGATCTGATCTCTGGTTGATCCAGACCTGAGAAGACGATGGTCTATATATACTACAGCAGAAACAGTAGGGTAAAGAACAAGAAATTAATCTAATGGTAAAGAGGTAGAGTGGATATGACTTGATGTCCGGGCTGAATATAGAAAGTCAAAGAGAGGAAAGAGCTAAGGAAAAGGCCCAGGTCAAGGAAGACTAGGGTGATGGTAGAACCATTCATGGAAATGGGGAACACCTGTAAAAGTGGGTCTGGCTGACACATATAATTCAATTTTGAATTCATTGTGATTGAGAGGTTGTGGAGATGTCTAGATGACCCCAAGACACACAGGTTTTGATTGGAGACTAGATACACACTAGAGATAGGGTTTGGATGTTGTCATCACATGGGGATACATCACCTAGAGAAAAAGGGTAGCTTAAACTGAGAGGATCCTTAAAAGAGCTCTTATCACCATCAACATATAAGGTGAGGCAGAAGAAAAGGCATGAGGGCCAGAAGAAATATGTAGTGAGGCAGGGAGATCAGGAGACAGTAATATCCCTGACAGCAATGCTACGTAAGAGGGAATAGTTAACTATTATACCCACATATTCTTTGCTGCTTCTCATTCTCAGGCATCTGAAATTCAAAAGTATGTCTTCCAGCAAGACCCGAGGACAGGTAAACTGGCTCCATATTGCACAGAAAACCTTTTTTCCTTCTTTAACATACCATTTCCCATGTACTATTTAAGTGGACAATATTATTTACTTTAATCATGAAATAACCAAAGTGTATTTCTAGTATATGCTCTCTAATTACATTCTGAGAGCTGAATAAATGTCCTGGTAAAATTAAAACCAAAATGCCCCATACTTGTCTAAGCTAACCAAGATAAATTGGCAGCTCTCTAATTACTTTGGCTGTGAGAAATAGTCTGGGAACCAATCAACTAAGGCTGATTTTTGGCCAAAATATTTTAGAAGCAGTGAAATATAAAACTTGAGTTTCCACTATTATGTTAAAAGCATTAATAGTTGTTTATATTTTAATCATAAGGGTTTCCACTCACTGTTTACTGTCTGACACAGTGCCCATAATCTGTTTCTCAAAATATTCTACAAAGTATGTATTATCCCTGTTTTACAAATAATAAACAGTAGTCACTTATCCAAAGCCACTAATGGAGAACCACACAGCTGTGTATACCTTCCCTCACACACACTTCATAATGCAATCACAGCTCCATTATGCACGAATGACCTACTCAACCACAGAGTCCTTGGCCTAGTACTCAAAGAAGGTTCCTGCCAGTTAGTGAAAATGACTATGAAATAACATAAATGTATTCTCAGATTTATTCAAAATATTCTCTCTTAAAAGTAAGAAATTTATAGATGAATTTAAATAACAAAGAAAATCCCATTTGTACGTTATTGCTTGACCATGTAATCATAACTGAGCTGGTTGACAGACACTGAAGACAAAGTACAAATACAGACAGGAAGAGCACCGACAAAACCATATGGTTAAGCCTCACGAAGTCATCCTCAATCACCACTGTATTCACAACACCCATAAGGGTTAAGAGCCTCAAAAGTGATGATCAGTGTCACCCATCCAAATGGAAGTTACAAGACAGAAAACAATGGAAAAGACTAATTGGATCATTACTCAACATATTCTTGAAACAGTTTCAAGAGTTCAACAGAGCTCAAAACAAAACACTACCTTCTTTGTTGATAAAATGGCTTCTTGAACAAATTACCACCATCAAGAAAACATGATTACAGTACATCCACTCACCCTAATTATCATGCCTATAACCCTGAGTTTCTTTCATATGTGGATAAGCCTTTAAACTCTATCACCCATGAAAATGAGAACTCTTGTAGTGGAATGCTGACATTCCCACTAAAATGAAAACTCCATGAGGGCTGGGATCTCTCTTTTATATACTGCTATGTTCCCAGCATCTAGACTGGCACATAATAGGTATCTATTAAGTACTTACTAAATGAGTATTGTTCAATCATCTAGTCTAATATCCTCACTTTATTTTATCAACAACCAAACTGAGGATCAGAAAGACCAGGAGATTTGCCTGAGATGGTAAAGTCAGATGGGCAAGCCAAAACTGGAACTAAGGTTTCCCAAACTCTGGCAATGCTCATTGACTAATATTTAATTATAATTACCCAAAATCCATCATTAGTATAGTTATATAATACATTAAGTAATGATCTTTCTACTTATCATCAACTAAAAAGAACACTGCTGTGAACAGCCCGCCCATTAGACAAGCATGTGGTTTTGACACAATTACCATGTTGGCATGCTCCATCTGGGTTGATAAAAGTGTTCGTCATTGTGACAGCTTCATGAGAAAAAGCATGCATCATTTAACATGCAATGAAGCAGAAAACCATCATCAATAGAGGATCAGTACTGGTTAGGTAAGGAGCTGTGTTACATAAACCCATTCTTTTTTTTCCAACGTTTAAAAAAGGAGGTAAATTCTAATGTGCTATCTCTATCACTAGGCTGAACTGCCAACCATATAACATCATGCTACTTAAAACATTGGCCCTTAATCAGAATACTACAGCAAGCAAAGCAAAGCAGATACACAACCTCACAAACACACAAACAACTTCAAGCAAGGGGTTCATGCTAATTCTTGGGTTCAGATGTTTCCTTAAAACATTGAGGAAACTGGGACCTTACTGTTAACAAAACCCCTGAGCAGGGAACAGGGTAGGTGCTG
The DNA here is from genome assembly GCF_000001405.40 of Homo sapiens. NCBI lineage: Eukaryota > Metazoa > Chordata > Mammalia > Primates > Hominidae > Homo > Homo sapiens. The sequence continues at coordinate 130,961,724 of NC_000006.12, forward strand.
CTGCCAGCTGAGTAGCTCCCATTCTTTGCTGAGATCACAAGCAATATGAGAGTCTTTAATTTCTACCAAGAGAGCTCAACCCATTTTGTAAGGATCCAAGATTCACAAAATGGGAAGGTATGTATTTCTAAGCTTCAAAAATGGTAGCAAGAGGATGGAGGGAGGCTTTCATTTGAGCTTTGAGAAAACAACAAAACTTTGCAACAAATAACCATTGAACTTAAAACATATTGGCAATGTGTAGACAGTTCTGGCCATTTTCTACATCGGATAAAACTAGTTTTCATCTGCTTGTGGGTAGAGGATATGTAGAGCATCCTGCTGATACCCACAATCACGTGCTTGTATGTTCACCTCCCCGAAGGGCCTATAGCTATTGAAAGAGAAGGTCTTTTAATAATGCACTATTTGATGCCATCAAACGTGAGGGAAAAAAAACAAATGTAGAAATGATTCAGCAGCCACCTAACTCTACTTGGGAAATAAAGAGGTGATGCTTCTCAAATATATTCATCATTTAAAAGGAGAAGGGGAAGAGGCAGGAGAGGTGGGGCAGAGGGGAAGGAGGAAGTGGGGTGGGAAGGGGAACAAGGAAGAAGAAATATCTGGAGAGGAAGAAGGAATAACAAAAACAGGCAGACTTAGAGCAGAGTGCAAGTAAGTCCTTACCCTCACAGGTTTATGTTTCTTAAGTGTCAGATGGTCTAGAAAATACCATACTTCATATTCAAGTAAGTATAAATACATTCCAAAGGGACTATTTGTTAGTTCATATTATCTATATGGGGAGGATGAACAAGTAATCCAATGCTGCTCACCCTAGTTACCTTTATAACCCACTATATCACTTGTTTATTTATTTTTAAAAGGATAAGGGACCTATTAGACAGAGCTATTACTATAAAGATGTAAACTAATATCCGGTTTAAATTAAACCCACACATACAAAACATATGAACTACAATCTTCCCTAGTTCAAGTCTAGATGGGATCAGGTGACATTCAGATATATTTCTTCCACTCTTTCTCCTTTTTAATAGAACCTAAATTTTGTTCCACTTTCCCCCCTTCCACATGTGTTTCAATAGAGGCTAGCTCCAGATTGGCCTCAAGGGTAGCTTCTATTGGTCTAGGGCAATCATGGTAGTCTCCCACCCCTTGGCAAGAAAATATGCACGAAGTCCACTGGTGGGCTTCTGGAAAAGGATCTCTCCCTCTAAAAAGAGCCAGAGGAAGAGGAGGCCCCTTCTGCTGTCTCTGAACATTGTATACATAACTCTGTTAAATGCTGTTGTCATCTTGAATCCACAGAGAAGAATAAGCCTGATGACACACTGACACACAACAAAGGACACTGGCAAGAGAATCACAGAGAAGAGGACCAGCTCCTTGATCGCGCCACACATGGCCCAGTCCTGTGCTGGAGCTTCCTGTTTGTGAAATCACATACTCCTCTCTGGCTCAATGAGCCAGGGATTCAGTTACTTGTAGTCAAAAACATCTTGATGTTGACTTCTGCATATTCTGAGGAGAGCATTAGAAAATAAGGATTAAGAAACTGAGAGTACATATAGATCTTGGGTCATTATTACTCCCACTGCATTTTACAACCCTCATAACTAAGAGCTATGGTTGTCAAAGTATTCCATTTTTTCCAAATGATGTTCAATTTTTAAAAACCTAATACTTGAGTTAATATTAGTGAGATAAATCACTAATTCTTTACTCTAACAACTCTAAATAAGAATGAAACCAAAAAAAATCTTACTTTATCAACATATGAGTCCCTTTCTTCATATGTTGGAGACAGGGGTATATGAAAACTAAGGCATAATTTTCAATAACATCCAGTTGCAATAACAATCAAGGTAACAATCTTCTTTGTTGAAAGAAAGCCCCTACTGCTGTCACTAAGGATGGAGACAAGAAAAAGACCTGTGCCAGGCAAAGCATTCTCCACCAGCAACTAAGGCAATCTTGGAAATAGATACGATTTCCTGAAGTTAAAGCTAAACAACCAGAGGCCATATATAAATCATGAAGGACTCTAATATTGGGTATTTTTATTCACATAACCATAATGCATATAAACCTTGTAATACTGGCAATCCAACAACACACACTAGCAGAGATTATCTAGAGACATCCAGAACCCTGCTGAGTTCTCATCAATCAATTATGCACACTGAGTTGTATGGTCAGAAATCTTGGTGAACTGCATCTGCTCTAATTCCTTCTCTCAGGTAGAGGCCCAATTCTGTGTAATAATCAAAGCTGAAGCTATATTCTTTCTTTTCTTTTCCTTTTTTTTTTTTCACACGAAGTCTCCCTCTGTCGCCCAGGGCTGAAGTGCCATGGCATGATATCAGCTCACTGCAATCTCCGCCTGCCGGGTTCAAGCGACTCTCCTGCCTCAGCCTCCCAAGTAGCTGGGATTACAGGTGCATGCCACCATGCCCGGCTAATTTTTGTATTTTTAGTAGAGATGGGGTTTCACCATGTTGGCCTGGCTGGTCTCAAACTCCTGACCTCAAGTGATCCACCCGCCTCAGTCTCCCAAAATGCTGGGATTACAGGCATGAACCACTGCGCCCAGCCTGAAGCTATATTCTTTCTGTGAGAAGTTACCTATGTCTGAATAAAATAGCCTGGTGGCTTGGAGATGAAGACTGTGAAATAAAACAGGATTAGAATTTCAGCTCTGCTTATTAGCCATGTAACCGCAGACAAGTTATTTTAGCCTTGCTGAGTTTCAGCTTCCTCATAAGCAAAAAAAAAAAAGGATACAAAATGTACTCACTGGTTGATTCTAAGCATTAGATTAGATGCTATAATACATAAAGTGCCTGGCACATAATAAATTCATAATAAATGATCAGCTACTGTCATCACATAGAGATTCTGCCAAGAAAATAACTATATTTGTTTACTAAAATAATAATAATAATAATAATGGTAGTAATAACAGTAATCACAACAGAAATAATCATGATAATATCAGCTATTTGTTAAACACTGCTCTAGAAACATGGCATGCAGCAACTCGAACCTTCTCAACTCTTCTAGGAAGGAACTGAAATTATTCTCATGTTACAGATGAAGAAGGTAAAAAGAGGATAGATGGGTTGGTCAAAGCCATATAACCAATAAAGAGAAGTGCCAGAATTCAAACCCAGGCCGTCCAGCTCTAAAGACCTTGTACAACACTGCCTTCAATCCCAAAACGACTTCACTACTATATAACTTGCACCTAGCATGATGCCCGACAGTTAATGATTTGCTGAAAAGTGAAACTGATAATTACCACTACCTTTTGGGGCTTTATAATCATTAGCAGCATGTTCTAATGGACCACCCCTCATGAATTTTAGTGACCATCAGGATGTGAGTGGGGTCAGTATCTTATCCCCTTCTTTCAAGACAAGTGTTTATTGAGTACTCTCAAAGCATATGCACCAGGCACCAGTAATACAGATGAAAGAATCCTGCTCTCAGTATAGTGGGAGACATAGGTAATAAGATTAGCATTCATAGTCAAACAACTTGTAACCAATTCATAAATCTTGGTAATTTAGATTTAAAAATTACTACTAGTTTGAAAAGCAGCCACGATTTTCTTGTTATCTCTTCAGGAAATCACACAATGAATGGTCCTTCATAGGAAATACTGGTTAAACACTCATAACATACAAAATAGTCATTACATGATTTTTGGAGAGGACTAATTCTCCTTCTCAATTTTATTTGGTCTCTATCTGAATTCAAGTAACTTGAATAAAAAAGCCCAATAAAACAAGTCTGGTGTAAGTTGCCTCAACATCAAAAAAATAAAAAACAAATTTTATTTTTAAATTTTTGGCTAGGCCAATTTAAATCATCGGTCCAATGGTGGGGAAAGTGGCCAATGGATAAACAGTTATCAAAAAAAAAAAAAAAAAGAAAGAAAGAAACACAAGTGGCACATAAACATATGAAGAGGTACTTGTCACACTCTTAGTAAAAGAAATGAAACTAAAAATTCAGAATGGAGACATCCAAAAGTTTAATCATGCACTCATTGAGCAAGACTATGGGAATGCAGGCATTCTCAAACAATTGCTAGCAGAAGAATAAACTGGTATGGGCCCAGTGGAAGTCAATTTGCCAATAGCTTTCAAAATTCCAAATGTGTCCACACTTTAAACTAGTAATCCTGCTTGTGGTAATGCAGGGGTGTCCAATCTTGTGGCTTCCCTGGGCCACAATGGAAGAAGAAGAATGTCTTGGGCCACACATAAAATACACTAACAATAGCTGATGAGCTTTAAAAAAAAAATTGCAAAAAAAAAATCTAATAATGATCTAAGAAAGTTTACAAATTTGTGTTGGGCAGGATTCAAAGCTTTCCTGGGCCTCCTGCGGCCTGCAGGCCACAGGTTGGACAAGCTTGTGGTAAGGTATCCTACAGATATATCTGTGCATATGTAAAATAATTATGTAAAGGTGACTCACTACAACACTGTAAAAGCTCAGGATCCATGTCCATCAACAGGGGGTCTTATACCACACATTCATACAACAAAATACTATGCAACTGTAAAGAGAAAAGATGAGAAAGGCTGCCGCCCCACTTGGGATAATAACTCCAATTATTAAGTACATTGTTAAGTACAAACAGCAAGATTCAGACGGTATAAGTGATAGGTCACTTTATATGGATAGGATACCTTATACAGACATCACATCTTATAGGTTGAAAGCAAAGCGTGTGGGAGATACACAAATAAAGGATGCGAATATGCATATGTGAATATGCACACATACACACACACATTTTCCTTTAAATGAGTAAAGAAACTGGGGAAGAATGCAAGAGAGTAACAACAGTGATTATGGGGAATGGAGGGTGGTGCTGGGTAGATGACTGCCGAGGTACAGATATGGGAGACAATGTTTTTAATGAACAGAAGTTTTCATAAACTTAAACACTTAAGTACTTTACTAGGAGAACAATATTTATGCATTAAGTGAACCCAGCTTGGTTAGCCAGCTTCCTTGGAGACAACACGTGCCAATATGACTCCCACAAGCCACGATGCCAATTTGCCTTGTCACACAGCTCTAGCCACACAAATGAACATCGACTCCAGCTCAGCAGTAGCATTAAGATGGCCTAAGCTTTGGATTTCCTAGCGTATGAAGGTTAAGACTGTTTCTATATCCTCAAAGAATCTGATTTCTGCCAGCCTTCACTTCAGTATATTTCACAAACCCACCACTTACCCCCAATCTAGATTGTTCCCCTAAGTAGTTTAAGCTCAACACCCAAGCTTTTAGTGCAGCAACATTTTTTTTAAGAAGTGTATCAGTTCTTCATTTAAAAAAATACAGTTGTCCCTCAGTATCTGTGGGGGATTGGTCCACAGATACCCAAATCCACACATACTCAAGTCCTGCTGTCAGCCTTACCGAACCTGTGGACAGGAAAAGTCAGCCATCTATATCCAAGTTTAGCACCCTACAAACACAGTTATTTTCAACCTGAATTTGGTTGCAGATACAGAAGTTGCCTATATGGAGGGCTGATTAGATTTACTGAAAAAAAAACTCACATATAAGTGGACCTATGCAGTGTGGGCTCATGTTGTTCAAGAGTCAATTACAGTTCCTGAGAAAACGTTGCTTGTTTTTTATCCTTTTTTCCTCAGTGTGGACTTGAAACAAACAACTGGCTTTTGCTAACAATAATACCGGTGCATATGCAGGCAGCGTAAAAAGATTATTCGTATTCTCTGCTGGAGGGCTGGGAATGGGGCACTTGGAAATAGAGTTCTCTGAAAGTTGGGGACATTTTTTTTTAAAGGCAGAGTAAACAGAATGGGAAGAGTCCTATTAAATGTCTAAGCTGGTCATACATAAACATTCCCCAATCTCTTTCAGCAGCTTCCTCCTCACAGGGAAAAGCAGGAATAAAATTGGCCTGAAAGCACAAGCTTGTCATCAGTTTCCTGTCCACACCTCTTCCCTGCCCATCTGCTACTATATTCATATGAAGAGGGTAAAGCTTTTGTGCAGATAAAACAACTACATGTTCCTAGCACAGTGTTTGCATCCAGTGGCTTCCTGATAAATATCTTTTGTGATGTTCCTAGTATTTAGGGAACATTTATTTGGGCCACCCCCCTATTAATGCTCTATAGAAAAAAAAATGCTAACGTGCAGTTTATTCCAGTGACATCATAACCAAGCTCAAACCAGAGCACGGCCAATACCAACAAACTCCCATGATCATGACAGATGCCAGCGAGTCTATTTTTCCTAAGCTCACCCCACAACTATCTTATGCATAAAATGGCTCCTCAGCCCCATCATAAAACTCGTGCCCACTTGGTATCCAACAGTAATCAACAACCAGTCTAATACTATTTCTGTGTGAATCAAACTCAAAAAAATAACAGTAGTGGTACAAGAGGCATTTCCCAAATAAGCAAACGACAAATCCACCAAGGTTAACTGCACAGGATAAACGCACAGGCTGCAGACGCTGCATTTTAATAGGTCATAAGACAAAAGCTTGTCAAAGTCAATCAACTCCCCCACACTATGACAAGTCCACCAAGCTGGAGCCTACACTGATCTCATACTTTCAAATCCTCTTCTCTATAAGCTTTGGAATGCTGTAGTCAACAGGCATAAATACCTAAACCTCATAAAAAAATATAATTCACTTTTTAAATTTTGGCCGTTAGTTCTTCTGCCATTTTAAGTAATTATAGCACTACTAAAGAGTTCTACCAATACATAGCATATATTCTAAAAACTAAGACTATAAACTGAATGACACTTCTAGCTTAAGCAAGCATATCCAAATGTTGGCCCCAGTCCACTGGCTGATCAGCAGAAGGTGCCAGAGAGTATCCAAATTATGGACCCTCCAAGCCTGGCTTGATAAGAGCAACTTTCCCTCGGCGGGAAAAGCTGTAACTACAATGGAATTACAGACATGCCATTTGGAGTGCTATAAAACCTTTTTTTTTTTTTTTTAAAGTTAAGTATTTCTACTCCGAGGATTCACTTAGTTCAGAACTACTTAGCAAGAACTTCAAATAACTATTTTTAGGTGGTGGTGGCTAGAATACGTTTTTACTTCAGTGAAATGTATTTGTTTTTTTAGAGGTAAAATTCTTGAAGTTCAACATTTGCAAAAGTGATTTGGTAGAGAATCATGCTGGAGAATATGTCAGGCATTCAACGTCTGGAGTCCACCAAAAAATGCAAGCAAAACCAACGTCAAAGTTTAAAATTTACCTTTCCAATGTAACTTTCCTTGTGATCCTGCTATGATACTAAACTATAGATCACCAATATATTATATCATCCGTACAGGAACACTACAAAGCAGATGTGGGGGATGATTGGCTGTCCAGGTCATCAGCATCACCTCAACAGTTATCATTTATTCAGCACCCACACCCACGTTGCAAATAATTTGAAGAGACAATTCTTCCTTGTGACAAAAAAAAAAATGGAAAACTTAAACTTCCCAAGTACACATGTACCCCCCTCAAAATACCATAAATACTTCAGTGATATAGAGCATCCCTAACAGTGTCAACAATAAAAAAGGAATCGCAGAGGTCATCTGCTAATTACAGTGGCCCTGTTTTTCATTTTGTCAGTAAGTCGCAATGAAGCAAGGATCTTTTTAAAGACTGCTAGACTGTTAGATTATATAAAGAACACGCAAGAAGATTTTTTCCCAAGTCTGGATGTCAGAATCTGGGCAATATGCATTTTCACATTTATTCAATGTGACAACCAATTAAATATTCAGTAATAAAAGAAGATGTTGATACCTATTCTTATTCTATCAGTATTTACTTAGGGTGTGACAATATCAAACCAATAACCAGACTTTGGTAACTGTTAATGGCTAATAATCTACAGATTATTAGCTAAAAACTGTGAACTCAAATCTCTGATAGCTACAGTACAACTTCTTTTAATCAAACAAGTTAGGGTGAAAATGAAGCACTTTATAAGTAAATTGAAAGTTATTACTCTTTAAGATGCTAAAAAGAAAGTAACTGCACACTATTAACCTTACATAGTCCTCACTGTGCTTCCAGAAATAATATCATACTGATTTTGTACAGTATTATGTCATACCACTGAAAAAATTGTGAAACAACCAGACAAGCATATAAAAGAAACCAACTAGCTTCATTATTCTCATAGGTCAAACCTGAAAAAGCTATCATGTTAAAGATAGCCTGACAAAAGTCAACATTTGCCTAGAAAAATGCAAACAAGTCATCTAAAACTAAACTCGGCCCAATGGAAAAATGTATTTTTCACAGGGCTTAGTTCAAATATCACAACATATTCCCTTGCGAAACAGTGTACGTACCCAGATTCCATCTACTCTGTACATTAGTATTTTCCTAATTTTCAGTCCCCTGACTAGTCACACTTTCAATAGCAAACTTCCTCCACAAGCAGAAACAAACAAGCATGTATCACAAAACCCAACCACTGCAACAAAAATGTCCTAATAATCGCCCCCCTTGAAATACATACGCAGCTTTTAAGCACATCAAGCCCGCTGTCTGCTATTTCCTGTCATTGGAAAACTGTGGAAAGCTGATGGAAATCCAGCGTCCAAAAGCTTAACGAGCAAGACTGGCTCCACCCAAGCCAGACCCTGCTGGAGAGGGACATGCTCAGTAGAAAAGCCCAGTTTGGTTCCAAGTCACTTCATTCCTCAGCTAGAAAATGCACATGGGTCAAAGAAAAAAGTCAGCTTCCTGCTGCCTGTTTTACCCACTGAATGAAGAACCTTCGGCATAGAAACCAGTTTTAATGACACAACTGTAATTCTATAATTTTTATAAAATTCTTCTATCCTGAGATTTTTTCTCATTTAGTTTTCCTGGTTATGACTTTTGCTTTGCTTTGAGTCTCCATCCTGCAACTTTGTTTTTATTTTTGTCATTTTAATTCATCCCAGAATAGACACCAAAAGTATATGTACACAACATAAAGTAGTCCCCCTTATCCTCGGGGAAAGAAGCCCAGTAAATGCCTGAAACCATTGACAGTACCAAACCCAACTCATCAATTGGAATGTGTTTCTTCTGTTCATGTCTTCCACCCACAAATTTAATGCCTTGTACTTTTTAAATTTTCTTACTTATTTTCAGAGACAGGGTCTCACCCTGTCACCCAGGCTGGAGTGCAGTGGCACACTCATGGCTCACTGCAGCCTCGACCTCCTGGGCTCAAACAATCCTCCCACTCCCACCCCAGCCTCTCAAGTAGCTGGGACCACAGGCATGCACTGCCACGCCCAGCTGATTTTTTTACGTTTTTGTAGAGATAGAGTCTCACTATGTTACAGACCAGGCTGATCTCCAACTCCAGGACTCAAGTGATCATTCTGCCTTGGCCTCCCAAAATGTTGGGATTACAGGTGTGAGCCACCGCGTCCGGCCACCCTGTTACATCCTAACTAAGCACTTATGCACTGTGGCCATAACTTTTGCAGTTTGAGGTGCGACAGCCAAACTAGCACAAATTTATTTTTCTTTTTTCACAATTTCACAGGTTGAAGATTAGGTTCTTACCATAGATCTTAGCAACCTCAGCATGCGATTTTTTTCCTTTTCCTTAAGAACTTTCCCCTTTTCACTTAACGGAAGCACCTGATGGCTTCTCTTTGACATATTCAAATGGCCACTATCACTATTCTTGTACTTTTATTACGTAGAATAAGGGTGATTTGAACACAAGCACTGTGATATCACGATAGTCAGTCTGATCACCAAGCCGGCTACTAAGTAACTGACAAGTGGCTGCTTCTACAACATGGAGCCACTGGGCAAATGGATAATTCACATCCTGCACAGGATGGAGCAGAGAGTGTGATTATTTCATCATGCTACTAAAAATGGTTTGCAACTGAAAACTTATGAATCGCTTGTTTCTGGAATTTTCCATGTAATATTTTCAGACCACAGATGACTGCAGGTAACTGAACTGCAGAAAGCAAAACTATGAATAAGGGGAGGCCTACTGTACAGCCTACTCATTTTTATCTATAAATTACTATAGACAAACTTTCAGATATAGAAAAACTGCAAATATATCATCCATATTTCAACATTAAAAAATAAAATATTCATTTCAACTCATTTATACAAGAATGTCTATTCATTCAACCTGTACATAAAAATGGAGGTGCATTTTAACCTAGATAGTATAGTTACCGTGATGTAGCTATAAAGCTGTTAAATCCTTGTTTCATATTTCAATCCTAAATTGAGACATGACTAAAAATGGCCAGGTCCAGTAGCTCATGCCTGTAACACCAGAATTTTGTGAGGCCGATGTGGACGAATCACTTGAGATCAAGAGTTCTAGACCAGCCTGGCCAACATGGCAAAACCCCATTTCTACTAAAAATACAAAAATTGGCAGGGTGTCGTAGCGCATGCCTGTGGTCCCAGCTACTCAGGAGGCTGAGGCAGGAGAATTGCTTGAACTCAGGAGGTGGAGGTTGCAGTAAGCCAAGATTGCGCCATTGCACTCCAGCCTGGGCAGCAGAATGAGACTCCATCTCAAAAAAAAAAAAAAAAAAAAAAAGGAGAAATGACTAAAAATAAGATAATACTACATCCACCTATCATATGACTCTAAAGAAATATGGAAGCAACATAAATGTAAAGTCACTAAAAGAAAATGTGTCAATTCTAAGATTCAGCTCAGCACAATCTGAGAAATAACTAATGTTCCTTAACTCTACAGTACCAACCACCCTTTACATTTCCACAATTTAAATTCTGGGTTTTTTTTTTTCCCAACACACATATTTGCCTTGACAATTCAGGACTCAGATAGACTATAAGTGCACTTGTGCATTTCTACAGCTTTACCCAACTACTGTGTTACTCTCCTGCAAAGCAGTAGTAATTATCTGTTCACATTCACCTACAGCAAAGTCTTTAATGGGTCTCTTGTAAATCGCAAAGAAAATGCTTTAGATATTTATTAACAGATAAACAAGATGTCACCAGTACCAACTAGCAGAAAAAGTAAGGTTTGCAGCCAGGCGTGGTGGCTCACGCCTGTAATGTAATCCCAGCACTTTGTGAGGCCAAGGTGGGTGGATCACGAGGTCAGGGATTCGAAACCAGCCTGGCCACCATGGTGAAACCCCATCTCTACTAAAGATACAAAAAAAAAAAAAAAAAAAAAAAAAACAGCCGGGTGTGGTGGCGCACGCCTGTAATCCCAGCTACTCGGGAGTCTGAGGCAGAAGAATCGCTTGAACCCGGGAGGCGGAGGTTGCAGTGAGCCGAGATCGTGCCATTGCACTCCAGCCTGAGTGGCTCCATCTCAAAAAAAATAAAAAATTTTAAAAAGTAAGGTTTGCTTAATGGGAAGACTTGATGGAAGTCTTCACTTCTCTTCTTCACTTTTTCACTTTTTTAAAAATTTTATTTTGGTAAAAGTTTCCATGGCACCTCTGAAGAGATATTCATCTTTGTCAAAATGGGCAGACACAAAACTTTTTTTTTTTTTAAGTCATTCTACATAGTGGAAGTAAATTTTACTACCCATCATAAAGTTTTCATTGGTTCACAAAGGGGCAATTTGGTGAGTTTTTTAGTAGAGCCAATTTTATTCAATTCAGAGCATCATCCCTTATGCAGATTAAGTTCTTCCCACCTTTTTATGTTAAATGTGTTTTTTAATAAATACTGCTAGTGTAACTGTAAATTTGTTACAATATACTTAACTTGGAAAAATATTGCCTTTGTGAAAGGAAAATAAATCTTGAGGCCCCCAAGTCACTAAGCTAAAGGGAAAAGTCAAGCTAGGAACTGCTTAGGGCAAACCTGCCTCCTTCCTTTCTATTCAAAGTCACCCCTCTGCTCACTGAGATAAATGCATATCCGATTGCCTCTTTTGGAGAGGCTAATCAGAAACTCAGAAGAATGCAACCATTTGTCTCTTATCTACCTGTGACCAGGAAGCCCCCTCCCCACTGCCTTTCTAGATCAAATCAATGTTCATCTTACATATGTTGACTGATGTTTCCTGTCTCCCTAAAATGTATAAAACCAAACTGTGCTCTGACCACCATGGGCACATGTCGTCAGGTATTCAGGGTTCACACTTTCAACCTTTTTTCTGAAATTTGTAACTCCATGTAATCCAGAAATGTGAAAACTTCTAACCTATAGCAGCACTGGGCCCTATGAATTCAACAGTGGTAGATCTTCTGGTCCATCCTACGCATTTCTTAACACCCCTGTGTCTCCTGCTCTCTTCTCTTACTCTCTTACTCTCCTACTGCTATAAACTGAATTGCATCACCCTAAAATTCCTATGTTAAATCTAACCCACAATGTGATGGAGGTAGGAGCTTTGGGAGATAGGTTTAGATAAGGTCATGAGGGTGGGGCCCTCATGATGAAATCAGTGTACTCATAAAAAGAAGCACCAGAGAACTTGTGCAGTCTCTCATTCTCTCTCTACCATGAAGGGCACAGTAGAAGGCAGTTGTCAGTAAGCAAAGAAGAGCCCTTACCAGAAATTCTACAACTTAGAGTAACTGTGAGAAATAAGTACCTGTTGTGTAAGTCACCCAGTCTATGGTATTTTATTATGGCAGCACGAGCTAAGATGCCTACTTCTTAGCTATGGAACCCAATGCTACTGCTCAGCTCCTCCCTGGCTTCAAAAGATCCTACTCAGGAGACCTGTGAATCTCATTGTTCAAAAAAACGTTGGGAGAATTCAGAGAGAATGAGTTTTGTGGCACTATGATTTTGAAAGAGAACTATTAATAGAGTGAATTTAAAAATTAGACTATTAGAACCTAGAGAAATTGAATCTCAAACTCATATACCCACTTATGAGTGGTAGAGCCAAAATTCACATCAATTTGGTCTGCCCTCAAAGCCAATAGACTTTTCCACTAAGGCAGCCTCTTTTTTCTTTTCTTTTCTTTTTTTTTTTTTTTTTTTTTTTTTTGAGATGGAGTCTTGCTCTGACTCCCAGGCTGGAGTACAGTGGCGCGATCTCAGTTCACTACAACCTCTGCCTCCCAGGTTCAAGTGATTCTTCTGCCTCAGGCTCCCGAGTTCAAGCGATTCTCCTGCCTCAGCCTCCCGAGTACCTGGGACTACAGGTGCCCGCCACCACACCTGGCTAATTTTTGTTATTTTTAGGAGAGACGGGGTTTCACCATATTGGCCAGGCTGGCAAGGCAGCCGTTTTAACACTCTTGTTTTCCAGATAAGTCAAGTGAACCCAGAGAGGTGAAATAACATGTGAGGTTACTTGATGGGTTATTAGCAGAGAAGTACACAAAGCACGTCCAGTGTCATTTACTTATTTCCAATATGATTTAAATACATTTGAGTACACAAAATATATAGGAAACATCTACAAATGTCTTAATATTCAAACATTGTTATTATATGAATTTATATCTATTACATGTATTTTGAGAAGACCAAAAAAGGTCATGTTTCGACAATGTCTCATTATTTCATTAAAACAGGAAATTAGGTTTATCCTCCAAAAGTTAATTTTAAAATATTCAAGGAAGTTGGTTAAGGTTAGGAGGGGAACACTTTCCCTACATTTGTGTATGTGAGTTTGTGTAGACACAGAATTTTATCTTAAACCCAGTATCATAATTTGACTTTTAAAAATCATCCTACCTCCTACTTTATGAGGACAAAGAATGAGTAAGATACAGAGAACCCAATAATCTGATGAGTCACTCATGGCTCAAAAACCTTAAGAGACACAAACTCTAGGCAGAAAGTACAGTTATCAATATCACAGAAAAGACAATGAGGAAGAAGAATTCCTTTTGGTTATCTCACTTCTGCTCATCTAGCCCCCATCTGTAAAGTGATTATCATCTATCCTACTAAGAAAAGAACCAGACAACACAATTTTCTGGAAAAAAACTAAAATAACCTAAAAAGTACTCAGAAGAAATTTTGTAAAAAACCTCTGGCCAGGCGTGGTAGCTCACGCCTGTAATCCCAGCACTTTGGGAGGCCAAGGTGGGTGGATCACCTGAGGTCAGGAGTTCAAGACCATCCTGGCCAACATGGTAAAACCCCGTCTCTACTAAAAATACAAAAAAAAATTAGCTGGGCGCGGTGGCATGTGCCTGTAATCCCAGCTAGTCGGGAGGCTGAGGCAGGAGAATCACTTGAGCCTGGGAGGTGGAGGTTGCAGTGAACCAAGATTGCACCATTGCACTCCAGCCTGGGCAACAAAGCAAGACTCCGTCTCAAAAACAAAACAAAACAAAACAAAACTCTTTTTTTTTATTCTGATTGTACAGGGAATCCAATCTTCCCATCTACCAATCGTCATGCAAGATTACTTCCTGAACAAACATGGACAGGAGTTTCATGACTCTTCAATATGAATGAACTTCCCAGTCGGTCTATAAAATTTTTTTAACGTTTTTAAAAATGGTCCACATTTCATAGGATCATTGATACTGACATATCTGATGTAGGCAGAAAAACTAATTTTTTTCACTAGCACCTTGGCTCTAATGTGCAAGTTCTTCTTTGACCACATACCACAGTTTAACTTCTCTCAGGCTCTAAACCAGAATAATGTATACAACTGCACATGCGTCACCTGCAAAGTTTCTTCCCTACCAGACATCTTAGCAATGTTAGACTCATATGTTCAATTACATTAAAAACAATTACATTTTTAAGATGTAATGTTGAAAAGTACTGTAGATTTATGGGACTCTAGGAAAGAAAGATACTGCATGACCCCAGATTTTTACAAGGGGTATAGAGAGAAAGTGGAAGCAGGTACAGAAGGAGGAAAATGGACAAAAGAATAAAAGAGTGGTGGCTGAGAATCTCTAATCAAAAAGTTACTGTTTTGAACCAAGGAAGCATCTAAAAAGTATTAGGATAAAACTCTTAACAAATCCTTCTTGTCTGCTTTTAATTAACTACAAAAGTCAAAAGCACCACTTTTTAAATTACACAATCAGACAAGTATAGTAATCCAGCAGGTACATTAAACTGTATTATTTTCATTCTATTTTATGTCTAAGAAATATGTGCTGCATTCCTGCTTTACACCAGACACTGGTCTAGGCCCTAAAGACCTAGGGAAAGTTCTTGCCCACAAGAATCTACTGGACATTTACAGTCTAGCAGGCAAGTCAGACACATAAACAAATCATTACACCATATGTGATAAGGGCTGTAAGAGAGGTACAAGAAGGGCACAAAGGAAATGGTCACCTCCTTTGGGTGGTCAAAGAAAGCGTTATAAAGCTTACAATTATAAGATCATTCTTCTCTCACACTTTGAAGGAGCAGATGCTACCACTCGGTCATAATGACACCCACCTTGCCTTAGGGATGAAAGAAATAAAACAAAAGCACCTACCACAAAGTCCACTACATACAAAGCAGAAACAACAATCTTGCTAGCAGCTGTATAATACTCTACATATGACTGAGCAAAATGGAATTTGTAAAGAATCAAAGTAGTTCAGAGCTAAAAGGATCTCAATGTTCATGTACCTCTACCTCTTGCCTTTAATTAGATGGGAAATCTAAGGCCCAGCAGTTAGATTATTTACATAGCAAATCAGTAGCAAGATCTCACCAGGATAGATGTCAGATTCTTACTAATAATCTCAATGCCTTTTCCTGTAGCAAACTGTCCTGCCTGGATGAGAAGGGGAGACACACTGTTAAGGAGAGAAAAAAGAAAAAAAGAATAGAGACCCTTCATTGTTGTCCAAGGGCCAGAAGAAACAAAACAGCCCTAAGACTAGGAATCCAAGAGATCTACAATGCTCCCCAGCTCTGCTCCAACTTCTGTACTCATGAAAAATGCCATAACCTCCCTCCTCCCCCAAAATTCTAAGTCTCCAAAAATAAAAGGGCAATTGTCAAGAAATTATCTACTCTTCTTAACCTTAAGGAACATCAAACGTCCTCAAACAGCTTGAGATATGCTCCCATGTTGCCAGTTAGCTACACGTATAACATAAAAGTAGCAGCTGCTAACCTACCTATATAATGGGATTGTTTTAAAGATCAAAAAAGAATCATAATAGCTACTGGTAAAGTGCAAAACACTAAATGAATGCAATTTACTGTTAAACACAGAATTTCCATGGTCAAAAGGTTCATCTACGCCTTTTCCCCTAAAAGTGGTGGAAGGTATCATTATGGTTTAACTTTATTTTTAAAAAGCAAACATTAATGTATAATAATTTCCTACCAATCCAATGTATCTATTTCTTTCTCAATTTGTAGAAGGAAAATTCTATCCCTACCTAACCCATCCCCTATAATTTCCCTTCTTTCTTTTCTCTCCTTTACTTTAAAACAGCCACCACCATTCCAAGAGGCTCTGCTAGAACCATATAAACATCAAACGTGTAAACACAAAGCTTTTATCAAAAAACATGTTGTATAAAGTTGAATGCTGCTTCTACCAGGGCAAGCTGGGGAAACATTAAGGTGTATTGTAATAAGCAATGCCCAGCTACAAACCCAGAGTGTGGTGGGGAGGTACAGCCCCAATCTGGGGCCCTCTCCTCACTTCACCTGTCTCACTATCCTCCTTCTGCCTGATACATGATCTGCAATGGTGTGGCCACTTGTTGAGAACCCAGTGTACTTCCAGTCCTTCATAACTTTATTAGCTCTCCATAATTTGAGACTACAGCTCTGTCGCTTCACTTTCAAAACCTAACTCTCTAAATTTGAATTAGAAAATCCTAACCACAAGTGCCAAGATGTTCTCAATCCACAACCACACCTACTCAAAACAATAAATAAAAAATATCTAATATCAAGCCATTATACTCACCATTACCTCTGCCCATGAAATCTTGATTTTAATACTGTACTTTTGGGTTTTGTAAAGATCCATTCATTCCATGAGGAATTGCTTTGTGCTTGCTGATAGCTGCTGAGGACACAGACCTGTATAAAATGTGGCTCCAGCAGTGTGAGAGCAGGGCATTTAAATAGCTAACTACAAAGGGAATAAGAGCTATAATGGAAGCATAAACAATTTAGCACTTAACAGACTTGATGAAGGAAGAATGCTTCCCGAGGTGACACTTGACCTGACCTTGAAGGATAAGAAGGAGCTTACTGGGCTTATTATAAGTGGGTAGAAGCACACTCTTCACCGTGGGAACAGTAAGTGAAGGACACAGAATCATGAAAGATAAATGCATTGTAGAGAACACTGAGAACTTCAAGTGCCTGGAACACAGGGGTGGGGAGTGGAGGAGACAGGACAAGGGAAGCAACACCCAAATAATGCATGATCAATATGCTAAGCTCAGATGTTTTTACTCTATTCTGCAGGCAATAAGAAAATGCTATTAACTTTGTATTTCTGGAAGATGACTTTGGCAGCCACATGAGACCAACTGACACAATGAAAGGAAACTGACTGGCCGGGTGTGGTGTTTCATGCCTGTCACCCCAGCACTTTGGGAGGCTGTGGTGGGTTGACCACTTGAGGTCGGAAGTTTGAGACCAGCCTGGCCAACATAGCAAAACCCCATCTCTCCTAAAAATATAAAAATTAGCCTAAAAATACAAAAAAAGTGGCACACGCCTGTAATCCCAGCTACTTGGGAGGCTGAGACATGAGAATTGCTTGAACCCAGGAGGTGGAGGCTGCAGTGAGCCAAGATTGTGCCACTGCACTCCAGCCTGGATGATGGAGCGAGACTCTGTCAAAAAAAAAAAAAAAAAAAAAGGAAACTGGTTAAGATGATGTTCCAGGGATCCAGGAGACTAAGATAGAAGCAATAAGAATGCAAATGAAGAGATGGTATCAATAAATATTTAATGGATAAAATGAATGGGACTTGATAATTAATTGGATTGTGGGAGTAATGAAAAATAAAGCTCCCAAGTTCCTGTGAGTCAAAGGTTAGATAGTGGTACCATGAAGTTAGAAAGAGACTTCCAAACAAAGTAAGAAACAGAAAGGAAGGAAGGAAAAGCTTCCACTTTGAATACATCTGGGCTGAAAATGTGTGACATCCAGGTGGAAATCCGAAGATGGTTGAAGGTATGTGTCTGAATGACAGAGCCTGGTTTCCAGACTGAAATGTGGAACTGCTCAGCCAATCAATGGTATCAGAGGTAGATGAAACTGTAGAGAAAACAAGCAGTAGGATAAATGCTCATCAAAAATCTCCAGGCAGAGAGACCAAAGAACCTATCAAGGAGGCTAAGAAGGATCAGCATTAAGAGAAAGGAAAACAAGAAACTACTGACGAGAAAGAAGAGTCTAACGGGGAGGCATGACCAACAGGGGCAAGGGCAGATTGCTTCAGGGAACAATAAGGGTTAAAAGGGTCATAAGATGGCTACTAACCTCAAAGAGCAAGTTCAGTGGCTAGGAGAAGAAAAATCTAATGGCTACAGATAAAATATCAGAAGAGGGGAGGGAAAGAGGTAAGTGTAAATTAATATCTGAAGTTTAGCAATGAAGAAAAGGCAAGTAATAACTACAAAAAGTCTAGGATTCAGGGGAGATGTATGTTTAGGCTGTTTTTGTTTGGTGCAGTCTTTCGGTGGGAGAGATAGAGAGGAGAGGTTCAACACACAAAGTAGAAAGAAAGGAAAATGAATGGCATGTAGTTCAAAAAAGATGGAGGAAAAGGATCAAAACCACAGAGAAGAGTTTAACCTTCAATAGCAGGAGGAACATCCTGACCCCACAGGCCAAAGAGAACAGTAATGGGAAATAGACATCGGCTGGGAGAGGAAGGGGTTTAAGGAAGCTAGAAAGATTGGGGGAGGGGCAGGGGTGGGGTGGATCTAACAACTTTGGAGCATTTTGTTAAATGAAATTTATAGGAGGCCATTGTTTTGGACTAGCCTCCTGCACTAGGCTCCAGCAGACCATACCACACCAGAATGGAGCTAGGTAATCAAACTAAACTCTGAAACGGGGCAGTTGTTTAAAAAGGAAGAAAGGAATTCACAACAACCAATCCAAAGGGGTAGGCATGATAAGGAAGTCCCCTCTGTTTTAACACTATAAGAAAAGTCACTTTGAAACAACCAACATGCTTTTGTTCTCTGTTTCTGCTTCCGTCAGCTCTTTTCTGTCTATAAAAGCAACTTCCTCTGTTCAGCTTATCGGACATTCATTCTATTTTATAGAATGAGGTGTTGCTCCAGTCTTGAATGGCAAATAAAAACCAATTAAAATCTTTAAAATAAATTTACTGTAATTTTAACAATGTAAAGGAAAAAAACTAAGGAGAAAGGGGGAAATTTTGGAGAAAATATGGTCAACCACCCAGAATATATTCAATGATAATTCTCCTAGCATTTATATAAACATATGGCTTAAAACAGGCCGAACAATTTTCAATATGAGAAGTCATTGGTGTTTTAAACTCTTCTTACATAGTAACTTGATTTGTAAATCAATATCTATTAAATAAGTTACCCAGGAGAATAATCAAATGAGTGCCAATCTCCTTATCAGTACAGAGGCAGAAAAGTTGTTAAAAATAATTCACTGAAATTGCAAAGTTTGGGGAGGGGTGTTTTGTTTTCATCATAGTGTGTGCCAAGGGCTTGACTAAATTTATTTTATTAGATACAATACCTACAACTGTAGCTCCTATTCTCAAACTGTGAAGCCTGTGTCTCAATAAAATGCCAGTTTAAAAGACAAGATAATGAAGACCACCATCACCACCAGAACTCCATAAGAATATGTGAAAGGTTATAAAACAAAACTCCTTTTATAGGGTTGAATCCTTTCCAGGGTGGGCCTTTAAGACATTCTGACAGTGCACACAAATACTATCTCTGGAACAAAACCAAAAAGGCACAGCTGCAAGACATCTTCCACTGAAGTTGTAACTGACTCAATAGCAGTTCTTCCTTTGAGCAAGAGAGTCTATAAAAGCCAGAAGCAGAGCTATTTTTCCCTACAAACTGTTTAGTGGAACTGTCTTCTACTGATCCAAATTGTAGCTTTATTAAAAAAGCTAAAATAGCATGTCCATTTAAATTTGTAAAATAAAAATATAAATAAAATTTGGAGAAAAAAGTATATGTGGTTTTCATTATGCAAAATCCCTAACTGAACCAAAATTATGCTAAAATATATAAAGATATACATTTTTAAAATTACTATTTATCACCATCACCAGCAGGAAATTTGAATTTATTATAACAGAATTATGTTTTCAAACTACTAAGGAATAATAGTGATTTTAAAAGTTTTGATGATTAGCATTCATATTCAGAACACTGATTTATTTTGAGCTTTATTTCATTTAAACTTATATCTGGATATTTATGACAGCTAAGAATTAAAAAAAAAAAAAAGCATTTTTAAGTCAATTAGGAATAACTCCGAAACAAGAAACACAATTTAGGAAACCAAATCAATGCTTTATTTTGTGATGCTTTCAATACTGTAGTTTTGACTATGTTTCTATAGCAACACCAACAAATACTTCTTCTGCAGCCAAGATGAAAACCAATAACCACTTCTCTAGTTTATTTCTATTATGGCTTCCAACAACAACTACAAAAAATCAGCCTTTCTAAACCTCATTCTATAAACTTCAAAACCTAAGGCTTAAATATATAACAGTTGCAGTTAACCACAAGTGTCAGATATTCTCCAATTCTTTGGAAGGGAAGTTAATGACAGACAGGGTATAATTCTGTTACCTTTTTGACAGCAATTCATTCAGAATAACAAATAAAAAAATAGGGGGAAATAAAGTAATGACCAACAAATGACTTACTTGGAACATTATCTAAATTCTAGAGAAACGGACATGAAAACTTTGTGTCAAAACGTAAAGAACTCAATATTCCAAGAATTATGCAACGTTCTCTGCAGAAGTTTCAGACTTTCTTTCAAAAACCATTTTTTGTTGGAGTCATTGTTTTGAAGAAAATATTTTACTAATAATAAAAGACCTATCTACCTGGTGAGAAAGCTTTCTGCTAAATGCTTTACAAACATATTTATGCTTTGAAACATCTCTGTAAGGCACATATTATCAAGTTCATTTTGTAGTCAAAGAAAATGAGGCTCGGAGAAATTAAATAACTTCCCTTAATAAGCATAAAATGCAAAAATCATACAGTGGTTAATCAACAGTCCTGGAGTTAGACAAACCTGAATTTGGATTCTGGCTCAACCGCCTAACAACCATGTGTAAATCCAATTCTAGTTTATGTGAGATAAATTCTTGACATCACACCATGATGCTTATATAGCCTCAACTACAAAAAGCAGCCTTTAGGTAAACAGCCTCACATTCCGGTGTCTCACATTTGCCCACGGACTTTACTATAATCATCAGGACTTTATTCAACTGTTTCCACTCTAGTACCATAAAGTTCTCAAAAAGATTTCATAAGAGAAACCAGGAACCGCAAATGAAAGTTGCAGATGTTTCTATCTTCCAAACACACATATACGTATCAACAGAGGCTTGCCTGGCATTTAATGTTACTGGCTAGATATATCAGTATATGCCTTTCTTCAGAACACTGAGAACTACAGTAATGTGTCAATGAGGATCATGTTTTTGAGAAATGTATCCTTAAGGTGATTGGTGATTTCATCCTTGTGCCAGCATCACAGAGTGTACTTACAACGTACATGGTATAGCCTACTACACATCTAGGCTAGATGGCATAGTCTATTACTTCTAGCCTACAAATTTTTACGGCATGTTACTATACACTTGTACACTACTATAGACTTTTTTTTTTTTTTTTTGAGACAGAGTCTTGAGTTCACCTGAAAGTTCACCCAGGCTGCAGTACAGTGGTGTGATCATGGCTCACTGCAGCCTCAACTTCCCGGGCTCCAGTGATCCTCCCACCTCAGCCTCCCAAGTAGCTGGGACTACAGGCACACACCACCTGCCCTGCTGATTTTTTTTATTTTTTGTAGAGATGGGATTGCACCATGTTGTGCAGGCTGGTCTCAAGCTCCTGGGTTCAAGCAATCCTCCTGCCTAGGCCTCTCAAAGTGCTGAGATTACTGGCATGGGATACCATGCCCAGCCTGACTACAGATTTTATAAACACTGTACACTTAGGCCACATAAATTTTTTTTAATATTTTTATTCAATGAATTAACCTTAGCTGTCTTTTTACTTTATAAACTTGCATTTTTTAAAGCTTTTTTACTCTTGTAACACTTAGCTTAAAATGCAAACATATTGTACAGCTGTACAAAAATATTCTTTCTTTATATCCCTATTCTATAAGCCTTTTTCTATTTTTAAACTCTTTTGTTAAAAACTAAGATAAAAACACACATACTAGCATAGGCCCATACAGGGTCAGAATCATCACTATCACTGTCTTCCACCTCCATATCTTGTGCTTTTAGAAGGTCCGCAGGGGCAATAACATGGAGCTGTCATCTCCCATGATAACAATGCTTTCTTCTCAAATACCTGCTGAAGGACATGTCTGAGGCTATTTTACAGTTAAAGTTTGTTTTTTGTAAGTAGAAGAAGTATACCCTAAAATAATGATAAAAAGTATAGTAAATACATAAACCAGTAACATAATCATCTATCATTATCAAGTATTATGTACTGTACCTAACTGTATGTGCTAGATCTTTATGTGATTGGCTGTACAGTAGGTTTGTTAACACCAACATCACCACAAACATGTGAGTAATGCATTGTGCTATGACATTACCATGGGAACAATGTCACCAGATAATAGGAATTATTCACCTCCACTAGAATCTTATGGGACCTCCATCCTATATGTGGTCTGTTGTTGACCAAAATGTTGTTATGTATCACATGACTGTATTTGGGGAGATCAGAGAAGTCCAAATGAAAAGCTTTCTCTATAAACTCGAGGTAACTGTAAATGCATTTTTAAAAAGATGCCTAAAGGACTACCAACACATATACCAGGTTTCCCAGAACAGCTCTAGTTTCAAATATTCTGTCCCACTGTCTCCTTAAGAAAATACATACATTCTAGATCACACTTATCCTTTCTATTTTTTAACTGAAACAACATAATCAACAGATTTACGGGCTTGGGACCAAGAGATTACTATTGGCTAGAATGGTAAATAGAAGAAACTTGAATAAAACTCTGAAAGGGAGAATGAATTGCCATTGGTAGGAAAAAGGGACAAGAACCTTCAAGAGAGATGGGAACAGCCCTAAGGCAGGGTGAAGATGAAGAATGGACAATATGCTCTCGAAGATCTTGGTGATAGTGACAGGAGGCAGCCAAATGCCTAGACAGATCCCCAGTGAACCCTCACCTTCAAGCCAAAAAAACCAGCCTGAAAGCTGAAAGACCAGGACTGCTGGTCCTGAATGAAACGCACAACCCAGAGTGAGATCTTCTGTTCCTGTTTGCCCACCCTTTCCTGACTGATTCTTTCTGAATAATGCTTTTTAACCAATTGAATGTTGTCTTTTCCAATACTACCTTTGGCCTGCTCCTCCCCCACTCTGAGCCCATAAAAGCCCTGGACTCAGCCACATTTGGGGGGGGACTTTCCCACCTTCAAGTAGTAGGACCATCCCGCATCTCCTCTCCACTGAAAGCTGTTTTCTTCACTCAGTAAAACTCCCTGCCTAGCTCACTCTTCAACTGTCAGTGCACCTCATTCTTCTTGGGTGCGCGACAAGAACTCGGGAACCAGTGCGTGGGACAAGAACTCGGGAACCAGTGCATAAGCTAGATTCGACCTGGAAGGGCCAAGTGAATGTGACGTCTCCTGCAGCAGGTAGCATGGCCAAGTGAGGTCCAGATGGGACATCGCCAGCTGAAGGTCCCCAGCTTGCAAAGTGACCAGGAAAAGAATCCTGTGTCATTGTGAGTAGGAGTTGGTGACCTGGGCAGTGAAATGACCACTGTCACTGGATCAGAATTATACACAAAGATAAATCAGAGGTAATGCTGAAATATGACAGCTAGAAAGAGTGCTGAGGGCTTTGAAGAACAGAAAAAGAACCTTGGGCTAAAGAATATAGGTGAGAAGCTCCTTGAAGATGTTTTTCTTTTGTTTTGCTTTTTTGGTAGCAGCTTGGAGATATACAAGTCACCCATTATAGGTGTACAATTAAATAGTTTTGAGTATAGTCACAGAGGTGTACAACCAGCACCACAAACAATTTTAGACCATATTTATCACCCCGAAAAGAAACCCTTCCTAACCCATTCTATAGGGCCTGATACAAAAGCCAAAAAAAACCACCACAAGAAAAGTAAACTACAGACCAACATCCCTATAAACATACGGGCAAAAATCCTTGGCAAAATACTGGCAAACCAAATCCAGCAGGATATTAAGGGATCATATGTCGTGGGCAAGTGGGATTTATTCCAGAAATACAAGAGTAGTGTAACAAAAGAAAATGAACCAATAAACCATATTAATAGAAACCAAGCAGGGGAACCCACATGATCACCTCAATAGACACAGAAAAAGCATTTGACAAAAGCCAGCATCCTTTTCACAATAAAAATACTCAATAAACTAGGAGTAACATTTCTCCAAGGAAGATATACAAATGGCCAATCATAACATGAAAAGATATTAAACATCATTAGTCATTAGAAAGTGGAAATCAAAATCACATTCATATACCACTTCAAACCCACCAGGATAGCAATATTTAAAAAAGAAAAAAAAAAGAACTGTTGGCAAGGATTTGGAGAATTTGAATCCTTATGCATTGCTGGCAGGAATGTAAAATGGTGTAGCAGATTCAGAAGGTTCTAGGGAAAGTGAAGAGTAGGAAGTGACAACTTAAGAGGTATAGGATTTTTTTCTTTTTTTTTTTTTGAGATGGAGTCTTGCTCTGTTGCCCAGGAGGCTGGAGTGCAGTGGCACGATCTTGGCTCACTGCAACCTCCACCTCCCAGGTTCAAGCGATTCTCCTGCCTCAGCCTCCCGAGTAGCTGAGATTATAGGCACGTGCCACCACACCCGGCTCATGTTCTGAGATAGTAGTAATGGTTGAACATTTCAAATGTAATAAAAACCACTGAACTGTATATTTTAAAATGGGTAAAATAATAAATTTTATGTTATATGATTTTGATCTCATTAAAGAAAAAAGAAACCTCATACTCCAGCTGTCACACCCCAGTACCCCCAGCAATCACTAATCTACTTTCTGTTTCTATAAATTTCCCGATCCTGGACATTTTACATAAATGGATTCTTGTATGTGGCCTTTTGTGTCTGGTTTCTTTCACTTATGTTTTCAAGGTTCATACATGTTGTAACATATCAGTACTTCCTTCATCTGTATGCCCCAATAATATTAAATTCTATGGCTATATCAGAGGGTGTTTATCCATTCATCAATTGATGGATATTTGGGTTGTGTCTGCCTTTTGGTTAGTATGAATAGCCACTATGAACATCCGTGTATAATTTATTGTGTGGTCATACGTTTTCATTTCTGCTGGGCATATACTTATGAGCAGAACTGCTGGATCGAATAATTACTCTATGTTAAGTTTCTGAGGACACACCAGACTACTTTCCAACATGACTGCACTTACATTCCCACCAGTAGTATACGTGGGTTCCAATCTCCTGGGCCTACTGTGGCCAAGCAGGATGAACACTAAATGTTGTTCTGAGGGTCAAGCGTGGTGGCTCATGCCTGTAATCCCAGCCCTTTGGGAGGCCAAGACAGGTGGATCACTTGATTGCTGGAGTTCAAGACCAGTCTGCCCAACATGGTGAAACCCTGTCTCTACTAAAAATACAAAAATTAGCCGGGTGTGGTAGCATGCACCTGTAGTCCCAGCTACTCCGGAGGCTGAGGCAGGAGAATCACTTGAACCCGGGAGGCAGAGGCTGCAGTAAGCCGAGATCGTGCCACAGAACTCCAGCCTGGGCAACAGAGCAAGACTCTGTCTCATAAATGAATGAATGAATGAATGAATGAATGAATGAATGAATGTTGTTCTGAGAAGAAAAATTTAGGAGGCTAAAATTGGGAAAGGTAGTCAGTAGAAACAGGGAGAATGCAGACAGCAAGGTAAATAGGCTCAGGTGGGCTAGGTGCAGTGGCTCACACCTATAATCCCAATACTTTGGGAGCCCTAAGCAGGAGGACTGCTTGAGCCCAGGGGTTCAAGACCAGCCTGGGCAACATGGTGAGATCCCTATCTCTACAAAAAAAATTAAAAATTAGCTGAGTGTTGGTGGTACATGCCTGTGGTCCCAGCTACTCAGGAGGCTGAGGTGGAAAAGTTGCTTGCACCCAGGAGGTGGAAGCTGCAGTGAGCCCTGACTGGGCTACTGCACTCCAGCTGGAGTGACAGAGCAAGACCCTGTCTCAAAAATAAATAAATAAAAATAGGCTCAGGTGGAAGTACCAGTCAAAATAACAAATAAAGAATAGGTATTAAACACATTTTAGAGAAAATAATCCATAGGAGTTGAAGTCTAAATAGCAGATAAAGAAGAATAACTAAAAAATAATGCCAAGATTCAAGGCCAGAAGACAAGAAGACTGCAAGATTCTGGAACTTTCAGGCATACTGAGTTTGAAGTGATGTAACACCTAAATTCTTAGAAAAGATTACAGAAATCAAGAGTAAAGATGACAACTTAGGGGTCACCCCAGAGGTATGAGAGATTAACCCTGATCCTATCATTTGCTACTAGTATTAATCTCAAAACTTTTTTCCAAACAAGTGACTATTCCTGAAAAGTTTTAGTAATACAAAAATAGAGGAAAAGCACCTTAAAGCCAGGCTTTCCTGAGGGGTGGCGGGGGAGACTACAGCAGGGCATCCGAAGGGGCTGTAAATATGTAAAAGTCTGCATAACAAGAATAGCATCAAGGTGCTCTAAGAACTAAACATGGTAGACCAAGTCTACCTTCTTAAGAAGGTACAGTCATCTCCATGTGCCTAATGAAAAAATATTTGGAGGGAAATCTCAGTGGTAAACTAATCTACCTGCTACAACACTAGCTACAAATCAGCTCAACAGGCAAGATAAGTGCTAAGAATGAAGGAAAGGAGGCTGGGCACAGTGACTCATGCCTGTAATCCCAGCACTTTGGGAGGCCGAGGCAGGCGGATCACCTGAGGTCAGGAGTTCAAGACCAGCCTAGCCAACATGGTGAAACCCTATCTCTACTAAAAATCCAAAAATAAGCTGGGCATGGTGGTGCATGCCTGTAGTCCCAGCTACTCAGCAGGCTGAGGTGGGAGAATTGCTTGAACCCAGGAGGCAGAGGTTGCAGTGAGCCAAGATCACGCCACTGCACTCCAGCCTGGGAGATAAAGTGAGACTCTGTCTCAAAAACAAACAAACAAACAAAGAATGAAGGACAGGAAGCCCAATATCAGATCATTCATTGAACATTCACTCATTCAGCAAATAACTATTGATAGCCCATTAAGTGCCAGACAATTGTGGACACATGTGATAACTGCCTTAGGTACACACACCTAATACATACTCTTCTGAACAACCTCTATTCTCCCCAATTGACTCTCTACTTGCCTTTCTCCCCTATCAGGTTACAAGCTCCACAAGGCTGTATAATGTTTAAAATAAAATATAAGGTTGACAAATAGGTAGTCACAGCCTCTGCTCTCTCTCCCTCAAAGAGAAGTATGCCTTTATAATCTCAATTTTGAACACAGCTTGACTGATGTATTATGGAATGGGCTGAGTAGAAAAAAAAAATAGCTGCTAAAAGAACTGCGGGAGAGTTGATATTTGGTGGGAGAGAAACTGGTTTAAGGGAGAGCGTTTGAGGTCTGCTCTATACTGTGACGAAGAATCAAAAAAGGTAAGTTGATGAAGATAATTTTTCTTAAGTTTTGCTGTTATAACGAAACCTTCTGCTTCTCTAGAGACTAAAAACTTAAATGGTTTGTCAATTATTTGTCAATGTTGGGATCTGTGTTTTCTTCGTTATCAAAATTAAAACTAGGCCCTGAGTGAGCTCATCTTTATGCAAGTTACAGTATCTGAATAGGGAAAGTGTCAGTGGAACGAAGTGGATAAATTCAAGAAATATTCAGTTAGTAGAATGGTAAGACACATGGCCAAAGACATTTGGGAATTAAGAGAGCAAGGGAAAGCTAAAGAAAGAACAATTAGAAATGGGACAGTAAAGCCATTCACTGAAATAGTTAACAAGGAAGGACTAGGCTCTTTTGGAGGCAAGCTAATGAGTTCAATTTAGACTGGGTAACAACAACATAAAGACATATAACTAATAAAACACAATAGTGGATCAGCAGGGCACAGTGGCTCACACCTGTAATCCCTGCACTTTGGGAGGCCAAGGCAGGTGGATCACCTGAGGTCAGGAGTTTAAGACCAGCCTGGCTAAAATGGCGAAACCCTGCCTCTACTGAAAATGCAAAAATTGGCCGAGTGTGGTGGTACATGACTGCAGGTCCAGCTACACAGGAGGCTGAGGCAAGAGAATCGCTGGAACCTGGGAGGCAGAGGTTGCAGTGAGCCAAGATCACACCATTGCACTCCAGCCTGGGTAACAAAGCAAGACTCTGTCTCAAAAAAAAAAAGCCAATAGTGGAAAGACAAAATGAAGTCAGAGAAAAACATATCTAGAGGAAGCCTGTAAAAGAGAAAAAGAAACGAAGACTAGATGGGAGAAATACATAACACATAGCAAGATGGTACTCAAATATATCAATAATTAAATGTAAATGGTCTCAAGACACAAATTAAAAGGCAGAGATTGTCAGGCTGGTTTAAAAAGAAAGAATCAATTCCAGTCTATGTACAAGAAACCTATTTTAAAGATAAAAATATGGGAAAAGAGAGATGGTACGAAGCAGCAAATTGTGATATACAGAATTAACTTTGATTGTAAAATAAAGAGATAACCCTAAACAGCAAAAATAAAGTGCTTTGTTTAGTGCAAGAGTGAAGGATAGTCTGTAAAAGTCTAGACAAAGATCTCATAATAATACGAATGAGTATGGTTGGTATACTATGCCGAGGACATATAATTAAATGTTCTAAAGGTGCTTATAACCTTATTAACTATACAGGTAATTTTTTTTTTTTTTTTTGAGGTGGAGTCTCGCTCTGCCGCCCAGGCTGGAGTGCAGTGGCATGATCTTGGCTCACTGCAACCTCCACCTCCAGGGTTCAAGCAATTCTCCTGCCTCAGCCTCCCAAGTAGCTGGGACTACAGGCGCATGCCACCAAGCCTGGCTAATGTTTTTTTGTATTTTTAGTAGAGACGGAGTTTCACCATGTTATCCAGGATGGTCTCAATCTCGTAACCTCGTGATCCGCCAGCTTCAGCCTCCCAAAGTGCTAAGATTACAGGCATGAGCCACTTACCAAACAGTACAATCTTGGTTCAAGGCCATGACTTGGAAACACCAGTAGTTCTGAACTTAAAATGTCAATTTTGCGTCTGTCATACTCCTTTTCTACCCTGATTTCCACTGCCCCCATCTGCCATGTTAGTAATGTGTACCCCCACAGCTATGTCCTCTTCCACACACACAAAACACAATGGTAGTCATATGGGTGCTAAGTAGCTTAAGAAACCAATCAGTGTAGTATACCAAGGAGACATTTACAGGGGCTTTACAGTTTACAGAGCCTTCACCCTTTCCCAATCATATTCTTATTTAATAAATTTAAGAGGCTTTCAACATGTCTAATTCATGTTTGATACAGTAGAAAGGTCTTACTACTGGGCATCCACATTTTACTTGGCTTACCCTCATAAATCTAATCCTACAGTATTTTGTTCCTTCACACTCAAAACACATTCGTTAAAACAGCAATGTCCAATATTACTTGAACTCCACTACGTATCTACTTCTTTTTTTATTTTTTTACCGTTCAGCTCTGTTGGACTTGATATAGCTACATCTTTGTACTGGTTTTTAAAGTTTAAAATCATGGCCAAAAATAATAAACATTTTGAGGTGTTCCGCTAATTTTAGGGAAGGTGTCAACAACATGAAGATGCATATGTGCTTAACATGTTGTCTTTGCTTTATTCCTCTTCAGAAGGAGATTTGGTCTTTGTAGAAGAAAAATATAAAAAAATATTTTTTCAAGCTTTTATTTTGAGAAGACTGTGAAAAGTTCACATCCATGGTTATAATTTGTTTCTCTTGGATCTAAACATACACCCACCCGTTGGCTTCAGAAAAG
Source organism: Homo sapiens (assembly GCF_000001405.40). Lineage (NCBI taxonomy): Eukaryota > Metazoa > Chordata > Mammalia > Primates > Hominidae > Homo > Homo sapiens. The sequence continues at coordinate 130,991,953 of NC_000006.12, forward strand.
TACTTGGATAGAAATCCTAGGAGAGTGATACTTCCTGGAAGTTTCAATTAGGGGAAGAAAAAAAAGAAAAAAAAGAAAATCTTTCTATGGAAGGACAGCCAGTAGCAAATTACACACATGTTGAGTAAATACCAATTTGTAAAAATCTATTCTTACACAAAAGATATATTCATTGACTCAACACGTTTCTTCAGTAATTATTAAGAGGGTGATTTGCGAAAAGATTCACACTCACACATTTGATATGTGTGAGTGTGATAAGATTATGAAAAGATTCTGTTAAATATTAAGCAAAATGGTTCAGTATGAAAAATTTATGTATCTACAGTTTTGCTGGTCAAATTCCTATCACCAGCATCCTTCTCCTTACCACTAAATTGCTGTTGACTGGCTGCCACTCAAGTAATCAAATCCCTAGGGGAAAGCCAGCAATCTTACATCCATACCCCCCATACCCTAATAACTTAGGCTTGTGGTAGGTAGTCAATGGAACATTTTATGAGTTAATCAATAATTGCACCTAATTCATTAAGTGGTGTACAGCTACAAACCAAATCCCAGTAAAACAAACAGAAAATGAACTCAATACAGCCATCATTCCTCATCCTTTCCTCTCTATGGGGACTCGCTTTGTTGTCCTTTCTCTGTATGTATTTCTACTGCTGAAATTACCAATTCAAATTCTTTTTTTTTTTTTGAGACAGAGCCTCGCTCAGTCGCCAGGCTGGAATGCAGTGGCGCCATCTCAGCTCACTGCAACCTACGCCTCCCAGGTTCAAGCAATTCTCCTGCCTCAGCCTCCCAAGCAGCTGGCACTACAGGGCCACCACGCCCAGCTAATTTTTGTTATTTTTAGTAGAGATGGGGTTTCACCATATTGGCCAGGACGGTCTTGACCTCTTGATACACCTGCCTCAGCTTCCAGCCTCCCAAAGTGCTGGGATTACAGGCATGAGCCACCGCACCCAGCCCCAATTCCAATTCTTAGTATCAGTCTGTCTTACTGTGAACTCAGCAGCTCAGTCTTCTTACTCACCTTTGAATCCCTAGCCTGGCACACACTAAGACTGGGCACAAATTTATTTCATAATAAGGAAAAACAAATACCAAAGATAGCTCCTTAAATCAGTTTTCTCAATCTTTGTGTTATTTTACAGTGGTAAGCATAATGAATTTAATTGGCAACAACAAAATTCACTATTACAATTAAATATTTGATCCTAGTCACCTTTACAATAAATACCCCAAAAAGGTATATATACCACCAGGTGTTACCGCACAGAGAGAAATACAAGATCATTATTGGACCCAGAAATGACATCTAGTGGCTATAGATAAGAGAAATATGAAATGAGGCTTCCTTGTCCCAGGGAAATTAGGTAATTTTCTAGGAAACCCAACATATATTTCTAAAACACAGGTACTTATAATTGTCTCTGCAAGGCTCTTGTATCGGTTCAAACCCTGAGAGCGTGCCAACAAACAACACAAGGCGGTGTGTAGCAACACACTGTTTTAATGAGCGCCTGGGTGCAGGTGGGCTGAGGCTTAAAATGGCGTCAGCACCAAAGAGGATGGGGCAGGGGTTTTATAGTCTGCTGTAAACAGGAAGTGTCTCAGTCTGATGTAACTGCTAGGTAGTACCCAGACGGCCTCCCTCTCGATCTTCAGGGGGTATGTGTCTTCCGGCCAGCTCTCTTCCTGCTTCTGCTATCTTGCTGACACCGGCTGCTGGCGCAAGTGACCTTGCTCCTTGGAACTGGGCGTGAGGAGGGAGGAGTTATTCATTCCCTTAAGCTTTCAGGCCCTGGGGAGAATCTTTCATTCCTATCTATTTGGTTATAGAAAAGGTAAAGCAGAGTAGGTTGCCCCAGTATTAATTTTAAAAAATATATTGGCCTACCTGCCACCATCAGGGTTACCCTTGGCTCGGATGAAAAATGTTTAAAAACCAACCCAAGCTTCCAGGTATAAGGTTAAAAATAGGCAGTATATGACCTAACCTAACAATAGCTCTGTTACCGACTTTAAGCCACAGTATACCGGGAATAAAACTTGGGGTTGGGAGAAACGTCATGAAGTTATTTGTGAGTTTATGGTACACACATTCACAAATCACAAGGCTGTGAAAGAGACATCTAGTAGATGGCAAACCAACCCAGCAGGGAGTCTACCACTCCAGCAAAATCCACTGGCAGAGTAAGCAGGATGCTAAGAATGTGAAAGACTAAAATGGGCTAAGAGTAATGTAGCCCCTTTTCCAAGATGACCCTGAGCTGTAACGTAGTGCATGAAGGAACCAGGGGCGGTTAGATCTGATCAGGAATCACACTTCAAGGACAAGCTGAGACCCAGAAAAACCACTGTTCTCACTTACCTGATCATCTACCCATGAGCCACACAACTAATGACCTACAGAATTGGGATATGGCTGTGCAACAGGAGAGGGCAGGGCAGAGTGTGTCCTGGGGAAAACCTAACGCTGGGACTCACCACTGACACATAGGCTAGATAGAAATGGAACCAGAGGAATGAACAGCCCCTGCAGACTGCATTCTATGAGAAAAGACAGGGCCTCCAGATGCAACAGGTCAACTGGACTTTGCATGGTCTGCCCCAGGCGACAAAAGGACTGTGTCTGCAGTTGTACCTATAAAAGCTGAAGTATGACAGACAAGCACATATCTATGACTACACTCACTGAAAGGATATATACATGTTTATATATTATACTTAAACATATAGAAAAGTATAGGTACTGTGAAAAACATAAATCTTGGGGCCCCCAAATCAGTAAGCTCAAAGGAAAAGTCAAGCTGGGAATTGCTTAGGGCAAACCTGACTCCCGTTCTTTTTAAAGTCACGCCTCTGCTCACTGAGATAAAAGCGTATCCGATTGCCTCCTTTGGAGAGGCTAATCAGAAACTCAAAAGAATGCAACCATTTGTCTCTTATCTACCTATGACCAGGAAGCCCCCTCCCCGCTGAGTTCTCCCGCCTTTGCTTCAAGTTGTCCCACCCCACCTTTCCAGACAGAACCTATATTCATCCTACATATGTTGACTGATGTCTTAGGTCTCTCTAAAATACATAAAACAGGCCGGCCAGGCGTGGTGGCTCACACCTGTAATCCCAGCACTTTGGGAGGCCAAGGCGGGTGGATCACGAGGTCAGGAGATCAAGACCATCCTGGCTAACACGGTGGAACCCCATCTCTACCAAAAATACAAAAAATTAGCCAGGTGTGGTGATGGGCGCCTGTAGTCCCAGCTACTCGGGAGGCTGAGGAGGAGAATGGCATGAACCTGGGAGGCGGAGCTTGCAGTGAGCCGAGATCGCACCACAGCACTCCAGCCTGGGCGACTAAGCGAGACTCCGTCTCAAAAAAACAAACAAAAAAAACAGGCCAGGCACAGTGGCTCATGCCTGTAATCCCAGCACTCTGGGAGGCCTAGGCAGGCAGATCACCTGAGGTCAGGAATTCGAGTCCAGCCTGGCCAATATGGTGAAACCACTCCAGCCTGGGTGACAGAGTGAGACCCTGTCTCAAAAATAATAATAAAATAAAATGTATAAAACCAAACTGTGCTCTGACCACCACGGGCACATGTCTTCAGGACCTCCTGGGGCTGCGTCATGGGTGCAGGTCTTCAACCTTGGCAAAACAAGCTTTCTAAATTGACTGAGACCTGTCTCAGATATTCGGGGTTCATAGTACATAGTATATATCTGAACCAAAATGTGAAATGTAGCACTCATAAAAATTAACTTAGCTGCCATAGCTAACTTTCCCTTTGTCATGATCTGCCTGATCCTTTCCTCCTCCTATGGTCAGCCTCACTCCCATGATTTACACTAGCTCTGTTCAAGCAGTTTGAGTTCAGCCATATTTTGGAACGCTGTCATATCCTCCTTCCCAATCCTTTTCTATCTCCTCCCACTGTCCCCTAAAATTCCAGGTTAACCATATTGGAACATATAAATTCAATAGCACAGTTATGAATAGATAAGGAAACTTGTTTTTCCTGTTCTATTATCTGTATATCATAAGTAAATATTCTTCCCACTGGACCTCAGAGTAATAAGGGAGCCAGAGATACTCTGTCTCTTCTTTGGAGAGGGACTGGCCCCAGTATCTGAGTCTCCTTGGAGGGTTTCCTCTCACTTATACCCCTTAGTTACAAAAGAACATCCATATAAAGAGTTGGTTTCTGCCATAAAGTTTACTGTAACAGGATCTGTCCTATACCAATTGTGTATTTATCTTTAAAAGACACAGATGGAATGGCATGACCAAGAGCTTGGAATCATTCTATAAAACAAGCCCAACTGATGCCCAGACATAAACAAACACTGGAACCCCTGTGTACCTCTGCCCCAGATGACAGGAGTCAGGCCAGCACAGATCAGCTCTTGTTGGAAATCAGTGAGCTGGCCCCTCCAGGACGGGTCAGGGCTTATGTGATCTGATCTTTACTTGTTTCAAAGCCTTCTTAAGAGTTATAATATAGACTTGTTACACTTATATGATCCTGGAAAACATCCAAAATGACTAGCCTATGTCTTTCTGATGCACATCTTCTGTAGGCAATAAATGTACACACTTTCTACAAACTGTGAACTTTCAAATGAGTCCATCTAATGAATGAATGAATGAATGCCCTATAGATTAACACTTCCAAAATTAAGTTCTACTACCTTAAGAATTTGTGGCAATGCATCACCCTATTTTGCAAAGGGAAAACAAGTGAATTTAAAAGGATAATGCTGTTGCTTTAACCTATGTGAACATATTCACAGACAAGAGACTGGAAATGTTCAACCAAAATGGTAACGGTAATTATTCCTGAAATGTGGGTACCTGGAAATTTTGCTTTATTTGCATTTTTCTGTTACCAAGTTTTCTGCACTGAACATGTGTTATAATTTTCAAAAATTTAAATAAAGTCCATTAAAATGGAAAAATGTAGGGTTTTCTCCCTTTAACTCTATACTCCTTAACAGTTTTAAGGGCAGTACAAAACAGGATAACTAAGTCCCAGCAAAGTTATAATAAATTGGTATTGTGCCATGTGGTATAGATTTACCAAAAACACAGAGGTACATTCATACTATTCCTCTTTGAGCTTGGCACTATACACAAGAAATCACTGGACTCTGAGAAGCTTTCAGACACTGTTACATTAGAGGACTTTTCTTTAAGTTAGATTTGAACTGGATTTAAAAGAATGAAAGGAATTTCCTGGATTTTATCACAGCAATTTCCCAGGAGATTTTTCCCTCAGTTCTTCATACAAGGATTAAAGCCACTTAGCAAATTAGAGAGTGTACTTGCCACTTAAAACGCTATTAAGATCATGTAAATTAAGAGGTCTTTAAAAAGCAATGCACATCAACAAAAGACTTAAGAGTTCCTGCTCAGAAGTTGTTTTAACAGTTTCCTATGAAGGTAGTCAAAAAGCATCAACCATCTGAGGTCACATCTAAGTGCAGGGGGGATCTACTTTCAGACCACACAGAGCTACGAAGGGATCAGGGAACACATATCTACATTAGATCAAGAAAGAGCCTTTCTTTGTTATATGACAACTGTTACTGTCAAATTTTCTCTACGACTTCATTAAAATATCAAGCACAATACACGCACAATTTAACACAGCACAAGGCGGACAGGGACGTGTTTTTCAGGACTGCAAAATGGCATCTGCAGAATGTCTCAAAGGAGTGACAAAGGCACTTCTTTAGCCCTAACAAAGAGAACAATGTTTCCAGTAGGACACTACAGGACTATTGCATTTCAGGGGGGAAAAGGCAGTGAAAATTAACACAAAACAGAGCTAAACATGGAGAATGACAGTCTGTAGGGAAGAATTAAAAGAAACTATTGGACACAAGTTTCACTCATTATTGTATATAAGAGCACCTAATGTTTTAAAAATCGAGTTATTGCAACTGTTAAGTTTGCAAATAAAATTATAACTAAAAAAAATCACAAAATAACCTTACTTATCAACTGAATTAATTTGATTCATAAGCACTGTATTTCTATAATTCCTGTTAAAAGGTAGTTTATAAACAAGCAATAACAGTATTATGATAAGCAATCTATGTGTATCATTTCATTTAATTTCTCACGACCACTCTATGAGAAATGTACTACCAATGACTCCATTTTATAAGTAAGGAAATTGAGTCTTAGAGATATAACATAGCTCAGCATCAGACAGATCTGAGTTTCAATTCCAACTCCTTCACTTACTAGCTATGAGACTTTGACTTTCTTTCCAAGATCTTTTGAATTCCAAGACTATGAAAATCAAATAATTTTCACATGGATTAAGGACAAATTCTTTTCAAAAATGGGACAAGAACTTTCCTATAACACCATACAAAAATGGAGCTAGTTGCTTAATGAATTGGGGGTGTAGGGGAAATTGGGATACACCCACCCAAGATCAACCAAGTAACACTTGCAAAACACTGTTAAAAGAGTAGCTTAAGAATGCCTTAGGAAAAAAACGAAGAGAAGGAATGATGAGAGTTAGGATTAATTACAAAATAAATAGCATATCTGAATAGACTGGATGGGGAAAGATGATAATCAGGATACTAAACTGATTATTCCTCACTTTATCTGAGGTGTATGTGCTTAGTTATCTTCAGTGGACAGTACTCTGAAAAACTATTTGATGATTTCTATATTGTGAAAAAACAACTTCAGCCATAGTTACAAACAGTAGACTCTGATTACAGTAAATAAAACCAGTAAATAAGTTAGCAACAGGTAAATTTTTCTCCCTATGACTATTTGTTTCATAAATTGTCAATCCTACTTTGAATCCCAGGACACTGCTACCCAACTAATCTTCCTGAACTCCAGTTCTGATCATATCATTCACCTGTACAGGAAACCTCAGTGACTCCACTGAGAGAGGAAAGCAAACCCAGAAAGCAATTCTTCTACCTCGAATAGAGTCCTCCACACTCTGGCCTGACTCTCCTTTTCCAGCCTTTCTACTCAGTTCTGCCCAGGATGAAAGCTATCATTCTGGAGGTAAGAGCCACTGTCTCCAGGCTCAATCCTCAAGCCTCTTCTCAAAAGACAGCCAACCAAGTAGAATGCCCATAATGACGAGCACCACCGTAGAGTCCAGTTACCAGGCTATGACTTTGCCAGACTTCCCTGCCTACCCCAGCTCAATGCTGTTCTTCTCTCTCCCAGATCCCCTAGTGTCCCCTACCCCTCTTTCAGAGCTCAGCACTTTTCTACACTCTAGGCCCAATGCGCCCATCTTATCCACCTTACCAAGCAAGTCTGTCTTACTTATTTCTGTATGCACCACAGCAACCAACCATACCCTTTTGCACAAAGTTCTACTTAATATATGTTGGGCAGAAAGAAACAATAAGAAAAATCCAGCATGCCTAAGTTTTCAAACCATTCTAGGCATTATAATCTTACTTTTCTATTATCCAAGATAACCATCTTAATGATTCAATAAAGTTATTGTAATATTAAGTCAAACAGCACTCTACTGGAACAAATATTATTTCGGCACATTTGTAGTAAGAAATCTCATGTCGTCTTTTAAGATTCCTTTCAAGAAAATGGGGGAAGCATGGTATTTACTATCTTCACCCTGCATGATTGCTTCTCATGGATTAAGATTGGCCTACTGGGTCACTAGCTTCAAAAAGGTATCAAATTCTAAGAAAAGCAAGAAGAAACTAGAAATGTCTCCAGAAAACATGCTAAAATTAATTTGGGAGGGGTATACAATCCTCCTGAATCATATTAATTTTAGATCTGGAAGGGACCCAAGAAAATAACTTAGCCAACCCTTTATTATGCAGATATTAGAGAATCAAAGAAATTTTAGACTGAGCTAACTGACTGAAAGATCAGCTTTTTAGAATATCCTGAGCAAAGGCAGAAACCTAACCTCCTGGCAAAAAATAGTTGCCAGGTATTTCTCATTTGCATAAACATGTTAAATCAACCAGGCAATGAGCTGAAATTAATTAGGTGATAAGCTCACATTTCTGAATGAATTTACCCCTCAGTGTTTTCTCAAATGGAGCTCACTTTTGCCAAATATACTTTCCTCTTGTTATCTTTGTTTTCCCAATGCACATCTCACTGTTGACCTTCCAATTTCCTATAGATGTAAATACCGTATAAAGATGTGGAATAGTGGCTTTTTAAAAAAAAAAAATACAGGCATCACTATAATCTCTCATCTGTGTATAACCTTTACTAGACTGGGTAGGGAGGATCTTCTTCCTTCACTGTTCAAGTTGGTGTTAAAATCACAGCAGAAAATAGGAACACAGAATGCCTGGAAAAGCGAAGGGTGCCTATCCAGGAAAGCTCACAACTGAGGCATAAAACAAGAAATCCGCTCTTATTGTTTTCTTCTGCACCCCCTCAAATATAATTTGTAATGGTTACACATAACTTTTAGGAAGAAAAATACAAGCTGTCTCCCAGGAAATCTGACCAACGCAACTACCAAAAATCCAAATCTGAACCATACATCAACGGGTTAATGGCACCCTATGAAACAAAATTCACAGGTATTCCTTCCGTTTGAGGAGAATAACACAGTAAAAAACAGAAATACCACTTGCCCCACAACGGAGCATCCCAAGGAAAAATCGACTCACATTTATCAGTAATAAATTCGCTGGGTAAACCATAGATCTCCTCAGAACTCACACCTGCAGCCCAGGCTGTGATCACTGTTACCACCTTGCTTGCTGGCACCGTGCAATCCAAGGACGCCTGGATTAGGATAAACGCCTTAAGTACAGTGCTGACACAATCCAGTCCTAGTGCTTAAGTCAGAGGGGCCCAGCCCTGGGTCAGGAGATAATGAGACTGATAATAGAGCCCAAAGGTAAACATAAATATCCTTAGGAAGCAGCATTGCTTTTCCAATCATGAAATGAATTCCCAAATTATTTCACTTCTTTTTTTCCAGAGCCAAACAAAAACAGATGAAAAATAATTCCAAATGATCTGGAGTGCAGCTCCATTATTACTTAAATATAATGAATAATAAACAAAGACTAAAGAGAAATGAGATCCCGCTCTAGCAACACAAGAAACTTTCTGCCAAGTATATTCCAACTATACAACTAGACACTTCTCTTTTATTTTAAGAGAAGAGAGCGTAAATGAGTGCGTACATGCTATCACTCAAGTGTGCTTAGACTATAAAGTGATGTGGCTGCTTCTCCATGAAGCTCATAGAATCAGTCACGTCTACGTCCTGACACTTCCATGGTGAACAAGTTGAGGGACAGGGAGAGCTCCAATGCCTACTCTGAGACAAGCAGCTGAGAGAGAGCAAGAGAGAGGGCAAGGGAAAGAGAAAGAGAGCACGTGAGCGCGAACAAGCATGTGCAGGCAAGCAGTCAGTCAAAACAGAGATTCTTTATATTACATGGAACAAACTTTTTGGTACAACACTAGAGAACAAGTTAAGTACAGCATTATAAGAAGCGCAGAGTGCTGCCAGAAAAAAAAGAATTTATTTTTTTAGTTCTGTTTCTTCCTACTCTATCTAGTCACTCAGGACAGTTTCCGTCATCTTTCTCCAACACTTAAGCTGTCATCTCTACCGGAGTTTCCCCACCCACCCCATGCGTTTGAAAACCTCCTGGAAAAGAACGAAAAGTATAACCAACTTTGCAAAATGACATTCAGAATTAATCCCACCCTAATATTTGGCTGTTTATCCCCCTTATTTCTTGATCTCTTTCCATTCTTTCTTCCTGTCCTTCTTTCCCTACCTATAAGTAGATCCTAGCAACGAAAGTTACTTCCTTTTTTCCCTGCTCTCCTTAGACTTTCAAAACTAAATTTCTCCATTGCCCCCATGCCAGCTTCAATTCTTCCCTCAAGATAAAGAAAGCCGAGAAATGCACAAAATTGTCCATAAGTCTTTAGGATGCCAAATTTAATATTCTAAAGATTTCTGTGGAAGAATATTTCCAAGCAAAACAAAAACTAATGATTCTCAATCATCTATTTTTCAGACATTCCTTCTCATCTCACCAAATTCACCTGAGCCGTCACATATAGATTTGTCTAGATTTAGACTAAAGTCAAATGCAAATAAAGGTGAGTCTGAAGCCATGATTACTGCCTCAAAAAGAACTTTAACTACCTGTTGATTCAAAGTGTGCCAATCATGCCAGACTTGCTTTTTTTTCAGAGGCATTCCTTCGATCACCAGTGCCAGCACAACTATAAACTCACACAGAGAAGAGACCTTGTCCTCAAATTAGCCCCAAATGCACTCAGAACGTTTTTCACCAGTCCTAGCAATAATACTGAGAACGTACAAGGCCCTCTGCTAGCACTATGGAGTCGAGGGAAAGTGGAGGGGAGAGAGAAGAAAGAAGGGGAATGGCAATACAACAGCCTTGTCCCTGAGGAGCTGATAACCTAGACCGCTAACACAGACAACCTCATGGAAAGTTAACATTAATAAACAGGTCAAATTTCAAGGTGACATTAGAATAAATGCCGTAAGTCTGTGTATGAGCAATTGCTAAAGGAATTACACAGCTACGAATTCCTACAGGAATTCAGCAAAATGAAGTGAATACATTCCAGAGTAAAAGGAATCTGGCATGTGAGATGATAGTTACTTTGGCAAAATCATTTTAAAAGGTTAATGGATTTATTAGTTTTAATATGGTGGAAGAGAAATACTTCAGATATGACTGTGTGTTTTTAACCTCTATTTCTTTCAGGTTCACATCAAACAACCCTAAAATGGCAACAATCCAGCCACATCATAATGGTTTTCAAACTTCTTCCAATCGCTTGGGCCAAATTAACTAAACAGCTGTGTTTGGGTGGTCTCAATTTTTCACTCAACGTTACAGTTAGATGGATTTAACCCTCGGGGTCAATGATCTTTTAAGTCATCCTACAGGAAAACAATACTTTATAAACTTTTCCCAGTAGATAAAGTAAAACAGGCAGAATGGTATAGTGAAAAATGTTCTGGAATAGGTGGAACCAATTCTAATTCCAGCTATGAAAATAATAGTAGTTTTAAGCAAGTTATTTGATTTCACTTTACTAAATTTCCTAATCAGTAAAATTAAAGCAGGAGGGATTAGTTATCTCTTTTTAAGTGTCACTTAGTTATAAAATTCTACATTTAAAAAAAAATCACTTGGCACTGCAAAGAGTACACAAAATAACACTGAGTGAAAAATGACAACAAAACCAGAATACGAGCCTCACTTTGTGAAATGTACAAAAATATGTGTTTACTTAAAGATTTATTCCATAAGCCATGAATGTAGCATACAAAGATAAAAACGATATAATTTTAACAGTGAAGGTGGAAATGAGGCCAGGTCTCATTTTATTATTTATGATCTCTATTTCCAATTGTAGTCAATAAACATATAAAAAGATCCAATCCTTTGAATCCAAGCTTGACATTTTCAATCAGAGCTCTTCAGCCTCTTCGAAATACACTGCCAATCAGAGTTGTCTTAGAAACACTGTAAGCCCAGTCTTCAATTAGGGGGAAAAGAGAAAGGGCAAAACCACAGTTTTGTTTTTCCACTACTACTTTTCTCATCTAGTCTAAAATCCCTTTCTCCATCCCCACCCCTCCTCACAAAAACCTCTTGGGAGTGACTGAACGCAAGTAACCTAAAACTGGAATTTCTGGAACTGTATGGTTTTCAAAAACCATCATATTGTCATCTCCCTACTTCTACACACATGCCCAGAATTGGATTTCATACTTATTTTCACAACAAAATCTCCCAGTAGTACTTAAACATTTTCTTTTTCCTTTTTTCAAAAGCATGGGCAGGTTATATCGGAAAAAAAGAGGAGAATAATTTGGCACCTGTGGAGGTGATGTCATTACCAGCCATGGGTCTGAACTGTCCCTGGAATGCAGCTTGCAGCTTGAATCTCTGAGCCCACCCAACGCTGTTGAACATAAAACACACTCATATTTGACTGGCTCTGCTTAGGAAGCCCTGTACTTACAACTTATCAGCTTTAAACTTTTTATAGAACATAGCATCAAATATTGTCAAGGATCATCCTTGGAAGGCCAAACTTTACAGCTCTAAACCTTTATTTAATATCTGGCAGGCCTGTGAACGACTTGTTCTGCCTGCCTATCTATAGACAGTCCCTGCTTCATGATAGGTTGTATTCCAAAAGCCTGATTTTGAGTCACCAGCTTGAAAAAAGAACTATACATACTCCCAACAACAGATGGAGTGAAGGCTTGATTGAAGAAGGGGTGGGCACAGTGGGGGAGTAAGACCGACAGGGAATGACAAAAGTGAACCTGGGGGTGTAAGCTCCAATCCTCAATCTGTAAAATGAGGTTAAGGAAATCTAAAACAAAGCAGGTAGAATAACAGTTTCTTGACATAAAGTAAACACCAATATATGTTAGCTACTGTTATCATTTTCTCTCTTCACAGAAACAGTCATTAAAGGGAGTATTAATTCCCTAGGCCTACCAAAGGAAGGTCAATTAACCTATTAACACACCTGAAAGTACTTGAAAACCACAAATCCTAACAACACTTCTAAGGAAAGCATGCAGTAAGGAGTTCCGACTAGCACACATGTGCTCTCCAGAGGAAGAAGTGCACCCTCCATTCACACCAGACAGTGCAATGCAGAATCCTTACCCCCACCACTCCTCCAGCAAGAAGCCCACCCAGAAATGAGGTGCCTGTAAAGGAGATGGGGTGTGAACTCTGAACTCCAACAGACTAGGGGTGAAGGGCTACAGAAATTTAAGCCTCTGCCCAAATCACCCAACTCCCCACTACACAACTCCCTGGTCACCTTTCCCTTCCTTTTTAGTAGCCACCGAATGTAGCCCTCCTGCTTCCCACTGCCAGCATCTGTCCAGGACGGTCATGTACAAACAGGAACTAGACTCTTCACCTTCCAAATTCAGTCAAGAAAGCAACATAAAGCTTTGCAACTTTCTATCAAGATTTTACTATTCATAACAATCAAGAAATGGATAAGAAAAGCCTAAATATGTTTGTCTGTTTTTACTTACATTCCAAAGGCAAAGGCAAAAACACACTCAGACGTCAATGCTAATATAGATACATTTAAAGTAGTCAAGACAACAGAAAAAGGAAGAAGCTGCAACTTCTATCTTGCAATTCCCAAGACGGTGCTTACTTGATCTTTTACAGAGTTTTTTTTTTTTTTTAACCTTCAAAAACCTCTAAAAAGTAGTCAGTTTTCAATTATCTACTGCTGGTGATGTGGTTTATAGGCAACAACATAGCTATGTCCCAGAAAGCTCTCTCCCTGTGACCCAAAGCACATCCAAAGTCCCCTCTCCTCATTGCACAGCTTTTACAGACTCACAAGATCTTAGAGATGCCCTAGAACCTGACATTTGTCTAATCTATTTTTCCCAGTCTGACAATGAAGCTGGAGCTATCTGTGTGGAGCCAGAAGTTCAACCAATACCTCTGGGCCATGCTTTTCCCCACCACTCTAGAATGTTTAAAGTCAGTGGAAAGGGGAGTGTTGGGGGGAGCCAGAATCTAAAGCCAAGCCTTCACATGTATAATGTATTCCAAATGTAAACATTTCTTAGTTATTACCCATATTCCTGCTCCCTTCTATAAGGCACAGGGCAGAAGACTATGCGAGTGTGTATGCATTCCTACTTAAAAGGCAAATCTCAGTAATCCTGTTTTTTCTCACTATCTCAGTTACCCATTCCCACGGTCATGCACCAAGAACTGGCTTTCAATTTTTTCCAACTGTGACCCAGAGGGAAATATTTACATCCCAACGCAGTTCACAAATACACAGTAAACACACCCAGTTTTAATGAAAACAACATTTTTAAATGACTATGTGATCACTCTGATCAAGACTCAAGGCTAAGCTTGGGGAGGAGTTCATGCTAAATCCAGCCCCAACCCTTCCACTCAAAAAGCCTTCTCCCTGACAGCAGATAGCCTCAGCCAGAAAAAAAAGGTGCATCTCTTTCCTCTCCTTCCTTATTTCTTTCCTTTCCCAAAAAGAAGTCCTTCTTGTTGTGTGTTAGGTTTTCTTTTGTTTGTTCTTTTTTTTGAGATGGAGTTTCGCTCTGTCAACCACGCTGAAGTGCACTGGCTCGATCTCGGCTCACTGCAACCTCTGCCTCCCAGGTTCAAGCGATTCTCATGCCTCAGCCTCCTGAGTAGCTGGGATTACAGGCACCCACCACCACACTAGGGTAATTTTGTATTTTTTAGTAGAGACAAGGTTTCACCAGGTTGGCCAGGCTGGTCTCGAACTCCTGACCTCAAATGATCTGCCTGCCTCTGCCTCCCAAAGTGCTGGGATTACAGGCATGAGCCACCGCACCCGACGAACTTCTTTTTAAGTTCACTTAAGGCTGGGCACGGTGGCTCACGCCTGTAATCCCAACACTTTGGGAGGCCGAGGCAGGCAGATCATTTGAGGTCAGGAGCTCGAGACGAGCCTAGTCAACACGACAAAACCCCGTCTCTACTAAAAACAAACAAACAAAAAATTTAGCCAAGTGTGGTGGTGCGCGCCTGTATTTCCAGCTACTCAGGAGGCTAAGGCAGGAGAATCGCTTGAACCCAGGAGGCAGAGGTTGCAGTGAGCCGAGATCGCACCACTGAACCCGACTGGGTGACGGACTGAGACTCTATCTCAAAAAAAAAAAAAAGATTCATTACAAGTTCCATGAGTTAGATTTTTTAGCATTTTTTAAAAATGCTGGTCATGACTCTCTAATACTAGGTTTTGAAAAATCCTGCCCTAGACCTATTACTCTACAATTATCTCAATTTCATGCACCCCGACCTCTGAATATCTATCTTTCCAGCTCAATCCCTCTTCTCCAACAATTCTCTAACCCTGAGGATCCTGTGCCCATACCACCTTCCCAGTGCCCCAGTCTTCACTCCCTTCCTTAAGCAGCTTGGATCCCATGGGCCCCAATCACATCTTAACTCCTTTGCCCCTCCCTACCTCCAACACACTCGCCCTATTTATGGTTACATTTACCTTGGCCTTACTTCAGATGTGCACCCAAGCAGCCAAATGAAAATAGCCACAGTAACTTTTCTCAATTTAAATCCACAGCCACAAACTTTAAGCAGACGGATATGGTTTGGCTCTGTGTCCCCACTCAGATCTCACCTTGAATAGTAATAATCCCCATGTGTCAAGGGTAGGACCAGGTGGGCAGTTTCCCCGATTCTGTTCTCGTGACAGTGAGTTCTCATAAGATATTGTAGTTTTATAAGGGGCTTCCCCCTTCGCTCAGCACTCATTCTCTCTCCTGCCGCCCTGTGAGGAGGTGTCTTCCACCGTAACTTTGTTTCCTGAGGCTTCCCCAGCCAAATGGAACTGTGAGTCAATTAAACTTCTTTTTTTTAAAAATTACCCAGTCTTGGGTATCTCTTTATAGCAGCATGCAAATGAACTAATACAGTAAATTGGTACCGGGAGTGGGGTGCCGCTGTAAAGATAACCGAAAATGTGGAAGGAACTTTGGAAATGGGTAACAGGCAGAGGTTGGAACAGTTAGGAGGACTCAGAAGAAGATAGGAAAATGTGAGAAAGTCTGGAACCTCCTAGAGACTTGTTGAATGGCTTAGACCAAAATGCTGATAGTAATATGGGACAATGAAGTCCAAGCTGAGGTGGTCTCAGATGGAGATGAGGAATGTGTTGGGAACTGAAGTAAAGGTCACTGTTTCTATGCTTTAGCAAAGAGACTGGTGACATTTTGCCCCTGCCCTAGAGATCTGTGGAACTTTGAACTTAAGAGAGATTATTTAGGGTATCTGGTGGAAGAAATTTCCAGGCAGCAAAGCATTCAAGATGTGACCTGGATTATTCTGAAAGCATTCAGTTGTATGTGTTCACAAAGAGGTGGTTTAAAATTTGAATTTATGTTTAAAAGGGAAGCAGAGCATTAAAGTTTGGAAAATTTGCAGCCTGACAATGCAATAAAAAAGAAAAACCAATTTTCTGGGGAGAAATTCAAGCTGGCTGCAGAAATTTGCATGAGCAACAAGGAGCCAAATGTTAATCCCAAGACAATGGGAAAAATGTCTCCAGGGTATGTGAGAGACCTTCACAGCAGGTGCTTCCCGTCACAGGCCCAGAGGCCTAGGAGGGAAAAATGGTTTTGTGGGCTGGGCCCAGGGTCCCCTGCTCTGTGCAGCCTCTGGACATGTGCCCTGCATCCCAGCTGCTTCAGCTCCAGCTGTGGTGGCTAAAAGGGGCCAAGGTACAGCTCAGGCCATTGCTTCAGAGGTGCAAGCCCCAAGCCTTGGTGGCATCCACGTGGTGTTGACCCTGCGGGCGCGCAGAAGTTAAAAATTGAGGTTTGGGAACTTCCACCTAGATTTCAGAGGATGTATGGAAACACCTGGATGTCTAGGCAGAAGTTTGCTGCAGAAGTCGAGCTCTCAGAAAGAACCTCTGCTAGGGCAGTGCGGAAGGGAAATATAGGGTTGGAACCCCACACAGAGTCCCCTCTGGGGCACTGCATGGTGAAGCTGTGAGAAGACAGCCACTGTCCTCCAGACCCCAGAACGGTAGATTCACCAACAGCTTGCACCTTGTCCCTGGAAAAGCCACAGACACTCAATGCAAGCCCATGAAAGCAGCCGGGAGTGGGGCTGTACCCTGCAAAGCCACAGGGGTGGAACTTCCCAAGGCCATGGGAGCCCAACTCTTGCATCATGATCTGGATGTGAGACATGGAGTCAAAGGAGATCGTTTTGGAACTTTAAAGTTTAATTACTGCCCTATTGGATTTCAAACTTAGGTGGGGCCTGTAGCCCCTTTGTTTTGGTCATTTCTCCCGTTTGGAATGGTAAATACCCAATGCCTGTACCCCCATTTTATCTAGGATTAACTAACTTGCTTTTGATTTTACAGGCTCATAGGCCGAAGGGATTTGCCTTGTCTCAGATAAGACTTTGGACTTGGACTTTGAAATTAATGCTGGAATGAGTTAAGACTTTGGGGGATTGTTGGAAGGACATGACTGTGTTTTGAAATGTGAGGATATGAGATTTGGGAGGGACCAGGTTGGAATTATATGGTTTGCCTCTGTGTCCCCACTCCAATCTCACCTTGAATTGTAATAATCCCTATGTGTCAAGGGTGGGGCCAGGTGGAGTTAAGTGAATCACAGGGGCAGTTCCCCAAGCTGTTCTTGTGATAGTGAGTTCTCACGAGGTCTGATGGTTTTATAAGGGGCTTTCCCCCTTCAGTCGGCACTCATTCACTCTCCTGCTGCCCTGTGAAGAGCTGCCTTCCACCATGATTGTAAGCTTCCTGAGGCCTCCCCAGCCATGTGGAATTGTGAGTCAATTAAACCTCTTTTCCTTATAAATTACCCAGTCTCGGGTATTTGTTCATAGCAGCATGAGAACAGACTAATACACAGACCCTTAGCAATTCTCAGAAATCCTATGAGAATTCCCTACTCAATCCACACTCCCAGGCTCTTAGAAACTTATTTCGTACCTGTACATATTTCACACCTGTACATAAAGCAAAAAAAAATTATAGACTTAAAAAGATGTAACACTGGTAACTGGATGTTCCCATATTCCCAGCCATAATCCAACCACAGCTATCCTCCAATAGGAAAAATCTAAACTCTGTTTAACAAACTGTCACCCACCCCCACCAAAAAAAAAAAACCAAACTAGTCATTTAGAAAAAAAAGGTAAATCTGCCCCAGTAATATTAATAAGTTGAAGGCCACATAACCATTAAATACAGGAAAATTTACTTTCAGAGAGTGCTTTTGTTTTCTCCCCTTTTATGAAAATGTTTGGTAATATTCTCTCTTAATTCTCTTACCAAATCAGTCCATATGCAACTATGTTCTGCCACCGTAATCACTGATGGGCCTAACAGTTTATTGTCCAAATATAATTTGTTCAACCATGCAAACATCTGTGCAATCAGGCATGTTCAATTTGCCAGGGACAAGTCCAGTGACATGGCCACAAGTGATAAGCACCAATGCTCTGTTAGTGGGCCTTTCGCTGAAAGAAACAGCTTTTCCCACAATTATCTCTAGATTGAATTCAAGTGTCTAATTAATGCTTTCATGTAATTCAACAAAAACAAAACATTTACATTATAGAGTTACTATTTATTCTAACCCAAGTCACTAATGGTAACACTAATGCACATAAGCATATAAACCCCAGAGTAAAATGGAGCTGTGTTTCTTCAAATTCAAGGGCCAGTAGAAGTGAAGGCTAAGGAAGCATGTCTGCCCAAAGACAGAGTAAGAAGCACTGCCCAGAATTCCAGGTGCTACAAGAGTGCTGTCATTGTACAATCACTGCTGGACATCAAGGGCCATTTCTATTGCTTTGCAACTCCTTTCTTCCTGATAGAAATAAAGAATTAATTAATTTTTTTTTTTTTTTTGAAACGCAGTTTCACACTGTCACCCAGGCTGGAGTACAGTGGTGCAATCTCGGCTCACTGCAACCTCTGCCTCCTGGGTTCAGGTAATTCTCGTGTCTCAGCCTCCCAAGTAGCTGGGATTATGGGTACACACCACCATGCCCAGCTAATTTTTGTATTTTTAGTAGAGACGGGGTTTCACCATGTTGGCCAGGCTGGTCTCGAACTCCTGACCTCAAGTGATCCTCCCACCTCAGCCTCCCAATGTGCTGGAATTACAGGCGTGAGCCACTGCACCTGGCCAGAATTAAATCATCAATTTTTTAAAAACATCAGATTTGAGTGTGTAAATCCATATACCAGCAAATAGGCAGATCATTCTTCAGCTTGGAGCAACCTCAGGTGAAAAACATTAACACCTCCTGGACCTGCAGATATAGCCAAGACCACACACTAGCCTGCCAGCCTCCTAGCCTCACTCATCCAGACCTCCAGCATCAAAAAGGAACGTGCACAGCACCAAGATGATCAAGCTAAGGCAACAATTCCTACCTTCACTTACTCAAGAGCCTCCTCAGCACCCTGACTTTTCATCAGCCTACAGACCATTTTCCCTGATCCAGTGTTAAGACTGCTAAGATGTTTGCTTCTTTTTCTCCTCTACCATTCATTCACTCAAAATTTAGCGACTGGCTATTATGTAATCAGCACTGTGCCAGGACCTCATAGCCTAGTAAGGGACACAGGGAGTAAGTGCATAATCACAATCCATTCTGAGAACTATCTACAGAAAGCCATATGCAAAGTAGCATAAGAATAGAGGATGAAGTAGGATAAAACTGGAGCCATTCATAAAGGATGGAGGGAAGAAAGGAGGTACAGATTCCCAAGTACCTGCAAAGGCATCAAGCATAAAAGACCACTACAAGTTGCTCTTTTCAACTTTTCAAATTTAGTCAAAATTACAAACGGTAGGCCCAAGAACTTCTGAGGTAATAAATCAGTCCATTTTTCCACTAACAAGGTGGATATTTTGTAGATATTAACTGAGAAGTTTCTTCAAGATCTTCTGAAAATTCCATGTAACCATTGTATTTCGGCTTTCTATTTACAAATCAACACTTGACTCTATAGACATGTACTTCAAACTTATGTCTTAATCACAACTGCATTCTCTGGTACTCAGTATAATTCTGAGAGGCAGACTAGGACCTTCATTCAAGCCAAAACTGTCTTAAGTGAAATATATCTTTGATGGGTATTCCTTTCATTCTTTGGCTTCTCTCCCACCCCAAGCCAAGGTAGTTCAGGTACCACTCTTAATAGGCAGTCGACTACCGTGGCTAATAGAATGGCAGGTAACAGTTTAAAGGGTGACCTCCCCTAAGTAGGGGTGAAGACAGGAAGCAAGTGAAAGAGAATCCAGTGTACAGTAAATGGGTGCTAAGTTAGGACTGGGTGAGAAAACAGATGGATATCCTCTTCCTCCACCTCTAGAAGAGAACAACTTTCCAGGCCAAGCACAGTGGCTCAAGCCTATAATCCAGCACTTTGGGAGACCAAGGCAGGTGGCTCACTTGAGGTCAGGAGTTCAAGACCAGCCTGGCCAACATGGCAATACCCCATCTCTACTAAAAATACAAAAATTAGCTGGGCGTGGTGGCACGCACCTGTAGTCCCAGCTACTCGGGAGGCTGAGGCATGAGAATCACTTTAACCCAGGAGGCAGAGTCTGCAGTGAGCCGAGACTGAGTCACTGCACTCCAGGCTGGGCAACTGAGGGAGACTCTAGATGGGGGCGGGGGGAGCTTCCCTAGTTACTACTGAGTTGTTTTGTTATGAAAAAAAATCTCATGAAGTCAGAGCTTCTAACGGATTAGATTTAGCCTGGGCCCTGTGTTAGCTAAGTCAGGGTTTCTCAACCTCCGCACTACCAACATTTTATTGTGAGGAGCTGTCCCTGTGAACTGTAGGATGTTTAGCAGCATGGCGGGCTACCACATACTAGATACCACTAGCACACCTTCAAGTTGTGGAAATAAAAAATGTCCCCTACGGAACATCACCTGGGCTGGGAACCACCATACTAGATGATGAACATCAGGCTACTTATTAACTATACAATGAAGAAGAAACTGATGTTGATGAATAGGACAAAATATTGAGATGAGAAAAAGATTATGCCATATTGGTCTACTGCCTGCATTTTAATGAAAAGCCAATAGATATCCCCAATAGAAGAGGGAAAAAAAATGAAAATTAAGTCCAACAAAGTAAAGCAAAGCAAAGTCTGCAGCATTTAAATAAAAACATGATTGAGTGTATGTGATGCTAATTGCTAACTGAGACCACAAAATTACATTAAATGATTAGGTACACAGGTGCTCAGGCATGGCGGAAGTGCAACAAAGAAAGAGTTTAGTAAAAACATTAAAACCAAGTCAAACCAACTCTATCTTCATTCCACATATCCAAGCCCATTCTACAAGAATCTTCTTTAACTGATTTGATTCTACAAAATGAACATTTGTAATAGTAACTATTTTGTATTAATAATAATTAGCAACACATAGACAGGACTCCAAATCCCGGTTCCAACTATCTTCTAACTACATGACACCCTCTCTAAGCTATTTCCCCTATCCAGAGAAGTAAAAGGTGTAACCAATGTAAGAACATGAGCACAGTGCCTGGCACACTGTAAGTACTAATAAATGGCAATTACCAGTAGTTACACATATTATTTTGTAAACATGTTTTTACTACAAAATGGAAGACATTGCCCAAGAGGAACTAAGAAGAAAACACACTTCTAATCAGTTAACTAAAGAAAAAAAAAAATATATATATATAAGACCCAATCCTGTAAAATACATGCCTAAGATGCCAAAATTTACTTCACTCTAAAGGCAGGAGAAAAACATGGATTACCAACCAAGCACATGGCTATAATAAAAGCAAAATATAAATGCTACTTTTTTTTTAAGTATCACATTATTTCCCACTTGCACTCACTCCAAATATATTTCCCCAGACTTTTATCCAAATCAGCTAAAATACCATTTTCAAGGGGTTGAGATTAAAAATTCACTTTATAAAAGAAATTTTCTATGAAGCCTAATAATCAAGTAGAAAAAAGAGTATTTTCTCACACATATCCAGAGCCAGTTTAGAGTTGCTGTTTTTGCCTCACAGAAGTTGTTTTCCAGCCACAAGCTACTACAGATTGTTCAGACCTTTTGGCAGCAACACAGGAAACTGCCCTTTTCACCCGTTCTCCCACAAAAATGTAGTCAATTTCTAGGCAAGCCCATATCTCAAGGCTACTTTGCTTTATAGAGCCAAATGCACACAATTTTTCATTTAGCATTAAGAAAGGGCCCCATATATTTTGCATTTTTGTAAAGAAAATTGAAAGCAAGTCACCAAAGACATACGGGCAAAGTTATTTATTAAATCAGCTCATAAAGTGTGCCACACCAACATTTGAAATTTATAGGACATTCGGAATCACAGCTGTTTCTGTTTTATATCCAAATCGTCCAGGATGCAATGGGCAACACGTGAAGCTATTTCCTGATGCTTAATTGTGCCTTGGTGTCCCACTATTCTCAACTTGCCATGTTTCAAATAAATAGTTAAAATAGGTGTGATTAAAAAAAAAAAAAAAACTCAGGCAGCCCACTCACTCACCATATCTTTCATTTGAATCTGAGGTTTTTCTACAATACTATGGATCACATAAAGACATCTGAGCAAGTCACAGGATGAAGCCGAAGTTCTTCTCACATTTCTTATTCAAGTATACAAAATCAACCCACATTTTTCTCCTTCAGTTATTTAAGGGGAGGTGAGGGTAGGAGGTGGTAAATTATGCAACAGCTATAACGTATTTAATTTCTAAAAATGAAGCCAATGCTGCCTTTTAAATGCAAAATTAAAGATGACCCTTTAAAAACCAGGAATCCCTTTGTATCCCATTTGGCTTAAAATTTCACAGACTGGTCATTTATTTAGAACACAAGGAAGTCCAAATGGTAAAAAGGCATCTGTAATCACTCACAAAATGAAGCTGGATACTACCCTGTCCTGGGAGAGTTGAATGCCAAAATTCAATCTGTGACCCAAGCTCCACAATTCATAGATTGTGTAAAAAGAAAAATCAGCACAATATTTTCCAAGGGACGTTTTCTGTCTCCAAAAATGACTTGCAACTGCAAACAAGTTCCAACAATGACGCAAAGGCAACCTCTCCAAAAGGGTACAATTTCAGAAACTGTCCAAAAACCCCATACACAAAAACAATAAGCAAAGGAACCTCGATTCAATTACACAAGACCCATTACACTTTGATTCAAGAGAAGATAAAAGAGTATTTTTCAGTCAGAGTCCAACATAAACACTAATGTAAAATATGCTCAAATTCAGAACTTCTTTTCTGAATTTAAATTATTCCAGCATAATAAATCCTATAGATTACACAGGGAAGAAATCCGGAAAGCAAACCAAGGAATTCAAAATAGAAATTCAAAGGAAAATGTTTGGGTGTCTGGTAGGTAAAGAGACCTGCTTGCCTATATCTAGGTACAAAAGGCACATCTTGTTATTTTAGGTAATTTTTCCAACTTAAATAAACTGCACAGTGGAGCAGGAACCAACTGTAAACATGCTTTCATTCCCTGCTTGCCTTAAGAAAATGTTGGTAAACCAGGCTATCTTTCATCTCCATAAACAAAACAGAATATCAAAGAGATTTCACATTATTGTTTATCAGCTTATCAGCATCATCAAAGTACATCTGTAATCGATACTACTTATGAGAAAGCATCTGTGGAAAGAGCAAGAAGAAAGAGTCTGTGTTGGAAACTCACTTGGGAGGGTCTGAAGGAGTTTTGTGTGCTGTTCACCACTATCATAAAATAGCCTGTAAGACAATCACCAAAAAGTAAAAACAGAGATTTCTTGAGTTAATGGTCCACATCTTCACAAGAATAACTTTCGAATAAGTAAACAACAACAGAACAACTAGGCCAACGTTATCCAGAGGTCTGGCATAAGAAGATAAAGCACTCGAGTTCACAGTTTAAACATGGGTTTCCTGGCCCACAGTAGAAAACTTCAGCCTGGGGAAGATTTACTTCAAATCAAACTAAATGAGCAATTAAGGAATCTCTTTACTACTGTTACATTTTTAAATTCACCCTATTAGAACACTCATCTTAAAACAAAACTGGACTCTTCTAAAAAACAAAAGAGATGAAAAATACAGAATTGGTCACTGATTTCTGTTCATTCTCATCCTACTTCCACCTACATTCAACTAATATTTATTGTACAGTTACTATATTAAAAAGCACACAGCTAGTACTGAAGAGGGATAGAGTGAGCTAGACAGAGAGATGTACTTACTGCCAAATAGGCTATGTCTGCATCTGTAATTTGCACACAGTAAGTTCAGGTGTTTTATTTGCTTCCGGGTGTTGTTTTTAAGAATGTCTCTGTGGTTCACTTTTATATGGCAAAAGCACTGAAGGTCCTTCATGTGTCTAAATGAAAAAGTCTGGACATTTGGCTTCAATAAAGCCATCACTTTCTTGAAGATAGGTTCCAGCTATGAATCGTCTAGGTTTGTGTGCTGGACAGGGTGAAAAGGGCAATGTTCTGTGTAGCTGCCAATGGGCTGAACAATTCCCAGTAGCTTGTGGCTAAAGAAATCTTCTATGAGAAGAGAACTGTAACTTCCAAGCTGGCTTGGGATAATTGTTTGAAACAACGTGATTTTTTTCCATTCAGTTATTTTCTGTTATACCTTTTCCAGCAAAATTATTCTGTGGAATTTTAAAATAATCATGTTTTTAAATGATCTTTCCAGTAAAAAGAATGTTTCAAAAATAATGCTTAACAGCTTAACTGAAAACCAATTTCAGCACACACTAGAAACAGCATTGAATTATTTCTAGTATTCTCCATCCACAATTAACACAGTATTCATTTTGTTCAGGTATTCGCTTCTGGAAAGCTCTTCCTGAAATCATCCTGCAAATATTTATTAAGCATTTAATAAGGAAACACACACACACACACACACACACACACACACACACACACACACTCCACCAGGCTGGTCACTGTAGAGAATACCAAAATGAATGGGAAAAACTCACAGCCCTTAACAAACCAACATAATAACAGAGAGAAACAAGGGGGTCAGAAAATCTGTGTTTTTCATAAATTCCCAGGATGATTCCTGTACATACTAAGGTGATGGCATGTGCCTGTAATCCCAGCTACTCGGGAGGCTGAGGCACGAGAATCACTGGAGCCCGGGAGGCAGAGGTTGCAGTGAGCTGAGATCATGCCACTGAACTCCAGCCTGGGTGACATAGGGAGACTCTCTGTCTCTAAAAGAAAAAAAAAAAGCACTACTATATTCGCACACAAAAAAAAAACCTGGCAATAAATTAGTAAGCCATTATTTACTTTAAGAGACTCACCACTGGGTCTCTTAAATTAGAAAGCCACTATAGTTACATTTAAAATAACACTTGTTCTAAACACTTATTTGCACATGACTTTTTCAGCAATAAATCTGCTGCATAAATGAAGTATACCTAGACATTAAATTGTGTGTTGGAAAAACACTATGAAACTATTATAAAAAGAACTAAACTAGGCATCGGAAATGGTAAGTTCAAGTCCAACTACCATCACTTAATTTGAGTTACAATAAAAATCCTACCTGTCATATTATCTCATAAAGTTATTAGAATACTTAAATAAAAATATACATAAACATGTTTTGCAAAGTGTTTTACATTTTAACATTATACCACTGGACTAGGAGCAGCTCAGTGGTTTCAGTATCCCAGCAAGTAAAACCTTGTTGGGAATAAAACAAACTAACATTGGCTGGATTTTAAAAATCAATTTTTAGGCTTCCAGAAAATTCACTGATGAGTAGAAATCATTTATCAGAGTTTGCACATCTCTCAATGGATGATAACAGTACTTCACATAGTTTCATTATTGTTTTCATATTTTATATAAATTCTCACCATATTCACAGTTTTTTTGTATTTTAGTACATTATGTTAATATATGTAGCTCTATGTAGTTCATATGCAGCTCACTCATTTTAACTCCTATACAGTACTTCATTATAAAATATACTTTATTTTTCCTAATTGAAGGATAGGTTGGTTCCAAAGTTTTGCTATTATCAATGTGTCAATAAGCATGCCTTCTGAGTTTCCCTTCACCTACAGGTACAGGAATCTCAAGAGTTCATACCTAGTGCAATTGCTAGCTAGTATGGTATGGTCAGTTTTACACTGCCAAACTGTTCTCCAAGATGGTTATGCCAACTTAGGCTCTCACCAACAATGAATCTTCCCCAACACTGGTATTTTTATACTCATATTATGATGGTTATTAAAACATCTCCATTTTAACTTACATTTGCCTAACTACTAGTGAGACTCAGGGTTATTGGCCATTTGAGTTTCCATTTCTCTGCATTGTGTACAATTATGCTCTATTTTGCTACTAGGTTATCTGCCTTTTTCTTATTAATTTGTAACAGTTTTTCATATAATCTAGATTTTTAATCCTTGTAGCATATAGGCTATTTTCAACAGGATTGCCACTTGGCCAAGGCTACCTAAAGGCCTAGCTAGAACAGACCCAAGTACATTCTGACTACAAGTACAGGAGTAAGCAAGCCATGGCTGTTGTACACAGTCAAGGATGTCATCAAGAAACTAGCCTCCTTTTGCCCTCCTGCTCTGCCGTCTTTAACACTAGCCTCATTTTCACCTCTGCAAGACAGCTGCCGCAGCTCTAAACATTATGTCCACTTCAAGGGTGGGGGAAGAAAGACCGGACCCCATATTCAAGGAGTAAAACTTTCTCAGAAATCCTAAGCTCACATCTCATTGGCCACCACTGAGACCTCTAAAGGACATCAGATGAGACAGCTATTTCTAAATGGGCACAAAATCAGGGTTGTGTTGGTAAAGAAAGGGGAACAGGCGAGGTAGGCAGCTAGCAATGTTTTTCAAACATGCCTTACAAATGTATGACACCAATGTGAACCTTTTCTTTTCACTGTGGTAATTTTTTCGTATGGAAGTTTATTTTAATAGAATCAAATTTCTGAATCCTTTTCTTTATGATGTTCTGTGTGTCCCCTCCCCGCCAACTCATCAACAATGCTTATATTTACTGCTAAATATTTTAAAGATTGGCTTCTTGCCTTTAAGTCTAAATGTAATGCATCCATAAATACATCTATAATGCATTTTGTATATGGTATGAAGTAGGGAATGAATTTTTTTTATATAGACCAATCAGTGGATGTTTACCCCATTTATTTAATAGTTTACCTTTCCCTACTGATTTATAACACTGCTCCTATAGTGTAACAAGCTTCGTTATATTCGTTTATATTAAGTTTCTAGGCTTGTATCCGTTCAAATCAGGTTTACTGGTGTAATTCTCTATCCTTGCCACAATAGTTTCAACAGCCTTGATATGTGGTAGGGACAAAATCTTCCCAACTTGTTCTTCAAAATTATTTTGACTATTCTTCAACACATGCTCATTTGCATATTAACTTTAGGACTGGCTGACCCATAAAAACCCTACTTGGGATATGCGTGAATTTTCACTGAAATTACCCATTTATTTGGGGAAAACTGTTATCTTTACAATATCAAGCATTCCCATTTGTGGACAATGAACATTTCTCCATTTATCCAGCCCTTCTTTCACATCCTTCAATGTTTCAAGATTTATCCATAAAGATTTTACATATTTTGTTAGATTTGTTCCTAGGAAACAGAGTTTTGCATTTTTAGAAACTGGAAATATGATCTTGATCTTCTTTACATAAATTTTCTAGTTGGTTATCCCTAGACTCACTTAAGTTTTGCACACAGTATATTATATAAACTGCAAAGAATAATTTTGATTCCTCCTTTCCAATATTTATGATCATTTCTATTCTTGTCATATTGTACTGCCAAATTTCAACAACTATATAAATGACTAAAAGTAGTAATTTTGTATCTTGAACTTAAGAAATCTGTGCTATTATCATATTGCTAAGTATAATGTTGGATTTTATTTTCAAAGACATTATTTAGCATGGTAGAGAATTATACTGCATTCCTAAATTAGTTAGCATTTTCCTGAATGAATATTGGAATTTCATAAAATGCTTTATCTAGCAAAACTATTTTATGTTTTCCTTTTAGTTAACAATCAATTCTTTAAAGAAGTGTGAAATTGTATATTATTTCTTCATTTCTAAAATGAATTACAGTTAATATACTATGTATAATAGATTTTTTTTCTGTTTTACTGGGGCATTACATATATTTATGGGTGACATTTACCTGTAGTTTTCCTGTTTTCACTGTTCTGGTCAGTACTGTTACCAGGGTTATGTTAGCTTAAAAATTCAAGAATGCTTTAATATATTTCTATTTTCTGGAACAGTGTGGGAGTTTCTCCTCCATGGCAGTATGAAAACACTTTCCCATAGTCTAGGTCCAACAACCACTATTTTTTAGTCTAATAACCATGGAAACATGGTTACTAATTTCCAAGGTTTTCTGTTTTTCTGGAGGAAAACATATGTTTCTATTTTGCTGGTATTTTCAAAAGTATTAACATAGATGTATATATTTATATTGTCTTCTAATCTGAGATGGTAAATATTTTTCTCTTCCTTCTTTTTTCTTAGATAAAATGTTAAAGGGTTATCCTTTATTGGGTGATTTGCCTTCTCCCACCCTGCCCAAGAATTAGCACTTTGCATTTTCGCTTTTTTTCATACAATATTTGTTCATATCATTAACTCCCTCATATTTATGTACATAAATTATTGGTGTTTTTTCTATTGTCTTAAATATAAGGCTGAGCTCCTTTACATTTTTTTCATTTAATATGTCTGTAATTTAAAGCTAAGCATCTCATATCAGTTTCTGCAGCCTCTCTCAAGTTTTGCTATGTAGTGTTCTCACTGTTAATATGTTCTAAATCATCTGCAAGTCTACCTTTTACATCCTCCTTGACCCAAAGTGATTCCCTCTATCTACTGCTTCCACACATTTCAAGATATTCCCATCACTGGAGTTATTCACAGTTGAATGAAATGACAGTGAAAAGACTGATGGATTGATTTTTCATGCTAGATATCTAAAGTTTATTTGGTGAGAGATGCCAATCAATAATTTTGGCTCATTCTTTAGATGGGGTCAACCAAGCCATTACTGATGATTTCCATCAAAGTTGCTCAGTTCACTGAGGGGGGTTTCCCATGAGTCTTCGGCTCTTCAGCTCTTCAGCACTCATTGTGCCAGTAATGCTCTTGGAACAATTTTTTGTTGTTAAGAGACAGAGTCTTGTTCTGTCACCCAGGCTGGAATGCAGTAGCATGATTATAGCTTACTAAAGCCTTGAATTCCTGGGCTCAAGCGATCCTCCCGCCTCAGCCTCCCAAGGAGCTGGAACTACAGGCATGTGCCACCCCACCAGGCTAATTTTTTTTTTTTAACTTTTTTTGTAGAGACAGGGTCTTGTTTTATTTCCCAAGCTGGTCTCAAACTCCTAGCCTCAAGTGATCCTTCTGCCTTGGCCTCCCACAGCACTGGGATTACAGGCATGAGCCACCACACTAGGCTTGGAACAATTCTTAAGTTCACTCTGACCTCTCCCTTTCTTATCACTTCATGGGAGTTTAGTTAGTGCTGTGATCTTTCCACAGAAGGAGCTCATGCAGAAGAATATCATTTCAACAAACATCATTTCAAGACTGCCGGACTTCCTAGGTTACAACACCTACTGATGGCTCTAACTATTAGCAGGTATAGCAAACGAGAATTAATGGAAAACATTTAAAAACCCACATAAACTTAAAGAACTGCACACCACTACCCTCTGAACAAAATGCTGGCCAAAACCTCCCAGTTGATACAAAACAAAAAAATGAATCAGGGAAGCAAGCAAGGTATACACCCCAAAATATGGCAACTTTTTCAAAATAAAAACCCTCAGGAAAAAGGGAATCCTATTTAAAAATGGCAATAAACAAAAAATTAGGCAGGCGTGGTGGCAGGTGCCTGTAATCCCAGCTACTCAGGAGCCTGAGGCAGGAGAATCCCTTGAACCCGGGAGGCAGAGGTTGCAGTGAGCCAAGATCGCACCATTGCACTCCTGCCTGGGCAACAAGAGTGAGATTCCGTCTGGGAAAAAAAAAAAGTAATACAAACAATAATAGCAAGAGCATTAGCTAACACTTCCCATGCACCATTCTGTTGTATATACTAATTTAATCCTTACAAAAACCCTATGAAGTAAAAACTATTCTTACTCCCATTTTATAGATGAAACTAAGGCACCTAGTTGGTAAGGACGAACCCAGACAGTCAAGCTCCAGTAGTGCTCATAATTACCACACTATAAGCCGGCAGTCCCAACCTTTTTGGTACCAGGGACTGGTTTCGTGGAAGATAATTTTTTCACAGACCAGGGCCGGGGGATGGTTTTGGGATGCTTCAAGTGCATTACATTTATTGTGCACTTTAATTCTATTATTATTACATTGTAATATATAATGAAATAATTACACAACTCACCATAATGTAGAATCAGTGGGACCCCTGGACTTGTTTTCCTACAACTAGGCAGTCCCATCACGGGGGTGATGGGAGACCGTTACTGATCATCAGGCATTAGATTTTCATAAGGAGTACGCAACCTAGATCCCTCACATGTGCAGTTCACAATAGGGTTCATGCTCCTATGAGACTCTAATGCCACTGACAAGAGGCAGAGTTCAGGAGGTAATGGCCACCTACCCCTTACCTCCTGCTGTGCAGTCCATGGCCTGGAGATTGGGAAGCCCTGCTACTCCTGTCACATGGTAACGTGACACTGCATTCTTTCTACTACATTCTTTCTACTCCTAGTTATCTATAGGAGCTATCTATCTCCTATATATAGATAACCCTCCACCAGCTTTATATTCAAATCTTCACAAAGTCTCTTATTAAAGGGAAAAATCTCTCCATTGCTTTATTTTGAATAATAAATTACTAACAGGCTTGAGTTCAAATCCTGGCTCCATATTTATCTGCTGTCCAAGTCATTTAATCTCCTTGCCTTGGTTTCCTCAACTGTAAAAGGAAAATAACTGATAGCACCTATGTCAAAATTAAGTGTGGGGTTCAAATGAATCAAAGCACTCTAGTTATATCACTGTGCCAGGTAAGTAAACTGTGCTCGCTGCTATCATAAAAACAGTGTCATCATCATCATCATCCAGTGCTAGTGCTCCTAGGTTATTATTTCCTTTCAAACTGTAAATAATACCATTGTATATAAGCCTTTTAAAAATATTTTTTAAATGGAATTCTGTAACACTAACCTCTTGGAGACATCGTAGATATTAAGTAATCAAACATGTTTCTGGATAAAATTCTTGTGACATCATCATACCAGACTCAACTCTAGAAGACGATTTCCACAAGGGCAGGAATTTTTGTCTGTTTTGTAAACCACCTTATTTCCGTTACCTACAATATTGCTTGGCATCAATATATGTTTGTTGAATAAATTAGTAAAAAGTATTGAATCTCAAACAATATAAAAGAAAATGAATATAGTATGTCCTAAAAAACTACGTTAGATAAGTTTTACACAATTTTACATAAAGTTTCATAAAATAATGCAAAGTATTCCTTCCATATAATGATATATTGCTATTTTCACATGTGTATGTGACTACTATGTAATAAATGCAATATTTAAAGACTTTATTATTTCATCTGCTACCCTAAACGTTTATAAAGACTTCTTAGGATGTCAACGGCCTAATTTATTTCCTATTATTTCTTATTTATTTTCCTGTGTTGTCCTTCATCTTCCCTCCAAAATTAATTCCATCTACTATTTAGTAAGCCAAAGATTTCAGTAGATAAAAATATAGGCTGGGCACGGTGGCTCACGCCTGTAATCCCAGCACTTTGGGAGGCCGAGGCGGGTGGATCACAAGGTCAGAAGTTCGAGACCAGCCTGACCAACATGGGGAAACCCTGTCTCTACTAAAAATACAAAAATTAGCCGGGCATGGTGGTGCACACACCTGTAATCCCAGCTATTCAGGAGGCTGAGGCAGGAGAATCGCTTGAACTCAGGAGGCAGAGGTTGCAGTGAGCCAAGATCGTGCCACTGCACTCCAGCCTGGGCAACAGAGTGAGACTTCGTCTCAAAAACAGAAGAAGAAAAAAAAATGTGTGCGTGTGTGTGTGTGTGTATATATATCTATATATCTATATATAGATATATAGATATATAGATATATAGATATATAGATATATCCCTTTCCTGAAAAGAACTCTATGTCTATAGGAGTATTTAACTCTTTTTTCCCATATCAAAT
Source organism: Homo sapiens (assembly GCF_000001405.40). NCBI lineage: Eukaryota > Metazoa > Chordata > Mammalia > Primates > Hominidae > Homo > Homo sapiens. The sequence goes on from NC_000006.12 coordinate 131,023,857, forward strand.
AAATAAACCTTTTTTAAAACAAATATTGGAGAAAACTGTCATTTTCTGAGAGACAGTCAGCCATTATTATTTCACTCATTCAGGATCTGTGTATTGGATACTCCCCCTATGACTCAGGCATTAGGCTGAACACTGGAAAAAAAAGGAGGAAAGTGGACAAAGCCCTGCAGTCACTGTGAAAGATGGACATGGAAACACATAATTTTACAGAGCTCTAGGTCTACAACAGAGGCAGAATCACAAAGGAAGGAGAAGCCAAATGCTGTAAGGGTGAGGGCAGGCCAAAAACTCAGCAGAATGAACACTTTTTTTTTTAACTAAACTCTGAAGATCAGCAGAAGGTTGACAGGTGAGGAGAAGAGAAAGCAGGCAGAGGGAGGAACAAATATACAAAAGCCCATGTGTGATGAAACAATATGGCATGCTGAAGAAGTAAATGAGTCATTTGATATCACTCGTGTGTTGGGTTTATGGTTAAGAGTGTGGCAGAGCTGCCAGGAAAGAGGTGTGTTCAGTATAAGGGGTCTTGTATCCAGGCCAAGGAAGAGGTGTGGCACGGCTAAGCCTTCCAGCTGCAAGAGGTTCCCAAAACTAAGCATCTCTGTCGTAGAATGGCATGTCATAAGCCATTCTATGACAGAAATGAGGAGCACAAGCCAAAGCACCATATCAACCACAAGAGCTATTCACCAGCACACAGTAATTTATTTATGCTTTAACAATCAAATTCCCTGACTGCACCAAGAGCTCTTTGAGCGCAAGGACCGACCGTGTCTTACTCAAGTTATCTCCCAGATGTCTACTAACATAATTCCCTTACTTAACAAATGCCAAGCACATACGACGCACTAGGTGTTATACTAAACACTGGGTAGTCACAGATCGTAGACTACCCTGTCCCAACTAACCTTAGAGCCTTCTCTGAGGAACTGATACCTGAGAATAAAAAAAGGTTAGCTTCTAGAATTTTTGGTTCCTACCCTCTCCTTATATCCTCAGCTGATGTTTAACATTAAATCTTCTCTTTAATACACTTTTATTTGGATTCAAAGCCATTCTTCCCTTAATTCCCTTTATTCTCCTAAGAACAGTCTTCTTCCTCTCTATTCTTCATTCTATGGGTATCATTCCAAAACTCAGTTCAGCCCACCATCTTCTCATTGGAGGCCTCACTCTACTCTGCTTATTTCAGGGTTTTTTTTTTAAGCCTATGCTTTTTAGATTGCTTTTATATAAATTATCTGAGGGGAAATGCAGTGTAGTAGTTAAGAATAGCAGCCAGATACCCACAAGTTCCAAGACCACTCTTGGTAATGGTGACTGTAGGTGCCTTTCTAAGGCCTGTTTCCCCCCCGGTATGACTGGGACAAATGAATCCAATTCCTAACTTGTTTTGAAGGCTAAATGAGATACTACATCCAAAAGTACTTAGCATAATACCACAATAGTGCTAGCTATTTTATTATTAATCATGAAACCAACATCCTAAGGAACTTACGGCATGAATTGTTGCCTTTTTTATAGACTTGTTTTAAAGATGCTCAGAAAAAATAACAGATTTGATCGAGATCAGACAGCGATTATTTCATATTACACTGCCCAAATGTACATTTCTGGCCTTGATCAATCGGCAAAGTCACAGTATCAAACCACACCAAACCACTGGCCTATAGTCATCTCCACTTGGATGATCTACTGTGGCTCTGTCAAAAATTAATCATCTTCCCACAAAACTGACTCCCCCTTGGGCTTTCACTCCAGAGTTGCCTCTGACTCCATCCTTTCTTTAAAACACATTTGTCCTCATTAGTGTCTGTCATCTATTCCTTGCAAAGGTTGGTAGATTGATCCCTGTCTTTGTTCCTATAGCAAACTCTCTACTCCAAACCCCCTAAAGTATGGAAATACCGTACAAGCAGCAAAGCAAGCTCACAGTCAGAAGCTGAACCCATGAGCTGACTTCCTGATTTACTTCCCTGCCAGCAATCTTGGTCCACTTCAAATTGTATGCAGTACACAGGGGCAAAATGAAATCTAAATGTAAGATTATCCTTTAAGAGTATACAAAAGTCATCACAAAGTGGATCAAAGCAAAGCCGTTCAAAGTCACCTAAAAAAAATACCAAACAGCCCCCAGGTCACTGAGGCTAAAGATACTATGATTGAAATTATTAAAAAGACTTTTTATACATTTGTAAATCTGAAGAGTGGCCAGCCAGCAATGAGGAAAGACAGAAGGAATTTAGGAACTTAGTCCCTTCTAGCAAGAATAGCCTTATTGAGTGGACAGGCAAGGGCAGGGACTAGATTCATTTTATTGAAGCTGTATGAACAAGAGGAAGCACCTAGCCCAGGAACAAACAGATAACAGATACAAGAAATAACAAGGAATTGCTCATAAGCTTTATCATTATAACCAACCTTCCAGTTCTGATTCAACCCCCATAATACACCATCTGACAATGTGCCATGTGGCCAACAAGCAGAACACACACAGTAGACAAGATGATGTGTGTATTTATTGGCATTCTAATTCATACCCTCCCATCTCCTCTAAAGGCTCATTATTTGTTTGTGGGAGTTGGGTTTTCAGTTTTTGTTTTTCTTGCTTGGGGGAGAGCAGGAAAGGAATGGTTCAGCTTTCCTAAGCCCTATTAACAAGACGCTGACAAGACTGAATCTGTGTATCTAAAGCAGAGGCTCAAACTCTGGGCTAAAGAGAACTGAACAAAGTAAATGTCACTTTATGAGGGTAGTCACTTTGTACCAATAAACCCATCTTTCCTGGTATACACCACCAGTTTAGGCCTTTCGCACAAACCATACTGGACATCTCTGCAAATGCTATTCATTTGTTTCAATGCTACTTTCACCATACCACACCTTAACAGCTACAACGGAATCCCTCTGGCCTGCAGATGAAATTTTAACTCCTCTAGTCTGTATGGAAAGCCATACAGCCCTCTACGGTATGTGCAAGATGGCCCCTCTGCATTCATCTCACCTCCACTCTTCTCTTCCCTCGCCTTTTCTAGCCCCATTCATCAATGTTTCCCAGACTTCTTCCCTTACTACATATTCCTTTAGGTACCTCAATGCATGTAATACATGTTACTGGTCTAAAACTTACTCTGTCATTGTTTTATCTACATAACTCATTTGTCTGACTTACTAAATAAGCTCAAGTACAAGAATGCTTATGACTTTTACAGCCCTCATTCCAAATACTTACTACGTAAGAGATTGAGCAGGCAAAATACATTGGAAAAAACACATTTTTCCTAATAAATGGAAATTATTTGATAACTAAATATTTAAAAAGTTAAATTTTCTATCTGTATCAGGGCTGGGTTTGGAGTTATTGGTTTTTTTGTTTGTTTTTTTGTCTTTTCTTTCTGCAAGCCAGAACCATCAGGTATAACTGATTCTATTAAATCTGAAATATACTCAAGTCATAACAGCAAGCCTTACAAGTTAGACTCACATCTAAATGTGCATCACCCACATCCAAGTGTGTATTTTAATACAATAAAAGCTGACAATAAGGCAAATAAGCTCCTTTCCACAGGGACAGGCCCCAACATAGCTGTTATAGCTCCCCCTGGAACACAACAGATTGGGTCTCAGCGGGCTGTTGCCTAGCAAGTCCAACAATTATCCATTACCTCACAAACCTGCAGAGACTCAAATGTTTGCCAAAAAGATACAAGGCCAATGCTTAATGCAGCCAATGATTAATAGTGGCACCAGGAGCCAACCGTCATAGCAATAGGGCTGGCATCATTCTGAAAAGTTTATATGAAACTTTTATAACACAGAGAATAAATGCTTGAAGGAATGGATACCCCATTCTCCATGATGTGATTATTTCACATTGCATGCCTATAAAAACATCTCATGTACCCCATAAACATATACACCAACTACATACCCACAAAAATTTAAAGTTTTTAAAAATTTTAAAAATTAAAACCAAACTGCAAGGACTTGAACTATTCCCAAGGAAGGCAAAATGAAAATTTTACATTATAACTTCTCTCATAAGTGCCTAAGCAAAATTCAAATATCCAACATATAATATACTTATTTGGTGTCTGCCGAGATCATTTCAAAAGACCTGACAAAAAGCAAATACCAGTAAACAGAAAGCAAGGTTTCAACATGTTTTAAAATTAGATATCTGAGTTTAAAAGTTAGCAGTTATAATACATGAAGTCAATCTACCCCTCATTACCACTATCAGTAAAAAGATGATGTCAATTCACCAACTAACACTACCAATCTAGAGCAACATCAGGATTACCGACACCTTCTAAGAATTAACGTGTTTTAAAATACTATTTCTGGAGTGGACAAAATGATTATTAGGCCACTTAGAAGAGTATATGCCAAACAAGCCTTTCATGATGGGCACAAAGCAGTTTTCTAGGCTGGTACAGAACTCATTTCCCCTTCTGAGCCTACCTGGCCATGTTCTATTTATTTGTCACGAATGGATTGGGTCATCCCTTAGTGCAACAATTTTGCTCTCCAAGGAATAAAGCAATGAACTAAAAATATCCCAATGTCTGGTGCTCGGGACATACTAGACTATATGAAAAGTTGACTCTAGCTGTTTTATTATTTTAAAAGAGAAAATGTTAATTACATATATGATAAATCATTAAATCTGATTCCATACTTTGAACACTATAATACTACATTGTCTAAGTACACATACCTCACTGAAGTAGCCCTCAAACAACACAAGATTTTTGTTCCCATCATCACAAGAAAAAAAGATCATACAGTCTCTAAATCATATACCAAATTATCTAAATATGTATTAATATCGCATAAAACCAGTTTCATGGAAAATTCTTCAGGGTACATTACCTACCACAGATAAGTATGTATTTATATATACATGTTTTTCACTTCATTATTGACCTCCAATCATACTTGGGTAACTAGGTGACTCAAATGCTCTAAGTAATAATTATCTAAAGCAACATTTCTCACTCTAAAATAATCTACACTTGCCATGTCTTCATTCCTTTTATCTCCATGTATACATACAAATGCTATAAAACCCTTGTTGCATTTTTGAATAGCCAGATTACTAAGGGTACACCAAAATGACTGATCAACTTGGCTTTAGAGGGTTACAAAGAATTCTGCAAAGCTACCACAATTCTCTCTAGGAGATCAATTGCTTCTATCAAATAGCAAACGTTTCAACCTTCCCATCTTCCACTCAGTATAACTCATCAGTGGTAACAATGGACAGAGAATGCTAAAGGGAAAAAAATCTTGAATATTTCATATTTGCATGGGTATTTTCCTCCCTAACATCTCTCTACTTCCCAAAATTCTGGTAAGGAAATACAAGACTTTGTCTCCTTACAACTTCCTCCTTTAGTGGGCTATACTTGGGAAAAGCATCAAGGGAATACTGATGTTTTTTTCTGTTTTGCTTAGGACTGAAAAGCATAACAGTTTAGGGTTTTGCAAAAACCTGAAAATATCACACCCACCCTACTTCAGCATTTGTTTAAAAAAAAAAAAAAAAAAAAAAAGCATGCTTAATTCCACTAGTCAAATTCTGAAAACCACCTGGCTAAATAGCACATTAATAACTGTCCTTTCAGAAGCTATACTTACATTCTACAATTTCATTCTATAGAAATAATTTTTTAAACACGCAGAAAGGATTCAACATTAGAACTATCACAGCTCTATTTTTAAACTGCCAAATTAATTCCAGAAATTAAAAGTTCATTCTCCCACCTCAACGCCCATGGAATCCTGAATGTGATTTACATGTCAAAGGCTGACTCAGATTTAATACATTTACTTCGGAAAAACTTAGAGATGCCTGTCAAATTACAAAGCAATTGCCTAAACATTCCAGTGACATTTAACTGCTATCAAACAGTTGAAAGTTGATCTTTAACAGAATACAGCTGTTGGTGCCACAATACCTGAAAGCCCAAAGCAAGATCTGATTGTTCTGAGCCCTTTATCCAACAATGGAATCCTCAAGGGAGGATTTTTCTCTTTTTTTCTTTTTTTTTTTTTTATGCAGCACCCCAGCCTGCACAATTGGATTGTGGCTTTCCACACATGTACAGTTTCAATCACAGTTTCACACACACTAAAAACTATTCAGAACCACTGTTCGCAGTTCCTCAATGACTTTAACAAATGGTTCAGGGCCCTACTGTTATCTGCTCCCTACCAGGACCCCGTGCTCTATGCTTACAGCAACCCTAAGAGAAACCAGAGGCTCTGCCAAGTGACTCGCTCAAGAATAAAGTCGGCAAGAGGCAAAGGCAGTGTGACTGCAGGGCCTGATCCCTTCCTTGACCAATGGATAGAGGAACCTCTCATAGCACGACATGGCCAGGCTGAGATGGGCTACAGGGCCCTCCTTGGGGCTGGAACATCCTGGTCTCACCACTGCCTCTCAGAAAAGCAACTACTTGAGCAAGTGCTCAATAAACTGGCAAATTTCTACCAATAGGTTTTTAATGAAAGTATTTCTCAACTGACTAAATAGCCAGGACCTGGCTAAAAGACTCATATATCTTCTTCAGAAAGCAGAAAGTGACAAATCATTTCTATGTAAGCTTTCTTTTGGATGGTAATAAGATCAAAGTAAAATATGCAGCCTTCTCTGTATATTTTAGATCCTCAAATAGTAACTCTTTAAAATGCACTGCATTTTTAAATAGACAATTTTTCAATCGCTTACCTCAGTATGAAACAATTTTCTTAATCTGAATTAAGTTAATCTGAACCATTTATATTATGATTCCACTAGGCCCATTTTGTAAAGATGCATTTGTAGTCAAACATAATTACATGTATACAGCAACAGCTGCTCATAAATTAATTGCGGTCCTCTGCCTAGAGGTACCAAAGGGTCTGATGTATTAAATAGTGTATTGAGAGGCAGGGCATGGTGTGTCTCACGCCTGTAATCCCAGCACTTTGGGAGGCCAAGGCAGGCAGATCGCTTGAGCTCAGGAGCTCGAGGACCAGCCCGAGCAACATGGCAAAATCCCATCTCTACAGAAAAAAAAAAAAAAGGTACAAAAATTAGCAAGGCATGGCAGTGGCACGCACCAGTAGTCCCAGCTACTCAGGAGGCTAAGGTGGGGGGATCGCCTGAGCCCAAGAGGTTAAGGATGCAATGAGCCAAAATGGTGCCACTGCACTCCAGTCTGGGCAACGGAGGGAGAGCCTGTCTAAAAAAAAAAAGTTTATAATGAATGGTAAGAAATATTAAAATGCAGCACAATTAAATGTCTAGTAGGCACTACCCACCCCAGAAAAGACAAAATGACTGAATCATTGGCTTAAGTATTCAACTTAAAAGCAAATTTACCTAAATGTCAATTTAGACTAATGGTTAGAAAAGTAAGCAAACAAGTAAGGATAAGAAAATATACAGAGATTTTTTTTTTAAAAAGCCATAATAGAGTAAGCTATAAGTGATAACAATGAACAAAAAATTACCATAGAAACAGCTGATAGAGTACCAAAAAAGGCTCCAAGATAATCATATATAGTTAGTAAATTCAATTGAATAGTTTTGTACCAAGGAGCATGCTGAAAGAATACACAGTAACCTATAAATATTAGAATTATCTTATTTAACTGGAAATTTTACTAATAATAAATTAAATCCAACTCCTAGCAAATGTGACAGTTCAAAACTTCCTAATTTCCTCATTCAATTCTTCTGTCATATGAATTGCCACACAAAAAAGAAAATAACTTATAAGCACACTAGCTGAAAATTCAGTAGAATTGTAAACATTTACAACCAAAAGAAACAAATAATCCAACCTGTGAGATAGTAATTGTCACTATAAAATGAATCTTTTGACCATGAAGCTCTGATAATATATGTTTTCTATCTCAACCTTTCTCCAATTCTGAAGGCGGCATTTATCGATGTACACAAATGAGAACTAGAAAAAAATTAGAAAAAGAAATGCTATGTTAATGTTAACATTGGCAGAAGATAATATTTTCCTCTTTAAATGCCATGAAACTCTTTCTTGAAGAGAGCATAGCTACACTTACTCCAAAGTGAAGAGGGTATAAAAGGGAGAGGAAGCAAGGCATTTGTTTAAACTATACAGCAAATTTCAAAATGGCTTCAACCCTGAGAAAATATCCCTAAAAACACATTTGAAGAGAAAACTACTCAAAGAAATGCTTATCAGATAAGCTCATAAACCAAGCTTACATCAGTTATAGTCCCATATAGTCTCATATATCATATATAATATTCCTATATATTACCATGTCAAGAACCACAGAGACAGCCCTAGCCAGCACAATAAAGTCTTGCTTGAAGAGGGACTGGTATAGTGGTTTACAAAGCTATGGAAAAATACAAGGGTTTCATCCTTCCTTCAGTTTTTTCATCCCTAAAATGCAGTAGCATTTATCTTCTTTCAGCTCCCGAGAATGTAAAGGGAATAAATGAAATAATTTTGGTTCTTTTAAAGACAAGTGCTACATAAACCTTCACTTTTTTCCCTCATGATTAAAAACTCGCTTGCACAGAAGGTCACAGTATCTCAGTGGGCCAAAGTAAAAAATAAAAATTGGCATTATTCAGTTCACAAAGCACTTTCAGATTTATACTTTAATCTCAAGAACCAGTAGTGAGGCAGAGTGACCATCATCCCAGGATATTACAACGTATGCTCACTTGCTAGGTTAGCTTGCCCAAGGACTCGAGCCTGGAACTTTACAGAAAAGTAACAGAAAAAAATTCTGTTTACTACAGCTCTTAATCTCTCAAGTCACAAAAGAATTATTATTTGTTAAAAACTGTATGAAAGAGGATGTATTCTTATCTACCAGTCCTGCCAAAATAATAACCATAAGGTAACAATTTTATATATACCAATGCTGAAGTTAAGTGTACTAACCTCATAATGGTACCTCTTTATTCAATGTTACATTTAAAAATCAAAGACTAACAATAACAAAAAAAAATTTAAGGCTGGGCACGGTGGCTCACGCTTGAAATCCCAGCACTCTGGGAAATCCCAGCACTTTGGGAGTGCAGTGGCACAATCTCAGCTTACTGCAACCTCTGTCACCCGGATTCAAGCAATTCTCCTGCCTCAGCCTCCCGAGTAGCTGGGATTACAGGCGCTTGCCACCACACCTGGCTAATTTTTGTAGTTTTAGTAGAGACAGGGTTTCACCATCTTGGCAAGGCTGGTCTTGAACTCCTGACCTCGTGATTCATCTGCCTCGGCCTCCCAAAGTGCTAGGATTACATGCGTGAGCCACTGTGCCTGGCCAGGATGGCTATGATTTAAAAAAGAAAAAAAGAGACAGAGAAAGACAAAGAAAGACAGGAGAGAGAGAAAGAAAGAAGGGAGGGAGGGAGAAGGAAAGAAGGAAGGAAGGAAGGAGCAAAACAAGTATAGGCAAGGAGGTAGAGGAAATAAAACCCTTATGAGTTGCTGGCAGGAATATAGAATGAATGGCACATCCCTTGTAGAATTGTCTGTTTGTTCCCCACAAATTTAAGAATTACCATATGACCTAGCAATTCCACACATAGGTATGCACTCAAAAGAAGTGAAAGCAGGGACCCAAATAGATATTTGTGCACCAATGTTCATAACAGCATTATTCACAATAGACAAAAGGTAGAAACAAAAATGTCCAACAATAGATGAATGGATAAGTAAGACATATACATACAATGAAATATCATTCAGCCTTAAAAAGGAATAAAATTCTGACACATGCTACAACATGAATGAATTTTGAAAACACTATGCTAAGTGAAATAAGCCAGATAAAGAAAGACAAATATTGTATGATTCCACTTTTATGAAGTACTGAGAATAGGCAAATTCATATAAACAGAAAGTAAAATAAAAGTTACCTGGGGCTGCAAGGAAAAAGGAAGAGGAGTTACTGTTTAACGGGTACAGAGTCTGTGTTTGTGATGATGAAAAAGTTCTGGAAATAGACAGTGGTGATGGTTGCACAGCATTGTGAACATACTTCATGCTTCTGAGCTGCACATTTACAAATGGTTAAAATGGCAAATTTTTTACATATTTTTGTATAGTTTTTAATATATCTTTATATGTATTTTACCACAATAAAAAATGAAACTGAAGGGCTAAATCTATCATCACCAACAATTACTTGAAGACATAAGCATAGAAAGAGCTTATGACTGTTAAAACATCTAATGAATATGGAGAACCATAAAGTCAGCATGCCAGTTTCTGAACATACTACAAGGTGTAATACTACTGCAAGTTGACACTAGAGACCTATTTTCTTAACCACACAAAGGGAATGTTAACTATGGTTTCCTATCTACGAGAAACAAACTGAATTTGGGGTCTGAGACCAATAAACATATTGGGGGTTGGGGGGGACAGTATAATATAATCCAACTCATTAAAAGTTTAGAAATGACAAAAATTGGTCAGGTGTAGTGTCATACGCCTGTAATCCCAGAAATTTGGGAAGCCAAGGCAAGCACATTGCCTGAGCCCAGGAATTCGAGATCAGTCTGGGCAGCATGGTGAAACCTCGTATCTACAAAAAGTGCGAAAATTAGCCGGGGCTACAGTGAGCCAAGATGGCGCCACTCCACTCCAGCCTGGGCAACAAATTGAGACCCTGTGTCAAAAAAAGAAATGAAGAAAATTAAACTCAAAATTACTTTTCCAAAATCATACAACTGGTTATAACAAAATAAGGACTAGAACAACTCAGGTCTCTTATCCCTAGACTGGTGCTCTTCCTACACTTAGTTTGGCTTGAACATGTCACTTATCCTCGCTTTCAAGTAATGGCATTCATTTTAAAAAAGGTTATTGAAATGTCCTGAAAACTATACTTGAAAGATCACCCTACAACTCCTGAATCTATCTGAAGGTTGGGTTCATTCCCATATTCCTGTGATCACTAAAGAATTAAGCTGGCACAATATCCTACAGGGGTTAGTTCAAAAGAACAAACAAGACTAAACTTAAATCCTAGAAAAATGCAAAATCAATATACTTAAACAGCTTAAGGGTTTCACTTTCCTAACACGCAGAAGAAGGGAGAAAAGATTCTTCACACCTAACTGCCTGACTACAAAAGGACAATCATTCACACATCCCACATCCACAAGAAAATGACTTGCACAGCTTAAGCATGCTACCAGTTTGGGAGCTCTTAGTTAAGAAGACAAAGTTCAAGATCCTACCTAAGAAAAGCATCCGAGACCTCTGTTGGCTAAAACAACCAATCTTACACGGAAAGGTATTTGTTAATACTCTTGTTGTGAGACAGTTTCAGGACTACTTAAGGAAGGAAATGCCAAATACAACAGTGAGCAAAGCCAGCAATGACAATGGCAACTGAGATGCTATCGCAAACTCTTACAGGTGAATCAATATGTAATATTGGGTTACCACCAGCAAATGAGAACAGTTATGAACCTCTGCTGTCCATATCATTCCAAAGAAACTTCAATCACCTCCACACCTTTGCCTTCTTCCTAGATCTAGAGCCTAAATGTAGTCCTACTCTTGTACTTCCCATCTCCTCTTCTGCTTCCTTCCCTGACATACACCAACACCTTTACCTTCAAGATGCAGTCAAAAGTTATGATCTTTCCAACTGAAGTCAATAAATATTTACTGAGCTCTTCTGGGATGATGTAGTAGAAAATTTAAAGACATTTAGTGACCTATTTATTGTTATCCAGAGCCTTACATTTCAAACTTTCTGTGTAAAAGATTACAATACAGGGTATTGAGTCCAGTTCTGTGACCAGATAGACCTGGATTCAAATGTAAACTTTGACCCTTTAAGACTTTACCTCTCTAAATTTCAGCTTCCTTACTTCTATAATGTGGATAACAATATCTATGTGTGCTTGTGAGGTTAAATGAGATAAGCAATATGCTTAACAGTCCAGAGTTCAGAAGTGAGAGGTTAGCAATGTCACTGCTAATTATTACTACAAGAGAAAGCACAAATGCTCCCATGATTTAAAAAATGGCACCAAAGTTTGGAGGCCAGAATAGACCCTCTAAGTTGATTAGAGAAGGTTTGAGAGAAACGGTCAAATCTCAGTTACATCTTCAAAGTGAAAAGTGAACAGAGAGACATTAGTTATAACCTGGATCTGAGGCTAATTTGCTTTGTGACCTGGGTGATGGGCAGTGGGGAATCATTTAAAATTTCAGGGTCTCAATTTTTCTATTTGTAATTTCAAAAACTGACTTAAAGGATGATTATAATCTTCCAGAGCTAACATTCTGTTATTTGGTGTAGGAACCAGGTAGGCAAAGTGAAAGGAGGAAGGAATTCCAGGTACAGTTTATGGAATGTTGTAAAATTCTCAAAAATATATAGCTGTATAGAAGTCAGGAAACGATCCCCTAGCTACAGCATAAGATCCAATGGGGGAAAAGGGAGGAGAAAACATGAACTGCTCATTTTTACCTCCACCATAGGTAGAAAGGAGCTACTAGAGGTTACTGAGCAAGAGAGTGGCATAATAAAACAATAATAGCATCTTAAAGAGCAGAAGACGGATGTAATAAAAAAACAGCATAAAGAGTAGAATAAACTGGGAAAAGGAAGAGTAAGAGGATGAAAACCAAGGAGAAATCAAACGAATGGGATTCAATGATTCTGGGACAATGGGATGGGAATGGCAACCACAGTTCTTGCCTCAAGTTTTTAAACTAATTAGAAGCATTAGCTTAGAAAAGTCCCCTAAAGTCTCTAGGTCTCAATTCCTTCATAAAATAACTTTTATCTCCTCCAACTATGATTCTAAGATTCTGATACAATTTATCTGGATTGAGGCCCAGGTTTTTTTTAAGATCCCCAAATGTTTCTATTGTACAAGCCAGGGTTGAATACCATTGCCTAAACAAAGGAGAAAAAAACAGTTATGGGTTAACTAATAGGACATCTGAGAATAGGCCAGAAGTGATGAGACAGAATTCTAGGGCACAGCCAGGATAAGCGTACTTATGCACAGACTGAAACAAGGCCATCTTTTCCACTGAGAGGGGCAGGAAAGAGGTATGGTTGGGTAAGTCGCTCTTAGGTTGCAAAGCAGAAGTTGTGAGCTGATCTCCTCCACCTTCTCCATTGAAGAATCTGTCTCAAATTCAACTATAAGCCAATTCACATTACGATTAGCACTTCAGAAATTTCTGTACAATAAAAATATTGCCAAAGGCAGCTAATGTATTTGCTTATTCCAAAACAAGCAAACTATTAAACAATCTGAACTTTATTACAACTTTCATTTCATTTACCGGTTTTCATCATTCCACAAGCATCTACAGAACGCTAAGCTTAGTATATGCCGATCATTGGGAATACATGAATAAATTAGGGCTGCTGCCCTGGAAAAATTTATATAAGCGGAGAAAACTGACATTTTAAGGATTTCAAAATCCAACCTGGTAAGTGCCACAAAAGACAGAGGTATTAACGCTACTTGTGGGAGTTAGAAAAGACTTAGAAAAGCTGACATATGAGCTGTGCCTTAGATGATATGACTCACTTACACAGGGCCCAGGGTTTGAAAAAAAGTGGCTCTAAAGCATATAAATGCTTATAAAATGCTTTAAGAAAATAAAACTGAAAAAATTAGTCTCAGCTATAATTATGGTAATTTTTTTTTCAAAAATGTTATTCATCTTTATACTTTGAAAACCTAAAATTTTTTTTTTTTTTTTTTTTTAAGATGAAGTCTCACTCTGTTGCACAGGCTGGTGTGCACTGGTGCAACCTTGGCTCACTGCAACCTCCACTTCCTGGGCTCAAGCGATTCTCCTGCCTCAGCCTCCAGAGTAGCTGGGACAACAGGCATGCGTCACCACGCCTGACTAGTTTTTCTCATTTTTGTAGTGACAGGGTTTCACCATCTTGGCCAAGCTGGTCTCAAACTCTTGAGCTCAAGTGATTTGCACAGCTCAGCCTCCAAAACTGCTAGGATTACAGGCATGAGCCATCGCACCCAGCCCTAAAAACCTAAAACATTTAAGGATTATATTCAAGGTGGAAAAAATCTGCAAAAATTTACAGTAGACATTTCAGAAAAGAGAGATTTATCAAGCATTATGTCCTTTAAAAATGTTTCTTGTGTATATACATACAAAAATACACATAAACAGTATCAATAAACACGTATGTGGATCTTCATTTTTATATTTCTTTTTATTTTTAATGTATTTCAGCTTGATTTGTTTTGAAGGCCAGGTACCTTCAAAATAAAAAAGAAATATAAGCAATTTAAGCAATATAATAAAATTTTAAGCAATTTATCATAGTTATTCCCTATTCAATGCCTTAAATCCTTCATACAGTGATGCAGAAAATAACTACTTCTCTAAAAATATATACTGATATTTCTCATTTAAGAAACACCAAGCCTGTAGAGTCTTATATGGGACAATCCAGTGCAGATTTTAATTGTACTTATTCACAATTCATTAATATCATGAATGAGACAGAAATGATGAATCAAATTATTCTAGTTGCTATCACCATCTGGAAAATTCATAGAATAACTTTATTTACTAGATATAACAGTATTCACAGTTAAAGCAATTTCACACATTTTTTAAATGCTGGTTCTTTAAAAATAAGTAATGGTCTACTTATAGTTATAAAAATAATCTTGTAAAGTTATTTCACAAATCAACCATGCCTCCTAACACTGAAAAGGAATACTTTTAACTAAAATACAGTATAACCTTTTATTTACTCCAAAATGTAAGTCACTGGTAAATAAACACAGAATTCCATAATACTTCTTTCATTCTTAGAGAAGAAATGGTTTTTCAAGGCACAGCATTTTGTTTTTATTAATATGGTATGCAGCTGTATTATTTGTACTGCTGCCCAACATTCAGTAAGTGTTCAAAGTATTTCAAACTGGCAATTCGTATTTAATGCCTAACAAAAGAGTCATGATAGTGACTACTGGGAGCATAAGGATAAAACTGAGCCACATTTATTCTGGGGAAAAAACTTACAAAACTGAAAAGAGTGACCATTTTCCACATTAAACTCTACATTAAGAAAAGAAAAGTCAATTTACAAAACCAACATTTTTTTTTAAGTGTCAGACAGTGACTTCCCAGAGGCTTAGAAACATGATATAAGTATTATGTTATTCCATTAGAAAACGGTTCTTCACAAATTCAGTTATACATTTAAACTCTCGATGAAACCTCATCTGTTTACCCAAACCAGAGGAAATAAAGCTGTCTGCAGGAAACAAGACAGCAGCTTATTGATCCAGCATTACAAGGTTGACCTTCTCTCAACAGAATGTTTAGCTATGTTATGTTGGAATAAAAGGCAAAGGTTAGGACGCAAACCCCTTCTCACTTCCTCTGGGTATGGACTTTGTAACTGTAAAATACGTGGGAACTCCTACATTTCCAAATTTCCAATCCTTTAATCCATGGCCCAGGAAACTATCAGAATAGGAAGAAAGTAATGAAGATGCTGTTTAACACAAAATTTAACAACACGCAAACCCTTGAAATATTTTGTTCCAAAAATAACCAAATAGCGAAACAGTTTTATAGGTAGTAAAAGATCACAGACCAGAGGCCTTAGAGATCATCTAACTTTACCCTGTTTTTCCATTTGCTGAATTAGGGCCTCAGTATCAAGGTTTCACCGTGCTCTGTAGCACTTTCCTATAATGTAAATGCTTTCTGTGCCACGGTCAATGGAGATTTGATGTTATTCCCCAAAAGAAATATTATTGCCTTTAAATAAACATACTCCTTGCTTCCAAGGCCTGACAAGGTTGTGTCAAAAGGATACAGGAGCCAGTTTGAAGAGGATGGCCAAAGTTGGGACAATCTGAACATCAAAAAGAATGCCTGTAATTGACTGAAACACTGAATATATAAAAATCCTTAAGTCAAAAATGATACTCAAAAAGAGAAACACAACCAAAAAAAAAAAACTTGAGGTAACTATTATACCAAGAGCTTATTCTGAAATTTGATAAAGGGGAAAATTAAGTATTTATCCTGCATTTCAAATAAAAGGCTGTATTTCACAGTAATCAAATAGCCCACATTAATGAGGGAAAGCTATTTTGCTCAGAAAATTGCAACCTAATGAAATTGAAGAAATAATAAAACTTAAAAATTCCATTTTAGGGTATAGAGTGTTAACGTTGCAAGAGTTCTAGAGACTGGTTGCACAACAATGTGAATGGGTTTACCCCTACTAAACTATATACTTAAAAATGGCCAAGATGGTGGCCGGGTGCAGTGGCTCACACCTGCAATTCCAGCACTTTGGGTGGCCAAGGCAGGCAGATCACCTGAGGCCAGGGATTCGAGACCAGCCTGGCCAACATGGCGAAACCCCATCTCTACTAAAAATACAATGAATTAGTCAGGCGTGGAGGTGCGCACCTGTAATCCCAGCTGCTTGGGAGGCTGAGGCATGAGAATCGCTTGAAACCAGAAGGCAGAGGTTGCAGTGAGCCGGGATTGCGCCACTGCACTCCAGCCTGGGCAACAGAACGAGACTCTGTCTCCACATAAAAAAGGCTAAAATGGTTAATTTTAGGTATGTGTATTTTACCACAATTCTTTAAAAATCCCATTTTATCACCATTTTGCTATTCCCAAAGAGATAACTGATTCAGGTAAAATCACCAATGGATACTAACACTATTATGTCAAAGACGTCAAGGAACTAACTATTTGTATGGTACCAACATCTCACTCCTCCCAGATTATATGCCAGTATCAAAGGGAAAACTATAATTTTACAACAGGGAGATCTGTCATCACCTTACTCAATCTTAGCTTCACTAATAGTGAGATAACTGCATTATGTGGTGCCTGATATGAAGCAATGTAAACCATACAAAATTGGCTATGAAAATACCCTTACCAAAAATGTTTGTTCTGAATCTAATCAAGAATTTAGATCTAAATTCTACTTACAGAAAATACAGAGTTTAGACGAATGAATTAAATACCCTCACATAGAAACAATTAAGCCAACCAAGAAAAACAAAGATTCTCCAAGACCTGTAACATCTTGCATCTCTCCAACAGTTCACCGTCATGAAAAGGGAATGAAAAAGGAAGGAGAAGAACTATTTTAGATTGTAAGTGACTTAAGTGACATAACCATAATTAAATGCAATCCTTGGCAGGATCCCAGTTTGCCAAACACACTATACAAGACATCACGGGAATGACTGGAGAGACTTTAACATAGCACAGATATTAGAAAATATTAGAGAACTACTGTCAACTGATATAATAGTGTGCTGGTTAAACGGGAAACTGTCCATGTTTTTTACAAATACATAACAAAAAAGTTAGGGCTGAAATGTGATGTTTCATAATTTAAATTACTTCAGGAAAAAACATATGGGAAAAAGTTAATGTAAGGAAATAATGTATCTAGGCAATAATCACCGATGGCTGTTAAAAACCATTAGGCAAAAAAGCTTAATGGGAAATCAAGCTTTTCCCATCAGACTGATGGATGGATCAGTCCAGCTAGAAACACCTGAGCTCACTGATCAATCTTCATGCCAAAAAGAAAACTAATCCTATATTGTATCACTTGATAGGAAGCAGTAAGAAATATACACTGATAACTAGGAAGGATTCTATACTCCTAACTCCCAATTAATCTTGAATCTGAGTAAGCCCCAGATCTACTACCAATTTATAGGAAATTCAGAAGGGAGAAACATACTAAACAGCACCACAGGCAGGGATGCAATCAACAAATTCCAGAATGTGGGAAACTCTATAGAGCAAACAATAGAGTTTCAACAAATCAATTGAATATAGAAAAAACAACACAGTTTCAACAAATAAACTGAAAGAAAAAGAAGAGAAACAAAGTACATATTAAGATACTGTGTTCAAGAGACATATAAACCAAACATAATATAGATCTTATCTGGATTCTAACTTTAACTATAGAAGCATTTATGAAACAACTGGATAAATATGAACACACATTGAATATTTGATAATTTAAGAAAGTAAGTTTTTTAGATGTAACAACAGTATTGTGGTTTTCATTTTGTTTAATGCTTACTCATCACAGACCTATTTTAAAAAGAGTGAATGAAGTGATAAACTGTGCTTTAAGACAATCCAGCATGGAATGGGGAACATGGGTTTGGAAGGTCCACAGATGAAAACTGGCCATATGGGAGTAATTAGTTGGAAGGCGGGTACGTGGGGATTCATTATTCTACTCTATGTTTGCATACACCTCCATTATAAAAAGTATTTTTTTAAAAAGAAACTCAGTAAGAATGCAGGGAATGACCCCTAATCCCAGCATCTTCACCTCATCATAGAATCTTCATCTAATACCTAGCAAAATGAGTACCAGCCAAAAGACCTTAAAATAAAAACTAGCAAAAGATTTACTAGCATTAACAAAAGAAAGAAAAAGATGTAAAACCTACACTACAAGCCTGATACAACAAATGAAATAATAAAGAAGATTCCAGTGAATAGCAGTGTGACTTCATCCCCATCTCTTAATGCACTAAACATTAGGGGAAAAACAAGGTGGTGAGGAAATGGATGGTATTATTCTGCCCTCTTTATTTATACATAGAAAAATTTCCACAATAAGTAGTAAAAACAAATGATTACAAAATCCTTCAAAGGATCACTATAGAACACATTTATTTAATTTCCCACATAAATTGGTTGCTTTCTGATTTCACATCTTCTCACTTTTATCCTTCTACTTCTAACTGTCAAGGAAGAAGAGGGGGAAAAAAAGAGTCACTAAGGATACTTGCTTACTGGGTAAGAAATCTAACTAGCAAAACCAAAAAGTTTCCATCATTGTGCTAGAAAAATCAAGACTGATTTTACTGTAAAATGTCTCACTTGAACGGAAAACCTGGTTTGTGGTACATGGAAATTACTAAGACAGCTGCTTTCTCCCTTTCTTTTTTGGAAATGAAGCTGGAGTAGAAATTCTTGTGTAATCTGTATTTGGATGTGGTGTTTGCAGAGGATTATTATCTTCCCAAATTTCTAAGTGGTTCCATCTGTTTTTATGGGGAATTTGGCTTAGGCTGATTTTAAAAATGAAGAACCAAGTAAGAAATCCGAGGCTGGGCAAGGTGGCTCAGGCCTGTAATCCCAACAGTTTGAGAGGCCGAGGCAGGCAGATTACTTGAGGTCAGGAGTTCAAGACCAGCCTGGTAAACATGGCAAAACCCTGTCTCTACTAAGAATACAAAAAAATTAGCTGGGTGTAGTGGCACACT
This sequence comes from Homo sapiens, assembly GCF_000001405.40. Classification (NCBI taxonomy): domain Eukaryota; kingdom Metazoa; phylum Chordata; class Mammalia; order Primates; family Hominidae; genus Homo; species Homo sapiens. Next base: position 131,043,175 of record NC_000006.12, read on the forward strand.
CCTGTAATTCCAGCTACTTAGGAGGCTGAGGCAGCAGAATCGCTTGAACCCGGGATGCAGAGGTTGCAGTGAGCCAAAATCTCGCCGCTGCACTCCAGCCTGGGTGACAGAGTAAGACTCTGTCTTAAAAAATAAAGATAAATAAATAAATAAATAAATCCAAACATCCTTACATTTAGTATTTAGGTATACTCTTTGAGTGGTTTTAAGAAATAACAAAACCAATGAAGTATTAACAACAACAAAAAAAACTGAACCAGAAGATGATGAAAAGCCTCTGCATGTACTACCAATTCATAGGATGAAGGCACAGGTTAAACTACATAGGGATGGAATCAGAAAAACAGAAATTGCAGGAAGGATATAGGACAACCCAATTTCTTCAACAACAACAAAAATTGCAAGGAAATATAAAAGAAAGAAAGGGACAGAACCAATAGATTAAAGAGATTTGAAGAGACCTATCACAATCGCAATGTATGTACCTAACTTGGATCCTGATTCAAATAAGAGACTATGAAAGAAACAAAGACAAATGGAAATCTGAACACAGTGAATATGTGATGACATTAAGGATTTGCTGTTAATTTATTTAGTTATTATAATGGTATTCTAAAGAGTCTCATCTTTTATAGATACGTAGTGAAGTATATGTAGATGGAATGATGACATGCCTGGGAATTGCTTCCAAATAATATAGTAAGAAGTGAAGTGAATAGAGAGACAGATAAAAGAAAGCCAGCCATGAGCTGACAGATGTTAAAGCTGAATGGTGGGAAAGGAACGGGGAATCAATATGCTATTCAGTTTAGTTTTGTATATATTTAAAACTTTCTAAATAATGCTTTTTTTTTTTTTTTTTTTTGAGACAGGGTCTCACTCTGCTGTCCAGGTTGGAGTGCAGTAGTGAAATCACCACTCACTGCAGCCTTGACCTCCTGAGCTCAGGAGATTCTCCCACCTTAGCCTCCCAAGTAGCTGGGACCACAGGCACTGGTCACCATGCCTAACTAAGTTTACTTTGTATTTTTTGTAGAGATGGAGTTTCACCATGTTGCCCCGGCTGGTCTCAAACTCCTGGGCCGAAGTGATCCTCTGGCATCAGCCTCCCAAAGCGCTGGGATCACAGGCATGAGCCACAGCACCCAGCCAATAATGCTTTTTTGTTTAAAAAAAAATTGAAATAATGGAAATGGAAGTAAGTTAATAATGGAAATACAGTTAGCATACAAAATTCTTAAAACTTTTTAATTTAAAAATTAATTTCTAAAACAATTGAGACATTTTTGACAAAAAAGTAGAATCGTGGTAAACAAAATTCAGAATCTTTTTCATCTTCAAATAACTTTAATCATCTTAAAATTTCAGCAAGTCATAAAATGGGAATCATAAAATCTTTAGCTTGGAAGATACCCCGGTGGTCACAAAGCTCCATCTCCCACCCAGTGAATCTTCCTCCCACCTTCCAACAGCCTGTTGCCTGGGTCCTTCAAGCCTTGGGAAAGCACTCCATTCCAAGGCAGCCCCATTCCATCATCAGCCTTCTCCAACTGTTAAAAAGTTCCTCTGCTACCAGGCAGAAAACTTCCCTTCTCCAAATTTCTTAGTTTTATCCATGGAAAAAGAATTTTTCAAGTTGCAGTGACAGTCCACTGGTGAGTTGTGAAATTAAGTTTGTGGACTATTGACTGGAATTTTATTATTATTAAGTAGAAAAGAAAATCTCAGAGCACAATACACAGTAAGGTTAAGAACTAATTTGTGAAACTTGTTTCTGTTATTCATACATATATATACATATACACACATCCATACTGAATAAAGGGTCAAGATGTAAAATATATTTCTTCCAGCAGATTTTGTCAAAAACAAAATCAGAAAGGCAGTGCTCAAACACCAGCTCTCAACAAGTTGCCCCCCAGTAAGTTTTATCCCTTCAGTTATTTCTACGGCTAGTTCTTCAGGTGCTATAGTTTCTCCTCATCTCAACATCCCAGTAACCCTTCATGGACATGGTTTCCACTCGTCTTTATTGAACAAATATCTATTAGTGCATACTATGTACCCCTTAAAATGAGGTATCTAAATATTCTAAGTCAATGCAAAATAATCCATTACAGCCCACATTTTACACAAAATATTTCATATTTAAATATTCATTTAATATGAATATTTAATATTTAAATATTCATTTAAAAATGATGAGATGCTGGCAGAGATTCTTCTAAGTCACTGAAATGCAGAACTCAAGAGAAAGACTTAGCCTGGAGAGAGATATGAGTTAACAGATTAAAATAGGTAAAGTCTTGGGTGATAAAAATTAGGGCTACGAATCAAAGGCTAAGGACAGAACCCTGGGAAACAGGAAAATTGAAAGGATAGTCAGAGGAAAAGAAGTCTGCAAAGAACAGAAGGAAAAGGAGAACAAAGAGCCAAAACATGTCAGGAGAGACTCAAAGACTTTCAATGACATCCCAACAAATTTCATGTTATTTATTTCAGCCCATTTTGTAGCTAATAAGACAATCTAGGAACAGCTTACTCGGTTTCCCTATAAACTTCTGTGAAATCTGTATATCTGATAAGCAATCCTTGTTTGTTACCATTAAAAATCACTGGCAAAAATATCTTGCATAGGAGATGACCAAGGTTAAAATTTCAGTAACAAAAACCACAAGAGATTTTTTCCAAAGTTGTTTATAAAGATATAAAGATACCATGAAAACTTTATCAAATGTTTTGCCAAGATCTACGCCTATATTTTTCTTTCTCTCTTTTTTTTTTTTTTTTGAGATAGTGTGTGACTCTGTCACCAAGGCTGGAGTGCAGTGGCAAGATCATAGCTCACTGTAGCCTCCATCTCTGGAGTTCAAGGGATCCTCCCGCCTCAGTCTCCGAAGCTAATTTTTTTTTTTTTTTTTTTTTTAGTAGAGACATGGTTTCACTATGTTGCCCAGGCCAGTCTCAACCTCCTGACTGAAGCAATCCTCCTGCCTCAGCCTCCCAAAGTGCTAGGATTACAGATACGAGCCACTATGCCCTGGCTCTTTCCTTCTTAAAGAAAGGACACTTTAAATCACTTTCTCCACACACAGAGATGAATGAGCAACAGACATATAAGTTAGGATTTATTTCAGGGTACCTGAACCACCTAAGAGAAAACAGACACACAAAGCAACATCACTTGACCACCGTCACACTTAACTAATGAGTGTACTGGGACTTGAGGCTAGAACAATTGTCTTTCTATCCTCTGCTCCTTTCAGAAACAAAAGGGAAAAAACAGTATTAAATACCTCATTTGTTGAAATTCCGGTCACTACAGATTCAGGATAAACACCTACAAAAGTCTATACTCAGCAGTACTGACCAACAATAGCCCAATATTCCAATAACACACCTGCCATTTCAAGGTACTCAAGTGGAGACAAATTTTCACCTTTCGATGCTACTGTGAACGACAGGCTTCAACAGCTCCTTTTTAACCTGTCAACATTCCAGATAGACTCAACATTCCATTTCTTTTTTAAGGGGGAAGAAGGAAGATGGTAAGGTGGAGGTTATCACCTTATCCTCTACGTGCTTCCATTTTCCCGCTTCCCCTTTATAACTAAAGCTGGTAAAGGAACATGAGTAGAATCTCATCAGTGCTTTCTAGTTTCTGCATGAAAACTATCCCCTAATGATTAAATTATACCCTAATGCAATAGTGTAGTATTGGCTCTGATTCAAGATAGTTACCCGTGGGGAGGGGAATGCAAATAGGATCGGGGTTTGACGTCGTTTACATATTCTTAGGGATAATATAAGACAGTAGTTATGGCTATAGGCTCTGGAACTAGACAGCCTGGGTTCAAACCGCTGCTCCACCATTAATTGGCTGAGTGACCCTGAGCAAGTTACTTCAAACTGCAGTGCCTCAGTTTTCTTATAGGATACTTAGGATAATAGTACCTACCACAAAGAGTTACTACAAGAATTAAATAAATAAATAAATGTAAAAGTGCTTATAGATAACCAGCATGGTGGCACACACCTCTAGTCCCAGGTACTCAGGAAACTGAGACAGAAGGATCACTTGAGCCCAGGAGTTCAAGGCTGTAGTATGCAATGATCACATCTGTGAGTACCCAGTGTACTCCGGCCCAGACAACACAGCAAGACCCCATCTCTAAAAAAAATATTTAAAAATAAAAGTGCCTATAGAACAGTGTCTGACATATATTAAGTACTCAAAACATGGTGCTTATTGTTATCAATATTTTATAATTCAATGTCTTTGCAAGGAAATTATATTAAATAATTACATCTTAATTGAAAGTACAAATTAATATATAAAATAAACTATCTCCAACATAAAAATCCTGCCTGTTATTTAGGAAAAGCACTTCGACCATTAAGTGATTGTCAGCTACAGCTATAATGCCAACAATTTACACAACGATTTCTAAATTAGTGTATCATCAATGTTTAAGGCATGTACCTTCCCCTCGATACTGCCAGACAGAACCATATACAAACAGGTTGCTTTGATTTTTATAACTGTATAGTCCCATTAAAATTCAGTCAGCTAAAAAAGAATATTTTGCTTGGTCTAGTTCCAACATATTGCCTCTAAACTACGTTAGGCAAAAGAAGGGAAGAAAGAAGGCAGGGTGGGAGGAAGAAAAGAAAAAAGAAAAATCGGCTGGGCGCGGTGGCTCATGCCTGTAATCCCAGCACTTGGGAGGCCAAGGCAGGTGGATCACGAGGTCAGGAGTTCAAAATCAGCCTGGCCAAGATGGTGAAACCCTGTCTCTACTAAAAATACAAAAATAAGCCAGGCATAGTGGCGGGTACATGTAATCCCAGCTACTCAGGAGGCTGAGGCAGAGAACTGCTTGAATCTGTGGGGCAGAGGTTGCAGTGAGCCGAGATCGCGCCACTGTACCTCAGGCCTGGGCGACAGAGCAAGACTCTGTCTCAAAAAAAAAAAAAAAAAAAGAAAAAAAGAAAAGAAAAATCTAAAAACAATAAAATCTAACATAAACATAAGCAGGATTCATAGGAAAAAAAATTATACAACATCAACTTTAACATTACCTTGAGAACATACTAGAATTTGAATATCAGTTCAGATTTGGTTTAGAAATTGTTGGGGTTTTTGTTGTATTTTTTGTTTTATGTTCCTTGTTTTTAGCACTGGTTAAAGCATTCTCTATGTCCACAATGCTACATTTAGGTGAAACTGCTTTTACTGACTAAAACAATATTCAGATATTTATTCCAAAAACATCACAACAGTATGTCACAAATGATCTATTTTCTGTTATTCCACAAAATCCGTAATAAATATGAGCTTTATTTGGGAGACCAAGAAGTACATGCCAAGAAAAGGGGAGCAGGGGAATCTCACTTATTCACAAATAAAATTATATGATGTCTGGAGTTTGCTTCAAAATAAAGATGAGAGTGGGTCAGGGAGTCAAAGGGAAATACAGATGAAACAAGACTGGTCATGTGACTGGTAACTGTTGAAGCCAGGCGAGGATACGCGAGGTTCATTATACTACTATTCTCTACTTCTGAATATATTGAAAATTTTCCATAGTAAAAAGTTTAAAAAAGAAGAACACTTTTCTGTAACTGATAATGGTACATTCTTTCTTCCAAAAACACTTCGATAATCAGATACTACATGGCTTTAAAAAAACCTAACCAAACATGGCTTTAAAAAACCTAACCAGAAAAAAAAAAGTCCTTAAAAAAATGCCACATTATCCTTCACTGCTATTATGTGTTCTACACAGAGCAAGTAACACATAAATCATAGATCTATAGACTATTCTAGAATCTACCCTCTTTCGATTTAAGCTTGCAGCACTGAAGATGAAGGTAAAATGACCTCAATTGGTAGGAGCCACATCTGCACCACATATGCAGCCCACATCCACAGCTCTTCATTGCAGAGCTGCAAAAGTTTAGAATATCTTCAACGTACCTTTATTTTCCTCCTGTTTTCGGGCAGAGGGAGGTGGGGGAAGACGAATGTATTCACATTCCCATATGTGTATAATTTAAAACAGACAATCTTGGCATTAAGGAAATTAAGATGTAGGCTTTACTGATGTTGATTTCAATGGCCAAGATCCAGAAACAGTTCTAGTTACAAGTTCATGGATAAATTTGATTTCTTTGCAGTGGACAGACCCAACTCAGTACTTGACATTCTGACCTTTCCCATACACAACTTTCACCCACTTTATTAAGGAAAAAAAGTTTTCCTTTTTCTCTTTAAGAGAAGTGGATTAAAGAAAATTTTCCAAAGAAGATGTTCATTTAGTAGCTTTTCTACCAGAGTGTAGACACTTAGTAGCTTTTCTACCAGAGTCTAGAAGCAACTAAACAGAGTACTGGGAAACAGTAAAAGATTATCATAATAAAAATGGTCCCCAAAAGCGAAGGCTGAATATGAACCATTGTCTAGCGTATAACCACTGCCACATTTGCTTTTCAAATACTTGTGGAGGCATTTGGCATCATTTTCCAATAATCCCATAGGACTTTTACTTGTTTTTTCAGTAGTATTTCAAAATGTTGACACATTTATTGAACTATTTTTGGAAGACTGAGCTCTGTCTACCTTCAGGGCTCAAGACACAAATATATAAAAGCTACAGGACATCTCTTTAGCTACAAAACTTGGCAGACTTCCTGAGTTTTCCAAGAAAACTTCAACTGGCAAAAGTGCACAGTATAGAGGGAACAACTCTGGACACAAGAGACCTTGGCTGTGCCTGAAGCTCCATTAGTAACTGCTCCAGGACTTTGGTTAAGTTTAAACTCTTCGCTCTTCTTACTTGTCAGACCCGTGGTACAAAATTGTTTTAAAAATCAAATGGGGACCGGGTGCGGTGGCTCACACCTGTAATCCCAGCACTTTGGGAGGTCAAGGAGGGCAGATCACCTGAGGTCAGGAGTTTGAGACCAGCCTGGCCAACATGGCAAAACCCCATCTCTACTAAAAACACAAAAATTAGCTGGGCGTGGTGGCGGGCACCTGTAATCTCAGCTACTCAGGAGGCTAAGGCAGGAAAATCGCTTGAACCCGGGAGGCAGAGGTTGCAGTGAGCCAAGATTGCGCCATTGCACCCCAGCCTGGGCAACAGAGCGAGACTCTGTCTCCAAAAAAAAATGAAAGACTCAAATCATTTAGTATACCAACATACTCTGGGGAAATACTTTCCTTATTTATTCCCTGCAACATCTTCTATATTAATGCATAATAGATTTGAATGTCTAAATCTCTAAAACCCACTGGGCAACCAACTTAACTAACACTGATCACATAACAGGCATTAGATCATCCTGTCATTTCCTCAGACCTCACAGTCACTACTGACTCACTACAATATTCAGAACCTTCCTTTTTGTTTTACCATCCCTAAAACCCACACTCGAAAATCCCTAACATCCATACCTTCACATTAATGTAAATCCCTAATTATGTCCCACCTAGTAATGAAATTTTCACCCTTACAATATTTAACAGAACCTGCATATGTTCAAAACTTACTCTAATCCCCAAATCATATTCAAACAATATTCTTTTATTTATTTAATAGAGATGGGGTTTCCCCATGTTGCCCAGGCTGGTCTTGAATTCCTGAGCTTAAATGATCTGTCCGCCTTGGCCTCCCAAAGTGCTGGGATTACAGGCATGAGCCATCGTGCCTGGTCCAAAGAATATTCAAGTATATGTGTGACAACAATATGTCTGTCTAAAGACAGACAAACCAAGATACTCAATAAATCTAAACTAATGCTGTCACCTCTGATACATAACAAAAACAAATTTGGTGAGTATGTATTGTTAAGTCTAGTTCAAGTATATAATATTTCTAAGAGTTTATAATGAACTCCTTGAAAGACCACAGGAAAAAAATATAATACATTTACTGAACTTTTCCTAGGAAGTAGCTTCTTGACCAATAACATATCAGTCATCCACTCCCAGGCACCCTAGATGTTCACTCAATCACCTGACTTTTCTACCTCCCTCTATATAAATGAAGTTCAACCCAGCAGCTGGCATGGGGAAACAAGTATAATTTTATTATGGCTGCAGTCCTTACCAAATGTGAGTACCGTGGCAATCTTGTGGAATTTTGTTTTTAATCAATTTAAATTCCAAAATCCAATATATTTAACATGAGCTAATTTCTGTTTCCTCCCACAACCACACTAAAATGAAGTGAGAAAAGTTTTCTTACAAGGAACAAATTCACAAAAGTAAAGCAAAAAAAAAAAAAACACACACACACACACACACAACAGCAACAATGGGAGGGGTCAGGCCAGCAGATATGTCAACAAAATTTTAGAAGATGGAAAGCAGATGTACAAAGTAACTGACTTAGCAGAGCAGAGGAAGCAGAAAACTGTTACTGTTTTGGTGGGGGGCCTACGAGAAACAAGTTGATTGTTGGAAAAGCCCTGAGAGCCTGAAGAATTGGAGGTTCCAGATATCTTTGAGGACTGAGGTGAGAGAAAGAGCATCCTTCAAATGGCTTCAAAAGATGCCTTCAAAATTTGAAGGGAAGGTAATCACTAACAGAATTCTATATACAACCAAACTATAAGAGCAACCAAACTGAGAGTGGAGAAAGACATTTTAAGACATGCAAGCCTCAAGAAACTCACCTGCCATTTACACTTTTTTGGGCAAATACTAGAAGTCTTCATTAAGGAAATTAGGATGTAGCCTGTGCTGTGTTGATTTTTTTTTTCTTTTTTTTTTTGAGACGGAGTCTTACTCTGTCACCCAGGCTGGAGTGCAGTGGCATGATCTCGGCTCACTGCAACCTCCACCTCCTGGGTTCAAGCAATTCTCCTGCCTCAGCCTGCCAAGTAGCTGGGACTACAGGCGCCCACCACCACACCCAGCTGATTTTTATATTTTTAGTACAGATGGGGTTTTGCCATGTTGGCCAGGCTGGTCTCAAACTCCTGACCTCAGGCAATCCAACTGCCTCAGCCTCCCGAAGTGCTAAGATTACAGGCATGAGCCACTGCACCCAGCCACTGATGTTGATTTTAATGGCCAAGATCCAAAAACAGTTCTGGTTACAAGTTCATGGATAAACTCCTAACTTTTTGTCAATGAACCAAGATAGAAATATAGAGCCCAGAAAAAGAGGCGAAGGAATTCCCTGCACACAGTTATATAGCAATTCTAGAAATAAAACCAGTCCAGGATGATGGAGGGCCCAGCCAGGAAGGATAGCTTTAACAAAAAAAGAAAACGGAACCAAAAGATTATATCATGTTTGATCCTACTGGCAAGAATTTCACAGTTTCTAACATAGTTTAAAGCTGAACCAAGGATGGGTGCAAAGAAAACGAATAAGGAAAAGGATAAGGATCAGGATAACTTCAGGATAAAACATAAAGTTGTAAAAGAAAGTACATGTAATCAAAGCACTTTACATGACTTAGCTTTTGTATATATAAGTTGGAAATTGGAAGAGAGGAGAAAATGGGAAGAGGGAGTTAGTAAGGAAGCTAACTAGAGGTAGAAAGTCAAACAGGTATTACATTTAAAATGTAAAAATCAAGAAACAGGAGTAAGCAGACCTCAGCAAGGTGGCAGAATAGGCTTTTCTAGTGCTTCTCTGCCCCACTCGCCCTGCTAACCTCACCCCCTACAGAAACATCAATTTGAACAACTATCTACACACAAAAATATAAATTTTTTTTTTTGAGGAGTTTCGCTCTTGTTGCCCAGGCTGGAGTGCTATGGTGCGATCTTGGCTCACTGAAACTTCCACCTCCTGGGTTCAAGCGATTCTCCTTGTCTCCGCCTCCTGAGCAGCTGGGATTACAGGCATGCACCACCACGCCTGGCTAATTTTGTATTTTTAGTAGAGATGGGGTTTCACCATGTTGGCTAGGCTGGTCTCAAACTCCTGACCTCAGGTGATCTGCCCGCCTCGGCCTCCCAAAGTGCTGGGATTACAGGCATGAATCACCGTGCCCAGCAAGTAAATTTTAACAAATAATAAAACATAAAAATATTCTGAAACTTTAAAAAAAAAATCAAGAAACAAGAAAATCATGTTATTTAGAGACAAAACACCAGAAAATAAAACCAAAACTAGTGAAAGTAGTTGTGGCAGACTGTCACGGTTACTACTTGAGACCATCACTACAACAGTTACTACTGTTACTACTTGAGACCCTCATTAGGAGACGGGACGAAGGGACGAACATGGAAATGATAAAAAAAAAAAAAAAAAAAAAAAAAGAAACTGTTTTAAAGGAAAGGCCAGGGGAAGAAAAGCTCCCTGCTTCTAGTCAGCAAAGGCAGCCCCCCTGAGCTCCACAGCCCTTCGTATTTATTGGGTAACAAGAACAGGGAGGAGGAGGTAGCAACTGGTCAGCTGCTTAACTGATCGCAGGTTCATATTGTTACTAACAGGCTTCAGATGTACCTAATCACAAGAAACACTGCACTTGGGGCGTGACTGCCTTCAGCATTCCTTCTGGGTGGCATACACAGTTTGTCAGTTTGCCAACATTCTACATTTATGAGAAACATTTTGTTGCTTACTCATATAGCCTCCAGTGGTATACTGAGTTGATCATAACCCTCATTCTTTCGACCTCCAACGTTTCTCCCTTTTTGTTTTTTAATTAATTGAGAAAGGCAACTACAGGCTGTGCAGCCCTTAATTGCCAGTTGGTGGTCCAGCTGATCTTACAACGGGAGGCACAGGAAACCATGGCCAGCATGGCCACAAACATGGAGTCAGGGGTCTTTGCCTGACCCTGACACTAACAGTGTCTCAGCTTCCTGTGTGGTTTTCTTGATCTATCCCCATGTCATGAGGGTTGATGTCAGTGTGACTCCGGTCGGTCCTCATTCCATCTTCGCATTCAGATTCAACTGGCTCATGGCTCGTATTAGGGGAACAAGGCCTGTAGCTAGAATCCATGGATCTCTCCAGTCTTCCATTCCATGGTCGCACACACCTTGAGGGCACCCACACAGTTTGTTCATCTCCTTATGTTGTCAAGCAGACTTGTAACGGGGTTTCTCATTTGTCTGGTTGGTTTTAGTTTTTTCTGTTCCAGCAGAACTTCCTCATTCAAGTCCCTATAGGACCCTGTCTCTATCTGTCCCTGTCTGTCCCTGCAAGTTTCTGCTAGCTTCTGCTGGTCTCTGCTAGTCTTTGCTAGTCTCTGCTAGTATTTGCTAGTCTTTATCTATCCCTGTCTGTCCCTGTCTGTCTCTACGGTCCCTGTTAGTTCCTCCAAGTTGGTGCAAGTCCCTATCTTTCCCTATCTGTCTCTATCTCTATTTATCCCTACTTATCTCTATGTGTCCCTGTAGGCCTCCTCAGGTCCCTTCAGGTCTCTTCAGGTCTCTGTTTGTCACTGATAGTCCCTGTTCGGGCGCCACTTGTGGCACATTGCCACAGTTACTACTTGAGACCTTCACTACAACAGTTACTACTGTTACTACTTGAGACCGTCATTACGAGACTGAAGGAAGGGACAAACATGGAAATAACAAAAAAACAAAAGGAACTGTTTTAAAGGAAGGGCCAGGGGAAGAAGAAAAGAGCTCCCTGCTTCTAGTGAGCAAAGGCAGCCCCTGAGCTTCCACAGCCCTTCATATTTATTGGGTAACAAGAGCAGGGAGAAGGAGGTAAGGATTGGTCAGCTGCTTAATTGATCACAGGTTCATATTGTTACTAACAGGCTTCAGATGTACCTAATCACAAGAAACACTGTGCTTTGGGCATGACTGCCTTCAGCATTCCTTCTGGGTGGCATACGCAGTCTGTCAGTTTGCCAACATTCTGCATTTATGAAAAACAGTTTGCTGCTTACTCATATAACCTCCAGTGGTATACTGAGTTGATCATGACCCTCATTCTTTTGGCCTCCAACAAGTAGTTGCCTCAGGGGAGCAGAAATCTGTCAAGAAGGGAGCTAGGGCACTGGTCTGCTGCTTTTTTTCATAATCCCTGCAGTACTACCTGACTTTCTAAATCATATAAAGCACCCTGGAGAATGCCATTTGCACTTTAAATGAAAGCAAAAAGTGCAAAACCACAGGAAAGGCAGAAACTAAAGGTCGGGGGAGAGCCACATTTTATTCTGATGTGTTTTATCCTCTGGTATATTTTTCTAATATTGAAAAATCAGGCTAGAAACATTACTTTAAATGTCTCTAGTCTGAAAAACAAGATGAAGGGTACTCCCTGTTCCAGCATGATTCAAGAATCACACAACTAAAAGTAGTACTCAGGTCTGCTTCATAATCATACCTTTACACAAAAAACTACATGGGCGAACCCAGTCAGGAAAGCAATCCTGTCTTTTATAAAAGTTAGATACTGCAGATGCCAACAAATTGCAAAAAACTTCAACTTCTACTGAGTAATAACATCGAACAATTAAAAGCAATAACTGGAACTCACAGAAAAAACAAGGGTTTTAGCCATACACAAGCTGGGTGCCCTTGAGCCATTTATTCAATTTTTAAGCCTCAGTTTCTCATCCGTAAAATAAGCACACCAGCTACTCCAAGATGGTGCTGCAAAAAAGAAGCAGGGTTATTAACATATGTAAAGTACCAATTATAGCACCTGGTGTGTAGTCTGTGCTGCAAAACCATTAGCTTCCTTATTTTTTTTTTACATGGTTATTGATTATCAAAGCTTCAGGCCTTACAGGATTACTTACAATGGAACCTAGAACAAAGCTAGAACTGAGCATAAAATGCGTGCGTCAGGGACAGGTTAAGCAAAGCAGCTGATGCGTGACAGCACCAGAAGCAATAGACACAATAGACCCAGTGGACCCAGTGGACCAAGTGCTACACCATCATCTAATTTTTCTAGCCTAAAATAAGGATATTTATATGAAACCTGATTTCTTAATGTTGGCAACTAACAAGTTAAAACACGATGTTGCTGGAAAATATGTGTGCAGGTATATTTCACACAAAGATTTATAAAGGTTACATTTTAATGCCATATGCAGAGGTTTAAACATTGTCAACAAAAATTCTACTCACTAATAGGCTTTTTTCAACAAGTTTACTGTGGTTATAGAGAGAAGAAGTTAGAACATATGCACACAATTTTACATTTATAATCAGTTACCTCTGGCAACATAACAAAAAAGACTACATTATCCCTGTGCTGTTGAAACTAGATCCCAACTGTTTTCCCATATATATGCTCTTTTGTAAATTAACAAAAAGAATGAAGTTAAGACAAGAGTTTCTAAAAGCTCAAACATTATAGATACTGGACTGAAATTGTTAAAAAGTGGTTTTAACTTGTGATCACCATAGGAAATTACTGTTTCATTTCAAAGACTGTACTTCCACACAGATAATTATTCCTGACCACTGCAAAAAATCTGCTTACCACATATTCACCAGTAACCAACCCACTAGGTCTCTTCTTAACCTAACAATTTTTACAGATGCCAGGCACTCTATGAAGCATTTTATAAGCATTAGTTCATTTAATCCTCATGTAACTCTGAGGTAGGTATGATTTTTAACCCCTTACTACAGCAAACGAGGCTTTGAGAAATAATTTGCCCAAGGTCACAATGGCATATGTGGCAGTCTAACCAGCATCAAATAGAGTGGACATGTTACTGATTCCTTCTAATCAATATTCCATCAAAGAAATTTGTAAGGAAATAAATGCACATTCATTAAGTTCACAGGTAAGAATATGAGTGGCCAGGATTATATCAGAATTCAGTTTAACCTTGACAGTTAGGTAAATGGGGGTCAACTAAATGAATTCAATTGAATGGAAAGAAGTACAATGGGAGATAGGGGAGAATAAATGATGAAAAGTGCAATAGGGTGAAAAAATTAAAAAAAAAGAGAAAAACAAAATACTCTTAAAACTTCCATCTTCTAATCTCGAAAATAAGAACTGAAACATCAGTTCTCAATCTTTTCTGTTTCCCAAAACCCTTTCAAAAACCACTCCTAAAGTTCTCTTTCTCCCTTAACCTGTCTCTCTCATCCACTTGTGCACACACACACAGAGATGCTGCACACACACAGGAGTGCATGCACATGGGAACACAATACCTCACTTACAGTCTCAGGCAGTTTATGCACCCATGAGGCCCAAGAACCCCACTCTCCACCCCAGGTCAGGAGTCTGAACCAAATAATCTCCCTCAAGGTAAATGAATCTAGGGTGAAAAACAAGTAGCTTCTGGACAAAAAGAGAAAGAAACAAAGAATTATGGCAGAGTGTAAATCACATTTTAATTTTATGTCTTCAAGCTACTGGGATATGTACATATATCAGTAGAATGTAGGAAACTCTGAAAAATATGAGTGAATTCAGCACTGTTGTTATAATGGCCCAGCCCTGAAGCTCATCAGCAGGTCTGGAAACGTAAATACAAGGGCTTGGAAAAGGTGACTTCAGAGTTGGTAATCAGAACTATATGACAAGCTTTTTAAAACCACAATTATCCTGGAAAAAGGCAACTGAAGGGTAACATAAGTTTTTAAGTATTTGAAAATTCTTTCATGAAGGTTGATGGTGAGGCCCTAAGAGCAAAGCAAGAGGAAACTGGTCTCTTCAGAAAGATTTGATTTAAATGCATGAACTACCCTACCTGACCTAGGCAATAAGGTCCGATAGATGAACAGTGACAAAACCACTTTGGGAGCCTTTCCATGCCTCCTAACCTGGAAAGAACTAAAATGATCCCCATGATGCCGAACTTAGTTATCTATGCAAAATTTCAACTTGGCTATCTAAAGCAAAACCTTATTTAAGATACAGGTCAGATCTCAGGAAAGATTGTTCTTATCCTTCAATTTATTCCAGATTATTTGGGAGACAATCTATGTACTTTTTGACTTTATGGCTCTAATAAGGTAGAGTGAAAATATGCAAAATTCAGAGAGGTATCTGTGAAGTGAAAACATGTTTCCATTTTAAAGATAACTGAGAATATGAAATTAGCTCAATTGCAATCTTTGAAGAAAAAATATCCAGAAGCAGTATGAATGCACTCATAGATCACATGAAATCTATTCCAATGCCAAGAAGTAAGAGACATCACTTTAAAATAAGAAAATTCAGAAAGCCTCTGAAATTCTAATTAAAATTAATACTATCCCAACACCATGGAAATATATAGCCTATCTACTCTCCTAGACATGAAAAACATGCCTCTAAGAAACTTACAACACAGATCCCAAGCCAACCACAAAACCAGGAGAAACAATATCAGTGGTTAGAAAAGCAAATAAACATTACCGACATGATATTTCTACATGAAACATTACCCATTTCTATGTCAACTCTATCAAAGAATCTTCACTAAAGATTCTTCACCTCTAATATATTAAAGGTTCAATGAATTAATTCATCAAATATTTATTAAATACAATGAGTAGGTGCTTCACATCACAAATACCTATAATATTCCCTCTCTCATATGAAATACACACACATACACATACTTTATAGAAAAAGCTACCAAAATCTATTAGCTATAACTATAAACCGGCTGGGTGCGGTGGCTCACACCTGTAATCCCAACACTTTGGGAGGCCAAGTCGGGTGGATCACTTGAGGTCAGGAGTTCAAGAACAGCCTGGTCAACATGGTGAAACCCTGTCTCTACTAAAAATACAAAAATTAGCCGGGCATGGTGGCACACGCCTGTAATTCCAGCTACTTGGAAGGCTGAAGCACGAGAATTACTTGAACTGGGAAGACGGAGGTTGCAGTGAGCCAAGATCACGTCACTGCACTCCAGCCTGAACGACAGAGTGAAACTGTGTCTCAAAAACAAAATAAAAACAACAACAGCAACAAAAACTATAAATCATTTCTAGATGATAACTGAGATTATTTATTTCTTTCCTTCTTGGCTTACCTATAACTTTTTTTTTTTTTTTTTTGAGATGGAGTCTGGCTCTGTCACCCAGGCTGGCGTGCAGTGGCGCAATCTCCGCTCACAGCAAGCTCTGCCTCCCGGGTTCACGCCATTCTCCTGCCTCAGCCTCCCGAGTAGCTGGGACTACAGATGCCTGCCACCACGCCTGGCTAATTTTCTGTATTTTTAGTAGAGACGGGGTTTCACCGTGTTAGCCAGGATGGTCTCGATCTCCTGACCTCATGATCCACCCGCCTCAGCCTCCCAAAGAGGTGGGATTACAGGCGTGAGCCATCGCGCCCAGCTATAATTCCTAAACAACTCTAATAGCTAACTTGGAGGCCATTTCCCTATAGTTAATGACATCAGGCATTGACTCCATTTTAGATTTTAGTCTAGGGCACTGCCCACGCAGAGAAATGATACAAATCTCATAATATCAAGTTGCTGGTTTATGCCAAAACATGGCATCCCAAAGGATGTTCTGTCTAGAATTGGTGACAGAATCGCATACAAATCTTCTATTTGCTCAGACATTCCAAAGACATTAGAACTGTTTGCATGTTGAGAGGAAGAGACTAGGGCTAAGAGTGGATCTGCTGACTCCTAACGGTTCAGCCCTGAGATTCCAAGATTCTATAAAAGAGCAGTGAATTAGGGTTTGGCTATTATTTGCTGACTACGAAAGCCAGCATAAACATTTACTTCAGGCTTTGAAATCTGTAAGGGTACCCAGTGGTTAGGTACAGTAATTCTGAATCTGAAAAAAACAAGCCCACTGGAAATGTTTCTAAATAAAGGTGGGATGGAGGAGGTAGGCACATTTCTTTTGTTTTCTCCAAGTAAACAGCACAGATTTTAGAAATGCAAAATGTGACTCAGTGGTATTGATCCCTATAAACTGTTTATTTGCCTTATAAAACTAGTAGCAATTCACACTTTTCAATAAAAAGCCCACACATAGCTTTTAAACAGGCTACTTCAGTTCAAAAAAGAAAGAAAAAGGCCCATGTCTTCAGCTGGGATTACAGGCGTGCGCCACCATGCCCGGCTAATTTTTGTATTTTTAGTAGAGACAGAGTAGAAACAGAAACAAAACAAAACCTTCAAAAATATTTAGCATTCTGCTATATAAAATATAAACCCTATATTCCTAAATGAAATGGCAAAGATACAACCTTTGTAGTTCACCAGCCACAGTAATATGAGAGGGGTGATTCAGGGCAGAACCTGATGTTAAACATAACTGTACAATATTACTAATTACAGAGAAATTGTACCAATAAATATTTTGGTTGTGGACTGCTTTGTCATCTTTGCAAGTATTTTTAGTTGAAAGCAAGTGGTTGGGTAGTACACGTGGACATGGTTCTGATTTTTAAATACCTATTTTTACATTCTGGTCACTGGTTAGGTTTTCTAAACTCAATTCCTTAGAACTAGTAATTTGGAAAGGGTAAGCCACAAGAATGTTACGTTAAGAAGCCAAGGATCTAACTAGCTCAGCAACTCAGATCAGCACAAAACTCATTTGGAAACCTCCAAGTGCTAGCATTATCTAATGATGGACCCAGGCAGTCAGTAAATCGTTAAGAACAGGTATGAAAGTGAGCAAACTGCCCTAAAGCTATCTCCTGAAAAACAGCAAGAGATATCTGAACTTCCTTCTTTTATATTTAGATGGTTATTTTTTTGGTGGCCTCTCTTCAGATTCATCCCCTAAATTAAATTTGCTTCTTTCTACTTGGACTTAAATTTCAGATTTGAAATATACACACTTAGTTGCTACAAAATGCTCCCTGGCAGTTTACATTTTTTACAAAAGTTAGGAAAAATTTTACTGAAATTATAGCTTTAACTGATTTTTTAAAATCACTTTTAATCTTTTTTAAGGATCACCATGCAACGTAGATATATGAAGAGTTCGAGGGACGTGGCTCAATTCATCCACGAATTTTCTTTCGAAGGTTTTTGCAAAAAGTGCTCTCAACTACTTGGACTAGTGGTTAAAGATTAAAGAACTGTTATGACTAAGTCTTTCTTACAGAGGGATGTTTTAAAAGGAAAGAAACCGTCCCTTCCCGTTACTCTAAATGAGCAGCCTCTTGTTCTCGGCAGTCTGTCTGCACACAAGACCACTACTGACTTCAGTGGGAATTCTGCCCAAGAAGTGAGGAAGACAGGATAGGATTAAATTAGCGCTAAATCCACACCATTGTTCCAAGCCATTACCACTTGTACAGTTCTCCAATAACCTCCAAAGAATAGATATCTGAAGTTTGATGGTGGTTCTTAAATTGAATTAAAAGAATGACCACTCGAGCTCTGACAGGTGACACAGCATAGCTCTTCAAAAGTTGTGTCAAACTCACAGCCTAACGGATGGAGCCAGTTGGCCCTTATCACAATTCAAGATTGCATTGCAATGCAGCCCCCATCAGTGGCTGCAACAGCCACCCAGTGATTTCTCACAGCAATGAGCCTGCAAAGGGAAACTGAATAGGATTAAGCACTATTCGTTCCCCCACTGAAACCTGTTCAAAGCTTGAGAATTCTAAATCCTAGCCCCTGCAGCATAGAAACTGACTCAGTTTCCCTCAACTGCTAAGTCCAAGGTGAAATCTGACAGAACACCAACTGAAATGCTAATTCTCAACAGCGTTATAAAGAGACCAGATAAATAATGTATTCCGTTGAAAAAAACAATAAAAACGTAGGGTGGGGGAGGAAATAAAGACTGAAAAACTGAGGGGAAAACCGCGAAAGTCGTTTTTTTAAAACAGCTTAAATAACAGTAACAAGAGGAACAAGACGCCTGGCACACACATGCCATTTCAGAGGCAAGAAGTTCAAGAAACTGGGGAAAGATGTGATTCAGAAAAGCGAAAATATAGCCACAGCTCCTCTAGATTCCACCTTCTCTCCCATCCACCCAGGGATCTTAAAATTAAGGGCAGCTGTGGTGTTGATGGGGCAATTCAATGAAAGACTACCCGGGTCCGTAGGGAGGGCTCCATACGCAGACCCCTCCCCAAAATAATAGACTCTAGGCAGTAGTTCTTCTCACCAAACCTCATTTTATTTATACATATATATAAAAAAAAAAACTTGACCTCAGGGGAGGTGAGCGATCTAGAGAAGCATAACTGATGTCCCACCACAGACCTCAGGCTGCTGGGGGCAGCGTCTGCGCCTGGGGATGGCGTCCCCAGACGCCGACTTCAACCCTGTCGCGCTCCTTTAGGTTCTCCTCGCCCTTCCCCGCTGCTCACCTAAAAATGCTCCCAACCCTCGGCCCCCAGGCGCAGGAGGAGAAAAAACAAGCCATCTGTGGTGAGATGGCCTGGGTGTGGGAATTGTAAGGATCGGAGCACGAAACACGCGTCCCTCTCCGCAGCTCCCAGACGGCGCAGGCGGCAGCTGGGGGCGCGGACGCGAGCCTACAGCGGGCCCGACCCGCACCGCGCGTGGGGCTGGCGCGCCGCCCTCGCCCGGCTTCCCGCAGTCCCCACGCGCGCGGCCGGCCCGCGCTTCCCCTCCTAAAACCTTCCTCCTGAAGGGCGACGCCGCGGCCGACCCCCTCCCCGCGGGGGGGATGGAGCCGGATTTTTCCCGCTGTTGCTCCACGGGGCCCGGACGCGTGACCTGAGCCCACGGCACCCCGGGGGGGACGGCGTCCTCCCCGTGCCCCCGCCTTTCCTGGCTCCGCCGGGACGCGGCCCCGGTCCCCCGGAAGAGGGAAGAGGGGGACCGCGGGGAGCAGCGAAGCCGGGATCCGGCCCGGAGCAACAGGACCCGGACCCCCGGGCAAGAATCGGGTCGGGCAGAGACCGGGAAGGAAAGGAGAGAGGGAGCCGCAGAAAATCCCAAAGCCGGGCCCCCTCTCCCCGCCCCCCATCCCGGTGGGACCGTCCCGCCACCGCTTCCTGCCCGGAATCAGCTTCCCAGCTGCAGCCAGAGGAAAAATCTGAGCCGCCCCTGCAACCCCACACTGACCAGTCGCCCGGCCCGTGCAGCCCCGCACGCCTCCTTACCCCGACGCCGTACCTCAGGAGCTCGCTCGCCGCGGGACCCGTCCCTCTTCAGTCCCAGCCGCCGGCAGCCGCGCCTGCCTCCTCCCTCCGCTAGGTTTCAAATTGAAATTCCCTGACTGGGGCCGTCAGAGGACTCTGAGGGCCGGCCCCGCCCCCTCGCGGCGGAAGCCCCTCCCGCGACCCCGCCGGACGAGCCCCCGGCGCGGAAACCCCCGCGGGCGGTCCCGCCCCCGACGCCCAGGCCCCGCCCCTGCGCGGGCGGGGGACCTTTCCCGCGGGATTCGGCAAGCGCGGCCGCGGAGACCCGGGGGTGGAGGACGTCTTTCGCCCTCAGGGCAGCCCGGATGACAGCTAATGCGCCTGGGCAAGGCGTTCTCAACTGCGATTCCCGGCCTTAAATGTCCTCTCAACTTTTAAAAGTTATTTATTCAAAGTGCATTTGCTGACTAAACCTTCACTGAGCGCCTTCCTAGAGGTAAACACTGGAGCAGAGCCTGGAGATGCAGAATAAGGAAAACTGGGTCTCCCTCAGTCTAGAGTGGAAAAAGTGCTTTCACAGGAAGGGCATTGAAAAGGAACCATTTATTCTTCCTGTGGGAGGGACAGGAGGGGTTGGGGAAACCCCGTGGAGGAAAGGCCTCCCCAGAGTAAGTAGGATTTCTCTGGGCAGAGGCCTGGGAATCTGGATTGCAGAGCATGACCACGGGTGAAGAAGAGTCTGGAAAAAACCTAGTTTGGGGCTAAATTGTGGAAAGCCACAAGCACACACACGCTACCCTTCTGGTTCTTTTCTTTTGTACAATGAGGTCAATATGTTTCAGATTCAATATATTTCATCTTTTGAAGGTTTGCACGTCAAGCTGGTGTCAAACAACGTGTCCAGCTCACTGCCTCCAGCATCTGCCTCACACGCACCTCTTATCCCTTTTACTCCTCCCACTTTTATTGAGGTCTTTAGTGATTCCACCACAGCCAAAGTCGTCTCCCTTTCTTTCCTAAACAGAACCTTTTCCAAAATTAACAATGTCAAATGAAACCTCAGTAACAATACCTTCCAGTTAACAAAATACATTCACATATTTTATCATCATTTGATCCTCACAATCACCCTATGAAAAAGGCAGGCACGTTTGAGCTCCATTACATCAAAAAGATTTGGGAAGATAAATTATTTGCCAAGGTCCTTCTAGTAAATAATACAAATAATAATAGTTAAGGTTGATTGTGTGCTTTATGTGCTAGGCATTGTTCTAAGTCCCTTACATGTATTAATTTAATCACAATCCCATATGCTAAGTATACAAGTTAAATTTTATAAGGTGTGCTAAAACAGAGCAGAAATCTGATTAGACAGCAATTCTGGTAAAGGAGACCTGGGAATTTAATGAGAAAATACTATTATTTTCTCATAATAAGAAATATGCAGCAGATTTACAACGAAACTAATGAAACAAACTTCGGGATCTCTCATTTTCACAAGCCTTGAAACTAACTTTATAATTTTGTATTTCATTTTGTGTTTTTTAAAGAGTCCCTAAAGTCATATAAGCTTTTGGGCCCATAAAACATTGAACCACCCTGATGGAGCCCCCTTTAAAATGCTAGTGCAAAATAACATAAATATAGGCATAGTTAATAAAATATAATGCCCTTCTCATAAGAAAGGATATGCTTACTATACTCTGCGTTGAAGTACATGAATCACTCCTATATGCCACCTCTTAAGAAGAAATTTTTCCCTCCAAAAGAAAATATTGATAAGCTAAATTATAACCATAAATGGGTGACCTTGAAAATGTGGGAACCAGCAAGATTTAGCCTAAAGAGATGATTAAAGGTGATAAAAAGGTTGTCAAATGTATAAAGGCTATTGTGTGAAAGAAGAATTGAACTCTGTTTTTGGACACAGCCTTACATAGCCCTGGCATTTTAATGGAATGGAACAGATTCAGTGAGGACCTAGCAGGAACTGAGGGCAGAAAAATCAAGTCCCAGAAGCTATAAGGAAGTGAAGAAAACTGATGGAAGTGGCATCATAGAGATTTAGCAAACAACAGGTGGTAGTCCAGACAACCAGGGAAGTCTAACAAGAAGAGAAGAGGGGTTTGAACAGAAAGAAGGACAAAGTCCTGGAATAGGTGACATCCAAAGACTCAGGCAGGCGGAAGCACTGTCAGGACTACCAGGCTGCAGTTCAAGGGCAGAATGTTAATCCCCAGGAAAACACTCTAGGTAGAACAAGATTGGGTCTTCCTGCTAGACACACTGTAGTAACAGGCAAAGGACTGACACAGAGAACAAGAGAAGAATATAGGTACTAGTCCTGAGAGCTACCACATCCAAATTTACCATAATAGCCTCAATCCTGGGCACTATGTGCAAGCAAAGTTAGTCTGGAAGTATGGACTAGAAATGTACCCAGGACCTCCTTAGTGCCCTTACTTACCAACTCACCCCCATAGGCGTGGCCTCTGGAAGAGCTTGATCTCACTATATCCATGAGTCATCATTTTATCTTTGTGCCTTCTGTGTGCCAAGCCCAAACCAGGTTGGAGTGGCTCTGGGTTGAGGACCTGCCCTTCCTTTACGTGGTCCACAGGCAGCAAGACCTGAAAATGCCCTCTCCTACTATTTCTAAGGCATTCTCAAGCTTCATCGTGAATTCATGCAATCCCAGTTCCACTGCCACAGCAACAAACATATCACACAAATGACTGCAGGAGTCACTCTGTCACCTGGCCAACTTTGGCTCAGTTTCAACTGGACTACAAGACCCTGCTTTAGTGACTTAAAACAACCATTTTATTGCTTGTGGTTCTTTGGGGCAGGAATTCAAGCAATGCTCAGCTGGGAGGCTCAACTGTGGATAAAGGATCTAAGATGGCTTCACTCACATGTCTGGCAGTTGGTGCTGCCTGTCAACTGGGGCACCTAATTTCTCCTCCACATGGACTCTCATCCTCCAGACTCTTTCTCTCTCTCCCTCTCTCTCTGTTTCTCTCTCTCTCCCTCTGTCTCCCTTTGTTTTCTGCACGCGCTCCCTCCCTCCATCCTCTATGTGGCCTATCTAGTAGGATAACCCAGACTTCTTTACATGACACCCAGCTTCCAAGAGAACAAAAACAAATGCTGCAAGGCCTGCAAGGGCTTTGCCCAGAAGTCACACAGCATCACTTATGCTCCATTCTGTTGGTCAAAGCAAATCAGAGGGCCAGCCGCAATTCAAGGAGAGGGGTCATAGACTTTGCTTCTTGGTAGGAGGCGTGGAATGTCTGTACAGTGAGGGGGAAAATTGTTGACAGACATCTTGTAAGCAATTCACTACAGGCACCATGTTTTTCTAGTCTGGTATTCAAGTTGGCCCTCAAGCAACTCTTTATACAGATTTTTTATCAAAAGCATCACAGGACCTCCTTTCCATCTAAGACACACCAAGTGATGTCATCTTTGGAAAAGCCACTCCCAACTATGGCTAATAACAGGTATATGCATCTCAAGCCTGCCAAACTGAGGTATTCTCTCAATTGTAGTTGGAGTTTTGCCACACACACACACACACACACACACACACACACACCCTACTTAATTAGGCTCAATGACAGAGAAACAGGGATGGACTGGCTGATTCCCTTAAGCTGGAACAGAGTCTTCAGAGTTGCTCCTCATGACATCTCATAATCAATTGCTCCCTAGAGCTGAAAACAGAAATGGTACAGATCCAATAAAAGTCCCAGAAAAGCTACATTTGGAAAGCACATATGTATATTATTTTAGCGCGTGGTGGCACACACCTGTAATTCCAGCTACTCGGGAGGCTGAGGCAGGAGAATGGCTTCAACCCAGGAGGCAGAGGTTGCAGTGAGACAAGATGGCGCCACTGCACCCCAGCCTGGGCGTCAGAGCCAGACTCCCGCTCAAAAAAAAACAAAAAACAAAAAACAAAAAAACAAAGAGACATCAAAAGAGAAGGCTCCAGGCTCATTCATAGACATAGTCAAAGCAAAGAGGAGACTCTGAAAAGAGCCTAAAGGGCTCTTTAGATTCCTATTTTGCAGGGAATACGCAGAAGTCCTGCTATGGAAAATGATTGAGACAGAACACCAAACTTTAATAAAAGTGGACTGGCATGTGACCACCCCACTCCACTACATGCCTGCAGTCAGCAGACTGCCCACTTAATTAGATGTGGGGATGAGGAAGGTAAAATGACCTTTAAGCAGTGTCATTGGACTTTGCTGGACAGACAGAATTACCCCCACAATACCATAGACAACTTCTGATGTGGTGTGACAAGGCGAGCCAAATTCCTTGGGCCCACGCTGGGGAGCCTTGCCTGAGGAGCATAATTTGTAAGTGGTCTCAGCAAATGGTGGTAAAATCCATCAACAGCGACAATCAGAGCAGCAGAAGAGGCTGTTGAATTACAGTACCAGGGGGAAAATTAGAAGAGTAATCCCCTGGATTATATCCTTGAAATATTTACATAGCCCAGACTTGATTGGCTAGTTTGTAAAATAGCCCCCGGAAATAGTGGCGACAGTGGGATTGGAGCTGGAATGTTGCCGTTTCTAAGCAAACAAATTCCTCCCTTTGGAAAATGGACCATCTTAGAGAGTGGTCCTTCGTTTATTCAAAACAGATGTGTGGCGGAAGGTTGGTATTAGCAAAGTACCATTCTTCAGTTTAGTTTTGTGTGGTTTCCCAAGGCACACAAATGTGTTCTACTTATTAGAAAACACTTAGAAGGATAGGGGTTTTAAGGTTATATGTATGCTCTTACTGCTTATAATCCCACTCTCTCCAGAGGAAAACCTTCCAGGAGGGTGCAATAGCTGAGAAGAAGAACACACCCAGAAAATGAAAAAGGACGACTCAACCATAGGTTTTGCAAAGGCAGGGACTTCGCTTTCTGTACCATTGTATTTTAGTTCCAAGCACTGCAACTCATAAAGGGCTTCTTCAGTAAACATTTGTTGAAAGAGTGAACCTAATTGAAAATGAGTGAGGTACCTTCAATTTCCTACAATTTGATAGATCCGGTATTCGGAGGAAAATTCCCAGGGCATAACACCTAAAAATGATGAATGTAATTTTTTAAAGCATTTAAAAAATACATGGCTGAGCCTGGTAGAAAAGGTAAAGTAATTGTGAGAGGCTAGAATCTGTGAGGAAGAGCAAATCCCAAAAGATAAGCAGATGCTAAAGCAGGCACAGGCTCTGCACACATTGATAAGGCTGTGCCTTGTGCAAGAGCACCCAGTCAAGGTGAACAGTGAAGCGATGTTTAATCCACACTTAGCTTCTCAAGGCTTGACTCAGCCCGGAAGAAGAAATGTGTTTTTGATATTCATCCGGCAGGGCACAGTGGCTCATGCCTGTAAACCCAACACTTTGGGAGGCCGAGGCAGGCGGATCACTTGAGATCAGGAGTTCGAGATCAGCCTGGCCAACATAGTGAAACCCTGTCTCTACTAAAAATACAAAAATTAGCTGGGTGCGGTGGCATCAGCCTATAGTCTCAGCTCCTCGGGAGGCTGAGGCAGGAGACAGAAGTCAATAGGAATACATAAGATTTTTAAAATATAATTAACAATATTGAAATAATGAACATACGTAGAAAATTTCACTCAGCAACTCAGAATATGCATTCTTCTCAAGCATACAAGGACTCTTTATGAAAATTACATAGTAGGCTATAAAATGAGTTTCAACTAACTACCTTCCTTCTTTTCTTTTTTTAAATTTGAAACAGAGTCTCACTCTATCACCCAGGCTAGAGTGCAGTTGTGTGATCACCCAACAGTCCCCACAGTTCTTCTGGGCTCAGGTGATTCTCCCACTTCAGCCTCCCAAGTAGCTGGGACTACAGGTATGTGCCACCATACAAAGCTAATTTTTTCTTTTTTAAATATTTTATAGAGACTGGGTCTTGCTCGGTTGCCCAGGCTGGTCTTAAACTCCTGGCCTCAAGTAATCCTATACCACCTGGCTTCCCAAAGTGCTAGATTACAAGCATAAGCAACCGTGCTCAGCCAGTTTACAACTTTCAAATTTCAGGTTTAAACCGAAGCCTCAAATTTCATACAACTGATATAGTCTAGCATACCGCACACTGACTTCATTGCAATTAGGTAATGAATGAATAATAACTAAATAACTTTTAAAACTCCATTTATTTTCAGGAGGAGGGAACTTCCTAATATTTCATGGGCAGAGAAGAAAAAACATAATAAAAATTATTAAAATGCTCAGAACAACGTAATGACATGATTAGAATGATTGTGGAATTCAGCTAAAACAGTGCTTCAAAAAAAATCATAGCCTTTGATGTATGTAGTAAAAAGAAGGAAGGCTGAAAATTAATAAGATAATCATCCAACTTACAAAATTAGTTTGAAAAGAATATTCTCTAAGAAAGTAATAAATATAAGAAGAAATTAGTGATCTAGAAAACATTGGGAAGAGAGGATCATCACAGTCAAAATTTGGTTCTATGAAAACACTTATAAAATTAATAATCTCTGGCAAGACCAATCTAGAAAAAAAGTAGAAAAACTAGAAAAGTGAGATGGCACAAATGAGCAATAGTAGGAATACCAAAAGGGAAAAAGAAGAAGCAGCGATTTAAAAGATAACCCAAAAATACTATTAACTTTAAGACAAATGTGAAAGCTTAGGGAAAGGGAAAAATTCTTAGAAAAATTATAAATTGCTAAATTCAACTAAAGAAGAAATAGAAAAGCTAAACTTTTCTGTGAACATTATTGAAATTGAATCAGAAGTTTAAAACTTCCCAAAAAGAAAGCACCAGAGTTAGGTAGTTTATAGATGAGATCTACCAAACAGAGTCAAGAAACAAGAAATAACAAATTGTCCTTGCTCTGCTGCTATAGCACTGCATGTTCGGCCTACAGACCACTTGGCTTTTTAGGTGATAGCTTGCTAGATCATGAGAAGCTGTATCTGAAACTGAAGGAGAGGCTGCACATCTAGACCTAGAGATCATGTATTGTGAGCTAGATTACGTGACATTGTGGGACTTAGGGTTGTTTTCCTTGTGGAAAAGGTGAGTATGTTCTTTGTGTGGAAAGAAGGGGAAGCAGATGTTTCCCTACCAGAAGAAGAGATCACTGGAGACAAGGCTATGTAATCACCAAATCATATTTTCTTTTCCACTGGAGCACAAAACTGTCTATATCTCCCAGCATCCTTTGCATTTAAGTGTGGTCATGTGAGTGGGTTCTCGCCAATGGGATGTGTGTTAGAGATGATGTACGCTGTCTGTAGGCCTAGTCCCTATTAAAAAAATCTCTTGTATGATCTATCACTCTCTGTCTCTTCCTTTGTTTGTTAAATGCAGAGGACCCAGAGGAGGACTCTGAAGCCCTAGGGGATATAAGAGCCTCTAAAATGTAAGAAGCCTGGATCCCTTAATGACTATATGGAGCAGAGTCCTCCCCCATGCCCACCCATAACCAATACTGAAGTGTGAGTAAGAAATGAGGGAGAAATAAACCCTTATATTGTCGAGCCACTAAGATTTGAGGGGTTTTGTTTTGTTGTTGTTGTTGTTGTTGTTTTTAACAGCAGTTAGCCTACCCCAAAAATATAGCAGTGCTAAACCAACTCACCTAGAAAACAGGAAAAGAGGAAACACACTCCAAGTCATTTTATAATTCCAAAACACAGGAACACTACAATGAGGAAAATCTTCAGATCAATCTCAACAACAGGGAAATATACACAACAGGGAAAATAGCTAAAATCTGAATTAAAGGTATTAGCATAATAAAGAAAGAAATGATAAATTGTGATGAAGAGTATCATGGAAATTTGACAGAGTTGGTGGCTTTTGAGAGGAACTTCATGAGCAAGGGTGTTGAGACTTCAAAGAGGAGCTTGAGTTTGTTCCTGATTGCCTATATGCAATAAGGAATCACTACAGATTTCCAGAAGAATTGTCTTTTATTAAATGTTTTATTCATTTATTACTGTAAATATAGCTTTCCTATAAAGTCTTACTTAAGCAAAACTTCAAAGTATAATAACTCAATTCATTAAAGTCTAAATTCAGTAAATTGAGCAAATATTTTTATCGCAATGTGCCATAAGCTAAGTAGACTTGCAAGCCGGTCCCTCCCTCCACCCCTCAAAAAAAATGAGTGCTTGGCTTGTAACTTCTTAACCCATTGCTCAATTATGTCTAAATAAAAAGAGGTTTGGTGAAATTTTTACATTAAAAAAATTCGGTTTTTCTCTAAGAGCTTCATACATCCCTTGTGAAAGAATAATACTCATCCTGATATGTTGCTTATGTCAAGTATTTAATATTCCAAAATATCTGCCCCCCCCCCACCCAAAAAAAAAGAGTGAACTAAGTAGAATCCTCCAAAAGTGGGTGGAGGTGAGCCTTTGGGATAAGTAGGGTCTGACTCTTCATGTGAGCTCAGTGGTGTCAATCACAGCTTTCTTGCCAAGTTAATAACACTCGACATTCTACCACCTGGAGTAGGAACACAGTGGGAGAATTTCAGATGCATGAGGTTTTTCCAA
Organism: Homo sapiens; assembly: GCF_000001405.40. Classification (NCBI taxonomy): domain Eukaryota; kingdom Metazoa; phylum Chordata; class Mammalia; order Primates; family Hominidae; genus Homo; species Homo sapiens. The sequence goes on from NC_000006.12 coordinate 131,071,695, forward strand.
GAAGAAAAGTTTAAGATGTGAGAATAGGCTGGTTATGAGATCTATCAAGCAAATTCACCACCAGTCTGAACTGATCTGATCTGCCTGGTCAAACACTTTGCCTTGCTTCCTCACCAGTATTTCTTCAGATCTCCAAAAGCTCTGACCTCAACAAACAGCTTTCCCAGTTGGTTTCATTTCTAGTTCTAATATTTAAAAATAAGTTTTTGTCTGTTTTGGAAAAGGCTAACAGGCAAGAGTAGGCTCCCAAAGATAGAAGTCGTATCTAACATCTTATACCGCAAAGAAAATTAACCCACTTATACCAAAGGTTGCAAATTTATTTTTTGAAAAATCAAACCTTGGCAATGACCTTGAGCAGTAGGACATAAATAACCCCCACAAGCTTAGCATCCCAATAATGGAACACTAGACATAAATGGATTAATTAATTAATCCAGAAGTTAGCTGAGGTTAGGGTTGGGGAAGACAAAACCTGCAGTGAAGAACTCAAACTTCCCCATGAGGAGGCGTTTATACCATGCATGCAAACATGACAGAGTGAAAGCAACATATTAATCTGTGTCTTTTTTTCAACAGCTGTATTGTAAAGTTACAATGCATTTAACTTGTCCCTTATTGAATTATATGTAGTTAAAACTTTTTGCTCCTATAAATAATGCTTATAATAAAATTAATATTCTTGTCTAAATGTCTGTAAGTAAAATGTACAAGTATATATGTAGGATAAATTTCCAGAAGTATAACTATTGGGTGGAAGAATATTTGAAGAAATTCTTCATATGTGTTGCCATATTTGATGACAAATTTTATGGCAAATTACCTCATAGGTCACTGGCTGGACTGTGGATTGGCTGGAAGGCTGTGGTTCAGATGTTTGGGGATACAATATGGCTGTGCATGTACTGGGGGTGAGAGGTGAGGGTGGCAAATTTACCAAGAATATTCCTGTTCAAGGAATATCCTGGGGCCCATTCCCTCTGTAGAAACTGTAAATACTACAGGTACTGTGTTTGAATAGCTCAATATTATTAGACCCACGGGAAGATCTGGGTCTTGAATACCCTAGAACATACAAAGAGAGAACAAGGAAACAGGTTCTTTGAATGATTACATTTACTCCAGGCATAATTACTGTGCCAATGCAAAGCTACTTCAAGATGGAGATCTCTTAGGTAGGGTCAGAAAAAGAGTAGACATCTGTGTGTTTAGTCAATTTTGACTTTATTATATTTGGAAATTTGAATTTTCTAAACTTGCTTGTTTTTATGCTTTTGAATTTTTTAAATTGAGTTTTGATTTTAGTTTAGATTTATTTTTATTGCTATCTATTTTAAACATCTGCCAGAACTACAGTGAAGGAAAAAAAATAAGGGAAGATTTTGATAAAACCTAAGTAACAGGCCAAGGAAATGGAAAGCCAGTTGCTTCCAGATATAACAGAGACAACATTAGTAGAACATCAGGAGATCCAGAAAACCACAGGAGGCTGACTACTTGGCACAGTTGGGAGACAAACCTTGTAGGCCAAAGAAAGAAAATTGAAGATGATAGAGATTTCTCTTTTGCTTTCACACACAAGTTTCTTTAACCTTTAGCAAAAGATGCAATTCATTTTGTAGCTGAGGATCTTTAATTGGATGGCATTTAGAAGAAAACATAGCTAGTTATTTAATCTCATAAATTCAATTCAGTATCTGTAATTTCTCTAAATATTTCGTAGTTTTCCACATAGACATCTTTCTTAGCTTTAATTGTACTTGTTGCTAGGTATTTGATTTTTTTCATGTTATTATAAATAGTATCATTTTGTACATTTTGTTTTTTAAGTAATTTATATATTAAATGGAAATGCAATTGATATTAGTATGTGTGCTTTGTATCCTGTGATCTTAATAAATCTACTGTTAATTCTAACAGTTATTCTGTAGACTCTTGATATGGTTTTGGCTTTGTGTCCCCACCCAAATCTCATCTTAAATTATAATCCTCAAAATCCCCACATGTCAAGTGCGGGACCTGGTTAGAAGTGACTGGATCATGGGGTGGTTTCCCCCTGCTGTTCTTGTGATAGTGAGTCAGTTCTCACAAGATCTGATGGTTTTATAGGTGTTTGACATTTCCTCCTACACACGCTCATGCTGTCTCTCTCCTGCCACCATGTAAAACATGCTTGCTTCCCCTTCTGCCATGATTGTAAGTTCCCTCAGGCCTCCCCAGCCAAGTGGAACTGTGAGTCAATTAAAACTCTTTCCTTTATAAATTACCCAGTGTCAGATATCTCTTTATAGCAGTGTGAGAACAGACTAATACAACTCTTTTGAATTTTCAGTGTACACTATGATGGTTTTAAAAATCTGCCCACAGGCCTAGCATAGTGGCTCACAACTATAATCACAGCACTTTGGGAAGCTGAGATGAGAGGGTCGCCTGAGCCCAGGAATTGAGACCAGCCTGGGCAACATAGCTGGACCCCATTTCTTTCTTTTTATTTTTTTTTATTTTTTTTATTTTAAGTTCTGGGATACATGTGCTGAACGTGCAGGTTTGTTACATAGGTATACATGTGCCATGGTGGTTTGCTGCACCTACCAACCTGCCATCTAGGTTTTAAGCCCCGCATGCATTACATATTTGTCCTAATGCTCTTTCTCCCCTTGCCCCCCTACCCCTCAACAGGCCGCAGTGTGTGGTGCTCCCCTCCCTGTGTCATACCCCTTTTCTACAAAAAAAATAAAAATAAAAATAATCTGCCCACAAATTTTTTTAACGTACCTTTGTCTGGCAGAGACTAATTTCCTTCCACTGAGTGTGAGACATACTTGGTAACTTGCTTTTAACTAAAGGGATATGGCAGAAAATTACAGAGTATGATTTCCAAGGCAAGATTGTAAAAGATGTTGTGGTTTCTATCTTGCTCTCTCTTAGACCATTGGTTCTGGGAAGCCAGCTGCCATATGGTGAAGACCCTCAAACAGCCCAGGGCAGAGGCCAATGTGCCAACAACCAAGTGAGTGAGCAATCTTAGAAGTGGATCCTGCAGCCCCAGGAAAGCTTTGGATAACTGCAACCCTAATTGATGTCATGAAAGACCTTAAACCAAAATCGATCAGCAAAGCCACTCCCGAATTCCTGACCCACAGAACCTGTGAGATAATAAATATTCGTTAGGCCAGGCCCTGTGGCTCACGCCTATAATCCCAACACTTTGGGAGGCCTAGGTGGGTGGATCACCTGAGCTCAGGAGTTCGAGACCAGCCTGACCTACATGGAGAAACCCCGTCTCTACTAAAAATATAAAAAACAATTAGCCGGGCAATTAGCCTGTAATCCCAGTTACTTGGGAGGCTGAGGCAGGAGAATCGCTTGAACCTCAGAGGCGGAGGTTGTGGTGAGCCGAGATCACACCATTGCACTCCAGCCTGGGCAACAAGAGTAAAACTCCATCTCAAAAAAATAAAAAAATAAATACTTGTTGCTTCAAGCTGTTAAGTTTTTGGGTAATTTGTTATACAGCAATAGATAATTAAAATGTGTACTACCCACATTTTATTTTCAAATAATAGTTTTATTTCATTCTTCTCATTTTCTTCTTTATTCCTTATTCTTCACTTACTATACTAGCTGGGACAATGTTGAATAGAACTAATGACAATGTGGCTCTATATCTCATTCCTAGTTTCAAGGAGAATATTTCATTCATTATTAAGTACAATGCCTATGTTTAGCTTTAGCTTTTTGGGTAAATACCTTTTATCAAACTAAGAATGTTTATTTCTAGTCCTAAATTATGAAGAGTTCTCTTCTTTTTCTTTTTTTTTTAAAATAATGAGCAGCTGTTAAATTTAATCAAATGAGTTTTTTTCCTCTGAATCTATTAAGATGATCATATATGATTTCTTTCCTTTATGAAGTGAATTACATTAATTGATTTTCAAATGTTAAGTCAACTTTGTGCTCCTATAATAAATTCAGTTTAGGCCAGGCACGGTGGATCACGCCTATAATTCCAGAACTTTGGGAGGTGGGAGGATCACTTGAGCTCAGGAGTTGGAGGCCAGACTAGGCAACATGATGAAACCCTGTCTCTACCAAAAAATACAAAAAATTAGTCAGATGTGGTAGCACATGACTGTAGTCCCAGCTACTCAAGAGGCTGAGGTGGGAGAATTGCCTAAGCCCGGGAGGCAGAGGTTGCAATGAGCTGAGATGGCGCCACTGCACTACAGCCTGGGTGACAGAGCAAGACTCCATCTCAAAAAATAAATAAATAAAAAATAAATTCAATTTGATCATAATGTATTACCTTTGTACACACTGCTATATTCAATTTGTTAATACTGTATTTAGAATTTTTGCATTTTCATTCATGAGAGATATTGAACTGTAATATTTCCTCTTTAGTAATGTCCTTAATTAAATTTTGGTACCAAGGTGATGTTAGCCTTATTAAGTTGCAAAGTTTACACTCATTTTCTATTTTCTGAAAGGGTTCTTATAAGATTGGTGTTATTTTTTCTTAAGTGTATAATAATTTACCAATAAAGACATATAGTCTCAGAAAATTTTGTGGAAAGGTTTTTAATTACAGGGCTTTTTAAATCAAAAAAGGTTTTGGTAAGTTGCGTTTTTAAAGGAATCAAAATTTCTTCTGAATTTTCAAATGTATTGGCATAAATTGTTCATGTTTTTATTAGCCTTTTAATGTCAAAAGGATCTGTAGTGCTGTCTCTTTATTTCTGACCTAGGTCATTGTGCTGTCTCTTTTTGTTGTTGTTTGTTTTGTTTTTTTGAGACAGTCTTACTCTACTGCCCAGGATGGAATGCAGTGGTACAATCTTGGCTCATTGCAACCTCTGCCTCCTGGGCTCAAGCGATCCTCTCACCTCAGCCTCCCAAGTAGCTGGGGCCACAGTGTGTGCCACCACACCCAACTAATTTTTTGTATTTTTTGTGGAGATGAGGTCTCCCTATGTGACCCAGGCTGGATGCTTTCTCTTTTTTTCTTGATCATTCTTGCTGGGGGTTAATCAATTTTATTAGTCATTTTAAAGAAGACCTTTTGGCTTTAATTTTTTTCCCAGTGCCTTTTTTTTAAGAGACAGGGTGTTACTCTGTTGCCCAGGTTTGGGTGCAATAGTGCAGTTATAGTTCACTGAAACCTCAAACTCCTGGGTTCAATTGATCCTGCCACCTGAGCCTTCTGAGTAGCTAGGACTACAGGTGCTTACCACCACGCCTGGCTACATTATTATTGTTTTATAGTGACAGAGTCTTGCTATGTTGCCCAGAGTGGTGTCAAACTCCTGGCTTCAAGCAATCCTCTCACCTCGGCCTCCCAAAGCTCTGGGATTATAGGCATGAGCCACCACGCTCAGTCCCCCGAGTGTTTTTTGTTTGTTTCTTTGTTTGTTTGAGATGGAGTTTTGCTCTTGTTGCCCAGGCTGGAGTGCAATGGCGCAATCTCGGCTCACCACAACCTCTGCCTCCTGGGTTCAAGTGATTCTCCTGCATCAGCCTCCCAAGTAGCTGGGATTGCAGGTATGCGCCACCATGCCTGGCTAATTATTTTTAGTAGAGATGGGGTTTCTCCATGTTAGTCAGGCTGGTCTCAAACTCCTGACCTCAGGTGATCCACCCGCCTAGGCCTCCCAAAATGCTGGGATTACAGGCGAGAGCCACCGCTCCCGGCTGGTGTTTTTTTTTGTTTTAATCTAATTGGTATCTGCCCTTATTCTTCTTATTTCTTTCATTTGTTGTTCTTCTAAAATCTTAAAAAAGCTACTTAGATTATTGATTTTTCAGTATTTCTTTTTTCCTTATATATGCATTTATGGCTATAAAATTCTTAACCTTTCATGCATTTTGATATTATATTTTTGCTTTCGTTCAGTTAAAAATATTCTTTTGGTTCAAAATCTGGGTGTATTTGGCACTATTTGATACCAAGACTTATTGTAAAGCTGTAAGATATGCGATATTGCCAGAAGGATAGACAAATAGGCCACTGGAACAGAACAGAGTGTTGGAAACCAGACCCACACATGTATAGTCACTCAATTTATGAGAAAGGTGCTGCTGTAGGGAAACGGAGAAAGAATGTTCTTATCAAATAAATGGTATTGGGTCTATTGGATATCCATAAGAAAAAATAAATGAATCCTGATCCATTCCTCCCTGTCCATATAAAAACCAGTTGTGGCTAGATTGTATAATAGACCTAATGTAAATGGAAGTATTTAAAGCTCCTATCTACAAAAGGTAATATGAAAGAATGTCTTCATAATCTTGGGATAGGCAGCAATTTCTTAGAATTAACATATGTGTGCATGTACACACACACACACCCCATAAAGAAACAGACTGATCTGTTGCATTCATTAATAATTAAGAACAATTGTTCAGGAGAAGATATCTTTAAGACAGTGAAAAGGCAAGTTGCAGGGTGGAAGTAGATATTTGGAATTCACATATCTGACAAAATATCCTTGTGTAGAATATATAAAGAACATCTACAAATCAATAAAAATAAGCCAAAACACCCAGTGGAAAATGGGCCAAAGACATGGCAACTTCATAAAAACAGGATACTCAAAGGATTAACAAACATATAAAAAGTTTCTCAACATCTAACTCAGGAATGGAAAACCAAACATCGTATGTTTTCACTCATAAGTGGGAGCTAAGTTATGAGGATGCAAAGGCATAGGAATGATACAATGGACTTCGGGGACTTGGGGGAAAGGGTGGGAGTAGGGTAAAGGATAAAATACCACAAGTTAGGTACAGGGCATACTGCTCAGGTGATGGGTGCACCGAATCTTACAAATCACCACTAAAGAACTTACTCGTGTAACCAATCACTACCTGTTCCGCCAAATCCTATGGAAATAAAATAAAATAAAAAAGAAAAGTTAACATCATTAGTCACCAGAGGAATGCAAATTAAAATCATGTTGTATTACCACTATGTAGCCACCAAAATGGCTAAAAATAAAAAGAATGAATACTAAATGTTAAGGATGATGAGAGTCCAAACTGGTAAAACTAATCTGGAAAACTGTCTGGCTGAATATACTAAAGCCAGGCATATGCATATCTTATGGCCCAAAAATTCTACTCCAAGGAATATGTTCTAAAGAAACGTGTACATAAACACACCGAAAGACACATATGCAAATGTGCATAACAGCATTTTTGAAATAACTCAAATAACGGAATATGCCCAAATAATAGAATTATGGTATGCTCATATAATCAGTTATAATACAGCAATGAAAATGAGTAAATTGTTGCTACAATCAAACATGGATGTACCTCAAAAATGTAATGATGAGTGAAAAAAGCCCAATAGAAGAATATACACAATACGAGTCTATATATATAAAGCACAAAAGCAGGCAATAATAATCTATGGTGATATCAATCAAGGATAATGGTTAACCAAACATGGTATGTTTTCACATGTGCATATGTACAAAAACATATTCCTTCACATGCTTGTGAAGGAATGACTGAAAGGGGGTTTTGGGGTGATGTCAGTGATGTATTTTCTGATACGGGTGGTGGTTACACAAGTGTGTTAAGTTTGTAAAAATTCATTGAGTGGTAGGTTTATAATTTGTGCACTTTTCTGTATGAATGTTATACTTCAAAAATTAGCTGGGCGTGGTGGCGGGCACCTGTAATCCCAGCTACTTGGGAGGCTGAAGCAGGAGAATCGCTTGAACCTGGAAGGTGGAGGTTGCAGTTAGCCAAGATCGTGCCATTGCACTCCAGGCTGGGCGACAGAGTGAGACTCTGTCTCAAAAAAAAAAAAAAAAAAAAAAAAAGTGTTGAATGAAACAAATGCTGGCTGGGCGCAGTGGCTCATGCCTATAATCCCACACTTTGGGAGGCTGAGGTGGGCAGATTACCTGAGGTCGGGAATTCAAGACCAGCCTGACAAACATGGAGAAAGCCCGTCTCTACTAAAAATACAAAATTAGCCTGGCATGGTGGTGCATGCCTGTAATCCCAGCTACTCGGGAGGCTGAGGCAGGAGAATCGCTTGAACCCAGGAGGCAGAGGTTGCGGTGAGCCGAGATCGCGCCATTGCACTCCAGCCTGGGCAAGAACAGTGAAACTCCATCTCAAAAAAAAAAAAAAAAAAAGCTAAGGAAAAAATATGCGTCTATACCAACTCTAAGTAGCAGCATTTCTCTGCTTTTATCGTAGGCCTTCCTGGCAGAAAGAATTAAACTCCTCACTCTGTGTGTGTATTTCAAATTGTATTAAAATATTAAATCCATTTAAAAACAATGCAGATCCTAACCTTAACATTAGGTTTGATAGGATTGGCCTATCTCCTTAACTCCAATCTGTTAATTACTGTTACCTAAGTAATTACCAACTTTTATTTTCATTTCTGAAAAATTTTTTTAAAAGAAGCAAGCTTGGTTTTCAAAATTAAATGTCGAATATCTGTATCCAGCATTTAATTTTGAAAATCAAATTTGCTTCTTTTTATTTTACTTTTCTTTTGTTTTTGCAAGGATATCTCACCGTCACCCAGGCTGGAGTGTAGTGGTGAGATCATAGCTCACTGCAACCTCCGCCTCCCAGGCTCAAGTGATCCTCCCACCTCAGCCACCTGAGTAGCTGGGACCACAAGCATGTCCCGCATGCCCGGCTTATTATTTTTTTATTTTTTATTTTTGAAGAGATGGGGTTTCACCATGTTGCCTAGGCTGGTCTCAAATTCCTGAACTCAAGTGATCTGCCTGCCTTGGCGTCTGAAATTGCTGGGATTACAGGCATGAGCCACCACGACCAGTCTATTTAATGTTTTTCAACAGCAGTTTCACTTTGTATTCAGGGAGATCAATGATGGACTTTAAAATAAATATGTTGTAGAAATGTCCATCTCCAATGTATGTATTCTTTAATTTTCAACATAACAATGTGAATGGGATATGATTGTTCTTGTGAGTAGTTGAGGAATTACAGCAATAACATAATTATGTTTTTGTACATATGCACAAGTGAAGAAATACATTTCTCAATAAATATAGGTTATAAAGTAAAAAGTATTTTTTAAAAACTCACTCACAGAATATGGGTTGCATAGCCTGTGGGAGAATATATGTAGGCAAAGGAAGGCCTGCCTTATTATATCCTCCTTTTTATCCATCAAGAAAAAAAGGGGCTGGACATGGTGGCTCATGTCTGTAATCCCAGCACTTCGAGAGGCCAAGGTAAGAGGATCACTTGAGACCCAGAGTTCAAGACTAGCCTGGGCAATAAAGCAAGACACCATTCCTACACGCACAAAATAATAATAAAAATTAGCTGGGTGTGATGGCACGAGCCTGTAGTCCTAGCTCCTCAGAAGGCTGAGCCAGGAGGATCCTTGAGCCCAGGAGTTCAAGGCTGCAGTAAGCTAGGATTATACTACTGAACACCAGTCTGGGTGACAGAGTGAAATGAGTGAAATCCTGTCTAAAAAAAAAAAAAAGAAAGAAAAGGAAAAGAAAAAGAAAGGGAAAAACGGATAGAAGACAAATCAAGGCAAAAAATAACAGGCTGAGAAAAGTAAACAAATTATTTTTTCCAGCCTGATGACATGGTCCTTTTATCGGATCATGAAACAATTTTAGTAAAGAGAATTACTAGAGGAAAGGATGAAAAAGATCCAGGAAACAATATAATGAAACCACTGAAAACCACTTCTAAATAAGTATCTAACCAATTGTTTGGAATATAATGGTATTATCTCTAAGCAGGTGGAATCTTCTACTGCAATAATATTTTACAATGTGTGCCTCTTTTTAATTTTTTTAAAGCTACCCTTGAAAAGCAAGTTTACTATGAGACGGTTTAAGTCTTAGTTCTCAACAGTTCTTATTGGCTTAGCGCTAACGTGTAAGTCATATAAAAGAAGTGTGTGTTTTTGTACTCGCACCAATTCAGATGGAAGGTAGGTGATGACTAATAAAAAGAACACATCTGTATAACAGAGCTCCATCCAAAAGTATGGTAATCACGGGAGTTTACCACACACACACAATGGCAACAGCCATGTGTCACTCTCTCTGCCATACTATTACTTAACTGAAGTTCAAGCTATCCCTTTTTGTTGTTATTTTCTGCAGCCTTAAGCTATTATCTCTTTTTAAAACAGAGAAAGCAAACTTAAAAAGTTTTTCTCTCACCCTCAGTCACAAGCCATTTTTGTTTTTTGTTGTTTAAATCAGATCCCTTCTCTAATCTTCAGACTGTAGTGATTTAAGGCATTAACATCGTCTTTAAATGTCTCATTCCTATTTCTCCACCCTTTTTTCAGTTGGTTCCATATTTCTCCTCACCTTTCAGTAACTGTTTTGGGCCAGGCGCAGTGGCTTGCGCCTGTAATCTCAGCAATTTGGGAGGCCTAGGTGGGTGGATGACCTGAGGTCAGGAGTTTGAGACCAGACTGGCCAACATGGTGAAACCCTGTCTCTACTAAAAAAAAAAATTAGCCGGGCATGGTGGCAGGCACCTGTAATCCCAGCTCCTTGGAAGGCTGAGGCAGGAGAATCGCTTGAACCCAGGAGGCAGAGGTTGCAGTGAGCTGAGATCGCACCATTGCACTCCAGCCTAGGCAACAAGAGCAAAACTCCATCTCAAAAAAATACAAACTAAAAAATAAAAAATAATAACTCTTTTGACTGTTAACAAAAGGGAACTTTGCTGTCCATGCCTCCAAACTACAAACCTAGATTTTTTTACTTCCCACTGCACAAATTGTCATTCACTTTATCTGAAGTCCAAGTAAATTGTTTAACTATATTGCCAGTGATCTGTGAGTTGACAATTAAGGTACTGCACTTGGCCCTTTGTCCTAGAGAAAATATCCTTTGATGTCAATAAGACTTTTCAGTCTATCAAGTTTATCAGCCAATTGGTAAACATTTAAAGGAAGAATATGAACATGGGAAGTCACTTTGTCATTATTTATTTTTAATTTCCTTTATAATCTCACAGAAAAGTCTATAATCGTGTGTTTATTATGAGACTATAACCACGTAAACTACTTTGAAGTTATGACTTCAAAAAGTTTTCAACATCACAAAGCCTAACAGGGGAGAGAAGACTTACTTTATTATAAGCACTATTTAAACAGCAAATAACTTCGATAATTTTAAAGATTTTTAAACAAAATTATCCAAACATCTGGAAGCTATTAAAGAACTGAGGAAATTATACCACGGTTAAATTTAGAAAGGCATTTTTATTATAAATTCCTTATAAAGTAAGTCTGTGAAAAACAAAGCTAAATTACCATTTTACTCAAATTTCTCATATTAATTAGGCATATTATAATTTTTTTTTTTGAGATAGAGTCTCACTCTGTTGCCCAGGCTGGAGTACAGTGGTGCAATTTCAGCTCACTGCAACCTCCTCCTCCAAGGTTCAAGCGATTCTTATGCCTCAGCCTCCAGAGTAGCTGGGACTACAGGTGCCCACCACCACACCCAGCTAATTTTTGTATTTTTAGTATAGACGGGATTTCATCATGTTGGCCAGGCTGGTCTTGAACTCCTGACCTCAAGTGATCTGCCTGCCTTGGCCTCCCAAAGTGCTGGGATAACAGGGGTGAGCCACCACACCTGGCTGCCATATTATGATTGCAATTTAAAATTACTCTGGGAGAACAATGGCATAGTGTTTACCTGGGTAAAGAAGGTAGATAATTAAGATTATGAGAGACAGAAAAATGTTTATTTTAATAAAAATGTCAGATATTATTTATACACATTTTTATGTCTATTAAACATATTAAATATTACAGTCTTAGAAGTCAGACAAAATCGGCTTTAAATTTCAGCTCCACCACTTACCAGTTGCCAGAACTTAGGTGAGATTCATCAACTTGGAAGTACGACGTTCTCCTCTGTATAGAACAGAGATAACACAAGATGATTAAGTGAGGTCATACCTGAAAGTGCCTACCACTGAATATGTACTCAATAAATGTTTCCTTCCTTCTTTCCCATCTCTTCCATTTTGCTTCTCCCTTTCAACGTTGATATCAATATGTTACACTGGCTTTTCACTTCACGATCTAAGCGGATGTCCATAAAAGTTTACAAGCACTCATATACTTCATATTTTCCCATTGTTACTAACAGTTTAAAACACTAGACATCCTCAAGAGGATTATGTGCTTATTTCAGGGACTGAAGTATAGGGGAAAAGCTATGAGAGTCTATTTTATTTGGCAGTAGGTCATGATGAAGGAAAAACCTCTTATCTACTAAGCCCTAGTCTGAGTCATACAATACATAAGATTTATAATATTTGCTCATTTTTATCTTCATACTACTCAGGTCTGCCATATTATTCAGAAGCCCATGTTTCTTTTGCTAAAAAAATGCTCTCATTTGCTTTTATAGATGTGCCTGAGGTACAAACAGTTTTGTGCAGTGTTAGTGAGAAAATGCATACTGAGTTTTAATCCGCTGACTTACAAATAAATGCAGAAGGCCAGGATGGATCTGGGTGGGGGGCTATTTAAAAACAAAAGCTGAAAGGGGAGGACCTAAGGCATATAAATAGATCAAGAGTGGTGTTGCCTGAGAAACTGTTCACTGATTCCCTGAACTGTGGAAAAGAGATGAAAACAATAGCTGAGAATCAGAGCAAGGCCTGAGGCCAGGACGTGCAAAAGTAAAGAGCAAACTGAATCAGTTTAGGCTGAGCTGTAACTGGAGGGTGCATTGAAAGGGGGTTGAAAATATATCAAAGAACAGAGTGTGGGGTGAATGAAGCCAGGTGACTCATAATTTAAACCCTCAGATACAGTGGAACCATATTGACACCAATGGTGAAAGGCAAAAGGAAGCAAAATGGACAAGAAAGAAAAAAAAGAAAGAACTATTTATTGAGCATATTGTCCCCAGATTGGGGACAGCTTTTTAAAGCTCATCAATCAGCCTGGACAAATTGGGCTAGAAGAAAGACACCCTTCCACCTACAGTCAGTTCATTCTCGTTAAGGAGCTGTTTCTACTCTTATAACCCATGCCTATCATTGTTCACACTTTAGTATACATGAGTTTTAGGAGTGATGATAGGAAACAGAGCAGATTCTATAATTCAGTATATGTAGCTTTCTTTTTTTGCTCAGGTATACCTTAACAATGACTCCTGATACTGTTGTTGTTGTTGTTGTTGTTGTTGTTGTTGTTGTTGTTGAGACGGGGTCTTGCTATGTTGTGCAGGCTGGCCTCAAACTCCTGGTCTCAAGCAATCCTCCTGCCTCAGCCTCCTGAGTAGCTGGGATTATAGGCACATGACACCATGCCCAGTGGACTCCTGCTAATTTTAAAAAATATCTCTAAGGTAGGTAACAAAGTTAAACTAAAACATTATTCTTACATTTATCTAAAAAGTGTGTTATTTCACCACCATCAGTGTGACCAGGCACACAGTCACCAGCAGGGGACCCCTGCACTCCCACAGCTGCATTGCTTCTGCAACTGCGGTGAATGCCCACAGAGAGGCAAGCATCCCAGTACCTGCTAGCATCCTGCTGCAGCTGCTGCTACCACTGCTGCTGGCACATGCAAACAGGGATGGATCCCGCTGTCACCACACTGAAACAATTTGGCTGACACCACCCATTGAAGTGTAGTGACCAGTGGTTCAGAGGCACTTCAGCCCTCAAGTACAATGGATTCCTAACCTCAAGGAGTCAGAGAACAATGTTGGGACCCAGCACAACACCCACAGAATTAGAGCATGCAGTCCAGGAGTTGGAAGCTGAGCACTGGCCCCCTAAAATCTTCCAGAAACAAAGCCAGGAGGTTGAATACACCTTATGCCACAACCAAACCCTCAAGGACATCAAATATAATTTTTAAAAAAGTTCAAAGGTCAGCAACTTGAAAGATTAAAGTAACATAAGCCCACAAAGATGAGAAAAACCAGCACAAGAACCCTTACAACTCAAAAAGCCAGAGTGACTTCTTTCCTCCAAATGACCAAATCACCTCTCCGGCAAGGATTCTGAACTGAGCTGAGATGGCTGAAATGACAGAAATAGAATTCAGAATATGGATAGGAATGAAGATCACTGAACTACAGGAGTATGTTGAAACCCAATCCAAGGAAGCTAAGAATCATAATAAAACAATGCAGAAACTGACAGACAAAATAGCCAGTATAGAAAAGAATGTAACCAACCTGATAGAGCTGAAAAACACACTACAAGAATTAATGCAATCACAAGTATTAATAGCAGAATAGACCAAGCAGAGGAAACAATCTCAGAGCTTGAAGACTGCCTTTCTGAAATAAAACAGTCAGACAAGAATAGAGAAAAAAGAATGAGAAGGAATGAAAAAACCTCTGAGAAATAGGTGATTAGGTAAAGAGACCAAATCTATGACTCACTGATGTCCCTGAAAGAGATGGGGAAAAATGGAACCAACTTGGAAAACATATTTCAGGATATAATCCATGAGAACTTCTCCAACTTAGCTAGAAAGGCAAATATTCAAATTCAGGAAATGCAGAAAACCCCAGTAAAATACTTCACAAGAAGATCATGCCCAAGACACATAATCATCAGATTCTCCAAGGTCAAAATGAAAGAAAAAATGTTAAAGGCAGAGAGAGGTTCCAAGATGGCTGAATAGGAACAGCTCTAGTCTACAGCTCCCAGCATCAGCGATGCAGAAGATGGGTGATTTCTGCATTTCCGACTGAGGTACCGGGTTCATCTCACTGGGGCTTGCCGGACTGTGGGTGCCGGACAGTGGATGCAGCCCATGGAGTGTGAGCCAAAGCAGGGTGAGGCATCGCCTCACCTGGAAAGAGCAAGGATTCGGGGAATTCCATTTCCTAGCCAAGGGAAGTCATGACAGACAGCACCTGGAAAATCGGATCACTCCTACCCTAATACTGCACTTTTCCAACACTCTTAGCAAATGACACACCAGGAGATTATATCCCGCACCTGGCTCGGAGGGTCCCATGCCCACAGAGCCTTGCTCACTGCTAGCACAGCAGTCTGAGATCGAACTGCAAGGCAGCAGCGGGGCTGGGGGAGGGGTGCCTGCCATTGCCGAGGCTTGAGTAGGTAAACAAAGTGGCTGGGAAGCTCAAACTGGGTGGAGCCCACCACAGCTAAAGGAGGCCTGCCTGCCTCTGTAGATGCCACTTCTGAGGGCAGGGCATAGCTGAGCAAAAGGCAGCAGAAACTTCTGCAGACTTAAACGTCCCTGTCTGACAGCTTTGAATAGAGTAGTGGTTCTCCCAGCATGGAGTTTGAGATCTAAGAACAGACAGACTGCCTCCTCAAGTGGGTCCCTGACCCTCAAGTAGCCTAACTAGTAGGCACTTCCTGGTAGGGGCCGACTGACACCTCATACAGCCGGGTGCCCCTCTGAGACGAAGCTTCCAGATGAACGATCAGGCAGCAACATTTGTCGTTCTGCAATATTTGCTGTTCTGCAGCCTCCACTGCTGATACCCAGGCAAACAGGGTCTGGAGTGGACCTTCAGCGAACTCCAATAGACCTGCAGCTGAGGGTCCTGACTGTTACGAGGGAAACTAACAAACAGAAAGGACATCCACACCAAAACCCCATCTGTACGTCATCATCATCAAAGACCAAAGGTAGAGAAAACCACAAAAATGGGGAGAAACCAGAGAAGAAAAGCTGACAATTCTAAAAATCAAGCTCCTCTTCTCCTCCAAAGGAATGCAGCTCCTCACCAACAATGGAACAAAGCTGAACAGAGAATGACTTTGACAAGTTGAGAGAAGAAGGCTTCAGATGACCAGTAATAACAAACTCCTCTGAGCTAAAGGAGGATGTTCAACCCCATCACAAAGAAGCTAAAAACCTTGAAAAAAGATTAGATGAATGCCTAAGTAGAATCAACAGTGTAGAGAAGACCTTAAATGACCTGATGGAGCTGAAAACCATGGCACAAGAACTACGTGACGCATGCACAAGCTTCAGTAGCCCATTCAATCAACTGGAAGAAAGGGTATCAGTGATTGAAGATCAAATGAATGAAATGAAGCAAGAAGAGAAGTTTAGAGAAAAAAGAGTAGAAAGAAGTGAACAAAGCCTCCAAGAAATATGGGACTATGTGAAAAGACCAAATCTACATTTGATTGGTGTACCTGAAAGTGATGAGGAGAATGGAACCAAGTTGGAAAACTCTCTTCAGGATATTATCCAGGAGAACTTCCCCAACTAGCAAGGCAGGCCAACATTCAAATTCAGGAAATACAGAGAATGCCACAAAGATACTCCTTGAGAAGAGTAACTCCAAGACACATAATTGTCAGATTCACCAAAGTTGAAATGAAGGAAAAAATGTTAAGGGCAGCCAGAGAGAAAGGTTGGGTTACCCACAAAGGGAAGCCCATCAGACTAACAGCGGATCTCTTGGCAGAGACTCTACAAGCCAGAAGAGAGTCAAGGCCAATATTCAACATTCTTCAAGAAAAGAATTTTCAACCCAGAATTTCATATCCAGCCAAACTAAGCTTCATAAGTGAAAGAGAAATAAAATCCTTTACAGATAAGCAAATGCTGAGAGATTTGTCACCACCAGGCCTGCCTTACAAGAGCTCCTGAAGGAAGTACTAAACATGGAAAGGAACAACAGGTACCAGCCACTGCAAAAGCATGCCAAATTGTAAAGACCACTGATGCTAGGAAGAAACTGCATCAACTAACGAGCAAAATAACCAGCTAACATCATAATGACAGGATCAAATTCACACATAACAATATTAACCTTAAAGGTAAATGGGCTAAATGCTCCAATTAAAAGACACAGACTGGCAAATTGGATAAAGAGTCAAGACCCATCAGTGTGCTGTATTCAGGAGACCCATCTCACATGCAGAGACACACATAGGCTCAAAATAAAAGGATGGAGGAAGATCTACCAAGCAAATGGAAAACAAAAAAAGCAGGGGTTGCAATCCTAGTCTTTGATAAAAACAGACTTTAAACCAACAAAGATCAGAAGAGACAAAGAAGGCCATTACATAATGGTAAAGGGATCAATTCAACAAGAAAACCTAACAGTCCTAGATATACATGCACACAATACAGGAGCACCCAGATTCATAAAGCAAGTCCTTAGAGAACTACAAAGAGACTTAGACTCCCACACAATAATAATGGGAGACTTTAACACCCCACTGTCAACATTAGACAGAGAAACGAGACAGAACGTTAACAAGGATATCCAGGAATTGAACTCAGCTCTGTACCAAGCAGACCTAATAGACATCTACAGAACTCTCTACCCCAAATCAACAGAATATACATTCTTCTCAGCACCACATCACACTTATCCCAAAAATGACTACATAGTTGGAAGTAAAGCACTCCTCAGCAAATGTAAAAGAATAGAAATTATAACAAACTGTCTCTCAGACCACAGTGCAATCAAACTAGAACTCAGGATTAAGAAACTCACTCAAAACCACTCAACTACATGGAAACTGAACAACCTGCTCCTGAATGACTACTGGGTACGTAACGAAATGAAGGCAGAAATAAAGATGTTCTTTGAAACCAACGAGAACAAAGACACAACATACCAGAATCTCTGGGACACATTTAAAGCATTCTGTAGCAGGAAATTTATAGCACTAAATGCCCACAAGAGAAAGCAGCAAAGATCCAAAATTGACACCCTATCATCACAATTAAAAGAACTTGAAGAGCAAGAGCAAACACATTCAAAAGCTAGCAGAAGGCAAGAAATAACTAAGATCAGAGCAGAACTGAAGGAGATAGAGACACAAAAAACCCTTCAAAAACTAATGAATCCAGGAGCTGGTTTTTTAAAAAGATCAACAAAATTGATAGACCACTAGCAAGACTAATAAAGAAGAAAAGAGAGAAGAATCAAACAGACGCAATAAAAAATGATAAAGGGGATATCACCACTGATGCTACAGAAATACAAACTACCATCAGAGAATACTATAAACACCTCTACACAAACTAACTAGAAAATCTAGAAGAAATGGATAAATTCCTGGACACATATACCCTCCCAAGACTAAACCAGGAAGAAGTTGAATCCCTAAAGAGACCAATAACAGGCTCTGAAATTGAGGCAATAATGAATAGCCTACCAACCATAAAAGTCCAGGACCAGATAGATTCACAGCCAAATTCTACCAGAGGTACAAAGAGGAGCTGGTACCATTCCTTCTGAAACTATCCCAATCAACTGAAAAAGAGGGAATACTCCCTAACTAATTTTATGAGGCCAGCATCATTCTGATACCAAAGCCTGGCAGAGACACAACAAAAAAGAGAGTTTTAGACCAATATCCCTGATAAACATCGATGCAAAAATCCTCAATAAAATACTGACAAATTGAATCCAGCAGCACATCAAAAACTTATCCACCATGATCAAATTGGCTTCATCCCTGAGATCCAAGTCTAGTTCAACATACACAAATCAATATACGTAATCCATCATATAAACAGAACCAAAGAAGAAAACCACCTGATTATCTCAATAGATGCAGAAAAGGCCTTTGACAAAATTCAAAAGCCCTTCATGCTAAAAACTCTCAATAAATTAGGTATTGATGGGACGTATCTCAAAATAATAAGAGCCATCTATGACAAACCCACAGCCAATATCATACTGAATGGGCAAAAACCGGAAGCATTCCCTTTGAAAACTGGCAAAAGACAGGATGCCCTCTCTCACCACTCCTATTCAACATAGTGTTGGAAGTTCTGGCCAGGGCAATCAGGCAGGAGAAAGAAATAAAAGTATTCAATTGCGAAAAGAGGAAGTCAAATTGTCCCTGTTTGCGGTTGACATGACTGTATATTTAGAAAACCCCATTGTCTCAGCCCCAAAGCAACTTAAGCTGATAAACAACTTCAGCAAAGTCTCAGGATACAAAATCCATGTGCAAAAATCACAAGCATTCCTATACACCAATAACAGACAAACAGAGAGCCAAATCATGAGAGAACTCCCATTCACAATTGCTTCAAAGAGAATAAAATACCTAGGAATCCAACTTACAAGGGACATGAAGGACCTCTTCAAGGAGAACTACAAACCACTGCTCAATGAAATAAAAGAGGACACAAACAAATGGAAGAACATTCCATGCTCATGGATAGGAAGAATCAATATCGTGAAAATGGCCATACTGCCCAAGGTAATTTATAGATTCAATGCCATCCCCATCAAGCTACCAATGACTTTCTTCACAGAATTGGAAAAAATTACTTTAAAGTTCATATGGAACCAAAAAAGAGCCCACATTGCCAAGACAATCCTAAGCCAAAAGAACAAAGCTGGAGGCATCACGCTAGCTGACTTCAAACTATACTACAAGGCTACAGTAACCAAAACAGCATGGTACTGGTACCAAAACAGAGATATAGACCAATGGAACAGAAAAGAGCCCTCAGAAATAATACCACACATCTAGAACCATCTGCTCTTTGACAAACCTGACAAAACCAAGAAATGGGGAAAGGATTCCCTGTTTAATAAATGGTGCTGGGAAAACTGGCTAGCCATATGTAGAAAGCTGAAACTGGACCCTTCCTCACACCTTATACAAAAATTAATTCAAGTTGGATGAAAGACTTAAATGTTAGACCTAAAACCATAAAAACCCTAGAAGAAAACCTAGGCAATACCATTCAGGACATAGGCATGGGCAAGGACTTCATGTCTAAAACACCAAAAGCAATGGCAACAAAAGCCAAAATTGACAAATGGGATCTAATTAAACTAAAGAGCTTCTGCACAGCAAAAGAAACCACCATCAGAGTGAACAGGCAACCTACAGAATGGGAGAAAATTTTTACAATCTACTAATCTGACAAAGGGCTAATATCCAGAATCTACAAAGAACTTAAACAAGTTTACAAGAAAAAATCAAACAACCCCATCAAAAGGTGGGCGAAGGATATGAACAGACACTTCTCCAAAGAAGACAGTTATGCAGCCAACAGACACATGAAAAAATGCTCGTCATCACTGGCCGTCAGAGAATGCAAATCAGAACCACAATGAGATACCATCTCACACCAGTTAGAATGGTGATCATTAAAAAGTCAGGAAAAAACAGATGCTGGAGAGAATGTGGAGAAATAGGAACACTTTTACACTGCTGGTGGGACTGTAAACTAGTTCAACCATTGTGGAAGACAGTGCAGTGATTCCTCAAGGATCTAGAACTAGAAATACCATTTAACCCAGCCATCCCATTGCTGGGCATATACCCAAAGGATTATAAATCATGCTGCTATAAAGACACATGCACACGTATGTTTATTGCGGCACTATTCACAATAGCAAAGACTTGGAACCAACCCAAATGTCCGTCAATGATAGACTGGATTAAGAAAATGTGGCACATATACACCATGGAATACTATTCAGCCATCAAAAAGGATGAGTTCATGTCCTTTGTAGGGACATGAATGAAGCTGGAAACCATCATTCTGAGCAAACTATCGCAAGGACAGAAAACCAAACACCGCATATTCTCACTCATTGGTGGGAATTGAATAATGAGAACACTTGGACACAGGATGGGGAACATCATACAACGAGGCCTGTCGTGGGGTGGGGGGAGGTGGTAGGGATAGCATTAGGAGATATACCTAATGTAAATGACGAGTTAATGGGTGCAGCACACCAACATGGCACATGTATACATATGTAACAAACCTGTACCCTAGAACTTAAAGTATATATAAAAAAAAGATGGAAGGATAGATAGGGGATACAAGAAACAAGACTGACAAGACATTAATTGTTCAAATGCATGACGAATATATGGGTGTCATTATACTACTCTGTCTGCTTTGGGGTATGCTTGAAATTTTATAACTTTTTTAACACAAGCATTTAACAGCTATATAACATAAATTTTAAAAAGTAAGAATGTGACCATTATGTGCCTCTGATTATAGTTTTTAAATTCCAAATAAAAAAGTGAATATAAGAAAAAAAAATCTTAAAGGCAGCTACAAAGTGAAGTCCATTAGAGAAACAGCAGGCCTCTCAGCTGAAACCCTACAAGCCAGAAAAGATTGGGGCCAATATTCAACATTCTTAAAGAAAAGAGGCTGGTCATGGTGGCTCATACCTGCAATCCCAGCACTTTGGGAGGCTGAGGCAGGCAGATCACCTGACATCAGGAGTTCGAGATCAGCCTGACCAACATGGTGAAACCCTGTCTCTACTACAAATACAAAATTAGCCGGGCGTGGTGGTATGCACCTGTAATCCCAGCTACTAGGGTGGCTGTGGCAGGAGAATTGCTTCAACCCGGGAGGCGGAGGTTGCAGCAAGCCAAGATTGCACCACTGCACTCCAGCCCAGGTGACATAGCAAGATTCTGTCTCAAAAAAAAAAAAAAAAAAAAAGGAAAGAAAAATTCCAACCTAGAATTTCTTAAGTGAGGAAGAAATAAGATCCTTTTCAAAAAAGCAAATGCTCAAGGAATTCATTGCCATTAAACCTGCCTTACAAGAGCTCCTGAAGAAAGTACTAAACATGGAAAGGAAAGACTGTTACCAGCCTCTACAAAAACACACTGAAGTACACAGATCAGTGACACTATAAAGCAACCATGTAAACAAGTCTGCAAAATAACCATGTAACATCATGATGAACAGAACAAATCCACATATATCAATACTAACCTTGAATGTAAATTGGCTAAATGCCCCAATTAAAAGACATGGAGTGGCCCACTGGATAAAGAACGGAGACCCATTGGTATGCTGTCTTCTTTATCCAGTCTCTTGAAGACAGCACACCAGCAGGTCTTGGTGCTTTATCCAACTTGCATATCTCACATGCAGTGACACACATACACTCAAAATAAAGGGATGCATAAACATCTACCAAGCAAATTGAAACACAGAAAAAAGCAGAGGATGCAATCCTACTTTCAGACAAAACAGACTTTAAACCAACAAAGATCAAAAACACAAAGAAGGTCATTACATAATGGTGAAGAGTTCAATTCAACAAGAAAATCTTACTATCATATATATATATATATATATATATGTGTATATATATATATATATATATATACCCAACGCAAGAGCACCCAGATTCATAAAGCAAGTTCTTAGAGACCTTCAAAGAGATGGAGACTCCCACAATAATGGGAGACTTTAACACCCCACTGTCAATATTAGACAGATCATGAAGATAGAAAATTAACAAAGATATTCAGGACCTGAACTCAGCGCTGGATCAAATGGACCTGATAGACGTCTACAGAACTCTCCATCCCAAAACAAGAGAATATACCTTCTTCTCACTGCTATTTGGCACTTACTCTAAAATCGATCACATAATCAGAAGTAAACCCTCCTCAGCAAACGCAAAAAAACTGAAATCATAACAAACAATCTCTTGGACCACAGCACAAACAAATTAGAAATCGAGACCAAGAAATTCCCTCAGAACCATACAATTACTTGGAAATTGAATAACCTGCTTCTGAATGACTTTTGGGTAAATAATAAAATTACGGCAGACATCAAGATGTTCTTTGAAACTAAAGAGGACAAAGAAACAACACACCAGAATCTCGGGGACACAGCTAAGGCAGTGTTAAGAGGGAAATTTATGGCACTAAATGACCAATAAAAAAGTTAGAAAGGGCTGGGCATGGTGCCTCACACCTGTTATCCCAGCATTTTGGGAGGCCAAGGTGAGTGAATCACCTAAGGTCAGGAGTTTGAGACCAGCCTGGCCAATAAGGCAAAACCCACCTCTACTAAAAATACAAAAATTAGCTGGTTATGGTGGGGTACACCTGCAGTCCCAGCCACTCAGGAGGAAGAGGCATGAGGATTGCTTGAACTGGGGAGGTAGAGGTTACAGTGAGCCAAGATTGCACCACTGCACTCCAGCCTGGGTGACAGAGTGAGACCCTGTCTCAAAAAAAAAAAGAAAAAGAAAAAGAAAAAAAACAGAAAGATCTCAATTTACCAACCTATTATTACATCACAACTAAAAGAAATAGAGAACCAAGAGCAAACCAATCCCAAGCTAGCAAAAGAGAAGAAAGAATCAAAATGAGAGCTGAATTGAAGGAGATTGAGACACACAAAACTATTCAAAAGATCAATGAATCCAGGAACTGGTTTTTTGAAAAAATTAATAATATAGACCACTAGATAAACTAAGAAAGAAGAAAAAAGATTCACAGAAACACAACCAGAAATGTCAAGGGGGATATTACCACTGATCCCACAGACATACAAATAACCATCAGAGAATACTATGAACACCTCTAAGCACATAAACCAGAAAATCTAGCAGAAATGGATAGATTTCTGGACATATAAATCCTTCCAAGACTGAACAAGGAAGAAATTGAATCTGCAAACACACCAATAATGAGCTCTGAAATTGAGTCAGTAATAAATAAGCTACCAACCAAAAAATTCTCGGGACCAAACAGATTCACAGCTGAATTTTACCAGATGTACAAAGAAGAGCTGATGCCATTCCTGCTTAAACTAGTCCAAAAAATTGAGAAGGAGGGATTTTTTCCAGACTCATTCTGTGAGGCCAGTATTATCCTGATACCAACCTGGGGGAGACAACAAAAAAAAGAAACTTCAGGCCAATATCCTTGATGAACATTGATGCAAAAATTCTCAACAAAATACTGGCAAACCTAATCCAGCAGCACATCAAAAAGTTTTTCCACCATGACAAAGTAGTCTTTATCTATGAGATGCAAGGTTGGGTCAACATAAACAAATTGATAAATAGGATTCATCACATAAACAGAACTAAAGACAAAACCCACATAATTGTCTCAATAGATGCAGAAAATGCTTTTGATAAAATTTAACACCACTTCATGTTAAAAACTCTCAATAAACTAGGTATCGAAAGGACGTAGCTCAAAATAATAAGTGCCCACAGCCAACATCATACTGAATGGGCAAAAGCTAGAAGCATTTTCCTTGAAAACCAGCACAAGACAATCAAGCAAAAGAAAGAAATAAATAGTATCCAAATAGGAAGAGAGGAAGTCAAACTATTCCTGTTTTCAGACATGATCCTATATTCAGAAAACCCCATAGTCTTGGTCCAAAAGCTCCTTAAGCTGACAAACAACTTCAGCAAAATTTCAGGATACTAAATCAATGTGCAAAAATTACTAGCCCTCCTATACACAGTCAAGCTGAGAGCCAAATTGGAATGAAATCCCATTCAAAATTGCCACACACTCAAAATAAAATACCTAGGAATACAGCTAACCAGGGAGGTGAAAGATCTCTACAACAAGAACTACAAAACACTGCTCAAAGAAATCAGAGATGGCACAAACAAATGGAAAAACATTCCATGCTCATGGATAGGATGGATCAATGTTGTTAAAATGGTCATTCTGCCCAAAGCAATTCATAGATTCAGTGCTATTCCTATTAAACTATCAATGACATTTTTTCACGGAAGTAGAAAAAACTATTTTAAAATTCATATGGAACCTAAAAAAGAGCCCAAATAGCCAAGGCAATCCTAAGTAAAAAGAACAAAGCTGGAGACATCACACTACCCAGCTTCAAACTATACTACAGTTCTACAGTAATCAAAACAGCATGGTACGGGTACAAAAACATAGACCAATGGAACAGTATAGAGAACCCAGAACTAAGGCTGCACACCTACAACTAGCTGATCTTTGACAAACCTGACAAAAACACACAATGAGGAAAGGATTCCCTATTCAATAAATGGTACTGTGAAAACTGGCCAGACATATGCAGAAGAGTGAAACTGGATCCCTTCCTTACACCATATACAAAAATTAACACAAGATGGATTAAAGACTGAAATGTAAAACCCCAAATTAAAAACCCTGGAAGACAATCTGGGCCATACCATTGTGGGCATAGGAACAGGCAAAGATTTGATGATGAAAATGCCAAAAGCAATTGCAACAGAAGCAAAAATTAACAAATAGGAGCTAATTAAACTAAAGAACTTATGCACAGCAAAATAAACTATCAACAGAGTGAACAGACAGCCTACAGAATGGGAGAAAAAATTTGCAAACTACACATCTGGCATAGGTCTAATGTCTAGCATCCATAAATAACTTAAATTTACAAGAAAAAAAACCAACCCCATTAAAAAGTGGGCAAAGGGCACGAACACTTTTCAAAAGAAGACATACATGAGGCCAACAGTCATATGAAAAAAAGCTTAGCATCACTGATCATTAGAGGAATGCAAATCAAAACCACAATGAGATACCATCTTACACTAGTCAGAATGGCTATTATAAAACACCAAAAAATAACAGACACTTGTGAGGTTGTGGAGATAAAGGAACGCTTATACACTGTTGGTAGGAGCGTAAATTAGTTCAACCACTGTGGAAGACAGTGTGGTGATTTCTCAAAGGCCTAAAAACAGGAATATCATTCAACCAGCAATCCCATTACTGAGTATATACCCAAAGAAATATAAATCATTCTATTATAAACAAACATGCATGCATATGTTCATTGCAGCACTATTCACAATAGCAAAGACATAGAATCAACCTAACTGCCCATCAATAGAAGACTGGATAAAGAAAATTTGGTACATATACACCACGGAATACTATGCAGCCCTAAAAAGAATGATATGTTCTTTGCAGAAATATGCATGGAGCTAGAGGCCATTATCCTTAGCAAACTAACACAGGAACAGAAAACCAAATACTGCATGTTCTCACTTATAAGTGGGAGTTAAATGGTGAGAATACATGGGCACATAGATGGAAACAACACACGCTGAGGCCTATTGGAGGGTGGAGTGTGGGAGAAGGGAGAGGATCAGGAAAAATAACTAATAGGTACCCATAGATTATGGGTTATGACATAATCTATACAACAAATCCCATGACACAACTTTCCTATATAACAAATTTGCACATGTAACCCTTAACTTAAAATAAAAGTTTTCTTTAAAAAGTATGTTATTAAGTAGTACTGTTTAAAAGTATGGATTCTGATCAAATAGATCTGGGTTTAAACCTTGCTTCCTCCTCCTGCACCCTGCGTGACTGTAGGTGAATTACCTAACCTCTCTGAACTTCTGTTTTCTCATCTGTAATCATAAGCATTATTGATAGTATAGATTTCAACTGGAGATTGACACTGCAACACTTCAATAAGACCCAGTCATCTCAACGCTATTTTTTTGCTCATCCCTTATTGTATCCATAGACATTGGCTTATTAACTTGACTTTCACATATTTCCAGATATATTTCCTTTCATCATCTCTACCGCTCTTATCTTGTTCTAAACAACCCTGATTTCTCACCTATTATTGCAATAACCTCCTAACTAGTTTCGATGTTTCTACTCTCACCCACATCCCCTTCAGACTTTTCTCAATACTGTATCCAGCATGAACTTTAAAATAAAAGTCAGATCATGTCAGACATCTGCTCAAATCCCTTGTAGCTTTCCATGTTACTTAGAGCAGAACCGAAGTCCTTGCAATTTTTTCATAGGGTTTGTCCATCTGCACTTCTCTGTCCTCATTCCCTAATGTACTTCCATTCTTTTATTGTACTCTATCCTCACTGGTCTTCTTGCTCTTCCTGGAACACACATTCACAACTACCTTAGGTAGATCCTTTGTACTTGCCGAATCCTCTGCCTGGAATGTTCTTCCCTCGGTTTCATGCAAGACTTTCTTCTCCTTCAGGTTTTTCTTTCTTTTTCTTTTTTTTTTTTTTTGACATGGAATCTTACTCTGTCACCCAGGCTGGAGTGCAGTGGCACGATCTCAGCTCATTGCAACCTCCATCTCCTGGGTTCCAGAGATTCTCCTGCCCCAGCCTCCTGAGTAGCTGGGATTACAGGTGCTCACCACCATGCCCGGCTAATTTTTGTATTTTTAGTAGAGACAGGGTTTCACCATGTTGGCCAGGCTGGTATCGAACTCCTGACCACAAGTGATCCTCCTGCTTCAGCCTCCCAAAGTGCTGGGATTACAGGTGTGAGCCACCATGCCTGGCCTCCTTCAGGTCTTTATTAAAATGTTATCTCCTCAGAGAAGACTTCTCTCACCACCCTATCTAACATAGCGTAACCATTCTTCCTTACTCTGCCTTCTCTGCTTTATTATTTTTTCTCGGATGTTTCTTGGATATATCACTCTATATAGTTTAGTTGTTTACCTTTTTAACTGTCCCCACTAGAATAAGAGTCCTTAATACCTAGTCTGTAAAATAGTGCATAGGATATAGCAGTCATTTGATAAATAAATACATACATGTCAAACCAACAAATGAATGATTGGAGAGCCACAATGTAGCTCAACTGTGTATTTATCCATATGCCTATGGGACACATATTCCTTTTTCTTAATATTTCCTTTTCTATTTTTGTTTTAATTTTAAGCTCTGGGATACATGTGAAGAACGAACAGGTTTGTTACATAGGTATACCTGTGCCATGGTGGTTTGCTGCACCTTTTGACCTGTCCTCTTAGTTTCCTTCCCTCACCCCCCAACCCCTAACAGGCCCTGGTGTGTATTATTCACCTACCTGTGTCCATGTATTCTCATTATTCAACTCCCACTTATGAGTGAGAACATGCGGTGTTTGGTTTTCTGTTCCTGTGTTAGTTTGCTGAGGATGATGGCTTCTAGCTTCATCTGTGTCCCTGCAAAGGGCATGAACTCATCCTTTTTTATGGCTGCATAGTATTTCGTGGTGTATATGTGCCACATTTTCTTTATCCAGTCTATCATTGATGGGCAGTTGGGTTGGTTCCATGACTTTGCTATTGTAAATAGTGCTACAATAAACATATGTGTGCATGTGTCTTTATAGTAGAATGATTTATATTCCTTTTGGTATATAACCAGTAATGGGATTGCTGGGTCACATCATATTTCTGGTTCAAGATCCTTGAGGAATCACCATACTGTCTTCCATAATGGTTGAACTAATTTACATTCCCAATAGTGTAAAAGCATTCCTATTTCAGCCTCCCTAGCATCTATTGTTTCTTGACTTTTTAATAATTGCCATTCTGACTGGCATGAGATGGTATCTCATTATGGTTTTCAGTAGCATTTCTCTAATGATCAGTGATGTTGAGCTTTTTTTCATATGTTTGTTGGCCACATAAATGTCTTCTTTTGAGAAGTGTTTGTTCATATCCTTTGCCCACTTTTTGATGCGGTTGTTTGCTTTTTTCTTGTAAATTTGTTTAAGTTCCTCGTAAATTCTGGATATTAGACCTTTGTCAGATGGGTAGATTGCCAAAATTTTCTCCCATTCTGTAGGTTGCCTGTTCTCCCTGATGATAGTTTCTTTTGCTGTGCAGAAGCTCTTTAGTTTAACTAGACTCCATTTGTCCGTTTTTACTTTTGTTGCAATTGCTTTTGGCATTTTTGTCATGAAGTCTTTGCCCATGCCTATGTCCTGAATGAAATTGCCTAGGTTTTCTTCTAGGGGTTTTATGGTTTTGGGTTTTACATTTAAGTCTTTAATCCATCCTCAGTTAATTTTTGTATAAGGTGTAAGGAACGGGTCCAGTTTTAGTTTTGTGCATATGGCTAGCCAGTTTTCCCAGGACTATTTATTGAATAGGAAATCCTTTTCCCATTGCTTGTTTTTGTCAGGTTTGTTGAAGATCAGATAGCTGTAGATGTGTGGTGTTATTTCTGAGGTCTCTGTTCTGTTCCATTTGTCTATATGTCTGTTTTGGTACCAGTACCATGCTGTTTTAGTTACTGTAGCCTGGTAGTATAGTCGAAGTCAGGTAGTGTGATGCCTCTGGTTTGTTCTTTTCGCTTAGGATTCTCTTGGCTATATGGGGTCTTCTTTGATTCCATATGAAATTTAAAGTAGTTTTTTCTAATTCTGTGAAGAATATCAAATATCTTGATGGGAATAGCACTGAATCTATAAATTACTTTGGGCAGTATGGCCATTTTCACAATATTGATTCTTCCTATCCATGAGGATGGAATGTTTTTCCATTTGCTTATGCTACAGGACATATTTTCTTGGGCAACATCGCTTCTTTGTGAAAATTGATTCTGATGTTCAACTATAGCCCATAGGAAAACACCTTCTCAAAATGTAGCCCTCTAACTATTGAAGATTCCCTAAGGAAGCAGGGAAGGAAAGGGAAGCTCCTAGAAGTCCTCAGTCAAATTAGAAGGCAGGGAGGAAAAGCAAGGTGCCAGTCTCTGACCACACACACACACACACACACACACACACACACACACACACACACATATACACACAGTGAGGCCGCTATTGGTAGGCAAGGAACAAAAATTGGGTAAGATGGGATCCTCAACCACTTAGCACTTAGGGATAAGGAAATTCCTTTCTGAATGAAGACAGAGTATTCATCACAAAAGTCTCTTCACTTTGAGACAAGTTGTCGTTATGTGAGAGATGTGAAAGGGAATTTCATCACAGGAGAGCTGAAGGACTCCAGGACATTCTGTAAATGTCTTTATAAACTTGAATGTTTTAGACAACTTCTGTCTCTTCTCTTTATTCATTCATTCAACTCTGAAATTTTTTTGTAACATAAAATCTCATCTGCAGGAGAGTTTAGTAAACATCTGGAGAAGAGCATCCCCATGTCCCTGAGAGTAAGAAGGTTAAGAATTGTTGACATAAACGCCATCATGTAATACCACTGAGTTGTAACTGAAAAGCTGTTTGCAAAGAAAACATTGAAATGATGAGTTACTCTTTTTCTCATTACATTCATTATAATTTCTGAGAATATGGTACCATGGAAAAAGACTTCATGTGAGAGAGAGGCAGAAAGAGAGAAATGAAGGTACAAGAAACAGATTAGGCTGGGTGCGGTGGCTCAAGCCTGTAATCCCAGCACTTTGGGAGGCCGAGGTGGGCGGATCACGAGGTCAAGAGATTGAGACCATCCTGGCTAACACGATGAAACCCCGACTCTACTAAAAATACAAAAATTTAGCCAGGCATGGTGGCGGGCGCCTGTAGTCCCAGCTACTTGGGAGGCTGAGGCAGGAGAATGGCGTGAACCCAGGAGGTGGAGCTTGCGCTGAGCAGAGATTGCGCCACCGCACTACAGTCTGGGAGACAGAGTGATACTCCGTCTCAAAAAAAAAAAAAAAAAAAAGAAAAGAAACAGATTAATCACGTTAATAGCAAGCAAAGAAAGAGAGGTATTATCCAAATTTGAAAGGAGTAAAATTTTGCATAAGTTGACAGTCAGACAGGAAAAAGGGAGCTGGTAACAGTTAATCTACAGGAAGGCCTTTTCACCTAGAATTATCTTAAAACATGCAGTCCTTACTGCCACTAAAAGACTAATTATGTGATTTCCTTCAATCTGAACAAATCCTTTTTTATACTGCTCTTTATGGCAGACTATAGTGTGAGTCAGAAATTCCAAAAGCATGATAATCTCCATCCTTTACAGCACCTGTCCCAACGTTATGTTAATCATTAGTTGATAATCTTTAAAGCTGAGGGCTACACACCCTCTACTATTGTATCTACAACTCTGGAGTTATGATACCAGATTAAGTTGATCAGATCATCATTACTTTTATTATTTTCAAACATTAATTTCGATGTCAAAAAATTTAGAAAAGTAAATTCCAAACCGAAAGCACTGTTTTTTTTTCTTTTAAAGGGCTTAAACATACTTACTGTTATTTAAATATTTATCACACTGAAAAATGTCCTGCAAGTACATCGTTTTATAGTGACTTCAGACTGATGATACATTCCAAAAACATTCATTAAATGAGGTTTCTCTTTCACTGTTACCAACTTACCTTTTACTCTCAGTGGTATGATAACCCTCAGAACTACAGAACAGCTTCAATCTTCGTTCAGAACTATCATACCTGAAAAGAGGAGGTTTTGTTTTATTGTGGTAAAATATACATAAAATAAAATTTACCATTCTAACTGTACAATTCAGTGGCATTAAGTATTAGGTTGGTGCCAAGGTAATTGTGGATTTTGCCATTGAAAGTAATGTAATACTTTCTGCTATTTTTCTATCATCACTAACAGAAACTCTGTACTCACTAAACACCAACTGTCCATTATCCCATCCACTCCCTATTACCCACCAGCTCCTGGTAACCTCTAATCTACTTTCTGTTTCTATGAATTTGCCTATTCCGGGTACCTCATATAAGTGGAGTGGAATCATACAATATTTGTCCTTTTGTATCTGGCTTATTTCGCTCAGCACAATGTTTCAAGGTTGATGAATGCTGTAGATGTATCAGAATTTCCTTCTGTTTTAAGGTTGAGCAATATTCTATTGTATGTATGTACTACATTTTGGTTATCCTTTCATCCATCGATGGACATTTGGATTTCTCCCACCTTCTGGTTACTGTACAAAATGCTTCACTGAACATTGGTGTACAATGTTTTTTTTTCAATGTTATCGTACTTACTTTCTCCTGAGTGATTGGAAGAACTTTTACAATTAACCGTTGCCTGGACTCTTGATAAATCCAGCCCCAAATTACTTAAGAGTATTTAGTAAGTCATTTTCAAAGGTCACTGTTTGTCAAGTAGGAAAACTCGCAGTGAGCAGTGAGCAGTTTGTATAGGCCCACACAGGGCAGTGACCTATATTCTGAGCCTGCACGTTAGAATTAAAACCTTCTGAGTCTTCAATCCCTGCACCAGAACAACTATATCAGACTTTGGATGTGGGATCAGACCTTGTTATTTTTCCAAACCTCCCCTGCTGATTCTGTTATGCAGCCAGGATCTAGAACCTCTGACGTGGGCAAATGTGGTATCAGTCATCAGAGCTGCAAGTAAAACCACTGAGGCCCTCAGAGAACTAAGAGGGAATCTTTTTTACAGCCTGTATTGTACATATAATATTAGCGTGGCTAACCTATAATTGGCCATATGTTCAATAATTAATTGAACATATAATTGATAATTGGTAATATCACTGAGATTGTCCAAGGATATAACTAAAGGGATTCATTTCCCTGATTATGACTACCAACACCAAGATTGGATCAGAGCACTAAAGGATGCATAGTGGCTCCTGAGGCTGGATATTTGAGCCAGTAAAAACAAGAGAGTAATTCCCCACGGTAAAGGTGAATGTCGTACACTATGTTATGGGCTGAATGTTTGCGTCCTCCAGTATGGTGAAGCTTGAATCCCCAATGTCATAGTACTGGAGATGGGGCCTTAGAGAGGTAATTAGAGTTAGATGAGTTTATGGGAGTTGGGCCCTGGTCCAATGAGATGAATGCCCTTACTAGAAAAGATACCAGAGGACTTCCTCTCTTCTCAGTGTCTCTGAGGAAAGGCCATGTGAGGGCACAGCAACACTGCAGCTGTCTACAAGCCAGAAAGAAGACCTTTACTAGGAACCAGCCCTATTGGACCTTGATCTACAACTCCTGCCTTCATAATGACAAGAATCTAAATTTCTGTTGTTTAAGCCACCTATGATCCTTTGTTACGGCAGTCTGAGCAGACTAAGACACTCTGGATACCTGTGATATAATAAGAAGTACATACTTAGTTTAGACCCCAGTTACTGACACAGAATTGTGTGTGTGTGTGTGTGTGTGTGTGTGACAGGGTCTCACTCTGTAGCCCAGGCTGGAATGCAGTGACGCGATCATGGCTCACTGCAGTCTCCACCTCCTGGGCTCAAATGACCTTTCCGCCTAAGCCTCCTGAATAGCTGGGACCACAGGTGTGTGCCACCATGCCCAGCTAATTTTTAAAT
Source organism: Homo sapiens (assembly GCF_000001405.40). Lineage (NCBI taxonomy): Eukaryota > Metazoa > Chordata > Mammalia > Primates > Hominidae > Homo > Homo sapiens. The sequence continues at coordinate 131,104,504 of NC_000006.12, forward strand.
TTTTTGTGGAGAATAGTTCTTGCTTTGCTGTCCAGACTGGCTTGAATCCCTGGGCTCAAGCAATCCTCCCACCTTGACCTACAAAAGTGCTAGGATTACAGACGTGAGCTACTGCACCCAGTCCTTGTTGGGCCCCTAGATAGCTTTAGGATGGGAGCTGGTTGCCAGAGGAATTAACCATGTGATTAAAGGGTTGGAAATTTCAGCCCCATTCCTAGATCTCTGAGGAGGGGAGAGGGGCTGGAGATTGAGTTCAATTACCAATGGCCAAAATTTAATCAATCATGCCTACATGATGGAACCTCCATAAAACCCCTAAACAATACGATTCAGACAGTTTCAGGGTTGTAGAACACATCTACATGCTGAGAGGGAGGCACACCCCAATTCCACGGGGACAGAAGTTCCTGTGCTCAGGACTCTTCAAGATCTCTCCCTGTGTATCTCCTCAGCTGCCTGTTCATTTCTCTCCTTTAGTAATTAGCAGTGATAATAAATAAAGTCTTTTCCCAAGTTTTATCAACCATTCTAGCAAATTATAAAACCTGAGGAAGGGGTCATAGGAACCTGTGATTAATAGTCAGTTGGTCAGAAGTACTGATGGAAGCAAGATACTTGCAACTGGCATCTGAAACGAAGGCAGTTTTGTGGGAGTGAGTCTGCGGAATCTGACACGACTCCAGTTAGTTACTGTAGGAATTGAATTCAATTGTAGGATACCCAGTTGGTATCTGGAAGGTTGGAGAACTGGTTGTTGGCATGGAAACAACCCACACATTTGGTGCCAAAAGTATTATGAGTAAAAACAGCTTGGAATATTAAACTGACCCTCAAAGGAAAAAAAAAGCCAATAAAAGGATGCTATCTTGCCAGGACCTTCCAAGGAGCCTCAGAATTGTCTGTTAAGGGAAGGAAAAGGGGAACATTTGATTGACTCACTATCTCCTGTCCCAACCAGGCAAGGGGACTGTCCATGGGGCACTGATTCCCTCACACTTCCAGTGTGCACTCGCTTGAATGCCAGGTAGGTCTCTGCAGACATCCCACCTTATGCTATCCCAGGATAGGATAGTCCCAGGATAAAACATGAGAGTTAAACAGTTCAACTGGACCGAGCTCGATGGCTCACGCCTGTAATCCCAACACTTTGGGAGGTTGAGGTGGGAGGATCACTTGAGGCCAGGAGTTCAAGACCAAGCTGGGCAACATAGCGAGACCCTGTCTCTACAAAACAACAACAACAACAAAAACAAAAACAAACAAACAAACAAGAAAACCCAAAAACTAACTGGATGTGGTGGTGGTGCACGCTTGCAGTCTTAGCTACTCTGGAGGCTGAGGTGGGAGGATTGCTTGAGCCCAGGAGGCTGAGGTTGCAGACAGCCATGGTGGCACCATTGCCCTCCAGCCTGGGCAAGAGAGTGAGACCCTGTCTCAAAAATAAAAAGCAATAATAAATAAATAAATAAAACTGAGGAAAGTTGTTCTTGGGTGATAAGACATGAAGCTGTTTCCAACAGGAGTAATAACTAAACTAAAGACAGGCAAAAGGATGTGAGGCCAGGCACAGGAGATGGTCAACGTGGGGAGCTTCTAGAGACTCCAATCAGGTCTGTGAGTTCCAGTCCCCACTCCTAGCTCTAGTCACAGTCTTCACTTGAACACCCTACCTCCATTCTAAACCTTGATGGCTAGAGTTTGATTTTATTAAGAGAGCTTATCAAGAGGTTTCTTGTAATATACCATTTCTCCTTTGTCTACCATACTTTCTGCAAGTAACACATAGTTTTGGAAATTCAGGTCAGTTATTTAAAAAACAAAAATAGTAGCTAAGTACAGAGGGTTGTGTGGGAAGCACTTCAACTTCCAGACAACATAAGGCTAAGCGCTGTGACACATTTGAAAATAAGTCCTTATTTTTTATCTTTTAGAATGCAGTCATTTGGAGTCCTTCTCTACCGATGGCTGAAATTACTCATCTAAGGAGAGCCAAATCTGCTCCATCCAGAAATGAAACCCACATAACACTTTATCATCTTTCAGACTCTTGACATTAACATATTTTAAATATTTACCTTTTAGTTTTATATTTATTTTGACATTTTATTATATTGCCTGCATGTCCTTTCTGTTCATCTACAACTATATTTTCTTTTTTCCTTAGATCAGGGATTAGCAAATGATGATCCACTGCCTTGTTTTTGTATGATTTGCAAGATGAGAATGGTTTTCACATTTTAAGTGGTTTCTAGAATGTCAAAAAAGTAATATTTTGTGTTACATGAAAACTATGTGAAATTCAAATTTAAGCCCATCAGTAAAGTTTCATGGGAACATGGCCATGTTCATTCATTCACATACTTTGTATGGTTGCTTTTGCACTGCAAGGGAGATTTAAGTCATTGCAACAAAGACCATATGGCCCTAAAATCCTAAAATGTTCACAATCTGGCCCTTCACAGAAAAGTTTGCTGACCCCTGCCCTGAATGACAAAAGGATGCTTGTTTAGTTTCCTTCATGTATTACCTAGCCTTAGGGTTCCAGGCACTTGAAACTGCTTTCTAATGAAGATAATAATTCATATGTGTCACTAGAATTGGTTTTGACAAGGCCACTCAAAATCTATTAGATAGGAAATGGTTTTACTAAAGTTGTTTTATAATCTACAAATCAAGTACATAGTGTATGTAAAATAAATGTTTATCAGATAAATTAATGAGTGAATAACTCTGGCAAATCTGGTAGTGTGTGACCTCAGCAAGAAGCCAAGGAAAAGCATACTTGTTTCTGCCTCACATTTGCACAGAGCTTGATGACACATACTTCAAAAAGCATATTCTTATCTGAGATTACAAAGTCTTTCACAATGACTGTATAGGAGATAAAGTGGAGGGAAAAACACCCTCTTCCTAGAGGGAGTATCATAGAATAACAGAACTGGAAGGGAAACATTTCATGCAGCTGCTGACTTTAAGCAGGACTACGCTGGAATCATTCCCAAAAGATAAGTTTGCTCTTTAATAGTAATAATTAGGCCAGGTGCAGTGGCTCATGCCTGTAATCCCAGCACTTTGGGAGGCTGAGGTGGGTGGATCATCTGAGGTCAGGGGTTCAAGACTAGCCTGGCCAACATGGTAAAGCCCCCGTTCTACTAAAAATACAAAAATTAGCTGGGCGTGGTGGTGTGCACCTGTAGTCCCAGCTACTTGGGAGGCTGAGGCAGGAGAATAGCTTGAACCCCAGGAGGTGGAGGTTGCAGTGAGCCGAGATCATGACACTGCACTCCAGCCTGGGTGACAGAGTGAGACTCCATCTCAAAAAACAAAACAAAACAAAACAAACAAACAAAAACTTAATAATTATCCAGAGACACAACTTCCTGGGCTTAGATATTTCAGAATATCACAACTAAACTCTTAAAAATTTCTGAAGGCTGGACACCGTGGCTCACACCTATAATCCCAGCACTTTGGGAGGCTGAGGCAGGTAGATTGCCTGAGCTCAGGAGTTCAAAACCAGCCTGGGCAACATGGCGTAACCTCGTCTCTACAAAAAATGCAAACATTTGCTGGGCTTGGTGATGTGTGCCTGCAGTCCCAGCTACTTGGGAGGCTGAGGCAGGAGAATCGCTAGAACCCATGAGGTGTAGGCTGCAGTGAGTCATGTTTGCACCACTGCAGTCCAGCCTGGGTGACAGTGTGTATTAGTTTGTTTTCATGCTGCTGATAAAGACATACCTGAAACTGGGAACAGAAAGAGGTCTAATTGGACTTACAGTTCCACATGACTGGGGAGGCCTCAGAATCACGGTGAGAGGTGAAAGGCACTTCTTACATTGGCAACAAGAGAAAAATGAGGAAGAAGCAAAAGCAGAAACCCCTGATAAGCCCATCAGATCTCATGAGACTTATTCACTATCACAAGAATAGCACAGGAAAAATCAGCCCCCATGATTCAATTACCTCCCACTAAGTCCCTCCTACAACGTGTCGGAATTCTGGGAGATACAACTCGAATTGAGATTTCAGTGGGGACACAGCCAAACCATATCAGAGCGAGACCCCATCTCAAAAGAAAGAAAGAAAGAAAGAAAGAAAGAAAAAAGAAAGAAAGAAAGAAAGAAAGAAAGAAAGAAAGAAAGAAAAAAGTTCTTCTTGCTCTTCAGCTTAATTCTTCATGCAGTAGTATAAGAATACTTTTAAAACCATTCATTCAATAACTTTATACACAGCATTTGCCTTAAAGTTTGATAGTTATGTCTCCTTTCTCCTAGTCATCTTATTCTCAGTTTGAGGGGTAGTGTTTGACATATTTTTGTATGTTTAAAAGTTACCACCATCACTACTATCCCCAGTACTCACTAGAATGGGAATTAATACATTGTGATAGTAAGAATATTAAACTTTGTTTAATCCATTTAGGCTGCTATAACTAAATACAATAAACTGACCTATTTATAACTGAGTACATAACTGGGTACTGTAAATAACAGTTGGTTTTTTTTTTTCTCACAGTCTAGAGGTAGGGAGTCCAAGATCAAGGTGCTGGCAGATTCAGTGGGTGTCTGGTGAGAGCCTGCTTTCTCATAGATGGCACCTAATCACCTCTCAAAGACACCAACTCTTAATACTATCACATTGGACATCAGGTTTCAACACATGAATTTTTGGGAGACACAAACATTCAGACCATATTAGACTTGGGGTCTGATGTGGTTTGGCTCTGTGTCCCCACTCAAATCTCATCTCGCATGGTAATCCCTACATGTGGAGGGAGGTGTACCTGGTGGGAGGTGTTTGGATCACGGGGGCAGTTTCCCCCATGCTGTTCTCAAGATAGTGAAGGAGTTATCACGAGATCTGATGGTTTTAAAGGTGACAGTTTTTTCTGCACTCACTCTCCTGCTGCCTTCTGAAGAAGGTGACTGCTTCCCCTTCTGCCATGATCATAAGTTTCCTGAGGCTTCTCCAGCCATGGGGAACTGTGAGTCAATGAAAATTCTTTCTTCATAAATTACCCAGTCTCAGATATTATTTTTATAGCAGTGTGAGAACGGACTAATACAGAGTCTAAAAGTCAAGATATGAGTTCTGGCTTGAGATGGTGCCTGCCATCTAATGGATGCTTGGTGAGTATTAGTAACTTTTGGTCTTGTTTTCTGTGAACCTGGATGATTTACTGACTATTTCTGAACTTCATCTATGACATGTGAGAAGAAAATACTTTCTGAGTTGATATGGATATCAAATGATGTTTCTGAAAATGCTCACTAACCTAGGAAGCATTATATAATTTCAAATTATTGTGACAAAATAAGAATTCAAAAATACAAGAAAAGTGTCTGCAAATGGCAATATAAATTAAAAGGTCAGTCAATTATCTTTGGCCCCTGTCCTCTCCCTGCCCACCACTAGATTTAAGAGAGAGAAGATCCTTACTCTTGACTCAATAAACACAGAGCTTGGAGTCTATGCTGGAGGCCAGCCTGTTTCATTCAGGTCAATATGTAACTTCAGCAGGAACCAGGGACCCCCAGTTAATTCCAAATGAGGATTCTGACTGAGCTGGAAAGTGCACTGGAGCTTTTTAAAACAGGTGCACAGAAATTTTATTTTTCTAAAAATGTGCTTTATTAGAAGTGATGATTTATTATGTCAATCATATATTACAAATTACTTTGCCCAATGATATAAGCAAAACACATAGATTTTTCTAAACAGGCTTATTTGATCAGAGGTTAAGAGAACAGCCCAGCTCTGGCTGTTTTATACTAGAATATAAAGACCTAGGGGGAAAACCCACTTAAATAGGTATTAATTATTGCAAATCTCTCAAAAAAAAAAGCACTTGGTTTTAACCATTATTAATACATTTTAGCCCATGTTTTTCATAAAGGGGCCATGGTTTTGTTTTAGATTTAAATTTAAGACTTTGTTTTATTTCTGTTTATCTTGAGTTTGAGGGCAATATTTTGGCTGGTCTGTAAAGGTTTTTGTCCCAACTACTCAATATGCTATGGTAGGGTGAAAGCAGCCACGAACAATATGTAAATGAATGGGCATGGCTGTGTTCCAAAGAAACTTTACTTACAAAACAAATGTCCAGTCTGCAGACTCTAGTCTTCTGACTCCCATTCTATACCAATAAGTAAAGATCACAGGAGCCCCTTACATTTACACAGAAGTGTAAGCAGTACACAATAGTCCTGTCTCAGAGCTATGCCAAGTCTCTAGCTCTCAGTCTTAATCTAGCCCTTAGGAACTTTGATAGTCCTGTCATCCTGTAGGGCTTCACACTGGCCCACTACATTAGTGACATAATGATGACTGGACCAAGTGAGAGGAATTCACATTCTTATATATATATATATTTCACACATATATATTTATATGTGTGATAGAAGGTGGAAAATAATCTCCCAACAAACTTCAGGGCCTGCCAACTTGGTAAACTGTCTAGGAATCTAATGGTTCGAGACATGTCAAGATGTTATCTCAGGGAAAAACTAAATTTCTGCAACTTGCATCCCCTATCAATAAGAACAACCCCAAACTCATGCTATATACAGTCTCAAAAAATTACCTGACTACCCTTGAGGGAAATAAGTCATATATGATTTGTTGGTACTCAGCACTATTTCTATTTCCTTTGATACTCACCCCTTCATGTCAGGGGCTGATGAATGAGAACTGTCTTTTCATAGTCCCTGTAAACCAAATACAGTTTAGATTCTGCCCATGAGGTGTACTTGTGCTTAAATTACAAGGCAGAAGACAGAATCCATTCCTCTTTCTTCAATTGTGTTGGTTGACATGTGGACTTAAGAAGATGTAACTATTTTTTTTGGGGGGGGGACAGGGTCTCACTCCATCACCCAGACTGGAGTGCAGTGGGACCACCATAGCTCACTGTGGACTCGACCTCCTAACCTCAAGCAATCGTACCACCTCAAGCCTCCCAAATTGCTGGGATTACAGATGTGAGCCATTGTACCCCGCCCGAAGTTGTGACTTTTTGCAGCAACTTCTATATTCCCTTGTGTCGTTCACCCCAGGACTTCAGGGCAATCATGACTATTGATTTCAGTCTCTTACATCCTCCTGACTTCTGCATGAAAGCAAGAAGTTTCAGATTCTTTGGACTGTGAATGTGAAAGCTGGTGGCAGCTCCTCCGACTTTCATTCCTTATGCCCTTGCAAAAATTTATAAGTACAGTACCTATACCTAATTCTCTGTAAATTAAAGCCTTTTATCTTTAAATATTTAAATTGACTTCCATTTTTCCGGCTGAGACTTGACTGCTTGCAAGAATGAGAAAATTCATTTTTGCATTTTTTATAATATTTAATATTTCTTGATGAAATGCAATAGGATAAATGGCTACATATTTTTAATACCATATTCTAATCATTTTATTTATCATAAAGCCCTTCATGACATCATTATATTTCTTATAATGGCACAGATCATTCCTGTTTGTGTCTAAACCTCAAGCAAACTAGTCCTCCTAAAGGATTAGTACACAGTATTAGCACTCACTACCATCTGGCTGTCTGTTACAAAGATATAAACAAGATATTAGTTGAGATAAACAATTCTTGTTGTTTTAATATCATACACAATTTGATTCTATGTCCTGGGGCCACTTGGGCATCATCTTTCGGTAAATAACCTCAGGAGTTTAGACAATAGTAAAATGTTGTAAAATAATTAGAAAGTGATATGTTTGCATATTTATTACATTTTTTAAATTAACAGCTTATGGAGATACAATTCATACACCACACAGATCATCCATTTAAAGTATACAGTTCAATAGTTTTTAGAATATTTATATAGAGTTTTGCAGCCATCACCACAATCTAATTTCAGAACATTTTCATCATTCCAAAGATAAAACCCCATAACCCTTAGCAGCCACACCCCTCTCCCAGCCCTAGGCAAACACCTATCTACTTTCTGTCCCTGTGGATTTGCTATACTGGACATTTCTAATTTCCCCACACCCTTGCCAGCATTTTTTATTGTCTGTCTTTTAAAATTATAGCCAACCTAGTGCCTGCCACTCGGTGTTCAAGTGATTCTCCTGCCTCAACCCCCTGAGTACCTGGGACTACAAGTGCATGTCATCATGCTGAGCTAATTTTTGTATTTTTAGTAGAGACGGGGTTTCACCATGCAGGCTGGTCTCGAACTTCTGATGTCAGGTTATCTGCCTGCCTCAGCCTCCCAAAATGTTGGGACTACAAGCATGAGCCACTGTACCCAAAATCCTTTATCTGTTTTTTAATCGGATTTTGTATTATTATTGAATTATAGGAGGTTTTTATATACATCCTGGATATACGTTTCTATCAGATATAAAAGGGGACTTCAAAAAGTTCGTGGAGCCGGGCACAGTGGCTCACGCCTGTAATCCCAGCACTTTCGGAGGCCGAGGCGGGCAGATCACAAGGTCAGGAGATCGAGACCATCTTGGCTAACATGGTGAAACTCCGTCTCTACTAAAAATACAAAAATTTGCCGGGCATGGTGGTGAGTGCCTGTAGTCCCAGCTACTCGGGAGGCTGAGGCAGAATGGTGTGAACCCGGGAGGTGGAGCTTGCAGTGAGCTGAGATCGCGCCACTGCACTCCAGCTTGGGTGACAAAGCAAGACTCCGTCTCAAAAAAAATAAAAATAAAAAGTTCGTGGAAAAATGGAATTAAAAGATAAAAATGATAAATATAAACATTATTTCTCAACATCAGCTCCATCAAAGTCAAGACACTTTTGGAAGCCAAAACACCAGCCACTTATTTAGTCCATCTCTAAATAATTGAGATTCCTGAGAATTTAACTATGTCAATGTAGTTTTTCTTACATTATTAACTGAAGAAAAATGGATGCCTTTTAAAGGCTTTTTTGTTTTGCTTTGTTTAGTTATAGAGACAGGGTCTCACGCTGTTACCCAGGCTGGAGTGCAGTGGTACAATCTTAGCTCTCTGTAATCTCAACCTCCTGGGCTCCAGTAATCCTCTTACCTCAGCCTCCAGAGTAGCTGGGACTATAGGTGTGTGCTACAACACCTAGCTAATTTTATTATTTTTTTTTTTTGAGACGGAGTCTCACTCTGTTGCTCAGGCTAGAGTGCAGTGGTGTGATCTGGGCTCACTGCAACCTCTGCCTCCCAGGTTCAAGGAATTCTCCTGCCTCAGCCTCCTGAGTAGCTGGGATTACAGGTCGCTGACACCACCCCCAGCTAAATTTTTTTTTGTATTTTTAGTAGAGACGGGGTTTCACCATGTTGGCCAGGCTGGTCTTGAACTCCTGACCTCAAGTGATCCGCCCATCTTGGCCTCCTAAAGTGCTGGGATTATAGGTGTAAGCCACTGAACTCAGACAAGTTTTATCTGTAAAATTTAGACTGGGTAAAAACAGCATAAAGACGTACAACTAATAAAAGCCAGTAGGAGATTGTCCGGGTGTGGTGGCTTACGCCTGTAATCCCAGCACTTTGGGAGGCTGAGACGGGTGGATCACTTGAGGTCAGGGGTTCGAGACCAGCCTGGACAATATGGTGAAACCCCATCTCTCCTAAAAACACAAAAAACAAAAAAAATAGCCAGGTGTGGTGGCAGGCACATGTAATCCCAGCTACTCAGGGGGCTGAGGCAGGAGAATCGCTTGAACCCAGGAGGCAGAGATTGCAGTGAGCCAAGATTGCGCACTGCACTCCAGCCTGGGTGACAGAGGGAGGCTCCGTCTCAAAAAAAAAAAAAAAAAAAAATTGTTTTTGTAGCAATGAGTTCTCACCATGTTGCCCAAGTTGGTCTCAAGCTCCTGGCCTCAAACAATGCTTCCACTCGGGCTTCCAAAGCACTTTGATTATAGGCATGAGCCACTGAGCCCTCAACTTTAATTTTTCAATCAGGAGCATGTAAGCTGAACCAATTGAGATGCCTATGGTATTGATATTGTTTCTGCTGTTATTTGTCAATCCTCTTCAGATAGGGCAAGAGCAAGATTAATTTTTTTCCTTGAAAATTGATGTGATGGTCTCCCACTGTAGGCTTTTTCTTTAAAATTGTCTCATCCCTTCTTAAACCAAGTTATCCATTTGTAAACTGCTGATTTCTTTGGGAAATTGTTCTCGTTAACTTTTTGTAAATCATTAATGATTTCACCATTCTCTCACCAAAATTTCACCATAAATTTGATGTTTATTCTTGCTTCAATTTTAGCAGAAGTCATATTGCTCTGATAGAAGCTCTTTTCAAACTGATGTCTTAGCCTTCTTAGTGTCCCAATGTAGATCCTCTTCAGATATTTTATAACAAGTTAGTATGAGTTTATTTTGGTGCAAAAACAACTTGAAATCCATGCATAATGTTTTCATAATATGCATTTTCCATGAACTTTTTGAAGGCCCTTGTATGATTTGCAAATATTTTCTCCCATTATATCGGCTGTACTTTCACTTTCTTGATAGTGTCCTTTGAAGCATGAAACTTTTAAATTTTGATTTATGTATTTATTTTAGTTTTAGTTATATTTTTTTGAGATGGAGTTTTGCTTTTGTTGCCTAGGCTGGAGTGCAATGGCGCAATCTCGGCTCACTGCAATCTCCACCTCCTGGGTTCAGGCGATTCTCCTGCTTCAGCCTCCTGAGTAGCTGGGATTACAGGCATGCGCCACCATACCGAGCTAATTTTTGTATTTTTAGTAGAGGTGGGGTTTCTCCATGTTGGTCAGGCTGGTCTCGAACTCCCGACCTGAAGTAATCTGCCCACCTCAGCCTCCCAAAGTGCTGGGATTATAGGCATGAGCCATTGCGCCCGGCCTATTTAATTTTTCTTTTGTGGTTTGCACTTTTGATGTCATGTCGTATTTAAAAAATCATTGCCTAATCCAAAGCAGAGAGATTAACTCCTATGTTTTCTTCTAAGAGTTTTATAGTTACCATTGTTTTAAATATAATTTATTTGATTATGTCTCCCTAATTTAATTTTTAATAATAGCTGGACTTAATAACCAGCACTCAAGATTCCTGAAAGTTTAAAAGTTGACTCTTGCAATCTGGTATAAGCCAGCTCTAGCACACCACTGAAGGTGTATTGTGCTGGGTGGGCCTGGAAGAAAGACAAACTAAACCTCTGACACTGGGACTGATAGGGACGAGGAAGAAGCTGCTAGTCACTCACCCATGAAGGTAGAGTTGCCCAGTGGAATCTAATCCTGATCTGAAAACTGATCTTCCTAAAAGAAACTAAAAAACTAATCTAAGGCTAATCCCATGTGGAATCTTAGGTGTGTTTCCAGAAACTGTAGTTAAGACACACCAGTTTGAATGGGATTCCTGAGGACTAACTCAGAAGACATGCTGAGGTATTGAGGTAGTGGTGGTGGCAGCATTAGATTAATACACTGTAGAACTCCCCAAGAATTTAGGTCACAGGGAACTAGATTCTAGCCTCAGAGAAAGAGCACTGGTAGGAAATTAATGTGGTACCATGCCCAAGTCATTAGATTGAGCTTAGAGCAAGGTCTTGTACTCTGTCACTGGAGAGATCACCAGTTTTTGCAGAGTATGAAAGCAAAGACACACGATACTAACTACTCTGGAATAGACCCACGTACTGTTGTGGAACACTGTAACTTCAAGGAGACACCAAGAATACCAGAAGGCAGATTCAGCAGGAATGGATTGAAGGATATCTAGTTCTGATGGAATAGCATTTGAGATACTCTGAATGGCCCCACTCCCAATACCTTCTCTCCTACTGGCCGCCTGAAAAAACCTCCAAGTACTGAATATACTATATAAATAATATGTTAAATGCTTTTATATAGCAGGCAAAACTGTAAGGAATCTATGGAAACAACAACAAAGAAAAAAAGAAAAGAAAAGACTCCTGAAAGGTAAATGATTTCTGAGGCACGTTTTCACCCTAAGGGTCAACCTAAGGGACCTTGAATTTACATTTTGAGAAATGGTATGCAGAGGATAACAGATCGGCCTATGGTGAGGAATCTAATAGGTGATCCCTGCATAGAGCTAAGTTTCTAATGGCAACACTCTCAGTATACAAGTGAGCAAGAAATATGTCTATCTAAAGAAGAAGACATTGAAAACTTGCCTCTCTCAACTTTTGCCCTGGGAGAAGAGGAAAAAAAATTCTCTGAGAATTCATAAACTCAACCAAGTGCTTATGTGGGTCTAAAGCCAGATTCAAGCTAGTGATGCATAGCGCTGCAAAATTTAGCAAATAAAAATAGAGCATCCGTAGTTAAACTTGAATTCAGATAAACAATGAATACTTTTTAGTATAAGTATGTCCCAAATATTGCACAAAAAATAATTTCTTGTTTATTTGAAATGTAAACATAACTGGATGCCCTGTATTCTATTTGGCAACCCTACCAATGTAGTATGAAACGCCAAGTAAGGAATTTAAGTTGTTCCAGGTTAATAGTGCCCCCTGGTGACACAAATAAAACGATATTCTTTTTGGAGGAATGCAACTTCAAACCAGGCTTCAAAGAATTTCCTCAGATAAAGATCGAATACAAGCTCACAATGAAAAAAAAAAAACACAAAACATATAAGAAATAAAGGTAATGTAAGTATGAACCAGAAAGAAAGCCAGAAAGGTTATTATAATAAAATATGCAAAGATTTCAGATATTAGAATGATCAAATATAGACTAGAAAATAATGTGGTTAGTATGTTTAAAGAAGTAAAAACCTGCAAACAGGAACAATAGACTAGAAAAAATTCAAGTAGATTTGAAAAAGAACCAAATGGATGGCCTAGGAATGAAAAATATAATACCTGAAGTTCAAAATTCAAAAGCTGGAGAAATAGCATATTAGACAAAGCTGAAGAAAGGATTAGTGAACTGGAGGAAACATTTAATGGGCTTGTTTAAAATTACGCTCAGAGAAACAAAGAGTTGGAAAATACAGTAGTCCCCCTTTATCTGAGGGGAATATGTTCTAAGACCCCCCAGTGGAAGCCTGAAACTGCAAATAGTACTAAATCTTACATATATAAGACTGTTTTTTCCTATACATATGTACCTATGATAAAGTTTAATTTATAAATTGGGCACAGTAAGAGATTAACACCAATAACTAAAAATAAAACAGAACAATTGTAACAATATACTATAATAAAAATTATGTGAATGTGGTCTTTCCCTCTCTTTCAAAATATCTTTTTTTTCTTGGTTTTTGAGACAGAATCTCACTCTGTTGCCCAGGCTGGAGTGCAGTGGCACAATCTGGGCTCACTGCAACTTCTGCCTCTAGGGTTCAAGTGATTCTCATGCCTCAGCCTCCCAAGTAGCTGGGATTATAGGCATATGCCACCACACCCAGCTAATTTTTGTGTTTTTGGTAGAGAAAAGATTTCACTATGTTGGCCAGGCTGGTCTTGAACTCCTTACCTCAAGTGATGCGCCTGCCTCAACCTCCCAAAGTGCTGGGATTACAGGTGTGAGCCATCACACCTCGCCTCTTTCAAAATATTAAGATATATTGTACTGTTCTGTGAGTAACTGAACATGGAAAGTGAAACCACAGAGAAGGGGGAACTATTGTATAGAGAGTCTAAAGGGAATTGAGGACAAAGTCAGACTTCGTAACATAATTAGAGTTCTGGAAGAAGGAAAGAAAAAGATTATGGGGAAATAGACAATAATAAAATAGCAAATGGGTGCTTTTTCTAAACTTTTGAGAGATACCAGTTTTCAGAATCAGGAAGCCCAATGTTTTCAAGCAGAATAAGTAAAATAAATTCATGCTTAGATTGCTAAAACTATAAAGCTCCAAAGATAAAGAGATGATTTTTAACAATTGTCAGAGAGAAGAGAGATTATAACAGCATATAATTCAGGGCAGTAGTCGAAGTTAAAATTTTTGAAGGTCCTTGTGTTATTTGGGGAGAAGGTAAAGACATTAACTTTAGATTTTTTTAAGTATGCCTGTTAATTATTTAGGATAACTCCTTTAAAACAATCAACATAGAGAATATCACTTCCAAATTAGAAGAGGAGAAAAAATGGAATGAAGGGGTTGCAGGGGGGACGCAATCAATCCAAAATAAGTCAAATACATTGGAGAGGGGTCAACAAACAAGAGCCCAGTAATTGTGGAGAGTACACCAGAGGCCAGGGTTGAGGGATATAAAGTGCTAAGCCCTCCAGACAGTGGAATGAAGCCAATGATGCGTTTCTTCCTTTTGTCCGATTACATCAAGGTCTTGGGGGCAAACACTTTGAGATTCAACCCTGGGATCTATGAAAGTCACATTTCCACAGAGAAAATGAGGCAAATATTGATTAAGAAAAAAGAGAAGGCTGGGAATGGTGGCTTACACCTGTAATCCCAGCACTTTGGGAGGCCGAGACGGGTGGATCACCTGAGATCAGGAGTTCGAGACCAGCCTGGCCAACATGGCAAAACTCTGTCTCTACTAAAACTATAAAAAATTAGCTAGGTGTGGTGCACACACTTGTAGTCCCAGCTACTCTGGAGGCCGAGACACGAGAATCCCTTGAACCCAGGAGGCAAAGGTTGCAGTGAGCCAAAATTGTGCCACTGCACTCCAGCCTGGGCAACAGAGCCAGACTGTGTCTCAAAAAAAAAAAAAAGAAAAAAGAAAAAAAAAAAGAAGTGTAGTTTCTTCAAGGCTTTGGTCAGGAAATTGCTAGAAAATCAATTAATTTTTTTAATTATCTGGAAATTTCCTGGATTTGCTACTTCACATTTTTAGCACAGATGAAATGAGGCCTCGGTGTGTGAACATGGATCAGTCAATTCATCATTTATTTTGGAAAAAAAATCAAATCTGTCCTATGTGCTAAGCAAAGTGTTAGACTCCCTTAAAGTGTTAACTATCTCGTAAGAGAATTATTTATAATGAAAGCTAAAATATTTTAATCACCCCAAAAGAGGTAAAAATAAAGCAGAGGAAGTTTTCAGAGTAGAAAGTATCCTTATTTGGTTGGAAAGATCAGATGAAGGGGATATATGAGATGGTCATAAAAGGAAAGACTGAAACTTTTCCTTCAGGTGATACAGAAGGCATTTTAGGTGAAGTGAGTATCATACACTACAATATAGTTGTTGGACATCGTTTTCAAAGATAGTTAGGGAACAAAAAATTATTAATTTGATCCATTTGAAAGATGTTAGAGAATAATTATCAATGAGAAAAAAAAAGTGTGTAGAAATGAATTGTGGCAGGCCTCAGATCCACAGCTGAAGAGCTCATACTTAATTTTACAGGAAACTGTAATAGTATGGGAGGCCTGCCTCTAAAGCTTTTCACAGATAGAAATCCGGCTTTCAAAGTGATACCCTTAACCACTTCGCCATGCTGCCCCTTGAACAAATGATGCCTATTTACAAGACACAGTGAGTTTTTGGGAATTTATTAGGCATTTGATAAATATTTGACCAATAGAAAAATGTCAGCACTGCTGATGATTTAGAAAACATCAAGTAAATAATAAACCCAGTGTAGTAAGGGCTTTGGGGAAGCAGATGCTTTTTATGCTACTTATTATTCTTAAAAAATACAATAAAATAAAATAAAGTAAAAAAATAAAAGTTTCAGGGCCCTGATGAGGTCTACTTGGTAAGTGGAGCGCCTGAGGAAGCCTGTAGCTTCAATCATGTATGGTAACCGGGTGGCTGAGCACCAATCTGGGTTGTGAGGAAATAGGGGAGAGGTATGCTGGGCCACATCCCAGCCTAACACGTGTGAGATTCCTTTTAGGAACTAACCTCATTAGCTACAAGGGTCATGCAGAGGCAGCAAAGCCTGGTGCGATGAGCTCAGCCTTCACTCATTCATGAACACCATCACTCTTTTATTCAAATCTGTATATGGCTTTTTTGCTTTTTTTTTTTTTGAGACAGAGTCTCACTCTGTCGCCAGGCTGGAGAGCAGTGGCGTGATCTCGGTTCACTACAACCTCCACCTCCTGGGTTCAACAATTCTCCTGCCTCAGCCTCCTGAGTAGCTGGGATTACAGGCATGTGCCACCATGCCAGGCAAATTTTTGTATTTTTAGTAGAGACGGGTTTTCACCATGTTGGCCAGGATGGTCTCGATCTCTGGACCTCATGATCCACCCACCTTGGCCTCCCAAAGTGCTGGGATTATAGGCATGAGCCACCGTGCCCAGCCAGCTTTTTTGTTTTAAAAGTTAAATCCATTCTAATTACCCAAGCAATGCATGAATTCATTATCCTTTTGAGAAACTAGGTTGTTATAAAGATACTGTCATTCAGCTACCAACCACTCCCCATTCCTGTCCCTTCCCCTCTTAATGGCTGTTATGTTTGTTATACTTCCATTTAGACTTTAATATTTTTACATACATATATGAACTCATTGGAAATAGTGTGTTTAATGCAAATGGTATATTGAATTGTTTAGCAATTTGTTTGCTTTGCTTAATGATGTTTTTGAGATCTGTGCATGTTAGTTAATGTAGATCAGTCCATCCTCTGTAATTGCTGTATAGATTGTCATCATATGACTACCATATTTTACCTACGCAAAAAAAAAACCAACAAAAATAAACAAACAAAAAACCCCCAAAACCCCATAAAATGGAACATTCCTCTTAATTTGATAAATTTACTTTTGGTATATGGATCAAGAAAATGATACAAATGAAAGAGAAAAAAATCCAAGGATATTTGTAAGTGGATTCTACTGGAAATGCTCAAGATTTGGGGACTGGTTAAACAAATGATTGCATATTAACACAATAAGGCATTATAATATAATACAAATTATTATATATATAAAATACCTATTTGAGAGAGATATTTGAAAGATATTAATTAAAAGTGGCATAGTATTATATATGGTTTATATATATATAAATTATGTCTATAAAATTTACTGTTACTCTGAAGTGATAAAAGAATGAAAAAAATCAGAGGACCTTGGGTAATTAATATTTTCTTTCTTTTTTTTTTTTTTGAAATAGAGTCTTACTCTGTCACTTGGGCTGGAGTGCCGTGGCTCAACCATAGTTCACTGCAGCCTCCACCTCCCTGGGCTCAGGAGATTCTCCCACCTCGGCCTCCTAAGTAGCTGGGACTACAGGTGCACACCACCACGCCTGGCTAATTTTTGCACTTTTTGTAGAGATGGGATTTGTCATGTTGCCCAGGCTGGTCTTGAACCCCTGGGCTCAAGGGATCCACTTGCCTTTGCCCCTCAAAGTGCTAGGATTACAGGCATGAGCCACCATGCCTGCCTTGTAGCTAATACTTTATAGTAAAGGAATTTTTGCAGTTTGGTTGGCTATAATTATTTTGTCTTTCACTATATTACTAGATCAATCAATAGACAATGAAGATATTTGCCGTTTGAAACCACACAATATTTAGACAAAGAGCTTTTAGTTGGACCATGTATTCAAATAGATGACCATCTGTAAGGAAATATTTTACTGTGTAAGGGAAAATAGACTCAAATTTCCTCCCACTCTGATTCTATTTCTCTCTAGTACTCTTAAAGTTTTACTACTTTTTCCACTTCTTGTATCTTCTAATTCTTACAATATTCAAAGAAAACCTCATAGTGTAATTGTCAATTATACTCTAATTGGAATGCAAATAAGATTAGCATTGCCAGTTAAGGCTTGTATGATGCCTGTTTTAAATATCAATTGCACAACTAAAAAACGAGGAATACTTATGCCAAATAAGCAATGAGATGACTAAGTTGAATAAGATGTAAAATCTGCTAGCCCAGATATTAATATCCTATTACTATAATCTATGTTAATATCTTCCTGAAAAAACAATTGTAACACACATTTTAGAATGAACAATGAGAAGTTTGAACATAAACTGCATCAATAATTTCCGGCACGTTAGGAAGATAATGAAACCAACAAATAGTAATATAGAGCCCTGATGACCCAGAAAGTGAAATTTGATATCGCTCTTAATATTTTCCTTTTAGTATTCAGAAAATCTTACCAGGGAATAACAACAACAAATCATCAATGAAGAATGGTCTATTGGAATGTATAATGATGGTTTATATGATGTATATGATACCAAAAATAGTCAGCAAAACACAGTTTCAAACTAAGAAATCTTGTGAAATAAACTATCAAAGAAGAAACTAATCCCTAGCACTAATCAAATTCAGGAAGCCTAATTAGAGCTGTTAAGCCTAATCTGCCAATCTGGCATTTGCTCAAAATGTGGTCAGGAACACTAACTACTTCAGTGTATAAAAATAGAGATTATCTCAAAATCCACAATATAAGACATCATTATCTTCTGAGTAAATAATACAAGCTAGAGTATACCTCGTAATAAGTAAATGATCTCTTTTATTTTAACTGAAGAAAAAGAATCAATGTTCTGGATGTAAATGTCCTCAACAGTGTTTATTTCTTATTCTTGGCCAGAAAAGAAGAAATGCATTAAGTATGTAATAATTCAGGCAGCTGACAAAATGTAAAAAAAAAAAATTCAGATTCTAATCGCAAAGATAGTGAAGGTCTTCCGTCTGCAGCCCTCTAATTTTCTAACTTTATATACCCTCTCTCGGTGACCTCATCCACATCCATAGTTTCAATGATCACTTGTACACCTATAACTTCCAAATTGCCAAGAGTCCTTCCTCAGTGTCTTCCTCTCCTCCCAGCAAATGACTTCACTTATTTCCATCAAGCAAATTGACATCTTTAGAAAGTAGTTCCCTTAATCACGACCCATCCAAATACTTACCAGGACCCATCTTTCCTTAACTTGCTTCCATCCTGTGTGAGATCACTGCCTTCATTTGAACAGACTCTATAGCTCTCACCCCCATTATTCAGTTTTGGTTTTTTTGGTTTTTTTTTTGACAGAATCTCACTTCATCACCCAGGCTGGTGTATAGTGGTGCGATCTCAGCTCACTACAACCTCTACTTCCTGGGTTCAAGCAATTCTCCTGCCTCAGCCTCTCAAGCAGCCAGGACTACAGGTGCGTGCCACCATGCCTGGTGGAGTTTTTAGTAGAGATGGGGTTTCACCATGTTGGTTAGGCTGGTCTCGAACTCCCGACTTTGAATGATCCACCCGCCTCGGCCTCCCAAAGTGCTGGGATTATAGGCATGAGCCACCGCGCCCAGCCAGTGTTTTTCCTTTTCTGTCTCTCTTTACTGGTTCCTTTTTAGGATTTAAATAGAATTTAGCTCAATGTCACTCCCACCTCTGAAGATCTAGTTAAAGGGACTCAAATTCTGATGGCATGTGAAAGTCTAGCCCCTCCCTAAGATTTCTGCCAATTCTTAGGGGTTTATAATCACAGGACTCTTTCAGCCTCTAGGCACAGGGGGTCCTCGTGTGCTCTGTGTTTCTCAGCCATCTCCTTGGTTTCCAGAACAAAATCATTCACAACTAAGAGTGGTGAACTTAATTATTGACTTTATTGAAGGTATGTGAGATCCAGGGAAGGATCCCACTCCTCAGCACACACTGTCCGCCATCCTGCTCACTCCGCTCTCACCCCTCTCTCCATTCTTCCACTCCTCATCCTCTTTGTTCTGGGCTTCTCTGGGAATACCCAATTCACTCTGCTTCTAATGTTCTGGCATCAGCCAACTCTTTCTCTTTCTCCACATTATCAATTGCTGAGTTTCACTTACTATTGTCTTGCAAACTCTTAACTCTATCACTTTTATTTCATTTCTAGGCCAACACTGTTGTTTAGATTTCTGTCCCTTATACTTGGATTATTGTAGTATGGCAGTGAACTAACTGGGCTTGGGGCTTTGATTCTCTGTCCCCTCCAATAAATCCTGCACAGACCTGAAAGATGTGTCTTTCCAGAGTTATCCTTCATCATGTCAGTTCCAAGGTCAGAGTTCTTGAACAAATTCCAATTCTGATGTAATAAAGTCCCATTTGCCTAGCCTGGCATTTAAGACTTTCCATAATCTGGTCCCAACCAAATTTTCCAGCCTTGTCTCCCAGTCCTCCGTCACTCAAACCAGCCAAACTGGTAGACCCACTCTCTTTAGCATCTACCTGCACAGTCCTGTCTTCACAACCCTGGAATGTATTGTGCCCTTAATCCACTCATTTTCAAATCTGGTCTTAAATACTACCTCCCCTTCCAAGCCCTTCCTGGCTCTCTAACTGAGGGGTTTCCTGGGATATGGGACGTTCAGTGCTAAAACTGAACAGTCCTGGGCAAACCAGGACAGCTGGTCACTCTGCCTGTGATATATTCAGCAAAAGTCCTGAGGGAGAACAGGGAGGCAGTGCTTTCTCGTGGTTGCCTACTGTGGAAATTCAAAATTTTTGTGGCAGAATTGGCTACAGAAAACTCAAATGAGGGAAAAGGAAGGTGAATGAGAACACTTGTTCCACCTAATAATAGGCCCAGGCTGAGACCTTAATAAACTAACTGACTTCCTTTCTTCCTTCCTTCCTTCCTTCCTTCCTTCCTTCCTTCCTTCCTTCCTTCCTTCTTTAGTTCCTTCCTTCCTTTCTTCTTTCCCTCCCTCCCTCCTTCCCTCCCTCCCTCCCTCTCTCTCTTTCTTTCTTCTTTCCTTCTTTCTTTTGAATTAAGAAGAGCAAGGATGAATAAAAAGGTGCATTTCAAGTAAAGGAGTTTTTAATAAGGATCTAAGTGGGTGGGAAACGTACAGATCTTAGGAGTGAGAGGAAAATCTAGATAGGTAAACAACATTTTCCTTTTACTGTTACTTTGGAAATAACCAGAATCAGAGCTGGTCACTATTAGGAAAAATAAATGAACACCAAAAGTTGAGGCCAAACTTTCTGGAGGATTTTCATGCCAAGTTGAAATTCAAGATGAGTTATAAAAGTTTGGTACAACAACAGCCGATTAAGCAGTCAGGGAATTGTGTTAGAGATTTGTAACATGCACATGTTATATTGTTTGAGAACATTAAGATCTGTTATAGAAGAAAACTGAAATTAATGAACTAAGATGTGTTACACATAGATAACTGGTTAGTAAGTAAAGTATGTATGTATATGTTAAATGTAGATGCATGTTAAAAGGGATGGAATGATAAAGAAATGCCTAATAATCATGAGTCATTGCATATATATGAGGCCCCTGTGGCCAGATGTACTTGTCCTTGCATCCTTCCAATACAGCAAGTGGCTTAGGCAGCCTTAAATATATGGAACCCTTTGTTCAAACCTGAATTCTGGTCCTTGTAACCACACCACCAGCAGGGAAGGCTAATGAAGCAGCAGAGGGAGACAAGATGGATGAATATGGAGTTCCTCAGGATTCAGGTAGTGTGGCCCATTCATGCCACGAACATCCAATCCTAAGTATATTAATGTATGCTGCTTGTTTCCCCCTTTTCTCGCTATGTGTTTTAAGTTGATTTAATAAACTGTTGATGTGAACAGTTTAATTTGGTCTTGAAGTCTTTCATTTCCATGATCTCTGTGATAGCTTGTCTGGCAGTGGACTTGGAGGCTATGTGGCATTAGGATAATTTTCTACATGACATGATTTTAGAAAAATGTTCTGTCTGCCATGAAGGTGTCCTCTCTCCAATTGGCATTGTGTTATTAAATAAGTAGTCACTTTAATAAATAAGTTATATTTCTGGACAAATTTGAGGCTTGAGATCATTTATAATAATTTATCTTGGTAAACACATTTATGGCTTATTTTTGGTTGCTCAGATTATTTACATGTGACAATACTGTAATTGAATATGCTGGCTGTCTTTTCTTTCTTGCTTACTTTTTTCTTTTTCCTTTTATTGAAAATAGGCAGGGTACCAAGAATTACTAATTACAATATTCCTTCATTTCATGGGTAATGCTTGAGGAATGAATTAGCGATGCAAATGTTGAGTCGATATCCACAAATGTAACAAGTTTATGATGCTAGAAGTAAATGTCCACAGGTATTATTAGATTTATGAGCAGGCAAAAACAACAGCCAAAAGGCCTTCAAACCTCCAAAATCTCCATCCTTGGCTTCCATTAGAGTTGACTCTTTAAGATTAGGTTCAATCTCTAGAAAGTTCATTAAATAACTAACTCAATAAACATTTATTTAGAAACTCCTGCATACTAGACTTTGGATGGAGACTATAAAATCCCTGCCCTCATGGAGAAGCAGGGGAAAGAAGCAGCATACATTAATATACTTAGAATTAAATGCTCGTGGCGTGAATGGGCCACACTACCTGAATCCTAGGGAACTCCATATTCATGCGTCTTGTCTCCCTCTGCTGCTCCATTAGCCTTCCCTGCTCATGGTGTGGTTACAAGGACCAGAACTGAGGTTTGAACAAAGAGAAATCGGAGTAATTTAATGGCTAAGTGGCTGCCTGCATATCAGGTGTACAGAGTGTTTTCCTGCCATTATTTTTGCCAAAATAATTCACTGGGACTTAGTACATGAGCATAGTTTAGTTTGTGAGATTGACTGATGAAAAGTATGACCTGAGAAAAAGAGACAGGGCAGGTAGATTTGTGGGGAAAATAGACCTGGAAGTTCTTTTGTTTCATTTTGCTTTGTTTTTTTTTTGTTTTTTTGAGACAGAGTCTGGCTCTGTCTCCCAGGCTGGAGTGCAGTGGCGCGATCTCGGCTCACTGTAACCTCTGCCTCCTGGATGCAAGCGATTTTCCTGCCTTAGCCTCCTGAGTAGCTGGGATTACAGGCATATGCTACCATGACCGGTTAATTTTTTTGTATTTTTAGTAGAGATGTTGGCCAGGCTGGTCTCTAACTCCTGACCTCAAGTCATCTGCCCACCTTGGCCTCCCAAAGTGCTGGGATTACATGCCTAAGCCACTGCATCTGGTCCCAGACCTTGAAGTCCTTGACCATAGGTTGTATGTCATGATGGCACTTGGACATTTGATTTCTTTAGAGAAAAAGTCCCTATCTCATAAGATACAACCAAATAAGTTCAGAAGTAAAGAAGTAGAAGCCACTATAAACAATCCATAGAGGAAAGGAAACATTTAAATGAAAGGGAATGAAAGGAAAACATTTAAATCATTAGAGCAAAGAAATAAAACCACTAAGGAAAATTAATACATAAGACTACATACAAATTTTCAAATTCTGCACATTATAAACTTCTATATACGAATTAAAATACAAATAACAAACTAGGGGAAATGTTTTCAGTATATATGACAAAGTATTTAAAGTAATCGATTTTCATTCTACCAGAAAGACATGCACACATATATATTCATTGCAGCACTATTCACAATAGCAAAGACATAGAATCACCCTAAATGCCCATCAACAGTAGACTGCATAAAGAAAATATAGTACCTATACACCATGGAATACTATGCAACCATAATAAAGAATGAAATCATGTCCTTTGCAGGAATATGGATGGAGCTGGAGGCCATTATCCTTAGCAAACTAACACAGGAACAGAAAACCAAATACTGCATGTTCTCACTTGTAAGTGGGAGCTAAATAATGAGAACAAGTGGACACAAAGAAGGAAACAACAGACACTGGGGACTATTTGAGTGTGGAGGGTGGACGCAGGGAGAGGATCGGAAAAAGTAACTAGCCTCCTATCAAGGTGGCAAAATTATATGTACACCAAGCTCCCGTGACATGCGTTTACCTATATAAAAACCTGCACATGTACCCCTGAACCTAAAATAAAAGTTAAAAATATAATAAAATAATGGATTTTATAAAGTAGTAGAAAAAGGTAAACGATTTAGAAGAAAAATAAGCAGAAGCTTTTTATAAAGAGAGGTGTGCAAGTGGTTACGAAACACATGAAATAATATGCAGATTTATTAATAATAAAAGAAATAAGAGGTAAAATAACAGCCATTTGAACATTGTAAATAGAAAATGAGGGTTAGTGGGATGGATAATAAACTTTCATGAACTGCTTATAAGCATATAGATTTGCATGAAGTTTTTGGTGGATAATTTGGCAACACATTTCAAAAGGCTTGTAATAATTTAGAATCTATTACCTATCACACCTCCTTCTGGGAATTTATTTTAAATAAATAATTTAAGGCTGGGTGTGGTGGCTCACATCTGTAAATCCCAGAGCTTTGGGAGGCCAAGGCAGGCGGATCCCCTGAGGTCAGAAGTTTGAGATCAGCCTGGCTAACATGGCGAAACCCCATCTCTACTAAGAATACAAAATTAGCCAGGCGTGGTGGCGTGTGCCTGTAATCCCAGCTACTCAGGAAGCTGAGGCAGGAGACTCATTTGAACCCAGGAGATGGAGGTTGCAGTGAGCTGAGATCATGCCATTGCACTCCAACCTGGGCAAAAAGAGTGAAACTCCATCTCAAAAAAAAAAAAAAAAGGAAATAATTAAAAAATTTAAACTAATTACAGAAAAATGTACTTATCATAGAATTATTTTTAACACAGAAAAACTGAGATGAATTTAAATGAGGTTGAACAATGACATTGGCAATTGGTCAAATACATTATGATATATTTATATAAGGATATAATATGCATGATTGAGCTGGGTGCGGTGGCTCACGCCTGTAATCCCAGCACTTTGGGAGGCCGAGGTGGGTGGATCACTTGAGGTCAGGAGTTCGGGACCAGCCTAGCCAACATGGTGAAATTTGGTCTCTACTAAAAATACAAAAATTAGCCAGGTGTGGTGTCAGGTGACTGTAGTCCCAGCTACCAGGGAGGCTGAGGCAGGAGAATTGCTTGAACCCGAGAGGCGGAAGTTGCAGTGAGCCAAGATCATGCCACTGCACTCTAGCCTGGGTGACAGAGCAAGACTCTGTCAAAAAAAAAAAAAAATGCATGATTGAAAGAATAATATAAAATATAGAAGAATGCTTAATGACATGAGAAATTAGTCACAATATCTTGTAAAAGACAAAAGTAGCTTATGATGCCATAATGTGACATGATTTCATTTTTATAAAATATATGCTGCAGGAGTATGTGTTTATATGTGTATGTATATCTATGTCTAAAAAGATACAATTATAGATAATTTTACATTTTATTCCATAAGTTTTTCTGAATTTAAAAATATCATAAAACAACATGTTACTTACATAAAATTTTAGATTTGTAGTTAGAAATATTTAAAATAATTTAAAATGTTGCATTCTGTTATTAAATATTATCAGGCCCTTCAACTGTGTCTGACTACTGAAATAAGTCTATTATTAAATAGGTGTAGTGCTTTCTTAAAAATATTATACTCAAACATTAATTGAAAAGCTTACATGTTAAACACATATTCTTCTTCCAGCAAAATGAAATGTCACCCCGAGTTACCTTGGGTCACCAAGGGTCCCAGTTAGCTTTGTACTGATATTTGGCCGTGTCTTGTAGAACTGCATGATGTCATCCTTTTTTGTAACCATTTGCAACTTTAGTTTCTATGGGGACCAAGGAACATCCTAGGGCAAGAATTAAAACAGAGTCAATTGTTTTGGTAGAAATTCACTAGGTCAGGACCGTATCACAGAAGAGAAATGAGGGACCTGAAGAGAGAACTCACCATAAAGAAAGGAGTCGGGCAGGGTGAATGAGTCAATTTAGTAGTAGTTCCTGAAAGTCAGAAATGGGTCATGTTTCAGGAACAGTGTGGCAATCTGAACCTGAACACTTCCCATCCAATTATTTCAGCAATCATTGTACCTTGCCCTCTGGGGGAAATGGGGCAGTGTCTGTAAAGAAACTTGCTGTATCTCAAGGAATTCTGTAATTCTTATAGGTCCCAAAAATCTTCTGTGATGCAGCTCAACCTGCTCTACTCTTAGCAGAGTGTAATGTGTAGGGAGAAGTTGTTCTTTTCTCTTTTTTTGAGATGGAGTTTCACTCTTGTTGCCCAGGCACAATCTTGGCTCACTGCACCTCTGCAACCTCTGCCTCCTGAGTTCGAGCGATTCTCTGCTCCAGCCTCCTGAGTAGCTGGAATTACAGGCATGTGCCGCCACGCCTGGCTAATTTTGTATTGTTAGTAGAGACAGGGTTTTGCCATGTTGGTCAGGCTGGTATCAAACTCCTGACCTCAGGTTGTCCACCCGCTTCGGCCTTCCAAAGTGCTGGGATTACAAGCGTGAGCCACTGTGCCCAGCTGACCTTGTTCTTTTCATTTGCAAGAGATGTCACCATGAAGACTGGGAGAATCCACTGTGGCCAGGTGAATTAGCAGGCAGCTGATGTGCGCGAGGGCAGAGGACTTTCCGGAGTCAAGATTGGACAAATGGAACTCAGTGAAGCAAGGGCTGGGAACAGGTGGTAGCTTAGAATGATTCATTAGATTAGTTTTGCCAGACACCACTTGGAAACCCAAAAGTATTTTGGAGGAATTTCACAAAGGACTGGCGTCTTGGCATGAGTTGGTAGGTTCATTTAGCTATTAAGATTTAGATGTTAATGTTATACTTGCAGTTGGCTTTGCAGGGAAAAAAAGAAAAAAATAGAAATTAAAAAATTTTTAAAAAAGAAAAAACATTTAGATGTTAAAGTTAATGTTGGCTAATTTTTAGCCTTAAGCTGGAGAAGCTTGTTCAGGCGTGAGCAGGTATATGCAAACCTATCCTGAAGGGTTGTGGGAGCTGAGAGGCTGAAGAAAGTGACTGACAAATCCAGTTTTTCAGAAAGAAATATTTAACAGGGTCTTATGAACCAAAGTGACTCTCCAGAGGCCATGAGATTACACATCCTCGCATCCACCCTCCAGAAAGTATTCTAAGACTTGGGCAGTTGGTCCCATCTCAAACTTATGACCACTGGGGAGGTCAGATAAGCATCTTTATGAGGGGTTGTCTATGCTAGATGCTTGGTTTAAAAACCTTGCTGCAGAACACCTTTGCATGCAGGAGCCAGACATTGCTCTTCATGGAGGTTTTGCTTCAAGATGGCGCCACTCTTGCCACGCAACAGGCTGTTTGCCAACAAAACTGTAGGACATTAAGATTACCCGTGATATTGTTTCTCTTTCTTTCTTTTTTTTTTTTTTTTTGAAATTTATCTGGGAGTGCTGCTTTATTTTTTGACAAATCTGAGTACTTAATGGATCTGGATGCTTATAAAAGTTTTATTCATTCATTGAATGTCTATTCATTGAGAAATCTCTATGCATTTGGGAATACGAAGACTTTAAAACATAGTCTTTGCCTTCTAGTGGCGTAAAGTCTAATGTATGAAACAGAAAAATGTGGCAAAAGGGATGGTCAGAGCGGGCACAAGGAGTATTAAAGCCCTCAGGTGGAGTACCTAACCCAAGTAGAAGGGTGGGGTCAGGGACTGTTCCCCAAAGGAGGTCACTGACAGTTCCTACTGATCTTGACCATAGCTGCGGTCCCCTGTGACAGCAGTAGGACAGTTCAATGTACTGATGTGGGAAACAAACTCTATTTAATAACTGCTAAATGGTGCTGAGAATGAGTTAAGGTTAGAGATAATCGGCAAACTGACATAGAGGCTTAAAAATCTTAAAAATCCCTATAGGATGTTTGGTTATTGACAGAACCAGTTAATATTGAAAATCAATTAAATAGATAAATTCGGCCAGGCGCGGTGGGTCACAACTGTAATCCCAGCACTTTGGGAGGCCGAGGCGGGCGGATCATGAGGTCAGGAGATCGAGACCATCTTGGCTAACATAGTGAAACCCCGTCTCTACTAAAAAATACAAAAAATTAGCCGGGCGTGGTGGCGGGCGCCTGTGGTCCCATCTACTCGGGAAGTAGAGCAGGGAGAATGGCGGGAACCCGGGAGGCGGAGCTT
Source organism: Homo sapiens (assembly GCF_000001405.40). Taxonomy (NCBI): domain Eukaryota; kingdom Metazoa; phylum Chordata; class Mammalia; order Primates; family Hominidae; genus Homo; species Homo sapiens. The sequence continues at coordinate 131,132,252 of NC_000006.12, forward strand.
GCAGTGAGCCGAGATTGCGCCACCGCACTCCAGCCTGGGCGACAGAGCGAGATTCCGTCTCAGAAAAAAAAAAAAAAGATGAATTCATAGGTATTAATTTGTTTTATGAAAGCAAAAAAGAACCAGGTTGCCCAATGCTTTAACGAAGGTTCACCTGCAGCACGACTCATGAGGGCATGGATCCTCTGGTCCACACTTCCCTCTCCCTCCGTATGTTCTGCCCATTCCTCCCTGACTATTAGTACACAGCCCTTTTCTCCCCAGAGGACAATATACACTGGCACAGTGCCAAAACAACTGGATTGGAAGGGTTTAGTTTTAAGCTACCACACTGTTCCTGGACCACAACACCCCACCGAGATTTTGAAAAGCCTGAGCCAATTATTTTCTAGAATGTCACACATTCTGGATTGGTCTGATTCTTTCCTCATCATGTTATTTTACTTGTACCTCTATCTCCTGTATTTCTGGAAATCTGAAAATTATATTTAAAGCCTTAGCAGCTTCAGGTGAAATATTTATGGCAAGACTACCTTGCAGTGATGATATAGCTTTCACAGGAGCTTTCACAGATTGTCCACCATTAATGATGCTGAGTTTAATCACGATAAAGGTGGTGACAACCAGGTTTATTTACATGGAGTAAAAATATGTTCTCTCCTGAGCAATTACCAAGTATTTTGTGGGGGGTAGTATTTTGGCAACTTATAAATATTTCGGTCCACATTAACCTTTCATGTAATGGTTTTAGAATATATTGATGATCTTTGCATCAATCAGTTATCAGTTGTGGTGGCAAAATGGTAATTTTCCAATTATTTTATGTCTCCTATATTTATTATTGAAAATTCTTCTGTGCAAAGCAGCTTTCCCATACTACTACTTCTAAAAAGTCATGGTAAATCTTTCTTTCCCTTTAATTTTTAGAGTAAGGAGACTAAGGAATTGCGTACTTGTCACCTTTAATGGTGGCCTACTAGTTTTTCTTCCTCATTTTTTGAGTATTATTATGGGTATATAGATTTTGTATTCAGTATGTTACAATAATTACAGGTGTTATCCTTTTATGATGTCAGATTATCTCCCATTTGCTCAAAGAAAGCTGTTTCTCGCTAGTCCTTGTGTTTTTGATAGTCCCCATTTGTCTTTGCTTTTTGGCACAAGAAGATGTCCAAGGTTCACCTTGTACTTCCCTTTCTCCCTGTCATTTCTAAAAGAAGCTCTGTGAAAAATTCCTTTTTCAGACTTGGGTAATTAAAATGTTCCTCCACATGGTAGGTGTTGATAAGACTCTGTATTCATAATACTGGTGGTGAAAAATATGTGGCATTTGGGCTGTTACCTCTGCTTAGGTAAGAGAATGAAACTTCCATATATCTCTTGGTACACACCACAGGGGAAGAAAAATCTTTCTCCTGCCCATTTAGTTCACTAGGTTGGACTGTGTAAATTAAATTGACAAAAGACAGATTAAGACGAGAAAAGGATTATTACACATGCACATAGATGCTTCACAGGAAAGAACTAAAAGCCCGAAGAGGCAGTTAGAACTGGGGGCTTCTATACCATTTTAACGATGATAAAGTGTGGAGAGGCTAGACAAAGGAAAAGGGGGCTTAGCCTTTTTGCAGTATGGGAAGGTTACTAGAAAATGTATGGGTTTGTTATGCAGGTAAGACTCATTCTCCTCTTTCTGGTATGGGTGAGTGGTAAAGCTTTGTTGTTTGTTTGTTTGTTTGAGACAGGATCTGGCTCTGTTGTCCACACTGGAGTGCAATGGCATCATCTCAGCTCACTGCAACCTCCACCTCCTGGGCTCCAGCGATCCTCCCACCTCAGCCTCTGGAGTAGCTGGGATTACAGGCATGGGTCACCACGTCTGGTTAATTTTTGTATTTTTGGTAGAGACAGGGTTTTGCTATGTTGCCCAGGCTGGTTTCAAACTCCTGGACTCAAGTGATCCACTCGCCTTGACCTCCCAAAGTGTTGGGGTTACAAGCGTGAGCCACTGGGCCCGGCCTGGTAAAGCTTTAAAAATAAAAATTTATGTCACCTTTACGAAGGGAAATTTATGTCCTGCTTTTAGGCAGAAAGGGGGAGGTCAAAGTTGTTCCTGAGTCTTTAGTTTCTGAACTGTTTTAAGCTCAAGAATAATCCTTATGCTGAAGTGGCATATTTGGGGTGGCATATTCTCATCCTCTTCACTATGAATGTGGACCACATTTTTGCAGCTTTTATTTCCGCAGTTACTTATGTTTCTTTCTCTGCTATTATATGATCAGCTCCATAAGTAAAAGACCTGTCTTACCTGCACATCCTCAGCACAGAGCTCAAGCATTAAATAAATATTAGGGGAACTGGTTGTACTTTCCTACCAGCCCATAAATGGGCATCAGAAACTCAACGTGTTAGAATTATTTGAAAATCAGAGTAACTAGTTTGCCGACTTCTAGTGTGCAGCCTTTACGCCAGCTGTTGTGGCTGTGTAGGGGTCTTCTTTTCTTCCATCCCTATTCTACGATGCATTCAACATAAGCGAAGTGTTATTATTCACGAAAGGCGCTAATTTGTGGACGGATGCACCTAATGTTCTTAACCCCTGGTTTCTTCGCACTAAAACCAATCCCAATAGCATTCCGTTTCAAGTGAAAGGTTTTTATTTTTTTAAACTAAGTAAATTTCTTTTTCTCCCAATTTACTCACTGCAGTACCTTATACTACAAGAACCAGCAACTGGTTTCCTCTTAATGTCTAAACATAACATCATTGTTAAAAATTAGAGACTTTGTCACAATTTGCAGTTTTTAAAAGTAAGGTAAATAAAGTATCTCATTATACAGAAGTACAAGGTCTCGTTCTTGTACATTTCGCTCTTCCCAAATATTCTGCAATCAGAACCCTGATTGCAAAACTAAGCACATGGATTCTCAAAAGACACCAGGCCAGAGAATTCTTTCATCCTAGTCCCAATCTCGCCCTTGAAAGCGTGGGAGGGGCAAGGCTGCGCCACGGGAAATAAATGAGGGCTGCCAAAGGCCGTCGGAGGCCGCGGGGCTCGGCAGGCAGGCGAAGACCCAGCGTCGCATTGCAGAGTCGAGACGACCTGGGCTGCCGTGACGCCGCAGTCGCCGGCCCTAGTTTCCCCCGCCCTGCCCGAGCGCGTCCGCGCCTCTCGCCCGAATCCGGGTACCACCGGCGACTCGGGTCGGCCCCTTCTGGCTTGTTCCGGCGTCCGGCCTGGCATGCGGGTGCTGCGGCTGCTGCGGCTGCCGCCGCCGCTGCTGCCGCTGCCGCGGGGGCTGCGGCTTGGGAAGCTCCGCGCTTCCGCAGGCCTGGCCTCCGCCGCCCGGGCCCCCGCAGCCTGTCGCTGGACCCCGCGCCGGCCCAGCGCACCGCCCTCAGGCCCCGAGCCCCGCCCTGGCCTCCGCCTCGGCCTCGCCTCCAGCCCCGGGACGCGGCCCGCCACCGCCGCTGCCGCCAGCCCAGACGCGCCGCCCGCATGCGCCGCGACCATGGAGCGCCCCGAAGCGGGTGAGACCGGGCTGTCCAGCGGGCCGGGGCGGGGGCGACAGGAGCCGCGGGGGCCTGGGCCTGCTCTGCGCTCGAACTTTGGGAGGGCCTGACCCGCGCCGGCCCTTCTCCGAGTCTCCCTCCTTCCCAAAAGGACTCAGGGTAGCACCGAGAAGCCCGGTGCAACCGGGGTGTACATCAGTGCTGCCTGTAGCGAAGCGTTTTAATGCACGCATTGTGGGTCCGACAGGAGGCGGGGGTATGAGCCCATCCCCGAGTTTCACTTTTCTTTCTCCCTTTCTCATCCTGTGACCCTTTGCACAAAGTTCATGCCAGTACACATTCCTTCCGACGGTGTTGATGTGGGTAAATGTAAACAAAACCTAGTAAAATTTCGATTTTATCTTATATCACAAATATTAAGCACCCGAACCACCATACTGTCTCATTTAGGATTTTCTGCCAGGTTTGGACATGACCGCTTTTAAAACTGGCGCCAAGTCTACACTAGCGCCCGGAATGAATTTCCAGTTTAGGTCAGCGTTTGTTGTGAACTGAACTTTGTGATAGAGCGAGTTAGGGGTGGACTTTCGGTAAAAGGGTCCGCAAACCAATTAGAGAAAAGGTGCTCCTCTGCAAGAGTTTCATAGGATAAACTCATAGAAGAGTATAAAAAGCATAAAAACGTTAAAGTGTACTATATAAATAGCAGTTAATCGTGTGAATATGTTGACAATTGTTAAGTGAATGATGACAGTGAGTTTTTGCATTTAGGAAATGCATGGGAATGGAAATTGTTAAGGAGAAAAGAGCCATACTCCAGTTCCTTGTTTAAGTGCCGTGGCTTTGCAATTCAGGATCCTGTTAGCATATCTGTATATTTTCCTTACTCATAAAGTTTAAGATGTTTGTGGAGGTTACTTCCTCCTTTCATCCATTTTCGGACACTATTAACTTGTTTTGTCCATTTCTCCCTAATAATTTGGATTTTACTTTTGTTCCCTTTTTATGAGGAGGAAAGGAAAGCCTGGAGGTCAAGTAACTTGTTGATTTCTACGCAGCTGTCAACATTTACTAACGTGTAAGATGCTAATACTATTTTTAGTAGCTAAGCCAGGACTAGAATGGATGCCCTTAGCCCTTTCCAGTTGTTCTTAGGAATAAACTTATTTATGTATGTACTTATGTATGTATGTATATATGTATATATGTATTTAGAGACAGGGTCTTCCTCTGTTGGCTCAGGTGGAAGTGCACTGGCGCGATCATGGCTCACTGCAGCCTAGATCGGCTGGGATCATGCCAACCTCCTGTTTCAGCCTCCCCAAGTAGCGGGGACTACAGGTCTGTGCCAACATGCCTGACTAATTTTTGTATTTTTTTTTTTGTAGAGACGGGGTCTTGCCATGTCACCAAGGCTTGAACTCCTGGGCTCAAGCAGTCCTTCTCTGAGTGCTGGGATTACACGTGTGAGCCAACTTGCTCAGCTGGGATAAATTTACTATTTACCTAGTAGAGTGATGAGAGACTTACTTCACAAAATTGAGTAGTCATTTATTATCCAGTTAGGAAACCTGCATTTTGTGTGACAGTGGGAGAACTCTCCATACCCTTTTCTCTCTCTTTTTTTTTTTTTTAGAGGCAAGAGTCTCGCTCTGTCGCCCAGGCTGGAGTGCAGTGGCACAATCTCGGCTCACTGCAACCTCCGCCTCCCAGCTTCAAGCGATTCCCCTGCCTCAGCCTCCCGAGTAGCTGGGACTATAGGTGTGTGCCACCACGCCCGGCTAATTTTTTGTATTTTTAGTAGAGATGGGGTTTCACCGTGTTAGTGAGGATGGTCTCTATCTCCTGACTTCGTGATCTACCTGCCTCGGCCTCCCAAAGTGCTGGGATTACAGGTGTGAGCCACCTCACCCGGCCCACCCTGTTGGCCTGTTTTTGATGAAGGCATTTGCTTCACCTGTATTTGAATATTTGCATATATTTAAAGGTATGGTTTTATAATATACTTAAAATGTATGTATTGTTTTTCTTAGGTAATATTCAATTTTGAAACGTTTGAATAGCAGAAATGAGAAACATGAATATATTCAATATAGTTGTCAGCATTTACAAGCAGTTTATACTGTTTAGCCTTTGGCCACATAATTGTAAATCATAGAGCATATGCAATTTTATATCTCCTTTCTAAAAACTTGGCATTTGTTGTTAGCTTTTTTCTGTCATTGCATTCTTCATAGTCATTGTTCGTAGTTGTCATTGTCGCGAGCATGCTTCGTTTAACTGTTTCCCTATTTTTTTCATTGTTTCTATTTCATTGTACCCAGTCACCATCCATGTTCCCCCCACCCGTTCCACCACCCTCCCCAGCCTCTGGTAACCATTCTTCTATTCTCTATCTCCATGAGTTCAAATGTTTTAATTTTAGTTCCCACAAATAAGTGAGAACATAGAAAGTTTGTTTTTCTATGCCTGGCTTATTTCACTTAACATAAGGATCTCCAGTTCCATCCATGTTGCAAATGACAGGATCTTATTCTTTTGTATGGCTGAATAGTACTCCATTGTATATATGTACCATATTTCCTTTTTCCATTGGATAACCTTAGTTATCCAACACTTAAATTGCTTCCAAATCTTGGCTATTGTACCATTTCCTTGTTATTAGGCATTTAAGTTTTGTTCCACTTTTCCTTTTTTGTTTAAATAAAGCTGTGGTGAATCTTTGAGCATGGATGATAGATAACCAGAGAGCAGTAAGAAGAACATCGGAAGAATATTTCTGTGGCTTCTGGTCTATTGCCAGATTGCTTTCTGAAAGGATTGCCTCCGTTTACATTGCTATAGTCAGTGTATAATAAGGTGGCAGTGTGTGGTGCCAGAAAGGGCATAATGGTAATAGAGTGACTGGATTCCAGTTCCAGCCCCAAGACCCACTAGTTTTACCCTTGAGCAAGTACTTATTTAATCAGTTAGTTTGTAAAATGAGCATCATAATAGTACCTCTCCATAGTGTGGTTGTGTGGATTAAATGAGTTCCTCCCAGTGCTTCCAGCTGTGCCTGGCTTCAAGCATGCACTTAAATGTTAGCTGTTGTTAGTAGTAGTAACAGACATATTAATAGTTTACCAGCTTCACCTCATCTTTATGTTATTAATGCATTTGGAAGCATAACTTTTATTTGGATTTATACAAAAGATAGAATTTTAACTATGGTTAGAACAAATTGTAGGAGACTTTTAAGTACTCAACCCAATGAACTTAAAAGAGTTTAAATGCTTTAAGAGTTGGTTATTTTAAGGCAGTTTTCCAAAAGCAAAATATTTATACCTTCTATAAGAGAAAGTGTAGTTATGACTGGTGTATTTAATTCACATCTACCAACCTTTGCCCAAACACTAGAGCTTAGAGAACTGGAGGAAGTGTTCTAAATATTTGGTTTGAGAAACATTGTTCTATAGAATGACCAGCAGTTCTTTCAAGACTTATTTGAAAGTGGCACTCCTTTTTTTTGAGTTAATAATTCCTATCTCAAAAATTGTTGAGTTAATAATTCCTATTATTCTATAGCTTAAGAGAAGATAGTTGTTTGTATTTCAAGTTCTAGACTCCTGTGGATTTTGATGTAACATTGCATTTGAGTTTAATATGCTTTATTTAGCAAGGTAAAGAATGATGTTGAACAAGTTATATTATGCTTTAATTTTTATTTTCATGTCAAATGGGATACTAGTACTTTTCCTTTATTCATCTGGTGAAAATGAGAGAATCTGTGTTGTGCTGAGGCTGCCACTAAATACCAGGAATTATTTTTCATGGGCAGTGAGATAGCTGTATTGCATTGTAGCTATCTACACTAGCTACTAGTGACTTACTAACCACTCTCAAATGTGGACTTACCTTTATCACATTTATTCATTCAGTAAAAATTTATTGAGCACCTATTGTGAGCTGAACTCAGTGCTAGGCATGGAGGAATCAAAGGAGAATAAGACAAGGCTTTTAAGGAACTTCGACTATGGTGACGACACATGATGGAGTGCAGTTATAGGAAGTTGTCCCTTTCACTTTCAAAAGTGTCCTGGTTTGGTGAATTGTATGGTCACTTTACCTTAGAATCTAATGGATAAGACAGATAAACGGACATGTATAACATAAAGTATACATGCAGTGATTGGAGGAAGCACTAGGTGCCTAGAAGATTGGATTACCTAACTCAGCCCTGAGCTGGCGATCTGCAAGGTTTTCCCTGACGGTAGAGGTCTGATCTAAGGTTTTACTTTGAAGTTGATTGTTCTTAACTGTTCACACAATCTCTTAGTCTGGTGTGAGGTCAAGGTATAGAAGAAGTGAAAGGGGATCTTCTGGAGCAGTGGTTTTCAATTGGAAAACCACTCTTGCACATCGGAATTACTCTGCAGAGGTTTAAAAAAATACCAGAGGTTGGCCTAATCTCCAGAGATTCTGATTTAATTGGCTGGAGTGACACACATGCGTTCTAGTGATTTTTTTTTTTTAAAGCTCTGCAGGTGATTCTAATGTGCAGTTACTATTATTACCATTGTTACCGTGTGATTCTCTCTTTGGTATAGCCAGAATGAAGTCCATAGCACTTGCTCTCTAATTGTTGGTGATTAATTGAGCTCAGGAGAAACCAAAAGTTAAGCGATTTTGCGAACTTTTCTTATTTAAAAATTGACTTAATTTAATTCATCATTGTATTCTTTCTTTTGCCTTCAAAATGTGTTGAAGCCCAAAATTAAGTTTCCTCTCCCTCACTTATTGCTAAGAATCTGTATTTCCAAGTAGCACAAGAACTTGGAAGCTAGTAGTGAGATGACGGTGTTAAATAGGTCAATTTTTTATCACTAAATTCTTAGATTGAGAATAAAATAGAGGAAAAACAATGGTTGGGTTTATTTCATTTTGTTCTGATTTTCATTCAGCCTTGTTTCTATTTAGTTGCATGTTTTATTACTAGCTTTTCAAGTGTAACATACATGGTCAGTGGTGATCCTTTATGTGTAGCTGCATGTGCCCAAAGGTACAGGATGTGTATTCATCTATGAAAACTTTTATTTAAGCCTAAGCTGCATTTGTGTTTTTAAAACACAAGCATAAAAATAGAAAAGAGGCATTTAACTTGTTCTCGCATTTTTCACATATTTGCAAGTTTATGAATAGACTCATAGTGAACTGACAGTTGTTGAACACCTGTGTATGAGGCATTCATAATTCCTAAAATTTGAACTGTAATATAAATAGTAACATTATTAAGAATGTACTATTAGGGTTTTTTGGCATTGAACTTAATTAATTAAAAAAGGCTTTGTTGTTTTTTGCTTTTATCCAGAATATAGTAATATAGTTTGGATATTTGTCCCTTCAAATCTCATGCTGAGATGTTATCCCCAGTGTTGGAGGTGGGGCTTGGTGGGAGGTGTTTGGGTCATGGGGTGGATCCCTCATGAATGGCTTGGTGCCCTCCCTGTGATAATGAGTTCAGAAGAGATCTAGTTGATTAAGAGAGGCTGCCACCTCCACCTCTCTGTCATGGTCCTTTTCTCACCATGTAACACATTGGCTTCCCTTTGCCTTCCACTATGATTATAAGCTTCCTGAGGCCTTCACCAGAAGCAGATGCTGGTAATATGCTTTGTGTAAAGCCTGCAGAACTCTGGGCCAAATAAACTTTTCTTTAGTAATTACCCAGCCTCAGGTATTCCTTTACAGCAATGCAAATGGACTGAGATAGAAAATTGGTACTAAAGAGCAGGGTGTTGCTGTAAAGATACCTGAAAAGGTGGAAGTGGCTTTGGAACTGGGTAATGGGCAGGGGTTAGAAGAGTTTGGAGGGCTCAGAAGAAGACAGGAAGATGAGGGAAGGTTTGGAACTTCTTAAAGACTGGTTAAGTGGTTGTGACCAAAATGCTGATAGAAATATGGACAGTGAAGGCCCATCTGACAAGGTTGGAGATGGATATGAGGAAGTTATTGGGAACTGCAGTTAACGTCTCTATGTTATGCCCTAGCAAAGAATTTGGCTGCCTTGTGTCCATGCCCTAGGGATCTGTGGAAGTTTGAACTTAGAAGTGATGACTTAGAGTATCTGATAGAAGAAATTTCTTTCTTTCTTTCTTTTTTTTTTTTTTTTTTTGCAACAGGGTCTCACTCTGTCACCCAGGGTGGAGTGCAGTGGGAAGAAATTTTTGAGCAGCAAAGCATTCAAGAAGTGGCATGGCAGCTTCTGATGACCTACAATCAGATATGGAAGCAAAGGAATGACTTAAAGTTGCTTTCCTTATAATTAAAAGGGAAGCAGAGCACAAAAATTTGGAAAATTTGCAGCTTAGGCTTGTGGTAAAGAAGCAAAAAGCATTTTCAGGAGAGGAATTGAAGTGGGCTGTGAAGGAACCACTTGCTAGAGAGATTAGCATGACTAAAATGGAGGCAATTCCTAATAGCCAAGACAATGGGAAAAAGGCCTTGAAGGGATTTCAGAAATCTCCAGGGCAGCTTCTCCGATCACAGACCTGGAGGCCTAGAATGGTTTTAGGGGACAAGCCCAGGGGCATGCTGCCATGTGCAGCCTGGGGACACTGCTCCCCACATCTCAGTTTCTCCACCTCCAGCTGTGGCTCAAAAGGCCCCAGCGACAGCTCTGGTCACTTTGGAGAGCACAAGCCACTGTAAGCCTTGGGGGCTTCCATGTGATGTTAAGCCTGCAGGTGCACAGAATAAATGCAAGAGTGAAGGAGGCATGGCAGCTTCCACCTAGATTTCAGATGATGTACCAGAAAGCCTGGGTGCTCAGGCAGAAGCCTGCTGCAGCAGTGGAGCCCTCACAGAGAAACTCTCCTAGGGCAATGCTGGGGGGAAATGTGGGATTGGAGCCCCCACCCAGAGTCTCCACCAGGGCACTGCCTAGTGGAGCTGTGGGAAGGGGGCTGCCACCTTCCAGACCCAAGAATGATACAGCCACTGGCAGCTTACACCCTGAGCTTGGAAAAGCTGCAGACATTCAATTCCATCCTGTGAGAGCAGCCACAGGGGCTTCACCTTGCAAATCCATAGGGACAGAACTGCCTAAGGCTTTGGGAGCCCATGTCTTGCTCCAGTGTGCCCTGGATGTGGGACATGGAGTTGAAGGAGAGCTTTGGAGCTTTAAGGTTTATTGTCTCCCCTGCTAGGTTTTGGACTTATGTGGAGCCTGTTGCCCCTTTCTTTTGGATTTCTCTCTTTTGGAATGGGAGTGTTTACACAATACCTGTACCACCTTTGTATCTTGGAGCTGAATAACTTCTTTTTGATTTTACAGGCTCATAGGTGGAAGAAACTTACCTTGAGTCTCAAATGAGACTTTGGACTTTTGAGTTAATGCTGGAACGAGTTGACCTTGGGGGACTATTGGGAAGAGATGATTATATTTTGCAGTGAGATTTAGGTGGCCAGGGGCAGAATGATAATAGTTTTTATGTTTGTCTCCTCCAAATCCCGTGTTGAGATGTAATCCCCAATGTTGGAGATAGGGCTTGGTGGGAGGTGTTTGGGTCATGGGGGCAGATCTCTCATGAATGCCTTCGTGCCCTCCCTGCAGTAATGAGTTCATGTGAGATCTGGTTGCTTAAAAGAGGCTGGCATCTCTGCCTCTCTGTCTTGCTGTTTTTCTTGACGTGTGACATGTTGGCTTCCCTTTGCCTTGCACCATGATTTTAAGCTTCTTGAGGCTCTCACCAAAGCAGATGCTGGCACTGTGCTTTGTGTGCAGCCTGCAGAACTGGGAGCCAAATAAACCTCTTTTGTTTGGAAATTACCCAGCCTCAGGTATTCCTTTATAGCAATGCGAATGGACTAATACAACAGGGGTGTGTGTGTGTGAACAATAGTAGAGATTAATCAAATTGCAGTAAAAATGTGTGTTTTTTGGCTTGTATGTTAACTGTGGCCTATCATCATAGCCATGTTGTAGCCATATTCTTTTTTTTTTTTTATTTTTTATTTTTTATTTTTTATTTTTTTATTGATCATTCTTGGGTGTTTCTCGCAGAGGGGGATTTGGCAGGGTCATAGGACAATAGTGGAGGGAAGGTCAGCAGATAAACAAGTGAACAAAGGTCTCTGGTTTTCCTAGGCAGAGGACCCTGCGGCCTTCCGAAGTGTTTGTGTCCCTGGGTACTTAAGATTAGGGAGTGGTGATGACTCTTAACGAGCATGCTGCCTTCAAGCATCTGTTTAACAAAGCACATCTTGCACCGCCCTTAATCCATTTAACCCTGAGTGGACACAGCACATGTTTCAGAGAGCACAGGGTTGGGGATAAGGTCACAGATCAACAGGATCCCAAGGCAGAAGAATTTTTCTTAGTACAGAACAAAATGAAAAGTCTCCCATGTCTACTTCTATCCACACAGACCCGGCAACCATCCGATTTCTCAATTTTTTCCCCACCCTTCCCGCCTTTCTATTCCACAAAACCGCCATTGTCATCATGGCCCATCCCCAATGAGCCGCTGGGCACACCTCCCAGACGGGGTCGTGGCGGGGCAGAGGGGCTCCTCACTTCCCAGTGTAGCCATATTCTTAATGGACTATGTTTTACAGGTATTGTATCTGAAAATAGAGTATTACAAGAGAATGAATTAAAGGACTTCTTAAACATCTTGAGTGGTAAATTAGTCTTTAGTAAATATGTAGAGTAAAAATTATATTAGTATTCCAGGATTCTGTTCAATCTTATTAGTTCGGACAGCATTTGTGTCTGTCAATAAAGGCATGGGTTATAATGGCACTGGGGAGACCACCATCTGATAAATTTAGCAATTAACTTTATCAATTTAAACATACACCTTCTTTCTCTTACCTCCACCCAAGGTATATGATTGTTCTACCCATAGCAAGAAAACAAAAAAAGACCAAATAGGAAATATGGCTTTAAAGTTAGTATATCACCATGGGAGAGGAGTTAGGGAAACTGTAAGATCATTTGCTTTTTAATAATTGAATTTTCAGAAAAGCATATTTAGAACCATGTATTTTTAACTAAATATCCAGTGTTAAATATAATGATGGAGAGAAACAACTTAAAAGTCTTTATTGAAGAAAAAATTATAGGCCAGAACTTGTACAAATAAGAACACATAAGTGATATTGCTAAAAATAAGAATGAGAATGACTGACAAACCTTGCTGGTTGTTTTAAAAGGTACGTGAAAAAACGTAGTTTTAGAATTAAAATATAGCTGTAAAAGATCTTGAGGATTATTGATTGACTCAGTTTTCATCTAATCATACATTGAATACTGTGTTTTAGAAAATGATTAAAGCTTTATAAGTGTACAAAAATATAGAGTGTGGTATAAATGTTTATATAAATAGCTTTATGATATATTTGAACACAAGTAGTACATTTCTTAACAGATGTTAATTTATATTGAAATCAGTGAGCTGAGTTATTTTCATTTAGGATATGTTTAAATAATGACAAGTTAAATAATCCTTTTTTTTCTGTTTGTGATATGTTAAAGGAGGAATTAATTCCAATGAGTGTGAAAATGTATCAAGAAAAAAGAAAATGTCAGAGGAATTTGAAGCCAATACTATGGATTCTCTGGTAGACATGCCATTTGCTACTGTAGATATTCAGGATGACTGTGGAAGTAAGTACTTTATTAAGTAAACGCGTATTTAGAAGCAATGAGTAGTAAATTTAGTTATATATATATTTTTTTCTTTATAAGTTGTTTCACTTTTAATACTTATGTTTTTGAGTTTTAATTTTGATTTCATTTCATTTATTCTAGTTTTTTGAGACACAGTCTTGCTCTGTCATCTAGGCTGGAGTGGTGTGATCACAGTTCACTGCAGCCTTGACCTGCCAGTCTTAAGTAATCCTCCCACCTCAGCTTCCTGGTGGGAGGTAGCTGGGACCACAGGCATGTGTGGCACCATATGTGGCTACATTTTTATTTTTCTTTGTAGAGGTGGGGTCTTGCCATGTTGCCCAGGCTGGTCTCAAACTCCTGGGCTCAAGCCATCCTCCTGCCTTGGCCTCCAAAAGTGCTGGGATTACAGATGTGAATGATCGTGCCGCGCCAAGTCTTGTTTTTTATTTAATAGTTGTCTATATCTATTGGTATAATAATAATAATGTTATATTCATATATAATAATATCTGTGATAAAATAATCACAGATAATATTGACGTGTGTCACAAAATGTTGAGCCAGCTACTTCTGAAAATAATGGGATAGATAATGCCCTTGATTATTGTGGAGCCACTGCTAATTTCAGCAGTACCCATTTATCTAACACATGTTTACTAGCTGTTTGGTATCCTCTAAGCACTTTGCTAGGCATTGAGAGGGTCCATCAGTGAACAAGATGGGCATTATCACTGCCCCAAAGGAGCTCAACAGGTTAATAGTGAGAACAGGTCAACTTTTAATTAAATGTTCATGTATTGGATCAATTCAGTCTTTGAGAGCTTCATTCACAAACTTTAAAGCAACAATGCTTACTTGATTGAAATACTGCTGGAATTACATAAATATCCAAATCTGTGTTTTGGCCAGATGCGGTGGCTCATGCCTGTGTTCTTAACACTTTGGGAGGCTGAGACGGGAGGATAACTTGAGGCCAGGAGTTTGAGACCAGCCTGGTCAACATAGGGAGACCCCCATCTCTATTTTAGTAAAATAAATAAATTAAAAAAAAATCTGTTTTATGTCATTGTAAAAACAACACTGTCCATGATATTTGGGTTTACCTTCACTGAAAATGTTAAAGATTTGACTATTGTCCAGGTTACTTGTGGGGAGGAAAATAAGGAAAAGCGTCAATATGTTTGGATGTTTATTGACTACATACTCTGCGCCATTCAACTGTTTGCAACCTTACGTAAAGCCTTGCTGTGGTTTGATATGCTTTTTTCATGACTAGGGCTCTGTGGCATAACAAATCATCTGCTTTAGTCTCTTCATTTTGAGAAAAGAAAACTGACTTAGAGAAGTTAAGTAAATTAAATTCACACGGTGGGAAAGAACTAGTTGTAGAATCTGGTTTCTGATTTGTTAGTCATTTCTTTGATGAACATTTATAGCCAGGCATTGTGCTGGACATTGGGAATATTAAAACACACAACAGTCTTGAACGTCAAGAAGCTCCCAGCTTCATTGGGGAGCCAATCTGTTGACAGCTATCATCTCATAAGATGAATGCCATACAGGCTGCTCTGGAAGTGCATGACGTGAGGATGTGTTCAGGGAGGCATCTAACCTGGGTGTGGGAGGAGAGGGTGTCCATGAAGCCTTTCTAGGTGTTTGGCAAGAGTAGAGGCTTGGAGGATGAGTATGAACTATTCAGTGCTCTTGAAATTATCTGACCATCAGAATTTTCTGCAGAGTGATGTAAAAGCACAGATTCTTCTTTTTCAACCTTTGCATCCTGCCAGGGAATCTTTTTGTTTAAAAATTTTTTTAAACATCTCAAGTAATTCTGATGCTCAGCCAGTCTCAGAAACCACACTACTCTTTATCACACTGTCTTCTGGAGGCAGTGAACCTGACTTGTATTTTGGGAAGATGTGAACTTAAAACGATTAAGTCTTTGGTATTTTATTAAGCAGTCTTTCCCATTCCATAATCCAAGGGGGAGAAGGAATCAGGAAGAGGTGTTTCCTATATTTTCCTTTACAACTGCCCCGTAGAGCAGAACCATGTTTGTGAGTTTCACGGCTGTTGGGGAAACCTTCACTGAAGAATTTTCATACCTGTTAATTAGAAGATACTCTTAGAAAAAAGTGAGAATAGCAAGGATTTAATGTTTTCCTCTTAATATCCTACTTGTTGAACAAATAAAATGAATATGTTTAAAAAATTCAATCACTTCTTTCTGATTTCATTACTTTCTCTAATTTGGATATAAATAAAGAAGGCTTCTCATGAATAGCCATGCCCTGTGTGCCCACCATGGGCCTCACTCACCCGCGTTCTCCCTGTGAGCCTTGTTCCAGTCTCTGAATCACTCCCATTGGAGTGCATAAGTTAGATTGGAACAAGGGATGAGTCTGTTCATTCTTCCAGCTGCAGGCACTTCTGATTTATACATAGCTTACATATATCTAATGTATATGAACACATAGCTTCTACTAGCGATGGAAAGCAAGATACTGCCAGAATCCCAGAGAGCAAATAGTGTTTCTGTAGTCACCATATTCTTATATCTCTACTGTTAGGGAGATTAACAGCCATTGGGACCAGAAAGAAGGAAGGGGCTGGATGTGTTTGTGGCATGCATTTCATTCCTGCTCTGAAAGCAACAGCTGTTTCCTCAGAGGATGTGCATTGGAGGGATGGCCAGTTCTTCATATGAACAGGATCTTTTCTCTCTAGGATATGATATATTTTTTACCAAAGAAGTGATGTTATCTATGTATACTAGGGGCTCAGGCCAGTCCACAAAAGTCTACTTTTAACTAATATATACGCTTTTTGATAATTCAGGCTTTATGAGTTAAAAGTCTTTGTGGGTTAGTCTAGACTGCAAACCACCATGTATTATATGACTTTTGTGGGAAGATGGATTGAAAATTCCAGGCTCCAACTTATACATGGGCAGCGTGGTGCAAAGGGAAAAACAGAAAACTTGTGTTTTACGTTTTGGTTACTTCATTATCTACTTGGACCTTTGACACTTAAAGTGTGGATAAAAATTCCCCCCCCCGTTTATCTCATAGTGTTGCTTTCTGGCTAAAAAGAGATAATGTATGCAAGAAAGAAGCTAAAAATGTAAAATAACGAATAAATGTTATTTATAAAACCTTTGAAACGTACCCCTTAGTTATTTGGGGACAACTTACTCTCTCAGTTTTATAATAGCATTTACTAAAACACTAAGGAACAAATAGTACAATTCTTTGCAAACCAGAAACTACTAACTAGTTTTTCTGAAGTGAGATTTTTATAGGAATGTACAAAAACTGGGAGTTTTATTGCCAACCCTTAAACCGTAAGAAAGGTATAATAATAGTGTTTGTGCCTGAAACACAATATAATTAGTTTGTGGCTTGAATGGACTGAATTTGGCTTTCTTGTACATTTAGTAATCAGTCTACTCATTTGCTCCATGGTAGATGGCAACCTCAAAATTCTCAGGTTGTTTGTTGCCTATGATTCCTTCAGTTTTCTTTGACGTGTGGAAATTGCGAGTTAACTGCCAAGAAATTCTTGCTAATAGACACCCTGGCAGAGCAATGAGGAAAGTAGTGCTAACAAAAACATCATGGGAAGGGGAATCCTTGGCAGTAGGAAAACTCCCCTTGAAACGGTTAGTGTCTCTCGATTGTCAGCTGCGTTGCCTTCAGTGCGAATGTGGTATCTTGATTAGGCAGCATGTGGTCTGGTTGGGTGAGATGGGTCTTTTCTTCAAAACTAACCAAAACATGTAGAGACTTTTATTAGGGTTATAGTTTAGAATGTTATAACTAAAAATTAGAAGATAACATGCATTAGAACTAAATATGAGAATATAAAAGTATATTAGAAGTAAAATATCCAAATGCATGTACAATGGAAATCTTTTAGAAATGATGGGGAGGCTGGGTGCCATGGCTCACACCTGTAATCCCAGCACTTCGGGAGGCCGAGTTGGGCGGATCTTTTGAGGTCAGGAGTTTGAAACCAGCCTGGCCAACATGGTGAAATCCCGTCTCTACTAAAAATACAAAAATTAGCGGGGCATGGTGGCACGTACCTGTAAGCCCAGCTACTAGGGAGGCCGAGGCCGGAGGATTGCTTGAATCTGGTAGGCAGAGGTTGCAGTGAGCCGAGATTGCGCCACTGCACTCCAGCCTGGGCAACACAGCCAGACTCTGTCTCAAGAAACAAAACAAAAAAGAAATGATGAGGAGACAGTACAACCTGTGCCACACCTTTGGCTCCATAGGGTGGACACGTTTTAGGAGAAAATCCAGCTTAGTGCCTGGTTGACTTGGATGGGGTCTTTGCTGTTTACAAGGGAAATGTTGTGGGTCAGTTGATTATAAACCCAGTAAACCATCCAGGAAAGCATTTGGGTTGCTACTGTTCTGCATTCAAAAGTAGAATGGAGAGTCATTCTGCTGTTGGGAATAGCTTAGTATGCTTCCCACAGTGTGACTTTGTGGAGAGTTTTAGTTTAATTGATTCTAGTCTCTTAAAGGAATCACAGTTCTTAACTATCAGGCCACATTTATCGAATTTATTTAGGGATGGGATCTCACTATGTTGCCTAGGCTAGTCTCAAACTCCTGGGCTCCAGTGATCCGCCCACCTCAGTCTCTTGAGTAGCTGGGAAAACAGGTATGCACCACTATGCCTGGTCTTAAGCCACATTTAAATAAAATCTTTTGATTTTCTTTTTTTTGTGTGTCATGTCTTCCCTAAATGTGGAATTCAGTTCTCCTTATAGTAAAATGCTTATAATTCTTATTTTACCTCACACAGAATTCTACTCTGTAATAACTGAAGATTTTGGAGATATGGGAAATCGTAATTTTGCTACTTATTAATCCTAACAAGTTGTTACATTTAAAAAATACTTAGATTTTAAACATCTTAAAATATAAATTGAAACTTACCTTCACCTAAAACTTTTTTATACAAAAATGCTATATCAAATAAAGATCGAATCTTTGTACTTGATATAGTAGGTGGTTACCCTGAGTCAGTTAAGAAAATAAAAGATAAATTGTTTTCTGCATCCTCTATAATTAATTGGGGAAGCATATACTGCATATTCCAAATGTTATTATGAAAGAGGTTAAGGCAAATATCTGCCCCAAATAACATAAATGATTAATATCTTTTATTTTGTTAAAAAAATAAGAAAATGAATAAAAATTGGAACAAGCCCAATCACTAAATTAATACAACACATATTTATTGAGTGTGTTATGTACCAGGTACTGTTATTGGTGCTGAGCTGAGGACAGTTAGTTCAGCTAGTGTGTACTTTTTCCAGGCTCAAGTTCATTCATTATCGATGACATTGACATTGGCATAATAATGGTAGCTGTCTCACAGGATTGTTGGAAAGATTCAATTCCTCAATACATGTGAAGTCCTTAAAACGTAACTAGCCTCAGTACATTTTCATTAATTTAGTTTCACCAGGTTTTTTCTTACATATATTTGCTAAATTATTTATAAAACATTTCCCTTTAAGAGAAATATTTTATAATAATAATATTGAGCTCCTCCAGCACATTGCTAAATGCTTTACATTTTCTCACATAATCCTCTTAGAATTTTTTTTTTGTTTTTTGAGATGTAGTCTGGTGCTGTCACCCAGGCTGGAGTGTAGTGGTGTGATCTCAGCCCACTGCAACCTCTGCCTCCTGGGTTCAAGCAATTCTTCTGCCTCAGCCTCCCGAGTAGCTGGGATTACAGGTGCCCACCACCACACTCAGCTAATTTTTGTATTTTTAGTAGAGACAGGGTTTCATCATGTTGGTCAGGCTGGTTTCAAACTCGTGGGCTCAAGTGATCCACCTGCCTCAGCCTCCCAAAGTGCTGGGATTACAAGCATGAGCCACTGCACCCAGCACATAATCCTCATAGAAACTTAAAGAGGGAGAAGGTAAGGTTTTTTTTTTTTTTAAGAAAATTTTAGTAATTTGCCAAAGATTATTGAGATACTAAAGGGGAATAATTCTGTGAAATATATGGCCGGGTGTGGTGGCTCACGCCTGTAATCCCAGCACTTTGGGAGGCTGAGGCGGGTGGATCACCTGAGGTGAGGGGTTTGAGACCAGCCTGGCCAACATGGTGAAACCCTATCTCTACTAAAAATACAAAAAATTAGCCGAGTGTGGTGGCATGTGCCTGTAATCCCAGCTACTCAGGAGGCTGAGGCAGGAGAATCGCTTGAACCTAGGTAATGGAGGTTGCAGTGAGTCAAGATTGTGCCATTGTACTCTAGCCTGGACAACAAGAGTGAAACTCAGTCTCAAAAAAAATATCCTATGAAATATAGAAGATAGTGTTCTAAGTCAATAGCTAAGGAATTTTAGGAATGGTTACTTTGAAGATTTTAGCTGCCTAAATAACAAGAAAAAATAAAATATCAAAACAAATCTAATTCATTCTCAGCCTTTTAGCTAAGAGTAAGTGTGAAAACAGTGAACCCACTATAACGGATGGATGACTTAATTTTTCTCATCATTCATTTCTTTGTAGTTTTTGAGGGAATAAATAGAACTTGAGAAAAAATTAGATAATTTACATAAAATTACACGTGGTGCTTCAGTTAAAAAAACAAATACACGAATCAGAGAGTTACAGCCTTTGTCAGCAAGACCAGATTCATTACTACACATTAAAATGGCTACTGAAATCATTATGAAAATTAACAAGTGGAATAAATTAAATTTGTAAGATGGGTTTATGAGCTGTACTCCAACTGATGACTTTTTTGCTAACCAATGAAGTTACTCTAAATAATCAGTTGAGAGGTCCTGGGCCTGTGGCCAAATTTTTCTACATTTTGTTCTATGGTCATTGATTTTTGAAATTCTAATTGGTAAACTAGATGATTACATAAATATTTTGTTCCTTATATTTTCATATGAAACTAAAAATAAAGAATAATATCCAGTTGTATTTTAGAACCTACATTATAATTTCAAAGTGAGAAATAAAATGGAGTTCAGTAATGAAAAGCACACGGATTTTATACTTTGACCATATATAAATAAACTTTACAGATAAAATCAGAGATGGTATGCAAACAAGAGAGAAGAAATATTGGGGCCGGGCGTGGTGGCTCACGCCTGTAATCTCAGCACTTTGGGAGGCCGAGGAGGGCGGATCACTTGAGGTCAGGAGTTGGAGACCAGCCTGGCCAACATGCGAAACCCCATGTCTACTAAAAATACAAAGATTAGCTGGGCAAGGTGGTACATGCTTGTAGTCCCAGCTGTTTGGGAGGCTGAAACATGAGAATCGCTTGAACCTGGGAGGTGGAGGTTGCAGTGAGCTGAGATTGCACCACTGCACTGCAGCCTGGGCAACAAAGCAAGACTCCATCTCAAAAAAAAAAAAAAAAAAAAGTCCGGGCGCGCTGGCTCACGCCGGTAATCCCAGCACTTTGGGAGGCCAGGGCGGGTGGATCACGAGGTCAGGAGATTGAGACCATCCTGGCTAACACGGTGAAACCCCGTCTCTACTAAAAATACAAAAAAAATTAGCTGGGCATGGTGGCGTGTGCCTGTAGTCCTAGCTACTCGGGAGGCTGAGGCAGGAGAATGGCGTGAACCCAGGAGGTGGAGCTTGCAGTGAGCCGAGATTGCGCCAGTGCACTCCAGCCTGGACGACAGAGCAAGACTCCATCTCAAAAAAAAAAAAAAAGAGAGAGAGAGATTGGGCTCAATGTGTATCAAGTGTATGATAAATCAGCAGGGCTCACGGAATTAAGAAAAGTGTATTACAAGGGTTGGTAAAACTGTACTGTAGCAATAAATACAGGATTCCTTTTTTCCCCATCTGTCATTAGGTATTTTAAAACTACACACTGTCTGTGATGCCTAACAAAAGAAAATTTTAGATTATCCAGTTCAAAGGAAAGTTAAATAGTTATTGGTAAAATTATAGAAAACTAAATAAATTTAGACAAACCATGTCCTACTTTATTTTTGCCTGAAAGTATTCTGGGTTGGGGTTTTACACTATGTCATTCTCCTGATAGCAGAATGGTTAGAGTTGTTATATGTTATAACCATTACCTTGAGAGATTATGATTTTTTTTTTTGCAAAATGGATTTATAGGATGTTTGAAATGGCAAAAATAAGTTGCTACAGATGGGAAGACAGTTTAGTATTAAATAGATAAGGTAGTGTTAAATAGGTAAGGTAGAAAACAACGTAGTGTCAGTGGTCTTTGAAATACTGTGTTAATTCTGTCCCCCTTTTTAGTATTGTTCATATTGGAGTGTGAGTAAAATACAGAAAAAATGATTATATATCTTATCTTCACAGTAAAGAATGTACTATACATGGCCACCCAATAAACAGTGTATGCAAAAAATGGAAATAAAAATTTCATAAAACAATACTTATACTAACTGTGAGCAATATACTATCTACATGACTTCTGTCTCATTCCATTCCATTCTTTAAAAAGTGCTCTTTATTGGCCAGATGTGGTGGCTCACACCTGTAATCCCAGCACTTTGGGAGACCGAGGAACGTGGATCACCTGAGGTAAGGAGTTCGAGACCATCCTGGCCAATATGGTGAAAACCTGTCTCTACTAAAAATACAAAAAATTAGCTGGGCATGGTGGGCACCTGTAATTCCAGTTACTCGGGAGGCTGAGGCAGGAGAATCACTTGAACTTGGGAGGCAGAGGTTGCAGTGAGCAGAGATCGCTCCATTGCACTCCAGCCTGGGCAACAAGAGCAAAACTCTGCCTCAGAAAAAAAAAAGTGTTCTTTATCATCTTCTAAGTTGATTTCATAACCCACTAATGGGTTGATGCTTGCAATTTGGGAAAAAAATAACCTAGACGGTAGGTTTATGAGTCTCAATCTTGAATCCATTATTTAATATCACCGCAAATTGTCGTAATTAGTACAAGTGTTAACAGTTAGTACCTTTACCACAAATCACAGAAAGCTAGAACTGGAAGAGACCCCCTAGAGAGAGATTGTCTAAACGTTCCTCCCTGTCCCTGTTTTTTTTTTTTTTTTTTTTTTAATGTTGCATTGTAGAAACTTTGAAGCATATATTAGAGAAAATAGGAAAAGAAGCCTCATGTATTCATTACCTCTTCTTTACTGGATTATTTTGAGGTAGATCCCAGACATATTACTTTATCTGTAAATACTTTAGTATATTTCTTTAAAAGGTAAAGAATCTTTAAGAAAAAATTCAAAATATCCTTACTATACCAAAAAATACTGGTAATTCTTAATGTCATCAAATAGCAAGACAATCTCTGATTATGTCATAATTTTAAAAAATCTGGATTATTTGAATTAGTTACCAAAATCTATGCACTATATTTCACTGACACATCTCTTGAGTCTCTTTTCATGTATAAATCTCCTTTTTTCCTTTTGGGTATGTGTATGTGTGTGTTTATTGTTGAAGAAATCAGGTTGTGTAGAAGTTTTGCTATTCTGGTTATTTAAAATTTTTTTCTGTCTCTTCTAGTAAACTGGTAGTTAGATCAAGAGGCTTAATTAAGTTTCTGACATTTGTAAGAATGTTCCAAAGATAGTATTTTTTTTTTTTCTTTCTGAGAGACAGGGCCTCACCCTGTCATCCACACTGGAGTACAGTGGCATGATCATAGCTCACCGTAACCTCGAACTCCTGGGCTCAAGTGATTCTTCCACCTCAAGTAGCTGGGATTATAGGTGCATACCACAATGCCTGGTTAATTTCTAAATTTTTTGTAGAGATGGGGTCTTGCTGTGTTGCCCAGCCTGGTTTTAAATTCCTTGCCTTTAGTGGTCCTCCCACCTAGGTCTCACAAAGTGCTAAGATTACAGGCATGAGCCACTGTGCCTGGCCAAAGATAGTATTTTGAATTTCCTATAGTGTGATATCAGTAGGCAAATAATGTTTGCTTGTCTTGCCTTTTTGCAACTTTAAGATTGATCAGTGGCTTCAGGTCTTATTACTCTAAAGTATCTATTATTAAAGTTCCCCATCAGCCTTCCATCTAATGGATCATCCATTGATGGTCATTGGGTTGATCTCTTACTTTGTTAAGCATTTTGAAATGGTGATATTCTAACTATCTTTTTGCATTAATTAGCTTGAAATTTCTATAAAGAACTTTACCTTAGCTAGCTATTTAATTTCCTATATGACTATTTGGTTATAAGGAAAGATGGAATAAATGCTTGACTTTTTTCTGTTATCATCAGATATTTAGAATCGTGTTTCTCTAGATTCCTCCAAAGGTGACCTGTGAGTTTTTGGCTTTAATTTTTTTTAGTATCATTAAGAATGGATGGATTTAAGCATATTTGATGTATTTAACACCACTGAAGTTTATTCTATTTGGTGCCCAAATTGTCCCATCTTTGGCCAATGAGAAGACATTTAAATTGAATTTAGAGATCTTCTCATATGACCCTAGGAGTCTTTGAATTTCCAGAACTCTCATACATTGTATGCTCCAGACCTGGAATCAGCTCTTTCTCCAAGGATTAGTAAGATTTTTAAGTTCTCAGATAAACCTATTAAGTTACTTAATTAAAAGATGCTTGTTGGAAATCTAGTCTTCAGGTCATTGGCCTTTTCACTATCCAGTGCTGCCTCTATAAATTGAAACACACAGTACTAGTCATTTTCTCAACTGCTGTTTTCCCTTCTATCTTTTGTATTTTTTTCCCAGTACAGTACAGGTTGATAGCTGCCAGATTCACCATCCCAGCATCCTGTGTTGCTTGGGGTTAGCCCTGTGTGGTGATTTGGACAATGAAATATAAGGGGATGGATGCTAGGAACTTATTTAGAATTGATTTGTAATTTTACCTTAAAAAAAGGGGGTCTTGCTTTTGAAATTTATTTTTCAACATTATATTTAATTTAAAAAACTGTTCAGGGATGGGTGTGGTAGCTCATGCCTGTAATGCCAGCATGTTAGGAGGCTAAGGTGGGAGGATTGCTTGAGCCCAGGAGTTCAAGACCAGCCTGGGCAACATAGTGAGACCCCCACCTCTACAAAAAATGAAAAATTAATGAGCTGTGGTGGTGCATACCTGTAGTCCCAGCTACTTGGAGAGGCTGAGGTGGGAGGATCATTTGAGCCCCAGGAGTTCGAGGTTACAGTGAGCTATGATTGCATCACTGCACTCCAGCCTGGGTGACAGAGTGAGATCCTATCGCAAAACAAAACAAAAAAATAACAAAAAAAGAACTGTTCAGGGCAGCTTTTCATTTTCCATACTCATAGAAGGTGCAAGTGGTCTAGATGAGTAAAAACAATGGAGAGTTTATAAATCATCTGTTTCTTTTTGGAGTTTCCTTTTTTTTTTTTGAGATGGAGTCTCACTCTGTCACCCAGGCTGGAGTGTGCAGTGGTGCAATTTCGGCTCCCTGCAAGCTCCGCCTCCCGGGTTCACGCCATTCTCCTGCCTCAGCTTCCCGAGTAGCTGGGACTACAGGCGGTCGCCACCACGCCTGGCTAATTTTTTTGTATTTTTAGTAGAGACGGGGTTTCACCGTGTTAGCCAGGGTGGTCTTGATCTCCTGACCTCGTGATCCGCCCGCCTCAGCCTCCCAAAGTGCTGGGATTACAGGCATGAGCCACCACACCCAGCCTGGAGTTTACTAAATGTTCTTTAGCAGATACAGATTTATCTTCCTAATTATGTTTAGTTCTGAGTATTATCTAATAATTATAATAGCTAATAATAGTGTTTACTTTGTACCAGGAAGTGGTCTAAATGTTTTTATGTATTAACTGACTCAATCCTCAAAAAGATCCTATGAAGTAGCTATTATTATTATTCTAAAATTACACAGGGAAACTGAATAAAGAGAGTTTATGTGCTCATCTAAAATCACACAGTCACACAGCTAGTATGTGGGAGAGCCAGGATTCTAACCCAGGTGCTCTGGTTCCAACTATATTAAAATTGGCTTTCATTTTCAGAGTACTAATTTATTAACAGTAGGTGGTGGTGGGCTAGAAGTGTATTTAGAAGTGGATTTAAAATATATGTGTTCTTCATTAGCATATTTTGTTACTTCTGTTTAAAATTAGTATATTCATATTACTGCAGTTAGATGTAGGACCTTTTCTTAGATGTGTAAAATTGCAGGCAGCCCAGTGATATATTCATTTGATTTGCTGTATTAAAACTCTTACGTAAGAAATAAAACCCAATGGCATCATGAATGAGACAATTCACATAATTCTTATAACACAGATAAAAATGCTACAAACTATTTCTTAGTAATAAAATCTGTAAAGTTCTGATAAGGTTAGGTGTGTAAAAGAAGCTAATAATAATTTATATTTTAAACGTGTATCCTCTAATCATGAAGAGCTATCATTAGCCACATTAATCATTAGACATATTGTTGAGAGATATAGTGATGAAATAGATGCACGAACACACCAGATAAGTTTGCCTTAATTCATAATGATATGGTCAGATATATTGCCGAGGCCACCTTGCTCTTAGTTTACCCCATTTTGTAGGTCTTACAAATATATGTTGTGGAAAGAAAACATATCTATTTCTACACACTCTTAGCTTTTTAATTTTAAACACGCTGTACTATTTTTCTTAGAAATTAGCATTAAAATACTATTTGAGGCATTAACTTAAAATTGTTTACTATTAATATCTCAAAGAGAAACAGAATAAGAATTATTTTTGCTCTGTGGTTTTATGTGTAATGTTAACTAGTTGTGCAGAACTTCAGTAGAGAAGCAATTTGATACAGTAGCAAAGTTTTTCTGCTTTTCTGTTTTATCGTGTAAAATAAGGGATTCAGTTAAAGCAGGGTTGCATATGCACACAGGCATTGGGCTGTGGGTTGAGCCCAGACTTCTTTTCACAATCCTTCTTAAGGCATTGTGTGCAGGCAGTTACTGTGGTCTATTAGAGGTGATCCCAAAGATGAAACCAACCGAATAGGATTGAATGTAAGGTAAAGTGGTTCTTTCCTTCCTTTTTCAAAATAACACCTCAGAAAATATATCTGAATTTTCACAAAGTCTCTGTGAGGTACTCTATTTTGTTTTGTTTTGTTTTGTTTTTTGGAGACAGTCTCACTCCATTGTCCAGGCTGGAGTGCAGTGGCATCGTCTTGGGTAACTGCAACCTCAGCCTCCTGGGTTCAAGCGATTTTGTGCCTCATCCTCCCAAGTAGCTGAGACTACAGGCTTGTGCTACCATGCCTGTCTAATTTTTGTATTTTTAGAGGAGATGGGGTTTCACCTTATTGCCCAGGCTGGTCTCACACTCCTGACCTCAAGTGGTCTTCCTGCTTCAGCCTCCCAAAGTGCTGGGATTACAGGTGTGAGCCACCATGCCCTGCAGGGGAACTGTATTTTGAACAGTAAACTACTATTCAAGAAGACATGGCTTGGAAGCTCAATTAATGGATTGTAGTTTTGCGTGCATATGGAAGCCCTGATAGAATCTGTTAAAAAAAAAAAAAAGATGATGGCATTTCACACAGATTTAGTAATTATTTCTGGGAGCATGCTTTGTAATTAGAATTGTTAGATGTTGTAAATGAGTCTTACAAGGATTACTTTAAAAAGTGGTATTGTAAACGCTTCTCAGATGACCTTTTGTTAAGGATCAGTTTATTTTATTTTATTTTTTATTTTTTATTTTTGAGACGGAGTCTCCCTATGTCGCCCAGGCTGGACTGCAGTGGCGCCATCTCGGCTCACTCCAAGCTCTGCCTCCTGGGTTCATGCCATTCTCCTGCCTCAGCCTCCTGAGGAGCTGGGACTACAGGTGCCCGCCAGCACACCCAGCTAATTTTTTATATTTTTAGTAGAGACGAGGTTTCACCGTGTTAGCCAGGATGGTCTTGATCTCCTGACCTCGTGATTCGCCCGCCTCGGCCTCCCAAAGTGCTGGGATTACAGGCGTGAGCCACCGAGCCTGGCCAAGGATCAGTTTTTAAAAAAAAATTTCCTGTTTGTTGCCAATGGATACTTTTGTAAAATACAATAAAAATGAAATTATTAGAAAATGAAATAAAAGAAAAGACCTACAAAGTAGGAATCAAAATTCAGCAGACCAAATTATTCTGCCCCATTGCTATGGAAGTTTCCAAAGCATTCTCTTAATTTTTGCAACAAATAGTTTATAGTGTGACAGTGGCCCCAGACCAAAACTTTGTGTGGCAGTAGGGTTATACCCTAGAAGTTACAAACATACCTATACAGGATGGTTGAAGAAATGATCTTTCTTAGTGTTATGAACATTGTGGTGCCGGGAGCTGTGCTTCAGATCATGAGTCAGCTCACTATGGCCCTCAGGCCAAATCTGGTTAACCACCCTGCTTTGAAAATAAAGCAGGAACACAACTGTACCCACTCATTTATGTTTTGTCTACAGCAGAGTTGAGTAGTTAACGGCAGAGACTATGTCATCTGCAATGCCTAAACTATTTACTATGAGGTCCTTTACAGAAATGTTTGCAAACTCCTGCTTTAGATTTGAAAATGACACTGATGAATGATTGCTACTTATATATTGCTTGTTTTTTTTTCTGACTGTATTATCTTTGTTTAAATGTATTAGACGTATTGTTTGACTTTTTTCCTCTAGTCACTGATGAACCTCAAATAAATTTGAAGAGAAGTCAAGAAAATGAATGGGTCAAGAGTGATCAAGTAAAGAAGAGGAAAAAAAAGAGAAAAGATTATCAACCCAACTATTTCCTGTCCATTCCAATCACCAACAAAGAGGTGCTATTTTTAAAAAGTTATTTTTACTGTGAAATTTTATTCTAAATTTAAAGTACAACTAAATGCTTATTAGCCCACTTGCTCTTAGCTTTTAAGAGTATTTGGTGGCATTTTAGCAGGACTGTCCAGGGAATATTTCTGTTTAAGTAATAGAAATGTATTTAAACAACAGGTTTGGAAAATATCATTTGTTTTTCTGAGACAGGGTCTTGCTCTGGCACCCAGGCTGGAGTGCAGTGGCACAGTCATAGCTCACTGCAGCTTTGAACTCCTGGACTCAAGCAGTCTTTCCACCTCAGCCTCCAAAAATATTTAGACAATCATATTTAAACGGTAATTTTGCAAAATCCACTTGAAAAAGTGTTGCCAGATGGCATGTCAAGGTCATTTGCAAGTGTTTGTTCATTTTATCTGAGGGAACTTTTGGAAGTAGAGAGAAATGACCAGTTGAAAAAAGAGGATTCTGAGATCTCTGTTGGGAAGGTAAACTGGGGTTTCTTGCTGCTTAATCTTGTTTATTATAGTGATTATTTCAACATAGTTTCTTTAAAAAATTACTCAGTATTGTAACAACTTAATATTGCACCATTAAACTTGGTAAAAATCTATTAAAATCTGAAAAATTAATGCAATAAATAATAGGAAATGGAACTAGCCAGTTAGCTCATACTGAGAAACCCCTGAGAGAGAAAACTACTGCATCTCATTACAACCACTGAAGCGGTGAGGTAGGAATTAAAATCCCTCAGGAAAGAACACCTCACTTGGAAGACTGACTGTTTTTACCCTTTGGCCCAATTACGAGCCAGATTTGAATTTCTGTTTGATTGTGGGTGATAATCTCTTTGACCAGGCACATTTCCACATTGCCTTTCCCCTTGTTTAACTAGAATGTCTCTAGGGAATGCTAACAAATTGTTAAAAATCAAATCAAAATTAAAATGAAAGAAATATCAAAAGAAAAAATAAATTATTTTGGGTCATTCTAGGAAATATCTAGTCTGTGAGACACAGTTTAGCTGGGGAGAAGATATACATAACAAGAGAAGAGTTACCTAGCCATATAAGATTTTAGATTTGATGTACTGAAGAATCATATTCTGATTTTACTGATACATATTTGATTCCTTTGGTTGAGGAATACTTTTTAAAAGTCCTAATAAGGGCCAGGTGTGGTGGCTCATGCCTGTAATCCCAGCACTTTGGGAAGCTGAGGTGGATGGATCCCTCGAGCCCAGGAGTTTGAGACCAGCCTGGGCAACATGGCAAAACCCCATCTTTACTAAATATACAAAAACTAGCTGGGCATGGTGGCTCACACCTGTGGTCCTAGCTACTTGGGAGGCTGAGGTGGGAGGATTGCTTGAGTCCAGGAGGCAGAGGTTGCAGTGAGCCAAGGTTGTGCCACTGCACTCCAGCCTGGGTGACAGAGCCAGACTGTATCTCAAAAAAAAAAAAAAAAAAAAAAAAAAAAAAAAAAAAAAAATTAAAGGTCCTAGTGCAATAGTCATTAAAAGTGTTTAGGCAATACAAAGTTAGTGTAATCAGCAATTATACATTTTATTAAAATACTTGCAAGTTTGGTTTGAAATTTAGGATCACGTATACCTGTGGGGATTAGAAGAGCTCAGGGAGTGAAAGGTGCTGCTGCTTTCATGAGCAGCCAGACAGAAGCCAGGTCCTAAGGACACTGAATGTCAGACAGTTGAAGTGACTTCCCTATGGACACATGATTTGTGATTGGAAGAGAATCCAGGTTCTGTATTTTGATTTGACAGATGTTCGATGAACACCTCTGGGTGTCACTTTCCCTAGGCCGCTCATTTTCTGCTTCTCCCTTCACCTGTATTCCTTACTCCTAGGGGAGACTGAGCAGCATCTCTGCATCACCCCCATGTCTGCCCTCTCTCCCCTCCTAGCTGTGTTATGGCTTCTTACCCCTTCCGGAGAAGACTGATGGGATGATGTGCTGATGGGATAGGGAAGGTGGGGAAGGGGATTGAGAGGAAGGAAGAGAAAAAAATTCTTTCCTTTCACCACTAACTTCTAGGCTTTGCATCACAAAGGTGAAGGGAGAAAGGGGATGAGAGTCCTGTCCGCAGCTTTTAGTTTTCATCCTTTAACCTGCTGTAGCCTTTGTTTCTGCCTCTCTACCCCTGTAAAGTTGTGTAGATGCTGGAAAGAGTGCAGGCTTTGGGTCTGACAGACTTGTTAGTCCCAGCTGAGTCACAGACTCCGCTGCATGTGCAGGTCAGGTTACCTAAATTTTTCAAGTTTCAGTTTGTTCAGGTGTAAAATGAGGTGGGTGATAATACCTCCTTTAGATGACTATTTTTTAAACCCGAATATAGCCGTGTCACCAACCTGCTTATATACTTCAGGATTTTCCCATCGATAGGATAAAGACAACCTCTTTTCCATGTTCTCTGAGGTTTTGTCGTTGTTCGTCTCTCCTTCAGCCCTTGCTTTTTCTGCCCGAGCTCTTCTACCCTTCCTTGGGCTTGCCAGGTTCCCTTGGCCCCAGGAAAAGCCTTCTCTGGCTGGAGCTTTCTCTTTGCTCCTCTTGGTTTTGTTAATGCCGGAATCTCAGCTCAAACCTCTCTACCCATGACCACCTCGTCTAGGTCAACTATCCCTTTCCTTGCCCCATTCCTGTCAGCTAAAGGCTTTCACAGCTTTCTGTATGCCATTTGTCATCCTTGCAACTTGACACTTGTCTTCCTCACAAGGTTTTTAGTGCATGCCCATACCTAGACTGGTGTTTGTTCAAGAGTAGGTGCGCACACATACACGCTCTTTCGCTCTCGCTCTCTCTCTCTCTCTGCTGCTGTTTCATGGCAAAAGCGTGTTTCTGTCATTCCAAGTTATAACCAGAATACTTAAAAATAATAAATACAGTGTAATGGTGGTTTCATAATACAGGTTCAACAGCAGTTACTGGTTTTGGAGGAGGTAGGGTAACTTATAATAGAGGGAAATGCAGGTTTCAAGTGACCTTGAAACCAAATAATGTAATGTTTCCTTTTCAAGAGACTTATTTGTAGTTAATCACTTAGAAAGCTTACATACAAATATGGGGAAGAGATGTAGTCAGGCAAGATTAGGAGTTATATTTTGTATCTTCTACATGAGCACATTTTTGTTTGTTTGTTTTAAAGTGTCTAATGTTAATTTTCTTTTTAAACTACTTATGAGCTTTTGTGGGAAGGCTTGGGAAAAGAATTAGCATTTATAACATTGTTTCAATGGAAGACTGTATTCCAAGTTCCAATTAAGTGACCTGCAAACAAGCTTTTGGAAGCTAGCACATTCACAATGAGTTGCTCTACTTTTGGCCTCTACGTGTTGGCATCTAGTTTTAAAGAAAAAAGTATCCAGAATTCCACTGGTCTTTGATTTTAAACACATTCTTAGAAGTTCGGAATTCTTTATTAGTGGAAAATCTTGATTTCATATTTTAAGCAATAGAATTGGAAAGTGGATTAGGATGGCTGCATACAAATATCCTAATTGGAAGTATATGAAAATATGTGTTTCCATTAACTTTCAATTGCATGTTAGTTTAAAAAGAAAAGAAGAAAACATTTTGATGGGGGTACAGTAAATCCTAAATGTTTCTTAGGTGAGCTCAGATATGGAGGGTGGTTAGACACCAAGGGTGGGGGATTTCTTGAAACTGACATAGCAGCATTCTTGCTCAAACTAAATTCTACAAGGACAGAGAGAGAAGCCCATGGTTAGGCCTAGTCAAGCAGAAGACTTGGAGGGGCCTGACTAAAGTTTTGGTCAAAGGAGAGAGTCTGTCAATGGGAAGTGAGATCCAAGGACAGCATCTCATGATTTGCACAATCACATTCCGCAGATAATGGGAACATTGTTCAGGATAAAACAGCTACTTTGGTATCAGAACAGTTTGCTATGCTCATGAGTCAGTTTTTTCTTATCTCTGCTTTTTTATGGATTCTGCATTGACTGTCAGCCCCCACTCTTTCCCTTTTTTTCTATTGTGCTGCCTCAGGGCTTCTGTCTTCTGTTCCCTTAGGGCTTCTCTGTGCTCTCTTTTCTCTGTTGTTTTTTTTCTGGGTTTGCTATTTTGTATTCAGACTACTTTCAAATGTACTCACATTTAGAAGTTGACTAGAATTGCATCTAACTGGAAGTGGAGGAGGGAAGATGCATCATTCCTCTCCCTGTTTCAGAGGAGCAGGTGCTGAGAGAGGAAGGGAGATGGTGGACCAGGTCTGTGGGGATTTCTCCTGGATGCAGATTCTGTTTTTCTAATGTGTGCATTTGGACTTCTTTGCAACTCTTCATGGTAATGCCCCTCCCCACAGGTATGGAAAAATGACAGTAGTCATTTCTACTGAAATTATTGCTGTCGTAAAAAATCTTAAAGGCCATGAGGAACGGGTTCACAGACACATTCACTTGGAGACAAATAATTATTGCTTCTAACAGAAATGGAATGTTGTCTGCTGGCTTGACCTTTCTGTGGCAAGAATAAAGCCTTATTCTTAGGAAAGATCATAGTTATTGAGTCATATTGGGTATTCCAAGGACAAATTTCTGAAAAGATGCAGGGCCATTGAGAGGTTTTTCCAGTCAGATAGCAATCTGATCTGCAAAATAAGGGTGTTGGGTTCAGTACTGTTAAGATAGACAATCATCATGCTTTAAAACTTACACATCCTTTTAAGCTGTCCCAGTCAACTATCTGTTTGAGAACAAGTAGACAATTAAGCATTCATTTGGTTGAAGAATCTTAACATTGTTCTAATTTTGGTTGTTGCTTATTTTTCTTCTTGATTTTACATTTTACCATAAAGAAATTTTGCTTACCTAATCACTGGAATTTTTTTTATATGTGTGTATGTGTTATTAGATTATAAAAGGAATTAAGATCCTGCAGAATGCAATAATACAACAAGATGAGCGACTGGCCAAAGCAATGGTCAGTGATGGTTCCTTTCATATTACCCTGCTGGTGATGCAATTATTAAATGAAGATGAAGTAAACATGTGAGTAATGTATCTTTCTTAAATATAATTTTCCAAATTATTACTTTAATATGAGTAAGCACAGCAGAACCCAAAGAGACATTCTAAATTTTAAAGAAGTAGTCTCTATACAATTTATTCCAATTAATAGTTAATATACAGAATAAACTGTATAAATATTCTTTTTAATCTAAACTTTTAAACTCTGTTATGGTTATCAAGTGGTAGCCCTTGGTTATGTAATTGTTTTGTCCGTGCTCATAATATAAGCACTCTGGACTTGACCATTTAGCTTAAAATTCTAGATACATATTCTGGAATCATGGCAAAACCACCTCTTATTATCTGCCTTACTTTGGGCAAATCATGTACTTTCTAAGTAAATGAAGAAAATAATAGTACCAATACATGCAAGAGCTCTTTGCCTGGGGCCTGGCACATAGTAGGCACTCTATTATTAGCTATAAGAGCTGCCATTTTACTAAGCCACTGGACAATTTCAGTTTCATCTTAGTCATTTTTAGAGTCACTGTACTCTACCTACCCCCACCGCCCCCATGCCAGGGTTCTGCCATAAAGGTTGAAGACAACTCATTGATTACTGCTTTCCAATCTGGAAGAAACCTTGTTCTTCCCCCAATTTTCTGGGACATTCTTATCCGTACTTAGATTTTCCCTTCCTCTGTTACCTCCTATATAGCTCACTGTGTTAAGTTCAAGCCTAAGATGTATGGAAAACCAAAGCCAGGATGAATGCAGGTTGCTTTTGTTTTCTACTTTGACAGCTATATTTCCTGAGGGAATGAGGAGCAAGGCTTGAATTAGGAAGGGATTGAGGAAAAGGTAAAATAAAAGGGATAAGATAAAAGACATTAATAACTCAAAATATCTAACCCCATTATGATTATTGTAGTTATGTCTTTTAAACAGTAGAACCTCATGTCTTTAGAGGTCAATCTTATGATCTGTCCCAAGCTGATGTACCCAAAGCAGCCTTGAGCATCCTGCAAGGACAGAGAGGAGGGGAGATTTTACTTGCCTGACTTTGTCTGATCACTTTGCCAATCAGAAGAAAAAAGAAGTTCTCTGATGCTCTTGAAAGAGCATCCAAAGAGAATCCAAAGAAGATACTACGCAAAATGAAAGGTTGAGAGAAGGGAGTAGTGCTCTGTGTGTGTTAGAATGGTCAGGATTCTCCAGAGAAACAGCACCAATAGGAGCGTATCTATGTAGATATCTATCTGTATCTGTCTGTGTAGACATGTATATCTTTATGTAGAGAGATTTATTTTAAAGAATTGTCTCCCATGATTGAGGGAGAAGTCTGAAATCTTCAGGGCAGTCTGGAAGGGAAGAGTTGATGTCGTAGTCTCAAGACCTCAGTCAGTCTGGGGACAGAATTCCTTCTTAGGAGACTCCAGTCTTTTCTATTAAGGCCTTTAGCTGATTGGTTTGGGTCCACCCCTATTCTGGAGGGGCAGAGGTGTCAACTTTTAATTGATGGTGAGGTTCAAGGTGTGACCTCACTTTGGGGCAGCTAGAATGGAATTGATGAGGTTTCTGGGAAGACATTGTTTATGTGAACAATTTATTAAAAGTCTCTGATTTTTAACTTTTTATCCTATACTGTATGTTAGACATCTAGATTGTCCATTTCTTGTCCTATATTGATTCCTAATTTTCAAAGTCTAATATCAAGTTTTAGTTGTTTAATAGTATACTGATCAGTGGATTGGATATGGAATGTGCAGATACTTAAAAAAATCATTAATTTCTTGAGGTAGATGTCACCTAAACTCGTTTGTATCCTTACAGTGTAGAAGAAAGGAATAGAAATATATTAGGCTAAGCCCTGCTGCTGATTTGAAAAGACTTACAAATGTCCTGTCTTAGTTTGAAATACAACCTTTGGGTCTGAACTCCAGTTTGAGAATTTCGTTTCTTATATGCATATACTTTTTACTTACTTTACCTTAAAGAAGCCTTTTCATAAGCCCCTCTTAAAAACATATTCTGTTTAAAATATTTTGAAAGTTAGTGATACTCCCAGTAGACACTGATTCCTTCTTACTCTGTGAATCAGTGGCATCTTATTAGCACAAATTTACTGATTTATACTACTAGAGAACTGGAAAAATGGACCGAATTTAGATCATCTATATTTCTTTAAAGAATAACGACATAGAATTCACTGTCTCTGAAAAGTCTTAACCTTTCTCATGGTCTGCTTTAACATATAGTTTCATTTAAAACAAATATCTTGAATTCCCCCAACTTATAAATGAGCCAGGAATAGCTGTTCTGTTATCACATGCTTTAATTCATAGCACACAGTGAAGGAAAATACTGACTTAAAAGTATGTGCACTGTTTGGATGAACATAACTACAGTTAGGTAATAGTGAATTTAAACTGGATTTGGAGGTACAATGAGAAATGTTGACATTTACATAGATATACTAAAGTATAGTGCATTTGTCATTTCCAAAGCGAAATGACAAATGCACAATACTTTACAATTTTGGAAATGAGAAATGTACCATACTTATAGCTATGTAATTTTTCAGAGAAATGAGACTGAGTATAGAAGTCATAGATGAAAATCAGTTAAAAACTTTACCTGAAGACTAATTTAGAAATACGAAAGATCAAGAAAAATGCTGATTTTTTCAAACACTTGGCTGAACAAATCACTGATCAAAATAATTTAAACGAATAGCAATCCACTGGAAGGGTGTTTTAAAGCCCTGTATGAATGTGCTTAGTTCTTTTTTAAGTAATGGCTGCCCTCTAGTGATATTTCATTTTTTTCTCAAAGTACCTACACCAAAATTCTCTTCAGGATAGAAGTAATTCTGATTTTCCAAATATCAAAAATCTCGTAATGTCCAATTCAATAATATTGTAAACATTTGTTTTTATTAAGAAAAATGTGGCTGGACACAGTGGCTCACACCTGTAATCCCAGCAATTTGGGAGGCCAAGGCAGGAGCATCACTTGAGCCTGGGAGTTTGAGACCAGCTTTCACAGCATAGGGGGACCTCTCTATAAATAATTAAAAAAAAATAGCCAGGCATGGTGGCATACACCTGTGTATTCCAGCTACTCAGGAGGCTGAGGCAGGAGGATCACCTGAGCCCAGGAGGTCAAGGCTTCAGTCAGCTGTGATCACACCACTGCACTCCAGCTTGGGTGACAGAGAACCTGTCTGAAAAAAAGAAGAGAGAAAGAGACAGAAGGAGACAGAAAGAGAGAGAGAGAGAGAGAGGGAGAAAAGAAGAAGGAAGAAGGAAAGATATCGCACTTCTAACACATAGCAGGCGTATAATTGCATAGGCTAAATAGCTAAAGTATATATGGCAAACTTACATAGTTACAATTGGGGAATATAATTAAACTTGTATTTTATTTGAGTCTAAGTATAGCAAATTATCTAATTATAGAGACTGTTATATTTTAAGGGATAGTGTGCTTTAACTTTTATTAGAGTGCCTCACAAATATATGTACTGTAAAAGTATTAGTACTTTCATCAAAAATCTAGAACTTGACACATAATCTAATGTAAGCTCTTGTAGGTACTCAGTTTTTTGGGATATATTTTCAGTAATTTTTTGAGTTGTTCATATAATATTTCACTTGGTTAAAAATCTTTTGGTAAACTGTAAAATAGTGTCTACTTTCATGTCTTTAATAGTGATTATAATTAGGTAAAGATTTCTTTACTTCTTCCATAGTTTTTGTTTAAAACTGTCAGTTTTAATCATAAAGTTTAGATTTAGAAGGTATTTTGAGCCTTAAAATAATTAGTACAAATATCAAAATTCATCTTTCTAAAACTGGTACTTTGTATCTTATTTGGTTTTGTATATTTTATTACTTAATGTGTTACTGAAAAATGTATTATTTCTTACTAGTGGTATTGATGCTCTTTTGGAATTGAAACCATTCATAGAAGAACTCCTCCAGGGAAAACATTTGACTTTGCCCTTTCAAGGGATTGGTACTTTTGGAAATCAGGTTGGATTTGTGAAGCTGGCAGAAGGAGATCATGTAAACTCACTTTTGGAGATAGCAGGTAAAACAGCAACACACTCATATGAAATCTTGTCTGTTGGAGAAGCAATTTTTTTCAATTTTGTAACAGAGACTTGACATTTTTAAATTTTAAAAGATGATGGACTAGACTCAAGTATTTTTTAGGACTGTCCCAATCATAAGTCTGAAGGATTTCAGTGCTTATCATAACATTTGACATACAGTTGGCACTTGGTAGGTACTGAATCAATGAATAGGAGTTATTGGTTGCCTATTCAGAGGCTTGTGGGAGTTGTCATCCCCATTGCAGAGAGCCAGTTGGTGAATCAGCAAGGTTTCCATTTATGCTGCTCCCCTCCACCCAGTCCCCTGGAGGGACTACTCTCTGAGCAGAAGGACCATTGGTGTTAGCAGAAGACCTCATATGTGTTGGAGAACATGTTGCCTTGTGCAGCACAATTGAAAGTGTCAGGGAATTGGAAGCAGAAAAAAAATCATAACCTGGATGAGTGACTTCAGTTTGATCCAGAGATAATAGGTTGGGTATTAGCCTACATGCTGTGAGAAATTTTTATTTTCACTTCATTTCATGTCATGTCATGTCATGTCATTTCATGTCATCTCATTGCAGGTTCAATAATCCTTGGTTCATAACACACTTGCATTATTGGTCTATGCTTGGTCCACTTTTATCTGTGTTTTTTTTTCTTTCTATCTATTATTCCTTCTTTGCTTTTCTTTCTCTGCCCCCTCTTTCCTCTCTTCTTGCTTCCATCCCTCCTTCTCTTTGTGTATCTACGTTTCTCTCTCTATCTCTTAAAAAGCAATGTAATAATAACCTGGGAATGGTGGGAATTGAACAATGAGAACACATGGACACAGGAAGGGGAACATCACACTCTGGGGACTGTTGTGGGGTGGGGGGAGGGGGGAGGGATAGCATTGGGAGATATACCTAATGCTAGATGACGAGTTAGTGGGTGCAGCGCACCAGCATGTCACATGTATACATATGTAACTAACCTGCACATTGTGCACATGTACCCTAAAACTTAAAGTATAATTTAAAAAAAAAAGAAAAAAAAAAGAAACAATCATCTATAGGAATGAATAGAGCAGAATCTGGAAAAAAAGAAAAAAAAAATAATAACCTAGGAATCTACCACCCCAAACAGAAGCTAGTGCTTTGGTAGTAATCTAACCGTATTGTCCTTTCAGTAATGCATCCTTTGGCCTTCCTCCAATTAAGTTCACTGTCATCCTGAAGTCAGTGTTTACTTCCTTTTATTTTCCCAAAGTATATGTATTTTCATTTTAGTTGGTTTTAACTTAATAAAAAGGGCATCTTGTTGTATGTGATCTATTGGGACATCCTTTTCACTTAATATTACATTGCCTCTTTGCAGTTTAATAATTGCCCATTTAAAAGTGTACATTTGGCAGGGAGTGAGGATCAGGTTTCATTGTTGGTTTTTCTTTTGTGTTCTTAAGATATTTGTGATAAATATTTTTGTGAATGTCAGTGTTTATATAGGGCTGGATTATCATACAGATTAATTGTTAGAATGACATTTAGCATAGTGTCAGTTGTGCTGTCTAGTATATGGTTTAAGTTCGCTGAGTTCATTATCCATTCAGATGTATCAGAAGTAGAGCTGTTTAGTTATCTTTATAGTAGAAGATTTCTGTTATGTACTTGAAATACGTTTTACATAACAGCATTTCAATTGGGTTGCAAATGTGAAATTCACTATTGCTGTTATTAGTGACACAGCCGCATTCATTTTAGCAAAGGTTTTTATAAATTTATTACCTCTAAATTTCATTTCTTCTACATAATGTTGGGCCCAAGGAATTATACTTGAGTAGGAAGAATTCATTCCTTTAGCATGCAATTAGCCAGTGCCAACTAGTACTTGGGATAGAAAACTGGAAAAAAAAAAGATCCTTTTCCTTTAAGGAGCATATAGCCTTGTGCAGAAACAAACAGGCAAGCAATTACAGTGCAATATAATAATAACAATAATTTTTGTAGCTAGAGGCAGAGGCACAGAGTATAGCAGGCACATAGGAAGGAGAAGGGGGCGGATTGAGGAAGATTTCATAGGAGAAATAGCGTTTGAGTTGACATTTGAAGGGTAAATACAGGTTTTCTGGTTGGACAAATTGGAGGAGTGTATCCTGGGTAGAGGGAACAGCATATGCAAATAAATCAAGTCCTATTTAGGGGCCTACAAGTAGTTTAGTGTTACTGAAGTATAAATTGCAAATCTAGAGATACCATCAAATGAGATTCGTATGCTAAAGGGAGCAGTGAAGGTAAAATAAGGGCATGAGGAGAGCGGTGAAAGTTTAGAATGGCGACCAAGGGAAATGGAAGGGGAAAGTTTAATAAGCAGCATGTAATGGGGTTGCAGAGCAATGCAGAAGCTGCATTTGGGATGAGTGCAGAAATTTGTAATGGTACTAATCTGTGATCTTCTCAAGTACTATGTAGGATTTAGCTGTGAGAATGGAGAGGGGAAACTGAATTAATCCATACTGGAGCACTTGTATGGTAGGTGTGGTAAAAAGACAAAGGAGCCAGACTGTCAAGAGAGTGGTAGAATGTTTGATGTGATCATTATTGGACGTACATTAGAAAAGGCAGTGAAGTCTGGATGGGACTAATATTTGGAAGGAGAATAGAGTAATAGGGCTGAAGATTAGAGTTAGTAGAAGTTCAAGAGTGAGACAGGAAAATTAGGAGGTGTGATCAGAGAGCAGTATATTGGATTTTATGAATTGAGGAGATTTCTGGTTCATAGAGAGTATGAAGAAACTTTGTTCGTTGACGTCACAAAGAAAAACAAATGATAGCTAGAAGTTTTAAAATCGAGAGAAAGACAAATTATTAGGTTGCATAGGAGAAACTTATAGCTTCAGTGAAGTCCCTAGGTACATGATCAGTATACAAAAACCTATAAATAATTAAAGTATTTTTTAAGAGGCACAATTTTTAATAACAAGAACAGTAGAGACATGTAGGAATAAATCAACTAAAGGATATGCAAGACTTCTATGGAGGAAATATTTTGGCTATTACATCTTTACTAGGTATGTTTATCATAACATTTTTCCCCTTTCCTTTTTTAAAGACAGAGTCTTGCTCTGTCACCCAGGCTGGAGTGCAGTGGTGCAATCATGACTCACTGCAGCCTTGAGCCTCCTAGGCTCAAGCGATCCTCCTGCCTCAGCTACAGGTGTGTGCCACCATGGCCAGCTAATTTTTTTTTTAAGAGTTGGAGTCTCACTATGTTGCCCAGACTGGTCTTGAACTCTTGGCCTCAAGCAGTTGTCCCACCTTAGCCTCATAAAGTGTTGGGATTACAGGCATGAGCCACTGTGCCCAGCCCCTCCTTTCTTTTTCTATTTGTTGCAAGAGCGTCTATTCCTCTCACTGAGAAATACATTTCTAGACTAAGCCAGACCATCAAAAAAATTGTATAGGTACTTAGACAAAATCATGTAAAACTTTGTAGAATTGATATTACAGAATTGCTTTTACTATAATTCTTTTGGCATTATTTGATGATTTTCTAAGAAACAGGTTTATGGAAATTCTCTGTGTTTATTTTAAGTATTACAAATGTTGATTATATCTT
The DNA here is from genome assembly GCF_000001405.40 of Homo sapiens. Classification (NCBI taxonomy): domain Eukaryota; kingdom Metazoa; phylum Chordata; class Mammalia; order Primates; family Hominidae; genus Homo; species Homo sapiens. Next base: position 131,172,878 of record NC_000006.12, read on the forward strand.
GTTAAATAACATGAGTTGATTAGAAAAAATTCTTTTTGGCTGGGTGCGGCGGCTCATGCCAGTAATCCCAGCACTTTGGGAGGCCGAGGTGGGCAGATCGTGAGGTCAGGAGTGGCCAGTACTGGAGACCAGCCTGGCCAATATGGTGAAACCCCGTCTCTATTAAAAATACAAAAAATTAGCAGGGTGTGATGGGACCTGTAGTCCCAGCTACTCAAGAGGCCGAGGCAGGAGAATCACTTGAACCCGGGAGGCGGAGGTTGCAGTGAGCCGAGATCGTGCCACTGCACTCCAGCCTAGGTGACAGAGCGAGACTCCATCTCAAAAAAAAAAAAAAAAGAAAAAAGAAAAAATTCTTTTTAATTTTAATATCAGGACTATTTCTCTTGAACATGTTGTTTTTTACCTAATGAATGTTGAACATTTAACTTGTGTCTTTGGGTTAGAATTGGTTACTTGAACACTTAGAATCCAGTTTATTGCATACTTCAATTTAGAATATAGGACATAATGCTATTCTTTTTGTGCACTTACCTCATACCTGGCTTCATGTTATCTTTCCAGTTTTAGTTTCTGTTTGTCTCATTTTCTTTATTTTAAATTTACTTATTATAGTGTATACTTCTTTGGAGTTATCTTAAATCCTATTTTTAGGGATAGGGTGAAGCAAAACATGTAAGCAAGCATGCAAACAAATAAGCAATATTTACAAGTCAAGGAGTACTTAAAATCATTAGTAGGCCAATGAGAAGGCAACTCTAATTGTTCTGAGGGCAAATCATCTGGGACCAATGCCCACAGTTAATCTTTTCTTCCTGGGCAAATCATTTGGGACTGATAGTCCACAGTTAAACTTAATCTTTTCTTCTTGGCTGCTCTGGAAAAAATGCTAGACTTAGAGCTTTTCTTTGGTAATATAAATATCTCTGCACTCAAGAAACATTTCTAATTACTCATTCATTCATTGTTCTTTTAAATAATTCACTGGGTGCTTGCAACATTGAGAATTCCATCCATTCTTTGCAAATATTCTCACAAAGGCATTTTCCAATATTGATGAAAGATCCATTGTGTGCTGAGGAATGTGAAGTATCACCAGCTTTAATATGAATATAAGCCCGAAGATGTTGGTTTGTTGTTACTGCTCCTGTAATTCCTTTCTTGATTCCAGAGGTATTAGGTACTGTTGATTAAAAATACTTATGTTTTTCAAAAGTTTCAACAAAACATTATAAAAAATAGAAGCTGGAGGGAGAACAACATTCTTTTCCCCTCATACAATCACTGTTATACTTGCTTTTAATCTTTTATGTGTGTATTGTACTATTGTTTTTATTATAATTTTTATGCACTTTTATAAGGAACCTAAATATTTGAATATACATGGAAAACTTTATTCACTTACTGAAGCAACATGTATTTATTAATTATTGGGGACTTACTGTGTCAGGCATTGAAGTTTAGATATAGCCTCTATTTACATAGTGTTCAGATATTCAGAATGTTCAGCACATGGGATTTTTGTCAATATTTTACTTCTTTAGATATATTTTTAAAAGAATGCCTCAGGCTGGGCACACTGGCTTGCGCCGATAATCCCAGCCACTCAGCAGACTGAGGTAGGAGGATCACTTGAGCTCAGGGCCTGGAGGTTACAGTGAGCCATGATTGTGCCACTACACTCTAGCCTGGGCAATGGAGTGAGACCCCATCTCAAAAAAAGAATGCCTTAGGATTAGTGCCACTTTAACCCAACAGTATCAGTAAAATGATTTAATATTTGTTTTTGTACCATATTTTATAAGCTGTTTGTTCAAATGATATATTCTAACTCTCAGAAGAATATATTCCATTGACCAAAGTTTCTTAAAACTTTGTAATAAATTGTATGTATATGCCTACACAGGAATATTAAAATTTTGTTCATTCAAAATAATGGAGACAGAGCTAGACTGACTTACTGTAAAGCAGGATAATTTGTAAAGAAAGTAATTCTAGTTGACCTTTGAACAATGTGGGGATTGGTGCCCAGAACCCTGCGTAGTCAGAATTCCCCATGTAACTTTCGACTCCTCCAGAAGTTTACTACTAATAGTCTACTATTGACTGAAAGCCTTATTGATAACATAAACAATTGATTAACACATATTGTATATGTTACATGTATTATTAATATATACTATATTCTTACGATAAATAATTTAGAGAAAAGAAGATGCTATTAAGAGAATCCTAAGAAAGAGAATACATGTTTGCTGTTGATTAAGTGGAAGTGGATGATCATAAAGGTTTTCAACCTCATCATTTTCACATTGAGTGGACTGAGGAAGAGGAGGAGTGAGTCTTGCTGTCTTAGGGGTGGCAGAGGCACAAGAGGTGGAGGTGGAAGTGGGGAGGCAGGAGGGGCAGGCACACGTGTGTAACTTCTGTTGAAAAATATCCATATATAAGTGGACCTGCTTAGTTCAAACCTGTGTTGTTCAAAGTTTGAGTCTGATTTACCTAATTTTCATGGAGAGAGTTTTTAGATTTACAAGTTAAAAAAATAAATTCTTAAAGTGTTACATAGTTCTTAGGAAAAAAGGAACCAATTTCAGACACTACTCTTTGTACTCATTACTAAATATTGGCAGGATAAAGAGTCATTTAGAATTTTTAATGTGTAAAATTGAAGAAAATTATTGGACATTTTGAACTAGTAAAGTCTAAATTGATGAGCTTTTACCATTAATGGGGGTCAGGATATGCTACTCCATAATATTTTAAGCTAAAGGAATTTGAGAAAACAGCAGAAGTAGGAAAGTCACTCTCTGCCCTCCTGCCCTTCCCTGAAGGAGGTCATAAGACCCACATTTGAGATATGCGCTCTCTATGCCTGGAGGAATGGAACATCCTCCTTTCTGAGGACACCGGGTCACAGAGGAGAAGCTGAGTCAGTAGGCCTTGCTAAGTTTCCCCCAGTTTATTGCCATTAGATCATACTTTTTAATTCAATTGTACTTCTCCACAACTATCCACTTCTTCATCAAACATAGCATAAAAATACACAGGTTTACATGTTTATTTGGGTCATTATTTTCTTATAAAAGGTCCCATGTCTCATAAAACTTCTATTAAATAAATTGGTATGCTTGTCTCTTGTTAATCTGTCTTTTTTATGGAGTTGTCTATAACAATGAATATAGGATGGGTGAGAAAAAGATATTTCTTTTTTCCTACACCATTAAAATTATGCTGTTACTAACAGTTATTTTTGGTACCTGCTGGTGGGCTAAAGAGACCAAGCCCTTCTTTGCATCACATGTACATGTGGGCTTATGGTGGTAGCCACTTGAGGGAGCAGGTAAGGTGTATGGCATCAGAGGCTGTGTCTCAGCTTCCTAGCTTGACCTTGAGTGATCCTGTGTGTTTTTTTTTTTTCCAGAATAAAACAGCACCTTCTTTCCTAGAATTACCCAGTAGCTGATAGAATTAAGAAGATATTGAAAATTTTGCATTTATATGGCATGTTCCCACATTTTATAATGAATGATGAAATTGCATTGAAAAGCTTTTTGCATAGAAATGGATATGTGATTTCATTCATTTTTTCAGCCATATATAATTTTAAGCTTGCGAGACTGAGAGATTGCTAAAAATTTAGCCCACTAGAATTATAATAGTTCTTGCAAAACTTTTTTTTTTAAATAGAAAAGTGCCCTTGGTTAGCATGATAAAAGATTCTAAGTACATTTATCTCATACAAGAAAAAATGAAAGGTTTTTAGAATGTTCATTTGAACATTATGCTTTCTTTCATTTTGACTGTCATTTCCCCCAAAAGATGGAGAGACTACATTCCGTGTTTTCTGCTCCTTGTGAAGAATCTGTTCAGTTTCTGGTATCTTTAGGCCCTTCTAGGGTGCTCTATTACTACATGAAGTCTTGGATTTCTGACCACCACAGGCTGGTGGGTGTCCCAGCAGCCTGCTAACCGTTCCCCTAATGGCTTGGGCTACGCTTTCTTCAGAAACGTAAAAATAACTTAGCCACACTTCACTTAGAAGACCAGCTTGTCTTCTTAACTAGGATGGCTGCATTCACAGACCTGCACCATTGAGGCCATTAGAGCCTTAGTTTTATACCCTGCCTCTGTTTGCATATGCCTCCAAGCACACTTCATCCTTCCTCTCCTTTCTCATCTCTCTCTTAATCCTTTTTATTCTCACCTCTTTTATTTACTTGATTTTCAATCAAACACTTTCTAAATGGACTGACTTTGTACCAGGCATTATTCTAATTATCTTATTAAATATCAATTTCATCCTGACAAACCTATGAGGTATGGGCTGTCTTCGTTCATTTTGTGTTGCTATAACAGAATACTTGAGGCTGGGTAATTTATGAAGGAAAGACGTTTATTGAGCTCACAATTTTGCAGGCTGGGAAGTTCAAGAGCATAGCACTGCACTGGCTGGCTCCCGGTGAGAACCACATGCTGGGTCAAAACATGGCAGAGAAGTGGAAAAGTGAGTGGGTGCATGCAAAGAGATCACTTGCCGATAGAGGAAGCAAGTGAGAATCTAGGAAGCCTAATTCACTTTTATGAGAGCGTACTCTTTAGTAACTAATCCAGTCCCATGAAAGTGAGAACATACTCCTGATGTAAGGCATTCATCTATTTATGAGGGATCCACCCCTGTGACCCAAACACCTCCCACAAGGCTCCATCTCCAGCACAACCATGTTAGGAATCAAATTTCAACATGAGTTTTGGTGGGGAAAAACCACATCCAAACAGTAGGAAGACCATTGTCATCACTCCCATTTGGCAGGGAAACTGAGGCACAAAGAAGTTAAGTAATTTGTTAGTGAGTAGTGGAACCAGGACTCAAATCCAACCAGTCTGATTCCAAATTCTGTGCTCTTAATTACTATGCTATTCTGTTACATTGTAAATTAGCAACCGGACTCCCTAAACATTTTCCAGGAACACCTCTTCTTGCCTTAGCTGAAACTCGGCTCTTACCTGATTGAAATCACAGCTTCCTCTAGGTGAAGGCTGCTCATTTCACCCAATCCCAAATTCCACAGGACCCAGAGGTATCATCCACATTCTCTTAGTTTTCTGTTGCTTTGTCCCTGTTATATCCTCACGCAAAGGTCTTTCCTTATTGGTGGTTCATGTTACCTGGTTTTGTTAACTTCTGCCTCTCTTTTTGCTGTCATCTGAATATTTCCTCTCCTATTTTGAGGATTTTGTTTCATAGCTCACATTGCAATGCTTGCGTCCTTCAGTAGCACGAGCACAATCTGTCCAGCCATCCTGGCACAAAGTGAGCTTTGGAGTCAGTCAGAACCATTTGCATTCCTGTGCAGCCTGTTACCAGCTGAGTGGTTTTAAGCAATTTACTTCACCTCCCAATCCTTCAGTTTCTTTATTTGTGCAATGGGCATAATAGTAACCGTTCTGAAAATAAAGTGAGATAATCTATACGAAGTGCTTAGCACAGTATTGGGCACGCAGACAATGTTAAATAGATGGTAACTATTATTATTAATGATAAATACTCCATTCCCACTACTGCCATCACAGCTGTTGCTTTTCTTAAAATCCCTTGACTTCTTTGACGTTAGCATCCTACACCCATACACCACTCTGCCATTCATAAGCATATTTCTGAGACCTTAAACTTAGTTATAGCTATCACGACAACTTCCCATTCTAGTTGCCATTTACTTCGTTTCCACTACTGCTAATGCTCCGGAACCTCACCCAGGCTTGGCCTCTTTCAAGGCAGCATGGATGTATTCATTCTTAAAGTAGACAAGGCCTCAAGGTATGCCATTCTCTTGGTGGCTCTTTCAGTTGTCCTATCTCCTTCTGTTTGACCTGTCTGGGAAACACCGATGGCAGATCCAATCCAGTCATTTGCTTTTTTGCGCCAACACCTGGGCAAAATAAAATCCACCCTCCTTGCTGTAGCCCACAATATCCTCCATGTTCTGGTCCACTGCCTATATCTCCTGCCTTATCGTGGTCCTCTCTCCCTGCCCACTGTGCCCCACTTGAACTTGCTTCTTACAGGTACTGGACTCAACAGAGTCTTTTCTGCCATAGATCTTCTGAAAATGCCTGAGTGTTCCTTCTGCTTAGACCTTTTCATTCTTAGGATCTCAAATGTCACCACTTCAGAGAGTCCCTGCCCACTGTGAGTAGAGTATTTTTATAAGTAAGCTCTCTATCACTGTACCCAGTGGGATGCCCTCATAGGTCTCATCACAGGTTGTGATTACCTTATTGTCTATTCGGTTTTTTTTTTGTTTGTTTGTTTTGAGATGGAGTCTCGCCCTGTTGCCCAGGCTGGAGTGCAGTTGCACAATCTTGGCTCACCACAACTTCTGCCTCCTGGGTTCAAGTGATTCTCCTGTCTCAGCCTCCCGAGTAGCTGGGATTACAGGTGCCTGCCACCACACCCAGCTAAGTTTTGTGTTTATAGTAGAGACGGAGTTTCTCCATGTTGGCCAGGCTGGTCTCAAACTCCTGACCTCAAGTGATCTGCCTGCCTGGGCCTCCCAAAGTGCTGAGATTACAGGCGTGAGCCACCGTGCCTGGCCCGTTATTGTCTATTTGATTGACTATCTTTGTGGCTAGATTAGGCTCCACGAGGGCCAGGACCATGACTGTTTTGGTCACTAGTGTATACCCAGTACTGTCTATAATGTGTGACACATAAAACGCGTTAAGGCTCACATAATCCCAGCACTCTGGGGGCCTGAGGAGGGAAGATTGCTTGAGCTCAGCGGTTTAAGACCAGCCTAGGCAACATAGTGAGACTTTGTTTCTACAAAAGATAGAAAAAAATTACCTTGGCATGATGGTGCATGCCTTGATTCCAGCTACTTAGATGGCTGAGGTGGAAGGATTGCTTGAGTCTGGGAGGGCGAGGCTGCAGCGAGCTGTGAATATGCCACCATACTCCAGCCTGGGTGACAGAAAAAGACCCTGTCTCAAATAAATAAATAAATAAATAAATAAATAATAAATAAATAAATAAGTTGTTAATAAGTATTCATCAAAAGAATGAGAAAATGAAGAAATCACACAGTCATGTAGGTTGGCTCTCCTGCAAATGTATGTTTTCCACACTCAGAGCCTTGGCTCGGCAGGTCCACTGCTTCTGCTCAGTTTTCCTCATGTCTGCTGTTGCTGCCCCAGCCCCCTGTTTGGAGCAACTATAACCTTCTACCCCTCTCTCAGCAGATGGCACTGAGGCTGGGATCTGCTCACTTCAAGTCCCTGTGCTTGGTGAACCTATCTGCTACTGCATTTGGCTTTTAAATTCTCATACAGTTTTGGGAAAAGAGGTGTCCTTTATCTAGTTAAGACTAACCCCTTCAGCTGTGTTCTTGGTCTGCTGGACTCAACCAGGATCTTGCTGTACCAGTTACTTCTTCCCTCTCTGTGCTTCTGTGTTTTCAACCCTTTGTCTTTATTACCTCCTTTCCCCCAACTTTACTTGCTCAATAACACCTTTCCTATCCCTAAACAAACAAAAAACAAAGTTAAAAAATCCTAAGAATTAGCTACAGAAAAATCTCTTGATCTTGAATCTCCTGCTAGCTTCTTCATTGTACCTTTCCTACTCAGAATCTTTAAAAGAGTTGCCTGTATTCTCTGTACCTTTCCTACCTAGAATCTTTAAAATTTAAAAATCTTCATTGTACCTTTCCTATCCAGAATCTTTAAAAGAGTTGCCTGCATTATCTGTCTTTAGTTCATTACTGTCCTTTTCTCAAACCTCCTGCGGTCAGTAGGCTATGGCCTACTTCACTGCATGCCACATCGTGGGCCCCTGATAGCTTTGTAATTGCTGAATCTAACGAATGCTCTAGATTTATTCATACAACTGAGGACTCCCTTCTTTAAATTCTCCTTTTGGTTTCTGAGACACCACTTTCTTTTTTTGTTTGTTTTGTTTTTTTTTTTTTTAATACTTCTCTCAATGTATCTTCTCAGCTTTCTTCATTAGCTTATCTCTTTTTTCTTTAAGCATTTATATTTTTAGATTTCTGGACCTGACTCTCTGTTTAACTATGTTTCTCTTTTTTTTGAAATGGAGTCTCACTCTGTTGCCTAGGCTGGAGTGCAGTGGCACTGTCTCAGCCTCCTGGGTTCAAGCAATTCTCCTGCCTCAGCCTCCTGAGTAGCTGGGATTACAGGCGCCTGCCACCATGCCTGGCTAATTTTTGTATTTTTAGTAGAGACAGGGTTTCACCATGTTGGCCAGGCTGGTATCAAACTCCTGACCTCAGGTGATCTGCCTGCCTCGGCCTCCCAAAATGCTGGGATTACAGGTGTGAGCCACCGCGCCTGGCCCCATGTTTCACTTTTTGTATTTACCATCATGGTCAATCTCCCTACTCTTCCACCAGGAACATCAAGAAATGTAGGTGTCATCCTAAACCCCAGCATCAGTCATTTTAGATATTCATAGTCATCAAATGCTGTAAATTTTCTGTCTTAAATATCACTCCCATTCGTTCCCTACTTTCTGTTCCTATTGCTGTGCCTCAGTCCAAGCTCTGTTCATCTTTCACCCATTCTACTGCAATAGTCTCCTGGTCTACAGTCTGCCGCTTTGCTTCCAGACTCTTTTTCTAAAGCACAAAACTAAGCATTTTTATGCTCCCTGCTTAAAAGAATTTATTGACTTACTGTTGGATCTAGGATAAAATCTATTCTTCTTGCTGTGTCATTTAAGATTCTCAGCTTCTTGATTCTTGCCTGTGTATTTAGCCTTATTTCTTGTGTTGTCCATGCTGCACCCATTGTTTAAGATATGCTGAACTACTTAGAGGTCCCCTGAGGCACTGGGCCATGTCATGTCTTCATGCCTTAGTTGACGCTGCTGCCATCCCATGGAAACTTTTACATTCTTCACATGATCAGACAACAGCCACTGATCTTTTTTATTTAAAAAAAAAATTAGTTTTGGCTGGACATGCTGTAATCCTAGTACTTTGGAAGGCTGAGGCGGGTAGATCACTTGAGGTTAGGAGTTTGAAACCAGCCTGGCCAACATAGTGAAACTCCATCTCTACTAAAAATACAAAAACATTAGCCAGGCATGGTGGTGGGTACCTGTGATCTCACCTGCTCAGGAGGCTGAGGCAGGGGAATCGCATGAACCCAAGAGGCAGCGGTTGTAGTGAGCTGAGATGGCACCAATGTACTCCAGCCTGGGTGACAGAGCAAGAGTCCGTCTGAAAAAAAAAATAATTTTTAACTATAGTAAAATACATATAATATGAAATTTACCATCTTAACTTTTTTTAAACACATAGTTCAGTAGTGTTAAGTATATTCACATTATTGTGCAACCAATCTACGGAATCTTTTTATTCTTGCAAAATGGAAACTCCATACCCATGAAAAACAAATCCTCACTCCCTCCTTCCCCTGGCTTCTGGCGACCACCATTCTACTTTCTGTCTCTATGAATTTGACTGTGTAGCTGCCTCATAGAAGTGAAATCATGTAGTATTTATCTTTTTGTGACTGGCTGATTTCACTTAACATAACGTCCTTAAGGTTCATCCATGCTGTATCATGTCAGAACTTTATTCCTTTTTAATGCTTTATAATATTCCGTGGTATATGTACATACCACATTTTGCTTATCTTGTTATCTGTTGATGGGTTTGTTGATGGACTCTTGGCTATTGTGAATAATGCAGCTATGAACATGGATGTATAAATATCTCTTCAAGACCTTGAGTTCAGATCTTTTGGATATGTAACCAGAAGTGGAATTGCTAAATCATATGGTAGTTTAATTTTTAATTTTTTGAGGAACTGTCTTAATGTTTTCTATAGCAGCTGGACTATTTTACATTCCCACCAGCAGTGTACTAGGGCTCCAACACTTGTTATTTTCTATTTTTTTGATAATGGCCCTTTTTTTTTAACCCAAATTTTGTATTGATCAAAACAGCTTCATCGTTCTTTATAACAAAGAATTGTTGTAAACTTGAATTTATGTAACTAATTAAAACTAGCAAAATAACCAATTTTATATTCGCTTTACATATTGGAGTTCAACAAAAAAAATTTAATTTTGGGGGAAAAAAAGCTGTATTTCAAAATGTTTAAAAAAACCACCGTCATGGAAATCTTAGGATGAAAAGGCCTTCTTAATGGAGAGAGGCAGGAGATAAACCATCCAGCAGAGGGCTCTGTGTAAAAACGTTTATGTTTACTGATGTTTAGAATACAGGAACTAACGAAAGGAAAAAAAAGACAACTTCAAAGTGACAGTGAGTTAGGGCCTGCCTGCGGCCAAGGGGGAAGGCTACTCCAGGGTATGCTGGCATGCACTGGCCCCCCACTACTTAATGTCAGTGCCACTAAGCAGAAAACTTGAGGAATCAGAGTGTGAAGACCTTACCAGCTGCTAGCGAGCATGCAGGGGAAGAAAGGGATGTCTGTGTGGCTTCCCCATGAGCTGAGAGCCAGGATACACAGGGCAGGTGGCAAGGCTCCCAATTCAGTTCAGGGCAGGAGGCTGAATGCCCAGGTCCAGGAAGAACAAAAAGGGGATTTTGGAGGTAGGCTTTTTTGTTGTGTTAAAAAAACAGGCACATTACCCATCTCCCTGTGGCCCTTGAGCTGCTGGCCTGGCCCCCTGATCCTTCCCCTCTCCCCACAAAACCAAAATGAATAAGAAGAGAGGTAGAAGATGAGACATTCCAAGGGTGGGGAATGCTTTAGTCACTGGAGCCCGCCCATGAGAGTGAGCCTGGAGAGCACTGGGAAGCACAAGGTGAAGCTGCTGCTCCCCCTGGGGTGGGGTGGACTGGGACAGGGCAGAGCCAGGAGGGTGACCGAGAACATCCTGACTCCAGCAAAGAATCCTACGTAGCAGGAACAGAGGGCTGCAGAGAGCCACTCTGGAGGAAGGAGGTGAGGCTAAGTGACACAGGGGCATGGAAAGCTCCTTGTGGCTGTGGCCTCAGCTGCTCGCTACCAGCTGCCTTGGGCAGAGGCTCTGGCCTGGCTCGCCTCTGGGGGATGGGAAAACTCTGGAGACCAGAGTGGAGGCAGAACAGAGAGAGAAGTGAGCTGCTCTCCCACTCTTTCTAGGAGGACACTGTTTGAACCCTGTGATGACCAGGGCCTGGGCCCAAGGCAAGCAGAATGAATGCATTTCATGGAGAGCAGAGAGAAACTGGGCCCACAGGTATGCCTTGGGGCAGTGTGTTGCTCCTTTCTCCTTGAGGGCCTAGGGCCAGAGGTGGCCAGAGCTGCCACATCAGCTTGTGGCTGCCAAAGGCAGGCTAGAACAACCACCCCAAGGTTCTCTGGACTTGTGAAGGAGAGGAGGAGGAAGGGAAAGGTGGGTATGAAAAATGAAGTGGAGGAGAGAAACAGCCTTAGATATGTCGGGGAGCAGGGGGGTGGCTATATCAAGAGGAGTTCTTGTTCTGGTAGATGGAAGCTTTCTCCTTCAACAGGTCCAGACACAGGTGGCACCTCCAACTTCCTTCAGGGGGCTCAGATATGGACGGAGTGAGACAGTACATTTCGTAGCCATGATCGCAGCATCACAAAAGCCCAGCTGGTCATCATCTTCAGAGGTGCCGCAGATATCGCAACATTTGTGCTCGATGCATTGCCAGCAGTATGTCTTCACTGCCCCATCATCATGGGGGTGAAATGGAGGCAAGATGGATGCCCTGAGCAGCCACAGTCGAAACAGGACACCACCTCCTCAGGTTGTCCCATCTTCTTGTTAATCTTTGAGTTCCCCAGGCAGAAGTTACAGTAGTTGTTGGGCAAGGCAAATCCATCAGGACCCTTTTTGGATTTCTGTTCCTCAGACCTCTGGGAAACAGGAGTGGGTGGTTGGGAGTCTTCTTTGTCCTCGCCCTCCTCAGCCAAGTGAGAGTGGGCATAGTGGTAACTGAGGCCTGGTCGGTTCTTGTAACGTTTTCCACAAATGTCACAGGCATAGGGCTTATCCTGGTCCTCCAGGTTGGAAGCATCCAGCTCCTTATGGGCACTGCCACACCTTTACCCTTGGATTACCCCTTTCCCCGATGCTTGGGAGCATCTTCACAGTACTCATCATCGAGGTCATCCAGGAAGTCATCTGGTTCTAGGATCCGCTTTCGTGCTTGACTGTTTGTCACAGGAAACTTGCCCAGGCTGTCATCATCAACTCGGGGATCTGGGGTACCTCGCTTCCCCAGGGGGTCAGTGTGCAACAGAACCTCTAAACTGCTGCTGTCCTGAGAGATCAGCCCCTCCTTCTTCAGGGTGGGGTCTGTGTCTGGCTTAATAGGTGGGAAGAAAAATTGTGGATCTTCACAGGGGTGGGCTCACCGCTTTTTCCGCCAGTGCTGGGCAGGGTACGAGTAGTTGTCCAGAGGCCAATCCTAGAACCTGGTTACTTCTTCATCCAGCTGTAATAATTGTTCTGGGCTACTCCAGTCTGTGAGGCCAAGAAAGGCAGGCACATGCTGTGCTCAGCACAGAGGTGGGCATTGTAATTGTGGCCCTGCTCCATGGCATCTTTGTAGTACTGCTCCCAAGGAACTTCATTGCATTCACCACCACAGGTGCCATTTTCCTTGCTTCTCTCCCTCCAGTAATGGCCATTCTAATGGGTATGAGGTGGTATTTCATTTGTGGTTTTGATTTGCAATTCCTTGATGATTAGTGATGTTGAACATCTTTTCCTGTGCTTTTTGCCGTTTGTGTTTCTTCTACGGAGAAATCCTATTCAAGCCTTTTGCCCATTTTTAAACCAAGTTGTCTTTTGTTGTTGATTTGAAGGAGTTCTTTAAATTCTGAATGTTAATCTCTTATCAGATATACGATTTGCAAATATTTCTCCCACTCCATAGGTGGCCTTTTCATTCTATTATATCCTATGATGCACAAAAGTTTTAAATTTTTATGTAGTCCAATTTATCTGTTTTTACTTTTGTTGCCTGTGCTTTGGTGTCACACTCAAGAAATCATTGCCAAATCTAATGTCTTGAACCTTTCCCTCTATGTTTTTTCTTAAGAGTCTTATAATTTTAACTCTTATGTTTAGATCTTTGATCCATTTCGAGTTAATTTTTGTATATGGTGTAAGGTGTAAGGGACTAACTTCATTCTTTTGCATGTGGATATCCAGTTTTCCTAGCACCATTTGTTGAAAGACTGCTGATGTAGTTTGTATGTTATCCCTTCTCAAATTGTATGTTGAAATGTAATCCCCAGTGTTGGAGGTGGGGCCTTGTGGGAGGTGATTGGATCATCATCCTCTTGGTACCATCCTCATGCTAGTGAGTGAGTTCTTGTGAGATCTGGTCATTTAAAAGTGTGTGGGACCTTCCCCTCTCTCTCTTATTCCTGCTCCCACCCTGTGAGATGCCCGCTCCCCTGTGCCTTCTGCCATGGATTGTAAGCTTCCTGAGGCCTCCCCAGAAGGAGATGCTGGCATTATGCTTCCTGTACAGCCTGCAGAACTGTGAGCCAATTAAAGTCTCTTTTCTTATAAGTTATCCAGTCTCAGGTATTTTTTTTTTAAATAGCAATGCAGAAATGGCGTAATACAACTGTCTTTTCTCATTGAATGATCTTGGCACAGTTGTTGAAACCATTTGACCTTCCTGCTGTTATAACAAAATTCCTGGACTGGGTAATTTATAAACAACAGAAATTTATTCATCACAGTTTTGGAAATGGGAAGTTCAAGATCAGGTCACCAGAAGATTTAGTGTTTGGAGAGGGCTCTCTGCTTCACAGATGACACCTTGCTACTGCATCCTCACCTAGTGGAAGGGGAGAACACTGTATCCTCACATGGTGGAGGGGCAAAAGGGACAAAGACAAAAGACAAAAGTGATTTAGGACCCCAAAATCTCTTTTAAGGACAGTAATCCCATTAATGAAGGCAGACCTCTTGTGACCTAATCAGCTCCCAAAGGCCCCACCTCTTAATACCTTTACCTTGGGGATTAGGTCTCAACGTAAGAATTTTGGAGGGACACAAACATTCAGACCATAGCAACCATATATGTGAGGGTTTATTTTTGAGCTTTCTATTCTATTTCATTAGCCTATATATTTGTCTTTATGCATATATTACACCGTCTTGATTACTGTAGATTTGTAGTAACTTTTGAAATCAGAAGTGTAAAATCTCTAACTTTGATCTTCTTTATCAAGATTGTTTTGCTATTCAGAGATCCTTGAGGTTCAATATGAATTTTAGGATGGATTTTTTTTAAATTTCTGCAGAAAATACCATTGGGATTTTGATAGGGTTACATTAAATCATTAGATTGCTTTGAGCAGTATTGGCATTTTAACAATATGTTGTCCTTCGGTTCATTAAAACAGGCAGGATGTCTTTTCATTTATTTGTATTTTCTTTAATTTCTTTTAGCAATGTTTCATAGTTTTCAGAATATGCATCTTTCACCTCCTTGGTTAAGTTTATTCCTAAGTATTTTAAAATTTTTGTATTCCTAATTATTTTATAATTTTATTTATAATGTTGATGCAATTGTTTTCTTAATTTCCTTTCACATTGTATCACTGACCTTTCATAGAGACTTATTTCAAGTGTCACTTTAAAAATAAAGGCCTTTTTTCTCCAAAGTAGAAATGATCATTTTATCCTCTTATCCCCTATATCTCTACTGTAGAAACTATAACAAGTTAGTGTAATTGTTTAGAAATCTAACTTTCCCAACCAGAATTGAAAGGTCTTTGAGGGAATCTTCCGTCTTTGTGTCCTCAATTCCTGCCACATAGTAGAGATTCAATAAATATATTTTAATACATAAAGCAATGAAAAAAAAGTGTGATGTACACATAAAAGTTTACTTGAAAGAACATTTAACTTTAGGTAGTCTCTCTTCCCTCATTTACATTTGTGTCTAAATCTTTGCATGAAAATTAAACCCAGTCCTGGTGTTCTAGAATCCCCTAAGGGTGATGTACCAGAACTCTCTCTGGCAGTTCACTTGGATTTGCTGGTTGTTAGGATAAGAAGGGACCTGAGAGACAATTTATTATGGTCTCATCACTTTTACTATCAGTGTTAAGTGATGTGTCTAGGAGCACAAACTAAATAATGGGAGAACTGGGTTGGAGTTAGAAGGCTCAGTCTGGTTCTCTTTATCAACTGTGGTAGAATGAGTAGAATTCCTCTGGCATCAAGATGTATTTTAAAGATGTGCTTTTAAGAATGACACTTAAAAATTCTACTTGTCAGTTTTACACAGTAATCAACTGGAAATATCTATTTAAGATGAGGACTATAAAATTTTTAAATTGAAGTTGGTTTCAGCATTATGTCAGCCTTTATATTGAAACATAGTTCAAGTGACTTGCTAAGACTGTCTAAAATGGAACTGTTTAAGCAGTATGTGGATACAGGAATGCTTTAAATGTTAATAGTAATATTATAGGAACAACAAAAACAGCTTTATGGCTTTTATTTCTTTAAAGTTTCAGGTGACGAAAAGTGATTTTAAAATTTTATTGAGATTTTTCGTATTATATGTGACACAATTTTAGCATAACTTACAATAGTAGTAGAAAGTATCTTGCAATTGGAAGACATGGAAAATACTCATGCTTGCTATTGTTTAATTACACATTAGTTTTGTTGTTGTTGTTGTTTTGTTTTTTAAGACCGTGTATCACTCTGTCACCCAGGCTAGAGTACAGTGGTGTCATCACAGCTCACTGCAGCCTTGACCTCCCTGGGCTTAGGTGAGCTTCCCATTTCATCCTCCTGAGTAGCTGGGACTACAGGCATAGGCCATCACACCTGGCTGATTTTTGTACTTCTTTTTTTTTTTTTTTTGTAGAGACAGGGTTTCACCATGTTGCCCAGGCTGGTCTCAAATTCCTGGGCTCAGGCAATTCTCCCTCCTTGGCCTCCCAGAGTACTGGGATTATAGGCATGAGCCACCTCGCCTAGCCCCAAATCAAAAATTGAACTTGCCATTTTTGTGACATCCACATACTGAAATAATATATAGAGATACTTGACTTATGGTGCAGTTACATCTTAATAAACCTATTGTAACTTGAAAATGAATTGAATACATTTAACCTACCTGAAAATATAGCTTAGTCTAGCCTACCTTGAATGTGCCCACAACACTTAACATTAACCTATAGCTGGGCAAAAAAATCATCTGGCAACACAACACACTATAGAGTGTTTGTTGTTACCCTTGTGATCCTGTGACTGGCTGGGAGCAGCTCGCTGCTGCTTTCTGGCATTGAGAGAGAATATCATACTGCATATTGCTATCTGGGAAAAGACCAAAATTCAAAATTTACAAGTACAGTTTCTACTGAACACATGTTGCTTTTGCACAATTGTAAAATCAAACAATCATAAATTGAACCTTTGTAGTTTGAGGATTATCTGTATAAGTTTAGTAATATAATGAACTTAATTCCTTTTAGCATTCTAGACTATTCTTATTAATAAACCTCTTTTTGATTATTCTCAAATTGGAGATCATGTGATCGTATAAACATCTTTAACAATATTAGAGAAAGGGAGAAAATAGCAAAAGCTTGGAAAGAAGGGGTAAATATTTATCTTGCAAAAAGGGTATATAAGTAGAAACATGACTTTGTTAAAATTGATCTGTTACAGTTTACTTTGAGACAACTTTTAACAACTTCTTTGCATTTTAAGATTATTATGTAAATTTATTGCTGCTACATATTTTAAAGAGTTCACCTAAAGAAAATCTCCTATAGAAAAAAATATGTAAAGCCTAAAAAACAGATAAAGCTGTATTTGTTAGGGTTACAAATGTGTTGTTTCTCTATTAAATTGTTTATTTCAGTATTCTTTTATATAGCAAAGTGTCCTTGTATGTAAATATATTTTTAAGTAGTTGTTCTTCAGACAATTTTCATCTTCAGTTATAAGTTATATTATTTAGGAGGCACCCTTACCTGACTTTTTGAAGGATATCTGATGTATGTGTTTTGTGATTTTTGGTTTAGTGCTTGAAGGAATGCCTGTGGTACTGGGAGGAATTAAGCAATCTCAATTATTCATAAGCTTCTCTTCCAGGACTTCCAACTTCTGTGTAAGTTGTTAACACAGATGAAAAATGACATGTAGGTTTCATATTAGTAAAAACTTTTCTCATCCCAAATATGACATTGCTCGAACCATTACCTAATACCCTAAGCAATAGATTATACTACTGTTAGGAATATAAAATCAGTATTAAGAAGTACTTTTCAAAAAGAAGGCATTTTCTTTTTCCCCACTTCTATGTACCTATGGACTATATTGAAAAAGCACATTAATAAAAATCAAAAGTTCTTTGTGACAAATATTATTTAAAACAGTATTGTGAATAAATATCATAAAATACTTCAGACCTAGTGAATAATGAGAGCTGTTGGGTCAAAATCTGAGGTAACTGAAATCAATAAATTGAAAAGTGTTGGCTGGGCGCGGTGGCTCATGACTGTAATCCCAGCACTTTGGTTGGGAAGCCAAGGCGGGCAGATCACTTGAGGCCAGGAGTGCAAGATCAGATTGGCCAACATGACAAAACCCATAACTACTAAAAATACAAAAATTAGCCAGGCATGGTGGTGCGTGCCTGTAATCCCAGCTACTCAAGTGGCTGAGGCACAAGTATTGCTTTAACTTGGGAGGTGGTGGAGGTTGCAGTGAGCTGAGATTGTACCATTGCAATACAGCCTGGGTGACGGAGCGAGATTCTGTCTTGAAAAAAAAAAAAGGAAAAAAAGAGAAAAATGTTTTCTTTAGACTCAGTTGATTTAAGATTGTTATAGCAAATAAGATAATAAATAAACATTAGGTAGTAAAGAACAGTACAAATGCCCACTGTTTTAATTTTCTGTTAACAGAAGTCCATTTCTTATATCCATCAAATTTTTTGATAAATTCAAAAATTCAAATTTGATTTTTTTGATGTTGATTGGGAAGTCCTTCTTCTTCTTGTGCTGAAATCTGTCCCATGAGACTGTAACCTCCCAGGAGACCAAAATAACTTTTAGAGTCTCTTTTGTGCAGCCTTCAGCAGATACTGTGCTTGGCACATACAGGGAGTGCTCAGTAGGTAACTGAATAAATGAATTTGTGCTTCCACACCTTTATGCTGTTTGTTTTCTGGGTTGATACAAACGTGTTGCTAAATTGCTATTGGAAGCTCCTATATGGGACAATTCTGCAAATATTCGAAGACTTGGAAATTATGCTCTAATCAGTCAAATCTTAGGAACATAGTAAGTTAGTCCATCATGACATATGTAAAACCATAAGACATCGCTAATATTTGACTGTTTTTGACCCATAAAAGTGACAGTTTTGTATGATTCAGCCTAATATTTCAACATGAGGTTCTTTTAAAACAGTTGTGAATATGCCAAAATAGAGAGGGTCAAAGTTGGGTTATGACAGGGTAGTTGAGAAAAGAGAAGTTTTGGTAATTTATATGAACTCTAAGTTGATAAGTTAATTACAACGATAATTGTTAGGAATACACTCTCACTGTTTCATAACATGCTTATGCTGGACTTGTCTTTCTTTTTTTTTGGCTACCCAGCATCTAAATTTTTTATACCAATCTCTTGTGTTAGTTACATTCTTTCATAGACTTCCTTGCTGCTAGGGAAGGAAAATATGATCTTGGTCTGATGCAGACTTTGAATCAGAAGCTAGCAACTTGAAGAAGAAAAGGACCATGCAGAATTCATCCTTGGGATAGGTGTGTCATCAGTGACAGCTACTACCAGTCCAAGGCCAGTGGGAACAGTTTTGGCCCTTTGTGTGCTGTCTGTGGTTTGGCACCTAATGCTCACTGGGGTGCTGGTACTGGACCTGGGCTCCACCAGCACTTTGGACAGTGCCTGTCTCCTTGGCTTCATGGCCTTTCAGCCTGCCTGGTCCTCTGGTCCTCGTGGTGTTTTTTTTTTTTTTTTTGAGACTTGGTCAACTCTGTCACCCAGCTTAGCCTCCCAAGTAGCTGGGGCTACAGGTGCGCACCACCATGCCTGGCTAATTTTCATATCTTTTTGTAGAGACGGGGTCTATCCATGTTGCCCAGGCTGGTCTCAAACTCCTGAGCTCAAGCAATTTGCCCACCTCAGCCTCCCAAAGTGCTGGGATTGCAGATGTGAGCCACCATGCCCAGCCAGAAGCTTTTAAGCTTGGTGTAATCTCATTTATTTATTTTTGCTTTGGTTCCCTGTGCTTGTGAGATATAACTCAAGAAATCTTTGCCCAGACCAATGCCCTGGAGAGTTTCTCCACTGTTTTCTTGTAGTAGTTTCATAGTTTGAGGTCTAGATTTAAGTCTTTAATCCATTTTGATTTGATTTTTGTATGTGGTGAGAGATAGGTGTCTAGTTTCATTCTTCTGCATGTGGATACCCAGTTTTCCCAGCCCATTTATTGAAAAAGCTGTCTTTTCTGCATTGTATGCTCTTGGCACCTTTGTTGAAAATGAATTCACTGTAGATATATTGATTTGTTTCTGGGTTCTCTATTCTGCTCCATTGATCTATATGTCTGTTTTTATGCCAGTGCCATGCTGTTTTTGTTACTATAGCCCTGTAGTATAATTTGAAGTTAAGTAATATGATTCCTCCAGCTTTGTTCTCTCAGGATAATTTTGGCTGTTCCGGGTCTTTTGTGATTCCATGTGAATTTTAGGATTGTTTTTTCTATTTCTGTGAAGAATGTCGTTGGAATTTTGATAGGGATTGCATGGAATCTGTAGATTGCTTTGGGTAGTTTGGACATTTTAACAACATTGATTCTTCCAATCCATGAACATGGAATATCTTTACATTTTTTTTGGTGCTGTCTTCAATTTATCTAATCAGTGTTTTATAGAGTTCATTGTAGAAATTTTTTGCTTCTTTGGTTAAATCCTAGGTGTTTAATTTTGTTTGTGACTGTTGTAAGTAGGATTACTTTTTGGATTTCTTTTTCAGGTTGTTCACTATTGTCATATAGAAATGCTACTGACTTTTGTATGTTGATTTCGTATTCTGCAACTTTACTGAATTTTTTTCACCAGTTCTAATAGTTTTTGGTGGAGTCTTTGGGTTTTTAAAAAATGTAAGATCATATCATCTGCAAACAAGGATAATTTGACTTCTTCTTTTTCAGTTTGAATGCCCTTTATTTCTTCTGTTGTCTGATTGCTCTAGCTAGGACTTCTATTGTGTTGAATAACAGTGGTGAAAGTGGGTATCCTTGTTATGTTCCAGATGTTAAGAGGAAAGGCTTTCAGTTTTTCCTTATTCAGTATGATACGAGATGTGGATCTATTGTATATAGCTTTTATTATGTTGAAGTATGTTCCTTCTATACACAGTTCTTTGAGTTTTTTATGAAGGGATGTTGAATGTTATCAGATGCTTTTTCAGAATCAATTGAAATGATCATATGGTTTTTGTTCTTCATTCTGTTGATATGATGTATCACATTGATTTATTTGTATATATTGAACCATCCTTGCATCCCTGAAATAAATCTCATTTGGTCATGATAAATGATCTTTTTAGTGTATTGTTGAATTCAGTGATTTTTGCATCAATGTTTATCATAGATATTGGCCTGTAGTTTTCTTTCTTTGATGTGTCTTTGTCTGGTTTTGATATCAGGGTAATACTGGTCTTGTAGAATGAGTTTGGAAGTATTCCCTCCCCTCTATTTTTTGGAGTAGTTTCAATAGGATTGGTATTAGTTCTTTAAATGTTTGGTAGAATTCAGCAGTGAAGACATCAGGTCCCAAGCTTTTCATTGCTGGGAGATGTTTTATTATGACGTTTATCTCATTTGTTATTGGTCTGTTCAGGTTTTGGATTTCTTCATGGTTCAATCTTCATAGATTGTATGTGTCTAGGAATTTATTTGTGTCCCCTAGATTTTCCAATTTATTGTCATATAGTTACTCGTAGCAGCCACTAATGATCCTTTGAATTTCTGTGGCATCAGTTGTAATGTCTCATTTATCAGCTCTTATTTTATATATTTGGTTCTTCTATCTTTGTTCTTAGTCTGGCTAAAGGTTTGTCAATTTTGCTTATCTTTTCAAAAAAACAGCTTTTCATTTTGTTGATTTTTTTGTATTTTGTTTCAGTTTCATTTATTTCTGCTCTGATATTTATTATCTCTTCTACTAATTTTGGGTTGGGTTTGCTCTTGCTTTTCTAGTTCTTTAGAATGCATCATTAGGTTATCTATTTAAAAGTTTTGCTTTTTTTTGATGTAGGCACTTAAAACAATAAAATTCCCTCTTAGCATGGCTTTTGCTCTATCCCATGGATTTTGTTGGTATGTTGTAGCTCTATCATCATTTGTTTCAATAATTTTTTCAGTTTTCTTTTTAATTGGCCCATTGATTATTCAGGAGCATATTATTTAATTTCCATGTATTTGTATAGTTCCCCAAATTCCTCTTATTATTGACTTGTAGTTTTCTTCCACTGTGGGCAGAGAAGATGCTTGATATTAATTTTAGTTTTTTGAATGTTTTAAGACTTTTTTTGTGATCTAACATATGGTCTATTCTTGAGAAGGATTCATGTGAGGAAAAGAATGTGTATTCTGCAGCCATTGGATGAAACATTCTGTAAATATCTATTAGGTCCATTTGGTCTATAGTGCAGATTAAGTCTGAGGTTTCGTTTTTGAATTTCTGTCTGGAAGGTATGTCCAGTGCTGAAAGTGGGGTGTTGAAGTATCCAGGAAGTATGCAGCTATTATTGTATTGGAGTCTCTCCCTTTAGCTCTAAAAATATTTCCTTTGTATATCTGGGTACTCCAATGTTGGGTGTAAATATGTTTACAATTGTTATTTCTGTTGCTGAATTGATCCCTAAATCATTATACAATGACCTTCTTTGCCTCTTCTTACAGTTTTTGTCTTGAAATGTATTTTCTCTGATAGAATCATATGCACTCCTGCTCTGTTTTGGTTCCCATTGGCATGGGATTTCTTTTTTCTATCCTTTTTTTCCCAGTCTGTGTGCATCTTTATAGGTGAAGTGTGTTTCTTGCAGGCAACAGATTATTGAATCTTGTCTTTTTAAATCCATTGAGCCACTCTGTGTCTTTTTATTGGAGAGTTTAGTCTGTTTACATTCAATGTTATTATTGATAAGGACTTCTTCTTGCCATTTGTTATTTGTTTTCTGTTTGTTTTGTGGTCCTCTCCTCCTCCTTTCTTCTTGCCTTTTTTTTAGTGAGGGTGATTTTCTTTGGTGGTATAACTTAATTTCTCAGTTTTTATTTTTTGTGTATCAATTGTATATTTTTTGCTTTGAGGTTACCCTGAGGATTGCAAATATTATAACTCATTATTTTAAAGTGATGACAACTTAACCCTGATTGAATAAACAAACAAGCAAAAAGAAAACTAATAAAAACTTTACACCTTAACTTTGTCTTCTCACTTGTTAACTTTTTGTTGTTCTCTTTATGTCTTATAGAACTATGTCTTGAAGAGTTGTGGTAGTTATTATTTTGATTGGTTCATTGTTTAATATTTCTTCCTAAGATAGGACTAATCTATACACCACCGTTACAGTGTTACAATAGTACATATTTTTCTTTGTGCCTATTATTTCTAGTGAGTTTTGTACCTTCAGATGATTTCTTATTGCTCATTAATGTCCTTTTCTTTCAGATTTTCAGATTGAAAAACTCTCTTTAGCATTTCTTATAGAACAGGTCTGGTGTTGGTAAAATCCCTCAGCTTTTGTTTCTCTGGGCAAGTCTTTATTTCTCTTTCATGTTTGAAGGCTATTTTTATCAGATATACTATGCTAGGGTAAAAGATTTTTTTCCTTCAGCATCTTAAATATGTCATGATATTCTCTCCTGGCCTATAAAGTTTCCTCTGAAAAGTCTGCTGCCAGACATATTGGAGCTCCAGTGTATGTTATTTGCTTCTTTTTACTTGCTGCTTTTAGGATCCTTTCTTTATTCTTGACCTTTGGGCGTTTGATTATTAAATGCCTTTAGGTAGTCTTCTTTGAATTAAATCTGCATGGTGTTCTATAACCTTCTTGTACTTGAATATTGACGTCTTTCTCCAGGTTTGGGAAATTCTCTGATATTATCCCTTTGAATAAACTTTCTACCCCTACCGCTTTCTCTCCCTTTTTTTAAGGCCAATAACTCTGAGATTTGTCCCTTTGAGACTATCTTCTAGGTCTTGTAGGTGGGCTTCATTGTTTTATATTCTTTTTTCTTTTGTCTCCTCTGACTGCGTATTTTCAAATAGCCTGTCCTCAAGCTTACTAATTCTTTCTTCTGCCTGTTTGGCCCTGTTATTAAGAGATTCTAATGCATTCTTCAGCATGTCAGTTGCTTTTTTTTTTTTTTTTGAGACGGAGTCTCACTCTGTCACTCAGGCAGGAGTGCAATGGTGCAATCTCAGCTCACTGCAACCTCCGCCTCCCAGGTTTAAGCGATTTTCCTTCCTCTGCCTCCTGAATAGCTGGGATTACAGGCACGCCATCACACCTGGCTAATTTTTGTATTTTTAATAGAGACGAGGTTTCACCATGTTGGCCAGGCTGGTCTCGAACTTCTGACCTCAGGTGATCCTCCCACCTCAGCCTCCCAAAGTGTTGGGATTACAGGCATGAGACACCGTGCTCAGCCTGCATTTTTCAACTCTAGAATTTCTGCTTGATTCTTTTTAATTATTTCAATATCTTTGTTAAATTTATCTGATAAAATTCTGAGTTCTTCCTATGTTCCAGTTTTCTTGTCTTTAGAATTGGCTTAATAGTATTAGCCCTACCTGTTTTTGGATAAAAAGACCACATGAAAATTTATTTACCCTTGATCTTTAAAAAATATGAATTTTTCACATGTATGCCAAATGATTCTGTCCTCCTCTTTGTGCATTCTAATTTGATGCTTGTGAAATCATAGCAATGTTATATTGTTAATGTATAGTGCATTTGTTATTGTGCTTATTTTATGTTTTAATTTTTTTATTCAAAAGTAATATATGCTCATTTTAACAATTCTATCCATATATATGTATTATATTTATAACTCTGGTCTCCTCTATTTAATTTCAACCCACATCCCAAAGTATTCTATACTATTTTTCCATGTTAGTAAAAACATATAGATCATCTATTTTCTTTCTCTCTTTTATATTCCAGAGAATCATATTATAGATGTAATAACCATGTAAGTTCTCTCTTTTTGCTTAATGGATCATGGCCATCTTCTCATGTCTGTGTGTGTAATTCTAATTAATTTTATTATCTTCATGGTGGTCATATGGTTATTTATCAACCATTTATTTATTGATGAAGGTTGTTTCCAGTTTGTGCAACTTCAGGAAATGCTTTAATAAATATCTTTTCATAGAATTTCGTATACTGATGCTTTTATTTCTTCGTATTTTCCTAGAATTGGAATTGCTGGCTCAAAATGCTTGTATAGCCTAAATTTTAATAGTTGCTACCCAGATTATTTTCCATTGTAGTTGTGGCAGTTCTTATTCTGCAACACCATTATTTCTTCATATATTTTCTCTAACTCCATCTCTTTCCCCCTTGTTCAGGAACTTCAGTTACAGACATATTAGACAACTCGAAGTTGCCCCACAGCTTACTGATATTCTATTCTCTGTTCTTTTTTCTTTATGTTTTCTTTTTCTTAGTGTGTTTTATTTTGGCTTCTATTGCATTGTTTTCAAATTTACCAATATTTTGCTCTGCTGTGTCTCACCTGTTATTTCCATCCAGTTAATTTTTCTCAGACATTGCAGTTTCCATCTGTATATAAATTTGATTTGGATTTGGATTTAATAGTTTCCATGTCTCTACTTGTTGGGGTGATCAGACTCAACACCAGGCCGTGGGGGCTACGAAGTCCGGTGGAGTCAAAGGAATGAGAAAAGACAAGTTAAGAGAGAAAGTAGGACCAGGGGACCAACGCTAGTATGGAGGCTGTGAAGGCCCCGAGCTGTGGGAGCCCACACTATTTATTGGTGATCAGACAAAGAAACAGGTGGTGAGGATGTGGAGGTTGAAAGGAAGTGGTGTATCAAGCGAATGAGTTACAGCTGTGATGGTTTAGCATTTTCTTTGAAACATATGACTACTTGAGATAATGGGAGTGCTAGAAGCAAGGAGCCAGCAAGTCTGGACATATTCCAAAGGCCACGAGGGGTTTTAGACCCTGGACCCCGGACATGTTCCAAGACTCTTTTACATTATGTCAGACATGCAAGCCCTGCCTCAGCTTCTCTCCTAACACTCAGCTTTTCTCCCAACATCTACTTGACATTTTGAACATAGGACATACAGTTACAATAACTATTTTGATGTCCTATCTACTAATTCTAACCTCTATGTCAGTTCTGAGTAACTTTTGATTAATTGATTTATCTTTTCAAAAATGAGGGCCATATTGACCAGTTAGTTTGCACACCTAGTAGTTTTTGATTAGATGCCAGGCATTGTGAAGTTTACCTTGTTGGATGCTGAATTGTTTTGTATTTCTATAAATATCCTTGGGCATTGTTCTGGTACACAATTAAGTTACTTGGAAATAGTTTTTTGTTTGTTTTTTTGTTTGTTTTGGGCCTTGCTTCTAAGATTTCCTAGGTGGTACTAAAAGAGTACCAGTCCAGAGTTAATTATTCCCCACTACTGAGGCAAGACTGTTCTTTTTACCTAATGTCTCATGAATCTTGGGGTTTTCCAGTCTGGCTAATGGAACAGTATTCCTGGGCTCCATCTGGGTTTCTCCTACTTATAGAAGGCCTTGGACACTCAAGGATATAAGCTGGGACAATCAAAGGGCTCACCTTTTCTTGTTAAAGTACTAGACACTCTTCCCTCTAATCCTTTTGAATGTGTTTTTCCCCAGCCTCTGGTAGTTTCCTTGCACACATGCACTGATCAGGACTCAGCAGAATATTCTAGGGGAACCCTTTGAAGAGCTCTGGAATTTTCTTGGTACAAGTCTTACTTCTCAAGTATTCTGTCCCTTTCAGCTCCTTTGCCTCAATCCAGGAAAGGGCTGGACTCTATCTGTTTCATCTCCTTACACAAGACCTTGGGCATTCAAAGATGTAAGCTGGAATAATCAAAGGGCTTACCTTGTTCGTTTCTCATTGCTCAGGGAAGGTTTCTGCTACTTCATCTTGGAAGCAGAAGTTTGAGATATGAAGGGTTTCAGATAAGCTAGTCCTTTTTTATACTCAGGGAAACCACTGGAATGTTCTGTGAAAATCAGCATCATGTCAGCCCAGCAGTTATTCTGTTTATTAGATATCCCTTTCAAATTATTGCTTTTGTGTGCTTTACCACAGGTGTGAAATCACTGGACATTTAACTGTCATATAGCATTTGTTATCATACACATTGTAGATTTTTTCTCTCTTTTAAAGAAAATATCTGAAGCAGGTGTATAAAGTAATCTTCACTGTAAAATAATTAGTGATTGTTTGAACTGGTATTTTTTTTTACAGTTAAAAAGAACTGAAAATACTGTAGTAGCATTTCTTTGTTTCTCTTTATTTTCTTCAGAGACTGCAAATAGGACATTTCAAGAAAAAGGCATCCTGGTAGGAGAGAGCAGAAGTTTTAAACCTCATTTGACCTTCATGAAGTTGTCAAAATCACCGTGGCTCCGTAAGAATGTGAGTGCATGTTCTTATTGCAAGCCTGTTTTACCAGGCCACACCAGCCATAAGCATGGTCTGGAGCACGAGTGACATTGCTGTGGTCTCTGACACTACTCTTGCTTCTGGGTTTCCAAGTCAGGTTGGTTCCAATTCCCAGGGGTGCTGAGGATGCTCCTGGCCTTCCATGGAGGCTATTTCAGCTTTGCCTGCCTTTGCCACGATGGCTGTTCTTGCATAGTCTGGCCATCATTTATTTCTACCACTGTTGCCTCACCTGCTTCATCCCCTGAAGAGCCTCGAGGTGGTGCCAGAGTTCACTTTTGCTGCTATTCTTGCTTGTGGTTATTTGCATCCTGTTGCTCTCAAAGCTTCCTCTGCTGGCCTGTTACGCTGGTGCTGCTCACCGCAACTGGGTAAGCTTTTTTTACCCCTCTTCCTGTCGCTCTTCAAGGTTTCCAAAAGACCATCTTTCAGCAGTTGCCTCAATTAAGGCCTTGGAACCAGGTATACCGGGGACTGGGCATGAGGGTAACTGAGGGACCCCCTTTCCTGGAGGTACTTTAAAGTACTTCTCCCTAAGGATGGTCAACCCAGTGGCACAATCCAAGTGACAAGTCTTTTGACTTCCCCTGTCTCAGGGTGACTTACTGCCTTTATAGGCCACCCCTTCTTCCCGCAGAAGTCGGAGCAACTTTTGACTTCCGTCTAGGTTCATGAGCATTTCTCCTAAAATCCTAAGGCCACCCTTCATTTTGTTTCCTATTTCAGCCTAGGGGGTTCCTCATGCAAATTCAGACATCTGATGGCCTGCTCTCATATACCAGAGTTTTGGAGATGGGCATGCAGATTAATATCCGCTCCCTGCTCTCCATGACCCTTTGCTGCAGTTAAGACTGATTTGCAGCTCTAGAAATGAAGGCCATGTGTAGTAGTAAGTAGAATTTTTTTTTTCTAAATTTGCCACATTTTGTATTTAATGTCTCTGTCCTCAGAAAAGTCTTTTGGGCCCTTTAAATCATGGGTTTGGGTGACTCACCATCCTATAGTTAAGAGTTTTCTACAAACTATTGCTGAAAATCTCAGAAAGATATCTTGCATGGTTTTTTGGATTACATTGCCACAAATTTAGTAATATCCATATTAGGTATCATTCCAGTATCATATTAGGTATGTTAGGTAAAAATAATTGGTGTAAATGATAGATTTTGAAATATGGGATGACAACAATTTACAAAACTTGTAGACTGACAGTTTGATTCTTTACTGGTTATCTTTCTTGTTTTGCTTTCAAATGGATTGTCCTCTTCCAAGTGGTTTCAAACTTAATCACAGAATGACAATCAGTGGTGAAGGTAATATCTCCGTTTCAAAATGTTTCTTTGTCTTTATAATATTAACTTTGAAATGAGAGCACCCAAGGACATTTATTTAAAAAAATGCTTAAACTATATATGTCAACATTTCAAACTGCATTTAAATGATTTATTGGCAGTTAATTTCACAGAATCAATCTTACCCTATAGAAAAGTAATATGAGACTTGGAATGGTTGTGATGTAACTGAGATCACAGTCTTATCAGTTACAGAGCACTGTCTCTGCACCTGAGAAACCCATCCCATCTCATTCTGTCTCACATTCTTCCCTCCCACTGGCCAGCTCCAGTTCACGCAGAGTCATTTCTACGTGTAAGGAGCTCCCTGTTCCAAATCATATTAATTAAGTAAATATGTATTGAGTGCCTACTATGTGCCAGACACTGGGTGCTGGGCACAGAGTGGTGATCAAAATAGAAACAGTCACTGCTTGAATGGTACATAAAATCTAAATCAGATTGCATTTTATTTAGATTAGAATGCTTAATATTTAGAAAACAAATTATGATTGTTTTTTTCTTGTAAATTTGTTTGAGTTCCTTGTAGATTCTGCATATTAGCCCTTTGTCAGATGAGTAGGTTGTGAAAATTTTCTCCTATTTTGTAGGTTGCCTGTTCACTCTGATGGTAGTTTCTTTTGCTGTGCAGAAGCTCTTTAGTTTAATTAGATCCCATTTGTCAATTTTGGCTTTTGTTGCCATTGCTTTTGGTGTTTTAGACATGAAGTCCTTGCCCATGCCTATGTCCTGAATGGTAATGCCTAGGTTTTCTTCTAGGGCTTTTATGGTTTTAGGTCTAATGTTTAAGTCTTTAATCCATCTTGAATTAATTTTTGTATAAGGTGTAAGGAAGGGATCCAGTTTCAGCTTTCTACATATGGCTAGCCAGTTTTCCCAGCACCATTTATTAAATAGGGAATCGTTTCCCCATTGCTTGTTTTTCTCAGGTTTGTCAAAGATCAGATAGTTGTAGATATGCAGCGTTATCAACAAACAACCCTATCAAAAAGTGGGTGAAGGACATGAACAGGCACTTCTCAAAAGAAGACATTTATGCAGCCAAAAAACACATGAAAAAATGGTCACCATCACTGGCCATCAGAGAAATGCAAATCAAAACCACAATGAGATACATCTCACACCAGTTAGAATGGCAGTCATTAAAAAGTCAGGAAACAACAGGTGCTGGAGAGGATGTGGAGAAATAGGAACACTTTTACACTGTTGGTGGGACTGTAAACTAGTTCAACCATTGTGGAAGTCAGTGTGGCCATTCCTCAGGGATCTAGAACTAGAAATACCATTTGACCCAGCCATCCCATTACTGGGTATATACCCAAAGGACTATAAATCATGCTGCTATAAAGACACGTGCACACATATGTTTATTGCGGCACTATTCACAATAGCAAAGACTTGGAACCAACCCAAATGTCCAACAATGATAGACTGGATTAAGAAAATGTGGCACATATACACCATGGAATACTATGCAGCCATAAAAAATGATAAGTTCATGTCCTTTGTAGGGACATGGATGAAATTGGAAATCATCATTCTCAGTAAACTATCGCAAGGACAAAAAACCAAACACTGCAGGTTCTCACTCCTAGGTGGGAATTGAACAATGAGAACACGTGGACACAGGAAGGGGAACATCACACGCTGGGGACTGTTGTGGGATGGGGGAGGGGGGAGGGATAGCTTTAGGAGATATACCTAACGCTAAATGACGAGTTAATGGGTGCAGCACACCAGCATGGCACATGTATACATATGTAACTAACCTGCACATTGTGCACATGTACCCTAAAACTTAAAGTATAATAATAATAAAATAAAATAAAATAAAGAAAACAAATTATGATATTATCATTTTCAGTAAGCCAAATAAGAATTTTTTATTTTAATTTATGGAATGAGTCTATTCCTATCACTATTATAGTGGTCAGTGTTCCTGAAAGTTTAAGGAAGTAGATCTTAGATATGGGGATTCGCAAGTCAGCCGGCGTACTGGTTGAAGCTTCAGATTTCCACCCTCTACCCTTAGATTTAGAGATGGACCTAGGACCTAAGCTTTTGATGTTCAGTAAATGCCATATATGGTTCTGATACAGATGATCTGCAGAGGAATATACTTAAGACCTGCAGGCTTAAATAAATATCCAACAGTTTCTTATGCAGCAAATCTACTGTAAAGGTTAAAACCAGTATGAAAAGGTGGCATACATACAAGATGATTTCATTTATTTACTTTACTATAATTCGTGGTTTGGTATGTAGATTATTTGAAAATATATGGTTCCTTAGTCTCAGTCTTAACGTTTTTACATTTCCAGCTATCTATTTTCTTCTCTCGGCACTAATTTTCTTCTAGATTTTTGTTCTGAATCCATCCATTGAGCTAATGTCACAAGCAAGTGACCATTAAATAAAGATGATCGTGGAATGTATTGCTGGCTTTCCATGTTATTTAGATTGATAGTGAAATAAAAGAAGGGAGTGGCGAAATAATAGTTTTTTTTTAATCCACTTGCATGTTAGGAGATTGGACTCATTTCACGTATGTTATTCTTTATTTAAAAAGTTACTTTAATTATAAAATTATTAGCTGAATATATGCTTACTGTAAACAATTCAAATACTTACAGACCTATAGAGTGAAAGGTAGAGTTACTCCCTCATTACCATCCTGCAACCCACTTCCTCCCAACAGAATGTCTCTCTAGGTAAACACTGCCAGTAGATCCTTCCAGACCTTTTCCTATGTGCTGCAAATATATATGGACATACATACATGCATATAGTTTCTTTAAAACAGAAATAAAACTCTCAATATTATTTTGATTTATCATAATTTAAACATTCTTCTGTTGATGAATAATTAGGTTGATTTCTGTTTCTTTGGTACCACAAACAATGCTGTTATGAACTTCCTTGTTCACTTTTCTTTGGGTGGATATGCCAGTATTTCAAAGAACCAATTCTTTGAAGTGGAATTCTAAGAGCAGAGGGTATTAGACATTATAAACCTTCAGAAATACCTCAGATTGCCTTGTCAAGCAATAGTGACAATTTATACTCCCAACCGTGGTGTATGAGAAGAACATTTGTTAGGATAAACTCGTGGTAGAAAGACTATCAGAGGTCATATAAAATTGATATGGCCCTTTGAGCTATGAATTATGCAACTGACATTAAAAAAATGTTAAAAATCTCATTTTCTTTAAGATGTCCTAGCTGCTGATATTATTCTAAAGAAATAATTTAAAAAGAGAAGTTCTTTATGCATAAAGATGTTTACTGAAGTATTATCAATAATAGGGAAATAATAGAAATAACTCCCACAACAATAGGGAAATGTTTAAGTCAATTATGGTAAATCATATAAATGATATAAGCAGCTACTGAAGTAGATATAAGGATTCTATAACAGCATACAAAGTAAATAAAATACTATACTCTTTAGTATATAAAATCTATCCTATAAAATGTATACTGTAATTAAAATTGTATAAAATGGTTTCCTTGGGTTTGCCTTGCCAGCACCTTAATGTGTTTCATCGCATTTTAGAGGTAAAAAGTGGCTTCCCACAGTTACTCTCTTAGCCCATGATTTTTCCGGTAGATCAGTGAATAGAACTGACCTTAATGTCACTCAGAATATAGTATATCCCCCTTGACATGCTGAGGATTCCCATTTTGGTTTGCTGGGGTTCTGAGGAATGGTGGGACCTTGGTGAGTGGAGTGTAATAAGAAGTGGTGATGAGCAAAGTTAGGTGCCCCATGACAATGCAGGAGTGAGGGGCAGCCACCGGATTCAGAAAACCTGAAGATTTTCCATTGTCATGGGAGTGGTCCTTCAGTTTCTGGTATGGAGGGGTGGTGTATAGTGAGACTGTCTGGAAAAGAGCTAAATGATATCTCCTGTTGAGATGCTCTGTTTTAAAGACTGAAGCCAGATGGTGTCCTCCTTATATTTCAATTTGACCTGCTAGAGGGTAGTCTGGAAATGATTTTATGTATGATACTGATGCACTGAAAGTACTGATGCACTAAAAGCACCTAAAGTACTGGTGCTACTGTTGTCAGGGTAGACATGATGATTGTTGGTAAAAAGGGGTGTGCTGTGTAGAGGAATGCTCTGGATTATTACAGGAAATATTATAGGAAAATTCTGAGATAGTAAGATAGCCGGTCCATTCATTATTGTCTATAGGAGGTATAATGCGATATTCTGTAGTGATAAACCAATTGAGATTTTTTTTTAATCATCTAGTCATTGTCATTTAAAAAGTAACCTGAAAAGCTGTTACCCATGTCAACTTAAAAAATTAGATTCAAAGTCAGAGCTATCATCAGTCTGTTTATGAAGGTAAAACATCTCATTGACATTAAAGATGTGGACAGATGGCTGGTGCAGGGGATGAGCATTCACCCCCTGGGAGGTCGTACAGATCTAGTGTGAGGGTTTCCCAGTGGTGTTCAGTATTTGGTGCAGAAGTCCCTGGGCTTCCGGGGTCCTGTCCTCTGGTAGGCACTTGTTGGCAGGTAATTGCATGTAGTAGTAGTAACCAAAAGCCCAGTGGGGAACTAAACATTCAATATATTGTGTTCAAAATTTTGAAAATACAGAAACTCTCTCTCAAATGTCCTGATGTGAAACTTCTTCTGTGACAGCATGATATTCTGGTTCCCAAGTTAGAGAGCTGAGTTGAGGCTAAGGACAGATTCTGTGAAACATAAGGCTTTTCTTGGCAATTATGTATCTTTCTAACACCAGGAGACATTTAGTCAATGTGTCAGCTTTGCATATTCTTAGTTTCATGAAATTCTAATGGGTATTTTGCATAATAAAACATCAAAAGGAATCATTATCATTGTATTCTGTAATTTTTTTCATCAAATGAAACCTCAGAAAATCATATTAAATTACTGTCTCTGAAATAGTAACTAAAGTTCAGGTTATTTGTAGTTTTTTCAGAATTTAGTTGACATAGCTAGTCCGCTAACTTGTTCAGCCTCATGCTTTTTGTACGGTATCTTTTTGGACTTATTTTTCTTACTGAATGAACTTGGGTTTCAGTGATTTCAATGTTGCAAATCTTGGTTGGTTAGAAATATGTGCTAACACTTGATGGCAGAAGAAGACAAGTTTCAAATCAAACAAACATCTTAATGCAGATCTCAAAAAATAAATGTGATAACATCCTCAAAAAATAAATGTGATCGCCTAATGTATAGATCAGTTGTTTTTAATCACAAATTATTTTCTGGGCTTCTTAGGTATCTTCCCTGATTTATGACTCTTTCAAATTACTACTGTAGCTCTTAAACTGACAAAGACATGTTTTATGAACATGACACCTCTTTGCAGCAGTGTTTTACAGAGTCAGAAAATGAGAGTACTTTAGAATGAAAAAAATGAACTTTGAAAATTATTAGCGACTTTCACTTAGACTGGTTTGTTTT
Source organism: Homo sapiens (assembly GCF_000001405.40). NCBI lineage: Eukaryota > Metazoa > Chordata > Mammalia > Primates > Hominidae > Homo > Homo sapiens. The sequence goes on from NC_000006.12 coordinate 131,206,405, forward strand.
GAGGGCAGAATTCAAGATGCAAAAAGTAAGGGCTGAAGGGTGATCATTGGACCTGATGATGATGATGATGTTGAGGGGAGTGGAGAAGAGGATATAGGACAGTCATTGGTAGGAATGGAAAAGGAGAGCATATGGTTGAAAATTTTGTTCTGATGCTACCATTAAGAGGAAATTCCAGTTCCTGAATTGTTTGGTGATTGAATATACAGAACTAGAATTGTAATGGAAAGTTTCTATACTAGGTTGGTTGAATTCAGCCTTACTCTGCATCCCTCCCTAACTGTGAGCCCTGATGTCATCTTTCTTCACTCACTACCATTATTTACTTCTATCTATCTAGCTACCTAGCTAGCTGTCTGTCTGTCTGTCTGTCCATCCATCCATCTATCTATCTATCTATCTATCTCTGCATATTTTTTCAGGATTTTGTTAACTGGGCCTGGTATAGTTTGACTGCCACTCACTTTTGGGGGTCTGCATGACAGTGAGCTTTTATAAACCATGTTAAAACTCAGGAGCATTAAGACTATTCCTTCTTAAAGGAATCCCTGTAGTAATTTAAAGGAGCATGAGCTTTCCTGTTTTAGCCCTGTTGTTTAGTCCTGGACAAAATCACATAACCTCTCTCGATCTCTGTTGACTTATCGTAAAAGAAGGACTCTTGACTCCTGTGCTATCCTGAAATGTCTATAAGGTAAACAGTTTGACCAAATTGCTTAATTTGGCTTCACACAGTTATATATATTTTTAACCTCATATTGGCTTTCTTTTCTGTGTGGAAGGAGAATGACAGAAAGAAGAAAGGTCTTCAAGTACTGATAGGAAGATAGGGGCAATTTAGATCTGAATCTTTTCACTTGTCCTCCTAGAAGCCAGATGGAGCAACAAGGACAATGGGAAAAATACTCTACACATTTTTTTTTTTTTTTGAAAGAACTAGGATCTCACTTGGTTGCCCAGACCTAGAGTTCATGGCATGATCATAGCTGATCGCAGCCTCCAAATCCTGGGCTCAAATGATCCTCCTGCCTCAGCCTCCTGAGTAGCTGGGACTACAGGTGTGCACACCATGCCTGGCTAATTAAAATTTTTTTTTTTTTTTTTTTTTTTTTTAGATATGGGGTGTTGCTATGTTGCCCAGGCTGGTCTTGAACTCCTGGCCTTAAACGATCCTCACACCTTGGCCTCCCATAGTGTTGGGATTACAGATGTGAGCAACTGCACCCAGCCACATACTACATCTTTAGTGAAACTGAGAGGTAGAGAAATCCTGTCAATACCAAATTATGTGGAAGTGCTGGTGGTAGAGGCCCTCCTGACCTGGGAGACAGAATAGGCAAGGGCTCTACATTTTAAAGAATATTCCTTCATTCTAACAAAGGAGAGGCACAGAGAAGCCTGGAGACTACCCTGCCACTTCCTTCCTTCATCCCACAAAGAGGGCATTTGTAGATGCCCTGGTTATTCAGTGAACCTTGATTATTCCAGACAAAACTTTAAAAATATCTTTGGTGCAAGATAAAGCAGATTGTTTCTGTAAACTATTTTTGAATCTCCCGGTGTCAGATGGCTTAATTACTCACAGTTTTTAGTTGTTTTTGAGTCACTTTTCATATTTCCAAGTACATTAAACAGCAAATCTCTTTGTTTTAATGGCTTTTTAACACTAAAAATTCAGTGAATTCTCATGAGGTAGAATGTAATTTCTTCTGAGATACTCTAGATTACATTAGTCAACACTGTCATCTACTGTGTGTTAAAGAGCACTATTTATAACAAGTGCCTTCACTTATGTTTCTAATGTATTTTTCAACTTTATGCTGTTGTATTGTCTATTTCTGTATATTGAAAAAAAACAAGTTTACAATTGTTTAACAATTGGAAATGATGTTTACAAAGGTAAACCTGCTTAACATTCATTTGGAATCTTTCAGTACTTTGTATGTCTTTAAAAATTGAGAAACAGTAAACAGAATGCTAAATTATTTTATGGGAAATTCTAGAAATTGACTAAAGTCAGGATTACAAATGATTCCTGGTTGATCTTGATTCTGTTAGAGATTTTGACAACTTTGAAAACCCTGGAAGAAATGACTGGTGAACCTAATATTAAATCTTCAAAGTGGAATGGAGATTTGAAGCAAGTATCTTCAATAGCATTTTCTGAGATTTTTCTTTCTGAATATCTGTCAGGGTTTTATGTGAGGCAGGGATCTGTGATCCAATGAATGTTAGCAATGATGGGTTAAGTAAAGTTAATCAAATTCTTTATGTCAGAACTTCTTAGGTTCTCTGAAATGCAAATGCTTATTGTGAATCTCAAGAGCTTACAACAACAGAGATTCTTTTTTTCCCCCCATGTTAATGGATCCTCTGGCTCTGCTCCACATTGTCTTTACTCAGGACCGTGGCTGGGCAGCCTCCATCTAGGACTTTTCTGCTCTTCTGGCAAAAGGAAAGAGAGTTGGTGAACATGCTGATTCTTAAAGCTTTTGCTAAGAAGTGACACACATCATTTCTGATCATATTTTATTGGCCAAAGCAAGTCACATGGTTCCTTCTGAGTGTAACAGAGCAGGATATATAATTTGCTTCCAGGAAGGTACACCACAGGTGGGGCAGAAAATATTTTGAACAGTTGTATAGTCTACTCAGCATTGTTTCCCAACCAGACCAGCAAGTCCTTTTTCCACTGACTGTTTTGTAGCCATTAGTATTTGGTAGAACATGGCTTAGGAAATGCTGATTTGATAATTCCAGCTTAAGTGATTTTTTTTTTTGTTAAACATATAGATTCTGTGGACATATTTATTTTCCAGCAGTTGCATCTACAGATAAGCATCTGATTTTTTTTTTGTTTGTTTGAGATGGAGTCTCGCTCTGACTCCCAGGCTGGAGTGCAGTGGTGCGATCTCGGCTCATTACAAGTTCTGCCTCCTGGGTTCACGCCATTCTCCTGCCTCAGCCTCCTGAATAGCTGGGACTACAGGTGCCCGCCACCATGCCCGGCTAATTTTTTGTATTTTTAGTAGAGACGGGATTTCACCATGTTAGCCAGGATGGTCTGGATCTCCTGACCTTGTGATCCACCCGCCTCGGCCTCCCAAAGTGCTGGGATTACAAGCGTGAGCCACCACACCCAGCCCGATAAACTTCTGATTTAAGTGTAATTGAAGAAACAGAGTTTTAGAACTTATATTAAAAGATGCAGTATCAGAGTATTCAAGTTAATTAAAATTGCATGTGTTTGCCTTAATTATATTAAATATAAAAATTCTATCTCAAAGATTACCGTTAGTTATGGGAAAAATGTTTTTCTCAGCGAGTCGTTTTTAGACATTTTGAAACTTCTGTCAGCTGGTAATTTTCATTTTCTTAGTCAAGGACAAAGTGGAACATCATGAAAATATAGGCAACTGGCAAGTCCCACAGTGGATTGATTATGGGTAAAGACAAAATAGAATATATGGTCAAGAAAACCTAAGATTTTATTCCAAAATGGTGTTGATGCAGAACTATTTACCTTGTTTAGTAAGTGACAGCTAATTACTGACCCACTCAAATGGTCACATAAAAGCAAACCAGCTGGAATTATTTGGATGGCAAGAAGATTTTCTGTCACTGGAAAGATTGGCCAACCAACTCTTATTAAAATAATTAACTGCATAGTGAAAGAAGGTAAAGCTGTATTCTTCTTGAGGGACTCAGATATGAGAAGGAATTAAGGTTGCAATCCAAAACCATAACTAGTTTATATCAGAATTATACTTCCATTTCTACATATGAGCTGGTTTATTTTGACCATCAGAATCTTACTCTCTCAAGGAAAGATACCTTAAAAATAGAATAATACTGGTTCTTCAAAATACTAAACCAGTTCAGTTCTCTTTCAATTGGTTACTCTAGTAAATTAAAAGACAAAAAGGTTGTTGGCCTCTTTGCCAGGGCCAATCCTCACTTTATCTGTAGTTGAGGACCTAACAGAACTTACTCATATCATCTTAGGGACTAGCCACCCTTGGCTACAGGAATTCCAGTTTTGTTCCTACAGGAGGTGTTCTATTTCTAAACCCTACTGATGGCAGTATATTTAACTGTTGGCCAGGTTTGTGACACCATTTTGGAGATCCATCTTTAAGGCCTTTCAGTGCAACTGTATCTTTATACTGTCCCTAAGCTGAAGACCAGAGTATGAAACTACCTCTCTTCCTTCCTTGGGGATTGCCTTCCCCACAGCTGGATCTAATTATAATAATTTGTTGTGTAACTTTATTTAGAGCAGAATATTTCTTTCACAGTAATTTCCGGTTTGGTCTCCAGCACTACTGTGGGATTTTCATTGGCCATTCATTACCTGGGAGAATGTTCCTTGTGACTCCCTGTAGTGATCCTGCACCTTTGGCAACAGCCTCTCCCTAATCTTACCCATTCCATGTTTCACGACTTGGTCCCCTTGGATCCCACCTTGCTCTTCACCCTCCCTGACCTACCCTGACAATCAGAAAATGGTAAACTTTGTGCTCTTGGACTTCCAGGCCAAATATCTCTAGAATTTAATTTACCAGGGAGTGGTCACTTGGGAATAAGCTGAATGGATAGGGAAATCAAATCAAACGTACTTCTCAACAGGTGGTAACTTTTCCATCACACATATATCCTTATTGGCAGGTACCTAAGATGTACAAAGTGGGTATGTGATGGACATGGAGAAGATGGTGTCGTTTGGCTTGTTAAGCTTTCTGGGGTCTGTGTGAGCAATGGTAGCACCCAGTGGGTATAGCAAAAGGGGAATATGCCAGTGTATATAATTTTTTGCATTCTATTATCTTAAGATACAAAATCCTTGTCTTTTGTCAATTTTTTCTTTTCCTGCCCCACTCACTGCTTTTTTTATTAGTCTTGAAGTGCTTCTCAAAATTTGGAAAATATTCTTTCTTAATTTTTGAAATCTCTAAAAGAAAAGGCTGGGTGGAAATTACTGACTGGTTTGATGCCTATTTTAACTGTACTTTTAAAAAGCAAATCTAATGTTTATAGATACAGGCTGACTCTGAGTGCATTAGGAAATTTATGTAATCCAGATGGGCGCGGTGGCTCACGCCTGTAATCCCAGCACTTTGGGAGGCTGAGGTGGGCGGATCACGAGGTCAGGAGATTGAGACCATCCTGGCTAATACGGTGAAACCCCATCTCTACTAAAAAAAAAAAAATGCAAAAAATTAGCCAGGTATGGTGGCGGACACCTGTAGTCCCAGCTGCTTGGGAGGCTGAGGCAGGGGAATGGCGAGAACCCGGGAGACGGAGGTTGCAGTGAGCCGAGATCACGCCACTGCACTCCAGCCTGGGAGACAGAGTGAGACTCCGTCTCAAAAAAAAAAAAAAAAAAAAAGAAAGAAAATTTATGTAATCCCTGTAATTCTATACAGATGTTCCTCAGTTTATGATAGGGTTACATTCTGATAAGCCCATCATAAATTGAACAAGTTGTAAGTTAAAAATGCATTTAATACATTTACCTTATCAAACCTGATAGCCTAGCCTAGCCTACCTAAATGTGCTCAGAACACTTACATTAGCCTACAGTTGGGCAAAATCATCTAACACAAAACCCATTTTATAGTAAAGTGTTGCATATCTCATGTAAGCTATTGAATATTGCACTGAAAGTGAAAAAACAATGGTTGTGTTAGTACTCGAAGTATGGGTTCTACTGAATGCATGTTGCTTTCACACGTCGTAAAGTTGAAATATCATATGTTGAATCATCCTAAGTCAGGGACGATCTGTATTTTAAAGTAAACAAGGGGAAATTTCACAATTAAATGTTTAAGTTTGAAATGTGGGCAAGGTTCCGGTTGAATGTTATATAAAAATTATTTTACATAGCCATGTGTGTCATACTTAGAAAGTCTTTGTTTACATTTCTTGCTCTATCTGGAGAGAAACATTCATTTTAAAATTGGTTTAAGGGCTACACATGATTCTTGGGTCATATGTTTAATGACTGTTCCATATTTAGCTATTGTTTTTTTCCCATCAGACTCCCTTATATCTGTTACGATGTCCAGGGAACAGTTCCAAACCAAATAAGGTGAAAGGCTTGTATCATTGAGCACCTTTCTTCCTTGTTCCATTTCCTAAGTTATAGGGGTGTCAATGTAAATCGCAATGCCACTATGTCTTTCCCATTTCTTCACCCAGTTCTTGTAACATTCAGTTGTTGGAGTCCTTCCTCTGTTAGACAGGGGCATCTTTTCTAAGTAGTATGCAGGGAATACTCCTGGGTAGTTAGGCAGAGTAAGAGGCTGAGTTAGGTTAAGTAAGGTATCCTATTGAGAATGATGTTGGGGGTTAGAATGAGGGGGAGAAAAGTGAGAAGGAAGAATGTTGATGGGAAAAGAGTCTAGGAAATTGATTAGTTCATAAGAAAGTGAGAAAAGTAGAAAGTACCAGGTACATGGGGCAGGAGGATCTGGGAAAATGCTTTAGGTCTTTCTTATTTAAAGTTACAAGGCTACAATTAGTGATGTCTGTGGATGCATTTAAAATGTTTTGAGAGTGTACAGTCTCTTGTACACTGTCTAGGGACAGTATTTAGCTCTCATTTGAATGGTATCTGAGGTACAGTTATGTCTGAAGTTCTATCTTTTGATAACATAATCAGCTGAGGTGAGTGGTTCCATACTTTTGACCTCTAAGCTATAAAAGCACAACACATTCTACCATGATATAAATATGTTGCAATACATAGGCCAGTGTTATGTGGCAAGTTAAAGTTAGGATTTTTCTGTGAACTTATTTCTGAATGATTTTCTACCAAACAGCCCCATTCTCCTGCTTCAGTGTTGACGTTTTTTATACCAGTGAATTTTTTATACTGAGAATTTTTTATACTGAGAATTTTTTATACCAGTGGCTTACTGGCATTAATTACTTAGTGTTAGAAAGTATTGATTAGAAGGAAAAAGCTATTGCATTGAAAGAAGGAAACATAATAGATTAAGTTGTAAGTGTATGTGGGAGATTGTTTTATTTTTGATGTATGGAAATAAATGGTTAAGTTGCTAAGTTCAGAACATGTACCAAAGAGCAAAACATTAGGAAAACAGATGATAGGAAGGAGGAGGAGGCTGTAGCTTGTTACATTCGAGTGACCACAAGACTGTTCCAAGCCAAGAACACAGCTGGAGTTTGATGAAAGGGAGTTGAGTGCTCAGCTGAGACTGAGCATATAGGAATCTTTCTTGGATGCCTCATTTTTTGAGCCCCTTCTTTGTTTCATTATACTGAGAAAAGCCACATGCAAGTATAACAAACAGTTATGTGGCCAAACAGCATATGGTCTCTCCTGCAGGAAATGAGAAGGAGGAGGACTTGAGAAGAAAGAATTGAGGTTGGCTAAGTAGACAAACAATGAGCTTACGTGGGAACAGACTGTGTTGTAAATAAAGGCATTGCAGTGTTCTAGCGCTGTGCTTGTTGTATTGAGCCTGCAACTTTGAGAACTTCTTGGGTGCCAGTGACCTGTTGTTCTCTCTGTGGTTAACATGGCCTTAGTCAGTATAAATGAACCAAATGTTTGTGAACCAGAGCCATGTTTCTTCCTCTGGTCTGTTTGATGCCAGCACCTCCTGGAATGACACATTAGGACCAGGAGGCAACCAGCATTTTCTCTTGGTGGCTTTTGTGACGTGACTTGTGTTATTAGGAATCGTGTTGTCTTCCCTCTGTGACTGCTTTCCTAGCTACTTGATGCCACCAAGGAGCATCCAGCACTTCTTAAAAGTTTTAGGATAGGTAAAAGGAGGTGTCAGTAGTAGATTTAAAATGTGTAGCTCTAGCAGCTCTGTTTCTACCTACTACTTGCTGAAAGGTGTAATATTGTAAATGTTAGTTAAAATACTAGGGTAGAGTTTCTGCTTTTTCTTTCTGTAAAGCCTGAACATTAAACCAGACTGGAATGCTAAAAGTAAGTTTATAAATACAGGAGTTAGGGAGATGGCGTGCCTAAAAAAATCCCATGGTGAACTGAATAGACGCTTTAGCATAAAACAAAATTAAGAATTGAGAAATATTACATATGGAAATAAATAGCTGGTCCAGAAAACATAGACCATCTGTGCCAGTATTGTACCTGATTATTTGGAATATTAACAGTATAAGAAGCATTCTTTTTGCAGGCTGGATTATTTGGATAATTTTTTCTATGTATAAGTAGCATCTATGAATTCTTTCTTATCTCCCTCTCTGAAATTAATTTACTGTGACCTGTACATATCACTTGATTTACTAATATTCATGCACTATATTAAGGGCATGTATTTTAGAATGCTAGGGATTCCCAAAGTAATTTTGACATTGGTTTTGGAAATATGATAGTATATATGATTGTATCTTAATAATGATTAATATTCTTAGAATTTTAATATTTTAAAGTAAATAATGGAGGGCTTGAAATTATTATTCTGCTCTTCTTTTCAATATATTATTTTCTCTACTTATTCTGAATCTGTATCCAAGCTCTATCTCTTACTAGCTGTGTCTTTTGGTAAGTGACCTCATTTCTCTGTGATTTAGTTTTCTTATCTGTGGATAATAGTGTTATTGTGGTTATTAAATGAGTTCAGAAAAGTTCTTAGAACAGTGCCTGTGCATAGTAAATGCTTTATATTTTCCATTACTGTAATACAGATGATAGATGGCATCATTTTTTTTTCAGATTGGGCCACAATAATTGGGCCATATAAAGTACTGTTGACTTTTCTATTTTTCATCACTCCTTATATTTCCGCTGGAAACTAACTGACAGGCAGTTGGTGGGGTGTCAGGGCCTCAGCAAGACAGCAAACAGGCACATTCGACCAGGGGACCAAAGCAGAGCCCAGCCACATAGACTGGCCCAGAGCGGCCAGAGGAGAAGATGGGAAGGCCGCAAGGCCGTTCTCACCCTGGGTGCTGGACATGATCTGAAATCACCATGCTATTCTGGAGCTCATTGGTTGGTGCAGTGAAGCTCCTCATCTCTTTCCCTCCCTGTCAAGAACAGGCTGGGGTGGAACTGAGCCTCCTCCTGACTCAGAGGAGCTGAGGGAAGGCTGCAGCTGAGGGAAGGCTGCAGCTGGCGAGGAGGTAACCAAGTGTTCTGTATCAGGAGGATGGTGAAAATGAAATAGTGCAAATAACAGCAAAAAATGGAGTTATGCAAAGAGGTGAAGGAGTCATGAAGAACTTTAAGATTTGCCAGGGATAAGCCCCATGCCAATATATAATGTTTTCATAACTTTGAATTGCCAATATGTACATTTTCATTGGGGCAGTGATCACTAAAAGTGATTTCAGTTTCTTAACCAATATAACATTAAACAAATGTAACTTTTTGCCACTTAACAAAAATAAGTGTAAGAGATTACTGTTCTTCTTTAACCAGCCTATGCCCAAAATGGAAAGCGAGTTTGGCTCTTAAATCACATTCTTAATTTTGTTGTCAAGTCATTATCACAGGAAATGTGTATTTCTTTTATAGCTACTTATATGACAGCAATAAACTATTGGAAAACATAGCAGAAATCAAATCCAGGAATGCCAAGCTTACTATCAGTAGGACAGATAATTTCTTTGTCTTATATGAAGCCTGTTTATATTTTCATCATGGACATTGTGATTGCTATAACAAGTAACAATAAGAAGTTATCTTCTATTACAAAAATGTTTCGACCTTCTTAATATTGATTTCCATTCTGACCACAAAAGGTTTGTCATAGAAATTAAAGATGAATAAGTGTATCTTATTTTTTAGAATCTTAAATGATTTTCACTTTGAGATTAGCAAATGTGAATTTCCATGTTTTGTGACCGTCTGTCTACTTCCTGTATTAAAAATAGAGTCAGAGGCATAGTAATGTAAGTCTGAGCCCTCTTTGGTACATATTAAATTATGCACATCATTTAGCTAAATGTAAATGATATGGTGAGTGCCTCCTGAGTAAATAATTTCCATTACTTATCAGATTGAGCCATCAGATGATTCTAAAAATACTCGTCATGCATTCAATGGCATTTTCTCTGGAGTGGACTGTTTGAGTGCCAAGTTACAACCAAGAATGAAATTCCTGTTTCCCGGTACATTGTATCAAAGGTTATCAAGTGTATTTGAACATCGCTGATAATTTTTCCTAAACTGTGACTGAAACTAGGCTAAAGATAAGTTAAAACTTCAGTCATTTCTAATGATTAATTAAGATAGTCTTGAAAACTTTTTTCTGTTTGACGTTTCTTACCACTATTTTATTGTTTCAAAGTCTGATATTCCATACTTAACCTCCTATTTTCTCTTCTAATGTTACGTTGCATAATTGAAATGTCACTTATACTGGATACAATTATAAATATGAAGCTCTTAAAAATATGCCTCCTCCTTGTTAGGTTTAAGGCAAAAATAACCTTCTAAGGACTAGACCATCAACAATCATATTCAAAACTCCAGGGTTGCAACACCCATAGCATGATTTGTTAAAGATACCTCACATATTTTTCTTCTACATGTGAAATAATCCTAACTCTTAGCCTTTATAGATCAAATTTAACAATTTTCATGATATCTTTTGAACTCTCCTAACATTGTATACCTCCATTGATAGTTAAGTAATAGTGCCTTGGGTCTGGCCTATGATGAAGGGTCTGGCCTATGATGAAGGGAAGCAGAGAATAATTTTGGGGGTCCACAACCTGAAAATAATGCCACCACGCAGCCTTTTTAGCTTTAAAATATAATCTGGGAGGATGATGCTTCTGAAACTATTTTGCCATCCCAGTGGATTCATTCAGAAAATAGGTCCCTTCTTAGGCTTACCCTAAATGATCCACTTTTGAGGTCCCATTTATTTCCTCAGAATCATAGTCTTCCTTTTTTTTTAGTATGAAAGAAAACGCCACCTGCTGCAGCTGGATGGTGAGATCAATTCAGATAAATTTTATCAGAAAAGAAATATATTGCCAAACAAAAAATTTCTCCAGAGAATGACGATCATGTTGAAATTGTGATATATATCAGACAATGCAGAGGCTTAGCTATTTCTAGGTTGTTTATTACTGAAGATTTTTCTGATCAGGACATATAATTTCGGTGCCTTCAAAAGGCGTCATGCCTTTTTGAACCATAGCTCTCTCTATAAATTATGAGTTAAGGAATTAATTCTGTTTCACTTGCTAGTAAAAATTAACTCCTAAAGACTCATGTTGGAAATCATCTGTGAAAAATTCTTGCAAAACAGTTAGCGTTTACCTTTTGCTGAAATTAAATTAATAAGCCTAGAAGATTAGAGTCAATCTCATGTTTTATTTCTTTAAAAAATGACATTTTACAAAACGGAAGTGAAGATTATAGCAATAGTGGCTAGTCGGTGCTGCACTGGTTTCTTGAAAATTGAAGGTTCTTATTTGTCTGCTGTGTTATTGCCAGTCTTCTCTCCAGTCTGAAGGAATGACTTTCTCCAACCTGCACACCCCTACACACACACACAAGCATTTAGAAGACAAGAATCGTTGCTCATTTTCCATTTACTTTGAATGTTTTTATTCTTGAAATGTTATCTCGAATGAAGTTATTACATAAAGTTCACTAATGATAATGACTGTGTGTATGTGTGTGTTTCTATATAATTTATTATATTTCATTGTTTTAAGCACTTTTATAAATGGACTTACTTAGTCCACAGAACCCTTTGAGGTAAGGGGGAGAGATTAGGAGTCCAGTTTTAGACATTGAACAAAAACATGCATCAATAGAAACATGTTTAATATGATATTAAAAATTAAGATCAACCTAAATGTCCAACAGTAAATAATTGGATGAATAAATTATGAGACTTTCATGCAATGAAGTACTATGGAGAAAAATATTTGGCACATCTGTATATTATTTTGGCACATCTGTATATTATTATATTATGACACAGCATATTTGCTGAAAATATAAAGCTGGTTATCAAATAGTACTCAGGGAACAACCACATTCTATAGAAGAGAAAAAATATACTTTGTGTTGGCAAGGAAAAACTAAACACATAAAATTATAGCAGTGGCAGTTTGTAGTGATTTAATATTTTTGCTTTTATAAATTTTTTCCCATTAACTAGTTTTCTAAATAAGTTTTTGTCATTGAAAAGAGAAAATATATATTCTAGTTACTTTAATCTTATGGACTGTATTTTGGGACTCTGAGGCTGAGTTGCAGGGCCATTGTATAGTATAGCAGAGGCAGATATATTCTTTCCCATGTTTTGGGGAACTACAGAGGTACCAAGGGCATCCCACTGTAATTTTTCAACAACCAGCTGTTTCTGCTAAGAAAATACACTGAAAGTAAGGAGGAGCAGATAGAGAAGAATTTGGAAGATCCACTGACTTCCCTGCTCCAATTCAAGTAATCTTGTCTTTCAGATGATTCTTACATAAGAAATTTAAAAATTACCTCCATCTTATTAGGGCATTTTTTCCACTATAAAATGTTAAGATCCAACTTACTTTTTAAAGATTTATAGTATTTTATTTTTTCTACCTTACTTTAAAAAAATGTATCTATTTCGCTGGGCGCAGTGGCCCACGTCTGTAATCCCAGCACTTTGGGAGGCCGAGGCGGGTAGATCTTGAGGTCTGGAGATCAAGACCATCCTGGCTAACACAGTGAAACCCTGTCTCTACTAAAATTACAAAAAATATTTTTTTGTGGTGACAGAAAAAATACAGGTGTGGTAACACGCGCCTGTAGTCCCAGCTACTCAGGAGCCTGAGGGAGGAGAATCACTTGAACCCTGGAGGTGGAGGTTGCAGTGAGCCGAGATCGCGCCACTGCACTCCAGCCTGGGTGACAGAGTGACACTCCATTTCAAAAAAAAAAAAAAAAAAATTATCCATTTCTCCATTTTTGTTGGAGATGATTAGTCTTTCCTTGGTATCTCAACATTTTAACTCAGTATACTTTATTATTTCTGGAGCTTAAAATGTATGAAGTTCTGAAAACTGCCAAATTTAAACCTAACACTCTTTATTGATGGTTTTTTAATACAACTCCTTCTAGGTAGGGAGACTTGAAAAACAACTTCACAACAATTTTATTGTTGTATATCCATTTCAAGTGCCAGTAGGCAGTGGTGTAACAATGTAGTAATGTAATAATCAGGTTCAAAGAAAGTGATGTAGTTATGAACTGGCTGCATGGGTGAAATGATTGATTGATTGATTTGTTTTTTCATTTCAAGGGAGTGAAAAAAATAGATCCTGATTTATATGAAAAGTTTATCAGTCACAGATTTGGAGAAGAAATATTATATCGCATAGATCTTTGCTCCATGCTGAAGAAAAAACAAAGTAATGGTTATTATCACTGTGAATCTTCCATTGTGATTGGTGAGTGTCATTTAAAAATTATTTATTATCTTTATTTTTAATTTTTTTGGCATCACTTTTATCTTGGCAAATATTTAAACTTAGTTGTATACGTTTTTCTCAATGATATACTTTCCTAAATATTATGTTTTGACAATGATACATTGAAAATTTTCTAGAGCATTTTTCATATTTATATTGATCAGTTAAGACTTTACTACCTGTAGTTTTTATACTTCTGGCTTTAAATATAATTATAATGAAGTCTGGAAATATTGATTTAGAAATCATTTCAATTTAATTTTATTTCATGAACATGAAGAAAACATTTTCTCCAGGGAAGGCCTCCATGACCTTCCACAACTGGCATTTTGTATTTGCTGCTTGTAATTACGAATAAAATGATTCCAGCCAGAAAGTTTCACCTTGAGAAGAGAAAATATAGGTGGCCTGCAAAAATTGAAAACTTCACTTTCTTCCCTAAAAAAGATGTTTTGAGGGGAGGCATAAGGTTCATACATAAATGCATCTGTCAGATGGCAGGAGATGAGACAGACTCATATAAAACTGTGTTTCCAGGTGGAAAGTGTGTACACTTAGGGAGATCTTTCATCCAGAATAGAGCTATACTCCACTTTTTGCAATGTGAACGTATTTCAAAGCAGCCAGCTCTGTTGTGATTCAGATTTATTATTTCAAACCAGACACTATTCTTTTAAAACTGTGAACTTCAAGACAACCTGATTTATATGCTTTTAAAGTAACATGAAAATACTCAAAGAAGACAAATACATGCATACCTTGTTTTATTGTGCTTTGCTTTATTGTGCTTCACAGATATTGCCTTAAAAAGACAGTTTATTTATTTATTTTTAAGAAATTGAAGGTTTGTAGCAACCCTGTATCAATTGTCTTTCTGGGCCATTTTTTCTAACAGCATGTGCTCTTTTTGTGTCAATTACATTTTGGTAATTCTCACAGTATTTTAGACTTCATTATTATTATATCTGTTATGGTGATCAGTGATCTTTGATGTTATTATCGTTATTGTTTTGGGGCACCACCATATGAATTGTATTCATATAAGATAGCAAACCAAATTGATAAATGTGTGTGTTCCGACTGCTCCACCGAACAGCCATTCATTCCCCTGTGAAGAGTCGTACATCTCTTACCTTAAATCAAAAGCTAGAAATGATACATTGGAAGGACATGCAAGAAAAAAAAAGCTAGAAATGATTAAGCTTAGTGAGGAAGGCATGTCGAAAGATGAAATAATCCGAAAGCTAGGCTTCTTGTACCAGTTAGCCAAGTTGTGAATGCCAAGGAAAAGTTCTTAAAGGAAATTAAAAGTGCTATTCCAGTGAACACACAAATCAAAAGAAAGTGAATTAGCCTTATTGCTGATATGGAAAAAGTTTTAGTGGTCTAGATAGAAGATCAAACCAACTGCAACATTCCCTTAAGCCAAAGCCTGATCCAGTGCGAGGCCCCAACTCTCTTCAGTTCTGTGAAAGGTAAGAAAGGTGAGCAAGGTGCAGAAGAAAAGTTGGAAACCAGCAGAGGCTGGTTCATGAGGTTTAAGGAGAGAAGCTGTCTCCATAACATAAAAGTGCACGGTGAAGCAGAACGTGCTGATACAGAAGCTGCAGCCAGTTATCCAGAAGATCTAGCTAAGGTCGTTGATGAAGGTGGCTGCTCAAAGCAACAGATTTTCAATGTAGACAAAACAGCCTTCTATTGGAAGAAGATGGCATCTAGGAGTTTCATAGCTACAGAAGAGAAGTCAATGTCTGACTTCACAGTTTCAAAGAACAGGCCGACTCTCTTGTGAGGGGCTAATGCAGCTGGTGACTTTTAAGTTGAAGCCAGTGCTCATTGTCCATTCCAAAAATCCTAGGGACCTTAAGAATTATTCTAAATTCAGTCTGTCTATACTTTATAAATGGAACAACGAAGCATGGATGACAGCACATCTGTTAATAGCATGGTTTACTGAGTATTTTAACTACTGCTCAGAAAAAAAAATTCTTTTCAAATGATTACTGCTCATTGACAGTGCACCTTGTCTCCCAAGAACTCTGATGGAAATGTACAAGGAGTTTAGTGTTATTTTCATGCTTGCTAACACAGTGTCCATTCTGCAGCTCATGGATCAAGGAGTAATTTAGACTTTCAAGGCTTATTATTTAAGAAATATTTTTGTAAGGCTATAGCTGCCATGAATAGTGATTATTGTGATAGATATGAGCAAAGCAAATTGAAAACCTTCTGGAAAGGATTCACCATTCTAGATGTCATTAAGAACACTTATGACTCATGGGAGGAAGTCAAAATAGCAACATTAACAGGAGTTTGGAAGAAGTTGATTCCAGCCCTCATGGATGACTTTGAGAAGAGATTCAAGACTGCATTGGAGGAAGTAACTGCAGATGTGATAGAAACAGCAAGAGAATGGCCAGGCGCGGTGGCTCACGCCTGTAATCCCAGTACTTTGGGAGGCCAAGGCGGGCGGATCATAAGGTCAGGAGATCGAGACCATCCTGGCTAACACCGTGAAACCCTGTCTCTACTAAAAATGCAAAAAATACTAGCCGGGCGTGGTGGCGGGCGCCTGTAGTCCCAGCTACTCGGGAGGCTGAGGCAGGAGAATGGTGTGAATCCAGGAGGCGGAGCTTGCAGTGAGCCGAGATCACACCACTGCACTCCAGCCTGGGTGACAAAGTGACACTCATCTCAAAAAAAAAGAAAAAAGAAAAGAAATAGCAAGAGAACTAAAATTAGGAGTGAAGCCTGAAGATGGGATTGAATTGCTGTAATCTCATGATAAAACTTTAGTGGATAATGAGTTGCTTCTTATGAATGAACAAAATAAGTGGTTTCTTGAGATGGAATCTACTCTTGGTAAAGATCCTTAAACATTGTTGAAATGACAACAAAGGATTTAGAATACTACATTAACTTAATTGATAAAACAGTGGCTTTAAAGGGTTTGAGAGAATCAGCTCCAATTTTGAAGAAGTTTTACTGTGGGTAAAATGTTATCAAACAGCATTCCATGCTACAGAGAAATCTTTCATGAAAGGAAGAGTCGATTGATGCAGCAAACTTCATTATTGTCTTATTTTAAGAAATTGCCACAACCACTCGAACCTCCAGCAAGTACTACTCTGATTAGTCAGCAACCATCAACATCAACAGACAAGACCTTCCACCAGCAAAAAGATTATGACTTGCTTAATGCTCAGATGATTGTAAGCATTTTTGGCAATAAAGTGTATTTAAAGTAAAATGTTTACATTTTTTAGATATAATATTGCACATTTAATAGACTGCATATAATGAAACATAATTTTATATGTACTAGGAAACCAAAAAATTCATGTGGCTTGCATTATTGCAATGTTTGCTTTATTGCAATAGTCTGGAACTAACCCATAATACCTCTGAGGTATGCCTGTATATGTAGCTAAATATTGCAAGGTCTTTAACCAAGGTAATTTATCTCCAAATCAGCTGGAAGAACACCTATGGATGTATACATCCTGAAAGAATCTTAATACTGACGTTTATTAAAGCATTTAAAAATGTTCAAGAGACACAATTTTACTTCCAAATTTTCATTAGACATCTTCAGAGGTCCTCATTTTACCTTTCAAAGACTTCAGCTATTTTAAACAGAAGATATTCAGTATGTCGTTTGAATTTTATATTCTGAAACATCTCAAGTCTATTTTAAGGAGAATTTTCATCTTTTCAGAATCTCTGTAAGAGAGCTGTCTTCCATCCAAGTTTTGATGAGGACCAAACATTTCTGTTTAGGTTCATTGTAAATGGAAAACTTAGATACTTCTTGTGTAGGACAGATTTTGGCCAGCTTCCCCTATCTTCTCTGCCAACCTTATAAGGTCTCTTACAAGGCCAACCTTATAAGAATTGCAGTGCCTCATTACCTTTCTCATTCCTGTTAAAAAAATTAGGAATATGTTGATATTGCTGAAAATATTACAGGACTGGCATTATGAAGCTTATATCATAGATTACCTAAATTGACACTGGACAGTTCTATTCAGCCTACCACCCCCCATCACTGTGTTCAAGCCACTGAGATTTCGCTTTCATTGCTCTTTTTCAGTTTATAGTCTTTAAATTTCCCCTTATGTGAGGTAGTTTCTCCAGATCTTTCCATCAAGCTTCTTTATTGCTGTTACACTTTCTAATTCAAAACAATTTTGCCTTTTTCAAACGCTGCCAATCTTGTATCCCCAAGCCAATCATTTCACATTGTTTTAAAAAATGATTTTTGCTTATTACAAATGCTTTCGTGGGTCACATTTGGCGATGACAATATAAACTTTAAAATCATATGTGCATCTAAAGTGATAATTTATTGTTATAATTAACCAAGTTTAATGTACACTAGAGTTCATTTGCTTATAGATATTATTGATTTTATCAATCTTACCTATATTTTATAACAATATTAGATTTGGGATACTTTGTTTTATTTCTTAATCAGATTTAATTGGCCTACCTTGGTTTGGCTTCTCTTTGATTTGATCCTAACTCAAATTTAATGTCAATTTCTTGAGGCTTGAGCCAACATTTTATGGTATACATTAATACCGTGGGACAGATTTCTGATCTTAAGATATTATTCAGAGTTCTAGGATAGAAATTGGGCCTCAGGGACACTGAGAACTTCCTGATATTGTTCATAAAACTTTGTATGTAGGTACATGTGTGAATTTTTCTGGGGAGATAATTTAGCCCTCATTAGATTTGCATATTTCCTATCTTTGTTAATGGTACATTCTTGGAGAGTGCTAGATTACAAGTCACTGATTATCTCTTCAGCCATCTCTGTTATACCATTTAAGACATCTTAAAAAAAAAATCAGTTAGTATATATGCTACGTTTGTAAAGTTTCCAGTTGATTCACTTTTTTTTTTTTTTTTTTTTTTTTTTTTTGAGACAGAGTCTTGCTCTTTCACCCAGGCTGGAATGCAATGGCTTAATTTTGGCTTACCACAACCTCTACAACCTCCACCTCCTGGGTTTAGGTGATTCTCCTGCCTCAGCCTCCCGAGTAGCTGGGACTACAAGTGTGCGCCACCATGCCCGGCTAATTTTTTTTTTAATATTTTTAGTAGAGACAGGGTTTTGCCATGTTGGCCAGGCTGGTATCGAACTCCTGACCTCAGGTGATCCACCACCTGTGCCTCCCAAAGTGCAGGGATTACAGGCGTGAATTACTGCACCTGGCCTCCAGTTGATTTACTTTCATATTTTCCTGTTCTATTCTTTGCTTCATGGATATTAATTCTTCTGTCATGTCTTTGAGGATTTCAATACAGTCATTTTTTAAAGTTCTTTTCATATTTAAAAAAATTCTGTGATTCCTTGGGAATGAATTCTTGTAGTTGGTCTTCTGTGGCCCTCAATTTCCTCTAGTGCTTTTTAAGTTTTTTTTGGAGCTCATCTTATTGTGCATGTTTTCCCCTCAGAAGCCCATGTGGGTTTTGTGGTTGTCACAGCCCTGGTCCCACAGGGTACATTGCTTTGAACTGAGTTAGGAACTGGCAACCACAAATCATCCTCATCCGTAAGGAGTTGGGATTTCTTCTTCTGGATTCTGTTACCAATTTGTGAGTTGAGAGTAAAGATATTAGCCTTTTGTTTGCCATATTGGCTTCAAATATTTTCCAGGTATTATGTTGCTTTTAATTTTGGACAAGGAACTTTATATATTAAGTGTTAAGTTTTATCAAATTATAGGTGAAAATTTCTCTTATGATTTATTTCATGACCATTATGATTAGCATTATCTTCAAACCAAAGATTTGATATATATTCGTTCATATTTTCTTCTAGTTTTTTTTGTTTTTGTTTTTCCATGTAGGCTTTTAATTTACCTGATATGATCATTAATATAGGTTCTCATACACACAGGAGAAACTCATAAATCCAGTTCTATTTTATGCATTTTAAATTTTATCCATTAATTGGTTCATTTTTAGTGCACATGAAGTAGGGATTTAGTTTTAGAAATTATTTTCTAGGATTTCTTTTACACCCCATCACATCTTTTACTGTGTGACTCAGAAATCACTGATTAGCAGCCTTACATGTACTTGATTGAACAGGGGTTTTTGTTTGTTTTTGTATAATTCAAATTACTTGCCAATACTAGTGTGATTTTATATTAAATCTGGATTTCCACCTTCTTCTGAACAATCAGATGAGGTGCCCACATTACCACATTGGTCTCACGTTCTTGCATGGCACTACAGTTTCCTGGATGGAGTAATAGGCATTGTGACCTTGAGCGTAGCTATCTTTTATCATCCCACTTACCCTGTTGTTCTTGTACAAATCTGTTTACCTTTACACTGCCTACTTGGCTCCTGAGAGCATCTGAGTTTGTACCTCCTGCCAGCTGTTGCCTGCTTTACATTTCTATGGTGAACATTTTCCTCTTAATCTTCTGCCATTGTATACCTTTATGTGGAGCATTAGGAGACTTTGGTCGGATATGGTGGCAACATTCCTATTTTCAGATATAAGAAAAGGTACATTTTGGTTGTTTCATGCTCAAAGCTTTGGGTGACATTATGCCTGCTTGTCATTGGGCTATAACTGTGCAAACCGCACTGCACTAATCAGCTAAAATTCAAATAATTAATAAAAAGGTGAAAACCCTACTTCTTTTTGGTGAAAACCAGGAATGAAATATGATTCAGATATTTTAGGATTATGAAAGCTGTTCTCTGTGAGCTACTTACTCGAGTTGGGTGAATTAATTTTTCTCAGGCAGCTGTGTTCCATTTGTATTTCCCTTGGGAATGTAAATGACTAAATGACACCTTTTGTAAGATTGATGAGCAATTTAGTGCTTGCAAAGACTAGTTTACTTTCAGCTGTCAGACATATCTTACAGGAGGCAGTGGGGAATTTGGAAAGGTCTAGACGTTTTTTGTTTGTTTGTTTGTTTGCAGTCCAGTATATTTATAACTTCTGCAAGCAGAGGTAGAAACAGAATTATTTTCTGGGAACACTTGTTTCTTTGCTTAATAATTATTATTCAACATTAATGAATGTTACTGAACATGTACGATGTGCCTACTTCTCTCTCGGGTATCATGTGATACAGAGAAGTATAAGACACAGTCCTTAAGAGTGATACAGAAGCACCGGACAGCAAAGGCTACATCTGAGAAATGGCAGAGGAATAGATGAATAGGGCTTGTCTGTAACAGTAATGGGATTTGATAGGACACAGTGGAAGCTTATAATTTTACCATTTAATAGGAGAGTAGGGGGATAGGGGAGTAAAAGAATTCAGCTGAATGGGATGAGATTGAGGAGCAGAGCGATAGTCAATAGAGAAAGGAGACTTTCTGGAGCAATTGTCTTCATTGCTTTAATGGCAAAGACCACAATTACTTTTGCACCAACCTGATACAATGAAAGAGAAGCAATGGATTGGGAAGCAGGGTGGAGGCATTAATAGTGATAGATGACACTTTGATTGAACCCACAGTGGAGTTAGCTGAGGAAGCTGCAGAGTGGGAGGTTGCTAGGTTTGCGGGTATGAGGAGTTGGTGAGGGGATGGACATAGTTACATACACTGAGGCAGTGAATGTGTAATACTGAGTAGATAAATGTGAGATAAAAAGAGAATGATGTTGTGCTTGCTTCAGCGGTACATACACTAAAACAAGGATGATGTTTAATACTCAACAACACAGGACCGAGTCCTAAAGATAAGACCGTTAATTAATTTCAGACTGTAGCATAAGAGGCCAGGAGGAGGATAGGGTTGGGCCAAGCATAAACTAAACAGAAGAAGCAAAGATCTCCATTGACATGGTGATAGACCAGGAAAGAGTTCTAGATAAGTTAGTGCCATATAGCTGTAGTTTAGTCAGAATGTGTCCAATGCTAAATAGGCCAGAACAACGGGATAGCCTGCTCAGACTTTATGGGCTGAAACACTAAGGATAATTCTGAGTGAGTAGAGTCAATGAATTATTCCATTTAGATGTCCTTGCTTTTTGAGAATCACCCTTAAGACACTCGGACAGCCTAGATCAGTCTTAAAAGGCTTGCTAGTCTTAAAAGGCTTGTTGTGGTTCACCCAGGGATTTCTAGTAGTCATATGAGGGCAGTAGTTCAGCCAAAAAGAAAAGACCTTTTGCCTTGCTTCTGAGGTTGGAGTCCCTTTTGACTGAGGAGACCCTCTTCTCTGACTCTGACGTCCTTATCTTCAGTGCTCCTTTACCCTTAGGGGCCAGGGCAGAGATGAGTTGCCCACATCTGGATGTTGCCCAGTTTTAGTATGTAGGCATGGGGATCTCCTTTATGGAAGATAGTAACCATTGTTTGATGCTGCAGGAAGGCGTAGGAGGAGAAGGAAATTAATTTTTTCATTGGGTGAAAGGCATAGCTAGGAAAAAAAGGTTTTGAGCTTTCTAGAATCCTTAAACCTGGACCTTTGATACATAATAAAATTTGAAAATGTTGAATTTGAAAATGTGTGTATTTCTTAAATCCAATATGCTCACTTAGTGGAGAGGGGCATTGGCGATAGATATGTGCATGAATGTCTTCCTTTTTTTTAGTTTGCTTTTTGCAGTAGGAATATGTGCCTCATTGTGCTTATCTTACACATGATTTAGTATTCTAATCATTTACAAGGCTATACTTTTGTTGAGTTTTTACTTTATTTTTAATTTTTATTTTTTGTAGAGACGGGGTCTCCCTATGTCCAGGCTGGTCTTAAATTCCTGGGCTCTTGCCTCAGCCTCCCAAAGTGCTGGGATTACAGGTGTGAGCCACTGTGCCCGGCCTGGGTTTTAAATTCTTTTAAAATATACTTTAGGTTCACCAGTTCTTAGAATTTGGCCCATGGATCCCTGGTGGTCCTTTAGATACTTTTAGGGGGTCAGCGAGGACAAAACTATTTTTATAAAAATAATAAGACATTATTTGTCTTTTCCATTGGGTTAACATTTACATGCAAAAGCAATGGTGAATAAAACTGTGTATGGCCAGTATGAATCTAGACAGTTGCAACTAAAAAAAAATTTTTTAAAGGCAGTTTCACGTAAGAATGTTCTTGCTGAGTAGCAAAAATTATTAATTGCGTTTAATCTCAACTTCTGAGTATATGTATTTTTAATATTCTGTGTAACAAAAATGGGAGGTATGCTTGAGGCACTTTTGCTGCATATTGAAGTAGGTCGACCCAAAGAAATGTGTTTGCATGATTATTTAAGCTGTGAGCTAAAGTAGCCCCTTTCTTCCATGGAACACCATTTTTTCTTGAAGAATGATTGAAGGACAAACTTGTTTTCATACTTGGGTGTTGACAGGCATTTTCTTGCAAATAAACAAGTAAACCTGTCACAGCAAGTACAACTGACATTATTTACTGCTAATCATAAAATTCAAGCTTTCAAGCAAAAATAGAAATTTTGGAAAACTCACATATATTATCAGGTGCTTGACAGAGCACACAGTAGGATAATGAACTTCATTTTCCCAGTTCGTTTTGTTTTGTTTTGTTTTGAGCTGGAGTCTGTCTCGTTGTGTTGCCCAGGCTGGAATGCAGTGGCGTGATCTTGGCTTACTGCAACCTCCGCCTCCTGGGTTCAAGCGATTCTCCTGCCTCAGCCTCCCAAGTAGTTGGGATTACAGGTGCCTACCACAGTACCTGGCTAATTTTGGTATTTTTAGTAGAGACAGGGTTTCACCACGTTGGCCAGGCTGTTCTTGAATTCCTGACCTCAAATTATCCACCTTGGCCTCCCAAAGTGGCCTCCCAAAGTGCTGGGATTACAGGTGTGAGCCACCATGCCTGGCCTCCCAGTTTGTTTTTATCTATCACATTCTCTGTGAGGTATAACTTATATGCAAAACCGCACATACTTAAAAGTATACAACTAGATAACTTTTTACATATATACACATGCCTGTGAAACCGCTATTGCCTTCAAGATGCTGAACTTTCCATTACTCCTCAAAGTGTCCTTATGTCCCTTGCCAAGCCATACTTAAAGACTTTTCTAGGGAGATGGGGGTGATATTAATTAATGTGTTTTTAATTGTTGCTGCAAAGGACATGGTTTTGTTCTTTTTTATGTCTGTGTAGTATTCCATGATGTATATGTATCCCATTTTCTTAATCCAGTTCACCATTGATGTGTACCTAGGTTGATTCCATGTCTTTGCTATTGTGAATAGCAAGCACAGTGATGAACATATGAGTGCATGTGTCTTTTAGGTAGAACAATTTATTTTCATCTGGGTGTATACCCAGTAATGGGATTTCTGGGTTGAATGGTAGCTCTGTTTTAAATTCTTTGAGAAATCTCCAAACTGCTTTCCACAGTGGCAAAACTAATTCACATTCTCACCAAAAGTATGTAAGTGTTCCCTTTTCTCTGCAGCCTGAGCAGCATCTGTTGTTTTTTGACTTTTTATTAATAGATATTCTGACTGGTGCGAGATGATATCTCATTGCAGTTTTGATTTGCTTTTCTCTGATGATTACTAATGTGGAGCATTTTTTCATATATTTGTTGGTCACTTGTATGTCTTCTTTTGAGAAGTATCTGTTCATGTCCTTTGCCCATTTTTTAATGAGTTTTTTTCTTTTACGTGTTGATTTAAGTTCCTTACAATTTCTGGAAATTAGACCTTTGTTGGATGCATAGTTTGCAAATATTTTCTCCTGTTCTGTAGGTTGTCTGTTTACTCTGTTGATAGTTTTTGCTGTGCAGAAGTCCTTTAATTAGGTCCCACTTGTCAATTTTTGTTTTTGTTGCAATTGCATTTGGGGACTTAGCCAAAAATTCTTTGCCAAGGCCAATGTTGAGAAGGATATTTCCTAGGTTTTCTTCTAGGATTTTTATAGTATACATGTTACTATAAAGTCATGCATGGAGAAAAGATCCATTAAAAATTCAAGATAGATCAAGAATGTAGAGTATAAAAAGTTCCTTGGTATGTTTTAAGATTCTACATTGCAACTAAACTTGAAGAAACTATAGCTTGTCATGTTTTGCTATAGTATCAAAGAATATCCACAATTATCTTAATTTAGTAAATGTTTATGAATATAACCCACATAAACTAAAGCTCTAGGTGGATGGGTAGGGGTGTTGCCAGTCATTTTGAAGAGTATAAAGGAGTCCTGAGGCCAAAAACGTTAAAAGAAACCTCTGCTTTAGTTCATGGGTCCAGGGAAACCATGAAAAAGTGTAATCTGTAGATAGTTAACTTAATTTTGATCAGTATTTTCAACACTTTCATAAATTAATTTTGATGGCTATTAAGCTATCTCCATGTTAAATATGAATTGGTTTGATAACTCTCTAATTTTTTCCCCTCCTTTAATTTCCATTTGAGCATTATGTGGTAAAAATGTAACAAGTATAAAAATGCCCCAGACAGACAGGAGCATATCTATGTGAAATGACTCATTTAAAAATCATCATTATGTGAAATAGATATTATGTAATACAGGAATGTCTCTTGTATGATAGGCAGGACCAAAACATTTGCGTTTTTTTTTCTTTCTTTGCACAGGCTCACAGAGATATGATTAAGAAAATTTCATCTCTACTTAGACCGATTAAGATGAATTTATTTCAAGCATTTTAGAAGAGGGAACAGTGAAAAAACAGTTTATTATCTGAGAGAACTGTATACTTTTTTTTCCACTTGAAAACTTAGCAGTTAGAAATTTTCTCTGTTAAAATTATGGAGTAATTTATTTAATAAGAGCTGACTACAAGGTATTTATTTATTTTATGACATACAAATTGGGTGACCATATGATTTATCATCTAAATGGTATACTTTTAAGTGTAAAAGGGGATCTATTACTTACTAGGCTGGGATAAAAGAAGAAAACCAAGACTATCCTGGCTTAACTGGGACTTAGGTCACCCTACCTAAGAAAGTATAATGTTCTTGAAAAAGTGGAACCTTTGACTTGCTAAATACTCTAATTCCAGTCTTGTTTCTTTTTGCATCCTAAGTGTGCCCTTTATATGTTTCTTTGATGAAACATGCCTTCTAAAAAGAAAATGTTTAAAATTTGTTGTTATATGCCCCTAATAAAAATGAAAAGCAACTAATAATTGGAACTCTCAGCTTACTTCTTTACATCTGCCAAAGTTAGACGAAGCTTTGGGATAATTAACTGAGAAAATTAATCTTAGTGATGGCTCACTGTATTTTAACTGGTATATCAGCTGTTAATCCGGATGCTAACACAAAGGGGCAGCTGTGGCTCAGGCTATTTTGAAAATCCAACCGTCTGTTGGTTTCAAACCTTATGATTTATATTAGACATCTTAGGAACCCTGCATATTAAAGGAGCGGTGCTAAGTTTATCTGAAAAATTAAGCATCACTACTAAAATGATGCAGTAGTAAGGTATTTCACGAGTTATTTGTGGAGCCTTCAGTTGGAAGTTTATTGTAAAAAATATGAAGGTAAATACTGAATTCCAAATAAACAGGAAAAATAAAACCATGTGAATGAAATTCTTAGTGTGCAGTCTGGTCAAACAAAGCCATTAACATAATAATGAATTAATAGTTGCCAAAAGTTATGGCTGCCTAGTCCATAACATTGCCTCATTGCCTCTGAACACATTTTTCACCACATTAATCGATGTTTATTAATGTTTTAAAAGTGCTTACCACAGTGCTTGACATACAGTGTTATGAAATCGTTACTGGCCGGCCGGTGGCTCACACCTGTAATCACAGCACCTTGGGAGGCCGAGGTCAGGAGTTAAAAACCAGCCTGGCCAACATGGCAAAACCCTGTCTCTACTAAAAATACGAAAAGAATTAGCCAGGCAATCCCAGCTACTTGGGAGGCTGAGGCAGGAGAATTGCTTGAACCTGGGAGGCAGAGGTTGCATGAGCTGAGATCACCCCACCGCACTCTAGTTTGAGGGACAAAGCAAGACTGTCTCAAAAAAAGAAAAAAGAAAATGTTACTTATTCATATCCATAGCAGTGCTAGTCATATAGAATACTTATTGCAATGGTATTATTTCCTAACATCAGAACATCAGTTTTCTATTATTTATTATTATTATTTATAATAATAATATTTATTATTAAAGATTTGCATTATTCCTAATGCTTTCCTTATTGGCGTGTGATCAACACTGGTGCATTTCAAAAGTAAAGATGCTTATATGTGTGTGTATATATATAACTTTTGCATACAATATTTTATATCATAGGTGAAGATAAAAACTTGGTTTAATTTTTTTGACTGGAAAAACAAAGTTGGCAAATCTGTATAATATAGTGTTATTTTAAAAAAACCTGCTAATGTGGTGAAATCACAATAGACAGACTTATAAAACTCACTAAATTCTTCTCCACTTCAGTGAAACATGGAGGAATTGGAGAGTATGTAGAATAGTAGAAAGAGACGGAGAAAGAGCTCAAACTACAGAGGAAAGCATAGTGACCAGAAGTTCCTACAATCAGGCAGACCTTATTCTAATGGTCACTGCCACTTCCCAGTTTCCAGCTGAGCAACTTTTTGCACATTTTTAATGACTCAAAGCCCAGTTACCCCATCAATAAAATGGGCATAATAAAATAGTTGTTATTTCATGAGGACTGAATGAGATAATGCATGAAAATCTCTTAGCATCATGCCTGGACATACTCAGTGTTCACTAACTGGTGCCTATTATTATTGTGGTAGAAATGCTACAAACTGTATATAGAATTCTTAAGCCCAGGAAAAACAAGGCTTAAGAGTGACTTATGGTAGGGTTAGTCTAAGAAAATGTCCATTTCATCTTAATCTTACTAGGAGTACACTATTCTAGGCATTAGGAAAAACCTTGAACTCTAAAGGATTAAGATACTAGAACAAGGTGTTAAGGGATTTGTAAAATACCTTTACTATCTTTTAAGATGGAAAAGAGCATATCATTTATGAGGTTATCTAATCTGGAGGTCTGGATTACCTCATGAAGTTTCTTCTGTCATTAGAATTTACGAAACCTCTATTTTGCATTAAATTGTATTTTAGTTTTTGTCACAGCTAGACCCTGATTACTATTGGATATCTGATTAATTGGAAGAGAGGTTTTTAAAATCCAATTCAGTTGCACCCTTTATTGTTATATAGTTACTCTTAAAATATGAATGGGGGTAGTGAAGTATGATTAGTGAGTAAATAGGTCTTGGTTGTCACACTGGCAGAGTGAATTTAGGATTCATTGATACTGCCTGAGTTACCAATTCATTCATAGCTCCCTGCTGGCATTTGAAGCATTGCTGACTACTGTGCACATAAAGGCTTCTCCTTTACTTTAAAACTTCTTCAGTTCAATTTTGGTTATTATAATTTATTTGTGCAACTTATTGAACAGGTATCTATTGAGGGTACCAAGTACCAAGCATTATGATGTGTATTTAAGATCAAAGATGGTAGGCAAACACAGCCGTGCTCTCAGAGTTTACTTTGTAGTGGGAAGTCATGCAAACAAACAATTACAATTTAAAGTGGTAATGACTGTAATGAAGTTAATGGGAACCAAGTGAAGGTGCTTTTAATGCTGCCAGGGATTGTCAGGACAGGCTGCACAGAAGAGGAAAGTTTTGAACTGAAAATGAGAATGTTCAGTGTGGAGGGAGGCAAATGAAAGAGAGATTTTCCAGGCCGAGAAAGCAGCATAAGCGACCCAGTGAAGTCTGTGCAGGGACGTGTAAGTAATTCACTCTGCACATGAATTACTTATCTTTAAGTAGTTCAGATCTTTTTTTTTTTTCACTTTTAAATATTTTTATTTGCTTTTTATATGTACGCTTTTATTTCTATATGTTAACCATTTTCTTCTCTCTCCTGTCCATTTTTATTTTATATGCAAGCTATTAGAAGTTAACTTTACAATTCAGTCTTTTTTTTTTAATGATACAACTAGTAATTTATTAAGACCATAAATTCCATTACAGTGACCCTGGTAGGCAACTCTGTAAAGTTTTGGGCTACTTGTCATGTGGTTTTGATTTATATTTGTCTAATGATCAGTGATTTTTTTATTTTATTTTTTTATTATTATTTCTTTTTTTTATTATACTTTACGTTTTAGGGTACATGTGCACAACGTGCAGGTTTGTTACATATGTACACATGTACAATGCTGGTGTGCTGCACCCATTAACTCTTCATTTAACATTAGGTATATCTCCTAATGCTATCCCTCCCCCACTCCTCCCACCCCACAACAGGCCCTGGTGTGTGATGTTCCCCTTCCTGTGTCTATGTGTTCTCATTGTTCAATTCCCACCTATGAATGAGAACCTGCGGTGTTTGGTTTTTTGTCCTTGCGATAGTTTGCTGAGAATGATGGTTTCCAGCTTCATCCATGTCCCTACAAAGGACATGAACTTATCATTTTTTATGGCTACATAGTATTCCATGGTGTATATGTGCCACATTTTCTTAATCCAGTCTATCACTGTTGGACATTTGGGTTGGTTCCAAGTCTTTGCTATTGTGAATAGTGCCGCAATAAACATAACGTGTGCATGTGTCTTTATAGCAGCATGTTTTATAATCCTTTGGGTATATACCCAGTAATGGGATGGCTGGGTCAAATGGTATTTCTAGTTCTAGATCCCTGAGGAATGGCCACACTGACTTCCACAATGGTTGAACTAGTTTACAGTCCCACCAACAGTGTAAAAGTGTTCCTATTTCTCCACATCCTCTCCAGCACCTGTTGTTTCCTGACTTTTTAATGGTCACCATTCTAACTGGTGTGAGATGGTATCTCATTGTGGTTTTTATTTGCATTTCTCTGATGGCCAGTGATGATGAGCATTTTTTCATGTGTCTTTTGGCTGCATAAATGTCTTCTTTTGAGAAGTGCCTGTTCATGTCCTTCACCCACTTTTTGATGGGGTTGTTTGTTTTTTTCTTGTAAATTTGTTTGAGTTCATTATAGATTCTGGATATTAGCCCTTTGTCAGATGAGTAGATTGCAAAAATTTTCTCCCATTCTGTATGTTGCCTGTTCACACTGATGGTAGTTTCTTTTGCTGTGCAGAAGCTCTTTAATTAGATCCCATTTGTCAATTTTGGCTTTTGTTGCCATTGCTTTTGGTGTTTTAGACATGAAGTCCTTGCCCATGCCTATGTCCTGAATGGTATTGCCTACGTTTTCTTCTAGGGTTTTTATGGTTTTAGGTCTAACATTTAAGTCTTTAATCCAACTTGAATTAATTTTTGTATAAGGTGTAAAGAAGGGATCCAGTTTCAGCTTTCTACATATGGCTAGCCAGTTTTCCCAGCACCATTTATTAAATAGGGAATCGTTTCCCCATTGCTTGTTTTTCTCAGGTTTGTCAAAGATCAGATAGTTGTAGATATGCGGCATTATTTCTGAGTGCTCTGTTCTGTTCCATTGGTCTATATCTCTGTTTTGGTACCAGTACCATGCTGTTTTGGTTACTGTAGCCTTGTAGTATAGTTCGAAGTCAGGTAGTGTGATGCCTCCAGCTTTGTTCTTTTGGCTTAGGATTGCCTTGGCAATGTGGGCTCTTTTTTGGTTCCATATGAACTTTAAAGTAGTTTTTTCCAGTTCTGTGAAGAAAGTCATTGGTAGCTTGATGGGGATGGCATTGAATCTATAAATTACCTTTGGCAGTATGGCCATTTTCACAATATTGATTCTTCCTACCCACAAGCATGGAATGTTCTTCCATTTGTTTGTATCCTCTTTTATTTCGTTGAGCAGTAGTTTGTAGTTCTCCTTGAAGAGGTCCTTCATGTCCCTTGTAAGTTGGATTCCTAGGTATTTTATTCTCCTTGAAGCAATTGTGAATGGGAGTTCACTCATGATTTGGCTCTCTGTTTGTCTGTTATTGGTGTATAAGAATGCTTGTAATTTTTGCACATTCATTTTGTATCCTGAGACTTTGCTGAAGTTGCCTATCAGCTTAAGGAGATTTTGGGCTGAGACGATGGCGTTTTCTAGATATACAATCATGTCATCTGCAAACAGGGGCAATTTGATTTCCTCTTTTCCTAATTGAATACCCTTTATTTCCTTCTCCTGCCTGATTGCCCTGGCCAGAACTTCCAACATTATGTTGAACAGGAGTGGTGAGAGAGGGCATCCCTGTCTTGTGCCAGTTTTCAAAGGGAATGCTTCCAGTTTTTGTCCATTCAGTATGATATTGGCTGTGGGTTTGTCATAGATGGCTCTTATTATTTTGAGATACGGCCCATCAATACCTAATTTATTGAGAGTTTTTAGCATGAAGGGTTGTTGAATTTTGTCAAAGGCCTTTTCTGCATCTGTTAAGATAATCATGTGGTTTTTGTCGTTGATTCTGTTTATATGCTGGATTATGTTTATTGATTTTCGTATGTTGAACCAGCCTTGCATCCCAGGGATGAAGCCCACTTGATCATGGTGGATAAGCTTTTTGATGTGCTGCTGGATTCGGTTTGCCGGTATTTTATTGAGGATTTTTGCATTGATATTCATCAGGGATATTGGTCTAAAATTCTCTTTTTTTGTTGTGTCTCTGCCAGGCTTTGGTATCAGGATAATGCTGGCCTCATAAAATGAGTTAGGGAGGATTCCCTCTTTTTCTATTGATTGGAATAATTTCAGAAGGAATGGTACCAGCTCCTCCTTGTACCTCTGGTAGAATTCGGCTGTGAATCCATCTGGTCCTGGACTTTTTTTGGTTGGTAAGCTATTAATTATTGCCTCAATTTCAGAGCCTGTTATTGGTCTATTCAGAGATTCAACTTCTTCCTGGTTTAGTCTTGGGGGGTGTATGTGTTGAGGAATTTATCTGTTTCTTCTAGATTTTCTAGTTTATTTGCCTAGAGGTGTTTATAGTATTCTCTGATGGTAGTTTGTATTTCTGTGGGATCAGCGGTGATATCCCCTTCATCATTTTTTATTGCGTCTATTTGATTCTTCTCTCTTTTCTTCTTTATTAGTCTTGCTAGCAGTCTATCAATTTTGTTGATCTTTTCCAAAAACCAGCTCCTGGATTCACTGATTTTTTTGAAGGGTTTTTGTGTCTCTATTTCCTTCAGTTCTGCTCTGATCTTAGTTATTTCTTGCCTTCTGCTAGCTTTTGAATGTGTTTGCTCTCGATTCTCTAGTTCTTTTAATTGTGATGTTAGGGTGTCAATTTTAGATCTTTCCTACTTTCTCTTGTGGTCATTTAGTGCTATAAATTTCCCTCTACACACTGCTTTGAATGTGTCCCAGAGATTCTGGTATGTTGTGTCTTTGTTCTCGTTGGTTTCAAAGAACATCTTTATTTCTGCCTTCATTTCATTATGTACCCAGTAGTCATTCAGGAGCAGGTTGTTCAGTTTCCATGTGGTTGAACGGTTTTGAGTGAGTTTCTTAATCCTGAGTTCTAGTTTGATTGCACTGTGGTCTGAGAGACAGTTTGTTATAATTTCTGTTCTTTTACATTTGCTGAGGAGTGCTTTACTTGCAACTAAGTGGTCAATTTTGGAATACGTGTGGTGTGGTGCTGAAAAGAATGTATATTCTGTTGATTTGGGGTAGAGAGTTCTGTAGATGTCTATTAGGTCTGCTTGGTGCAGAGCTGAGTTCAGTTCCTGGATATCCTTGTTAACTTTCTGTCTCATTGATCTGTCTAATGTTGACAGTGGGGTGTTAAAGTCTCCCATTATTATTGTGTGGGAGTCTAAGTCTCTTTGTAGGTCTCTAAGGACTTGCTTTATGAATCTGGGTGCTCCCATATTGGGTACATATATATTTAGGATAGTTAGCTCTTCTTGTTGAATTGATCCCTTTACCATTATGTCATGACCTTCTTTGTCTCTTTTGATCTTTGTTGGTTTAAAGTCTGTTTTTATCAAAGACTAGGATTGCAACCCCTGCCTTTTTTTGTTTTCCATTTGCTTGATGGATCTTCCACCATCCCTTTATTTTGAACCTATATGTGTCTCTGCATGTGAGATGGGTTTTCTGAATACAGCACACTGATAGGTCTTGACTCTTTATCCAATTTGCCAGTCCGTGTCTTTTAATTGGAGCATTTAGCCCATTTACATTTAAGGTTAATATTGTTATGTGTGAATTTGATCCTGTCATTATGATGCTAGCTGGTTATTTTGCTCATTAGTTGATGCAGTTTTTTCTTAGCCTTGATGGTCTTTACAATTTGGCATGTTTTTGCAGTGGCTGGTACTGGTTGTTCCTTTCCATGTTTAGTGCTTCCTTCAGGAGCTCTTTTAGGGCAGGCCTGGTGGTGACAAAATCTCTCAGCATTTGCTTGTCTGTAAAGGATTTTATTTTTCCTTCACTTATGAAGCTTAGTTTGGCTGGATATGAAATTCTGGGTTGAAAATTCTTTCATTTAAGAATGTTGAATATTGGCCCCCACTCTCTTCTGGCTTGTAGAGTGTCTGCCAAGACGTCAGCTGTTAGTCTGATGGGCTTCCCTTTGTGGGTAACCCAACCTTTCTCTCTGGCTGCCCTTAACATTTTTTCCTTCATTTCAACTTTGGTGAATCTGATAATTATGTTTCTTGGAGTGCTCTTCTCGAGGAGTATCTTTTTGGCGTTCTCTGTATTTCCTGAATTTGAATATTTGCTTGCCTTGCTAGATTGGGGAAGTTCTCCTGGATAATATCCTGCAGAGTGTTTTCCAACTTGGTTCCATTCTCCCCGTCACTTTCAGGTACACCAATCAGACGTAGATTTGGTCTTTTCACATAGTGCCATATTTCTTGGAGGCTTTGTTTGTTTCTTTTTATTCTTTTTTCTCTAAACTTCTCTTCTCGCTTCATTTCATTCATTTGATCTTCCATCACTGATACCCTTTCTTCCAGTTGATCAAATCGGCTACTGAGGCTTGTGCATTCGTCACATAGTTCTCGTGTCTTGGTTTTCAGCTTCATCAGGTCCTTTAAGGACTTCTCTGCATTGGTTATTCTAGTTAGCCATTCGTCTAATCTTTTTTCAAGGTTTTTTACTTCTTTGCCATGGGTTTGAACTTCCTCCTTTAGCTTGGAGTAGTTTGATCGTCTGAAGCCTTCTTCTCTCAACTTGTCAAAGTCATTCTCTGTCCAGCTTTGTTCCGTTGCTGGTGAGGAGCTGCGTTCCTTTGGAGGAGGAGAGGCGCTCTGATTTTTAGAGTTTCCAGTTTTTCTGCTCTGTTTTTTCCCCATCTTTGTGGTTTTATCTACCTTTGGTCTTTGATGATGGTGACGTACAGATGGGGTTTTGGTGTGGATGTCCTTTCTGTTTGTTAGTTTTCCATCTAACAGTCAGGATCCTCAGCTGCAGGTCTGTTGGAGTTTGCTGGAGGTCCACTCCAGACCCTGTTTGCCTGGGTATCAGCAGCGGAGGCTGCAGAACAGCGGATATTGGTGAACAGCAAATGTTGCTGTGTGATCGTTCCTCTGGAAGTTTTGTCTCAGAGGAGTACCCGGCCGTGTGAGGTGTCAGTCTGCCCCTACTGGGGGGTGTCTCCCAGTTAGGCTGCTTGGGGGTCAGGGACCCACTTGAGGAGACAGTCTGTCCATTCTCAGATCTCCAGCTGTGTGCTGGGAGAACCACTAGTCTCTTCAAAGCTGTCAGACAGGGACATTTAAGTCTGCAGAGGTTTCTGCTGCCTTTTGTTTGGCTATGCCCTGCCCCCAGAGGTGAAGTCTATAGAGGCAGGCAGGCCTCCTTGAGCTGCTGTGGGCTCCACCCAGTTGGAGCTTCCTGGCCGCTTTGTTTACCTACTCAAGCCGGGGCAATGGCGGGTGCCCCTTCCCCAGCCTTGCTGCCACCTTGCAGTTTGATCTCAGACTGCTGTGCTAGCAATGAGCAAGGCTCCATGGGTGTAGGACCCGCCGAGCCAGGCGCAGGATATAATCTCCTGGTATGCTGTTTGCTAAGACTGTTGGAAAAGTGCAGTATTAGGGTGGGAGTGACCCAATTTTCCAGGTGCCGTCTGTCACCCCTTTCTTTGACTGGGAAAGGGAATTCCCTGACCCCTTGCACTTCCCGGGTGAGGTGATGCCTTGCCCTGCTTCAGCTCACGCTCAGTGCCCTGCACCCACTGTCCTGCACCCACTGTCCTGCACCCACTGTCCGACGCTCCCCAGTGAGATGAACCCAGTTCCTCAGTTGGAAGTGCAGAAATCACCCGTCTTCTGCGTCGCTCACGCTGGGAGCTGTAGACTGGAGCTGTTCCTATTTGGCCATCTTGGTTCCACCCAGATCTTATTTTGTAGGGAATGGGAGCCATCAACATTTTTGGAGCTGGAAATGACATTATTAGATTTGTATTTAAGAAAAGACACTCTGCTGGTACAGTATAAGCACGATGGTTGAGGGGGAGCAGGAAACTGATCAGCAAGACCAATAAGTAGGCAGGAATGGTAGTCTAGGCAGGTCATGATAATTGCCTGCACTTGGCATTTGCAGTGGATGGAGAAGGAGAAGGAGGAGGGGTGCATTGCAGATCTTGGTAGGCAGGAGAATCAATATTTTAAGATTTTGGATAGATTTTGCAAAACAGAAGAGAACCCTAGGTTGGCTCCCAGATTTGGGGTTTAGACAACTAGGTAGACAGTGGTGCCCTACACCAATTGGTGGTACAGGATAAAAGAGAAAACAGATTTTGGTGACAAGAAGATGATGAGTTCAGTTTTGGGCATATGAAAGCAGCTGTGGCCCAATTAAGGGGCTTGTTGAGGAGAGAGGTCCAGGACATAGATTATATATATGTGTGTGTGTGTGTGTGTGTGTGTGTGTGTGTGTGTGTGTGTGTGTGTGTATATATATATGACAGTTATAGGATTCAGTGGCATTAGGTTAGTAGTTCAAGCTATGGGTATGAATGAAATAGCTGAAGGTTACCTGGGAAACCTAGAACTTCAGATTTGCTTTGCAGCTAGTTACCTGAGATATGTATTGTACAGAAAGGATGGAGACCTTAAACAAGAGGCTATGATAGAGATAAAAGGTTTTGGAAATTATTTCCATAAGTGTGACAGATTTGTTAATTGTTTCTTGTTGGTCTGTGGAACATCAGTAGCCTAAAAATGTCTCTGTGTGATTCAAGATTGCATCTTCTACAGAGAAACTTGCTCTGGTAGAAATGAAGATAATGAGGGCTAAAGAAACACAGAGTATATTTTATTTCCCTTTATGAAGTTTAAATTCTGTCTTTTTTAATTAACCCACAGGGATCCTTTGATATTGTATCTGACCGTAATATGTTTTATATAAAATGCCTAAGGGACTGAGTGTGAGCAACTGAGAAAACAACAGTTTGTCAATTCATGAATTGTGGTTCTATTTGATCTTCTATTACTAGAGTAATGATTCAGGTGAGTATTTTATCTTGATTCTGGCTATGAGTAAAGGAAGCGCAATTGACCATCACAGTTTTATATTTGGTACCAAAGAACCATAGCTGCCAAATATGTGTTCATTGCTAACAACTTGGATCATAATAAGCGGAAGCTTTTACTTAAGCAGTCAGTCTTAGTATAATAAGGTTTAGAGAAAGGCAGTTCACAGTTTTGCTACTTGTTCTCCAGCCATGTATTACAATTACAATTTTGTTTATTAGTGTGGAAGCATGACACTCTTTTTCAGTGAT
Source organism: Homo sapiens (assembly GCF_000001405.40). Lineage (NCBI taxonomy): Eukaryota > Metazoa > Chordata > Mammalia > Primates > Hominidae > Homo > Homo sapiens. The sequence goes on from NC_000006.12 coordinate 131,242,460, forward strand.
TTACTTTTTAGGCTTTTCCCCCCTTTTTTGCTATATATATAATTATATATATATATAATTACTTATAGACCCTTTTAATCACTTTCTTAATATTAATTGACCAAAAAGCAGATACAGATTTTTATTAAAAGGTAAACACAGAACACTAGCAGACACTAGTAGCTTGCCTATTCTGAGCCCATTTTCTTCGTTTTCACTGTGATAAAGTGGGCCTCAGGCCACATGGGCCTGACTTTTGCCCCGAAGGTGATGAGCTCCATTCTTCTTCCTAGTGATTAGTGAAGGAAGTGGCATGTGACCCAATTTCAATATATGTGAGAAGTCTGCTGGGGACCTCAGCAGTTTCTTATACTTAATCTACTGACTAGTATTTGTATTATGGGACATGGCTGCTTTCTAAGTCAAGTGCCTTTAATCTGTTAATGCTCTAGACCTTTCAAAGGAGAAACCAACATCCTTCACAAGAAGGAAAGAGACATATTTCAGAAACGCTGGTAGGGCCCAATGAGTTGATAAAAAGAGATTTAGAGGGAAGAGACTACCATTTTTTAGCTGCCAAGTGTTGGGTGTACATGTGAAGCCTAGACTTTGCTGCCATCTTGGCCATGGGGGACAGTGGGTGACTGTAAGTATGCAGGCTGAGCGTGGGGCACTAGGAGGATGAGCCGTGATGATCTTGTCAAGCCACTGAATTAACCACCCCTTGAGTGACACTACCATAGCTTATAGGATTATAGGAGATAATGACATTTCTTTATTTTTAAACCAGATGAATCAAGAATTTTTGGTATTTGCAGCTGAGTGCATCCTAACAGATACACATTTCAGTTGTGGATTAAGAAATGTGTGAACAGAAAATAGATTCAGTGGGATATTTAAACGATAGTTCTGACAGTTACCACATGTTGTTAGAAGCATCCATAAACAGACTAATCAGAATGAATACTGACATGGCGTATCGGAGGCATGTCAGCCGGGGCTGTGGTGGACCATGACAGATTTTGAGACCTGCCAAGAGCAGCCTTGATTTAACAGCATTTTATCTGGTATAAATAAATTTTCTTTTAATTGAGGATTCACTTTCATTCTTCCTTATCCCTTTAAGTGTTATTATAGGAAAAAAAGCTTTAATAATAATATATTGAGTTATTAAAGTACCTTTTATTTGAAGCTTGACATACCAGGAAATGTGACTGACTGTTGTCTTGCCCAAGGTCAAACACTGGGCCACTTTCAGAGCTAAATATAGATTGAGAGCATTCCACATAAAGAATAATTAGGACCTGTGAAAAACCTCCAATGATTTAGAAATTGTAGAACCAAATTTTCTGTTGTTTACATTGTTAAACTACAAGTAAAATCTTCTCATTGGGCCCTGTTGGTGTTTCTGAAATATGTTTCTTTTCTTCTTGTGAAGGATGTTGGTTTCTCCTCTGAAAGGTCTAGGACATTAAAAGATTAAAAGCACTTGACTAAGAAAGCAGCCATGTCTGATAATACAAATACTGGTCAGTAGATTAAGTATATTCTTTGCTTTTCCTTTTTTTTTTTTTCCAAATAAGGTTTTAACATCCAAATATTTAACTTGTTTTTGAGGAAGTAACTCATGTCAGTTTTTGTGATTTCAGTAATGCTTGAAAAAAGGTCAGACTGTAAAAAGCAGGGCTGAACAGTATCTGTCTAGAATAAGTGACTGTTATTGGCCTTTGTTCTCCTGTTACTGTTTTGGGTTAATAAAACTCCAGTATGACTTGGCACAATGGGAATGCTGGGCTCCTTCCAGCTCCCCTAAGGCCATGACTTCAAATGGGGAGCTCGTACCCTCCTTGGGCCCTGGCTCTCTCACCTACTCTGGTGGCACCCGTTGACACAAGAGTTAACTTTACCGCAAGAGCTTATGTGATGATCATATTAGCTCATAGTATGTGTTCAATAAACAGTGGATGGAATTAAACTGATAGCAGGGTATGCTGTAAATGTGAGGTGTCCAGATATGTGCTGGGACTTGTCAGCCCATCTTTCAGCCTCCTACATCCAGTGCTCTCAGTGCTCTACTGCTGTGTGTCCTCTAAGCAGGGAGATAAATTTTCCTCCCTAACTTATTTCTCAATTAAGGAGAAGGCTTTGACTATCCATGCCGTTAAATGTTGGGCCACACACATAGAAAAGAACTGACTGAATAGTAACCATGGAGTAGGCATTTGAAAATTGGCACTAAGCAGAAATGCATCAGCAGAGATTTCGGAATGACTCTTGTGGATTGGTGAAGAATAAGGACTTCTTTGGTAGCTCTTGGTATCTACTTGTTTCTTCCCCTTTCCTAAATGCACATATGCTGTATATGGCATCTTATGCTTTTATGGCTTCTGTTTTATAGAAAAAAAAATTCTCTTTCCATTTGCTATACATATTAAAATTGTATAGCATATGGCAGTTTCAAATACAAATACCTATAACTTTTAGTTTTAGAGAAAAACAAAAGCACTGTAAAGAGAAGTAAAAAGTCTGTTGAAAATATGACTAAAGTAGGAGTAATGGTTTAAAAAAAAGATTCTTGGCTTCCAAATTTCACAGTTAAGACTGATTCTTTTTGCAGGTAATTAAGAACAGGACTTAACCAGTGAGATTTATAGATAAAGTTTTTTCGGTTGTGGTTTAATGATGTTGTTTCAGAATCTTTCTCTTTGGTTACAAAATGACTACAAAGATGCAGCAGTGGCTAAACAATAAAGAAGCATCTTTTGGGTCTGGCCTATTGTGGATTGATTATTGAGAGTTGAATTCTTTTTTTTTTTTTTTTTCTTGAGATGGAGTCTCACACTGTTGCCCGGGCTGGAGTGCAGTAGTGCAACTCGACTCACTGCAACCGCCACCTCCCAGGTTCATGCAATTCTCCTGCCTCAGCATCCCGAGTAGCTGGGATTACAGGCACCCACCACCACGCCCAGCTACGTTTTTTTTTTTGTTTTTTTGTTTTTGGTTTTTTTTTTTGTATTTTTAGTAGAGACGCGGTTTCACTACAAGAACACAGAGAAACAAAATGTAATACTGGGTATGTCCATCCGATTTTCTTCAGGCCCAGAATAATTGTTTGTCTTTTTGGTACCCAGTGGCAACATAAAAATTGGAATGTATTCCAAAACATCCCAATTTCCACAAGTTATGTTTCCACGAATTGTCAAGCACTTCTTGAACTTAACATACATTTTCACTGAAATTGTGACATTTCTTGGCATAACAGTTTCCATGAGTGGGCTACCAGCTGTGTAATGAAATCTTTCTAAATTGTCTCTTTTATAGTTAAAGGTATGTCTCGTCTCCTAAGGCTTGGTTCCAAAATTTAGAAGGATAAAGTGGTTTTTCTCTTTCTTTATGCTTCATCATTTAATGTCCTCTTTTCTCTCCTCTCTTTTGAATACAAGATATTTACCATGTTTTTCCTTCTCATGTGTCTCTGCAAGTTGTCAGACTCAAATTTCCTTTAATTAGTGAGTTGGAAGCCTCAGAAGATTGGGAATTTGTACAGTTTTGGTAAGAATTGATAATTTGCATAGTTTTGTAGAGTCAGAATCTTACAGCAAGGTTTGCTTTTTATTATGACTCAGACTTTTCCATGAGGTTTCTCAGAAGTCCAAATATATATATATATATATATATATGTTCAGTTATAGGTAGAAAAAGATGCTAACCAACAGAGAATAGAGCTTTTGGTCATAGTTAAGAATTATCTTTTTCCATTAGAGACAATAATCAGAGCTGACAGTTAAAGTACATGGACAAGAGGCAGCTGCCACCCACCTCATACTTTTTAGTTTTATTGCTGCCATTTTAAACAATTGTAATAAAAAGCCCAAAATATGATAGCAAATATAGGCAACTGTCCTAACCGTGATTGGTCTGTAGCCAGGCCTGGGAGAAAAGAAAGCATGGAAAGGTTATGGTTTTAAGTTTATGAACATAGTATCATATCAGATATTTTTCCTCATCAAGGTTAACCTTCTTTTTTAAATCTTACAGTAGACCTCCATATGCTACTGAGAAGAGTGTTAATTCCCTAATAAAAGGTCATGAATATTGTCAGGGATTATGTTTGTGAATGGTCCAAGTTGCTATTTTTCCTGGAAGATGAATGTGTTCAGGGGCCATTCTGCTATTTCTGTGCTCTTAATTGAGTCGTTTTTCCAAGATGTGGCAGGCAACAGTGCTAGGCTCCAGCCCCAAAAAGGGTCTATCTTTAGGTCCTTTGTTTTGAAATAGGATTATATTACTCTAGCAGCATTAGTAAAGGGATTTGATGGCAAAACATGAGGAACCAAGGCAAGATTTTGATAGAGCTTGGTTAAATAACATTTTTCTGCATAATATTTTGAAATTGTGGTATGCTGTTTCATATTGTATATAGCTGAGTCTACACACAAATTGTGTTTAATAATACAGAACTCTGGATCAAATGCTTAGGGTTTGTAGAGCCAGACAGATTGAGTTCAGATCCCCTTATTGTCAATACTCTCCAAAAGATTTCACCCAAGTTACTTTGCTGAGCTTACGTTTTTCACCTGTAAAATGGGGATAGTAATACCACCATCTTCAGAGAGCTGTCTTAGAGATTAAATGAATGAGTAAACTCAAGTGCCTGGTGTTATGTGTCCAGTAAATGTTAGGTTTTAGAATTCTTATCTTGAATTTCTCCATTGTTTTCTATCTTTCATTATGGTTAATTCACTTAATGCTTATGAAAAAGCCTCTAACATTATCTAGCTCCCCTTCATTCATGCAGAATATCTTGATAGTTAATGACACATTTCATATGTATATATATATATATATATATATATATATATATATATATATATATGTTTTTTTTTTCTTTTTTTTTTTTTTTCCGAGATGGAGTCTCTCTCTGTCACCCAGGCTGGAGTGCAGTGGCATGATCTCAGCTCACTGCAACCTCCACCTCCCAGGCTCAAGTGATTCTTCTGCCTCAGCCTCCCGAGTAGCTGGGACTACAGGCGTGCACCACCATGCCTGGTTAATTTTTGTATTTTTAATAGAGGCGGGGTTTCACTATGTTAGGCTGGTCTTGAACTCCTGATCTCGTGATCCACCCACCTTGGCCTCCTGAAGTGCTGGGATTACAGGCATGAGCCACCGCGCCTGGCCATATTTTATTTCTTTTATAGAGACAGGGTCTCACTCGGTCACTCCTGCACTCAGGCTGGAGTACAGTGGTATGATCATAGCTCACTATAACCTTGAACTCCTGGGCTCAAGCAATCCTCCTGCTTCAGCCTCCTGAGTAGCTAGGACTAAGGCATGTGCCACTATGCCCAGCTAATTTTTAAAATTTTTTTGTAGAGATGGGGTCTCACTGTGTTACCCAGGCTGGTCTCGCAGTCTTGGCCTGAAGTGATTCTCTCACCTTGGCCCCCCAAAGTGCTGGCATTATAGGCATGAGCCATGGTGCCTGTCCCTATTCTTAATTGCACATTTTCAGAAGCAGTGCCAACAGGGAATGGTTAATAATAAAGTTAAGTTGGTAGGATTTATTGCACGAACATTATCCTCCTGGGCTCTGAGTTTGAGTAGAGGGCCTTTTTGTTTGGAGGCCAGATATATAAGCATTAACTCAAGATGGCAGCTAGTAGGGCACAAAATTGGAAGAGCAGGAGGCAAGATTACTACCTGGTGCTAGAAAGACTGAGGTGCATATAAATACAGCCATCAGACAATCTGTTCTCTTCTTCCCCTCCCCATCAAATACTATTTTGCAATGCAAATTAAAAGCTTTATAATGAACTTACCTGAATTACAGATAAAGATATCAAAACTCTGACCAGGAGGCATGAGTTTCATAACTGTTAATACCTGACATCTGGGATTTAAACCCATGGTTTCCTGACTCTAAAGGTTTTATCACTATACTGATGCTGGTGATTGGGAAATGCCAGGAGTTACTAATTTTCCTCAGTGAAGAACGTTCCCTGCAAATACATCTTCACTGAACACAAAAAGTAATGTTTAGGATAATTGTTCACTGGTTGTTAGGCTATTTCCTTTGTTATTTTGATCACAAAATCATATAATGCTAGTACTGTAGAGGATCCTAATATGCCTACTGCCTTATTTTTGGGTGAAGAAACTGAGGTCCAGAGAGGACCAAGGGCTTCTCTGGTGTTTCCTAGCTGGGTAGTGGCAGTGTTAAGGCTGGGAAGAACCACATTCTGTGTCACGTCTCCAGTGTTCAAAATTTGCTGTAGGTTCTGATGTTTCCATTTTTAGGGTTACAGGCCATTTATTTGCTTTCTGGTCTTAATAAGGTTTATATTATTGCTTTTAGGACTATTTTACATTTATATACAAAATCATTTTATATTTTAAAACATACACCTGTATTCACTCATGTATTGGTGAATTTGGGGGAATACTGGAAGAGTTTAAAGTTGCTGTTTATTTATAAGTCACTAAGCTGTGAAGAAACCCAACTGGTTATAAAAGTGGAATTTTACTTAAAATTATAATGTTCATTGTATGATAGAATGGAGTGTCCTCTTTAAACCAAGGTAAAATAAGCATCTTTACATTTTAAATAGTCTGAAAAAGTGAAAGCAATTTAAAGACATGTAATTCTCTAAACATTAATTTTAATTATGTGGATAGACCTGCCAGTTTAATCAGTCAGATCTTTGCTTTTTATTCCATAGATCTTCACAATATTTCTAATGTGGAAGTCAAAGTGCATATTAATGTACCTGTGACATATAAAAACAACTGTGTTCCTTGATAACACTCTCAAATACTCTTTGATATTTGCATCAAAATTATCAAAATTCTATCTTTCAGAAAAAAAGCATTGAAAACAGATACTAGTGTTTGCCAGCATCTTCACTGTTTTTTTTAATGCGACAAATATAATTTGTAAAATTGACAATTTTCATTTTTCCATGCTGCAGGCTCTTTTTGTTTGGATGATCATGAAAGTAGGTGGACTATGTTCAGAACCACTTGAGGTGTTCAGCATCATCCTGTTCCCTCTCCTTCTAATCCATGGGAAATAGGTGTGCCTAGCTAGTAAATAGAGGAGTAAGAAAGAATCAGGGTGGAATTTCTGGCACTATGAACAATTTTTCTTTCCTAGAGTGTCATAAACTAAGGCTATTCCCTCTATAAGATAACAGATTTTGAACAATTACATGAAATCTGTTATTTCATGTAATAGAGTTCAAAATATAGCCTTTCTTAAAATTAGTTGTTTTGCTGCCCCTGAATTTGCTCAATCACCTTGTGGCTTCATTCAGAAAGATGCCCTAATCTTTTGTCTTTTTGTCAGTGATGCATCTATATTTGGGTAATTTTCTAGGCTGTTGACATATTTGATGGTATAATTTCAAAATTAATATTATTGATTACTGCTTTACTAGGGGAATAAGGCAATATATCAGAAAGCAGGAATTTAAAAGATATGCCGTACCGTACAGATAACAGTCGATAGCCTCTTTCCCCACACTTAGCCTATCATTTCTATTGTTCATGCAGTTTGCTAGGTAGTTAATGGTACTTCATACAAGTTGTGATTCCAGTGTTCTGCTATGTTGGGTTTTCTATTCATAAACCACAATCTCCTAGGGATAAAAGAAGGCTCTTCCTCTTTAAGTAGCAGACAGAAAATATGGTTTTTTTGGGGGTTTGAATTTTCATGTGTAATTACTGCAGTTGTCTGTAGGAGAAAGGGCTCATTGTGGTTTTTCTCGACTACCTTTCTTAAAGACATATGCAAATAGCCAGACAGAACACATGGCACTGACCTATGGCCAGGGACTCACAGTTTTGTGAGAATACGGGAGCGTATAGCCACTTCCTTCACTGAATGCCAGTCCCAGAGCAGTTGCATTAGGCTGGAGGACTGGAGGTGGAGCCTTTTTTGCTCACGGCAGCAAGTTCCCTTCTCCTTTCTCTCCCCCGGCGGCGTGTGCATTGGCTCTTCAAGCTGCCTGTGCTGCTCCGTGGAGTGAAAAAGGCAGGGTGTGCTCGCAGACTGTGCTATAAACTGCAATTTCTATTTGGGGTCCTCACGGAGAAGAACACCAGGAAAGACAGACAGGACCAGTGCCATGGGCCAGCTTTGCTGCTTTCCTTTCTCAAGAGATGAAGGAAAAATCAGTAAGTGGGATTTGTACTGTGCAGAATCCTAAGTGCTTGACTATTTTGTGCGGTTGTCTTCTAGGGGTAGTTTTGCTCTTTTTTTAATGGGAAGGATAGCAGACTAATCAGCTATGGTTTTTAATGTGTGTTTCTTAAAGGGACTGGTAGGTGTGTAGTTACAAATTAACTGTAAAAGTACTGCAACTCAGTAGATGGGCTGTGTTAAAAATACAAAATACTGAAAACTCATTTCTGATTCTCCTCTGTTGGTATTCTCCCAGCTCATTTTTATCCCACTACATTAGAGTCAGAGTTTAGTTTTGAGTTTCTTTAAATCACTGCATTCGATTTGATATACTGTACAAGCCAGACTTTATTTTTCTTATCTGAAACTGGCATATTTTCAGAGCAATGCTCAACAGTAACAAATAGGTAAAGCTGGTTCTAAAATGACACATATTAGACACTTGCAGATATTTTCATGTGTCCCCTGCTTTGTTCTTCCTGGATTCAAGTGTGCCTGTGAGACCACTCTAAACAAGTGATGCCGCTTTGCTTCTAGCAGAAGCCCCATTGAACCTGCCTAAATGAATGTTGAATTCCACAGCGGCTTGTGCCTAGAAAAGACAACTTAAAGTGGTGACATTTGCACTGAATTTTGTTCTTCACTGGCTTATGTATATTCACTTACATTTTAGCTTTGTTAAATGGAATACTGGCATTTTAATTAGTATGCTGAATAGAGTTTGCCTTACCCTAGTTGCCCCGAAATAGGGAATTTTTACTTCCTTTTCAATATAATGTTTCCAGTCATACTTGCTAAATTTGCAACCACATTTGTGTCATATCAGTGCTTGATTCTAATTTAAATAGGTCCATGGAATTTCATATCTGGTTCAGATACTGAAAGATATACGTCTGGTTTATATTTCCTGCTGCTTGTTCTTCAGGAAACTAGCCAGGGACTGTTAAAAAAAAAATACATATGCTATACCTGTTCACTTGGGAAATAAGACAGTTTTTACAGTAACTCTTTGGGGAATGCTTTGGAATAAATGCTGAAGTCTCCAAACATTGGAAACTGTGGAGCATTTGATTGTTAACAAGGAGCCAATAAGCTGCGCTCTAAATTTTACTTGTGAAAGGATACTGTAAAGTGTGTGACAGTCCTGCTCTTACAACTTGAGATGACCTTACAACAAAGTCATTCACTTTCTAACAAAGACCATTGGCATTCATTTGGCAGCCCAAGACTCTTCAGATTATTTGTCAGAATGATTTATTTGTAGTTCCTGAAGATTTGGGTTGGTTGATCTTTTTCTTGGGGAATGCTCCTCTCTGAAAAACCTTGGCATGGGCCGATGCAGGGATAGTGAATTCTTTCCCCACCCTCTTCACTTTCTGTTCCACTGCTCAGGGTTTTCCCCTGGAGTGCCTGCTCTCCTGCTCTGTTTCTCTTCTTCCCCTGTCTGTAAGCATCTTTTGGCTCCATCTGAAGACGTCAAGTTTCAACTCCAGAAGGAATTTGTTCTTTTCTGTCTTCCTTATCAGGGACTGTTGAAGAACAGTCTTCTGTTTTACATACAGTGCTTCCTAATATTGATGGACAGGAAGTAATATGTACTGCTTTTGGGGCTTACTGTTTCAAATTCCAAACTTTAAGAAAAAAATGAAGATAGAACTCTATATCTGAAATGAAGCCCGAGTCTGGAGGTGCAAATTATGGTTAGAAGAAATGCATTTGCACCCCTGCCCCCATTCACTCCTGATGGCCCCCTGGGTCCTCTCCATTTTCTGCCCATCATTCTTTCATCTGTCTGATTTTGTGGTTACTTCACTGGTTTTCTCTTCCTAATCTGCTTCATACTCCGTTCACACTCCCCATGGAAACACATATGCACATTGTAGAGCTGTTTCCTGATGCAGTGTTTAATTTCTCTGGTACAGGATGGTCTAAAGATAGGCTTCTGTGCCAGGCATCACTGTCCTTCTGGTAATAAGTGCCTAACAGTACTTATAAAGGGGACATTTAAAAAGTGGCAGAGAATTTATTGCTCAGCGTGCCTCAAGGAACATATAAATTAGCACAAACTGTGGGTATCTAGTCTGTAAGTTGTGCTGATAATGTGAAAGAATCCATAATAGACATTTGGGAGGGTCCAGCTTTTTTCTGATCTTGCTGCTCGATTGTACCGTAACCTCCTGGGTCTTATTTATCTTTGTGTCATCTCCTAATAGCCTTGTTAGCCTACTCTGAGCAATGTACTCCTTGAGCATCTACTAAAAGCAGAGCACAAAAATGTGAATACTCACTTCTTCTAATTCTGTAACAGGCGGTGGCCCTAGAATGTTCCTCCTTGAAGGTAGCCCAAATTATGGAGAATTTGATGAGTTTTTGGTGAAAGTTTAAATTTGTGGGTGTTATTCTCAAAACACAGGTGAGTTGGAAAGCTCGTCCTCTGCAGTCCTACAGAGATACAGCAAGGATATACCCAGTTGGTCAAGTGGTAAGAGTCAAGTGACCCCTCCCCTCTCCTGCTGCTATTTTATCCTGCTTTTGCCGTTTGGTGGTGGTGGTAGATAGAAATAATTCTAATTTAATTGATTTATTAGTGCTACTGTTTTAGTCTATTGATAGCAAATGATGATTTTTTTAAATCAACTAGTTGTGTGGGAGCCTAAGCTGTAGAAAGTTAACTATATGCATACCCAGAAATATTCTTATGCAATTTGAATTGATACATAATCGTTGTACATATTTATGGGGCATGTGATATTTTGGTACATGCATGCAATGTGTAAGGATCAAATCAGGGCAATTAGGATATCCATCACCTCAAACATTTATCATTTCCTTGTGGCGGGAATATTTCAACTTCCAGCTATTTTGGAATGTACAATAAATGTTTTTAACTATAGTCACCTTACTGTGCTGTCAAACATTAGAACCAATTCCTTCTATCTAACTGTGTTTGTACCTATTAACCTCTCATCATCTTTCTCCCCTACAACTTCCCAGCCTCTGGTAACCATCATTCCACTCTATCTCCATGAGATCTACTTATTTATTTATTTATTTATTTATTTATTTATTTATAAGCTCCAACATAGGAATGAGAACATACAATATTTGTCTTTATGTGCCTGGCTTATTTCACTTCCTGTAATGACCTACATTTCCATCCATGTTGCTGAAAATGACAGGATTTTATTCTTTTTTATGGCTGAATCGTATTCCATAGTATATATATACCACATTTTCATTATCCATTCATCTATTGATGGAAAGTTAGGTTGATTCCGTATTTGGCTCTTGTGAATAATGCTGCAGTAAACATCGGGGTGCAGGTATTCCTTTGATACACTGATCTCCTTTTCTGTGGATAGATACCCAGTAGTGGGATTGCTAGAAATTTTGCCAGTGGGCTGAATAGTCAAATACAGCAGAGCTTGTCATGGTTTATTTATTAATTAGTGCAGCACAAAACACTTTTTTGTTTAAATCTTGGAAATTAAACATTTTTCCAAACTGTATTTTTCACCACAGTAAGTAGAATACACTGCCAATAAATTCATGTTTCTTGGAAGATTAGGCTCTTTCTCTTGCTCTACGGGAACATTGTTAACATTAAAAATTACTGGAAATATTATAGGTTTAACAAATACTATAGGTATTTTCCAATGTAGTTTTTGCTGACTACTTATATAGAACTTGATTTATTTGAATTACCTAATTTCTCATATTGAGCTGCCTGAAAGGAATGTCTATCATGAACAGAAATGTCATTGCAGATAACCCACAGTGGTCAATATTGCAGAGGCATATGGACCACTCTGGGTTATCTATCTTATTAAGCAAACCTCACAAGAAAACTTAATAACTATGTAGATACCTCTGTAACTAATTAGAAAACATTTTATTTTCTCTTTTGCTGTTGCTGATTTTCCCATTTTGAAGTACACTGCTTTTATGTAGAATTAAATGGATGAATGGTAAAGATGAACTGACCTACCTCATGAGTTAGTCTCTTGTCACTGAAAGTATTCAAGGACAGGATGGGGACATCATAAGGACATCACCTTCTAGGGATGTTGTAAGGGGAGAATGGACTTGCTAATGAATGAATGCACTGACAACTCAGTTTCTTTCTAGTCCTGATATTCTGTGATGGCTGAAAATAAAATATTAGAATAAGTATGTGTTTTAACAAGACACATTTTAATTTTATACATGAAATATGTGTTAGTATAGTCTTTTTGTGTGGGATGAATTACTGGGACCATTTATAGTACTCATTTTATAAATATGAGTCAAATGTTGAGATAATTTCTGATATTACATTAATCCATAAATTGAGGTATGCAGTGTGGATTTAATGTCTGGTGAATACATATATATAACCGTAATTACCATAAAGGTGATCAAATTTTACACAAGGACATCTATATTTAGATTTTCCAATTACCTAGAAGTCATCCTAGAAATCCTATAGCCTTATACTTTGCTCTTCTCATTTGCACCTAAGATATGCTGACTTCATGGTTACCTTTCACATGTCTGCTCTATCTTATCACATGGATTTCAAACACCTCGTATTCAGGGTAGGTGTCGTACATCTCTCTTAGTGGCACCAGACCCTAACATAGCGTGTTACCCAGAGGAGGCATGTTCTAAATGTTTGTCGATGAAGGGAATGATACACATTTCTTGTGAGTGTGAGAGAGCTTCAGTGTCAATCAGCCTATCAGATGATAGAATATGGAATAACTGGTTAATGTTGGAACCCATGAAGAGCTTTGGTTACTGAACGTACCAGAGAAACATTTTAACAGGCTCACACTTAGACTTTACATTCTGGGCCCCAGGGAATGAGGATAGGGAACCTCCCATCAAAGGACAGTGACACTTTATTTTTCTTCCTTGCCAGTAAAAATGTGTTTGCCCACAGGGGACACAGCATAACTCCAGTTCTGCCACTGCCTGTTAAAAACATATGGCCCATTGCTTGGCATGCAGTTCTTACTGTAGACAGAGCACAGGCCTGGGAGGACAGAGAGCTGGATGGGAAACCCAGCTCTGCTATTACATCCTGTCTGTCTGAGCAAGCTGCTAACATCTCAGGGCTTCAGTTCCTCAGATTTAAGAAGTGGGGGTTGAACTACTCTTGTTTAATTCATATTTTCTCATTTGCCCCTTAGAGCTAAGAGTCTAGGGAATAAAAGAATGAGTGATATAGATGTGATGCAATTCTTTCTCTTCCTCCTCCTCCAAATCTTCCTCTTTGACTTCCCCTCTTTTTCTCCTCCTCTTAATTTATTTAATGTTTACTGTGTGCCAAGTACTATGCTAGGATTATGTTCAAGACTGCTTATTAAATGCAACTGTTAGAAAATAGATGCTCCCTGTCTCATTTAAGAGTGCAAGTTGCTGAAAGCCAGAAGTGTGGGGGATTTCTCAGTTACAGTCTCCCGGGGTGCCATGGGGCTGAGAGCTGGTAGAAGGCTGGGATCCTAGGCAGCTCAGCATCTGCTGCCCTCTTTCTGAAGCAGTGAAGCCAGAGGTATTGTGTGTAACCTGAGACTACATTTTGCGTAAGATTTCTGTGGGTAATATTGTGGTAGCAGCAGGAATGGTGTGCAAGGTAAAACAAACATTTAACCATAGTCACTAAAGGTTAGATTTTCCCTTTATTAAATAATTTGTAATTAGGAGGCTTATGTTTCTAAAATCAAGTAAAGGAACATTAGAGCAAATGCTAGTACTTACTATTCTTATCTTACCTTCCTGATTCCATCTATTAATTCATAGGCTATGTGGTAACTGGATTCCTTCTTGTTATTCTGACATTTTTAGAGTTTGCAGGATTCTACCATCAAATGTTGAATAATTTCCATGAGGAATAGCAAGGTTGTAGAATTATTCCCAGCCCCCAGTAGAGCCATTGACTGCCATGAGCTGTATCCAAAAGCCCTGTCCTTCAGCAGTGTGATGTGGTCTGTCCTGTGTCATCTTCCTGGGGGGCCATGAAAGAAGCAGCAGGACTCTGATATACCGAAAGCTTTTGGCTAATAAAAGAAAGTTTCATATCTGAATTACTCCTTCCTGGGACATTATTATTATTATTATTATTATTATTAAAGAGATGGCCCAAGCAGGTCTCAAACTCCTGGCCTCAAGTGATCCTCCCACCTCGGCCTCCCAGAGTATTGGGATTATAGATGTGAGCCACTGCACCCAGCCATGGATTTGCATTTTAATAAGACCAAATTATCCCAAGTGCTCTTGGGAAATATTTATAGTAAAATAATGAAATAAAAAATAAAAGATAAGCAGTGATGATGACAGCCCAACTCAAAAGAGTTTCAAAATTCTCAATGTCTATATGGTAGAAAAATGGAGGCTCTAGAGACAAAATGGCTCAGTTTGCACTTTTGGTTCTGACATTTACCGTTTAACTTCTCTAAGATTTTTTTCTGTGCATTTGTCTTAAACAGTATCTACCTATTGAGAAAATTAAATAAGCTAATGCCTATAAAATTCCTGACACTGTGCTTGGCATATAATAGACTCAGTAAATATAAATTTCTTTGCAGCAAATAGTGTGTTAATTGCATAGCCGCAGTAAGAAGTCAGCTTGAGCTTGGGCAACATGGCAAAAATTAACTGGGTGTGATAATGTGTACCTGTAGTCCCAACTACTCGGGAGGCTGAAGTGCCATGATTGCACCACTGTACTCCAGCCTGGGTGACAAAGTGAGGCCTTGTCTCAAAAAAAAAAAAAAAAAAAAAAGTCAGCTTGGCAGAACTATGCTTTTATTTCTACCTTATGCAGTAGAGATAAAAAGGCACTTGGAATGTCAGACCTTGAATTTTTGAG
The DNA here is from genome assembly GCF_000001405.40 of Homo sapiens. NCBI lineage: Eukaryota > Metazoa > Chordata > Mammalia > Primates > Hominidae > Homo > Homo sapiens. Next base: position 131,257,477 of record NC_000006.12, read on the forward strand.
TAGACTTGCAGCATTGATCTGCACAGCCTAATTTCCTATGGGGAATGGGGAACTCTTTCCCCCACTTCTTGGGGTCTTGTCCATCATGAGGCCTTACTTCCTGCCCCAGGAGAGACATGTGGTCCTAGCAAAGTCAACCATGATCTTCCTTGAGATTTGATAGAGAGCCTGTCTTCCTTTTGGGTTGTGAGCAGAAAGGCTGTCATCCTAAGATCACAGTACTTGGTACTGTAGAGCAAGTACCATCAGGAAGAGTCGTTCTGAGAATGGAGCCAGCACAGAGGAAAGTAAGCCTAGGGAAGGAGAGAGTCCTGATGAGTGTCTGAGCCTCTGAGTTCAGCCATGCCCAAGACCTTCTGCACTACATGAAGCAGTAAATCCTCCCTTTTTTCTTTGTTTACACTTGCTTGATTTAGGGGACACTCAGTGTGTATATAAGTAGAAATAAAACCATAGTTATGCCAAGCTGACTTCTAAGGTGACTGTGGTTACACAATTAATACACTTTTTTTGTTGCAGGGAAATTATATTTTCTGAGTTTATTAGATGCCATGTCCCAGTGTGTATTCCGAAACAAATATTACCAAACCTAGTGAAGAAGTGAGAGTTCTCTGACTTACTATTCATGTTCCATTTTAGTTGCAATGAAATGTAGCCTTAAGTCAGAGCTGCTGTTAAGGAATAGCAGGTTCACTTCAATTAATGTTGTTGAGCCCATGATTCAGAAAACTCTGAGCCAGGTGTTCTGAAAGGTATGATGATGAGTAACACATGCTTCCTACTAATGGATTCTTTCTTTAAAAAGTTACATGGCCTTGTAAAAAGAAATCTGTGAGACCTCAAAGTTTATTATGCCTTGAACGTAAAAAGCCAAGATAAAGGATATTGATTGATGCTTTCAGTCTAACAAGCAAAGCCATGCCTCTTACATGCCCAGGGAGTTCCATAGCTAAGTCACTGAGAGTGAGTTAATTACTACCCAAATTGGAAATTACCTTAAGCTTCTATCCCAGGCAGGATTTACAACTTGACATGAACAAACAGTTCCTACAGCAAACATCTTAGCAAATAAAATCTTCTGTGACTAACATTCATAATGTGAGTTACAAGTTAACAGACCTTGAAACTATTAAAATAAATCTTTCAGTTGCATGGTAAAGTTCTTTGCCCTTAGCAAATAGTCATAGACAAAAGCGGAACTGTATGATGAAAATATAAAGAATAAGTATAGCTTTAACTTAAATTATATGGTAACTAGAACATAAATGTTGTTAATTTTATTAAAGGTTAAATCAGAGATATTTGAGGCTTATAATTTTCTGCACTTATTTATATACTTTCCCCCAAAACTTATGAATTTAGTCAAGAACATTAATAAACCTATTATGTATCTATGTAGTGCCAGGGAGAAAGTGATATACAAACAAGATGCTTGGTGTGGATTGACAGAGGATCTCATATTCCCAAGGGAGTCAGAGCTCACCTAGTTACCTAGTTTGTAGTGCTGATGGGAGAGGGAAGAAGGAATCAGGTGGAAAGGGTGATTCACTCTAAACGACCTGGCTCAGAGCCCCTCCCCGGCTTCTCTCCTGACTTCGAGGTCAGATAGTAGTTGTTGGCATTTGCCATGTGAATTACATCAGGCTTCAGTTTGATGTCTCATATCTGACTGTTTAAGCAAAAATATAATTCACACTTTCTAAGCATTTTAAATGTTCAGCTAAAGTTAGCTGTGAAATGCAGCCTTTTCAGGATTTGATTGATAGCTGATAAACTGGCAAGCAGATGACTTGTTAATCTCAGACTTTCTATCTAGGGCTATTGTAGTCAGACTTTGTTTAGAGTACTGGCCAGCTGGAGTGTGACCTGAGGGAGGCCAGGATGGTGACGAGCCTGGAAACCACATCACAAGAGGAAAGCTGAAGGACTCAGGCAGCTTAGCTGGGAGGAGAGAAGGTAGAAGAATTAGTGGTCTTAGAACATTTAGAGGGCTCTTTAATGTGGAAGCAAAAGAAGAGTTGTTTTGTATGGCTCTAGGGGAACAGAATTAGGACAGTGAGTGTTAGTTTAACACATTTTCTTTTGGTGGTCTTAGAAGCCAGTGGTAAAGATACATTAAACCCAGTAGTATTCTAATTATGTTTGCAGTAAATCTTGTTTTAAACAATGAAAATACTGAAATGGGATCATAAAATAGAGAAGTTCTCATAGTCAAATTTTGTATTAGTAATTCATAATAAATTGCCTGAGAGAAGATTTTTTAAGGCAGAATTTTCAAACTATTTTAAGTCACCGAACAATTTAAATGGAAGAGCAAAATTTTTTTAAATTTTATTTTAAGTTCTGGGATACCTGTGCAGAGTGTGCAGGTTTGTTAGGTAAATGTGTGCCATGGTGGTTTGCTCCACCCATCAACCCATCACCCAGGTATTAAGCCTTGCATGCATTAGCTATTTATCCGGATACTCTCTTGCCCCTCATCCACCCAACAGGCCCCAGTGTGTGCTGTTCCCCTCCCTGTGTACATGTGCTCTCATTGTTCAGCCCCTACTTGTAAGTGAGAACATGTGGTGTTTGTTTTTTTTTTCTGTTCCTGTGTTAGTTTGCTGAGGATAGTGGCTTCCATATCCATCCATGTCCCTGCAAAGGACATGATCTTGTTCCTTTTTAAGGCTGCATAGTATTCCATGGTGTATATGTACCACATTTTCTTTATCTAGTCTATCATTGATGGGCATTTGGGTTGATTCCATGTCTTTGCTATTGTGAATAGTGCTGCAATAAACATACGTGTGCGTGTATCTTTATAATAGAATGATTTATATTTTTTTGGGCATATACCCAGTAATGGGATTGCTGGGTCAAATGGTATTTCTGGTTCTGGGTCTTTGAGGAATCTCCACACTGTCTTCCACAGTGGTTGAACTAATTTACATTCCCACCAACAGTGTAAAAGTGTTCCTGTTTCTCCAGCCTCGCCAGCATCTGTTATTTCTTGACATTTTAATAATCGCCATTCTAACTGGTATTAGATGGTATCTTATTGTGGTTTTGATTTGCGTTTCTCTAATGATCAGTGATGCTGAGCTGTTTTTCATATATTTGTTGGCTGCACAGATGTCTTCTTTTGAGAAGTGTCTGTTCATGTCTTTTGCCCACTTTTTAATGGGGTGGTTTGTTTTTTTCTTGTAAATTTGTTTAAGTTCTTTGTAGATTCTGGATATTAGCCCTTGGTCAGATGGATAGATTGCAAAATTTCCTCCCATTCTTTAGGTTGTCTGTTCACTATGATAATAGTTTCTTTTGCTGTGCAGAAGCTTTTTAGTTTAATTAGATTCCACTTGTTAATTTTTGCTTAGAACACCAAAATTTTCATGAAAAAATGTCTACCTTTTTATTTTCCTTAATTTATAGTCACTATTAAATGAATATTTTAATGGCCCGGCACAGTGGCTCATGACTGTAATCCCAGCACTTTGGGAGGCCGAGGTGGGTGGATCACCTGAGGTTGGGAGTTTGAGACCAGCCTGACCAACATGGAGAAACCCCTTCTCTACTAAAAATACAAAGTTAGCTGGGCGTAGTGGCACATGCCTGTAATCGCAGCTACTCAGCAGGCTGAGGCAGGAGAATCGCTTGAACCCAGGAGGTGGAGGTTGCAGTGAGCTGAGATTGCACCATTGCGCAACAAGAGCGAATGCAGCCTGGGCAACAAGAGCAAAACTCTGTCTCCAAAAAAAAAAAAAAAAGAATATTTTAAATTAATGGCTTTAAGACCAACAAATATGCTTTAAGATAGAAGTATAACATACAAGTTTGGGCTCAAATACATTGTTGTAACACTTACATACCACATAAAATACCAATTATTGAACTAATGGTAACAGCTGGCAGTTGGTACCAATGAATCCTAGAGATAATAAACTAAGGTGTAATGTCTATTGTATTATTGTCTTTATAAATAAAATTTTTATGAAACTATTTTGTCCACATTTAGGTTTAAATTAATTTTCTCTAAAATTAGTTTGGTAAATTTAACATAAAAATTCATTGAGATGCTATTATATACCCAGTACTGTACTTAACCTACTGAACCTCCAATGTAAAATCAGATTTACAGATTTTACAGAGCCTAAAAATATGTAGTAAAACTGTTAAATTTGAATATTGAAAGACATAAATTGTTTTATGGAGAATCAAGTTCATGAAATACGCATTTTTTTCTAAAAAACTTCAAGCTCATAGCTGTTCCTTTGTACCCTTTGCCTCTGTCGTTCATGTCTTAGTCCGCTGTAAATAAAACATTGTGGGGGGGAAATGAAGAAGTAGTTTGTATCATTTAGAATCTAACCAAGAAAATAGAAACTACACCAGTTGCTTTAACAGAGAGAATTTAACGTAGGGAATTAGTTAAGTAAGTTTTGGAGGAATAAAGGGTGGAAAGGCAATACTGAGGGAAAAGATAGTAACTTTTAGGCTGGGTTACTTGTGGGAAGGACCCCCACATAGCCGAGACTCAGACCTTTGAGGAGAGGTTACTGTCTCCAAGGAGGTGTCCCAGTAACACAGAATAGGGACCGTCAAAGCTGGGCTTCTGGCTTTTGAGGAGGGGACATTGGCCAACTTTGCTATTGTCTCTAAGGGAATGCAGTGAGGCTGATACCAGGAGGGAAAAGATGAAAACTAGAGCCATCTGCTATTGGAACCAGTTGTTGGGGCAACACTGATGAGAGTAATGAACAAATAGCAAAGGGCAAGATCCTGTTCCCTTTGCGCAGCTGTCCAGTTTCTCTCTGCCTCCCCCTCTTGGCAGAACTTTTAGCAGATCCAGCGGGCAAAGGAGAAATAAGTGAGTTGAGTCCCAGCTCTGTTATCATAAACCTGAGTAAGGAAGGGTGGGCTTGGAGCTGAGGGGCAGTGGTTTAATAACTGGCACATCGTTGTTGGCTACACATTTTGGCAATATCTTTTTTCCCCATTGTTCCAAGGTGAGCATTTTGTTTATGCCAATGTTCTTATTTCTTTTGGGACAAAAAACAATAACCGTATTTTAAAATGATGTATTTTTCACAATAAAATTCCATAATTTTTTACAAAGTATGCAAAGATATGACCACTTCAAAAGAAATAATTTTTAAAAAAATATATATATATTGCAATAATTCAAGTTAGTTGTTAATAAGACGTTTCCAAGGAAAACTCTCACCTAGATCAATTCAACAAACTTAAAAAGAACAAATCATTTGAAAACTAATCTTTCAATAGTTTTGAACATTCTTTAAAAATAATTTCTTCTAAGTTTGTTAACCACGTGTTCTGCAATGTTATAGTATTTTTATATTTTGCTAAGCCAATTCTCTCAATCCATATTAATGATATCCACTGTCAATCTATGATATAGGGAGATAGCAAATTAGATTGGAGTTAAACCTGCAGCCAGGTAGAGATTAGCATTTGAGAATAATAAGCTGTGTTCTCACGGCTTCAGGTTTAAAGGGGACCAAAGGCTCAGACGTCAGGGGGCCAAAGCAGTGGCTAGAATGTTCTGAAGTCTGAGGAATTCTTAGAAGGATCTGGGAACTAGTCAGCAGAAACAGAAAAGGGCAGTAGAGCCAAGGCAGTGAGAGGATAGATGCCCGGAAGTGGCATACATCAAGGCAAATCTGTTCTAGTTTTTATTAGAAGGGAAAATGTAATGGCTCACCTATGCAAACAACATGAAAGGGGTAGAGATCAGCCTTGAGACCAACTTACAGACACCACCTCTCCATCTCTTCTTTCAGCTTCTGTTCTCAGCCTCTTAGGTTCCCTTGCTGGTAGGGCTCTGGCTTCCAGAAGCTTCTGTGTCGTCACTCTCTCTGGCTTCACTCAGTGATGGGGATATGACTTCCAGCATTTCTGGAGAACACCCTTACTGCTTGACATTCAAGGAGAATGAGTTTCCCTCTCCTCATTCCCATATATGAAATTTGAGGAAAGGTACAGGTTGTAAACTACAATGTGTATGCAACCTGTGAGGCAGTATACACATTGAAGACATTGTAATTTGTGTGTTATGGTGTAAAGTGCCTTTCTATACAAACGAAAGCAGCATGTTGTGAAAATTTCCCAGAAGATGGAAATGAAGTGTCTTAAGGAAGGGTCACTTCTTAAAAGATCCATGCAGAGCATCATATGGACCTGTGGTAGCTCTGGATCAACAGCCCTACTGGAGCCAGAGAGAATGTGAGAGGAGCAGTTACCAAGGGGACAGGTGCAGTGGATACTTTTATAAGAGAAGGGTGAAGGGTAGGTGAGGAAGGGATTTGGGGCAGACCATTGTAAAGTGGATGTGGCCTAGAGCCCTGGAGTGGGGCGGCAATGGAGTAGCCACTCTGATCCTAAGCTACTGTGGTGTGTGCTTTGGGCTCTTGGCAATGAGAACCACAATGCATCTCCTTTCACTCTGAATTTTGGGAAGCTCAGAACTCAAAACTTGGCTATGGGGATTTGCACCTCCATAATCTGTTTTTCCCCCCATTCTTTACTTGCTATTATAATTTATGTTTCCTTTGGGTCCTGATTTTTACTGAGAGTGTATCTTTTGCTCTATTTTTTATGCCATTAATTATATCCAGTCTTTTGGGGATTTAACCAAAAAGGAATGACTGGATGGAAAGCAGCCCTGTGACTGAAAGTATGTGTTGATTGTACAAGGAAGGTGAGAGCAAAGCTGAAACTGTGGATGATTGCGACGTTTACCACATGTGCTTAACATGTGTTCTCAGGTAGATAGTACTTGGAAAGTTGCATATAAACTGAACTTGATTCAGTTTGGTGCATCTAGAAACCTAAAACTGTATGTATCACACTATTTCTGCTGTGGTCTGTTTATGTCTGCTGGAAGCCTTTTGCAAGCATAACTAGGAGTAGCTCTTCTCTTTACCTATCATGGAATATCACTTAGTAGCAAAAGAATGTAAATGTTAGCTATATAGAACAGTGCATAAAATTATTGTTTACAGTTATTTCAACACTGTTTCAAGAAATATATTGTATAAAGTGAGTAGGTTTCCCATATTATGTTTGCTTACAGAAGTGTTTATCAGGAAGATCATAAATAAATAGCCTTGTAACCTTCTAACTTGAAAGAGGGTCACAGTGTCTCTTTCATTTAAATCAAATGGTGATAATAGTAGCTATGTTAGGCCATTTTTGTGTTGCCATCAAGGAATACCTGAGACTGGGTAATTTATAAAGAAAAGAGGTTTCATTGGCTCACAGTTCTGCACGCTGAACAGGAAGCACGGTGCTAGCATCTGCTTCTGGTGAGGGCCTCAGGAAGCTTGTACTCATGGCAGAAGGTGAAGTGGGAGCAGGCACATCACATGGCAAGAGCAGGAGCAAGAGAGGGACTGGTGAGAAGTGCCACATTCTTAAACAACCAGATCTCACATGAACTTAGGGTGAGAACTCACTCATTATCATGAGGACAGCACCAGGCCATTTATGAGAGATCTGCCCCATGATCCAAATACCTCCCACCAGGCCCCACCTTCAACACTGGGGATTATATTCCAATATGAGATTTTGAGGGGACAAACATCTAAACCATATTAATAGCTCATTTTATTGATTGCTATACTATAGGCCAATCATGATGCTAAGTGCTTTGTATTATTTTCTTTCTTTTTTTTGAGACAGAGTCTTGCTCTGTTGCCCAGGATGGGGTGCAGTGGTGCAATTTCGGCTCACTTTAACCTCTGCCTCCCGGGTTCAAGCGATTCTCATGCCTCAGCCTCCCCAGTAACTGGGATTACAGGCATGTGCCACCACACCCAGATAATTTTTGTATTTTTAGTAGAGATGGGGTTTCGCCATGTTGGCCAGCCTGATCTCAAGCTCCTGACCTCAAGTGATCCGCCCGCCTCAGCTCCCCAAAGTTCTGGGATTGCAGGCAGCTTTATATGATTTTCTTACTTAATTTTGACAGCAGCCCTGTGGTGTAGAACTACTGTTTTCCCTGGCTCACAGATAAAGTGGGCCATAGAGGGGCTGAGCAACTTTCACAGGGATACTGAGGAGGGAGTTGGGGAGCTAGGATTCCAGCCCAGGTAATCCTGACCCTGTAACTCAAGAGAAAGCAATATAAATAGTTTCTGGTTAGCAGTCTCATTTTAGAACAAAAAAAAATTACAGAAGCTATCATAGAAATACAGTTCCATTTGTCAGATGTGGAACAGCATTATGGTATAATGGCAAAAGTGTGATGTTTTGGAGCCACATAGGTCTACATTTCACTTTGTCAGTTTTTAGTTTTGTAGACTTCGGCAAGTCTCATGGCTTCTCTGACTCTTGTTTGTAAAGGAGTGATAATAGAAAGCTTTTTGACTTCAATGTGTGGGGGGAAAACCCAGGCACATAATAGATGCGTACTATGACGTCTGTTTGTTATTACTAAAAGGATCCATAAATATAATTGTCACAACTAAGTAAAGAAATAATACGTGTTGGAAAATACAAGTGTGCAGAGTTTGGGGGCTTAATGAGCAGGACACTAGATCTTGGAAGCAGCTGGTGGTGAAAGAACACAGCCCCTCACCTCCAGAGATCCCGGGAGGAGACCCTCAGCAGCCTCAGTGGGGCCAACTCTGGCTTACTCTTCAGGAAGGAACAGTAGGACATTGTAGAGGACAAGACTGGGATTGTCTCTGACCTCCTCCTTCTAATCATCGCCTCGGTTCCCTGCTTTCCACACAGAAATTAATCTTGCCTTTAGGGTGGCCTGTGGGGGAAGCCCAGCATGCTAGTGACTGTTCTTAGTCCATCCTAGTACACATGCACTTGTTCCCCACAGAGAACTGAAATTCCTTTGCCTGGGAGCAGTTCGTGCACATGTGAAGATCAAGAGCTTGAGAAGCAAATGTCAACTGATGGGTCAAATTAATTTATATTTACATGTCATCAGTGTACTATTACTCAACAAGTTTAAATGCTAGTTCCATTTCCTACAGTAAGAATTTACATTTTCAAAGAACCTTAATAAACAGTATACATCACCAAAGAGAACTTTAAAACAATTTAGTTTTTGTCTGAATACTTTTTGGAGCCTCTTGTAAATTGATAATTGTAGGCCACTGAGAAGAGAAATATCCTAAATTACTTTCTTCAGTCATTCTTCATGAAGCTAAAGCAATAAATTTATGAGATCACCAAGCTGCAGGGGTTTTTGTTGTTGTTGTTGTTGTTGTTGTTTTTTAACGGTGTGCTCTGTCTCTCTGTTCATTTTTATGATATTTCTAGAAAAGTTGGCCAAAGATGACCCTTTCTCTTGATTTTGTTGTAATGATTAATCAACTTATCTTCAAGTTCTCTTTAGCATCACACTCTATTTGACCCATTATTATTACTTTTATAATTCTCGATAAACTTGGTTGACAGATTGATTAGTATTCACAAGCAAGATGTACTGACCAAATATTTCTGTGTACCTGGAGTTTCATGTTCAGACTTCAAAGAAAAACAGTGGCAGTTAAACCTATTTTATGTGTTTGCTAGCTGAATAATTAGAAAAATTCACAGGGTAAACCATATTCTACTCACTCATCCAAAAAGCATTTGGTTTAGGATTAGTCAGCTGAGTTAAAGATTGCAGAGCTAATTTTGAATAATTTTAAAAAATATTATGAAAAAATATTTTAATATAATGTTTTCACCCTGTGATGTTTAAAGTATTTGTGATGCTCTTGGTCACTTTGTAGTTTTGCTTACATTTTAGGCCCTCTCACTAAGCATAATGACTGGATATTGGCATCAAAGATAAAATGAAGCAGCATCACTAGTCAGTGACATATCTTATGTTTTCCCATAAAATAATAGGAATGTTCTGAGACCGAAGCTTACATTTCATAACATGAGCAGTTTTCTGAAAGTCGAATTTTCTTTAGCGTTATACTTCACAGGTTGAAATAAGCAACCTTGAAGACGAGCCTTAATAATTTGTGTATGTCTTAGAATCTGGAAGTGCAATTTGATCATAGTAGGTGCTTGAGAAATAGTTGATATGCAGACTCTTCAGTGTGTCCCCCTGGAGCCTTCAGGGTCTCTCCCTTGCATAAGTTTCCAGGCTCATCATTCTCCTCCCGCCCACCTCATCAGTTACTTAACCAGAGCAAGTTTTGCTGCTATAAAACAAGCCAAGCTGGTCTTAACTCTCTCTCTTGTGGCATTTCTTCCCTGGCCCACTTGAGAAATACTTATTCATTCTGTCTGATCCAGCTCAAACATCACCTCCTGCAATTCACTTTTTGAAATATTTTCCCCTAGACGGAATTCACTGCTGTCTACTTTGTGTACCCTTGTATATCGTACATCTTTCCTTGAGAGCGTTCATGATCTCTTATTTATTTAATGTGTTTCTACCTGTACTGAATTGCAGGTTTCCTAAGGCAGGGCCCATGTCAGATTCATTTCTGTATTTATAGCACAATGCTTATCACAAAAGAGGATGCTCAATGAATACTTGGGGAAAGATGAAAGCATGGGAAGGAAGGAAGGGAAGAAGGGAGAAAGGGAGGGAGGACTTGTATTGCATTAGAAGGAAGGGAGGGATGGAGGAAGTAATTGTATTGCATTAATCAGGACCATTATTTAGTATTGGACATTTCAAGCTGAGAATTTTCTGTTTTCTAATTAACCAATCATTAATTATGTGCTATTTCTCACATAATATTTCTCTCTCGTATACCTTCACTTTCCCAGGATGAGAGCACTGTGAAGTATATCTGCCTGGGGGTGGGTGTCTTGGATGAACTAAGCTTCCTAATTCGTAGTGAGGGAATTATCAGTTTCCATCACTACTGCTATGTGATCATAGGCAATTTATACAAGTCTCATTGTTCTACCTGTAAGTGGGAAGAATGACACTTAATTTACCTCTTAAGGTTTCTGTGATAACCAAATGCAATAATGTTTCCGAAAACACTTTGGAAAGTATGAAGTGTTACCTGAACAAGTGGAAAAAAGTGTTCCTGTGACTGCTGTTAGTGAGCTGGCATCATGGGAATTTTCTCAGCCTGCGAAGCCCTCTGAGTTTGGTGTGTCCTTACTGCTTATAAAAGGAGTGAAGTGTATTTGCAACTTATGGTTTATTTTACTAGATTACATTAATGGCAACATTTATTCTGCCGACGTACATCGGTGAACATTGCCTTCAGAACAGGAAAGTGACCTTATTTCTGCTCATATCAATTCCTAGCCTAGGATAATCAGCCTATAAAGAAAAGTCTGTATTCTCATGAGCAGGTGTGTTGGCCAAATATGTAAAAATTAATTCCAGTTTCATGCTTTTAAGTTTTAGGTAATGCTCTCTTAAAATACATGATAAGAAATTACATGAATGTAATAATATTTAGATTCTAAGGAGTCCTTCATTTTCTGATTTCTTTGTTTTTCTACCAGACAAAAGCATGATTATTTGAAAATTTATGCTTGTGACATGTTTGAAACTATATTTATTTCTTCTTTGTCATAAAAATAATTTTTCAATGATAGACATACTTCTGTTGACACTCCTGTGGACCAGGAATTGTGTTTGGAATACATACTACTTTTTTTTTGGAAACAGAGTCTCACTCACTTTCTTTCGCCCAGGCTGGAGTATCGTGGCCTGATCTCGGCTCATTGCAACCTTCGCCTCCTGGGTTCAAGTGATTCTCCTGCTTCAGCCTCCCTAGTAGCTGGGATTACAGACATGAGCCACCACGCCTGGCTAATTTTTGTATTTTTAGTGGAGACAAGGTTGCACCATGTTGGCCAGGCTGCTCTCGAACTCCTGACTTCAGGTGATCCGCCAAGTGCTGGGATTACAGGCGTGAGCCCCTGTGCCCAGTCTAGAATGCATACTACTTTTAACACTACTCAGAATTGCACCTCTCAATCAGTTCTGCACAAAATGACTTGGAGTGGTCTTGAGCAAGCAGTCAGGGATCTTGAGGCATCCCCACATTCCAACCTGAACAAATACAGGAACCAAAATTCAGGGAGGAAACCACCGTGGTTACCATATAGTAGAGAACATATGATATGGAATAGCAAATGGGAACCAACAAACAAGACAAGGCAAAACCAGTCAGCAAAACAAACTGCCATGAGCACAGTGCCCCTCTGAAGGAGATTTAAACAACAGAGTGAGGGTGATCACATGTCAATCAGAATATTGGCTACCAACTTAGTTTGTACTCTCTGAGCAGATTGGGGCAGATGATACCTGTCTGATACACTGAAGGGGAGAATTAAAACAATTTATTTGAGTCATATTTATGCTCAGAAACCACCCCAGTCTATTTCAGTGGAAATTATTATTCCTATTTTGGTATGAAGCACACAGAAAAATATGATTCAGAAGGAAAGCAACTGAGAATCTGAGGCCTGCAGCTGTGAGAGATTACAGATATTACAGTTGAGATGTGTCTAAAACAGAGGGGCTGAGAAAGCCATCATCATTACCAGCCACATGCTAATTGCGGAGTGACAGGGCACTAGTCCATTCATCAGGTTCACAGGTTGACCCCAATAGAGGCTGAACTTGTCCCTCATCATGGGGAAGAAATTGTTCCCAATATGGTTTGTTTTTCATTGAGGTATAATTTACATACAGTAATATTCACTGTATATAAGTCTGTCAGTTGTAATCAGCACAGAGTCATAGCACCACAATCAAGATTGTGAACAGTTCCATCACTCTCCAAAATTCTCTCATGCCCTTTTATAGTCAACCCTTCCTGTTACAGCTACACCTGGAAACCGCTGGTTTGTTTGCAGTCTAGTTTTGCCTTTTCCAGAATGTCATATAAATGAAATCATACAGTATGTAACCCTTTGAATCTAGTTTATTTCACACAACGTATTTTAGTTTCATCTGTATTGTTGCCTGTATCAGTATTTCATTACTTTGTACTGAGTACTAATCCATTGCATGGATTTACCATAGCTTATTGATTGATTCCCCAGTTGAAGAGTATTTGAGTTGTTTCTAGTCTGGGATAATTATGAATAAAGCTACTACAAACATTCATGTATAGGTGTTTATGTGAGTATATGCTTTCATTTTATTTGATTTCAAGTCTAGCTAGAAGTAGATTAATGGGTTGCGTTGTAAGAATATGGTCAACTTTTTATAAGAAATTTCTAAACTGTTTTTACCAAGTGGCTATTACCATTTTTGCATTCCCACCAGCAATAGGAGTTCCAGTTGCTTCACATCCTCACCAACACTTAGTATTGTCTATCTTTTTAATTGACAGTCATTCTGTTGGGTGAGTAGTAGTATCTCATTGTGACTTTAATTTGTATTTCCCTGATAACTAAAAATGTTGAATGTCTTTTTACATGTTTATCGACCATCTGTATATCTTATTTTGTGAAAAAAACTTTTCAGTTATTTTGGCCGTTTTTGTATTTGGTTGCTTTTCTTACTGTTAAGTAGTAAGAGTTCTTTTTGTTTTCTCGCTACAAGTTCTTTAATAGATAAATTTTGCAAATATGTTCTCCCAGTCTGTGGATTGCCTTTTGTTTTCTAACAGGGTCCTGAAAAGAGCAAATGTTTTACATTTTGATGAAGTTCAATTTACCTCTTTTTTTTAAAGTTTGTGCTTTTGTTGTCCTATTTAATAAATCTTTCCCAAATCTAAGGTCACTAAGAAGTTCTTCTGTGTTTTCTTCTAGACAGTTTATACTTACAAAGCTCTCGTATTAGGTCTGTGATTCATTTTAATTTTTATATTGGTGTAAGAGTTGAGGTTCTTTATTTTGCATATGGATATATAATTATTCTAGTACCATTCCTTGCAAAGATTATTCTTTTTTAATTGCCTTAGCTCCTTTGTTGAAAATTAATTGGCCATACGTGTGTGAGTCTAGTTGCGGATTTTTTTTGTTTTGTTTTATTATCTATATGTCTATACTTATGCCAATACCACACTGTCTCTCTTTCTGTAGCTTCAAAGTAAGTCTTGAAATCAGGAAGTATAAGTCTTCTAATCATGTTCTTCTTGTTAAAAACTGTTTTGGCTTTTCAAGTTCCTTTACATTTTCATAAAATTTTATTTTTTTAAAGAGATGGAGTCTTGTGTTGCCCAGGCTGGAGTGCAGTAGTGCCGTCATAGTTCACTGCAGCCTTGATTTTTTTTTTAACAAATACTATTCATTATTTACAAAATACATGGTGATCATAAGAGAGCACTTTACAAATTACAAATGGGAAAAGTACAGGGAAAAGTAGAGACACATGAGTCAAATGACAGGGTAACCATTCGTAGGGAGTCTGTTTAGAATAAAAAAGTTCTCTTTTAAAGTCAGACAAGGCCACGAATAGGTACATTGCGGTTTAAAAAATGGCAGTTACTTTGAAATATACCTCTACCAAAAAGTAGAAAAGCATTGGTAGTGTGTCTAATGTGTCCTAAATTAAATTACATATAGTTCCAGTGTTCCACAGTGCAACCATTGCTTTTAGGCAGGGATCTGTGAGAGACTTGATTCTTGTCACTGAAAGAGCAAAGCCCCGGGACTGGTGAACTTCCCTGCCTTCCATAAGGCTTTGTTCAGTGACTCTGGAATGTGGTATCAAAAAATCCCATTCATTTCTGTGTCTTTTAAGGAATTTGCCCATTTCGTCTAGTTTGTTGCATCTCTTCACATAAAATTGTTTATATTTCCTGATTATCCTCTTAATGTTTGTATAATCGATAGTGATGTTTCCACCCCCCACTCCTGATATTGGCAATATACATCTTGTATTTTTTGTTTCTGATCAGTCTGGATACAGTTTTATCAATTTTATAGATTTTTTTTCAAGGGATTAGCCTTTGGTTTCGCTGATGTTCTCTACTGTTTATCTGTTTTCTATTTCATTCTCCTACTATTTTTATTGTTTCCTTCTTTCTGCTTAATTTGGGGTTAATTGGATCCTCTCTTCCTATGTTCTTAATGTGGTAGCTTTGATAACTGACTTGAGACCTTTTCTTACTTTCTAATATAAGCACTTAGTGTATAAAGTACAGCTTTAGCTGCATTCCACAAATTTGATATGTTTTGTTTTAATTTACGTTCAGTTAAAGGTATTTTCTAATTCCTCTTGATTTCATCTTTGATTCATGGATTATTTAGAAACATTGTTTAAATATAAATAACTAAAGGATTCTCAGGGTATCTTTCTGTTACTGATTTCTTATTTGAATCCATTGTGGAACAAAAACATGCATTGGATGAGTTCAGTATTTTTAACTATTGAGACTTGTTTTATGGCTCAGAATGTGGTCTCTCTTGGCAAAGGTTTTCTATACACTAAAACAAAAGTGTATTCTGTTGTTGGCTGGAGGGTTCTGTAATTTTCAGTTAGGTGGATTTGGTTAGTACTGTAGTTTATGTCTTCTGTATTTTCACAGAATTTCTATTTTATCAGCTCTTGAGAATGGTCTTGAAATCTCAAACTGTAATTGTGTATCATCTATTAACCTTTTAGTTCTATCAGTTTTTGCTTCAGGTGCTTTGATGCTCTTGTTAAGAGGCATATATGCATTTAGGATTTTTACGCCCTCTTGAAGAATTGATTCCCTCATTATTATATAATATCTCTTCCGGGTAATACTTTTTCCGAAGTCTGCTTTGCCTGATATTGATTCTTTAGCTTTCTTTCCATTGCATTAGTGTGGCATACCTTTTTCCGTATTATTACCTTTAACCTTCCTGTCTCTTCATATTTGAAGTGGATTTTTTTTGGTACACATCATAGTTGATTCTGATTTTTTAATCCAAATCAACATCTCTGACTGTTCATTGGAGTGTCTAGGCCATCTTATGTTTTATACAATTATCAATATGGGTGAGTTTAAATCTCCCACCTTGCTAGTTGTTTTCTACTTGTCTCATCTGTTCTTTGCTTCTTTTTCTCCTCTTCTACTGCCTTATTTTGTATTAAGGAGTTTTATTATTTCATTTTATCTCCATTATTGGCTTATTTGCTGTGCCTCTTTTTGTTTTTACGTTAGTGGTTACTGTAGGGTTTTAAAGTATACATCTGCCTTCAAATAATATTATGCCACTTCACGTTTAACAGAAGAACCTTACAGTTATTTGCATTTTCCCCCTCCCAATCTTTGTGTGCTATTGTTGCCATAACTTTTATTTCTACATATTTTATAATACCCACTTAAAGCAGTTCTCTTTTAAAGAAATTAAGAATGAGAAAAGTCTTATTTTTACTTACGTATGTACAGTTTTTGGTTCTCTTTTTGTTTCTGAGTAGATCTAAATTTCTCTGTAGTATCATTTTCCTTCTGCCTCAGGTTTTTTCTTTGACATTTCTTCTAGTGCTGGTCAGCTGACGATGAATTCATTTAGCATTTGTATGTCTGAAAAAGTCATCCTTCACCTTCATTTTTGAAAGATAATATTTTTGAGTAAAGAATTCTGTGTTGCCTTTTCTTTTTTTTTTTTTTTTTGAGATGGAGTCTCGCACTGTCGCCCAGGCTGGTGTGCAGTGGCGCAATCTCAGCTCACCTTTTCTTTTTCTTTTAGTACTTTAAAATGTTGCACTGTTGTCTTTTCTTCTGCATTGTTTCTGATGAGTAAGTCTGCTGTCATTCTTGTCTGTGTTTCTCTGTATATAATGCGTCTTTTTTCTTTGGCTGTTTTAAGATTTTCTTTTAATACTGGTTTTCAGAAATTTGATCATGATATTCCTTGGTGTGATTTTCTTCACATTTCTTGTACTTCACATTTCTTCTCAAGAATCACATTTCTTGGGATTCTTTGAGTTTCTCGATTTGAGGATATGTAGTTTTTGTGGAATTTCAAACACTTTTGGCCATTATTTCTGCATTCGTTTTCTGCACTCTCCCTGTCTTTCCTTATCTTCCTTCCCTAATTAAATTGGTGCCATGGTTTAGTATTCCTATTCAACTCTTGTTGTAATATGCACCTCACTTTCCTACTGCATCTACCATGGTTCATATCCTCATTGTTTCTCTTTTTATCTGTTGTAAAACCTCCCTCTATTGTTTTTAGAGATGTGGTCTCACTATGTTGCTCAGACTGGACTTGAACTCATGGGCTCAAGCAATCCTCCTGCCTCAGCCTCATGAGCAGCTGGGACTACAGGTGCATGCCACTGCACCCAGCTCTCTGCCTCTATATTTGTCCCTCTTCAGTCCACAGCATGGTACATAGGTCCCTTTATCCCCACCTGTTTTCTAGCTTTCTTTCCCCCTAAGCCATCCTCACCTCACCCATGACTCTCTGAACTCTTTATCCTGACAATATGGAATACTTCCAGTACTCCAATGCATCGTGCTTTCTCATGCTCCTGTGCACATGCATATGCCTTTCTTATGTCTGGAAACCTCCCTGCCTCTCCATCATCCCTGTCGCCATGCCTGGAAACTCTTATTCATTGAGCTGAAATACCTCTCCTTTAAAACTTACCTTTTTATCCCATCCCAACTCCACTAGACCTTGAGTGTATTCTGTTACAGCACTTAATCTATTGTTTTGCAATCATCATTGCAATTAACTAGGTCATCCTCCTAGACTGACTTGTGTGTGGTCAGAGACTGTATCTTATTCATTTTTACATACTTAGTAGTGGTACGTAATAGGTGCTTACTAAAGTGTTGATTAAATAAACAAATAATTGGCATTTAGCAGGTATTGGGCATATTATTTTTAAAATAAGTTGAACTCAGATTTAATCATAACCTACATTTTAGCATGCGATGTTTCAGGCACCATTTTAGGCACTTCTCATACATTATCTTTAATCCTTATAACATCAATGCAATGTATATATTGTCATCCCCATGATACCCCAACTTTGGTTTAGAGAGGTCACGGACAAGGTTGTGCAGATAGAAAATGCCAAAATTTGGTTTCAAACCTGAATGTATGTTTTGCTTTTCTCTCCTTGCACACACATTAGGAGTTCTGTCATATCACCATCAGTATTTTCTAAGATTTCCAGTAAGAAATGACAGCTATCTGCAGAAATTGTATAGGCAGCAATGAGAATCATAATATAGAGTCAGAGAACTGATGTCACAGACTGACAGAGAAAAGTCTCTAAGGGGCTGTGCTGGGATATCAGGAAAGGGGAAGCAGGAGGGTTCTTAGGTGGGCTGCGTGGCCTACAAACATCCATCGCATGTCTGCCGCCATCTTTGATGTGACCATATGAGGAGCCATGTGGAGGGCACAAGTCACAGGGCTCATCCTGAACCATGTGGTTTGGGGATTCCTACAAGGATGTGCGGATCGGGGGGCTGGCTTCAGACAGCATCTTGGGGAACGGCGGAAAGAAATGAAGATTCCAAATGCGCCAGCACTTGCTGTGTTTACAAAAGGCCTGAAGGGTTCATAATGCTTTGTCATTATGACACTTTAGCTGAGGCTGGAATCACCACCCCTGCCCACTCAGACTGTAGGCCAAATGCCTGTTGAGACTCTGTCTCCCCTTTGTTTCTTCTCTCAAGGCTACTCTTGATTTTCAGTTTAGCTGCATTCCACCCCTACCATCCCCAGTGTAAAAATGATGAGGGTGGAGTTGGGTGGAGGGACATACAGTGTAGCAGTCTCCAAAACCCCTGTGGGGATGTCCTTTTGTACATACAGCAACATCATTTTCCTATTTATTCTGTGCTACTGAATCTAGAATAAACCTTACAAAGGCATGGTTCCTTCCCTTTTGAAATTTACATTATAGAAAATGTTTTAAAATATGGTTTTGGTGTTTTAATTATAAAATTTTCTGGTGTGTATGTGTTGGGGGTGAGTTTTGGTTTTTGGCAAGAGGAGGGGAGCTGTATTTGCAGGAACTCTGTTTCCTGGGGTACTGCAGCTAATACTTTTGGCAGATAAGGGTCCCGGGACCGTGTCAGTTTAAATGTGCACTTGAGGATGATTCCTGACCTGTCCTTCCTCACAGATCAGTTGCAGGTAGTGTGCAAGGCAGCCGAGTATGCCATCCTAACTTTGTGAATAGCCTACAGATCTATATTTAGTGCTTCTTTTTAGTTAGATGGACAAAAGAAAAGGTAAGCTCAGTTAAAAAAAAAAAATCCACTTCTGAGGAGGACACCCTTATGCATCGGGAACAGGAAGTTCCAGTGAAGGGGAGGATGCTTAGGAAGCTTTTGTTCAGATACCAAATGAGGTTTCTGATAGTTAGAATGTGAGCAAGTGAGAACTTTTAATGTTTTCATGTTTAGTGTTTGAATGTGATTATTTTAACATGGTTGCACTCCATCTTAAACTGTATTGTAATGAAGATTTTTCTTTGTTCCCTTTTCCAAAAAATTAGCCTGATTTGTTCTTTTCAGGACAAATAGGCACCTAGATACTGGCAATGGGCAGGGTGTGTGATGGTTTCTGGAGCCCTTCATGTGACATCAGTTAAGCTGTTGTTGGGTCAACTCACACTTAAGACCAGCTGAAGCACATTAATGTTGACCTTCAGTTTTCGCAGTAGGTGTAAAATATTTTTGCTACCACAAAGGAGTTATTTATTTTCTTTTCAATAACCACAGATATAAATTTTATCCCTGCAATGATTTGGTATCAGAGATCTTGGGTTAATATAAACAAAACAGAATCATAGGTACGAACCCTGGATGAACGATGCCACAACTCCTACAGAGAGTGGAATTGCTTACCTGAAGTTGATTGAAAAGTTTCTTAAGTCTGTATTTTTAGGGCCAGTGCTGTGTTTGATGTGCTTAAAAGATTTTTCATGACTTTTCTTTTATATTTTTACTATTCTCCTAAGAAATTGATCAAGAATATTCTGGGGGATTTCTAAAATAACAATGTCAAAGACAAAGGCTAATCTGTCATTTTATTAGGTAGAATATTAAGTAACCCTGTAGTCCAAAAAAGAATATTCCTATCAAGAATGTGTTGCTTACATTGGCAATACTTTTTATATGTACTTCTGTTGGAATATCAAAAGATAGTTTGTGTGTGTTGCGCCAGCATGTTGAACTGCCATTATTGAAGGACCTACAGTTAAAATGAGTGTAGCCATTTGTCTGAGAGCTCACTGAGAGACAGATACTTGTCAGGTAGTTGGCAGAAGAAAAATACAGCATAATTCTAATCTTAAGATCCCTCTTTTTAATTAAGTTGAATTAGGTCTGCTAGGAGTGGGAACACAAATGAGATCTCATAGGGATGAAAATGTCTATTTTTTGAATTGCTGCATTATTGCAGGGCTCTGTGATAAGCCTTCCTGTAGACTCATCCCTGGGCTAATGGTCATAGTCTGAGGATACTTTGTGGAAATCATAAAGGGAGGCCAGAGTCCAGGACAGATCTAGAAGATTGGCTTCTAAATTTATTGTTTTGATTGGTTGGTTGGTTAGTTAGTTATTATAAGTAGCTAATATTTGTCCCATAGGTCAGATATTTTGTCTTACTGACCAGGTTCATCAAGCGAAGTGGAGGTAGATTTTTCACATGGATATTTAAATGATTCCAGAATTCTCTGCTCTTGTTTTAAATTTAGTATTAAATTTAAATTTCTGGTCATTGGTGTGCTGTCCTTATAGGAAGATAGAAACATTTTTAAAATGTTGCTATTGGTTTCAAGGACTTCAGTCATCAATTCACTTGACTAACAAATATGTATTGAGCTCTTATTGTGATGAATAATTGGTGTCCTATGTTAGCAGAGGGAGAGAACTGAGAAGCCGAGGATATAATTTCTATACTCAAGACTGTCTTTAGCAGAGCAGATACTGAATCAGTAATGTTGAATAAGTACATTAATAAATAATTCTCATAATTTGTAAAGAAATTAAGAAAAAAACCCAGTGGGATGTTGCTTTGCTCACTGCTTTGTATCCTTATAGATCCTCAGTACACAATTGTTGAATGAATGACCAAATGGCCATGTACTATACATGCAGTGAGAGTTATTAGAATCCAGTGGAGGCTCATCAGTTCCAGCTAGTATAGGGTATTAGTCCGTTCTTGCATTGCTGTAAAGAAATACCTGAAACTGGGTAATTTATAAAGAAAAGAGGTTTAGTTGGCTCATGGTTCCACAGGCTGTACAGGAAGCATGGCTGGGGAAGCCTCAGGAAACTTACAATCATGGCAGAAGGTGAAGGGGAAGCAGGCATATCTTACACGGCCAGAGCAGGAGGAAGGGAGAAAATGGGGGAGGTGCTACACATTTTCAAACAACCAGATCTCATGAGAACTCACTCACTATCATGAGAACAGCAAGTGGGAAACACACCTCCATGATCCAGTTACCTCCCACCAGGTCCTTCCTCCAGCATTGGGGATTACAGTTCCGCAGGAGATTTGGGTGGGGACACAAATCCACACTACATTAGCTAATCAGGAAAGGTTTCATGGAGTAGATGGTATTCTAATTGCTGAAAGAGAGGGAGGGTCGTCTAGAAATTGGGAATGGTGTGGAAGCCTCTGAGGAGATGTTGGAAGCTGACAGTGGAGGTGTGCAGTGGTGGGCAGGCAGCCAGGAAAGGCAAATTTTGGAAAGCCTTGGCAGACAGACGTTTCTCTGTAGAGTAAATAGTGACAGAGATGTATTAGAAATAATAACTAAAGGTTTTATACCTGGCACATTGAAGACGGGAGAAATCATGAAGCACAATTGACAAAGCTTGGTAATTAAGGGGGTTAATGAGGGAAAGGAAGGCATCAAAGATGGCTACAATCTCGTTTTGAGCTTGACTGCCTCGAATAATAGTAACAGCATAAACAAAAATAGGACATCAGCAGGGAAAATTCACTTTTTTTTTCTTCTTTTTTGAGACAGTCTCACTCTGTCACCAGGCCGGAGTGCAGTTGCACGATCTCGGCTCACTGCAACCTCTGCCTCCTGAGTTCAAGTGATTCTCCTGCCTCAGCCCCCTGAGTAGCTGGGGCTACAGGTGCATGCCACCACGCCCAGCTAATTTTTGTATTTTTAGTAGAGACAGAGTTTCACCATGTTGGCCAGGATGGTCTCGATCTCTTGACCTCGTGATCCACCTGCCTCAGCCTCCCAAAGTGTTGGGATTACAGGCGTGAGCCACCGCGCCTGGCCAAAATTAGCTTTTTGTAGGAAGATTCTTGTGTTTAAGATAACAGGGACACTTCACTGTGGACTAGTAGAAATCACAGAAGCATGGAACATTAGACCCAAAAGGGATTTGGAGGTTGAGCCATTCATTGGACTCAAATTCAACCCTGTCATCTTGCTGATGAGAAAGCTGACTAGATTCAGGAACAGCCCCCAGGGTGCAATGTCTGGCCTTGATACAGAGCACAAGTAGGATGGCAGATGTAGACAGTCATTTACAGTGTTTTGGAGGGTACTTAAAAAGTATTCCTTCATTTGCAGTTGGATTTTTCCCTTTTAAATGGGAAGAGTCATTATACAAACAGTTCCAGTTAATGCATTTGGAGATGTTGTCTGTAGAGTATAAACACCGTGTTGTAAGGTTGAGATAAAATCCCTAAATATTAGGCAATATATTCATTCATTCCTACTGATAAACAAAAAGTCTTAACTTGCCACCCAACATGACATTACCAATGAATTTACTTTCATAGTAAATACATTACCAATGAATTTCTTTAACCGTATTATTTAGTAAGTTCTATTTAGTTATTACTGAGTTGACATTTACTCAATTCTAAACATATTTTGCACTGCAGATGTTCTATCTTGGACATCTGATCATGGGTCTGGGGTGCCATATTGCCCATATTTGAGGAGAAGGCAGTTGCTAAGGGTTCCCACTATTAGTGTTTCTAGATGGGTCTTATCCTACCCTCTCTTCTGCTTAGGGTGTTGCTAGGAATGATGGGGATGGTTATAAGCACAATTAGTCTTGATGGGTGTTACATACAAGTAGGGGGCTCTGAAGCAAGGTTGGGGGCCAGTTCTCACCCTTGGCATACCTGCTT
Organism: Homo sapiens; assembly: GCF_000001405.40. NCBI lineage: Eukaryota > Metazoa > Chordata > Mammalia > Primates > Hominidae > Homo > Homo sapiens. The sequence continues at coordinate 131,280,433 of NC_000006.12, forward strand.
CTGTTCTTCAATCCCTATTACATGTGAGTACAGGAAACAGTGTCCATCTTCCAGCTCACACCCTTTGTATCTGCCTGTCTCAGACCCAGAGATGCAAGTGCAACACTCACTGGCTTTGCCTTCTAGAACCCATGGGTAATCTTGCAAAACTGAGCTGATCTTAATGTGCGAGCATCCTGTGACTTCTTTGCTTCCAACCTTGTTCTTTCCTGGGTCCCCAGCTCGATGGGAGGAGATTGAGCACTGAATGGTCACTCTCTTCTTTGTCTCCCTTAACTGGGGAAGGAGCCCCTTAGTTCCTTTTCCCAGTTAAAGGAGTCTGAAAGAGAGTGACTGGGAAATGTGTAGCATGAGAATAGTTGGGAACCAGCTCTTTTAGAATAAAATGAAAGATGGAATAATTAGACCTGGATTATCACTCCCAGGGAAGTAAAATGACCATAAAATATTTACATCTAGTAATTTATCATCATAATCCTAATTTTTCTTTAAAGAATTTCCTATTTCTTAAATTGCAGTGATAGCACTGGGATTAAAAAAAATATTAGTCTTACAAGCTTACTTTAAACCAATTCCTAGTGGTAGTAACTGCCTTTATCTTCAAGGCAGCACTGAGCATTTATTAACAACCAACCTATAGGCCAAGCATTTTTAAATTAGTGATCTTAAGTAATGAGATGCTAGGGAAATCTTGATGACCTGATATTTGATATTCGAGAATGAGAAGCAGACATAGGCCTACTTAGTGAATTCACATGTCTGAGACTCCACGTGGTGGGGACATGGACGTTAGTAGTAGTAATTAGCCTTGGATGAGAGAAGAACAGAAATTCACATATAAATGGGAAACATCCGGCATTGGTAGGTAGAGCTTGTCTAGATTGGGACTAATGAACTACTTTTCAATCTGAAGCCTTCAGGAATAGACAGGCTCCTGCTTCTGCAAATACCAAATGAAAAGCCAACCCACTGTTCTTGAATTTATAGATCCAATTTACACTTGCTCTTTTTAACCAATGGAACTAGCCGGCCCCTGCATGCCAAGTTTCTATGGCAATGTGATCTCAGTGACCTCTCTTCTCTATTGTGGAATGTAGGTGAAAAGAACGGAGGGGAGCCCGATGACGCTGAACTAGTAAGGCTCAGTAAGAGGCTGGTGGAGAACGCGGTGCTCAAGGCTGTCCAGCAGTATCTGGAGGAAACACAGAATAAAAACAAGCCGGGGGAGGGGAGCTCTGTGAAAACCGAAGCAGCTGATCAGAATGGCAATGACAATGAGAACAACAGGAAATGAGCCCGGAACGCAGGCCCCCATGTCTCTGTGCAAAGCCTCCCTGCTTCCCTCTGCTGAGTCTAGGGACTGACTTGCAGCGTGCTGTTTAAGTTAAGTTTCTCTGGTGCAATCTGTGAAGATTGCCTAATACTTTTCATGATCGATGTGTTCGCATTGCTGAAACACAACAGAAGAAAAATGGAGTGCTGGGACTGGCAGAGGAAATTAATTGATGAAAGAAGAATGGCCCAAGTTTCATTCGCCCTCAGCCACGCACAAGGGAAAGGGAACTTTGGGTTATGCCTCCTGGACGCAAATTAAAGGCCGAGAAAGAGGCCTTGCCATCAATGGAATACTGCCATTTATATTGCTTAGCAGGGCATTTGACTACTTTATCTGAGGCCAGAACTCTCACACACAGCTATCAAGTGCTAAGTTTAAAATAATCACTGTTGGAATTGTCATCTGTACAATTAGTCCATAATGTTTCATGTTTGTCCTAAGTGTGCTGTTGCTATGCAGTGTGATCTTTATTTATAGTAAATTATGTTTCATGTAAATGATATATTTTTGGTGAAATGCAACCTTTTCTATAAAATGTGGGCAACATTTTAAAGTTTTTTTAAAATCCTATTTTGATAAGTCAGTATGCCATATTTAATGAAATGTTATTATATAATTTTTTTTTCTTAGGCAAGAAACCTATTGGAATTCGAGACTTAATTAATGAAGCTTTGCATCGAGAAACGATGGGTCTGAAGTCCAAAGTGAAACAGATAAAGGAACTTTTATTAAAGCCTGAGACTCAGGCCAGAATTAGGAGGGAGCTTTTTGAAGGAAGACTTATTAACAACAGTAATTCAGCAAATGACGTTGATTTCAGCACAACTTTGACATAAGCTCTACATTGCGATTGTGACAACATAGCTTATGAAATCTTTTCAGCTTATTAAGTAGCTCTTTGGTAAACACCAAAGAAGTTTCTGATAGTGTCTGCACAACAGCAAACCAACATTTGGTGAGGAATTAGCAATTTCTTGCCAAAGAAAATTGATTCTGCCCAATTATTTTTTGAGCTACACTTGTGTTTTAGAATATCTGTTTCTGTAATATTGAGAGTTATTTTATAGAAATGATTTCTTAATTAGCTGTTGTGAGATATTTCTCGGGTCCTTGCAGAAAAAAACATACAGACTGTGAACAAATCATTCACAAACAGAATAAAACAGAGCCAACAACAGTATTTTAAGGGTCACTTGCCTCCTGTTGACACAATTGTTGCTAAATCAAAAGAAGCGTTGTCCAGGTGTGTCTACATCTAGTGTTACTTTTAATGAGAATTTGAATGTTTATTGAACAATAGTACTTGAATGAACATTTATAAATGTAATTATTGCGATCACTGGTTAAGAATGTTTTATATATCCTTATAATATTTTTCACTGATCAAAATGTTGTTCTGCTTTTTCATTTCTTAAGGAATACATGTTTGGGATTTTTATTTTTTACGTGTCCGAAGATAAGCTCCAGGTCTTATCGTATCCCTTGCCATCTGAACTTGTTTGCACTGCTTCTGTTTGAAAGAGCATCTTGAAAAACTTCCCCGGTATGATGATTGTTGGTAACAACTTTTTCTATAGTCATTGATGGAGTAGATCATGATGGAGGGGAAATCACTGGAGATCAAATATGTAAAATCATTTCAAATATAAAATCCAGTTTACTCATGGATTTTAGCTATTTTTTCACTGGGTAAATTATACTACATTTATTTACAAATGAGTTTATGCATTTTCATGGCTCTTAATAAACATATTGTTTTCCCTTGTTGCTTTTCCTCATTTCTTTTTTTCACTCTTGAGAGTAGTTGGATCTATGTTGGCGTAACGAAGTCATAAATCGGAGCTCCAATAGTTTAGTTTCAGTGTTGCTTCACCTTTATGATCCCGTCCTTCATGCTAAGAGAGCACAGTTGTCAAAGCACCTTCAACTTTACCCTTTAAAATCATATCAAATCAGTCAGCTTCACAGAGAATTAACAACAGAACCTTAAATTCAAAGAAAATCTAAATAGCGTCTTATAAACAGCTAAGAATGTGTCACTGATGTGACATCCTAGCAAAGATGAAAAGTGGAGGTCCATCCAGGTGCAGAATCCTGGGAGCTGTTTGCCATGAAACCCTTTTCAGTGGTAGAGGGCTTGACTGTTTGTTTGTAAATGGCTTCTTTAAGTAAATCCTTAAGGTAGAAAGCAAAGATAGTTTTGGCCTTGCCTTGTTTTTCAAACAAGGAAACAGACTCCAAAAGGTGGCATGCCTTATCCAGGGCCCCACTGCTATCAGGGAACTGGACTTGAACTGTCACCTGGGGCTCTATGTCAATGCCCCGGTGTTATCCTTACCACCCCATAATCTAAGTGAACAGTATTTCTGGAGAGAAGGCACTTCTCAGCGTGTATATACAGATATCCTCTGGGAGCGATTCCCAGTCCATCTAGATAATTTGAAAGGCTAAAATAGTATATACTTTTTGCAATCTGGGGTTACATGTCTTACTGTTATTTTAGTTTAAAATCATGATTTTTGTTAAATACTAAGTCCCAGGTTGTGTGCCAGGTGATTTAGGCGTATGATTAAATTTCTTCCCTTCAGTGACCCTATTAGGAAGTAATTAGTACTTTTACAAATTAGGAATCAGGGGCCCTGTGTGGTTAAATAGCCCAGGGTTATAAGCTAATAAAGGTGAGGCCAAATTTAAACTATGATCTGTTCTAATTCAAAGCCAACACTTTTTCCAAAATGCAGCACTTCTCTCCACCAAGTACGATATACTTGACAAATTAAAAAGTGTAAGAAAAGGAAAGTCACTTTCTTTTGACTAAACCAGCTTCCTTGCAGCCCTGAATTTCTCTGAACTTACATGAGAGTGATCAGCTGATGTGATAGAACTGAAAATCACATCACCCAGATACTTAATATAGGGATTAAGGATTCTAATCCTTACCAATGAAAGCTCCATTTAAGAAGGTTTATGAAGAAAATGGAAGGTATAAAATAAAAAATTTTATTTTCCATTTTTAAAAGTGAATAAGACATTAATTTGCAGAACTCTATGTTTGGGATCTGAAATGTTCCAAGTGACTTTATTCCCATTAGTCACAGAATAACTGCTCTTTGGGTCACGTAGGCAGAGTGAGTTGTCCTGAGTCGGTACTGTATGTTATGTAGCCTTGTCTTGTGACAGGGAGGCTGCGTGGTTGGCAACAGAGTGCTGGCTTGGGCCTTCTAGACTGTCTTCTAGACTTGGGTCCACCACTGACACATGATCTTGACCAAACTAATTCACTTTTCTGAGCCTCACTGCCCAATCTGGAATTGGAAAGAGTTTGGCAAGGTGATTTTCAAGGATCCTAGAACAGTGCTCTTTGTGACCACACCATGATGCTACTCATGCAGACACCGCTGTTTCAGTTAGCTACTGCTATGTGAGGCCTTGAAGGGGCCACGCTGTTCCATCTGTTGGCAGGAAGAGCTTAGAGTTCTAGAAGACTTTACACTCTGTTTGACTTGTGTTGGTTGTCAGCTTCGTGTAGGGAAGCCCCAGTGGCACATATTCATATTTATCAACAAATGCCAACATTTTTGGGGATCAATCACTGGAAAAATAATATGTCCTAGATGAATTAAGAATGTCAAAAAGTAATATTTTCAACAGCAGGACAAAATTCTGTCAGCTTTGAACTTGGACCCATTTATAAAATGTTAGATGATTATTGTATTAGTCTACTTCTCAGCATAGAAGTATTTATTTTTATAGGGCTTTGAGATATACTAGATTTATATTCAATAAATTTTAATTTTTAAGATTAATAATTTTTAATTTAGAGACAAAAAAATCTTAATTTTAAGATTAATAATTTTAAGATTCAAATTATTCATTCCAAAACTCCAAATGTGTTACCTTCCAGTCATCCCAGCAGCCAGGCACTCCCATAAGGAGGTAATTAAAGCAGTTTGACTTCATGTTCTGGACATTATTTCAGGCATGTGACCAAACAGATGTGTTTGCTTCTCTGCATTCGATCACAGATGCAGAAACCATCTATCACATCATGGAGCAAATTAGGAATTTATTTCATTATACAATCAAGATAGTGATTTATTTCATTATACAAACTGTAGATTTTATACTGTAAATTTAAACTTTTAGTATCTCCACACATAAATTGATGAATGGATAACCTTTCGTCATCCCTTATTTTCAACACTTTCAAATCTCACCTATAATAATTTTAACTTTAAACAAATTGTAGATACAACCCTAAATTCCAGTTTTCCTAGGTAGATAGACTTCATATAAAAATAAATAAACTTGGTGTACTTTAAAAAATAGTTTCTAGGTCCCTATATGAATTTGAGAGCAGCACAGATGCTAATGAGACAAGTCCCTAGATTATTTCATTCACAGTGAAAATGAATATTAAAGCAGTTCACTTAGAGTCAGTGAATTTAAAATTGTGATGTTAACTACAGCACTTCATTTCTGCATCACAGTTTTGAGGATAAAGGCTTATTTATAAGGTAATTTGAGAGCTTCTAAAGAGGAAGGTGCTATTATCATCTCCAAGGTGATATGCTCAAAACTACTTATTTGAATCCATTAAGTGTAACTGATAAAGTTAGGTGATTTGGGATGATTTTAAAATGTAAACTGCAATATTTACTCCTCTGCATATTCCATCATTTAATCATTTATTGGAAGACCATGAAATTCTATTACAGCATCAAAGAAACAATTAAAGTAAGAAATTCATTGTTTTCAGTAAATCTATGTTGCTTTCCCTGTAATGGTTCGCATTATTTCTGAAAAGTTACTATTCAGTGACACTGCCCTATATATTTACGTGTTACTTTCTTTGACTGATCTGAGAAAAGTGACACAGTCCTGCTTGCAGTCCTGCCAACTTTTGGTATATGCAGAAGCAGCTCTTGTTCTTAGGTAAACACAGTAAATTGGTACAATGCTTTATTTATTTTTAGAGACAAGGTCTTCCTCTGTCACCCAGGCTGGAGTGCAGCAGTGCAATCAGATCATAACTCACTGCAGCCTCCAACTCCTGAGCTCAAGGGATCCTCCTGTGTCAGCCTCCTGAGTTGCTGGAACTAGAGGCACACTACCATGCCCAGTGAATTTTAAAATTTTTTGTAGAGACAGGGTCTTACTGTTGCCCAAGCTGGCCTTGAACTCCTGGCCTCAAGTGATCCTCCCACCTTGGCCTCCCAAAGTGTTGAGATTACAGGCATGAGCCACCATACCTGGCCTGGTACAATGCTTTAAATTATTCCTGATACTTCCTGCCCAAAACCACTTGGGCACAATATTGCCATGATAATATCTTCAAACGAAAGACATTGTCTTCACTGATTTTTTTTAGTCACATATGTTATCTTATCCATAATTTCAAAAAATCTTATTTTGAAACCACTAATGTGGGATATATGAAGTTGTAGGAGGTAAGAGGACAAAGAAATTAATCTTACAGCTGGACAGGAATTACAGTGCTGAGGAAAGAAACGAAAATGATACTTATGCACGAATCCAAAGAATATCTGATATGCTAATTGAAGTAGAGAAAATAGAATGAATATGCAACAGTGGGGAGATACTAAGCATATCTTTTCAAGATTCTGGAAGACAAATTTAGAAGCTGTTTTTCCCAGGTCCATGCTCAAGAAGTGTCTTTAGGGAGAGGTAACAAGGGCCTTTGATGATTTGGTGGGCATTTGTCACACTTGGTGACTGCCCAGTATCTTTTGAACTCCTCTTCTGTCTTCGTGTAGCTTTCTACCTTGTGAACCTTGCTTCCCTGGGACAGAGGCCCCAAGGTGGAGGCCAAGAACTCACCCTCAGCCTTCCATGTCACTGGGGTTCAGATATGTGACCTGGGCTCCACCAAGCAACAGGGAAACCCTGCATGGAATCAGTTCATCCTGGCAGGGATGGTGGAGAGATAGCCAGCTCTCAGAAGCAGTAGTGGCAAAGGCCCTACCTGGCTGGGGTGTCCCACATCCCACATATCCCTATTCTGTGTAAGAATTACAAGCTGGTAAAAAAGTAGCACCAGCTGGATTCTCCCAGATCAGCTGGCAGTGTAATAAGGCATTGTTCCTACTGCTTAGCCACCCAGCCTAATTTTCTGGACCTTCTAAGGATTCTGTGAGCTACTGAATATCCTTTAATTAGTTCCCTTTCCATTTAAACTAGCCGAAGTTGGTTCTGTTATTTGCAGCTAAAAATCTTGACTAATAAAGGCTCTACTCGCTAAATCAGTATTTCAACACAAGGCACAACTGGCATTTTGGATTGGAGATTTCTTCGTAGTGTGGGATGGTTCTGTGCATAGTAAGTTACCAATCCAGATCCCCAGACACTAAATGCCAGTAGCAGATTCTTGTTATTGTGACAACAAAAATGTGCCCCACACATTTCCCAATCCACTTCAGACAGGGGTCACACAACCCCCAGTTGAGGAGTACACTATTAAATAGTGCTTTCCCAGCAGTGTTAAAGAGTTAGTGCTCCTTCCCACCTCCACTATTATCAAGAAGTAATTTAGTCTCGAAGAGCACATGCTCACTGGGGTTCTGTACACACATTATCAGGAACTGGGATAGAAAACAGGAAAATGAAACCACCGGCATAGTTTATGTGACATGGATCAAAATACCTAGTTACTGCACTTGGAAAATGGCTGAAAGGATCAGTTGTGATGACAGTTATGATGCCATTGTTGCAGGAATTTTCTTGGTTTATGTGATTCTTTGGGTAGACTTAGATAGTGAAATAGAGAAGATAGCCTCCAAATTTTAAAACAATATGACATGATTAACATATTATTACTTAATATAATAACAGGGCTATTTCTTATTCATTTCATTAAAAAAGGAAGTTAAAGTATTTTACATTATATGCTTAAGAGGAAAAGTCTATAATAAATGTACAGTAGTCCCCCCTTATTCATGGGGGTTATGTTCCAAGATCCCCAGTGGCTGCCTGAAACCGTGGATAGTACCAAACCCTATATATACTATGTTTTCTTCTATACACAGGTAAGTTTATTCTATACTTCTAATATATACCTATGATAAAGTTTAATTTATACATTAAGTACAGTAAGATTAACAATAATAATAAAATAGAACAATTATAATACTATACTATAATACAAGTTATGTGAATGTGGTCTCTGTCTTAGAATATATTGTACTGTGCTCACTTATTTTCAGAACTTAGTTTGTAACTGTGTCCCAAAGAGTTAGAGAAACCAATGACTAACAGACTGGGTGTGGTGGCTCACGCCTGTAATCCCAAAACTTTGGGAGGCTGAGGTGGCTCACGCCTGTAATCCCAACACTTTGGGAGGCTGAGGCAGGTGGATCACCTGAGGTCAGGAGTTCGAGACTAGGCTGGCCAACATGGTGAAACCCTGTCTCTACTAAAAATACAAAAATTAGCCGACCATGGTGGCGCTAACCTGTAATCCCAGCTACTCGGGAGGCTGAGGCAGGAGAATCACTGGAACCCAGGAGGCGGAGGGTGTAGTAAGCTGAGATCGCACCACTGCACTCCATCCTGGGCGAAAGAGCAAGACTCCATCTCAAAAAAAAGAAAAAGAAAAAAAAAAAAAAGAAACCAACAAGCAATGTCTATCAGAAATTCTTGAGTTTTCATGATGGCAGATAAGAAACAACCTGCTGAAACACTGAAATTTGCTCTTCTTATGAGATAAAAGAACTGGCTGAAATCTGTTTGAACTCAGATAGCAGACTGGCATTTGTGCAGAATGAACCTGCTGAAGTCATAGCCTGAATTCCCACTGCATGTTTCATACTAACTCCCCCTGAATTTGCACACGGGACCCATGAAGTGGCATGAAGAGATAACTGAGCATGCCCACGGACTTTCCAGACCTCCCCTTTCCTTCCACCAACCACCTGCTAATCCCAGTATCCACCCCTTAAACTTTTTCTAATAAAATTACTGCCTTAAGGCCAGCACAGGGGGACAGATTTCAGCTTGACTCCTGTCTCTTTGAGACGATTTTCAATATAAAGCTTTTCTTTTCTCAAAAAATCTGGTGTCAGTTTTGACTTCCAGCACATCAGGCAGGGAGCCCCATTTGCTCGATAACAGGTTGACACCAAGTAACTGAAACCGAAGGTAAGGAGGGACTACTATATTTCAATATAAGAAATATTAGTTATATGTTAGAAATATAGGAGTATTTTCATATAAGAAAAATATTAATTTTCCCTGAGAATCATGATAGAAATGTTTTAGATAGAAATGGGAAAGAACTATTGCTTTTGGCTCTACAAAAACCTGGAGAAAGGTGACTCCTGATTGACACACATGGAAATATACAGAGAAGTTCAAGGGAGCATTCAAATCAAAGGAATGAAGTAAGCAGACAAAAGAGAGTGAGCACATCACATTAAGTACAGATGTAGGGATTCAAACTTTATTTTAGCACAGAATCACCAGACTTTAGTGCATTCAGAATGTCTTTTATGCCCATCCTAAATAAATCTTATAGTTAGTTGTTAAGCATAATGAAAATCAGTGAATACTCTAGACCTAACTGCAATAAAACAACACACAGTTGTTGCTTGGTATTTTGGGGGGATTAGTTCCAGGACCTCCCCAGGATACCAAAATATGTGGATGTTCAAGTCCCTAACATAAAATGGTGCAGTACTAGCATAAAACCTATGTTCATTCTACCCATATATTTTAAATCACTAGATTACTTATAATACCTAATAAAATGTAAAGGCTATAAATGGATACTGTATTGGTCTTTTATTTGTATTAACTTTTTTTGTTTTTTCCCCTCCAACTATTTTTGATCATTGGTTGGTTGAATCATTCATGTGGAACTCTTGGATTCCAACCAATGGTAAATAGGGATGTTTATGCCTGAGGTAGATTGGATTATTGTTCCCAATTCTTTATCCCTGTGTGTATCCTTTTCCATGTGACTGCCTTTTCCATGTAATTTACAGTTAATCTCACCAAAGGCAGAGCACAGTTAACCCTTGAACAATACAGGCTTGAACTGTGCAGGTCCACTTATATACAAATTTTTTTCGACCAAATGCAGATAAAGAATACAGTCTTCTTGGGATGTGAAACTTGAGTATGCAAGGGCCGACTTGTCCTATATCTAGGTTCAGCAGGGCCAGCTGTGGGACTTGATTATGCACAGATTTGCGTATACTCAGATGGTCCTGGAACTAATCCCCCATGTATACCAAGGGATAACTATATATCTTTGCCCTGTTGATGTTGGGCTTGGCCATGTGACTGGCTTTGGCTAATGGGATATTAGTGGACATGAAGCAAGTAAAGACTTGAAGTACAGAGACATGTGACACAGATCTGAATCACGCCTGCAGCCAGGAGCCAGGCCCTACCACGTGCATTGTCACTAGCAGACCTGCCCCTGAGGACATGTGAGTGAGAGGGAAATGATGGTTGGTTGTTATGTAGCATTACTGTGGCAAAACTGAGTAGGGCAGGACCTAAAAGTCAAACACGACAGCAAATGTGAGCAAAGTTATACTTAAAAAAAAAAAAAAAAAAAAAAGGCCATAACATCCATTGAGTACATATCATTTTTTGGTCATAAAAATTTAGTATTATATAATTTAGCTTAGTATTTTTGTTTTTAAGTAACATATGCTTATATGCATATAAAATGTTAACAGTGATGATTTCTGAGTGGTAGGATTACAGGTGAGTTTGCTTCCTAATTTATGCATTTCAGGATTTTCAAAATGTCACATAATAAATACTGTTATAAATCAAATTGCAAATGCCATTTTCAAAATAAAATGAATATAGCCAGATATTAGACAATTCATTGCATCTCAGCCATAAATAAGTACTGCATGAAGAGTGCATCACTCAGAAACAGAGTCCACTCATTGCATTTATTATTTACTATGGGTCAGATACTGGGCTAGGTGCTTAGTATGCAAAAGACCCATCTGTCAGAATGATACATGGCATATTGATGTAGATGTATTTATTATTTTCTCTGTAATCTCTGCTTGCCCCATCACTTCTCTAATTTCAAATAAGACCTTGCTTTTGCGAGAGACTAACCAAAATAGAGAGAGCAAAGAGGCTGAGTTTCATATATTTTGGCTCTTGAGCTCCCAATGGCCAACTTTTGGTATGATCATCAGTTTGCAATGTAACAAGATGTTGGGATTGGGCTCTGCTTCCACTGAAGCATCAGCGAGCTAGATACAGAACACGGATGTGTGTATGAGACAGACCCTTTGCCACAGTTACATGAAAGAGGGAGTGACACCCAGATGCCTCAGTGAGGTCAAGAACACAAGAAAGGGGTAAAAGAGAATTTTGTGAGGAGGCTGTATTTGGAGCAAGCTGTGCTTTATACCTTACCTTCTCCATGGTGGGGAGTGTCTGCTGAGAACTGCAAAATTCTCAGCAGGAAGGAATCCATCCAAATCTGCACTAGGGGACTTGCTCAAACTCTGCCATAGCTTCTGGCAGCCTAAGGCTATGTCCCTAAGATAACTCCTCCCCTCCCCCACTTTGAGTTTCCATAGGGAAAAGGCCAAGGCTGTGAAAAGAATTTACTATTTGTTCTAGCCAACAGCTGACCATGGGCCCTTGACCTGCCTTTCTTAGCACACTTACTTTTAAAAAGCTTAGAACTGTAAAGCCTTCCTCAGTCCCTTTGAGAAGTATTATAAATCTGCTACAACAGAAGACACCTTTGTCAAGGACCTGAAAGTCATTCCTTTGAAATGTAATCATCAGAAACGATAGGATTTTTGTCTTCCTGTCCCTTTGGGAGGGCAGAAGCCCCAATTCCATAAATGCCAGTTAGCAGACACAGATGGCCTAACACATTTATTTTGAATTAACTCTCTTTCTGGCTTTTTGTATTTTTCACTGCCCTAACTCCACTGAAGGCCCTGCCTCTTCCCCTCCCTACTTCCTGATTGTCTATTTAAAACACCTAGGCACTTGTGTGTAAAGTGAAACGGAGCTCAGCTCTTTCCTGAATAAAACCTGTGGAGGGGAAAGGAAACATCTTTTCTTCCCATCACTAGGCTCAAGGCTTAGGCATCTGTAACAAAAGACAGCCTAACAGGAGAAAAGCATACAAATGTATTCAATGTAAGTTTTACATGACATAGGAGCCTTCAGAAATGAAGACCCAAAGAAACAGGGAAACCTGTGTATTTTTATGTTAGATTTGATGGAGACGTGGAACACTGAGGAAAAGTATGATTGGACAAAAAAGGTCTGATGGAATGGTGATTAGCTGGAGGAAACTTAGCAAGGCCTGCTTGTTCAGATTTTTCCTGTGTCCCTATGTCTTCAGAGACAAGGACATTTTTTTCTAGGATGGGGAGGATACATCTCCAATGAGGATCTCATGACCTACTTCAGAGGAAGTTCAGAAGAATTCTTTCATGCCCGCTTCAGGGGAGAAGCATGGGAGAAGGTCACAAAGACTCTTTTACTGCAGTTTTCTCAAATGTCAAAGCACTACCTTTTGGGATAGTATGCCCTGAAGCCCATCACCTGCTTTTCCCACTTTCATCAATGCTAAGCCTTGCTTATCTCTGACACTTCCTCCTTACCTCAAGCTTCATGGATGGAGGCTTTAAGGACCACACGGAGAACCTGGGACTGTATTTCCTGTGATTGAGGATGCAGAGGACTGATATCTGAGGCCTGGGAGACAGCCAAGGGGAATGGTGGTGGCTGCACTCCCACCTGCGGATCTAGAGGGAGTGAAAATGTGGCCTCAGGCCTGCGTGGATGCTACTGCATGGGGCCCTGCCCACAGCCCAGAGTGGACAACTCTCCCTCATGGGGAAGAGGGGAGGCTGGCTGGCAGGGGCATGGCAGAGGCCTGAGAAGGTCTCACCCAGAAGAGTGGGAGGCCTGAGGAGGTACTGCACAGGCCCCTAGTAGCAGAGGCATATCCTCTGGGGTCAAGTGTGTGAAAGGAAAATCAAAACTCGGGTCCCCAATTCACTCTGCCAAAAGGAAAAACAATTAAGCTGAAAGCTGAGTCATGCAAAAAGCTCTTTCCTTGTTTCCAAACAGACAGCTACAGATAAAAGGTTAAATATCTCCACAGGTAGCTACTCTAGGTTCACCTTATCTTATGTAAAGTGCCGATTTACTGAGCATGAAACAAATACATAACTTTTTTTTTTTTTTTTTTTTTTTTTTTTGAGAGGGAGTCTCCCTCTGTCGCCCAGGCTGGAGTGCAGTGGCAGGATCTAGGCTCACTGCAACCTCCGCCTCCTGGGGTCAAGTGATTCTCCTCCCTCAGCCTGCCTAGTAGCTGGGATTACAGGCGTATGTCACCACGCCAGGCTTATTTTTGTATTTTTAGTAGAGACAGGGTTTCACCATGTTGGCCAGGCTAGCCTTGAACTCCTGACCTCAGGTGATCTGCCTGCCTTGGCCTCCCAAAGTGCTGGGATTACAGGCGTGAGCCACTGCGGCCGGCCGACAACTACATAATTGACTCTTCCCCTACCTGCTCCCTTTCTCTTGCAACACGTGGATTGAGTCACATGACCATACCTTCCCTCTTTCTCCTGCAGCCGGCTTTTCTCCTTTAAATACTGAAGCCCTCAAAATCGTCTTTGGAGAAAGACACAGACCTGTCTTCAGGTCATTGCCTTAACCTTGGCAAAATAAACTTCTAAATGGATTGAGACCTGTCTCAGATACTTTTTGGTTTACAAGGGCGAGCTCACAAGGCTTTAGCGGACCTCTGGGAGCGTGCACAAAGAAGGGACGCTTGAATTGCTTGTTTTCTCAAGAAGTGTCAGGTCTGAGAGCCTGAAGCTACCCAGCCAAGTACTCCTCACGTCTCCTCCCTGCCTTACAGGGAGGGGATTCAGCGTTGGTTTTGACTGTCACCAGGACTGGACATCCTGATGACCGAAAAAGCAGATGGCGTTTGTGACTATATATACATAATACAACAGAGAAAGCCAAAAATCCAAGGAACTGCAAGAATTTTTATCCGGGTGAAGATTATCCTGACAGAGAAAAGTTAGGTGAGGAAGACAAAAACAAAGCTGTATTTGGATAATGTCACGAGTCCTGTTTGTTCAACACACTGGACACAGCAAGACGACTGACTGAATTAGCCTCCCATGGCCTCTGCCCAGGCTGGATAAGAACCTCAAACCTAGGAGGGAGTGGAGGAGACGGAGCTTGGAGAGGTGAGTTAGGCATGGGGGGAGGGCTGTGTCTCCCATGCCTCCTCTGACTTGCTCTAGGGAGTTGGCTGGAGGCGAAAGTAGAACTCTCCGCCCTCCTTAAAGTTTGGGAAACCTGAGAGTGGAGAGATCTTTTGCCTCGTTGCTGGTGGAAGTGAGACAGCCAGGTGGGAAGGGCTCCCTGGCAGAACCTCTGATGGCCTGCGCACCATGGGGAATGCGCTCTGATGTGGAGCCCTGGGAAGTTCACGCCCTTTGCAGCGGGGAGGAGCCTGGCATCTCTCTCCTGTTCCGGGGTGTGGTACCTGGGATTGCATCTGCGAGGTGGGAAGTGCACTAGCAGGGACTCTGGCTGTCAGGCCTCTGAGCCCAAGCCCAGCCATCGCATCCCCTGTGACTTGCACATATATGCCCAGATGGCCTGAAGTAACTGAAGAATCACAAAAGAAGTGAATATGCCCTGCCGCACCTTAACTGATGACATTCCACCACAAAAGAAGTGTAAACGGCCGGTCCTTGTCTTAAGTGATGACATTACCTTGTGAAAGTCCTTTTCCGAGCTCATCCTGGCTCAAAAAGCACCCCCACTGAGCACCTTGGGACCCCCGCCCCTGCCCACCAGAGAACAACCCCCTTTGACTGTAATTTTCCTTTACCTTCCCAAATCCTATAAAACGGCCGCACCCCTATCTCCCTTGGCTGACTCTCATTTCGGACTCAGCCCGCCTGCACCCAGGTGAAATAAACAGCCATGTTGCTCACACAAAGCCTGTTTGGTGGTCTCTTCACACGGACACGCATGAAATTTGGTGCCATGACTCGAATTGGGGGACCTCCCTTGGGAGATCAATCCCCTGTACTGCTGTTCTTTGCTCCATGAGAAAGATCCACCTACGACCTCAGGTCCTCAGACCGACCAGCCCAAGGAACATCTCACCAATTTTAAATCAGGTTAGCGGCCTCTTCTTACTCTCTTCTCCAGCCTCTCTCTGTCCCTCAACCACACTTTCTCCTTTCCACTCTTCAATCTCTCCCTTCTCTTAATTTCAATTCCTTTCATTTTCTGAGACAGACAAAGGAGACACGTTTTATCCGTGGACACAAAACTCTGGCGCCGGTCACGGACTGGGAAGGCAGCTTTCCCTTGGTGTTTAATCATTGCAGGGACACCTCTCTGATTATACACCCACGTTTCAAGGGTGTCAGACCACGCAGGGACGCCTGCCTTGGTCCTTCACCCTTAGCGGCAAGTCCCACTTTTCTGGGGAAGGTGCAAGTACCTCAACCCCTTCTCTCCTTGTCCCTACCCATTCTCTGCTTTTCCGGGGACAGGGCAAGTACCCCAACCCCTTCTCTCCTTGTCTCTACCCTTCTCTGCTTTTCTGGGAGAGGGGCAAGTACCTCAACCCCTTCTCTCCGTGTCTCTACCCCTTCTCTGCTTTCCTGGGGCAGGGGTAAGTACCCCTCAACCCCTTCTCCTTCACCCTTAGCGGCAAATCCCACTTTCCTAGGGGGAAAGAACCCCCCAATCGCTTATTTCCGCACCCCAACCTCTTATCTCTGCACCCCAATACCTTATTTCCGCACCCTGACCTCTTATCTCTGTGCCTCAATCCCTTATTTCCGTGCCCCAACCCCTTCTCTGCTTTTCTGGAGGGCAGGAACCCCTCACCCCTTCTCCGTGTCTCTACTCTTTTCTCTGGGCTTGCCTCCTTCACTATAGGTAAGCTTCCACCTTCCATTCCTCCTTCTTCTCCCTTGGCCTGTGTTCTCAAAAACTTAAAATCTCTTCAACTCACACCTGACCTAAAACCTAAATGCCTTATTTTCTTCTGCAATGCCGCTTGACCCCAATACAAACTCGACAGTAGTTCCAAATAGCCAGAAAATGGCACTTTCAATTTTTCCATCCTACAAGATCTAAATAATTCTTGTCATAAAATGGGCAAATGGTCTGAGGTGCCTGACGTCCAGGCATTCTTTTACACATCAGTCCCTTCCTAGTCTCTGTGTCCAGTGCAACTCATCCCAAATCTTCCTTCTTTCCATTCTGCCTGTCCCCTTAGTCCCAACCCCAAGCGTCACTGAGTCTTTCTAATCTTCCTTTTCTACAGACCCATCTGACCTCTTCCCTCCTCGCCAGCCCAAGCTACGTCCCAATTCTTCCTCAGCCTCCGCTCCTCCACCCTATAATCTTTTTATCACCTCCCCTCCTCACACCTGGTCCGGCTTACAGTTTCGTTCCGTGACTAGCCCTCCCCCACCTGCCCAGCAATTTACTCTTAAAAAGGTGGCTGGAGCCAAAGACATAGTCAAGGTTAATGCTCCTTTTTCTTTATCCCAAATCAGATAGCATTTAGGCTTTTTCATCAAATATAAAAACCCAGCCCAGTTAATGGCTCGTTCGGCAGCAACCCTGAGACACTTTACAGCCCTAGACCCTAAAAGGTCAAAAGGCCGTCTTATTCTCAAAATACATTTTATTACCCAATCTGCTCCCAACATCAAATAAAACACCAAAAATTAAATTCTGGCCCTCAAACCCCACAACAGGATTTAATTAACCTCATCTTCAAGGTGTACAATAACAGAAAAAAGTTGCAATTCCTTGCCTCCACTGTGAGACAAACCCCAGCCACATCTCCAGCACACAAGAACTTCCAAATGCCTGACCCACAGCGGCCAGGCATTCCTCCAGAACCTCCTCCCCCAGGAGCTTGCTACATGTGCCGGAAATCTGGCCACTGGGCCAAGGAATGCCCGCAGCCCGGGATTCCTCCTAAGCCGCGTCCCCTCTGTGTGGGACCCCACTGAAAATCGGACTGTTCAACTCACCTGACAGCCACTCCCAGAGCCCCTGGAACTCTGGCCCAAGGCTCTCTGACTCCTTCCCAGATCTTCTCAGCTTAGCGGCTGAAGACTGACACTGCCCGATCCCCTCGGAAGCCCCCTAAACCATCATGGACGCCGAGCTTGGGGTAACTCTCACAGTGGAAGGTAAGCCCGTCCCCTTCTTAATCAATACGGAGGCTACCCACTCCATATTACCTTCTTTTCAAGGGCCTGTTTCCCTTGCCTCCATAACTGTTGTGGGTATTCACGGCCAGGCTTCTAAACCTCTTGAAACTCCCCAACTCTGGTGCTAACTTGGACAATACTCTTTTAAGCACTCCTTTTTAGTTATCCCCACCTGCCCAGTTCCCTTATTAGGCTGAGACACTTTAAATTATCTGCTTCCCTGACTATTCCTAGACTACAGCTATATCTCATGGCCGCCCTTTTTCCCAATCCAAAGCCTCCTTTGCGTCCTCCTCTTGTATCCCCCCACCTTAACCCACAAGTATAAGATACCTCTACTCCCTCCTTGGAGACCGATCATGCACCCCTTACCATCTCATTAAAACCTAATCACCCTTACCCCACTCAACACCAATATCCCATCCCACAGCAGGCTTTAAAAAGATTAAAGCCTGTTATCACTCGCCTGCTACAGCATGGTGTTTTAAAGCCTATAAACTCTCCTTATAATTCCCCCATTTTACCTGTCCTAAAACCAGACAAGCCTTACAATTTAGTTCAGGATCTGCACCTTATCAACCAAATTGTTTTGCCTATCCACCCCGTGGTGCCAAACCCATATACTCTCCTATCCTCAATACCTGCCTCTACAACCCATTATTCTGTTCTGGATCTCAAACATGCTTTCTTTACTATTCCTTTGCATCCTTAATCCCAGCCTCTCTTCGCTTTCACTTGGACTGACCCTGACACCCATCAAGCTCAGCAAATTACCTAGGCTGCACTGCCGCAAAGCTTCACAAACAGCCCCCATTACTTCAATCAAGCCCAAATTTCTTCCTCATCTGTTACCTATCTCGGCATAATTCTCATAAAAACACATGTGCTCTCCCTGCCAATCGTGTCCAACTGATCTCTCAAACCCCAGCACCTTCTACAAAACCACAACTCCTTTCCATCCTAAGCATGGTTAGCTCGGTCAGAATTCTTACACAAGAGCCAGGACCACACCCTGTAGCCTTTCTGTCCAAACAACTTGACCTTACTGTTTTAGCCTAGCCCTCATGTCTGCGTGCAGCAGCTGCCACTGCTTTAATACTTTTAGAGGCCCTCAAAATCACAAACTGTGTTCAACTCACTCTCTGCAGTTCTCATAACTTCCAAAATCTATTTTCTTCCTCATACCTGACGCATATACTTTCTGCTTCCCGGCTCCTTCAGCTGTACTCACTGTTTGTTGAGTCTCCCACAATTACCATTGTTCCTGGCCCATACTTCAATCCAGCCTCCCACATTATTCCTGATACCACACCTGACCCCCATGACCGTATCTCTCTGATCCACCTGACATTCACATTTCCCCAAATTTCCTTCTTTCCTGTTCCTCACCCTGATCACGCTTGATTTATTGATGGCGGTTCCACCAGGCCTAATCGCCACACACCAGCAAAGGCAGGTTATGCTATAGTACAAGCCACTAGCCCGCCTCTTAGAACCTCTCATTTCCTTTCCATTGTGGAAATCTATCCTCAAGGAAATAACTTCTCAGTGTTCCATCTGCTATTCTACTACTCCTCAGGGATTATTCAGGCCCCCTCCCTTCCCTACACATCAAGCTCGAGGATTTGCCCCACCCAGGACTGGCAAATTAGCTTTACTCAACATGCCCCGAGTCGGATAACTAAAATACCTCTTAGTCTAGGTAGACACTTTCACTGGATAGGTAGAGGCCTTTCCTACAGGGTCTGAGAAGGCCACCACAGTCATTTCTACCCTTCTGTCAGACATAATTCCTCAGTTTAGCCTTCCCATCTCAATACAGTCTGATAACAGACCAGCCTTTATTAGTCAAATCAGCCAGCAGTTTTTCAGGCTCTTAGTATTCAGTGAAACCTTTATATCCCTCACGGTCCTGCGTCTTCAAGAAAAGTAGAATAGACTAAAGGTCTTTTAAAAACACACCTCACCAAGCTCAGCCACCAACTTAAAAAGGACTGGACAATACTTTTACCACTTTCCCTTCTCAGAATTCAGGCCTGTCCTCAGAATGCTACAGGGTACAGCCCATTTAAGCTCCTGTATAGACGCTCCTTTTTATTAGGCCCCAGTCTCATTCCAGACACCAGACCGACTTTGACTGTGCCCCAAAAAAAATTGTCATCCCTACTATCTTCTGTCTAGTCATACTCCTAT
This sequence comes from Homo sapiens, assembly GCF_000001405.40. Taxonomy (NCBI): domain Eukaryota; kingdom Metazoa; phylum Chordata; class Mammalia; order Primates; family Hominidae; genus Homo; species Homo sapiens. Next base: position 131,300,215 of record NC_000006.12, read on the forward strand.
TCACCGTTCTCAACTACTCATACATGCCTTGCTCTTGTTTACACTGCCGGTTTACACTGTTTCTCCAAGCCATCACAGCTGATATCTCCTCCTGCTATCCCCAAACTGCCACTCTTAACTCTTGAAGTAAATAAATAATCTTTGCTGGCAGGACTATGCTGAATCTCCTTAGGCACTCTCTAATCAGATATCCTGAGTCATCCCAATTCTTAGAACTTTTATACCTGTTTTTCTCCTTCTGTTATTCCATTTAGTTTTTCAATTCATCCAAAACCGTATCCAGGCCATCACCAATCATTCTATACGACAAATGTTTCTTCTAACATCCCCACAATATCACCCCTTACCACAAGACCTCCCTTCAGCTTAATCTCTCCCACTCTAGGTTCCCACACTGCCCCTAATCCCGCTTGAAGCAGCTCTGACAAACATCGCCCATTCTCTCTCCATACCACTCCCTAAAAATTTTCGCTGCCCCAACACTTCAACACTATTTTGTTTTATTTTTCTTATTAATGTAAGAAGTCAGGAATGTCAGGCCTCTGAGCCCAAGCCAAGCCATCGCATCCCCTGTGACTTGCACGTATAAGCCCCGATGGCCTGAAGTAACTGAAGAATCACAAAAGAAGTGAATATGCCCTGCCCCACCTTAACTGATGACATTCCACCACAAAAGAAGTGTAAATGGCCGTTCCTTGCCTTAAGTGATGACATTACCTTGTGAAAGTCCTTTTCCTAGCTCATCCTGGCTCAAAAAGCTCCCCCACTGAGCACCTTGGGACCCTTGCCCCTGCCCACCAGAGAACAACCCCCTTTGACTGTAATTTTCCTTTACCTTCCCAAATCCTATAAAATGGCCCCACCCCTATCTCCCTTGGCTGACTCTCATTTCGGACTCAGCCCGCCTGCATCCAGGTGAAATAAACAGCCATGTTGCTCACACAAAGCCTGTTTGGTGGTCTCTTCACACGGACGCGCATGAAACCGGCCTTGCAGAGAGTCCCTGTTTCCCTCTTTTCCTTTTCACCCAAGAAACGCTGCCCTTCTCACCCTTCAAATAGTGTGCGAGCCTAATTTTTTGTGGTCGTGTGATGAGGACCCCATCTTTAGTTGAACTAAGGAAAGTGTCTTACAACAGAAGTGCCAGAGAGGTGGCCAGCTTGGTATAGAAGTGACCCTTGCTGCTATCCTGGAGGTCAGCTGTAACAGCGGAAGGGGTGGTGGGGCTTGTTGGGGCTTGAGAAGGCTGAAGACAGCCTGTGCCACACTGCCTGCTGTGATTTCTGAGGACCCAGAGTGCCATGAGAGATGATCTCCATCAATCACAGAATAGGCAAAAAACATAGTTTCCAGAAAGAGAAAAAAAATGGACCCAAACCACATATAAAGAGGTAGACCTCAGGCCGGGCATGGTGGCTCATGCCTGTAATCCCAGTACTTTGGGAGGCCGAGGTGGGCAGAGTCAGGAGTTTGAGACCAGCCTGATTAACATGGTGAAACCCTTTCTCTACTAAAAATACAAAAATTAGCCGGGTGTAGTGGTGGGTGCCTGTAATCCCAGCTACTCGGGAGGCTGAGGAAGGAGAATCGCTTGAACCTGGGAGGCGGAGGTTGCACTGAGCCGAGATGGTGCCATTGCACTCCAGCCTGGGCAACAGAGGGAGGCTCCATCTAAAATAAAAATAAAAATAAAAAAAGGTATATAGACTTCACTAATAATTAAATAAAAGAAGTTAAAGCAATAATGAGGTAGCTTTTAAAAAACCTGTCAGAGCAGTAAAGATTTAAAAGTTTAATAATACATGAGCTTGGTGCAGGTGTGTGAAGCAGGAGCTGTCACATCATTTTGGTAGTGTGATGGTTAATACTGAGTGTCAACTTGATTGGACTGAAGGGTGCAAAGTATTGTTCCTGTGTGTGTCTGTGATGGTGTTGCCAAAGGAGAGTAACATTTGAGTCAGTGGGCTGGGGAAGGCAGACCCACCCTTAATCTGGTGGTCACAGTCTAATCAGCTGCCAGCGTATATAAGGCAGGCAGAAAAAATGTGAAAAGGCGAGACTGACCTAGCCTCCCAGCCTATATCTTTCTCCCATGCTGGATGATTCCTGGCCTCGAACATCAGACTCCAAGTTCTTCAGTTTTGGAACTCAGACTGGCTCTCTTTGCTCCTCAAGTTTGCAGACAGCCTATTGTGGGAACTTGTTATTGTGTAAGTTAATACTTAGTAAACTGCCCCCTTTTTTTTGAGATGGAGTCTCGCTCTTGTTGCCCAGGCTGGAGTGCAATAGCATGATCTCACCTCACTGCAACCTCCACCTCCCGGGTTCAAGCAATTCTCCTGCCTCAGCCTCCCATGTAGCTGGGATTACAGGCGCCTGCCACCATGCCTGGCTAATTTTTTGTACTTTTAATAGAGATGGGGTTTCACCATGTTGGCCAGGCTGGTCTGGAACTCCTGACTTCAGGTGATCTGCCTGCCTCAGCCTCCCAAAGTGCTAGTATTACAGGTGTGAGCTACCGCACCCGGCCTAAACTTCCCTTTACACATTTATATATCCTATTAGTTCTGTCCCTCTAGATAACCCTGACTAATACAGGTAGAAATTGGAATTTATACCATATTTTGGGAGAAGAATTTGGTGAAATCTATGATGAAGGTGTTGACCCAGCAATTAATTCCATTTCAAAAAAATTTGCAATGGGTATATTTGCATGTGTTTGCAGAAACGTAAGTACAAGGATTTTCACTGCACCATAGTTTATGATGGCAACAATGACAAAAGAAGAAAACAACTTATACTCAAGCAATAAAGGTTTGATTAATAAATTATGGTACGTACCAATTATACTGCTGTTAAAAAGAATGACGTGGATATAGTTATTTTGAAATACAAAGATCAATAAGCATATAAAGCAAAATGCAAAGCACAAGATCATAGGAATAATATGCTTCTATTCATAAGGGTGTTTCAGAAAGGTGTTATGTGTATAGAGTATGTATATACAGGGAAAGTTCTGGAAGGATACCCAAGAAATCATTGAAGATGCTTCCTCTAGAGAATATAACTGAGGATCTGGAAGAAAAATCAGATTCACTTTTCATTAGCGCATGCTGGGAAATGTAAGCAAAGTCTCCAGGGAGGAGTCTCAGATCATGGGACTCAGTCAATGTCAGGGCCTAGGGAACTGAAAACAGAGGTTAGAACAGGGAAGCCTTCAAGAAAAGTTCAGTCTCTGATATAGAGGACAGAGTCACCAAGATGGAGAAAGACAAGATAGCAGGGGATGAAGGACAGCTGAGAAGAGGTAGGAATACACTGTTCTCAAGGATAGAGATGCTATATTAAGCACTAAGAGCCAGTTGTGACAAATGTCCAGAAATCCTTAATGAGCGATCCCAAGACACACAATGAGAAGATTGTTTCTCCCCAGATAGGATTTGGATTTGTGTCTCCACCCAAATCTCATGCGGAATTGTAATCCCCAGTGTTGGAGGAGGGGCCTGATGGGAGGTGATTGCATCCTGAGGGCGGATATCCCCTTTGCTGTTCTCATGCTACTGAGTGAGTTCTCATGAGATCTGCTTATTTAAAAGTATGGAGCACCTCCCCCTTGACTTTATTCCCCCTGCTCCAGCCATGGAGGACGTGCCTGCTTCCCCGTTGCCTTCAGCCATGATTTTAGGTTTCCTGCGGCTTCCCCAGCCATGCTTACTGTACAGCCTGCAGAACTGTGAGTCAATTAAACCTCTTTTCTTTATAAATTACCCAGCCTCGGGTAGTTCTTTATAGCAAGAACTATGCAAAAATGGACTAATACATCCCCCTAAGGTTTATGTTAGGCATTTGCAGTTAGTACAGGGTTTACAGGTCTTAAGGAAGAGATGGTGTTGGATTACTCCCGTTTCCAGAAATGCAACAAAATAGAAAAGGTTTACTCCAGGAAGGGTTTTCAGGTGGAGGCATTAGAATGTTCTGGACATCTGGATCTACAATAAGCTAAAGTGGGAAGTCCTTACTCTCTAATGTTGCCTCTGAGTTTGAAGACAACACTCTATATGGCAATAGTGTGTGTTCAAAAATAAAATACCATTAACAGCTTGAAAATAGCAAAAGGGAAGGAAACCAAAGAGAATGGGGGAAGGAACAGTCTATGAAAGTCTTCTTTAGACTCTATCATCATTGATACCCAGTTACAAGACAAACCACTTCTCAAAAGTGAGCAAATAATAACATTTTCTTACAATTTCGGTTATTCTTTCAAAGAAGAAAGAGGGAAGGAAAAATTAAGGGAATTTGTGGTGTGAGGCACACTTTTTGGCATAGGAGAACAAACATATCTTGTTTTTTATATGCCTTGCTAATTATGTATTTTAAAATAGTGGCCCAAAAGTTAGAGAAATGAAATGAAAGTCAAGAAAATTGGAAAGGTGGAAAATTGGAAATGCTTCACACCAAGCAGTAATTCCTGTAGTTTGAGTTATATTACTTGGTTAAGAAGCTTAGGAAGCTTGGGTGACACTAAAGTAATAATATCGTAATAATGCTGGAAATAATAGTGCAGTAACAATGCTCTAACGATGCTGAAGTAATAATGCTGTAATGATGTGGATTAGCACTGTGGGTGACATGCTGAATATCAGCATCATTATAGCAAGGAAAAGCTTACTGTCGTATTGGTACAAAATAGGCACTCAAGTTTTAAATCAAATCAATGTTTACATTTTCTACGCAATTAAAATGCAATTTTGGGGAGTGTACAATTCTATGAGTTTTTATACATAAATAGATTCTTGTAACTACCATCATAGACAAGATACAGAACGATTTTAGCATCCTGAAGAGAACTTTCCGTCTGTCCTGGTGCATTTAGGCCCTTTCTCCCCCACCCCAACCCGTCTACCTCTTATGTGTCCTCTGTTCCTACATTTTTGCCTTTTCCAAAATGTCACATGAATAGATTCATATAGTATGTGCATATTTGAGGCTGGGTTCTTTTGCTTGCATAATATATCCTTTTTTATTTTTAAAAGAATACTTCTCTTCGCTGACTACAAGACAAGGGAAGAGAGCAGGAAAGACTCAGGGACTGCAGAACTTACACAGATAGCATCTTGACATTCTAAAAGAAATGGAGAAATATATGAGGCATGCCTGCAACACTGTTTTCCTTCATGTAACAAGAGCTTCATCTATTTAAAGCATATGTATTCTGATTTGCCTTTTCTATTTTAAGCATGTTCAAATATATGTCCTCCAGAGGCATGATGGAAGAAAACTCACCTCCCTACAGACTTTCCTGAGTCTTTCGCATATGGAAATGCAATTATTCATATATAATTAAATTTTTTTTGTTAGTTGGGCACTGAGCTTTTTCTCTTGCTAGTGAGATAATCCTTGGCAGCACATTACCTCGTTTGGTGGAAAACTGCTGACCTTCCAAACAGTCACAGGTTTATTCAGCACAGGTTTTTCTGCCTGCACAGCATACAGAGTTGCTGTGTATTGTGAGTTGAGTTGGATCTAGAGGAGGTGAGAAGAGGCATGGCTTGTATTTTGCTGCCTGAGGGACATTTACAGCTTCCATCAATGTGTGTCCACTTCCATTATAAGTAATATATTATCTTTGCACAGAGTTCTACTATTTCACATGCTGCAAACCATTATTTAGGGAGGGAATTAATATTATGCTTTGGAATTCTCACTGAAGTGAACACATTTAGCAGATAAAGGGTTTAATACTTGTTGATAAATAAAAGCAGTGACTACCATTTCCAGCTCTCCTACACACACACACACACGCACACACGTGCACACACACACTTTCACACTCATATGTGTTGTGTAGGGGTTGGGGAGAAGTGGCTTGCAATTTTGGATAGAATAACCAGTTGCAAATTGGTTTGCTGTTGCGTTTTTAATAGTATGCAAATGTGCTGTGGGATGTATAAAATGTACCACTGAACCTAGTTAATACCTAAATGAGAGCTTGCTTGATTTCTTCAAGTGGTTAATATCAAGCTATTTGAATCGATCCAGTTTGCCAATGGGCTCAATTCTGTACTTCCTAGGGGTTTCTTTAAAATGTGTTACAATTCCAAATGGATTTGTTTTCAGTTTTCATTTTCTATTGCATTTCCTTTGAGGTTGACCGTGTTCTTTATTTGCTTATTAAAAACTTCATGTTTGAAATTATGAAATGTTTATGATTAAGAAGAAGACTAGTCCAATAACTAAACAGAGCATTGAAACATATTTCTATCATCACTGTTATGCTGAGCATACTAGAAAACTCTTCACTGGGGCCGGGTGCAGTGGTTCACACCTGTAATCCCAGCACTTTGGGAGGCCGAGGCCGGTGGATCATTTGAGGACAGGAGTTCAAGACCAGCCTGGCCAACATGGTGAAACCCCATCTCTACTAAAAATATAACATAGTGAAACCCCATCTCTATAAAAACACAAAAATTAGCCGGGTGTGTGCCTGTAATGCAAGCTACTTGGGAGGCTGAGGCAGCAGAGTCTCTTGAACCCGGGAGGTGGAGGCTGTAGTGAGCCAAGACCGTGCCACTGCACTCCAGCTTGGGTGGCAGAGACTCCGTCTAAAAAAACCAAACAAACAAAAAAACTCTCCAGTGGTTAGTGTTTCACACTGGAGAAAGAATAAAGTACTGTACTAAAGACTAAAAAATAGTAGACCATTGTCTATACCTCATTGGGCAAATGAAATTGACTATATTTCTATTGGCTGGGAGACCCTCTTTTGCAGTTAGGAATGGTACAATGAAAGATCTGTTTTGAATTCTACATGTTCAGCTGCTGTCCAAACAGCCGTGAATGCTTATTCTTTGTGTGTGCTCTCATTACACCTTCAACATAGTCATAATCATTAATTTAATGCAGCTGCCTTTCCCTCAGGTGTCTTGGAAGACTTCAATGACAAGGACTTTTTTTTTCATTGTATGCAAAGGAGCTCAACCAATATTTGTTTGGCTTTTTTTAAGATGGTGTCTTACTCTGCCGCCCAAGCCGGAGCACAAGGGCACCATTTCGGCTCACTGCAACCTCCAGCTCCCAGGTTCAAGCAATTCTTGTGCCTCAGCCTCCCGAGTAGCTGGAATTATAGGCGAGTGCCATCGTGCCTGGCTAATTTTTTTTATTTTCAGTAGAGATGGGGTTTCGCCAGGCTGGTCTCACACACCTGACCTCAAGTGATCTGCCCTCCTTGGCCTCCCAAAGTGTTGGGATTACAGGCATGAGCCACCACGCCCGGCCTCAATCAATGTTTTTGAAAAAATGTTTATGAATTGAGGGCCATAGCTTTTCTAGACCTAAAAGATAATATATTATAGCACTGGAAATGAAGGTTTGGAGACCCGGTATTCTGTAAAAATAAGCCAGTCATTTCCAGATCATCCCTCCCTATTCCACAGACAAGAATTTCTGAGAGGCCTCATCCAGCATCTCATGCCCTAGCAGCCCAGGCATCACCTTCTGAGAGTCAAATACTCACTTCTCTGCTCTGCCATGCATGCCCCTTTTGGAAGAATGCTGTCCTGAGCAGGGTAGTATTACATGCTCCATCCCCAAAGTAGAAAACCATTGAGGTGACAAAATGGTACTGCCATCCCTTCAGTCCTCACTAGGTAGGGCCATGATTGTTCCTCACAGAAATGGATGGCATTCCCCTCACCTCAGTATTGTGGCATATTTTATCATCTGGACCTCTAAACACATGGCTTAGTCTCAAAATTCCATTCATGAAAAACTACTACAAACTTCCACTTTTGGCCATGATAAGAAAAGCAATGACCAGCCGGGCACGGTGACTCATGCCTGTAATCCCAGCACTTCGGGAGGCTGAGGTGGGCAGATCCCCTGAGGTCAGGAGTTTGAGACCAGCCTGACCAACATGGAGAAACTCTGTCTCTACTAAAAATACAAAAAATTAGCCGGCCATGGTGGCGCATGCCTGTAATCCCAGCTACTTGGGAGGCTGAGGCAGGAGAATTGCTTGAACCTGGGAGGCGGAGGTTGTGGTGAGCCAAGATTGCACCATTGCACTCCAGCCTGGGCAACAAGTACGAAACTCTGCCTCAAAAAAAAAAAAAAAAAAAAAAAAAGAAAAGAAAAGTAAAAGAAAAGCAATGACCAGATATCACTGCCCTCTCTTCCATAAACAACTAGCAAACTGGACAAAATAAATGACACGACCATTTTCAAACATTGGGCAGCAGGCAGCATAAGGTTGTGATCCTTGAGAGAAGAGAAAAAGCCCTAAATGTCTCAGCTTTCAGCCCAAAGGCCAATTCCAGACCGGTAGGGGAGCCCCCAAATCCCTGATGGCATTATTGAGTTGAAGATGGAGATCAAAGTTCAGGGAAGCTGAGATGACTGGAAGTTGTGGGACAGAGTTCCTGAAAAGGGGATGCTAAAGATAAAAAGAGTTCCAGAAATATGTATGAGGGTTGTATTGAGTCTTTGTTAAGTGCTAGGCCACCCATGTGCAGAGTGAAAACCCACAACACAAAGAAAGCCTAGGGTGTCATAAGCAGAAAAATTCCCAGAGCTCACACAGGTCAGGGTGATGTCTAAACTCTGGCCAGGCAACGTGGGGATTCCTGAGACCTCTGAGGTATCCAGCAGAGATTTCAGAGTGATGTTGCCTTAATAATAGATCTAACTAGCTCTCTTTTTTTTTTTTTTTTTTTTGGAAACAGGGTCTCACTCTGTTGCCTAGGCTGGAGAAGTGTTGTGCCATGATCTCGGCTCACTGCAACGTCCTCCGCCTCCTGGGTTCAAGTGATTCTCCTGCCCCAGCCTCCTGAATGCCTGGCTAATTTTTTTTTTGTATGTTTAGTAGAAACGGGGTTTCACCATGTTGACTAGACTGATCTTGAACTCCTGGCTTCAAGTGATCCACCCACCTCAGCCCCCCAAAGTGCTGGGATTACAGGCATGAGCTACCATGCCCAGCCCCTGAACTATCTCTTGAATGAAGGCTACACTAGAATCATTCTAGCAAAGCTTAAAAACAGAACTCAAAGGTATCAAACTGACCTGCTGTCTTTCAAAACAAAGACTGATGCTGTTTTTTAAAAAAGGCAACAAACTCCAGATACTCAACACCCTAATAATACTAAGCTTATCAAAAGATAGGAAATGTGACCCATGACCAGGAGAAAAATTGCCAAGAGAAATGAACCCCAAAATGTCAGAGATCATGATATTAGTAGATAAAATGGTTAGAACAGGAATTATAACTATGTAAAGTGTTTAAAGGAAAACAAAAATAATGAGGAGAAACAAGGAAGATGAAAAGGAATTTCCAGAAATGAAAAATCTAATATCTGAAATGAAATTTTCACTGTATAGGATTTACAGCAGATTAGACACCACAGAAGAAAAGATTAGTGAAATTGAAGACATGGCAGTAAAATCTATCCAAAATGAAATAGAAAGAAAAACAATTGGAGACAAAATGAAAAGAGCCCTAATGACTTTTGGAACTATGTCAAAGAGTCTGACAGATTTAAAATTGGAGTCCAAGAAAGATACGGTGGATGGGTAAGGGACAGAAAATATAATTGGAGAAATAGTTTCTGAAAAATTTCCTAATTTGATGAAAATGTTACATCTCAAAAATCTAAGAAGCTCAACAAATTTCAACAAGGTTAAACATCTGCATATCTGTACCTTCAAACAACCAGGCCCACACCAAGGCATACCCAAATTTCTGAAAACCAGTTACAAAATAAGAGTGACAGCGGACTTCTGGTCAAGCTACACAAGTATCTTTAAAATGCTGAAAAAAATATGTCAATACAAAATTTTATAACCAACAAAAATATTCTTCCAAAATTAAGGCAAAACCAAAAAACCCTTTTCAGAAACTAAACTGAGAAAATTAGTTGCCTGCCGACCTGCGTTATAAGAAATGTTAAATAAAATTCTTCAGGTGAAAGGAAAATGATACAAATTCAGACCTACGCAAGGGAGTAAAGAACATGTAAAATGGCAAATGCCTGGATTTTTAAACATAAAAGTTATTTTTTTCCAGTTAAAAGGTAAATATTATCAAATTGGATTTAAAAAGTAAGGCTCAATTATATATTGTCTATGAGGAGCCTACTTTAATTATAAAGACGTGCATTAAAAGTAAAAGGTTGGGAAAATATATACCATGTGGACACTACATTTAAGAAAGCTAGCATGGCTACTTTGTGACACAAGATAGACTTCAGAAGGAAGGTTGTCATGGATAGGATGGATTATTTCATAATGGAAAAAGGGAACATTCACCCATTAAATACACCCAGTGTATTTAACCTGATTCACTATGCATAAACCCAATAACATACCTTCAAAATACATGAAACAAAAATTGACAGAACTGAATAACACTGTCAACCAACTTGACCTAATTGGTATTTATAGACCATTTTGCCCAAGAACAATGCAATAAACATTCTATTCAAATGCATATGAAGTGTTCACCAAAACAAACCATATTTTATTTTTTGTTATAAGACCATAAAATAAGTCAATAAATTTAAAAGGATTGAAATATTGCAGAGTATGTTCTCTAACCATAGAGAAAATAAGGTAGAAAGAAATAAGAGAAAGCTATCTGGAGAATGCCTAAATATTTGTAAATTAAACCCAGATTTGCAAGTAATTCATATATCAACAAGGGCAATTATAAATTATTTGGAAATGAGTGAAAATAAAAATAGAGTATATTGAAATTTGAGACACAGCTCAAGTACTGAATGGAGGGAAACTTATGGCTTTAAATGTTATAGTAGAAAAAAGAAAGATCTCAAATCAATGATCTAAGCTTCCACCTTAAGAAGCTGAAAAAAGCGAAAGAAATTAAACCCAAAGTATGTAGAAGGAAACAATAAAGATAAGAGCAGAAGTCAGTGAAATAAAAATAGGCACAAAATTGAGAAATTTTGAAAAACAACAAATACTAATCAAGATAATAGAAAGAAGACAAAACTTACCAATACCAGGAGTGAACAAAGGAGAGATCTTTACAAATCTTACAGATATTAAAAGCCTAATAAAGGAAAATTGAAGAAAAGTAAAACTTAGATGAAACGGGCAAATTCCTTGAAAGATACACATTAGCAGCACAGACTTAATAAAAAAGTAGAAAACTGAATAATGTTATACCTATTAATAGAATTAAGTTCATAATTTAAAAACCCTCCCACAAGGAAAACTCCTGGCTCTGATAGCTTCACTATTGAATTCCAACAAATATTTAAAGAAGTCATACCAACCTTATGCAAACTCTTCCAGATAATAGAAGAGAGTAAACATTTTTTTCACTTCATTTTACAAAGCCAGCATAACTCTAACAGCAAAAGAAAAGACAATTCAAGGAAAAAAAAACCAAACTACAGATTGATATTACTCATGAACAGTAACAAAAATAAGTAATAAAAACTTAGCAAATAAAACAATAGCTCTGTGTGTGTGTGTGTCTCTGTGTGTATATCAGGTATGAGCAAGTATGGTTTACATAAGATTGAAAGTTTGATTTAATATTTGAGAAATCAATGTAATTTACCACTTTATCAAAATAAAGGATAAAACCACATGATCATTTCAAGAGATGTAGCATAAACACTTGACAAAATTCAAGAACATTTCATTTTTTAAATATCTCAATAAATTAGGAAAAGCAGGGAACTTTCTGATAAAAAGTGTTGTTTAAAACCTATCATTAATGTCATACTTAATGGCGAAAGACTGAAGGCTTTACCCATAGGATCAAAAATAAGCTAAGAATGCCCATTCTCATAATTTCTATCCAATATTGTACTCGCAGGTCTAGCCAATACAATAAAGCAAGAACAAGAAATTCAAAGAATACAAATGAGAAAGGAATACTTAAAACAGGTTTCATTCACAGGTGACATAATTGTATACAAAGAAATTCCTATAGACTCTTAAAAATTGGTAGAACTAATCTTAGCAAGGTCATAGGATATCAGGTCAGTATACAAAATTCAATTATATCTTAAATGTATTTGCAATGACAATTGAATATTAAAATTTTAAATCATCTACAATAGTATCTAAAAACATGAAAAACAGGAAAAAATGTGTAAGATTGGAAGAGTGAACACTATTAAAACATCACTGAGAGAAATTAAAGAAGTCCTAAATAAATGGAGAGATTTATGTTTATGAATTAGAAGATTCAATATTGTTCAGATGTCAGTTCTCCCCAAATTGATCTATGGGTTCAACGCATCCTTTTGGGTAAAGTTTGCTCTTACTTTAGGCCTGGGGAGAGTTCCCTTTGAGATGGTTTATCCCTATGTTCTGCTGAGTTGGAATGTCAGTTTTCCTGGAGTTTATGCAGCATGTAGAACATGGTATTTTTTGTACTTGTTCTTCCATTAAATTTCACATCCTGGAAACATGTTTGTCTGGATGGGATGTTTTCTTTGGTAGCAAAGGTGACGATATTTCAAAATTAAATTTTGTAAGATTTTCTGGTCTCAAATTAGTTTTCAATAGAAACCACTCCAGAAATGAAAAGGGCATGTGAACTAGTAATAAGTATTTGAGCGCAGCTATTTCAAGTTCATCTGGGGCTGCTGTTACAACTAATTGTCAAAATATACCTTTGTTATTCTTTTTCACAAAACAGTTCCAATAACTGGAGTCTCAATTGGCAGTGGTTGAGCTCATGCTGATCTAAGACTTGGGATATTGTCACTGGAAATATAGTTGACAGCAATTACAGTATCTTTTCTTATTCTTTGTTGCCTTACTTCTCAAAGGGTAGAAAATAGGTCAGAAAAATAGACAAACCCAGGACACCTGTTAGAAATACAGAACCTCAGTCTCCATCACCCTCATCAATTCAATCAGAATCTTTATTTTAACCTGATTTACTGGTGATTCCTATACATATTAAAATTTTAGAAGGGCAGCATATTTATTCTTCTTTAAAACCACTCCCAGCTAATCTGGGCTGGCAGACTTTTTTCTGGAGTAAGAGTGAATTTGTAGAGATGTCACCAATAGTATTGTAATCTCACTGGAACAACTTTTCTTCTTAAACTTATTATGTAAAATCACCAAAAGTTTTATTCACTGTTTTCCTCTGACAAGATAATCATAAAGAATTAGTCTCCATTAGCAAATTATTGATGTTTCACAAGCCTTACATTTGGATTTGACTATGTATAGATACCTTTTTTTTCAACTTTTATTTTAGATTCAGCAGGTACACGTGCAGGTTTGTTACATGGGTATATTGTGTATAAGGTTTAGGATAGGAATTATCCATTTCATCACCCAAGCACAGTACCTAATAATTAGCTTTTCTTTTTCTTTTTTTTTTTTTTTTTTTTGAGATGGGGTCTCACTCTGTCGCCCAGGCTGGAGTGCAGTGGCGCGATCTCAGCTCACTGCAAACTCCGCTTCCTGGGTTCACACCATTCTCCTGCCTCAGCCTCCTGAGTAGCTGGGACTACAGGCGCCCGCCACTGTGCCCAGCTAATTTTTTGTATTTTTAGTGTAGAGACGGGGTTTCACCATGGTCTCGATCTCCTGAGCTCGTGATCCGCCCGCCTCGGCCTCTCAAAGTGCTGGGATTACAGGCGTGAGCCACCGTGCCTGGCTAAATAGTTTTTCAACCCTTGTCCCCTTTCCTGCTTCCCCTTTGTAGTAGTCCCCAGTTCCTACTGTTGCCATCTTTATGTCCATGAGTACCCAATGTTTAGCTCCCACTTATGTGAGAACATGTAGTATTTAGTTTTTTATTACTGCATTAATTTGCTCAGATTTTGTTCCTTTTTATGGCTGCATAGTATTCCATGGTGAATATGTACCACATTTTCTTTATCCAGTCTACCACTGATAGGCACCTAGGTTGATTCCATGTCTTTGCTATTGTGAATAGTACTACAATTAACTTGTGAGTGCATGCGTCTTTTTGGTAGAATGATTTGTTTTCTTTCAGACATATACCTGGTAATGGGACTGCTGGGTCAAATGATAGTTCTAGGTTCTTTGAGAAATCTCCAAACTGCTTTCCACAGTGGCCAAATTAATTTACATTCCCACCAACAGTGTATAAGCATTCCCTTTTCTCCACAGCCTCACCAGCATCTGTTATTTTTCGCTTTTTAGTAATAGCCATTCTGACTGGTGTGAAATGGTATCTCAGTGTGGTTTTGATTTGCATTTCTCTGGTGATTAGTGATGTGGAGTGTTTTTTCATATGTTTGATGGTCACTTGTATGTCTTCTTTTGAGAAATGTCTGTTCATGTCTTTTGCCCATTTTTTGATAGGATTGTTTGGTTTTTGCTTATTCAATTGTTTATGTTCCTTATAGATTCTGGATATTAAACTTTTGTTGAATGAGTAGTTTGTGAACTTTTTCTCCTATTCTGTAAACAGACAACCTACAGAATGGGAAAAAGTGCTTACAGACAACCTACAGAATGGGAGAAAAAATTCACAAACTACTTGTTGATAGTTTCTTTTGCTGTGCAGAAGCTCTTTTGTTTCAGTAGGTTCCGCTTGACAATATTTACATATGTTGCAATTGCTTTAGAGGACTTAATCATAAATTATTTCCCAAGGCTGATGTCCAGAATAGTGTTTCTTCAGTTTTCTTCTTAGATGCTTATATTTTGAGGTCTTACATTTAAATCTTTAACCCATCTTGAGTTAAATTTTGTATATGGTGAGAGGTAGGGGTCCAGTTTCATTCTTCTGCATATGGCTAGCCAGATATTTCAGCACAATTTATTGACTAAGAAGTCATTTCCCCATCACGCGTTTTTGCTGACTTTGTTGAATATAAGATTGCTGTAAGTGTGCAGCTTTATTTCTGGGTTCTCTATTCTGTTCCATTGGTCCACATATCTGTTTTTGTACCAGTACCACACTGTTTTGGTTACTGTAGCCTTATAGTATAATTTGAAATTAGATAATGTGATGCCTCCAGCCTTCTTCTTTTTGCTTAAGGTTGCTTTGGCTATTTGGGCTCTTTTTTGGTTCCATATGAATTTTAGAGTAGTTTTTTCTAGTTCTGTGAAAAATGATGTTGATAGTTTGATAGGAATAGCATTGAAACTGTAGATTGCTTTGGGCAGTATGGGCCATTTTAACACCATTTGTTCTTCCAATCCATGAGCATGGAATTTTTTTTCATTGATTTATGTCATCTATGATTTATTTTAGCAGTGTTTTGTACTTCTCCCTACAGAGATCTTTTACCTCCTTGGATAGATGTATTCCTAGGTTATATATAGATGCTACTACATGTGCTTTGGTGAAGTCTGCACATATAATTTAGATATAGATAATGAAAATAATTTTATAATATGCCTTTCAATTTAGAAAGGAATCATTTAAATTTTTTTGTGTACATCTTAGGTAGGGACTAAACTTTGCCCTGTGGGGCAGTGTTTAGGAGGTGCTCAACAGAGGCAATACAGCCCAAGTTGACTATTGAAAGATTACTTGGGGAAGGGTCAGATATGAAGAGAAGGTGACCATGTTTTAAGAAACCTCACATATTGTTAACATCCGTTCATGTGGAATAATAAATGTGTGTGTGGAGGAGATGTGTGAGGGGCTTTATAGAGTAACGAGATTCATGAAAGTAAGGCCATCAAATTGTGAATGGCGCTATGTCATGGTGTTGGGATTCTAGGGGGAAAATGAGTGGAACTGGAAGCAAACTATTTCTCATTTAGATGCAGACAAATTTATAAAACTCTCTTTCTTTCTTTTCTTCCTTTCTTTCTTTTTTTTAATTTTTTTTTTTTTTTTTATTTTTTGAAAAGGAGTCTTGTTCTGTCACCCAGGCTGGAGTGCAGTGGCGCCATCTCAGCTCACTGAAACCTCCACCCCGACTGGTTCAAACGATCCTCCTGCTTCAGCCCCCTTAGGAGCTGGGACTGCAGGCTGCACCACCATGCCCAGCTAGTTTTTATATCTTTGGTAGAGATGGGTTTTCGTTATGTTGGCCAGACTGGTCTTGAACTCCTGGGCTCAGCCACACAGTATCTGTTAGACTGTGCATAATCCAGCTAACATTTTCAGACTTCAGTATTCTCCACAGCTGACCAATAATGTTCATATGGGATGTGAGTTGTATTAGATGGCTTCCTGGGATTTGTTAGCTTCAGGGTTTTTGATGTAATTCTGCCATGCATAATCACCATTCTCTTTTCAATTGCACAAAGGCCATTTTTCTGAGATTTCATGTAAAATTATGATGGTGGGTTTACAGAGATCAAAGAGTTATGAGCAAAGAGGGTGCCCAAAGAAATTACTGCTAGAATAATTACTGTTGCTAACAGTACTGTAACTTAAAATATTTGTTCAAGCAACATATATTGAATGCCTTGGGTATGCTAGGCCTGGAGGTACAGAGTGAACAAAATAGTTGTGTTTGGAAAATTATGATAAGTTAATGATAAGCCCTCTTAGTAGAGGGCTTATTTCAAGGAAGGACAGCAAGTACAAAATGTAAAACTGGTGAAACTGAAAGAAGCCAATGTGATTGGAGTGCAGAGACTGAGGGGCTGGGTTGGGTAGGATTTGGCTCAGGTGCTAACCACAGCTGAGAGGGCAAGTAAGATGCAGTCTCAAAGTGTCCTTTGGGTTTAGCAACACTGTGGAGCTCAAGTGAAGTCCCTTTCAAGGAGCAGTGGTGGTGACAGCCACAGCAGAGTGGGTGGAGAATTGTCCAGGAGATGAGGCCACAGATGTGGTGAGAATGAGCACCGTCTTGAGAAATTTGGTTATGAAAAGAAGAAAAGAGAGGGGAAAATAGATGGGGAGTGTTTAGGGCTGAGTGTTTGAGTCCCTCCAAAATTTATGTGCTGATATCCTACCCCCCAATGTGATGGTATTAGGAGGTGGAGACTTTGGGAGGTGATTAGGTCAGAGGGTGGAGCCCTTATGAGTGGGATTAGTGCCCTTATAAAAGGACCCCAGAGAGCTCTCTCACTCTCCTTTTCACAAGCAGACGCAGCAATCAGACAGCTGTTTACAAACTAAGAAGAGGGTCCTCACCATGAACCTGACCCTGCTGGCATCCTTGTCTTGGACTTCCAATTTCCAAAACTGTGAGAAATCAATGTTTGCTGTTTAAGCCACCAATTTATTGTATTTTGTTATAGCAGCCAGAGCTAGGACAGAAATGAAATTGGTTGATTTTCTTTTCCCTTTCCTAATGGGAAAAGACAAAATGGAGAGGTTAAAGATGTAGAAGAGAGAAGGGATAGAATTCTTGATAGTTGACATATGGGATATGGAGCACAAGTAGATGAATTGGCCTTAGGTGAAGGGGACACTCCTCTACTGTAAACCCTGGCTGTATTATGCGGGGACAGGAAGGTTAGTGATATTCTGAGGTTTTCCTAATGTATCTCGAAAGAAATGGGTTCCCTAGATGTCAAAGGGATGGATTGCATGAACAGCCTGTGTGAGTCACAAACCAACCAAGAACTGTGAGATTATGCCAGAGACACTGAGTCTGCAGTACTGCAGATATCCATGTGATGCTCTGAGAAGCCTAAATATTTGTTAACGTAGTTTGTCTTCTACAGAACATACAATGTTTTATTCATTATTGGTCTCCATTAGTCTGGAGACTAATACACTGTGGGCAGAGAGCTTGCACTAGCTCTATGGTAAAAATGCAGTTACTGATTAGGCTCAAGCCAACAGGATTATGAAAACTCAGGTAACTTGTAACGAGGCCTCTAATCTGGTGATTATAGGTCAGTGTCCTGTGATGATTTGAAGAAGGCATCGAAGGTCTGAGTTTCAAAGATCATTCTTCTACATTTTTCCCCATTTTTACCTGATGCTCTCTTTTTAACCAGCCACCTTCATTTTCCTTTTCCCAGAGGTGCTCTTTCCTGCTACATTTGGATACAAGTCTCTGGTGGGCCCTGTTTGCCCAGATCCTTGGGCAAGTAAGTTTGACGTCAATTGATCTTAATCTCAGATGCCAAGTTTGTGCTAAGGTGTAAACGACCCTTCAGTAAATTGACTAATCTTGTTGGGCATTGCCATAGTTATAAAATGTTAAGGAAGTAGAGGTTTTTGTTTGTTTGTTTGTGAATTTTTTCAACAGAGAGCCTTTCAAAAGATGTCACAAAGATTAGGAAACATCTCCATCTGTTATGGAGTATGTTTTCTGTAATGATTCAGTTACCAAGACTACACTGGCAGCAAGAGTTCCTCTGTCTGGGTGATGCTGAAGGTCAATCTCTGATCGGTCCTCAGAAGCCTTCAAAGATCTTTGAAATGTTTTCTTAATGCTCCTCTCTGGCTCCTTAAATAATGATTGAGGCTTGGATTCTATTAGAGTGAGCAGGGACTCAATATGAAATTCTGCACCAGGCACACAGTTAATATAATTTATTTTATTTAGAATTCTGCTCTCTGTACGGTCTGGTTATCAATTCTCTTTTTCATGATTTGGCATTAATGATGGAAAGAACAAATTCAGATGTCCTTCCTCTTTGAGTGATTCACAGTGTGTTTTCTATTTCCATTGACAACCTTCTCAGTGTTTTGATAATAACTTCCTCAATAGGACACCAAAATTATGTGAATAAATGAAAAGAATTCTTATAATCATAGAAGATAAATGAACTATCTGTACCATCAAACTACATTTAAATGTAAGGGCTAAAAATATTTTTAAGAATTAGGAAATCCAAGTGAATCCTGATTTTTCCTTCTATGCCTTCCCCCCAACTCCAAAGTCACTTTTTAAATTGAAGTATGATTTATATATTATAAAATTAACCAATTTTAAGGAAATAATTTGTCTTTATATTTTAACAAAAATGAAAATGTTAGAAGGTACAACCACTTATTAATATTTTTTTGAGAAAATAAGTCATTCTACCAAAAAGACACACGCACTCACATGTTCATTGTAGCACTAGTCACAACAGCAAAGGCATGGAATCAACTTAGGTTCCTGTCAACAGTGGACTGGATTAAGAAAAGTGATACCAGTCCTTTGCAGCAACATGGATGCAGCTGGAGACCATTATCCTGATTGAATTAACACAGAAACAAAACCAAATACTATATGTTCTCACTTTATGAGTGGGAGCTAAACATTGGATACATGTGGACATAAAGATGGCAACAATAGACAATGAGGACTACTAGAAGGGAGAAGGAGAAAGAGGTGCAAAGATTGAAAGCTATCTATTAGGTACTATGATCACTACCTGGGTGATGAGATCATTCATATCCCAACCCTCAGCATCCTGCAATATACCCATGTAACAAACCTGCACATGTACTCCTGAATCTAAAATAAAAGTTGGCTGGGCGTGGTAGCTCACACCACCTAATTCCAGCACTTTGGGAAGCCGAGATGGGTGGAGCACTTGAGGTCAGGAGCTCAAGCCCAGCTTGGCCAACATGGTGAAACCCCGTCTCTACCAAAAAAATACAAAAATTAGCTGGGTGTGGTGGCATGCACCTGTAGTTCCAGCTACTTGGAAGGTGGGAAAATCATTTGAACCTAGGAAGTGGAAGTTGCAGTGAGCTGATATCGCACCACGGTGCTCCAGCCTGGGTGACAGAGTGAGACCCTGTCTCAAAATAAATTAATGAATGAATAAATACATAAATAAATAAAATAGAAGTTGAAGTTTTAAAAAATGTATTTTTTAATTGCACAAACACAAATATGGAATGAATTGAGAAAGCTATCAATATTTCTCCAAAGACATTAAACTCATACCACATTTTTCTTTCAAGAATCAGTTAATTCAATTTTATATCGAATTAACTGGGATAGAGAAAAAGATTATATATTGCCCACCTCATTTTATGAAATAAATATAATCCTAATATCAAATAGACACAGACAAGATGCCATAGAACAGTCTCACTTATATGTATGTATGAAAAATTATAAACAAAGGATTGAATATAAATTAGTAGTTTGTAAAATAATGACCTGCCCTGTGCAATGGGATTTATTCTGGCAATATAATGGTGTTAAGTCTAATATTATAAAATTCACCACAAAAATAACATTACTAAATAAATTAGGAATGGGCTACGTTTATTTCAAAGTAGGTCGCATGAGTATTTGAGAGAATCTCATTTTTTGTTTAAAATAAAATAAACAAATTTCTTTCTAAAGTAAAAATGGAATAGCCCTTAATGTGACAAAGTATATCTATTTGAAATCAACAACATAGAGCTTATTTAATGCTGAAACTCAAAAATATTTCCCTTAAAGCCAGAAATATATTGGGCAATCCCTTACCAATATTATTATTTAATAGCACTCCAGAATTTCTGGTCAATGCTATAGGACATGAAATTGAATCAATGGAAATACATGTTAGAAAAGATGTCTCAACTTTATTATTTTTGGATGACATTATCACACACTTATCATACATTATCATAAATAGACAACTCAAGAGACTCCACAGAAAAATTCTAGGAATTAATTTTAAAGGTCAATGAAATGGCAGGGTATATGATAATCACACCAAAAAAATCAAATGATTTGCCAGAAGTGAGTTTAAATATAAAAGAAACAGAAGTAGGACTCACAATTGCAATAACTATTAATATTTAAACTATCCACCAAAAATCTTGAGTAATAAATGATCAGTCATGAAATTCACAGTATTCTTAAGATACTCCCAAAGAAATAGTTGAGAAGTGCAGATTGTTCCAGCAATGAGGTCTAGGAGGGGTGGGATGGTATGGAGTAGATAACATCCTCAACATGATTTTTTTTTTTTTTTTCTGAGACAGTCTCGCTCTGTTGCCCAGGCTGGAGTGCAGTGGTGCCATCTCGGCTCACTGCAACCTCTGCCTCCTGGATTCAAGTGATTCTCCTGCTTCAGCCTCTCCAGTCGCTGTGATTACAGGTGTGTGCCACCACACCCAGCTAATTTTTGTATTTTTTTTACTAGAGACTGGGTTTCACCAGCTTGGCCAGGCTGGTTTCAAACTCCTGACCTCAGGTGATCCACCCACCTTGGCCTCCCAAAGTGCTGGGATTGCAGGTATGAACCACCATGCCTGGCCCTCAACATGAATTTGTAAGAGGTACAAAAGCGACTTTTTTCTAGGGATCACTTCAAGAATTTATCAAACCATTTCAAACTTATGATCACACTTAAGTATAATTTGGTGAGAGCTGCCTCTAGTACTAATAATCTATCTCAGATGTATGGTTATCTGATGGTCCAGCTTGATTTATGGACAGATTTAAAATGGAAGGAGCACAGAATTGGCATGGGATCAATGGCTGTGGGGTTTGGGTCATGTGCATATGGGGGTTCATTATATCATTTTGTCTACTCCTGGGTGTGTTTGAAATTTTCTGTAATAAAAGATTAAACAAACAAACAAGACCAAAACAGTAGTTCTTAATACAGGCTCAACCAACACATAGAGGGATTTCAGTGGGGCCCAATAACCCTCCAGAAATTATTCGCAAAATGTTATATCTATGAGCATATGTACATTTTTTGAGGGAGGAGTTCCAAAACATGAATCAGATTCTTAGCAGTCTATTTTGCTAGAATGAACAATTGGAGTAAATAGGCTGCCTAACTGTTAGCCAAGATTCCATGAGGACCATATCTTGCAACAAATGTTTATAATAGAAATTGGGAAATAGAGATTTTAAAGCTATGATCCCTTGCAAAGACTCTGAAATACAAATGCCAAACCATTCTTGAAATCATTGCAGTAAAATAACTAATGATTGATAACCTAAGATTTTATGGGAAAACAGAGTTGGGAGGATTGAGGATGCAAGTGAAACTGTGAAAGTGACTATAATAAGTTGTTAACTTATAAAAACAATATAATTGGGGCAACACATTAAATAAAGCAAGTGAAAGTGAGATCTTATAAACCCATCTTTTAAATTAAAGACCTTATAGAATTAATTTCCATTTATTATTTCTAGCTCCAGAGAAACATATTCACCCTTTCCCATTGAGCTCCTTTCAAATTCATTTTGCTTTGCTGGCAATAATCTGCATTCTAAAAAGCTCTCCCCCTTTCCTGCCTCCCACTGCGTAGCTTTTCTCATTCTTGGCTCAAATGATCAAGACCTTTTAAATTTTGACACTAGAAGTTGTCAATTTCAACCTCCCAAGCCCACAATGTTCTAGAAACAAATAGAGTGAAATGGCATTAGTTAAGAATGTTTCAATACCCTCTCTTAGAAAAGACCCAGGTCTATGATGACTTTTTTCCCTCAACTTCCAATATATTATGCATGGTTTCACTAGAAAACTTGAGTTTCCACTCTGTCACCCACTTTGTCTCTTTTCCTTCTATAAGTAAACGATTTTTAATTAATAAACAAAAATCCAAAAGTACAGCTATGTGTTGATGATGGTAGATAATAATCACTCTGTGCCAGGCACTTTTCTATGTGCTTTGCATGTACTGACACGTACAATTCTCATACCAATGCTAGGAGGTGTGAAAAAATTATCTGAAACGTAGAAATAGGTAAAAAACCAAAACAAACAAACAAAAAACTGGGCTTTTTTTTCAGGGCATTGCTGAGCTTGCAGCTTTGATTTTCTGTTACCTGGACTATTTTACTACTCTGTAGATGCAGAGGTTAACATAGATTTGTGTCAAGATGTAGATAATTTCTATTAGGTCAGTGGGCCAGGTAGGTTTATGTGTATGTGTGTGTGTGTGTGTGTGTGTGTGTGCATGTGTGTGTATGGTGTGGTGATAATCTTAAAGACTGTAGTTCATTGCCATCTTGACATTAACCAATTTTGCTCCTATCCCAGCAATCTTATCCTAACATTTATTTATTAAATTACCTATAAATGCCTAGCTTCCCCAATGCCCTTTGAACCTGTTTTACTGTTTTCTCATTAATTAATGAGTTAAACAAAACCTTTGACACATGTTCTTTTTTTTAACCTTTTAAAAAGCATACTCTAACACTAGGTATATTACATGATAACCTTTTAATGGTTGAATATTATTCTATTTTATGAACTACAAACAATTCACTCAAGTTATTCCTCCATTATAGTGTCAGGCCTCTGAGCCCAAGCCAAGCCATCGCATCCCCTGTGACTTGCACGTATAAGCCCAGATGGCCTGAAGTAACTGAAGAATCACAAAAGAAGTGAATATGCCCTGCCCCACCTTAACTGATGACATTCCACTACAAAAGAAGTGAAAATGGCCGGTCCTTGCCTTAAGTGATGACATTACCTTGTGAAAGTCCTTTTCCTGGCTCATCCTGGCTCAAAAACCTCCCCCACTGAGCACCTTTCGACCCCGACTCCTGCCCGCCAGAGAACAAACCCCCTTTGACTGTAATTTTCCTTTACCTACCCAAATCCTATAAAACAGCCCCACCCTTATCTCCCTTCACTGACTCTCTTTTCCGACTCAGCCTACCTGCACCCAGGTGAAATAAACAGCCATGTTGCTCACGCAAAGCCTGTTTGGTGGTCTCTTCACACGGACGCGCATGAAATTTGGTGCCGTGACTTGGATCGGGGGACCTCCCTTCGGAGATCAATCCCCTGTCCTCCTGTTCTTTGCTCCATGAGAAAGATCCACCTACGACCTCAGGTCCTCAGACTGACCAGCCCAAGAAACATCTCACCAATTTCAAATCCGGTAAGCGGCCTCTTTTTACTCTCTTCTCCAACCTCCCTCACTATCCCTCAACCTCTTTCTCCTTTCAATCTTGGCGCCACACTTCAATCTCTGCCTTCTGTTAATTTCAATTCCTTTCATTTTCTGGTAGAGACAAAGGAGACACTTTTTATCCGTGGACCCAAAACTCCGGCGCCAGTCACGGACTAGGAAGGCAGCCTTCCCTTGGTGTTTAATCATTGCAGGGACACCTCTCTGATTATTCACCCATGTTTCAAAGGTGTCAGACCACTCAGGGACACCTGCCTTGGTCCTTCACCCTTAGCGGCAAGTCCTGCTTTTCTGGGGAAGGGGCAAGTACCCCAACTCTTTCTCTCCTTGTCTCTACCCCTTCTCTGCTTTTCTGGGGGAGGGGCAAGTACCCCTCAACCCCTTCTCCTTCACCCTTAGCAGCAAGTCCCGCTTTTCCAGAGGAGGGGCAAGTACCCCAACCTCGTATCTCTGTGCCCCAATCCCTTATTTCCACGCCACAACCTCTTATATCTCTGCACCCCAGTCCCTTATTTCCACACCCTGACTTCTTATCTCTGCACCCCAATCCCTTATTTCCATGCCCCGACCCCTTATTTCTGTGCCCCGACCCCTTATTTCCATGCCCCGACCCCTTATTTCTGCACCCCATCCCTTATTTCTGTGCCGCAACCTCTTATCTCTGTGCCCCAACCCCTTTTCCCACTTTTCTAGAAGGTAAGAACCCCCGAACCCCTTCCCTCCATTTCTCTACTCTCTCTTTTCTCTAGGCTTGCTTCCTTCACTATAGGCAACTTTCCACCCTCCATTCCTCCTTCTACTCCCTTAACCTGTGTTCTCAAAAACTTAAAACCTCTTCAACTCACACCTGACCTAAAACCTAAATGTCTTATTTTCTTCTGCAATGCTGCTTGACCCCAATACAAACTCGACAGTAGTTCCAAATAGCCAGAAAACGGCACTTTCAATTTTTCCATTCTACAAGATCTAAATACTTCTTATCGTAAAATAGGCAAATGGTCTGAGGTGACTGACGTCCAGGCATTTTTTACACATCAGTCCCTTCCTAGTCTCTGTGCCCAGTGCAACTCGTCCCAAATCTTCTTTCCCTTCCGCCTGTCCCCTCAGTCCCAACCCCATGCATCACTGAGTCTTTCTAATCTTCTTTTTCTACAGACCCATCTGACCTCTACCCTCCTCGCCAGGCCAAGCTAGGTCCCAATTCTTCCACCCTATAATCTTTTTATTGCCTCCCCTCCTCATACCTGGTCCGGCTTACAGTTTCCTTCCGTGACTAGCCCTCCCCCACCTGCCCAGCAATTTCCTCTTAAAAAGGTGGCTGGAGCCAAAGGCATAGTCAAGGTTAATGCTCCTTTCTCTTTATCCCAAATCAGATAGCGTTTAGGCTCTTTTTCATCAAATATAAAAACCCAGCCCAGTTCATGTCTCATTCGGCAGCAACCCTGCGACGCTTTACAGCCCTAGACCCTAAAAGGTCAAAAGGCCATCTTATTCTCAATATACATTTTATTACCCAATCTGCTCCTGACATTAAATAAAACTCCAAAAATTAGAATCTGGCCCTCAAACCTCACAACAGGATTTAATTAACCTCACCTTCAAGGTGTACAATAATAGAAAAAAGTTGCAATTCCTTGCCTCCACTGTGAGACAAACCCCAGCCACATCTCCAGCACACAAGAAATTCCAAACACCTGAACCACAGCGGCCAGGCATTCCTCCAGAACCTCCTCCCCCAGGAGCTTGCTACAAGTGCCAGAAATCTGACCACCAGGCCAAGGAATGCCTGCAGCCCAGGATTCCTCCTAAGCCGTGTCCCATTTGTGCAGGACCCCACTGGAAATCGGACTGTTCAACTCACCTGGCAGCCACTCCCGGAGCCCCTGGAACTCTGGCCCAAGACTCTCTGACTGACTCCTTCTCGGCTTAGCGGCTGAAGACTGACGCTGCCCGGTCGCCTCGGAAGCCCCGTAGACCATCAGGGACGCCGAGCTTTGGGTAACTCTCACAGTGGAAGGTAAGCCCGTCCCCTTCTTAATCAATACAGAGGCTACCCACTCCACATTACCTTCTTTTCAAGGGTCTGTTTCCCTTGCCTCCATAACTGTTCTAGGTATTGACGGCCAGGCTTCTAAACCTCTTAAAACTCCCCAAATCTAGTGCCAACTTAGACAATACTCTTTTAAGCACTCCTTTTTAGTTATCCCCACCTGCCCAGTTCCCTTATTAGGCTGAGACACTTTAACTAAATTATCTGCTTCCCTGACTGTTCCTGGACTACAGCTGTATCTCATTGCCGCCTTTCTTCCCAATCCAAAGCTTCCTTTGCGTCCTCCTCTTGTATCCCCCCACCTTAACCCACAAGTATAAGATACCTCTACTCCCTCCTTGGTGACCGATCATGCACCCCTTACCGTGTCATTAAAACCTAATCACCCTTACCCCACTAAATGCCAATATCCCATCCCGCAGCACGCTTTAAAAAGATTAAAGCCTGTTATCACTGGCCTGCTACAGCATGGCCTTTTAAAGCCTATAAACTCTCCTTATAATTCCCCCATTTTACCCATCCTAAAACTGCACAAGTCTTACAGATTAGTTCAGGATCTGCATCTTATCAACCAAACTGTTTTGCCTATCCACCCTGTGGTGCCCAAGCTGTACACTCTTTTGTCCTCAATACCTTCCTCCACAACTCACTATTCCGTGCTTGATCTTAAAGATGCTTTTTTCACTATTCCCCTGCACCCCTCGTCCCAGCCTCTCTTCGCTTTCACTTAGACTGACCCTGACACCCATTAGGCTCTGCAAATTACCTAGGCTGTACTGCCGCAAGGCTTCATAGACAGCCCCCATTACTTCAGTCAAGCCCAAATTTCATCCTCATCTGTTACCTATCTCGCCATAATTCTCATAAAAACACACGTGCTCTCCCTGCTGATCATGTCCGATTAATCTCCCAAACCTCAATCCCTTACAAAACAACAACTCCTTTCCTTCCTAGGCATAGTTAGTGCGGTCAGAATTCTTACACAAGAGCCAGGACTGCACCCTGTAGTGTTTCTGTGCAAACAACTTGACCTTACTGTTTTATCCTAGCCCTCATGTCTGCGTGCAGCGGCTGCCGCTGCTTTAATAGTTTTAGAGGCCCTCAAAATCACAAACTATGCTCAACTCACTCTCTACATTTCTCATAACTTCCAAAATCTATTTTCTTCCTCATACCTGACGCATATACTTTCTGCTACCCAGCTCCTTCAGCTGTTCTCACTCTTTGTTAAGTCCTACAATTATCATTGTTCCTGCCCTGGACTTCAATCCGGCCTCTCACATTATTCTGGATACCACACCTGACCCCCATGACTGTATCTCTCTGATCCACCTGACATTCACCCCATTTCCCCAAATTTCCTTATTTCCTGTTCCTCATCCTGATCACGCTTGATTTATTGATGGCGGTTCCACCAGGCCTAATCGCCACACACCAGCAAAGGCAGGCTATGCTATAGCACAAGCCACTAGCCCGCCTCTTAGAACCTCTCATTTCCTTTCCATCGTGGAAATCTATCCTCAAGGAAATAACTTCTCAGTGTTCCATCTGCTATTCTACTACTCCTCAGGGATTATTCAGGCCCCCTCCCTACCCTACACATCAAGCTCGAGGATTTGCTCCCACCCAGGACTGACAAATTAGCTTTACTCAACATGCCCCGAGTCAGATAACTAAAATCCCTCTTAGTCTAGGTAGACACTTTCACTGGATAGGTAGAGGCCTTTCCTACAGGGTCTGAGAAGGCCACCACAGTCATGTCTTCCCTTCTGTCAGACATAATTCCTCAGTTTAGCCTTCCCACCTCTATACTGTCTGACAACAGGTAAGCCTTTATTAGTCAAATCAGCCAAGCAGTTTTTCAGGCTCTTAGTGTTCACTGAAACCTTTATATCCCTTATGGTCCTCCGTCTTCAAGAAAAGTAGAATGGACTAAAGGTCTTTAAAAACACACCTCACCAAGCTCAGCCACCAACTTAAAAAGGACTGGACAATACTTTTACCACTTTCCCTTCTCAGAAGTCAGACCTGTCCTCAGAATGCTACAAGGTACAGCCCATTTAAGCTCCTATATAGACGCTCCTTTTTATTAGGCCCCAGTCTCATTCCAGACACCAGACCAACTTAGACTGTGCCCCAAAAAAACTTGTCATCCCTACTATCTTCTGTCTAGTCATACTCCTATTCACCGTTCTCACCTACTCATACATGCCCTGCTCTTGTTTACACTGCCAGTTTACATTGTTTCTCCAAGCCATCACAGCTGATATCTCCTGGTGCTATCCCCAAACTGCCACTCTTAACTCTTGAAGTAAATAAATAATCTTTGCTGGTAGGACTATGCTGAATCTCCTTAGGCACTCTCTAATCAGATATCCTGAGTCGTCCCAATTCTTAGACATTTTATACCTGTTTTTCTCCTTCTGTTATTCCATTAAGTTTTTCAATTCATACAAAACCATATCAAGGCCATCACCAATCATTGTATACGACAAATATTTCTTCTAACATCCCCACAATATCACCCCTTACCACAAGACCTCCCTTCAGCTTAATCTCTCCCACTCTAGGTTCCCACGCCGCCCCGTAATCCCGCTTGAAGCAGCCCTGAGAAACATCGCCCATTCTCTCTACATACCACCCCCCAAAAATTTTCACTGCCCCAACACTTCAACACTATTTTATTTTTCTTATTAATATAAGAAGTCAGGAATGTCAGGCCTCTGAGCCCAAGCCAAGCCATCGCATCCCCTGTGACTTGCACGTATAAGCCCAGATGGCCTGAAGTAACTGAAGAATCACAAAAGAAGTGAATATGCCCTGCCCCACCTTAACTGATGACATTCCACCACAAAAGAAGTGTAAATGGCCGGTCCTTGCCTTAAGTGATGACATTACCTTGTGAAAGTCCTTTTCCTGGCTCATCCTGGCTCAGAAAGCACCCCCACTGAGCACTTGCAACTCCCACTCCTGCCCACCAGAGAACAAACCGCCTTTGACTATAATTTTCCTTTACCTACCCAAATCCTATAAAACGGCCCCACCCCTATCTCCCTTTGCTGACTCTCTTTTTGGACTCAGCCCGCCTGCACCCAGGTGAAATAAACAGCCATGTTGCTCACACAAAGCCTGTTTGGTGGTCTCTTCACACAGAAGCGCATGAAAATAGGATATTGAGTTTGGTTCCAATACTTTTTCCTTTTAAGAAAAAAATGATGTATATTCAATATTTTGTGGCTAAACATTTGCATTTGTTTAATTATAACACTACAAGTGGAATTTCTGGGTCAAAACTATTCGCATTTTAAAAACTTTAGGTCGACCTTGCTTGGGTATCATCCAGAAAGTTTGTATCAGTTTATACTTCAGCTGAATATAAGGATGTCCACTTTCATTCATCAGATTTCTTTTATTTTCTGATTATTCCCATTATGAGTGACTCACACGGGTAATAAAAAAGGAGGAATTAATGAAAAAGTATAGTTAAAATTTTGAGAAAAGATAACATATTTGGAGATAATTTATTGCATTACATGTGAAGGGGAGATTATATGATTTGAAAGTAAACTGCATAGGGCTGACAATATTTAAACTGTTAGGAAATCTAACTAAGGTGCCCGGATGGCTGTTTAATTCTGCTTTGTGTAAAGATGGGGCAATGGATTATTTCGGACAGGACAACATTTCCTTTCTCCCTCTCTTCCTTCTTTTCCAGAAAACTTACCTGGGGTTCCCCAAAACATAAATGAGTAGTTAAATGCTTATGTCATAAAGCATGACAACATTAATTTCAGTGTGGAAAATATTCACCTATTGTCTTGCACAAATAACCCAGAGATTATCCAATTTTAACTAATATAACTTTCTTTATATAAATATATTTTTCTAATAAAAGTTAAAACTTATTTTCTAAAGTTACAAAAGAAAAAAAGCTCAGTGAATTGAAAAATATTTTAGCAAATACATGTTTTGAAAAAGATATAACATGGTAATTTCCTTTATTTTATCCATATACAACTTAATTCTATTTACAAGGCATTAAGATGTAAATTCCTTAAACTTGTGATTTCTTAAAGTTAACTGAAAACAATACCTATAACATTCCTGCTATCTACTAATTTTACAAACTTTAAGTACTTTATATATATTTGTTTTAATATTTAATGAAGGATGTCAGTAAGTCCAGACAAAGTGTGGGTTACTAGAAATCTATTTAAGGCTCAAAGAACTAAGAGGAGGGGTGGGTCAGGGAGGATGAGGGGCAGATGCAGGGAGGAGAGTCCGCTGCTTCCAGAAACAAGTTAAATGTGTTCTTTTTTCTTGCTACTGAAGAATTTCCAATACAGTGAAAACATTGAAAACTTGTCTTGAACACCTCTCAGCTTTCCATTTAGTTTCAGAGTGGACTCAAGTAGGGAGGAAAATACATACATATATATATATATATTCATTAATATACTTACTGAATATACATATCATGAATATATATTAATGAATATACATATTCATGAATATATATATTCATGAATATGTATATTCATTAATATACTTAAGCTTGAATATGAGCTAACCCATTCAGGGAAATGAAAAAGAAGATTTTGATGGTAAATTAGGCAGCATTGCCCCCAGTGTCTGGGATTCACGAGGAAGGTAAGAAGCAGGCAGAGAGGAGGAACAGGGTAAGTAGGTGATCACTGAAGATTCCAGGGAGCATTGCTCTCATCTCTACAAATCTGTAACCTGACATCAGTCCTATGTTTGGAAAAAAAGCCACCCTCATTATGCTATTCCAGCAACTATGAGTTATTCTTTTGTGTTTACTGAATTTCCACTAAAAGCACTTAGTTTTTTTCTATTCCTTAAACATGTTCCAGGTTTTCATAACCATTAAGGTGAGCAGTAACAAAAGGGTTACCAAAATTGTTAACCTTAGTACTCAAACATCCTGATGTTGTGGGATATTTACCAGACATTTACTTTAATGAGCCTAACTGCTTCAGCATAGGTTATGGGTGTCCTTAAAGAGGCCTTCTTGGAAATTAGCTTAAAAATATCATCTTTGGCAAAAGCGCCAGACCTCAGGTCTGAGATATTAAAGATTTCTAATCAAAGTATTTTAAGACAAAGAGACAAGTCTAGTCAGAAATTAAAACAGAGTTCAGAACAAAGCTTAAGTGGCAAAGAGAGTTTAGGGAATCAGCTTTATCCCTTCGGGAAAACAGAATTTTAGAACACATGAGCATAGCTTTAATGTGATTAATGAACAGATTAGGCCGGTGAGCAAACATGCATTGGGCTTTGGAAGTCATACCTTCCAGTGGCTTCACAGCTTACTTACACAGTCACAGTACAAGTTCCTGACCTATGCTAAGTAAAGAATGTCACTTTCTCACAGGCTCAGGAGCCCCAGTTTATCTTGGGACCTCAAGAGGAGAGTAATTTACCCAACTCATAAGTATTTGATGGCAACAAACCATGGCTGGGCTTGGCTTTAAAACAGTCTTATCTGAGATTCCTTTTATGCAACGAAGTTCCATTGAAGCAAATTTAAAAAGCCTTTGTGAAAAATAGTTATTCTTGCTGCACTTTATACAAATAATCAGGCCAAGTAAAAGACCAAAGCTTATTTTTGCAAACAAATCGGTCCTATTATGATTTGTCTTTAGTAAAAATGGGAGACTGGAAAGAGAAAAATTATGTTTCAAGAACTGTGGTACTCCTGTTATTAATTCTAAACTTATCAGTTGTTTTTGAGGTATTTTTTCTACAATTTAGACTGAGTCTGCTTATTCTTGTGAATCAACCAGTGATCTCTGGCTGCTGCCCAGAAGAAACAAGAGGGATGGGTAATGTAAAAATCTGGATCAATATTCTAATTCTGGGCATGTATTGGAATCAGCTAGCAACCCCATGTCAGTTTGGTGCCAACAGTTGATCAGTTCATGAAATGTCTTCTTATTTAGTTTATTTGGGATAATTTTGCTTATTTTGCTTTACTGTTGTGGAATGTATTTGCTGTTGTACTCTTTGTGTAGGAATGCAAGATAAGCTTACTCAATGTTTTCTTAAATACTTAAATATCTTCCAGATATCACCTTTTGTTGGAACTCATGAGTTATGAATGGCCCTTGACATACCTATGCTTTCTGACTGAGCTTCTCTCTACTCTGAATACAACAGACCCTAATAGTTAGGCAGGACTATCATTGCCCCTATTCAGCCTGAAGAAGTTACAGAAGATAGATCTTCATCCCTCTACAATCCTTAGGATTAAGGATTCCCTTGTAAAAGGGATGGGGGAAATAAGTCAGAGCTGGTTGAACCAGAGTGCCTCCATCTTGAATAGCGGCTGGGTAAAATAAGTCTGAGACCTACTGGGCTGCATTCCCTAGAGGCTAGGCATTCTTAGTCACAGGATGAGAAAGGAGATCAGCACAAGATACAGGTCACAAAGACCTTGCTGATAAAACAGGTTGTGATAAAGAAACCAGCCAAAACCCACCAAAACTACAATGGTGATGAAAGTGACCTCTTGTCATCCTCACTGCTCATCATATGCTAATTATAATGTATTAGCACGCTAAGAGACACTCCCACCACCACCACGACAGTTTACAGATGCCATGGCAACATCAGGAAGTTACTGTATATGGTCTAAGAATGGAGGGAGGAACGCTCTGTTCCAGGAATTGCCCACCCCTTTCCCAGAAAACTCATGAATAATCCACCCCTTGTTTAGCATATAATCAAGAAATAACTATAAGTGTGATTAGTCGGGCAGCCCATGCTGCTGCTCTGCCTGTGGAGTAGCCATTCTTTCTTTACTTTCCTAATATACTTACTTTCACTTGAAAAAAAGGAAGTCATCCCTTCCTCAGCAGCTCTAATTGCAAGTACCCTGTATACCTGAATTCCCAAGAAAAACATGTTAACTGAAGAAAGGGGGGCACAGCATAATGCCCCAAGCCTCTCCATGTGATTTCCTTCAGGAAATCCCCTTTCCTTAAAGTTCACTGTTCACAGGAATCTGCTATTCGTGCTTCATTTCTCCACTCCCACAGACTAGCCCAGTGTTCCAGCCCACCTCTTGGGTATATAGTCTCAGGTGGGCCAGGCAGTCCCAGGAAACCCAGAGAAAAATTCTGGAACTGACAGTTTGGGGTCTGCTGGGTGTTGCTACTCAAGTGCCTGCCTGAAGCACAACTGCAGAACAGTCATAAGAAGAGAGACTCTGAGGAGATACTGGGCCAACTCAGGCTCCTGGAGGTTTTCTCTGAATGGGAGGATTCCCCATGGATACCAAACCTGCTGATGCTCAAGTCCCTGATTTAAAAAATGTTGTAGTATTTGCCTATGACCTATACACATCCTTCTTCTTTCTTTAGACTTTAAATCATCTCCAGATTACTTAGAATACCTAATACAATGTTCATGCTACATAAATAGTTGTTACACTGTATTGTTTAGGGAATAATGACAAGAAAAAAAATCTTCACCTATTCATACAGATGCAACCTCTCCCCGCCCAAGTAATTTTGATCTGTGGTTGGTTGAATCCACAGATATGGAACTCATGGATATGGAGGGTGACTGTATATACAAGTCGTCTGTACCCTGGGGGTTTTGCAATATAGTTATTTGTCCTAGGGTTAGTTAGGCCAGGAGAGAAGTGATAGAAGTTGAGATCACTTGTCTCACTAACAATGTGTTTCTCAGTTTGTTTTCTTCTAGGTCAGACATCAGATTTAACTTTAGTTCTACACAGTTGGTCAATTACTTAATTTCATGGTTGCCTTACACTATACTACCTTCCCAGTCATAAGAAACAATTGTGACAGAAGGAAACTGGAAACTAAATGGTACCTTTCAGATTGGAGTAGTGGAGAAGAGGACTGTGGTTGGAGGTTGAGGTCAAGAATCCAGAAGAGCGCCTCTGGTCAGTGCTAGCCAGGGGAATGTGCGGCCCCAGGCCACCATGTGTGGAGGTGGTAAAGGATCTTGGGTAATCACCATGAGCTGGAGACAGACCTGGTCTCCAGGCTCTTCCCTGAAAGTCTTCTCTTCTTGCTTTTAAGATCTGATGTGACAACTGAAGAAAATGCCAAAGATGATTTCTTTTTCTAAAAAACACATATATATGCTTTTTGAGTCAGGGTCTCACTCTGTCACCTGGCTGGAGTGCAGGTGTGAGAACATAGATCACTGCAGCCTCAATCTCTTGGGCTCAAGTGATTCTCTTGCCTCAGTCTCATGAGTAGCTGAGATTGCAGGCATGTGCCACAACACCTAGCTAAGTTTTATTTTTGTAAAGGTGGGGTCTCGCTATGTTGCCCAGGCTGGTCTTGAACTTCTGGCCTCAAGTGATCCTCTTGCCTCAGCCTCCTGAAGTGCTGGGATTAAAGGTACAAGCTACCTTGCAGGCCCAAAGATGATTTCTTTTGCTTGGGAGATTTGATGCAGAGGACATTTAGGGAGCTCTTTAAAAAACTGTAATATTAAAAAGATCTGAGACCCACTGCTTCCAAATCATGTTACTTCAGATATTGAAACTTGTGATTCTGAAATAACAAGGCACAAGATAGGTGTAGCTTTCTGAACAGAAGGACACTGCCTTTTCAGAAGCTCTTATCCAAACTTAATTTGATTTTTCTACATGTTCCCTGGGTTCTTTTCATTTCCCAGAAGCCAATTTCAGAGGCAAATGGTTATCTGCCAAATTCACTAGATTTAACAAATGTAATATAATTGTATAATCCTTCACTGTTTCCCAATTACTTTTCTTCTTATGCCTCAGATTGCTGAAGGAGCCCATTTACTCATGACATTAGCTTGTTGATCTAAATCCTAGGCAACTTAGTTTACAAATAAATTGACATTTATAATCTTTTAATGTGATACTGCAAATGTAAGGCTAATATTTATCATGGCAGTAAGTATTTTAAGCACATCAGTTTGTTTCCAATTTCTTTTCTTCTCATTACTTCTTGGCCTGTTTTATTCTGACAGCTCTGATTATTGCATACTCTGCAGGGAAACTGTTTGCAGATGTATTTCCTAAGATAATTTCTAATCCTGGTCAGAAATATCAGATGATGGAATATGTAGATTTGAGGCCTTGTTTGGCATCAATGTGAATGTGAAGAGCAACTGATATATTTTTTGTACCAGTTCAATAAGGACATGCATAAAATTAGCTTTAAAAATGTATATTATTAGCTTAAACTCCTAATGTTTGAAAAATAGGTGTTAAAATTGGTGGATTGCACAGCTGAATAATACTAACAATAATAATAGTTCCATATCCTAAGAGTTGAAATAAGCTCTTTGCATTTACTCACTGAATCCTTACAACCCATTGCCAGGTGGATACTACAAATAAGAAAACTGAGGTTTAGAGGTTAAGGAATTCATCTAAATCACATAGCTAGAAAGAGGCAGATCCAAGGTTTGGATCTAGGTTTCTGATACCAATGCCTTCTATTTCCAGAAAGTCCTCTTAGCCAGATTTAGCATAATAAACATATGAACATAATCATACCTTTCCTTGACATGAACTAAATCTCATTCTTTAGTTTTCAAAATGTTCTCATTTCCTAATTGAAAATTCTCTCTATATGAATTACCATATATTATGATGTTTAGCCTCAAAGAAATAGGTTAATACATGGTACAGTTACTCAACTTGATATTCATAATGTTTTAAAGAAGCTCATAAATGTGTCTTGCAATATACCTAAATTCTAATTTGTGGTTATGAAAACATGATTAGACACTGAAACTACACTTGTGTCTATCCACCATCTAATTATTTCATTCTAATTCCTGGTGCTTGCAGTTGGTGTATATCACTTTATTTGTCATATGCCTGACAGAGTCCTGGGTAATTTTATGCCAAGGGTCAGGCATTTTTTAAATATGTCTTTGAAATCAAATCTAGTTCAAAGTCCTTTGAACCTTGATGGCTTAGTCAATGAATGATGCTCCCCAGCCATTTGTAGAAAGATGTCCCTTAGGTAACATGTCTCCTAAATTCATTGTCAGCACAAACTGGTGATAATAATATGAACTTCTTACTCCTTTATTTTCACTTTATTGTATTATTCCATCCTGGATTTCTGTATATCTTATTTATGATTCAAACATTAGTTGTGCCATTATTTAACTTGATTTTCTGGAACCATCTAGATTCTAAATGGTCTCATTTCCAATGAATCAGGTTCTAATTAGTTAATGGGAAGGTATCAGATTCCAAGTGTATGTGTTTTTAATCCCGATTTTGATCCAGACATAGAATTTCATGTTTACATTCAGAAGAATAAAATTACTCCAGTCAGTGTTCAATACACAACACATTTCATTATGGTTTCTTTTGCTGCACTGATGTTCTGTGAATTTGTACATGTTTGATTTATTTTCAAGTCTTCCTCCAAGACCTTTTCTCATACCATTAAATCAAGGAACCATTGAAGAAATTCAAAAGATGACCCTTTGACTTTTCACTTTATTTTATATTATTACACTGCAATAAAGTATATTTTTAAAAAAGTAATATAGAAAAGAAAACCCACAGGGAGTATATCAAAATTGAATCTCATCTTCACAACTTCCTCAAGGCCAGTTTTCAACCGACATTGTTTTCACAATAAAGCAGTTGATTTCATATAACATCTGTCGCTATGGTGACAATAGGAGAGTGATAACTGGAAAAGCTAATAGGGCTTTTCTAACTTCCCTCCTGGAATATGTAGCTGATGTGGAAGCAACAGCAAGGCGATCAGTAAAGGGAGAGGTCAGTGAACCCATCTGGCGAGGCATTGTCTGTTCTCCAAATCAAGAAGGACTAAGGCTTTTGTCAACCACCCTTCTCAAGAGTAATGCTCATTTCTAGCCTTTCATCTGTTTTAGTGCCTGAATTCCCTGAGAAGAGGTCAGAAGTATAGCAATAAACATTGCTAAAAAGAACATAATGGTAGGAGAGAAAGAGGAATGGAGAGATGAAAGCCTAAGCAGCAATGTTAGGGCTTCAAATGATCTAAATTAAAGTAATCCCTGTGAGAAAGAAGATCACGGAGTGGGAATTTTATAAAGGTGTAAGTAGGAGGCAAAGAAGAAGGCATGGGAGGCATAGTTTGCTATCAGCCACATAGCAGTGAACACAGTCTGTGGGACTGACAAGTTTAAAAGCTTTAGCTTTTTTGTACAGTCATATACATGCATGTCTGGCTGTATAGGATTATATGGAACGATGATATAATTGCTGACAGGGGTTACCTTGGAGATGGTGTGTATGTGGGGAATTGAGGTGGCAGAGGGCAAGTGGGAATCAGGAAAAAATAAGATGAAGCATCTGTTTGATCATATTTATGAATGTTTGTAAGATTATCAAAAGGTATATTAAGAAATTAACTCCCCTTCAGACTTTTGAGCATCTTAACACAGACAATCCCTTGGGAATTGCTGAAAGAAGTTTTATCTAGGCATGTCAAGTGAGGGGCAGAAATGAACCAGAAGGTGGTAGACAGCTGTTCTATGTGGCCCTAGTCCTCAGTTCTCTACAATTTTCTTATTTATTTAATTTTTTTTGCAGAAGTGCAGGGAATAATTTTCTAGAAAGGTAGCAAAACCAGAATTATACCCAAGAGTAGGAAACAAAATCATGGAGTTATTTCAGAACCTATAAAAGCCCTCTTTTGAAACATATCTTGCTTATAGATGTCTAAAGTTTCATTTATAGTTAGGCAAAGGACGTAAATAGGTTTGAACTCATGGCCAACTTCATTCTATTGGTTGTTTCTATCTAGTATGGCATTCTAATTATTTATTGCTCTCTAACAAAACATCTCAAAACTTCATGGCTTAAAACAACAGTAGATACTTTATTGTCACTCTTGGTTTCTGTAGGTCACGATTTCAGAAAGAGCTCAATTGTGCAATTCTGGTTCAAAGTCTTTTATGTAGTTCAGTCAGACAGTGGTTTGGTGTAGTGGGGTCTGCAGCAGCTGGGGGTTGGCATCTCTCTATATATGTATTTATAGATGTATACATATGTATATATACACAAATTTATTTATATACACACATATATTATTTCTATAGGGCTAGCCTTCCTTACAGCATAGTGGCCTCAGGGTAATTGAACTGTTTACCTGGCAGCTAAAGACTTCAAGGGCATGTATTTTATCCTTATGAGTGAGCATTTCAGGTAATAAGGAAAAAGCTGCATTATTTTTCATAACCTAATCTTGGGATGCCAACAGAGTTGCTTCTGCTATACCCGGTTGGTTACAAGTGAGCCTCAAATCTGCCCACATTCAAGAGGAGGGGAATCAGACTCCACTTCTCAAAGAGAGAGTAGCAAGGTTCTAGAAAGCACCTGGGGTAGGAGGTACAGTTGCAGACGTCTTTGAGAAAAACAGTCTGTTACAGGTGTTTTACTGAGAAGAATTTGAAGCCATGCCATGTTGTATGGGGGTGCTATAATGTGCCAATGTGTGGGCATAGAGACATGTGGCAGGAAGTGTTGAGCAATGGGGGTCGTATTATGTGTTTTCTTCTCTCTAGGCCTTTTGAAAATGAAGCTGCCCTTGCTAATGACTCCCATATTGATTTCTTCTTTGGCAGAACAGATCAAGTCTGCAAAAACAAGGCACAAAACAAAAACCATAAAACAAATCAAAACAAACAAACCCCTGTTACTAAATCCAGGGCAATGCAGAGGATGGAGCATAGGAAGAGATTATACATAAGTGTACAAAAAAAGAGTTCTAGAAAAACAAACACAGGCAAAGGCTAGCTCTGAAAGATATTGGAACCTACAGTTGTAAATGTCAGGCCTCTGAGCCCAAGCCAAGCCATCGCATCCCCTGTGACTTGCACGTATAAGCCCAGATGGCCTGAAGTAACTGAAGAATCACAAAAGAAGTGAATATGCCCTGCCCCATCTTAACTGATGACATTCCACCACAAAAGAAGTGTAAATGGCCAGTTCTTGCCTTAAGTGATGACATTACCTTGTGAAAGTCCTTTTCCTGGCTCATCCTGGCTCAAAAGGCACCCCCACTGAGCACCTTGTGACCCCCACTCCTGCCCGCCAGAGAACAAACCCCCTTTGACTGTAATTTTCCTTTACCTACCCAAATCCTATAAAACAGCCCCACCCTTATCTCCCTTCACTGACTCTCTTTTCTGACTCAGCCTACCTGCACCCAGGTGAAATAAACAGCCATGTTGCTCACACAAAGCCTGTTTGGTGGTCTCTTCACACAGACACGCATGAAATTTGGTGCCGTGACTCGGATCGGGGGACCTCCCTTAGGAGACCAGTCTCCTGTCCTCCTGTTCTTTGATCCGTGAGAAAGATCGCCCTATGACCTCAGGTCCTCAGACCAACCAGCCCAAGAAACATCTCACCAATTTCAAATCCGGTAAGCGGCCTCTTTTTACTCTCTTCTCCAACCTCCCTCACTATCCCTCAACCTCTTTCTCCTTTCAATCTTGGCGCCACACTTCAATCTCTCCCTTCTGTTAATTTCAATTCCTTTCATTTTCTGGTAGAGACAAAGGAGACACGTTTTATCTGTGGACCCAAAACTCCAGCGCCGGTCACGGACTGGGAAGGCAGCCTTCCCTTGGTGTTTAATCATTGCAGGGATGCCTCTCTGATTATACACCCACGTTTCAAGGGTCTCAGACCACGCAGGGACACCTGCCTTGGTCCTTCACCCTTAGCGGCAAGTCCCGCTTTTCTGGGGAAGGGGCAAGTACCCCGACCCCTTATCTCCTTGTCTCTACCCCTTCTCTGCTTTCCTGGGGCAGGGGCAAGAACCCCTCAACCCCTTCTCTCCTTGTCTCTACCCCTTCTCTGCTTTCCTGGGGCAGGGGCAAGAACCCCTCAACCCCTTCTCCTTCACCCTTAGCAGCAAGTCCCGCTTTCCTGGGGCAGGGGCAAGTACCCCTCAACCCCTTCTCCTTCACCCTTAGCGGCAAGTCCCGCTTTCCTAGGGGGCAAGAACCCCCCAATCACTTATTTCCATGCCCCAACCTTTATCTCTGCACCCCAATCCCTTATTTCTGTGCCCCAACCCTTTCTCTGCTTTTCTGGAGGGCAAGAACCCCCAACCCCTTCTCTGTGTCTCTACTCTTTTCTCTGGGTTTGCCTCCTTCACTATGGGCAAGCTTCCACCTTCCATTCCTCCTCCTTCTCCCTTAGCCTATATTCTTCAGAACTTAAAACCTCTTCAATTCTCACCTGACCTAAAATCTAAGCATCTTATTTTCTTCTGCAATGCTGCTTGACCCCAATATAAACTCGACAGGAGTTCCAAATAGCCAGAAAATGGCACATTCAATTTTTCCATCCTACAAGATCTAAATAATTCTTGTCGTAAAATGGCAAATGGTCTGAGGTGCCTGAAGTCCAGGCATTCTTTTACACATCAGTCCCTTCCTAGTCTCTGTGCCCAGTGCAACTCGTCCCAAATCTTCCTTCTTTCCCTCCCGCCTGTCCCCTCAGTCCCAACCCCAAGCGTCACTGAGTCTTTCTAATCTTCCTTTTCTGCAGACCCATCTGACCTCTCCCCTCCTCGCCAGGCTGAGCTAGGTCCCAATTCTTCCTCAGCCTCCGCTCCTCCACCCTGTAATCTTTTTATCACCTCCCCTCCTCACACCTGGTCCGGCTTACAGTTTCCTTCCGTGACTAGCCCTCCCCCACCTGCCCAGCGATTTACTCTTAAAAAGGTGTCTGGAGCCAAAGGCATAGTCAAGGTTAATGCTCCTTTTTCTTTATCCCAAATCAGATAGTGTTTAGGCTCTTTTTCATCAAATATAAAAACCCAGCCCACTTCATGTCTCATTCGGCAGCAACCCTGTGACGCTTTACAGCCCTAGACCCTAAAAGGTCAAAAGGCCATCTTATTCTCAATATACATTTTATTACCCAATCTGCTCCCGACATTAAATAAAACTCCAAAAATTAGAATCTGGCCCTCAAACCCCACAACAGGACTTAATTAACCTCACCTTCAAGGTGTACAATAATAATAAAAAAAAAAAAGTTGCAATTCCTTGCCTCCACTGTGAGACAAACCCCAGCCACATCTCCAGCACACAAGAAGTTCCAAACGCCTGAACTGCAGTGGCCAGGCATTCCTCCAGAACCTCCTCCCCAGGAGCTTACTACAAGTGCCAGAAATCTGGCCACCAGGCCAAGGAATGCCCGCAGCCCAGGATTCCTCCTAAGCCGTGTCCCATCTGTGTGGGACCCCACTGGAAATCGGACTGTTCAACTCACCTGGCAGCCACTCCCAGAGCCCCTGGAACTCTGGCCCAAGGCTCTCTGACTGACTCCTTCTTGGCTTACCGGCTGAAGACTGACACTGCCTGATCTCCTCGGAAGCCCCATAGACCATCACGGACGCCGAGCTTTAGGTAGCTCTCACAGTGGAAGGTAAGTCCATCCCCTTCTTAATCAATATGGAGGCTACCCACTCCACATTACCTTCTTTTCAAGGGCCTGTTTCCCTTGCCTCCATAACTGTTGTGGATATTGACAGCCGGGCTTCTAAACCTCTTAAAACTCCCCAACTCTGGTACCAACTTAGACAACACTCTTTTATGCACTCTTTTTTAGTTATCCCCACCTGCCCAGTTCCCTTATTAGGCCGAGATATTTTAAGCAAATTATCTGCTTCCCTATTCCTGGATTACAGCTGCGTCTCATTGCTGCCCTTCTTCCCAATCCAAAGCCTCCTTTGCGTCCTCCTCTTGTATCCCCCAAACTTAACCCACAAGTGTAAGATACCTCTACTCCCTCCTTGGTGACCGATCATGCACCCCTTACCATCTCATTAAAACCTAATCACCCTTACCCCACTAAATGCCAGTATCCCATCCCGCAGCATGCTTTGAAAGGATTAAAGCCTGTTATCACTGGCCTGCTACAGCATGGCCTTTTAAAGCCTATAAACTCTCCTTACAATTCCCCCATTTTACCTGTCCTAAAACCAGACAAGCCTTACAAGTTAGTTCAGAATCTGCGCCTTATCAACCAAATTGTTTTGCCTATCCACCC
Source organism: Homo sapiens (assembly GCF_000001405.40). Taxonomy (NCBI): domain Eukaryota; kingdom Metazoa; phylum Chordata; class Mammalia; order Primates; family Hominidae; genus Homo; species Homo sapiens. Next base: position 131,342,044 of record NC_000006.12, read on the forward strand.
CGTGGTGCCAAACCCATATACTCTCCTATCCTCAATACCTGCCTCTACAACCCATTAGTCTGTTCTAGATCTCAAACATGCTTTCTTTACTATTCCTTTGCACCCTTAATCCCAGCCTCTCTTTGCTTTCACTTGGACTGACCCTGACACCCATCAAGCTCAGCAAATTACCTAGGCTGTACTGCCGCAAAGCTTCACAGACAGCCCCCATTACTTCAATCAAGCCCAAATTTCATCCTCATCTGTTACCTATCTCGGCATAATTCTCAGAAAAACCTACATGCTCTCCCTGCCAATCGTGTCCGACTGATCTCTCAAACCCCAGCACCTTCTATAAAACAACAACTCCTTTCCTTCCTTGGCATGGTTAGCGTGGTCAGAATTCTTACACAAGAGCCAGGACCACACCCTGTAGCCTTTCTGTCCAAACAACTTGACCTTACTGTTTTAGCCTAGCCCTCATATCTGTGTGCAGCGGCTGCCACTGCTTTAATACTTTTAGAGGCCCTCAAAATCACAAAGTATGCTCAACTCACGCTCTACAGTTCTCATAACTTCCAAAATCTATTTTCTTCCTCATACCTGATGCATATACTTTCTGCTTCCTGGCTCCTTCAGGTGTACTCACTCTTTGTTAAGTCCCACAATTACCATTGTTCCTGGCCCAGACTTCAATCCGGCCTCCCACATTATTCCTGATACCACACCTGACCCCCATGACTGTATCTCTCTGATCCACCTGACATTCACCCCATTTCCCCATATTTCCTTCTTTCCCGTTCCTCACCCTGATCACGCTTGATTTATTGATGGTGGTTCCACCAGGCCTAATCGCCACACACCAGCAAAGGGAGGTTATGCTATAGTACAAGCCACTAGCCTGCCTCTTAGAACCTCTCATTTTCTTTCCATCATGGAAATCTATCCTCAAGGAAATAACTTCTCAGTGTTCCATCTGCTATTCTACTACTCCTCAGGGATTATTCAGGCCCCCTCCCTTCCCTACACATCAAGCTCGAGGATTTGCCCCCATCCAGGACTGGCAAATTAGCTTTACTCAACATGCCCGAGTCAGGAAGCTAAAATACCTCTTAGTCTAAATAGACACTTTCACTGAATAAGTAAAGGCCTTTCCTACAGGGTCTGAGAAGGACACCACAGTCATTTCTTCCATTCTGTCAGACATAATTCCTCAGTTTAGCCTTCCCACCTCTATACAGTCTGATAACAGATGAGCCTTTATTAGTCAAATCAGCCAAGCATTTTCTCAGGCTCTTAGTATTCAGTGACTGACTAATGGTCTATTAAAAACACACCTCACCAAGCTCAGCCACCAACTTAATAAGGACTGGACAATACTTTTACCACTTTCCCTTCTCAGAAGTCAGACATGTAATGCTACAAGGTATAGCCCATTTAACCTCCTGTATGGATGCTTCTTTTTATTAGGCCCCAGTCTCATTCCAGACAAAAGACTAACTTCGACTGTGCCCCAGAAAACTTGTCATCCCTACTATCTTCTGTCTAGTCATACTCCTATTCACGTTCTCAACTACTCATACATGCCCTGCTCTTGTTTACACTGCCGGTTTACACTGTTTCTCCAAGCCATCACAGCTGATATCTCCTGTGCTATCTCCAAAGTGCCACTCTTAACTCTTGAAGTAAATAAATAATCTTTGCTGGCAGGACTATGCTGAACCTCCATAGGCACTCTCTAATTAGATGTCCTAGGTCCTCCCAATTCTTAGTGCTTTTATACCTGTTTTTCTCCTTCTCTTATTCCATTTAGTTTTTCAATTCATACAAAACTGTATCCAGGCCATCACCAATCATTCTATACGACAAATATTTCTTCTAACATCCCCACAATATCACCCCTTACCACAAGACCTCCCTTCAGCTTAATCTCTCCCACTCTAGGTTCCCACACCACCCCTAATCCCGCTTGAAGCAGCCCTGAGAAACATCGCCCATTCTCTCTCCATACCACCGCCCAAAAATTTTCGCCGCCCCAAGACTTCAACACTATTTTGTTTTATTTTTCTTATTAATATAAGAAGGCAGGAATGTCAGGCCTCTGAGCCCAAGCCAAGCCATCGCATCCCCTGTGACTTGCACGTATAAGCCCCGATGGCCTGAAGTAACTGAAGAATCACAAAAGAAGTGAATATGCCCTGCCCCACCTTAACTGATGACATTCCACCACAAAAGAAGTGTAAATGGCCGGTCCTTGCCTTAAGTGATGACATTACCTTGTGAAAGTCCTTTTCCTAGCTCATCCTGGCTCAGAAAGCTCCCCCACTGAGCACCTTGCGACCCCTACTCCTGCCCACCCGAGAACAAGCCCCCTTTGACTGTAATTTTCCTTTACCTAGCCAAATCCTATAAAACAGCCCCACTCTTATCTCCCTTCACTGACTCTGTTTTCGGACTCAGCCCGCCTGCACCCAGGTGAAATAAACAGCCATGTTGCTCACACAAAGCCTGTTTGCTGTTCTCTTTACAGGGACGCGCATGAAAGTAAAGACTACAAAACCCTGATAATTTTTATATTTCCTTGGGATAGAGATTGTAGTGGGGGTAACCTTCTTAACCAAGAGAGAAGAAAAGCCATAAATAATACAAATTGACAGAATTTTTTACACAGAAATTAAAAGCTTTAGCACAGCAAAAGAAAACACAAAAACAGAAGACAATCAAATAGATTGAGAGGAAACATTTGCAATACACATAACAAAGGATTGTATTGCAAAGAGCTTCTAGCAAATGTGCAAGCAAATTATAAACAATTCAGTAGAAAAATGAGCCAAGAAAATCAGCAGTCAGGCCACAGAAAAGAGAAAATGTCTGTAGGGGAGAAAAAGTAATATCTTTTTTGCCCATCGCAAGGTTCACAGTTGACATCCCTATAACACAAGACAGATTAACAAGAGACAAGGATAACACATTTATTTAACCAAAGTTTTATGTGACACTGGAGCCTTAAAAATGAAGACCCAAACACCCAGGGAAGACTGTGCATTTCTATGCTTAGTCTGATGAAAGAAATAGTTGTGGAGATGTGGAGAAAGATAATTGGACAAAAAGAGATATTATCTAATAGTAATAAACAGGGGAGTGGAGTGGGGTGGAGGACTTAGCTAGGTCTGTTTATTCAGATTTTTTCCTGTGTCTCTGTATGATATCCCTTGTCCCCATGGGGCAGGACACCTGTCACATGAGGATCTTCAGGGGTGAAAGGAGGAAATCAGAGAGTGACCTTTGTAAGTTTTATAGCTTACTTTGTGGGATAGGAATTTTAGTTTCCATGACTTGCTTTAGGGGAGCAAGGATGGTGGGAGAAAGGAGGGCAAGAGAAGGTGAGAGACCTGCAGGCTTCTGCAGCCTCCAATCTCCTTCAGTCAAAATACTTAGCATGCCAAGGCACCATACTCTGGAGTATGGTGTTCTGAGCCCCGTCAGGTTCAATAAATATATGAACTCTATTAGTCATCTGGAAAATGCAAATTAAAATAAAAACAAGCTACCATTTTAAACTATTGGATTCCAAGTTAAAACATTGATTATATATACACATATATATATATTTGAGATGGAGTCTTGCTCTGTTGTCCAGGCTAAAGTGCAGTGGCGTGATCTTGGCTCACTGCAATCTCCACCTTCCAGGTTCAAGTGATTCTCTTGCCTCAGCCTCCCAAGTAGCTGGGATTACAGATGTGCACCACCATGCCTGGCTAATTTTTGTATTTTTAGTACAGGCGGGGTTTCACCATGTTGGCTGGGCTGGTCTTGAACTCCTGCCCTCAAGTGATCCACCAGCCTTGGCCTCCCAAAGTGCTGGGATTACAGGCATGAACCACCGTGCCCGGCCAAAGTATTGCTAATATTGAAGTGGACTAAGCCACTCCAATATACGCTACTTTGGCAAAGGATTATTTTGAGCCTAAGACAACTGAGAAAAAGCAAAGCAAAGCTCTCTGCCCTTCCCTATTTGCCTAAAAGCAGGATACAAATTTGTTACAGTGTCTTCCTGCCCCTCTCTACCAGGAAGGACAGAATTTAATCATTGGAGACAACTCTAAACCTTTATCAGAGCATTAGGGGAATCTACTTAACAAACGACACTAACTAGTCTTTATCTTCCATTTGTTTCCGCCATATATTTGCCTTCCCACAACTTGGGGTCCTGGAGACTCAAACTCCTTTTCCTTTTCCTTGTCACTTCTCTAAAATTTTTTGTTCTTTTGTTGAGATGCTACTTAAGCCCAAGTTCTAACCACCCCTTTGAGTTACTCATTGCTGAGTGCTGTCATGTGTATGAGTGATGCACTTGCTAATAAACTTCTGTTTTACTCTAGTTCATCTGTCTTTTGTCAGTCAGTTTATAGCGCTCCAGCTGGAAAACCTAAAATGTTTCCTCCTTCATAATATCAAGTGCTGGCTTGGATGTGAAGAAGTCACACACATTGTGGGTTGCTTATAAATTGACATAGCTCATGCTGAAGTAATCTGGCATTTTTATGAAAATTAAAAATGGATATACTATGTATATATTTGAGCATATATTTGTAGAAAAATTATTTGCATATAAATTTATATATTAAAGAATGCTTATTGTGGCAATTTTCTTTTTTATAAAAACAAGAAAAAATGGAAGATCTTTCAATAAGGTAATAATTGCATTTTTTAAATTATAGAAATTTAGACTATAGAACACCGTGTAGTTAAGTAAAATAAAAAGGTATATCCCTACATGTTGTCTTAGTCATATATCAACATATAATAAAGTGGAAAAAGTTATAGAGTAATATGTATATATACATGCCTGTGTTTATAACATATGTAATATAAGGAAAATGAAAAATATTTGTTTGTATGATTATTTAAGTAAATGAAGAAGCACAGATGAATTCATTTGAAATTTTCAGTGGGATTAACAAAGCTTTGTTAACACCCATTTGAGGTGATATTGGAAGGAAAACAATTTTTTTTTCTTTTTTTTGAGACAGAGTCTTGCTCTATCCCCCAGGCTGGAATGCAGTGGCGCAATCTCAGCTCACTGCAACCTCCTCCTCCAGGGTTGAAGTGATTCTCATACCTCAGCCTTCTGAGTAGCTGGGATTACTGGCACCCACCATCATGCCTGGCTAATTTTTGTGTTTTTAGTAGAGACAAGGTTTTGCCATGTTGGCCAGGCTGGTATCGAACTCCTGACCTCGAGTGATCCGCCTGCCTCAGCTTCCCAAAGTTCTGGGATTACAGGCATGAGCCACCGCACCCAGCCGAACAATTTTACTTTATAAACATCTTTATCTTTGGAAATGTTTCTGCTAGCAATGTATTATTGGTATCTGATCCAAAAGACTAAAGAAAATAAACGGCCATTACATGCGTTGGCTGGACCAGTTCTTGGTACAAATGAATATCTGTTGAATGAATAAATGAGTGTCTTGGATCCATTGTCACACTTATGTATGTCTCTTTTTCCTGCATAGTGGGAGATGATATTTCTACAGCTAAATCCATTTTAAAAATCAAGAATAATGCTTTTTGTTCTTTCCCAAGGAAGGTAGTTCTAGTACATCAAGTTCCTATTTTGATAATTTAGTCTTATATAATTTCTATTTTCAAAATAATTCTGGTTAAAAAACAACAGCAAATATAAATGGCTCTATTGGTGCTTTATTTAGTTGGAAGATCAAAAATTTGCAGCCCAGTTTTTTCAAGTTGATTCAGTTCCCTGCCCAAATTGATTAGAAAAGTCTCATTTCATGCAATTACAGATCTTTATTGCCTTTCATTATAGAATGTTTTCCTTAAGGAATAGCCAATTTTTGAGAAAGACTAATCTTCTGGAGTGATTTAAAAAATTGTGGCACCTCATTCTTTTGAAAATTGAATTTGAACAAAATCCAAGGACAGTTTAAAATTCAGCTTCCACTTTAGAGGACTTCATTTTAAGTCCATCAATGCCTATAAAGCATCAAGTAAAATTCTCTTTCTACTCATCATATTATCATCTGATTTCAACAATAGCTCAAATTTTAATAAAAATTTTAATACTTACATGATTATTATCTTTATTTGAACTAGATGGGCACTAACTAAACTTATTCCTAAGGGAGGAGAATAGAAGAGCCTCCTTCAACTTTACTGCCTCTTTCTCATGCATCCAAAGCTCCTGTTATGAACATTCCTGGATTGTGAATTTGTTCTATAGCACACAGCAAACAGGAGCAGCGTCATCTCTGCATTTAACATATGAACATCTCTGCAGGTAACACGAACCACATGGATGAACCTGTGCCTCACCTCGTGGGCTGCTCTGTGACAGCAGAACACCCACTAGACAAAGAAGCTTCCCACCAACTTCTGCTTTTCCCAAAAGCAGAATGTCATAGACTGGTTACCTGTGTACTATGCCCCTCAGGAAGGGAGAATTCACTTCATTCTTTTACCTGCAGACAGGTTGGGAGGGTTATGCAAGTCAGGGGCATATAGCCTGCCTGACAGAGGCAGAAAGACCTCAGGTGACTTTGAGAGTGTTTGATAACAGGAAATATGATAAAATGCAAGGGCTTCTGTGTAACTGGGAATTTTTTCAGAGTAGAGAGGTCTCAACCTAGAATGTCTACTCACCTAGTAAAGTGAAGAGACCTGCAGTCTTCCTCTGACAGTGACAGGCAACCTCTAGGAGGCACGGAGCCGAAGGGCAGACTGAGAACTGCGTAGTTTTCTCCAGGAACAGACATTTTTTCAGAGGGATTGGGACTCTGGGGGAAGCACTTTGATTAGAGAGTGAGATAGAGCACAGAAATCCAATTCATGCCATCTCAGCATGCAGGATCTAGACTTCGAACATTCAAGGGAGTCTGGAAGTGTTTGAATGCTGGTCTTGTCAAATAATGAGGAACGACCATTCCAGCAAAGAGCAGTCTAAATAGAAGAGAAGCAGGACACAATGCAGATGCTAGACAAAGAAAGAACATCCAGATCAGACCAGGAAAAAAGATAATTCCTTTCACTCTATCCAGCTAATGATTTTACTAATCTCCAGTGAGGGAGGATTGAAAGTTAATAGAAAAACCACAGGAGATTCAACTTGTAGTTTCAGTATATTAGCATATATATTCTTGCTAAAATTACTTCAGTTGCTTTCTATAATTCTCATTTCCCTTATGTGGCATTACACATTCTTATCTTCCCTCCTCAAAAGTAGATTAAGTGGAGGCTGTCTCAGTCTAGAGGGTTCTGTAGGTACTGAACACATTATAGAGAAATCACAAGATCATGCAGCTTGGTGCTTCAACAGATGCCTGACCCTACCCAGCCTGGGTGGATCCTTGGCACTACCCAGGGTTCCTCTAAGATGTGGCCACTATATGGCTCCTAGATCCATTCTTGACCTAGGTACATGGGCCCAGAGAGTGTAATTAAGTGATATAGTCGGAGGTGGTTATTACCTAGACAATACTAGCTAGTCAATTGAGGCAGTAAATCATACAGTTCAGTTAGAATCACACTTAGAATACCTTCTCTAAGGCAAGGTTTTAAAAACTTGCTTTTAATTTAAAAGGCTGACTTGGTGGTAGGTCTGGAGTGGAGCCCCAAAGTCTGCCTTTTATGTAAGAACCCCAAGGTGAATCTGATGTAGGTGGTCCATGGCTCTACTTTGACTTCCTGAGCTAAATGATTTGCTGATTTATTAGACAGTAAACAATTGAGGCTGGGTGTGGTGGTGCACGCGTGTAGTCTCAGTTACTTGAGATGCTGAGGCAGGAGAATCGCTTGAGCTCAGCAGTTTGAGGCTATGGTGAGCTATGATTATGCCCACTTCACTCTAGCCTGGGTGATAGAGCCACACCCTGCTTCAAAAAAAAAAAAAAAGAAAAAAAAAAGTAAACAGTTGAAATTTCATGGCAGACATTTCCAGCCTATGTGTGTAGAAATGAGCTGAGATACAGGTGTTGTCAATAAGCAGTTTCTTTGGCCCAGTTGGCCTGGCTCTCTTTGGGCTGCTATAAGCACTTTCACACCGTGCAGAGATTTCCTTCTCGAGGAGATGCCAGATCAGACTGTTATAAACATAGAAAGGGGGAATGGGGACTTTCTTTCATAAGGATTAAAAATAATACTCCAAATTCAGCCTTCCCACAAAACCAAGTAAATCAATGTAAGTAAAGCTAAAATAGGCAGAAAAGGGCACCATTGCAATGGTTAAAAAAAAAAAAAAAAAAAAAAGAGGCTGTGGAAATAGTTGTGAAAAAGTCTGCAAAATGCATAGTAGAAAGAGAAGGGAAAGCCTTCTGGGTGCAATGGTAATTGAAGGCCTCCTTTCTCTTTACGGAAGGGTACCTGTTGTAGCCACGTGAGTTAACACCTTACAGAAGGCCTCAGCACTAGTGTGTTCTTCTTTCTGAGTATGTACTTAACTATAGGAAACAATTTTTTTGTGTGTGATTGCAGAAATAAGAAATCTGAGTTATTCCAAAGAGACTGAAAAAGGACCTGAGACAGGATACTTTGTGGAAATCACACTTCTCCTGGAGTTTGCCTACAATAGGATCTCAGAGATTCATCCCTGAACTCTAGGTTTACGGTGACTTCTTTTAAATTGGCTTGCCTCCAAAAGAGAGTAACTCAAAGCTGAGTTTAAAATTCTTCCACCTCTTTCTTGATATCATTATTGATAAGGCCAAATCTTTGATGGCTATTATAACTCTGGCCTGGCTTAGTGAAATCTCGCAGACAACCTAAACCTCAACTGGAATGACTTGTTAGTAGTCAATACTTATTTCAAACTTTAGATCCTCTATTCATTCTTTGGCGAGGACACTAATAAGATACAAGGAACAAGATGCAGTTAAAATAATGCAGGTGGGAGCTGGGGATATGTGGCCACAATGCAAAACACAAGAAAATGTCCTGGCTCCTGACCTTGAGGATCTTAATGATCTACCTGAGATATCTCCGTGTCCACCCACTTCACACCTACAGGGAGCAAGCTCATTTCTGGGTACACACAGCAGACTCTTAATAAATATTGCCTGAAAGATAACGCTTTATCAGTATGAACTAAGAGTAGAATGAACGTTCATCTTTCTTTTGCATTCACCTCATCTCATTCCGTTTGTTTCAAGTCAGTTCTCCTGCTGGGAGAGGCTGCAGCACTCCTGTCTGGAGTGAGGGAGGGTCTGTTGTAGCACAACAGTTCCATGCTACTCCTTTGTCTGTTCATGTCAACAGTCTATGTATGGAGCACCTATGTTTAGGTGGCTGTGTTAAGCACCTTGGAGGTGGGATGAAGATAAAGAGAGAAAAGCAACAGAGTCTCCTTTAGAGGGGAGGGCAAGATCTTGGTTAAAAACAAAAACAAAACAGGTTCTATCACTCAATGTATTTGTGATCACTTTGTAACACTTTTCTGAGCTCCAGTTTCCTCTCCTGTATAGTGGGAACAATATGTATTTCCATGGTGTCATAAGGGTCAAATGAAATAATTAGAGTTGCAAGATTTAGCAAATAAAAACAGTGTAAATTATATTCCACCCAATATTTGGGACGTACAAAACAGTATTTATTGTTTCTTTAGAATTCAAATTTAACTGACATCATATATTTTATCTGGCATGCCTAGAAATAATGTTATGATAATAGTAGCCATTCTCTGAGTGCCTATTTCATGTGCCAGGCACCACTAGGTACCTAGATTACATTGGTTATAGTTCTAACAGCAGCTATTACTAACTCCATTTTGCATCTAGGATGTGGAAGTTTTCCAAAAACAAATAGCCAGTAAATAGCGGAGGCAAGATTCAAATTCACTTTATCATGCTGCTTCTTCAGGATATGAAAGCAATCTGAAACTAGAAAATAGCCTGGTATTTATGGTCTCTTTGTTCATTATCTCTGTCCTGAGTACAGCAAAGGAACTGTGGAAAGTTATGGGAATGTGGAAGTTAAGAGTTTCCATCAAGTGTAGACAAAAGCCTGTATCTACTTCTCAACTTCCAGGAAATCAGTATTTCTACGGATACCAAGGCAAGGTCCATAAATGCTCTAAAACAACCCACAGTGTATGATGTGACATGTGGGATTATCTATCCCAAAGCCCATGCCAGAGCAGAGATGTATTGACTAACTGGGCCTTAAAGTAAATTAGTTCTGTAAGCTACTTAATATGTCCCATTTTTGCTGTTAGATGACAAAAGATTCAGCTTAGCCACCTATACTTCTAATCTTTAAAGTAAATTCAGAACTTCATTTATTCAAGCATTTATTTCATTCTCTCATCCATCCATGTGTCCATTCAACAAGCACTTATATAGTACTTTCTAGACATTGTTCTAAGCACTTTACAAACATTAACTTACTTAATTCTCATAATCGTCCTCTAAGTAGGTATTATTATTACCCCCATTGAAATTCGGAATGGTGACCCCAGATTCCTACTAGAACCTTGTGATGGCTCAGTGGCCCTCCAGAGATGTCCATGTCCTAATCCTTGGGACCTATGGATATATTATATGACACACCAAAGGGATTTTGCAGATGTGATTAAGGTAACCGACCATAAAATCAGAAGTTTATCCTGGATTTTTGAGGTGGACCCAATCTAATCAATTTTGAGGTGGACCAATCTAATAAACAGCTGTGTTTAACAGCTATTAAACACAGAGAATGTTCTGTGACTGAGTTCAGGAGAGATGCAGCAGAAGCGGAAGTCAGAGAGATTAGAGGTGTGAGGGGGATGGGATGCACTGTTGCTGGTTTGAGGACGGAGGTTGCAGCATGATGGGTAGTGTAGGTGGCCTTACATTGCTGACAGAGGCCACATCTCCCAGCCAGTGAGAAGACGACAACTCAGCCAGCGAGGAAACAAGAATTCAGAACATGATTCTGCCAGCAACCTGCATCAGTTTGGTGGCAAATTCTCCCTCAGAGCCTTCAGATGAGAGCCTGGGCCAGCTGATACTTTGACGTCAACCTCTGGGACCAAGGGCAGAGGAATCCATTGAGCTCATGTGAACTTCTGGCCTGAAGAATCGCGGGATAATCCATTTGTGTTGTTTTAAGCCACTAAATTTGTGGTAATTTTTATAGCAGAAATAGAAAATGAATATAGACCATATCTCTTTAGGTTATTATTTTTTACATCCCAGTTTGATAGTCATGTCATCTTCCATTAGCCAGAGTATTTAGTTAAGCAGAATATTTCTTTCTGTACTGATTGTGCTGACCAGGTATATTTCGCATTGTGCAGTTGCAGAGGTTCCGTGCCCAATTCTGGGACTCACTCCTTGTATTCTTCATTTACCAGGAAGGGGAATAGGAGGCTCTGAAGGATGGAAGAGGGACAGGCTTTTCAAATATTGATTAGGAAAAGGCAGCAGGAGAGAAGACTGAAAGCACAGACTCTCAGCCTGAATCTGGGCTTAAACTCCGGCTCTATTGCCTAGTAGCCATGTGGCTTTGGGCAAGTCACTTAACATCTCTGTGCCTTGGCTTATCTTCAAAATGCAGATGACGATCAGCATAGTACCTAGGGTTGCTATGATTAAGTGAGTCAAAGAATGCGGTGTGAGTATTGCAAGGATGATCTAAGTGTTCACTGTTATTATTGTCTCCATTGCAGAAGGGTTTCACAGAGAGGTGAAGATAGAAGCACACCAAATAAAGAAAAGCTCAAAAGGGTTTGCAATCGGAGAAATGGAAATGAAAATAATAGTGAGATATCACTGTAAGCCAGTCAGATGGGCACAAATGGGGAAGCTAGACGATGTTGGTGTTGGAGAGGATGAGGGACATGGGCAGCACCCGCCTCACTGCAGTTGGGAGTGTGATCCGGGCAGTCATTCTGTTGAACAACCTGATACTACTGAGTCAAGGTAAAGATACCCTCTATGTCTTGGTTTGGGTTCTCCCAGAAACAGCTCCTTAGATAAGGATTTAAGTGGAAGTGGCTTATTCAGGAGATGATGCCAGGATATGCTGGTAGGAAGGGAAGGCACTCAATAAGGGCATGTTTTCAAGCAAGTTCCGCTGTGAGTCACTGGAGCTTAACTGGGGACTTCCAGGAGCAGGTGTAGAACAAGAACCTCCCAATTTTCCCATCCAAGAGGTGAAAGAGCTGGGGTATTTATATACAAGGCTCCTCATACATTGGCTCAGGGCTGCTGAGAATGAGAGTGCAGGTGCTCGCCGTTGGCAGTTAAGGAGGCCTGGCCTGCAATAAGACGATGAGATGTGGGTATGGCACTGATAGCGTCTACCCCCCAGGATGGCCTAGGAAATCCACTCAAGTATAAACCTAAAGAAATGATCACGACATTTCATTTGGGAGACATGTGAGGATGTTTGCAATGTTATTTGTGATGGCAGGAGTTCTAGGCAGGCTGGGTGACTATCACTAGGAGAGTGAGTAGAATCCATGTGGGGAACGTGCACATGGGGTATTGTGCAGTAGTTAAAAGTAACAGATTGAGTTATACATAGCTACATAATGAAGCTTAAAAATAATCCCAAGTGAGAAAAGAAACAGAATGAGATCTATCACACACACATACACACTCTCTCTCTCTGTCACACACACACCCACACCCACACACTCTCTGTCACACACACACACACACCCCAATGAAAATTTTGTAGCAATGCACTTAACAAAAAAAATCATGTACACATGTCAGAATGGTTTTTCATAAAGGAGTGGAGGAAAAGCAGTTGGCTATGATACTAAGATAAAAAGTAATTAATTGATTTACTTTTTTTTAACAACACAAAAGGGGAACCCTGTAGAGATCTTTGATGATAATGTGTTGTGAACTGAGTGTGAAGAATTCAACAATCTGCACCTCTCATCCCAGAGAAAACAATGTACACCAGTGATTTCTGATCCTGTCCATTTCTCTGAACTAAAGTGCTTGTTTGTTCATTTTCTAGAGTTTTACCTGCTTCTCAGTGGTCTATCCATTGCGTGAGGGTGGTGGCAGCAGAGAGGGGAGTGGAGGTTGCAGCCCTGACTGAGGCCCACTCTGATGGAAAGAGAGGGAATTCATCCAGAGACTGAGGTCAAGGTCAAGTTGGGGTGGAGTGGAATGGTTTCCTAGACATCCTGTCGTGAAGAAGACCAGACAGCCCATCGGGCTAAGGCTAGGCCAAGCCAGTGGAGCAGATGGGGTGATGCCAAGATAAGGAGGGAGCCAGGAAGGAGAACCAGGTTGTGACATTCCCAGACAGAGGTTAAAATGCTGGCTCTGTGTTCATGAAGCTGAGTGCCCAGGCAAAGTCACCAAGTGCCCAGGGAGATGATGCTTCAAATGCATTTTTACATGCTTTTTTTACCTGCCACTGCCAGATAATGGTAAGGATTTTTTTCTACCCTAATGAAGCTGTTAGAAGTATTAACATTTATATAAAATAGTAAATAGAATTTGAAGGTGTCTATACTAAAGATGGATTGAATTTTGATTTTAATATAGTTTACATACCAACCATGGACTTGAGTTCCAGATAGGAATAATTATTTTTTGTATCGATCTCTTTAAATCTTAATTTTTCATTTAAAAAATCTTTTGGCACCAGTCAAAACCAACAACCTTGCCTTTTGTGATGTCCAGCAAGCACAGTGCAAATATGTAACAAATAAGTATTATGGAGTAGATGGTTTTGTGCAGCATGCATGAGAAATTCATTAATTTAAATTTAATTTGAAAAACATAATGAATTCAAGGTACTATTCCCAGTGTAGTTGTGTAGATAAAGATTAAAAAGTCATAGTTTATAAAATTAATCTGTCTTAAGGGTATATTCTTCTGTTGGAAGTCAGGGGGTGTCTCAGGAACAGCCTACAATGGCAAGAAATTTTCAATAAGATGGATTTTTTTTTTAATCACACTTCCAGAAGAAATTTAGAAATAGGGCTTTTTCTCTAAGGCAATACCTAGAAAAAAATGATTTGACCAAGGGCTTAGAAAAATTAGCAGTGTTTGCAATTGGTTACAGAGGTCTTATCGCCTATCACAGCTTGCTTAGCTCTCTTGAGTTGTATTTATAAAGCGTTCTGGCTGATCTACTTAGTTAGATGAACGGTAAGATTATTTTTGCCTTTTAGCTATGTGATGCTGAACTCTAATCAATTGAAATGCTTCACGGTGACAGAATGCCTTCTGTTTGCCAATGCAAAAAATCCTATTAAGTGGCAAATTATAAAATCTCCAAGTAGCATCCAGCTGAAATATTTGTTTGTATTTTCTATAATAGATCTTTCCTTTGAAGCAGCTGCTATTTCAAAGGAGATTGTAGGCATTTGAAAAATCTGGGTCACTCCTCATGCATTCCAGAAAGAAATCTGTGATAGACTAAGGCCTCAGGACCCATCTGTGGCTGTGTGGGAACTGTGTGGGGTTGTAAATAAAGCTGGTGGGGGGCCCAGAGCAGTTTTCAGGGCCCAACCCTCAGCGCCAGGATTTCTAAATACTGAAAACTGGATGGGGAAAAACTGAAAAATGGGGTCTTTAAAATTTTTTTTAGAGACAGGGTATCCCTCTGTCACCCAGACTGGGGCACAGTGGTGCGAACATGGCTCACTGTAACCTTGAACTCCTGGGCTCAAGTGATCCTTCTGCCTCAGCCTCCTGTGCAGCTGAGGCTACAGACATGTGCCACTATGCTGGGCTAATTTATTAAAATGTTTTGTAGAGATGGAGTCTTGCTATGTTGCCCAGGCTGGCCTTAAGCTTCTGGGCTAAGTGATCCTTCTGCCTCAGCCTCTCAAAGTGCTGGAATTCAGGCACAAGTCACTGCACCTGGCAGTTTTAAAAAATTGTTTGTAGAGAGGGGACCTCACTATGATGTCCAGGCTGGTCTTGAACTCCTGGCCTCAAGTAATCCTCAGCCTCCCAAAGCATTGTGATTACAGACATGAGCCCCTGTGCCCAACCCTGAAAGACACAGTTTTTAGGTAAGTACATAATTAAAATGCTAATCGTATTCACATTAGTAATGAGGATTTTAATATTGAGGAAAGGATGACAAAGGAGTTGGGTCACATGGGAGGGTCATTGCACTCAGAGAATAATGTTTTTCTATCCTTAAAGAGTTGCATTAGCCTCTTTTTGGTTAAAAAAGTCACATCTGGCCGGGCGTGGTGGCTCATGCCTGTAATCCCAGCACTTTGGGAGGCCGAGGTGGGTGGATCATGAGGTCAGGAGATCGAAACCATCCTGGCTAACACGGTGAAACCCCGTCTCTACTAAAAATACAAAAAATTAGCCGGGCGTGGTGGCAGGCGCCTGTAGTCCCAGCTACTCGGGAGTCTGAGGCAGGAGAATGGCGTGAACCCGGGAGGAGGAGCTTGCAGTGAGCCGAGGTCGCGCCACTGCACTCCAGGCTGGGCGACAGAGTGAGACTCAGTCAGCAAAAAAAAAAAAAAAAAATTCACATCCATATTTTTTAGGACAAAAAGTTGCTAATAACACTTACCTCTGATTGATAAGTAATCTGAGCTGCAGGAAGTAGGAGGTTTGCTCCCCTTTGGCGACCTCACCCACGTGCACACACAAACTCAGAGGCTCCCTGGGTACTTTTTACTTTCCTCTTTCTGTGTTTCCATGTTTTCTCAGCAGCTTTCCCTCCTTCTGTGAAGGAAAATTTCAGCAGGACACAGTCTGCCAAGCTAAGCACATGGCAGACAGTTGATAAACTTCACTAAGATTTCAAGGAAGTGTGGGGAAGAAAATTTGTTGGATTTTCTTTAGACAGGAAGGAGAAAGACCAGTGAAAAGAAGTGGAAAAAAGAGAGAAATCCAAAAAGATGGTGGTAGGCTGGGATTAGGTTAAGTCAAAGTGCCCACAGGTACGGGTTGAAAAACATTTTGAAGATCTGCAGTGATTATTCTTCCACTTAAAGTTATTTATAAAATTGTTTGATAAATTGGCTTTTCGGGTGCTCAAAAAATGGATCAACCCTTTTGCTTCTAGGAAGATGGAGTAGACATATTTTTCCCTATTCCTCTTGCTAAGTACAACTAAAAGCCCTGGATATTCTATTAATATATAAAACAAGCATAAGACGACTGTGAAAGGTGGGGAGAAGGCAGCATACTGCATAGGGACCTCTGCACACAAGAAATGATACTGTGGTGAGTTCTTCAGGTTTTCTTTTTGCTTCATAAATTCCAGTCCAGAAGGTGAAGAAGCTGGCACTTTAGAAACGCCTGCTAGGACACATGAAACAGCCCTGATAAAAGCCCACACTCTCTAGCCAAAGAACCAGAAAAGGGGCAGCCTCGCAAAACAGGAAACGTTTACATAATGTCCACTCTACTCCAGCCAAACACCACAGAAAAATCTGTGGCCACACCCCCACCCACACCAGCAAAGTGCTAAGGGGGCATCCCGACTTCTACTCTTGTCAATCTTTAAAACCCCAAGCGCTTCACCAAGGTGGTGTCAGAGAATGTTGGGTAGGGAACAAGGCTTTCATTCACACTGTGTGGTAATGAGACCCCCTCACACTGCAGTATCCCTGAAGATCTTTGGGAAAGCTTAGACTTCCACCACAACCCAGCAGTGAAGAGGCGCTGCACCCGCCTCTGCTGGGGTGGTATCAGAGGAGGCCTGGTAGAGAGACAGGACTTCCACCACTGCCCAGCGGAAATGAGGTCACTCACTTCCTTGTGGGGTCAGTGGAAGCTGTATGGGAAGAAGTAATGAGGCATACAAATCCACCAGTTACAGAAGTATCTGTGGAGGCCTAGTGGGGAGCTAGATCTCCTGCCTCAGCCAGCAGTACAAAGAGACCCCTTGGATGTCAATGGAGGCTGTTTTAGTCAGGGTTCTCCAGAGAGACAGAACCAATAGAACTTGTCTCTCTCTATATATATATAGAGAGAGAGCTACAGAACCAATAGGATCTCTATAGGTTCAGTCTCTCTCTATATATCCTATATATATATATATATGTATGTGTATATATATATCCTATTTTTATATAAACATAGGATATATTTAAGTATATGTGTATATATATCATATATAGGATATATAAGTGTATATATACTGTATACATACTTATAAATACTATACTATATATAAGTATATATGGATATATAATATATAAAATAGGATATATATAAATATAGGATTATATATCTATATGTTCTGTCTCTCTATATGTATCATATGTCTTCTAGGACATATATCCTAGAGAAAAGGATTAGAAGGGATTTATTAGGGGAATGGCTAAGTTGATTATGGGGGCTGAGAAGTCCCACAATAGGCCATCTGCAAGCCGGAGAACCAGGGAAACTGGTAGTGTGGCTTGGTCCAAGTCTGGAGGCCTCAGAACCAGAGAAGCTGATGGTATAACCTCACTGGAAGGTTGAAGGCCAAGATCCTGGGGTGAAGGGGTACTGATGCAAGTCCCAGAGTCCAAAAGCCAGAGAACCTGGAGTTCTGACATCCAAGGGCAGGAGAAGTAGGGCATCTCAGCTTTGGAAAAGAGAGCCAGAATTCACCTTTCCTCTGCCTTCTTGTTTTACCTGAGCCCCCAGCTGATTGGATGGTGGCCACCCACATTGAGGGTAAATCTTCTCCACTCAGTCCACGGACTCATCTGCCAATCTACTCCAGAAACACCCTCACAGACACACCTGGGGGAGCCCAATCATTCTAATCAAATAACATACCACCTGGGTTTCCCTTTCAGCAGAAGAGGGATGAGCTCAATGTCTACTGAAGCATCGAGAATAATGTATGCTTTACCAGCTGTATGGGTATCCCTAAATCCTGTCAAATGGACATCCAGAATCAACCATCACAGAGACCAAGGAGGAAACTTAAACTTCCTCCCTTACCAGACAGTAATGGGGCAGAGCCTTCCATTGCCTTGCTAGAAGTGCATCAATGAAAGCAAGCTAAAATACAAAATTTAACTAAGATCTGGAGTCCTGTAACATAAAACCAGAAAAGTCCACATTTCAATTGATAATCACTCATTATACCAAAAACTAGGAAGATCTCAAACGTAATGAAGAGAGACCATAAATAGATGGTGTATTAGTTTGCTAGAGATGCCATAACAAAGTATCATGGACTGGGTGGCTCAAACACATTTTTTACTGTCTAGATGCTGGGAAATCCAAGATCAAGGTACTGGCAGATTTTGTTTCCATGGAGGTCTCTCTCCTTGGCTTGCAAGTGACTCTTACTTGCTGTGCCCTCACATAGCCTTTCTCTGTGAGTGTGCATCCCTCATGTGTCTTTTCTTACAAGGACACCAGTTATATTGGATTAGAGTCCTGCCCTATTGGTGTAATTTGAATGTAATTACCTCTTTGAAGGTCCTATCTCCAAATACAGTCACATGGATTAGGGCCCACCCATATGACTTCATTTAATCTTAATTAGTTCTTTAAAGACTCTATCTCCATGTACCATTACATTTTGAGGTATTGGAGGTTGAGAATTCAATATAAAAATTTTCAAGTGGGGGACACAATTCAGCCCATAACAGATGTCTACAACAAGATGACAAAAATTTTAGAGTTATCTGACAAATATTTTACTGCCGCCATCATAAAAATGATTCAAAGTGCAATTATGAACAAACCTGAAACAAATGAAAAAATTGCAGGTCTCTGCAAAGAAATAAAAGTCTCAGCAAAGCAATGCAAGTATAATGAAGAATCAAATGGAAATTTTAGAACTGAAAAATGTAATAACTGAAATTTAAAATTCAATGAATAGGTTCAACAGCAGAGTGGGAGAGACAGAGGAAAGAATCAGTGAACTAAAGAGAGGACAATAGAAATTACCCAGTCTGATTAACAGAAATAGACAGGAAAAAAAATTGAAAGGAATCTCAGAAACCAGGGAGACTATAATAAAAGATGTAACTTTTTTTTTTTCCATTGGAGGTATGAAAGGAGAGGAGAGAGAGGCTAAAACTGAAAAAATAGTCAAAAAATAATAGCTGAAAATTTCTCAGATTTGGCAAAAGACATAAATCTATAGATTCCAGAAGCTGAGAAAACTCCAAGCAGGGTAAACCCAAAGAAATCCATACCATGACACAGCCTAGTCAAACTTCTGAACACTAAATACAAGTAGTAAGTTGTGAATGTGCTCTTCTGTACATTTTGCTTGTAGGAGGTTAGCCACGTAGTGGTTGGAAAATGCATGAACTCTGAGGTCGGGGGACCTGGTTTTGAACCTGGGATTTGCTGCTTCCAACGTATTCATCATAGGGCAAATTACTAACTCTCTTTGAGCTTTGATTTTTCATCTGTAAAAAATGGAATAATATGCTTCCCCTGCCCCCATGGAACTATGGTGAGAATTAAGTGAGGAAACATATGTAAACTCAGGCAGGATTTCTATGCTGTAGTCTTGAGACCAAAGTCTTTTTTCTTTGGGTAACCTCAGTTTTTGCTCCTTGGCCTTCACCTTATGGGATGAGACCCATTCATATTGTGGAGTACAATCTGTTTCACTCCAGGTCTACCCATTTAAATATTAACCACATCAGAAAGATGCCTTTACAGCAAAATGTAGATCGGGGTTTGACAGAACAACTGGGGAACATAGCCTCATCAAGTCAATAGATATAATTAACCATCGCATATAGAGAAATTAATTTTACGTTTACTGAGGTTGTATGCTTTTTAAATGTTCAAGATAAGTTTATTACATGCAAGTTTTCCAAACTAGGCAACTACCTGGGGGCATAGTAAACTGTCCAAAATTGAGATATTAAAATAAGTGATTCATTCTTGTAAACATTACAGAATCATGTACTATTATCTTTCAGAAGTTCAACTGTATGGCTCTGCTGACCTCAGGTAACTGTCTACTGCCTGACTTACAGTGATGTCAAGGCCTGCAGATGGGGAGGCCTGCAGAGCAGCCTGTTGTATGCCTTGCAAAAATACTTGGTAGACAATTTATTTTTTCTCATACAAATGCACTGACCACTTAAGTTACGGTAGAGCCAATTTTGATGTCTTCAGGTATGTAGGGAAGCATGTCTGGAGCTTGAGATGCCTGGCAATGCATATTTACATTTACTAAATTTAAATTATTAATTTATTTATGATTTAATAGCATTTGTAGATCAGTGCCCTAGGCAGCTCTAGAGCCAACTTCGCCTAGAACTGGCTCTGTTGCAACATATGAGGTTGGCAAATCTGGCTAAAACACATCGAAGGTGACTATTTCCCGAGGAATTCTTTGTCCATGAGGGGACTTCCAAACCATGCCTGATTCACTTCACATCCACCTAAGCTGGAAGTCCTACACTCCTGGCCTGAGCAGAGGGAAATGCTTTGGAGACAGAAATTTAGACAGAGGAAGCCATTCGGAAGGAGACTCCAAGAAGCAATACTTTATTTTTGTCATTTAGATCTAGAAAAAGCCTTGACAAATATGAATGAGGTAATTTTAATGAAAGTTTGTGGTGACAAAAAATAATGAGAAAACCCAAATCATGAAAGAATATAAATGAATCAATTTTATATGGCACAGATCAGAGTGTTTTCATAGTCATTTAATAGAATTGGGAGCTGTTTTAGAGTCAACTAATCCAGGCTCCTTGTTCTGAGCCTAGAGAGGGGCTGTGCTTGACAATTAATTAATTGATTGCTAAACAGTGGCCAAACCAAAACAAAGACCAGGTGTCACAGCTTCCAGCCCAGGGCTTTTTCTACCATATGTCATGTGAAATTATTCTTTAGTTCTATTCTTTTAGAGAATTCCTTTAAGACTCAGCTTTATAAAAATGCAACTTGGCTTCAAATTATAAAACTTTTGGGCCAGGCGCGATGGCTCATGCCTGCAATCCCAGCACTTTGGTAAGCAGAGGCAGGTGAATCACTTGAGGCCAGGAGTTCCAGACCAGCCTGGCCAACATGATGAAAGCCGACCTCCACTAAAAATACAAATCAATTAGCCAGGCGTGGTGGCGTGCCCTGTACTCCTAGCTACCAGGGAGAGGCAGGGGAATTGCTTGAACCCAGGAGGCGGAGGTTGCAGTGAGCCGAGATCGTGCCACTGCACTCCAGCCTGGGTGACAGAACGAGATTCCATCTCAAAAAAACAAAACAAAACAAAACAAAAACAAATTATAAAACTTTTTAAGTAGGGAAGGAGAATATAAAGAGAATAACTCAGATGTGTGCATTTGTGTATCCGTGCTTTTTTTCCAGATGTTTTCATTCTTGCCATGGTTTGAGGCTTCTATTGGATCCCTAGAGTACATCAGCTGACCTCGAGGATGAAGCCTGTCCCTGAACTCATTCATTCAACAAATATTTATTAAGCACTTACTGTGTGCCAGGTAGCATGCAAGGTACTGGGATTACAGACAATTAAGAGATGATTTTTGCTCCAAAGGGGCTTAGTTTGGTTGGGGAAAATTACAGGTAATCAGATACATTACAATGGTGGTATAGTTGGTGCTGTAATAGTGGAATAATATGAACAGAGGGCTCTAGACTCTAAATTAAAAAACTGTGACTTCACGAGATCAAAAGAATTCCTTGCAGAATTACCATTTGAAACAATCTACGAACCTGAGTAGTAGTTTATCAGGCAAGTTGGGGAGAGACCTTCCAGGCATGAGGAAGTGCACATGGGGTGGTATTCAGAGTATGGCTGGGTCAGAAGGCAGGAAAAAGTTGGTAAGGTGGGAAGAGAGGGAAGAGATAGGGCTTGGAGCCAGCTCTGGAAGGTTCCTAGGCTGTTTGCTGGAGAGTGCTTTTCCAAAGGAAGATTTTACGATGAAGGTAAAAATACATGCAATACAACATTCCATCACAGGTTGTGCCATGTGCCTGTTCCTGAACCAGTCACTGTTGGAAGGGGATCTGGCTCTTTGAAGGAGATTCAGCTCCTTTCTAACCACATGAAAATGATTCCCCTTGATAAAGAAGTGCCTTATTAATAGAAGAAGTGTTGAGGAAGGAAGGGGGTCTTATTAGGTGTCCACTATGTGAGGTAGTGCCAGTAACCTAAGTATTAACTATGCAATATAGATGATAAATGCAAAACAAAAAAAGGAATAATGATGGGACTGCCATCAGAGTTTCCAGAGAAGGTGGGTGATGACACATACTAGGGTAATATGAAATCCTGTTAATAATAGATGAAACAAAGCCTAATTCTAAAGTAAATCTCCTTTTCAGAAAACTCACACTCTACTTACAGAGACTAATTTTTTATGACATTTGCTTTTAGTGGTAATTGCAGTGACTAGACCAGTCCAACATGCAGCTATTAGGAATGAAATATTCTTTTTTGAACAAACACTTAGTCTGGAGTCTAAAAGTCAAAGTTGTTATAGCAATATCTCTTTAGATAATAACTACAGAGGCTAATCATTCATCCATAGTTAATGGAGATTTTAATTAGGCAGCATAATTTCTGAAAACAAGGAGAAAAAGAAACACAAAAACCAGTAGTTCCTGAATATGAGAGTCAGTTCTCTCATCACCAATGTGATGGGTACCAAATTTATCACAAAAATAATTCCTCCTGACATTTGCATCATGCTTTTATGCTGTCATGTACTAACTCAGTTGATCTTTAGACCATTCCCAGAAAGCAGGCATCATTATAATCATCTATATTTTATAGATAAGAACACTGAGGCAAAGACAGGTCACACAGTTAATGAAAGGATGACTCTAATTCTCCCACTAGTGTTTTTCCATAGAAGAACACATGCTCAGCTGGGCACAGTAGCTCATGCCTGTAATCCCAGCACTTTGGGAGGCTGAGTTGGGCCGGTCACTTGAGGTCAGGAGTTCGAGATCAGCCTGGCCAACATGGTGAAACCACGTCTCTACTAAAAATACAAAAATTATCTGAGTGTGGTGGCACATGCCTGTAGTCCCACCTACTCAGGAGGGTGAGGGAGGAGAGTTGCTTGAACCTGGGAGACGGAGGTTGCAGTGAGCCGAGATGGTGCCACTGCACTCCAGCCTGGGGACAGAGCAAGACTCCATCTCAATAATAATAATAATAATAATAATAATAATAATAATCCTGCCTCCACCACCTACTATGTAATTTAAGTCTTTTTCACTTTGATTTCCTAGCTGTAAAAAGGTGATGATCATACCTAATATGAGTAGAGTATTAAAAATTATCTTTCTCCTTAGCTATTCTTTGTGAGTTCTCTCTCCTGTACTGTGTGTATGTCCTTAAGTTTAGCCTTGAGGCCGAAGTGAGGAAGAAGGAAGGCACTGTGCCTGTCCTCCTGGCATGAGCCTAGTGGAGGAAGTTCATCTGGATAGAAAAGGGAAAGGAACCCCATCTCTACTAAAAATACAAAAATTAGCCGGGCATGGTGGCGTGCGCCTGTAATCCCAGCTACTCAGGAGACTGAGGCAGGAGAATCGCTTGAACCTGGGTGGCGGAGGTTGCAGTGAGCCGAGATTGTGCCACTGCCCCCCAGCCTGGGGGACAGAAGTGAGACTCCATCTCCAAAAAAAAAAAAAGATGGAAAGGAAAGCACAGCCTTCACCTTCTGGCTTGAGGGGTAAAAATGAAAAACGGAAGTGGTAGCAAAGAAAAGGAGCAGAGTTCGAGTTTTCTCCTTCAACCTGCTCTGGCATCTATTCAAGGGGAAGTGATGTGAGTGAGCCCAGCAACAGAAGGTCTTCTGCTTCTATTTACGCTCAGGCTCTAAAGGAAATCTCTCCTGCAGGCTGGTCCAGCCCTGTGCTGAGTAGCCACATCAAAAAAGCTTGGTGCACAGTGTGATTAGCCACCAGACAGAGAAGGATCCAGTATATCTCCCTGAGACCCCTTGGTTGCCCATGGCAGGGCAAGACCTGTCTGGGAATATGCTAGTGTCTCAGTGACTGTGCTCCAGGTGGACAGAAAGACCTGGAAGATGCACAGGGGTCAGAGTCCAAGGTTTCAATTTGGAAATTTTAAGTCTAATTGAGGGCTTTTGCCTTTCTCCATGAATACATATTGCTGATTTTGTTAATTCATTTAGCATCTAGGATTTTCTTTGGCAAATTTATTTTGCAGTCATTATGTCTTCACTCTAAAAGCAAAGAATTCCATAATGTCTTTCAGAAGCATTAACTAGTGTGGGATAAATATGAGGTTATAAGTCAGTGCAAAGAAAACAGTTTCTTTCCAACCAGTTTAATGCTTATTTCCTATGAAATGCTGCTGTTTCTTAAAACAAAACAAAACAAAAAGTAGTCACAGTACTGCCACTTGCTCATGTGGCTCTGCATTGTGCCCTAAGAGGTGTTGTACCCAGGTCCCCATGGGAATGGTTTGCAGTTAGGCTGACACAATCACCAATTCAGAGGTCCAAACAATTACCAGCAGCACTGAACTTGAAACACAATGTAAACATTGACTTACAGACAATATTTAAACCTGCATTTCTTTCCAGACTTCACCTTAACAAAATATGTTCTCTTCAGCCAGACACTGTCATTCACAGAAACGAAAAACTCCTTTGAGACACACTCTGTCCTCCCACATGTTCATGTAAGGAGGAGTTTCTCAGCCCCAGCGCCATGACTATTTTGGGCTAGATAATTCTTTGTGGTAGGGAGCTGGTCTGCATGGAAGGGTGTTTAGTAGCAGCCTTGAACTTTATTCACTGGATGCCAGTAGCAATCATCGAAATGGTTCCAGACAGTACCAGATGTCCCCCTGAGTGGGGCAGGGGGAAGGCAGAATCACTCCTGGTTGAGAATCAGAGGTGTGCACCCTCATCTGCCTGCTCTTGGTCTACATACAGTATGTCCCAGTTAAGTACTAGGTATTATTTATGTAAGAGTGATTTATTTTAAGCAATAATACCCTTTCAGAAATTGCTAACAACTTTGTAACTATATGACAACTTGGTGATCAAAAGTCTACCTTAAAAAAAAGTTGAGGCCGGGCACATTGGCCCACACACTTTGGGAGGTTGAGGTGGGAGGATTGCTTGAGCCAAGGAGTTTGAGACCAGCTTGGGCAACAAAACAAGACTCCATCTCTACAAAAATAAAAATGAAAAAATTAGTTGGGTATAGTGGTGCATGCCTGTCATCCCAGATACTCGGAAGGCTGAGGTGGCAGGGTCACTTGAGCCCAGAAGATTGGCTGTAATGAGCCATGATTGTACCACTGCACTCCAGCCTGGGTGACAGAACCAGATCCCATTTCATTAAAAAAAAAAAAAAAAAAAAAAAAGTTGTTCACTGTCTTCCTCTTGGGGGGCCTAGTCCCTTCCCTTTCTTGGCCCAGCCTTAGCCCTACTCCAGGTTCAGTCGGCAGTTCAGGGGTGCTTGGCTAGTGGGTGGTTGTAGGTGTGGAAGCCTGTGAGGGAGTCGGTGGAGAAAGAAGGGGGCAAAGTCCTGGCCTCTGGCAAAGTCCATATTTGCTTCATTCTCTGTAGAATTCAGTTAATTATCAGTATAATTACCATGATAATCAAGGCCTTCAAAAACTTCAGTTAATCCTTAGAAACTATCCCATCTGTTTACTCCAGTATGCTAGGCAAAGTCTATCATTTTTAACGTGTGCCATGGCAAGAAAAAGTTTTGGGAATCATTGAAGTACCTATTCAGAAGGACTTCCTTAGCTCTCAGAGAGCTAGGTGCAGTGCGAGTTTAAAATGCAGGCTCCTGGCTGGGTGTGGTGGCTCATGCCTGTAATCCTAGCACTTTGGGAGTCCGAGGCCGGTGGATCACCTGAGCTCAGGAGTTCGAGACCAGCCTGACCAACATGGCAAAACCCGGTCTCTACTAAAAAAAAAAAAAATACAAAAATTAGCCGGGCATGGTGGCGGGTGCCTGTAATCCCAGCTACTTAGGAAGCTGAGGCAGCATAATTGCTTGAACCTGGGAAGGCAGAGGTTGCAGTGGGCCGGGATGGCACCATTGTACTCCAGCCTGGGAGACAAGAGCAAAACTCCATCTTAAAAAATAAAATAAAATAAAATAAAATGCAGGCTCCTGGCTCTCATGCCAGACCAATTGCATCAAAGTCTCATAGTTTGGAGACCTGGAAATCTGCATCTTAAAAATTATTACATTATAGTTTTTTAATATTATGAAAAAAGTATTCCTACTTTTCCTTCGCAGTCTAGAGCTCAAAACTGAAAACACGGGAGAGTAACAAGCAAAAAGACTTTTCCTTAGGGGTTTCTCTACATCCAGTTTCTAATGGGTTACTTGCTCACAAGCAGCAGCAGAATTACTGTCTATTTCCTCCCCAGTCCGCTGGAGGGCTTCGTTATTTTCCTGTTAAAATCCAAAAAGATGGGGACTCTTATCCAGAAATGACATTTTGATTATTTGACTGAATTTCCCCCCAAAATCAATACCCTGGGCTGTATACATCTGCAGCCTTTTAATCTTTTTTTTTCTGAAAATCAATATGCTGGGCTCAACTAGTTAAAAAATGAGAACTGAAACAAACAGCTGGATTCATTTAAGACATTTCCTTTTCATTTCAACCTGAAATAAACTTTTCAGCAGATTGTCTTTGTGGCAGTTGGAGGCCAACATAAATTTCAACAGTGGGTTGCTTGCCTTTAAGAAACCAAGACTTCCTGGTGCTCCTGCCAACAAAGCCTTCCTCGGGAGTTGGCAGGCGCTCTGCAAAGCACCAGGCTCTGTCAGTGTGCACAGAAGGGGGACGCCTGCTTTCGGAGAAGATGTGACCAATTCAGATATAGCCTGGCAGGAGGACTCTGAGGACATGGCTCACAAGTTGTTACCTGATATCATATCCTGCTACTCAGCATGGCCCCCTGCCCAATTCCTCATTGTTCCTCTCTATTGTATACCTCCTACTTGGGCAATAGCAGAGAACTAATTTTTTAAAGGGAAAAAAAAAAAAAGGTGAGAACATGCTGTGAAAATCTCTATTGACTGTGCAAAAGCAGTGTTTGTCCTCGTTTCTCAAACCTCAGCTTTTGTTCAGGTTTATAATTTTCTCAGTGGGAACAAAGCTGCCTAGATTGCCAAAGGATTTTTGCCCTGAATCCAATGCAGGTATGCCCGTGACTCTATCTATGGATACCACCCAACAAAGTGAGATAAAAAAACACAGACGAGCAGGGTGATCATTGTGCTTGTTAACTTATTCAACAAATATGTATACTGGATATCGGTTGTGGGTCAGACTCTGTGTTGGATGCTGGAGACACAATGGAAAACAAAAGAGACGGGATCTCCACCCTCACTGGGCTCATTGATGTTAATCAGACAATTGCTCAAATAGACACAAAAGCCCCTGTGAGAGGGGCCATGAAGAAGGGGTGCAAGAGATTGTGGGAACTGTCTTCAGGGATTTGGCCTGGCCGGGAGGTCAGGAAAGGCCTCCCGAGAAAATGAGGACTGATTGAGAGCTGCAGGGTAGGAAAAGGAGAAAGGAATAGGGGGGTAGTAGCATTTGTTTGACAGAGAAAAGTGAGTGTTTCCCTGTGGTGGGGATTGCATGATGGCATGCCACCTTTGAGGAACAAGGTGTAAGTGGTTGGGATACAGAGAGCCAATGAGGCTGTGACCAGAAACGAGACTAGAGTCAGACCCAAGGGCCAGACCATGCAGGTCCTGGTTTAGCGTTAGGTCTTTGTCCTATGAGCAGTGAGCATATATATCATCAATAGGTTTTTGCAGCAGTGTGGTAGGACCAAATTTGTTTTAGATCTTAGAGGAGAGGCCAAATTTACCTCTACCCTCTTAGAGTTTTTCAGCTGAGCCTGCAAATTAAACTGACATAAGACCGATACACAGAAAAGCATACACGTTTATTTAATATAAGTTTTATGTGATATGGGAGTGCTTCATAGGGAAATGAAAACCCAACGTGGCACAACCTAAATGCTTTTATACTAGCTTGAATAAAGTGGCAATTGTGGAACAATAACTAAACTATGTGGAAAGGCTAAAGGAAGATATGAATGAGTTTAACAAGGTCTGTTTTACAAAATTTCCTCACTTTCAACTTCCTGTCCTTGGTAAGAATGTTATTTTCCTCCTGGTAAAAGAATTGCACATATGGGGGTTTTGGCTCTTGCTTTTGGGAAGAAAAATGTAGGGTCAGAGCATTTGTACCTGCTGCTTTTATTTTTATGTGCCTTTAGCTCAAAATATTCCTTATGCCAAAGTGGCATACTTCGAGGTGGCATATTCTGCCACCCTTCAATCATTCTCTGCTTATGAGCTGAAACCTGGGCTCCATGACTTCCTGGCATGCCATTCGATGCACATTTGAAAGCAGAAGGTATCCGTGTGAGGTAAATCGAATATGTCACCCAAAAATATGCTTCTTTGGGATAAAAAATTTTAAGCTAAAGAAGCAGCAACTGGAGGAAAAGCACTCTATATACGCCCCCTTTTTTGTCTAAAGACAGGATATAAATTATTTTTTACTGGAGACAACTGTAGACCCTTAGGAGCTCAGAGACAGCACCAGAGGAATCAGTAAACCAACCTTATTGCATTAGTTTTCTCCATCTGTTTACCGTCCTACAGTTTCCCACCTTGGAAGACTAAATCTACTTTCCTTCATCCTGTTATTTTTCTACAAATGTATTTTCTTTATTGAAGATGATATATAAGTGGAATTTGAAACCATTTTGAGTTACTTTTCACTGAGGTGTCTCTTGAATAATGTGTTATGATGCACGTTAATAAACTAATAAACTTGCTAATAAACTTGTTTGTTTTTTTCTTGTTAATGGGTCTTTTGATACAGGGTTCTTTCCCATCTAAGATCTAAGATTGGGAGAGGTAAATTTTAACTTCTCCTGCACTTGTTAGTGCTTTAGTTAATTATCTATTCTAGACTTGGAGTAACTAGGATAAAAGTGTCCTTTAAAAAATAAAATTCAGAAATATTGATAGCCAATATGTTGAGTTCTCTCACTGACCTCAGCAGATGAAATGAACTGATGTGTCAACTCATTAAGGAAATTACTTGGATCTTGGTGTAGGCGGGCACATACTCTACATGCAATGTTAACTAAAGATGGACAGCTAATGAGATTGTTTCCTAGGTCGTTGTTGAAAATAGGGTCGTTGCAGATGTAATTAGTTAAGGATATTGAGATAAATTAATCCTGGATTTAAGGTGGGCCCTAAATCCAAAGACTGATGTCTTTATAAGAGAAAGGAGAGACAGGACACAGAGAGACACAGACAGAAGAAGGCCGTTTGAAGACAAGAGGCAGAGGTTGGAATGATGCTGTTGCAAGCGAAGGAATGCTAGAAGGCACCAGAAGCTGAGAAAGGAAAGGAAAGATTCTCCCCCAGAGCCTTTGGAGAGACCCTGCTGACACCTCAGTTTTGGACTTCTGAGCTCCTAAACTGAGACAGAATACATTTCTGTGTTTTAAGGCACCAAATTTGTGGTAATTTGTTATGGCAGCCATGAAAAACGAATTCGGGGTGCAAATGGGCTCCCACCTCCAAGACTACACTACAATTATTGAAAATTTTTAGACCGGCAAGGAAACATTACAAAACAGCTTTGTTGGTACAATTTTAAGTTTTTACATAGTTTTCTTTTCTAAGTAAAACAAAAGTAAGTTTCTCATGGTTCATATTGCCTGCCTTAGTATTTGACAGAGGAGTTTTACATATTTGTCATAGATTAAAAAAGAAACAAACACCAAATCCTCTTTATTTTAAACCTAAAGTAATGGACAACTTTTGGTTCAAACTGCACAGGTAATTTAAAATAAATTGTATTGCATTAACTAATATGAATGCCGTTTTGAGACCATGTTAAATTAATGTAAATCTTGTTAAAGATCAAGTGAGCAGACAAACAAAAATGACAACGGTCACTCTGGCTGCAACAAGGAACACAGATTGGAAGGAGTCAAGGCCGGAGACAAAAGTCTGCACTGGAAGGAGTTAAGGGTTTTAGCGTGTTTGCGGGTTGGGGGAATTCAGGTTCTGTGTGCAGGGAGAAGCCCAGTTGGGGGTGGCCTGGATCCTGAATAGAGTACGGGGTCTGTTTGTGACATGAACAAGACCCAGAGCCCGGAGAGAGTGAGGCTGCTTCAGGTAAGCGGACCAAGACAAAGAGCATCTCCTGAGGGACCATGGCAGCCTGGATACCAAGGGTCTTTTTTTTTTTCTGTTTTAATTTTTAAATTTTGTGGGTACATAGTAGATGTATATATTTATGGGGTAGATGGGAAATTTTCATTCAGGTATGGAATGTGTGATAATCACATCAGGGTAAATGGGGTGCCCATCGCCTCAAGCATTTATCTTTTGTGTTATGAGCAATACGATTATACTCTTTCAGTTATTATTTTTAAATGAACACTAAATTATTATTGACCATAGTCACAAAGGGTCTTTTTTCAGGCATCGTTCTCTGGGCTCAGTGCTCCATTTAATTTAGTTTAGAAAAGTAAAATAATTTGAATTTTAATAATAGTGACTTGCATATACCCAACATTATAGAGCCCCATCATATTGGCTATGTAAAGCTTTTTGTGAAGTTTACACTTTTGGGATGAGACTCTAAATAAACTTCTTAGCACAGACATACACATAAAAGGAGGTAATCACTGGTTTAGGCTCAGGACATTCTCCACTAATGATTCCACCAGTCATAATTGCTTCTGCTTCCTCCCACTCTGTTTTTTCTGGCTTCCCTCATTGTGGCCGTGTGTCCTTTCTGCCCTGTTTTGTTGCTCATCGGCTCCTCTTCCAGATGGTCAGTTCCCTAAAGGCAAGTTGTAGGAGAGCTGATCACTGCCCTCTCAGTCACCTTTGTAGATCCGGAGTTCATCAGTTAAGTTAAACCTACATAGATGCTTGCAATCACATAGTGTATCCGTGGAAGGGGGCACGAGAAACTGATGGTGACATTGTATCTGGGGAGGAGATCTGACTGGCTGGGGTCCAGGGTGAAAAGATGCTTCTCTCACTCTATATGTTTTGAATGCCTTAATTTCTTTTAAGTGTATGTATTGCTTTTACTCTAAAAAGTAAATAAATACTAAGCAAATAGCAGAGATACCATTTCAAGATAGGCATTTATTCCATGCTTCAACCAGGTGACCCAAATTCCTATAACTTTTTCATAAAGTACCATTTCCCAACCATTTTATATACATTTACTCATTTAGTTCTTATAGCAACCACATGTAGTAAATGCTACTATTATCCTCATTCTACAGATGATGAAACTGAGGCACAGAAAGATTAAACAACTTGCCGAAGGTTTCAGAGCTATTAAATAGCAGCATCGGGGTGAGATCTCAGACAGTCTGAGTCCAGAGCCTGCACTCTTGGCCACCATAGACTGCCTCGCCTGTGACTGCTCTGCATGGTTCTGCAGTTGTTTCATAGCTTTCCTTTGTTCTTTGATTCCATGGCTAGGAACATCTGGGTAAGTTTGTTGGAATGGAATCTCCAAGAGTGTGTTTTACCTGAGGGACTAATGGTCCTCTTGAGAAAGAAGGCAAAGGAGGAGAGGGAAGAGCCGAGCTTGGTTAAATGAATGCCTCAGGTCTGTCTCTCAGATTACCTTCCAGATTGGCCCCTGGGGCATTGTGCCTTAGACATTTGGTGAGCAGGCTGTGATGTATTGCCTGCTAAACTGAAAAGGGCTGCGACAGGGGAAGCACTTGCACCTCTATCAGTTGCAGGAGATGGTGATGGAAGGGTAGGAAGATGCGACACCCAGTGTTGGAGTCTCTCTGCTCAGCACCAGCCCTAGTTGCTTTGACTTGGGCATGGTGGGTGTCAGCAGCGAAGCTGATCTCAACAGCAAAGTTGCAACGTTTCCTATCATCAGTGACAAGACCTGCTCTATTGTGAAGCAGAACAGGCAGAGTCAAATGGCGACTGCCGTAGCTAAGGGAATTAGCTTGGGAAAGTACATGAAATACTTGTGGGAATTCCTGGAGATACTTGGAAGGAATTTCAGGGAGACTGAGTGACTGCAGGACAAGTTGCTGTGGAATCAGAAAGCTGAGTACGGTGGCTCATGCCTGTAATCCCAGCACTTTGGAAGGCCAAGCCAGGTGGTTCACCTGAGGTCAGCAGTTCGAGACCAGCCTGGCCAACATGGCACCATGACCAACATGGCAAAACCTTGTCTGTACTAAAAAACCAAAAATGAGCTGGGTGTGGTGGCGTGCGCCTGTAATCCCAGCTACTCAGGAGGTTGAGGAAGGAGAATTGTTTGAACCTGGGAGGTGGAGGTTGCAGTGAGTCGAGATCGCACCACTGCACTCCAGCCTGGGTGACAGAGTGAGACTCCATCTAACAAACAAACAAATAAAAAACCAAGGAATCAGAGAAATACTCTTTGTCTCTGACCTTGCTCCTAGGTTGTTGTGGTCTGATTTACTTAGGCTCAAGCATGCATCTAGCTTTTATAGAGCCTGAATATTATACAATTTGGGAGGCCCTTGTCAAGGATAGAAAATTATGAACATAAAATCAGGTACAGGGCCTTGGGAGAGGCCCAGGCAAGAGCTACACTAGTTTCAGCACATTCACATCTGTAGAGGTAGGAAGTGTCAATAATACCTGAATGTATACCACATCATGGATTCCTCAACCTGCTTCGCTCAGCTATGGGTTTTGAAAGAGTCTCTTTCTGAGAAAGAAAACAAAATAACATAAAACATAACTTAATGTAAGAGTCAAAGTTGCAAATGGTGTTCTTTGTCACAAAGCTTCAGTGTGTTGAGTAGTGTGGAAACTATTGTAACTGCCACCTCCAGCAGAAATGTGTCCCTAACATCATCTTACAATTGAAGGTGGAAGTATCTTCTGCTGAGTAGCAGATTGAAGGTCATGCCAAGAGAAAACCAATTATCAAGTGTGAAATGCACTGATGCTTAATACTTTTTATAAACATAAAGCAAATTGTTCCAGAAAGGACCCATTTGCAATATGAAAAAGCCCTTAAATAATGACTTTCTAACGACTTTCTATGGACGTCGTACACTTTAGCGTTCATCTCTTGTTGAAGAGGCCAAAGTTGATGAAACTATCCATTGAGCATTACCTGAGAACTAAAGCCATGAGAATTCTCATTTGGTAACTGTAATGACATAATAACTGGCAGTGATGGGAAATGTTAGGTAATTGTAGATTTAAATGAATCCTTGGTCAAATCTGTGTAGCCAAAGTGAAGAAGAAAAACTGTAACACTGGATTTCAACACTTTTTTCCTATATAATCGTTTCTCAATATTGCTAATAAATGTCTCACATTTTGGTTCCATCCATATTATTAATCTGGAGGCAATTCAAGCTAAGGGAAGTTTCTGCTTAGGTTCTGCTCTCCAGCTTCCTCCAGCCCAGCCTCCGTTCTTGTTGCTTGAGTAATTGTTACTATCCTATTGTTCCACTTAAAATCATTTGGAACTCTCAGTGTGACACACAGGTTTCTCACTTGGGGACCAGCCTCTGCCCCTGGCTAAGCCCCTCTGGAGCTCCTGCCCACCCTTGCTGAATGACCTCCAGCTTCTGGCCCTCCAGCAGTTTGCTGCCTGGAGCTGGGAATGTCCATTCCCGGTTCCTGGCATACAATTATTCATTTGAGATTCAGCTCCAGTGATGCTTTCTGGTAATTTTTTTCAGAGGAGCGATCATATTTTTTCTATATCCCTTCTCCCCCATGGACCTCTGCCCAAAGCACATTGAAATCCTTAGATAATTACTTGTTTATTTGCCAATCTCCCCCTTCTAGTCTATAAAATCCTAAAAGACAGAGGAGATCTGAGACCATGCGTATGTCACATTGTTTTTTCTGTATCATCACTACTTAGTTTGTGCTGGATACATACTGGGCACCTAATAAACATTTGATGAGTCATTAAGTAATGAATTGGAGCAGAACTTTGAGATAAAAAGTATCATCTTGGTTCCCAAATAAGCCATCCTTCAGTGTCTGTGCAAATGCCACCCTATGTAAAATGACATCCCTCCTCTTGCCCACTGGCACTTCCATAACCTGCTTTGTTTTCCTCAATAACATGTTATATATTTTTATATATATTTTTGATTGTCTCTGTGTCCCTGAACTCCCTATGAGAATGCAAGCGCTATAAGATTTAAAAACAACAGTGAAAGGACTGCTTGTTAATTTCTATTCCTAGCCCTGAGAACAGTTCCTGGCAGTCAGAACATTTTTATTGAATGAAATTCATACAGTGATTCTCAGCCATTCATATCCTAAGAAAAGAGAATTAGAGTTACATAGGGGTAAGTTGCCAGATATAGCAAATAAAAAAACTAGATGCCCAATTAAATTGGAATATCAGCTAAACAATGAATAATTTTTTAGTATAAGTATGTTCCATTGAATATTTAGGATATTTACACTAAAAATTATTTTCTGTTTATCTAAAATTCAAATTTAGTTGTATGCCTTGCAGTTTATCTGGCAATCCTAATTAGGGGGACCTTTTCTTTTTCTTTTTCTTTTTCTTTTTTTTTTTTTTTTTGAGAAGGAGTTTTGCTTTTATTGCCCAGGCTGGAGTGGAATGGCACGATCCCGGCTCACTGCAGCCTCCACCTCCCGGGCAATTCTCCTGCCTCAGCCTCCTGAGTAGCTGAGATTACAGGTGCCCACCACCACACCCAGCTAATTTTTGTATTTTTAGTAGAGATGGGGTTTCACCGTGTTGGCCAGGCTAGTCTTGAACTCCTAACCTCAGATGATCCACACACCTCAGCCTCCCAAAATGCTGGGATTACAGGTGTGAGCCACCGTGCCCAGTCTAGGGGGACCTTTTCAAATGTCACGTAATTCCTTTCCTCAGAGATTCTGAAAATTTTTCAATTAACAATCATTCTATATTTTCCCATTGTTGTCAATGAGATTGTTTCATATCCTTCAAATGTATTAGGGTGAAAAAATGATTAATCACCCTTACTTGAGCCAATGTTTTTACTTTATAAATAAGGAAAACATAGGACCAAGACAAAGATGATAGGACAAATCTGGTATAGTTTAGTGAACTTCCTAATACGCATCACTGTGTTTTCTGTGCCTTTTGCTCTGGGTGGTCAAACTGCAGAGTAAAAATTGACCTAATTTCACTGGACAAAGAAAATCAATGACATAAAGAAGTATAGAGTAGAGGAAATGCTAAACTGTTTGATGTTGATTCTAAAAGTGATGGCATCTAGAAAGGGCAAGGCTGCAGGTGAGTCCAGGTGTCGGGGAGGGCTGCGAACATGGAACCGGCTGGATACAGGCAAGTGATGGGGGCCACATCTGCCTGATGATACAGTATGCGCTTCTCACAGAGGAGAGAGGCGCCTGGCCTGGACCTCCCTGGGGGGAGCAGAAGCTGTGAGAGTGTAGTAGTGAGTGCTATACACAGCGTGTGTGTTTGTCGGGTAAAGGGATTATGGACAGAGTTAAAAACAGATGAAACACAGTAAAAAATTATTTCCAGGCTGCAGTAGCCAGAGCTAGTTCTAGAAGTTAGAAGTCTGGTGGGCTCAGATGGTTTTTTCAGCTTTGAGTCTCACAAGGCCTAAATTAAGGAGTCAGACAGATGGGGCTCTTATTTGAGCTCTGAGGGAGAACCCACTTTCAGGCTCATTCAGGTTGTTGACTGAATTTGCTTCCATGCATGAGTGGAACTGAGGTTCCTGTGTCCTTGCTGGCTGTCTGGGTGAAGGGTGTTGTTTCCAGCATCTGCAGGTGGACTGCATCCTTTGGCTGACCCTCCCCTTTCTCCTTCTTCAAAGCCAGCCACGGTGGGCTGAGTCCTTGCCGTGCTTTCAATCTCCGACTTCCACTTCTGCCTTCTCTCTCCTGCCTCTCCTTCTGCTGAGTGATTGGTGTGTCCCTACCGCTCTAATCCAGGATAATCTCTTTCTTTTAGGAAACATAACCTTAATTCCCCCTGCCATGTCTATTTTGCCAGGTAATATAACCTGTTCAAAGCATGGTATCAGGAGTGAAGATCACGGGGGCCCCAGTCCTGTTACCACAGCGGCCTCTGGCCTTAGAAAATGAGAGTATATAGGTATGCATTTGTATAAAGGAACACTTGAGTGATATGAAATAGATATATGTGTGTGTGTGTGTGTGTGTGTGTGTATGGTTAGCTGTAGTTGGTGATTAGTATGAGGAAAAGGTTATGAATTGTGACTTCTCAGAGTAAAGCATTTTATAGCATTATGATTTTTGAATCAAGTGAATGTATTATCTGGTTTAAAAAATAAATACCCTCAAAAAATTAAAAACAGAATTACTTTATTGTGATGGTTAATTTTATGTGTCAATTTGTGCAGCAGGGTGCCTAGATTGAATATTATTTCTGGCTAAGCCTGTGAGGCTGTTTCCGGATAAGATTGGCATTGGAGTTGGTGGACTCCGTAAAGTAGATTGTCCTTCTCAGTGTGGGTGGCCATCATTCTAACCAGTGAGGGCCTGAATAGAACAAAAAGATGGAAAAGGAGAAATGTGTCCTTTCTTGTCCCCCGTGCCTGCCTGCTTGAGCTGGAACATTGGTCTTCTCCTGCCCTTGAACTGGGATTTGTACCCTCGGCTTCCCTGGTTTTCAGGCCTTTGGATTCAGACTAGAATCACATCACCGGCTTTGCTGGGTCTCCAGCTTGCGGATGGTGGGATTTCTCAGTCTCCATAATCATGCAAACTGATTTTGTATTATCTATTCGTCTTTTGTCTTTTCTTTTTTCTTTTTTTTTTTTTTTGAGACAGGGTTTCACTCTGTCACCCAGGCTGGAGTGCAGTGGCACCATCTCAGCTCACTGCAGCCTCTGCCCCCCAGGTTCAAGTGATTCTCGTGCCTCAGCCTCCCAAGAAACTGGGATTACAGGCATGCACCACCATGCCTGGCTAACTTATTTTGGTAGACATGGGGTTTCACTATGTTGGTCAGGCTGGTCTTGAACTCCCTTAAGTGATCCACCTATCTCAACCTCCCAAAGTGCTGGGATTACAGGAGTGAGCCACCGCACCTGGCCTACCTATCTCCTATCTATCTATCTATCTAATCTATCTATCTATCTATCTATCTATCTATCTATCTATCTATCTATCAATCATCTATCCATTATCTATCATCTACCTATCCATTATCTATCTATTATCTGTCTATCAATCATCTCTTTCCCTCCTTCCTATGGGTTCTATTTCTGTTGAGAATGAATACACATATGATCCAGCAATTCCACTTTAGGGTATATTTACAAAAGAATTGAAAGCATGGTCTTGAAGAGATATTTTCTATACCGATGTTCATAGCAGAGTTATTCACAATAGCCAAGAGCTGGAAGCAACCCTAATGTCTATTGATGGATGCATGGATAAGCAAAATGTGGTGTATACACACAATGGAGTATTAGCATTGAAAAGGAAGGAAATTCTGACATATGTTTCTGACATATGGTGGAAACTTGAGGACATTATGTTAAGTGAAACAAGCCAGTCACAGAAAGACAAATACTATACGATTCCACTTATATGAGAGCTCTAGAGTAGTCAAATTCCTGGAAACAGAAAGTAGAATGGTGGTGGCCAGGGAAATGGAGAGTGTTTGTTAATGGGTGGAACTTCAGTTTTGCAAGATAAAAAGGTTGTGGAGATTGGTTGTACAACAGTGAACATACTTAACACTACTGAACTGTATACTTAAAGACAGTTAAGCCAAGTGCAGTGGTATATGCCAGTAATGCCAGCTACTCAGAGAGGGGAGAATCACTTGAGGCCAAGAATTCAAAGATGTAGTGTGCTGTGATGGCACCTGTGAATAGCCACTGAACTCCAGCCTGGGCAACATAGCAAGACCCTGTCTCTTTCCAAAAATGGTTAAGATGGCAACATTTATGTTATGTGTATTTTGCCACAATTGAAAATGTTTAAAAATTAAGAAAAATAAGTAAAAGCTATGTTATCTCAGAAAGTGGATGAAATGAAGAAGAGGAGCTGGCATTCCCATGGTCCAGAGCCCCGCCTCTAACCCTCATTCTCTGCTCACCCCATGCTACCAACTGGGCAAATACGTCCAGTGGCTATTAATCTCACTGGCTAAATTGAAGCTGCTGCTAGGCTCTCTTAACCAGTGGCTTAAATAGCATAAATGCTACAGGGCTGTGTCCACGTAGCAGGGGCTGACTCATCCCTGGGAGTGTGGTAAATCTTGGTCTGCATCTTGATTTCAGACTGAATTCTCATAAGAATCTCCTACTCTGTGGTTTGCTTCCCTGGATATTTTATTTCATGTTCTAGAAGAAAATACTTCCTCAGATGACTGGCAGTGGGCACATTCTATTCCTTCAGGTGAATCCCCATCCTTTACCCTTAAAGTTATCCTCACTCAATGTACCCCAACAGGAAAAATATTTCTGAATACAGTAGTCTAACAAGAGTACATTTTGGTCATGACTAACACCATCATTCAGAAGTGACTATCAATTCTCTTCCTCATTGTTAGGTTGGGATGCCATGAGCCTGGTCCAACTTATTTTGTGTTTTTGCTTCAGTTCTTGATGGATTCTTTCCTATTCCTTACCTCTTAAAAAAATCTGAAAAAAATCTACCTATCAGTCGATATCTATCAGGTGATATGATGAGCTGATTTGTACACCCACCCAAATTCATGTCTTGAAGACCTAATGCTTAGTACCTCAAATATGACTGTATTTGGAGATAGAGTCTTTAAAGATGTAATTAATTGAAAATTAGTTTACTAGGTGGGCCCTAATTCAATAAGACTGATGTCCTCATAAGAAGAGGAAATTAGCACATAGTCACAGAGGGAAGACCTATGAAGAGACCGGGAAAAGATGACCATCTACAGGCCAAGGGGAGAGGCCTCAGAAGAAACCAACCCTGCCAACACCTTGGTCTCGGACTTCCAGCCTCCAGAATTGTGAGAAAATAAATTTCTGTTGCTTAAACCCCCCAGTATGTGGCCCGTTGTTATGGCCACCCGAGCAAACAAATTCAGGCCAATAACTGAATCTCCCTCCTCAGGAACCATCAATAATTCCACACAAGGAAGACAAACATTTTCCTAGAGAAGTCAGTACCCACACCTGCTGAGCATTAGCTCCGGCCACACACACAAATTTACTTTACCAAAATGACGACTTCCTTTTCAGGCTACAACATCTGTTCCTCTAGTTGTTGAGCGATTTTCTTGAAATGCTTGTGCACTTACTTTACATTTGTGTAATTAAAAGTGAAGGGTGTTGGCATGTCTGTGTTGGAGCAGGAAGGAAATTCAGCAGTGCGGAGAGGGGAGGAGCCACTCCAGCTGTCGCTCCAGCTGGGGCCTTTTGGGCCTGTTGTGCCTTAGCCAGTGGCCTCTCATGCACAGAAACATGGTGCTTCTGGCACAGCCTGTTGGACCCAAAGTGTCACACTACCGACTCTGGACTCGATTCATCACTGTCCTTAATTCTCCCTTCCATGTCATACTGCCTTCCACTCTCACTCCCTAAGTCAGTGTGTGCGTGAGTGTGTGTGTGTGTGTGTGTGTGTGTAGTCTGAAATAACTCCTGAAGTTGTACTAAGGGAGAGGCTGCATTGCTAATGGCTACAAACCATACTTGCTCCAGGAGCAAAGGAAGAGAGATGAGATGACGGCATGCCTGCCTGGAAGAATAAAGCAAAGCACACAAGGTCCTCTTTCAGTTTATTATGTTTTTCCATCTAATTGTGGAAAGATTCAGTTTGCTTTGTTTCTCTCCTCATGCAGTGCGTAGGGAGAATAACCCAGGAAGATGATATGTCAGGAAGTCAGGAGACATTCCCGTTTGTGATATCGGAAGGGAGAGGGGCCCTAATTTCCCAGATGGATTTTTAGGCTGCCGAAGCTGAGCTGCAATGATGTCTACAGCACCATGGTTAGCGCCCACACAGAAACGCACATTTGTCTTCCCTCCTTGAACTTGTGAAGTGTGTGAG
This sequence comes from Homo sapiens, assembly GCF_000001405.40. Classification (NCBI taxonomy): domain Eukaryota; kingdom Metazoa; phylum Chordata; class Mammalia; order Primates; family Hominidae; genus Homo; species Homo sapiens. The sequence goes on from NC_000006.12 coordinate 131,381,958, forward strand.
GGCTTTTCTGAGTGGAATGGAGCAGTGGGGCAGACTGACCTTGTTAGGATTCTCTATTGTAGGGCCATTCTGGCTGATCGGGTGATTTGAGTGTTGAAAAAGCAAGCTGTCCTAATAGTTTCTTTATAAACATGTTTAGACCCAGATAAAAGGCTGAACCCTAAACCGGGTATAAAATGGCTGATTTCCTTCGAGACCTACAGGGTGTTTGCTAGTTCCCTCAGCTGGGCTGGAAAGGCCGCATGAAGCCTGAGGGCTTATTTCTAAATACATACACACCCCATGGCTCTAGTTTATTTATAAAAATACAGACTACAGACATAAGGACACAACTCTGAGGAACCGTGAGTCCTCTTCATATGCTTAGAACTGAAAGACAAGCCTAAGTTATTTTGAGTGTAAACACTTCAGTTTTTCATAGAACGGGAGCCTTTCCATTTGACTTCATTGGTCAAAAAGCCAAACTGTTATTAAACAGTGATTGTTGATCATCTAAACCAGGAGGGAAAAGTATCTAGAATTACTAAGTGTTTATAAAATACGAATTGCCTTAAAAAAAATTGCAGATAGAAACAGAGCCCTGGAATCATCAAAGTCACTGAGATCTGATGGAACAGAGAATTACCGTGAATTCAAACGTGAATTCAAACAGGTGAGATCCCACATGCCAAGACCTCAAAGGGCAGCTTGGAGCCCCACAGAAACAATAAAAACAAACAGGTCTCTTGTTTAGTCAACTTGGGTCTGGGTCAATTTTATCTATTTATACAGATGTAACAGGAGGTCTGAAGCTCGCATTTCAAACACGGAGTCATTAACCATGAAAAGTCACCCTGCGAAGGGAGAATGTGCAGCTGGTCTGTCGATTGGCAAAAGCAGCGAACCCCGGGGATGGTGCGCAGCATGTCGTTAGTGTAGTCAGAGAGCGGCACTGTCACTAGGATACTACAAATTACTGTGGAGCTGGGGTGGCTTGTCACTCAGGGAGTTGGCAGCCCAGAGGAGCTCATCTCCGTGGGCCTCCAGTGTTAAAATGAGGAATTGGACCAGATTGGTGTTTCCTCAACTATGATCCACAAAAATAGGATTCTATGGGTAAGTTTAGAAAAGTCTGGGTTCAATAAGTTAAATAGGATTCTTTACTTTGATATTTCATAGATTCAATATTTTAAGGATATTGTGACTCCCCCCAAATGGGGATAAGATAAATGATGTTCCCCAAAGGTGCTTGAACACAGAATTATTTGGGAAATGTTGAGCCAGCAGGTCTAATATTCCAGGATTCCAGAGAGAGAATGAGGCCATGAGAGGCAGGAGTGGAGAAAGAGAGAGACCCCTGGCTCCTGCTTCCAGAACCCCCTCTGTGCCTTCCTGAGAATGGAAGAAGCTGGAAGGGGCCCCTTGGAGTCTTTATGGCAATGGCAGAGGTTATAATTTTGCAAAAAAAAAAACACAAAAAAACAAAGCAAAACAAAACAAAACTAGCACTTTCTAATTAGGATGAAACTTGTATTTAGGCACAGTATATACTGACCTGTGATGTGTTGGTTTAGGTGCTAAAAAGTTAACCCTCTCAAAATTCTTTAGCCACTAACAATGAATCTCTTAATTCCAGTCACATTCTTTGTGTCATGTTAAAATGCAAATATCCCAGGAGAGAGACCTGACATGTTATAAATATTGTATGAAGCTCTTAGACTCTTTTCTGAGGAAGGAAGGAAAGAAGGATGGGAAGAAGGAAGGAAGGAAGAAGGAAGGAAGGAAGGAAGGAAGGAAGGAAGGAAGGAAGGAAGGAAGGAAGGAAGATTGTAAAAATGGCATAAGAGGGCTCAGGTTTTCCTGAGTTGCACTAAGATTAGGTTCCCTGTAGCAGAGCCTGAGACAGGGATTCTGGTGAAGAGGGCTGTTGAAGGCATGTTCTTGGGAGAAAGGGAATTGGGAAAACAAGATCTGACAGGGGAAGAAAGCTAAGCAAGGATGAGTTCTGCCACAGCCAGGCCCCACAGGGGAGCTCTGGGCCATAGCCGCCCCACAATTTGTCTCATCCGGAGACAGAGGCCAACCTTTTGTATCTCTGTGTCAGGCAGTCATTAGTTGCCAGCTGCCCCATCCTGTGTCCCTGAGTGGGGTGCAACCTTCCAGACAAGGACGCTCCCATTCAGCTGAGGGCACTGCTCTAGGGAAGGGGGCGGTGTGAGTAGTCAGGGGCCAACACTCACAGTAACTGCAGCCAGATGGAGAGGATCTGGGTGGGGCACCGGCTGCACCCACTCCACATGTATTCAGAATTGGCTCTGTTTGACTCACAAAATTTCAAGTAACTGAAATAGCTTATGAAATTCCTCGCATTTCTTCTTCTCTTGGAGTCCTAAGTGTTGATTAAAAAAAGCCTTTTCTAGTGAGAGCTTGACATTTCCTTGGGGGAATTTTAACAATACTCTAAGCTCTTCTCTCAGTTCCGGTAATTATTAAGGATTAAAGGAATTGTGATGTTCTCTGGTCTGTCTAGATTATTTTTCTTTCTATCAGAAGGATTTTTCAAAGGGCACTTGACATGCCCATATCCTTTTGAGCAATACTAAAATTCTGTATTTAAAAAAAGGTGTAGGGGGGCTACTTATCTTTTGAGAAGAAAAAGCTAGTTTCATGGCTTTCATTTTTCTCACAAATCTGCCCACACACACACACACACAAGGAAAGAAAACCTTCTGCCTTTCAGACACTCTTTTTTTTAAAAAAACATAAAGCAATTCTAGACCTATTTTGAGGAGATTTCAAGGTAATCCTTTTTAGTTCTCAGTGTAAAATAAGAATAATGTGGCTCTCAATGTAAAAGTTTTTAAAAATAATTTGCCTAATAATCATTATTTAGCTATAAAGTCTTTCTGGAGCGTGCCTTGAAGAACTGCGAAGGGCTTTATTTATTTATTTATTTTTATTTTTTACCCTCCAAAAGAATGCTTGATTTGAAGGGCTTAGGTTCTTTTCAAAGCCTCCAGTTCTCTTTTCTATTTATCTATCAAATGATAGGGGGAATTCAGCTTAATCCATTCCCCTATTTCTGCGGGTGTTTGGTGTAGGGGAGCCCAGGGGGAGCTTCCCCTTCCCCCTCTGAAAGTTGTGAACCCAAAATATCTGAGACAGGTCTCAGTCCATTTAGAAAGCTTATTTTGCCAAGGTGAAGGACGTGACCTTAACACAGCCTCAGGAGGTCCTGATGACATGTGCCCAAGGTGGTCAGGGTACAGCTTGCTTTTATACATTTTAAGGAGACATAATACATCAATCAATACGTGTAAGATTTATATTGGTTCAATCTGGAAGGAAGAGACAACCTGAAGGGGGTGGGCAGATAGGCTTCCAGGTCATAGGTAGATTTTCCAGGTCATAGGTGATTGGCAACTGGTTGAAAGAGTTATTATCAGTAGAAAGAAATGTCTGGATGAAGATAACGGGTTGTGGGCCGAGCACGGTGGCTCACGCCTGTAATCCCAGCACTTTTGGGAGGCCAAGGCAGGCAGATCATGAGGTCAGGAGATCGAGACCATCCTGGCTAACACGGTGAAACCCCGACTCTACTAAAAATACAAAAAATTAGCCGGGCGTGGTGGCAGGCGCCTGTTGTCCCAGCTACTCGGGAGGCTGAGGAAGAATGGCGTGAACCCAGGAGGCGGAGCTTGCAATGAGCCGAGATCAGGCCACTGCACTCCAGCCTGGGCGACAGAGAGAGACTCCGTCAAAAATAAATAAATAAATAAATAAATAAATAAATAAATAAATAAATAAATAAGATAACGGGTTGTGGAGACCAAGGTTTTATCACGCAAATGAAGCCTCCAGTTAGCCGGCTTCAGAGAAAATAGATTGTAAATGTTTCTTATCAGGCTTAACGTCTGTGTTGCTATTAACGCTGGACGGGTACAATGAGGCATGTCTAAACCCCTCTTCCATTATGACCTGAACTGGATTTTCAGGTTTACTCCAGAATGCTCTTGGCTGAGAGGAGGGGTTCATTCAGATGATTGTGTGGAGGGAGGGAGCTTAGAATTTTATTTTTGCTTTACAAAGTTCACTAAAAAAGTCAACTCCCAAAAGGCAGATGAATTGGAGGAAAGGCATACAGATTTACTTAATGTGTACACAACATGCATATGGGAGAATCCCGGAGTGACTGCCCACCCTGCAAGGTGGTTCAGACGCATGTGTATCATCCTAGCAGAACAGGTGGGGAGCAGGGAGGATTTGGTTGAGGGAATCTGGGGAGAATGAATGGATCAGGGAGCAGAGATTAACTTGTATGTTATCTTGTGAATGGATCTGTTCAGGTGTGAATAGGTTAGGGGGGAGAAAGTGTATAATTCACATGGCACCAAAATAATGTTAGGGGCGGCGAATATCCAAGTTACTGGTCCTGGCAGCGAATCTGTACCTGTCTGCAGCAACCTCAATTCTTGCCTCCTCAGAAGAAAGAATTCGACTGACGGGCATACAGCAGAAAAACAGACTGAGGCAAGTTTCAGAGTAGGAGTGGAAGTTATTAAAAAGCTTTAGAGCAGTGGCCAGGCGCGGTGGTTCACATCTGTAATCCCAGCACTTTAGGAGGCCGAGGCGGGTGGATCACTTGAGGTCAGATCGAGACCAGCCTGGCCAACATGGGGAAACCTCGTCTCTACTAAAAATACAAAAATTAGCTGGGCATGGTGGCTCACTCCTGTAGTCCCAGCTACTTGGGAAGCTAAGGCACGAGAATTGCTTGAACCCGGGAGGTGGAGGTTGCAGTGAGCTGAGATGGTGCCAGTGCACTCCAGCCTGGGCGACAGAGTAAGACTATCTCAAAAAATAATAATAATAAATAAATAAATAAGAAGGAAAAAAAAAACTTAAGAACAGGAACAAAAGGAAGGAAAGTACACTTGGAAGAGACCCACATAGGTGACTGGAAGGACGAGTGTGGCATTTGACCTTTTGACTTTTGGGTTTTATATGCTGGCATACTTCTGGAGTCTTGAATCCCTTTTCCCATGATTCTTTCCTTGGAGTGGGCCGCCCCCATGCGTGGTGGCCTGCTAACACGTGGGAGGTGAACATGAGCAGTGTGTGTACTGCAGTTGTATGCATGCTCACATGTGGTGTTCTTCCCTTTTCTGGTAGAATGCCCCCAGAAGGCCATACGCTGCCATTTCGTCTCTTTATGCGCATGCTTGAGCCCAGTTGCCCAATTCCTGAGATTTTATTAGAAGCTGCCAATGACCAATTTCAAGTTTGTGTCTATTGGGAAATTGCCTCTCCCTGCACTTGCTCTGATCAATTATCATTTTAGAGAGGCAGTGTGAAATTCCTGGTTGGTCAGGAGAGCCCTCTCCCACCCCGCTTGTGCTTGACTAGCTATGTACTGTAACAGTTACAGTCTTGGTTTTACAGGGAGAGGAAGAAAAAACAAAAACAATTGTTCCTTTTGGTGGGTTGCTTTAGGCAGATAAAGGCATCCTGTGTTTTGGGAGAGAGAGTGAGGGAGGGAAGGTCAGAAAGACCTTGAGGCTTCTTCAGTTCAGCATGGAAAAGTGTCAGATTCTGGGATATTGGTTTCTGACCCCCAACATTGGCAAGCTTATTTAGGTGATCTTAACAACCTGCCTATACTATAAAGTTGCTTTTCTAATCATCCTGGAAATTCATCAAAGGTGCATGGAAATTTCTAGAAGATCCTATCAGAGGCTGTATGGTCTCTGGAAGTCCAAGCACAGAGCCAGGAATCAGCAAAGTCATGGCCAGTATGAAGAAGACAAATGACACTCCTCACGTGTCTGTGGAGAGGTCCTGTCTATCACCCTCGCCAGATTAGATGATTCTTTTCTGAAAGGGAATTGTCTTTTGTTCCCCAAGAGCCTTGCACAAAAGAGGCACTTAAAGTAAATTACAAAACTCTGCATCATCCTGCCTGATATTCTTTTTGATGGTATGAGTGTGTGTGTGGGGCGGGGATGAGGGGGGTGGAGAAAGTGCTGAGGAGGATGCCATCTGGCAAAAACTATTTTGTCATCTTTCCCTTTTCCGTGGCTTATTTGCAAAATACATGCTTTCAATTTTCCAGGCTTTGGCTCTATATTCAAAGTTAAGCTCTTAGAATTCCAAAAATAATATCCCCTTCCCCTTAAAAAAAATAAAAAAGCTCTTTTATTTTTTTCTCTCAAAAAAGCCTGGCTTTTATAAATAAAAAGTACTATGGCTTCCAAGCAATTGGGTCTGCTATGAATTTACAAAATCCACGCAGCAATTCATTTGACTTCAGGCTCCCTCCCCTGGAGAACAGTGTGTATCTAAGCATTGTCATGAAAGCCAAACTATAGCTTCCATGGTAGAAATTTACAAGGAAGAAGAGGAACAGCAGCTTCCTAATATAGCTAAACACTATGCCCAACACATTAGTACCTGTTTGTAGAATTAGATTGCATGCCATGGACATGGGTAGGGGTTTCCAGCAGGGACTGGGAACTGAAAGCCACCAGCTGACAGCACACCCAGGTCTTAGGGAGCACTCCACAGCATAGTGCTTGTCCTCCTCAAGGAATAAACTCGCCTCATCCATCAGAGAAAACAGAAGTCCTCGGGTCTAATCACCATCCATTTTCTTCCCTGGTCCCCACTTCTAAGCTAACCTCAGTGAGTGCCTATCCTTTCCTTCCTTCCTTCCTCCTGACTCCAAAGATGAATCTGTTCCTATTTCTGTTCAATGCGGTCCTGGAAGATGTCTAATTGTCTGTGGAGACATGGGGTAAATACCCCTCTTGTGTGGCTCCGTGGCTGATTCGGCATCTGTCACCTCTGTCGCCCCAGGTCAGTGCTCCTCCCATCTTGACACAGCTGTCTCTGCTCTGAATCTGTTAGACACATCTGTCTCCCCGTGGGGTGGCGAGCTGCTCAAGGGTGGTGACCGTACCTGATTCCTGTTTTCTCTTCAGAATGTAGCACATCACTTGCATACTATACATGCCCCTTATAGGATTGTGGAACAGTGACAAAATGAGTCATACGCTTCAAGGAAATTAACATGGAAGTGCTGTGTGAAATGGACAGGAGAATAGAAAAATTGGTGATGAGACTAACTGTCAGAAAGCTTTCAGAAGAGTCTGCTTCATAGGCAATAAGCTCCTGAATAGCCAAGTGTGGCAGGTAGAAGAGAAGGATCATCTGCAAGAGAGAGTTCAGAGGTAGACTTAGCAGGCTCTGAACAGTTAAAGCAGGCTGGCAAGGAGGGGAATGGAGTTGCTCACTTTTGGGAACCATTATCAAATTTTGACAACATTAATTCATTAATTCAATTTGTATATAGTGCCCCTTCTCATGCCAGGTACTATTCTAGGGGCTAGGGACAAAGATACAAACAAAAGGAAACAAAGTGAAATATAAAACCAGTTAAAAGAATCAGATTTAAGAGGGGGAAGTGGAAGTAATACATTCAATTTTTTTTAGCTTGTGAAGTTTGACATGTAGTGGCCAGTGGGAAATCTAGTACTGCAACTTTGGAGAGGATTCAGGTATTTAGATACATATTTGGGAGTCATTATGCAAAGGAACTAGTTATTCTAGGAACCCAAGGATAATGATTGCAGGAAGAATTAATGAGAAGGTATGCTCTTGTGAATTTCTTGAAATATAAATTTTGAAACATATCCTACAAACAGTTGAGCAAAACAAGTAGAAGTTGCTTTTCTACGGGGAACACAAGCTAAGGCGTATTAATGAAGCCATAGAAATAGTCACTGGGACTAGTCATAAATATGGTGGTTTTCTTTCCCTTCTGGGAACATGTAGGACTACATATCCTTAACCCTTAACCTGGCTTTGTTTAATGAACTGTGGGTGGAGTGATGTGGATGACTTCTAGCTGTAAGCTTTAAAAGACAGAATACAGTTTGCCAATTCCCTTTCTCTCCTGTGTGCTCATTAAGACACATAAGACACATATTTAGATGAAGCTCTTCGTTAGGCTACATCCCCAAGTGACTACAGGAGCAGAGCCACTCTGCTGATCTGTGCTGAACCTATGTAGTATGAGTGAAAAATAAGTAAGTAGCTTATTGTGCTAAGCTACTAAGCATTGGGGGTTATTAATTACTGCAATATAACATAGACTACCCTGACCAATACGCAGGCTAAGCTGCTGCAATGAACAACCAGAATATACTGTCCACTACATGGGTCATTCAGGGTCCTGGGTTCCTTCCATTTTATAGCCTTTGGCTGGGCACAGTGGCTTACACCTGTAATCCTAGACCCTTGGGAGCCTGAGGCAGGTGGATCACCTGAGGTCAAGAGTCTGAGATCAGCCTGAAGAACATGGTAAAACCCTGTCTCTAATAAAAATACAAAATTAGCCAGGCGTGGTGGTGCAAGCCTGAAATCTCAGCTACTTGGGAGGTTGAGGAAGGAGAACTGAGTGAACCCGGGAGATGAAGGTTACAATGACCTGTGATTGCGCCATTGCACTGCAGCCTGGGTGACAAGAGTGAAACTCCGTCTCAAAAATAAACCAAAACAACATTTTATAGCCTTCCGTTGCCCTAGTGCATTTCCTCATCCACATAAAGATTGCACTCTAGTTCCACACCTGCATTCCAGTCATAGGGAAGGGGCAAAGAGGAAACAAAAGGCAATCAATTTCCTTTTATGGAAGTTACATTGCAGTTGGATATGTCACTCCTCCTCACATTGCATTGGTGAGAACCCACTCACAAGGTCACATCTAGCAGCATGGGTACCACTAAATTTGGATGAGAATGGGATGGGTTCTATCACTAAAAAGAAGAAAGGCAGAATGGATAATGGGACAATTAACAGTGTCTGCCACAGGGTACATAGAATGTTTAAGAAACTGAAGTAAATGTAGTATGGCTGGAGAGTACAGTGAGACATGGAGAGTGCTCAGAAAGAGGCAGTAGAGGTAAGGGAGGGGACCAAGATTAAGGAGGCCTGAAAACATTGACTTAGAGGTAATGGAAAGCCCCTGAAGAGTTTTAAGTGGAAGAATACCACAATCAGATTTGCATTTTGAAAGATTCTCTTAATTTCAGGAGGGAGGATAGAATGAAGATGAATTAGGCAGTTTTTGCAGGTTCCAGAGAAGAGCTCGTGGTCACTTACACTGGGTTAGGGGCTATGGAGAGAGGAAGAGGAAATTGAATTCCATAGCTATGTAGAACACAGAATCAAGAATATCAAAAGATGCAGATGAGAAATATAAAGGCTGAGGGAAAGGGAAAAGTTAAAGATGTTCCCAGATTTTCTGGCTTTCGGATTGACATTCTGTCATTTTCTGGAGGGAAAATTCTGGCAGAAGAACAGGTTTACTTGGGAAGAGATGAGTGCCATATTGAGCATGCTATGTTTAATATGCCTGTGAGACATCCAAATATAGATATCTAGTAGTCAGTTGTATCTATGGGCTTGGGTTCAGGAGAGAGATCTAGGGTAGACCTAAAAGGCTGGGAATTGTTAACATATGGATGATCCTTAAATCCAAGGAAGGGGATGAAATGGCCCAAGAAAAGTTGCTTAAGAAGAAAAAAAGAACTCTTAAGAACATCAACATTTTTAAAAAAGGGGAAAGAGGGAGAAACCAACTATGAGAATTGAAGAGGAAGTGCCAGAGGGAAGGCGAAACACCTGGACAAAAGTCACTTCATGGATGATGAAGGAAGCAAGAGTTTCAAGGAGACAGTGAGCAAATGTACGAAAACTTGCTGAGAAGTAAAGCAAAAGTGCAGAAAATAAAAGGAGGTTAAATATAGTCTGTACATCAAGAGGCAGAAAGCAAATAAAACTGCTAGGATGAAAAAACTAGTCAACTAGTCAGAATAAAAAGAAAAGGAGCATGCAATAAAATGATTGAAGTTAGGGCAAATTTAACAGCTATGTCATGAAGGGTAAAGTGCAATGAAAATATTTGATTGTTTTTAAAATATAAGTACAAATATATGTTACTTACAGTATGGTTGATAGAGACTCAAGACATCAATAACAATATTTTATGGAATAAACAAGCATTGCTTAGAAAATTTGAATAGCAAAATAAATAAATAATTATAGAATGATTAATTCCACAAAGAAACCACTCCAGTTTTAGGTATTCATACAAATGATTAAATGTAAAACCTTTAAGATAAAAAATGTTAGGAAAAAATTACTGAAATTAACTTGAAGCAGTTAAAAAAACTTCAATCAATCAGCATAAAAAAATCAGAATTTTTTTAAAATTTGAGGACTGAAAAGTCTTATTTGTTATATCTTTTAAGTTTGACAAAGTACTTTCTTGCTACCTAAACTAATGCAGAATATGAAAATAAAAAGTTAAAACACTTTCAAAATGGAAATAAATAAATTGGACATCATCAAAATTAAAAATTCTTTTTACAACAAAGGACACTATCAAGACTTGAAAAACAACCCACTGAATGGAGAAAGTATTTCCAAATCACGTATCTGATAAAAGTCTAGTATCCAGAATATACAAATGACTCTTACCAACTTGACAATAAAAAAAGAATAACTCAATTTACCAATGAACAAAGGGTTTGAACAGACATTTTTCCAAAGAAGATATACAAATGGCCAATAATTACAGGAAAAAGATACTCAGTATCATTAGTCACTAGAAAAATACAAATAAAAAACAATGAAATAACACTTCACACTCACTAGGATGGCTAAAATCATGGACAATAACAAATGTTGACAGGAATGTGAAGAAACGGGAACCCTTATACATTGCTGATGTGATTGTGAAATGGTACAGCCATTTGGAAAACAGTTTGGGAGTTTCTCAAAAAGTTAACCATAGAGTTACCATGTTACCTAGCAATTTTAATCCTAGGTGTATACTCAAGAGAGTTTCAAATATATGTCCACCCACAAAAACTTGTACATGAATGTTCATAGCAGCATTATTCATAAAAGCCAAACAATGAAAACAATCCAAGTGTCCTTCAACTGATGAACAGAAAAAATGTGGTATATTCGTACAATGGAATATGATTCAGCTATCAAAAGGAATGAAATACTGATGCATGCTATAACATGAATGAATCTTTAAAAAGTTATCCTAAGTGGCAGAAGTCAGTTCAAAAGGTGTATATTTTATTATTCCATTTATATTAAATGGCAGGAATTGACAAATCCATAGAGACAGAAAGTAGATTATTGGTTGCCAGGGGATGAAAGTAGAAGGCATGGGGAGGTTGCCATTTTTTTCTATTTAAAGGTGATGAAAATGTTCTAAAATGAGACAGTGGTGATGGTTGCACAACTCTCTGAATGTACTAAAACCCACTGAACTGTACACTTTAAAAGAATGAATTTTTTGGTATATGAATTATACTTTCATAAAATATACATTATGATGTCTCTTATATATACATATGCAGTTGCCTTTACTGATATTCTTTATTTCCTGTGTGGTTTCATGTAACTTTCTAGTGTTCTTTCATTCAGCCTGAATGGCTCCCTTTAGTACTTTTGTAGGGCAGGTCTGCTAATGGTAATTCCTCTTGGTTTTTGTTTATCTGGAAATGGCTTAATTTCCCTTAGCTTTCAAAGGCTAGTTTTTCTGAATATAGAATTCTTGGTGAATTCTTTTTCTTTCAGTCCTTCAAATATGTCATCCCATGGCCTTGTGGCCTCCATGGTTCCTGATGAGAAATCAGCTGTTAATTTTAGTATTATAATCCCTTGTACGGATGATTCATTTTTCTTTTGTTGCATTTACATTCTCTCTGTGTATTTTAAAGGTTTCACTATGATGTATCTATGTGGGGATCTCTTTGTGTTTATCTTATGTGGCGTTAATTGAGCTTCTTAGATGTGTAGTTGTTTTTAATTATCTTTGGATAGTTTTCAGCCATTATTTTTTAAAATAATCTTTCTATTCCTTTCTCTCTCTCTCTCTTCTCCTCTTTGACTTCCTTTATGTGTATGTTGGTAAACTTAATGATGTCCCATGGGTCTCTGAGGCGCTATCCTTTTTTTCTCTATTCTTTTTTTTTTTGCTTGTATCTTAGACTAGATCATCTCAATTGACATATCTTCAATTTTTCTTATTCTTTCTTCTGCTAATTCAATATGCTGTTGAACTCTTCTACTAAATTTTAATTTCAGTTCTTTTATACTTTGAAATAGCTAGTTTTTAAAATAGTTTCTATGTATTGATATTTGATGAGACATCATAATTACCTTTAATTCCTTAGACATAGTTTCTGTTAGTTCTTTGAACATATTTAAACTCTTTGTCTCGTAAGTCCAACATCTGGGTTTCCTCAGAGACAGTCTCTATTGGCTGTTTTTCCCCTTTTTGGGGGCCATATCGTCATGCTTCTTTGCATGTCTCATTTTTTGTTGTTCTTGAAAACTGGACACTTTACATAATAAAATGTAGCGACTTTGGTAATCAGATTCCCCTTCTCCCAGAGTGGGGTTGTTTGTGACTGTTATTGTTGCTGCTGCTGTTTGTTTGCTTAGTGTCTTTTCTACATAATTCTATAAGGTCTATATTTTTTGCATGTAACTACTGAAGTCTCTATAGTTAGCTTAGTGGTTGGGTAATGGTTGGATAGAGATTTCCTTAAGGAATTTGAACCAGTAAGTCTTCCAACCTTTGCCAAATGGCTACGGTGTATGTTGAGGCATGCCTTCAGTGATCTGGCAGGCAATTTACAACTTTGCTTTAATCTTCCTAAAGATGAACTTTAGCCTCTCTAAAACCAAATTTTGCACGGAGCCTCAAGATCAGCCTAAGGTGAGAAACTGGAGCCTTCTCAATTCTTTCCTGGGCATGCACACAACCCTAAGCATGCATGTGGCCTCCTAGAATCTCAGAAATATGTTGGAATTTTTCAAAGCCCTTTATGGATATCTCACTCCCCAGTTTTTCCTTTTAAGATTTTTGGTCAGCCTCATGCTGCCTCCAGCAGTGGTGATGTTAAACCATTGCTATTCATTGATTTTTACAAATGCTCTGGTGAAAAGGTTGTTTGCATGGAACATGCTCTCAGTGAGGTAAAATAAAGACAAGCTTTGAGAATGGAGCTTTTCCAGGGAGTTTCCAGAGATGTCAAATATGACAATTCTCTGGGGATGGGGCTTTTGGGGGGAGCTCCAAATCCATTCTGCCCATTGCCGTGGCTGCTAGGCTGCTGGTTTTCATAGCTACTATAGTGAAAGGCTATAGGTTTTCAAGGCTACCATGGAGCTATAGAGCAAGGGATGGGGACAGGGTCACTCCACAAAGGTCACTGCTCTTACTGAGGTTCATCTGATGTTCTTGAATAAACACTCCTTAGATTGTTGCAAGCCTTTGGTTAATTGCCAGAATTCTGAATTTTGACAATTTTTGCCAGTGATCTCCTTGTTTTTACAAAGGGGCAGATTTTGAGAAGTACTAACTTTACCATTTTGCAAGTGCTTCTCCTAGTAAGTATTTTAAGCTGAATGGAAAGGAAAGCACAACATATCAAATGTTTTGGGATTCTGCTAAAGCAATAATTAGGGGAAACGTTATAGCACTCACCACCTCTGTTAGAAAATAAGACAGGATTCAAAACCATGACCTCAGCTCTCACCTTAAAAAACTAGAAAAAGAAGATTAATGAAACACAAAGTAAGCAGAAGAAAGAAAATAGTAACAATCAGAGCAGAAATCAATGAAATAGAAGACAGATAAACAACACAGAAAGTAAATGCAACACAAAGCTGGTACATTGAGGAGATAAATAAAATTGATGTACCTCTAGACAGATTAATCAGTACGGGGTTGGGGTGTGATAACACAAATATTCAACATCAGGAATGAAAGAAGGGGCATCACTACACAATCTGCACATATTAAAAGTATAATAAAGGAATATTATTAACAATTTTATACCAATAAATTTGACAATTCATATAAAATTAATAAATCCCTGGAAAGTCAGAAACTATCAAATGCCAGTCAAGAAGTAGATAAACTGGATACTTCCACATCTGTTAAAGAAAGTGAATTCATAGCAAAATTTTATCCACAAGAACTCTGATTTTTAAAAAAATAAATCAAAGAAGATCTAAATTAATAGAGAGATATTCTATGCCCATGGCTGGGAAGTTCTGACAGTACTAAGATACCAGTTCTTCCCAACTTGATCTATAGGTTTAATGCAATCCAAATCAAAATCCCAGAAAGTTATTTGTGGTTATTGATAAACTAATTATAAAGTTTATCTGGAAAGGCAAAAGACTCAGAATAGCCAACATAATATTAAAGAAATAGAACAAACTCAGAGGACTGGCATTACTTGATTTCAAGATTATTATAAAGCACAGTAGTGAAAACAGTGTGATATTGGCATAAGAATAACAAACAGATCAAAAAACAGAATAGAGAGCTCAGGAACAGACACACACTAATATAATCAACTGACCCTGGTCAAAGGAGCAACGACAGTTCAATTGAGAAAAAAAAAACCAGTTTTTTTCAACAAATGGTGCCGGAACAACTGGACATCTACATGCAACAAAATGAATCCAGACACAGACCTTATACTTTTCACAAACATTAGCTTAAAATGAATCATAGGCCTAATGTAAAATGCAAAACTATAAAACCTCTGGGAGGTAACATAGGAGTCAATCTAGGTGAACTTGGGTCTAGCAATGGGTTCTTAGATATACTGCCAAAAGCATAATCCATGAAAGAAAAAAAACTGATAAGTTGGACTTCATTAAAATGTAAAACTTCTGCCACGTGAAAGACACAGCTAAGAGAATGAAAAGGCAAATTACAGACTGGGAGAAAATCTTTGCAAAACACACGTGTGACATAGGACTTATATCCAAAACACACAGAGAACTCTGAAAACTCAACAATAAGAAAATGAATACTCAATTTAACAAAAATGGGCAAAAGATCAGAAGACACCTCAAGAAAAAAGATATTCAGGTAGCAAATAAGCATATGCAAAAATATTATGAAAATAAGCTCAATCTCATATGTCAATTGGGAATTGCATGTTTTTTAAAAATGAGATGCCACTGTACACCTATGGAAATAGCGAAAATCTAAAGCACTGATGAAGTATCTCAGAAAAAAATAACTTTCAATGTTAAAAAATGGTCATGGCAGCATCATCATAGTGAAAAAACAGGAAATAATCAAAATGTAGGCAGAAGACTAGCTCAATCTATTGAAGTATATTCACACAATGGAATATTATAGAGCAGCTGAAACAAACAAACGAGAACTATAAGGAACAACAGGAATGAGTTACAGCAACAAAATTGAGTTAAGAAAGCAAGCTGTAGACTATTATAGAGTGTATAAAGCAATTTTTATAAAGTAAATTTGAACAGTATGTTGTTTAGTGATGGGTTCATATGTGGTAAAAGTATTTTTGAAAATATAAAGCAAAGCTAAGCTCAAAACTGGCTAGTGGATTCTTCAGGGGGTTGGAGTGGAAGAAAGGGAGTCCACAGTGGGTTTCATCATTGTGCGACCATGTCCTACTTCTTAAGCTAGGTGATAGGTTCATTTAAAAAACATTGGCTGGGCATGGTGGTTCATTCCTGTAATCCCAACACTTTGGGAGGCCAAGAAAGGAGGATCACTTGAGGCCAGGAGTTTGAGACCAGTCTAGGCAACACAGTGAGACCCCATCTCTATGAAAATAAAAATTAGCCAGGCAAGGTGGCACATGCCTGTAGTCCTAATTACTCCGGAAGCTGAGAGGGGAAGTTTGCTTAAGCCCAGGAGTTGGAGGCTACAGTAGCAGCCTCCATGATTGTACCACTGCATTCCAGCCTGGGTGACAGAATGAGATCCTGTCTTGAAAACACACACACACACACACACACACACACACGCACACACTTCATACCTTGCTTATCAATTATATATATTCTTTCGTATGTATTCAATATAACATAGTTTATACATTTTAAAAGATGGTCTACTCATAACCCAAGATTGAGAAACACTGTCCCAGACCTATTTTCATTTAAAAAAATTCAGAATCAGTGTTAGCAAATCTCTCATGCCATTAAAATAATTCCCACTAAAGTACTCTCAGAAGGATAAAATCTAATTAATATAACTTCTTTTACAGTACTTTTGGTACTGTAAAATGTACCCTTAGTTAACGGAGAAAGTTGTATTCTCAAATATAATGTTAAAAGTCATTTTCAAAAATTATAGCTTTTGTTTTGAAAACATTGAGCTCCAGTTCTTATTTCTGATAGTACTATAAATAGACAGCAAGGCCAGGCTCTGTTATAATTACTGTTGTGAGGCCATGAATCACGTTGCCTGCGCATGGAGGAATGCTTATTGTTTTCTTCTTTATGCATTCAATTTACCCAAAAGTAATCTGAAACTCTTTGTGTGCAGGGGGTCAGGGCATGCCCCTTATAATTCCAGTAAGCACTGTTATCAGACCCATATAAACAAGGTTCCCACAGACCCTCACACGTTTAATGATAAGGAGCTAGTTCTCTATTAAAATCAATAGCTGGGGTTATGTTTTGAATTCAAAGAGCTTAGCTCATACTTGGTACCAGTCCATGGCATCAAAAGATGAGTAAAGATCAGTAAAACTGTTGACGACCTTGATTCATTCACTTTGCCCTTAGAAATTTTTTCCATGGGGTGCCACTAACAGGAGAGTAGCCCACCACTATTTGCCTTAGAAGCCCAGATTCATATTTCATTAAGAAGGAAATTGATATAGACTTTACACAGAATATCCAATAAGCTATTGGTTAAAATATGGGAGCAGTAGAGGTTTACCTTTTTATTAAAAAAAAAATAGGATAGCTATGTGTAAAAGCAAATAATGGTATTAGGGAGTATAGGTGTAAACAAAATGGGAAAGCTGTAGTGTTCTTCAAAAGATTTAGGGGCAGGAGGCCGGGCACGGTGGCTCATGCCTGTAATCCAGCACTTTGGGAGGCCAAGGGGGGCGGCTCACCTGGGGTCAGGAGTTCAAGACAAGCCTGGCCAACATGGTGAAACCCTATCTCTACTTCAAATACAAAAATTAGCTGGGTGTGGTGGCAGGCGCCTGTAATCCCAGCTGCGCAGGAGGCTGAGGCAGGAGAATTGCTAGAACCTGGGAGGCCGAGGGGGCAGTGAGCCAAGATTGCGCCATTGCACTCTAGCCTGGGGGACAAGAGCGAGACTTTTTCTGAAAAAAAAAGAAAAAAAGAAGAAAAAAGATTTAGGGGCAGGAAATATTCCCTGGGTACTTTACCTTTCTAGAGGTTTTTATTCTACCTTGGGTGAATTTCTGAATCTAGTCACAAAGAAATGTTGGATTTTTAAGAAGTTAATTTTTAGCATTTCATGAATTTTAGACAAGCACATTTATCAAATGGCATTTCCATTTTTGATCTATGTCCTTCAGTTGAGTCAGTATGGGATTTTAACCTGACAAAAGCTGAAAGTATTTTACAAACTTTGAATGTGTAGTAACTGGTAGAGCAAGGACCACATTAATTCTTGATGAAAGAAGAATTTCAGCCAAATTAAATTTAAAGGAGTTTAATTTGAGCAATGAACGATTTGTGAATTGGGCAGCCCCCAGAATCAGCAGATTCACAGAGGCTCCAGCGTAGTCACATGGTGGAAGAAGATTTATAGACAAGAAAAAGGGAAATGACATACAGAAATTGGAAGTGAAGTACAGAATGGCTGCGTTGTTTACAGCTCGGTGTATGCCTTATTTGAACACAGTTTGAATGCTCAGCAGTGTATGAATTGAAGTATGGCCACTGGGATTGGCCAAGACATAGCTATTGTTACAGCATACCACTAAGTTAGCTTTTCAATTTTGTCTGCCTATTAAGCTAGGTTACAGTTCATCCACCAGGACTCAAATACAGAAGTACAGAGTCCTTCTCAGGCCATATTTAGGTTGCTTTAACATTCTCAGCATCATGAAGGCCAATGGTTGCTGATGGCTCTCTATGGGCCTGGCACAAAGCTGAGTCCTTTATATGTTTCTCCTATTCAATCTTCAGAGCACTTTGAGGTCGGTGCCACCATTATCCCCATTTTGCAATGAAGCTTAGAGCCTTAGAGGTTAAAGATTACATTGCTGTATCCAGAGCCTGACTTTTTTCACCGGCACTATAAATAAACAAATACACAATGTAAGTCTGTGTAATATAACAGATATACAGAGGATGTGGAGAAATTTAGTTTCTACCAGTCCTATTAGTAGCATAGTTGATTCCTTCCAATGAAACCACCTTTGCAAAAATTATGACTGAGAGAGAAATTTGACATAGCTGACTCCATCCTGCTTCTAACCTCAGAAGCTGTCTTTGCTCATTCCTGGGTTTAGGCCAAGCTAACTATGGAGAAATTTAGCTTGTAGTTTAACTTTGAAGCAAGGATGATAATAGTCCCTCCCCAAACTGACCCCCTCTGGGGACTGAAACTGCCTTTGTAAGACTAATGAAAGGCCACAAGTTTAGGATTATGGAAAGGGCTGAATTCTGCTAAAATGTAGGCTAGTTAAATGATAACCAGCCATTATCCCCTAGATTGCTTTTCTATAATAGCTTACTGCTCAGTCATGTACCCAGAGGTAACATGATCTGTAACTTTCCCAATTGCTCCTGCAGATAACATCTCTATTGTCAAAACCTAAAGATTGGTCTTTGAGATGTTTTTCAGATTTTTCCATTCTGGCAGACCAACTGACACCACCCAGACCTATGACTCATACCCAGAAACTGACTCAGCATGGGAAGACAGCTTGGACACTCCTATTTCATCCCCAACCACTTAGCAGCATTCTCTAACCTACTGCCCACCAAATTATCTTTAAGAACTCTAGGCTCTGATCTCTTGAGGGGGTGGATTTGAGAAAAATCTCCTGTCCTGTTGCTGGGCTACCTTGTGATAATTAAACTCTTTCTCTGCTGTAACACTGCTGTCTCAGTTTTTATCTGTGCAGTGAATTGGTTTTATCTGTACAGTGTGCAAGAAGAATCCACTGGGCTTCCACCACTGAGATCAAAGGTGGGAGGAATGGTTTGGAAGATGTGGCACTGACTTCCTCTTTCTCTTCGAGGTTTCCTCTCTATATCTGAACCTGAGCAATTCAGTGGCCATTCAGCTCACTGTGGAGCACTACCTAGGTCCTCATGAATGATTACCATCCCTTCATAGATCTATCTGTTTATTGCCCCACCATTCAATTCAACAAACACATATTGAATTCCCACTGTAGTTGCAAGGATAAGAAAGATAGACAAGGCAGGATACCTCTCTAGTTGGGGAAATATGAGGTGTCAGCAAATGATTACAGTATTGTTCACTAAGTGGTTCATTAGAATAACAATCCACTGGTAGCAGTGCTCTCTCCTGAACATACGGAGCTTGCCTTTGGGGCTTGTATGTGCCTTGTGATAGATCTTGCTTGAAGTATTTATATTTCCAAATGTGTGAATCATTTATTCTCTTAGGCACTGTAAACTCCATCTTAAACAAAATTTGCTTTACTCCAGAAGATGCTTTCTCAAAGCTAAGCTAAGCATCGTCACAGACTAATGTGGCATTGTATTTGCAGATACTTACAGCAAAGTCTAGAAAAGAAAAGAATTTACTCCAACATTTTAAAAAGTACATAAACGAATGGCTTCAGCTTTTGATATTTGTCATACTTACAACATAAAAACACTACCTCAAATCTAAAATATTATTCAATTCAAAAGAGAAAACTATATCAACTTGCACTAAATTACAATTCCTAACTAATGCAATAATTTCATTGTGTGTGCAAGAGAATGAATATATTGAATATTCTTGTTTTAAGAAAGACTGTATTTATAAGTGATATTTTATAAACAGTAGTAGTTTAAGAATTTTCACCATTAGACAGCTAAAAATTCCAGATCCTTAGGAATTAGTAATTTCATGTCTATGAACTTGTCCTAAGGAAATATGTATGGGCACAAAAATAAGTCTAAGCATGTTCAACATAGTATTATTTATATAATACTAGAAAAACATTGGGGTAAAAACTAAATCATAAACAAGAGGAGAATAGACTGTTAAGCACACATATTAAATATTTTCACAAATAGTTAATGATATGGGAAAATGTTAATGTTAAGTTAAAAAGAAAAAGACTTGCAGACAGACATGATAGTGATCTCAATTCTGTAATAACCATGCCACAACTCCCAGGAGATGCTCCCCTCAGCAGCCATATTTGTTTTCTGGGACCCAATAAATTTAGGAGTGGGATTGAGATTGAATAACATTCTTCTCTGCTGGCCACACATATGCTCATATGCATATGGAGGTGGGGAGAGATAGAGAGAGAGAGAGACAAGAAAGAGAGAGAGAAGGGGTAGATGCCTGGATTTCTGATAGCTTCAAATACTATATCCAGGCTTTTTCAGGTACCACTTTAATTTTTTCCCTTTCCACTTAAGCTGATGTCATTACATTAAAAAATTATAACATTACAATCAGATAAGTGCAGAAAACATGGACCTTTTCATCTTTAAAATATGTCAGGCCTCTGGGATTAAGAAAATGTGGCACATATACACCATGGAATACTATGCAGCCATAAAAAATGATGAGTTCATGTCCTTTGTAGGGACATGGATGAAACTGGAAATCATCATTCTCAGTAAACTATCGCAAGGACCAAAAACCAAACACTGCATGTTCTCACTCATAGATGGGAATTGAACAATGAGAACGCATGGACACAGGAAGGGGAACATCACACTCTGGGGACTGTTGTGGGGTGGCGGGGGAGGGATAGCATTAGGAGATATACCTAATGCTAAATGACGAGTTAATGGGTGCAGCACACCAGCATGGCACATGTATACATATGTAACTAACCTGCACATTGTGCACATGTACCCTAAAACTTAAAGTATAATAATAATAAAAATAAATAAAATAAATAAAATAAAATATGTCAGGCCTCTGAGCCCAAGCCAAGCCATCGCATCCCCTGTGACTTGCATGTATACATCCATATGGCCTGAAGTAACCGAAGATCCACAAAAGAAGTAAAAATAGCCTTAACTGATGACATTCCACCATTGTGATTTGTTTCTGCCCCACCCTAACTGATCAATGTACTTTGTAATCTCCCCCGCCTTTAAGAAGGTTCTTTGTAATTCTCCCCACCCTTGACAATGTGCTTTGTGAGATCCACCCTTGCCCGCAAAGCATTGCTCTTAACTTCACCGCCTATCCCAAAACCTATAAGAACTAATGATAATCCACCACCCTTTGCTGACTCTCTTTTCGGACTCAGCCCACCTGCATGCACCCAGGTGAAATAAACAGCCATGTTGCTCACACAAAGCCTGTTTGGTGGTCTCTTCACACAGACACGCATGAAATTTGGTGCCATGACTCGAATCGGGGGACCTCCCTTGGGAGATCAATCCCCTGTACTGCTGTTCTTTGCTCCATGAGAAAGATCCACCTACGACCTCAGGTCCTCAGACCGACCAGACCAAGAAACATCTCACCAATTTCAAATCCAGTAAGCAGCCTCTTTTTACTCTCTTCTTCAACCTCCCTCACTATCCCTCAACCTCCTTCTCCTTTCAATCTTGGTGCCACACTTCAATCTCTCCCTTCTCTTAATTTCAATTCCTTTCATTTTCTGGTAGAGACAAAGGAGACATGTTTTATCTGTGGACCCAAAACTCAGGCGCTGGTCACAGACTGGGAAGGCAGCCTTCCCTTGGTGTTTAATCATTGCAAGGATGCCTCTCTGATTATTCACCCACGTTTCAAAGGTGTCAGACCACCCAGGGACACCTGCCTTGGTCCTTCACCCTTAGTGGCAAGTCCCACTTTTCTGGGGGAGGGGCAAGTACCCAACCCCTTCTCTCCATGTCTCCACCCCTTCTCTGCCCTTTTGGGGCAGGGGCAAGAAGCCCTTAACCCCTTCTCCTTCACCCCTAGTGGCAAGTCCCACTTTTCTAGGGGGCAAGAACCCCCAATCCCTTATTTCCATGCCCCAACCCCTTCTCTGCTTTTCTGGAGGGCAAGAACCCCCCACCCCTTCTCCGTGTCTCTACTCTTTTCTCTGGGCTTGCCTCCTTCACTATGGGCAAGTTTCCACCCTCCATTCCTCCTTCTTCTCCCTTAGCCTGTGTTCTTAAGAACTTAAAACCTCTTCAACTCTCACCTGACCTAAAATCTAAGTGTCTTATTTTCCTCTGCAATGCCGCTTGACCCCAATACAAACTCGACAGTAGTTCCAAATAGCCAGAAAATGGCACTTTCAATTTTTCCATCCTACAAGATCTAAATAATTCTTGTCATAAAATGGGCAAATGGTCTGAGGTGCCTGACATCCAAGCATTCTTTTACACATCAGTCCCTTCGTAGTCTCTGTGCCCAATGCAACTTGTCCCAAATCTTCCTTCTTTCCCTCCCTCCTGTCCCCTCAGTCCCAACCCCAAGTGTTGCTGAGTCTTTCTAATCTTCCTTTTATACAGACCCATCTGATCTCTCCCCTCCTCGCCAGGCCAAGCCAGGTCCCAATTCTTCCTCAGCCTCTGCTCCTCCACCCTATAATCCTTTTATCACCTCCCCTTCTCACACCCTGTCCGGCTTACAGTTTCCTTCCGTGACTAGCCCTCCCCCACCTGCCCAGCAATTTATTCTTAAAAAGGTGGCTGGAGCTAAAGGCATAGTCAAGGTTAATGCTCCTTTTTCTTTTTCCCAAATAAGATAGCGTTTAGGCTCTTTTTCATCAAATATAAAAATCTAGCCCAGTTCATGTCTCATTCGGCAGCAACCCTGCGACGCTTTACAGCCCCAGACCCTAAAAGGTCAAAAGGCCGTCTTATTCTTAATATACATTTTATTACCCAATCTGCTCCTGACATTAAATAAAACTCCATAAATTGGAATCTGGCCCTCAAACCCCACAACCGGACTTAATTAACCTCACCTTCAAGGTGTACAATAACAGAAAAAAGTTGCAATTCCTTGCCTCCACTGTGAGACAAACCCCAGCCACATCTCCAGCACACAAGAACTTCCAAACACCTGAACTGCAGCAGCCAGGCATTCCTCCAGAACCTCCTCCCCCAGGAGCTTGCTACATGTGCCGGAAATCTGGCCACTGGGCCAAGGAATGCCCGCAGCCCGGGATTCCTCCTAAGCTGTGTCCCATCTGTGCGGGACCCCACTGGAAATCAGACTGTTCAACTCACCTGGCAGCCACTCCCAGAGCCCCTGGAACTCTGGCCCAAGGCTCTCTGACTGACTCCTTCCCAGATCTTCTGGGCTTAGCGGCTGAAGATTGACACCGCCTGATTGCCTCGGAAGCCCCCTAAACCATCACGGACGCCGAGCTTCGGGTAACTCTCACAGTGGAAGCTAAGTCCGTTCCCTTCTTAATCAATACGGAGGCTACCCACTCCACATTACCTTCTTTTTAAGGGCCTGTTTCCCTTGCCTCCATAATTGTTGTGGGTATTAACAGCCAGGCTTCTAAACCTCTTAAAACTCCCCAACTCTGGTGCCAACTTAGACAATACTCTTTTAAGCACTCCTTTTTAATTATCCCCACCTGCCCAGTTCCCTCATTAGGCTGAGGCACTTTAACTAAATTATCTGCTTCCCTGATTATTCCTGGACTACAGCTACATCTCATTGCCGCCCTTCTTCCCAATTCAAAGCCTCCTTTGCGTCCTCCTCTTGTATCCCCCCACCTGAACCCACAAGTATAAGATACCTCTACTCCCTCCTTGGCGACGGATCATGTAACCCTTACCATCTCATTAAAACCTAATCACCCTTACCCCACTCAATGTCAAGATCCCATCCCATAGAACGCTTTAAAAGGATTAAAGCCTGTTATCACTTGCCTGCTACAGCATGGCCTTTTAAAGCCTGTAAACTCCCCTTACAATTCCACCATTTTACCTGTCCTAAAACCAGACAAGCCTTACAAGTTAGTTCAGAATCTGCGCCTTATCAACCAAATTGTTTTGCCTATCCACCCCGTGGTGCCAAACCCATATACTCTCCTATCCTCAATACCTGCCTCTACTACCCATTATTCTGTTCTGGATCTCAAACATGCTTTCTTTACTATTCCTTTGCACCCTTCATCCCAGCCTCTCTTCGCTTTCACTTAGACTGACCCTAACACCCATTAGGCTCTGCAAATTACCTGGGCTGGACTGCCACAAAGCTTCACAGACAGCCCCCATTACTTCAATCAAGCCCAAATTTCATCCTCATCTGTTACCTATCTCGGCATAATTCTCATAAAAACACACGTGCTCTCCCTGCTGATCATGTCCGATTAATCTTCCAAACCTCATTCCCTTACAAAACAACAACTCCTTTCCTTCCTAGGCATAGTTAGTGCGGTCAGAATTCTTAAACAAAAGCCAGGACCGCACCCTGTAGCCTTTCTGTCCAAACAACTTGACCTTACTGTTTTATCCTAGCCCTCATGTCTGTGTGCAGTGGCTGCCACTGCTTTAATACTTTTGGAGGCCCTAAAAATCACAAACTATGCTCAACTCACTCTCTACAGTTCTCATAACTTCCAAAATCTATTTTCTTCCTCATACTTGACGCATATACTTTCTGCTTCCCAGCTCCTTCAGCTGTACTCACTCTTTGTTAAGTCCCACAATTATCATTGTTCCTGGCCCGGACTTCAGTCTGGCCTCCCACATTATTCCTGATACCACGCCTGACCCCCATGACTGTATCTCTCTGATCCACCTGACATTCACCCCATTTCTCCATATTTCCTTCTTTCCTGTTCCTCACCCTGATCACGCTTGATTTATTGATGGCAGTTCCACCAGGCCTAATCACCACACACCAGCAAAGGCAGGCTGTGCTATAGCACAAGCCAGTAGCCCACCTCTTAGAACCTCTCATTTCCTTTCCATCGTGGAAATCTATCCTCAAGGAAATAACTTCTCAGTGTTCCATCTGCTATTCTACTACTCCTCAGGGATTATTCAGGCCCCCTCCCTTCCCTACACATCAAGCTTGAAGATTTGCCCCCACCCAGGACTGGCAAATTAGCTTTACTCAACATGCCCCGAGTCAGATAATTAAAATACCTCTTAGTCTAAGTACACACTTTCACTAGATAAATACAGGCCTTTCCTACAGGGTCTGAGAAGGCCACCGCAGTCATTTCTTCCCTTCTGTCAGACATAATTCCTCAGTTTAGCCTTCCCACCTCTATACAGTCTGATAATAGACCAGCCTTTATTAGTCAAATCAGCCAAGCAGTTTTTCAGGCTCTTAGTATTCAGTGAAACCTTTATATCCCTCACGGTCCTCCGTCTTCAAGAAAAGTAGAATGGACTAAAGGTCTTTTAAAAACACACCTCACCAAGCTCAGCCACCAACTTAAAAAGGACTGGACAATACTGTTACCACTTTCCCTTCTCAGAAGTCAGACCTGTCCTCAGAATGCTACCAGGTACAGCCCATTTAAGCTTCTGTATAGACGCTCCTTTTTATTAGGCCCCAGTCTCATTCCAGACACCAGACCGACTTAGACTGTGCCCCCAAAAAACTTGTCATCCCTACTATCTTCTGTCTAGTCATACTCCTATTCACCATTCTCACCTACTCATACATGCCCTGCTCTTGTTTACACTGCCGGTTTACACTGTTTCTCCAAGCCATCACAGCTGATATCTCCTGGTGCTATCCCCAAACTGCCACTCTTAACTCTTGAAGTAAATAAATAATCTTTGCTGGCAGGACTATGCTGAACCTCCTTAGGCACTCTCTAATTAGATGTCCTAGGTCCTCCCAATTCTTAGAACTTTTATACCTGTTTTTCTCCTTCTCTTATTCCATCTAGTTTTTCAATTCATATAAAACCATATGCAGGCCATCACCAATCGTTCTATACGACAAATGTTTCTTCTAACATCCCCCACAATATCACCCCTTACCACAAGACCTCCCTTCAGCTTAATCTCTCCCACTCTAGGTTCCCACACTGCCCCTAATCCCGCTTGAAGCAGCCCTGAGAAACATCGCCCATTCTCTCACCATACAACCCCCCCAAAATTTTCGCCGCCCCAAGACTTCAACACTATTTTGTTTTATTTTTCTTATTAATATAAGAAGGCAGGAATGTCAGGCCTCTGAGCCCAAGCCAAGCCATCGCATCCCCTGTGACTTGCACGTATACATCCAGATGTCCTGAAGTAACTGAAGATCCACAAAAGAAGTAAAAATAGCGTTAACTGATGACATTTCACCATTGTGATTTGTTTCTGCCCCACCCTAACTGATCAATGTACTTTGTAATCTCCCCCACCCTTAAGAAGGTTCTTTGTAATTCTCCCCACCCTTGAGAATGTACTTTGTGAGATCCACCCCTGCCTGCAAAGCATTGCTCTTAACTTCACCGCCTATCCCAAAACCTATAAGAACTAATGATAATCCACCACCCTTTGCTGACTCTCTTTTTGGACTCAGCCCACCTGCACCCAGGTGAAATAAATAGCCATGTTGCTCACACAAAACCTGTTTGGTGGTCTCTTCACACAGACGCGCATGAAAAAATAGATCTGCTTTTTCCTACAAAAGGAATACCTATTCCTGGGTAATAGGAAAACTGCATTTTAGACATACACAGTACATGCAGTACCATCCAATGGTTTAAAGCATCTCTGCTGATCACATAATTCATATACTATGAATGATTTAGTATTTTAGATTAGCTCCCTATCACTGCTCTTTTCCAAAATGATGTCTGGGAATTTAGAGGGCTTACATCAATTCAGCGTCCTTCTGACATTCATTGCTAAAACCTGCAGCTAGTGTAGCTTGAGGATTGTTCTCTTGCAGTTTAAACTAGTCTGGTAAGCCCTGCCTACTGACCCAGGCCTTCCTTAGCCCTTGCTTATGCTGTGGCCCCCCAAAATTTGGCTTTGTCTCCTATTCTAAAGGTGCATTCCTCAGCTACAGAGTCTTTGTTCTAAGAACGGGGATCTCCTCCAGCAAATGTCTAGCCAAATGTTCACTTATTTCAGAATACCCTCTGAGGATATTCAGCAGATTCCTGGATCTCATCCATTCCATTTTAGAAACTGAGAATGGGTTAGGAGAGCCAAACTGAAGTTCATTGTCTACAAATCTCAGTAGGTTGTGGGGACCACTTGTGAGATTACCTCTCCTACACTTCCAAATGTGAACTGGGCAATGGCCTCTGCCCTTCATGTCCACTCTTCCCTGCCTCTTCCTTCCATGACTTTGGCCAGAGAGGTGGGCAAAGCATCACATCTCACCTTAGATTTGCATTACTTTTCCTTTCTTTGTCTTCTTACAAGTCACCAGAAATCTGATGGGATGGGCTTTCTCTCCTTCATGCTTAACATTCTCTTACATTAAATGCTCCTTCTGACTGTGGTCATATTTGACCTGTTCCCTTCCCTGGAGCTATTGTCAGCTGTTGAGGTAAGGTGGGGGAGAATCAGCCTCCTGATAAAGAAGGTATCAGGATCTGAAGCTATAGATCAGGATGAAGTGGATTCTTACTGCTGGAAAACCATAAAGGCTAAGATAGCCGAATATGCAACCATAAGCAAAAGACTATTCTAGATCTGTACACACACACACACACACACACACACACACACACAAAGACTCTTTAGACCACTATCTGTTTTATTTAGATTTTAAGGGTAACTATGCTCCTTGTTAACTGAGAGTCCTTGTTATAGAAAGTTCAGCTAAAAAGACCATAAGGTAAAGTTTCTCCATGTTTTCAAGTGTGCACTTATTCTCCTGAGACCCCCAAACATCAGCCCTGGCTGGAGTTTCTACCTCTGTATTCTTGCCATTACTTGATTCTGGTAAACTAGATAATGACTCAGTTTCTTTGCTGAATAATAATAATAATAGGTTCAGACAGATGCTCTGAAAGATCCCTTGCTATGCTGCCCTGTGATTCTTCAAAGCTGAGTCTGGGGGAAAGTGGGGGAAGAAACTGTCTTTTGTCACTTGCTTTCATCTCCTCCACAAAGTGTTTTTCTTAACAAATCTGATCGATCTTTTTGTAACTCAGAGGAGCTTTATTTTTATTTATTTTTATTCTTTATTAAAAAAAGAGACAGGGTCTTGCTATGTTGCCCAGGCTAATCTTGAACTCCTGAGCTCAAACAATTCTCCTGCTGTGGCCTCCCAAAGTTCTGGGATTAGAGGTGTGAGCCACCGTGGCTGGCCTCAGAGGAACTTTAAATGCCTTTCTTGCTTTCTGTCTTCCTGATCTTATCACATTAGGCAAGTTATTTAACCCCTCATGTGTAAAACGATGATAATAGTAGTATGTACTTCAGAGGGTTATTGTGATTATTGTGAAGTAGAAAAGCCTTCAAATCTCCAAGGGATTCCAGGTACCACTGGGCAACCAGGGCAGGGCTTCTTGCCAGAACTCAAACTGAACCTTGCAGGAACACTCCACTTCACTTTCTTCATGAACTGTTTTAGACAATCTTCCTAGAACAGGAGGTCATGGACATTGAAATGAAAGAGTTAAAATGCACTGATCAGTGTTTTGAGAAGCATAGTGTTGGGAAAAGAGAAATGGTTTAAGTGGAACACTGAGGTCAAAATCTTACTTGGTGATATGGTTTGGCTATGTCCCCACCCAAATCTGATTTTGAATTGTAGTTCCCATAATCCCCACATGTTGTGGAAAGGACCAGGTGGAGATAATTGAATCGTAAGGCAGTCTCCCCAATCCTGTTCTCATGATAGTGAGTTCTCATGAGATCTGATGGTTTTATAAGGAGTTTCCCCCCTTCACTGGGCACTCATTCTTCTCCTTCCTGCCCTCATGTGAAGAAGGACGTGTGCTTCCTCTTCTGCCATGATTGTAAGTTTCCTGAAGTCTCCCCAGCCATGTGGAACTGTGAGTCAATTAAACCTCTTTCCTTTATAAATTACTCAGTCTTGGGTATGTCCTTACAGCAATGTGAGAACAGACTAATACACTTGGGGTTCTCCCTAGTTATATGAGCCTGGGCAAGTCACTTGGCCTGTCTGAGCATCAGTTTCATGCTAAGTGTAAACAATAAACCTGTTCTACCTGGGAGGATCATTGGTAGTGATTAGACAATTTGTAGAAGAAAAAATCAGAATGGTGAATAAACATGAGAAGATAATCAATGCACTAATAAGTGGCAAGTGCACATTAAAGCAACAGGATGTACCTCAGATTGGGAAAGATGTTAAGGTAGAATAATAGTGACTATTGGTCAAAATATGGGAAAATAGGAATTTATAATCACTGCTGGAGAGAGTGTCATTGATAAAATTCCTAGTGAGAGAAATTTATTTATATTGAGTAAATTTGAATATGTATTCACCTTACAACCTAATGATTCCACTTCTTCATATGTACTCTTGAAATATTTTTGTGCATATGAGCACAGGGAAACATGTACAAGGGTATATCAGTGAACACTTCTCATAATGACAAAAACTTGAAACCCAAAATATATGTCAAACAAGGATAGATAAATTAATTGTGATATTCATACAATGGAATACTGCATGGCAAATAAAAGATATAAACGATATTTTATATATATATATAAGATAATGCATTTTGACATGGATAAATTTTTAAAACTTAATGTTATACCAAAAACAGAGTACTAATACAAACAAATGAAGTGATAATGTTGCCTTTGGGAAGAAGGAGAAAAATGAGACTGGAAATGGTAATAAAGGAGATTTCAATGATATTGTAGCATTTTCTTCCTTTGATAAGAAAGAAAAGCAATTATGAGCAAATGCTAACAGTTCTTAGTTCGGTACTTGGCTATATTTTTATTTTACTTAAACTAAAGATTATCATTATTCTAGATCAATACTTGTAGCATCATCACTATTACTTCAAACAGATTTATGAAATTAAAATAATACAAGGGAACCCTGCATTTACTTAATTAACCTGTACAAGCCACTTAAATTTAATTTCTAATGCTTCCTACTGTCAGATTTTCAGGAAGGAGATACAAGAAGGAAGGCACAGGAAAAGGTGGTATCCTTCTGGTTGACATCCCACGATGTCAACAAAGAAGATAGTTGCCGGGCGCGGTAGCTCACGCCTGTAATCCCAACACTTTGGGAGGCTGAGGTGGATGGAACACAAGGTCAGGAGTTTAAGACCAGCCTGGCCAAGACGGTGAAACCCCGTCTCTACTAAAAATACAAAAATTAGCCGGATGTGGTGGCACGCGCCTGTAATTCCAGCTACTCCGGAGGCTGAGGCAGAGAATTGCTTAAACCTGGACGGGCGGAAGTTGGAGTTAGCCGAGATCGCGCCACTGCACTCCAGCCTGAGTGACAGAGTGAGACTCTGTCTCAAAACAAAAAAAAAAAAAACAAAAACAACAACAAAACAAAGCAAACAAAAAAACAAAGAAGGCAGTCTAGGAGGTGGGGGGAATAGAGGTTGGTCAAAGGGTACAGACTTTCATTTATAAGATGAATAATAAATTATGGGATTCTAATATACAGCATGATGACTATAATTGATAATACTGTACTGTTTACTTGAAATTTGCTAAGAGTAGGTCTTAAGTGTACTCACCACACACACACAAACACACACACACTGGTAGCTATATATGGTGATAGGTGTATTAATTTGATTGTGGTAATCATCTCACATCCCACAATGTATATGAACATCAAATCATCATGTTGTACACCTGGAATATACACCCTTTTTATTAATTTGTTTTATTCAATAAACGCAGAGGAAAAAAAATAACAGAACAAACCTTCCACAGTGCATCTCTTGCAGACTTAAGACTGCTTATTTTGTTTCTTTGTGATGTCTTTCCCCGCTCCTGTCCTTTTCAAAATCTCCTTGAAGTTCATTTTAGCTGGTCCCATTTGTATTAAAAAATTGAAATTGAGAAGGATGGCCCAAGATTACTCATGGCATCCCATACACCCTGGAATACAGATTGAGAAGCACCACCCGCCACCTGCCCACCCCAGCTTGACAAAAGTCTTACTTATCTTCTTATCATGCTTTCAGTGACCCCTGGTTTACAAAATTGTCATCCATTTTACAAACAGAATGTTAGCAGCGTTTGAACAGTGTAGCTCTGAAGTTTGACATTAAATAAGAGAAATATTGAGGCCATGAACCAAAGAAAAACTGCCCGTTCACAGGTCAGTGTCATCTCATTAGGCCACGTGGTTTTCCAAAGTGAATTTATAACCAAGGCTGTCTTGTACACCAAAGATTATTGAATGAACCAAGGAGCAGGCATTAAAAGAAGATAAGATATTTTGAGACATTCCAAGTTCTTGAACTTTCTCCTTTCAGTTGGCAGTGATAGGAATAAAGGACTAGAGGGAGCTGGGGAGAGGGCAAACTGAAATCATAAATTACTGTGATAACTGCAATGACGCACACTGCTACACTTCAGGGACATCACTAAGGTAACTATCCAAATTAAACGAGGCCAAAAGGGCAATGTGGGTAAGAAATTACATTAATACCAGGCCTAAAAGAAAGCAGATATGAAGAAAAGAATCAGAATGAATATTTAAAACTGCAGTAATGGTATCTGCATTAAGCATTCCTTCCTTGAGTCCTCATTGACCCAGTCTTAATGTATACTATGATTCAAGTCAGCAGTTTTTTTTCTTATTCATCTAAGATACATACAAGACATGAATCACACATGGAGAAACAGAAGCGCATGTACTGGTTGCCACACCTATTGGTATTGATGGCTTGGGTTTTGTTGCCTGCATGTATATTGTAAAGCATGTTAGCTCTATGCTCATTGCTCTGAAGAATGAACACAGGAATTGTGTATAACAGTATTGTAGAATAACGTTGAATTTTCAAGAATTTATTAAAAAAATTATTTTCCAAAGTTGGTATTTTGTAATGAGTAACACATTATTGGTGTCAGACATCACAACCAATCATGACAAAACAGTTTCCATCAATAGGAGGTTAGTGAAACCTGATGACTTAGATTTCTGGTTGCCAACTTCAGGTTGTGAGATTAAAGAGAATTTCAAAAGAGTAAGAATAACTTCACAAAGACTTGTAAACTGCATCTTAGAAAGAAACTATTGCTGAGAACACGACAGTTTATAATACATAGTATTTTTACAACCTAAAGTGCTAAGGTGGTTTGATGAGAAACACTTGAAGCTTCCTAATGCATCATCACAAAAACATTTTGAGTAAGTTATAAAAATGAACAAAAATTAGTAAATAAAATGGGAAAATGCTAACCTTACTATACTTGTAAAAGGCAAATTAAAATCACAAGGAGTTACCACTTTACGGCCTTGGAATTAACAATTTTAAAAAGTTAAAAGAAAATTGTTGCCTGTGCTTAGGTGAGTGCCACAAATAACTATTTTCATAGATTACCTGAACCAGTATAAAGAGACACAACCTTGTGGATAGCAATTTGACAAATAAATATCTAGAGCCTCCAACACTCATAACCTTTGCCCCAGTAGTTTTCATAAAGCTGCATTCATGAAAATGTTTATTAAAACATAACTCATTATAGTAAAAATGAGAAATTTATAAGTAAACTTTGATAATAACCAATTTGGATTTGTTAGGTGGTCTTTGGTATACTTATAAGATGGTCTATTATTTAGCCATTCAAATGATAAGTATTTAGGACTAGGTCATTATATAAAAATCATCATCAAATGAAATTAAGTTAAAAAACAGGATCCACAGTTGGATTGACAATATTGAAATAAGTTAGATCAAAAGAAATAAAAATTTAGGCATTAAGAAAAATGGAAGAAAACTTCTGCAAAATTAACTGGGACTGAGAAGGTAAAAGCTCTTCCCTGCCATTCATGAGTCTGGAATAACAGACCCACATCCAGGTCAAGCCAGCTGCTCTGTTGACAGGAAGCAACATTTCTCCCAGGGTCATGCTACAGCTATAAAGTCATAATGGTACCTTTCTTTGAGGGATTATTACTGTCTTACTAAAAAAAAGCTTGTTTTCTGAAATTATAGACTGTCAGAAACTTTGCTCTTTGAAATCATATCAATAAAAATGAAGCGCCCACTCGCCTTGCTGGGAGAATTTGAGTCACGTTGACACAGAGATGTAGCCTTGATTTCCAATCCAGGTGGAGCGCTACAGATAAGGAGTTTCTCGATGCAGCATTTCACACCTATCTTAACTTTGTGGTTTCCGAGGAAAAAGGCCCCTGGGTCTATGTTGCAGTCCAGACTTCATGTTGATTCTTTGGCGATGGCTCTGCTTTGCTGTCTCAAATCCTATAATAACCCCATTTCTTTCTTTGGTGAGAGGCCCCATGATTCCTCTGATTTGTGATCTCCTTCATTGCAAAAAGTCAATAAGCAGACTAGTGGCCTATGGCTCATTGGACTAGGATACATCAAAATGGTTTTCACATGATGGAATTGTCCTTCTTCCCTGTAGCTTGTACTTTTCCAAAGACATACTTTTCAATGAAAAACTCTTTCTTTCATAATGAGGAAACGTTAGGCATTCCCTCTTTTGACTAAAATTAGTCACATGTGTCTTACATTGCACACACACATCACAATACTAGCCATAATTATATCTGGGCAGTGAAATTATAGGTGATTTATTTTTTCTTCCTTGAATTTTTCCCCTAAAATTATGACAATAAAAACATATTACTTTTAAAATTAGAAATAAGTTAACGGTTATTATTTTAAAATCTTTTGCTTCTTGACAAATACACTGCAGCATGGGAGACAGAAATAAGTCCAAGTTCTGGCCAGAGGAAGGAGAAGGAAGCAGTGCTTCTTATTTTTATTTTTTATTTTTTTGAAATGGAGTCTTGCTCTGTTGCCAGGCTGGAGAGCAGTGGCGCAATCTCGGCTCACTGCAACCTCCGCTTCCCTGGTTCAAGTGATTCCCCTGCCTCAGCCTCCTGAGTAGCTGGGACTATAGGTGGCTGCCACCTTGCCTGGCTTACTTTTTCTATTTTAGTAGAGACAGGGTTTCACCATGTTGGCCAGGCTGGTCTTGAACTCCTGACCTCGTGATCGGCCCACCTCGGCCTCCCAAAGTGCTGGGATTACAGGCATGAGCCACCGCACCCAGCCAAAAGTATTGCTTCTTGTAGTCAAATGGGGATATCACTCTCCATCACCTCCGACAAGCAGCGTTGGTATTTTTCCTCATTTCCCATTTGGACTCTAATGAGCCACAGTGGTGGACATTATGGTCCTGTTTAGGTCTCTGGGAAGCACAATTTATTTTAGGGTCTTAGCAAGAAAAGTCTAGAAGCCTTTAATTTAGGAATATTGGAATATCATCTGTTCTTCAATCTTTCTTTAATGTTCTAATAATTTAATAACATTTCCTGCTTGATAACTAAAGTGTAAGGAAGGTCAGCCTAGTGCTTTGAACTCAAACCAGAAATGAACATTTCAGCTATTTTATCACTGTCACTTATTGGTATGGCTTTATTTAAGTTCATCTCATGGCACTGTGCAGTGTTTCTGGGGCCCCTTTGACATCCTCAGTTAAAATAAAATGCAACGGAGAAAAAAGGGAGGAGGAATTTTTTAGATTGTGGTAATATACACGACATAACATTTTCCATTTTAATCATCTTTAAGTGTACAATTCAGTGGCATTAATCACATTCACAATGTTTTACAACTACCAACACTATCTATTTCCAAAATATTTTCATCACTCCAAAAAGAAACTCTGTGCTCATTAAGCAGAAACTTCTCATGTTCCCTTCTCTCTCCTATCCTTGTAACTTCTAATTTGCTTGCTATTTCTGTGAATTTGCCTATTCTAGATATTTCGTATAAGTGGAATCATACAACAGTCGTCTTTTTGTATCTGGCTTATTCCACTTAGCATAATGTTTTCAGGGTTTATCCACGTGTAGTATATATCACCTTCTTATGACTGAATCATATTTCATACACGTGTATACATTTTGTTTGTCCATCCATCTGTTGATGGGCATTTGGGGTGTTTCTACCTTTCTGCTATTGTGAATAGTGCGTTTATGAACATTAGCATACAAGTATCTGTTTGAGTCCTGCTTTCAATTCTTGTGGTTATATACCTAGGAGTACAACTGTGGGTCGTATTGTAATTTCATATTTAACTTTTTGAGGAAGTGTCAAACTGTTTTCCACAGTGACTGCACTATTCTACATTCCACCCTCGAGGGTTCCAATTTTGGAATGGAAGTAAATCTGGCACCTGATTTCTAATCCTAGCTCTTCTAAGAATTTGTTTATTGTTTAACAATAGTTCTGCATGGCTTATCTTATTCTTTTTGCATCATTTTTTTCTCTTTCTTCCACTGGATTACTAATGACAGCTGTCTCTGGACAAACATTAATTAATCACTTTCCTTGCTACTTATGTTTGTAGATTACCATTTGCTTAATACTGTTGGCATTTCAGTGGCTAAGGTCTGTTGGCTGGATTTTAATATGGATCTTCCTGATGCCCAATTCCAAATTTAACGACAGGAGTACAGTGAATTTCAGTATAATATAAATAACCTAGAAATAACTGTGACTATTTGTGTGCTATACTATAGATACTTATATCTATATGTATAGATGTAATATAAATAACCATACTATGTTCTGCTATAGATGCTATTGTGCTATGCTCTTGAAAAAGAAACTGAAAAATAATTTTCCCACTTTGATCCCATACACAATTTTTTTTCCAGGGGAGATTTATGCTTTGAGGTTAGCTAACTTTGGTTCCAATTCTGAATGCAAGCCACACCCACTTTCCTAAAAAGCATACTAATCCTTCCAGATGGCACCTCTGTATTTTGCTCCTAATTTTTCTTGTCAGTTGGCAGTGGAGTGTCTCAAGTGTTAGAATTAGTAAACACTAATGGCATGCAATCTAATTGGTAGCAATATATCTGAGTGGCATCCATATCTGAATCCTGAAGACACTCACTCTTTATTTGCTTGCTTATTACTATCTAGTCATCCTGGTTTTGTAAACTTCCTGGAGGGTTACTGGTGAAGCTGCATATTTTTCATGTACTGTCCTCCCTGGAGAATTATCATATTTCAAACATGGGATTGCCTAGAGAAACCAATATCTACATTCCCTCCTGTATTAGTCTGTTCTTGCACTGCTACAAAGAAATATTTGAGACTGGGTGATTTCTTTTTTTTTTTTTTGTCTTTTTTTTTTTGAGACGGAGTCTCACTCTGTCGCCCAGGCTGGAGTGCAGTGGTGCGATCTCGGCTCACTGCAACCTCTGCCTCCTGGGTTCAAGCGATTCTCCTGCCTCAGCCTCCCGAGTAGCTGGAATTACAACCACCTGCCACCGAGACTGGCTAATTTTCTTTTTTTTTTTGTATTTTAAGTAGAGACGGGTGTAAGGTTAGCTGAGAGAAAAGACAAGAGAGAGACCCAAGGTCAGGCGAGTAAGTTTATTAACATGCCAGGCTGTTCCACCACAGTCAGAGGAAGCATCCTTGAGCTTACAAAATGAGGGGTTTACATGGGGGATAGAGACCCTGGGGTTGTTTCTTGGTGAACTTTACCACATATCATCTCGTGACAGGCTTACAATGTATTATCTTGTGAAAATAGGAATTTACAAGAGGGTGTAACTTAGGTTTATCCACGTTTCACATGACATCCCTCATGCTGCCTGGAGGGCTTTAGCGTAGCAAGTCTGGTGACCTTGCTGTGGCACCTAGATAAGGGTTCAGGAATGCAGCTGCAGGGTATTCAGGGTAAGGGTCAGCTGCATTGAGGTCGGGGGGTGGGTTCCTGGGGCAGCTTGTCCCTAACAACGGGGTTTCACCATCTTGGCCAGGCTGGTCTTGATCTCCTGACCTCGTGATCCACCTGCCTTGGCCTCCCAAAGTGCTGGGATTACAGGCGTGAGCCACTGTGCCTGGCTGAGACTGGATAATTGCTAAAGAAAATGGTTTAATTGGCTCATGGTTCCACAGGCTGTTCAGGAAGCACGGTTTGGGAGGCCTCAGGAAACCTACAATCATGGCAGAAGGTGAAGGGGAAGCAGGTACATCTTCACACGGCCAGAGCAGGAGGAAGAAAAGAAGAGGGAGGTGCTACACACTTTTAGACAATCAGATTTCCCTAGAACTCACTCACTATCACGAGAACAGCAAGGGGGAAATCTGCTTCCATGATCCAGTCAGCTCCCACCAGACCCCTCCTCCAACACTGGGGATTAGAGTTTGAGATTTGGGTGGGGACAAAGACCCAAACCATATCACCTCCCATGGCCATTCAAAAGGCAATGTGCCAGAAATTTTCCATTTCCTCCTCAAGCCTCACCCTTCTCCTGAGCTCTGTCTATATTTTGTCTACAGATTCTCATACCATCTGGTTTCTGGTTAGGTTCAGCCAGTGGGGAGCCCAGGAAGGTTATCAGAGGGAGAAGAGTGAGGACAAGAATTTTTTCCTTTGGCTTCCTTCCTGGGTAGTTCCCTCAGGCTGGGTGAGAACGTTGATAAAAGGTCACACTCAAGGACTCTCTTCTAGACTGTTCTTTCTCCATTTGCATTTTGGTAGCCCTCTCTTTGCTACTAGCATGAGATTCCTTCACTATTCCATGTGTTTCTCCTACTTTTGTAAGAAGTTCCTTTTTAATAAATTTTTCCTGAATGAGTTTAGCTCAACTGTCCATCTGTTTTCTACTGGGACCCTGAGGGATAGGGGCAAGAAAGGGGT
This sequence comes from Homo sapiens, assembly GCF_000001405.40. Classification (NCBI taxonomy): domain Eukaryota; kingdom Metazoa; phylum Chordata; class Mammalia; order Primates; family Hominidae; genus Homo; species Homo sapiens. Next base: position 131,419,725 of record NC_000006.12, read on the forward strand.
TTTGGTGTTACTGCATCTTTAAATAAAGCTCACTCAGCCTATACTTGCAATTTTCCATCTTTGGTTGTGACAGTTCTGGGTGACACTATTTCAGTATGTGTCATGAAATTCTCCAAACAATTTCCACTGTAATTCTAAAACAAAAATTTGACATTTAAAACCTGTAACAGGTGGGAGTGAAGGAGTGTGACTATTAGAATCATTGGCTCAGTCATTCTTAAGATGATAATTGGCCATTAAAGGAGGCACATTCTAGAAGGCTGGGCAAGAGTCCAAGAAGTAACAAACACGTGCCCAAGGACTACTCAGGTCTAGACCATGACAGATATTGGCTATTGTGAATGAGAGAATAGTTGCTTTGCCTGAAGCTATTCAATTTCAAATCAATAAAGAAGCTGCAAAATTAGCAAAACCAAGCTATAATTTTTTGGATGCAAGCGCAGTGGTAAAACTGCAGTGAAAAGTAACATTATGTTTATCAATGATTGTAAATCAAGTGGGTGGCTATGTCCAAGCTGGAGAGGGAGGGTTTTGTCATCAGGCACACAAGGGTATTTCTGGGCCACTGTAACAAAATGCCACAGACTGGGGGGTTTATTTGCTCACAGTACTGGAGGCTAGAAGTCCAATCAAGGCGTTGGCAGGCATGGTTTTTTCTGAGGCCTCTCTCTTTGGTTTCAAATGGCTGCCTGCTTGTTATGTGTGCACTTCTGACATCTGTGTGTATATCTGACGTCTCTCTCTGTGTGTGTCCAAATTTCCTCATCTTATAGGGACACCAGTCATCTTGGATTACCACCCACCCTGATGACTTTATTTAACCTAATTACCTCTTGAAAGGCCCTGTCTCCAAATACAGTCACATTCTGAGGTACTTGGAGTTAGAGCTTCAACACCAGAATTTGAGAAAGATACAATTCCACCCATAACAGGTGCTGATATTGTATTTCTTGATCTCAGAGATAGTTTCAGAGGTATTTAATTTATAATTATTTATTAAACTATGTACTCATGTTTTATGCCCTTTTATGATTTTTATACTTTATTTCACAATTTTTTTTTTTTTTGAGATGGCGTTTTGCTCTTGTTGCCCAGGCTGGAGAGCAATGGCACAGTCTCGGCTCACAGCAACCTTCGCCTCTCGGGTTCAAGAGATCCTCCACAAATTTTAAAAGTTAAACAAATCAGCATACTGTGCTGGCCAGAAAAACCCCAGTTATGAGTCCGTGTTTTGGACTCCTTGTATAGGTGAATAACTTTCATTTCTATCAGCATCAAAACTAAGGTATATACTGGAACAAGGCCAGTTCATCTCCCCAGCACTATTTTTTTCCTCAAAAAAGTTACAGTATAGAATATTTCAGTATAGTGACTCCGAATATCTAATACATAAAGACTTGATCTGATTTTATGTTTATTCCTTCTGAATGTTAAAACTGTGTTAATACAGACTCTGGTGTGTGTATAACCCCACACGCACCCCAAACTGCAGACATGAGACGGGCCACCCTCCTGTGAAAGATGCTTTGAATCTGTCCATTGTGAAACTGATGGTTCTGGTAATGAAGCTGCTCTATTCAAAGAGAACAGAATTTCCAAAAGGAGCAGGACATCACAATTGAGAGGTGGAGAAATGTTCTGTTTTCAATGCTGGCCGAAGCAAAAGGATGCTCATCACAAAGCAGAAGGTTGTCCTAGTGTGTTCATTTCCACATTCTCCATACAGATACTCTAAAGTGTAATGGGATTTTGCGTTATCTGTTCTTAGTAGGGAGGACTGAAAATTAGGTGATGTGGTGTTATGTGAAGGGCACCAAAAGCCTTGCTTCCCCCAGGACAGCTTCCTCCTCAGCAAGGTCTAGAATAAGAGATTCCCATCATTCTCCAGCAGTGGGCCAGGTAATGGGATGCACAGATAAAGCAGATGCAATTCCCATCCTTAGGAGGCTGTCGACTGAGAGAATCAGGTAGGTAAACTGGTAATGATAATGCAACAGGTAAAGCAATAATAGAGGTCGATACAGAGAAATATGAAAATGGAAAGTGATATTCAAAGCAGTTTGGAAATTCAGGGAATTCTTCCTAGAAGTTATTTGCTGGTTAACTATAAAGGAGGATGAAAAGTTAACCAGGTTACAAGTCAGGTGATACAGGTCTCAGTGAGAGGGTACTGCATGAAGAAGTCACAGGGGTATTCATCATCTCAGGGTATATAATACTATGGTAATTTACAAATTTCAAAAGTAAAAAATGGAAAATTTGGTTGGAGAGGTGGAAGAGAAAGAATCTTTGATTTTACGTTAAGAGTGATGATGCCATATTTCTTTGAGATAGATGTATTAATCTGGCACCTTGTATGGTGGATGGACATAGACAGCAGAATAACTAGTGAGGAGAGAAGATGAGCATTTGAATTGAGAGGGTGGCAGTGAAGATGGAGGGAGGGAGTGCAGACTTGCAGAATGGGTGGGGCTTGTGAGTGATTAGATGGTGATGGAAGAACTAAAGGTGGACTGAGTCTCCAAATTCTAGCTGGGATGACTGAATGATAATGCCACTGAGAGAGAGAGAGTACTGGGAGGTCAGGGGCAAGGTTAATCATTTCAGTTTGGGACCTGATGAATTTGTGGTAAAAGTGTGACACAGGTGAGTGGTTGGATGTATATCCAGGAGAAGTTCAAGAGAAGACTCTTCACTAAGGGTAAATATTTGGAAGGCGTTAGTACTCTGGTGCTATTTAAAGTCATGAAAGTAGATGAGATCACCCCATTATAATTACTATGTAGAATAAAAGCAATGGACCAGGATGAAATCTTTGGAAATACACTCTTTAAAGGATAGGCAGAGGAAGACAAGTCCAAAGAGGAAACAGTGAAGGAACTAAATAGAACAAAGAGAAAAGAACCAGGGAAGTCAAATGCAGTGAAAGTCAACAAAGTAGAGAGTTCCAAAAGAGGGAGTAATAAATATCACCAAAATAGCGTGTTAATTCAGTACTAAATAACAGAAAAATATTCACTGGAGATTTTTATGACCTTAAATAAAGTAATTCCAGCAAACTGACAAGGGAAGAAGCCAGATTACCGTAGACTGCAGTGAAAGGGAGATGTGAACAGAGCTGAAGCCTGTACAACTCTTTCGAGACATTCAGGTACAAGGGGAAAGGAAAGATCAGATGGTCATTCAAGCAGGCAGGGAATGGAATTTTCTCTAGAGCCTTTAGAAAGAATAAGACCCGCCAACACCTGGATTTCAGACTTCTGGCCTCCCGAACAGTGAGAGAACAGATCTGTCGTTTTACGCCACCATGTTTGTGGTAATTTGCAACAACAGCCATAGGAAACTGATACAGATGAGCTCAAAGGCATCTAAAAAATAGGCTGCTAGTCTTATCCATGATGTCCTCCTCCTGCCTTTCCTTCCTTCTTCACCTTCATCACTCTCTTTCACACTTTTCTTCCTCCTCCCTTTCTGAAACTCTCCTTTCTTTTCTTCTTGCATTCTTTTATTTTTATTCTCCTTGCTGCCATCTTCCTGTTCCCTTACACACACACACACATACACACACACACTCAGCAATAAACTATGTGGAAAAAAACAACAATGAATTGTTGTTTACAAGAAACAAGAAAATGCCACATTAATGTTAAGCGCTCCCATGAATAATTTAACTAGGAGTTTTAGTTATTGGATGATCTGGGATGGCCTAAGGAAGTTAAATTTGACAGCAGTGTAAATAGTTCAAAGAGCCAGTCCTAAGAAGATCAAGGAGGATAGCACTGGAGGTAGAATGAACAGATGTGCAGATCTTAGGGAACGACATTTTGAGCTCCTCTGTGTGGCTGGAGATCATGGGCAATTATTATTTTAATATACGTCCCAGCCAGAGGAGGACAGGGATGTTGACTCTTTTGGTCACCATTGTTGCACACCCCCAGCTGGTTCTAGTACATTGATGCACATACTATTCAGTGGTTACGAATGTAGGACCTAGAGGCTGGGCACCGTGGCTCACACCTGTAATCCCAGCACTTTGGGAGACTGAGGCGGGCCCATTGCTTGAGCCCAGGAGTTTGAGACCAGCCTGGGCAATATGACAAAACCTCATCTCTACAAAAAACAAAAAATAAAAAGGAATGTAGGATCTAGGGTGAGACTGCATAGTCTCAAATCCTAGTCCTGCAAGACACTTTCTGTGTAGACTTTGGGGAAAATTCTAACTTTCAGAACCCATTTATGAAATGGAGAAATAATAATACCAACTTCATGATATAACTGGGAGAATTAATTCAACTTGTAAAAGCCTGTAAAACATTAAAGCACAATTTGTGGCTTACAGTGTGCAACCCAATAAATATTTACCTTTATTATTATGAGGAGACTCTCAATAAGCACAGGTTGAATGATGGGATGATTTCTATAAATGAAATATACTTCACTGACTAAGCTTACAAGAAGTGATGCAAGACAGACTTCTCTTATGCAGAATTCCACTCTGTAGTTCATAGTGATAAAAGGATTGCTGATTCTTATTTCAAGCCATTCTTCTTTCCAACTACTATTAGATGCTAAGGGATTATGAGTTTTCACTGACATTTTCTTTTGCTGTAAGCTTTGAAAAAAGGAGATAAAGGGAGTGTGCATCTGCCATCCTGCATTCTCCACATCTCTCTACAAGCAAATGGTTTTCTTGGATCTAAAACCACCTTCGTGGGAAGCAGGTAAAAGTTCTGTTGGGAACGCTTCAAGACTGAAGTATTTGTACCAAAATGCTTCATACTCTAATAAAATATCTGTCATTATGCTACTTTCATCTAAAGGTTTTGAAACACTTGTAGCATGAATTATGAGATGATGTTTAGGCTGAAAACACATGCCATTTGAAAGGCCATTTTACATTTCTGAGCACGCCCTACTGATTAAAGTAAAAGAAGAAAAGCTTTATGCAAGGCTAAAGACACAGCTGCAGGGTGTAAGCAATCTCATCTTTTTGTTTTCCTCATCATGTCGCTCTGCCTTTTTTTCTTGCTGCCTGAAAGCATGAATGAAATAACAATATGAAAATCAAATTATTTTTTCTTGAATTTGACATGATGCCAAAGTCATAATGTTGCTCAATCATGTGCGAAACTTATACGAAATTTTAATGACTTCCAAAAACATTGAAATCAGAAAACTTAATTTAAATTTGTATATAATACATGTTCAACAAATATTTGTTGACATACTGTAAAAAAACTATATTTGAGGAATGCTCTTTTACGGTTTCTTTTTTTTTTCAGTATTGTTTGAAGTGAGGTTACATACAGAAACAAATGTGAAGGAAACATTCTCTTTTTTGGGCTATTTTAGAATGAACAATATCTCAAAAAAATTAGCAATATGTAGTGACATACAAATTTATTTATTCTAGTCCCATTATAAGTTCGAAATCTATTATGGCTAACATTTTTGAAAAATTGAAATTTTGAGATCATCGTTCTATAACTGACTAATCCAACAATTTGTGGTCATTGCATTTCAAACAAATACTGAATCAACATATGATAGCCCGTATTAAAATATGAAACAAATTTAAAAGTATAAAGAACATAAAAAAGAATTTGTCTAAGGATTCTAATTGGAGAAAGCAAACAAAATGTTACCATTAAATAGAACTTTGTCAGTAAAAGAGGTGAACTCAGATCTGAAAAAAAAAAGTAATTTTTTTCAGAATGAGGGGTTGTCTTTATATTAGTAGTTACTATATGCATTTTGATTAGTGGCTCTTTCTTGAGCCTCCACAGACATAGTTGCTCTTTAGCCCAGTGGCCCCCAATCTTTTTGGCACCAGGGATGGATTTCATGGAAGACAATTTTTCCATGGGACAGGTTAGGCGGGGCATGGTTTCGAGATGGAATTGTTCCACCTCAGATCATCAGGCATTAGTTAGATTCCCCTAAGGAGTGTGCAATCTAGACCCCTCACATGCGCAGTTCCTATGAGAATCAAATGCCCCCAAAGATCTGTTAAGAGGCAGCACTCAGGCCACAACACCCCTTGCCCCCCTCATCTCCTGCTGTGAGTCCAGTTCCTAACAGGCCCGGGACCGGGACCTAACCCCTTGGAGACCCCTGCTTTAGCCAATAGCACTTATACATTTCTATACACCTAACTTACACACTTTTACTTACTTTAGGAGAAATAATTCCTTTACTAGAAATCATTGTGAAAATCACGAAAAATCACAGAGATTTCCTGGAAATGAATAATCTTGGTTTAATTGTTTGACTTTCAATGTTAATTTAACCTGCGTGCTTAGCTAAGTCATTTAATTGCTCAGTATCCAATTTTCCCATCTGGAAATTAATAACAGAGGCCAGAGCTCCGTCCAAAACAATAATGAGGATGACAATAAAAATAAACTTCAGAATAAAATTCAAACTCTGCCTAACAGGGAAGACTGATCTTGCCTCCCTGTTCCCCAACCTAGCCCTTTTTCCTGCCACTTCTGTTATTATCTCAGACTGAAAATAGGCTCTGGCTAGATAGGGAAATTCACCAATCCTTGAATTCTTCCTGAAATTGCTTAACTGTAGTGCTTTAACCACATGTATTCATGTTGTTCCAATTCCTGGTCCACATTAGAAGCATTGAGGAGCCTAAACCACTGCATCCAAACCTTTTAAATGAGAATCTCTGGGCATCAGTATTTTTTTAAAAAGCCCCCTGATTTCTTTCAAAATACTAATATAATATGTAAGAGTGGGTGGGAGTGTGTGGAAGTATAGATGAAACAAGCTTAGCCATGCCTTAATAATTATTGAAGTTGGGTGATGAGCACGTGGGTTCATTGTATGATTCAACCTACTTTTGTAAAGGTTTGACATTTTCCATACTAAAATGTTTTTAAAGACTCATACCTGGTGATGCTAGTGTGTAATGAGAATTTGCTTCCTGGGGATCCCAACCTGTAATAACGATGAAACTAGAATCCTGGCTCTCCTTTCTTTTTAGTCTCTCTGTGAATTAATTGATTAGTTATTTAACTAATTAAACAAATGCTTATAAATGTTCACTCCTGGCTAGAATACTGCTAACCTGTGTCAGGCTCTGGAGGCTCCTTAAGGGGTTTATGGTTTGATTGGATGAGACATAACAGCAAACAAATAAATTACAGGTAGAAGGTATGTCCAGAAAAGAATGGCATGAAGGATGTGTGTGAGAGGAGGGTAGCCAGTTGCACGTTGGGGAGACAGCAGGAAGTGCTTCACGGAAAAGTGACTTTTAAGATAAGTTTGATGAAACTTATTTACCCTTTAAGATCTAGCTTAAATTCTACTTCTTACATCCTTCATTTATGTTGCCGAACAAAAATAATCTGTTTCCACTCTGTATGGTAACCTTTTGCCTCTATATTTCTTATTTCAATTACTTTCAGTTTCATGTTACTATATTGGAAATTCTTTGAGATGAAAAATTACTTCAATTCATTCATGCATCCTTCAAAATGTTCTAAAAAAGTGACTTGATTATTATAAAAATTCAATAAAAGTATGCTGAATTAAATACAATTGATTATCTTTACAGCTTACAGACATTAAATAATTTTGTCATATCATTTGACATTTGAATTTACATATTTGCCTTAATTGGCAATCAATATTAACTTAGGAAAGAGTATTAGTCTAAAAGAAAAAATATGCCAAGTTGGAAAGAGAACCATTTTTTGTTGTTGGTGGTGAAAATGGACACTGCTCTTTTCAAAGAGAGCTATAAATAAACACTCTAATTTTTCTGCTCACTGAAAGAAGCACACTATCTAGCCAAGTGCAGCCTTGAATGTTAATTTTGTTCTATTGAAAGCACCTGGGATTCAAAGGCTTTTCCTTCCCTGGCTTGCACAAGAGCAGTTTTATCTGCTGCACAGAATTTGGAATGACCCAATTCTGTCACGTTGGTGGGAACAAATAATTAAAATAAAGTTGGATGACAGAGATAAAAGGCACAGAGAAAGAAAAAATCAAACTCCAGGAAAAACGTCAGCAAGGCACTTTCTTGGCACTTTGTTAGTTTCAAATGAGGTACTATTTCTTGCTTTGAACTTGACAAATTCAAGGCCATTTCTAACGCTTGGTTTAAATGTTTTAGCCTAGCTACTAAAGGCTCACACTAGACAGTATGTTAGTAAACTTATTAATCAAAAATGGGGCAGCACAAGGAATGGCCAGGCTTTAACCTGCTTACTGGGAGAGCGACCAGATTCTTAAAACTAAGGATCCTACATCCGGTGCACTGAAGCAAGCCATTTAGAAACTAACTCTACCATAACAAATTCCTGGGTTATTTTTTTCTATCAATAACAGTATTTTTGCTTTTTTTTTTTTTCCAACTCCATTGAGGACAGAACCATGACATGATGGCTTACAGTTCAATATTAGTACAATTTACTGTAGATAAACTTTTTAAACACTAGAAAACTTGTATTTTGAAAAAAGTCATGGGATACCACAAACAGCAACAGGGATTTTAAAAAATACTTCTGATAGCTTATTGCTGGGCAATACTCCTGCCAAGAACTAGAAACGTTTGATAAAATGTAGCAAAATATCTATTTGAAAGCATGAGAGACCTACTAAGACAGCTATGGCTTAGGGGGTCAAAATTCCAGAGAGAAGAAAGGCACAATAATGTAAGTTCAACATTCAGTCTACTCTTCCTCCTAAGGTGTTTGCCAATTCATGAGCAACACTGAGAAGCTGAAAAGTTGAGGAGAACTTCTACCAGTCTTAGGATATTGGAGGAAAAAGTGGATTCAAAAACTATCAAGGATAGACCCTAGCTTTCAGCTGGGACCTAAAAAATGCTATACTGGGAACAGAAGAAGCTGGACATGGATAAGCCTTTAGAATAACAGCAGCTCAGCTTTGAAATAGCTCAATCCATGATTAAATTAAGATGATCTGTCTCTATCCTAATTGTTTGCTGAAAGGAAAAGCACCACTTAGAACCTTAAATTTTATTTGTGATTTTTCATACCCCAAATCTGTCATTTAATTAAAAAATTATCAGGCATAACAGGAAAGAAGGTGAAATGACTAAATAACAAGAGAAAATACAGAGAATACAAACTGACCCATAGAAGAGCTAGAATTCGGACTCCTCAGACCCAGAATTTAAAACGACTGTGATAAATAAGTTCTATAAGTTATCTGATATGATGGAGAACTTCAGTAGAGAACAAGAAGCCTAAATTTTAAAATCAATTCCAAAACTGAAAATCTTAATAACTAAAGTCAGGAACTCAAAGTACAGGTTTAATAATATATTAGATAAGCTGATGAGATAGTGTCTACCTCTGGGAAACAGGGAAATTGTAGTGATGTGAACTACACATGTGATGTGAGTGTGGGGATCTTCTGAGATTCCTGTCATATTCTCTTCCTTTCATTTGGGTACATGGGTGTGTTCACTTTATAATAATCCAAGCTGTACCTATGTGTTCTGTTATATGTGTGTGTAAACTGATGAGACTTGTTACATGAAATATCCCCACAGATACACTGAATGAAACTGTTGGAGAACTGGGGTGTTTCAGGAAGCTGAATTTCTACAAGTAAGACAAACACCAAGAAAAAAAATAGATAATTAACATTTTCAGGAGAAAAATGTTAGACCTTTAAATTACTTTCTCTGAAATAATTTGCTGAATTCACTGACAGTCACCATTTCCTCTGCTAAACCTTTCATCGGGTGCCCATGGAGTGTTTAAACTCAGGTAGTTGTCTCACACATCCTTCCATTTGTTAGAGTGTATAATTACAAGAGTCAGTTGTGCTTGCTAATGACTTGAAACTAAGCCTATTGTACGTGTTCCTTTAATGACAAAATCTAGTTAAATATTATGTAACTAAGGCTGGGTGTGGTGGCTCATGCCTGTAATCCTAGCACTTTGGGAGGCCAAGGCAAAAGGATTGCTAACTCAGGAGTTTCTGCAACATAGGGAGATCCTGTCTCTACAAAAAAAATTTTTTAAATTAGTCAGGCGTGATGGTTCCAGCTGTAGTTCCAGCTCCTCAGTAGGCTGAGGTGGGAGGGTTGCTTGAGCCCAGGAGGTCAAGGTTGCAGTGAGCCATGATTGTGCCACTGTACTGCAGCCTGGGTGACAGAGTGAGCCCCTGTTTAAAAAAAAAAAAAATATATATATATATATATATATATATATATATATATATATAACTAATGATACTTCAGCGTAAAAAGAGAACTGTTTCTATGAAAAATTGAATGCTTTCTCAATAAAGGTGAGTCAGTCAAAAAGAAAGATAAACAAGCTGCCCAAGAATGTATAAGGAAGATTATTGAGGAATAATCTTTTTGTGTGTTCACATACCATTAACATAGTATTCACTGAGAAGAATGTATGTGTCCACCCAAACACACAAATATGTGTGTGTTATTAAAAATAACCCTATAATTACTAGCAGGGATACAATCAGAAAATTAAAATAGATTGTTACAGTAGACCACTGATCTAACCATAAATTAAACCAGTGAAATCCATGAGTTTAATCAAAAGTAACTTTATTATTTGTCTCCCACTGTCCTTTTAAATTCTAGGGCTTTGCACCTTCCCCTGTCTCATGGCAATTTAGAGTAAGTCCCAGGGCTTTTCTGATCACATTCTGGTAATAAAAACAATCTCAAGTCAGTAATTAAAATATGCAATCCTTGAATTTCATTCAAGGTTCAACTGCTTTTTCCAGCTGAGGCTGGCCATAGCTGGCTGTGAACAGCGGGAAGAGACGAGGTTGGCTGCTCCACTCTTTTCACAGCTGACCTCCTTCCACATCCCCTTTTTGCTACCTTCATTTCTGACCTCCCAGCATCACAGCTGGGTGGAGGATAGGGAGAAGGGGAAAAAGGGGGGTTTTCCCTGGGCTTGGGAAGTATGTGAGCTGTCTCTCTCCTAGACCATCGGTGGATTTTTCAGACTATCACCCATCCCTGGGGATGTCTCAGCTGCATTTCCTGTTGTGGGTCATTGTATTGCCTGGGGCTGCTTCTTTAGCCTCTTGGCATACAGTGGTTCATCCTCCGGTTAGGGTCGCTTTATCCTGCCTTGGACAGGATTTCTCTCATGGCCCACATCTAAGGACACGCTCATGTAATAATTTTCCCAACCAACTCTGTGACAGCAGGTAACCTCCCAATGTGGTCACCTCTCTTTGCTCCAGCATCAGAGCAGCTGGCTAACGCACCTCTGACCTTGGGGCTCATCTGGTAGTCATTGAACACCAGCCCTTGGGTGACACTCAGTGTGCAGGGGACACTCATCAAAGTTTGAAGTGTGCCTTCCATTGTCTTGGATCTTCAACCCAAATGAAACATAAATAATACTCACCCCTCGAGTATTTTCTTTTGCACAACTGTAGTGGCAACAAAATCCTATTTAATTCATTAATTTGTGTCTGACAGTGCAAGTACTCACTAAATATTTATTGAATATTGAATAAATATGCTAATACAAGCTTTCTATTTGTAGACATTATTTGACAAAGTGGTTATGATGGAAGATGAAGAATTTTTCCTCTGAGACCTTTCAGATTGGGTTGTCATACCAGAAGGGGTTTGGGCTACCTTCCCTGAGACTAATGAACTATAACACGAATGAACTAATGAACCATTACAATTTTTTTTCCACGCTGTGCCTCCAGAACCAACTGCACTAAACTTGTGAAAAACGCCAGAATGTCGCATTTCAGAAGGAGCTCTTTTTGTCTTGCTCTCTCCTGAATTCTATCATCCATTCATTTAGGGCATTGGGAAAATGGATTCAAAGCCCGTCTCATCATTTTTTGTTCCGGCTTCCAGCTGGTAAATAACCCTTCAATCAGTAGGTAAAAGCAAAGCTTCACTTAATAATCAGGTTTCTTCAGACCCATGCTGGAAGACATCAGGCCCTTGGAAGTGTTCTAGTAGACTGAGTGACTCCAGCCAGTGATATTCCTACCTGCAGCTCTCTCTGCAGCCTGAGGAAGAAATAGCTTTGGATAGAACAAAGAGGAAGGGAGGAGGTGGTAGAACTAAAGAGAAGCCATGGAAAGAAATAGCTTTGGATGAAACAAAGAGGAAGTGAGGAGGTGGGTGAACTAAAGAGAAGCAATGGAATGAAATGCAGGATAAATAGTCCTTGAGATAATGGAAGTTCTGGGAGCTATTCAGCTAATGGTTCTGTGGCGTGGCTTTCATCTTTTTCACTTGTGTCACAAGGGAAATCACCTTGTTACAATGACAGCCTCCAAGTCTATTACCAGGCAAGCTATCCCAGAGGTCACAGAACAGAAAGCTTTAAGAACCAAATTAAAATGCTCAAATCGCATGGCTTATGAAGTCCATTTAAAGCTCACAGTGGAAAATGATGGAAAAGAGATGGGGTGAATGAACACATGTAGGACTGAATGCAAGTTGGGTAAAAGAATCACACAATCTGAATTGTAAGTGCTCAGTGTTCATATGTCACCGTTCTCTTTTTCTCTGTGTGCCCATGCATATGGGCAGTGCATTATCCTTCCCAGCTGGTGGTGGTTATAAGGATCAGAGTTGAGGCTCTAGCAAGGGGAACCATAGACAGAAGTTGCCCTGAGACAACCACACACACTTGCTCCATTGAAGAGATGCAGGGACAGGCACTCCTGGCCACAGCTACAACCAATCAGCCTGCTGAACAGCCATGAGTTTTATTCATGCTCCTTGGGCAGAGGACACATGGAGCCAGAATGAGTGTCACCAATGGGTGGCTAAATTATGACTTTATGAATATTAAGTGCTCATGTATGGTGTATCCCAAATATTTAGTGTTTCTCATATATTTAGTCTCACATATATTTAGTTCCTAGGTAACTCATTGATATTAGGTGTCTCTTGATTCTTCCATTTGTCTCAATCTATGTTAGACATCCATACATTCTACTTGCTTACTACTTATACTTAATAAATTCTATGTATCCTACCAATGTCTAGCAAACTTTTTGCTTACTAGTTACTTATCTATACTTAATATTCTTAAATATCGTAGCCTGTTTTACAGACTACAAACTTATTTATCTAACAAAACCAGTCTCAAAAGCAAATGCATGTTAGGATGTATCTTTGATTGTGAAAACTATGTCTTATTCATCTATGTGTTTATGTGTGGCTGTTAGCAACACATACACGATAGAGTAGTCCCCTTTTATCCATGGAGGATATGTTCCAAGACCTCCAGTGGATCCCAGAAACTGTGGGTAGTACCAAATATATATACAACCTATGTATACAGTATCATGTTTTTTTGATCTGATAACCTAGATGGCTAATTAAGTAAGTGATGGGTGCCATCTTTAGAATGGACACCCTGGACAAAGGGATGATTCACATCCCAGGCTGGACGAAGCAGAATGGCATGAGATTTCATCATGCTACTCAAACCGCACAAAATTTACAACTTATGAATTGTTTATTTCTGGAATTTTCCATTTAATATTTTTGACCCACAATTGACTGCAGGTAACTGAAACTGCAGAAAATGAAACCTCAGTTGGGGGAGACTACTGCATATATTTTCTACATAAAAAATAAATAAGATGGGTAGCTGATATGTGTCCCTGCCCATATCTCAATGTCAAATTGTAATCCCCAATATTGGAGGTGGGGCCTGGTGAGAGGTGATTGGATCATGAGGGTGGATTTCTCATGAATGGTTTAACACCATCCCCTTGGTGCTGTTCCCATGATAGTGAATGAGTTCTCATGAGATCTAGTTGTTTAAAAGTGTATGGTACTTCCCCCCTCACTCTCTCTCTTGCTCCTGCTCTGGCCATGTGAGATGCCCACTCCCCCTTTGCCTTCTGCCATGATTGTAAGTTTCCTGAGGCCTCCAAGAGGCAGATGCTACCATGCTTCCTGTATAGCCTGCAGAACTGTGTGCCAATTAACTTTTTTAAATAAATTACCCAGTCTCAAGTATTTCTTTATAGCAATGTGAGAATGGACCACTATAGTAGCTTTTCAAGACAGCTGACTAGGGACATCACATGCTAGTTCTCCTGAGAAGGAAAATCAAAGTTGTGGGTAAATGGTCAAGTTTTGAGTGGAAAATGGAGGGAGGAGAGCCAGAACCTGTTGGAGTCCCCCACATGAAGAGGCTAGGGCATACAGAAATAAAAGTAGCAAAAGTCTGGCTAAGATCAGTCCCCAAGGAACTCAGAGACCCCCGAGGAATTCAGAGCCCAGCAGAAAGGGTAAGCAGGAATGCTTCTCTTCTCCCCTCCCACCTCTGACAATGCTGACTGCTAAACTGTTTGCCCCCCTGACTCAGGGCAACACTATTGCTGGTGATTAGAGATCTTCCTGAGAACAGAGAACCAGGTGGCCAGCTCATGCAGCTGTGCTGCACCCCACCCTCAGACCCAGGCTGAGATAATGTAATGTGAACCATACCAGTTGTGCACATGTGGTGCCAGTGCCCTGCCCAGGGATCCTCCACCCTTGAGCCACTGCATCCCCAGACTACCTGCAGACATACCCCACATCCTGCTCTGACTTTGTCCATTGGGAGTTGTGGGTCCACTGGAGATCTAACTGTCAGTGCAGAATGCCCCTAAAGGAGGGGAATGTGCAGCCCCCACAAAGTCCCACTGGGACAAAGGAAAGGTGGCCATAGTGCCAACCATGGAAGGCGGTACAATCAAAGCCTGGGAACAGACTTGGAGACTTGGCGAGGGGGTCATCTCTTGCCCCTTGCAACCCTCCCCAGTATACTGTTCTCCATGTGAGCTTGTGCTGAAAGAGGATGCTTTTCACGTTTCTCCAGCAGCTTCACCCCTGCTGAAGGCAAGCCGGCACTTACCCTACCACCTACTGAGGGTGAATCTGTGCTAAGAACCTACCTGCTGTATCGTCCTGTTAAGTCCCATCTACTGGAAAACAGCCTGAATTACACCACCAAACAAAAATAAATCGCTACATCGAGAAAGCCACCTCAGGAACCTATCTGCAACCAAGGAGCCTGTACAGAGCTTTGGCCCTCTGACAGCACCCAGAAATGAAGTGAATCAATCATACATAACATACACCACAGTCATACCCTCAAGGGAAAAAAGAATAAAAAATCAAAAAGCCCCATCCGAACAATAGCAAATTCCAAAAAAAAATAAAAAAAAAAAAAAGCATCAGCTCTCTCAGATGAGAAGGAATCAGCACAAGAACTCTGGTAAAACAAAACACCAGTGTTTCATTACCTCCAAAGGTTTACACTAATTACCTAGTAATGTATCCTAATCAGATTGAAATGTGTGAAATGACAGATATAGGATTCAAAATATAGATGGCATGGAAACTCAATGAGACCCAAGAGAAGGTTGTAATACAATATAAAGAAGTTAGAAAAACAATCCAAGATTTGAAAGACAACAAAGCTATATTAAAAGAGAACCAAACGAAACTTCTGGAATTGAAAAATTCACTACAGGAATTTCAAAATGCAGTTGAAAACCTTAAAAACAGAGTAGACTAAGCAGAAGAAAGAATGTCAGAGTTCAAAGACTGGTTCTTCAAATCAAGCCAGTCAGACAAAAATAAAGAAAAAGAATTTAAAAAAGTGAACAAAGCCTTTAAGAAATATGGGATTATGTAAAGTTACCAAACCTAGGTCTTATTGGCATTTCTGAGAGGGAAGAAGAGAAAGTAAGCAACTTGGAAAAATCTTTGAGTTTATAATACAGGGAGATTTCCCCAATCTTGCTAGAGAGATCAACATGCAGATATAAGAAATCTGGAGAACTCTTGCAAGATACTATACAAGACAACCATCCCCGAGGCACATAGTCATCAGACTATCCAAGGTCAATGCAAAAGAAAACATCTTAAAGGCAGCTACAGAAAGGGGCCATATTACCTACAGAGGAAATCCCATCAGACTAACAGCAGACTTCTCAGCAGAAACTTTATAAGCCAGAAGAGATTCAGGGCCTATTTTTAACAATCTTAAAGAATAGAAATGCCAGCCAAGAATTTCATATACTACCAAACTAAGCTTCATAAATGGAGGAGAAATAAAGTATTTCCCACACAGGCAATTGCTAAGGGAATTTGTCACCACCAGACCAGCCCTACAAAAGATGCTTAAGGGAGTTCTAAATATGGAAACCAAAGAATGATACTTGCTATCAAAAAAATGACACCTTTAGTACGTAGCTGACAAGGCTTATAAAGCAACTACACAATTGAGACTACAAAGAAATTAGCTAATAACACTATGACAGGAACAATACCTCACACATCAACATTAACCTTGAATGTAGATGGCTTAAGTGGTCTACTTAAAAGACATAGAGTGGCAAATTGGATAAAAAAGACAAGACCCAACTGATGTCTCCAAGAGACCCATCTCACATGTAATGACATCCATAGGTTCAAAGTAAAGGGATGGAGAAAGATCTTTTATGCAAATGGAAAACAAAAAGGAGGAAGAATCACTATTCTTGTATCAGATAAAACAGACTTTAAACCAAAAACAGCAAAAAAGGACAAAGGGTATTATATAATGAAAAAGTGTTTGATTCAACAAGAAGATTTAACTATCCTAGATATATGTGCACTCAACATTAGAGCACATAGATTTATTAAACAATCACTACTAGACCTAAGAAAAGACTTAGACAACCACACAATAATAGTGGAGGATTTCAACATCCCACTGACAACATTAGACAGATCATTGAGGCAGAAAACTGACAAAGAAATTCTGGACTTAAATTCACCACTTGACCAGTTGGGCCTAATAGACATCTGCAGACTACTCCACCCAACAACCACAGAATATACATTCTTCTCACATGCATAGAGAACAAACTCTAAGATTGACCACATGATGGGTCATAAAGCAAGTCTCAATCAATTAAAAGAAAATAGAAATCATATCAAGCCATCTTCTCAGACCACGGGGGAATAAAAATAGAAATAAATACCAAGAGGAACTCTCAAAACCACACATATACATGGAAACTAAACAACTCGCTCGTGAATGACTTTTGGGTGAATAATGAAGTTAAAGCAGAAATCAAAAAATTCCTTGAAACAAATGAAAATAGAGACACAAGATAACAAAACCTCCAGGATGTGGTAAAGGCAGTGTTAAGAGAAAGTGTTAAATGCCTACATGGAGAAGATAGAAATACTTCAAATTAATAACCTAATGTTGCACATAAAGGAACTTGAAAAACAGGAAAAAACTAAACCCAAAACTTGCAGAAAAAAAATAAGACAGAGAACTAAATGAAATCAAGAATACAAAAAAATACAAAGAATCAATGGAACTAAAAGTTGATTTTTTGAAAAGATAAACAAGATTAGTAGATTGTTTGCTAGATTAACAGAAAAAGAGAGAGAAAATCCAATCAGAAATGACAGAGGTGACATTACAAGCAATCCCACAGAAATACGAAAGATCTCTATGTGCACAAACTAGAAAACCTAGAGGAAATGGATAAGTTTCTGGAAACACACAACCTTCCCAGATTGAACCAGAAAGAAATTGAAACCCTTAACAGACCAATAACAAGTTACAAAACTGAATCAGTAAAAAAAAAAACAAAAAAACCTACCAACTAAAAATAGCCCCAGATGAGGGGGATTCAGAGTTGAATTCTACCAGATTTACAAAGAAGAGCTGGTACCAATTCTGCTGAAACTATTTTAAAAAAACTGAGAAGAGGGATCCCCCCATAACTAATTCTATAAAACCAGTATTATCCTGATACCAAAATCTGGCAAAGATACAACAACAAAAAAGAAAACCACAGGCCAATATCCCTAATGAATATAGACACAATAACCCTCAACAAAATATAAACAAACTGAATCCAACACCACATCTAAAAGATAATTCATCATGATCAAGTGGATTTTATCCCAGGAATGCAAGCACGGTTCAACATGCACAAATCAATAAACATGATACATCAACGGAATGGATACAAACCATATGATCATCTCAAAATGAGATGCAGTAAAAAACATTCAATAAAATCAAACATCCGTTTATGATAAAAACCCTCCACAAACTAGGCATCAAAGAAACATACCTCAAAATAATAAGAGCCATCTATGACAAACCCACAGCCAACATCACGTTGAATGGGCAAATCTTGAAACCATTCTCCCTAAAAATGAAGAAGACAAGGATGTCCACTCTCACTACTCCTATTCAACATACTTCTGGAAGTCCTAGCCAGAGCAATCAATTAACAGAAAGAAATAAAAGGCATCTAACTAGGAAAAGAGGAAGTCAAATCACCTGTCTTTACTGATGACATGATTCGTACCTAGGAAACACTAAAGATTACACCAAAAGACTCCCAGACCTGATAAATGACATCAGGATACAAAATCAATGTACTAAAATTAGTAGCATTTCTATACACCAGTGATGTTCAAGCAGAGAACCAAATCAAGAATGTAATCTCATTTACAACAGTCACACACATGCAGAAAATACCTAGGAATATATCTAACCAAGGAGGTAAAAGATAGCTACAAGAAGAACCACAAAACACTGCTAAAAGAAATCATAGATGGCACAAAATATGGAAAACATCCCATGCTTGTGGATGAAAAGAATCTATATCATTAAAATGGCTATACTGCCCAAAGCAATCTACAGACTTAATGCTTTCCTATTAAATTACCAATGTCATTAATCACAGAACTATCAAAAAACTATTCCAAAATTCATATGGAACAACAACAACAAAAAAGCTCAAATAGTCAAAGCAATCCAAAGCAAAAAGAAGAAACCCAGAGGCATCACATTACCTGACTTCAAACAATACTACAAGACTACAATAACCAAAACAGCATGGTACTGGTACAAAAATAGACACATAGACCAAATGGAACAGAATAGAGAACCCAGAGATAAAGCCACACACCTACATCCAACTGATTTTTGACAACATCAATAAAAGTAAACAATGGGGAAATGACATTCTATTCAATAAATGGTGCTAGTACAGCTGACTAAACATATGCAGAAGAATGAAATTGGACACTTACCTCTAATCATATACAAAAATTAACTCGAGGTGGATTAAAGACTTAAATGTAAGACCTCAAACTATAAAAATACTAGGAGAAAACCTAGAAAATACTCTTCCGGAGATTGGCCTAGGCAAAAAAATTATGACTGAGTCTTCAAAAGCAAATGCAACAAAAATAAAAATTGACCTAATTAAACTAAAGAGCTTCTGCATAGCAAAATAAACTATCAATGGAGTAAATTGACAACCTAGAGAATGAGAGAAAATATTTGCAAACTATTCATCTGATAAAGGACTAATATCCATAATTTGTAAGGAACTTAAATCAACAAGAAAAAAACAACCCAATTAAAAAGCGGGTAAAGGACATAAACAGACACTTTGCAAAAGAAGACACACATGCAGCCAACAAACATGAAAAAATATTCAATATCACGAATTATCAGAGAAATGCAAATCAAAACCACAATGAGATACCATCTCACACCTGTCATAATGACTATAAATAAAAAGACAGAATATAATAGATGTTGGCCAGGTTGCAGAGAAAAGGGAATGCTTATACACTGCTGGTGGGAATGTAAATTAGTTAAGTCCGTGGAAAGCAATTTGGAGATTTCCCCAAGAACTAAAAATAGAATTACCATTCAACCTAGCAATCTCCTTACTGGGTGTATATCCAAAGGAAAATAAATCATTCTACCAAAAAGATACCTGCACTTGCATGTTTATTGCAGCATTATTCACAATAGCAAAGACATGGAATCAACCTAGGTGCCCATTGATGGTGGATTGGATAAAGAAAATGTGGTACATATACACCATGGAATACTACATAACCATAAACAAGAATGAAATCATGTTCTTTGCAGCAACATGGATGCCGTTGGAGGCCAATATTCTAAGTGAATGAACAGAGAAACAGAAAACCAAATACCACATGTTCTCACTTATAAGTGAGAGCTAAACATGGGTACACATAGATGTAAAAATGAAAACAATAGACACTGGGGACTCCAAAAGGGGGAAGGAAGGGAAGGGGCTAAGGTTGAAAACTACCTATTGGGTACTTTGTTCATTCTTTGGGTGATGGGTTCAAAAGAAGCTCAAACGCAGCATCACACAACATATCTATGTAACAAACCAGCACATGTACCCCTGAATCTAAATTTTTTAAAAAGATACTAATGGACAGCATTCCCAGGTTTAATAATCATAATAATAAATGAATTTCATTGTCATCCCTACATGTCCACTACTTCAAAGATAGCAAAAATGAATCAAGCAGGCTGTTTTTTCTGTAAGTTAATAAGCTCAAAATTTAGTGGCTTAGAGTGGCTATGTACCTATGATTCGGCGAGGTGATTTTGCTCAGCTGATCCCTGCTGGGCGTGCTCATGCACCTGCAGTCATCTGGAAGGTCAGCGGGAGGATGGATGGTCTAGGATGGAAAGAAGCTGAGTAACAAAACCCGAGGAGGGAAAAGATGTAGCTTAGTACAATCATTCCTGAGCTACATTTTTTTTCCATTAAAAAAAGTCAAATCATCTCTCTTTACTGATGACATGATTCATACCTAGGAGACACTAAAGATTACACCAAAAGACTCCCACACCTGACAAATGACATCAGGATACAAAATCAGTGGGGTTGATTATCCCCACTGCATCTACTTTGACAGGCCAATTTTTCCTCTTTTTTATTCTGGGAAAAATAAAATGTATCTTATAATGAATTACTACAACCTTAACACCGTGGTCTCAACCACCAAGGCCCTCATACTCAATACCCTCATATTATTAAAATTACTGCTATTCAATCAATAACTGGTGAATATTTTGCTGTTATAGATTTGGCCAGCTTGTTCTGTTCAGTGCCTGTTTCAACAGTCTCTTAGCTGCAGTTTGCCTTTAGCTCTGAAGAGATACAATGTGGTACACCTTTTCTAGGCTACCCATGGGTACTTCAACAGCTTTGTCATGCACAGTCTTTGCCGATAAGATCTCAATGGGATCCACCTTCTGTGGGAACACAGGTAGACGTTACAGTATGTTGACAGCATCCTCCTCCAAGGAGACTCAGTTGCCACACTCATTAAGAACATAGCCAGGAGCGGTGGCTCACGCCTATAATCCCAGCACTTTGGGAGGCCGAGGCGGGCAGATCACGAGGTCAAGAGATCAAGACCATCCTGGCCAACATGGTGAAACCCCGTCTCTACTAAAAACACAAAAATTAGCTGGGCGCGGTGGTGTGTGCCTGTAGTCCCAGCTACTCAGGAGGCTGAGGCAGGAGAATCACTTGAACCTGGGATGCGGAGGTTGCAGTGAGCCAAGATTGTGCCATTGCACTCTGGCCTGGTGACAGAGTGAGACTCTGTCTCAAAACAACAACAACAACAATAACAACAACAACAACAGAATGTATAAATTCAATATCTTTTAGTACCTTTTAGGTTCTGGTGGCAATATATTTTCATTTATAAATTTTATTTGCAAATTAAAATCAACAGGCACTCTTGTTAGTGCCCTTAGAAGCTCCTTCACTATAGAGGCTTTGGCAACCTCTCTTCATGCCTCTGGACCCCTTATGATGGCCATTTGATGACCCAAGACTTCTGATATGAGAAATTATCCCTTTCAGCCTTGTGCTATACATCATTAAAACAACAAATGCCTGGCTATCTACTGGGCTGTCTTAAAAATAGAGGCTGTCACAGACCCTAAATCTGTGACTCTCTAAACTAAGCTACTCCCTATGCTTTTCATCATGGCAACAGCACCTCACAAGCTCAGCACTGGAACTGAGACCTCCTCAGGACAGGATGGAGCTGAACCTGGGCCCTCTGGTACATTCCACCTGCAGGAGATGGTGGCTTCCACTGTCATCAGTCCCTTGCCAGATGCCAGATGCTGAAGGAGGTTGTTCCTCCCCTAGGCCCCTTGACTACTTGGGATTAACTGAGTGAATAGTAATGGGAGTTCACAGACTATGTGAAAGCGTGGTTCACCATCATACATAACGGAGCTTGTTGAAATGTTGCTGCTTTCCATCTCTTAGCCAGGATGTCCCTAATAAAAGACGGGACCCAAGAAATAACACTCTTGGCCAGACTTCAGGCAGTCGTCTTAGTACTGGGTGTCTTGATCAACAAATAGTCCCATTTTCAGCTATTATCAACTATTTGTATATAGTTTATTATCAGTGATTGGCCCATAACCTAAAAATTCTCCCCTTCAAGGTAAAAAACTCTAGAAACCTCTTGCCTTATAGATACTCAAAACATGAAGCAAAATCATGTTCCCTCACATACTAAAGCCACAATACAAGGCCTTGCCAAAAACACACCTCATTCCCTTCAGATATACAGACATTACTGGTAGTAACCAAGACATGCATTTTACTTCTTAAAATACGCAATGCTGGGCATCTGAAGGAGGCATTTGACAGAATACTTATGTTGCTAATAGGCCCCAAATAGGTGCTTTAACTGAGAGACATAAGGATGTCTTCAAACAACTCCTTTTCAAATTCCAGTCCAACATTACCCCTGAAGTGCTCTATGTTGCGCCAGGCTTTAAGCTACTTATAATTACATTTTCAATCTTTCCCCCTTCTCACTAGAGCTGGAGGCCAGTTTGGGGGCACATACACTCCAGGGACTGCTGAACTGTTGTCCCACAGGCCAGGCTGCTGCCCATCTGATATGGAACCCTGCAGAATGTAAACTTCCACCCCCCACAAAAGCCCTGTCAGGTGCAGCACAGACCCCACTAGTGACCTCTTACTACTGGTTTGGGGGGTTTTTAGTTTACAACCCAGAGGCCCACATCAACTCAAGTGGGTACCCACTTGAAAAGGACACTGTAGTCACACATCTCAGATGACATCTCTCTGGCCTGAAATCTCAGTGCTGGAGATGACTTCGCTCCCTGCCTGCATGCCAAGCCCACTTCACCCAGACACTAAAACCTCCACCCAGTTATGCCCATGGGCCTCCTCTCCTAAGGCACAACACAAGCACAAAACATTTTTTGTTTTTCCTTCCTGAACTCGCTGCTTAGCCCATGATCCTAGTGTTTTCCTTGCTCTCTGTTCAAATGTACACCCCTATAATTCTATACCTAAAGAGAAATCTGGTACATGTTAAATTAATGGAGATTATTGCTTTCCCCAGAAGGCATCTGCCTCCCAAAGTGCTGGGATTAAAGGTGTGAGCCCCCATGCCTGGCTGGGGCTACAGTTTATAGGTGCTCTCTAGACACCTCAGCACCAACTTAGAAAGAAAAAACACAGCAGTAGTACACCCTCAAGAAGGGTTATAAACAGGGGCAACAGAAAGTGAGGGCTTAGAGGAGAGCGTAAGGCAGAGAGAAAGAAGAAGCGTTAAAGAGCAAGGCAGAACCTCTTGGGCCCAGGCAGTGAGGCCTCCCTAGGCAGCGTGTATGGTGCCTGCATGCCCCAACCCTGGGATTGCTCAGTGTTCCCCTGCAATGACCTTCTTTATTCCCTTCTGAATGCCATCATCCATCCATTGAGGGCATTTAAGGCCTTGGGAAAATGGATTCAAAACCTGACTCACCATTTTTGTTCTGGCTTCCAGATGCTCAAAAACCCTCCAATCAGTAGGTAAACGGGAAGTTTTGCTTCAACAATCAGGCTCCTTCAGACCCCTGCTGGAAGAAATCAGGACCTTTGAAGGTCTCCAAGTGTTGGTTTGCAGGAAATTCATCTTCTGGTCCAAGGGAGGCAAACACATAGTCTTGGGACCTGGGAGTGGGTAATCTCTGCCTCCACCGGAGGGAGGTAGGTTTTGGTGGCTACTGACCAAGGAGGACTAACTACCTGCAAGCCA
The DNA here is from genome assembly GCF_000001405.40 of Homo sapiens. NCBI lineage: Eukaryota > Metazoa > Chordata > Mammalia > Primates > Hominidae > Homo > Homo sapiens. Next base: position 131,443,639 of record NC_000006.12, read on the forward strand.
CTCTCCTCCTGGAGAGACAGAAAACTGATTCCCACTCCACCACACTTAGAATGGATGCAAAGCCCTTACTGTGCCAAAACATCCACATGACTGCTGTCTCCAGCCCCTCTACCCCGCTCGGCCACTCTGCCTGCCTCAGTCTTGTCACTTGCTGTTCTCTCTACCAGGAAATGACTTCACCATATCTGTGCAGGGCTCACTCTCTCACTTCCTTTAGGTCTTTGTTGTAAGATTGCATCCTCAGAGTCCTTCCCTGATCATCCTCCTTACATAGCTCACAGCTCCCCTACCAACCCCTGCTGTATTTCAGTGCGCCTATCTCTGCCTCATATGTTAATTTTTGTTTGTCTATTTGCTTATTTTCTGGGCCTTCCACCTGAGAGTAAACTTCAAGAAGGCAGGAAGTTTATCCACTGCCTTCCCCAGCATCTTGAACACTTAAATATTCAAGATGCTCTCTAAATATTTATTGAATTAATGAATATCATTCTGTTTGCTCTTCCTTTGTTTGTATCAGTTGATGTATGTCGCAGGCACAGACATCTGATAATGTGACTTAAGAGCTGAATGTGGGAAAGTCTTATAACTTAAACTTGGACCATCAGAACCGACACTACAAAAATTGAGCCTCTGGATAGGAAGTATCAATATCGTGAAAATGTCCATACTGCCTAAAGTAATTTATAGATTCAATGCTTTCCCCATCAAGCTACCATTGACTTTCTTCACAGAATTAGCAAAAACCACTCTAACTTTCACATGGAACCAAAAAAGAGCCCGTATAGCCAAGACAATCCTAAGCAAAAAGAACAAAGCTGGAGGCATCACGCTACCTGACTTCATGCTATACTACAAGGCTACAGTAACCAAAATAGCATGGTACTGATACCAAAACAGATATATAGACCCATGGAACAGAACAGAGGCCTCAGAAATAACACCACACCTCTACAACCATCTGATCTTTGACAAACCTGACAAAAACAAGCAATGGGGAAAGGATTCCCTATTTAATAAATGGTGTTGGCAAAACTGGCTAGCCACATGCAGAAAACTGAAACTGGACCCCTTCCTTATACCTTATACAAAAATTAACTCAAGATGGATTAAAGACTTAAATGTAAGACTTAAAACCATAAAAACCCTAGAAGAAAACCTAAGCAATACCATTCAGGACACAGGCATGGGCAAAGACTTCATTACTAAAACTCCAAAAGCAATGGCAACAAAAGCCAAAATTGACAAATGGGATCTAATTAAATGAAAGAGCTTCTGCACAGCAAAAGAAACTACCATCAGAGTGAACAGGCAACCTACAGAATGGGAGAAAACTTTTGCAATCTATTCATCTGACAAAGGGCTAATATCCAGAATCTACAAAGAATTTAAACAAATTTACAAGAAAAAACAAACAATCCCATCAAAAAGTGGTTGAAGGATATGAACAGATACTTCTCAAAAGAAGACATTTATGAGGCCAACAAACATATGGGAAAAAAAGCTCATTATCACTGGTCATTAGAGAAATGCAAATCAAAACCACAATGAGATAACATCTCACGCCAGTTAGAATGGCGATCATTAAAAGCCAGGAAACAACAGATACTGGAGAGGATGTGGAGAAACAGAAATGCTTTTACACTGTTGGTGGGAGTGTAAATTAGTTCAATCATTGTGGAAGACAGTGTGGCGATTCCTCAAGGATCTAGAACCAGAAATACCATTTGACCCAGCAATCCCATTACTAGGTATATACCCAAAGGATTACAAATCATACTACTATAAATACATATGTCCATGTATGTTTATTGCAACACTGTTCACAATAGCAAAGACTTGGAACCAACCCAAATGCCCATCAATGATAGACTGGATAAAGAAAATGTGGCACACACACACCATGGAATAGTATGCAGCCATAAAAAATGATGAGTTCATGTCCTTTGCAGGGAACTGGATGAAGCTGGAAACTATCATTCTCAGCAAACTAACACAGAAACAGAAAACCAAACACTGCATGTTCTCACTCATAAGTAGGAGCTGAACAATGAGAACACATGGACACAGGGAGGGGAACATCACACACCAGGGCCTGTAGGGTGGTGGGGGGCTAGGGGAGGGATAACATTAGGAGAAATACCTAATGTAGATGATGAGTTGACGAGTGCAACAAAACACCATGGCACATGTATACCTATGTAACAAACCTGCACGTTCTGCACATGTATCCCAGAACTTAAAGTATAATAACAATAAAAAATAGATTTACTTTGTCAGTTATACAAAGTCATAAAATGGCACTGGAGCAATGGTAAAAAATATGAGTAGATATCTGTTAGGGGTATTCTTTAAGTAAGGGAGATTATTTACTGTGAAAACAATAAAAATATTTTTAAAAATTGAGCCTCCACTTTCTTCAAAACTACATATGTCCTAGGCCTGCCATGACAAAATCACAGCAACCAGGTGGCTCAGCACAACAGAAATGTATTCTCTCGCAGTTGTAGGCGCTACGCTTACTCTGGGGCTGTAGGGGATGATCTGCTCTTTGCCTCTTCCAGCTTCTGGTGGCTTTGGCGTTCCTTGACTATAAATTCCACCCACATCTTTGTATCACGCTTTCCTCTGTGTCTGTGTCTCTCTACTATAAGGACACCTGTCATTGGATTTAGGGCCCACCTGGACAATACAGGATGACCACCTCATCTCACAATCCTAACTTTAATGACATCTGCAAAGATGCTTTTTCAAAGAAGGCAACATTCTCAGGTTCTGGGGCTTAAATTATCTTCTTAGGAGCCCACTATAGCCTGATACAGTCCACTACAGACAAGTAAAACTTTGAGTTCCATATTTTTGACCCATTGATAACTTTACTATGTCTGTAACTTCCATTCAGGTGTCAATATTTTTTAAAACCCACTTTCAAAAGAAAATATAAAGTGGCTTGGCTAAATCACAGGGCACAAATATGATTTGCTATTTATCCACCTGGGAATAAAACTAAACTGACTTTTCCCTATACATACGAAAACACCTCAAACCAGCCCCATGTAAAGATGCGAAGTGGACAAAGTTTGCCATCACCATTGTCCTGCTTTCTCTTTTGTTGTCCTACTTTTTTTTTTTTGCAGCACCCCTTTCCCTGTTTTATACTATGTTGCCCTGTTTGTGCTCTTATAGCAAAATACCACAGACTGGGTAATTTACAAACAATAGAAATCTATTTCTCACTGTTCTGGAGGCTGGAAAGATCAAGGTACTGGCAAATTCGTCTGGGGAGGGCCCATTCCTCATAGCCAGGCTTTTGTGTGGCATCCTTACATGATGGAAGGGCCGGAAAGGCAAAGGGCCTAGCTAGTTCCCCTCAGCCCTTTAGTAAAGCTCTCTTGGCCCAATCACTTCCTAAAGGCCCCACCTCTTAATTCGACCACAATAGAGATTAAATTCCAATATGAATTGTGGAGGAGACATAAACATTCAAACCGTAGCCTTACTTACGGGCAGCTCTCCAGAACAGGAGCTTACTTTTCTCATGTTTCCATGCCATAATCATTCAGAAACTTTCTGCTTTTATTTTCTTCTCTTAGGATTTTTAGAAGTAGTATGCCTGGCCTTTGATACTTTTTTTTTTTAAACAATTCAGTTTATCCTTTGGTACTCATTGACACCCCTGTTAGGGATTGAATTGTCTCCTCCCAAAAAGATATGTCAAAGTCCTAGCCCACAGTATCAGAATGTGATCTTACTTGGAAATGGGGTTTTTACAGAGGTAATTGAGTTAAAATGAGGTCATTTGGGTAGACCCTAATCCAATATGACTAGTATTCATACAAAAAGGGGAAATTTAGGCTCAGACACAGACATGCATAGGGGGAAGACAGACATGAGAAGATGGAGAATTAGAGTGTTGTGTCTGCAAATCAACAAGTGCTGGCAACCACTGGGCGCTAGGAAGAGGCAAGGACGGATGTTTCCCCTGCAAGTTTCAGATTGAGCATGGCCCTGCGAACACCTTGATTTCAGACTTCTAGCCTTCAGAACTATGAGACAATAAATCTCAGTTGTTTTCAGCCATTCAATTTGTTAAGGCAACTCTAGCAAACTAACAGACACTCTAAACTCAGCTATCCCACTTTCTTTAGCACACAGAATTCAGTTTCACTCTACCACTGCCCTCCTAGTCACTATCTGGATTTCAGTCTCAGTACTTTAGTGAGACTTAGGATAATGCAATGAAAGGCTAATTACTTGTTTGAAGTTTCAAAGAAGCTCTTAGAAGTACAATTGCTCCAAATTTGAAGCAAGTGAATGCATGTGTAATAGTTTAAGATATGGACTTATGACTATAATCTCAAATTGGCTAGTGAATATGTTAATTCATAAACAGAAGCTACATAATTATTTTTTGAAGCATGATTTAAGATTTAAGATGATTGAAGAAGACAGGAATTTTGTTGTGAGAATAAGTAGGCACTGAGCTAAGTCTGCTCTGGAGTAATGAATTTTTCTCCTGTCCTCCTCATCTTCCTTCTTCTCTGTAGACATACACTCCACCTCCTAATGGGGCACTGTCTTTTTCCTGCAAGTGTGGTATCCCTCATTTCCAATGGCAGAGAGCAGAAGGAGCAGTTGATAATCTTCAGGATACGGCTGCAGGCTGGGCCTTGTCCTGGGATGTTTAAAGACTGCCTGTGCCTTTAGTTGGAGAAGGCATTCCAGTTGGTGGTACAATTATGGGTTCTTCTCACCGTTTTAACATTGTTTAGATGGGGAAAGATATCTGTATGAAATGTAATTGGTTGTTTTATACTTTTTTTTAACTCTGGGAAGAAAGCTCTCCCTATAACATATTCACTGCTGACATTTGGTCATCTGACATATGCATGTGTTCTTATTTCCACTCTATATGAAAGTAAGATCCTAATTCAGAGTTTTGGAAAAAGCATGACCTTCCCAGGAAATATACACATTTACCAGGAGCCTTGATGCAAAGACATTAATACCTGCATTTCTTATCTTCTGTAGGATTCGTGGGGTGGATCCTTTTTTAGCAGGGGCCTCATGCAATGAATGGTTCCTCAAGCACACAGGAGGGTGACTGCTCACCCTGTTTTTGCATAAAGCTCATTCTGAAAGCTTTGCAGAATGAAAGTTTGCTACAGAGTGCAAACTCAGATGGTCAAACAGTATGTGGCATACCAACCCATGTGAGTGAAAAAGATCATACAAAGTCCCCAAGAGGAGTCCGTCTCAAACTTCCCTTACGCAGGACACAGATGATGGTTGCCTCTTGCCCCTGAGCATGGTGCTCCACCATACTCCCCACAGACAATTTTTAAACGACCTTCCTTAAGTAGCAACCAAGCAGTGTTGTGTCACTGTTGCCATCTGGCAACTAGTGCTGCAAACCAGGTAACACAAAAATTGTTCACTACCTTCTTGAGCAAATGAGACATAACAAAACCCAACTCCTAACAATCTGTTTTTCCTCAGTGCCAGCATTCACGATACAGAAAAATTAAAAAATTTCCCAAACTTATTCCTCTTTTATTTAATTACCAGTGTCATTATAATATTTCCCTTTTAAATAAATAACATTGTAAGCTAATTAAATCTTTGAAAAGCAGTATATCTACTTTGCATGGGCATTTTTTTTTTCTGTTTTTATCGAGAAACATAGTTCTTCATAGTGTCCATAGTTCCAAACTATTGAATTGTTACTAGAGTTGGACTTTTGGTTTGCAATCTCTTGAAAATGTGGAAGTAAACACACACACACACACACACACACACACACACACACACACACACAGTGATACATCTGATAAATATTTTACTTTAGGATGCAAAATGTGTCATTTTCTTTCACCCTTCAAATAAAATGGAATATTTTCCAATCCATCTTGCTGTAATTGTGGGAAATTCAGTCTCACTCTTTATTAGATTCCTGTTCCCCCAGTTCCACCAGGTTACTCAAAGTTCCAAGAAATCTTATTCAGGGCAGGTTTTATATTAAAGGCCCTCCCCTGTATGGTGTCCTTGGTCACTGTTAATTATAGCAGCAGCACATAGAAGACCAGCACATAGAAGATCAGCAGATGGTTCTGCTGGTCTTACCAACAATGGGCATTTGGTCTTTGCCAAGTATCAAGTTCCACTTCCTGGAGTCTGGCCTGTCAAGATGCACCAGACAGGTATACTCCTCCCAGGGGTACTGCCACCTCCCTACAATGCTGAGGCAGCTGTTCCCCCTCACCCCTGAACCCTGCCTTTCCAGAGAGGACCCCTGTTCCTCCTCTATGCTCCCATCTGCTTTACTGGTCAGAGCAAGCTTTTTCAGTTCAGTCACTCAGCACCACCACTCCCAACCCCACGGATCTCTATTTCTCATGCCCAAACTCCCCACATAAGACAGATATTTTTAAAATCTTCTAATTCTGCACTAGGAATAAAAGAAGTCACAGATCTTCAGGCTTTACATCCTTGCTTGCCACCAAGGTTGGGTTTGTGGGGGAAGGACATATACCTCTCATTCTTTCTGATTCTTCTGCAGCAAACAAATACACAAAAAGCAAATAAAAGAAGCAAAGAAAGCCAACAAAAAGCCACACAGCTTGCAATTTAACCCTGATTTTCTTAATCTTATGAGGTGTTTTCACACTCTGAGCAGTTAAATGGCACAATTTATGAAATTCTGTCCTTGAGTCTTTGAAAAGGCTGATGAAAGAAACTGGATTTTGTGGTGACTCTAAAGATATATGTCATTCTGATATTTTTTAATTGGGATTCCTCCAGAAAGGTTTTCACTTTTGATTGTGTAATATGCATACTTAAACCAAAAACATTTTAAAATACTTTTTCAGATGAGAGGTGGAGTTTACTAGCTCAATTGCAGTTGCTCTCAGTGTGATACTTTATATAGAAAGTGAGAGATCTGGTACCTAACTTTTCTTTCCCCTTGCTCCCCTGTGGACAATTGCATCTCTCTACAGTTACTATTATGGTCTGGAAAAGTTAAACATCTATGAGGAATGAATCTGTTATCTTTTTTCCTCTAAGGAAAATTATTTCAGAATAAAGATATGAATGTTGTTGGGTAATACATTTAAGAGTTGAATGGAAGTTTTTTTTTTTTAATGTCCCATTTTTTGAAAACCAACCTCCTTCTGTTTTCTTGGAAAAATTAAAAAATTCCGCAGAACTGGTGATGATAAACAGCCATTGGCTAGATTTTCTTGTGTTGGAGTTGCTGATATAGTTTCCTTTTTTTTTTTTTTTTCTGATATTTTAGGGAATTGAGAATACAGGAGTGGGCTTGGGAGAACTCATTTAAATTTCACCATTTATAAAAACCCTACTCCCAAACAGTGCTGTTTCGTGTTGGTTGAATAATTCACGAATGGGCAGATGGAAATGCACTTATAGCTACAAACTGAAAGTGTCCCTTTGTATAAGCACCCGTCTGTTAAGCGTTCTTGATTCAGTTCCATTATGGTTAAAGCAATACATGGGAGGAATGAATAAGATCAAGTTTTCCACTAAAAATAGCATATTCACATGGATTTAGTAAAACCCTTCCTATTGAGGTGATCTGACTCCAGGATCTTATGGAACAAGGAAGTAATTAGAACCCAGGCATTGAACTACAAAATAAATGTCCTGTCAATGAGTTATGTTCTTGGTTCTGTGTTTCTTTATTTCTTTAAAAACAGTTTTAACAAACACACAACTATTGCTTTGCTCATTCAAAAGCATGAGTAGAAAAGTAGAACTAAAGCCACCACCATGGTGTCCCGAGCTTCTCAGCCCAGGCCTCCTATAGAGCAGCAGAGGGGACTGTGTGACTCAGGGAATTCAGCATCATGCTGGCTTCTGAGCCTATATCTAATTCTCAGTGACCTCATGAAAACTACTTCAAGTGTCTGTGCCTCTGCTTGCTTTTAAGGCGAGGAGAATGCTATTAGCTTCCTACCAAGAAAGTGTGGGGTGAATAGCAAATGAGTATAATTGAAAGTGCATATTGCTAACAATGTGTGAAGTGCCCAGGGATAACCTTACTAAGTGTAAGGTGACTGGAAGAGGAGAGATGACAGATGGCCTGCTGTGTAACTAGACCTATGATTCAGACATGTTGTAGCTCAGGAGTTGTCTGAAGGCTTTGTTTGCCATGGTCTAAGGGGATGAATAACCCATTTTAGCCCTAAAGAAATGAGACATTAACACTTGCATAATCAAGCATTTCAACAAGCATTTGGAAGAAAAAGGTCTACTTCTACTTTAGCCTAAGATCTAAAGGCCTCAGAAGTCATTCAGCCCACCTCTTCCTCCACCCACAGAAACCCAAATGTTGTAGGCCATTTCCCGTAGAAGACACTTGCCACCTCCTGAATTCTGATTCTGTGTACTGTTTACCCATTGGCTCTAGTTCTACTTCCCGAAGCAACAAAATCAGTCTGTTTCTTCTTTCATGTGATAGGCTTTTCAAACCATTGAAGTCAGAGTTCCCATTTTGCTTGAGTTTCTGTTTTCAGGTAAAATATGTTCCATTCCATTCCTTACATGACATGGAACCCAAAGGCCGTCACTGTCAATGTCATCTTCGGTGTATTGTTATTGTTTCTCTTAAAATGTATTCTTCAAAATGGTCATTATCTTAAGAGTGGGTATAATGTTCAAAGTGTAATGAGGCCTCTTTTATTTAAATTTTAACCAGGCAGGGCATGGTGGCTCCCTCCTGTAATCCCAGCACTTCGGGAGACCAAGGTGGGGGTATTGATTGAGGTCAGGAGTTTGAGACCAGCCTGCACAACATAGCAAGACCCCGGTCTCTACAAAAACAAAAGTTAAAAAATTATCCAGGTGTGGTGGTGTGTGCCTGTAGTGTCAGCTACTTGGGAGGCTGAAGTAGGAGGATATCTTGGGCCCAGGAGGTTGAGGTTGCAGTGAGCTATGGTTGGTGTTACTGCACTCCAGCCTGGGTGACAGGATGAGACTCTATCTCTAAAGTAAATAAATAAATAATTTTAATCAAACAGATATTTATGATATTTATTTTGAGTGTCTGTGTGCTTGGCACTATGGATATAATAATGAACAAAATACACATAATTCTTATTCTTATAAAGCTTATGTTTGGGGAATAGTAGGGAAGTGGGGAAAATTACTTCCAAAAGAAAGCTACAAAAATTCAATTAAAAAACTCCAGGTCTGCAGATGCGTTATAGCAGATATGGCCGATTGGCATTCAGCGTCCCTCCCCACCTCCTCTGGTTTGCTTTCCTTTCCTGTATAGCCTGGTAAGCTAACACTACACTTCCCAGACTGCCATGTAAGTAGGATTCTGGATGGGAATTAGGTGCTACCAAATATATACAACTCAGGTAGGTCCTTGTTAAGAAATTTGCCCTTGTTAAGGAATTTTATTCTAAATGCAATGGAAAGCCACTGAAGAATTTTAAGCAGTAATCTAACATTTAGAGCTTTAAAAGAGGCTTACATGTCTGATAAGGCTAACCTCCCTTTACTTTATTTTTATTTTTTGAAATTTTGAAGCTATTTCTTTTGTTCAGTTACTCATCTAGATAAATTTTAGAATAATTTTATCCATTAAAAAATGTGTGAATAATTTTATTGGCTTAAACTTAAAAATTAATTTGAGAAGAAATAATTTAATGTTTCTGCCCTTAACATATTTTTCTCCACTTATATAAATTTTATATCTGTCAAAAAATTGAATAGTAAACTGAACATACCAAATATTTGTACAATAGGGAACTACTGGGGCACTGTGAGAACTTGTAACAGTAAAATCTAAGCCAGACTCAGGATTATAGACAAGGCTTTTCAAAAGTGACATCTTGATTGGGTCATAGAGAGTGAATAGGAGTTCACTGGGCAAAGAGAGAGAGAGGTAAGGGAAGAAAGTTCTAAATGACTTGATCAACTTATAGGAAGGTCCAATAGTAAAAGAGAGTGTGGATGTTGCTTTGAAGCACTGAAAAAGTTTAACATGGCTAGCACATAAAAAGGGGGTGAAAGAACAAAATTGGAATAATTTGGGTAAACAACGATCAAATTATGAATAGCTTTGAAAACTGTATTTGGGAACTTAGATGTATATTTGGAGTTCAGATGGCAGAACCAACTTAATGTGATAATAGAAAGATAGGTATAGGTATAGGTATAGGTATAGGTATAGTTATAGTGATGGAAAGAGAGGTATTCAATAGAATGCCTAGGCTTCTGGCTTGGGAACTGGGAGAATGGCAGCGCCTTTCACAGGAGAATAAGAGGTGAATCACATCCAGGAGGACTGAGGGATATCATGAATGCATTTTTGTACCTGTTGAATTTGAGATGCTTGGCAGGGTATAAAAATGGGAATGTCCTACAGGTGTTTGAATTATTGATCAAAACCACAATAAAATGATATAGGTAAAGTGATTGATTTTTTGAATCATTGTGGTATTTGAAGGCATTTAAGTGGGAAAAATCAGCCAAGGATCGTGTGAGGATCAAGAAGCACAATAAAAACAACATGGATTTTAGAACCTCTGCTCTGAACCCCAAGGATGACCTCAGTGGGCTCAGAATTCCCATTACACTGGAGATCCATACCATGCTCATGGAAACCTTCTGGTATGTTTCATACTAGGCGATCTGGTTGCAAGCAGCAGATAATTAATTCCAATTAATTTACGATTTTTTTTTTTTTTTAAAGCATGGGCTCAAAGAACCAGGAGCCAGGAGATTCCAGGTAGACTTCAAACATTACTGTGTCCAAAAACTCAAACACTGATGTGCTTATTTGCGATTTGCAACATTCTACGTGAAGGCTCTTTCTACATGGTAGAAAGATGAACCCCAGCTGACCCAGCTTACCTCCTCAAAGCTTAGCAATATTGGTGGAAAGAATATTGCTCTCTCCAAATGTACTTATATTAATCCTGGAGAAGATACCTATTAACCCTGTTTGTCTTATGCCAACTGTAATTCAATTTCTGTGCCCAGGAGAATGAAGCATTGTCACTGGTCATCTTGGATCAGGAATTCTAAGACAATTGAAATTCTTAAGATCCACACCAGGACTTCTGAGTCAGAATAGCTGTGAAAGAGTCCCAGGAGTATGAATTTTTAAGAGCTGCTAAAGTGATTCTTATTGAAGGTGTGCACAGATTGTGTTTTGAGAAACACCACAAGCTCCAGACCTGGCTTGAACAGAATGTTGCCTAAGAAGAGTCAGGTTTGCACCCTGACAGTCTTGGTGAATTGGAAAATGTTTGGATGGACTTGAATAGACTTGGGTGGTCAAATCTGGACTGAATTACATTCTTAGATATATAACCAGGCAACTCACATGTCAGTCTTCTGTGTACAGTGTGTGGAGCCTGCTTCCTGTGTTATCCACTACTTGTTACATCAGATCTCAGTTTTCTGCGTTCAATCCTTTCATGCCGTTTCAGATCCCTAATGGTGCATTTCCAAAAATGCTACACTGTGCCTGCCCACCTAAACCCTCACAGTCTCTCTGCCTCACCTTTTTGCTGCCACACAATCTACCTGTCAATATCTCCGAAGCCAGCCTGCTTTGTGACTCTTTAATCTCATGCTTTACACTTCTGAACCTGGGCTACAGGCCTGGAATATATTTTCGTGTACTACTCAATAGCACTGTCCTAAGGTGAAAGGCAAACTGGGCATTTAAAGAGTCCACAATTGCAGGAGAAATAGAAATTGTCACTCTTTTTCAGGATAAAACATCTCATATAAAGAACGTGAGAATAAAGACTCACCAGACCTCAACTTCCAAAGCCACACTTGGATAAAAATAGAAAAAAGACTGCAAATGCCATGCTAAATTCTCTATATGTTTGGTCTTTCATCATTTTTCAGCTCTATTTAGCTATAATTGACAAATAAAAATTAAACATATTTAAGGTGTATCGTGATGTTTTGATAGTTGTTTACATTCTGAAATGATTAGTACAATCAAGCTAATTAATGTATCTATCACCTCAACATCTCACATTTTTTGGTGTGTGGTGAGAACACTTAAATTCTACTCTCTTAGCAAATTTCAAGTACTGCATACAATTCATTGCTATTATCTGTAGTCACCATGCTGTACATTAAATCTCTAGAACTCACCCTATAATGGCAAGTACTTGTTAACCAAGCTGCCATCTTGGGAGAAAGAAGACCCAAAACTGACCTGCAATCTAAAAAGAAAATGACTCCACTTATGAGAACCCTGATGGGGTCAACGCAGCACATATTGTAAGTGGGACAATGAATGAAATGGTGTCAGGGCTTCGTGACCTCACACCATCAGAATATGTTTCACCAGGCAATGGGCAGGCTCTCAGAATGCTACCAAATATGTGTTGAAAAGAGGTTTGAGCAATTGCTCTTATGTGAGAATGCTGTGAAAACACAGCTTTTTTCAGCTTCTAACTTTTCTGGATATTAAACTCACTCTGCTATACTTTGCATATTCTTCTCTTCTTTCTAGTTGTTGGGCTGGTGCCAGAGGATAAGTTATGAGAGCTCTCACCCAAATCATTTAAGGACCTTTATTCTATACTTTGTTCCTGACAGTTAAGTGACATTTTTTTTCAAAGGACTTAAATTAGCAAGATACTACTTGGGGATTATCTTATCCTATATTATCCTGCTTTTCTCCTCCCTGTATTCTCTCTGTTGAAATTGATCTTAAATCTGGCCCTCCTTGCCTCTGGAGAGGAAAAGGCAGGATAAATTCAGAAATTCTAGCTTTTATTTTCCAAATCCTAAACTCTGGAGGGAGGAACAAATTTGTGGACTCAGGTAAAGAAACCTTTATACGCATGGCGGGTAAAGGATTCAACAAGATAAGAAATATTCTCCAGGGCCCAGGGCTGTGAAGAAAGAGCTGCCAGAGAGACAGAAAGACCTCTGAGGGTCCGTGGGTCCCAAGAGCAGAAGGGACTAAGGCTTGGCCTTTTATGGCAAGACCATGGAGACCAAGGTTTTGTGGGTTCTCTAACCAGGGTCATAAATCCAACGTGCCTAGTTTCTTGGTAGGTGACATAAACATGGGAATCGGGTTTGGAGTGATGCAACTGAGAGACCAGTAGGGCTGGTGCAAAACTCTGGAGTGTGTGTCCTTCCGGAAGGCAATCCAATTCCACATTTAAGACTACTGGCTGGGCGCTGTAGCTCACACCTGTAATCTCAGCACTTTGAAAGGCCATGGTGGGAGGGTCATTTGAGCCCAGGAGTTTGAGACCAGCTTGGGCAACATAATGAGACCCCATCTCTATTTCTCAAAAACACAAAACAAAATAAAACAAAGTAAATTTTAAAATAAAACTACTGCGTGGGTGAATAAAATGGATCTTTTGTACCTGAAAAAGTTTTGATTTATGTTCCAGGAGCCACACTGAGCGGGACAATGTGTATTTAGTCTGAACAGATTATTAAAGTCCAGGGGCCCCCAGTGCCTAGATGTCATATAAGCTGCCAAACATCATTGCTAACTCAGTGTGGAATGGGAAGGATGGAAGCTTTGCAATGACCCATAGACATTTCAGGATGAGGCTTAAAACAGAGATTGCATTGAGTTATCAAAAATTTCAAAAGCTGTGGTACACCTGTTGTGGGCTGTTACTCCTGTCACCAGAGATATGTCCAGGATAGCTTTAGCTTTGACAGTGTAAATCCTGGTGCTACTAATAACCAGCCATGTGATCTCAGAAAAGTTATTATATTTCACATCTCAAGCCTCAATTTCCTAATCTATGAAAGGGGAACAAGAGTAACACCCTCTTAAAATGTTGCTGGATTAACTGGGACATTTTAAGTCAAAAACCTAGAACAATGCTTGTCTCCTAATAAGCAGGCACTCAGATTGTAACTCTTGGTACCAATAATGCTGATGCCTTGTGCTTAGAGAGAATTTGGTGAAATAGTAATTGTGAACTTTCCTTGTATCAATATTCAAGATGTCAATACATTAATTCTCTTGTCCCTTGAGATCGTTTCCCGTCTAGCTCCTTGCAGGTTCATGTAAAAACACTCCTACAGACTCTCCATAGGCTCTCCAGACATCTCAGACTCCCTTGAATCTTAGGTTTAACACAGCTTAGGACTAAGCTGGGGTTCTTACTACAAATTCTGATAAACTTGGGCTTCAATCTACAGGCTAGAGGAAATAATAAAGTTTCACTGAAACTTAATCAAGGCATGTCTATGTGGTGCTAAGTGGCTGTGGTCTACATGTGTAGTCTTTTGAGATCCTAATTTGATTCAAGTCCAAAAGTTAGAATATCCACAGAAGTGGAAGAATAGATATTCCTTATACCAAAAACTTTACAGCACACATAAGCCTGTGTGTGTGTGTGTGTGTGTGTGTGTGTGTGTGTTTCTTTGAGACAGGATCTCACTCTGTCACCCAGGCTGGAGTGCAGTGGCGCAGCCTTGGCTCACTGCAACCTCCGCCTCTTGGGTTCAAGCTATTCTCCTGCCTCAGCCTCCTGCAAACCTGGGATTACAGGTGCCCATCACCACACCCTGCTAATTTTTGTATTTTGGTAGAGATGGGGTTTTGCCAAGATGTCCAGCTTCCATCCTTCCCATTCCACACTGAGTTAGCAATGATGTTTGGCAGCTTATATGACATCCAGGCACTGGGGGCCCCTGGACTTTAATAATCTGTTCAGGCTAAATACACATTGTCCCACTCAGTTTGGCTCCTGGAACATAAACCAAAGCTTTTTCAGGTACAAAAGATCCATTTTATTCACCCACACAGTAGTTTTATTTTTAAATTTATTTTGTTTTTGAGAAATAGAGATGGGGTCTCATTATGTTGCCCATGCTGGTCTCAAACTCCTGGGCTCAAATGATCCTTGACAGGGTCTTGAACTTCTGGGCTCAAATGATCCTCAATGGGGTCTTGAACTCCTGCCCTCAAGTGATCCATCCACCTCAGCCTCCCAAAGTGCTGGGATTACAGGGGTGAGACACCACTCCCAGCCTGTGTTCTTTAAAGTTCCACCTGAGTCTCTTCCCTTATTCTTGATTAGAGACGAAGTAGGTCTGTCCTTTCATCTCTTCCTGGGGGAGGTATCTAATTCTGTGCCTTCAGTTTCCATCTTAAAAAGTTATAGTGTAATCAAAATCATTCCCATCTTTCCATTTTTTCAACTCACACATCCTGTCTTCAAGCCTTCTCACGTCTTCATGTCAGCATCTTTTAAACCTGATCATGTTCCCACCTTGCCATTGCCCCAAACAACAAACTTCAGATTCCAATTATCTCTCACTGAGATCTGAGGTCACCTCTGGCTGGGCTTCTTGTCTCTCATCTTGGCTCCCTCTAATCCCTGTTGCAGCCAGATTGATTTTTAAAACAGAGGTCAGCAATTTCTGAAAAGGGCCAGATCATAGTTATTTTAGACTTTGCAGGCCCCATGTTCTCTGTTGTAACTATTCAAATCTACAAGTTGTAGCACTAAATCAGCCATAGACAATATGTAAATAAATGGGCACAGATGGGACTCAATAAAACTGGTTACAAAACAGGCAGCAGACCAGATTTGGTTCTGGAGGCCATAGTTTGCACATCTCTGTTGTAATATAAATCTGGTCATATTCTTATTGCCTTTAAGATAAATGACTTATTATTGAAAACAGCTTATAAGCCCAGCCAGACCTCTTAGCATCTACCTCCATCACAAACTCAGCTCTAGCTCTACTGGAAGATTTGCATTACTGCCTTGTATTTTGACCCACAGCTAAGTAGGCCTGCTTGAGACCGACATTCTAAATAATACAAGTTTGACCAGGCGTGGTGGCTCACACTTGTAATCCCAGCACTTTGGAAAGGCAAGGCGGGTGGATCATCTGAGGTCAGGAGTTTGAGACCAGCCTGGCCAACATGGTGAAACCCCACCTCTACTAAAAAAAAAATTAAAAATTAACCAAGAATGGTGGCGCGTGCCTGTAATCCCAGCTACTCAGGACGCTGAGGGAGGAGAGTCGCTTGAACCCAGGAGGCAGAGGTTGCAGTGAGCCGAGATCATGCCACCACACTCTAGCCTGGGTGACAGAGTAAGACTCTGTCTCAAAAAAATTAAAAAAAAAAAAAAAGGACAGGTTTAAGAGGCATAAAGTGAGGTAGGTCGAATTATAGCTCTATCCTTAGTAAAACTGCGGTCTTAGGCAAGCCTCAGTTTCTTTATTTGTGAAAGTAAATAATTACATTGTCTGGAGATAATATTATCTGCCTCTTACATAATTCATTTGCTTAAACATAAGTGGCATAGTGGAATAAAAACACTCATAAACTGTAAAGTGTTGTATAAATATCCTTCTTGCCTAAGTAGGCTTGGCCAGTCCTCACCTCTCCCTTGTCCCTGTTCATGCTGTCTCAGCTGGTGCTCTCTCTGTTCTTTCTCTCCACGGCTATCTGCTTTTTGGCAGTACAGAACAGCTGCAGCCAGCTCAGCGGCGCCCCCAGAGGGTTCAGTCCTCCTATGCCCTCCTTCAACTGACCTACTTGTTCCTTTTTCAGAGCAGGCCCCTCCCATTTTCCTACTCAGCCTCAAATCTGGTGATGGGAGTCCCGACCCCAGCTCTAGCCCCATTTCTGGAGCAATTTCTCATTCTCATGAGGACTAACTGGAAATTATTTTCTCTCTCTCTCTCTCTCTCTCTCTCTCTCTCTCTCTCTCTCTCTGTGTGTGTGTGTGTGTGTGGTGTGTGTGTATGTGTTGACAGAGGTGGTGATAGACAAAGAAAAAATTAGGTTACACACTATTTCTGGCTCTCCCTGGTTCCCTCACTGTCTCAGGGAAGGAAGAGCACATTTTCCAATAGAGGAATTATGGAATGAGCAGATGTAGTAAGTAAAAACAAGTCACATCGATGCATAATTTATAGATCATATATTCCCTCTGTGAGCCTGGGGATTATTTCCACCTATTTGCAGCGCCAGAATGAGGTCCATACTTAAACATCAAATACGACCTTATATTCTTTTATTTGCTTTTTTTAAAAGCTGTTTTATACCTTCTAACTTTGGGTCTTTAAAAAATTCTCTGACTCATTCAAGCTGCTTAATGCACCGTACTGAAATTTCCGACAGGCATCAAAAGCACAGGGAACTAATCTTCCACATCCTTTAAAGAAACAGCAGCTCTCACATCTGGGCACGGGGATCAACTACGCAGGAGGACACTATAAAAGAAAATGCCAAGGCACAAGGCACAGATGTTTTTTCTTTGCTGCCTGGAACTAGATGAAGTTACTTTTTAATGACAGAGAACTAGAAAATGCACTTTTAAAATACTTTATACAAGATTCACTTTTTGGGTTACAAAATTACTAAAAGTATGACAGGTGTTTACATAAATAACATTTATCTACTGTGAGAGGTACTTCTTACAAAGCATCCTTTGTTTACATGTAAATTTCACATTGTAACATTTTCACAGAGGAGGAAGTTCTGTAGGGGTTTCTGTAATTGATTTTCATTTCAAACTTGATTAGAAATTCACTCAATTGTCCTAATTATTCTTTTTTCATGTTTGAAAAACTTTCTATATTCCTTTATGTGAATTAATTGGCTATAGGAAAGCTTCTAGACCCTGCATTATGCCAAATAATATATATATCCTAAATATTATGTTAAATACTAAATTGTAAAACATGTGGCTACCCAATCTATTATTAGAATTCCTGAGCAACTTGAAAAAAAAGCTATGATCCTTTTAAGTTTCTGAATGGATATAGAGGCTTCATTATTAAGCAGATATAAAAAACATGCACGTATCTGACAAAGCCAAAAATGTATAAGGCAAACATTTATGGAATTAAAGGAAGAAATAGATAGTTCTACAATGATTATTGAATACTTCTATACCCTACTTTCTGTAATGGACAGAACAACTAGACAGAACAGAAATAAGGAAATTGAGGACCTGAACAACACTATAAACTATACCTAAAATATATATATAAAATATTTCAACCCAGACCAGCAGAAAACATATTTGTCTCAAGTGCACATGGGACATTCTCCAGGATAGACCATATGTTAGAACACAAAACAAGTCTCAACAAATTTCACAAGTTTGCAATTACCATGAGTAATCAATAACAGAGGAAAACTGGAAAATTCACAGATTTGAGGAAAGTAAATAAAATACTCTTAGCACAACTCAACCCATAACAAGAAGGATTGTTGTTTTTTTTCCCTCAATTCCAGTTAGAAAGCAAACTGGAGAATAACTCTTATGGCCCAATTGTAGATCAGGTGATGCCCTTGGGCCAGTCAGCTGTGGCCAAGGTAGTGGATCTGCAAGAAGATGGTGAGTCCTGTTATAACAACACCATGGAGTCTGGATGATTTCCCACAGCAAGTAGGGGATCTGCACAGACAATATCCTAGACCCACACACTGATAGTGGTTTGTATAAAGTCAAAAGAATTCAGAGGAAGTGAATATTTGAGACACATGTGGAGAAAAGGGAGGCTGGTGAGATAAGAGAAGGTGTCATCTGTTGCTCCGCTGGGCTAGGGGAAGATTTGAGCTGGACTGCCTGGGAAGTGTGAGTCTCCGCACCTGCCAGTGAACCTGAGAGTGGGTGTATCCAAATGTGTTATTAGAAAGACATGGCCTGAGCTAAACATTGACAGTTGAAGTACAGAGGAAAATGAGTTGAGGAACCTAGGGAAAATATGAGAAGCAAAGAGGCACAGCTTAGATAAACACTAGAGTTGGGACTGTTGCCTGGGAAAATATATGTCCATATTTCTAGGTGCATACTTCTAGATGCATATGGGAATGAGAGGCTACTTCCAATAGAGAGACCCAGAACAGGAGTGGATGGTGGAGAGGAAGCTAGAAAGAGTAGTACCTGGAAAGTCTAGGGAGTCAGGAGTCTCAGAAGAACATGGTATCATGTTAAGAGAAAGATCAAAATATAGACTCGAATTTGAACCAGTTGGAGTTTGGTGTTAGCACTTTCCAATAAATGGGGAGAGAGAGGAGGAACAGAGAGTGCAGAACTAGATTGAAGGAAATTGAAGAGAAAATGGAAGGAGAGCAAGTGAAGATAGAATGCTTTTTCAGGAGGCTTAACTGGGACTTGGAGGAGAAAGAATAATAAATCAGGGACAAGGAATGAGGAAAACTGGGAGAGCAAGTCAGTAAGTGCTTGGTTCAGGATGGAATGTGGATGAATGTGTAGAAAAAGCAATGTGACTGGATGGTCTTGCATTTCGAGGACTGGTCAAGGATTACAGAGGTATGGCCATGCGCTTGGCCTCTGGAGTCAGGCTGCCTGGGCTCCAAACCCAGGCCTGTCACTTTCTAACTGTGCAACTTCAGGCCTATTTCTTAGCCTTTCCTTTTCTGAGTTTTCTCACCTCTAAAAAGAAGATAAAGACAAAGCTTACCACATGTGGTTGTTGTGAAGACTAAAGGAACTCATATTTGTAAAATGTTTAACATAGTACCTGGAGCAAAATGAAGACCCATTAAATATAAACAAGCCATTATTATTGTTATTGTTTATCATCATCATTACTGTAAACAGACCTCAGGGTTTCAAATGTAACTCTGGGAATGTTGCGTAAGTGATCATTCAGGCAAAGTCCCCAGTAGACTGTAGATTTTGTTGAAGACTGAGTAGGCAACATGGTAGTGTGCCCCTGAAGAAATCCTCATGCACGTCAAAAATCAAGGATGAACACTGAGAATCTTAACAGCGGTTGGTGTTTATAGTGTTTCTATATGTTAGAAACTATGATGAAGGCCTCATTTGAATACATTTACATAAAATTCTCTCTCTGTCCTCTATCCATCTATCTCCATCCTCTATTTCATCTATCACACATGTCCTAAGAATTTATTTATAGTTTCACGTTTACACTTCTTGTGTAATCTTTTCAATCTGATTTAATTGTGGGATATACGTGAAATAAAAATATTTCATTTCTAACACCTAGAACTTACTTTCCTCCTCTACATTTCAATTCACCTCTTCAAAACTCACACCTTTAAAATGCATATAAGGCCAGGTGTGGTGGATCCCACCTGTAATCCCAGCACTTTGGGAGGCTGAGGTGGGCAGATCATGAGGTCAGAAGTTTGAGACCAGCCTGGCCAACATGGTGAAACCCCGTCTCTACTAAAAATACAAAAATTAGCCAGGTGTGGTGATGCATGCCTATAATCCCAACTACTTGGGATGCTGAGGCAGGGGAATGGCTTGAACCTGGGAGGTGGAGGTGGCAGTGAGCTGAGATCAACCACTGCACTCCAGCCTGTGTGACAGAGTGAGACTCTGTCTCAAAATAAATAAATAAATAAAAATTAAAATAAAATAAAGTGCAAATCAGATGTTTCTATCCGTTGACCCTTTTCTATTTCAGCACTGCTACAGTTAATCTATCCATATAATATCCATATAATATGTCAATCTGCACCTCTCTAAACTTTTATTATTATTATTATTATTTTTTGAGACTAAATCTCACTCTGTCACCCAGGCTGGAGTGCAGTGGCACAATGTCAACTCACCGCAACCTCTGCCTCCTGGGTTCAAGTGATTTTTCTGGCCTCAGCCTCCTGAGTAGCTGAGATTACAGGTGTGTACCACCACGCCCAGCTAATTTTTGTATTTTTAGTAGAGACAGGGTTTTACCATACTGGCCAGGCTGGTCTCGAACTCCTGACTTCAAGTGATCTACCCGCCTCGGCCTCCCAAAGTGCTGGGATTACAGGCATGAGCCACCGCGCCCGGCCCTTAATGGTTCTTTGCATTGTACTTCTGTTCCATGTGCGTATCATATTTTTCACATTGCAAGTTCCCTGGGGAGAGGATTCTCTCTATTTCTTGTGCAACCTCTCAGAATCTATTACAATGTTCTGCAAACACACATCAGATCATACTGAATAAGTGTAAATGAAATGTATCAAAAGTAAGCCCAATAGGTTTAGGGAACGAGAATTAGTAAAAACTGGCTTTTTCCTTACACCCAATTTTTGCCTTCTCATTCTCTCATGGTTTTAACAATATCCTCTTCTTAAAAAGAAGGGTTTATATTGTCATTGTCACTTAAAGGGGAAGACCAACAGGCCCCTTTCTCCCTTCATGTGACCTCCCTGAACATGGTTTGCAGAGTTGCTCCTCCACTTCCTTGGAGGCGGTGGAGCAGTCCAAGGGAGAGTGAATGCTCAAAGTTCCCGAGTGGTTCAGCACTGACAGGTGCTGGGTAGTTTTCCAGGCAGAATATTATTTTATTCAGAAACTGCTGAGCTTGTCTCTGTTGCTGATAATTAATAGATTCTTCTTCACTCTTGTTCAGGGAGAATTTCCCTTTTTTCTTGCCCTTGGCAGTCATCAGTCATACTTCTTAACAACAGCTCTCAGATAAATCACCAGGAGAGAAAGAGTTAGAATAGCTCTTAGCAAACTATGGCAGGAGGAAATTCTTTTGGAAGGACTTGAAATTAGGAAATATATTAGCTTTAAATAATGTTTGGTCCTATTTTGAGAAACTTAGTGAGATATTTTCAAACATTTTAAGTGTATTTATTAACTATATATATAATTTCATTTTTATTTTTATTTATTTATTTTAGTTTTGGAGGCAGAGTCTTGCTCTGTCGCCGAGGCTGGAGTGAAGTGGTGCAATCTCGGCTCCCTGCAACCTCTGCCTCCCAGGTTCAAACAATCCTCATGCATCAGTCTTCCGAGTAACTGGGACTACAGGTGCCCACAACCATGCTCAGCTAATTTTTTGTATTTTTAGTAGAGACGGGGTCTCACCATGTTGCTCAGGCTGGTCTCAAACTCCTGAGCTCAGGCAATCCACCATCTCAGTCTCCCAAAGTGCTAGGATTACAGGTGTGAGCCACCGTGACCAGCCTATAATTTCATTTTTAATACAGAAACTGACAACTAAAAAACTCAGAGTACTTTAAAAGTATAAAATATTAAACGTAATATTGGAGAAACAAGTTCTCTTAAATGTGCTAAAACTGTAAACTTAGTAAGATTTCACTTTGAAATCACAAGTCTAAATTAATTACTCAATTATACATTTTAGATTAGAATTACAGTATGAATCTGTTGCTCTAACTGGCTAAATTCTTATAAACAAGTACATAAAAATGAAAGATGTGCAATATTAACACCAACATTAATATTGTGGTTTTGATTTACTTACACATTTCTCTATTTAATTCTAAATCTTTATAGAGTTGAAAGATGTTTAACCATCCAGGGAATAATTACACCATCACAAAAATTTTGAAGGATATTGTCTCATGGAATACCATCTTATGGAATTCCACTTGAAATTTCATAAGAATGGGGGATTTTGGTTGGGACAGATTGGATTCTTTTTGATAGGGCACTGATGGGATATGTTTGCTCTATTATATTAGGATCCTCCGAAAAGGGTGGTTTGATGGCAATCATAGTGAACATTCCGGTGTTCAGTTTCTATATTAGCCAATTCTTTTTCTACTCACAGAGTATGAGGTCCTGCACTCAGCAGCATCATAAATCACTCTCTTATATTCTTTTTATTATTTCAGGGATTGTTGGCAGAAGGATCTTACTCCAGCTACATAATGGACTATTACAAAACTCAGTGGCTTAAAAAACCATTTTATTATATCTCACAATATTGTGGGTCAGGTATTTGGACAGAAACTGCTGAGCTTGTCTCTGTTGCTGGTTCATTAGCTGATTCATTGTTTTGTTCTATCAGATGACTTCTGTTAATACCACATGGAATAGAAGAATCACCCAACTGAACCCTGTGCCATTCCTGGCCCACAAAACTGTGAAATACAATAAAATGTTTTGAAGGGTCCAATGTGGCTTCACTGTTTTGTACTTTAGGGGGATGGTTGGAAGGCTGAGCCTAGCAGGGATGGTCAATTGAAATGCCTACATGTGACCTTCCTAGCAGTATGACCTCAGGGTATTCAAACTTCTTACCTGGCTACCCAGGGCACTAAGAGAAAGTGTTCCTGTCAATGAGTGGGCTGTCTGGCCTTTAATGATGGAACCTCAGAAGTCTCTTCCACTACAATTGATTGGTCAAAGAGTCACAAGCCCCAATCATATTCAAGAGAAAACATAGACCCCTCTTTTCTGTGGCAGAAGTGTCAATGAATATATGATTGTGTTTTAAAACTGTGACAAAGCCCTGAAGACATTTAAAGATCTTTCCATATACGAAGGTTAATACTGAACTCTTACTTTTCACCATACACAAAAATCAACTCGAGATGGATTAAAGACTTAAATGTAAGACCTACAATGTAAAAACCCTAGAAGAAAACCCAGGACATCCCATTCTGGACATAGGCCTTGGCAAAGATTTTATGACAAAATCTCCAAAAGCAATTGCAACAGAAGCAACAATTTATAAATGGGATCTAATTAAATGAAAAAGCTCTGCACAGCAAAAGAAACTACCAACAGACTAAACAGACAACCTACAGGATGGGAGAAAATATTTGCAAACTGTGAATCTGACAAAGGTTTAATATCAAGAATCTATAAGAAATTTAAACAAATCAACAAACAAAAAACAAACAACTCCATTAAAAAATGGGCAAAGGACATGAACAGACACTTCTCAAAAGAAGACATACATGCAGCCAAAAAGCATATGAAAAAATGCTCAGCATCACTAATTAGAGAGGGGCAAACCAAGACCATACTGGGATACCATCTCACACCAGTCAGAATGACTATTACTAAAAAGTCAGAAAAGAACAGATGTTGGCAAGGTTGTAGAGAAAAGAGAGCACTTACACACTGTTTGTGGGAATGTAAATTAGTTTAACCACTGTGGAAAGTGGTTTGAAACTTTCTCAATTTAAAACAGAACTGCTGTTCGATCCAGCAATCTCATTACTGGGTATATACCCCGAGGAGTATAAATCATTTACTGAAAAGACACATGCACATGTATGTTCATCACAGCACAATTCACAATAGCAAAGACATGGAATCAATCTAGATGACCATCAACAGTGGACTGGATAAAGCAAATGTGACACATATACACTATGGAATACTATGCAGCCATAAAATGAATGAATTCATGTCCTTTGCAGCAATATAGATGTAGCTGGAGGCCATTATTCTAAACAAACTAATGCAGGAACAGAAAGCCAAATACAATATGTTCTCATTTATAAATGGGAGATGAACACTGAGTACACATGGACACAAAGAGGAGAACAATAGACACTGGGGCCTATGTGAGGGTGGAGGACGGGAGGAGGATGAGGGCTGAAAAACTACATATTGGGTACTATGACTGGGTCTTGAAATCATTTGTACACCAAACCCCAGTAACATGCAACTTACCCATGTAACAGACCTGCACATGTACCCTCTGAATCTAAAATAAAAGTTGAAAAATATAAATAAAGATCTTTCCATTTAACTCAAAATGTCTTTGAGTTTGATGTGCATTCTTCTCAAACACTTTTTGTATTTTAGGAATATATAACTTTTTAAAAAAATTTTTTTATTATACTTTAAGTTCTGGGATACATGTGCAGAACATGCAGGTTTGTTACATAGGTATACATGTGCTGTGGTGGTTTTCTGCACCCATCAACCCGTCATCTAGGTTTTAAGCCCTGCATGCATTAGGTATTTGTCCTAATGCTATCCCTTTCCCTTGCCCCCACCCACCAACAGGCTCCAGTGTGTGATGTTCCCCTCCCTGTGTCCATATGTTCTCATTGTTCAACTCCCACTTATGAGTGAGAACATGTGGTGTTTGGTTTTCTGTTCCTGTGTTAGTTCTGCAGAGAATGATGGTTTCCAGCTTCATCCATGTCCCTGCAAAGCACATGAACTCATTCTTTTTTATGGCTGCCTAGTAAGGAATACATAACTCCTATAGCTATTAGAACAATATCTAATTACATTCTAGGCATATTGCATGGCATTATCTAACAATCTGGTCATGACTTTAAAAGAACATTCTACTTGATAAAATGAACCTCAAAGGTCATTCTACTTGATGAAATCATTTATAAGAAAATATTTACTTCATTTCCAAATGAGCCAAAGATGTTATCTCTTGAAATGTACTCGAAATGTGAAAAGTCCTTGTCTTACATTAATGGTTTCTTCAATTTTCTTGACTGATAAATGTGCAATGAAAAATATTTTATGTTCTCATGTACTGAATTCAACATATATACAGCGAGAATCTTTTAAAGTAAAGTGAGTATTAAAGAAAAGTCTGGATTTCATCACGTGTCGATGGTTGTTGGGAAATCATTCAGGATGAAAGAGACAAGATGAGCAATCAAAGTAAAGCAATTAACATGCTTGGGAACCTTTCAGCAGGAACTGGGATCTTCCAGTAATTCACCAAAATGAGGAACACAAAGGGAAAGAGGAGAGGCACCGATACGTGTTCTCTAGGCCTTTTAGAAAACATGGAGTTGTTCCTTTGGGCACAAACATGAGAATCTGCCAGAAAGGCAATTTTGTAGACATCCACGGGATGGATACCGTTCCAAAAGGAATGCCCCACAAGTGTTACCATGGCAAAACTGGAAGAGTCTACAATGTTACCCAGCATGCTATTGGCTTTGTTGTAAACAAACAAGTTAAGGGCAAGATCTTGGCAAAAGAATTAATGTGCATATTGAGCATATTAAGCACTCCAGGAGCTGAGATCATTTCCTGAAATGTGTGAAGGAAAATAATCTGGAAAAGAAGGAAGGCAAAGAGAAAGGTTCCTGGGTTCAACTAAAGCACCAGCCTACTCCACCTAGAGAAGCACACTTTGTGAGAACCAATGGAAAGCCTGAGCTGCTGGAGCCTATTCCCTGTGCATTCACGGCATAATAGGTATAAAAGAAGCAAAAGACCTCTGGACTGTAAAAAAAAAAAAAAAAAAAGGAAATGAGGATGAATGTACTAAGAAAAGATGCAAGCATATCTATAACCTGCTACAGACAGGCTCAGTCAGAATCCAAGTTCCATTTGTGTTTTATTCTATTTAGCTCCTGTAAGAATTTTAACCTTGATTCTACATTTTGGGTGATTTTATCTATCCCCTCCCAGCACCACTGAAACAAGCATTGGTCGATGCTGAATACATATTTGTTAACTGAATGAATAAATGACCAATATTCAAAGAATCTGAATATAATAAATCATCTCTCAACACCAAAATTACATTGCTCATAATTTATTTCTCCAGCCTTGAATCAGAAGGCATTCAAATCCTCTAGCAGTAGTCATCATTATCATAATCAGGGATCATTGTTTTCTCAGTCAACTTCTTTTGCTTTTTTGAGTGTTTTGATTCCAGTTAAAGACGTACATACATATTTCTGTCCAACTGGGTGGCTTTCCTTTAAGCTAAATATGATGATAGAACACCAGAACTCTAAAACTCAGAGTGATCTCATGGACACTCAACCCATCACCAGCTTTTCTCAGTATCTACTGTTGTCAGATAGAAACAACGCTCAGAAAGAATGTCTTGTGAGGTTCCAGTGAAATGCACTGAGGAAAATACAACGTTTGATGCATGGTGAAGGCAAAATAGTGTTACAAAATAGCCATCCCCCAAATTCAGCTTTCAATCTCACTCAATTGTGTCTTATAATGTGGGGCTGGAGATGGATTCGTGGGATCTGCCTCTGATTTATATACAGTTGCAAGATTGCTCTACCTTTTACATTTTATTGGTTGTTTCCGTCTCCACATTGATCTCCTCTTTCCCCTCTAAGTTCTGCACTATCTTTGCTTTGTCTTACATGCCTTGTGCCGCTCTTAAAAATAACGTACTCTAGTTAAGGGGGCCCAAGAGGAAAAAGCTATACCTGTGATTTAGGGTGATGATTTTAATTCTCAAAAGCCCTCTAAATATAGAGCCTACTTGCTTGAAAAAATGTGGCAGATTTCTTGCTTTCAAGAATCTGAAGGGAGTGCTGAACAGAGGGGGAGAATGAAATGTGAAATGAGTTCTCAAGTCCTGTACCTTGGCAATCTGAGCTATGTCTGGGTGGGAAACAATTCAGGAGGAACAGCATGGGCGGGTGGATGTGTTGTCTCCTCCTGCTATTGCAGCTAAGTGACTGGAGTGTCAAAGCTTCGCAGCGTTTAAAAACAAAAGGTTGCTGGTAGGAGGGCCTCTAGCTATTTTTGATTTATTACCTAATCTTTAGACACTAGAAATTAACAACAACAATGAGAAGAAATGAAAAGGGGCAGTGACTAGCAGAAGCTCTACAATGATGATTCATTCATGTGAGTAAGTGGCATCATTTTCAGCATTAAAATAAGCTAGGTATGGCCATTTGAGAAACATCAAGGTCCTCATTATTCTTTATTTCCTAGAATTTCATCATTGTACATTTTAAACACCTGGTCATGAATATTAACTTCAAAAGACAGTTGGTCTGGTTTTTTATAACTTAACCATTGAAAAACCTCTTGTAATTGGCACTTTATGTATTTCAGGAATCATATATAAAAGTGGGGGAACATTTTGCTTTGGAATTTGCAGAACTTACAGCTACTCGGTGACTCCAGTCAGATGGAGTCCACAGAGATGTCTTTCTTCCTGTTGCCTTTTTACCTGTTTGCTGAATGGTCTAGATAGGTCATCAGTTTACAAACCGGTCCATGGAATTTTAGTAAGGAGCCCTTAGGAAAACAACTTTCATTGAAAAATTAAGGTTGGAAAAGGAAGATCACTGATCTAGTGTGTCTAAAACATGTATATACCATTTTAGGTATATATACCTAAATTTACTACGTTTACCTATTTGGTAAATTGATTTTAATATTCTGCATTGGCTAGTATTGCTATCGTATTATGCTGCATCAGCTATTGTGGCTGTTGTCAGTTATCACTGCGTTTAGTAGTCTTATTTCTGACTTCATTAGAAATAGATTTAGTATGTTTTAATTTAAATTGTTTCCTATTTCTGAAGAGTGGATTAGATAACTGTTTTCAGTTCTTCCCCCATCCCTGTTATAGAATTATACCTCCCCACTGTGTCATGGTGGGTAGAGTGTACTTCCCTGCCCCAGTGACATTGAGCTTAGCCACGTGACCTTATTTGTCCACTGGAAGATCAATGTACTTGACTCAAGTAAAGTCTTTCAATGTGTTCCTTTGAACTGTAATGAAAAGAGCACACCTCAGGTAGCTGGTACTCCTTTCTAAAGGTCTGAGAATGAAAATATGTGTAGCAGAAATAAACTGGACTAGAGCCTGGAGTTCAGCTTGGCATAGCAAAGCTCAGCCTAGATTGGCCAAATCCCTGCAATGTGCAGGCCTGTGAGGATAAAAATAAATGTTTATTGCTATAAGCCACTGAAATCTTGGGTTTATTATGTAGCAAAAATGAACTAATTCAGACATTGATACTAGAAGTAAGATGGTACCTTTATAAAAACCTAAAATATACAGTATGTCTTTGGAACTAGGAGGCAGGTGGTATAAAATCTAGCATAGGCAGCTGGAAAACTTACAATCTGTGGTACGTACTGTCGAAACATTTGGATAAACTATCATCTGCTATACCTTGGGAGACAGAAAATATACCTAATCAACTTGTAAAATTAGAAAGACATGAAAGCAGAACATTGAGATCATGAACAGGTTGTTGCAAGAAAGAAATGAGCTCAGTAAAGGACTGGCCAATTTGCAAGCAGAATTGAAGGGGAACAACAAGAGCCCAGACAATACAGGGCTGGATAATAAAACTGTTTCTGACTGAATCATAGCTATGGCCATAAAGACCACATTAAAGATGGGATCAGTGGAATCCTCTTTTAAGACCCCCAAAATGAAAGTAGTACTGGGACATCCTTACCCATAGGTAAATTTTTCTAAAATTCAACGTATAATTGAATTCGTTCATGGTTGGTTCTTCTAGTGTCTTCTTATCTAAGAATTTTTTGCTTATCCCAGAGTTAAAAAAAAAATTCTTCTCTTTTCTTCTAGAAACTTGATAGTTTTTACATTTAGGTCAATGATTTTTTAAATTAATTTTTGTCTATGGTATAAGGAAAGATTTAAATTCTTTTTTTTTTCCTTTGTGGATATGCAGTTACTTCAGCATCATTTATTGAAAAGATTGTTCTTTCTCATATTGAATGTTATTAGCCTCTTCGTTAAACATCAGGTAACTAGGCTCCCCATTCTGATCCATTAATCTATGAATTTATCCTTATGTGAAATAGAATATCTGCTGTTTTAATTAGCATAGCTTTTTGATAAGCCTTAGAATCTTTTAATGTTTCTCCTCTAACTTTATCTTTCTTCTTAAGATTATTAAGATTGACTATTTCAGCTCCTTTTTTCCATATACATGTTAAAATCATTTTATCAATATCTACAAAAAATGTCTGCTGATATTTTGTTTAGGGTTAGAATCAACAATTTAAAAGTATTGAATCTTTGATCCATGAGCATGCTATGTCTTTCCATTTATTTAGGTCTTCTTTAATTTTTTCACAGCAGTGGTTTTCTTGTAGTTTTCTGTTGTAGTTTTAGGCATAGAAGGCTTTATTTTATTTTATTGAATTTACTCCTAAGTACTTGCTATTTTTAAGTTGTAGATGGATTATTTTTAAGTTTAATTACACGATGGTTTGTTGCATGTATATGGAAATGCCATTGACTTAAAAATATTGACCTCATAAAGCAACTGCAACAGAAGCAAACATTGACAAATGGGAACTAATTAAACTAAAGAGCTTCTGCACAGCAAAGAAGCTATCATCAGAGTGAACAACCTACAGAATGGGAAAAAGTTTTTGCAATCTACCCATCTGACAAAGGTCTAATATCCAAAGTCTACAAGGAATTTAAACAAATTTACAAGAAAAAACAAACAACTCCATTAAAAAGTGGGCAAAGGACATGTACAGACACTTCTCAAAAGAAGACATTCATGTAGCCAAAAAACATATGAAAAAATAAACCTCAACATCACTGATCATTAGAGAAATGCAAATCAAAACCACAATGAGATACCATCTCACACTAGTTAGAATGGCAGTTATTAAAAAGTCAAGAA
This sequence comes from Homo sapiens, assembly GCF_000001405.40. Classification (NCBI taxonomy): domain Eukaryota; kingdom Metazoa; phylum Chordata; class Mammalia; order Primates; family Hominidae; genus Homo; species Homo sapiens. The sequence goes on from NC_000006.12 coordinate 131,473,736, forward strand.
ACTACAAATGCTGGCGAGGTTGTGGAAAAAAAGGAATGCTTCTACACTGTTGGTGGGAGTATAAATTAGTTCAATCATTGTGAAAGACAGTGTGGCAATTCCTCAAAGATCTAGAGGCAGAAATGCCATTTGACCCAGCAATCCCATTACTGGGTATATACCCAAAATAATATAAGTCATTCTATTATAAAGATACACGCACATGTATGTTCATTGCAGCACTATTTACAATAGCAAAAACATAGAATCAACCCAAATGCCCATCAATAATAGACTGGATTTAAAAAATATGGTATATATACACCATGGAATACTATGCAGCCTTAAAAAGGAATGAGATCATGTCCTTTGCAGGGACATGATGGAGCAGGAAGCCATTATCCTCAGCAAACTAACACAAGAACAAAAAACCAAACATGACATGTTTTCACTTACAAGTGTGAGCTGAATGATGAGAACACATGGACACATGGAGGAGAACAACAGACACTGGGGCCTGTCAGGGGGCACTGGGAGGGAGAACATCAGGAAAAATAGCTAATAGATGCTGGGCTTAATACCCAGGTGAGGGGTTGATCTGTGCAGCAAACCACCATGGCACACATTTACCTATGTAACAAACCTGCACATCCTACACATGTACCCCAGAACTTAAGAGTTGATGAAAAAAAAGTATTGACCTTATATTTGATGGCTTTGCTAAATTAACTTATTAGTTATAGTAGTATGCAGATTCTTTTGACTTTTCATATCATCTGCACTTAATGAGAGTTCAACTTATACCTTTCTAATCGTTGACTTAAGGAACTGTTTCGAAATTTGAAAATCTGAAGAGACATTACAACTAAATACAATCTGTGATTCTGTACTATATTCTGTATTGGAGGAAATTTCTATAAAGGACAATATTAGGACAACTGATAATACTGGAATTTGAACTATATGTTACATACAAGTATTGTATCAATGTTGTTAATTGTACTGAGCAGAGGTAGGAGTATTCTTCTTGGAAAATATATACTAACACATCAAGGGTAAAAGGGCATGCTATATGAAGCCTACTCTCAAATGATTTAGAAGAATCAGAGAGAAAGAAACAATAAATATGCCAAAGTATAAAACATTAGTGATTCTGGGTAAAGGAGTTCTTTGTATATTCTTGTGACTTTTCTGTAAATTTAAAATTATCTGAAAAGAAAAAGGGTGTCTCTTGTAAAGAGAATAGAGTTGGTTCTGGGGTTTTAAAATTTATTTAATTTAAATAATTAATTTTTTTGAGACAGGGTCTCACTTTATCACTCAGGCTGGAGTGCAGTGGTGTGAACACAGCACACTGCAGCCTCGACATCCCAAGCTCAAGTGAGCCTCCCATCTCACACCCACAAGTAGCTGGGACTACAGGTGTGCCCCACAATGCCCAGCTAATTTTTGTATTTTTTTGTAGTAACAGGGTTTTGCCATATTGCCCAGACTGATCTCACACTTTTGACCTCAGGCAATCTGCCTGCCTTGGCCTCCCAAAGTACAGGGATTACAGGCTTGAGCCACTGCATCTGGCCAGTTCCGTTTTGTTTTTAAATCCCATTTGACAACCAAGATTTTGGTGCATTTATATTTAATGTAGTTACTAATATGCTGGGTATAGGCCTACCATCATTTGCTGCTTGTTTTTTATTTATTTCATCTATTCTTCATTCTGTTGTTCTCTTTTTCTTCTCTTCTTTTGGATTAACCAGTTGTTTTTTAATACTTTTTAAAAATCTTCTATATTTGCTTTTCAGATATACCTTTTTGTATCTTCTCAGTAGTTATTCTAAAGTTGTTCTGTTCAGTATGGTAGCAATTAGCTATATACTACTATTTAAGTTTAAATTAGTTAAAACTAAAATTCCAATTTCTTAGTTTCACTGGTCACATTTCAAGTGCACAATAGTCACATGTGGCTAGTCACTGCTATGTTGGACAGTGAAGATGACAGAACATTTCTATAATTTCAGAAAATTCTATTGAACAGAACTGCTCTACAAATTAAAATATGTACCCTTAATTTATTACTATCTACCTTGACTTCATATTCTAATACTTTACAAATAATGTAAAATACAACAGTATATTTCCATTTACCTATCCTCTAGTAATTTGTGCTACCATTGTCATATATTTTACTTGTACAAATGTACTAAATCCCACAATATATTGCTTATGTTTACTTTATTTTTATTTTTATTTTATTTTTTTGAGATGGAGTCTCGCTCTGTCGCCCAGGCTGGAATGCAGTGGCGCGGTCTCGGCTCACTGCAAGCTCCGCCTCCCGGGTTCACGCCATTCTCCTGCCTCAGCGTCCCGAGTAGCTGGGACCACAGGCGCCCGCCACCATACCTGGCTAATTTTTTGTATTTTTGGTAGAGACGGGGTTTCACCGTGTCAGCCAGGATGGTCTTGATCTCCTGACCTCGTGATCCGACTGCCTCAGCCTCCCAAAGTGCTAGGATTACAGGCTTGAGCCACTGCACCTGGCCTATTTCTACTTTAAATGGTAAATAGCCTCTTTAAAATTTTAAAGAAAAATTATATATTTCTATTTACTCAGATATTTCTCTTTCCAGCGCTTTTTATTTCTTTCTAAAGATTTATGCTTCCATATGTGATTATTCTTCTTTGGCCCAAAGAACTGCCATTAGTATCTCATGTTGCCTAGTTCTGCTGGCCTCAAACTCTCTCAGCTTCTATTGTTTAGACGTATTTTTGGTTTTTAGCAGTTTGACTATGATATGCTGATATGGTTTGGCTCTGTGTCTCCACCCAAGTCTAACCTTGAGTTGTAATAATCTCCACAAGTCATGGGAGGGACCTGGCAGGAGGTAATTGAATCATGAGTGTGAATTTTTCCTGTGCTGTTCTCATGACAGTGAATAAGTCTCACAGGATCTGATGGTTTTATAAAGGGGAGTTCCCCTGCACATGTCCTCTTGCCTGCTGCCACGTAAGATGTGACTTTGCTCCTCATTCACCTTCTGCCATGATTGTGAGGCCTCCCCAGCCATGTGTAACTGCGAGTCAATTAAACCTCTTTCCTTTATAAATTACCCAATCTCAGGTATGTCTTTATTAACAGTGTGAGAATAGAGTAATAAATGTGCTTAAATGTGGTTGAATATTGAGGTTTATGTTTTTCTTCAATTGTCAGGCATTATATTTTAAAATATTTCTTCTGCCATATTCTCTTCTACATCTGGAACTTTATTTATATGTTAGGCCATTTGATATTGTCTCATATGTCTGCCATATGGTGCTATTAAATAATTTTTTCTCTCTGTTTATTGTGTGGATAATTTATGTTGGTTTTGATAGGTATAAGTATGTATGGTTGAGAAGACAGTAGCACAAATACATTAGAATATCAAACGAAACATAGCCTAGAAGAAAAAAAATTGTAAAAAATAGGCATCAGTAGGGGAAACATTTTGCAAGTGATGATGATCTAGGCCTCCTTTTCATGTTGTCATTCCTCATCTTCCTCTGCTCTGCTTCAGTGCCTGCCAGCAAGTTCTTTTGTGAAAACATTGGGGGAAAGCATAGCACTGTGTATGTCAAAAAGCCAAAGGAAAGATATCTGCATGGAAAAATTAATTTTCAATTGTCAAAAATATTTCTGTAGTAAGTTTAAAATTAAAAATTTCATCTCACTAATAAATCTATGAAAGCCAATTGTGAATGATAAAATTTCTTACTGATGCCATTCAGATTCTAATGTGGTGGACAATCCATGTAGACACAACTGATCAGTCAGAAACAGGATGAGGATGTTCTAGCAACAGCCATATATATCTTCTAAAAAGAGGTTTCAACTGCTTTTTTCCCAAACTTTGCTGCTTAAACAGACATTCAGTAAGTAGTAATAATAACAAAAACAATAGTCATGCTAGGAAGGAACAGAAGGCAACAGAAAGGGGCAAACTTTTATTGGGCTTTTGCTTAGTGCAAGGCATTGAACAAAATCTCTCTGAGTCAGGTACTATTATTATTCTCAACGGATGGAGAAGGAAAACAAAGCATAGAGAAGTTGTGCCACTTAACTGGTGCTGGGGAAATCTACCCAACAGCTACTTTACCTCCATGGTGAGTGGCAGTAATGATTTTTGGAGTATTGATCTTGGACCAAGTGGTGAATCTATTTGAGTGAAAAATATTCAATCCCTCCTGCCAATGATTAAAAACTGGGCCAATGATCCAATTCTTCCAATGAAACTTGAGAAGAGGTTTGATGGAATCTCTGAGGGAAAGGTCTTCATTTCATTTAAAAGCCAACTTCACTCTCCTACTGGGCCTACTCAAGGAGGTACGTAGCCGTGGTTGCTTCTGGTGGTAACCTCATAAATGCAAAAGGAGCTAGACTTATTATGATGTAGGGAGAAGAATATCAAGACAGACAAAAATAACCTGGATTTTTGATGACAATTGATGACATCTGAAGCTGCCCATCTGTGGGCTTCCTCTTACATAAAAAGATAATTTTTTTCTCTTTTGGTTAAGCCAGTGTGCACATGAGTTGAATCTGACTGAAGTCATGCTCATTTAACTTTACTGCTTAAATGTCAATAAATTATTTTATTCTCACTGTTCACCACAAGAAAAATAAACATTTGCACACAATCTTTGCATGTCTTGTTTGGTTAAACATGTTTTCTACTTTTTTATTATTTAAAAATAAATATGTTCATAATTCATATTGCAAAAGGCTACTTTTCCTAGTGAGTAAAAAGCTCCTGCAAATCAATAAGAAAATAATAAACAAAAAAATAAGCAAATACTATGAACAAGCAATTCACAGGAAAGGAAATACAAATTTATCCCCCACTTTTTTTTTGAGATGGGGTTTCACCCTGTCACTGGAGTGCAGCGGCACGACCTCAGCTCTCTGCTGTGGGGGAAAGAAAGAGAGATCAGACTGTTACTGTGTCTATGTAGAAAGGAGTAGACATAAGAAACTCCATTTTGTTCTGTACTAAGAAAAATTCTTCTGCCTTGAGATGCTGTTAATCTGTAACCCTAGCCTCAACCCTGTGCTCGCAGAGACATGTGCTGTGTTGACTCAAGGTTTAATGGATTTAGGGCTGTGCAGGATGTGCTTTGTTATGAAGTGTTTGCAGGCAGTATGCTTGGTAAAAGTCATCGCCATTCTCCAGTCTTGAGTACCCAGGGACACAATGCCCTGTGGAAGGCCGCAGGGACCTCTGCCTAGGAAAGCCAGGTGTTGTCCAGGGTTTCTCCCCACTGAGACAGCCTGAGATATGGCCTCGTGGGAAGGGAAAGACCTGACCATCCCCCAGCCTGACACCCGTAAAGGGTCTGTGCTGAGGAGGATTAGTGAAAGAGGAAGGCCTCTGCAGTTGAGATAAGAGGAAAGCATCTGTCTCCTGCTCCTCCCTGGGAATGGAATGTCTTGGTGTTAAACCCGATCATACATTCTATTTACTGAGATAGGAGAAAACCGCCTTATGGCTGGAGGTGAGACATGCTGGCGGCAATACTGCTCTTTACTGCACTGAGATGTTTGTGTAAAGTCAAACATAAATCTGGCGTACGTGCACATCCAGGCACAGCACCTTTCCTTAAACTTATTTATGACACAGAGACCTTTGCTCACATGTTTTCCTGCTGACCCTCTCCCCACCATTACCCTATAGTCCTGCCACATAGCCCTCACCAAGATGGTAGAGATAGTGATCAATAAATACTGAGGGAACTCAGAGACCAGTGCTGGCATGGGTCCTCCATATGCTGAGCGCTGGTCCCCTGGGCCCACTGTTCTTTCTTTATACTTTTTCTCTGTGTCTTATTTCTTTTCTCAGTCTCTGGTCCCACCTGACGGGAAATACCCACAGGTGTGGAGGGGCTGGCCCCCTTCATCTACAGTCTTGATTACCCAGCTTCAAGCGATCCTCCCACCTCAGCCTCCCCAATAGCTGGGACCACAGGCATGTGACACAATGTCCTGCTAATTTTTTTATTATTTGTAGAGATGAGGTCTTGCTATATTGCCCAGGATGGTCTTGAACTCCTGGGTTCAAGAGATTCTCCTGCATCAGCCTCCCAATGTGCTGGGATTGCAGTTGTGAGCCATCACGTTCAGCCAAATTCACCTTAAATATATGAAAATGTATTTATCCTCACTCATAGTAAGATAAGTGAAAATTAAAATTACATAAAGAGTTGGGCACGGTGACTCATGCCTATAATCCAGCACTTTGGGAGGCCAAGGCGGGCAAATAACAAGGTCAGGAGATCGAGACCAACCTGGCTAACACGGTGAAACCCCATCTCCACTAAAAATACAAAAAATTAGCTGGGCATGGTGACACATGCCTGTAGTCTCAGCTACTCAGGAGGCTGAGGCAGGAGAATCACTTGAACCCGGGAGGTGGAGGTTGCAGTGAGCCGAGATTGCACCACTGCACTCCAACCTGGGTGACAGAGTGAGACCCCGTCTCAAAAAACAAACAAACAAACATAAAGATACTATTTTTATCCAATCAGATTAATGAAGATAAACAATTTTGATAACTCACTATGTTGATGAGGCTGTGGAGGAATAGGCATTCCTATGTATTACTGATGGTCATTTAATTAGAACAACTTTTATGAAAAGTAATTTGGCAACACTTTTTTGACCCAGTAATCCCACTTACAGAAATTTAATTTACAGATATATTTACAGTCACGTGATGTATTTTCACAAGCTTATTGCTTTTAGTATTATTTGCAATAGCCAAAAATTGGAAACAACATACATGTCTATCCATGGGACCTAGTTAAATAAATTATGATTTTCCACGCCATGAAATACTATGGAAGTATTACAAATGAGAAAATCTTTATAAAGATACTTAAAGTGATATCAAAGATACATTGTTTGAAAAAAAACTAGAGAGTAGTAGTGTGTATAAGGTGCTACCATTTATATATGAGAGAAAATAATATATAAAAGTGCATTTATATGCATGTATATTCACATAAATGTATGTTTTGCAAATATATACATTTGCCCAACTATTCATTAACTAGTTGGATAGTTAACTAGTTATCTCTAGAAGGATATACAAAAAAATGATAATATTTTTTGAGTTTCAGAAGGAGAACCAAGTAGCTGAAGTTAGGAGTTAGAGGGAGCTTAGTACTTTTTGAATTTAAACATAAAATTATTTGAAAAATAAGCACAAATTTAAAAAACCCAAATAGTCAAACAAATATATACACATGTTATACACATATTGTCGTTAGAACAATTTCTGTTAGTAATTTGTTTAAATTATCTTTAAGAATTTAAAGAGTTTTTTTCTAAAGCCGCATATTATTCATTACAAATGAATAATCTTTCTTTTTTTCAAAGCAGAAAGGAATTTATTAAGAAGATTTGCGTTCAGAATTTCTGGCATGGTGTGGGTACCATACCATCAATGCCAGGCTGTCAAGAGAAATGCCTTTAACCACACTGTAATTTTTCAACAAAAATTGTGCTTGCTGCAGCTATAGTCTGCTATATATAATTTTGGTTGCATACATCCTTTTTGTGACTAATAATATTTTAATTATTTATTTGACATATAATAGTGCATATTTATAGGGTACGTAATGATGTATAATAGATAGGGATCAGTTGAAGGTAATTAGCATATCCATCTTCTCAAACATTTATCATTTCTTTGTGTTGGGAACATTCAATATCCTCCTTCTAGCTATTCGAAACTATGTAATATATTTTTGTTAACTATAGCCATCTACAGTGGTATAGAGCACTAGAATTTATTCTTCCTAACTAGTTGTAATTTTGTATCCTTTAATAGATGTCTCCTTATTTCCCCTTCCCCCTATCCTTCTTAGCCTCTAGTATCCTTTGTTCTACTTTTGATTTCTATTAGATCAACATTTTTTAGCTTGCACGTGTGAGTGAGAACATGCAGTGCTTAACTTTTTGTTCCTAGCTTATTTCACTTAACATAAGATTCTCCAGTTCCATCTATATTGCCATGAATAACAGGATTTCATTCTTTATAATGGCTGAATAGTACGCCATCGTGTGTATATATGCCACATTTTCTTTATCCATTCATTTGTTGTTGGACACAGGTTAATTCCATATCTTGGCTATCGTGAATAGTGCTGCAATAAACATAGGGGTGCAGTTGTGTCCTTGATATATTGATTTTCTTTCCTTAAGAAATCCCAATAGTCGGAGTCTTGGATCATATGGTAGTGTTAATTATAGTTTTTTGAGAAACATTCATACTGTTCTCCCTAGTTGCTATACTAGTTTACATTACTTTCTTTCTTTTCTTTCTCTTTCTTTCTTTCTTTTCTTTCTCTTTCTCTTTCTTTCCTTCCTTCCTTCCTTCCTTCCTTCCTTCCTTCCTTCCTTCCTTCTTCTTTCTTTTCTTTCTTTCCTTTCTTTCTTTCTTTCTTTCTTTCTTTCTTTCTTTCTTTCTTTCTTTCTTTCTTTTTCTTTCTTTCTTTCTTTCTTTCTTTCTTTCTTTCTTTCTTTCTTTCTTTCTTTCTTTCTTTCTTTCTTTCTTCCTTTTCTTCTTTCTTTCTTTTCTTTATTTCTTGACAGAGTCTTGCTCTGTTGCCCAGGCTGGAATGCAATGGTGTGATCTCGGCTCACTACAACCTCCACCTTCCAGGTTCAAGCGATTCTCCTGTCTCAGCCTCCCTAGTAGCTGGGATTACAGGTGTACACCGCCACATCTCACTAATTTTTTGTACTTTTAGTAGAGATGTGGTTTCACTGGGTTCCCCAGGCTGGTCTCAAACTCCTGAGCGCAGGCAATCCAAACACCTTGGCCTCCCAAATTGCTAGGATTACAGGCTACTAGTTTACATTCCTACCAACAATGTATGAGTTCCCTTTTCTCTGCATCCTTGCCAACATTTGTTATTTTTTGCCTTTTTGATAGTAGCCAATCTAACTGGGGTAAGATGATACCTCACTGTGATTTTAGTTTGCATTTCCTTGATGCTTAGTGATGCTGCACAACTTTTCATATATTTTTTGGCCATTGGTATGTCTTTTGAGGAATGTCTATTCATATCGTTTGCCCATTTTTAATTAAAATTCTTTTCTGGCGGTTGAGATGTTTGAGTTCCTTGTATATTCTGTTTATTAATCCCCTGCCAGACAAATAGTTTGCAAATATTTTCTCCCATTCTGTGTGTTGCCTTTTCACTCTGTTGATTGTTTCCTTTGCTATGCAGAAGGCTTTTAGTTTGATATAATCCTATTTGTTTGTTTTTGCTTTCATTGCCTGTGCTTTTGAGGTCTTTTTCATAAAATCTTTCCCCAGACCAATGTCTTGAAGCATTTCCCTTATGTTTTCTCCTAGCAGTTTTATTGTTTCAGGTCTTACATTTATGTCTTTGATCTATTTTGAGTTTTTTTTTTTTTGACAGTCTCACTCTGTTGCGCAGGCTGTAATGCAGTGGCATGATCTCAGCTCACTGCAACCTCCACCTCCCAGGTTCAAGCAATTCCCATGCCTCAGCCACCTGAGTAGCTGGGGTTACAGGTGCATGCCACCATGCCCAGCTAACTTTTGTATTTTTTGTAAAGGTGAGGTTTCACCATGTTGGCCAGCTGAACTCCTGACCTCAAGTGATCCACACACCTTGGCCTCCCAAAGTGCTGGGATTATAGGCATGAGCCATCATACCTGGCCTGAGTTCATTTTTGAATAGGATAAGAGGTGACGGTCTAGTTTCATTCTTCTGCATGTAGATATCAAGTTTTCCCAGCACCATTTATTGAAAATACTGTCCTTTCCCCAATGAGTGTTCTTGGCACCTTTGTCAAAAATCAGTTTCATATAAATACATGGATTAATTTATGGGTTCTTTGTTCTGTTCCATTGTTCTATGTGTCTGTTTTTATGTCAGTACCATGCTGTTTTGGTACTAAAGCTTTGTAGCATATTTTGAAGTCTAGTAGTGTGATGCCTCCAGCTTTGTTCTTTCTGCTCAGAATTGCTTTGGCTATTCAGGGTTTTTTTTTTTTTTTTTTTTTGGTTCCAGACAAATTTTAAGATTATTTTTTCTATTTGTTGTGAGGAATATCATCGGCATTTTGATAGGAATTGCATTGAATTTGTAGGTTGCTTTGGGTATTGTGGTCATCTTAACAATACTGATTCTTCCCATTCATGAACATGGAATGTCTTTCCATTTATTTGTTTCTTCTTCAATTTCTTTCATCAATGTTTTATAGTTTTTCTTGTCAAGTTCTTTCACCTTCTTGGTTAAATTTACTCATAGACATTATTTTGTAGCTATTGTAAATGGAATTGGCTTCTTGACTTCTTTTTCATCTAGTATGTTGTTTTTGTATAAACATTGCTGATTTTTGAGTGTCGGTTTTGTATACTGCAACTTTACTGAACCCTTTTATTAGTTCTAAGAATTTTTTGGTAGAGTCTTCAGTTTTTCTACATATAAGATCATGTCACCTTCAAGTAGGAGCAACCTGACTTCCTTCTTTCCAATTTGGATGCCCTTTATTTCTTTCTCTTGCCTAATTGCTCTCGCTAGAACTTTTAGTACTATGATAAATAAAAGTGGTGAGGGGCATCCTTGTCTTGTTTCAGTTCTTAGAGAAAAATATCTCAGCTTTCCCTCACTCAGTATGATGTTGGCTGTGGGTTTTCCATATATGGCCTTTATTGTGTTGAGGTACTTTCTGTCTATACCTAATTTATTGAGAGTTTTTATCATGAAGGAATGCTGAATTTTATTGAATGCTTTTTCTGCATCTATTGAGATGCTCATATAGTTTTTGTCATTCATTCTGTTTACGTGATGTATCACATTTATTGATTTGTGTATGTTGAGCCATCCTTGCATCCCTTGTATAAATCTCACTTGATCATGGTGTATTATCTTTTTGATGTATTGTTGGATTTTGTTTGCTAGTGTTTTGTTGAGGATTTTTGCAGCTGTGTTCATCAGGGATATTGACCTGTAGTTTTCTTTTTTTATTGTGTTTCTATAGTGATTTTTATGCATCTGATAGAACAGTTGCCTCTTCCAATTTTATGGAGTAGGTTTTGTAGGGAAATACTTATTTATATATATGGCTCTTGGGGTGTCAGTTTGGTGGAGTGCATTGGCTTTGGTTCTAGGTAGATGCAGCAACATAGTCTCTGTGCAGTTTTCTCATGGAAGGATGTTTGTGTCTCAGTGGCTTAGGCTGAGAATTTGTGGTGGTGGTAGCAGTACCTCTTTGCTGAGGGTGGGATTACAAGGCTGTTTCTCAGGTCTGGAGTGTGTGCATATGCAAGGTGGGTCAGCCAACTTGGGGCCTGGCGCTCTGGGGTTGGGGCCATGGGCGTGTTATTCTAGCCAGGCACTGATGTGCAGTTGCTTGACCAGCCTGGGGCTGTGCCTTTCAACTATAGCCTGTGGGGCTGTTTCTCAGGTCCCAGATGTGGAGTCATGGCTGCTTAGCTGGCATGGAAATAATTCTGCCACAGGCAGCCCATGAGGCTGTTTCTCAAGCCTTGATTGCAGGCACGGGGCCCTTGGGCAGGCTAGGGGCATGTCCTTGAGGAAGGTAGGCACCACTGGGCTGTTCCTTAGACCCTGGGCCCAGGCATGTAGTTACTCCACTGGCCTGGGAGCATGTCAGCTGCTCAGTGGCTCAGGGATTTCTCCAGCTCAAGAGAGGGCACACTGGTGCTGTGTCTCATGCCTATAACCCCAGCAATTTGGAAGGCTGAGGTGGGAGGATCACTTGAGCCCAGGAGTTTGAGGTCAGCCAAGGCACATAGTAAGACCTCATCTCTACAAAAAAATAAAAATAAAAAATAAATAAACAAGAGAGAGGACATAGTATGGTTTGGCTGGCTCAAGGGTGGGTTTGCCCTGGGCAGGACTGCCAGACTCTTCCTCTGGTGAGGAGGGTTGGTTTCCCTGCTGTGCAAGACCATCGTCACAGGAAATCCTGGACCCAGGTTCTGCAGCAGCTTGGACCACAGGGCCTGAGGAGGGCACACCTCCTGCTCCTAATCTGGAGCAGTGCAGCTGCATGAATTCCTAGCAGCTCTGCAAACCAGGCTCAGGCAAGGACTGTGGAATTATTCTGTAGTAAAGATGGCAGGCAGCATCTGTGGTGGCAATGGAGATTGTTGGAATTCTTCTGCTTACCTTTTCCCTGAAAGGGAAGTCCCTTCTGTCTTCAAGCAAATCCAATCTGGGTGGGACAAGTAGAGCTGCAGAGGCCAGGTGCCTCCATAGGGCCCTTCTGGGCTTCTAATCACCACAGGTGCCTCTCCATTCCCTGCTGCACTCCAGCACTCTCCTTCAACACTACAGTCAATTCTCAGCTGTTTATTTGTTGCATTGGTCCTTTTTTGTCAGGGGGAGGAGCACCAAGTATCTCTAGTCAGCCATCTTGCTGATCTCACTCCTAGATATGTTTCTTAATTAAACAAAGATGTACATCCAGATTTCTTGATATAGAAAGATGTTCACATCATAAAACATACAAAATTGCATATATATATATATGCATAGATGTATAGATGTGTATAGAAATAGAGATAGATGGAGAGAGAGGAGAGATGTATACATTGTACACAGATACACACACGTCCCTCTAGAGAGATGCCTGAAAGTATTATAGGCATCAAATATTACCAGTGATAATCTCTCCCTAGGTGGGTAGAATTTGCAAAATTTTTGTTTTTTTCTTTGTACTTTTCTACAGTTGAATTTATTTTACAATTATTCCTCAAAAGAATAAAGTTTTGTAAAAGAATACAAGATATTCATGAGCTGGAAAAATTTATGCCTTAAGAATAATAACATAAGAATAATAACATCTAAATTGCCACTTGAGCTTAGAATACAAATCGCTGATTTTAAAGTAAATGGCACTGGTTCTTTTTCTGAATAGCATGACAGCCTACCAAGAGCAGGATTTTTCTAAAGTTCCAGATATTTCCAGGTCTCACAGTTCTACAATTTTTTTTGTGCCAGTGCTTTCCTGGATGCAAATTTAGTCAGGAAATGAGTCCATGTTATTTTTTCTTGCCAAAAAACAAAATTACACAGAAGAACTCATAAAAGAAAGGCGCTAATCCACCCCAAAATTAAAATCCCTTAAGCAGATAGCATATGCACCCTGAACAACACCAGCCTCACCTTAGCCTAATGTAGGAGATGATTTGGCCTGACTTTTATACCCTGTCTTAGTCTGTTTGTGTTGCTATAAAGAAATACCTGAGGCTGGGTAATTTATAAAGAAAACAGGTTTATTTGGCTCATGGTTCTGCAAACTGCACAAGAAGCATGACAACAGCATCTGCTTCTAGTGAGAGCTTCAGGCTTCTTCCACTCATGGTGGCAGGTGAAGGAGAACCCACGTGTTCTTCTTAACCACCAGCTCTTATGGGAAATAACAGCGAAAGGGCATTCATGAGAGATCCACCCTCTGTGAACCAAACCCCTTCTACTAGGCGTCCCCTTCAATATTGAAGATCAAATTTCAACATAAGGTTTAGAGGATCAAATATCCAAACTACAGCATACCCTTATCCAGGAGAACTACTAGGTTATTTTCTCCTCTCTACCTTGTCCTCTGGCACTGATCAATTTTCCTAAATTTCCTCTTCAAATCTTGAAGTTGCCAGCACAGTTGCTCCCTACACTAAATTGTCACATGATCTCTTTACCCAGTAACTCCTCATGTATAACTGCAATATTGAAAGAAGCACAGGACTTCCAATGCCGATAACAAGTGTATACATATTTAAAAAAAAGTATATGTACATATTAACTTCATAAAGAAGAACATTGGCTTATTCTAATATGGTGCCAGTTCTTCAGGATCAATAAGCTTAAACCTATCCAATGTATTATATGGTGCACCCATTCAACCAAAATCATCGAACAAGTGATTTTTTTTACAATAATACATCCATAATAAATAATCTATGCAAAACTCTCTGCATGCCAAGCCCTATAGTAAGTACTTCATGTTCCATATCTCTAACCTGCAGAACACTCCTGCCCTGTATGTGCCATCTTTCCCATTTTTCAAAGGTCAGGCAGTTTTTCTGAGACACCTACTCCGAGAGTGAGCTGAGAGTCAAGATTCAACCTCTGCCTGGCTCCAAATTCCCTCCTCTTTTAACTATAATAAATTTTCCCTTAATTTAAGCCATTTGCATATTTGTCTGAGAAAGTCTCAGAATTTTATTTATATATATATATTTATATATATATCTTAGTTAAGAAAAAATAGTCTGTAGCTATGAGAGGAAGCTTGGAACAATACAAGAATTCACATCTGTGTCACATGCTTCTGTCAAAGGCTCCTGATTTGGCCTATCCACACAGCTTTTGGATGGGGGATGGGGGCAGAAAAGAAGCACTCTTGTATTAATAGTTTACGAGCTTTCAACATTTACCTCAGTCCCTCAATTATTACAGAGGGGCCAGCCCAGCTGCATCATGCATAATCCCCGACCAGAGCTGCAGACCCTGTGCACCTGAAGCTAGTGATGAACAAACATGCTTGCAACCAAACCAGGCCTTTTTGTAATCAGATAGCCCTTCAAAAAGCAAAGCAAAGAAATGGATGGAAAGGGAAAAACTCTTGGTTGGTAGAGTTCCAAATGAGAAAACAAAGGAGGGGTGGACCAAAAATTCACTTAAGCTCTCCATAAAATTCTGAGGCTGACAACCTGGAGCAGAGGAGTGAGAGGAGGCTTCGAGAGGTCGCCTTTGTGTCTCCACAGTGAGTGAGAAGCTTCCCCTGAGGCAGGTTGCAATGCTGCTTTCCAGAGTCAGTTGAGTGGTGAGGGGCTCTCATTCTGGGGGCAAAAGTGACCTCGGAAACTGATAAATCATTGTAGAGAGAATATCTGATCCAGGGAACATGGCAGAGGGAAACTGAGGATGCAAGCTTCTGAAAGTTGACCCATTATCATGGAGAACTGTCTGAACTCCTTGTTAGGATCTGTAATTCAGAGTCTTGTTCACTGTTTCTCACCTCCTTGATTCTTTGTGGAAGATTCTATAATTATTTTAACAGAAAGAGATCTCCTGATGCTTCTACTTACTCTACCATCTTCTAGGAGGTAATATTTGAGCTGCAATTAATCATCTGCCTGCCCCTACATCCTACTCCAGCATCCTACTCCAGCACCACCCACACTGAACCTATAAGAAGGAGCAAGCTGGGTGTGTCAGCTGAGCCTGTCCTTTCTTGTCATATAAGCAAAGTGTATTAGGCCTTTCTTGCATTGCTATAAAGAAATACCCGAGGCTGAATGCGGTGACTCATGCCTGTAATCACAGCACTTTGGGAGGCCGAAGAGGTGGGATCACTGGAGGTCAGGTGTTAGAGACCATTCTGGCCAACATGGTGAAACCTTGTCTCTACTAAAAACACACAAATTAGCTGGGTGTGGTGGCAGGTGCCTGTAATCCCAGCTACTTGAGAGGCTGAGGCAAGAGAATCACTTGAACCTGGGAGGCGGAGGTTGCAGTGAGCCGAGATTGTGCCACTGCACTCCAGCCTGGGCGACAGAGCAAGACTCTGTCTCAGAGAAATACCTGAAAGCCGGACGAGGTGGCTCATGCTAGTAGTCCCAGAACTTCTGGAGACTGAGGCAGGCAGATCACTTGACCCCAGAGTTTGAGACCAGCCAGGGCAACATGGTGAAACCCTGTCTCTACAAAAAAAATACAAAAATTAGCCAGGCGTGGTGGCACATGCCTGTAGTCCCAGTTACTTAGGAGGTTGAGATGGGAGGATCCCTTGAGCCCAGGAGGCAGAGGTTGTGGTCAGCTGAGATCATGCTGCTGCACTCCAGCCTGGGCAACAGAGCAAGACTCTGTCTCAAAAAAAAAAAAAAAAAAAAAAAGAAGAAACAGAAAAAATGAAATACCTGAGACTGGGTAATTTATAAGAAAAGAGGTTTCATTGGTTCACGGTTCTGCAGGCTGTACAGGAAGCATAACACCAGCATCTGCTTCTAAGGAAGCTTACAATCATTGTGGAAGGAGAAGCAGGAGCAGGGGCCACACACTTTTAAATAACCAGATCTTGCATGAACTCACTCACTATCACAAGAGCAGCACCAAGGGGATGGGGCTAAACCATTCATGAGAACTCCACCCCATGATCCAATTACCTCCCACCAGGCCCCACCTCTGACACTGGGGATTCCAATTCAACATGAGATTTAGGTGGGGACACAGACCCAAACTATATCACAAAGTTTTCCAGGTGTCCTACTCCACAGACTTCCACTTGTTGGTCAGAACTGTATGGCGAGGGCCATCCTACTAGAAGACATCTAGGTAAAGAGGTTGTAAAGGGAGTCCACCAACCAAAATGTGGGTCAAGGAGAAAAAGTCCAACAGAGGAGAGGGGTAGCATGAATGTGGCTGACTGAAGGCAGGGAAGAGGACCTCTCACCACCACCTCAGGAGGTTGTCATTACTATTGGGGCAGGAGAGGGAGGGGTGGGTGATGAAGACGCCTTGGCCATCTTTGCAGTTTTGCTTCGGGGATGTTTATAGCAAATGGGTTTGCCACGTGTCTTTTTCATTCATTCCACAAACATTTTTCCAGGGTCTAGTCCATATTCCCAGAAGATTTTCAAAGAAGCACATAACTCACTGGACTACATGGGCTAAAATACGTACAAATGCCCCTTGATTTATAATGGAGTGATGCCCTAATAAATTCATTGTTAAGTAAAAAATATTGTAAGTCAAACCATTGTAAGTCTGGGACTATCTGTATTTGGTCTTTGTCTCTGGTTCCTGGCACAGAGCTCCTAAAATGCCTGGCATTTCCCGAGTGATTAGGAACATACCTGAGGTATGCTAATTAGGGGACTCAGGATGGGGCTGGTCCCTAGAAAGACCAAAGGACGTCGGGAACCAAATGAGGGTGGGAACTCTCAGCCCTACCCCCAACCTCCAGGAAGGGAGAAGAGCTGGAGATTGGGTTATAAAAACTCTTCAACAAGGTTCAGAGACCTTCCAGGTTGGTGAACAGATGGAGGTGCTGCTAGCAGGGTGGCACACATGGAGAGAGCATGGAGGTGCTGCACCTCTCTGCCTCTAGGCTTCATCCTATGCATGTATTCCATTTGCCTATTCCTGAGCTGCATTCTTTACAATAACTGGTAAAGAATGCAGTTCAGGAGTAGAAAGTGTTCTGTGAGCTGTTATAGCAAATTATAGAACTTGAAGGGAGGTTATAGGAGCCCTGAATTTATAGTCAACCAGGCAGGAGTGTGGGTAGATTACTGTACCACCTGAAGTTGGGGCAGCCTTGTAGGAGTTTAAATTGAGGGATCTGATGCTAACTCCAGTAGATAATATCAGTGTCAGAATTGGACAATTGGTGTTGGAAATGTAAAATCAAAGGAAATGACTGAGGTGAGTCTCCATCAATTTAGGGGTTTATTTTGCAAATGTGCCTAGGGAAAAGAATCACAAGCCACAGTAGGATATGTGGCCCATACTTTTTTCCAAAGAGGATTTCGTAGGCTTTAATATTCAATAGGGAAAAATTGGACAGAAAGAGAAAGAGGGAGAAAAAGGGAGGGTATGTTCATGTTCTAGTGAGGCTTTGATTAGAGCTCACTGAATCCATATGTTGCATGAAAAGGAGGGCGTATAGGGAACAGTCAGTTGTGTATTTGTGTCGCACTCAGTAAATCTGCTCTTCACATAAGATGAAGTAAACATAGAGTAGAGAAACAAATCAAATATGCATGTATTTCAGGGGGGGTGGGGGGACAATTACCAGTCCCCTCTTATCCTGTACCGTGATGATAAGCTGTTGATTGTCAGGGTGAGGGAGACCAGCTATGGAGATATATCACCATCTATCTGTAGCTATTCTGTTTAGAAACAAAAGCAAAGGCAGTTTTTTTTTGTATGACTCAGCTTCTCAGCTTAATTTTTCCCTTTAGCATAGTGAGTTTGGGGTCCTGAGATTTTATTTTGCTTTCACAGAAAAGACATCACGTATCTGGTGTCAGAGAAATGGGGAAAAAGCCAACACACTGCAAAAATCCAAACCAAACCAAAACAAAACAAAAACAAAAAACAAAAAATGCAACAAAACAAAACAAACCAAACAAAATGCATATAAAAGACCTCAAACTCTCAAAGTCCAAAACAAAAACTAACAAACAACAGCAAACTTGTCATCATGACCATCAATTTACAGATGTTAAAGAGAAGCAATACTTAGCAGTATAGACCTTTCCTTAAAAGTGACAGTAGAGTAATTCTTTCCAGCTGAGGGGACAAATGCATTAGCAAGCATCTCAGCATTCATGATGTAGCAAGTTTAGGTCAGTGGGTGCTGGTAAGCACAATTGTTCTGTCACCATGATAACCTATCCCCCCATGTCTTCAAAAGATATCACCACTCCCAAATGAGCCTTAGTTTGCTAACCTTTTAGAATACAGAGAGGAGCAATGTTTTCCTCACAGTCATGTTGAATAAACACAGTCATGTTTTGATCCTTAGACCCTTGTTATCAGTTGAATTGTGTCCCCCCAAAAGATATGTTAAAATCCTAAACCCAGTTCCTCAGAATGTAGCCCTATTTAGGAATGGTGACATTGCAGTTGTAATTAGTTAGGATGAGCTCACACCAGAGTAGGAAGAGCCCCTAATTCAATATGGTGGGTATCCTTATAAAAAGAGGAGAAGAGATACAGGCATGAGGGGAGAAAGTCATGTGATGATGGGGACAGAGATTGAAGTGCTGCAACTGCTAGCTAAAAGTTGCCAGCAAATCACCAGAAGCTATAGAGAGGCAAGAGAGGATCCTCCCTTATGAGTTTCAGAGGGAACATGGCCCAGCTGATATCATAATTTTGGACTTTTAGACTCCAGAACTGTGAGATAATAAATTTCTGTTGTTTTAAGTCATCCAGTTTGTGGTACTTTCTTATAGCAGCCCTAGGGAACTAATACAATCCTGATATTTTTCATTTCCTATTATATGCTGTGGAAAAAGTTCCAAGAAAGAAATATCCAGGTATTGGATACCTGGATAGTGATAGAGTCCTTTTACGGCCTTAGTGTGCTAAGTGTTAGGCACTTGATCCTTAAACTAGCATTTCTTTCTGGATTTTCGTTTGAAATTCTTTATTTTAGGATTCCCTTGTTCAAGGATGTCCAATAAGGTGCTTTATATCTTTGGCTAAAACACAATTAAAAGTGGCACACTCTCAGTTGAGACCAGAACATTTTGGTTCTGGACCAAGCAATGTTAGCTCAATGGTGATCCATCCAATCTATTCTCCGCCGTGCTAGCGGCACTTCCACAGCTCTCCCTTATGACCAAGATATGGCATGTTGCCATCAGTCGTAGGCCCTTGGGTACTCTCTTCCCCACATTCTCACAATCAATTCATTCAATGTGGAATTGATTGGCCCTTAATTACCTTAAACTCTTATTTCTTGGATTTATGACAAGAACTGTGAAGGATCTGAGATTGCACTCTACTTACAAGCTAACAAGTTATCATGGATAATAGCAGAAGTGATGAGACTCCTGGGTCAGAGGTTTAAAAATATTATCACTCAGCAAAAGCAGCAGCCAGAGCTTCATGTTCATTTGCATCAGTGTCTCATGCCTTCTAAGTCCCTCAGGACAGTGCAAAAAGACTGTGAAGGAAGCCTGCAGACACAGTGAGATACATTACAGGAGAGAAACACTGAGCTTGGGGAATCTACAACTTTATAGTAAGCCTACTCTTTGGGAGAGATGTTACCTTGTCCCTCAAGGGTACTCCTTCAAACAATCTTGTGAATGGCCTGGTCAAAGAGCAGTCAGGGTCTTGTATTCTTGGAATACCCAGTAAGAATGTACATGAATACTCAGAGCTTGTAGCAGAATTATCTGTCTGCAAAGGTGGGAGTTGGCAAACTATAGACTGTGAAATATGGCCTGTGACCTGTTTTTGAATGACCCATGAGCTAAGAATATTTTTTACATTTGAACTCCAATTAAGAAAGTTATTATCCTCCTAAGAGAATTCTGTTCTTCTCATTAGTAGAGCTGCATTACCAAAATATTGCACTCAGTTATTATGAATATGTTTTGAATTTATCAATAAAAATATTTTCAGTTATGTAAGTACCTACATAATATCCTTGATTGCCTCTTGGCCTGCAAACTGGATCTACACTATCTGGATCTTGACAGAAAAAGTTTGTTGGCTCCTGATCTATATTATTGAAAGTTCACAGAGTCCTGCTTATTTGCTGTTCTTGGAACAGCTAATTTTACAGCTAAGCTTAGAGGAAATGTGTGAGTAACAAAATTAGTTCAAGTGCCTATAGATTCATTTTTTTTAAATATAAGTTTTGAATAGGTTAATGTTTACATGATTTAATTCAAATCAGAATTTAGAAGGCTCCTAATCAGTCTTTCTCGACTACTCAGGTTGATCCTAGAAGCTTCCATTCTAAAACTGAGGGTTTATCACTAAATAACACCTTTGCTTCATATTTAGTCTGATAATAAAGGAGATTAGCAAGCTTGAACTAGAGAGATAGAATATTGCTTATCTAAATTGTCTTTTTGTATCCTTTCCTCTTCTTTCTGGTAAGTCAGCTTCCCTGGATTAATTTTATTTAGTACACAGTACAAATGTCAAACTAGTTAGGGTTAGTATTTCAATTATCTATAGGTATATAAAAAACTACTCCAAAACTTAGTGGCTTAAAGCAATAACAATGTATTATTTCTCAGGATTCTATGGGTTGACCAGGTCTCTCTCCTGCATTACAAGGTATCAGCTGGACTGCTGGGATGGCTAAAAGGGCCCAAAAGGCCTTATTTGCATTGTTGGCTGTTGGTACCAGCTGCCAGCTGGGAGCTCAATTGGGTTGTTGGTTGGGGACCTCAATTCTCTTCCAAGTAGGCCTCTCCACATGGCTTCTTGAGCTTCCTTACTGTATGGAAGCTGGGCTTTAAGAAGAAGCATTCCAACTCAGTCTAAAAAGTTACACACCAGCATCAAAATCTATAGATCAAAATATATTAAAGCAATGTATCCTGGTTTTGGAAGCTGTTAACATTATGGGAAACTTGGCGAAAGGTACACGGGAACCTACCATATTGTATTTGCAATTCTTCTATAAATTAAAATTATTTTCAAGTAAAAAGTTTAAAAAAAAATAGGTCACAGGGTCAGCCTAGATTTAAGAAGAGGGGAAACAGGCTCTACCTTTTAATTGAAGAAATGACAAAGTTATATCGCAAAAGAGCATTTAGGATGGGAGAGATTGTTGCACTCATTCAGTGGGCTTCTAAAAGCTGCTCAGGAAATCGTAGCATGGCATAATTTGAGTTGTATGCATGTGTGCGTGTGTGTGTGTGTGTGCGCGTGTGTGTGTGTGTGTATGTGTGCATGTCTGATTTCACATGTTTATCCACCCGAATTTGACAATTTTCCTCTTTTACTTTTGAACCAGCTGTGTTCATGTGGCCATCCACTTTCCCTTGGATCACATTTTTTAGCATAATTGTGGATAAGACTAAGGAGTAGTCACTAACTTGTCTACTGTGTTGTGCTCACCTGAAACTGAGAATTAGTCCACTGAGTGCAATAAATAATCTACAGTGGAGAGTGATTTTTTCCCCCAAAGATCTGGGTCTCTAGGCTACACCCTCTAGAATGTAGATAAACTGCTGATCATCAGTATTTATTTTGTGAGCAAATAAATCACGAAATCCCCTTATATTTTAAAGCTTGACCGTGATAATTTGCAAGTCATTTGTAAATACCTTAGAACTCATTTACAACCACATTTTACTTTCTGCTTTGGCATTTCTTAACGTTCTAAATTCACTTTACACTCCTTTAACTTTCCGTCACCTCCCAGCATAGAGATACAGGATTTAGGAAGGAAGAGGAAGAAGCCTGGGATTACTGGGCATGAAAATTCTGACAAAATTGTTTAAGAAAGCACCATATTCATAGATGAAATTGATCTATGTTTTATTCTTATGTGCTATCTATATCAGATTTAGTATAAATATGTTAGTATTCTAAAATGAATTGGAAAGGTTTCTATCTTCTTATGTTCAGCAATGATTTAAATAACATAGGAGCTGTTTGTTCTTTGAAAATCAGAAGGGACCTACATATAAAATCACCTGGGTAGGGCACGTGTTTTAAAAGTAGATCTTTGATAATTTTCTTAAAGTTTTCCACTGGTTATTGGTCTATTCAGATTTTCTACTTATTCTTGAGAAATTTTTTAAAATTTATATTTCCCAGAAAATCAGCAATTTCATCTAGATCTTCACATTTGTTGGTAAAAAGTTATACAAATATTTTATTACAATCTTCCAAATCTGTCCCATTACTGCCTTTCTCATTGACTAAGTTAGACATTTTTGGTTTTTCTTTTTTCCCTGATTAATCTTAGCCATTCTTTGTATTTTTTTTTTTTTTGGAAGAAATAAGTCTGATTTTATTTAATAATTCTACTCTTTTATCTGCTTTCTAACTCACTAGCTTTGGCTATGTGAGTACTCTCAATTTACGAATAAGGCCCAGGAACTGAGACCCCTGAATAATAAATTTTCAGCATGGATATTATAGTTATCCAAACTGATGGCAGGACATGGTAGAGAAGAAGACTGTCAGGTGTGGAAGGGTCCATAAATGAATTTGGGAGAGGTGGGAATCTCTTTCACCTTATTAGGAGTGATATCCAAGGATAGTCCTTTTAAATGATTCCCCGCAGTATGATGAATAATTTAAAGATGGTTAGAGTAAGTCAAGCATAAAGGACAAAAAGCAATAAAAGGAGAACATTTCAGTGGTACTTAGGCAGATATACCCTGCTGCTGTCAAATTGTTTTAAAGCAATTTAGAGCTTTGTGAATTCTAGGGAAAAAATTACTTAGAAGGTTATGTTTCTAAATTCAGATTTATGAAATATCTTATTATTCAGTGATGCTTTTTTCCCAACCAGTACTGTGTGCTTCCCACATCACGCAATGGAATCTTTCCCTTCTTGAACAAAGACAGATTCCTGAGGGGCAGAAAGATGATTCCATGACACTGGAAAAGCAAACTAGTCTGCCATCATTTTTATAATTTGAAGAGAAAAAAATGAGACTGAATTAGAAATGTAGGGTTCTGTCCCAAGCTTCAAATTATTATAGAGAAGTAATTCCTTGATTTCAGGTTATTCTGAGATAATAATATATGTCTCACCAAAAATTTTAATGCAGAGCAAATACAATTTTTCTTGGTATTTCATGCAAGTCAGATAATGATGCATTTATATGTATTGTGCTCTCAGTCAGGTCCAACACTGTTAATTTCATTATTACCACCACCTTTAATTCCCTGGCCCCAAGGACAGGATACGCCACAGGCCTCTTAGATGGAAATTGTTCAAAAGCATTCTCATCCACACTATTCTTGTGTCTTCTCATGGGACTCTTAACTTCTTCAGTGGCCCTGTTTTTGCCTGCTCTGAGTCTCAACCGTGTTTGAGTCTCTGCCACCCCTTAGTTTTCATTTACAACCAAACAATCATCATCAATTCTTCCTTCAATGTCTTTTTAATTCCCACTGAACTATTCTCCTTCAGCCTCTCTTGTACTATCTTTTGTTTCAGGGGTGAGAGAACAAAGATTCATTGAGCTTCTATAATGTGTTGACAGGGTGGCAGATGTTGACTGCCCCCTCATCCCCATCTTGCTCTTTTTATGGGTCAACTTGGGCCACCATAGCAAGGTATCATAGCCTAGGTAGCTCAAACAATGGAAATTACTTTGTCTCCATTCTGGAGGCTGGAAGTCCAAGATAAAGGTGTTGGCAGGATTGGTTTCTTCTGAGGCCTCTCTCCTTTGTTGTAGATGGCTGTCTTCTCTTTATGTCCTCACATAATCTTTCCTCTGTAAGCATCTGTGTCCTAATCTCTTCTTCTTAAAAGGATACCAGTGGATTGGGGCCCACCCCAATGGACCTCATTTCAACTTAACCATCTCTTTAAAAGACTCTATCTCCAAATATAGTCACATTCTAAGGTATTGGGAGTTATGACTTCAAAATACAAATTTGGGGAGTAAGAAGGGTGGTGGGGAATGCAGTTCAGCCAGTAACACTCTTCTGTTCTTTCTCCCTAATCTGCTATATCTGACTTCTTCAGGATCAAGCTAGGTAAGAGAGATGAGGGTTCAAATGCAAATGCCTTTTAATTTAGCTGATGCTGTTGGATATTCTGCTAAGGCTGTTTGGTCATTCTACTGAATGCTAGGTGAAACAACACCTAACATGAGTTATCTCCACTTAAAAAAACAGAGATTAACACAAGGATTCTTGTTGTGGAACCAATTTTGCTCACCTCTTTATCAGGTCCTCAGGATGATGTAGCTCTTTGTTTCAATGGGAGGGTATTGTCACCTATTGTTCTCAGCTTTGAGATCCATCCTGAAACACAAATCATTAAAATCCAATTCACTTCCTGTGTCACTTCAATTGCTTTTTGCTTTGAAAGTATTGTTTCTGTGACATGTTCCCACTTCTCCCTCATTGATGACCTACACATTCTTGGCAGGCTTCCCTGTAAAGTCTTTGTGTATTCCCTCAACCAGAGTTTCAGAATTAATTGATTTCACTCCTTGTTAAAGCATCTGTCTTATATTACAGATAATTGTATTTGCATCTTCTCTATCAGATTGCAAGTTCTTGTTGGCAGAGAGTTGAGGAGAATTCAAAGTGTGAAGAAAGAGGAGAGATAGTGAAATTAAATTGAGATAAACTATATCATGAGCTGTATTCAGCATCCAACTCCAAGGGCAATAAATTTTTTTTGTTGGTCTAACTAAGAGAATTTTTTGGTATGTGTGTTCTTTGTGTTCTTCCAAATAGTGACTTGCATAATTCCTTCTGTAGCAGTTAATATTGTCAAAATTGTGCTAAAATGTTGGTGGTTTTGTAAAGACACCTGCAAGACCTGAATCCTGTCCTTCTAAGAGTTCTTACTTCCCTAGAGTTTCTATGGAATTAAACACTCAAAGATCAATGATAGTTTGCAAGTTGAAGTATCTTTTTATTAATACCTGCACAGGTGCCTAATGTCACAAGGCAGAACTCTGATGACATCTGAGGTCGAAGCATGTAAACTTGGCTTGAAATATGAGCAGATCCTCTTCTTAAATGTCTTAATGCAATATTTAAAATTTTTAATGGTTATATTTAATTTTTAATTGACAAATAATAATTGTATATATTTATGGGGTACAATGTGATGTTTTGATACATGTATATTTCTTGGAATGATCAAATCAGACTAATCAGCATATCTGTCACCTCAAACATTTATCATTTCTTTGTGATGAAAACATTTCAAAATCTTCTTTTTTGGCTAATTTGAAGTGTGCAATACATTATTATTAACTATAATCACCTTGCTGTGCAATAGAAGACCAGAATTTATTCTTCCTATTTAACGATAACTTTGTACCCATTGACCAATGTCTCCCCTTTCTCTGTACACCCTATTCCCCAGCCTCTACTAACCACCTTTCTACTTTCTACTTCTAGGAGTTAGACTTTTTTAGATTCCACATATAAGTGAGATGGTACAATATTTCTCTCTCTGTACCTGGCTTATTTCACTTAAAGTAATATCCCCTGGGTTCAGCCATATTGCTACAAATGACAGAATTTCCTGTTTTTTTTTTTTTTTTTTTTTTTTTTTTAAGGCTAATAGTGCTTCATTGTGTATTTATACAACATTTTAAATTCCATTCATCCTTTGATGAACACTTAAGCTTTTTTTCATAGCTTGGCTATTGTGAATAATACTGCAATGAACTGGGTGTGCAGGCATCTCTTTGGCACACTGATTTCAATTCCTTTCAGCATATACCCAGTAGAGGGATTGCTGGATCATATGGTAATTAAATTTTTAGTTTTTTGAGGTGTCTCCATACTGTTTTCAAAAATGGTTGTACTAAGTTACAATACCACCAACGTTGTATAAAAAGGGTTCCCTTTTCTTCACATCTTCATGAACACTTGTTATCTCTCATCTTTTTCATAGTAGCCACTCTAGCCGGTTTTAATTGGCATTTTTCTGATCATTCAAGATGTTGAACATTTTTCCATATATGTGTTGATCATTAGTATGTTTTCTTTTGAGAAATATATCTATTCAAGTCTTTTATCCACTTAAAAATGGAGTTATTTGTTTTCTTTTCATTGAGTAGTTTGAGTTCCTTATACATTTTGGATATTAGCCTCTTATTTGATGTATGATTTACAAACATTTTCTCCAAACCCATGGTTTGTCTCTTCTCTATATTATTTCATTTGCTGTGCAGAAGCTCTCTAATATAATGCAATCTCATCTGTCTATGTTTGTTTTTGTTGCCTGTGCAATAATATTTGGGGTCTTATCCAAGAAATCTCTGCCCAGACCAATATCGTGGAGCTTGTCCTCCAAATTTTCTTCTACTAGTTCTATAGTTACACATCTTATGTTTAAGTATTTAACCCATTTTGAGTTGATTCTTGTATAAGGAGTGAGATAAGAGTCCATTTTATTGTTTTATATGTGAATATCCAGTTTTTCCAATATCATTTGTTGAAGAGACTATCCTTTCTGTACTGTGTATCTTCTTGGCACCTTTGTCCAAAATCAATTGACTGTAAATGTGTGAGTTGTTTCTAAGCTTTCTATACTATTTTATTGGTTAATGTGTCAGAATCATGCTGTCTTAATTACTATAGCTTTGTAATATATTTTTAAATTCTATAGTACGTTGTCTCTAGCTTTGCTCTTTTTAGTCAAGATTGTTTTGTCTATTTGGGGTCTTTTGTGGTTCCACGTGAATTTTAAGGGTTTTTAAAAATATTTCTATGAAGAATGACATGTTATTTTGATAGAGATTGCATTGAATCTGTAAATTTTGGGGGGGTCATATGGACATTTTAACAATATTAATTGTTCCAATCCGTGAACATGGGATATGTTTGCATTTATTTTCATCATCTTCTATTTTTTTCAATGTTTTATAGTTTTCACTACATATATTTTTCACATCCTTGATTAAATTTACTCCTAAATAATTTTTTGATGCTATTGTAAGTAAGTTTGCTTTCTTAATTTCTGTTTCAGAAAGGTTATCGTTACTGTAGAGAAATTTTACTAATTTTTGTAAGTTGATTTGTATCCAAGCCACTTAATGAGATGGGAAAGATTTTGGATAGGAATGGGTTTGGGGGTAAGAAGAGTTCACTTAGGAATGTCTGAAGTTTGAGATACCTATTAGATACAAAGTGGAAGTGTTATTAAGCTCTTGGATAAAAACCTGGTGTCGGAAGAGATACAGGCCAGATATAAAGTTTCAGAAGTCATCAATAAAGAGTTAATATTTAAAGTCATGAGATTGCATGAGATCATCAAAACGGTGTAGGAAGAAAAGAAAAAAGCTTTCATGACCTCTTGTATTGTTGAACCACCACTATTTCAGATGTGTCTGTAGTGAAGAAATGTTGAGGTTCTTATATTAGAACTTGTTGTAGTCTTTTTGACTGTGTCACAGGTGTGGTTGGTTAAGCCAAAGACCTGATCCAATTCATAAAATGAAATAAAATAGAAATGAGTGAAGAATAACCTAAATGTTAAAATAAAATCCCCAGTGGGACATTGTTATTTACTCACCAACATCCATTCCACCTCAACTAATTAATCTAAACTAACCATGATAATCCCATTCCCTTGTCAGTAAAGACTTAATGGTGGCCAGGCCCAGGACAATTTTGGTAAATGAAAAGCAAGAAGTTTGCCAAGGTCATAGGAGAATAGAGCTTTTAGAATCTTAGAGAAAACTATGGGAAGGACAGTGACATGGTTTGGCTGTGTCCCTACCCAAATCTCATCTTGAGCTGTAGTTCCCATAATCCCTACATGTCATGGGAAGGGCCTGGTAGGAAGTGACTGGATCATGGGGGCAGTTTCCCCCATGCTCTTCTTGTGATAGTGAGTGAGTCCTCTCAAGATCTGATGGTTTTATAAGCATCTGGCATTTCCTCTGCTGTCACTCCAAACTGCTGCCCTGTGAAGAAGGTGCCTGCTTCTCCTTTGCAATCCACCATGATTGTAAGATTCCTGAGGCCTCTCCAGTAGTGTGGAACTGTGAGTCAATTAAACTTCTTTCCTTCATAAATTACCCAGTCTCGATGTTTTTTCATAGCAGCGAGAGAATGGACTAATACAGGAAGCTATGTTTTTTGTCTTTCCCACTGGGTATAAACAAGCAAGTTTATATGGTTCTACTTCTATGTCTTACAAATATGAGTGTAACCAACCTTGGGATGAAACTGACCCTGTAGATGAACCAGGAGAGACCTGGGTCCCCAATGACATCATTGACTTGCAAAATTAACCAACACAGAAATCAATCCTACTATTGTGTGAGCTGATAAATGTCCTCATTTCTTAAGCCAATTTCAGTTATTTTTCCTGTTACTTGCAGCCAAAAGTAACTAATGAATGCATCATATGTACAGTAAAATATAAATCATCTCTAGCCTCTTTAAGGCTATAAAATGAATATTGGAGCTAAATTTATTTGGGGTAATTGCATTATTCATAGAAGTCTGTGATAGTTTTCCTAAAATAATTGGCTTTTGTTTGACATCAGAGCATATTTCATACATAATCAAATTAGGTTAATTTCAAAGGAAAAATCTCCATAATTTTTTAATAGCTTAATAACATCAAATAATGACAAGGAACAGGGAGTGAAGGACAGTACTTCCAAATGAAATAGATAATAAAGACTTGAGAGTAGAAAAAAAGTTACAGAGGCCAGGCATAGTGGCTCATGCCTATAGTCCCAGCACTTTGGGAGGCTGAGGTAGGCAGATCACTTGAGCCCAGGAGTTTGAGACCAGCCTGGGCAACATGGTGAAACCTAGACCCTACAAAAACACACAATGAAGTTAGTCAGGTGTGGTGGAGCATGCTTGTAGTCCCAGCTACTCGGGAGGCTGAGGTGGGAGGATCATCTGAACCCAGGAGGTCGAGGCTGTGGTGAGCTGAGATCGCGCCACTACACTCCAGCCTGGGTGGAAGAGTGAGACAGAAAAAGAGTGAGAAAGACAGAGAAAGAATGAGAAAAAGAAAAGGAAATGGGAAAAAAAAAGAGAAAAGACAAAGAAAATGGTTGTCAGAATCAGTTGAGGGACCTGTCAGTCCCTCATTGTCCCTGGACGCCTATTGTCTTTAGAGTCTATGCAATTCATTGGACACCTGGGATTACCTGTGGCCCAGCACATTTTAGTAATCAGCATTATAATTATAGAAAAACATGAGCTGCAAGAAGTAGCTGTAATACATATCTTGTTTTATTTTTCTAATATCCTCCGCTCTAGGTATAATCATATAACAAATGAGGAAACTGAGGGTCAAAGAAACCCAGTAACTTTCCAATGTTACCTCCTTGCCAGCACCAGTAAGTCCATATTTAGCAGTGAATCCTAATTATTTAGTCCCAAACCTAAATGGGCCTGGCACATTGGGGAACTCATTGGAGACTTATTGAGTGAATGACACAGTCCTCTTTAATTGTGACATTAGACTTCACAGTGCACAGCGTCAAATTTCAGTCCTTGGCCAATTTACTACATTATCATCTTCCCTAGATGATGATTGTTAGGACCTTTGAATAAAAATAATTGAATATTTCACCAAATAATCTCTTTTTATACTGACACTGACGTTGTGCCTAACAACCCTACATACTGTCACCATGAAAACACACTGTCCTTAGTCCCATTCAGACCATTAGACATACATTATAAATAGAATATTCAGCTTCATTTCATCCAAAGTTGCCTTAACTTTTTTTATAATAAAACCAGAGATACAAAAATATTAAGTTTTGTTTTAAAACTCATACTATGAGTTTTTTATTTAATTCATTCACACAGTCATGTGAGACCTCTTATGATTCTTTAGTATTTAAGAACGATTTTAATCCCTTAACAAGTACCAGAGCATCTACTATCTGGTAGGTGTTAAAATTAGGTGTCAGAAACACAAAGATAAGCAAAATCACCTTTCCTTCCCTCAGGACAATAACAATACAATAGCTGATATAGTTTTATATATATATATATATATATATATATATATATATATGAATCTATAAACTTAAGATTAGAGATAGTATGGTCACATAGCTTTACACTCATTTCCTCTAACACAACCAACTAGCAATGTCTCCTTACATTTGCATTTTGTTTTAGATTTTACTCTGAGAATTTCACAGTAAATGATAAATAACACTGAAGAGTTTATAACTCATCAAGTGACAAGCCAGCCAAATTAGGGGGAAAGAAAATGCAGTGTGTTAATTCCAATCAGTGGGTTGTCTTTGCTGTATTTCAAAATACATTTCGTAAAGAAACCTCTTCCTTTCTTTCATGAAATAAAATGTTTCTGGAAAGTTTTTTCAGAATAAAAGTCTACATTATTTAATTATATTACATATTCAGTATTAGTTATTTTCATGTGCGTCCGTGTGAAGAGACCACCAAACAGGCTTTGTGTGAGCAACATGGCTGTTTATTTCACCTGGGTGCAGGTGGGCTGAGTCCGAAAAGAGAGTCAGGGAAGGCAGATAAGGGTGGGGCCGTTTTATAGGATTTGGGTAGGTAAAGGAAAATTACAGTCAAAGGGGTTTTGTTCTCTGGCAGGCAGGAGTGGGGGTCACAAGGTGCTCAGCGGGGGTGCTTTCTGAGCCAGGATGAGCTAGGAAAAGGACTTTCACAAGGTAATGTCATCACTTAAGGCAAGGACCTTCCATCTACACTTCTTTTGTGGTGGAATGTCATCAGTTAAGGTGGGGCAGGGCATATTCACTTCTTTTGTGATTCTTCAGTTACTTCAGGCCATCTGGGCTTATACGTGCAAGTCACAGGGGATGCGATGGCTTGGCTTGGGCTCAGAGGCCTGACATTCCTGACTTCTTATATTAATAAGAAAAATAAAACAAAATAGTGTTGAAGTGTTGGGGTGGCGAAAATTTTGGGGGGAAGGTATGGAGAGAGAATGGGCGATGTTTCTCAGGGCTGCTTCAAGCAGGATTAGGGGCGGCGTGGGAACCTAGAGTGGGAGAGATTAAGCTGAAGGGAGGTCTTGTGGTAAGGGGTGATATTGTGGGGTTGTTAGAAGAAACATTTGTCGTGTAGAATGATTGGTGATGGCCTAGATACTGTTTTGGATGAATTGAGAAACTAAATGGAATAACAGAAGGAGATAAACAGGTATAAAAGGTCTAAGAATTGGGACGACTCAGGATATCTGATTAGAGAGTGCCTAAGGAGATTCAGCATAGTCCTACCAGCAAAGATTATTTATTTACTACAAGAGTTAAGAGTGGCAGTTTGGGGACAGCACCAGGAGATATCAGCTGTGATGGCTTGGAAAAAGTGTAAACTGGCAGTGTAAACAAGAGCAGGGCATGTATGAGTAGTTGAGAATGGTGAATAGGAGTATGACTAGACAGAAGATAGTAGGCATGACAAGTTTTTTGGGCACAGTCTAAGTTGGTCTGGTGTCTGGAATGAGACTGGGGCCTAATAAAAAGGAGCGTCTATACAGGAGCTTAAATGGGCTGTATCCTGTAGCATTCCGAGGACAGGCCTGAATTCTGAGAAGGGAAAGTGGTAAAAGTATTGTCCAGTCCTTTTTAAGTTGGTGGCTGAGCTTGGTGAGGTGTGTTTTTTAAAAGACCTTTAGTCTATTCTACTTTTCTTGACGACAGAGGACCGTAAGGGATATAAAGGTTTCACTGAATACTAAGAGCCTGAAAAACTGCTGGCTGATTTGACTAATAAAGGCTGGTCTGTTATCAGACTGTATTGAGGTGGGAAGGCTAAACTGAGGAATTATGTCTGACAGAATGGAAGAAATGACTGCGGTGGCCTTCTCAGACCCTGTAGGAAAGGCCTCTACCTATCCAGCGAAAGTGTCTACCTAGACTAAGAAGTATTTTAGTTATCTGACTTGGGGCATGTTGAGTAAAGCTAATTTTCCAGTCCTGGGTGGGAGCAAATCCTCGAGCTTGATGTGTAGGGAAGGGAGGGGGCCTGAATAATCCCTGAGGAGTAGTAGAATAGCAGATGGAACACTGAGAAGTTATTTCCTTGAGGATAGATTTCCACAATGGAAAGGAAATGAGAGGTTCTGAGAGGCGGGCTAGTGGCTTGTACTATAGCATAGCCTGCCTTTGCTGGTGTGTGGCGATTAGGCCTGGTGGAACCGCCATCAATAAATCAACCGTGATCAGGGTGAGGAACAGGAAAGAAGGAAATTTGGGGAAATGGGGTGAATGTCAGGTGGATCAGAGAGATACAGTCATGGGGGTCAGGTGTGGTATCCAGAATAATGTGAGAGGCCGGATTGAAGTCTGGGCCAGGAACAACGGTAATTGTGGGAGACTCAACAAAGAGTGAGTACAGCTGAAGGAGCCGGGAAGCAGAAAGTATATGGGTCAGGTATGAGGAAGAAAATAGGTTTTGGAAGTTATGAGAACTGTAGAGAGTGAGTTGAGCATAGTTTGTGATTTTTAGGGCCTCTAAAAGTATTAAAGCAGCGGCAGCTGCTGCACACAGACATGAGGGCTAGGCTAAAACAGTAAGGTCAAGTTGTTTGGACAGAAAGGCTACAGGGTGCGGTCCTGGCTCTTGTGTAAGAATTCTGACCGCACTAACCATGCCTAGGAAGGAAAAGAGTTGTTGTTTTGTAGAAGGTGCTTGGGTTTGAGAGATCAGTCCAACACAATTGGCAGGGAGAGCACATGTGTTTTTATGAGAATTATGCCGAGATAGGTAACAGATGAGGATGAAATTTGGGCTTGATTGAAGTAATGGGGGCTGTCTGTGAAGCTTTGCGGCAGTACAGCCTAGGTAATTTGCTGAGCTTGATGGGTGTCAGGGTCAGTCCAAGTGAGAGATCTCAATAATGGGTTGTAGAGGGAGGTACTGAGGATAGGAGAGTATATGGGTTTGGCACCACGGGGTGGATAGGCAAAACAATATGGTTGATAAGGCGCAGATCCTGAACTAACTTGTAAGGCTTGTCTGGTTTTAGGACAGGTAAAATGGGGGAATTGTAAGGAGAGTTTATAGGCTTTAAAAGGCCATGCTGTAGCAGGCGAGTGATAACAGGCTTTAATCTTTTTAAAGCGTGCTGCGGGATGGGATATTGGCGTTGAGTTGGGTAAGGGTGATTAGGTTTTAATGAGATGGTAACGGGTGCATGATCGGTCGCCAAGGAGGGAGTAGAGGTATCTTATACTTGTGAGTTAAGGTGGGGGGATACAAGAGGAGGACGCAAAGGAGGCTTTGGATTGGGAAGAAGGGCAGCAATGAGATGTAGCTGTAGTCCAGGAATAGTCAGGGAAGCAGATAATTTAGTTAAAGTGTCTCAGCCTAATAAGGGAACTGGGCAGGTGGGGATAACTAAAAAGGAGTGCTTAAAAGAGTATTGTCTAAGTTGGCACCAGAGTTGGGGAGTTTTAAGAGGTTTAGAAGTCTGGCCGTCAATACCCACAACAGTTATGGAGGCAAGGGAAACAGGCCCTTGAAAAGAAGGTAATGTGGAGTGGGTAGCCTCTGTATTGATTAAGAAGGGGATGGACTTACCTTCCACTGTGAGAGTTACCCGAAGCTCGGCGTCCGTGAGGGTCTAGGGGGCTTCCGAGGGGATCGGGCAGTCAGTCTTCAGCCGCTAAGCCCAGAAGATCTGGGAAGGAGTCAGTCAGAGAGCCTTGGGCCAGAGTTCCAGGGGCTCTGGGAGTGGCTGCCAGGTGAGTTGAACAGTCCGATTTTCAGTGGGGTCCCACACAGATGGGATGCAGCTTAGGAGGAATCCTGGATTGTGGGCATTCCTTGTCCTGGTGGCCAGATTTCCAGCACGTGTAGCAAGCTCCTGTGGGAGGAGGTTCTGGAGGAACACCTGGCTGCTGCGGTTCAGGCGTTTGGAAGTTCTTGTGTGCTGGAGATGTGGCTCAGGTTTGTCTCACAGTGGAGGCAAGGAGTTGCAACTTTTTTCTATTATTGTAACCTTGAAGATGAGGTTAATTAAATCCTGTTGTGGTGTTTGAGGGCTGGAATTTAATTTTTGGAGTTTTATTTAATGTTGGGAGCAGATTGGGTAATAAAATGTATTTTGAGAATGAAACGGCCTTTTGCCCTTTTAGGGTCTAGGGCTGTAAAGCGTGTCAGGGTTGCTGCCAAACAAGTCATGAACTGGGCTGGATTTTTATATTTGATGAAAAAGAGCCTAAACGCTATCTGATTTGGGATAAAGAAAAAGGAGCATTAACCTTGACTATGCCTTTAACTCCAGCCACCTTTTAAAGAGTAAATTGCTGAGCAGGACGGGGAGGGCTAGTCACAGAATGAAACTAAGCCGGACCAGGTGTGAGGAGGGGAGGTGATAAAAAGATTATAGGGTGGAGGAGCAGAGGCTGAGGAAGAATTGGGACCTAGCTCGGCCTGGCGAGGAGTAGCCTGGGGAGGAAGGGAGAGGTCAGATGGGTCTGTAGAAAAGGAAGATTAGAAAGACTCAGCGACGCTTGGGGTTGGGACTGAGGGGACAGGCGGGAGGGAAAGGAGGAAGATTCGGGACAAGTTGCACTGGGCACAGAGACTAGGAAGGGACTGATGTGTAAAAGAATGCCTGGACATTCAGGCACCTCAGACCATTTGCCTATTTTACGACAAGAATTATTTAGATCTTGTAGGATGGAAAAATTCAAAGTGCTATTTTCTGGCTATTTGGAACTACTGTCGAGTTTGTCTTGGGGTCAAGTGGCATTGCAGAAGAAAATAAGGCATTTAGGTTTTAGGTCAGGTGTGAGTTGAAGAGGTTTTAAGTTTTTGAGAACACAGGCCAAGGCAGTAGAAGGAGGAATGGAGGGTGGAAGGTTGCCTATAGTGAAGGAAGCAAGCCTAGAGAGAAGAGAGAGTAGAGAAACGGAAGGGGTTCGGGGGTTCTTATCTTCCAGAAAAGGGGTTGGGGCACAGAGATAAGAGGTCAGGGCATGGAAATAAGGGATTGAGGTGCAGAGATATAAGAGGGTGGGGTGCGGAAATAAGGGATTGGGGTGCAGAGATACGAGGTTGGGGCATGGAAATACGGGATTGGGGCAGAGAGATAAGAGGTCAGGGTGCGGAAATAAGGGATTGGGGCACAGAGATAAGAGGTCGGGGTGCAGAAATAAGGGATTGGGGTGCAGAGATAAGAGGTCAGGGCACAGAAATAAGGGATTGGGGTGCAGAGATTTAAGAGGTCATCTGGGCATATCCGTGCAAGTCACAGGGGATGCGATGGCTTGGCTTGGGCTCAGAGGCCTGACAGTTATCATCTTTCAGATTTTTCTAGGGATAAGGAGGGTATGCAGAGCTGGCTGGGATTGGTAATAATAATAATGACAATAATAGTGTGAGAGGAGTTTGAACCAGAGCAACTCCATCTTGAATAGGGGCTGGGTAAAATGAGGTTGAGACCTACTGGGCTGCATTCCCAGAGGTTAAGGCATTCTAAGTCACAGGATGAGATAGGAGGTCAGCACAAGATACAGGTCATAAAGACCTTGCTGATAAAACAGGTTGCAATAAAGAAGCCAGCTAAAACCCACCAAAACCAAGATGGCGAGAGTGACCCCGGTCATCCTCACTTCAACACTCCCACCAGTGCTATGACAGTTTACAAATGCCATGGCAACGTCAGGAAGTTATCCTAGATAGTCTAAAAAGGGAAGGCATAAATAATCCACCCCTCGTTTAGCATATCAAGAAATAACCATAAAAATGGGCAACCAGCAGCCCTCGGGGCTGCTCTGACTATGGAGTAGCCCTTCTTTTATTCCTCTACTTTCCTAGTAAACTTGCTTTCATTTTACTCTATGGACTCGCCCTGAATTCTTTCTTGCATGAGATCTGAGAACCGCCTCTTGGGGTCTGGATTGGTACCACTTTCCTGTAACAATAATTACTATTGAGCACTTAGTATGTGTTAGGCATGGTCATCTGTCTACTTATATTTATCAACTAATTTAATTCTTACAATAATCTAATGAGGTATGTACTTCTACCATTAGCCCCATTTTAAAGATAAGAAACATGGGGCTTTAAAAGATTAAATAATTTGTCTAGCTCCTAAATGGTAGAGGCAAAATGGAGGAAATTCTGGATCTTATTGGTACTCAAACTTGTTAGTAAAAGGTCTATACTTTTGTTTGTTCTCAAAGTAATAGCAAAATTTGTACTACGGGTGATTATTTTTTAAAGCAAAGACATTCTAGTCCCTTGCCAGACATCTTGGGTTATTAATTTTTCTCTTATTATGAGTAAAACCTATTTCCTGTGGCTCTATAGTACTAATAGATCTCCAGCCAGGTTCTGGAACCAGAAAACTACCCCTGAGGTCATTGTGGTGTTGATGTTTCTATTCAGACCTTCTCCTTTCGTGTCCGGGAGCCCTGTTTTGCATCCTTGCCTCACAATGCCTGCTAATGACTCCAGGTGGCAATGATGCAATGGGCTTTGCTTAATTAGCCCATTAGCAGCCAGCACGGCTGTGGGTGGAAGAGAAAACAACTCTCAGTTTGGGGTGAAATGAAAATGCATACTGTACATGAACGCAATGGAAAGAATTAGGAATATAACTCTGGAAGTCATTATTTCCTTACAGACCCCATACTGTAAAAATCTCATTAAAATATTTTATCCTCATCTTTCTATGACTGAGAAACATAATGTTCAAAACAGAAGACAACAATCCTGAAACTAAAACCTGAGTTAATGGGAAAAATTAAGTTTTATTCAGAGTCCTGTAAATGGGGCAAGAAAGAAAAATTAGAATTTAAAAAGAAAAACAGCTTTTTAGTGCTTCAGAGTTAATGAGTAAACCCCTAAAATCCTGGCCACTTGAAAGCAACTTGGATAAACAGCCAGAAGCCTGAGACTAGCTAGAGAGCAGCTAAATTATTCTAATTTGTGACTACCAGGAGAAAATGCACATTGCTGTACAAGATTTGTGTCTTGCTAGGGTGATTAATATATGGGCTAACTCCAGAACACATAATTGGATGGCCTAGGCCAGGGTTTCTCAACCTTGGCACCTTTGCTATTGTTGGCTGGGTAATTATTTATTGTGTGTCTCATGTTTAGCAGCATCCCTGGCCTCTACCCACTAGATGTCAGGAGCATATCCCCTCCCTGGGCTTTGACAATCAAACGTGTCCCTAAATGTTGCCAAATGTCCCCTTGATATGGACAGGAGGCAGGGAATTACTGGGTAGAAGAGGGCCGTTCCCCGGCAAAGGCCCCACTCTCAAGACTGGAAACCCACAGCCCTAAATGGCAACAGGCATTCCTGGTTTTGTGCCCAAATGTTGCCTTTTGGCCCACTACCTTCCCCTGTCCAATACCCATATAAACCCCAAACCCCAGGCTCAATGGGCAGACAAGCAGAAGAGTGGCAAGGCAGAGAAGGAGAGAAGAAAGGGAACATCTGAACCTCGAGAGGAGTTTGGCTGGGGACGATCGGAGAGGAGACTGGCTGTGGGACGGCCAAATTCCAGAGGAAGATCATCTTCCCACTCCATCCCCTTTCTAGCTCCCCATCCATCCCACTGAGAGCCACTTCCATCACCCAATAAAATCCCCACATTCTCCATCCTTCAAGTGTGTGTGTGACCTGATTCTTCCTGACACTGACAAGAACCTGGGTACCAAGAGGGCAGTGTGCTGGTTAACAAGCTGTCTGTGGATAGGAGAGCTAAAAGAGCACAGTAGCAGGCCCACCAGGGCTTCAAGAGTCACAGGCACACACCCCTAGACATTGCTGCAAGGCCCACATGCACAGGGTTTGCTACTGCCAGCACCCAAAAGCGCTCACCCAGGTTCCTGCTCCTGTCCATCTGTGTGCTCTCCCTCCCATAAGGGGTTCAAGCACATCTCTTGCAAGGGGGGTCAGGGAACTCTCCTGTTTTACCCTGTGGGGCAAAACCACCTCCAGTTGAGAACAACAGCTAAGACATTTCTCTTTCAAGCTCCTACTTCATATGGTGCCTCAGCGGATTCTTCTTCAGGAGTCCTCACTACACAGTATCAGCCCAGTAAGAAGGACTTTTACACTCCTTCAGATGGCTTTGAATCCCAACTTTTTTACCTACTAGCAATGTAGCTTTATTCAAATTATAAAATAATAATATTAGCAGTTATTTACTTAGTGTTTAATCATTTTCTTATTCAACCAAAATGTTCCAATGGAGTCAGGAAATCTACTACATTCTAGGGATACAGTTTTTGAGCAAAAATAATACTGACTCTGATTCATGGAATTTACAGCCTAGTGATAAGATAGATATTAATCAAACAACTGCCCCTGTAAGTACATAATTACCCAGTCAGATGAGCACTATGAAGTAAAGTCATGGCATTAGCATGTGCATAGGTCCTAGGATTGTAGAAAAAAAAATTCTAAAGATTAGCATGGTTTAACCACAGAGAGCATGTTTACCATACACCAAATACTCTGCTAAACACTTCCTATATGATAACATAGATTAGGTGCATGTGGCAAGACAGAGGAACTGTGAATACACTTATTTTACACATGCAGGTCAGAGAAGTTGTCACTTAGCCAAGGTTACAGGATTCAAGAGTGGGAAAGCTGGAATTTAAAGCCAGATTCAAAACTTCAGAGCCTATGTTCTTTAATTACTCATGTAATTACTTCTTCTTTACACCACCTTATAGTTTTTTTGCTCTGTAAACCAAAAATAAAATTCTAAGGCCCCCCAACCATCTGAATGACCCCCTCCTCTTGACCCTCCTCCTCCAAAATTAACCTGAAAAACTTCAGGCCATGATGATAAGGGGGAACTGGACATGCCTCATTATACCCTCCTCCCTTTTGAAATTACTGATAGAACAGACTCTAAGTCTAGCAAGAAATATTTACAATCTATTTTTTCTGAAGCCTGCTATGATGAAACTTTGGTCTCCACAACCCCTTATCATAGCCTAGATATTTCTGTCTATTAATAATAACTCTTCCAACTAATTACCAATCAGAAAATCTTTGATCCCATCTATGACTTGGAAGCCCCACTTCCAGTTGTCCCACCTTTCTATACCAAAACAATGTATATCTTACATGTTTTGACTGATGCCTTGTGTCTCCCTAAAATGTTAAAACTAAAGTTGTGGCCCAACCACCTTGGGCATATGTTCTCAGAATCTTCTGAGGGCTGCATCATGGGCTGTTGGTCACTCATATTTGGCTCAGAGTAAATCTCTTCAAATATTTTACAATTTGACTCTTTTCATCAACAGTTTGATTTATTTTTAATAATAATGCATTTTAGATATGCACAAAGATATAGAGCATTGTAGAATAAATACCCATATATCCATCATTCTGCTTGAGAAATCAATTGTTACTAATATAATTAGAACCTCTTGTGTACTACTTCCTGATCCCAATACTCTCTCTAAACCATATTCTCCAGAGGTAACGATCAACTTGAATCTGATGTGTTACCTTTCTCATATCTTTACACCTTTGCTACATATATTTGTAACTGACCTAAAAAAATAGAGTATTGTAAAGTTTTAAACTTTATAAAATTATATCATAATATGTGTATTATTCTGTAACTTACTTTACATGCTTTCTTTGGAGGTTATCCATGCTGATACATGAAGCACTAGTTCTTTCATTATCATTGCTGTACGGGATTCAATGTATAAAAAAGTCAATTTATCTAATAATCCACTTATTGCTGAACTGTACTGTTTTCAAGTTTTTTACTGTTATAATGCTATGCTAATATTCTTGTACATATCCTCTTACACACGTCTGTTTCTCTGAAGACTATACCTAGTTATTGCTAAAGAGTATAAGCATGGTCAATTTTACTGGACATTGCCAACTTGATCTTGAAAGTGATATCGACTTAGAAACTCTAAGCAAATATGTAAGAGCTCTCCTTGTTACATGTCTTCTCCAAACTTAGTACTTTGTCAATCATATATTATTATGTATTTTGCAGTCTGTAGCCTGTCATTTCACTTTATTTATTATGCCTGTTGTTATGCAAAACTTAATTCTAACATAGTTAAATCTACCAGTCTTTTTATTCATGGTTTGTGATTTTTGTGTCTTGTTTGCTGAAACCATAGAAATTAATGATTTATTGTAGTTCTTTACATATTTGGACTTTATGCCTTGTTAGCTATACATATTGTTTTCATTGTAATTTTATCTTTAAGTCTTTTATTTGTTATTTTGCCCTTTTTCTTATTTTTTGAAGTTAAATTTTTGATTTTTATGGATTTAGGGATACAAGTACAGCTGTTACATGGATATATTATATAATTATGAAATCTGGGCTTTTAGTGTACCCATCATCTAAATAGTGTACACAGTACCCAATAGATAGTATTTAATCTCTTACCCCTCTGCCACCTTCTCACGATTTGGAGTCCCCAATGTCTATTATTCGACTCTGTATGTCCAAGTGTGCCCATTTTTAGCTCCCACTTATAAGTAAGAACACGTGGTTTTTGATTTTCTGTTTCTGTGTCATTTCAGTAAGGATAATGGCTTCCATTTTAATACATGTTGCTGTAAAATATATGATTTCATTCTTTTTATAGCTCAGTAGTATTCCATGGTATAAATATACCACATTTTTAATCCAGTCATCCACTGATGGACACTGGGTTGATTCCATGACTTTGCTACTGTGAATAGTGCTACAATAAACATAAGAGTACAGACATATTTTTTATATAATAGTTTATTTTTCTTTGGGTAGATACTCAGTAGTGGAATTGCTGGATCAAAGAGTAGTTCTATTTTTAGTTCTTTGACAAATCTTCATACTGTTTTCCATAGTGGCCTTACTAATTTACATTCTCCCACCAGCAGTGTATAAAGCATTCCCTTTTCTCTGCATCCTCACCAACATCTGTTGGTTTTTGACTTAAAAAAAAATCATACTTATTTCTTTGTATTTTTAAAAACTTTTATTTTAGGTTTGGGGGTACATGTGAAGGTGTGTTACATAAGTAAACATATGTCACAGGGGTTTGTTGTACGTATGATTTCATCACTCATGTATTAAGTCCAGTACCCAATAGTTCTCTTTTCTGCTCCTCTTCCTCCTCCCACCCTCCCCCATCAAGTAGACCCCAGTGCCTGCTGTTTCCTTCTTTATGTTCATAAGTTCTTATCATTTAGCTCCCACTTATAAGTGAGAACATGTGGTATTTGGTTTTCTGCTCCTGCCTTAGTTTGCTAAGGATAATAGCCTCCAGCTTGACCCATGTTCCTACAAAAGACAAGATATTGTTCTTTTTTATAGCTGCATAGTATTCCACGGCATATATATACCACATTTTCTTTATCCAATCTGTCACTGATGGGCATTTGGGTGGATTCCATGTCTTTGCTATTGTGAATAGTGCGCAATGAACATTTGTGTGCATGTGTCCTTATGGTAGAATGATTTATATTCCCCTGGGTATATACCTGGTAATGAGATTGCTGGGTTGAATTGTAGTTCTGCTTTTACCTCTTTGAGGAATCACCAGACTGCTTTCTACAATGGCTGAACTAATTTACACTCCCACCAACAGTGTATAAGTGTTTCCTTTTCTCTGCAACCTCACCAGGACCTGTTATTTTTGGCTTTTTATAGTAGCTGTTCTGACTGGTGTGAGAGGGCATCTCATTATGGTTTCGATTTGCATTTCTCTAACGATCAGTGATATTGAGCTTTTTTTTCATATGCTTATTGGCGCATGTATGTCTTCTTTTGAGAAGTGTCTGTTCATGTCCTTTGCTCACTTTTTAATGGGGCTGTTTGTTTTTCTCTTGTAAACTTATTTAATTTCCTTATAGATGCTGGATATTAGATCTTTGTTAGATGCATAGTTTGCAAATATTTTCTCCCATTCTGTAGGTTTTCTGTTCACTCTGTTGATAGTTTCTTTTGCTGTTCAGAAGCTCTTAAGTTTGATTAGACCCCACTTATCAATTTTTGCCTTTGTTGCAACTGCTTTTGGTGTCTTTGTCTTGAAGTCTTTGCCCATTCCTATGTTCAGGACGGTATTGCCTAGGTTGTCTTCCAGGGTTTTTATAGCTTTGGGTTTTACATTTAAGTCTTTAATCCATCTTGACTAGATTTTTGTGTAAGGTGTAAGGAAGGGGTCCAACTTCAATCTTCTTCTGTGTATGGCTAGCCTGTTATCCAAGCACCATTTCTTGAATAGGGAGTCTTTTTCCCATTGCTTGTTTTTGTCAGCTTTGTCAATGGTCTTTTTTGACTTTTTAATCATAGCCATTCTGACTGCTTATCCAAGTAAGATAGTGTCTCATTGTGGTTTTAATTTGCATTTTTCTGATAATTAGTGATACTGAGCATTTTTTATATGTTTGTTTGGTGTTTGTATGT
Source organism: Homo sapiens (assembly GCF_000001405.40). Taxonomy (NCBI): domain Eukaryota; kingdom Metazoa; phylum Chordata; class Mammalia; order Primates; family Hominidae; genus Homo; species Homo sapiens. Next base: position 131,516,302 of record NC_000006.12, read on the forward strand.
CTTCTTTTGAAAAATATCTGTTCATGTCCTTTGCCCACCTTTTAATGGAGTTACTTGTTTTTTACATCTTAAGTTGTTTGAGTTCCTTGTAGATTCTGAATAGTAGTCCTTTGTCAGATACCTTGTTTGCAAATATTTTCAACTTTTCTGTAGGTTGTTTACTTTGCTGATTATTTCTTCTGCTGTGCAGAAGTATTTTAGTTTAATTAAGTCCCATTTGACTATTTTTTGTTGCATTTCCTTTTGAGGAATTAGTCACAAATTCATTGCCTACACCAATGTTCATAAGAGTTTTTCCTAGGTTTTCTTCTAGAAGTTTTTTTTTTTTTTTTTTAAGTTTCAGGCCTTACATTTAAGTCTTTAATCCATCTTGAGTTAGTTTTTCTATATGGTGAGAGATAGGGGTTCAGTTTCATTCGTCTGCATATGGCTCTCCAATGATCTTAGCACCATTTATTGAATAGGGTGTCCTTTACTCAGTGTATATTTTTGTCAGCTTTGTCAAAGATCAGTTGGTTGTAGTCATGTGGTTTTATTTCTGGGTTCTCTATTTTATGATTTCTATTCTATTGATCTATGTGTCTATTTTTATACCATTACCATGCTGTTTTTGTTACTATAGCCCTGTAGTATAATTCAAAGTCAGGTAATGTTGATACCTCCAGCTTTGTTCTTTTTTTTTTTTTTTTTTTTTTTTCTGAGTTGGAGTCTCTCTCTGTCACCCAGGCTGGAGTGCAGTGGCGTGATCTCAGCTCACTGCAATCTCTGCCTCCAAGGTTCAAGCGATTCTCCTGCCTCAGCCTCCTGAGTGCTGGGATTACAGGCGTGTGCCACCATGCCTGGCTAATTTTTGTATTTTCAGTAGAGACAGGGTTTCACCATGTTGGTCAGGCTGGTCTCTGACTCCTGACCTCATGATCTGCCCACCTCAGCCTCCCAAAGTGCTGGGATTACAGATGTGAGCCACTGTGCCCACCCTGTTCTTTTTGTTTAGTATTGCTTTGGCTATTCAGATTCTTTTGTGGTTCCATATGAATTTTAGGATGATTTTTTTTCTTATTCTGTGAAGAATGACACTGGTAGTTCGATAGAAATTGCATTGAATCTATAGATTACTTTGGGCAGTATGGTCATTTTAACACTATTGACTCTTCCAATCCTTGAGGATGGGATGTTTTTCCATTTCTTTGTGTCCACCTTAATTTCATTGTTGACCCAACAATCATTCAGGAGCAGATTACTTAATTTCATGTATTTGTATACTTTCAAGAGTTCCTCTTGGTGTTGGTTTTCTAGTTTTGTTCCACTGTGGTCCAAGAAGATACCTGATATGGCTTCTATTTTTAAAAATATGTTGAGACTTGCATGTGGCCTAGAATATGGTCAATTTTTGAGAATGTTTCATATGCAGAAGAGAAGAATGCATATTCTGTGGTTGTAGGGTAGAAAGTCCTGTAAATGTCTGTTAGGTCCATTTGGTCTAGCATGTGATTTAAGTTCAGAATTTCTTTGTTGATTTTCTACCTTGATGATCTGTCTAGTGCTGTCAGTGGGGTATTGAAGTTCTCCATTATTACTGTATTGGTGTCTATTTTCTTTCTCAGGTCTAGTAGTATTTAAGAATCTGGGTGCTCTGGTGTTGCTATTGGGTGCATATATATTTAGAATTATTATCTCTTCTTGTTGAATTGATCCCTTTATCATTATATAATATGCTTCTTTGTGTTTTTTTTAACTGCTTTTGATTTAAAGTCTGTTTTGTCTGATTTAAGTATAGCTATCCCTGCTCACTTTTAGTTTCCATTTGTGTGAAGTATTTTTTCCACTCCTTTACTTTGAGTTTGTAAATATCTTTACCAGTTAGGTAGGTTTCTTGTATGCAGCATATCGTTGGATTTTGTTTTTAATCTGTTCCATCAGCCTATTTTTTTTTAATTAGAGCATTTATTTCATTTACGTTTAAGTCCATTTACATTTGAAATGTGAGGTTTTGTTCTTGTCATAATGTTAATTATTACCTAGTTGCTTTAAATTCTCAATTGTGTAATTGCTTTATGAGATACATGAGTTGTATACTTTCGTGTTTTTAGGAAGGTATCACCCTTTAATTTCCATGTTTAGAACTCCTTTGAGCATTTTTTGTAAGACCAGTTTAGAGGTGATGAATTCCCTGTGTTTGTCTGGGAAAGACTTTATTTCTCCTTCACTTATGAAGCTTAGTTTAGCAGGACATAAAATTCTTGGCTGGCATAACTTTTATTTAAGAAGAATGAAATTAAGACCCCAGCCTCTAATGGTTTGTAAGGTTTCAGCTGAGAAGTCTGCTGTTAATCTGCTGAGATTTCCTTTATAGGTAATTGTACTCTTCTCTCTTGCCACTTTCAGGATTTTTTCCTTCATGTTGACTTTGGATAGTCTGATACTTTCAGGATTTTTTCCTTCAGGTTGACTTTGGACAGTCCAATGACAATATGTCTTAGTGAGATTCTTCTTGCAATGTATTTTCCAGGAGTTCTCTAAACTTCACGTATCTAAATGTCTAGATCTCCAGCAAGACCAGGGAAGTTTTCCTGAATTATTTCCTCAACTATACTTTTTATACTTTTTACTTTTTCTTCTTCTCCTTCTGGAATACCTATAACTTGCAGGCTTGGTCCCTTTACATAGTTCCATATATCTCAAAGGCTTTGTTCACTATTATTAAGTTATTTTTTCTTTATTTTTGTCTGGCTGGGTTAATTCAAAAGACCTGTCTTCCAGGTCTAAAAGTCTTTTTTCTGCTGGGTAAAGTCTATTGTTGAAACTTTCAACTGCATTTTGTAATTTCTCCAACAAGTACTTTATTTCCAGAAGTTCTGTTTGGTTTTTGTTAATAATATCTATCTCTTATTTCATGTCCTAAATTTTTTTTTCCAATTTCTTTGTATTGGTTTTTACCTTTCTCTTGGATATCATTGAGCTTTTTTAAATTCAATATTTTGAATTCTTCATTTGGTCTTTCAACTATTTCATTTTGATTAGGATCTGTTGCAGGAGAATTATTGTGGTCCTTTGAGAGTATTGTAACACTCTGTTTTTTTTTTTCATACTTTCAGAATTGTTTCTCTGGTTCCTTCTCATCTGAATAAGCATTTTCTCCTTCTTATTTCTGAATTACTTTTGCTTGAATGGGACTTCTCCCCCCTCAAGCTGTCATGTGTGTTTTGTAGCATCCTTTGGGTTTGGTTCTGGGTGCTTTCAGCGGCAAAGGCTCTGTTTAGGTTCCATGGTTGTAGGTAATCTTTGTGTAGTGGATTTCTCAGATGCTGGTTGTAGTAGCAATGTACTGGGTATGTAAGCAGGCTCACTACCTCTTGAGAGGCTGGTATGGTGGAGGTCTCAGGAAGCTTATCTCATTCCCTAGTGCTGTGTGCTTGTGTCAACAGATTTTCTGTTGAGTTGTGCAGTTCATCCTTTAGGCCAGTGGGTGGCACTTATGGATAAGAGCTAATTGTGGCTGACACCGATATAGGCTTGATCTTTGTTTACCCTGAGATGTCTTCTGCTGCCTCATGCAATGGGCAATTTTGTGGAATGTACAGTGGTCTAAGCTCCCTGCTCACTCCCCAGATGGAGGTATCAAGCTGGGCAGGGCCAGACCAGCCAAGCCTGCCTATACATACCCCAATGGCAGGCATAAGTGCTAGGTTAAAAGGGAGTCTGGGAGGCAGCTGCCAACTGCCCATAGATGTGCCTGGGCATGGAGTGAAGAAATCTCCACTTCCCCAAGTTCTCTGCCCAGGAAAGGAGGGACAACCTAGACTCTCAATCTAGAAAAGTGGATGCTCCAAATGCCTGGAGATATGTCCAGGGTGAGCCAAATACCTGGAAATATGTCCCCCAGAGAGGAAAGGAGTACCTGCTGCAGAGTGGAGTAACTGCTGCTACAACAGGATCTTGGCGAGGGAGTGGGGAGTGGGTGTGGGGGTGGGAAGAGGCAGCTCAGGCTCCTATTTCAGGCAAGCAGGTACACTGAGTGACTGGAAATATACCCAGTTGTGAAGTGGAGGGTTTGCTGCTGCACCAAGTTCTTTGCAAGGGAAGGGAGGTGTGGTTCACACTCCAAATCCAGTCAAGCAGTGCTGGGGTCCACATGCCTCCACTGGTTGCTTGAAACTGGTGGGATAAATTCCTTCAACTAAGGGAGGAGCGTGGGGCACCTAGCAATGACACACGCAGATCAGGCCAGGCCACAGAGCTTTTCCTGGCTTCAAATCACACCGCCCAGGAGAAACCACAGCTTCAGCGCTCCCCTCCCACTCTAATCTGGTCACAGGAGACAGCCCAGTTCAGGCACTTACTTTTGGGGTACAGTCCACACTTGCCACTCAATTCTGGCTGTGGGGACACTTACCCCACTCCAGAGCAAGTGCTCCAATCTCTGATCAAAGAAGAAAATGCCTGTGATGGCCTCTGCTGCCAGGTGCCAAATAATAAGTGACTTTGTAAGAGACCGGATTGAAAAATGGCACCCTCCTGTCAGTCCTGGGTCTGGGAAAATGCCTATAGCTTAAAGTGGTGTCTTTCTGTCTCATTGTCTTCTGGCCTCTCTCCAAGTGAGATCCAGGGCTTGGGAAAAATAAGGTGTTCTCCTAAGGCCTTAGTTAGTGCTCTCCTAAGACCTATAGTTGTCTATAGCTTAAAGTGGTGTCTTTCTCTCTCATTGTCTTCTGGCCTCTCCCCAAGTGAGATCCAGGGCTTGGGAAAAATAAGGTGCTCTCCTAAGGCCTTAGTTGGATGCGTCTCTAGTAGAAAAGTGAATCATAGAGGAAGACTCTCTGCCTCTCTCATGGACTTGGACTTCATTCACTTTTGTCAGCCAAATGCCATCATGCAGTCTGCTTGTAAATCTTCTCTTCCCCAAGATCTGAAATGTCCTTCATTTTGAAAGGAAAATACACCCTTTTTCTTATCAATTTGTCAGTGGTACATGTTGCAAATATATTTTCCCTGTTTATAGCTTATCTTTTAATTTTTTATGTTTTTTTGGTTGAGCAAATGTCATTAATTTTGATGAAGACACATGTATAATCTTTTCCTTTATGATATGTGCATTTTACATCTTATTTAGGAGAAACTTTCTTACCCTCAAAGCCACAATGATGTTTTCTTCTAAAATGTTTAAAGTTTTATGTTTAAATGTAGGTCTATGATACACCTAGAGATGATATCTGTGTTGGTGGTGTGAAGTGGGCTCTAATTTCATATTTTTCCACATGGATAACTAATTGCCACAGCACCCCTCAAACCCACTGATTATTACTGTCGCCTCTGCCAAATAATCAGTAACCGAATACATATGAATCTGCCTCTGGGCTATCTCTTTTCTTTCATTTGCTTATCTTTCCTTTCTTGTCACATTTTCTTAATTTTTATAGATTTGTAAATCTTACTACCTAGCAGGGTATGTCTTGATCTTATTCAGTATTTTTTTTTGTATTCTCGACTCTTTATTTCTTTAAGGTAGATTTTAAGGTGAATTTTAAAGTTCTACCAAATCCTATTGGTATTCTTATTGGAATTACATTACATTTAGAGATTAATCTGAAAGAACCATTATGTTTTGATGACCCAAACATGAACATATACCCCTCTCTATTTATTTGCCTACTTTGATATTTTTCAGCAAAGTTTATAATTTTCTTCACAAGTCATGCACATATTTTGTTCAGATTATTTCTAAAGCCCTTATATTTTAAAACTTCATCTTTTAACTCTCTGTTGCTGACATGTAAACATGCAGATGAGTTTTACATATTGTTCTTATATGCATCAATCTTGCTGAATTCTTTGCTTAGGTCTCATAAGTGGACAGTAGATTTTCTTGGGCTTTCCATGCAGACAAATGTAACGTCTATGAAAGTGTTTCTGTTTTTTGTAAAAAATCTTTATCTTAGTCTATTTTATACAGCAATAACAAAATGCCATAGAGAGGATAATTTATAAAGAAGATAAATTTTGTTTGCTTTTTATTTTGTTATTGATACATAATTATACATATTTATGGGGTACATGCTATAGTTAGATACATGCATACAATGTGTAATTATCAAATCAAGGTAATTGAGATATCCATCACCTCAAATACTTATTATTTCTTTAGGTTGGGAACATTCTATATCTTTTCTTCTAGCTATTTTGAAACATACTATACGCTTTTGTTAATTATAATCACCCTATTATGCTATTAATCACTAGAACTCACTTCTTCTAACTATATTTTTGTAGCCATTGACCAACCTCTCTTTATCCTCATCTCCTTCCTACCTTCCTGGACTCTAGTAACCATCATTCTGCTCTCTACCTCCAGGTGATCAATTTTTTTTGGCTCCCACATTTGAGTGAGAATATGTGACATTTGTTCTGTGTCTTATTTATTCCACTTAACATAATGTTCTACAGTTCAGTTCCATCCATGTTGCCTCCAATGACAGGAGTTCATTCTTTTTTATGGCTGTATAATATTTCATTGTATATATACACCACGTTTTCATTTTCCATTCATCTGTTAATGGATACTTATGTTGATTCCACATCTTTGCTACTAGGAATAGTGCTGCAATAATCATGGGAGTGCAAACATCTCTTTGATACACTGATTTCCCTTTTTATTGGATACATACCCAGCAGTTGGATTGCTGGATCATATGGTAGTGCTATTTTTAGTTTTTTGAGGAACGGTTATACTATTTTCCATAGTTGCTGTACTGATTTACATTCACACTGACAATGCACAAGCAAAGAATAGAAATTTATTTCTCATAGTTCTAGAGACTGGGAAGTCCAAAATCAAAGTTTCAGTATCTGGTGTGGCTATTCTTACTGTGTCCTCACATGTTGTAAGCAGAAGAACAAGAGAAGATGACTGTTGTCTCCTCACATGGCAGAAGAGTGGAAGAGAGAGAACCCACTCCCACAAACCATTTATATGGTGGCATTCATCCATTCCCATTAGGCCCCACCTGCTAATGCTGTTGCATTGGGGATTAAGTTTCCAATACATAAATTTCAGAAAACACTTTCTAACCACAGCAATCCTTATGTTATATATATATAGTACAGTAGTAGCTTAAACTCGTGTTAAAATATTAAATGTAAACAGTATAGAGGACATTCCTGATTTTTTTCTTAACTTTAAAGCCATATTTTTACATTTCCACCAACAGGTATGATATTAACTGTAGACTTAAAAATATATATTCTCAGTGGGCATGGTGGCTCATGCCTGTAATCCCAGCACTTTGGGAGGCTGCGGCCAGTGGATCACTTGAGGCAAGGAGTTTGAGACCAGCTTGGCCAACACAGTGAAATCCTGTCTCTACTAAAAATACAAAAAATTAGCTGGGCATGGTGGCATGAGCCTGTAGTTCCAGCTACTCAGGAGGCTGAGGCATGAGAATCCCTTCAATCCGGGAGGTGGAGGTTGCAGTGAGTGTGAGATCATGCCACTGCACTCCAGCTTGGGTGACAGAGTGAGATTCTGTCTCAAAAAAAAAAAAAACCACAAAAATATATATTCTTTACTAATTTAAGAAAGTCCCCTTCTATCTATAAAAAGATTGCTAAAACATTTCATCATCATTGGAAATTAAATTTTCTCTAGTGCTTTTTTCCTGCACGTACTTAGATTTTTTCTTCAATCTATTATTGTGATGACTTACATTAATGGATGTGTTACAGTAATAGATTTGATCATCAGTTTTCTCATATGCAAATACAGAAAATAATCTTTACTTTAGGATTTTTGTGATGTTTAAATTAGAGAGCATCTGTGAACAATTGCCAGGCAGGCAAAAGATAAAGGCCTACTGTTTCTTGTTCCCCTCCAGATCCACTCTCCCCTCTGGCTCTCTGCCCTGTGACTGTGTTAATGGTCACTGGGCTCTCTCACTGTTGTTTCTGGTCAAGTTCATCCAATGCAAGGTGGCAGCAAACTTTTGAAAGATTGGAGGAAGGTGAAGTTGGAGTAGTTATTCCTCCAACCATCATCTTCCTAGGCTACAGCATGTTGTCTTCATCCTTCTACAGATGACCTTAGCTCCTATCATGCAGCCCTCTGTATATAGCTATCTGATCCAGATTCTGCTAACCACACTTTGTGCCTGCCTCTTTGGGCAGGTGACAGCTCTCCTCTCTTACCCACAGTTACTAGCCTCTGAATGATACTGTATTTCACATTGGTTTCCTTAAGCTCCACCCACACCTTTGTGAATTGTCCCTTTACTTCACTGTCCTTAAATCAAATCATTTATTTTGTGGCTGTGTTTTGTGCTAACAACCAAGTACAGAGATAAGTAGTGTGTCCAGAATTGGTGGGTTCTTGGTCTCGCTGACTTTAAGAATGCAGTCGCAGACCCTCGCGGTGAGTGTTACAGTTCTTAAAGATGGTGTGCCTGGAGTTTATTCCTTCTGATGTTCACACGTGTCCAGAGTTTCTTCCTTTTGGTTGGTTCGTGGTCTCGCTGACTTCAGTAATGAAGCTGCAGACCTTTGCGGTGAGTGTTACAGTTCATAAAGGCGGCGCATCCGGTGTCGTTCGTTCCTCCTGGTTGGTTCGTGGTCTCGCTGACTTCAGGAGTGAAGCTGCAGACCTTCGTGGTGAGTGTTACAGCTCATAAAGGCGGCACAGACCCAAACAGTGAGCAGCAACAAGATTTATCTCGAAGAGCAAAACAACACAGCTTCCACGGCCGTGGAAGGGGATCCGAATGGGTTGTGCTGCTGGCTCTGGTGGCTTGTTTTTATTCCCTTATTTGGCCCCACCCACATCCTGTTAATTGGTCCATTTGACAGAGTGCTGATTGGTCCATTTTACAGACTGCTGATTCGTCCGTTTTACAGAGTGCTGATTGGTCCATTTTACAGAGTGCTGATTGGTGCGTTTACAATCCTTTAGCTAGACACAAAAGTTCTCCAAGTCCCCACCCGACGCAGAAGCCCAGCCGGCTTCACCTCTCAGTAGGTTATTCATTTCATCCCACTATAACCTGGATATGGATGTGGATGGTTGTAAAATCAAGTATTTCTGCTCAGTTGAACATCTATTTAAGTCCTGGGTGATTTAAATGATTTGATCAACAATTATTATCTCTAATGGTGCAAAATTGTTTTTTCTGTTATCAGTCATTTGGACTACTTGCAGTTTTCAAATCAGTTAAATAAGCAATGTATATAAAGAGCCTAGCACAATCCTTTAGGCATTATAAAGACTATAACATTTGCTTTGTTTAAAAGAAAGAATGAAAGGGTTAGGAAAGGGGTTCAGCAGTAGAAATTTGAGCTATTGCAATAATTTTGAAGTTCACTGTGCTTTGCAAACCCGATATTACTTCCATTCTGTGATATTATTATGGAAATTAAAGAGCAGAAGTCAGATCTGGAAAGCAAAGATATGGGAAATTATTTAACATATCAAAAGGAACCCACGTCTACTCTAATTTTCCTCTTGGTTATGCCAACAATCTTTCTCATTTTGGAATGTCTTTTATAAGCTTTGTAAAAGGTCATAGACTACATAATGGTCCAGGTAGAGGCTAAGTAGGAGCTGGGGAATGATTGAATCAGCCTAGTGAGAAAACTGTAGCAATTATTCATTTGATGATGTTACTGCTTCTATATTTTGAATTATCCTAAGATAATTAAGGTGATAAAAAAGTTAAGGTGAATTTTAAAGTCCAAGTTACTGGAAACTATAGTTTTTAAGCTCTTTTTTTGGGGGGGGGGGTTGGTAAACAAATATCTTTGGGAAAAAGCATAATTAAATACAATAATCCAGAGGCCCATCTCTTCTTCAGTGTTTAAAATGCTGTATTTTAACAAGGTACAAAACAGAGTCCTATTTAGGGAAATAGACAATATGATATTACTGAATTTGGTTATTTGCAGGAATAGTCAAAATACATAGTTTCAAAATAGACCCTAAATATAGGGCCCTATTATTGGATTTTGCACATTCCATCTTCCTCACCAGTAATACTAGAAGCAACAGTGACTTTTGTTTAAAAATGCATATAGAAGCTTTAAAAATTACATAAAAATAAACCAAATAGAAAACAAATGTAATGATTCTCTGAATTTGTACATTTAAAATCCCTCCACAGCATTCTATTGTGCCTTCCATTTATGTAAAACAATTTTCTTTCCCAGTCTTTCTTAAAAGTAGCATTCTTTTTTTATAGCTGCACAGTATTCCATGGTGTATATGTGCCACATTTTCTTTATCCAGTCTATCATTGATGGGCATTTGGGTTGGTTCCAAGTCTTTGCTATTGTGAATAGTGCCACAATAAACATACATGTGCATGTGTCTTTATAGTAGCATGACTTATAATCCTTTGGGTATATACCCAGTAATGGGATCACTGGGTCAAATGCTATTTCTAGTTCTAGATCCTTGAGGAATCACCACACTGTCTTCCACAATGGTTGAACTAGTTTACACTCCCACCAACAGTGTAAAAGCATTCTTATTTCTCCACATCCTCTCCAGCATCTGTTGTTTCCTGACTTTTTAATGATTGTCATTCTAACTTGTATGAGATGGTATCTCATTGTGGTTTTGATTTGCATTTCTCTGATGACCAATGATGATGAGCATTTTTTCATGTGTCTGTTGGCTGCATAAATTTCTTTTGAGAATTGTGTGCTCATATCCTTTGCCCACTTTTTGATGGGATTGTTTGTTTTTTTCTTGTAAATTTGTTTGAGTTCTTTGTAGATTCTGGATATTAGCCCTTTGTCAGATGAGTAGATTGCAAAAATTTTCTCTCATTCTGTAGGTTGCCTGTTTACTCTGATGGTAGTTTCTTTTGCCATGCCGAAGCTCTTTAGTTTAATTAGATCCCATTTGTCTATTTTGGCTTTTGTTGCCATGCTTTTGGTGTTTTAGTCATGAAGTCCTTGCCCATGCCTATGTCCTGAATGGTATTGCCTAGGTTTTCTTCTATAGTTTTTATGGTTTTAGGTCTAACATTTAAGTCTTTAATCCATCTTGAGTTAATTTTTGTATAAGGTGTAAGGAAGGGATCTAGTTTCAGCTTTCTACATATGGCTAGCCAGTTTTCCCAGCACCATTTATTAAATAGGGAATCCTTTCCACATTGCTTGTTTTTGTCAGGTTTGTCAAAGATCAGATGATTGTAGATGTGTGGTGTTATTTCTGAGGCCTCTGTTCTGTTCCATTGGTCTATATCTCTGTTTTGGTACCAGTATCATGCTGTTTTGGTTACTGCAGCCTTGTAGTATAGCTTGAAGTCAGGTAGCATGATGCCTCCAGCTTTGTTCTTTTGGCTTAGGATTGCCTTGGCAATGTGGGCTCTTTTTTGGTTCCATATGAACTTTAAATAGTTTTTTCCAATTCTGTGAAGAAAGTCATTGGTAGCTTGATGGGGATGGCATTGAATCTATAAATTATCTTGGGTAGTATGGCCATTTTCACAATATTGATTCTTCCTATCCATGAGCATGAAATATTCTTCCATTTGTTTGTGTCCTCTTTTATTTCATTGAGCAGTGGTTTGTAGTTCTCCTTGAAGAGGTTCTTCACTTCCCTTGTAAGTTGGATTCCTAGGTATTTTATTCTCTTTGAAGCAATTGTGAATGGGAGTTCACTCATGATTTGGCTCTCTGTCTGGTATTGGTATATAGGAATGCTTGTGAGTTTTTGCAGATTGATTTTGTATCCTGAGACTGCTGAAGCTGCTTATCAGCTGAAGGAGATTTTGGGCTGAGACGATGGGGTTTTCTAAATATACAATCATGTCATCTGCAAACAGGGACAATTTGACTTCCTCTTTCCTAATTGAATGCGCTTTATTTCTTTCTCTTGCCTGATTGCCTTGGCCAGAACTTCCAACACTATGTTAAATAGGAGTGGTGAAAGAGGGCATCCTTATCTTGTGCCAGTTTTCAAAGGGTATGCTTCCAGTTTTTGTCCATTCAGTATGACATTGGCTGTGGATTTGTCATAAATAACTCTTATTATTTTGAGATACGTTCCATCAATACCTAGTTTATTGAGAGTTTTTAGCATGAAGAGCTGTTGAATTTTGTCGAAGGCCTTTTCTGCATCTATCGAGATAATCATGTGGTTTTTGTCATTGGTTCTGTTTATCTGATGGAATACATTTATTGATTTGTGTATGTTGAACCAGCCTTGCATCCCAGGGATGAAGCAAGTTTGATCGTGGTGGATAAATTTTTTGATATGCTGCTGGATTTGGTTTGCCAGTATTTTATTGAGGATTTTTGCATCGATGTTCATCAGGGATATTGGTCTAAAATTCTCTTTTTTTGTTGTGTCTCTGTCAGACTTTGGTATCAGGATGATACTGGCCTCATAAAATGAGTTAGGGAGGATTCCCTCTTTTTCTATTGATTGGAATAGTTTCAGAAGAAATGGTAGCAGCTCCTCTTTGTACCTCTGGTAGAATTCGGCTGTGAATCCATCTGGTCCTGGATTTTTTTTGTTGGTAGGCTATTAATTATTGCCTCAATTTCAGAACTTGTTATTGGTCTATTCGGAGATTCAACTCTTCCTGGTTTAGTCTTGGGAGGGTGTATGTGTCGAGGAATTTATCCATTTCTTCTAGATTTTCTAGTTTATTTGCATAGAGGTGTTTATAGTATTCTCTGATGGTAGTTTGTATTTCTGCGGGAATGGTGGTGATATCCCCTTTATCATTTTTTTATTGTGTCTACTTGATTCTTCTCTCTTTTCTTCTTTAGTAGTCTTGATAGTGGTCTATCAATTTTGTTGATCTTTTAACAAAAAACCAGCTCCTGGATTCATTGATTTTTGAAGTTTTTTTTGTTTGTCTGTCTCCTTCAGTTCTGCTCTGATCTTAGTTATTTCTTGTCTTCTGCTAGCTTTTGAATGTGTTTGATCTTGCTTCTCTAGTTCTTTTAATTGTGATGTTAGGGTGTCAATTTTAGATCTTTCCTGCTTTCTCTTGTGGGCATTTAGTGCTATAAATTTCCCTCTACACACTGCTTTAAATGTGTCCCAGAAATTCTGGTACATTGTGTCTTTGTTCTCATTGGTTTCAAAGAACATCTTTATTTCTGCCTTCATTTTGTTATGTACGCAGTAGTAATTCAGGACCAGGTTGTTCAATTCCATGTAGTTGTGTGGTTTTGAGTGAGTTTCTTAATCCTGACTTCTAATTTGATTGCACTGTGGTCTGAGAGACAGTTTGTTGTGGTTTCTGTTCTTTTACATTTGCTGAGGAATGCTTTACTTCCAACTATGTGGTGTGTTTTGGAATAAATGCAATGTGGTGCTGAGAAGAATGTATATTTTGTTGATCTGGGGTGGAGAGTTCTGTAGATGTCTATTAGGTCTGCTTGGTGCAGAGCTGAGTTCAAGTCCTGGATATCCTTGTTAATCTTCTATCTCGTTGATCTAACATTGACAGTGGGGTGTTAAAGTCTCCCATTATTATTGTGTGGGAGTCTAAGTCTCTTTTTAGGTCTCTAAGGACTTGCCTTATGAATCTGGGTGCTCTCGTATTGGGTGCATGTACATTTAGGATAGTTAGTTCTTCTTGTTGAATTGTTCCCTTTACCATTATGGAATGGCCTTTTTTTGTCTCTTTGGATCTTTGTTGGTTTAAAGTCTGTTTTATCAGAGACTAGGATTGCAACCCCTGCTTTTTTTTTTTTTTTTTTTTTTTTTTTTGCTTTCCATTTGCTTGGTAAATATTCCTCCATCCCTTTATTTTGAGCCTATGTGTGTCTCTGCACATGAGATGGGTCTCCTGAATACAGCACACTGATGGGTCTTGAAGCTTTATCCAACTGGCCAGTCTGTGTCTTTTAATTGGGATTTAGCCCATTTACATTTAAGGTTAATATTGTTATGTGTGAATTTGATCCTGTCATTATGATGTTCGCTGGTTATTTTGCTCGTTAGTTGATGCAGTTTCTTCCTAGCATCAATAGTCTTTACAACTTGGTATGTTTTTGCAGTGGCTGGTACTGGTTGTTCCTTTCCATGTTTAGTGCTTCCTTCAGGCGCTCTTGTAAGGCAGGCCTGGTGGTGACAAAATCTCTCAGCATTGCTTGTCTGTAAAGGATTTTATTTCTCCTTCACTTATGAAGCTTAGTTTGGCTGGATATGAAATTCTGGGATGGAAATTCTTTTCTTTAAGAATGTTTAATATTGGCCCCCTCTCTCTTCTGGCTTGTAGAGTTTCTGCTGAGAGATCCACTGTTAGTCAGATGGGCTTCCCTTTGTGGTTAACCCGACCTTTCTCTCTGGCTGCCCTTAACATTTTTTCCTTCATTTCAACATTGGTGAATCTGACAATTATGTGTCTTGGGGTTGCTCTTGTCAAGGAGTATCTCTGTGGCATTCTCTGTATTTCCTGAATTTGCATGTTGGCCTGTCTTGCTAGGCTGGGGAAGTTCTTCTGGATAATATCCTGAAGATTGTTTGCTAACTTGGTTCCATTCTCCCCATCACTTTCAGGTACACCAATCAAACATAGATTTGGTCTTTTCACATAGTCCCAAATTTCTTGGAGGCTTTGTTTGTTTCTTTTCACTCTTTTTTCTCTAAACTTCTCTTCTTGCTTTATTTCATTAATCTGATCTTCAATCACTGATACCCTTTCTTCCACTTGATCGAATCAGCTGTTGAAGCTTGTGCATGCGTCACATAGTCTCATGCCATGTTTGCAGCTCCATCAGGTCATTTAAGGTCTTCTCTACACTTTTTATTCTAGGTAACCATTCGTCTAATCTTTTTTCAAGGTGTTTAACTTCCTTGTGATAGGTTTGAACATCCTCCTTTAGCTCAGAGAAGTTTGTTATTACCAACCTTCTGAAGCCTACTTCTGTCAGCTCATCAAAGTCATTCTCAGTCCAGCTTTGTTCTGTTGCTGGTGAGGAGCTGCGGTCCTTTGGAGGAGAAGAGGCGCTCTGGTTTTTAGAATTTTCAGCTTTTCTACTCTGGTTTCTCCCCATCTTTGTGGTTTTATCTACCTTTGGTCTTTGATGTTGGTGACCTACAGATGGGGTTTCAGTGTGGATGTCCTTTTTGTTGACGTTGATACTATTCCTTTCTGTTTGTTAGTTTTCCTTCTAACAGTCAGGCCCCTCTGCTGCAGGTCTGCTGGCATTTGCTGGTGGTCCACTCCAGACCCTGTTTGCCTGAGCATCACCAGCGGAGGCTGCAGAACAGCAAATATTGCTACTGATTCTTCCACTGGAAGCTTCATCCCAGAGGAGCACCTCCCTGTATGAGGTGTCAGTCGGCCCCTACTGGGTGGTGTCTCCCAGTTAGGCTATATGGGGGTCAGTCTGTCCATTCTCAGAGCTCAAACACCATGCTGGGAGAACCACTGCTCTCTTCAGTGCTGTCAGACAGGGACGTTTAAGTCTGCAGAAGTTTCTGCTGCCTTTTGTTCAGAGGCAGCAGGCCTTGCTGAGCTGTGGTGGGCTTCGCCCAGTTCAAGCTTCCCTGGCCTCTTTGTTTACCTACTCAAGCCTCAGCAATGGCGGACACCCCTCCCCCTGCCAGGCTGCTGCCTCGCAGGTCAATCTCAGACTGCTGTGTTAGCAGTGAGCAAGGCTCCGTGGGCATGGGACCCGCCGAGTCAGGCATGCAGTATAATCTCCTGGTGTGCGGTTTGCTAAGACCGTTGGAAAAGTGCAGTATTTGGGCGGAAGTTTCCCGTTTTTTCCAGGTATAGCCTGTCACGGCTTCACTTGGCTAGGAAAGGGAAATCTCCCAACACCTTGCACTTCATGGGTGAGGTGACACCCTGCCCTGCTTTGGCTCACCCTCCGTGGGCTTTACTCACTGTCCAACCAGTCTCAATGAGAGGAACCAGGTACCTCAGTTGGAAATGCAGAAATCACCAGTCTTTTGCATTGATCATGCTGGGAGCTGCAGACCAGAGCTGTTCTATTTAGGGACATGGATGAAGCTGGAAACCATCATTCTGAGCAGACTATCACAAGGATAGAAAACCAAACACCACGTGTTCTCACTCATAGGTGGGAATTGAACAATGAGAACACTTGCACACAGGGCAGGGAACATCACACACCGGGGCCTGTCGTGGGGTGGGGGACAGGGGGAGGGATAGCATTAAGAGAAATACCTAATGTAAATGACGAGTTAATGGGTGCAGCAAACCAACATGGCACATGTATACCTATGAAACAAACCTGCACGTTGTGCACATGTACCCTAGAACTTAAAGTATAAAAAAAAAAAGTAGCATTCCAAATGTAACTCAGGTTCTACCCTTAGAGGCTCTCACATGAGATTTTGATTCATAGCTGAGTCATGTATAGAGAAAGGCAGGGTTTGGGGTGTCCCCTTTTGCTAATGGAGGTCACGGCCGAGGTGGCACGTTTGTGCTGGCAGCCATGGCAGGGGCTTTCTGATTCAACAGCTCTTGGAAATTCAGTCTGATTCTGCAATAACCCCAACAATTGAAAAATGAGCTGCACATATCCCTTAAACAGTCCCTGTCTTACACCAGTGGAGTGGATGATTCTGTTGCCTGACACACACACAAAAAAAACCCTGTCTAATAGTGAAGTGTAGTGTGTCATAGAGCTGAAATGAACAGTAACAGGAAAAGAATATGCCCCCTTTTGAAATATACATTTAAGAATGCTTAGAACACTTACTCTGAGTCAGACACTGTATGCACTGCTCAGAGTACAGCCCCCAAGGAACTACCTGTGTGAATTTCTAAATGTGGGTGTGGGCAGTGGGTGGGCCTGGGGGTTAGGAATGGTTCACAGATAAAAACAACCAAATATTAAACGTGATTGTAAGCACAACATATAAAGCTTACCACTCTTGGAAGCCTGCCACCTTTTGAAATCAGACAAATCAGGAAAAAAGAAGGAAACAGAGGAAAGCAGGAAGGGAAATAAGAAAAGGGAAAAAAAGAAAGAGGAAAGGTATCTAACACTTTATAAATACTTGATCTGCATGTTGTGCAAACATTGTCTTATTTGAAATGCCATCATGATATACCAAATAGGTCAGGAATATTTGTTCCATTTTAGAGGTAAGAAAATCAAGCCTCAGTCTGGGATTTAAACTCAAGTCCATCTATGCCTAGAACCCACACTGTTTTTAATGTAGTCTAGTGTGATGGGGGTGGCGAGAGACTTAGTAAAAATTCTAATTTTCTTTGCAAAGTTGTTAGTTGGATACCTATCAAAAGACTTTACTGTAGAATGAGATTTAGAATTGTGAGCATCTTTTCCCTTGAACTTTAACCAGAGCTTATTGACTTTTTCCTTCTACATAAATTCAAATCTTTATACTTTGGATGTTTAAACTGGGCAAATTTCAAATGAGGATATGCATGTTTCTGTACATTTCTTCCTGTTCCTGAAAATTTTGTTGATTTGTCCTGATGATGTCTATAAGTAACTCTGTGAGATAGAGAACCGTAAAGCTAGGAAGAACAAGCCTGCCAGAATAAACTGTGCATTAAAAACACATAATTTCCTTATAGATTTAAACTAAGCAAACATGTAAATGAATAACCTTTTTAAGGACAAGCTACATCACCAATAGAGTTTACTTAATTTATTTTGACAACTGCCTCTAATTACTTAACATAACACATTATATGGGTAATAAAAACAGTTAATAATGTAAAACCTCATTGCTGTTTCAGGTCGAGTGAGAGATGTGTGCATATATTCTCCAGGCATTTGTGGAGTGGATCATGTTGCTCTCTCTCTCTCTTTCTCTCTCTGTGTGTGTGTGTGTGTGTGTGTGTGTGTGTGTGTGTCTGTGTGTCTGTTGGGACAATTTCTTCAGATAAATTTTTGGATTCACAGATGTGAAGAGATTAAATTCCATATGGAATGTGAAAAAATAATTCGTAACTATTGCCAATTCTCAGCTCTGAAAAAAAACAATGGCTAAACTTTATCTTAGGTTACATTATATACTATATACTATAGCTAATTTACATGCCTGGCCTTTGTGGGGCATCCTCTTATACGTTAATCTAGCGCCCTCTTGTGTAATAGGTTTTAATAACAAAGTTTGAGAGTGTTTATATATCATGTTTTGATTTCTAATTTCTAAAAGAATATACTCGTTGGATAGTGTTATTCTTTTATTTTCTTTGTATTTTTTGTATTTCCAAATTGCACATAATAAAAAAATATATAAATGAACAAGACTGAATTTTCAAGTCTTATGTCATGCCCATGACTGTCAGTAAACAAAAACCACTTTTCTGAATCAGGACATTTCTTAAGAAAATCAAATTTACTCCCAGGAGGCAAAGGAAAAATAATATTGTAAAACAGTGCAATTCATTTGGATCAATTCTTAGAATTTTAGAGCAAGAAGAAAATGCAGCGATCCAGTGAGGGCTAGGAAGTGGCTGGCACTTGCTTTTCATCTGTGTCATGCTGCTGTCACTGCCCGGGCTGGCACAAGGCTAAAGGGTATTGCTAGTATTTTACACAGAGAACAGTTTTCTGATCATTTTTCTTTTTTCAGGAACTCTCACGTGAAAATCAACGTGTAAGCAGGGAGAGGCAGTGCTGCTCTGATCCAAGGCAGCGAAGGTGAAGCCCTGTCTACTGTCCCTTCCTGGGAGGCAACTGAGGGTTGTGTAGTTTGTGAATCCTTAGGCTTCTTGGGGCCATGGTTTGACAGCACAATTATAAACTTTGCTCTTTTGCGCTGTTATGAATTGAATTGTGTCTTACAAAACTTGTATGTTGAAGTCCTAACCCCTCTAGTACCTCAGAACATGAGCTTGTTTGGAGACAGGGCCTTAACAAAGGAAATCAAGTTAAAAGGAAGTCAGTAGGATGGGCTGTAATATAACTAGTGTCCTTACAAAAAAAAGGAAATTGGTGTAGATAAAGGCAGAGGTTTGGGTGATGTCTCTACAAGCCAAGAAACACCACAGATTGCCAGCAAACCACCAGAAGCTAGGAGAGAGGCACGCAACACGCTCTCTCTCACAGCCCTCAGAAGGAACTCACCCTGCTGACATCTTGGTCTTGAACGTCTAGCCTCCATAACTGTGAGAGAATAAATATCTGTTGTTTTAAGCCACCCAGTTAGTGGAACTTTACTATGGCAGCCCTAGAAAATGAATCCACATTTGCACTCAATGGCATCGTGGGTTGTTCCTGCTGGCTGAAGTAGTACAGCCAGCACAGATTGTAGGTTTAGGCTGCGTAATTTAAAATCCCCGGAGAAAGGATAACTTTGTAGTATAATGTAATAAATAATCTATTGTAAAAAATAATTATCTCAGTGAAAAAAAATGTGCTTTCTTTTTTTTTTTTTTTTTTTTTGAGACGGAGTCTCGCTCTGTCGCCCAGGCTGGAGTGCAGTGGCGGGATCTCGGCTCACTGCAAGCTCCGCCTCCCGGCTTCACGCCATTCTCCTGCCTCAGCCTCCCAAGTAGCTGGGACTACAGGCGCCCGCCACTACGCCCGGCTAATTTTTTGTATTTTTAGTAGAGACGGGGTTTCACCGTTTTAGCCGGGATGGTCTCGATCTCCTGACCTCGTGATCCGCCCGCCTCGGCCTCCCAAAGTGCTGGGATTACAGGCGTGAGCCACCGCGCCTGGCCAAAAATGTGCTTTCTAATTGACCAGCAGCCGTCTAAATGTTTATTTTTGTGCAGAATTATTATTTTTATTTATTTATTTTTATTTTTTGAGACGGAGTCTCACTCTGTCACCCAGGCTGGAGGGCAGTGGCATGATCTCAGCTCACTGCAAACTCTGCCTCCCTGGGTTCAAAGGATTCTCCTGACTCAGCCTCCTGAGTAGCTGAGATTATAGGTGTGCATTACCACACATGGCTAATTTTGGTATTTTTTGTAGAGTTGGGTTTTCACCATGTTGGCCAGGCTGGGTCTTGAACTCCTGACCTCAAGTAATCTGCCTGCCTCAGCCTCCCAAAGTGCTGGGATAACAGCATGAGCCACTGCACCTAGCCCATTCTTTGTTTTCTACTTGGTTTATTTTTATATAATTTTTAGAACTTCTATATACATTGCCAGTGTCATGCCTAATTATTTTAAAGTAACTGCTGGCCATCAAGGCATTTTACTATATCAGTTGCATCACTTAAAGATAAGAGTATTTTCATATTTAGCCAAAATAACATTTTCTCACTTTAAACACATTATTTTAAAATAGTCATCTTATCTAATAACCAGCCCACATCTAAATTTCCCTAAATGTCCCCCAAATCACGTATACTTGGCTTGTCCAAAACTGGATCCAATTTGAGACCACACATTGCATCTAACTGCCATTTCTTGCCCCTTTTAATCAGGCCAGTCACATTTTAATGACACTGTCTTGCTGAAGAGAATAACTCATAATGAAGAAAATACACCAAATTCTGGATGTCTCTGATTGTTTCTTTGTGGTATCATTTAGCTTGTTTCTGTACATTGGAATTTAGATATAAAGGCTCTATTAGATTTGGGCTAGACTACGTCACAGATGATGTGTTTTACTTCATATTGCATCTCATTAATAGGCCCACAATATCTGGTTGTCCACCAGTGGGATGCTGAGAGAGACCACTGAGAGTGGGGATAACATCTTGAACCCTCCATTGCAAGAAGAAACTAATCTCTGTGTGGTTATCATGGCCTCATATAGGTGTCTAGTTCCCTACCCATCATTCATCTAATAGTGTCAACACCAGTTCATGGCCTGACTGGTTGATTTAATTGTTGCCAAATGATTATTTCCTAATTCTGTCACTTCACATGTGTTGATTGGGGACATTCCTTATTAACTGGAGCTTTCTGTTTACCCTGTGATACAGTCCCTGCTTAAAAGAAGGATGAATTGTTTATTCTTTCCCATTACTCACAAATTTTGAGAATAAAGAATTAGTTTAATAATTATTTTAATTAGTGATATGTGATATCCTTTTTTTCTGACTTCCCCTTTTGTTAATGTCATTATAAACTCTGATTTTTAATAAATTTAATGAATTTCAAAAAACTACAATCAGGGCAGGGGTGGTTGTTCAAATGGTCACAAATGTAATCAGAAGACACTTTAAGCTGGCTTCTGAGTCCCTTTGATAGGACTCCATTAATCTTTATGAGTTTCTTTGCTTGCTTTTGGGCACAAGATCTGAATACCTTCAGTGGGGAATCATATAAGTACTTTGGTTTGAATGATGGTGCACTCACCAAAATTCATATGTTGAAACTGAACTGCCAATGTAGTAGTATTAAGAGATGGGGTCTTTAAGAGGTTATTAAGTCATAAGGGCAGAGCCTTCAAGGAGGGGGTTATAAATAGAACTTATAAATGGACTCGAGGGAGTGGGTTTGCTCTCTTCCACTCTTCTGCCATGTGAGGATGAAGCATTCCTCCTCTGTGGCCCTTCCATCCCTTCTACCACATAAAGACAGAGTGTTCCTCCTCTCTGGAGGTCACGGCAACAAAGCACCACCTTGGAAGAAGAGAGCAGCCCTCACCAGACAACTGAACCTGCTGGCACATTAATCTTGAATTTCCCAGCTTCCAGAACTGTGAGAAAATAGAACTGTGTACTTTATAAATCACCTGGTCTCAGATATTTTGTTATAGCAGCACAAACAGACTAAGACAGTCAAATTCACCTTTTTAAGAGAGCCAGTTGCTAATGCAGTGACATTGCATCTTGGATATACCATGGACAGAGTTGGAAGCTGGAAGATATACATTTTTAAGAACATGAGTTCATACTGATATTTTCAGCTTTAGCAATACAGTGTTTTTACTTGATTTCTTTAATTTTATAAATGTATCTCTTTCCTTTTGTATTTTTTCCTATAATGTAAAGAAAATAATTTTAAGAAACAATACCAATATTACCATTGAAAAAAGTTTAAAAATTTTTGTCAGTATTTTGTCCTTAGAATGCATCCCAAGCATTGCTGGTAAGATGGCCGAATAGGAACAGCTCTCGTCTGCAGTTCCCAGTGAGATTGATGTGGAAGGCGGGTGATTTCTGCATTTCCAACTGAGGTACCCAGTTCATCTCACTGGGACTGGTTGGACAGTGGGTGTAGCCCATGGAGGGTGAGCCAAAGCAGAGTGGGGCATCGCCTTACCCAGGGAGCACAAGGGGTCAAGGAATTCTCTCCCCTAGCCAAGGGAAGCCATGAGGGACTGTGCCGTGCCATGAGGAATGGTGCACTCAGGCCGAGATACTGCACTTCTCCCACAGTCTTCACAACTCGCAGACCAGGAGATTCCCTCCGGTGCCTCCACCACCAGGGTCCTGGGTTTCAAGCACAAAACTGGGCAGCTGTTTGGGCAGACACCAAGCTAGCTGCAGGAGGTTTTTTTTTCCACACCCAAGTGGTGCCTGGAACACCAGCAACACAGGACCATTCACTCCCCTGGAAAGGGGGCTGAAGCCAGGGAGCGAAGAGGTCTGGCTTGGTGGGCCCCACCCCCATAGAGCCCAGCAAGCTAAGATCCACTGGCTTGAAATTCTCACTGCCAGCATAGCAGTCTGAGGTCGATCTGGGGTGCTCGAGGTTGGTTGAGGGAGGGGCGTCCACCATTACTGAGCCTTGAATAGGGGATTTTACCCTCACAGTGTAAACAAAGCTACCAGGAAGTTCAAACTGAGTGGAGCCCACTGCAGCTCAGCAAGGCCACTGTGGCCAGACTGCCTCTCTAGATTCCTCCTCTCTGGGCAGGGTATCTCTGAAAAAAAAGGCAGCAGTCCCAGTCAGGGGCTTATAGGTAAAACCCCCATCTCACTGGGACAGAGCACTTGGGGGAAGGGGCAGCTGTGGGCACAGCCTCAGCAGACTTAAACATCCCTGCCTGACGGTTCTGAAGAGAGCAGTGAATCTCCCAGCACAGTGTTTATGCTCTGATAAGGTTCAGATTGCCTCCACAAGTGGGTCCCTGATCCCTGTGTATCCTGACTGGGAGACACTTCCCAATAGGGGCTGACAGACACCTCATACAGGAGAGCTCTGGCTGGCATCTGGCAGGTGCCCCTCTGGGACACAGCTTCTAGAGGAAGGAACAGGCAGCAATCTTTGCTGTTCTGCAGCCTCCGCTGGTGATACCCAGGCAACAGGGTCTGGAGTGGACCTCCAGCAAACACCAGCAGACCTGCAGCAGAGGGACCAGACTGTTAGATGGAAAACTAACAAAGAGAAAGGAATAGTATCAACATCAACAAAAAGGACGTCCACTCAGAGACCCCCTCCAAAGGTCACTGACTTCAAAGACCAAAGGTAGATAAATTCACGAAGTTGGGGAGAAACCAACACAAAAAGGCTGAAAATTCCAAAAACCAGAACGCCTCTTCTCTTCCAAAGGATCACAACTTCTCGCCAGCAAGGGAACAAAACTGGATGGAGAATGAGTTTGAAGAATTGACAGAGGTAGGCTTCAGGCGGTGAGTAATAATAAACTCCTCCGAGCTAAAGGAGGATGTTTTAACCCAATGCAAGGAAGCTAAGAACCTTGAAAAAAGGTTAGATGAATTGCTAACTAGAATAACTACTTTAGAGAATATAAATGACCTGATGGAGCTGAAAAACAAAACACGAGAACTTCATGAAGCATACACAAATATCAATAGCCGAATCGATCAAGCGGAAGAAAGGATATCAGATATTGAAGATCAACTTAATGAAATAAAGCAAGAAGACAAGATTAGAAAAAAAAATGAAAAAGAATAAACAAAGCCTCCAATATGGGACTATGTGAAAAGACAAAATCTACATTTGATTGGTGTACCTGAAAGTGATGGGGAGAATGGAACCAAGTTGGAAAGCACCCTTCAGGATGTTATCCAGGAGAACCTCCACAACCTAGCAAGACAGGCCGACATTCAAATTCAGGAAATACAGAGAATGCCACAAAGATACTCCTCAAGAAGAGCAACCCCAAGAAACATAATCATCAGATTCACCAAGGTTGAAATGAAGAAAAAAATGTTAAGCGCAGTCAGAGAGAAAAGTTGGGTTACCCACAAAGGGAAGCCCATCTGACTAACAGCCGATCTCTCTGCAGAAACCCTACAAGCCAGAAGAGAGTGGGGGCCAATATTCAACATTCTTAAATAAAAGAATTTTCAACCCAGAATTTCATATCCAGCCAAACTAAGTTTCATAAGTGAAGGAGAAATAAAATACTTTACAGACAAGCAAATGCTGAGAGATTTTATCACCACCAGGCCTGCCTTACAAGAGCTCCTGAAGGGAGCACTAAACATGGAAAGGAACAACCAGTACCAGTCACTGCAAAAACATAACAAATTGTAAAGACCATCGATACTATGAGGAAACTGCATCAACTAGTGGGCAAAATAACCAGCTAGCATCATAATGACAGGATCAAACTTGCACATAACAATATTAACCTTAAATGTAAAGGCTAAATGCCCCAATTAAAAGACACAGACGGGCAAGTTGGATAGAGTCAAGACCCATCAGTGTGCTATATTCAGGAGACCCATCTCACAGGCAGAGACACACATAGGCTCAAAATAAAGGGATGGAGGAATATCTACCAAGCAAATGGAAAGCAAAAAATAAAAAATAAAAAAATGCAGGGGTTGTAATCCTAGTCTCTGATAAAACACACTTTAAACCAACAAAGATCAAAAGAGACAAAGAAGGGCATTACATAAAGGGAAAGGGATCAGTGCATCAAGAAGAGATAACTATCCTAAATATATATGCACCCAATACAGGAGCACCCAGATTCATAAAGCAAGTTCTTAGAGATCTACAAAGAGACTTAGACTCCCACACAGTAATAGTGGGACACCCCAAAGTCAATATTAGACAGATCAATGAGACAGAAAATTGACAAGGATATCCAGGACTTGAACTCAGCTCTGGACCAAGTGGACCTAATAGACATCTATAGAATTCTCCACCCCAAATCAACAGAGTATACATTATTCTCAGCACCTCATTACACTTATTCTAAAATTGACTACATAATTGGAAGTAAAACACTCCTCAGGAAATACAAAAGAGTGGAAATCACAACAAAGTCTCTCGGACCATGGTGCAATCAAATCAGAATTCAGGATTAAGAAACTCAATCAAAACTGCACAATTACTTGGAAACTGAACAACCTGCTCCTGAATGACTACTGGGCAAATAATAAAATGAAGGCAAAAATAAAGATGTTCTTTGAAACCAACGTAAACAAAGACAAAACGTACCAGAATCTCTGGGACACAGCTAAAGCAGTGTTTACAGGGAAATTTCTAACACTAAATGCCCACAAGAGAAAGCAGGAAAGATCTAAAATCGACACCCTAACATCACAATTAAAAGAACTAGAGAAGCAAGAGCAAACAAATTTAAAATCTAGCAGAAAAGATCAAATAACTAAGATCAGAGCAGAACTGAAGGAGATAGACACACAAAAAAAAACCTTCAAAAAATCAAGGAATCCAGGAGCTGGTTTTTTGAAAATATCAACAAAATAGACCACTAGCCAGACTAATAAAGAAGAAAAGAGAGAAGGAGCAAATAGATGCAATAAAAAATGATAAAGAGGATATCAGGACTGATCCCACAGATACAAACAACCTTCAGAGAATACTATAAACACTTCTTTTTTTTTTTTTTTTTTTTTTTTTTTTTTGAGACGGAGTCTCGCTCTGTCGCCCAGGCTGGACTGCGGACTGCAGTGGCGCAATCTCGGCTCACTGCAAGCTCCGCTTCCCGGGTTCACGCCATTCTCCTGCCTCAGCCTCCCGAGTAGCTGGGACTACAGGCGCCCGCCACCGCGCCCGGCTAATTTTTTGTATTTTTAGTAGAGACGGGGTTTCACCTTGTTAGCCAGGATGGTCTCGATCTCCTGACCTCATGATCCACCCGCCTCGGCCTCCCAAAGTGCTGGGATTACAGGCGTGAGCCACCGCGCCCGGCCACTATAAACACTTCTACACAAATAAACTAGAAAGTCTAGAAGACATGGATAAATTCCTGGACACACAAACCCTCCCAAGACTAAACCAGGAAGATGTCGAATCCCTGAATAGACCAATAACAAGTTCTGAAATTGAGGCCATAATTAATAGCCTACCAACCAAAAAAAATCCAGGACTGGACAGATTCACAGCTGAATTCTACCAGAGATACAAAGAGGAGCTGGTACCATTTCTTCTGAAACTATTCCAAACAATATAAAAAGAAGGAATCCTCCCCAACTCATTTTATGAGGCCAGCATCATCCTGATACCAAAACCTGGCAGAGTCACAACAAAAACTAAAATTTCAGGCCAATATCCCTGATAAACATCAATGCGAAAATCCTCAGTAAAATACTGGCAAACTGAATCCAGCAATACATCAAAAAGCTTATCCACCACCATCAAGTCGGCTTCACCCCTGGGATGCAAGGCTGGTTCAACATACACAAATCAATAAAGGTAATCCATCACATAAACAGAACCAATAACAAAAACCACATGATTATCTCAATAGATGCATTAAAGGCCTTCAACAAAATTCAACAACCCTTAATGCTAAAAACTCTCAATAAACTAGCTATTGATGGAACGTATATCAAAATAATAAGAGCCATTTATGAGAAACCCACAGCCAATATCATACTGAATGGGCAAAAGCTGGAAGCATTCCCTTTGAAAAGTGGCACAAGACAAATATGCCCTCTCTCATCACTCCTATTCAACATAGTATTGGAAGTTCTGGCTAGGGCAATCAGGCAAGACAAAGAAATAAAGCGTATTCAAAGAGGAAAAGAGGAAGTCAAATTGTCTCTGTTTGTAGATGACATGATTGTATATTTAGAAAACCCCATTGTCTCAGCCCCAAATCTTCTTAAACTGATAAGCAACTTCAGCAAAGTCTCAGGATACGAAATCAATGTGCAAAAATCACAAGCACTCCTATACACCAATAACAGACAAACAAAGAGCCAAATCATGAGTGAACTCCCATTCACAATTGCTATAAAGAGAATAAAATACTTAGGAATACAACCAACAAGAGATGTGAAGAACCTCTTCAAGGAGAACTATAAACCACTGCTAAAGGAAATAAGAGAGGACACAAATAAATGGAAAAACCTTCCATGCTCATGGATAGGAAGAATCAATATCGTGAAAATGGCCATACTGCCTAAAGTAATTTACAGATTCAATATTATCCCCATCAAGCTACCACTGACTTTCTTCACAGAATTGGAAAAAAGTACATTAAATTTCATGTGGAACCAAAAAAAGAGCCTGTATAGCCAAGACAATCCTAAGCAAAAAGAACAAAGCTGGAGGCATCACGCTACCTGACTTCAAACTATGCTACAAGGCTACAGTAACCAAAACAGCATGGTACTTCTACCAAAACAGATATGTAGAACAATGCAACAGAACAGAGGCCTTAGAAATAACACCACACATCTGGATCTATCTGATCTTTGACAAACCTGACTAAAACAAGAAATAGGGAAAGGATTCCCTATTTAATAAATGGTGGGAAAACTGGCTAACCATATGCAGAAAACTGAAACTGGACCCTTTTCTTACACCTTATACAAAAATTAACTCCAGGTAGATTAGAGACTTAAAGTAAGACCTAAAACCATAAAAACCCTAGAAGAAAACCTAGGCAATACCATTCAGGACATAGACATGGGCAAAGACTTCATGACTAAAACACCAAAAGCAATGGCAACAAAAGCCAAAATTGACAAATGGGATCTAATTAAACTTAAGAGCTTCTGCACAGCAAAAGAAACTATCATCAGAGTAAACAGGCAACCTACAGAATGGGAGAAAATTTTGCAATCTATCCATATGACTAAGGGCTAATATCCAGAATCTACAAAGAACTTAAACAAATCTACAAGAAAAAAACAAACAACTCCATCAAAAAGTCGGCAAAGGAATGAACAGATGCTTCTCAAAAGAAGACACTTATGCAGCCAACAAACATATGAAAAAAAGCTCATCATCACTGGTCTTTAGAGAAATGCAAATCAAAACCACAGTGAGATACCACCTCATGCCAGTTAGAATGGCGATCATTGAAAAGTCAGGAAACAACAGATGCTGGAGAGGATGTGGAGAAATAGGAATGCTTTTACACTGTTGGTGGGAGTGTAAACTAGTTCAACCATTGTGGAAGACACTGTGGCGATTCCTCGAGGATCTAGATCCAGAAATACCATTTGACCCAGCAATCCCATTATTGGGTGTATACCCAAAGGATTATAAATCATTCTACTATAAAGACACATGCACACGTATGTTTACTGCAGCACAATTCACAATAACAAAGACTTGGAACCAAACCAAGTGCCCATCAATGATAGACTGGATAAAGAAAATGTGACACATATACACCATGGAATACTATGCAGCCATAAAAGAGGATGAGTTCATGTCCTTTGCAGGGACATAGATGAAGTTGAAAACCATAATTCTCAGCAAACTAACACAAGAACAGAAAACACAAACACTGCATGTTCTCACTCATAAGTGGGAGTTGAACAATGAGAAAACATGGACCCAGGGAGGGGAACATCACACACGGGCCTGTTGGAAGGTGGGGAGCTAGGGGAGGGATAGCATTAGGAGAAATACCTAATGTAGATGATGGGTTGATGGAAGCGGCAAACCACCATGGCAAGTGTATACCTATGTAACAAACCTGCACGTTCTGCACATGTACCCCAGAACTTAAAGTATAATAAAAAAAGAGACAATGATTAACTTAAGGATAACAAAAATTTGTGTAGAGAAGGAAAAGTAGTCGTGATATTTATTATATTTTTTAACTGATCTAAAGTATTTCCCTGTCTTAATGATATAGGGTGACTATGAATCTAACCAAAATTATATCGTAATTCCATAGGGATGAAGGAGTGTAGGAAGGTGTGTGGCAGATGCGCCAGAATGCAATAACTCAAGCACACCCTGAGAATGACCCTGTGTGCGTTTCACATTCTGAGCTAAGGAATCTGGGAGTGGCGAACCCGGAGATTCACTCCTTATCTATGAAGATCTATGAAGGGCATCTGAACCCCTGGTTCATTACTTTGAACACAGGTGGTACAAGGAATCTAGGCCTTTATTTTGGTTTGAACAAAGGTTGCTAGGTGGAGGCTGCTAAGTGAAAATGCTACGTAAACTGCATGCTTTTTACAAACAGTAGTGATTCTCCTGTCCAGCTGCCACTCCTGAACTGCCCTGTACTTAGGCCCTCAATAAACCCTGTGACTAGTTAAAAAAAAATAAAGTAAAATAAAGGAGTGCATCCCATTAAGAAAGTACAGTCAGGTTACTTAGTTTTAAACTTACTTAAAATATATCTTTCCTCTGTGGAGCTTCCCTAATAATTTTATATACAATGAGGTTTATTTGTTTTGTTTGGCTTTCAATTTTAGCAGTTGAGATTTTAATGACATTATATTATTTACTAGGTAATGACTCAGAAATCAAATCCGAATAGAAAGCCCTCCTTTCTCTCCTTACTCCTCCACCTCATTTCTTCTCATCATAGGTAATTATTTTTAATTGTATCTTCTTTATCCTCCTATTGATTTTTATAAATGCATTTTTGCCTTATTTCCCTCCTTTCCTACACAAAAGATAGCATATTATTTATTGCTATACTCCCTTGCTTTTGTACATGACAAGATAGCCCGGCGAACTCTCCGCAATAGTGTGTGTCTCTACCTTTTTATGATTGCATGCAGTACTCCATTGAGTTTCCTAATTGAGCACTTTTCGAATACTGTCACTCGGGTTGAGGATTATGTAGCCTCATGAGCGTAGGCGGAGCAAAAAAATGCCCTTATTTTCATGTCTCCTCTATCCCACCCAGCCCTTGCAACAAAGGCATATGAGTATCTCCTGGATTCCTTCAATCAGACTGCTGGAAATGAGCTTTTGGGGAAGGAGGCTTTGCATAATGCCAATTTTGGTGGTGTGAGAGGCAGCAGGGTTGTTAGGCTTTTGAGTGGTTCTCAGCTTGGTTTCTGGTGGAGAAGTGGCATGGGTGATTTTGGCAATTGCAGATATGGTAGAGTCCACTTCCTGGCAGCAGGACAAACAGCAGCATCTGGTGCTGTGTGGGCTGAAGCCACGGTGAGGGTCTCCTTGTCAGACCCCCTATGCAGTGATGTTGGGACCTTGTTCCCAGAAACTTAGCCTTGAGCCTGTTGTTCCAGCTCACACAACACTTCTCTTAGCTGCCTGGGATCCTTTTAATAAATTCCTTTTCTGCTTAATTGACTAGAGTATGCTTTTCTTGCTTACATCTAAGAACTCTGACCTAAATACTCTTTATGAAGAAAAATGATTCACAACACTAAATACAGAAAGTGAGAAAAGGAATGTTCTGCTGTCCTTTCTTCATTTGTAATAACTTTGATCTACTCTCTCTCAGCCTGTCCTTGACATTTCTTTTCTCCTCATTATTCTGCTTTAAAAAATACCTAAGTTTTGAATTCCCTATTTTGCTTCTTTCTTGTGTACCAGGATGGTAACTGGAGATATTAAGCTGAAATTTAGCCCTCTACCTGTCAGCATTTCTCAGTACTCATTATTCTTGCTTTGTTCTGGCAGCAAACATGGTTTAGTGAATGGACTGCTCTCAAGATAAAAGAGAACAGAGTCAAATTTGGGATATGTTAATCTTCAAAACATGATTTTTTATTCCAAGAACCAGATGTTTGAGGGTGCCAAGAAATTTGTTTGGTTAATTTCTTTTCTCTTCTTTTCTTTTCGAGACAGGTTCTTACTCTGTTGTCCAGGCTAGAGTACAGTGGCACGATCATGGCTCACTACAGCCTTAACCTCCCAAGTTCAGGTGATCCTCTTGCCTCAGCCTCCCGAGTAGCTGGGACTACAGGTGAGTGCCGCCACACTCGGATAATTTCTTGTATTTTTTGTAGAGATGGGATTTCACCACATTTCTCAGGTTGGTCTTGGACTTCTGAATTCAAGCAATCCGCCTGCCTTGGCCTCCCAAAGTGCTGGGATTACAGGCATGAGACACCACGCCCGGCCTGGTTGGCAAATTTCATAATTGGTTTTTGGAAGTCCAAAATCTTATCTTCATTTATCACAAGCAAAACTTGGAGATCTCACAGATTAATTTATGCCCAAACCATAGAACTGAGAAGTATGAAGGATGTGATAAGAAAGGGTTTGGGTTTTTCTCTTACTCCTAAAGGAGATGCGGCTGAGTGGGCAGGTGGACCTGGAGAATCCCTAAGGTGATGTGGGAGGATAGGAGAGAGCTTTGCACGTCTGGCCACCAGGAGCAGAGGGGCACAGCAGAAGCAGTCAAAAAGGGAGTAAAGGAACAATTAACATCAGCAACAGGTGTCAGCAAAGAAGACAAATTACAGACCCTTGCCTGCCCTTGATATCATGATCCTCGTCATGAATCACTTAGCCCACTATCTGCATTATGGGAGCTACGTGAGAATGTTGTTGCTTCGTGTTATCATCACCATTGTTACGAATAGGCAGGAGCACTCCTCAGCCACTGCTGGAATCAAGCACTTGACAATTATTGTAGGCTACTGGAAGGAGCAACCTCTGACTCCTTAGAGAGCATCAGTGCACAGCTGGGCCCCCCACACACTCAGACCTGGGAGGCTCAGAGCTCAGAATGAAGTAGAATATAGGATTCTGAGAAGCCTGGAGCCCTGCATCCCTCTGGTGACTCCACCAGTGTCCAATGTTGAAGGAGCTGAAGTTAGCCTGGAGAGATTCAGAAAAAGGGGAAAGGAAGAGGGTGGTCCTAGGAGGCTTGAGATGCAGAGAGAAAACTTGGATATTCAGGCATCGCTGAACCCCTAGATGCAGATCTGGGTAAAGTCTGATGTGGCCTGGACAAGGCTACTAACCAGGGTCTTAATTGTTCCTTCTCTTTTGCTCTTCTTTAGCCCACAAGTGATCTTGGATGCTTTCCATGGCTCCTTCCTCTTCCACTAATCCTCCCTTGGAGCTGCGACGACTCCAAGTACAGGATTCTTTGATTGGCTCAATGAGTCTCATTTTTTTTGGCTTTTGTCTTTTAATTCCTACTTATTAATCTGTAGGATTTGAACTGTTTTTTATTATTAACATATACATGTTTATAAATTAAAATGTGTGGAGATTCATACTCCTTCCAATAACAGATTGGAAGCTCTTATGAGACAGGGAATTTGCCTTCTACAGGAGGTATTCTATTTTAAGCTATGCAAACAGGAGTATTTTAAAATGTTAACTGACATCTATGCTTCTCAATTCTGATAGGGGGAATGGTTGAGTGTCTGTCCTCAGCGTCATAGGTGAAAATATTAAACAGCACTAGATGTTCCAAACTTGTTTGTTTTTCTTTCCCAAGAGGACTGCCTTGCATCTCCCTAACCAGTTTCACCTGGTGGCTCACCAAACCATAACCTTATTCAATAAATTTGCCAGGAAAATGATGTCACAGAAGCTGAACTTAATAACCTTTAGAACAAACCAGGATTTCTGGCTTCACTGGTTGGCTCAAAGTATCTGGAGTACTTGTTCATGTTTTCTTGACTTTATTCTACATTTAATTTTATTTAAAACTTAGTATTGACTGGCAAATTAATGAGGTTTAATGAGATAACATATGTAAAATATCTCATACTTTACGCAGCTTTGACACCAGGCAAGCTCTCTCAATATGAGCTCTTCTTATTACCTGATCTTTGGAGAAGTTCTCTTATTTTACATCCTCTGATGGAATTATGTACCACATTATGTGAGAAAGTAATGTCAAAGTTGTTGAACATGCGTGCCGTGTTTAACATTTTTAAGGTATCCTCCCTCTCTTATTTTCCCTGCATTTTCTACTATCTAAAATGGTCTCAAATATTAACACAGTAAGAACTACATGAAAAGAAACTGCATTCTCTGTGCATTTCATGGCCTCTTTACCCAGAAAGGGCTGGCCTAGTTTCTTATTTCCACAGGGACATTTTGCACAGCCCACATTCAGCTTGACTGTTAGCAGCCGTGGCATGTGATTTTTTTTTTCAGCCAAATCTAGACATCCACACAACCCTAAAACTTGGTGAGAAAGCTGACGCGCCTCTTGGGAAATGGATTTGTAAGAAAATTACCATTCATTTAGGCAAACTGACTACTCTGAGTTAGATCTCTGAGGATACGATGATGAGATTCATGTCTGGAAAATGAGTGGGGGAGAGTTTCCTGTCTTAAACTTGCTTATCCTCAAGACAAGAAGGTAGTGTTACCTTTTGCTATCAGGGAGCTTTAAATGAGGACGAGCAATGACAATGTCAGTCCGGTTCAGTAGTTCTCAAATTTTCATCTGTGTCAAAGTCACTTGGGAAGTTTGAAAAACGACAGAATCAGGGCCCTTTCCCTTTCTCCTCCTCCCCCAACAAGAATATGCCTTAAAACTAGTGCACTGACTCATTGGCAGGTGGTCCACAGACCAAAATCGAAGACACACTGGGTTCCTTCACAGCCTTTCATTTAATGAGAATTTACTTTCATTTAATGAGAATCTACTGAGTGCAAAGGATTGAATTGGCCATTATGAACAAAAACTAATGCATACAGTGTATTAGAAAGAGAATACAGAACAATTGAATGCTGATGGCATAACACCATTTGGCATTTGCACGGGGCTTCCCAGTTTTCAAAGCATATTCACGTCCATTGCTTCCTCTTTCCATCAACTATGTGGGAGGGGCAAGGAAGAGATTGGCATTTCCAACTCACAAAAAAGAGAACTTGAATAATTTCCCAAAGTTTCTATGGCTATTGGATGACAGACATGGATCATATCCAGGATTTTTGACTGCTGGGGCTGGAGGTCAACTTATCAAACTTTAATGAGAGGTACATTATACTAAGATACAGGCACAAAGCTGTACTTACATGAATGTTCACTGCTGTGTTTATCACAGGGAAAAAGTGGAAACACTCTAAATGCTCATCAACAGTGGCCTGGTTAAAAAAAAAAAACTATCATTCATCCATACAAGGCAATATTCTGCAGTCGTTCAAAAGGATAAGGCAGATCTTTATTAACACAGAAAAATGTTCATGATGCATTGTAAAGCTAAGAAGTCACTGAAATCTATGTAGAGAATGGTCCATTTATGAGAAAAAAAGTTTATGCATGAATTTAAAACTCTGGAAGTTCACTTCGTTCTACACATCTAGAGGGAAAGAGGGACAGAGACAGAGATAGAGAGAAAGAGAGATGCAGCTTACTGCTATTTTGCCTGGTGCCCTGGGGAACAGGTGCTGTTGGGCCGACAGTGATCAATACAACCTTCCCTGGACCCTAAATGGAATAGAGCACTCAGGAGATAATTTCTCTAAATTAAGTGGTATGTGAATTTGGAAAGTATCTGGCAGAGAAAAAGAAAAAAAAATAACCGTATTGGGGGTGATGGCCATTGGTTGGGGGCTTCTCTCCTGAGTATCACAACTCCATTCTTAATTATAATTATAATACTTACCATTCCATTTTATACAACATAACACTGTAGCATTAATGTATGTATTCAACAGTAATATAATGAAGGTATTAGTTTATGAACCAAGTTTTACTTTTAAAACATATTTTTTTAAAAAATAATTTTTATACACTTGCAAAGGGGATTGCATTTAACAAAAAGATTTTGTCTTGAAGAAGGTGAATGTTTTGAGTCTTGAAGAGCAAGAACTGGCTGAAACAAATAAAAAAGTAAAAACATAAAATAATTTTTAAAAACGTAGGCCAAGTGTGGTGGCTTACACCTGTAATCCCAGCATTTTGGGAGGCCCAGGTGGGAGGATCGCTTGATCCCAGGAGTTCAAGACAAGCCTGAGCAACATATAAAAAAATTAAAAAATTAGCCAGGCATTGTGGTGTAAGCCTGTAATCTCAGCTACTTGGGGAGGCTGAGATGGCAGCATGGCTTGAGCCTGGGAGGTTGAAGCTGCAGTGAGCTGAAATCATACCACTGCACTCCAGCCTGAACAACAGGGCGAGACCCTGTCTCAAAAACAAAACAAAACAACAACAACAAAAACTTTTAAAGCTCATAACTACAGAACACCATAAATATGATATTTTATTATTATTCTTTGAATTCTTTTTCAGAATTGAGTAATGTATAGCTTCAATATAATTCAACTTTCAACTACTCATTGTGTGCCTCTCCTGGGCAGGTCCTGGAACACAAAGATGACAGGGCAAGGTCCCTGCTTTAGAGAAGCGGACAGTCTTATTCTTTATTTTCAAACTGCAATAAATTCAGTTCAAAATAAAACAAGCATGGATGCATTTCTCAAATAATGGGTTTTCATTTGCAAAAAGGCTCTTAGATGAAGAGACCTGTGTCTAGTGGCTGACTTAGGTTTTAAAAAATTAAATGCATTTTGTGCTCATCAGTATCCCAGAACATTTTTCTGGTGGAAACAGACAATTATTTAAATTCTTCACTCTGTCAATGAAGACAAAAATCTAAATGAAAAAAAAATTTAATTCCCATAAGAGTGGTTTGTAACATTTCTAGGTCATAGTCCCTCCCTTAAGAATCTGATGAAAGTGAGGAACTGTCTTCTGAACGCACATTCCATGAGATGTTACAACTTCAGAAGCTCAAGGACTACTGAGCCCATCTATGGACACCAATTAATCAACCCTGCTATAGAAGCTTGTTCTTTTAAAATGCAAATCTAGCAATGTTTATTTAGAGAATATTTTTAGAGCACCCATCCTATGCAAGAGCTCTGTTAGATGTGCAGTAGCAATCTGTGTTTTAACAAGCCCTCCTGGCGATTCTGATGCACGCTTGTTAGAGACTCACTGGCTTAAGCCAAAATACACCATATTCAGGCCTTGCTCCCAGAAGTTCTTATTTAAAGTTCTGATTTATTTGGTCTGATGTGGAGCCCAATCCTCGGTGTTTTAAAAACCTCTCCAGGAACTTCTTACATGCAAGCATTGTTGAGACCCTTTGGTTTAAACACTGGGGATGTGCTTTCTGGTTTCTGATGAACACTTATAGCCCCCAAAAGAAAAAAGTCTGTGGCCCACACCTATATATCAATATCTATGGCTCCCAGCATGCGTGGTAGCACAATGTGTTTAGTATGAGAGGCAGCAGCACTTCAATCATATGGCAATTAGGAGGCTGTGTTCTAATATCCCCTTCACCCCCTAGTTAATTTACTCTTCAAGAGCAGTAGCCTCAAATCCTGCTTTCTAGTTAACTAATGAACATTCATTTCTTTTAGAGCTTTTTTTTTCAAATGGGAAAGGTAAGTACAATCTTTGAGTTCTCTATATGAAACTGGAAGATAATAAATCCATTCTTTGGGTGAAGACTTTTAACTTACAATTGCTGTCCTTAGCAGCAAATAGATCAATTTTTGTTACTGATCAGCTGCTCTGCTAACAGTTTCTGTGAGACACATCTATTTCACAACTAATGGAAAAATCTTGGCTTTGAAGAGTATCTAGGCTTTCAATTCACACGAGAAACAATTTTTGCAAGTCATTGCCCCTTGGAATATTTGTATGGAGTCACTGAAGTCAGCTGAAATAGACATTGCCTTATTCGATGGAGCGGTCTTTATTAAATGAATATATATATATTGCATCTATATTATACACATTATACACATTCATCAAATATATATTATATATGTTCATCAAATACATATTATATACATTCATCAAATTTATATTATATATTATATATATTCATCATCTTTGAAGCTTGAAGGACTACTTTATTTTTTTATTTTCCTTTAAGTTTCAGGATACATGTGCAGAACGTGCAGGTTTGTTACACAGGTATACATGTGCCATGGTGGTTTGCTGCACCTATCAACCCATCATCTAGGCTTTAAGCCCTGCATGCATTAGGTATTTGTCCTAATGCTCTCCCTCCCCTTGCCCCCAACCTCTGACAGGCCCGGTGTGTGTTGTTCCCCTCCCGGTGTCCATGTGTTCTCATTGTTCAACTCCCACTTATGAGTGAGAACAGGGGGTGTTTGGTTTTCTGTTCCTGTGGTAGTTTGCTAAGGATGATGGCTTCCAGCTCCATCCATGTCCCTGCAAAGGATATGATCCCATTCCTTTTTATGGCTGCGTAGTATTCCATGGTGTATATGTACCACATTTTCTTTATCCAGTCTATCATTGATGGGCATTTGGGTTGGTTCCATGTCTTTGCTGTTGTAAATAGTGCTGCAATAAACATACTCATGCATGTGTATTTACAGTAGAATGATTTATATTCCTTTGGGTATATACCCAATAATGGGATTGCTGGGTCAAATGGTATTTCTGGATCTAGATCCTTGAGGAATCGCCGCATTGTCTTCCACAATGGTTGAACATTACATTTCCACCAACAGTGTAAAAACGTTTCTATTTCTCCACAGCCTCGCCGGTATCTATTATTTCTTGACTTTTTAATAATGGCCACTATGATTGGCGTGAGATGGTATCTTATTGTGGTTTTGATTTGCATTTCTCTAATACTCAGTGATGTTGAGCTTTTTATCATATGTTTGTTGGCCGCCTAAATGTCTTCTTTTTAGAAGCGTCTGTTCATCTGTTCATATCTTTGCCCAATTTTTGATGGGGTTGCTTGTTTCTTGTAAATTTATTTAAGTTCCTTATAGATTTTGGATATTAGACCTTTGTCAGATGCATAGTTAGCAAAAATTTTCTTCCATTCTATAGGTTGCCTGCTCACTCTGATGATAGTTTCTTTTGCTGTGCAGAAGCTCAGTTTAATTAGATCCCATTTGTCAATTTTGGCTTTTGTTGCAATTGTTTTTGGTGTTTTTGTCATGAAATCTTTACTAATGCCTATGTGAAGGACTACTTTATAAGTTCCTATGAAGATGTTAGAAATTCTTTGGCAACACAAGTTCGTTGACTTGTTCAGGTTCACATGTAGTTGACACAATTATACAGTTTAGCATTACATCTATACACCAATTTCACCTCCTTATGTTGCAAATTTGATTCATGAATGATAATATAAACTTTCAACTTTATCATGTTGGATTATAGAGGTGCATGTTATAGAAAAAAATAGAAAATAGAAAGTAAGAAAGTGACAAGTTTAGGGGAAAAGGAAAGCTTAAGCAAAAAGAATAAAGTAATTTTGTTTTGGTTTTTAAATTTTCTTATACTCCATTTTGCAGATGAATAATAAAGTAATTTTGACCTAGATACCTTGTTTTCTCACCACATCCATGTCCTCTGGATGCTTATACCTTGTGCTGACATGGAAATGCCAGACTTTTAAGAAAGAGATGAGGTTGCTGATGTTAGGAATATTGTTTTCTCCATCCATAAATAAATGTTGATTTGTTACATTAAGGTACATTTTCAGAAAATTAGAATTTTAAATCCATACAATATTAATCCTGTCAGGGATCAAAGTTCTTGATACAGATAAAAAGAGAGATGCCTAAATACAGC
This sequence comes from Homo sapiens, assembly GCF_000001405.40. NCBI lineage: Eukaryota > Metazoa > Chordata > Mammalia > Primates > Hominidae > Homo > Homo sapiens. Next base: position 131,554,792 of record NC_000006.12, read on the forward strand.
AATTATTATATTAAATGCCAGTGTCATTTATTTGCATACTGTTTGTGCTGTTCTGGGAATTCAAATGCTGAAATAATTTTTAAAGTTTAACAGTATTTTTTAATAGTAGTCAAAAGTGAAATAATCTACATATTTATTATTCAGATGAATTTATGATATAATCACTTGACAGAATACTAGTATCTCTTTAGAAACATTTTTAAAAGAATTTTTAATAACATAGAAATGTTCATAAAATAATTATAAGAGAAAAAAGCAAGATATAAAAGAATCTCCAATGAAGAAAATATGTAAATACACAAAATATTAGAAAGTAATATTGCACAATATTAGCCATATTTATATATATGGGATGTAGGGTTGTGTATGATGTACATTTTCTTGTTTATTCTTGTGAATATTTTAAATATTTTATAAGGAAACATATCTACTTTTTAAAAATTTATTTATTTATTTATTTATTTTTGAGATGGAGTCTCACTCTGTTGCCCAGCCTGGAGTGCAGTGGTGTGATCCTGGCTCACCGCAACCTCCACCTCCCAGGTTCAAGCGATTCTCCCATGTCAGCATCCAGAAGAGCTGGGATTACAGGCGCATGCCACCACGCCTGGCTAATTTTTGTATTTTTAGTAGAGACAGGGTTTCACCATGTTGGCCGGGCTGGTCTCCCACCTTAGCCTCCCAAAGTGCTGAGATTTTAGGCGTAAGCCACCGCACCCAGCCATTATCCACTTTTTAATAAGAAGAAAATGTTAGTTTGGTCTATCAGCAAGAAGAAAAAGAAAAATTATAAGGGACCTGACAAATCATCCAATAAATAGCTAAGAGTTGACTAATTGAAATAATAAATGTCCCCCATCAATCTCATTAGAGATATTTATGTTTGGACGCAAAACTTTTGTGAAAGTATATTTGTTTATAGAAAAACACAGGTTCTTAATACCTTCCTTGGAAGTTTTTTCTTATAACATATTAGTTTGTTTATATTCATTGTTTTTGTGCTGAAAGTAGAGTACAAAATGCTTGTATAAATTGTGTTCTCAATAAATATATCTTGAATGAATGAATGAGTTTACCAACCAGCAAGTATGTCTAGGAGTACTTGTTGTATAAATATTTTAATCATAGTTTTCTCTAAGCCTTCTCTAGGAAGATTAGTTTTAATATGTTATAAACATAGCAATATGAATCCAACTAATACTAAAACTACAGGTGTTTTAATACAGGTGTGACATACTTTTTTTCTGTCAGTAGAAAAGAGAGTATCAGACCTTGAACTTGCATCCAATTGTCTGAAAGCACCAAAAACAGAAGCCCCTCCCCAAAGCACAAACTTTCCCTGATGTTTACTTGTAGGAGAGTTTGGCAGCCAAGTTCCTGGATGTTACAAATTAAATACTGCTCATAGCCCTGCTTCCAACTGCCTTGTTGGCAAAAATTTTGAAACTCTAGAAGGACCATGCTCAGAAGCTAGACCTAGGGGGAATGGTAAGCAATGGAAACTCCTAAATCCAAGAGAGGAACAGTGACTGCATTCACCCACTTAAGAAATCACTTATCTTTAACAATAGTTGTTTTTGTACTTTGGGGGGTTTGTGGCTATTCCCTAAGATCCTTTTTCCACTGACTTTTACAAGCAATTTAGGGCCTCTTTTTCAACAGATGTAAGTAAATCAGCCTATGATATTTCAACATAAACTATGTCAAAACGTTTCACATTACTCTTTAATTGTTTATTTATTTTTCCCATGCTTTGAAATTATAAAAAATTTGAGGGTGATTTTAGGCTACACATAAAATGTGATAGTCAATTTGTTAGAGAATATAAAATTACAGCTAGATAGGAGGAATAAGTTATAGGGTTCTACATCACTTTAGGAAGACTACAATTAACAATAATATATAGTTTTAAATAGCTAGAAGGAGAATATTGAACATTCCCACACGAAGAAACGATAGATGTTTGAGATGATGGATATGCTAATTACCCTGATCTGATCACTATATATTATATGTATCTAAATATCACTATATGCTTGTAAATATGTACAATTATTATTTGTCAGTTAAAATAATCAGAACCAGAAAAATTAAACTGTACACACACACACACAAAACCAATCTGACAAACACTCAAGTAATACAGTCTGACATAATTGGCTACAGGTAGGAAATAAATTTTGCTTTGAGTTTCCTGGAAAACATAGTTCAAAAGAAAAGTCAGTTACATAGTCTTCATTGTATAAAAGAAAAAAACTTGAGTTTCTCAGGCCAAGAAAAAATTTCATAGCACTAAGTTCTGAAAGAAATTACTCAGTATACTTGTGTAGGGATTTTTTAATGACATGGTACACAATGACCTCAATATCCACACAGCATACATAGATATTGATTTTTTAAAGCTGCTTCTTGTGTTCTTCCAAACAGGTCAATTTCATGATACTAAAAAACAGCCCAGAGACATCAGTCTGCATTGAATTAAAATAGTGCTCAAGGATGTCACATTCTTAGAATGAACTCTGAATAAAACCTACATTAAAAATCAGAATGCATGGATTGCTTCACCTTTGATTATTCACCTGTTAATAGATGCAGATATGAAGTATCACTGATCGAAGGAGGTTCCAGTCAAATACGTGAAGATGAAGCAAATGGTGGGGTTCATATTCTTTGTTTTTCCTTTTTTGTAAATTTTATTTTATTTTATTTTATTTGAGACAAGGTCTCACTCTGTCACCCAGGCTAGAATGCAGTGGCACGATCTCAGCTCACTGCAACGTCCACCTCCCGAGTTCAAGCGATTCTCCTGCCTCAGCTACCCAAGTAGCTGGGACTGCAGGCATGCCACCATACTTGGCTAATTTTTGTATTTTTAGTAGAGACTGGGTTTCACCGTGTTGGCTAGGCTGGTCTTGAACTCCTGACTTTAAGTGATCTGCTTGCCTTGACCTCCCAAATTGCTGGGATTACAGGTGTACACCACACTCAGCTGATTTTTTGTATTTTTTTGTAGAGATGAGGTTTCACCATGTTGTCCAGACTGGTCTCGAACTCCTGGGCTCAAGCCAACTGTCTGCCTTGGCCTCCCAAAGTGCTGGGATTACAAGCATGAGCCCATATTTTTCAATAAAATCAAGGGATATGCCAGTTCATCCTGAGAAGTAATTCTACCTTGACTGAAAAAAGGACCTGCACAGAAAATTAAGTTTTGTTTAAATACCAATCTTGGTACTACTTGTAGACCAAATTGCTTTTCAAATCCACTTTTTAAAGTGTCAGCTTGTAACATTTGATGTTTGTATGGTGTAAACCTGCAACTAAATGGGACAAAATATTTCAAAATTATCCAGTAAAATGATAATATTTGGACTAAAAAATTACTCTGCTCAAACTTAGCTTCCTGTTAAAATCAGCTTTGGGCAAGTTAACCAGCCTCTTTGAACTTATTTCCACTTTGAAAAACAGAAATGTATAATCAAAAGTCAAATGGCAGCCGGCGCAGTGGCTCATGCCTGTGATCTCTTTGAGAGATTTGGGAGGCGGAGGTGAGTGGATCACCTGAGTCCAGGAGTTTGAGACCAGCCTGGGAAACATGGCAAACCCTTGTCTCTACAAAAAAAATATAAAAAATTAGCTTGGCACAGTGGTGGGCACCTGTGATCCCAGCTACTTGGGGGACTGAGGCGGAAAAATCGCTTGTACTCGGGAGGTGGAGGTTGCAGTGAGCCCAGATCGTGCCACTGCCACTCCAGCCTGGGTGACAGAGTGAGACCCTGTCTCAAAGAAAAAAAAAAAAAGTAAATGACATAAATAACATAAAAGTGTGTTTTACTCTATGAAACACCAGGCAGATGTCGGAGATTATTATTACACCTGTTAAAGTTTTTTAAATGACTGCCAGAACTTTGCTCAGACTAAAGGTTCTGAAAATGACTCTCATAATTTCTGCCTGAAGTTTTTTTTTCCCATTGTGATAGTTAATTTTATGTGTCAACCTATCTGGGCTGAGATGCCCAGAGAGCTGGCACAATACTATTTCTGGATGTATCTGTAAGGGTGTTTCAGTGAGATCCTAGCATTTGAATCAGTAGACTGAGTAAAGGAGAGAGCCCTCACTTGTGCAGCGGGGCATCGTCTAATCCACTGAAGGCATGAAGAGAACAGAAAGGCAGAGAAACTGCAACTGTTCTCCCTGCATGAGCTGTGGCATCCATTTTCTCCCGCTGCAGGACGTTGGCAATCCTGGTTCTCAGACCTTCAGACTTGGACTGGGACTTACACCATTGGCTCCTCTGATTCTCAGGCCTTCAAATTTGCACTGGAACCACACCCAACACCACTGGCTTTCCTAGGCTTCCAGCTGGCAGACAGCAGATCATGGGACAGCCTCCATAATCTAGTGACCGAATTCTTCATAATAAATATCTTTCTCTGTATCTGCATATCTTTTATTGATTCTGTGTCTCTGGCTTTCTCTGCCAAATGTACTCATTCAGTTTAACATGTAGTTGTTTGAGCACCCACAAAATGCTTTCAGAGAGACAAAAGAAATGAAAACATGGCTCCTTCACACAGAAGGGATTTGGAGGCAACCTCTAGAACTACATTCTAGTAAATGACAATGTTATTAAATGATGCAGTGAGCATTCCTGGCAATAATAATAGTTCTGCAAGTTGAGAGCTGTAAGAGTTGAGACCTTCATGGGCTGATTGGGAAAGCTTCTTGAGGCAGTAGGATCAGTAGGATGCCACAGAGTGATTCTTTTTTTTTTTTTTTTTTTTTTTTTTGAGATGGAGTCTCGCTCAGTCGCCCAGGCTGGAGTGCAGTGGCGCAATCTCGGCTCACTGCAAACTCCGCCTCCCGGGTTCACGCCATTCTCATTCTCCTGCCTCAGCCTCCCGAGTAGCTGGGTCTACAGGCGCCCGCCACCATGCCCGGCTAATTTTTTGTATTTTTAGTAGAGACGGGGTTTCACCGTGTTAGCCAAGATGGTCTCGATTTCCTGACCTCGTCATCCGCCCGCCTCAGCCTCCCAAAGTGCTGGGATTACAGGCGTGAGCCACCTCGTCCGGCCGCACAGAGCGATTCTTTTTCTTTTTTCTTTTTTCTTTTTTTTAAAGAGGGAGTCTCACTCTGTTACCCAGGCTGGAATACAGTGACGCAACCTCGGGTCACTGCAACCTCTCCCTCCTGGGTTCAAGTGATTCTCCTGCCTCAGTCTCCCAAGTAGTTGGGATTACAGGCACCCACCACCATGCCTGGCTAATTTCTGTATTTTTAGTAGAGACGAGGCTTCACCATGTTGGCCAAGCTAGTCTAGAACTCCTGACCTCAGGTGATCTGCCCGCCTCAGCCTCCCAAAGTGCTGGGATTACAGGCGTGAGCCACCGCACCCGGCCCCATAGAGTGTTTCTTCTCCTCTTCTAATCAGGTCCTCTGTGATCTTGTCAGATAGCTTTCATTAAGTACTTAACAACTGGTAAAATGTCCAATGAAATATTTTTTAAAATTTCCCCAGGATTGAGATCTGCATTTTAGTTTCTATGTGAGATTAAATTTTATTGCCTGAGTTCAGATCTTAAAAGATTTAATAAAGTTTGAGTCATTTTAATATCACACAGGAAGGGGAAACAATTTTTTTTCTTTCTGTACACTGGGAGCACTACGTATGATGGTTAGGCGTCAAGATAGATCAAGGTACTAATCTGACAATGTGTGAAGGAATTGGAAAACTCTTCTACTTCTTTAAAATTTCAGAATCTATATATGTACGATTTACTTCAGAAACTAGGATAGACAAGAAATGTGACCAAAATTTGATTCCTGTATGCATACAGATGAGGTGGCCTAAGACACACTAAAATAAGCAGGTCTACTCAGGAGAAAAGTCAACCTGCTAATTTCTCAAGCCAGTTGAGATCAGCCCATCCAATCAGAAAATCTCATCCATTCACTCCAAAATGACAGTCAGGGATTATGGTAAGGTTTATTTTTATTTTTATGTTTTAGACTCAAATACCATTTCATGGGTCATTTATAAGAGAAATGACAGGATCCTTAATAAAACCTAAGGTTATTTTTTTCAGACAGGGTCTCAGTTTGTCACCCAGGCTGGAGGACAGTGGTGCAAACATGGCTTATTGCAGCTTCAACTTCCTGAGCTCAAGCAATCCTCCCTCCTCAGCCTCCCAAGTAGCTGGGACTACAGGTGTGCACCACCATGTTCAGCTAATTTTTAAAATTTTTTGTAGAGACAGGGTCTCGCCATGTTGTCCAGGCTGGTCTTGAACTCCTGGGCTCAAGCAGCCCTTCCACCTTGGCCTTCCAAAGTGCTGGGATTACAGGCATGTGCCACCATGCTCAGCCCAACCCAAGGCTATCGAAGTAGGTCCAACAGAGAATCTTATATGCCCCTTCTTCATGTTATTTGCATCTTTCAGATCTTTGTAAAGGTCCAGCCTATTCCGTTCATATCCCCTTGGAGTTTCCCCTGGTACAGTTTCCCTCTCCCTTACCCTTAGTTACACCTTTAGCTTTGGGATAAACTGGTATCTAAGAGCTTCAGAGGTTGGCTGCTTTAAATTTTAGCAGAATTCCCCAGTATAGTAATAGTGACCATATTTTTGGATTTTCTTATACGGTTCTGATTCCACTTTTTAAATAATAAAGGTGATTTATTTAAATTTTTTAATTTAAAAATAGAATAACATCAGTATTACAGCTCCTTATATCAAGTTTGCAAAAATAGAATTTCCTTTATTTCCTAAAATTCATCTTGATTTCTATTTCATAGCCCCTTTCCCACTTGGCAAGAAACACCCTCAATCATTTGCCATTTCCCTCCATGGCCCCTATCCTGAGTTGGGTCACAGTCTTGCCCAGGGCCAGGTTTCAGTGTGAATGGTGTCCCGTCTGGTTTTCAGTCCATGCAGGTGGCCATGAAGGTGTCCACAAACCAGAGGAAAAATTCCTGTGGACCCAGTGGTCCTCAGTTGCTGCCAAGCTGTGATTGGGGCAGAAATCGTTCTGATTGCTCTCCATCCATCTGAAGAAACACACCTCCCTGTCATGCACAACTGGGTTGTAGCAAGATGGAATAGGGAGGAGCAAAGGGGAAAACTGGCTGCCCAGAAGCCAAGTTCTCTCCCAGAGACCAAACCCCTCTGTTCTGATGGCCTCCATGTTTCTAGGGGTTTTTCCCGGAAGAAATCCCTTTCCTTTTATAAGTTTGGCCAAAACACTTTATTTAGACCCAAATCCTCTCTTTACTCCAAGACTTTAGGAAAAGAAAGCCAAGAAGTTTTGCAATCTTGTTCAGCTCTCTGCCTTGCCACCTCCCTCCACTGAAGCTGGGAGCACAAACCTGGTTCTCTCTTAGGTGAGGAAAGAAGGAAAGAGAAAAATACAAGGAAAAAGGAAAAAATAGATTTACTGCCTCAAAATATCTACCCCCCTCACCTGTAAATAATTATGTTTTTCCAGTCCTAGTAGTAAAGGTTTATTTGTTTATGTCTAGTAATAAAGCTGGAAAGATGGTGAACTCTAGTTCTGATGTTACACGCTACTGGAGAATGATCTCTTCAAATGTTTTCCCAAAATGACCATGCACACTATAGATTATTTTAGGGATCACTTAATCTTCCCCTCTTCTCCCTGACAGAACATCAGCCTCTGCGATCCTGCTAATGCACAGGGCCACTCAAACCAGTTATTTACAGTATAAATTGCTTAATGCTTATTTATGCATTTCACAATCATCCTTTAATTGTTAACATCAAATGAGGTAGGTAGAAGTTGCATCATGTCCTAACTTTAAGACTTTTTTTACACCTCCCTTTCTCCAATACGCTTTCAGTTGACATTGAGGAAACAAAACTCTCAACTAACCTGTGCAGAAGCCAAATAATAACAATAATACATTTTATATAAAACCCATCACAGCATTTATGATAGGCTATTAATAATTAAAAGCAAAATGTGGTGTTAAAAGCTCGTTTGAAAATTCCAAGAAGCACAACTAAATATATAGATCATGAGGCAGTGCATATAATCAATACACATAGAGAAACATTTATTCCCATTTGTGTTTATTTTCTGGGCTTGTTTATGATAGAATTATTGGTAGAGAAGAAAGCTAGCTAAATATATTAGAAGCATAAATAACGCAATATTTACGACAATGTTTAACCTAACTAAGATCATTTAAAATGAGTAGGCCGGGTGTGGTGGCTCATGCCTGTACATTTTGGGAGGCTGAGGTGGGTGGATCGCTTGAGCCCAGGAGTTTGAGAACAGCCTGGGCAACATGGCGAGACCCCATCTCTAAAAAAATACAATAATTAGCTGGGCATGGTGGCACATGCCTGTAGTTCCAGCTACTTGGGAGGCTGAGACAGGAGAATCACCTGAGCCCAGGGAGGTTGAGCCTTCAGTAAGCTGTAATTGGATCACTGCACTCCCAGCTGGGTGACAGAACGAGACCCTGTCTCAAAAAAAAAAAAAAATAAATAATAATAGTAGATAAAATGAGTAGTGCTTTAGCAGCATCATTTGCTTGCAGTTTATGTGTTAGTTTGATGTATCTATAACTTCAAAAATGTCAGCTCTTTTATTTACTATTTTATTTGAAGGTAACACCTACTACTTTAAGGAAGAGCTTTTATTTCTTCCCATTTTATTTACTTATTACTTGCATCACCATGGACTCAGAAATCCTTATTTTACTCTACTTGTTATAATCAATTACTATCATTATTTATTTTGTGGCTTTGACTGCCCCAGATTTAGCCAGTCTTTTGACTGCTGTATCTTTTACATGATCCTCTTATTTACTTATTTGGGACAGAGTCTTGCTCTGTCACCATGATGGTGCATGCCTGTAGTCCCAGCTACTTGAGAGGCTGAGATGGGAGGATTGCTTGACCCTGGGAGGTTGAGTCTGCACCTGAAAGGTTGAGTCTGTACCTCCTAGGGTCAAGTGATCCTCCTATCTCAGCCTCTCAAGTAGCTGGGACTACAGGCATGCACCACCACGCCCTGCTAATTTTTGTATTTTTGTACAACATGGGGTTTTACCATGTTGCCCAGGCTGGTCTCGAACTCCTGGGCTCCAGCGATCCACCCATTTTGGCCTCCCAAAGTGCTGGAATTACAGGTGTGGCCACTGCATCAGCTGATCCTCACATGTATTGAGCACTTCCTTACTTTCTGGTACCACAAGAGATTTCAGGCTTATTTTGTACTTGCAGCTTATACTTTCTCTCTTCTAGCCCTGGAATGACCCATTTCTCTAAGGAGCCCTGGTCCTTTTTATTTGAGAATGGTAGATGGAGACCAAGATGCATGTGCAGACGTATCCATTGGTACTGGGAAATCAGTCTCCAGGCTCTTTCAGCAGAGAGCTGAGAAATGTATGTGTACACACACACACACACACACTCTCACACACTTCTTATTTCTATATCTAGTCACCTGAAAATATATTGAAAACCATGAGTTCATATGGATCCTCTGCTCTAACACCACTGAACAGATGCTAGCCTTTTACCTTTCCTTATATCTAACTCCTTTTTCAGATTGTGGGAATCCTGGCTTTCTTTTCCACAATTTATTTACTAGCCATATGTAAGTAAGGTCCTTTGTCCATATTTTGTTCCCCTTTGTTGTCCCTTAATGATTTTCTAAAAAAAAATTATTTTTAATTTTTGTGGGCACATAGTAGGTATATATATTTATTTTGAGGTACATGAAATATTTTGATACAGGCATGCGATGTGTAATAATGACATCGTGGAGAATAGGGTATCCAGCTCCCCAAGCATTTATTCTACAAACAATCCAAATATATTCTTTTAGTTATTTAAAAGTGGGAAATTAAGTTGACGATAGTCATCCTGTTGTTCTATCAAATAGTAGGTCTAATTAATTCTTTCTATTTTTTTTTTTTTGTCTCCACCTCCCCCCATCCTCCTACTACCCTTCTCGGCCTCTGGTAACCATCTTTCTACTCTCTATGTCCATGAGTTCAATTGTGTCCATGAGTTTAGCTGTTTTGACTTTCAGATCCCACAAATAAGTGAGAACAGGCAATGTTTGTCTTTCTGTGCCTGGCTTGTTTCACTTAACACAATGATCTCCACTTCCATCCATGTTATTGCAAATGACAGGATTCATTCTTTTTATACCTCAATAGTACTCCATTGGGTATATAACACATTTTCTTTATCTGTTCATCTGTTGATGGACACTTAGGTTGTTTCCAAATCTTGGTTTTTATGAATAGTGCTGCAATAAACATGGTAGGGCAGGTATCTCTTCAATATACTGATTTCCCTTGTTTTGGCTGTGAGATCGCTGGATCATGTGGTAGCTCTATTTTTACTTTTTTGAAGAACCTGTAAACTGTTCTCCACAGTGGTTGTACTAATTTACATTCCCACCAACAGTGTACGAGGGTTCCCTTTTCTCCACTTCCTCACCAGCATTTGTTATTGCTTGTCTTTTGGATGAAAGCCATTTTAACTGGGGTGAGGTAATATCTCATTGTAATTTTGATTTGCATTTCACTGATGATCAGTGATGTTGAGCACCTTTTCATAGGCTTGTTTGTCATTTGTATGTCTTCTTTTAAGAACTATCTATTCAAATCTTTTGCCCATTTTTTAATCGGGTGATTAGTTTTTTTCCTAGAGTTCTTTGAGCTCCTTAAATACTTTGGTTATTAATCCCTTGTCAGATGGGTAGTTTATAAATATTTTCTCCCATTCTGCAGGTTGTCTCTTCACTTTGTTGATGGTTTCCTTTGCTGTGCAGAAGCTGTTTAACTTGATCTGATCCTTTGTCTATTTTTGCTTTGGTGCCTGTGCTTGTGGGGTATATTACTCAGGAAATTTTTGCCCAGACCAACATCCTGGAGATTTTCCCCAATGTTTTCTTGTAGCAGTTTCATAGTTTTGAGGTCTTAGATTTAAGTCTCCTTAATGATTTTTAAGAGCGCCTTTTCATTAGGGCCATTGGTCCTTTGTTGCTCAAAGTGTTTCAAACATATACTTTTTCCTTTACTTTTTTATTTTTGCTTTACAGTATTTACAATTTTTTTCTCTTTTTTGGAGTTAGTGTCTTATATGTGGTGATGGTATCATGGATGTATGCATATGTCCAAGCTCATTAAAATGTATACATTAAGCCAGGTGCGGTGGCTCACGCCTGTAAATCCCAGCACTTTGGGAGGCCAATGCGGGTAGATCACAAGGTCACGAGTTCGAGACCAGCCTGACCAACATGGTGAAACCGCTTCTCTACTTAAAATACAAAATATTAGCCGGGCATGGTGGTATGAGCCTGTAATCCCAGCTACTCAGGAGGCTGAGGCAGGGGAATCACTTGAACCCAGGAGGTGGAGGTTGCAGTGAGCCAAGATCGCACCACTGCACTCCAGCCTGTTCAACAGAGCAAGACTCCATCTCAAAAAAAAAAAAAGCATACATTAGATATGTATATTTTTGTATATCAACTATAAATTGATAAATATTAATGAAGCTTACATTTCTCAATTTCATTGAGAAATTAAATCTATCAAGTTTATTAACTAGAATTCATTTTTTTTAAATAACATAAAATGATGGAAATAGACAATTACCATCTGGCAAATATCACAGCAGTAATTTACTTTAGTCAAGAATCATCAATGGATGCTAAGCTTAGTGGGTCAAAGTGTGATGACAAAGAGGATAATTATATAATATTAAAGTATTGCCCCCACAAGATACTTATTTATTACAAAGGAAAAATAGCAAATTTGCAGAGGAGAAACTTGAGAGGTACTACTTTAACCACGTGATTAAAGTAATGGGACAGTAATGGGACAGACCAACGTCAAATCCCTCCTAATGTGATACACTGAGAAGTACACCACATTACTTTTGTAGTATTCTTGAACAAATGCAAACCTTGAATTTAATTAAAGAAGACCTCGGATGAATTTAAGTTGAGAGACTCTTCAAAAGTCTGAAGTTGATGTAGGACAAAGAAAAACTGAGGAACTGTACCAGGGGAAAGGAGACTAAGATACATGGCAATTTTGGGGAAGCTGATCCTGAGTTAAGGGTACTGATCATATATTATTTTCCTGGATCCCAAATAGCAAACAGCATGGAAGCAAGCACTAAGTAAAATGATTATTTAGTAAATACTTATTGGCTGATTAATTATTAAAGAATCTAGATGTGTAGAGTCTTCTGACTTCATCAGCTCACCTCTTCCTTAGTAGGAATATTTGTTCCAAACCACCCACAGAATATAGGTGTGCAGTTAGGTATGCCAGAAGAATTCTGTCCTTCATCAGATGATTTATAGCACATAGGCTAAAAAAACTGAATAGCTTTGAAGGTGCTAGACTCTGCCAAGTGAAGATGTTCCACGATCTCAGCCATCACTCCAATTTATTTGTTCTTGATCCTGAAGAACTAAAGAGCAAGGCCTCCTTGCAGACATGTCTTCAGTCAAATCTTCAGAGAGTCTATACGGAGAATGGGTCTCCTATTTACTTCTCCATTTGGGAAATGTCACTCAAATATCATAAATTAAACTTCCCACTGAATTTTGTCTATTTTCAAAAATATACCTGTAGACTTTCAGCTTCTGAGAATGGGAAGCTCACATAAAAATAGCCAGGATTTCAGAGTCTCTGAGCCTACCCTGGCTCAGAAGGCTGCCCAACAACAACAACAACAACAACACAGCCAGGATTTTTGTAAAAAATTGATAAATAATACAAATTAACACATCCATCAGGCCTAGAAAATCCAAGAAGGATATATGAAATCCAAAAATGATATATAAAAATCTATACCAAGATACATCACACCAAGGCTACAGAATGTCAAAGTAAAAGAGAGAAATCTGAAAAACATCTAGATAAAACCACTGTCCTCCAGAAATGCTTCAATGGCAGCTTAGATAAGTTAGTTTCCAGAGCATGAGCCAACCTATTTTATTTTGCAAAAATACTACCATCTCTCAAATTAATACACTTTTGGTTTTCTTTAATAATTACAAGAAACTGATATCAAGTGTTAATTAATATATAGATGCAGTAAAATGCTTCAGCAAACAATAAAATTTTGTTTTACTTTTAGTTTTATTTTCCAGAGAAGTTAGATTTTGAGGGTATCCATTACTTAATAGACCAAACGACGAGAAAGAAGGCAGAGAAAAATAAAATGTAAACTTTGATTGACTTTCCACTTTTATGTAGAAAACATGATTGATTTTCTCCAGATTATTTTTTCCATTTTTCAGAGTGTGTAGTTCATTACTCGTCAGATTTAGTTTCTGAAAGATTCTGAAATTTCCTTTAATCTTTTAAAAGCTAAAGGTTGACTCTCATTTACAAGAATGAAGAAGTCTTGCAGGTTTAGGTGACATGAGCTTGTGGGAATAACACTAGAAGTATCCAATGTTATCCAAGAAACATGGAGGATCCAAGAAATGTGGATTTCATTCTCAGTTCTAGACTCAAGTAGCTACGAAACTTGGTAGAGAAGCCACTCTACCTTAGGAGCCACAGTTATTTCATATCCTATAATTCTATACCCCAGGCCACACTGACCTTGGAATAAATCTAGATCTCAATAACGGACATGCACAGTAGTTCCCTGGCTCCAATCCTCACCCACTAGTGCAGAACGTTAAATCTTTGAATTATTCCTAGGAATACCAAGAGGCAATCCATATGTGCTCACGAATCTACTGATTTTAATTCCCTTTTATTTACACCTTCTGCCTTCTTCCCTATTTTTAGACTCTCTTTAGGGGTCTGTAGCTGAAGCTTCCAAATCAAAACTTAAATATCTTCCCCTTGACTTCAATGCTATAGTTCAGGGACTGGTTTGGACATTAGGTGACATCTCTGGAGACCTCAGGGCACCAAAGTAGGTGTAGCTCCCTCATTGAGTTCCTCTCTGTCACCTGGTCCCAGAGCAGTGCTGCCTTGAGCTCCCTATGCTCAGAGAGAGAACAGTTGCACTGCTCTTTAAGAGTTTGTTTCCCATAGCCTCCACATTCGTAAGAGTGCCGCTTCAATTCTGGGAGGGTAAAAAAAAAAGAAAGGAAGGAAAGAGTAGGCGTCTGTTAACATATAGTTGTGAAGCAACCCGAGCCAGACACTTCTTATGAACCTTCTTTTTATGGTGACCCATGCTACTTAGGCTACTAATATGCCTTAAGGGGTTAAGAGAGTTCCTACTCAAAGAAATGACTATGTAACTTACCCAGAGATCATCCTGTTTGAACATTTCCATAAAATCATAGTGTGTAGTGTTCCAGGACCAGGTCCAACCTTACCGTATTGGATTTAAGGGGTCTAGGAAATGCACCAAGCAAAATGATTCCCTGAAGTCTCCCGATTCAAGATTTAGTCTTTCAAATTTTGTGTATATTCCAGTCTTTGGTAAAAGTGCTAAGAATCCTGGGCCTCATCTGGAAAGAATTCTTATCTGTTAGCTGGCTGTTGAAAAGACAATGCAGAAATGGGCTGTAGTTTGGAGCAACAGAAAGAAAAACAAGTAGAGGGCAAAAGTGTGTCATTTTTTTCATCCCTCTCATTATGTAAGTTTTTTGTTTTTAACTTTTTTTTTTTAACTTTTTTTTTTTTTTTTTTTTTTTGAGATGGAGTCTTGCTCTGTCACCCAGGCTGGAGTGGAGTGCAGTGGTGCAATCTTGGCTCACTGCAACCTCCGTCTCCCGGGTTCAAGTGCTTCTCCTGCCTCAGCCTCCTGAGTAGCTGGGATTACAGGCACTTGCCACCACACTCGCCTAATTTTTTGTATTTTTGGTAGAGACAGAGTTTCACCGTGTTGGCCAGGATGGTCTCGAACTCTTGACCACGTGATCCACCTGCCTTGGCCTCCCAAAGTGCTGGGATTACAGGCATGAGCCACCACGCCTGGCCTCATTATGTAACTTTTTAATTCATGCTTTCTTTATCATTTCAATAATATTAATTTGGGCTGCTAGGGGTTGAATTACATCCCTCCAAAAGATATGTTGATGTCCTAACCTTCAGTACCTCAGAATGTGGCTGTATTTGGAAACAGGACCATAGCAGATGTAACTAGTTAATATGACACCATACTGGTGGGTGGGGGGCTTAACCCAATATGACTGTCGTCCCTGTAAGAAGACAGCCATGTGAAAACACAGAGACACAGGGAGCGTGCCAAGTGAAGATGGAGGATTGGAGTGATGCACCTAATGAGCCGAGAAATGCCAAAGATTGCCAGAAAACCTCCAGCAGCTAGGAAGAGGTAGGAAGGATTCCCTGCAGGTCTCAGAGGGAGCATGGCTCTGCCGACACCTGGATTTCAGACTTCTATCCTCTAAACTATGGATAAAAAAATTGTATTTTATTTTATTTTTATTTTTTATTTTTTATTTTTTATAAGCACCCAGTTTGTGGTACAAGTACTTTGTAACAGCAGCCATAGGAAACTAATACAAGGGCCTGTTATGTGTCAGATCTCATTCCAGTAGCTTTGGATTAGGGTCAAATAAGATGTGGTCTCATTCCCAGGAAAATGCCAGATAGGATTTTTCTTTCAACATTTGGTTAAGAGACTTGCAGTGTTAGAAGGGCTTTTAAAACCTCAATGTACATAACCCTGAGATAAATGAAAGAATTGAGCTGAAGAAAGTGTATCTTTGATAGAGTGATATAGGTGAGACACCCCTTATCTTCTTCCTCTAGCAGTCTTGAGATGACAGCTTTGGAGACTGAAAAAATAGCTTGTGTTAATAATAAAAAGGAAGCAGCAATCACTAGAAGTCAGCATGAGTTCACCAAGAACTGGACCTGTCAAGGTCAGCCCATCAACTTTGACAGGGAAGTCAGATTGGCAGAAGAAAAGGTAGTAAAGTGTGATGAGATTTTATTGAGACACCGGATAAATTTCCTTACGATGTCCTTGTGAACAGGATGGAGTGGTTGAGTTGGAAATTAGTAATCAGTTGTATCTCAACTGATGATTAATTAATGGGGCTATGCCAATCTGGGTTAAGGTTTCCAGTGGAATGTCACAGAGTGTTTGTAAAAGTGCTGCCTTATTCAACATTTTTATCAGTGACTTGGAAAAGTCAAATGTTATCAAATTTGTGTCTGATGGACCAGATAACTCCACCTGTATTTGGATATGTGCATTTTGTTCTGGATGCCCTATTTAGGAAAGGCAGAGGGAAGCGAGATGTTTTGAAGACAGCGACCAAGTTGGTGACCTGAAGGAAAGTGGCAACTATGTAACACAAGAAATTAGTGAGGTATTTGGGAATATTCAGCCTAAACAATAGAAATCCAAGAAAGACATGACAGCCAAGAGATAATGTGCTTTACTTGGATTAAAGGGTGGTGACCAATGGTTCATATGACAGGAAGGCAATCTCAGCTTGGCATACAAAGAACTTTCAGGATGTGAATTTTTCAAAGAAAAAATTCTAGCAATCAAATTTGAAAGTTAGCAAATCTCCATGGATTGATTTATAAATCTAGTAAAAATTCTAGCAAATACTTTTAAGGAATTAGGTTATTCCAACTATAGGAGAATAGAGACCCATAAAAGGTAAATCAATTTTGAAAAAGAAGAGCAAAACAGTTACTCTTGCCTAAACAATGATAAGATGTACCGCAAAACTGTATTGATAAAACCTGATGGATCTGGTGCAGCCATAGGTAAATAAGTCAATGGAACAGAAGAAAGAGTTTAGTGACAGACAGCACTCCAATCAATTGCAAAATGAATGACTATTCAATGGGTGTTGTTGAGGAAACTGATGCATGAATGATAGAGGAAAAACGAGTTGGAAAATTTACATAACATACAAAGATGGATTCAGGAACTAAGTGAGAAAGATAAGCTCTAAGGCAAATGGAAGAAAATGTAAAACTACATACCTACAATTTGATGGGGTGGCAGGAATTTAATAAGACTTCCAAAGCACAAAGCATTCGGGGGAAATTATACAAGTGTCTATTTTAAAATTGAGGATTTTGAGTGATAACATATAAAAAGTTATCAGATTTCTGACAGGTTGGGAAAAGTTATTTGCAATGTCAATGCTATAAGGTTAATATCTAGGCAATATGAGGAATACCACAAGTAAATATTTAGGATATACAAGCAAACCCACAAGAAAAAGGTAGGAAACCTATTTGGAAAACAGTCCTATCAAAATGGACCCATGAGACTTTGGTTTCCTCATTTATCCATTCAATAAATATTTATTGAGTGCCTATTATACACCAACACTCTTCTAGGCCCT
This sequence comes from Homo sapiens, assembly GCF_000001405.40. NCBI lineage: Eukaryota > Metazoa > Chordata > Mammalia > Primates > Hominidae > Homo > Homo sapiens. The sequence goes on from NC_000006.12 coordinate 131,572,103, forward strand.
GGGGATACAGCAGACAAAATTCTCTGACCTCATGGAATTTAAATTCCAAAATGTTCTTTCCCACCAATAGGAAAAAGAAATTAGTTTCTACTAAGTGAATTTTCCCTTTAAATTACAATTACATAATTTTAAAGTCGGAAGGATCTTTAAGGTGCCTTTATTTTAAATTCATACTTTTGTATGGTGACAAATGGTAGCTCAGGGGCATAGAGGTTGACACCTTCCCAGCATTTAGACTATAAGCTCGACGGTTAAGTGGATTCAGAATGGCAGAGACTAAATCCCGACTTTTCTTCTACAGCCTATGTTGGCAACGGGTCTGAGCTTCAGTTTATTCATCAGTATAATGGCACCAATGATGAGACTTCACATAAAATTGGTATAAATATAAATATGGTATTTTGAAACAGAACTGCATCGGACACATGGTAAAAACTCAATGTTAGCTATTTTTATTTCTATACTTTGATTATGATATGATTCTACAATTATTTTCCTGTACACCATACTTCAAAAATGGTAACCTCTCTGGGTTACCAATCAAGTAACTAATTTTTTAAAGTAATCATCAAAAAAGGAAGTTATATACTCTTTATTATATTATACCCTAAAAGTTTATGAAATGTGTCTCATGGATTAACCATTTACCCTCATGTGTGAAATCTCAACTCAGGATTTTAGGGCTGGAAGGGATGTGACAGACGATCTTGCCAAGCCCGGCCCTTCTTCTACAAGGACGTCTTCAGAGATCTGGAGGAGGAAAGGGCCTTGCCCTGAGTTCGCTGAGCCAGAACAATAGGACTTCTTCTGTAGTTGTGAAACTTGTCAGTTGTTGAAGTCAGGTTAATGTCATCTGGCTGGCTTTTTAAAAGGGTGTGAAGTGAGAACATGAATAATTGTCACTTGATTAGAGACCTAGACTCAGAGTTAGGTTACTCCATGTATGAAGTAACCCCATATAGTTACTTCATACATGGAGTAACCATATAGTTACTCCATGTATGAAAAATTGCAAGACTGTTGACTGTCATTCTTTGGTTTAGTGGGTGGAGCCAGCTGTCCTCATTAGATAAAGGTTGTTTATTCAACCCAAGTATAAATGGAAAAAAAAGATGCGCCCTCTGTCACTGAGGGTTGACTGACTGGAGAGCTCAAGTGCAGCAAAGAGAAGTGTCAGAGCATGAGCGCCAAGTCCAGAACCATAGGGATTATTGGAGCTCCTTTCTCAAAGGGACAGGTAAGGAAAAAAGTCTTTCTTTGAATTCCTGGAATTTAGTTGAAAATTTTGGACTTCAAAATTTGTAAGGTGTTATTGTCTAGTTAGTTCAGTTTTCTGATACAATCTGGCCAGGAAATGCATATTTTAAAGTCCTCTCACCATTTTCCAACATTGTATAATTATAGTCACATATCCACTTACTTTTGTGGCTCGTGATCTCAGCCAAGGCTAAATTCATTTGAACCTACAGAATGTTTTCTCATATTTTTTAGGAGAAAATATTTTTCTTTGAATTGAAATGGACTCTTTCTGCATTGTAGCTACTCATTGAGGTTTAGTTGCTCTTGTTGTTTTTGATGTTACTGTGTGTATGTAGAGGAAGAGAGAATTTTAAGAAATACATTTGTTTAGTTATGTAATTAATGCCTAGAAAAATTTAATAGTTTGGTGGTAACCTTCAGGCTTCTTATAATTTGGATAACCTAAATATTATTGTTTCATGCAACTTTGTGAATAATTCATGTTATGTTAGGGTTTTAATGTTTCTATGAAACTGTTCATTCATGGACTAGGTAGAATCCTTTATGTGCCTCACTTGGAAGGGGAAAAAAAGAACAAAAAAAGAAAGAAAATCCTACTGCGGGTTGGCAACTCTAAAAGGATTTTAATGGATTTATGAAACCCCCAGATTTCCTTACAGCCACGAGCTGTGAATCCACACATGCCAGCAACATTGAATACACTTTTTTTTCTGCCTGGGCACACTTATTCTAGTAAAGAGAGTGTGATGACAGAACACCTTAGACTTCAACACGCATCTGTGCTTAAAGAGGATAAAAAACAAAGAACAAAATCAAACAAGACAATGTATGAGTTGAAACTACTAAGGTTGATTTTCTCCAGGTTTCTCAGGATCTGGGCAGCGTTTTGCTTCCTCTTAATTTGGAACCCTTGCTGTGTACTCTGACTTTTTACTGCAAAACAAATTGAGAGAGGCCAGAGGTTAGAGGCCCAAACTGCATTTGGACTGTCAGTAAATACTACTTTGCTTCCCCTGGAAATCCTCCAAAAGTCTCTCCCAAACACAGGGACATTTTGCTGACACAGAAATGTTCCTTTTAAAATCCACACTGTTCTCACCCACTCTTGAACAGGTTATAATAAATATATAATTTAAAAACCTCACAAAAGGGAAGCAAGTGTCCTCCTTCTACCACCCTCCTCCCATTAAAACATGGTCATGAGAATGGAGTTCATTGTCTCATGATTGTAAGGACTAAGAGAGAGAGATTTTTTACACTAAGTCATAGAGTAGAGAGGATAAAATGGCCAACATATAAGTATTTGTCCTCACCTAAAGGAGGTACAAGTTTGACAAATAAGCAAAAGGAAAGGATTAGAGGGCAGATGACTAAAATGTTGAGTCTGAGAAAGGGCTTCATCCCTGTCTCACCTCCTTGAAAGGCTTGCAAGGCAGCGAACAAACAATAAGGTAGGTATTATTTTTACCTTACAGTTGGGTTAAAAAAAAGCCCAGAGAGGTTTGGTAATGTGCTCAACGTCACACAGCCTTGACTGCATAATTCCAGACAAGATAATCTGATTCCAATGCCTATGCCCTTGATTTGCACTGATGTCTCTTCAGACTATTCAACTCCAAAGGCGACCTTATACTTGTGGCCATTTAGGGATTGGGCCCAGCTTAGAAAGTCGGTGGAGCTGACAAAGCAATTTCCAAAGTGGGCAGATAGAGCAAGCAAGAGGAAAGCCCAATCATGAGAAGCCATTTGAATAAAACAAATAAAAAAGAATTCTAGAAAATTTAATGGCTGTGTTATAGCAAATATAGTGTCAACTAAGGGGTCTATGAGCTTTGTTCTAAAATATGAAAGGGAGAAGGGTAAAAAAGCCAAGGAGTTTTATCAAACTGAGTATTGAGTATCTACTATATGTCAGCTCTACACTACAAAATATAGTGCCCCACATGTAAAGCAAGCTGGACTGAAATCTAACAATGAGGAAAAGACAAAAACAGACACAAAACTAAAGGCAAAACATGAACCAAGCAGCACCCTATTGGGGTTGAAAGAAGGAGAAATCATGTTTACTTGATTGGGGAGAGGCAGGTGTGTCAAGCAAAAAGGGAGTAAAGAAGCAAAATGTGTCAGGCAGAGGATAGGGCGGGTCCCTTGCTGCCAGGGACAGGAATTTAACATCAAGGATTTGCCTGGCACCCAGGGCAAGTCTTCTGTTCCTTTGAATGGGGAAAAAATACTTGCTTACTTTGATGCCACAGCCCCAATCCTAAAGATAGACACACGTGTCTTTTAACACATTGTCTCATCTGACAACATGTAATAATCTTCTGCATCTAAAAGCTCTGTTGGAAATTAAAATCAGAAAGATACAGAAAGGAACTGTGCCTTTAGACCTCTAATTGTTCAGGGGACTGAGGAAGACTTGCCCCTTGGAGGAAGAGTGTTAGTTTCCCTAATGTCAAAACGGCAAGGGTAGAACTTCCCATCATACTGTTAAGCAGGCCAAAACTTGAAATTACTGGGTTGGTCTTTGTTTGTAGTTTTCAGCTCCCAGATGATGACTTTTTCTGTTGCCTGCTTTCTCCCCAAGAGCTCTAGCTTACTTATGTGAGTACATGCACGTAGGTCTCTTTCATGTCACACTCTTTCGATGCTTTTGCCCAATCGTTCCCTTGGTTTGCAGAGTTTCTCCATCACTCTGTCTTGTTTTCCTAACTACCTACTCATGTCGCAAGACTCAGCTTAAACAGCATTTATTTCTTGCAGCCTTTACTGACACACCCTGTCCCCAACAGTGTTAAGGGCATCCTGTTTTTGTTACTAGGACATTTTATATCATCACTGAAGCAGCTATGTATTGAAACTGGAGTTAAATGCCCATATCTCCTATCAGCTTATGAGGGACTCAAAGTCAAAAGCCTTTTCATTATTGGATCTCATCTACCAGACTGCTTTTGCACAAACTACTTGTTCACTGTGTTGATAACATGGTTTGACGGGAAGAGGGGATGTAGGTTTTGGAATCCAAAGACCTGAATATGAACATAGGCTCTGCCACTTATTAGCTGTGTGCCAGTCTGAAAACCATATAACCTTTGTGATTCTAGTTCTTTCTATTTGGCATAAAAGTCATTCAGTCTACCTTGCTGTGAAGATTAAAAGAGATGATGTAAATTCCTGGCTCTGTAGGAGCTCAAAAAATGATAGTTACAGTTCAACTGATTAAATAATGAAAAGGGTTCCTGCTGTGAGCATCTGATGGTCATGATAATGTCTGAAGTACTTTATTTTTTAATTGTTCAGCCACGAGGAGGGGTGGAAGAAGGCCCTACAGTATTGAGAAAGGCTGGTCTGCTTGAGAAACTTAAAGAACAAGGTAATTTTTAAGTTGAAAAATGATCAGCCTGATTTCCTCCCCACTCTGAAGGAAAGAGCAGGCCCCTGTGAACCTGGAGTGTGTCTGGAATATTTACATCAGAATTGCGGTACTGGTTACAACCCGAGAAACACATCCTACAAAAGCAGCAGGGCATGGGGAGAATGCTCAGGAAACATTGCTGGATGTACATCCTCACTCAGATATTTTGTCTTTCCAGCCAAACTACAGTATAAGATAAATTGTGTGTGCAAGAACGGGGGTTGGGGTGGATGGTAGGGGAGCCGGGGGAACAGCAAATGGAAGGCAAGGTGCAGCAGGAAGTATGCTACTAGCAAGAGGACCCCTATTTGTGAAATAAAATAAAATAAAACAGTAATAATGATAATAACAACAGCGCCTAGTGTGGGCGCAGTGTGTATATATACATACATATACATAAGCATGCAAATGCAAATTTACGTATATTTTTAAAGTATGGGCTCAATTTTCTGTTACCTTTACATATAAGATTCTGATAAAGTGTTGGTCAGGATGTGGAGAAACTGGAACCCTCATATATTTCTGATGGGAATGCAAATGATACAGCCACTTTGAAAGTAGGTGGGCAGTTTCTCAGGTAAACATATATTTACATTTTGACCCAGCAGTTCTACTCCTGGGTGCAGAGAAGTACAACTACAAACATTCAAGTACAAGTCTTTGTGTGGATATGTTTTCATTTCTCTTGGGTAAGAGATTTGTGCTTGAATGTTTGGGGGCAGCCATATTTATAATAACCAAAAAATGGAAACAGCAAAATGCCCATCAACTGGTAGATGGTTAAACAAAAAGTGTCACATCCATGCAACGAGATAGTATTCAACAATAAAAAGGAATGGACTGGTCGGGCACGGTGGCTGAGGCCTGTAATCCTATCACTTTGGGAAGCCAAGGTGGGTGGACTGTCTGAGCTCAGGAGTTCAAGACCAGCCTGGGCAACACAGTGAAACCCCTTCTCTAGTAAAAATACAAAAAAAAATAGCTGGGCGTGGTGGCATGAGCCTGTAGTCCCAGCTACTTGGGAGGCTGAGGCAGGAGAATGGCTTGAACCCGGAGGCAGAGGTTGCAGTGAGCTGAGATTGCGCCACTGCACCCCAACCTGGGCGACAGAGCGAGACTCCATCTCCAAAAAAAAAAAAAAAAGAAAAAGGAATGGACCGCAAACACAGGCAAAAACATGGTAGATCTCAAAAGCAGCATGATAAGACAAGAAAGACTACATGTATGATTCCACTGATACGACATTCTGGAAAGACAAAAGCATAGCAAAAGAAAGCAGATCAGCAGTTCCTGGGGTTGGGGGCAAGAATTACCTCTAAAGGGGCAGGATGGAATTTTTCAAACTCATTGACCCGCACAGTTAAAATTAGTGAGTTTTAGTGAACAAGAATTACACTTCGTAAATCTTTAAAAAAAAAAAAAAAAGACAAATACAGACACCCAGTAGAGAACAGAATGCTTGGGTAATGGACTTGTCCCTTAACTGACAAGCATAATTTGGTCACGTGTTGTATCAGGTGAAATTTCTTGGAGGCGTTACTAAATCAGATTCACACAGACATGTAACAAATACCATATTTAATGGCCAATTAGTTCAGAACACCGAACTGAATCACAGTTTTACATGACACTCTCTACTTTTCAAGCCTAATTCAAGGCCTTTTAGGGAGCACACCCAGTCCTTAGGAATTTGGGGTTACCTGCAATTTTTCCTTACTAAAAAGAATAACTAAAAAGCTTTATTTCCGAAGCTTCCAAAGTGTTAGGCTCAGTGCTAAGTACATATTCACATATTCTTATTTATTTATGATAATACCACTATGAGGCAGGTTCAATGGATACTTTGTGTGTCTGTGTGTGTGTGTATCTCCAGATGAAAATACACCAGTGCTTTCTAAATTTTCTGAGAATACATATATATACCGATATATATGTATTTAATTATTATCAAAATGAAGCATGCTTACTATAGAAAGGTAAAAAGCACATAAGCAGAGAGAGACAGAGAGACAGAGACAGAGACAGTGGCATTCCCTATTAAGCCCAAACCAGAAGATTATCACTGTTACATTTTGGTGTCTAGTTTAACTGGATGGATTCAAGAAGTGTTCACTGAGAGCCCAGTATACAGCCGCACCAGTGTGTGATACTGGTAACATGACGTCAAGCAAAAGCAGACATGGGTCTACCTTCCCAAGATTTACAGACCTTTCAGGTTTTTCCTTTGCTTATACTTGTGAATATATGCCTATTTTATACAATTGAGATCATCCTACACAGACTGATTTATAATCTACTTTTTAATTTAGTAACTCAAAACTTTTTAATTTTAGAGTGTGATGTGAAGGATTATGGGGACCTGCCCTTTGCTGACATCCCTAATGACAGTCCCTTTCAAATTGTGAAGAATCCAAGGTCTGTGGGAAAAGCAAGCGAGCAGCTGGCTGGCAAGGTGGCAGAAGTCAAGAAGAACGGAAGAATCAGCCTGGTGCTGGGCGGAGACCACAGGTCTTGTTGAATAACTGTGTCTATGGGAATCTGGCACAAAGGAAGTAACCAAGGCCATAAGAAGAGAGAAAATTTAGAAATATAGACAGAAAAGCATTGACCTATATTTTATATCAAATTTTCTGCCTTTAAAAAAATTTTATAGGTTACTTTTATTATAGAAACAGACTTCGCTCAATTTGAAGTCTTACAATATCTGTATTTTGACCTAGTACAGCAGAAAATGTATGAAATATGAATGGATTTCATCTAAATATTCATCACAAGCTTACATTTCTAAATAAGTATGTGAGGCAATTCATAGCTTATTTGTTCTTAATTGCCGATAATATATACAACTCATATAGGTCAACAATTTCAAAGCATGTGTTTTTCATTATAAAAGTAATGATCATAACATTTTTGAAAGCATCAGACACACACACACAAGAAAAAAAATGTGGTAATTGTACTTCTCTAGCAACCATTTCAACCAGAATTGAAAATCTGGCACATTTCTTTCATGGCATCTTTTTTTTCCTTGTACATGATGACTTTGTTTAACGTGTGTGTGTGTGTGTATGTGTGTGTGTGAGAGAGAGAGAGAGAGAGACAGATGTCTATGTTGTGTTCTCACTCTACAGTGCAAATTTCCTTGTTGCTTCATGGGATGTGCATAAGCATCATAAGCATCAGTTTTTTAATTGCTGCATGATTTTTCATCAAGGGGTTACATCGCTATATACGTACATATTGCGGCATATTCAGGTTGCATTATAATTTTCACCATTACAAATAATGTGGCAAAGACCATTTTTGTGCATGAGCCTCTTTAAATATTTACTCCCAAGGCCTAGGATAATTTTACCAGAAAGGCCTGATTAGATCTAAAAGTAGAAACACTTCTATGGCTCTTGAGCAGTCAATGACTTCAGGTCTCCTTGGCTTCCTCTTCTAAAGCCAAACTGTCACCAAGGCCTCTGTATCAAAACTGCAATTGGGAAACTGAGGCTCGCTTTCTTTGTTAAGTGGAAATTTTAGGAATGGCACATGGCAAAAGACAAGAAACCTAAAGGGAAAACAAACGTCCACTGAATAATCCATACCTGAACGTTAAGGCATTATTGCTTCCACTTCGAGAATCTAAAAGCTCATGATTCTCTGAATGATACTTAAACATTCACAAATGGGAGAATACAGGCATTGTATAGTACTAGCTTGGTGCAAAAGTAATTGCAGTTTTTAAATGGCAAAACCGCAATACTTTTGCACCAACCTAATAAATCCTAACTTTTAACTTCTGTGCAAGATATCATTTATGTCTTCCATTCCAGCAAAATGTCTGGAGCTTGAAGTATTTGGGATGAACTTTGTTCCTGGTTGAGTGGGTAACTAGATGCATTGAATAGAATGAGTGAACACACGCCATACGCTGGCTGAAGAACTTGAGTAAGAACATGTAAGAACTTCTGAGTGATGCTCTCAAATTATAAAAGCTGGATTTTAAGAAAAATTGAAAGACTTTGTCATAATTCACTTGAGAGAATTAAGTATTTACCAAGAGAGATGAGTGTACAGAAAATGATCCAAATTTAACTCTGAGAATTGAACAGTGTCTCATGCTAAGGAATTTCTTGTGTGGCTAGTATTTTTATACTCATTTATTTTTTTGGCTACGCTCTAATCGTGGTTTTCTTACAAGGTGGATTTTGGGAAAAAAAATCACAGTTTTTTTAGTAATGCAATCGATGTAAATATAACTAGTTAGTGAGCATTAAGTGTAAGTTATGCTTTCTCTATTGTTTTAACTAATTGGCATCTCCAATTCAGAACCTATCAGAAATATCAGACACTGTGACTCAAAGGAAAACCAAGTGGGAGCATTGAGTGAATAATATGATGTATGTAGTGACACTGCAAACCTGATGTTCACACAAAATTTTTTCCCCAAAAGTTTGGCAATTGGAAGCATCTCTGGCCATGCCAGGGTCCACCCTGATCTTGGAGTCATCTGGGTGGATGCTCACACTGATATCAACACTCCACTGACAACCACAAGTGGAAACTTGCATGGACAACCTGTATCTTTCCTCCTGAAGGAACTAAAAGGAAAGGTAAAAGACTGGTTGGTACTCTAGTGCAATAGAATACTTTTTAGTAGACATTCAGGAGGTGGAAGGGAAATGAGAAACTCCATGTTATCTTATTCTTGGTGTAATCTCAAATCATTTTCTCTGCAGCCAATAAGCAAAGGGTTGGTTGATAAAAGGCAGTGAGGCTCTCTATCTCTGCCTTGCAAACTGACTTAATATATATTTTCTCTGCTAATTCTTAAACTATCCTTTTAGTAGGTGGGGCAGAGAGTAATCATTTATAAACAGGTCAGTGGAGGTTCAGAGGTTAACCAACTTGCCCAAGATATATGCCAAGCCTATAGTGAAGCAAGGGCTAGCACCAGGTCTCCTCATTCCTTCCTCTTTCCACTACATGCCACACAGTTCTGCATTCTTACTGAGTAGTCCTTCTATATCATAGAGGCTTTTCAAAAAAGAAATTTTAAAATTTCAGATATAATGGTTTATGAACTAATGTATTTACTGGGAGAAGCACCTATCTAAATCATAAGAGAAAGAACTATCTCCCTGCTCCCTAGAAACTCCTTTTCTAAAAGATGGAAAATAAAATGGCAGATTAAGATTTAATATTACAGCTTATAACTTTGTTGATATGCCATAGTTTGTTGATATGCCATAGTATATCAATAAAAAGTTTTTATTGATACAATTATAATATTTGGTCCTTATGATGATACAAGAGGTTAAAACCTCCTTATGTTAAATGCTCAGAAATAATGTCTTTTGAACTAATGACCAAGGGATGGGTTTATAAACTTGCAAAGTATCTGCCTAGTACATGGGAAAAACTAAACGTCCTGGAGGACAAAGCAGATATCATCATATTATCACATTAAGAATAACCAAAGGACAGGCCACAAATTTCCCTCAGCTGCTCTAGGCCATCCTCTGGATTAAGGACTTACTGAGAAAGGGAAGTAAAGAAGGAAGCTACCAAAGTAATGGGAGCACAATCGTTTCTTTATAGAGGAGCCCTGGGAAAGAAGGGCCCAGCAGGACTGGGGCACAAAGTAGGTAAATGCCAACTGGTTCAAGGCAAAGTCAAAGCAATCAAGGGGAGGCACACATCCTCTTCTTAATTGTGTATTATTTTTACATGATTTCTTCTGTATTTATATTCTAAATATAAGATATACGCAATCCAATATGTGTCTTTACCTTTGAATGTAGGATTTGTTCAAGAGAATCATACATAACCAAGTGAAAACATTGTAATTTTAGATTCCCGATGTGCCAGGATTCTCCTGGGTGACTCCCTGTATATCTGCCAAGGATATTGTGTATATTGGCTTGAGAGACGTGGACCCTGGGGAACAGTAAGCTTATTCCTTGATGTGATTTGCCTCCATTTTTGTCCCTTTGTGTGCTAGATATGCTTTACTGACCAACTCTATGAGAGAAAATTAAACATCAAGACACACACACACACACATGCCCACACACATATATTTATATACATGTACATACATATGTATGTATCCAGGCAATTAAATCTCAATTGACTTGCTGTTAAAAATAAATACAAATAAAACTATATTGAGTTAGGTTCATAGAACCTAAATGTTTTATATATTTTACTATATTTATATTTCCCTTAAAAGGAGACAGGCGGGCACAGTCAGCCTTATTAATTATAATTATCTTAATTTCTCTTTTATAGCTACATTTTGAAAACTCTAGGCATTAAATACTTTTCAATGACTGAAGTGGACAGACTAGGAATTGGCAAGGTGATGGAAGAAACACTCAGCTATCTACTAGGAAGGTAGGATTCTTTTGTGTGTGCACACATGTGTGTGCAACAGAAAAGGTTGCTACTGACAACCAAAGTTATTAATAAAGTCTTTACATGAAATAATGGGTTGCTACTTTTTATAAAACAAGTTAACAGATTATTATCTATGAAATGTGAAGCCATCAACCTTAAACTGAAATCCTTTCCCACTTCTTAAAAGAAAGAAAAGGCCAATTCATCTAAGTTTTGATGTTGACGGACTGGACCCATCTTTCACACCAGCTACTGGCACACCAGTCGTGGGAGGTCTGACATACAGAGAAGGTCTCTACATCACAGAAGAAATCTACAAAACAGGTAGTTAACAATCTGAGGTAATAGAGAAGCAAGTGTACACTTGACTAATATATATTTATACCTCCTTGACCTGAAACCAAGTCCCAGCTGACACTTTCAGAATGTCCATCAGTCACATGATGCAATAACTAAAGTGTTTTCCATCGGTTACTACCTTTTTCTGTTAGTGGATAATCTTTCAAGTCTGTCTGTACTACTTTCAAAATGTCAACTATTTTATAAATTACATTATTACAATTTGTTGTTGTAGGGCTACTCTCAGGATTAGATATAATGGAAGTGAACCCATCCCTGGGGAAGACACCAGAAGAAGTAACTCGAACAGTGAACACAGCAGTTGCAATAACCTTGGCTTGTTTCGGACTTGCTCGGGAGGGTAATCACAAGCCTATTGACTACCTTAACCCACCTAAGTAAATGTGGAAACATCCGATATAAATCTCATAGTTAATGGCATAATTAGAAAGCTAATCATTTTCTTAAGCATAGAGTTATCCTTCTAAAGACTTGTTCTTTCAGAAAAATGTTTTTCCAATTAGTATAAACTCTACAAATTCCCTCTTGGTGTAAAATTCAAGATGTGGAAATTCTAACTTTTTTGAAATTTAAAAGCTTATATTTTCTAACTTGGCAAAAGACTTATCCTTAGAAAGAGAAGTGTACATTGATTTCCAATTAAAAATTTGCTGGCATTAAAAATAAGCACACTTACATAAGCCCCCATACATAGAGTGGGACTCTTGGAATCAGGAGACAAAGCTACCACATGTGGAAAGGTACTATGTGTCCATGTCATTCAAAAAATGTGATTTTTTATAATAAACTCTTTATAACAAGATTATATTGTGTCTACATATTTCTAAATACATGCAACACACACACACACACACACACACACACACACACCCCACATTCATAAAAACGTCCTGCTTAAAACTACTAAGTTTTTAATGTTAAAATACAAAACATTTGAAAAGTCACAGTGAAATCAATCATCCCCAAAACACTGTGAGGCCTTGAAACTATTTAAACTCCCTGGCTCTGGTTTCTTCAACTGTAAAATGGGTAATAATAGGTTTGGGCAATCTACAAGTTCATTGGGCTAGATGTCCATGTTTTACTTTTTCTAAACCTCAAACATGATTTTGGTTAATACTTTAAAAGCATGGTTGCTATTCAAGTAGCTTTTGGGAGGTGGAAGATATTCCTGGCTGGATGTGGTGGCTCACACCTGTAATCCCAGCACTTTGGGAGGACAAAGAGCTTGAGTCCAGGAGTTTGTGACCAGCCTGGCAACATGGTGAAACCCCATCACTACAAAAAATACACACACACACACACACACACACACACACACACTAGCTGGGCATGGTGGTGAACATCTGTAGTCCCAGCTACTCAGAAGGCTAAGGCGGGAGGACTGCTTGAGCCCAGGAGACGGAAGTTGCAGTGAGCTTAGATCACGCCACTGCACTCCAGCCTGGGCAACAGAATGAGACCCTGAAAAAAAAAAAAAAAAACCAACCATATTCCCCAAAATCTATTCAGGAGCCACATAAATCAAATTGCTAGTTTGTTTTTAATAATAATTACTAATTCAGCTGAGGATGTCATCTAAAATTACCTATGGCTTCCAACGTTTCACCCTTCACTTACTGCAATTACAGTATATCTCATTAGCTATATCCTAAAAACTCATCTTGGCTCTGGAGTGTAGTAAGGAAAATGGAAAAAACAAACCAGAGTAAACGGTAATCAAAACAAGGGAAGCAAAGTTTTTCTCCTCCCAGTAATTTATGTGAAAACCCCAGGGGGTCCTGTAAAAAAGGTAGGCTCCATGAATGGATTTCTCCTGTGTTTTTGTTTTAACAGCTATATGATAGTCCCTACAATCTGATTTTTCAAATGTAACACAGAATTTAAAAACTGTTTCCTCTAATAACTCCTAGGCCTTTGAAAGATAAACATTTTATTGAATTACTTTTAGATGGGAGCAATTATAATGGATCTCACTCTAAGATATATTCTCTAATACAGTAGCCACATGTGGTCATTTAAATTAAAGCTTAATAAAATTAAAAAATTCAGTTCCACATTTCAAATGCTTCCTAGATAAATGTAGCTGCTAACTAGTGTATTGAATAGCACAGGTAAAGAACATTTCCATCATTGCAGAAAGTCATACTGGACAGAGCCACTCTAAACTTACTATTAATTTTCAAAAAGAAAAACTTTTAGGATGTGATAAACATAAAGGCATTTTTTTCCCCTCTGCTGTATTCTAAACCCAAATAAAGTTTTTGTCTTCTATTAGTCTCTGATTAAAAACATATTTAAAAGCCTATCCAGGGAAATTATATTCCCATGTTTTTAAGCTAGAGAGGGAAAACTGAATTTGTAATAAATTAATTAGAATGTTTATGTCCTTGAGAAAGTGATTATATTGATTTTCATTTCCTCTATTGTTTGTATAATACTAGTGTCACAATTTTATCCTCATTCTAGGATCAAAAAGCAATAAATTCCTCAAGGCAGCAAGAATACATTGACGCTATGCTAAGATTAACACTTGAAATAATCTCTAGCATGTTTTCTGGGTAATTTTAAGAATGAGTCTGCAGGGGCCGGGCACAGTGGCTCACGCCTGTAATCCCAGCACTTTGGGAGGCTGAGGCGGGGGATCACGAGGTCAGGAGATTGAGACCATCCTGGCTAACACAGTGAAACCCCGTCTCTACTAATACTAAAAATACAAAAAATTAGCCAGGCGTGGTGGCAGGCGCCTGTAGTCCCAGCTACAAGGGAGGCTGAGGCAGGAGAATGGCGTGAACCCGGGAGGTGGAGCTTGTAGTGAGCCCAGAGTATGCCACTGCACTCCAGCCTGGGTGACAGTACGAGACTCCGTCTCAAAAAAAAAAAAAAAGAAAAGAGTAAGTCTGCAAAAATTACTTTTACCATTATATAAATTTTTAGCTGGACTTGCATGGCCAGTAATGATTTAGTGATGGCAATTACATGAGCTACAAAGAAAATAAAGTTCTAGGAGGAATGTATTTAGAAATATGAATTTGAAATACAGTTGGTTAAATTCACTAGTTCTTTTTAAAAGAATCTGTAACTCTTAATTCCTAGGCCAATGTCAGTCACCAACTGTAGTGTAGGAACCACAGAGTACCCCATTTCCAACTGACCCCAGCCAGCACACCACCTGGCACACAGCCGACACTCATTCCAATGGAGTCGGGAAACAATCACACGGTTTATTCATTCAGCAGACTTTACTCATTAGTTTTCAAGTCTTTCGCAATGCCAATTCCCCCAAAATTAACAATGTCTCTCAAAATCCAAGAAATAAAATGTGTACTGTATTTACAAATATAAAATTTAAAAATTTTAAGATTATAAAAATTGAAGAATTACATCATCTGTCAGGTGAGAGTGTCAACCTGCAAAAGCAATTAACTTATTTTTAAAAAAAGAAATTGGAGAATCAACCATTTAAGCATGATTTTAAGTTCAAGAATTTTCAGATGTTATTTTCTTACATGGCTTCCAACTAATTTTATACAGTAAGTTCAAGTCCATAGCAAAGGTAATAAAACTGCCAGTTGACCTTGATAGAAACTATGGAAATTTATAATAAAATTTCAAGTCATTTTAAAAAGAATATGAAGCCTTGTTTGCTCCTACAATGCAACAAAATCTAGATTCCTTTTCTTGATATAAATCTCTATTATTCTGAAAATCTACCAAGAGATTTATGTATAAAATATTTGTAATAACTGTTTTACATGTGTGGTGCCTTTAAAATAATATATCTGAAGACTAAATATGTCATTAATAATAAAAAATACAAACAAAAACAACGGCTAGAATAGGAAAGACTGAAAGTGCCAATGACAAGTCATTTGATCACAGATACCTCTATGTTCCTACATAGCTCTAATAAGTTGTTATGAATATGAACAACATGTATCTTACTTGATCTCTTAGAGACAAAAATATAGATAGGGAGATGGGAGTTATAAGGTGTCAACAGATTCATCATTTGAATCAAAATAAAACAATCTGAATATCATCACTGCTTCTACTATATCACTACAGTGTGATCGCATTCAGATTTAAAAGGTTTGAGTCCACTCTCAAAGACGGATATATTTCTACTTTCTCCACAGTACAGTCTGGCTTCACTGAGTTACTGGTAAAGACACGGGCACCTGATTAGACTGAGGTGCTGGAGACCCACTGTTCATGGCTTGTGGAGGCACTGCAGCTGGCTCCATCTTGCTAATGTGTGTGATGAATCGAAGACGAAGTTTTAAAGCTGGTTTTAAGTTACAGATAATCTTCTCTACCTAAGAAATAAAAACACATTAAAACGTACTTTAATCAGAGAATTTCAACTTCTCACATTTAAAGCAGGATTTACACATATCCGGAGACAATAAACTAAGGAGTGTCGTGGGGTAGATGAGAAGTTTCTTAACATGTTCTGTGTTTTAAGAAAAGCAGATACAATGATTTCTTTCTTGCATGAGAAACAATACGTTCTCCCTCACACACACCCCTTATATATTATATGTGCATGTCTGTACATGTACCATATGTATATTCATATATATGCATATACTTACAAAGGCGTATCCACTCATCTAGCTAGCCAGTCATCCCACTACCAAAAGCTAGCAGAGTTTACACTGGAAATTTTATACATCCAACAAGTTGATCATTCTTTTAAAATGCCATCTTTACAGAAGCATGAAGCATAATTATAAAGTTCTTTGAATAACTCATGTTTGCAACATTTATCTATAAAACTATTTTGGTTTTGATTTACACTTGGAATTAACTAAATAATATTAGATCTACTCTTTTGAAAAACACTAAGGAGACAAACACATCAAGTCGTTTCACAGCTTTCTTAGCTTTACTCAAATGCTCTTTGACCTTTTCCTTTCTGTACTCCCTTGTGTTAAAGTTTCTTAGGCCTAAATGTAAAGAATACTTTTTTTAAAAAAACAAACAAATAAACAATTTCTTTTACAGTTTCTCTGCATGTTCTGTGTTGTAACAAAAGCAGATACAATTTCTCTCTTTCTTACATGAGAGAGAACAGGTCAACTCTCTTTGACACTGCTGCTGAGACATAAAGGAGTCAACCTCCTTGGCATCTCAACCTAAAGTACTGGGAGGGGTAGGAGGATGGACTTAACTTTCCCTATCTGTCCTACCTCCACTCCTTTAAAATGGCCCAGATTCTGTTTCCTACACGTAGGAAACTCAGTTATGATTCAAGGTCTTTTTCTACTTTCAGACATCCCCATTAGGAAGTTCCTCTTCATATGCTAAGTCAGGGTGGCCTCCCTTTAACTTTACCAGAATTCATACACCCTCTAAAGTGACACAGAACGAATCTAATACCTATTCCAAATGAAAACCCTCCAAAATGCTGAGGTCATAAATAATTCCCTAGGACTTTTTTCTTCAGGATAAGCATTCCCATATTCTCTAAATGCTTTTCATGAGTTAGTCTCTAGTCAGGATTAGTCTAGAATCCTGACTTTAGTCTTCTAGTTATGCCGCGGTTTGTCTACTGTCACCATGAGTGTCAGGAGAAGCAGGACCTCCTTTACTCATAACACAACAACCTCTCTGCTCATATTTCAGCAGCCATATCCCACTGTTTCTCCCTAATGAGATTACTATTAATTAACCCTCTAGGTCTTTTTCAGATTTTCTGTTGCAAATATCAAGGGGGAAAAGTACAAGAAATTATAACATGTATTTCCTTTAATACTACATCTAGAATAATATGCCTCTGATGCCTAAAAAGGTCTCATACCCACCCTTTTTCCTTAAAAGAAAAAATTAGACAAAATAAAAATAATCACCCAAACCAAAAAAGTCTATTACTATATGTTCAAGTTTTCTAAATTAAACATCATTAAAAATAATTAAACAAATTCAACTTACTTGCTCTTTCACGCTGTCACCAGTAAACATATACTTCATGTGATAGAGGAAGTCACAGATGGGATCCATGTAATTTAAATGGGTGCTACACTGGTCAACATTCAGCAGCATGTCATAAAACGCCACACCAATCTATTTAACAAATAATGTAAAATTATTTAAGTGATCAAGTGATTCAGTAATTCAGCATGATGCAGCTGGGCTCCATTACAACACTAGCACCGGGGGATACTGTCTTTGCTGTAGAACTGTCATATACCATATACACCTCTATGCACATGAGATATGATATGGCTTGCATTTATAAAAGAATCTATAGTGCTACAAAATGCCCCTGACAAGGCTTAAATAAAATTTCTCTTCATAGTTAAGTAATTTCTCTTAAAATCAAGAGATAAACAATCCCCTTTCTAGACACCATCTCTCGATGTCTGGGATAACTCCACTCCTAGGGATCCTTTGGATTATACTTTCTTAGTTCCATTTGGTAGCTCTTGCTTTAAGGTTCTACTCCTGGGTCCTTTCCTTGTTTGCGACATTTTGTTAGAAGTGACTGACTTCATCCATTCTCATGATTTTAATTAGCTCCTCTGCACTGTAAGATCTCAAATGTACTTCTCCATCCTTAACCTCTTCTCAACCTTCATGATGGGCGTTTCCTCTGCATCTCCAATTCAATACATCCCACCCTAAATTCATTACTGGCAAACTAAGTCCTCTAAAATTGCTCTTGGATCCTGTTAAACTAGTTTCACTACTAATGGTTGTGACCTGCAGTTTCAATAACACTGGTAAAGAAACTTAAATAGATACTTCAGAATTTAATCATGTCACAGGAAACCCAGATTATATTTTACCTCTATCATACAACGAGTTCTCTCTTGCTGAAATCTTTGTAAAAATGGTCCAACAAGATGGTATACATAAAGCAACTGGAATTCGGTCTTCACTATAGGAAGAAGTACTTCAGTAAGAAACCTAAAATTTGAAGATAAAAATCTCCTGTGACTTGAAATTATTTAAATTGTTTGAATTTTGTTCATACAGTATATACAAAGTATTACAATAAAATATAATTTTTTAAAGTTCCTTTTAATTTGGTAACAATAATATTTCTAATTAATCTCACATCTCTCACTGGCTATTACTTTCACTTGATTATTTTTATTTATTTATTTTTTTGAGACGGAGTCTCACACTGTTGCCTGGGCTGGAGTGCAGTGGCGTGATCTTGGCTCACTGCAACCTCCGCCTCCTGGGTTCAAGTGATTCTCCTGCTGACTAGCTGGGATTACAGGTGCAC
Source organism: Homo sapiens (assembly GCF_000001405.40). Taxonomy (NCBI): domain Eukaryota; kingdom Metazoa; phylum Chordata; class Mammalia; order Primates; family Hominidae; genus Homo; species Homo sapiens. Next base: position 131,590,768 of record NC_000006.12, read on the forward strand.
ACCACCACGCCTGGCTAATTCTTTTATTTTTAGTAGAGACGGGGTTTCACCATGTTGGCCAGGATGGTCTCAATCTCCTGACCTTGTGATCCACCCATCTCGGCCTCCCAAATTGCTGGGATTACAGGCATGAGTCACCGCGCCCAGCCGCAAGTTGTTCTAATGAATGAAGTATATACCTCATCTGTTAATGAGATTAGAACAAAATGAAATACAATTTTTTTTTTTTTTTCAGATGGAGTCTCACTCTGTCACCAGGCTGGAGTGCAGTGGCGCGATCTTGGTTCACTGCAATTTCCAGCTCCCTGGTTCAAGTGATTCTCCTGCCTTAGCCTCCCGAGTAGCTGGGGTTACAGGCACACACCACATGCCCAGCTAATTTTTGTATTTTTAGTAGAGATGGGGTTTCACAATGTTGGCCAGGATGGTCTCAATCGCCTGACCTTGTGATCTGCCCACCTCGGCCTCCCAAAGTGCTGGGATTACAGGCATGAACCACCGCACCCAGCCTACGTCAAATTTCTTTAAGAAATTATTATACTTACTTTGGAATGAGAGAAAGTTGTCCGATGCTAGAATGGTGCCACACAGCATGTGCAAGAGCTAACGTATAGCTACAACTCATCTCAGAGTAGGACTGATGACAGGCAGTGAAATCAAAGAGGCGGAATGGATAGCCAACCCACTCTGTTTCAGACGTCAAGCTGGGGCTGCTGATGACACTCACAATTCGATCATGAAGAACAATCCAATATGGCTCCTTTAAAATCGGAGGAAAGCTAGTGAAAAATATCACTTATCCAGCATTCCACCCCAAAGTCTAAAGTAATAGTGTTTTCTCATTCTTTAAAGTTTTCTATTTTTCCAGCTTCTGCACAATACAGCTGGGTGGCTTTGTAACTGGTCAAATTAAGTCAGTAACAACCTGGGAGAAGTAACTGTGAGTTAAGGGGCTCCATACATGTATCTGTCCAGCTCATTTAGGTACCTGATATACACTATGCAGTAAATCAATTAATTTATCAAACAATAAATCTATAGCTTTATTACTTATTTAAAAATAATAAACTTTAAAAAAATATGTGTGGAGGTCAGAGAAAGGAGTCTTCATGTGAGCTGGAAAAGTCAGGGAAGGCTTCATTCACTGAGAAAGGAGGCTCTAAGCTAGCAAAGAATGAATAGGCTTTAGAGAAGGTGATGGAAAGAAGAAGCTTCTGGAATAAGAAAAATGTCTTATTCCCTCACATTCAGAAGTACCTAAAACATGTCTTAAGCACTATCTGAAGGAACAAAGGCTGTAGATATACAACACGTTAAGTGGCCAAGAGTAGATCAAGCTATTATGTAAAAACTAAAGTTGGATAGGTAAGGTGGTACCAGAAAATGCAGAGACCCGTAAGTCACATAGATATATTTAGATCTAATACAGAAAAGCAAAAACTAGTCACTGTAGATTTTTAAAGCAGTAATAATATGAAAAAACTTTAAAAACATAAAATACTTCATTAATTTGCATGACGTCCCGTACAAGGGCATCCTATATGCATCTTTTTCTTTTTGCTGACATGGAACAGCTGGCTGTATTTCATCACTAAGTACAAATCACAATTATTAACTCACTGGTAGGGCAGTGATGATCAAACCAATTGCATTCATCCATGCTGTAATGTTCTCTCTTGGCACTAAAGGCTGACTGCAACCGGCAAAAAAGAATGTAAGTATGAATTTATAAAAACATTTTAGATGGCTGACAACGGATCTTATTTTTAAAGAATATGTCTAATTCAGAGGATCGACAACTAATCCATTTCAATAAAACAATGGGGAATTTTTTATTGAATAAAAATGTAATATGCATAAAAACTCAAGAAGGCTTTTTAAAAATACTTCCTCCCCAATCATTATCCCATACTTCATGCTAATTTTTAAAAGAATCTTGAAATCTTGAAAACAAGATGAAGAGAATCTTGTTTTAAGTGACAAGTTAACATTATTCCTATATTAAATGTCAAACTGCTATTAATGAGTAGAAGTAGGAACAAACCCGGATCTTAGGATCCTGTCCAGGGCTCATTCCATAACTCCTATATCACAAAGACAAGATCTGGAACCAGAAAACAGTCATCATCCAATGTGCATCAGCCTTGCGGCAACAGGTTTGTCTTAAAAGTTTGAAATAGAATACCATTCTATTTACAAATAAACAACAAATCTTACTGCATGAACCAGAATACATACCTTTTTAGGACAACATTTAGAAGGGCATTCCCAACTTCTTTGCCTGAAACTGCCAAGGCCATGAGCTCCACACAAGTAACATGGAGAGCATGGGCAGCTGGGTTGGGAAACTCATTGAATCTCCAGTCACAGTTTGGAAAGGGACCAGGAGATTTGCCAGCCATCGGTGCACACAGTTAAAGCAATAACAATTGGACTATCTCATCTGATTGTCAATTTATCTGATTATGAGCTGCCAAGAAGTGATTTGTCTACGCTTAGAGAGATTAAGAGGCAAATGCAAACCAAATACAAATGAGTTTGACATGATTGAAATGTATTAAAAGCAACCATTTGATTAACCACAGGTATAAATGGTTGGTCTTTCAGGTGGGTTCTTATAAATATGACATATAATAGCCACAGATGCAACCAAGGTTTACCTAGGTTTCATGAGCCTATTTCTTTTAATAGTTATAAGACATTAATATGAAAATTATTTTCTAATGAGTCATTCTTTTGCTTCAGAAAATAAATTCCTTTGTGTAGGAAAATAAGTCATGCTCATTTATGTAGAATTTCTTACCTAGTAAAATAGTGGTATGGTTATAGACATTAAGTATAGAGTGCTAATAACTGAAAATATAAAATCAAAATGAAGAAATAAACATCCAAGTATATTTTCACTAAAATATACCTTTTCAATAAAGAAAAATATATTTTATCATTTATTATTTACTACAAACATTAATTTTTTTAAAGTAACAAGATCCTACGTTCTCCAGTAGCACACAGATGCATGTGCTACAAAATATAGTATGTAAGAATAAGATTTTTTCTTTGAAACAAATCTCCATAAAGTCTATTTTTAAATATAATTTTTTTACCGCTTATCCTCAAGTTCTAAAATAAAAATTTTAACAGAATTTCAGCCTAATTGGCATGATGCTGTTAATTTAAGATTTCAAATCTTTACAGAGATGAAAATGGAAGTGATCTTAAAAAAAATTAAAACCTTGAAATACATAAAAAATTACTTTAAAAGAAAAAATATATTCTCATAAATCAAAATACTGTTATTTCTGGGAGTCTAAAATCACAATAAAAAGGATATTATCGACTAGTCTGCCAATCAATCTGCAATAGTAGGTGTCATCTGGAACCCAAGGATTTTCCTCTCGTGCATTCATAGCGCATTTCAGGTAAGTGTCACTTAGACACCAGCCCTGCGGTCGATTATCCTTCAGAGAGCCAATGATCGCATGGACGAGTTTTCGTTTGAGAAATGCGCGGTCTCTCAGGTGCATTTCATAATAGTGCAGAGTGTTATACAGATAAGTCACTGGACGATCTGCCAAGAAAAAAACATACCACCACAATGTTTAACTGGTTACTAATAACTGTGAAAAACTGATCAACTGCTTTCCAGATAACTGAAAAACAGCTCAGAAGATTTATGAAACAACTTCACATGCTGGGCAATTGTATACTATGAATATTTTAATCTGAGGAGAGGCAGAAGGCTCAGAATGTTTCTAGTAATATACAGTTTGTATTTATATTTGTTTTTATTTAAGTGGAAGCAATTCCATTTCTGAAAATTTATCCTGCATAAATTTTAATCCCTTGACATACAACAAGGGATGTCATTGCAGCCCTGTTTATACTAGCGAAAGATGAAAAACAGCCTAAAAGGTCAAAAACAGGGGACTGATAAAGTAAATCTGGCATGTATGAGGCAGCTCTTTACGTACTAATACAAATGACCAACCCTAATACATGATAAAGTTGAAACAAACAGGGTACAGAACACTTGTGTTAAAACAAACAAACAAACAAACAAACAAACAAACAAAACCAGCCAGGATATCTAAGAGGGGATGGCAAGAGACTGGTAACACTGGCTGCCTACGAAAGAAACTGGGTAGCTGGAGGCCAGGATGGGACTAATTACCTTTCACTGTATACTCCACCCCATCAAGTATGTATATTACCTAATCCAAAAGAAAAATGTTTTTAAAAGAACGCTCACTTGAACTTTATGCCTATTCTACCATGTTAACACACAATTCATACTTCTGCTCTGAGGGAAGGTATCTTAAAGATGAAGCAGGACTGCCTGCCAGACAAACACTTTGTTCCCAGAGTGGCTGCTCCAGGACCTTCACATTTCTGTCACTGACCCTGCCACTCTCCAGTAACTATGCTTAAAATTTTAGTTGTCTTTTTCTTTCAATATTCTCCTTATAACCAGCCAATCAAGTCCTGTTCCTTCTTTTGTGACCATTTGTCCCTTTTCTCTCATTTTCAATGCAACCACTGTTGCTTAGATACTAATCACACAACTGAGCTTTTTGACATGTCCTTGTAATGGCTTCATCCTAAGACTGCTGCCAACTATAACTGGATGTATCTTTCTGAAATAATGTTTCCTATGCCATGATCATACTCAATAACTTCCAGTTGATTATTATCTGCAATTACAAAATCAGCCTAGCATTCAAGGTGATCTACAGTTAGGTACAATCTGTCTTTCCAATCTTATTTCTAGAACTCTCTGGTAAGAATTTTCAATTCAACCCAATGTAGCAATTTTTCTTCAAATATACTTTATCTCCTCCATGATTTCCCCCAAATGATCCCTTCTGCCTCGTGTGCTATATTTTCCCTGCTGCTGCTATAAATTGGATGCATCAAGTCCAAATCCTACCCATCCAAGAAGGCCGCCAAGATCTGTTTAGTTTACAGTAACATCACCCTGTTCTGAACTCATACTTTTGTTTATATTTTTATGTTGTATATTTTATACTTCATGGCACCATCCATAGTACTTATCCTCAAAACACTTCATTTTTAAAATATTTAAAATAAAACCTTTAGAGCCACTATTACCATGTGGTCCTGCCCATCCTACTTTTGATAATGGAGGTATTAGACGAAATTAAAATTGGAAAAAGCTCACCATGAAATTTATATAAGCCTCCTAGATGATCCAGTAGAGTCTCCAGTGATTTGGATACCGGAAGCAACTCTAAAAATCTGTGGATTACTATATCAAATACTGGAAGGAATCGAAGACACACATTCCCAAAATAGATGGGCAGATAGGGAGACTGGATCTGTACAGGAGGATCCACCTGTTCCGCGAGGCCCTCAAAATACAACTTCTCTGGATATTTCTGTGGAATTGAGAAGATGATAAATGGTTAGAGCATTTTTTAAAAAATTCTCTTAAAAGAGCTAAATGTGAAAACATTGTTTAGATTTTTTTTTGCAAGGAAACATTTAAAATTATACTTGATTATACTTTACTTCTTTTTATAGAAGTCCTTATGTCCACTAAAACTGCAGTTTCAATTTATTCTCAACATTATAGAAACTCTCAAACCTTGAAGAAGTTCAGAGAGCTAACTTACTTCTATATAGACAAGAGAAAAAACATTAGAACCAGAGAGAAAACGGCCAAATCACTTCATCAAATACTCAAGTATGGCTTTAAAAGGACTATTTGAAATACCAATTAGGACTAGTACCTTGTGATAATTCATGTGCTTGGTGTGCCAGTCATTCTGTAACCAGTGCTCTGGGGAATTTTCCTTCACAAAGTCACTTACTCGATTTCTAAAATCGTTTGGTTTGAGTAACAGCAACTGAATTATGAAATAACAAACCTGGGCTTCATTTCCTTCGTGACTACGCATGGCCTTTGAAAAACAACAGAAAAATTATATGAAAATGTTCAACCTGTGTAAAATCATGAGGGCCATCTGAAAGCCTAGATTTTAACAAAGTAAAATCTCACTATTATAATTTCCTTAGACGTCTAGTCTATCCCAAACCAACTGTTCAGTATTCCCCAAACATATATGACCTTTCTTGCCTATTTCTGGCTTACCATTCCTTCTGCCTGGGATGTCCATCTTTACTTTTAAAAATTTAATCTATCTTTCACAGCTATCACCTAAGCAGATAAGATTTCTCACTGTTTCCTAGAAATATTTTTTCTACACCTCCATCTTATCCTGACATCTTATTGATTTATAGACTTACATTATTCCCCCTAAAATATAATAACTACTTTTATATCTATGCTCCACAGCTAAGGGGTTAACGTTAAACTATGCCACTCCAAATGTCACCGCCATAGAATTTTTTTCAATGTAGCATTTTCCAGCCTACTTCAATATCTTTTTAAAGAAATCTACCCGAAGGCCAGGCGCGGTGGCTCACACTTGTAATCCCAGAACTTTCGGAGGCCGAGGCGGGCAGAACACGAGGTCAGGAGATTGAGCCCATCCTGGCTAACACGGTGAAACCCCATCTCTACTAAAAATACAAAAAATTAGCCGGGTGTGGTGGTGGGCACCTGTAGTCCCAGCTACTTGGGAGGCTGAGGCAGGATAATGGCGTGAACCCGGAAGGCAGAGCTTGCAGTGAGCCAACATCACGCCACTGCACTCCAGCCTGGGCGACAGAGAAAGACTCCATATCAAAAAAAAAAAAAAAAAAAAAAGAAAAAAAAAATTCTGCTGGAAATAGACATCAAAGTCAGGAGAAGAAAAAAACATTTGGGGAATGTTTGTTACCAAAGTGTACAGAAATGGTTATATTCGCACTCTGTAAAGAAACACAGTGACTTACTGCTACTTCCTCCCTCTAGTGGGAGTTTTGGAGAATCAACTCAGGGTCTAATTGCTCATATTTTCAAAGTATCACAAGGCTAGGACCACATCTATTTTATTTACTTCTGTACCTTCTATACATAGAACACAGTTGATATTCAATATGTACTTATTAAATGAATGAATAAGGAAATTGGGGCTGGAAGCAGTAGCTCACGCCTGTAATCCCAGCACTTTGGGAAGCTGAAGAGGGAGGATTGCTTCAGCCCAGGAGTTCGAGACCAGCCTGGGCAACATGGAGAAACCCCATCTCTATAAAAAAGTTAAAAAGAAAAAAAACTAGCTGGGTATGGTAGCATATGCCTGTACTCCCAGCTACTCAGGAGGCTGAGGCAGGAGGAGATTGCTTGAGACCAGGAGGTTGAGGCTGCAGTGAGCCATGATCACGCCACTGCACTGGGCGACAGAGCGAGACCCTGTCTCAAAAAACAAACAAAAAAACAAAAACAAACAAAAACAGAAATTGGAAAATTTCCGGCTCTTTAGGGAAGTGACAGCAATGCTTGATATAGTATAAATTCATTAAATCCTTCAAAGCAATATAGAGCAGATTGGCATAACATATATTAGTCATACATCTTGATCTAAGAGAATAAGCTTAGAAATGTATTTATTCTTACCAGGCAGAGAATTAATCTGTCCAGTGTAACAATGTTATACTTCCATACCATGTCATTAAGAATTTCAATGCATTTATTGAGTTGCTGACCCCCTGCTGATGTAGAAAACTCATATACCAGGAAATCTGCAAATGTCCTCACATGGGCTACCAAGGCCCTGGCTCCAATTCTCTCTAATACTCTGGAAGGCAGAGAGTAAAACATAAACTCCATTGTTGTATGGATACAACAATTTGCCAAATGGAATGCAAATTAGGTTTTTGACTTACCTATAGCCAATCTGATTAATATGATCTGTTTCCAAGAGCATTTTCCAGAGAAGACAAAGAAAGAGAGGAGGGGAGCCCTGCATAGAGAAGTGGGTAATAATGTCGTTTTCGTTGCTCATTGACTTCCACTTCCTATACTCCTCCTCCACATTTTTTTTCAGATTAAAACGGCTTTCCTGAGGCACATTATTTTGTTTGAAGAATGCCTAAAAAGAGGATTAGAAGTTTATTTCATTGGTTATAGTAGAAAGAGCACTGGATATGGAGTTAATAAACCAGTTCTAGACTTGATTCTGACACTAATAAACTCTAGGTCACCTTGAGCAACTCAGCAATTAAGGCCTGAATTTCTGTGTCTGGAAAATACATAAGCTTGACTAGATTATCTCCAAGATTCCTTTTCCTAGATTTCCTAAATGGAAATTCTAAGTAAGCCTGAATTCAAAGCTTCTTCAATCATCTGTTGATACTTCCGCCAATCTTAAAAAGAAAAAAAAGAATGAAGTGTCTCTACCCTTTGGCTACATATGTTAGTGTCTTTGAGGAAAATCCATTGCACTAGCCCAGTGATTCTCAGAGTGTGGTCCCAACACCAGCGGTATCAGCATCATCTGGGTCTTACAAGAAATGCAAAATTCTCAGACCTTATCCCAGATTTACTGAATCAGAAGCTCTGTGGCTGGGGGCCCAGCCAACTGCAGCTTAGCAAGCCCTCCAGGTGATTTGGTAAGTTTAAAAACCAAATGCTCTAGCCCTACCAGGAGTTATGAAAAATGGATGTTCATCATGCCTAACATTTTTTCTGAAAAGGAGAAGACAGATGAGGTTTGCCTTTCTCCTTATTAGAAAAGCCAGGTTTACAGTTTTTCTGTGATTAAGAAAAAAATTCAGTGAAGTGTCATATTACGCACACTCTGTGAAGCTCCATTACGTTATACTTCTCCCCATTTCAGTTCTATGAGAGAGAAAAAAGTTTTCAGGTACTATGTTAATTTTCATGAGATTCTAAAACCATTAACTATTTTTTTCTCTTTTTCAATTTTTTTCACTTTTATTTTTTTCCTCTTTCTACTCTTCCTCCCCTTAAAACTGTTAACTAAGATGAAACCATAATAATTAAATTTTTAGAAACATGTCCAGTACCAGAGTAGGACACAGAACAACTTGAGAGATTTTGTAAGTAATGACTTTTTTTTTTTTTTCTACAGACAGGGTCTGGCTCTGTCACCCAGGCTGTGGTACAGTGGTGTGACCATAGTTCCTTGTGAACCTGAATTCCTGGGCTCAAGCCATCCCCCTTGCCTCAGCCTCTCAAGCAGTTAAGACTAGAGGCTTGTGCCACCATGCCCAGCCCCTAAATATTTTTTAAAATAAATAAAAGCTAATTTTATTCAGAAGTCACCAAGACTCACTCTAGAACACCATTGTGAATGGGAAGAAGGATTTCATGTGCATTCAATAAGTAATTCAAGACCAAATTACCTGTAGTGGGCCTGGAAAACAGCTCAGGGTGTGTGAAGCCCAATTATGAGGAGTGAAACTCATGATGGTCTGAAGTATGTCTTTACACCAAGTTCCCTGAATTGAATCAGAGCCTGTAAAAAAATCTAAACATAAACAAATAGATGTAATCCAGATATAAATGATTATATCCACAATTCATAAAAGATTATAGCGAAAATAATAATTATGTACACTGAGAATTTCACTGCAGTGCATTCACTGCTTAACTAGTTATATTCAGCTTAGAACCTAAATTTGCTTAGTTTATGAATGATCTGGATGATCACATTAGAAAATATGAGAACAGTTTATGAAAAGATGACAAAAGACATTTGAAATCTCTTTTTTTGAGGTTACAGAGTACCAGCGATAACAGTAATACAAGCCCATCACTACTGTTCATTTACTTTGACACTGATTTAGTAGTACTTTATTCGGCCAAGGGAACAGAATAAAGAAAGATATCTTTTTTGGTGAGTGAAATAATTACATAATGCATGTATAAATCTCAGAATTGAAGAGGGTTCTTTATGTAAAACAAAATAATTTACATAAACGTATTTGAGGTTGCTAAAACCAATAACTATCTCTTTAAAACATCAGTTCTCAAGTGTGGTCTGTAGACCTCTTGGGGATTCCCCAATAGCCCTTCAAAGATTCAATGAGGTCAAATAATAATAAAAAGATATCAGGCTTTTTCACTTGGTATGAGCACTGACGGTACAAAAGCAATGGTGGTAAAACTGCTGGTCCTAAGCACAAATCAAACAGTGGTGCCAGACTAGATGAAAAGGCTTTGTATTCTCCAGCACATGCACTCAGTGAAAGAAAAGTGCCAGTGTCAATCTCGACACCTATTTTTAACATCATATGTAACAAAAGGGGAAGCATATGCCTAGTGTTCCAAGTTTGATGGGTGTCTTGAGGAAAAACACTTGTGCACTTGTGTGACTGACTGAGCACTGAGTTAAATCAGCTGCTTTTTTTTTTTTGAATTCCAATTTTACTTGAAAGAACGTCTGACAGAAAACTATAGCTAGCTAGACTTACGTATTTAGCAGACATTTTCTTGAAAATTAACAAAATGAGCTTGTCACTTTAAGGAAAACAAATGATAGTAACTTTTTCCAATGATAAAATTTGACCTTTCAAGTAAAAATTGAAATTTTGGAAAACCTGTATCTACCACGACATGATAGCATTCCAAAACTTAGATTTTTCTAATAAACTTTGCAGTGATATTAACAAATGTAATTTTCTGATACTGTATAAACAAAATGTCAACGTTTGCTAGATCTACGTAACTCAGTGAACCAGTATTTTCAAAATGAATAATTCATGAAGTTACAAAACATGCATGGATTTAAAAATCCACTAAATGTATAAAACAGATGTACAGATTATAATGTAACAAAGTACATGAAGTTTACTGGGGGTTTTGGATTCCATATTGCAGCTAACCTTTAAGCAACTATCATTTTTCCATGTGATGTCAAAGAACATTCCCAATTATCTGAAAAAGCTATTAAAATACTCCTCTCTTTCCAACCTCATCTGTGTGAGGCCACATTTTTCACTTACTTCAACTAAAACTTCAATGGATTAAATGTCTAAGCAGATGAGAATCCAAACTATGTCTTCCTTTACACCAGATATTAGAGAAGCAAAAATGTCAAACAATGGCACCTCTTCTCACTAAAGTTTTGCTTTAGAAAATATACTTTTTTTATAACATCATATATTAACATGTAATGTTTATTATTGCTATTTAAAAACAAATTAATAAATATTTTTAAACTTCTTAATTTTAATATCTAATATAATAAATATCCATAGATATAATCCATATAAACAGAAACTCTTTGGGAATTTCAATTTTGTTTTTAAGAGTGTAAAGCAGTCCTGAGACCAAAAAGCTTAAAGTATTACTACTTTAAAATTATGGATAGCTGAAAACGATGCTCAACGCAGTTATTAATAGAATGATGGTACACAAAAGAGCTTCCATAAATGAGTGAAATAGTGAAGATATCAAAACAACAGGCTTTTTTCAAACAAATGAAAAGTATCTTTTTAGTATGTTACAACTATAGTAATTAGTAGAATCATGGCACACTTTAATTCATCTGTTGTTGTTTGTAGTCACATATTCACCGTACCTGTTACATGAGTTGCTCTAGCCAAGGTCAATATCAAGGCTCGGTTCAGTTCTTCAGATTCTGCTGAGAGCACTGTTTTGGGATCACTAAGGAAGCGTGTAAACTGCGGTTGTACCTCTGAGCTACCTAATGCTGTTATAAGCCTGAGAGCAGTGCTCTCGACACTGAAAATTGGGAGAATAAAAAGAAATGTAAAAAAATTTCAGAATTATGGAATTAAATCTAAGGTTAATTACAATGGAAAAACATGCAATCTATGACTATCCCTTCTTTAAAAAAACACTTTTGTGTGAGAATAAATGTTGCTTAATTTGTTTAAAAAACCTAATGTGTCCAATTTTATAGTGAAAATCGTGACTTTTTACACATTTGAAAAAGATGGCTTGTCGCCTATAGGACTAAAAAATTTCACCTGGAGATACTGCATTTCAAAAATTATATTTTTCTATCTAAAATATATTTTAATGTAAAGCAAAATCAATGTGACATGATACTTTAACCATAATCTGAAGTATACTTAAAACCAGCATTCTAAAGGGCTAAGTTACAACATAATAATAAATACCCTGGAAGTACTAATTCTCAGTCCAAAGATCCTGAAGGAAGGACTCAACTATCTTAATCAGTTTCTATTTAAAAAGCTGGACTCTGCTCCTATACTGGAAACAAAATACTTTAGAAGCAGAGAAGTTTTATGACAGATGAATAATAATAAAAAAAAAAACTATAAGGTAAAGGTAAAGGATTAAGAACCTCATCTCCAAGAAAGTTTCTAATAAATCTTAAGGAAAGATGGTCTTCAATGAGCTCACCAAAGATGGAGCTGGTTCTGGTTTGTTTGTGCAACTGCAGCCAAAGTATGAAGATGACTCAGGAGCTGAACTCTGTAATGAGGCTGAATATGATGCATCCGGTAGCTAAACATCTCAAGGAGTGTGTGTAAGATCCCCCATGCATGTGATTTGAAAACAGTTGGCAAAAGCTGACCTGGAGGAAAAAGACAATTTAAGGTACCAATTATTAAAGGCTATGCATGAAAAGATATTTGAAGAAAGTCACATTGAGTAAAATATAAAGATTTGATTGTGAAAATACACACGCCCACACACATATATATTCTCCATATTTTCTTATTTTCTACTTTAACAGTAAGGAAAAATTCAGATCCTAACTATAATATCAAGTTTGCTTTTTTCCTGGGATTTGGCAATTGATAATCATGTTTATCTGGAAAAATAAAATGAGACAAGATATGAAAAAACATTAATCTTCTCAATTCTGATATCTTTTATTTTTAGACAATTAATGTTCCATACCTTTTGAAGTATGAGGTTCACTTTTTAATACAAAAAATTGTATTATACCTGCCCTTGTTTCCTCCTACCCCCAAGAAAGTTTTGTTCAACAATCAGTTATCTAAGAAGAGTTATTGTGGTTAAAATTAAGACTATGCTGTATTCGTGAAAAGCTGGAATTACCATGAATCAGAAAAACACTTCTATATCAGAAAGTATCTATTATTTTAGAACTATATAATAAATGAGACATTATAATGTATCTTCTGCAAGGTAGGAAAATTCCTTCTTTATTTCCAGTCAGACTTCGTATGCACTGGAGGACAGCATTGCTGCCTCAGGCAGAATCCATTTGCATGAGGACAGGGACCAGGTCTATCCTGCTCACTGCATCCCAGGCACCTAGCACATTAACCTTTTCTTACCACTTTACTTAAAAATGCAACAAACCCCCCAACCCTCACACTTCCTATTCCTTTTTGCTTTATTTTTCTCTATAACATGTATCATCTGACATATTGTATATTTCATTTATTTAATGTCCTCCTCCATAAGCTCCATCATGGTGGTGACTTGTTCTCTGCTGTGTCCCCAGGACCTAGAAAAGTAACTTTAGAGTTAATGAATGGGTTAATAGTTATAAACACCAGAAAGTCCTGTCTTACTGATAAATCCTTTGATGCCCAAAGACTCTATTTCCATATAGACCAATAAACGACTGTAAGTTTCCACTAGGGCTGGAGCCAAGGCCACACTGGACTTTGCATGAGCAAGTTTTATCACCCTGGTTGCAATGCTGTGAATAAGGCTGAGGAGAAAAAAAGGGAAGAAAATAAAAATCCATATTTTTGACATAAACATAGGGGCTACTCTACTTAGAAGTAACTTAGTATAAATCTGAACTTAAATGATTCAAATGAAGTTGATTCATTTAATGTGTTTAAGCTGTGCAGGACACTTGGTAAGGATGCACTGCACAATCTGAGACTCATTCCGTTTCTGTGGCGCTTTCAATATGCATACGGATCCCCCTGCTCATGGAAAAACAAACTTTGGATTCAACTCATAAGAGCATGCTTGAGGGATTTTGGTCACTCAAATGATGCATCAAAATACATTTGGGAAATTAAATAACTTTTGTCACAGATTTACTTTAATAAATCACTGCTAAGACCCAAATGTTACGTTCTAATGGGGCTTTGCTCAAATCTGTTATATATGCAAGTGAAGCACATGTGTAATTCTATCACAATGGTTACCATTTGAAAAAGAGCATAGCTCTACCAGGACTGATGCTCCACTTGGAGGCCCACAGACAAATTCTCTTTGGCCTATACAGTGGTTGTTTCAAATTTGAGCCAATACTTAAAAGCTGAAAGACTACTAATAAAAAATCTGGATTTCTAGCCCTTTCCAAAAATGTTGGAAGCTCTAGCTACACTAGTCCTCATTCTTAACTATCTATAAAAAATGAAAAAAAATGTGCAAAAAATTTTTATAATGCTTATCTCTCATGTAGAGATTACAACAATTACTTTCTTTGGGTTTGTTTATCCTAGAATTCCTATAATAAAAAATATTTACTTTTGTAATAAAATAAAGCTAACTTTTTTTTCTCAAATGTACCTGACTATGAAATAATACGCACATAAAATCATGAAATAAAGGTTTATACTATACTCGTATCAATTCCCTGACATGGAACCAAATTAATAAAAAGAACATACCTCATTTTGGCATGAACTGTCAGTGAATCCAGGAGGTTCATAGGTAAGGGGGTAATAGATCCTGAAGCCATACAGTTTGTTCCAGGGAGAGGTATCCTCATAATTCCATTTCCATAAATAGTTTCTACCAGAGCTCCCATGGGTAATGTAAAACATTCTGAATTTGTAGAGTATGCATTACACAATAGAGCAATCTTATAGTCATTCATCTGTAAACTTTTATTTCTTAGACTCTGCTGCAGGAACCTAAATATTCACGTTCCATTAAAAAGAAAAAATGAAAATAACTTCCATAATGTTAATTTGTATTTTTTTAAAAGTTCAATTTTATGCAATTATTTATTAATGCTATCTTTGTTCCTATAGGTATTATAGTTTCTGTGTGAAATGTACAGTGGGAATACACATAGAAGTTTGAGTAGCATTTCAGAAGAAAAATAATTTTAAATAAACAATTAATGGGTACTGTTAAGTATGCACTACATATATGACCACCATATTAGGCTAAGTTTCAGAGAATGAAGAAATAACTCACAAGTCTATGAACCAGGTTTCTATTTATTATCTGTCTGTATAAACACAACAATGTCTTCATTACAGATACCACTATGAAAAGGTGGTTAAGGGCTGTCTCATAAAATGAAAACCAAATGAAGTATCAAGTCTGACAATCCTGCCATCTCCTGTGAAGAGAAGTGGCAGTCCTTCTCAGAAGTTCTAGGTGGGAAGTTAGGCTACTCCTAGCACCCTTGACTACAATACAATACTATCTAAGAATGGTATCTTCATTGAGTCATCACAACTTTGGAAGAGATATTAAGGGGCATGCCAGCCAGATCAGCTCAATCAATCCTGGCAGCCCAGAGATGAATGATATCTCAGTCAGCTTATGCTGAAGTTCCAAGCACTTGGGAAATTCTGAAACATTTTTACATTTATAAAAATTGATATGCTTTCATTATATTAATAACTTTAAAGTATAACATATACAACTGAAGATCAGCCTTAAAAATTAAAAAAAAAAATCTATACATATAAGCAAGACTAACCTTGTAGCTGTTTCCTGATATAGGTACTGGTCAGATTCTCCTGCTATGACATATACATCAAGTATTTGCCCTTACCTATAGTGGGTATGCGGAGATTTCCAAATTTCACACAAACACCGAGACCAATATTAGTCTACAATCCGCTATTAATTAAACAAGAAAATTAAGTATCAAGCAACAAATAACTTACTCATGGTGAAGTCTTAGGGAATGAGGTATTGGAATCTGTAGCTTGGAGTTGTCATTTTGAGCTTTTCTATTGAGATGAATCCAAATACAGGTCATTGCAAAGGCATGGGTTGACTGGGGTTTGTTAATATCAGGAACTGGGATATACTGAAAAATAACAATTTGAAAAATAACACAATAGAAGAAAGAGAAGAATTAAATAATTATGTGTATTTTAGTAATCAATTTCTAATATAACTCTTTTTAGCATATCATGTCTTACTTTAGCCCCGATAATTCAATAATACAAATCAGAAGGTCTAACAGCCATAAAATTTTGAAATTATTACAAGATGCTTTATTTGGTATATGTTTTTACTTGCTTTAAGTAACACATATTCACAGGTGCTTGGTCAAGCTTTTCCTACTATCGCAGAGCATTCTCAAATAAAAATAAATTTTTAATTTTTACTTTTAAAAAATTAAAACACATCATCATGAAATCTTACTAAAGTGACAAATGTAACTAAAAACAAGACTTTCTAAAAGTCTCATAATAATTTTTAAGAACAGATAAAAATCTAAGAAATACGCAACCTAAATAATTACATTTAAACATATTGACTATTAATGGGTAAAATGATATGGATGTCTGGGATTTGCTTGAAAATTGTCCAACATTAACAAAAAAAATAAGGAGGAAAGATGAAACAAGAGTATTTCTTGATGATGGGTATAACATGGTGGGGTTACAGCTAGTGCATGGTGGGGTTACAGCTAGTGCATGGTGGGGTTACAGTAACCCCATCATGTTATACCCATCATCAAGAAATACTCTTGTTTCATCTTAAAATTTTCTGGGCAGATCACCTAAGGTCAGGAGTTCAAGACCAGCCTGGCCAACACGGCGAAACCCTGTCTCTACCAAAAATACAAAAATTAGTCGGGCATGTTGGCATGTGCATGTAATCTCAGCTACTCGGGAGGCTGAGGCAGGAGAATTGCTTCAACCCAGGAGGTGGAGGTTGCAGTGAGCTGAGATCACGCCACTGCACTCCAGCCTGGGTGACAACAGTGAAACTCCTTAACAACAACAACAACAACAACAACAATTCATGATAAAGTACTTCTAGAAAATGGCAATCATCAAAATACATCACATTTTACTCAAATATCTTATATGATAAAATACCCAGGGGACATACTGAGGCTCAACTGTCAAAGAAAAAATAGCTATTAATAAAGACTGTTATCTGGCCATTCAATGATGTATATAGATTAAAACAGCTTTAGTGATTTGTAAAACTGTAGACCTACCTAGAATGTAGAGAAAGAGCTTGCTACACTTAACATTCAATTGTGATTTAGCATAAACTTTAGAAATACACAAAATCACACTAAAATCCTTAAACATAAATTAGACATAATTTACTCATCATGTTGTTATGAATAGTTACTCAGTAAAGCTTACTTCTTTTTCTGGGTATAGCAAGTCGAAGAGCTTCATCACAGGGAGAAAATCAGCTAGTGCATTTTTCTGAATACTTCCAGAAATGAATTGCAGGAGAACCCACATAAGATGATCTCTGCCTTTAATCAGTCCTCGCCCTGCTAACTATAAAAGATGTTTAAATACACATGTATACACTGCTACTTAAAGAGATGAATACAGGAAGTTTTTGTTGTTTTTTTGTTTTTGTTTTTAAGGAGAAACCTGGTTCTTGCTCTGAGAAAGTCAGCATCTAACTTTGGCACTTAGTAATTACTTAGTCTCAATTCAAGACACACCATGCAAAACCTGCTAAATTATTTTAATATTATATATATGCTTATTTCCTGCTCCCCAAAACAACTAATGCATATAAAAATGCAATGTTTTAGAACATAGTCATATACAACATGCACAACACCACCTCTTTAAGTTGATCATGTGTGCATGAGAATCAAGTTTAATATGGGATAATTCTTATTTTAAAAATCTCATCAAAACCTGGGGAATACTCTATCACACCAAAAGGATTTTTTTTTTTTAATTTGAAATTGTCATGGACTGGTTGTCATAAAACATGCTTCCTCATTTTCTGTACACTTTGTTTCTTGTTTATTTATATGTATCTTTTTAGAACAAGGATAGAGATGGGGTCTTGCCATGTTTCCCAGGCTGGTCTCGAACTCCTGAACTCAAGCAATCCACCGGCTTCGGCCTCCCAAAGTGCTGGGATTACAGGAGTGAGCCACCCCACCCGGCTGGTTTTCTGTACATTATAACAGAAACTAATGGTGGTTTCTGGGAGAAGGTGGTTGAAAGGATTTTAACAATATTTATGAAAAATTTTCCCCAAGATAATTCATGCTGTGGAGATGTTATGTAAAACAACTTTTATTCCCATTCAATATGTCTAAAATTTTTGACAAAAAATGTCTTTTCCCACAAACTTAAGTCTTCCACTTGTCTCCCTTTTTTGGATTCATCGTCCTCCCTTCTATTCATTCCCACAGTAGGAACCACTCAGCAAGCCTAGACTCCCGCTACTCTCTGTATTCGCTGTCAGTCACCTAGTCCTATTCCACGTCAGTGTACCTGATCTCTGGCTCCTCCTTTCTGTCCTGGTTTAGGCCTTCAGCATCTTTCACCTAGTCCACTGTAGTATCTCTCACTAATTTCCTTGCTTCTGGCTTTGTACCTGTCCATCGCTACACCACCTTCTTTCTCCATGTGGACATTAGCATTTTTCCAACTTGCATATGATGATGCCATTCTCCTCTGCATTGCCTCCAAAACAAAATCTAAACTCCTTAGAACAGGCACATGGCCATTCAAAGTTCTCCATGTCTGCTCTTGCTTTCCTGCCTTCCTTATCTCATCAACGATTTCCCCTTTATATTTTTATTTCCAGTTCTCACACATCTCTATCCCTTTCTAAATGATGGTTTTATTGCTAGGAAACACTTTTCTTTTTCTCTCAGCAAGTTTCTATTTGTCCTTCAAGTGTTAGCTTAAAGATCTCTTTGATACAGCCATCCCTGATATTTCTGATAGAGACTATTCCTTTTTTTTTTTTTTTTTTTTTTTTGACACAGAGTCTCGCTCTGTCGCCGAGGCTGGAGTGCAGTCGTGTGATTTTGGCTCACTGCAACCTTAGGGACTATTACCTTTTATTTGTATTGCAGGGAAATGTGCTTTCATTATAACAACTATTAAGATATAATCATGTTGTGTGTGTGTGTATGTATATACATACATATATATATGTACTCTATATATATATACACATACATATATATATATGTATATATATATATATAAAGTATCCCCTCCTCTAGTGAGGTGCTCCTTGAGGATATTACAGTGCCTTTTCATCTTGTATCTGCTGGTGCCTGCACTGAGAATACATAGAATGAATGACTGAATCCTGTTTTTACAGTGACAAGAAAGTAAAAAGTTAAGAAACTATAAAAGCACTAAACAGGACAGAAATTAGGGCTCAGAACTTCTGTCAGTTCTAAAATCACTAGGGAATGCCCACAGCAGTCTAAAATACAGTAATCAACAGGTGAAGTCACTCCGACCATAAGATTTAGTACATACCTTCTGATGAAGAGAAAGCACCATATGTGGAAAACTTGCAAACTGGAAAAGCACAAAGAAAATGAGCTGACTTGAGAGATGCTGCCACAGGAGTTGGCTTGTTCCCCCATCGTCAAACTTCTCCTCGGTCTCAGATCGCTCCATGGCATAAACAACCAGATCCACCAACTGGTCCTCCAGCACAGGGCAGCGCTGCTTGTGCTGTAGGGCAGAGATTAAATACAGTATTCCAAAAGCCTCTCGGTTAGTTTCAGAAGTTACCAGTTAATGGGCATTAATTGTAACAAGAGGCTGAGAAGCACGGAATGAAGTTGAACTTAAGAAGTCAAGGTTAGATTTAGTCTATTAAAGCTGCA
Source organism: Homo sapiens (assembly GCF_000001405.40). NCBI lineage: Eukaryota > Metazoa > Chordata > Mammalia > Primates > Hominidae > Homo > Homo sapiens. The sequence continues at coordinate 131,610,402 of NC_000006.12, forward strand.
TCATGTTATATTATTATACAGGATAAGCTTCATGAAAAAATGTTTTCAGGTTTCCTACAAAACAGACTTCCCATTAACTTTTGACTTCCACTATGGACATCATTGTTTCAATTTGACAAAGGGCAATGCATAGTAGAGAATTTTGTTATTTATCCTTTGGAAAAAGATAACATTTTAAAGGGCATATGAAACAGGGATAGCAGTATTAATTTTGCAATCTAAGTCAAAAGATGAAAACCCTGGATTTACAGGCATCAAACATTGTGACAGAACAAATAAAGCAGTTATGTGAATCTCTTTATTTTAAAGTAACCCCTATAAGTTTACACTAACTTTATATACAGAGGTATATCTAAATAGCTACCAGATTATTCAACATCTGTTTTCAATGTGTGGTATTCGTCCTGATACTGAAATGGAAACTTCTTCCACAAGAGGAAAAAAAATTGATCTCTCTGCTCTTCCTTCTTGGAAGCCAAACATAATGCAGCTTTAATTTTAAATTAGACCACTTTAAAATCTAAAACAAGAAAAAGAATTGAGTTTAAACACTAAAAATGAGAATGCAACTTCCCTTTCTAGAGGCAAAAAGATCTGTGCTTTTAAAAGTGATTTAAAAAATATATTTTTACCAAAAGAAATATGTTAAGCCATGTTTAAGCCATTTTCATATTTCCTTTATAAATATGTTATATGACTTAGTAGCAGGCAGTTGGAAGCCCTTCTAGTGAATACAATTACTAATACAGATCTTTCCCCCTAAACTTTAGATGTGATTATCAGTCTTTTGCCATGAAAAAGGGATATGATTTTTTCAAATTTAGGGAAAAAAATGCAAAATGGGGACAAATTTGGAAATAAACAAGACATAATGAATAGCATCCCCTCTTTTGCATGCTCTTTGCCAGCTCCAAACTTGTAAGCTCCAATATAGCTGTAGTTTCTTAAAGCATGCAAATAAAACAAACATCTATCCAAATGATAAGCATCAATGGTTGTTTCATATTTTTTCCAAAAACACAATGCCATGACCACAGTTCAATCACATTACAGGTTTACAAATAGCAATATTAACACCACCAGTTGAGACTACAGTACTTTTCCTCCAAATGTAATTATCATTATGAAGCAGAGCAAAGTGCAACAGACAACACTACAGACTATTTCTTAAATCAGCATGCAAAACTACTGTGTACAGGGCTTGAAATTCACTAGTTCTGCCAACCACCAACAACCTAAGAAATGTGTCAGACAACACAAATTTAGAGTGAGATCATTCAAAGTATACAGAGTCAGAAAAAATTGTGAAAAGAAGTAAAGCCAGGATTTCCAGTAGGAATTTTTCACTAGTGATGGGAATTTGCTTCCAGTTTGGAAACTGACCAATTTGTCATCTATTTCTCCATCCATAATGGTCTTCCATCAATCTGCTTTAGGAAAAAAGAGCAAACTAAATAAAACTAGTTTTTAGCACTTGAGTCACTTTGGAGTTTCCTTTTTTAGTATTAGCTATTTAAGAAAAAAACTGGATTTTCACCTACATATTTTTAGGCATGTAGTGATTATCATACAGTTAATGATTTTAAAAGGAAAGCAAAAATAGTACGATTTTGACAAAGCAAGAACAACTAGGAAATTTACAGTTAAAGCTGATGGTCTTTCAATATATGCCATGACTCAAGATTACCCTTAACTTTTCTGTCAAAAATTAAGTCAGGAATATCTACAGTACCTAATGCTCCGGTACCTGATGGTAGCAGAAGAGCTATCAGGATTAACTACAAATTTCCCAGGTGTTTTTGGTTAAAACCAAGGATATTTCTCAAATCAAGTTTAAAGACAGCTTAAATATGTTGCTTTATCTGCAAATTTTGGTAACATCAAAAAAAAAAAAAGAAAAGTCTGAGATACAAAATGATCTGTGTTGCTACTTCAGAATAATAAACTGCTTTAGTTTTCAATTATTTAAAGACAGGTACATTAAAATTAAGACTCTCTACTACATAGCAGATGGTTTTACAAAGTGGAACAAACATTTGTAAAGCAGTTTCAGAATCTATGAATAAAAGTTAACTGTCAATCACTAGGCTAAGATTATTTCATAAGCCAATGGATGCTATCCCTATGACTGTTCACATCTTGTTTTGTGAAAGCTTTGGTGAATTTAAGTCTTCAAAATACTGACATATATAGTTAAATTTGTTAGTGTACATCATAACTATATGCCTATTTAGTTAAAACCTGTTTTAAGAATATTTACATTCAATATTTTAACAATTCTATTTCTACCTAGTAGCCCAAACTATACTGAAACTTCATTTAATATTTTCAGCTTTGATAAAAGCTAAAAATCAGGCAAAAGACATTAATAGAAACATTAATATTAACCCTCGACCTATGCCCAATTCCTTCCCAGCACTATTTCAAATGGCAAATGATGTCGCTTTTCAGTCTTAGCATCTCATATCCTATATTGAGTGGTACTTGACGCTTTTCATGTACAGTTCTCATAATGCTTTTGCAGTGAAATTTTAACATACTGTACTTAGGTGAGCTTAATTTTAAATTATTTCAGTGATGTAAATAAATTTTAAAATAATATCTATTCAGGAGAAGTTGGGAAGAAAAATTCTTTTCAATGTCATTTTCTCTTTCAAAATCATATTCTCTGCTTTAACCAAGAAAGTTACCCATAATCAGAATAATTTCAAAGAGAAACTTACTGATTAACATAAGATCAAATGAATGATGAATACTTCACTGTCTCATAGTAGCCAGGGTTCACACACCACACTATGTAAGAGCTTGAGGAGTGTATCTGTTTTGTAGTGCTTTTATTCAGCAGAAAGAATACAAACTCTCGTGTAAGCACATAAAAAAGATTTTTCCATTGTGAGTTGAAGTCTAACGCTCCACCTTGCAGGTCATGAAACTGGGCTATTTATGACTTGCTGAATGTAACCAATATTAGCATAAAATATAACTCAATTCCTACTGGAAAATGTAATATGAACAGCTCTTAAGGTTTCAAAAGCTGTGAGTAAATTATCACATTGCTAGAGAAAGGACAAGAAAGTATAGTGTAGGATGTAGTTCTGTAATGATAAAAGATGTGATAAGATGACTTGGTTATCTTTAATCATATGCTTCTTATACTGTGTGTTCTCGTTTTCTAGTCTACTTTCCAGTAGGTAAAAATATCAAGTCAACTGAGCATATTATCTTCTGTCTACACATCCCCTAACTAAAAGTTTTCTATGAAAACGATTACTGATGAATTGTGAATTTTTGACAATGTTTACACTACAGTGGTACCAATACTAATAATGTTCTGTCAGCATTTCCATTATAAACTTTATTTTTTATGGATTTATGTCTTAGTCATAAACTTTTTTTAGGTTGAAACTTGTTACCGAAATGATCAGATCAGAAATACTCTCAATTGTTTTGTCAATTTCTAGTTTGAGAAGAGCTGCCCGCCCCCAAGAGAAAAAAGCTTAGGATAGCTAAGGATATCTGGGGGAGGGTATTTGCAGCTCAAATGACCATGGGTACATTTATCCACCAAACTGTAAAAAAATTGAGTCCAGTATGACTTAAGGTTCACTGTAAAAATTAGTTTTAAAACATAGCATGAAGCATTCTTTCAAAGTTAACTGAATACTTACCTCTAATTCAATGAAAGTTGATCAGAATTAATGACTTGGTATTTAAGATGTTAAATTGACAGATTATATGAGGTACCTGTCAGATACTCTAGTGTGAAGCAGTTTCAGTTTCACATGTACAAAAGCTTGTCCAAACAAGGAAACTTGGCAAATTTTTCAGAAGAAAAAACTTAAAATAATAAAAGAGATACTGCTATTAGGGTGAGGTTTGGCATGCAAAGTTTCAACACTGAGCAAGTTTTATGGCCAAGCTATATGTCCTTAAAAATAGGGCTTTATAAATGGAAGCACTGGCACAACCTTCACTATAGTATTGCAAACAGTAACGCTATTTTATATAACCTAGACAAGAACGTCTTTTTAAAATCAAAAAGCTGGTCTATTTTAATATGTTGGGCTCAAAAATTTTTAACAAAAATAATTGGAACCACTATTTTGTTTAAAATATCAAAGGTGAAAAGTCCTGGAACAGACTTGGGACTGTTAAGAGTTTGATTTATAAAGTTTGGCCATAGTGTTTTTCTCCCACCACAGGTGAGCTCCAGTTGAGAGGAGCTCACTCTAGGAGGAAGGCACTTCTGGCAAAGACTGACAAAGAAGGGTGTTTGTCAAGCAGGTGTGGGGTCACCTAAGAGTCTGACATTTCTTAGTCAATCCCCATGTTTCCAAAAAAGCCTTTCCTGTATAAAGTTTACCACTCCAACTTTTAAAAGCAGCATATCTCTATTAAAGTGCCTTTTTTCTCTTTTTTGTGTTGTTTTTAATTTGTTTTTGTTTTAAGGCAAAGCAACATAAGTATTTTTGTTGTTGTTATTTTTCTTTATTTGTTTTAGTAGTCTGGAAAGATAAAGGCCACCACAAATCTTTCCATCTCTGAAAATTCCACCAGGCTAGCTTTAGCCCTAAAGTAGGAAAAAGTAAATGGAGTGGGAAGGAAAAATAAACCATCAAAAAGTGACAGGCTTCATTGAGTGCCAGGTGTTGTCTCTTTGTTACCAAAAAAAAAAAAAAAAAAAGAAAAAAAAAGAAAAAAGAATATTAAAATAACAAACACCAAAAAAACAAAAACAAAAACAATCCACCAAAAATAACTCTCATATCCCAAGAAGAAATCGTTTTTTAGTGGCCTTGGTCTCAGCATGGTCCTGCCAATTTCAAGCCCCGACCATACACGTATTCTCTAAATGGAATCAGTGGCTACAAAGCGGCCAGCGTATCGTTAGTCACAATACAACAGTAAGGTTGTGAACATACCTGAGCAATGTTCAAGGTCTAGAGCATTGGAGGATGGGCAGGACAAGACAGGACAGAACAAAAATAAAGGAAGAAAAAAAGAAAAGACAAAACAGTGACTATGAGGCCAGCCTCAAGGAACCCAGAGTCAGCACAAACCCTCCCACATGTTAAACCACCAAAAACAAGCAAACACACACCAAAAAAAAAAAAAAAAAAAAAAAAAAAAAAAATCAGCAAGAAGGCCACGCTGAAGATACCAAGGGTTATATAAAAATAGACACCCAAACAACAAAAAAAGTCAAAAATTATGGTTGAGTCATGTGTAGGTTTCTCTGGCAAAAGGTATACTTGAAACTGGCCTTATAGAAAAAAAAGCAATGCAAAATAAACCAACTTTAAAAATTTTTCTTTTTAAATTTAAACATTCTTAAAGCAATATATAAATGATAGGAATAATACATTGTTTAAAAAACCATGTATATTTTTAAAAGTCACTAAATAGTTCTTAACTGTTTTGCTCAGTTAGCTATAGCAAAGAAAAGAGAAAAGAATAGTGCAGATTCTATGCAGAATTTACTAGGTTTCCAGCATAGTACAGTACCTGCTTATTTAAACCTAGCATATTGCAGACCATATCCCTGGAATAAGGCTGCTCCAATACATATCTCAACAAAGCAGTCTGTGGTTCAAACAGATCCTTTAAAGAAAATAAGAAAATCATTGCTTCAAGATCAATGTCAACATTAATCCAAATTATTAGAAATGAGATTAAAAAATCCTCTAAAGGCACTTGTTACCTTCACAGAGTAGGCAGTATCTAGTGGGAAAAAAATCATAGGATTTTAGTGCTTACAGTTCATCTGTTCCCACCCCTCATTTGCCTCATTTGACACCTGAGATGAAGTGGCTTGCCCCAAGGTCATACAGAGGGTAACAATAAAGATAACACTAGCACCAGACCTTCCAATCCCCCTTCCCCAGTGCACTTTCTACTATCCTTTCCCTGAAAACGCAGAAGGTTTAAATTTTTTAAATTTTAGCATCTCACTAATGTCAATTTATATAGATTTTGTCCTAGGTGCTCATGTTTCCTAGACATAAAGAAGCATCATTAATAATATCTTTGCTTCCTTTCTGTTAAAACTTAACAAGTCAATTTTCTAGAAGTCTTTCTAGGCATGTAAGTATAGAATTTCTGATAGCCAAATTCAGTTTATAATAAATAGTACTAGGCCAGGCATAGTGGCTCATGCCTGTAATCCCAGCACTTTGGGAGGCCAAGATGGGAAGATCTCTTGAGCCCATGAGTTTGAGGCCAGCCTGGGCAATATGGCAAAACCCCATCTCTACAAAAAACACAAAAAACTAGCCGGGCATGGTGGCATATGCCTGTAGTCTCGGCTACTCAGGAGGCTGAGGTGGGGAGGGTCACCTGAGCCCCAAAGGTTGAGGGTGCGGTGAGCTGTGATTGTGCCACTATACTCCAGCCTGGGTGACAGAGTGAGAGCCTGACTTAAGAAACAAACAATCAAACAAAAAATAATGCTAGAAAGTGACATTAAAAACAAAATCTTTTTCAGAGTTTTCCAAATGACAGGCTGAATATTTATTCAATGTCTTGAATATAGACCAATCAATTCCCTATTTTCCTAGTAAGATTCAAAAAACAGCTTTTTAGCTTAAAGCATATCAACTTTTTGAGAAGTAGATGAAACAGTGATAAGCCTAGTTATATTTGTTAATTTTGCCTGCCCATACTTAAAATATATTAATTTAAAAATATTAATTTATATTTAATTTATATTTATTAAATATATTAATTTAGAAGGATTTCATTTTAGTTTATTCTAACTCTTCCATGATGCTAGATGGTTTCTAAGTCATCTTACGGCTTTCTAGAGCACATCGTTTTCATTTCTATCTGTGTCGCTGGGGACATAGCATTTTGATAGAGTCAATGAAAGTTTTTCTTCTTATCAACCTCAAGTACTATTTGCATAATGTTAGCTGGATTTTTTTAAATGTCCCCTTAGGTGGATGGACGGATAGATAGAAAAAAAAAAACACTTCATATACCGATTTTTAAGATAATCTTTAAAAGACTATGCTATTGTAACTATGATGTAAAAACCTTAGAAACAGTTACGGCATTAAATTTCTTTTTTTTTTTTTCTTTTAAATTCATTCCCATCAGCCTGTAATCCCTCTCTATTCACCCCATCTACCAGAATGTCTTTGTTTACTGTTCCTTTCTTCATTTTAACAGTAAAATGTCTGGGAAAGGGGTCTGAGTACATAAGCATTCACTTCAATGTGCTAATTTTAAAGAATTCCTGAGGCATTTAAAAACAGAATAACCAAAGTGACTGTTTTACAAAGACATTCTTATAGCAAGAGTTGACAATGTAGATATAGTTGTAAAAAGAGCAACTAGGCCCAAAAAATTATCAGTTCAGTCAGCAAGACTGCTCACTAATGCAACAATTTAGAGGGACTGGTGCCCCTTAAAGGGTATATCAAAATTTCAGTGATTTGAAAAAGCATACCCTCGTCCCTTTAGGGTTAAACTCAGAAATGTGACTTCAGATATAGTCACATTAGTCTTAAGTATCATTGTAAGGAAGTAATTTTCTGCTCGGAAATGTAATCTAAGAAGAATGGAGACAGTTTCTAAATTCTGTTTTACAAGTGTAAACAAAAACACTATTTCCAAATTTGGAAAGACAAATAACTTGATAGCACAGGTGTTAAGAGTGTAGATTCTGGAATTAGACTGAGTTCACATTTAAAAAGCTCTACTACTTTTAAAATGTGAGGACTTAATCAAGGAATCAATTTAAAATTTCAGTTTGCCATTTAAAATTTCAGTTTCTCACCTCCAAATACTTTGCCAGAGGTGGACCACTGGAGCATAAACACCCACAATAGCATAAACCACAGGGTATATTTAGATACTAGAATAACATGATAAACTATAAACTATCTTTCATTAAATATTTACTTCTTCAGATTATGAAGCAACAATTTAGCATCACATATCTTATAATCTAGGTTGAAGACTGTCAGATGGACTAAAAGTGCCATTATATTTAGCAACATACCTTATCATATGGCAAAAGGCCTTTCAAAGGAAAACGAAGAGTAGCAGGATCCAGTTTCCATGAATTACAAATGGCACCCGAATTATTTACAACTGGCAGAAGACTACAGCGACCTGTATGTATTACAAAAATGTTTTTAAGTAAATGTGAACACAGCAGTACTTCATTCACTTCACAAATATTTAATGAACATATATGCTGAAATAGGCATTGGTTTGGTTTAAAAATGGCTTATAAAAATGTTTCAATGAGACTGAAGGTTGGGAATTTTATTTTTAGTTCAGATAGTTGAAGATCAATTTGCACAGGCTTTCCAAAGTTGAAAATATCGCATTTTGTCTAAATGTCTAGGGCAGAGATCAGCCAACTATAATCCATGGGCCAAATCCAGCCTGGCACCTGTTTTTGTAAAGTTTTATTGGAACACCACTGCTTTTGCAGTCCAATGGCAGAGCTGAGTAGCTGCAACAGATTCTGTAGCCTACGAAGCTTAAAATATTTACTACATGGCCCTTTACAGGAAAAAGTTTAAGACCACTAGTCCAGTGTCAACATGATTAAACTTTATGCACGATATTCCTAGAGGCCTTAGATGTCACATATGACTATCAGCTCATACATCCAACTGCCTAACAAATATCGTCACTTGGATGTCCTACAAGCACCTCAAGCTTAACATGTCTCAAATTCATCATCCTTCTCCAACCTACTTTGCTTCCATAATTCACTACATGATATCAATATCCACTCAGTTACAAAAGCTAGAAACCTGATAATTATCTGTCTAGTGTCTATTTAGATTGTATTTGTATTTTCAGTATCTAGAATAGCACCTGGCTTATAGGAAGTACTCAATATTTGATCACTGAATAAACAATGGTCTATATTTCCACACAGTTGAGGTCACCATGATTTCTAGAAATAATTAAAGAGGATATGTGGGCACTGCAAAAATTGCCAAATCACATGGTTATTTTTAAAAGAAAGTTCAGAGACTCTAACAAAACATGGGAAAATGCGAAAGGAAAAGCAAAAGTGGGAATTAGAATGGGCTGAGTGAGCCTGACACTTTCACGTTCTGTAGCCACAGAGGGACAGGTCTGTTCAGACTTCCAGCTGCCTAGAAATTCCATGGTGCTTTACTAGCTGTATTAAAATGTCTTTCTAATCACCAAGAAACCCACTTCTAGAATGGTTTTAAATGAAGCTTAAACCCATTCCAGAGAGTTTCTTTTTCCTCCCTGTACTTGGCACACAGAGTAAGTGAAAACAAGGGAAAGGCATTATATTAAGCTCTTAGAGAGTCACCAAAATGACAAGCCACCAAGGCACATATTAAGAGAACATCCCTCAGCTTTGTTCAATAATTAGATTACTAAAAATCAGGTACTATTTGGCATATTTAAAATTATAATCCTACCACAAATGGAGTTTATCCTTGCTGTGGGCCTGAAGGTATCCACAAAGTCTGATACTAGGTTTCCAAGTAACTAAAGAGAGAAAGAAAGAGGGAAGTCAAATAAATACGTACAAAAGGAAAATTGAGACTGCCCCTGAAATATATGAACATTTATATAAAATGAGATAATATATGTAAAGATTGCACATGATAACTGTTTAAAGGTTAGCTCCCTTTTGCTTCCTTCTAAAAAATCACTCGCCAGTTCATCTGTCCCTTAATTAAACCAAGTCACACCACCATATCCTTAGCTATTTGATGAAGCTGATCATATTTTATTACATGGCATATAAATTCTCAATGGAAATGGAAATGAAAGAAATACATCATGATTAAAAATATACATATTATCTAAGGATAAAAGTCATCATTAAAAAAATAAGCACACAAAAATAAGATTAATATAACTGTTTTTTATAAAATACCCTTTTTTGTGTGTGAGACAGGGTCTCGTCCTTTTGCCGAAGCTAGAGTACAGTGGTGTGATCACAGCTCACTGCAGCCTCAAACTCCTGGTTTCAAGTAATCCTCCCACCTCAGCTCCTGAGTAGCTGGGGCTATAGGCATGTGCTACTATGCCTGGCTAATATGTGTGCGTGTGTTTTTTAATGTTTTGCAGAGACAGAGTCTTGTTATGTTACCCAGGTTGGGTCTTGAACTCTTGTCCTCAAATCATCTTCCCACCTTTGCCTCCCAAAGTGCTGTGAGCCACGAAGCCCAGCCGAAAATTTTTATTAAAAATTCAGGAAATATAAAATTTACCCAGTGTGGAAGTTTGCCTTCAGGATACAGTTTCCTGATCTCAGTGACTGCAAAATAGGCTGGTAATAAGCAGGCATTTCTTTCCAAGATATATGCTATAACCTAAGAAAAACAAAAAGGCCACATCATTCTTGACTAGTCCCACATATAAGCCCTTTATTTTATTTATTATCATTATTTTTTTTTTTTTTTGAGACAGGGTCTTGCTCTGTTGCCCAGGCTTGGAGTGCAGTGGCGTAATCATGGCTCACTACATCTTCAACCTCTGGGGCTCCAGTGGTGTTCCCACCTCAGCCTCCAGAGTAGCTGGGACTATAGGTGTATGCCAGCAGGCCCGGCTAACTTTTTAATTTTTTGTAAAGACAGGGTCTCCCCAGGATGTCCTGGCTGGTCTCTAACAATGGGCTTAAATGAGCCTCCCGCCTTGGCCTCCCAAAGCACTGGGATTACAGACATGCGCCACTGCATCTGGCCCATGTGAGCGTTTTAAACACTACAATGACAATGACAACAAAAAAGACATTAAAAAGTAGAGATGTTACTTTCTGGAGAGATGTTGGTCAAAGGACAAAATTTCACTTTGACAAGAGGAATAAGTTCAAGAGACCTACTGGACATTATGGTGACTATGGTTAATAACGATATAGTGTATACTTCAAAATTGCTAAGAGAGTAGATTTTAAGTGTTATCATTATAAAAAAATAAGTATATATAATATATATACACACACACAGACAATTGCTACTTGTCAATTAAAATAAAATATAGAGATATTATTTAATGGATTTATTGGGTTTCAACTGTAGCAAAGAATACATTTATATGTAAAAAATATCTAAAAATAAAGATTAATAAACAATGGAATGGATTGTTCATGGTTAGTAAATAACCTTGCACATGCTTTAAATATTGGCACACTTAAACAGGAGTGCAACAGACCAACGTAACAATTCTTGCGATACTAGTTACAAAGTACAAAGATCTTTTAAGTGGTCCATATGCTAAGGTCTTGTAATGTTTAAGCTATTTTAATTTCTATTTCATTGTTTTCATAATTTAAAACCATGAATTAAAATTTAAAATGTCCTTTTGAAATATAAGGGAACTAGCATCTTTTAAAATAGAAGTGATTTTTTTTTGGTAGAAGAAATAGAGCATCTCACAAAATACCGTAAGTATTAAAAGCACAGACCTAAACAAAGCTAGACTTTTTTGAGGTTATGATCACGAATTTCAGACATGTCTAAATTACCTCTCTTGCTGCCAGAAGCTGCTGTACAACAGCAGAGCTCACTGTATTAGGAATTGTCAAAATCTTCTCCAAAATCACTTTTAAGAGATCTCGAACACCCTGATATAAGAAAAAAGACATGGGTTAAAATTAAGTAGTGTCTACTGTGTTAGCTAAAACGTCCGAAGGTTTCAGGGTGATATATTCCTTCAAGGTCACACCTTTAAATTTTCTGAATCAGTTACAATCTAAGTCCCTAACATTAACCCAACAGAAGAGTCATGTTCCAAAACAGAGTTCTAAAGACTGTCTTAAAATACAATGAGCAAAGAAAGTCATTATACAGTTTGTCAAGCTTTTTTGGCCCTCATAACATTAGAAGGGTTTACGTTGTTACAAGGGTCAAAAACCTTAATTATACATATAGACAGAAATATATTGTAACAAGACTTCAATGCACTCTGAAAACTTGAGTAACAATATCAAACTTTTTGGTAGAGGACTGTTTCTGCTCACTCCCTTTTGTGCTGGGATTATAGGTGTAAGCCACTGTGACTGGCCTATTCTCCCTTCTCATCCATCACATACCTTAATCTCTCAAGGATATCCAAGGCTATTCTGTTAATCATTTCCACATATCCAATACCAGTTACATTATCTGATATATAAAGAAGAAATTTCATTCAACATTTATTTATTGACTATGAACTACGTAACCAAGCTTGTAAAAGACAGAACATATACCTAAAAGAACAATTATGAAGTATCATACAAATAAGAAAATTGCATAAGTCTGAGTAAAGAGAAAATAATTAGCAAAAGCTTCTTAGAGTTAACTGTGTGATAAATCATGATTTAAACTAATAATTATCTGTTAGGTCATTACCTGTTAAATCATTTCAGATTAGAGAAAATGCAGAAATAAAGCACAGGGTCAGACACTGGTAATTCCCGGGAAAAGGACAATAACAAAAGTCTCCTGAAGATGCAGAATGGCTTTTGTAGCTATGGAGTCCCTAAGCCGTTTTATGAGACAAAACTAGAAAGTGTATGTTGTTTTTGGTCAAGAGCCCAAAGTGCTGAAGATATTAATTGAGGTAAGACCCACGTTCAAGAGAAGTGAAGCCAGGTCTTGCTCCCTTCATCAGTGATGCCTACATCCCTTCTCAGTTCCACACACCCCTGCTCTGTGCTTTCATTTGAAGGGATCATAATACTTGCAGCATGAAGGAACACGGATTCTGCTTTGTGACTTCCCTGCTCTTCATAAAAATGTATCAGCTACCTGTATTTATAAGAATGTTGGGAGGGGAGTAGCGGAGCCAGGGAAACAACTGAGTAACTTTAAATCTTTTCAGGAAATATACCACAAGAAATAGACAGATTTTGTAAATGCTTCCACATCATTTCTCTCACCTGAAAATAAGACATGCACACCGAAAAATCAATCATATCTGAAAGCAATCACTTTTTATAATAAGAAAAATATACCTTGTAATCCACTCCCCCAATTATTTTCCGAACCAGTTTAAATGTTAAGGCCCAAAGCTGTGTTCTTTCCCACTCAAGAGTGTCAGAGTTTATCAGGGATTCACAAACCAGCCTATAAAAAAAGAAATAGCCATTCCAGTTACAAGACAGAATTTTCCAAGTTCTCTAATAGCCGCCAATATGGTTTGGCTGTGTACTCACACAAATCTCATCTTGAATTGTAGTTCCCATAATCCCCACGTGTCATGAGAAAAACCATTTAAATCATGAGGGACAGTTCCCCCAATACTGTTCTCATGATAGTGAGTTAGTTCTCACAAGATCTAATGGTTTTATATGGGGATTCCCCCTTCACTGGGCACTCATTCTCTCTCCCACCACCCTGTGATGAGGTGCCTTTTGCCATTATTCTAAGTTTCCTGAGGCCTCCCTAGCCATGCCAAACTGTGAGTCAATTAAACCTCTTTCCTTTATAAGTTACCCAGTCTCGGGTATATCTTTGTTAGCAGCATCAGACAGACTAATACAGCCATAGTCTGTGCACTGTATTATATTTATCCTCACAAGTGTCTTTCATAAAAGTGATTACTAAGCACACTTATAAATCTGTGTAGTATTTTACATTTTTTACTTGTATGAAAGATCAAAAACAAAGTAAGAATGAAATAATATTCATTATGTTATATTTTACTAGAAAGAAGTCTATCTAAAGCTTTCGGTTAGATGTTTACCATCTATCACCTTGTGGTACACTGGATTTTTCCAACAGGATGGCAACAAGATTTTTGATCCCACATCTTCTTCTGAAATGTGACACTGACATTTCTCCCAAGGAGAGGTAGGGGGAAAGTCTACGTTCTCACTCCTTAGATCTGGGCAGACCTAAGACTATGGCCAAAAGGATGCAGTATGACTTCCAAGAAGACAAGGTGATACAATTTCTGCCTAGCCCTCTTTTGCACACTTGCTGTTAGGCTCCACCATGAGGTGAGAAAGTCTAGGCCACAAGGTGAGGGCCTGCGGAGGTTCTGGCTAATAATCCCAGCTGAGGTTCCAGATGACAGCCAGGAATCAACCACCAGATATCTGAGTGGGGAAGCTTTTGCCATGCTCCAGCCCTAGCCACATTGATCACAATCATTATGACCTTGAGTAAAAAGTGTCTCCTAAGCCGAGTCAACCACTAAAACCATGAATAATTTTAAAACCTGAGTATTACTGTTTTAAGCCATAAGGTGTTGAGGTTGTGCAGCAAAAGTAAAGGGTTACAAACTAATTAAAGTGATTAATTTCAGCCCCTGGGCAGAAACATCTGGTTTTGAGCCCACAAGCATTACCTAATTCAAAGACTATTACTCCTAGAAACTAAAACCTGAGGTATTATATAAAGGATTACTTGATAAACCTCACCTTCTTCTTCATTCTCTTACCTTTTTACAACAACAACCTCAACCAATTTCCAATCACATATAGAAAAGAAAATTCTTCAGATTGCTCATACCCATTAAACGTACCTGGGTGGAAGGAGACCAGTCTCAACTGCCATTGCTAAGCAGTCATAAAGAAAAGAAATTCTTTTAGGACTATGCTGACCATGAATAAACTTAACAATCCACTGGATACACTGTTCATGAGACTCCTGGAAAATGAGAGAATGATTTTACTTGGGGTCTAAAGTTACATTTTTATAACCAATAGCTAATACTACAACTGGAAGTATACCAATACTATGAAAGAAATACTTCACTATGAGCATCTGTGGATGAAAATAATTTTTAAAAAAAGCAAAATTAAAAAATTCAGATTTAGTATTTGTCACATTAAGCTTAACATTTTGTAATTACATAGATAAAATGCTACCATTTTTATTACATGGGAACTTCAAAAGTAGTAATTAATTAGTTAACATATTAACGGTCAATAGAAAACTCTTAACACAGATTGTTGTAAGGCATTGTAAACAGTGCCCTTTATGGCATATATAAATATTACTGTCACTGGGGGTAAAATTCATTATGGATCAGTATGTATCAGGCTTAGGAGAATTAGGTGTGAATCCAATCCCTAAGATCCCAAACAAGAGCCCATTATGAATCCAATGACATGTCACATTTCTAGACTGGCAAAACTTTAAATACGATGTCAAAATGTTGTGCCCGTATCAAAGTTTGTCTTCTAGGATTATCTCCAAAAAGAGCCTATAATGTTCTGCTTCTCTCCACAACCACTGTTCTCATACATACTTCTATTGTGGCACATATAACAATGATTTGGAAATACCTATTTTCTTCCTGGTCTCTCCATTAGAGGGCCACATCATAATTCATAAAGTGTTTAATGAATTTTTTTTTAAATTTTGGAAAGATATTCAACATCACTGAGAGAAATGCAAAATAAAATTATACTGAGATAAAATTTCTCATGTTTTTGATTGGCAAAGATCAAAAAGCTTAACACTCTATTGTGAGGTTATAAGAAAAAGATACTCTCAGCCGGGCGCGGTGGCTCATGCCTGTAATCCCAGCACTTTGGGAGGCCGAGGTGGGCAGATCATGAGGTCGGGAGATCGAGACCAACCTGGCTAACACGATGAAACCCCGTCTCTACTAAAAATACAAAAAATGAGCCGGGCGTGATAGCAGGTGCCTGTAGTCCCAGCTACTCGGGAGGCTGAGGCAGGAGAACGGCGTGAACCCGAGAGGCAGAGGTTGCAGTGAGCCAAGATCACGCCACTGCACTCTAGCCTGGGCGACAGAGTGAGACTCTGTCTCCAAAAAAAAAAAAAAAAAAGAAAAGAAAAAGATAATCTCAAACACTGCTGGTGGAAGCATAAACTAGTATAACCCTTATGGAAAATTTAATAATTTCTATAAAAATTACAAACTGATAAGGCTTTTGACTCAGCAATACTATTTCTAGGAATTTATCCTATTTTTCATGCATAATATTATTCATCACAGCATTGGTTAAATTAGAAAAAGTAAGAAGAAACTTAGAAGACAGTAGAAGATTGGTTAAAAGGAGGAAGGTACAGCCATACAATGGAATATTATGCTGCTATTTAAAAAAAAAAGTAAGAAAGGAAGGAACAAGTAACGCTTGGACTGATAGGGAATTACCTGTAGATTATTATTAGGAGAAAAAAAGTGCTAATTAATGAACAGTGTACATGGTATATGATCATGCTATAAAAGTGTTTCTATATGCATAAAATACTTCTAGAAGAAAACATAACCTGAGGATATTGGCTACAGACAGAAAAAATAACAGGTAAGAGAAGAGAAAGAGACTAGTTATTGGATCCACCCTTTTATACCTGTGCATTTTGAACCATATAAATGTATTACCTATTAGAAAACAACTAAACAAAAAGGTTAAAACATGACTGTATTGGCATTATATGATCCATGTCTGAGTGGCAAATCTTATCACCAGTGGCTGACACGCAAACAGTTCTCATTTCCCTACCTATAGTGTACCATGAGAAGGTAAGGCACTACTGCAATGTGAGCTCTTCGAGGATGACACATTTTTGTCTTTTTCACGGATACATTTTCTGGTAGCTGTTCTTTGTTACTTTTACAGTTTGTCTCCTCATTTTTACTATAATATTTTCCTATCCTTATTATAGAATCTTGGTATTCCTATTGTAGCATCTTTGTATCAATGCTGTGCCAATTCCTTTATTTAGCAGAAAAATGGAATTTGTATCCTTGACAAGTAAAGCTTAACATATCTGTTTTCAAGTGTACCAAATAAATCCGAATAGGATGAAAATGATCTCAATTAATCTAACATAGGGGAGGTTTTTTTTTTTAAACATCTCACACTGTGCAGTATCAACTTGACTTCTCAACACAGGTTTTCCACTGAAATATACAAATTAAAACAAATGGAAGCCAGAATAAAAAATGATAACAATTTTATTTCTCCCTTCTCAGGAAGATCTTAAGAGCAGCATGAAAGTAAATGTTAAAAGAAAAAAAAAAAAAAAAAGAAGAGGCCAAAAATCATCAGCTGAATGTATTAAAAATGAAGCGCTCACCTGAGAAAGACCACCCCAAAACTGTCTGAAGGCCCCCAAACAGCTAATTAGTTTTGTTTTCTCATCTTCAGGAGTATCCATAAACATGCTAAAAAAATAAAAATTACATTATTTGTCATTCGTTTTAAAAAGGTAATTACACACAATCAGAATAGTGGATCTTATAACCTTCCAACACGAAACTAAGTAAAATCTGACAGACACAATCACATAAAAACACAAAACTCTGCCACGCATACACTCACCCAGGAAAAGCCTCTTCTATAACTTCCGTTTTCTGTAAAAAAAAAAAAAACAAAATGTAAACAATGTTAATTTTAAAAAGGCGCCTCCCTTAGCCAAGTATTACAATGTAACACAGGGCAAGTCACCTTAATCAGCTCTGAAACTATCAATACCTGTCTGGCCTGTCACTGTATCGATTTCAAAGGATACAATGAACTTGACAGCAGTTTGAGAATCACTAAACTTCCCCGCATACAACCTCGGTGTCAAAACAAGGGAATAAAAAGGGAGGCGTGAGAGGAGGTTGCCCAGGCCAGTTTCCTTGGTCGGCTGCCCCCGCGTCTCCCCGTCCCCAAGCCGTAGTCCTGGATGGCCGGCAGCTGCACTCACCACCACCTCTTCGAAAATGCTCTGCAGTTGCGTCTCCATCTGTACTATCACCCCCGCCTTTCCAGGGTGCCCGGCAAGGCCCGGATCAGACTCGAGCTCTGGGAATATAGGGGCAGAGGGGCGGAGACCTCTGGAGGAAACCGTAGCTCCTCGGCGTCGCTTCCTCCCCCAGCGCTTTACCTGGAGCGTTCCCTCCCGAGCCCAGCCAACAGCAGGAACCTGTACGGAAGACGGGAAGGGCCCGGTACGCGCCGTTTGCAAACCCCGCAGAAACCAGCGGCGCCACCAGAAGGTTCCGTCTGTGGAGAAGGGCGGCCCGCAAGCCGGACGAGAGCGCCCCCAAACGGAACCTTGAGCCCAAGGACCCCGGAGGCATCGTCGACCGCAGGCCGCCACCTCCCGGCTGGAGAAGGAGTTGCTTCCTGTTCGGGGCTAACCCGCTTGCAGACTGAGAAATGAAAAGTTTGGAACCCAGAAGCTGCAGCCTGCGGAAAATGCTGGAGCCGCAGCCGACACCAAGTTGATGTCTGTGAGCAGCTGACCTTCTGGACCTCCATCAGCGGCCTGCAGCCAGGAGCTGAAGCCACAGAGACGGTGTCTTCTCAGCTATGATAACCTCAGTGCAAATGTAATTGATTGACTTTTGAATGCCAAACCAATTTTGCTTCTATGGTATAAATGCTACTTGGTCATAATATATTATCCTTTTTAATATATTGCTAGATTCTATTTGCTATTATATTGTTGAGAGTATGTGTTTTTCTTCATATGCCACCATCATCACCAACCCCTAAAACATCTGTTATGTCTTGAATGATCAGCTTTCTTTGCCTCATAAAGAAAATTGTTGATGAGAGTCATAGACATCCAAAGGCCTTTCACTTCTTTGACGGTTGTGAAATGCCACAAACTGCTAAGCATGAACTACTCCTTTGTAGCTGCTAAGTGATGAGCTGATGACTCCCCATTCATGGTTTTGTTATACAAGTGTCTGACCTGGCATAAATTTAGTTTTCTAACAACTTTAATATGCACATGCAACCATGTTGTCCACACAATAGCTACTAAAAGCTGAAAAGAAATAATTCAGATTTCCTGCTGGAGAAAAACTTGAAAAGTTAGGCTTAGGGTATTGTTTGCTAGGGTTGCCATAACAAAATACCACAGACTGGGTGGCTTAAACAACAGAAATTTCTTTTCTTGTAATTCTGGAGGCTGGAAGTCTGAGGTTGAGGTTGATAGGGTTAGTTTCTATAGAGGCCTCTGTCCTTGGCTTGTAGATGACCTTCTTCTCCTTGTGTCTTCACATGGTCTTCCCTTTGTACATGTCTGTGTCGTAATTTTCTCTTCCTAGAAGGACATCAGTCAGGTTAGGGCCCATGTATCTACTCTAAAGAGCTTTAGCTTAGTTGAAGACATAGACATTTTAAACCATAATAGAGTGTGATATGTGCAATACTAGTGATGCTAATAAAGTGCCAGGGAGAAAAGGAGGAAATACAAATTTTTCTACAGAAAGGAATTTAGAAAGATACCTAGGGGAGTTTGCTTAGATTGCTGTGAACAGCATACTATAAACTGGGGGGTAATTTGAGTCTGAGCAAACTGAAAGCTGAGAATTCAGGCTTCTTGTTCCATCCTTGTCCTATCAGGATTTAGAGTGGGGGACTAAAGAGCCAACTGGAAACTCTGAGCAGCTGGGCAGGGCTTATCAACTTTGAGCATCTTTATAGTGTGTTCTGGGGACATTGTTTCTTGGAGAATCCCCAAAGTTGGTATCATCAGGTCTTTCCCCTTAGGCTGGTCTGAATCACCAAGGAAGATACATCTAATCTCTTACAAGTGGGTAAAGTTCTGACTGGCTGCCAACCTTCTTGCAGCCAAAAGGAACAAGAAGCCTGATCTCTTACAAGTGGGTAAAGTTCTGACTGGCTGCCAACCTTCTTGCAGCCAAAAGGAACAAGAAGCCTGAGTTCTCAGCGTTCAGTTTGCTGAGACTCGAATCACCCCAGTTTATAGTATGCTATTCACAGCAGTCTGAGCAAACTCACGTAGATATCTTTCTAAATCCCTTTCTGTAGAAAAATTTGTATTTCTTCCTCTTTCCTCCTGGCACTTTATTAGCACTACTAGTATTGCACAGATTACACTATATTATGGTTTAAAATGTCTACTTCTTCAACTAGACTAAAGCTCTTTAGAGTAGATACAGAAATTAAACATGCCTGCATTTCCTAACACCTGGCATAAAGTCTGGTACTTGGTGGTGCTCAGTCATTATTCATTACTTTGGGTAGAATAAAAACATCTGAAGTGCCTTTATTTTATGGACAAGACTTCCTCTGAGGTAATAGCTATTTCTGGAATGCTGGATGTAGAGAAAGATTTGGAACACCTACAAAGTTATACCTAGTAAAGTTATTATAATTTATAACAGTTGGGTTCACTGGACATTTATGTATGTGGTAGCTTATACTTCTAATGTTATTTCTGAAACCGTTACAAAATTTATTCAGCAAGTGTTCATTGAATGTCTTCTAGGTGTTGGCCACTGTGCTAGACACTAGAACAAGACTGTAAGCTCAAACTGACCTAGTTCCTGCCACCACGGAGTTGACACGGCAGAGAGGAGTTTAAAGGTTTGGGGAAATAACTTGGTTCATGCCAGGTTTCAGAGATGTAAACAGTACGTGGCCTGTACCTTCTGCTTCATGGATGGGCACCGTGGGAGCACTGTGACACTGAGCTCTACCTCGGAGAGCCCAGGCAGCATGGTTGTTTTATAATGTCTCTTCTGGAGACATCTCTAGAATTTGAGTCATAAATGAGGCCCTCATGAGTACACTAAAAATGAGAAGAGCCTATGAAAACCTGGAAAATGTTTGGAAATCCAAAGATTTCTGAGTTTCAAAATGAACAAGAAAGGGCTCCTAGAAATCTAACACTACTAGGGAATATTTCTGTACTTGAGACAAAGTAAGAGAAACAGTCTTCCATGAACCAGAGACAACCTTAGGAATGCTGATCGTTCAGTAGAAAACAATTGCTACACCACAGGAGTCATCACATCAGGTTTCTCATCTCCAAATTGATTATAGATGTTCATTGTGCTGATCAGTAATGAGATTTTTACTTATTTAGTCAGAAAATATCTTTTCACACACATAGGTACTGGCAAACAGCGGTATCAAACTGTGACCATTGATTCTACTTTGCCATAGTCATTGTTTGGAGGACTAGAGCTGGGCTCTCTATTCCATGCTGGGTGTCTGCTTTGTCTCCTGGTGTGTACCATTGCCTCTCAGACCTGGTTTGGCACTGCTGACATCAGTCTCACCAAGACAGCCAGTTCTCAATTCAGCTTCAGTGTTGGATCTCCACTTGCTGAGGATTAGCTTCTGTCCTTCCTATACCAACTGCCTACCTGGTTAGCTTTCTGATTGCTTTGTGTGCTTGTCAATCTCCTTGTAGGTTTTTCTGCTTTTTCCTCATGACTGGCCCTCCCTGAAGTTAGTCACCTGCCCATCTATCTCTGGCATTATGTTATTATGTGAGGTCTCCCTTCCTTTGTGGACTCCTTCTTCCTTTTGCTGTTGGACCTGAGCCTAGCATCCGCCTCACCTCTACCACCCTCCTCAGTGCGATTAGTTTCTCTGGGCTCTCCCAGTCTAGCTTGTCCACCTATCACCCAAGATCTAGCACTGGAACCAGGAAGGGCAGGTTCCTGAGACAAAGAAGTTGATGTTGGCAGGCCCCTAGGGCTTTTCTGAGACAACAACAACCCATTTGTTGCCAGAATTCTGTGGACACTGAGACCTTCTGTAACATGAGGAATGTTTACGGTTTACATTGATGGGTGATGTAATGGTAGCTGCCTCTCAGAATGCAAGCGTTCTAAGCCATTAACTTACTTACAAATTACTCTGAACATTTTAATGTTCAGAGTAAAGTTTCAGAACCAAGAAGGTACAGGTTGTTCTGAAGTTGAAGAAGAAAAGAAGAGAAGGTACAGATTGTTCTAAAGTTAAAGAAGAAAAGAATAGGCAAACTTTCAAGGTCCAGTTAACTTAGAAAGTGTAGGTTCAGATTTAAGTGACACAGGCAGTCTATTCCAAAGTCTAACTTGCATGGAAGGTGTGGTTTTGGCTTGTGTCTATTGATCAGGTGAACTGTTAAGTTTCTTTCTTTCTTTTTTTCTTTCTTTTTTGAGATGATGGTCTTACTCTGCTGCTCATGCTGGAATGCAGTGGTGCCATCATAGCTCACTACAGCCCCAAACTCCTGGGCTCAAGCAATCCTCCCCATATTCTCCCACCTCAGCCTCCCGAGTAGCTAGGACTACAGGCATGCACCATAACTCCTGGATAATTTTTTATTTTTCATTTTTTGTAGAGACAGGGTCTCACTATGTTGCCCTGGTGGGTCTTAAACTGACATAAGTGATCCTCCTGCCTCAGCCTCCCAAAGTGCTGGGATTACAGGTGTGAGCCACTGCATCCAGCCAGGAATAAGTTTCTAGAACTTGAAAGACTCAAAAGAGGTTGGGGTTTAGAGTTCAGTTAGAGAAATTGTTATAGCCAAAAATATGGCTAGCAACTTGGCAATGCCAACCATCTTCACTATACCTACTTGTATTATACATAGGTAGATTCCTTGAGGTTTATTCATCTTAGGACCTGAAGGACTAGGATGTGTCCCTATTATCATATCCAAAATTTAGTGACTTAGAGATAATCTAATAATCTCTGATAATTCTTAAAAATGAAGAATTCAATGTCCAGAATCACTTAATTTGTAACACAGACAGTCACTTACAAGCTAAGCCTTTATCAGAGGCCCCCTGACTTCCCCACCTAGGATTTTTTTGTGTGTTTTTCAGGGTTGAAAGGGGATAGGGATATACTCACTATGTACCCACAATTTTTTTAATTAAAAAAAGAGAAAAGGGATGAGGGATGAGGATGAAGGAAGAGAGAAGTGAAATTCTGGCAGTGTAGAACATAAGGAATCACTTAGTAAAGATACAGAGTAAGAGTCAGTAGTATGTTGGTGATATGGTTAGGCTTTGTGTCCCCACCCAAATCTCATCTTGAATTGTAGTCTCCACATGTTGAGGGAGGGAAGTGATTGGATTCTGGGGGTGGTATCCCCCATACTGTTCTCATAATAGTGAATTTTCACGAGATCTGATGGTTTTATAAGTGTTTGACGGTACCTCCTATGCACACATTCTCTTCTTTCTCCCGCCACCACGTGAAGAAGGTTCTTACTTCTCCTTTGCTTTCCACCATGATTGTAAGTTTCCTGAGGCCTCCCCAGCCATGTGGAACTGTGAGTCAATTGAAGCTCTTTTCTTTATAAATCACCCAGTCTCAGGTAGTTCTTTATAGCACTGCGGAAACGGACTAATATACTTGGTATACAAAACTGGTATAGAATCAAGTTACATTTTGGAGAATACCAGGAAGAAGCATCTGAAAGGGCAATTGGAGTGTCAGAACCAGGTTAAGAGCAGGCTCTGTGGCACAATGGATAGTTCATTGGACTTTTGCCTACATTGAAAGAATGAGGTTAAGCTCAACAACTAATGCTGATGCTTTCGCTGGTTAGGCCTATAGGTGGAATTCATGAAGTTGGGGGAATACCTCACTAATTTTTAATTTTTCTAATTCTGAAGCCCAGGCTCACCTGATTGTGGCAGTGGGGAATGTCCAAAATATGTAGGACCGGGCAGGCCGGCAACTCAGGCTAATGCTGCTGTTTTAGGAGTGAATTTTTTCTCTGGTAAGCCTGTTTTTGCTCGTAAGGACTTCAACTGATTGGATGAGGCGCGCTCTCACATTATTGAAGACAATTTCCTTTTTTAAAGTCAATTAATTATAGTTGTTACCATATCTACAAAATATCACAACATCACCCTAGATTAGCGTCTGATTAAATAACAGGATAATATGGCCTAGCCAAATTGACACACACAGCCAATCATCACAGCAGGAAGGAAAAGTAGGATCCCCAGCAACTAGAGGTAAGGCAGAGTCAGTGCACTGCTATGAGTGCAAGTAGGCAATCAGAACCCAGAAACCCATAAAAATGGAAGGCACATAACAAATGATTAGATAAAAGCCATAGATCCTAGGAATCCCCTAAATTTGAGACAAATTATGACATAGGTTTGGTCTTTGTTTTTAAAAAATCATAATGATTCAACAGCAAAATACTTTGAAGAAGGAACCTGGTGGTATTTCACTTCTGAGATATCACTAAAAGAATTGTGCGTAAGTGACCAAGTCCCTTTGGTGGTCCTCCGACCTTATCTGTAAAATCCAAAAGTCTGATTAGAATAATGACAGGATGTTTGCAGAAAAGAATTTGAATGTAAAGTGTTTAGACTGCTCTGGGCTGCATATCAAATCACTAAGAGGGATATTTATTTATTTATTTGTTTGTTTGTTTGTTTGTTTATTTTGAGACAGTCTCACTTTGTTGCCCAGGCTGGAATGCAGTGGCATGATCTTGGATCACCACAACCTCTGCCTCCCAGGCGCAAGCGATTCTCAAGCTTCGGCCTCCCAAGTACCTGAGATTAGAGGCACCTGCCACCATGGCCAGCTAATTTTTGTATTTTTAGTAGAGATGGGGATTCACCATGTTGGCCAGGCTGGTCTCAAACTCCTGACCCCAGGTGATCCACCTGTCTCAGCCTTCTAAATTCTGGGGTTATAGGTGTGAGCCACCATGCCTGGCTAATTTTTGTATTTTTAGTAGACATGGAGTTTCACCATGTTGACTAGGCTGGTCTGGAACTCCTGACTCAGGTAATCCGCCCGTCTCAGCCTTCCAAGCCTTTCAAAGTGCTGGGATTACAGGTGTGAGCCACCACTCCCGGCCGGGATATTTTAAAAATACTGCTGCCTTAGCCAAAACTACAGAAGATCATTAAACTGAAGTGGAGCCTGGGCTTCAGAATTAGAAAAATAAAAACTTAAAAAAAAATACTTCTCTGAGTACTTCTAAGTTCATCCAGTGTGGAGAGTCAGGTGCCCAAATTATTCAAATTTTTTTTTATTCTGGTTTTTAAGCACATAATACTCCATGTGATTCCTGGAAAGAAATCTGCAAGAACCTGGATTTGGTTGTCTTTATGGCATCTTCTAGTTCTAAAATGAATTCCTTCTGTACCAACAACTAATGCTGATACTTTTGCTGGTTAGGGATATAGGTGGAATTGGTGAAGTGGGGGTATACTGGACCAAGGGAGTGATGGAAAAGATGAGCACAAACCCATAACGCCAGAAAAGGAAACGTGGCTCTCATGCTGCAGATTTATATTTTATTTATTTTTATTTTTTCATTTTTTTATACTTTTGAGACAGGATCTCACTCTTGTTGCCCAGGCTGGAGTGCAGTGGGGTGATCATGTGGCAGGCCAGGTCTCACAAACAGGCAGGCCTCCATAATAACTGTTTCAGCACTGACTGAATGGTTAGGTTAAATATTAAAGGCTGAGAGAGCCAGTGCCCTTACACAAAGTCCAGAACAAGTAACAAAGGCCCACCAAGACTCTTTCCCAGGCCTTCCTGGGCCTTGAAGCATGACAAGATAACGAAGGAATACTCACACTCCTTGTGACAAGACAGTCTTCGGGAGATTCCCAGCAGCTGCCGGGTGAGGTTTTCCTGGAGACTCTCCCCAGGGCTATCCCATGTGCAAAACCACACGTCCCTCTCCCTACTGGGGAATAACGGAGATCGGGGTGGACGCGCTCAAAGGGTAAAACCAGATTTATGCCAGGAGCCTATTATTTTCCCATCTGGGCTTGTTAAGCCATTTGCCTGGTACTGCCAGGGAAGCAATAGGGCTCGCTTATACACCTGCTTTGCATTTGGTTAAGATCAGGTTTTGAGTGGGTTTTGAGTCTGTTCTGCCCGAGTGCACCCCCTCTCTTGTCTTTGTCTGAAATCTGTCTCTGCTTGTTTGTGTATCTGTCATGGCTCACTGCAGCCTCAAACTCTGGCCTCAAGGGATCCTCACACCTCAACCTCTCCAGTAGCTGGGACTATTGGCATGCACCACCATGCCTGGCTAATTTTTGTTGTTGTTGTTATAGAGACAGAGTCTCCCTATGTTGCCCCGGCTGGTCTCAAATTCCTGGACTCAAGCAATCCTCTTCCCCCTGATTTTCAGAAATAGTGTCTAAATTCTATGATTTAGACATGTTTAGTTAGAGTAGTGATGCAGTCATTGTATTTATATTAGAATACATTCTTTTCATATTTTTTTTCTCACTGCTTTTAGGGTTGGAAGAGTTTAGTTAGTTAGAGTAGTGTTTTCCAAAGGGTGTACTGCAGTCTACAGGATTTTGATAATCTTTTCATTAGAGGAGTATTCAAGCTTTATTTAACCAAGGGGGTTGTCATAGAACTCATGTTCCATGGAACCAAACTTTGAGAATCACTGCCTTAGGGTCACTGAAACTAGAAGAGTTTAGCATCCACTATTTGCTAAAATTCTCTTTGACCAACACTATTATTAATTTAGCTTCTTTCATCACCAAACTGTAACCCCTTTTCAGCATGGAGTACACATGCTAGGATGCACCAGTCTAGATACATAAGAAAATAGTGAATTTAAATTGATTAGTGAAAATTGCTTGGATTTGGGGAGTTAGAAGTCTTGGGTATCAGTTCTAGTTCTGGCACCTAGTAAATAATTTTGAGCAATAAGTCATATATAATAACTTAATTTAAATAATCAGAGCCTTAATTTGCTCATCTAAAAACAAGAATAAAATGTTTATAAGGGATATTTTTAAGTTTGACTTGAGCTAATGTGTATAAAAACTTGTCAAATTGTGAACACTGTAAAAAGCAAGATATAATTATCACAGAACTAAGTACTTTATATTGGTTCAGCAGAGTTTCAGAATTTCTACTGTTGTCAAAGCACATGTTTTGCTATGTTGATTTTCAGCTGCTATGAAGTTTATAGAAAAGCGGAAAGTCTGAAATTTCTGTGACAAGGCTTTTTGTTCGGGGTTATTTTTAAAGAAAACAGAAGATCGGATTGCATTAAAATTTGATGATTGTGTTATTCTTGTTATATATGTCTTGACTAGTATTTAGTAAAAGTTATAAGGAAAAAAGGAGCAGTTGTCTGCAATATACTAGAAATGAACTTTAATCTTTTCACACGATTCTTATTACAACATTTTTTCCTCTCTCCAGATTGCCCAATCACTGAAGAGCTGTGATCTTCCTAAACAGTTAAAAGTCAGGCACAGCTATGTAACTCATACAGTTTCTCTTTGCCAGACTAGACTAAAGAAGGAGCACTAATTTATTCTGATAAAACAGGTCTATGCAGCTACCAGGACAATGGAATCTACGTTGACTTTAGCAACGGAACAACCTGTTAAGAAGAACACTCTTAAGAAATATAAAATAGCTTGCATTGTAAGTACAATTCTTATTTTTAGTCTTTCTAGTTTTGTGACAAATGTTAAAAGTATATGATTTCCCATTTACATTTCTTTGTGTTGCTATTAAAATGTAAACTTTTAAGTAACTGTATTCAGTATTATCCCTTATGAAAACTCTAATGCAAATTAATATCTTAAATCATATTTTACACGTAAGAAATTTGAGTAACAACAAGTTAACATTACGTTAAACTCAAAAGTTGGAATCCATGACAGAACGCTTTGTGGCGCTGATTTTTTGCATGATTATAACTACCTCTCAATCACTTTTTTATTGCATGAGTATTTTAAGACAAGAAAGTGAGAAATTAAAATCATTGTACCCTATTATTTGCTGAACCAACAATTGTATCCTATTTTACTTCACTCCTAGAGATAGTCTCTTTTGCCTATTTTCTCTCTCTTGTCATTTCATGTGGTAAGATCTGCCACCCCCCCTCACCCCCCAAATAAATTTTCCTTGATTTTATTTTCTTTTTTCTTTTTTTTAATTTTAAATTTTTTTCTTTTTCTTTTTACTCCAGAAATACGCTTATCCATTTCCTTGATTTTATTACTCTCTCTTTTCCCTTTGCCATCAAACTTTTGGGGTAAAGAGGGCTCATTTCATTGCTTCAGTTTTCTCAGCCCCCAACCATTCCTTTGTGCTCTGGCTTTGTTTCTACTGTACTGAGTCCCTGACTCAAAAGTCAGTCCTCCTCGTCCTTCATCCACTTGAGTGTTCATAACAACAATAACTTCCTGGTACTTTCTCATTCTGAATTATTCTCTCCCCTTGCTTCTACCATGACATTGACATTTTCATTTTATGACTTTTTTCCTTATCTGCATTCTTAGCCAACAATTTATCTTTATTCTCATGAAAATTACAACACAAGCTTCACTAAACCCTATCTAAGATCTCTTAAGAAATCTCATGTTCTCTAATAGTCTTTTTAATTTTAATTTTATTTTTGAGACAGGGTCTCTCTCCTTTGGGATCTCACCTCACCACAACCTCTGTTTCCCAGGCTCAAGTGATCCTCCTGCCTCAGCCTCCTGAGTAGCTTGGACCACAGGCACATGCCACAAGGCTCAGCTAAGTTTTTGTGAGTTTTTTTCTTTCTTTTCTTTTTTTTGTAGAGACTGGGTTTCACCATGTTGCCCAGGCTGGTCTCAAACTCCTGGATCAAGTGATCTACCTGCCTCGGCCTCCCAAAGTGCTGGGACTACAGGCATGAACCACTGCACCTGGCCTCTAGTGTTTTCCTCAGCCAAGAATTCCAAGTAATCCACCAGCTCTGACTTTTTGCCCAGCCTCTGTCACACAATTTCTTTTTTTTTTTAATTTTATTATTTTGGTAATATGTGTATTTTTAGAGACTGGGTCTCGCTATGTTGCCCAGGCTGGTCTTGAACCCTGGGCTCAAGTGATCCTCTCATTCAGCCTCTTGAGTAGCTGGGGACTATGTGTGTGCCCCAGTGCACTAGCCTGTTTCAAATGCCTGCTTCCTGACTCCTGACTCAGTACCTTACACCAAAACTAATTGCATTATTTTTTCACACCAATCTTGCCGCAGCTTTTCCCTATATCCCATATTTTAAGGTCACCGCTATTCTCTGTCTCTCCAGAATTGTTTCAAGAAGTAAATAAAATAATGTAAAACAATGTGTGTAAGTATTAAGCCTAGTAACAAAGTAAATCCTCAATATATTCCATTTATTCTTTATCCTTCTGAGAATTTCAATTTCAGAGTGCTCTTTATAGCTCTTATGCTAATATATATATATATATATATTTTTTTTTTTTTCTCTCTCTCTTTTTTTTGGAGACATGTTCTCGCTCTGTTGCCCAGGCTGGAAGACAGTGGCATGATCATGGCTTGCTGCAGCAACTCAGGCTCCAACTTTGGCTCAAATGATCTTCCCATCTCAGCCTCCCGAGTAGCTGGGACTTCAAGCATGTTTATTATATTTATCCTAGCTTATCAATTCAGGAAATTATAAAATCTTCCACAGCAAAATTTGTGCATCATTAATTTCCCTTCTTTGTATCTCTCTAGTGGTTTTTGAGTATATATAATGAAGTTCAATATTTTTAAATCATTGTTTCAAAAGTACCCTGATGTCTTCAAACTTTTACTAAAGTTTCACTTAAACATTTTGAAGGTATCTGCTGTGTTTCTAGCACTCTTTGTTTAGCCCAGTTAAAGCCAAATGATGTGCTCTCAGCAGTTTTTGATGTTCAGAGTATTCTCCCCACTTTGTGCACAGTGTAACATAGTTTAAGATACATGTGCACCCCAATATCAAGAAGCTTTTTTGGAATTACATATTTATAGTAAATGATTATAAAGGCTTAAAAATAAACTTCTTAGGCGGGGCACAGTGGCTAGTGCCTATAATCCCAGCACTTTAGGAGGCCGAGATAAGAGGAGCTCTTGAGGCCAGGAGTTCCATACCAGCCTGGTCAACATAGTGAGACCTCCAACTCTAAATAATAATAATAATAATAAATAAATAAGCCTTTTACTCTCAAGGAGCTCACAGAATAATGTAGAAAACAAGCCACAAATATATGGAACAAATACAAAAATTATGAAGAAACAGATTCTAACATTAAATATTGTGAAGTTTTAAAGCATCTTAAGAACAGCTAGATGTTGTTGATTTTTCTAGCAAGTTTGAACAGCAAAAGTACCACAGATAAGGTGTAAACCAAAATATGTTAATTTGTAAGTCTATGATGTGTGAGGTTTACCAGAAGGAGTTCCCCAACGTTGTTTTTCTGCTTTGTAGTCACTCTAGTTTCAGTCGACTGTGTCTTCTAAGCACCATGACAAGGGAGGAACTGCTAATGGTGTTATTTAGTAAATGCTTATGTTCATTTTTTCCTCTCCATCCTCTCCACTGAATGAACATGTACTGAAAGGTCACTGACCCTTGAGCTAACTTTGAGACTTCATATAAGAATTGTTTTCTTAGTATTGTAACATAGCTTCCCAATTGTTGAATTCACTTCCATTGTAAACATTAGATGTGTTAATTTTCCAGTTGACTTTCAGAATGAAAACAATCCTCAAAAAAATAATTTATGTACTTCTTAATTATCTAAGCAAAATCTGATGTTTTTTTCTTTTGTGAAAGTTATTTTTTGTGTCTGAAACTATAACAAAGGTTATTGTAAAATACTTTCCTAAGTAATTTGATTACGTGTCTTTCTGCCATTCTTTATGACAACATACAGTATTCAAGCCCTGTCATCCAGCATGCTTATCTCTGGACTTCATGGAAGAGGAAAGAGGGCAGCTAGAAGAATTCTTTTTAATTATATCATAGTTTAATCTAATCATAGCATAAAGTTCGTTACACCAAAGGGCTTTGTCAGCAGAGCGATAATGAATGACATAAACAATCTTTGGTCAGGCAGTTTCCAAATTATCCTAAGTGGTTTGTATGAGTGGAAGACCAAAACAGATTATTTGCTAGTTAACTATTTGGACAATGTATTTTTACGTATGTTAAATATTATTATCATCCTGTGATAGAGTAGGAAAAAAAGCCCTGCTCCCTTAGAATGAGGCAGTTAAGGATTTAACAGTTCTGCAATTCTTTTCAATAAATGATCACAAATGGGTGCCTGGTTTAAAAAAAATGGCCCAGAAAAATGGTTTTATGGTTTTAATTCTTAACTTTAACTCAATTTGCAGTTAAGTTCATTGCATTTGAATGGTAAATGTGTTTGAATTTGAAGATCTGTAATAAATGGTATCTTTAAATTCTGCCAAAATATTCTTTCTTAATTTCAAGCATTAAATAAAATACTATACCTCCAGTTAGGCCAGATACTAGATCATTGTTGGATCTGGTATCTGGCATAACTAGTACGCTGCAGGTACTTAGAGAGAATACTGAGAAAGGGTGGTTATTTGTATCTTTGTAATTTTTTAAAAAATTATAAAAGTTACTTTTTCCTTTTTGCAATAGGTTCTTCTTGCTTTGCTGGTGATCATGTCACTTGGATTAGGCCTGGGGCTTGGACTCAGGAAACTGGAAAAGCAAGGTATACCCCTCAGCCTTTTCTCAGAACATTCCCTTATTTCTTCTCTCTTCTGGCCTTAATTCATTAAAATGTATCTCCCATCCCAAGCCTCCTCTGTCCTCCATGCAGCATTCTGCTTCTAGACATCTCCCTTTCCCCACTCTACTTATCGGGAGTCCACATCTGAGGTTGGCATTGCTCACTGTACTTTCTGGACTTTACTTTTTCACCCTGCTCATTTGAGACTCATTATCATTCCAGTGTTTTTCTCTTACCTTTCTCCACCCTGGTTTTTTTTTTTTTTTTTTTTTTTTGGCAAGATCTCACTCTGTCTCTCAGGCTGGAGCACAATCTCCACTCACTGCAGTTCCTCCCTGCCCTCAGGTGATCCTCCCATACTTGAGCCTCCCAAGTAGCTGGGACCACAGGTGTGTGCCACCACACCCGGCTAATTTTTGCAGTTTTAGTAGAGATGGGGTTTCACTACATTGCCCAGGCTGGTCTCGAGCTCCCGGGCTCAAGTGATCCACCCACCTCAGCTTCCCAAAGTGCTGGGATTACAGGTGTGAGTTGCCGCGCCTGGCCCTTCTTCATCTTTATAATGGACTTTGGTAAGTGGATCACAGCCTTTTCATTCTGCTCCCACTGTCATTTTCAACATCTGATGACAAAGTATCTAGCCACTTAGTCTTGAAAGTCTTTGTTGCTTCATTCCCATGACCTCCTGCCACCACCCTGTACCTTGACACCACGCTAGAGTTGTTCTACCCCTAAAATCTCCTGGTTCTTGATTGGACAGTGCCAAATTCTTGAAAAGTAGTGCATAATAATATCTTCAAAAATTTTTTTCTTATAAGAAGCAAAGAAAAATAGGAGAAATATGTCCCAAAATATAAAATACCTCACATTCCTTTTGCTATATTTCATTATTATGGAGAGTAAATGCACCACTTACAAATGACAATATAAAAAGAATTACCTATAATCTTTTTACATATTGTTTTGTTACTTTTACTAAGGTGAAGTATGAAGCCAGTTGCTAGATCATTCATGTCCCCCCGCTTTTTGTTGTTTGTTTTTTGAGACAAGGTCTCACTTTGTTGCTCAGGCTGAGTGCAGTGGTGTGATCACAGCTTACCGCAGCCTCGATCTCCTGGGCTCAAGTGATCCTCCCACCTCGGCCCCCCAGGTACCTGGTATACAGGCATGCACTACCACACGTGGTTAATTTTTTAATTTTGTGTAGACATGGGGTCTCACTACGTTGTCCAGGCTGGTCTTGAACTCCTGGATGCAAGTGATACTCCTGCCTTGGCTTCTTTTAAGCATTGGGATTGCTGGTGTGAGACACTGTGCCCAGCACCCTCACCCTATTTTTGCCTTTGTAAAATTTTTATGAGCAATAATCATACCTCAAATAAACCTCATTGGCTACTATACTGCCAATGCACAAAGCTCTGGCCCCATTTTTAAATTTGACTAAAACCTTCTAGTGTGACTCCAGTGGAGTAAGTCTCATTGCTGCAGCATTAGGAAGCCTCAGTAAGGTTAACTGATAATTTTCCAGTCATGTGTCTACTTGAGAAACACTCAGCTTCCCTAGTATGACCTAGGAGCACAGTAGAACTGAAAAGTTGAATAATTGCTGGAAGATTACTATCTTCTCTTGTCACTTGGCTGTTGTGTTTCTGGGCCATAGTGCCAGTCCTTGATCAAAGAAATGTTGACAGGCCATTTCAGTGGTATTGTTTTGATGTTAGTACACACAAATGGGCATCACTTCTTGGCTATTTTACCCCCTAAATCACATAAATTGATTGCAGAAGGCATATCTAATGTCTGAACAAAACCTCCTTTTGTTCCAGCTCTTTCATTCACTTTAGTACACCCATTGGCTGGCTTCCCGGAGTCATTTTTCCTTGTCCTCGTCCTTTCATCTGAGTTGATCAGCCCTATGTGGCAGCATGCTCTTCCCTCTCCCTGGCAGGGCATTGGTAATTAACTCCAGCCCCTTTTTGCCAGCATCCTTAACATAGTCATCCTCTTTATTACTCATTTTTCCACCGCATCTATTCTCCTAAACCCCAACCCTGGGTCATTTTCACCATTTTCCACTCCAGTTAACTCACCTTCCATAGGCAATATGTATTTTTTCTAATGTGAGTTTTAAAATTTGTGCATGTTCTTACAGATTTACCGTCATGACTACACGTATTTTTTGATTGAACATTATGTGCTTGGTATTATTACAATTACTGGAGATGAAGTGGTGAAGACAAGAGACAAAATCCTTCCAGGAGTTTATATTTTAGCATGCAAGACAGACAATAAAAATATAAATAAACAAAATATGTATATAATAAGATAAAGTGCTAAGAAATAAGTAAAGCCCAAAAGAAGGAATCAGGGTCGTCTGTGTGTGTGTGTGTGTGTCTGTGTGTGTGTGTGTGTGTGTGTGTGTGAAATAACTTTTGAGTAATGACTGAAGGAAGTGAGACAGAAACATAGGGATAGGTTGGGGAGGAACATTCCAGGTCAGAAGGACTATCAAGTGCAAAGGCCAAAGGCAGGACCTTGCCTGGCATGTTCCATTTAAGGAATAACAAAGAGGCCATGAACTAGAACTAAAAGGACTAGAGGGAGGTGGTCATAAAATGAGATCTACTAAATAAAGAGGAACCCGATCAAGTAAAGGTTAGTATGTCAAAGCCTGGTCTTCAACTTTCATTCTGAGTGTGACAAGAACTGATTGCAGGATTTGGGCAGAGGAATGATATGCTCTGGTTTGCTTTTTAATAGAATCCCTAGGGCTGCTGTGTTATGAATAGATAGTAGAGTGAGAGCAGAAGTAGAGAGACCAATCAGGAGATTATTCCAATAATCTGGGTAAGCCTTATGTCTTAAACCAGGGCAGTAGCATTGTAGCTGGTAAGAAGTATTTGGATTCTGGATCTATTTTGATGGGGTAGATAGATTTTATTGAAAGACTGGATTTAGAGTAAGAAAGAGGAGTCAAGAATGACCCCAGAATTTTTGTATGAACATCTGGAAACATGAATTTCCATAACTGAGTTGGGGCAGATTGTAGAAGGAGCTGGTTTGGGGAGAAAAATCAGGAGCTCAGTTTTGGACCTGTTAAATTTGCTAGTTCTATTGGATGTCCAAGCGCAGAAGTCAAGAATGTAGTTGAACATATGAGGCTAGCTTTAGAGGTGAAGTCCTGCCTGGTCATGTACTGTGGTGCTTGTCAGCATATGTGGGATTTAAACCATGAGACTGGGGTAGAACAACCTTAAAGAATTGGGGAGGTGAAGGGGAAAAGCAAAGAAAACTAGGAAGGAGTAGCCAGGAATGTGAGAGGAAAGCCAGGTAACTATTGTGTTCTAGAAACCAAGTGCAGAAAGGTTTTATAAGGGGAGAGTGTATGAAAAAACGTAAAGACCATTTATGTAAATGGTTGTGATGTATCTAAATCTACATATTTTTTTTCTAGTTTTTCATTGAGCACTTTTTGAGACCCATCAGAATTGCCATGCATACATCTGTTCTCATGCTTCTACTGTGTGTTACTCTTTGGCATGTACCCAACTTGCCAACCAACCTATGCCCTCTCTTGGTGCTGAGCACCCAAATTGGCTTTAGTTCCTCACAATCACATAAATACTGCAGGTTCCCTTATAAACCTGTGTGATAACTGCTTTGCCATAGATCAAGGAATGAAGTTTCAGGAAGTTAGGGTTTTCATCTTCTTAACTCAGGTATGTAGTCCCAGGTTGCTTTCTAGAATGGCTGCCTCAGCCTACCCTACCTTCCTTCAACTTACCTCTCCACCAGCCATTGCCATTATTCAGCTCTCTAATTTTTGGCAGTGTGCAGTTGGGTATAGAATAAAGTCTTTCATTTTAGTTTCTATTTCTCTGCCCTGTTGCTCTAATCCATGTTGGTTGCTCTCTTGGTCTGGTGGATGGTTGATATTTCCATTAGCCCATCTATTGTGTTAGATCCCATGATTTTAAAATCTCTTTCTTCTTGTTTCATTTTCTCATTTTGTTGAAGAACAACTTGATAGCTTCCTAAAACAGGATGCATGAGAGAGATAACTTGAATCTTTGTCTATGTAAAGACGCATCATTCTAACCTAACACTTGACAGTTTGGCTAGGTGTTGAATTCTAAGATGGAAATACTTTGTTTTTCTAGAAATCTGAAGGTATTACTTTACTGTCTTATAGTATCCAGAGTTGCTTTTAATACATTTGGTATTTTAATAAATTTCTGATTAGTGATCCTTTGTAGGTTGCTCATGATCTCTCTGTGGAGGCTTTCAATATCTCTTAATCCTATTGATCTCTTAGTGTGAGTTTTGCCCTGGGAAACTTGGTGGGCAACTATGGTCTAATAATTTACGCTCTTCAATTCTGGGAAATTTTATAATATGATTTCTTTCATAACATCAACTCCATTTTCTCTTTCACTTTAAGGCCTCACCTCCCTGTTCTAAGATCAGTTAATTAGTAGCCTTAGTTACATCTGCACAGTTCCTTGGTCATGTAAGACAACAGACTTGAAGTCTCAGCAATTAAGACTTGGAATCTTCTTGTGGACCACAATTCTGCTTACCATATCTCTACTGAATTTTTCTTTACTTCCCTCATATTTTTACTTACAAGACCACCCTGAATGTGGGGTCTTTTAAAAAAATTATAGTTCTCTTTCTTATTTTGTTGACGCAGTATCTTCTCTCTTTTCTGAGGCTCTCAATACTCTGTGTGTGTGTGTGTGTGTGTGTGTGTGTGTGTGTTGTTATTTTAACTCTTTTGCTCCCTGCATTATTTCCTTTTCAATCAAGTTTTTCTTTGATGTTGTTTGTTCAGTGTTTGTCTTTCATGTAGGTTGCTATCCTGCTATCCTCAAATGTCTGGGGACCATCTGTTCATTTTCAGAGTAAGGCTTGTTTTTTCTTATCATAGTTACCCTCCTGTATGTCTGTTGTCTCTGTGATGAAAGCCACTCCTTATTCCTCCAGATTATGAGCCTCCTAGTCTGGAGTGGGAGGCAGGGTGAGTAGTGACTGCTCCACATCCAAGCTTTTACCAATTCTCCTATATTTAGCTTTGTGCCTGTTCCCCTCTTCTCTTACCTAATGACACCCTGTTTCTCTTACTTAATGACCTTTTTTCTTACCTAACGACACCCTGGGACCTCCCTTCTAGGGTCCTAGGGGAAAGCTCTTGGCTTTTTTTTTTTTTTTTTTTAACTTTTCCAGGACTCCTTCCTCTTAGGCACCTAGTTGTTGCTTCCTTCATTCTGCTATTTCTGTGTTTCAAAATTCTTTTTCTGCTTCTATCTTCGATTTGATTTAGAGTATTCATATACTTTTATAAACTGTTTTCCTCTTCTTTTTGTGAAATTTTGTGGAATTTGAGGAGATGGAAGAGGTAAATGAGTTTTATCAACCAGCTACTTTTTTTTTTTTTTTTTTTGCCTCTTGAGTAGCTAGGACTAAAGGCACGTGCCACTGCACCCATCTAATTTTTGTATGCTTTGTAGAGACGGGGTTTCGCCATGTTGCCAAGGCTTGTCTCAAACTCCTGAGCTCAGGTGATCTGCCTGCCTCGGCCTCCCAAAGTGCTGGGATTATAGGCATGAGCCACTGCACCAGGCCTCAACCAGCTACTTTTAAAGAGAAAACTGTATTCTATTTTGTAGTTTGCTGTTTTCAAATAATAACGTAAGCATTTCTCAAAATCATTAAAACCATGAACAATAATGTGTTAAAATAACTTCTACTGGCATCCAGAAATGCTTATAATGTTATTTTATGTTGATATAATAATTTAATAAATCCTCCCTTTAATGTACATTAAGACTGTTTCAGTTAAAATATGTTTGTAATTATGTATAACACTATGGAGAATATTTCTCAACATAGATCTTTGTATGTTTCTTTAGTATAAAGTCTGGAAGTGAAATGGCTGAAATCAAAGGATGTAAAGATTTTTTTAATTAATTTAAGATTTTAAACATACAAAAGTAGGAATACTAATTTAATAAATGTCTATGTATTCATCATCCCACTCTATCAATTCATGACCAATACTGTTTTATTTATACCTTTCTCCATAACCTCCTCTACATATTATTTTGAAGCAAATACTTGACATTATTTCATTTCTATAAACATTTCATTGTGTATTTCTAAAAGATAAATTTTTTTAATGTTTCATAATATTGGAGATAAATATTTTAAAGAAAATGTTCTCCACTTTGTAGATAGACTTTTCAAAGTATTATTAGTTTTGCATGGGTAATATAATCTCATTATTTATTTAAAAGGGTTTCTTCCACTGCCGTATAATAGCTATCATGTTTCCCTCCTCAGAAATAGCTAAGATTATCATCACATTATTGTATATTCTTGTAGAAATTTTATAACAGCAACTTTGTATTTGTGTTTTCATGTACTCCTTTTGCCTTTCTGTCTTTCTTTATCTCTTTCCTTAAAATTCACATTTTACAGCTTTTGCTTCATATCGTCAAATAACCTTCCTGAAAGTTGTGAATTTATACTACGAACAACTGTATATCTCATTGATTTGTTAGTAAAAAATGATCATATTTTTCTTATGTTCACTAACTTTTTACAGTGTACTTTGAAAATCATCTGAGTCTTCTGCTTGATGTTTTTTGGGGTCAAACTATAGTAGGATGAATTCAGGAGATCTAATGCTCTGAGAATTATCACTTTTAGTGCCTGTTATGTCAGTCCTCATTGTCCTTAACCTTTCTTG
Source organism: Homo sapiens (assembly GCF_000001405.40). NCBI lineage: Eukaryota > Metazoa > Chordata > Mammalia > Primates > Hominidae > Homo > Homo sapiens. Next base: position 131,648,300 of record NC_000006.12, read on the forward strand.
CATATTTTGAAAATGAGTATTCTAAAATACTGTCCTTAACCACTTCACTCCTGAGACATTTCTGTTTTGATAAGCACCTAAAATTTTTTTTGTATATGTTGTGAGGCAAGAATATCAAGAGATTCCTTACCCTATATAGCTGGCCAGTTGTCCCATTACTATGTGTTATTCACTGTTACTTTGCAGTTACCACTTAAAAATTTTTATTATATAAAGTCTCTACAATTATATCTGCATTATTTATCACTTCATCTGCAATTCCCAGCACAGTGCCTGAAACATAATGATGCTAAAATAAATATTCATAGAATAAATAAGTAAATGAATTAATTTAAAACTATGCACTGGTTTTCAAGGGATAGAAACAAGTTGTGCATAGTTGAACTTTCCTAGACACACTATTATAACCTCCTTGCCTTCAAACGACTCCTTCAGGATGCAAAGCAGAAAGCAAGTATCATAGGGAATTATAGATAATTTTCAATGGGAATGCATAGCAAGGAGAAATGATATTTAGCTGGGCACACACTCCTCGCACAATAAGAACTACAGAATTCCCATTGCTTCTTATTCCTAATATGCTGATGACTCCAAGTCAGTATCTTTAGTTTATGTCTCTCTTTCCTGAGCTTCAGACTCAAATATTCAGACCCCCTCCTAAATATGTATTTGCTTAGATATATGGAAAACTGAACTTCCCTTTTTTCAGTGCCTTTGCCTTACATTTTGGAAGTCATCCTTGGCTCATGCCTTTTCTTCACTCTTTATATAAAGCTGAACTGAAACTAATTGCACTTTAATTTCTCTTAGCTCTATTTACATCTTCCTTATGTCTACTGCTACTATCTTCCTTCAGGCCCTTATCATTTTTTTGGGGCGGGTAAAAATTTCTTGCTTAGTTCAGGAGTTTCCATCCCTACCCTACTCACCTATTTTCCAGAGTGACTTTCTAAAACACAGATCTAGTTCATTACTCTCTGCTTACTCTTTAATGGCTTCCTGTTACCAAAGGTTGGGCTTCAAGCTTCTTAGTATGGCATATGCAACTTTCCTCGCTCTAGTCCACCTCTACCTTTGAACTCTACCCCTTAGCCATCATAACCCATCTGCTGTTCTCCAAACATGCCTTCCTTAGCTTCACTGATTTTTAAAACCTTGATCCTTTCCCAAGACTCAATGGTGTCCTTAATCCCCTTGCTAGTTTTTGTCCCACCCCTGTGTGCTCCCATGTACTCCTTGTACATATCAATGTCATTACTATTATTATTATTATTGAGACAGAGTCTTGCTTTGTCACCCAGGCTAGAGTTCAGTGGCACAATCTCAGCTCACTGCAACCTCTGCCTCCTGGGTTCAAGCAATTCTCCTGCCTCAGTCTCCCAAGTAGCTAGGACCATAGGCGTGCACCACCACACCTGGTTAAGTTTTGTATTTTTAGTAGAGATGGGGTTTTGCCATGTTAGCCAGACTGGTCTCAAACTCCTGACCTCAAGTGATTCTTCTGCCTTGGCCTCACAAAGTGTTGTTATTACAGGCATGAGCCATGGCACCTGGCCATATCAGTGTCATTATTTATTACATTGTATTGGCAGATCCTGCAGCACCATAAAAATCATCTAGTTGTCTGTCATAGTCTGTGCTGTGTACTTCCTGTGTGCTTCCACTGCTTAGGTATGAGATATTGAATAGCTCCTAAATGTTCGGGCCCTATTTCCTTTACTTTGTAGGCAGCTGCAGGAAGAAGTGCTTTGATGCATCATTTAGAGGACTGGAGAACTGCCGGTGTGATGTGGCATGTAAAGACCGAGGTGATTGCTGCTGGGATTTTGAAGACACCTGTGTGGAATCAAGTATGAGTTCTGAGAATAAGTTTATTAGCATGTTGCTTGTGTTACTATTAATACATGTCAAATTTTTTTCTTTTCTTTCCTTTTTTTTGAGACAGAGTGTCACTCTGTTGCCTAGGCTGGAGTGCAGTGGCATGATCATGGCCAACTCCAGACTTGATCTCCTGGGTCCAATTGATCTTTCCACCTCAGCCTCCTGAGTAGCTAGGACCACAGGCATGCACCACCACACCTGGCTAATTGTTTTTAATTTTTTTGTAGAGACAGAGTCTCACCATGTTGCCTAGGCTGGTCTTGAACTCCTGGGCTCAAGCAGTTGTCCCACCTTGGCCTCCCAAAGTGCTGGGATTATAGGCATGAACCACTATGCCAGGGCTGTGTCCAAATTTTCACCTACATACCTTGTGTATTAGTTTCCTAAGGCTGCCATGACAAAGTACCACAGACTGGGTGGCTTAGCCAACAGAAGTCTGTTTTCTTACAGTTTTGGAGACTGGAAGTCCAACTTCTAGGTGTTGACAGGGTTGGGTCCTCCTGAAGACTCCAAAAGAGAATCCGCTCCATGCCTCTCTCCTAGCTTCTGGTGGCTGCTGGCAATCTTTGGCCTGTGGCAGCACAGCTCCAGGCTCTGCCTTCATCTTCACATAATCTGTGTCTCTTCACATAGTCTTTCCTCTGTCTGGGTCTATGTTTAAATTTTCCCTTTTAATAAGAACACCAGTCATACAGGATTAAGGTCTACCCTAATGACCTCATTTTACTTGATTATTTACAAGTAATTTTTTTTTTTTGAAACAAAGTCTCACTTTGTTGCCCAGGCCGGATTGCAGTGGCACAATCTTGGCTCACTGCAACCTCCACCTCCTGGGTTCAAGCGATTCTCCTGCCTCAGCCTCCCAAGTAGCTGGGACTACAGGAGTGCACTACCAAGCCTGGCTAATTTTTGTATTTTTGGTAGAGACGGGGTTTCACCATGTTGGCCAGGCTGGTGTTGAACTTCTGGCCTCAAGTGATCCCACTACCTCGGCATCCCAAAGTGCTGGGATTACAGGTGTGGGCCACTCCACCCAGCCTCGGCAAGTAATTTGGAACCATTTCTAAATAAGGTCACATTCACAAGTAATGGGGGTTGGGACTTCAACATATTTTTAGAGGACACAATTCAACCTATAAGACCTATACACAGTCTTATTATCATTTCCTCCTTAACAATGCTAAATACAGAATTCACACTTTATTTAACCGAGGTTGAGGAATAACAGGCTATGGTAAATGAAATGCTGTATCATTACATATGTTTCAATGGAGTTTTACTATGGCTTAAGTTCAACATCTTGTTTGTTTCATTTGCAGTGGTTCTCAAACGTCGAGGTGCAATAAAACTCTCTGGGAAAGCTGGTGATTCTTGATCATTCTGATGCCAGTATTCCACAGGGCACAACTTGAGAAATGCTGTTCTCTAGGTGGAAAAGACAGCTTACAATGTTTAATTCCCTAAATAATCTGGGAAGGTGGTGGTGGGGGGGTGTCCAGTGGTTGGAGGAGAGTGAAGATTAGAATAGTAGAGTTCCTTCCATTATGTTCCCTGAAAAGGGCAAGAGGGAGAGGATAACCCAGTATAGATAGAGATCTGTGTTCCCTTTACTTAATCTCCAAAAATCTTCTGTTTCTATGTAAATGAGAAATGCTGGGGAAGGAAGAAATCTATATGTAACTGAAGTGGACAAAAGTTACCTATTGAGAATGTTTGTCTAAGCACAAGGCTAACATTGATTTTAGTCACTGTTTCCTGGCAGGTGGCAGTGCCAAGCCACCTGCCTCCAGCCTCTTGCTGTTTTTAGCAATGGGATTTATTGAAACTGTTCTCATCCTAAGTCCATAGCCTGGGAGAACCCCTGAGGCATGAGTGGGAGCTGCTCTGTCACTGCTGTCACTTTCCACTGAGAAGTACCTTGATCTGCCTACATTCTCAAAGACATGACTGTGCTCCTGTTACTTCTGTTGTCACCTTTTCTTCCTTGCTGCTTGTCCTTAGACAAGGCTGGGCAAAGCTGCTTTTGGGTGGCAATAATCAGTCAGGGCTAGTGATTCTTCACCTTGGGGAGCTCCTGCTCTTGGGTCGGAATAGGAGCCATGTTCAGATCTTCTCCAAGCTCACAGTGTACCTGCTAAGTAAACCTGGGTTGCGATTTATAAAGCTGCATTTCTCTCTGCCACCTGGCTAGTGAAGAAAAGTGGTGGTTTGCCCCTCATTTGGTATTATGTATTTTCATTTATTAATACAGATAAACCAAGAATTTGATTGTGTTATTATAATATAGGAATAAATAAATGAAATTTGTATATTTTATACTGCAGGCTTAAATGCTCAGAACTGAATTGTATCGTTTTACAGCTCGAATATGGATGTGCAATAAATTTCGTTGTGGAGAGACCAGATTAGAGGCCAGCCTTTGCTCTTGTTCAGATGACTGTTTGCAGAGGAAAGATTGCTGTGCTGACTATAAGAGTGTTTGCCAAGGTGAGCAGGAGGATGTTGACTCATTTGCCCCTGCGAGTTTAGAGGAACTCCATGAGTTTCCTAGAGCCATGCTAGGCTGCAAAAATCAAAACACATCGGAGAATCTTTAGTTACTCTGTCTGTGCTGCAGCAAGTATCAAGATTTTGATCTTATGCTTTTCAGGAGAAACCTCATGGCTGGAAGAAAACTGTGACACAGCCCAGCAGTCTCAGTGCCCAGAAGGGTGAGCATGACTGATACAGGGATTTTTATCCTCCTTTAACAAAGGTGCACATAAGAATGTAGTTAGTTGAGACGCAGAGAGGAATTTCCCCCAATTCATGTACATTTCAAAACAGAATAGTCCACAAAGGATTAGATTTCTTGTGGCTTCCAAGTTCTAATGGACTTTTGTTTGCTTTATTTTTTCACAAAGCCCTTTTATATTAATTTATTATATTCATGTCTTACAACGACGACTTTATTTTGTTTTTGTCTTTGAGACAAGGTCTTGCTCTGTTTTCCAAGCTGGAGCGCGGTGGTGCAATCACAGCTCACTGCAGTCTTGACCTCCCAGACACAGGTGATCCTCCCCATCTCAGCCTCCTGAGTAGCTGGGACTATAGGCACGCCACCATGCTTGGCTAATTTTTTATTTTTCTCTCTTTTTTTTTTTTTTTTGTACAGATGAGGTTTCACTAGGTTGCCCAGGCTGCTCTCAAACTCTTGAGTTCAAGTTATCTACTCGCCTTGGCCTCCCAAAATGCTGGGATTCCAGGCATGAGCCACTCTACCCAGCCACAGTAATGACTTTAACAAATTGATTGGAATATTAAATAGGTAATACTCCAAAGTTCTTATGGTCAGGATTGAAACTTAGCTTGAAATTACTTCTGCCAGAACTCCTTTTCCTTTTTTAAATAACTTAATTCCTGTCTTCTTTTTTTAAATAAAGATAGGGTCTCGCAATGTTGGCTAGGTTGATCTTGATCTCCTGGCCTCAAGCCTCCCTCCTGGGCCTCCCAAAGTGTTGGGATTACAGCTGTGAGCCACCATGTCTGGCCAGAACTCTTTTCTATTAACATCTTGGCACCTCAAATTTCTTCCTTTTGAGAGCAGGGAAAGAGGTTTGTGCAGGCCTTGAAATGAAAGGAGGTCCTTGAAGGGTGAATGAGGAGAGCTTTGTCAGGGGGCATAGGTGATGAACACGTGAGGTGACACTCCTACCCCACCCCTCCCATGCATCTTTTCCACATGTTTATCAGGGCTGCTCCGCTGACTGCCAGGGCCTGGAAATGTGCATCACTTCAAGCCAGCATGGATTCCCCATTTCTCCATCCACCCCTCTGCCCTTCACACTTTTCTGGGCCAAGTAATGGGAGAATGGTGGAAGGGTGGATGAAAAAGAAAGGAATACCTGGCTTTAGGAGGAATTGGTAGAGGCAGTTTTTAAATTTAAGTTTTATTATTATTATTATTATTATTATTATTATTATTATTACGAGATAGGGTCTCACTCTGTCACCAGGCTGGAGTGCAGCAGTGGCACGATCATAGCTCACTGCAGCCTCAAATTCCTGGGCTCAAGCTATCCTCCCATCTCGGCCTCGTAAGTATTTGAGACTACAGGCATGGGCCACCACATGCAGCTAAACATTTTTTTGTATTTTTTTTGTACAGACAGGGGCTCACTATGTTGCCCAGACTGGACTCGAACTCCTGAACTCAACTGATCCTCCTGCCTTGGCTTCCCAAAATGGTGGGATAACAGGCATGAACTACTGTGCTGGCCAGTGGAGGCATTTTTTGTTTCAAGACAAGGTCTCATTCTGTTGCCCAGGTTGGAGTGCAGTGGCGTGATCATGACTCATAGCAGCTGCTACCTCCTAGCCTCAAACAATTCCCTCACCTCAGCCTCTCAAGTAGGTGGGACTATAAGCATGTGCCACCATTCTCAGCTAATTCATTTATTTTTTGTAGAGACAGTGTTTTTCCATGTTGCCCAGGCTGGTCTCGAACTTCTGGGCTCAAGTGATCCTGCCATCTTGGCCTCCCAAAGTGCTGGGATTACAGGCAAGACCTGCTGTGTCTGGCCCAGTGGAGGCATTTTTAAATAGTGTTATTTCATTTTAAAAATGAGTATAAATAATGTGCCTGTTTTTTTCCCATGCTGCTTTGGTTTGTAGCTCAGATTCAGCTGCTCTCTTTGCACCTTGTGGGTGGAAGAGTAAAGGATTAGAATAAAATGAGAGGAGTTTGAGTCCTGATTTTGCCTGTAGGTCTTTTGCGCTAGTCACTTCTCTGAGCTTCCTCTATGAAACTGAAATAATAACAATGCCAGGGTCAGACGATTTCATGTGAGAATTAAATGACCTAAAGCGAGGGAATATGCTTGGTGAGCTATCAAACAGTAGGTTAATTTTAGTTCTAGTGTATGGTACATAGTAGGTACTCAAGAAATCGTTAATATTTTTCTAGTGAAATTTTTCTATAGTCACTTGCTTTATTAGATGAACCTGGTACTTGAATCTATTAAGGTGTGCCCATGGCCTCTTCTCATGGTTCAAATTACACAGTCAATTCATCTCTGAAAAGCATACTAATACCAGCTAACATTCATATAGTTCTTATTATTTACCAATTTGTACTTTACACAATAGTCATCTTACATGTTAGTCCTTATAAAAACCCTTTGGCTCTATTATCTCCATCCTCATTTTACAAAGAATGAAATGGAGGCAAAAGCTGTGAAATCACTTGCCCAGTGCTGCATTCCTAGTGGTTGCTGGAAGCAGGAAGCAAACCCAGGCAGTAAGGACCCAGAGTCTCTGTGGCATAACACTCCCTCAAGTCATAGGCTGAGCCCGTGATGCTGTGCAATTCATCAGAAGAACGGGTAAGGGGCTGAATAAGGGGAAGAATTGTTTGAGGCACCAAGACTCCCTCACCTGTTGATAACCGGGAGGAGAGAGACATTAGGTGAGAAGGAAGGTTTCCAGTAAAGTCTTTGTAAAGAGTCTCAACAAACCTAGATGACTAAGCCCAAATGATTAGTTAGAATGGCCTTCTCCAAACTGGCAAATCACTGTCCACCTGAGGATTTGAGAGCTGGAGCAGCATCCCAGAGAAATTACAGGACTGATTTGTCAATCTTGATGCAAGGCAAGACTAGAAAGGAACCTGGTGAGGAAAGGGGTGGTGGTGGTGGTCAGAAGGACACTGACCATTTCTTACAATCCCCTCATTCTCTTTATTCCATTGAAGTCATTCCTGCCTATACCTTCCATCCCTGCATGGAAAATGGACAATGATGATTCTGCTCACTATGAATAATAAGTGCTGCTAAAAATTTTAGTGGCTGAAGACATTACATAAAATCCTCTTGCCAGACATTTATGCTAGTGTTCTCTTTGCCTGTTTGCCTTACTATTTTGCTAGTGATCATAGTATAGTAAGGAGCTTAGACTCTTAAACCAGACAGATGTGAGCCAATAGCCTAGCTCTGCCCCTACTGGCGGGGGACACCTTGGGTAAACTACCTGATCCTGGTGAAATAATAGATCTGAGATGACAGTTCTTGGCATGTAGTGAGCTCTTACTCAAGCTTCATCACAGGCAGTAAAAATAATATGGATGCAATGTTCAAGTTTTTTAGCAATCGGAGAAATAAAAATGAAAAAAGATACAACTTTTACTCCATGAAATAGTCAATACATCATGATTTGTGTATATAAAGTCCTAGCTACCTGTCTTGTTTATGAAAGTACTGTATAAGTTAATATCTACTGTTGGGAAAGAATTGTGGCAATATTTTGGTCTCCTTTGAAAGTTTGTCGTAGGCCGGGCATGGTGGCTCACGCCTGTAATCCCAGCACTTTGGGAGGCTGAGGCAGGCAGATCACGAAGTCAGGAGATTGAGACCATCCTGGCTAACACGGTGAAACCCCGTCTCTACTAAAAATACAAAAAATTAGCCGGGTGTGGTGGCAGGTGCCTGTAGTCCCAGCTACTCGGGAGGTTGACGCAGGAGAATGGTGTGAACCTGGGAGGCGGAGCTTACAGTGAGCAGAGATCAGGCCACTGCACTCCAGCCTGGGCAACAAAGCAAGACTCCGTCTCAAAAAAAAAAAAAAAAGTTTGTTGTAAGACCAGGAAATGTGATCTTTATGAATTTATCTTTAGGAAATAATTAAGGGTGTTTTAGCTACAAGAATGTTCATGTCAGCAGAATGTAAAATGCACTCTCTAGTTAGCTTGGACAGGCAAGCTGGCCATTAAAAAAGGGGTGCATTGGATGTTTGGATTCCACTCTTGATCCCAGAGACAAGTGACCCTGTCTTTAATCTCTTCCAAGTTATTTTAATGGCATATTTATGAATATAAAGTTTTTAATCAGAGTTATGTTAATGACTTTATGAAAAAAAGAAGTATTTTCTCATGCGAATTGCAGTAGGCCACTTTAATTTCTTCATGAATTTTCTGTACACTGCAGTTCAAACGGTCCCAGTTTTCCATTTTTATTTTTAAATTGAGGTATCCTATAGTTCATACTATAGGATGAACTATGGTATGAAATGGTCCTATCTTAAGTGTATAGTATGATGCAATTTGGAAATTCACTAAGCTATGTAACTTACCAATATAGAATATTTCCACCATCCCAGAAAGATAGCTCATGTCCCTTCCCATTGCTTACTTCCCAAAGACAATCACTGTTCTGATTTCTATCATCATACATTCCTGTTTTAGAATTTTATGTAAATGGAGTTAAACCACAGGCTGTCTTAGGTCGGAAACCTAATAACTTTCCAAATTGGAAAGTACTCAAGTGCCTATGGACAGTAGAATAAGTTCTGGTTTATTCATTCACTGGAATATTAGATAGCTATGGGAATGAATGATCCATAATTACTTGCAACAATATGGAGGAATCTCAAACATAATGTCGAGTAAAAGAATTGAGACTCAACAAAATGCACACTGTATGATTTTATTTGCATATAAATGTAAGTACAAAAATAGACAAAGCTAATCTATGCTGTTGGAAATCAAGATACTGATCATCCTTGGTGGGGTGTGGTTTGGAGAATTTAGTGACCACAGGAAGCACAAGCATCCTGATAATATTCTGTTTCTTCATCTGGGTGATGACTACACAGGGAGTTCAGTTAGTGAAAATTTATCAAACTATGCTTCTGTGAAATGTGTGTGTGTATAACAGAAGTAAAATTTTAGGCCAGGCGTGGTGACTCACACCTGTAATCCCAGCACTTTGGAGGCCAAGGCGGGCGGATCACTTGAGGTCAGGAGTGGGAGACCAGCCTGGCCAACGTGGTAAAACCCTGTCTCTACTAAAATTTATCCGGTTGTGGTGGTGTACGACTGTAATCCCAGCTACTCTGAGGCTGAGGCATGAGAATCACTTGAACCCAGGAGGTGGAGGTGGCAGTGAGCTGAGATTGCTCCACTGCAGTCCAGCTTGGGTGACAGAGTAAAACTGTGTCTCAAAAAAAAAAAAAAAGAAATTAAAAAAATAAAAAATGACAGTGTCTGGCTATGGCCCAAAAGTTACCCAATTATTTTACCTTAAACACAGGTCTAAAAAAGGATTGCAATGCTTTTGAGGTAAATGTAGCTATCCAAAACAATGGACAAATTTTGTTTTCCATTTTCAGGTTTGACCTGCCACCAGTTATCTTGTTTTCTATGGATGGATTTAGAGCTGAATATTTATACACATGGGATACTTTAATGCCAAATATCAATAAACTGAGTAAGTCTTCTGTAACTAGTGGCATGCAAATGATAAAGACACCTAGTTAGTCAATCTCTAGAGGATGCAACTTTCTTTCTGACTTTTAACGCTGGTGGTTTGTCTTAGCCTAGATCCTCTCTGACTTTACCACATGGTTTCTACTTTCATTCGGAAGTATATTTTCACGCTTGCTGGCTTCTCCTACCTTTATTTTGGTGGGATGTTCAGCCTTTTGTTTGTTTATTTTGATTTGCTTTATATTTGAATGTAACTTCTGTCCTATGGAAATCTATTCATGTGTACTGCCTTGAAAGTGATGTTTGTCAGACCCAGGTTCTGGGCCTTAGCAAGGAGAATATAGCGAGAACCGGATCCTGAAGGAGCCTGGTGGGCTTAGACAGATCCAGCACCTCCCACCACTTCAGCCGATATCAAGTCCAGGATCTATTTCCAGTTCTGGAATCAAACTGCCTACAACCTGACTCTACTACTTGCTAGCTGTGAGGTCTCAGACAACTTTCCTTCACCTTTTAGTGACCCAGTCTCTTCATCTGTGAAATGGTGACTTCCCACCTGATAGTATTACTGTGAGAATGTACAGGTAGCATTCAAAAAATAGCTGTTTGATATGTGGCATACAATGGGTGGTTTTAAGTTATTGTTATAATTCTTTTATTATCAACTTTATTATAATGTTGTACTTCTGTGTTAGGACACTTGGCCTTCACACAATTTAATAAAGGTAGTAATAAAGAGAAGTTGAGGCTGGATGTGGTAGCTTATGCCTGTAATCCTAGCACTTTGGGAGGTGGAGGCTAGAGCATCCCTTGAGCTCAGGAGTTTGAGACCAGCCTGGGCAACATAGTGAGACCTCATCTCTATTTAATAATAATTTTTTTTTAAAAGAAGTTGAGTACCCAAGGATACAATGCTAAGAAGTGGCATAGTTAGTTAGAATCAGAGAGCTAACTCCAAGGCGCACACTCTTCACTGCCCTGCAATTCCTCTCTTTCTTCTCCCTCCTCCGAGGCTGTTTTATATCCCTAAAGTTCTCAAATTTTATGTCATTTTTACTGGTTTATTGTTTTTCTTTTTCTTCAAGTTATTAAAAATAGCTATTTGACTCTGGGTAAGTTGACTGACTTTTCTGGGCCTCAGTTTCCTCATTTGTAAAATGAAATGACTAGATCTGATGATTTCTACTGTTAATTCCAGCCCCAAATGCCATGGTTGTAGGAAGATAGATCACTACTTCCTGCAACTCAAGGTGCATTGTTTCTTCAGCTTCTCCCTCATTCCCTGAGGCAGATCTTTAGCAAAGAGACTGTTTTCCAAATCCAGGACCTGTCATTTTTCTGCTGAGTTATTTTGTCCTAGAAAGTTAACTAACACTTCTCAGTTTCTATCTTCTTATCTAAATTTGTCTTGATAAACTGGATATCAAATCTGGTGTCAAAAGGGAATTTGACTAGCCAGGGTGAACTGAACCTTTTCTAAAGTGAAATTCCTCGATTTGCTCATTCCATTGAGAATTAGAAATGACATCAATGAAATATTCAGCCACTAAGAGCTTTCTGCTTTTGATGTTTAAAATATTTTAAAACATTTAAAATATTTTTTAGTCATATAGACAACATCTCAATCCCCAAATGTGTGAAGCTATGATCAGCTAGGCCTACCTAGGCAAAATAGGGCTGTTAGTTTCTCAGAGGCCTGATTAAGAATAGATGTGGTAGGTAGGGGTACATATTCTCAGGACCACCTGAGGCTGTTTTGAGGGAAAATTGAAAAAGGAGAGATGTGGTTAAATAGGATTAGGATTATGTTAGTCTTGAGGTGAGGTATGTGACAGCAGGCCTTGCTATTAAGGGAGCCCAGGGCCCCATCTCTAGGGTTTCATCAAACTGCCTGAGTTGGGCCACCATGGTCATGTAAACTGAGCCTAAACAATATCACAGAGCAGTGAGTCATATTAGTGACTGTTAAGTGGACGAGGAAGTGGCTCTCTGAATCACACTCTAATGAGGCAAGAACATTGTCTTGTCTTAGTGCAGGTGGCAGCAGACAAAGAAGGGCCAGGGCCAAGATCAGGAAACTGTCAAGTGGGATAGAGGTGATTTGGCCTATTTAGAAGACAGCCTTCCTGAAAAGTTAGATGGGAATCTGTGGATCAAATAAGACTAGAAGTAGCAGGTAGACAGCAGAGATCCAGCAGGGGACATATGCAGAGTTTTAGAGATTAGAGTTTGCAAGGTTGGCATTCATGAACAGCAGAGCTCTTATACTGGCCATAGCAGATGTCATTTGCTGTCTGCTTTTTAAATTTTGTTAAGAATGCATAACATGAGATCTATCCTCTTAACAGATTTTTCAGTGTACAATGCAGTATTATTATCTATAGGCATAATGTTGTACAGCAGATCCCTAGAATTTACTTATTTTATAAAACTGAAACTTCATATCCATTGATTAACGATTCCACATTTCCCCCTTACCCAGCCCCTGGAATCCACCATCCTATTCTTTGCTTCTATGATTTTAACTATTTTAGATAACCTCATATAAGTGGAATCATACAGTATTAGCGTGTCTGTGACTAGCTTATTTCACTTAGTATGTCTTCAAGTTTCATCCATGTTATCACATGTTGCAAGATTTTCCTCTTTTATTAAGGCCAAATAATATTCCATTGTATGTATATGCCACCTTAAAAATCTATTTATCTTTTAAAGAGAAATAGATTGTTACCACATCTTGGCTCTTATGAGTAGTGCTTCAGTGAACATGGGAGTGCTAATATCTCTTTGAGATCCTGATTTCAACCCTTTTGGATACTCAAAAGTGGAATTGCTGGATCATATACTTTTATTTTTACGTTTTTGAGAAACCTCCATGCCATTTTCCATAGCAGCTATGCCGTTTTGCCTTTCTACCAACAGTGTACAAGAGTTCCAATTTCTGCATATCTTCATCAACACCTGTTTTTGGGGTTTTTTTGATACTAGATATCCTAACAGATGTGACGTGCTATCTCATTTTTAAATTTTTATTTTTAATTATTGTTATTATGTTAGAGATGAGGTCTTGCTATGTTGCCCAGGCTGGCCTCAAACTCCTGGGCTCAAGTGATCCTCCCATCTCAGCCTCCCAAAGTGCTGATTACAGGTGTGAGCCACTGTGCCCAGCCTCATTTTGGTTTGATATGCATTTTTCTGATGATTAGTGACATTGAGCATCTTTCATACACCTATTGGATATTTGTATGTCTTTAGAGATGCACAATATCTTTCTTCTTTGAAGAAATATCTATTTAGGTCATTAGCTCATTTTTTAATGAGACTATTGTATTTTTTGCTATCAAGTTGTAGAAGTTCCTTATATATTTTCGAAATTAACTTCCTATCAGATACATGGTTTGAAAGTGTTTTCCCCCATTTCATATGTTGCCTTTTCATTTTATTGATTGTTTCCTTTTCTGTGCAGAAACTTTTTGGTTTGATATAGTCCTACATGTCCATTTTTGCTTTTATTGCCTGGGCTTTTGGCATCATGTTCATGAAATCATTGCCAAGACCAATGTCATGCAGATTTTCCCGTATGTTTCCTTCTAGAAGATTTATAGTTTCAGGTCTTACTTTGAAATCTTTAATATACTTTGAGTTGATTTTTGTGTATGGTATAAGATCAGAGTTCAAGTTCATTTTTCTGCATATGGATATCCACTTTCTGACATCATTTGTTGGAGCAACTATTATTTCCCCATTGTGTATTCTTCTTGGCACCCTTTTTGAAGATCGGTTGACCATATAGGCTTGGATTTATTGATTTATTTCTGAGATCTCTATTCTTTTTTTTTTTCTGAGATAGGGTCTCACTCTGTCACCCAGGCTAGAGTGTGATGGTGTGATCTCAGCTCACTGCCACCTCTGCCTCCCAGGCTTAAGCAATCCCCTCAGCCTCCTAAGTAGTTGAGACTACAGGCACTGCATGCCACCATGACTGGCTAATTTTTGTATTTTTGTACAGATGGCATTTTGCCATGTTGTCCAGGCTGGTCTTGAACTACTGAGCTCAAGCTTGCCTTGGCCTCTCAAAGTGCTGGGATTACAGGTGTGAGCCACTGTGCCCAGCCTGGGCTCCCTATTCTTTTTCATTGGTCTATACATCTGTTTTTATGCCAGTAACATGCTGTTTTAATTACTGAAGATTTTTAATATATTTTGAAATCAGGAGCTTTGATGTCTTCAGCTTTGTTCTTTTTCAAGATTGTCGTGGTTATCTGGGGTGTTATGAATTTAATTTTTTTTCTATTTCTGTAATAAATGTCATTGGGGTTTTGATAAAGATTACATTGAATCTATAGATTGTTTTGGGTAATAGGAACATTTTAACAATATTAAGTCTTCCAGTCCATGAACATGAGGTGTCTTTCCATTTGTTTATACGTCTTCCTTAACTTCTTTTCCCAATATTTTATAGTTTTCATATACAAGTCTTTCACTTTCTTAGTTAAATTTATTTCTAAGAATTTCATTATTTTCAATGTTTAGAAATGAGATTGAATAGTTAATTATTAGTACATAGAAATGCAACTGATTTTTGTATGTTGATTTTGTATCCTGCAATTTTACTGCATTTATTAGTTCTAAATAAATTTATTTAGAGCTTTCAGTATATTTAGAGCTTCAGTAGATAGTATCATGTCTTCTGAAAATAGGGACAGGTTTACTTCTTTCTTTCCTATGTGGTTGCCTTTTTTTTTTTTCTTGCCTAATTGCTCAGGCTAGAAGAGTGGACAGTCTTGCTTTGTTACTGATCTTAGGTGGAAAAATTTTCACCATTGAATAGGATGTTAGCTGTAGACTTTTCATATAATCTTTATTATGTTGAAGTATTTTTTTTCTATAGCTATGTGCCACATAACAACATTTCAATCAACAACAGACTGCATATATAATGGCGGTCCCATACATTATAATGGAGTTGAGAAATTCCCATCACCAGCTGGGCATGGTTGCTTATATCTGCAATCCTAGCACTTCAGAAGGCCAAGGAAGGAGGATTGCTTGAGCCAAGGAATTCAAGATCAGCCTGAGCAACAAAGTGAAACCCTGTCTCTACCAAAAAAAAAAAAAAAAAAAAGTAGCTAAGCACAATGGGGTGTGCCAGTAGTCCCAGCTACTCAAGAGACTGAGGCAGAAGGATCCCTTGAGCCTAGGAGTTCAAGGTTGCAGTAAGCTATGATCACACCACTGCACTCCATCCTGGGTAACAGAGCGAGTTCTTGTCTCAAAAAAAAAAAAAAATCCTATCACCTAGTGATGTCATAGAAATTATAATGTCATAGTGCAATGCATTATTCATATTTTTGTGGTGATGCTGGTGAAGACAAACCTACTGCACTGCCAGTCATAAAATAGTACACATATTTATGTACATTACATCATACTTGATAATGATAATAAATGACTGTTACTGGTTTATGTATTTACTATACTATACTCTTTTCAAAAGAGATGGGGTCTTGCTATGTTGCCCAGGCTGGCTCAAACTCCTGGGCTCAGGCGATCCTCCCACCTTGGCCTTCCAAAGTGCCTTCCAAAGTGCTTGGCCACTGTGCCAAGCTTATACTATACTTATACTTTGTACATTATTTTAGAGTGTACTACTACTTATTTAAAAATGTTAACTATAAAACAGCCTCAGGCAGGTTTTTCAGGAGGTATTTCAGAAGAAGGTACTGTTATCATAGAAGATGACAGCTCTATGCATATTATTGCCCCTGAAGACCTTTCAGTAGGGCAAGAGGTGGAGGTAGAAGACAGTGATGTTGATGATCTTGACCCCATGTAGGTGTGGGCTAATGTGTGAGTTTGTATCTTAGTTTTTGACAGAAACATTTAAAAAGTAAAAACAAAAAATTAAAAAACAAAAGCTTATAGAATAAAGATATAAAGAAAATATTTTTTACAACTGTGCAATGTGTTTGTGTTTTAAACTCAGTGTTATTACAAGAGAGTCAAAGAGTTAAAAAAATTAAAAGTTATTAAAGTAGAAAAGTTACAGTAAGCTAAGGTTAATTGATTATTGAAAAAAATACATTTTTGTAAGTTTAGTGTATCCTAAGTGTACAGTGTTTATCAAGTCTATAGTAGTTTACAGTAGTGTCCTAGATTTTCACATTCACTCACCACTCACTCACTGACTTACTCAGAGCAACTTCCAGGCTTGCAATCATGATAAGTGGTCTGTATTATATCATATTTTCACTGTACATTTTCTATATTTAGATAGATAGGGATAAATATACAATTACCACTGTGTTACAATTGCTTACAGTATTGAATAGGATAACATGCTGTACAGATTTGTACAATAGACTTTACTATATAGCCTAGGTGCACAGTAGGCTTTACCATCTAGGTTTGCTTAAGTACACCATATTATGTTTGCACAATGATGGAATTGTCTAACAACACATTTCTAGGAATGTATCCCTGTCTTTAAGCAATGCGTGACTGACTGTATTCCTAGTTTGTTGAGAGCTTTTATCATGAAAGGGTGTTGAATTTTATCAAATGCTCTTTCTGCTTCTATTGAAATGATCATGTAATTTTTATCCCTCATTCTGTTAATGCTATATATCACATTAATTGATTTTCATGTGTTGAACCATCCTTGCACCCCAGGGATAAATCCCACATGATCATGGTGTATAATCTTTTCATTGTGTTGTTGAATTTGGTTTGCTAGTATTTTGTTGAATATTTTTGCATCTATTTTCATCAGGAATATTAACCTGAAATTATATTTTATTGTGATATCTGTGTAGCTTTTATATTAGGGTAATGCTAGCCTTATTCATTTGAAAGCATTCTCTTGGTCTTCAGTTTTTTGGAAGAGTTTGAGAAGAATTGGCATTAGTTCTTCAAATTTTTGGTAAAGAAATTGTCAGTGAAGCCATCTGGTCCTGGTCTTTTTCTTGGGAGGATTTTAATTATTGATTCAATCTCCTTACTGTTTATAGATTTATTCGGACTTTCTATTTATTTAAGATTCAGTCTTGGTACATTGTATGTTTCTATGAATTTATCCATTTCTAGTAGGTTATTCAGTTTGTTGGCATATAATTATTCATAGTATTCTCTTAAGAACCTTTTATATCTGCAGTATCAATTGTAATGTCTCCTCTTTCTGATTTTATTTATTTGAGTTTTCTCTCTTTTTCTTGGTCTAGTTAAAAGTATGTCAATTTTGTTTATCTTTTCGAAGAACCAACTCTTAGTTTCATTGATTTATTCTATTGTTTCTCCATTCTCTATTTCATTTCTTCTTGCATCTTTTCTTTTTTCTGCTAAACTTGGATTTAGTTTGTTCCTTTTTCTGTTCCTTAAGGTGCAAAATTAAATTGTTTATTTGAAATTGTTCTTCTTTCTTAATGTAGGCATTTATTACTATAACTTCCATCTTAGAGCTGCTTTTGCTGCATTCCATTTTCATGTTCGTTCATTTTGTTTCAAGATATTTTCTAATTTCTCCTTTGATTTCTTCTTTGACCCATTGGTTGTTCAAAAGTGTGTTACATAATTTCTACATTATTTGTAAATTTTTCAGTTTTCCCTGTAATATAGATTTCTAGTGTTATTCCATTGTAGTTGGAGAAAATACTTGGTATGATCCCAATTTTTTAAATATGTTAAGACTTGTTCTGTGATCTAATATGTGATCTATCCTGGAGAATGTTCCATGCATACTTGAGAAAAACATGTTGTGTTGGGTTTAATGTTCTGTAAGGGTTCTGCTTTAAAAAAAAAACCTGCTGATAGTTTTATAGGGCTTCTCTTGTATATTGTGAGTTGCTTTTATTTTGCTGCTTTGAAAATTCATTGTCTTTGACTTTTGACATTTGATTATAATATGTCTTAGTGTGGATTTCTTTAGGTTCATCTTATTTAGAATCCTTCAAGCTTCCTGGATCTGGTTGCCCATTTTTCCTCCCTAGATTTGGGAGTTTTTAGCCATTATTTCTTTCTATAAACTTTCTGGTTCTTTCTCTTTTTCTTCTCCGGAAAACCCCATCATGCATATATTAATCCACATGTTGGTGTCCCACAGTTCTCTTAATCTTTCATCACTTCTTTCCATTCTTTTTTCTTTTTGCTCCTTTGCCTGAATAATTTTTAAAGGCCTGAGTTTGCCTCTCTTTGTTGAAATTCTCACTTTATTCATGCATTGTTCTCATCACCTCAACGAGCATCTTTATGACAGTTGTTTTGAAATGTCTGTTAGGAAAATTGTATCTCTGCTTCATTCAGGTCAATTCCTGAAGATTTATCTTGTTCCTTTGCTTTGAACATATTTCCCCATTTACTCATTTTCCTTTACTCTCTGTGTTGACATCTGCACGTTGGACAAAACAGTCACCTTTCTCAGTTTTCATGGACCGGCCTCGTATAGGAGAAACCCTCGCCAGTTGGCCTGATCAGCGATTCTGGAGGCCCCTTAAACCTTCATGCTAGTCCAGCCTTGTTTCTTTGTTGTTAGGGGCCCCAAGTGTCTAGAGTATGCTAGGTCCCATTGGTGTTCCAAGATGAGTGAAACTTATCTTGGAAGGAAGCCAGCTCCTTGGGCAGTCACCAGAGAATTTGGATCATTAGATGTCTTGTCCAATTCTTTCTCTCCCCAGAGAAAAGTTGGGGTCTGGATTTTGTTTTGTTTTGGTCGTGGGGCTTTTTTTTTCTTCTTTATTTTGCTTTTTTTCTCTGTGCTGTGCCAGGGAGAGGGACTATGGTGACTAATATGCTACATCAAACCGGTGTGTTTTTTTCTCACTGGCCCCCAGGTGACTAGAGTATGCTAGGTTCCATTAGCGCTCCAATACAGACAAGACAGAAAAAGCCAGTCCTTTGGGCAGTCCCTGGTAAAGTTGGGGCATTGGACACTTAGTGCAACTCTTCCTCCCCTGGGAGAAGCTGGGAGTTGGGGTTATTGCCTGATTTCTCTGTGCTGAGCCAAGAGCAGAAGCTGTGGTGAGTGCCTGTGTGCTCGTTAGAATCTCCTCTTTGTTCTTTGTAGCACACAGGGGACTAATAGATGTTGGGTCTCATCTCTTCTAACTCAAGTGAGTTAGAAGCCAATTTCTCAGATAGCACCTGGAAAAATTGGAGTGTTAGATGTGTGGTCCAATTTTTTCCCCCTTGGGGAGAAACTAAAAGTTGAGAGTTCTCTCCTGATCATATAGCATCGTTCTGGGAATGGGTATTATGTCAAAGAAACAGTTCTGCTTTTCCTACTGGTTTCGATGTAACTGGTGTTATACTTGCCTGGTAAGCAGGAGCCTCTCAAGTAGTTTCTGGGTTTCTCACAAAGGGAATTGATTTATGTGTGGCTATTGAATGATTGTGTCTGCTGTGGGAAGAGTCGTCCAAGATTTCCTATTCTGTTATCTTGGTAACATCACTCCTCTTTGCTCTCTTTTGACCCTTCTTCTTTATGTGCCAAGGGATTGAATGCATACTTGCAACTCTGGGAAGACTGAAGCCCCTGCAGAGCTTATTATTCTTTATTTTTTTTGAGTGCTAGAAATGATACAGGCCAACATTATGGCTAATCTTTCTACAAGGTTATTCTACTAAGTTACATATAAAATGAAAGTACCTATTTTCAGCCTGTGAATACTGGTAAACAGTTTGCTATGTTTTCCATTTGTACAGATATCTTAATAATATTTCATTATGCCAGTCTTATAAGAATTTCATAAGGACTACATTGTAGTTTTTTTTTGAGTCGGAGTCTCGCTCTGCGTTTTTTTTTTTTTTTTTTTTTTTTGAGATGGAGTCTTGCTCTGTCGCCGAGGCTGGAGCACAGTGGCACGATCTCAGCTCACTGTAACCTCCGCTTCTCGGGTTCCAGTGATTCTCCTGTCTCGCCCCCCCCTGAGGATCTGGGATTACAGGCACGCGCCACTGCACTGGGCTAATTTTTGTATTTTTATTAGAGCCAGGGTTTCACCATGTTGGCCAGGCTGGTCTTGAACTCCTGACCTCAGGAGATCCGTCCGCCTCAGCCTCCCAAAATCCTGGGATTACAGACGTGAGCACCGTGCCCGGCCTACATTGCAGTTTTGATCTGTACATTCTCTGGTTGCTTTACCTACTCACCTGTTTAGACCTTTGCTGCTTCTTATAGTTCCTAGTTACTATAAACCTAGTTGCATAGGCTTATCTCATTTATATTTTCAGATTATTTTGTTTAGTACTTTATTTTTTTAATTGTTTTTTTAGAAGTAAAATACACACGTAAACATTTTAAGGCAATATTCGAGGGTATAAGTAAAAATAAATGAACAAAACATCTTTCCTGGTCTTCCTACTTTTCCTTTGCAAAAGCAACTGCTCATTGGTTTATTGCGTGTCTTTCCAGTAGTCTGTTCAAGTATAACTTAAATTATTCATATTTGGAAGAAACCATGGTAGAAGACTGTGCTTTCTGTAGACTTTCTTCAGTAGCTGTGGTTCAAGGGCAGGTAATACAAAACGGTAGCTTGGGTCTATAGTCAGCAGATGTGTCTTGTTTATGACATATAACTAGGACGGTGCCATGCTTTTACAATACCGGTAGCTTAATTTGCATTTTATTTTATCCTCTAGCTTTACCCATTTAAGAATTTGAGTCTGCCACCCGTTTCAAGGATATTAAAGCAGAAACTGACTTTATGTATCTGTTCATTGTATGAATTTTTTCCCACTTAAATTATTTTAATTGTGTAAGTGGACTAGATCTTATTTTATTTTCTTGTTATATGACTTCTTAACAATATTAAATGTCTTTCCTTAATTGAGATCAAGATTTACTTATTGGTGGTATTGATTAAATAAGAAAAATAAAGGTTATTTTAATCTTATGTTTTATAAATTAAGTCCTGGAGCAGTTCTCAAACTTAAATACATTAGGATGACCTGGGCTGCTTGTTAAGAATGTAAATTTTTAGCCAGGCACAGGGGCTTACATCTATAATCCCAGCACTTTGGGAGGGTGAGGCAGGTGGATCACTTGAGGCAAGGAGATCGAGACAAGCCTGGCTAACATAACAAAACTCCATCTCTACTAAAAAATACAAAAATTACCTGGGCGTGGTGGCAGGCACCTGTAGTCCCAGCTACTCGGGAGGCTGAACTCAGGAGGCAGAAGTTGCAGTGAGCCGAGATCACGCCACTGCACTCTAGCCTGGGTGACAGAGCGAGACTCCATCTCAAAAAAAAAAAAAAAAAAAAAAAAGAAAGAAAGAAGGAAAAGTAGATTTTTTTTGAACTCCCTTTCCTTCTCCTACCTTCCAATCCCCATCAGAGAATCCTATGTAGTGGACTTGATATGGGGCCCTAGAAGTTTCTGAAGGAGGAAATTCCTGAATCAGAGGCTGGGAAGGAGACCAACCCCATGTCTATTTGAGAAAACACTCATTGTGTTCAGCAGCAAAGCCTGTGACTTTTTGGATGACAATTAATTTCATGTTTTGTTTTGACTTAAAGAGAATTGATAACGGTGAAGCTTTATTTTAGAAGTAGAGGCAACACAATTTTGCTGTGGAAAATTTCTTGTACTTCACTGCTGCAGAGGAAATAGCAATGTGCCCTAGTGGTTCTGACCTCTTTAAACAGGGTTATTGCACAGATTGAAAACAACAGAACAATGAAGCTAAATTGCTGTCATACTTTGTGAAACACAGATCACAGGAAACTTCCCTGGTCTAATGGAAACTGTACTAAAAGTAAGAAGCAGTAAAGTTAGCTTAATTTGTAAACAGTACTACATGACATGGGCTTATGCAGTTACACAAGTGAAATCCTTTTTCATTTGTCTAGACAGTAGTGTTGACTTTTGTTATATTAGATACTTTACATGTAAGAACTATCAGCTAGATGCCAATGCTATATAAAGCAAACAAACTGGCAGTGTATAATATAGAGTACATTTAGCTCAGGGGTCAACAGGCTGTGGCCCATAGGCCAAAACTGGTTCACTCTACTCGTTTGTGTATGGCCTGCCATATATACTGAGAATTGTTTTACTTATTTTAAAAATTATTTATTTATTTATTTATTTATTTGAAACAGGGTTTCATTCTGTCACCCAGGCTGAAGTGCAGTGGTGCGATGACAGCTCACTGCCGTCTCCATCTCCTGAGCTCAAACAATCCTCCCACCTCAGCCTCCCGAGTAGCTAGGACTACACAGGTGCATGCCACCATGCCCAGCTAATTTTTAATTTTTATACAGAAATGGGGTTTCATTGTGTTGCTCAGGTTGGCCTCAAACTCTTGAGCTCAAGTGATCTGCCGTCTCAGCCTCCCAAAGTGCTGAGATTACAGGTGTGAGCCTCTGGGCCTAGTCTGTTTTACATTTTTAAATGGTTGGAAGAAAGTAAGAATATTTTATGACACGTAAAAATTACCTGAAATGCAAATTTCAATGTCCATAAAGAAAGTTTTATTGGAACATGACCATATTCATTTGTTTATTTATTGTCTATGGATGCTTTGGGGCCTCAATGGCAGAGTGGAGGTGTTTCAACAAAGACCATATAGCTTTGCAAAGCCCAACATGTGTATCACTGGCTCTTCCAGAAAAAAATCTATACACCTTGATTTAGCTCACTCCTCTCCTAAAAGACTGACATTCCCTGGAATGGAGGAAGCTTAGAGACCAGAATTTCAACCTCTTTCCATCTTTAATCCACTTTTTAGTTTGTTTTTTATTTTTCTGAGAGACTTTCATGTTCAGATTTTTAGTTATCCAAAAAACTGAAGAAGAAACAACTTCCTAATTTCTCACCATATTCTGTTGCAGAAACATGTGGAATTCATTCAAAATACATGAGAGCTATGTATCCTACCAAAACCTTCCCAAATCATTACACCATTGTCACGGTAAGTGCTTGACCCAGTGGTAAGACAGGCCAAAGACCAGAACTGACCACATAAACAGACATGTTTGGGCAGGAACTGACCGAGTTCTGTGACTTACCCTTCTGAAGCACATGGGGGGATAGTTCATGGCTGAATTCAGGCTGTGAAGGAATGGCTCAATATGAGGCCAGTCCAGGGCTGTGAGGAATGAACTATGAATAAGTGTCCAGCATTAGGTTAATTCACCTGTGTCGAGCCAAAAACAGACCCTTTGATGTGAGAAATACCATTTTCCTCTGATCTTTCGATTGCCCTTTGTTTATCTGAGGGTCTGCTGGGAACAGTAGGCTATATATAGGGACAACTACTTTGATGTGGGAAATTTTGTTCTTTCCTAGTCTTTTCATTACAATTAACTTGATAGAACTTCTTTTTCATAAATGAATTCACACTGTCTACATCTCTTTAGATAAAGCAATAAAAGCAAGTGATATAAAAAAGATGTAGGTAGAATGTGTGAAAAGTGTATAAAAAGATGTAGGTAGAATGATTAAAATGAGCTCAAATAAAAATTAAATTATTTAAGATAGATAGATTTATAACACATTTTAAGGCATCGGCTGCCTCAAAGGATATTTGTGTCTTCATTACTTTGAGTTTTAATCTTTTATTACTATGGAACAGTAACTATGACATTTACATTTTAACCCCCACACAAATGTATGTATGTATTCTCATTACTTGCAGATTCTGTATTTGTGGGTTTGCTTACTCACTAAAATTTATTTGTAACCCCCAAATCAATAAGTATAGTGCATTTGTGGTCATTTGCAGCCATCACAAAGAAGCACAAAAAGTTGAGTTGCCCAATGCTTATATTCCTAGCTAAGGTCTAACCAGGAGACATTCTGCTTTCTTGTTTTAGCTGTCATACTATAAACAAGTACCATTTTCACAATCTCACTGTCTATTGAATGCCATACTTTTTATATTCTCATGCTTTTTTGGGGGTGATTTCACTGGTTAAAATTGTCCCCTTGCATAGTGCTGATGTGGTTTCTGGTGTTCCTAAGAGCAAGAAGGCTATGAATTGCCTTACAGAGGAAATATGTGTGTTAGGTAAACTTTGCTGAGGTATGAGTGATAGTGAACCAACAATATACATAAATAATGTGACTTTAAACAAAAACACTCATAAAAGAAGGTTATGTGTTGATCAGAAGACAAAAATGTCGTAATCAGAGGCTCTCAGGAACCTAACTCTCTATTTTTCCTAGGAGCAATGGTTCAGTAATCATTAATTTAGTGTTCATGACAACTTTATAGAATATAACTACTACGAATAATAATAATTGACTATATATACATAAATATATACCATATATACATATATGTATACATAAAATAGGGATTATGCACAAATGCAATTAATTTACTATTTATATATTTTTATACATATATATGCATATATATTCATATACATAAAAATGTTCTAAAATAATGACCCTAAAATCTATAGGCATTTAATGAAAATGTGTGGAATGATTAAATAAATATGTGGGATTGGATTAAATAAATGATTGGATGGATAGGTGGGTGGATGGCAGGGAAGATGGATAGAGACTTGGCAGGCTGCCTTTAAAATGCTGGTAGCACCCTTTAATTCAATTTAGCCAGGATATTTGATATACAGAAAGCTTCTATCTAGTAAATTCCTTGCTATTATTGATAATATAACCAGTGGCTAACCATTATTCTAATATGGGAAACTTTAACAAACAGTTAATTAAACAGTTATTAAGCACACAAAAGTTATATTAACACCATCAGCACAAGCTATCAGCCTAATGTCACTTATTTGCTGCTGTAAACCATAATAGAACTAGAAAAAATATATATATATACACACTTGGCCCTCCATATGTGTGGGTTCTGAATCCGTGGATTCAACTAACTGTGGATTGAAAATATTTGGGTGGAATCAACCTAAATGCCCATCAATGACAGACTAGATAGAGAAAGTGGTACCTATACACCATGGAATATTATGCAGCCATAAAAAAGCAAGCTCATGTTTTTTGTGGGAACATAAATGGAGCTGGAGACTATCATCCTTAGCAAACTATATACCACACATTCTCACTTATAAGTGGGAGCTAAATGATAGGAACTTATTAACGCAAAGGGGAAACAACAGACACTGGGGTCTGCTTGAGGCAGGAGGGTGGGAGGAGGGAGAGGAGCAGAAAGTATAACTATTGAGTGCTGGCTTAATACCTGGGTGATGAAATAATATGTACAACAAACCCCTATGACACATGTTTACCTAGGTAACAAACCTTCACATGTACCCCCAAACCTAAAATAAAAGTGGAAGAAAGAGAGAAAGAAAAGACAGACAGACAGACAGACAGAAAGAAAGAAAGAAAGAAAATATTTGGAAAAAAATTGCGTCTGTACTGAACATGTACAGACTTTTTTTTGTCACTATTCCCTAAACAATACAACAATGATTGACATAGCATGTATATTGCATTAGCTATTATAAGTAATCTAGAGATGATTAAAATATATAGGAGGGTATGCATAGGTTATATGCAAATCCCAAGCCATTTACTAGCAGGGACTTAAACATCTTCTGATTTTGGTACCTGAGGGAGGTCATGGAACTAATGCCCTATGAAAGCCAAGGGATGACAATATCTCCTGATATGTAAGTTCAGGTCCAGGTGTTTTACATTGAAAGGTATATAGTACCTTTCTTAGGTATGAGTAATAGATCGTGTGCTATTTTAATTTAAATTTCTATTTTACTAATATTTTATCTTACATCTTTTTTGAAATTATCATTTTAGGGCTTGTATCCAGAGTCACATGGCATCATTGACAATAATATGTATGATGTAAATCTCAACAAGAATTTTTCACTTTCTTCAAAGGAACAAAATAATCCAGCCTGGTGGCATGGGCAACCAGTATGTAGCATTCTACACGTCGCAACTGAAGTAACCTCCATTTCTCAGTGTGACAGGAGGACACTCTTCTCACTCAGTGGAGCAAGTTCTATGTCACCCATCTAGTTTCTAAGGGCTGAGGGTGCAAAGGTGTTTTACCACTATTTGTAACTTGAATTTTTAAAACATTTATGGTTGTTAACTCAAATAGGTATGTTTAAACTTGGATATTGGGTTATAAATGTATCCATCTGGAAGTTACTCAGAAAGATTATCTGTTAATGTTTTTCCTCATTTTGTTTTGTAAGTCTTTTTTTTTTTCTTTTTTTTTGAGATGGAGTCTTGCTCTGTCGCCAGGCTGGAGTGCAGTGGTGTGATCTCGGCTTACTGTAACCTCTGCTTCTCAGGTTCAAGCACTTCTGCCTCAGCCTCCCGAGTAGCTGGGACTACAGGCACGCACCACCACGCCCAGCTAATTTTTTTGTATTTTTAGTAGAGATGGGGTTTCACCATGTTGGCCGGGATGATCTCTATCTCCTGACCTCGTGATCCTCCTGCCTCGGCCTCCCAAAGTGCTGGGATTACAGGTTGTAATTCTTTTAAAGGGAGAGAGGAACCATCCAATTTTACCAGTTTGATTGCTACGTTTTTGATTTTTGAGGCAGATTCTTAGATAATTATATCTTTTAATTACTACAAAGATTAAAATTTCAATTTTAATACATGTTGCAACTATTAATCTTGTTTAGTTTCTAGTAAGGTACACCATTTCTACCCAAAGTAATTACTGACTTTCGCTTATCCTAAATTTTCTTACAGATGTGGCTGACAGCAATGTATCAAGGTTTAAAAGCCGCTACCTACTTTTGGCCCGGATCAGAAGTGGCTATAAATGGCTCCTTTCCTTCCATATACATGCCTTACAACGGGTAGTGAAGCACTTTCAGATATTCTCCCAGCTAGGCAGAAATGATCAAGATGTTTTCTGTCTTAATCTTGGTGGCAATTCTATTAATCCAGTTGTTTAAGCCAAAAATCTTGGGAATCACCATTGATTCCTTTCCTTTATGTCACTCAAGCAGTCTCTCAGTAAATGCTTTTGGCTGTAATTAAAAATCTATGTAGCCTGAGAACTTTTTATTACCTCTAGCATTACCACTCTGGTTCGAGCTGTCATCTCTTGCCTGTATTAACTGCAGTTGCCTCTTTACTCATCTCTGCTTCTTATCCTTTATAATCTAGTCTCATCCCACCCACCAGAGGGATTCCTTTAAAATTCAAGTCCAGCCAGGTGCGGTGGCTCATGCCTGTAATCCCAGCAGTTTGGGAGGCTGAGATGGGCTGATCACCTGAGGTCAGGAGTTCAAGACCAGCCTGGTCAACATGGTGAAACCCTGTCTCTACCAGAAGAAAAAATACAAAAATTAGCTGGGCATGGTGGCGCATTACCTCTAATCTTGGCTACTCTGGAGGCTGAGGTGGGAGAATAGCTTGAACCCAGGAGGTGGAGGTTGCAGTGAGCTGAGATCAGGGGCTCCTGCAGTGTAGTCCAGCCTGGGCGACAGAGCGCGACTCCGTCTCAAATGAATAAAATAAAATTAAATAAAATAAAATGCAAGTCCAATTATGGCATTATTTTGCACCAAAAACTTCAATGGCCCCCTGTGTCACTCAGAGTAAAAGCTTACAAGGCCCTGTGTGGCATGACCTCTGGTGTCCCCTTACCTCTCAGACCTCCCCTTCTGCTACTCCCTCGGGTGCTCACTCTGAACTCGTTGGTGGACTTCAACATGCTAGACTTGCTTCTGCTGCAGGACATTGCACTGGCTGTTCACCCTCCCTGAGATGATTTGCTCCATGGATCCGAATGCCTACTCTTTCCCTGCCTTCCAGCTCTGTTGAAAAATTACCTTCTCAATATTGTCTTACCCCAGTTATACTTAAGATTTAAAATTTCAAACCACCTTCATCTCAGTTACTCTGCTCTAGTTTTTTTTTTTTTTTGGTCCACAACATTTATCACCTTTTAATACGCTATATAATTTATTTTTATATTAGGTCTATTGTTTGGTACTTGTCTTCCTGCATTAGAATGTAATCTTTGGTTTCCTCACTGATACATTCTGTTTTGAATGAACAAATAGTATCCAGCAATAAATGTTCAATATATGCATATGCATACATTTTTAAAAATTGAATGAATGGATCATAATCAATTGTCTTTTATTTTAGTTAGGAGAAACTGAAAGAGAGAAGGGTGGGGTGAAATAAAACAATCTACATTTCTTTTATAGTGCCGCAAGTGTATCTATAAACAGAAATCCCTTTGAATAATACTGAATACCTTCCAGTATTGTGATTATATAGGAACACAAAATGGGTAGCTGAAGATATTAAACTTTCTGAATAGGAATGTAATGGAGTTATTCTTGATTTGATTCATTTTAAAGAATTATTTCTACCCTATTTTTTCAGAAGTGTCCCATTTGAAGAGAGGATTTCTACACTGTTAAAATGGCTGGACCTGCCCAAAGCTGAAAGGTAATGTCTAGTGTCAGAAAAGTGCTGGCATAGTGGCATATATATGGGTAAAAAATGAAGTTTTTTTTTTTTTACTTTAAATTACAATTTTTGGCTATTTTCGAAACGACGTGGCATTGCCTTATAATGGACACTTTTCATGAATTATTCCTGGCTGGGCAGGGGGTCTCACTCGTGTAATCTCAGCACTTTGGGAGGTTGAGGCAGGAGGATCACTTGAGCCCAGGAGTCCCGGACCAACCTGGACAACACAGTGAGATACTGTCTCTAAAAAAATGTAAAGAATTAGCTGGGCATGGTGGTACGCAGTTGTAGTCCTAACTACTTGGGAGGCTGAGGTGGAATGATCACTTGAGCCCAGAAGTTTGAGGCTGCAGTGAGTATGATCATGCCACTGCCCTCCAGCCTGGGTGACACAGTGATATCTCTCTCAAAAATAAAAAAAGAAATTATTCCTGGGAGCTAGTAACTTTTTGTTTTCGAAAATGTGGTTGACATTATTGAACAACAGAGATAGAGCCAGCACCAGAGATCAGAGGCAAATATCACAGAACCAGAGCCAGATATGGAATGGAGCAGAGCTGGGAGCAGGCCTGACACTCAGTTATAAGGATAGACTCCAAGAGCACAAGGTGCTCCATCAAGCCCATACCCACAGATTGGAGTGAGGGAAGGCTAATCAGGAGCTCCAGGTAAACAGTGCATCAGAAACCAGACACCAGAAGAAAGAACTTGGTATAACAGAACCAAGAATCAGCAAAAAGTCAGAAACCAGGAAACAGAAAGGACTGGGACACACCAAGAGTGGTCTTAACTGCAAGAACAAAACAGAGTTTCACAATAGGGGCGTACCACTGCTTGTATCTGGGAAGGTCTTATTTATTTCCCGTTAGGAAACCTATCCTTGCTGGAGCCAAGTAGAACTACTGGGTCTGAACAAGGAGGAGGAGGTTAGAGAGAAAGAAAAGGCAATGGCTAGCAAGCCCAAGATCTACAAAATCCCCCAATCCAGCCTGTATGTTTATAGCAAATTGATAATATATTTCTGTTTCAATTTTACCCCTAGACCCAGGTTTTATACCATGTATTTTGAAGAACCTGATTCCTCTGGACATGCAGGTGGACCAGTCAGTGCCAGAGTAAGTTGTTGTTTTCTTAAAAGAAAAAAAAAAATGTAAAATCATCTAACCCTAACCCACAAAACAAGATAGTATTCTTTAACTTCTACTGAGCACAAATGTATTTGATACATACACAAGAAGATCAAAATAGTTAAAGGTATAAAAGGGATGCCATGGTTCAACTGCCTACTTAACCATAAAATAGTTGAAATTCTAGAAAGGACAACTGCCTTATTAACTATATATTGAATCATTTGAAAAGCCCTCATTGAATATTAGATGTGGCACTGTTGTTGCATATAATGAAAACATCAAGGCTAGATACTATACAAGCCAATTCATACTAATGTGGTGCATTTCAGGCTAAGTCACCTGCAAGTCCACTGTGGTATATCCGGCTGTCTACTCCCCGACAGTTCAGTTATAAGTTCCTTATAATTGGATTTAACATGTTATTGCCTCAGGCAGAGTTGTTTCCCTTCTAGGCTCCCATTGTCATTGAAGTGGACTCTCTAATATGAGTTTATTCATTATCTAGGCCATTCTGTTATGATTTTACTACACAAACATAGTCCTTAAATATTGCGTTTAACAAAACAAGCCATTCTGTCTTCTAAACTCCGCTAAAGCCTCTATTGTCTTGGACACAGTGGAAAGATGCAAAGGCTGCCATGAATGTGGCATTTCCCCACCCCATGGAAACTCGTTGACAATTGTCCTCAATTGGAATGCAAGCATATTCGCTCTGGCAGCATGCCTTTGCAATTTCTCAGAAAAGCTTTTTTTAAATTCCTTCCTATTAGGCCAAAATGATTCCTAGTATAGGGACTTACTCAAGCCTCACCACTTTTAAGCCTTGGGCCTCTGTTGTATTCCTGCACAGCGCTAGACTGTATCACAGAATTGTATGCCTTTTCAGGTTACTCTAAGCGTGAACTATCTAAAATATATTCACCATGCCTTCTTTTCCCTTTCTTTCTTTCTCTCTTTCTTTCTTTCTTTCTTTCTTTCTTTCTTTCTTTCTTTCTTTCTTTCTTTCCTTCCTTCCTTCCTTCCTTCCTTCCTTCCTTCCTTCCTTGCTTCCTTCCTTCCTTCCTTCCTTCCTTCTTTCTTTCTTTCTTTCTTTCTTTCTTTCTTTCTTTCTTTCTTTCTTTCTTTCTTTCTTTTCTTCTTTCTTTCTTTCCTTTTTTGAGATGGAGTCTTGCTCTGTCACCCAGGCTGGAATGCAGTGGCGCAATCTCAGCTCTCTGCAACCTCCATGTCCCGGATTCAAGCAGTTCTCCTGTCTCAGCCTCTTGAGTAGCTGGGACTACAGGCATGCGCCACCACGCTAGGCTAATTTTTGTATTTTTAGTAGAGACAGGGTTTCACCATTTTGGCCAGGATGGTCTTGAACTCCTGACCTCAGGTGATCCACCTGCCTCAGCCTCCCAAAGTGTTGGGATTACAGGCATGAACCACTGCACCCAGCCATTCTTTTCTATTTTAACTGTTAGCCGTGTTTGATATGATTTGTCCTTTGAGAAGGGACACTCTATTTGCATTCATTGCACCTTAGGAGCTGACTTGAGATTAGGTACCATGTCCTTTTTTTTTTTTTTTTTTTCCATTCAGTGGTCTAGTTCAAAACCCAAGTACATTTTAAGTATAATTTTGAAAAGTGCTGCAAAGGAAAAGATCGGAGTCCCCCAAGAGATCTATCTAGGCAGTCTCAATCTAGTCTAGAGTAGGGTGCAAATTTGGGCTGGTTAGGAGACTCTCCTCTGAGTGACAAAAAGGAAACAGAATTTGCAAGTGGTCTTATTGAGGAAAGAGCTGTGCACATAGGAGGAACACATAAAATGAACAAATGGTCTGACAAACAAATGGCTAGATGGCTCAGCAAGTAGACAGCGTGATCATGGTAAGAATAATAGTAGCAGCTCACCCTTATTTGTGTTCTGCTGTGCCAGAGCTGTTGGACAAGCTATGAGAATTATCTCCCACCAATGTCTGCAGCATTGTGTAACAGGGAAGAGGGCTAAGAGGAAGCCCAGAGAAGGAGTCAGGCACCAATCCTGCAGGGCCTTGCAGGTCCTTGCAGTCTAGAAAAAGTACAATAAGAAGCATTGAAGCATTGTAATAAAGGAGGTGACAGGACCAGATCTATGTGTATTTAGAGATCACTTTTATTGTGTAAGAGGAATGAGTTGGAGGAAGCAGGGGAAAGTGGGGAGAGACAGGTTAGCTTTCCCAACATTCCAGAAAAGAGATAACAGTGATTTGGACTAAGGTAGAGGCAAACATTGTGGATGGAAGAAGATATAACTGAGATTCTTTTAGGAGATAGACTTGGCATGACTTAATGTGAGTTGGGTGAGGGGGTTGGGGGATCAAGATTGATTTCCTAGTTTCTATCATGTGCCAGCAGGTGGTCCCATTTATATTAATAAGACTGCTAAAGCAGGGTAAGTTTGGGGAGATGCTTGTTTTGCAATTGAGGTGCCTGTGATGTCCAAATGAGGATGTCCAGAAGACAAATAAATGTGGATTTAAAGCTCAAAGGAGGTGAAGATCTGGGATATCGGCAGCATATAGATGGTGCACAGAAGTGGAGATGGCCTAAGGAGAAAGCAAAGAGAGAAAATAGAAGGGTTAGGACCAACTGTCACTTAAAACTTGAGAAGAAGAGGCAAATGAATGGAAGTAGAGATTTTCTGACTTTCTTAATTATTATTGTTAGTTTTAATCGCATACCTTTATTCAGAGTTAATATGACTTATAAATTGACAGTAAAAAGGCGATTTTAGTTTATTTTGGCCCATTCACTAAGTGGAAAACTTATCACTCAAACTTATCAAAGCTACTCAATTGTTGCCCATTATAGGAATTTCTTGTTTCTTTCCTTTGGTTGGGTGAGAGTTGGGAACTGGCATTTCACATTCTATGGAGTGTGTACTTCATGACAGAATCTGGGTTCAAGAAATATGTAATGATTTGGGTTGCATGATCCCTTTCCTGTGAGAACTCATGCTCTCCTTGAGAGGCAGACAGGTACACAGATGATTTCAAAACTGTAAAGAGTCCAATGGCAGCCATATGCCAGGGTGCTGGCAGAGGACAGAAGAGGAGGGGGTTCTTGGTGTGGTTGGGGGAGTGAATCAGATGACTATGTAAAAGGAACGTTATGTCATGACAACAGGTGGAAACAGTAACTCTCGCTGGCAAACCAAAGTGCAGGTCACACTAAGACTGAAGGCCAGGAAAGCATCTTGGAGTTGATGATGGATTGAGCTGTAGATAGAGAGTGGCTTGTGTTCAAGTCCTGCTCTGTCCCTTATTAACTGAAGGACTGTGAACATGTCACTTAACTTCTTTAAACCTCAAGTTTCCTGACCTTTACAACTGACTGTTCTGGTAGCACTTTCCATGAATATTTGCTGTGAGGATTTCAAGAGATAATGCACTAAAGACCTTAACTCTATCAGGCTTGTAAAATTCCTTCTCAAAAAAAGAAAAAGAAGAGGCAATCATTGTTATAATAGTACTCTGAGAGATAAGACATTTCTTTCCCCAATCCATTGCTATTATGCTTTCTTATTCACTGGAAAAAAAAAAACACAGAAAATTTACATCAGTGAAATTTACTTAAACTTTATATTAGTTCCATGATTATATTCATAAAGTGTAGAAAATTAAAAAACACAAAGGCAGTGAGTATAAACAATAAAATAAAAATGAACTCCAATTCTACTATTTAGAGACAACCACTGTCAATAGTACTTTGATATATTTCCTTATAGTTTTCTGTGTATGCATGTTTACTAAGAAATGCTAAATATATTTCAAAACAAAATCAGGATTATGCAATATGTATACAGTTTGGTTTTCATTTTTATTGCTTAACATTGTTTTGTGACTATTTTCCTATGCCATTGTTTTTTGTGGGGGATGGGGAGAGGGAGTTTTACTCTTTCACCCAGACTGGAGTGAAGTGGTGCAATCTTGGCTCACTGCCCCCCTGGGGTTCAAGTGATTCTCCTGCCTCAGCTTCCCTAGTAGCTGGGATTATAGGTGCCTGCCAGCACGCCCAACTAATTTTTGCATTTTTAGTAGAGATGGGGTTTCACCATTTTGGCCAGGCTTGTCTCAAACTCCTGACTTCAGGTGATCCACCTGCCTCAGCCTCCCAAAGTGTTAGGATTACAGGCATGAGCCACCACACCCTGCCCCACTGTTCTTTAAAAGTATCTTTTCATGGATATAGAGTAAGTCTTCTTAAGAATGTGTCATCATTTACTTTTCCTTGTGGCCAAGCGTGTCAGCTCACACCTGTAATTCCAACACTTTGAGAGGCTGAGGCAGGAGGATCACTTGAGCCCAGGAGTTTGAGAACAGCCTGGGAAACTTAATGAGATCGAATCTCTACAAAAAATTAAAGAATTAGCCAGGCATGATGGTGTCCACCTGTGGTGCTAGCTACTCAGGAGGCTGAGACAGGAGGATTGCTTTAGTCCATAAGATCAAAGCTGCAGTGAGCTGTGATTGTGTCACTGTACTCTAGCCTGGGCAACAGAGTAAGACCCTGTCCCTAAAAATAAATAAATAAATAAATTATTTTTCCTTGCATTTAAATTATAAATCAGTAATGTGATGACTGTGTTTGTATGCAAGTCTCCATTTGTACTCCAAGTGTTGACTTAGGACAAATGCCCAGAAGTAGAATCGTTGAGTTGCAGATGCTCTTTTTAACTCCCTGGAAACCTATTGTCACATGACCCTCTGGAATGTATGTGACCCTTAGGCTGTCTTAGAAGTATCTGTCCACTCTTCTTTCTAACTGAGAGCATCGCTATGAAAATTTTTACAGTTGAATAGTGTTAGTTGACATTCAACATGGTTTCATGTATTTATTGGCCAGCAGTCTATCTTCCTTTGTAGGAAGTATGATTTAGATTTTTGTTTATAGAAATTTAGGGAATTGGTATTTGATGAATATGGTAGCATGGGTGCTAGTGCTGGGCTCTGAGGTTCTGTTTCAAAACCAGCAATTTCAGAGATGGAGATGTGTTTAATTTTTACTTCATTAGATAACGGTTTGGCTAATTAAGACAACTCATTACGACAATCTTAACTCCAAATTATTTTTCAGGTAATTAAAGCCTTACAGGTAGTAGATCATGCTTTTGGGATGTTGATGGAAGGCCTGAAGCAGCGGAATTTGCACAACTGTGTCAATATCATCCTTCTGGCTGACCATGGTATGCTTTTAAAAAACATTCTTATTTTATCATTGACTATAATTTATCACTTCAGAAATCATACACAAATAATAGTGATATTTTAAAATCTCTACTTCCAGACCTAAAGTCTCTTGAAGAAGCAAGGAATGAATTGTGGTAGAATGTGATGAAAAGAGGACTACATTAAATTTTCTAGTTTAATTATTCTGATACCCCTGAAAACCTACCCACAGACACTATGTTTTGTAAAAGTAGAGTTAATGATATTTAACAGGGATGTGGTTGGGTTTTTATTCAATCTAAAAAGTGCTTTGGGACCTTCTTTCCAGCCATGATTCGTTTATGTAGATTGGCTGCAGTTTACTGTAATTGGCAAGTTTTGCCACACCGTGTGTATTTTTTTTTAGTTATGTAAATAGATGTGTGTTTATTCATAGCTTTTCATCTTTAAAGTTACTGTCACCTCACATTTCTCTACTTGAGGTTAACTCTTGATTTTGGTTAACCTGAATGTTAAAGGAAGTGAAACAGTGGAGACACCCTCTGCCACCTCACGCAAAATGCATTCAAACAGTTTTGAAGTACATATGCACTCACTCTACAGGTTTTTTTTTTTTTTTTTTTGAGATAGAGTCTCGCTCTGTCACCCAGGCTGGAATGCAGTGGCCCGATCTTGGCTCACTGCAAGCTCTGCCTCCCGAGTTCATGCCATTCTCCTGCCTCAACCTCTTGAGTAGCTGGGGTTACAGGCGCCCACCACCACGCCTGGCTAATTTTTTTGTATTTTTAGTAGCGATGGGGTTTCACCGTGTTAGCCCGGTTAGTCTCAATCTCCTGACTTTGTGATCCGCCCACCTCGGCCTCCCAAAGTGCTGGGATTACAGGAGTGCGCCACCGGGCCTGTCCTCTACAGATATTTTTTTAAGTGCCTACTCAATGATAGGTACTTTCCTAGATATGGAGTAGATCCTTCCTAGCTAGGGTGGTCAAACTGTCTTCTTGAGGAGGACGTTTAAAGTCAAGCCCCAATATCTGTGAAGAGACCAGCCATGGGGCATGAGGAAGAAAAATAGTGTGTCTGCAGAACTTTTGGTCGTATTTTAGAGCATCCAGATAATGGGAAACATAGTAATGTATTTTTAAAATTTCTAAGGTAGTTCTCTAACACTTTGCCTTATTGTTTTAAAATTAAATGGAAACTTTTGATGTACATTTTGTTAAAAGAAATTAATGAAAATAATAATTTATATGCAAGCCAGGCACCATGGCTCAGGCCTGTAATCCCCGCACTTTAGGAGGCTGAGGTGGGTGGATCACCTGAGGTCAGGAGTTCGAGACCAGCCTGGCCAATATGGTGAAACCCCATCTCTACTAAAACTACAAAATTAGCCAGGTGTGGTGGCACATGCCTGTAGCCCCAGCTACTTGGGAGGCTGAGACAGGAGAATCACTTGAACCCGGGAAGTGGAGGCTGCAGTGCAGTGAAGCGAGATCACACCACTGCACTATAGCCTGGGCAACAGAGCAAGACTCTGTCTCAAAAAAAAAAAAAATTCATGTGCAGTCTGAAAAATCTTCAAATAAAAAAGGTTAACTACCAAATCTTTTTATAGCACGTACTCCTTATATAAATTTAAATTACTTTATACTTTTTTTTTGAGACAGAATTTTGTTCTGTCACTTAGGCAGGAGTGCAGTGGCACAATCTCGGCTCACTGCAACTGCCACCTTCGAGGTTCAAATGATTCTCGTGCCTTAGCCTCTCGAGTAAATGGGACTATAGGGGCATGCCACCATGCCTGGCTAACGTTTGTATTTTTTGGTAGGGATGGGGTTTATCATGTTGGCTAGGCTGGTCTTGAACTCCTGGCCTCAAGTGAGTTCCCCCCTCAGCCTCCCAAAGTGTTAGGATTACAGGTGTGAGCCACGGAGCACAGCCGAAATAATATACTTTTAAAGGTAAAGGTTATTTCCATTAATCTATTATACATTGAACAAATGATCTGTTTATGATACCCATCTGTTCTTCCCTCAAACATGACCCTTCTCCACTGCCACAATTTTCTGCCAGAGTAGAGTAATAGGGTGAATTGCGTAAATTCTCAGTGAAGCTTAGTTTGAGATCTGTAACATAAAATGTCTTCTATTTGACAAGACAGAAATCAACCGTTGCCATTTATATACATTCAGTGGGTTATTATGATTATTTTTTTATTCAGGAATGGACCAGACTTATTGTAACAAGATGGAATACATGACTGATTATTTTCCCAGAATAAACTTCTTCTACATGTACGAAGGGCCTGCCCCCCGCATCCGAGCTCATAATATACCTCATGACTTTTTTAGTTGTAAGTATGAAGACACCTATATGAAAAAAAGGGTAAACCTGAAAGTGAATAACCATAGTCCACTAATTCTGAGAGGAAGTTGGGGTTATCAGACCCTCTACTGACTTCTTGAGAAGACCACAGAGAAACAAGTGGGAAATTCCCATGCTTAAGTACAGTCTATAAAGTCTATGGTAATATCTAATATTGTTAGGTTGAAATATATCCTACTCAGTTCTAAATGCTAAAATAATTCTTTGCTTGAAATAATTTTTAATATAATTTTACCAGATCACAGTTATTAATAAGTGAATGTATCAAATTCACCTGAGTGGTTCACATTCTTTGCATTTGTTCGTTATCAATTGTAATGTCATTTATTTCTTTTTCTTTTGAAACAGTTAATTCTGAGGAAATTGTTAGAAACCTCAGTGTAAGTATACAATACTCTTAATACATATATTTAAGTTAATGCAATGACCTTAATCTGGGTTTTTGAGAAATTCATATTGTATATTTCTAAATCTAAGCTACTTGGAATTTATTTCTAAACCTTCCATCAACATTATTTTATATGCATATTAGTTGCTTTTATCTTAGTTGTTTTCATTTTGGAGCTGACACATCCACAGAAATTAGCTTGCAGTAATAGTAGCACTAAATACTGGCTTATATTGAAAGGGCTGATGTCCCATTCAAAAGGGTTGCATTAGTGAGCTTCAGGTAGCATCGTCTTTCTCATTTTTTGTGTGACTAATATAAGAGGATAGTGAATTATACCTCTTACAGATCTTTTTTTTACAAGTCAAAAAGATAATCTCTTTACTCACTAAGTATAATTGCAACTGCTTTCGATTGGTTCCCACATCCCAAATTGTAAGTAAATGAGTAGAGAAACTTCCAGATATCTTAAAGCAATATTTTTGGAAGTACAATTCACTACTCCTGGAGAGACCTGGAATGGTCTTCTGTAATAGTTTTGTTATTTATTTATTTATATTTATTTTACCTTTACAATGTTTGCCTTTATTAACTTTTTTTAAAAAATTCAACTTTCATGTTAGATACAGAGGGTACATGTGCAGATTTGTTACATGGGAATATTGTGTGAGTCTGAGGTTTGGAATATGGAACCTATCATCCTGGTAGTAAGCATTGTACCCAATAAGTAGTTTTTTAACCCATACACCTCCTCTTCCCTCTAGTAGTCCACAGTGTCTATTGTTCCCATACTTATGTTCACGTGTGTTCAATGTTTAGCTCCCACTTATAAGTGACAACATGCAGTATTTGGTTTTCTGTTCCTGCATTAATTTGCTTAGGATTATGGCCTCCAGCTCCATTCATGGTGCTGCAAAGGACATGATTTCATTCTTTTTTTATGGCTGCATAGTATTCTATGATGTATATGTACCACATTTTCTTTATCCAATATACCATTGTTGAGCACCTGGGTTGATTCCATGTCTTTGCTATTGTGAATAATGCAGCAATACACATATGAGTTTATGTGTCTTTTTGGTAGAATGTTTTATTTTGGTGGAGGGGTATATCCCCAGTAATGGGATTGCTGGGTAGAATGGTATCTCTGTTTTAAGTTCTTTGAGAAATCTCTAGACTGCTTTCCACAGTGGCTGGACTAATTTATACTTCCATCAACAGTATATAAGTGTTCCTTTCTCTGCAGCCTCACCATAGCGTCTATTGTTTTTTGACTTTTTAGCGGTGGCCATTCTGACTAGTGTGAGATGGTATCTCATTGTGGTTTTGATTTGCTGACAAAAACAAGCAATTGGGAAATAACATAATAAACGGTGCTGGGATAACTAGCCAGCCACATGAACATTGAAGCTGGACCCCTACCTTTTGCCATATATAAAAATTAACTCAAAATGGATTAAAGATTTAAATATAAGACCTCAAACTATAAAAATCCTGGAAGGCAACCTAGGAAATACTCTTCTTGACATGGGTCTTGGCAAATAATTTTTGGCTAAGTCCCCAAAAGCAATTACAACAAAACAAAAAATAGGTGAGACCTAATTAAACTAAGAGCTTCTGTATAGCCAAAGAAACTATCAACAGAGCAAACAGCCTACAGAATGGGAGGAGATATTCACAAACTACAACAAAGGCCTAATATCCAGAATCTATAGGGAATTTAAACAAATCAACAAGCAAAAAACAAATAACCCCATTAAAAAGTGAGCAAAACAAATGAACAGACACTTCTCAAAAGAAGACATACAAGTAGCCAGCAAACATGTTAAAAAATACTCAGCTTCACTAATTCTCAGAAAAATGTAAACCAAAACCACAATGGAATAGTTTTTATAGTTATATATTTAAAATATATTCACAAATATTTATCTACTACATGAAATTCATGACTTCACTATTGTTTGCAATGCGACTGTAACTATTTGAGTATGGGGGTATACAGTTACAGGCTTACCTTGCTTCACTGCATTGTGCTTTCTAGATGTTGCATTTTTTTACCAATTGAAGGTTTTGTGGCAGCTCTGCACTGAGCATGTCTATCCAGTGCTATTTTTTCAACAGCATGTGCCCGCTTCATGTGTCTGTGTCACCTTTTGTTAATTCTCACAGTACTTCAAATTTTTCATTATTATTATATGTGCTCTGGTGATATGTGATCAGTTACCTTTGATGTTACTATTGTAATTGTTTTGGGGCACCATGAATCCTACTCATAGAAGATGGCAAACTTAACAGATAAATATTACATGCGTGCTGATTGCTCCACAAACTGGCTGTTTCCCGTCCCCCTCCTCGCTTCTGGACTCTTCTATTCCCTGAGGCATAACAATATTGAAATTAGGCCAATTAGTAATGCTACAATGGCTTCTAAATGTTAAAGTAAAAGGAATAGTGACACATTTCTCATTTTAAAGCAAAAGCTAGAAATGATTAAGCTTAATGAGGAAGGCATGTTGAAAGTTAAGATGGGCCAAAAGCTAGGCCTGTTGCATCAAACAGTTAGCCAAATTGTCATAACAAAAGAAAAGTTCTTGAAGAAAATGAGAAGTGCTATTCTAGTGAATACATACATAATAAGAAAGTGAAACAGCCTCATTGCTGACATGGAGAAAGTTTTAGTGGCTGGATAGAAAATCAACTAGCCACAACAGTCTTTTAAGCCAAAACCTAATTCAGAGCAAGACGCTAACTCTTTCTTCAACTTTATGAAGGCTGAGATGGGTGAGGAAGTTGCAGAAGAAAAGTTTAAAGCTAGCAGGGGTTTGTTAGTGAGATATAAAGAAAGAAGTCTTCTGGCCAGGTGCGGTGGCTGACGCCTATAATCCTAGCACTTTGGGAGGCCGAGGCAGGTGGATCATTTGAGGTCAGGAGATCGAAACCAGCCTGGCCAACATGGTGAAACCCGTCTCTACTAAAAATCCAAAAAAAAAAAAAAAAAAAAATAGCCAGGCGTGGTTTTGGGCACCTGTTATTCCAGCTACTTGGGAGGCTGAGGCAGGAAAATTGCTTGAACCCGGAAGGCGGAGGTTGCAGTGAGCTGAGATCACGCCACTGCACTCCAACCTGGGCAACAGAGTGAGACTCTATTTAAAAGAGAGAGAGAGAAAAAAAGAAGAAGCCTTCTCCATAACAGAAAAGTGCAAGGTGAAGCAGCAAGTATTTGTGGTGACATAGAAGCTGCAGCAAGTTATCCAGAAGATCTAGCTAAGATCATTGATGAAAATGGCCACACTAAGCAACATATTTTCAATGTAGAGGAAACAGCCTTCCATTGGAAGAAGATGCCATCTAGGACTTTCATAGCTAGAGAAGAGAAGTCAATGCTTGACTTCAAAACTTCAAAGGACAGGCTGACTCTTTTTTTAGGGGCTAATGCAGCTGGTGACTTGAAATTGAGCCAATGTTCATTCTGAAAATCCTAGGGCCCTTACGAATTATGCTCAATCTACTCTACCTGTGCTCTGTAAATGGAACAACAAAGCCTGATGACAGCTTATCTGTTTATAGCATCCGTTTCCTGAATATTTTAAACTCACTGTTGAGACTTTCTGCTCAGAAAAAAAGGTT
The DNA here is from genome assembly GCF_000001405.40 of Homo sapiens. Classification (NCBI taxonomy): domain Eukaryota; kingdom Metazoa; phylum Chordata; class Mammalia; order Primates; family Hominidae; genus Homo; species Homo sapiens. The sequence goes on from NC_000006.12 coordinate 131,689,543, forward strand.
CCTTTCTAAAGATTGCTGTTTATTGAGAAAGTACCAGGTCACCCAAGAGTTCTGATGAAGATGTACAAGGAGATGGATATTTTCATGTCTGCTAACACATCTATTCTGCAGGCCATGGATCAAGGAGCAATTTTAACTTTCAAGTCTTATTCTTTAAGAAATACATTTCATAAGACTATTGTCATAAATAAGGATTCCTCTGATTGATCTGAGCAAAGTATTATAAAGTGAAAACCTTCTGGAAATGATTCACCATTCTAGATACCATTAAAAACATTTGTGATTTGTGGGAGGTCAAAATATCATCATTAATAGGAGTTTGGAAGAAGTTGATTCCAACCCTCCTGGATAACTTTGAAGGGTTCATGACTTCAGCAGAGGAAGTAACTACAGTCGTGGTAAAAATAGAAAGAGAACTAGAATCAGAAATGGAGCCTGAAGCTGTGACTGAGTTGCTGCAATCTCATGAGAAAACTGGAACAGATGAAGAGCTGCTTCTTACGGATGAGTAAAGAAAGCGGTTTCTTGAGATGGAATCTAACCCTGTGAAGATGCCATAAACATTGTTGAAAAGACAACAAAGGATTTAAATTATTCCATAAACTTAGTGGCTAAAGCAGCAGCTTTGAGAGGACTTGAGAGGATTGACTCTAATTTTGAAAGAAGTTCTACTGTGGGTAAAATGTTATAAAACAGTTTCGGATGCTACAGAGAAATACTTTGTGAAAGGCAGGGTCCACTGATGCAGCCACCTTCATTTCTGTCTCATTTTAAGAAATTACCACAGCCACCCCAGCCTTCAGCAACCACCATTTTGATCAGTCAGCAGCCATCAACATTGAAGCAAGGCCCTCTACGATCAAAAAAGATGACAACTCACTGAACGCTCAGAGGATCATTGGCATTTTAAGCAATTAAGTAATTTAAAATTCAGGTATGTAGTTTTTAGACATAGTGCTGTTGCACACTTAAAAGATTACAGTATAGTGTAAACATATTTATGTGCACTGGGAAACCAATTCATATGACTTGCTTTATTGTGGTGGTCTGGAAGTGAGTTCAAAATATCTCCAAGGTATGCCTGTGGAGTAAAATCTCTGAGGATGGAGTGCAAAGGACTGACGATAAACGCTGAGCAAAGAGTGGTTAATATAATCTGGGACCCACTGCAAGTTTCAAGTAGAATGCCCATTAGAGCAGAATTTCTTTACAGTGATGATCACTCTGTTTTTCTCTCAACACCTTCTAGTATGCCGATCTTGAGTAAAAACTGTGGACATTCTTGCCCACCCCTTCTGGTGAAGTGTATACTTGCAATGTGTTCATGCTGAGTGGATGCATAGTTCAGCATTTTCAACATGTGGACTCTCTAAATCCATATATGGTTTTCTTTTTGTTTTGTCACCTCATGATCCCTATAGCTGAAGCTCTGTTGGTGAAGAAGGGCAAATCTCTAATAATCCCAGTTGTGCAAGGGGATTGAGTATCACAGTCTTTGGAAATCCATTGCATGGCATCACAGATATGGACTGGACCTAGAGTTACAAAGGCCCAAAGAAATGGGCTACCATTTCACATAGTCCATCCTTCCCAAGGAAATATTTCATGTGGTAGTATTCCCAGCAGTGCTGTTCCCTGGGCCTATATTGAGCTTATTCTGGACAGAATTAACCAAGCATGAAGTGGCAACTTTTTAAGTTCTGCAGCACTCTGACTACATGAGAGACATCACTACTATTTATTCTGAGATAAAATGTCAAAAACGGCCGGGCGCGGTGGCTCATTCCTGTAATCCCAGCACTTTGGGAGGCCGAGGCGGGCGGATCACTTGAGGTCAGGAGTTCGAGACTAGCCTGACCAACATGGTGAAATATCTTCTCTACTAAAAATACAAAAATTAGCCGGGCATGGTGGTGGATGCCTGTAATCCCAGCTACTCTGGAGACTGAGGCAGGAGAATTGCTTGAACCCAGGAAGCAGAGGTTGCAGTGAGCTGAGATCATACCGCTGCACTCCAGCCTGAGTGATAGAGCAAGACTCAGTCTCAAAAAAAAAAAAAGAAAGAGAAAAAAAAAAGTCAAAAATTGTATCTCAACTCTGTAGACTTCATTCCAAATTCTCAAATGCAAAGAATCACCGGTACTTCTTCACAGGTAGGTAGTGAGCCTCCGGTTTTCTCTGGATTTACTCTGGCTACACAAAGTCCAGGAAAGTGTGACAATTACACACAGGGACAAATTATAGTTAGTCCCTTGCATCTTGGGGGAAGCTGCATACTCAGCAGCTGCCAGGTTGTGCCTGCCTGGAAGTTACAAAAATATTGGCTTAAGAAAGAAGTAATGATAAATAAAACAGTAGAAGCATAAGAAGCCTAGAAAATATACCAAAATAGGCAAGAAAAAACTGGCAAAAATATGTTTGCAATATATACTTTTGTTTTTCTTCTTTCATTCTATAAACTCTCCTTGCTCTCCCATTGTCTATATTTTGTTTAAATTTTGTTTGTGTAAATTATGTGCTTCATAGTTTCTCTTATTTTTCTTATCTAAATTGACCCTGAGATAATAGTGACACACACTTGTTAATATATATGATATATTGTGGTTTAAAATAAATGAGAAAATGAGGAAATAGGAAAAATTTCGTTTCCTTTGTTTATGGTTTTTCTTCTTGTTTCTCAAAATGGTCATGAGGGAAAGTTCCTTTGTAGTTCTATTTCTCATTACCTCATTTTTCTTTTACATAAATAGATACCAATGTGATTTGCATTTCTACAATTTTAAAATATGCCATACAGTCATAATTGTTAAAGAAACAAAATTTTACTCCAATTTGTAAGGAAACCATGATTGTTTTACAAATAGGGAGACTATAATAGGTTTCAAAAGCCATTGACTTGATCGGAAAACTAAGCAAATGTAGGTTATTTAAAAGATAAATTGAGTCTGTTGGAAAGTACTTTTTTGTGCAATTAAACTACTTTTTAATTTTTTTACTCATATCTACTAATATGGTATATATATTTATATGTAATTTAGACTCAAAAGTTGTCATTATCACTCTAAATCTAGATGTCTGTCCATTTTCTGTTAAAAAAGAGGGTAATTCATAGTGGTTTAATATATATATAATATATGGTTATATATATTACATATAATATATAACCATATATAGTATATATTATATGGCTATATTATATATGATATATGATATATGGTTATATATGATATATGGTTATATATGATATAATATGTAGTTATATATGATATATGATATATGATATGATATGTATATATGATATGATATATATGATATGTGATATATATGATATATAGTTATATATTATACACTATATATGATATATAGTTATATATTATACACTATATATGATATATAGTTATATATTATACACTATATATGATATATAGTTATATATTATACAACTATATATGATACAGTTATATATAATATATATGGTTATATATGATATATAGTTATATATAATATATATGTTTATATATTATATATTATATATGGTTATATATTATATATTATATATTATATATATGGTTATATACACACACACACACACACCCCCAGGAATAAAAACTGAAAACATTAACTCATAATTTAAATCAGATTTTTTATTTTTTTGAGAGAGTCTCACTCTATGGCCCAGGCTGGAGTGCAATGGGGTGATCTTGGCTCACTGCAACCTCCACCTCCTGGGTTAAATCAGATTTTTAATTGCAACCTGATTATCATTGCAACGGCAAAACTAATAACTAGGGGGATCTGACTACATTGATAATAGGTTTAATATTCCTATTGTATTAGCCAAGCTGAAATCCCCTTACTTTTAAAAGGTGCTTCATAAATTGATGTAGAAGATGAACTTTTAAAATTAATTTGCATATCTTATGTATCATAAAGAAATATTTACTTGCTTTTCAGTGCCGAAAACCTGATCAGCATTTCAAGCCCTATTTGACTCCTGATTTGCCAAAGCGACTGCACTATGCCAAGAACGTCAGAATCGACAAAGTTCATCTCTTTGTGGATCAACAGTGGCTGGCTGTTAGGTTCGTGTATCTGTTTACTTATCTCATAATGCCTTTAATAACCATTTGTCATTATAAGTCTACTTAACCTTACCCTGCTATTATCATCACTGTGAATTTTCCTGAGCATTGACATTTTCTGGCCTTTTTGTATGCTATTTAGCAGTTCTGCATTTGAAGTGATCGTTATTAGATTGCTGATTTTAGCATCCTTATCTTAACAATATAGATGAGAATGAGGAGTAAGGCTAAGAGTGTGCCCAGGGACTGTAAGTGCCAGCACCTTCCTACCCCCACTATGCTGTCCATTAAGGCAGCAGACAGATGATATCAGCTGTCTTTCAGCCTGATAATGAGTGATTGATTACACAACTCTTTAAGACCTTTGTCATCTTTGTGGTTTTTATAAAAGAGCACATATAGGGCTGTAAGACCAAGCTAATGAATTAGTTGTAACATTTATTTCTTATTACTATTTATAATGGTAATTTATGTTGATTATTGAAACATTTGCAAAATTTAAATGTGCTTAGAGAAAACAGAAACCACTTTTGACTTTGTGCATGCTATTTAGCAGTTCTACATTTCAAGTGATTGTTATTAGACATTATGACTCACTCCATCTTAAATAACCAATTAATCCATTGATTCAACGTTTTATTTTATGCTTGCCATGTATGCACCAGGCCCTGTTCTAGGCATTTGAGATACAGATCTGTCTCCTGCTCTCATGTACTGTAGTGGAGAAAACTGAAAATAAGCCAGTAAACAAATAAATATACACTTTGTGATAGCTGATAATTCCTATTTTTGTATTTCATACCAGCACTTTTTTCCTTATGCATAAGTAGATGTAAAAAGTATCTGGACTTTATGGCATTTTTCTAGCCTATTTAATATGTATGAATGTAATGCCAGGGGGATAGAATGACAATGGCAATACAGTGGCTAAGAGATATGTTTGACAAAGAAAAAGGAGATGACACTTTGGGAGGCCAATGCGGGCAGGTCACTTGAGGCCAGGAGTTCGAGACCAGCCTGGCCAACGTGAAGAAAAATACAAAAAATTAATAAAAATACAAAAATTAGCCAGGCATGGTAGCACCTGTAATCCAAGCTACTGGAGAGGCTGAGGCAGGAGAATTGCTTGAACCCGGGAGGCGGAGGTTGCAGTGAGCCAAGATCGCACCACTGCACTCCAGCCTAGGCGACAGATCAAATTAGTATTTGATTCCATCAAAAAAAAAAAAAAAGGAAAGAAAGGAAAAGAAAGGAAAAGGAGATGAAAGAACACAAGGGACAAGGGACAAGGGAATTAGGCTCCAACATTCAGGATCAGGAACTGGGGATTTGGCTAAGCCTATTCTGTAAGATAACCTGGAAACCCCTGTTGGGCCTGAGAGTGCAGTTTCACACTGGTTCACTAGATGGTGCTGACCCCTCTCTTTGGGATCGAAGTTTATTAGCCCTTTGTGTAGATGGGTGGCTGTACTGTGGCTCAGGACATTCTCTAGAAAGTATTTTCCTTAAATATGTGAACAAAATTAAGCTCTACTAATATTAAGTACATACAACTGTTAGTAATTTAGGTATGTAATATATAAATAAATATATGTCCAAGTTGGGGTACATTCTCCAGATATTTACTGTTAAAAGTCTAACACCAAACAAGTTAGGTCACTGGTACAGAAGGAGAAAGAGCTGTAAAGTGAGAGCTCGCCCACCCAAATACCTCTGGGTATCATGTATTAATACTCAATCTCAAATGGTGAGCTGTTTATTCTTTTAAAAACCAGCACTGAAATGTTAAAAGAACTGCAACCCAAGAGTTCATGGCCAGGCTCCCCACATAGCTAGGTTGTGGGAACTTGGAAAAATTAATATCTTAGAGTCTAATTTTTCTCATCTGTAACACAAGATTAGCCTAGTTTTATTATTTTCTTGCCATTAACATACAAAGTAAACTAACTTACATCAAAGGAAATTTTGAATACAGCCTTAACAAGAGAGCAAGTGAAGAATCTAATCTGGGCCAGGCACGGTGGCTCACGCCTGTAATCCCAGCTCTTTGGGAGGCTGAGGCGGGCAGATCACAAGGTTAGGAGTTTGAGATCAGCCTGGCCAACATGGTGAAACCCCATCTCTACTAAAAAAATACAAAAATTGGCCAGGCATGGTGGCGTGTACCTGTAATCCCAGCTACTCGGGAGGCTGAGGCAAGATAATTGCTTGAACCTGGGAGGCGGAGGTTGCAGTGAGCCAAGATCGCACCACTGCACTCCAGCCTGGGCAACAGAGCAAGACTCTGTCTCAAAAAAAAAAGAGAATCTAATCTGATTAAATCCTGGGTTCACTCTCTCCAACTCTTAAAACACAAGCCTCCAGCTACTTATTTTCTAGTGAAAGTACATCATTTTTAGTAATAATGTGCATCATTTGATAATTAGGTTAGGTCCCCTTTGTACAATTAAAGCAAATTTCAACAGTTTGTATAATCCATTTTCATCATCATCATCTTTATTTTACCTAAAATGTGTTAGATCTTACTAATTTGGGGAAACCTGATGTTTTGATATAGTAGAAGTATTAAGTGCTTTTTTAAAAGAACATGAATGTTAGCTTTTAATTTTGGATCAGCAACTGACAAATAAATTTCAGGCACCTTTTTAAGAACTAGAGATAACCAACAAAGTACCTGACCAAAGGATCTTTGCCCAGGTAGGAAGATAACAGCTATAATCAGATGGGATAACTATTGCACTAGAACCACGTACAAGGCTCAAGGAAGCAAAAATTACAGACCCAGGTGTGAATGTCAAGGAGCATCAGAGAATGCTTCCTGGTAGGGGTGGTTGCTGATCGGGGTTTGGAAGACTTATGATGGGATAGGATACGTGTTGCCATACAGCAGGTCTGCCCTGTGCAGTCTGTCGGTTGTACAGTGGCATCCTGCCAACAAGGTGAGTGGGAGTGGAAATGGAATCTTTGCTCAGCTCACCAAGCCTTAACAGGGGCTGCATTGGCAGGAGGAAGGGGATTCGTTTTTTGTGGTTGTTGTTGTTGTTGTTTTTGCCAAAAGTGCCATCTGCTTGCCAAGCCTTGAACACTGCCAGGCCGCGTCCTTCAAAGGCACCTTTTTTTCTCTCAATGATCTACCCAGAGCACCTTTTTTTTTTTTTTTTTTGAAATGGAGTCTCGCTCTGTCGCCCAGGCTGGAGTGCAGTGGCGCGATCTCGGCTCATTGCAAGCTCCGCCTCCCAGGTTCATGCCATTCTCCTGCCTCAGCCTCCTGAGTAGCTGGGACTACAGGCACCCACCACCACACCCAGCTAATTTTTTGTATTTCTAGTAGAGACGAGGTTTCACCATGTTAGCCAGGATGGTCTCAATCTCCTGACCTCATGATCCGCCCTCCTTGGTCTCCCAGTGCCGGGATTACAGGCGTGAGCCACCGTGCCGGCCTGAGCACCTTTTTAAAGCCAGCAGTAGCTCTAGGGCAAGGAAGGGTAAAGAGAAGGAGGCAGGTTTCCAGATGGAAGAACTAGATTCCTGCAGTTGCAAGTAGTTCTGCATTGCTGGAGCACTGAGTGTATGAAGCCATCATGTGTACAAAGGACCTTGTCTGAAATGACTAAGGAGTGTGACTTTGATCTTGAAGAAAGTAGGCTGTTGGTAGATACAGGTGGCTTGAGGTGAATATAGGGATATTTGCTTTTGGAGAGGTCCTTCAAGATGCTACATGGACGAGGATGGTCTAGCGCAGTGGTCCCCAACCCTTTTGGCACCAGGGACCGGTTTCATAGAAGACAGTTTTTCCAGGGTGGGGGCGGGAAGGGGGGGTGGTTTCAGAATGATTCAAGCGCATGACGTTTATTGTGCACTTTATTTCAGTTATTATTACACTGTAATAGATAATGAAATAATTATACAACTCGTTATACTGTAGAATCAGTGGGAGCCCTGAGCTTGTTTTCCTGCAACTAGATGGTCCTATCTGGGGGCGATGGGAGACAGTGATTGGTCATCAGGCGTTAGATTTTCGTAAGGAGCATACAACTTATATTCCTTGCATGGGCAGTTCACAATAGGATTCACCCTCCTATGAGAATCTAATGCCACTGCTGATCTGACAGGAGGCGGAGCTCAGGTGGTAATGCTTACTGACCCACCACTCACCTCCTGTTGTGTGGCCTGGTTCCTAACAGGCCACAGACAGGTGTGGGTCCATGGCCCAGGGGTTGGGGACCCCTAGTCTAGTGTGAAACAGGGAAGCCTGTTAGAAAGGTATGTAGTGACCCATTCAGCCCCAAGGGAGCCCATGAAGCCATGGGGATGGTGAAACTATATAGTGCATCACCGGGAAGGTATTATGGTTAACTTAGAAGCCACAGTTTCTAGGATAGTCTTGCTTTTATCATATTCTGTCTGATGTTTGTTCTCATTAGAACATAGATTTTTATTTCCAGCAGTGTTAAATAAGATTAGGGGTATGTGTGTGGGTGTGTGTGTGTGCGTGTGTATGTGTTTTGAAGGGAAGATTCAGAAGTTCTGAAGGCAGGATGATCAATTTGGGAAATTGTTCAAGGGGCTTATTAGAACCTACCTGAAGGGAACGTTTTTCTAGGACACAAAACACCGGTGCAAATCCACTGTTGAAAATGTTCTCCAATGTCTATTGTGAAATGGAGAGATTTTGAGTTCAGCTCCTTTCGGGAGGGGAGGAAAGAATCCTCTCCAAGGCAGCTTCCTCTAGCAGTTTCCTGCCTCTTGTGGGATGAGAAGATTTGCTGTCTAAGATATTATCATATTTATTTGTATTTTGCTGAGTTCTTTTACTGGATGTAAGGCAGTCCAAATGTTATTTGGAAATCTCCTATCAATCAATCATGCAATTTAGATAGAAGTTAGTTCCATACAGTGTGATCTCTGACTTGCTAAGGTTTAGAATAAACTCAAAGGGCAATGTGGCACAGTTATTAAGGTTTGAGAGTATGCCCATCTGTGCTCTGACTCTACACATCCACTGCGAGAAGAAACATCCATATAACACCAAAAACACTATATGAAAATCTTGTTGCACAGTAGGCCACCCATCAATATTACAGCTTTTCTTTTTCTTTTGATGTTCCAGGTGACCTGCAGGAAATGTAGAAATCAGGAAACTGACATACAAAAGAAAAAGTTAGTAGCAAATGGAAACAACTTTATAAAAATATAATATGGTATATAGTATAAAAATTATACTACAGTATACTTTTTACTTTATAAAAAGTATACCATAAAATAGTTTTAAAACTATTTTTATACTATATAAATAGTATAAGCAGTATAAAATAGGCTGGGCAGGATGGCTCATGCCTGTAATCCTAGCACTTTGGGAGGCCGAGGCAGGTGAATCAACTGAGGTCAGGAGTTTGAGACCAGCCTGGCCAACACGGTGAAACCCTGTCTCTACTAAAAATACAAACCCTGTCTCTACTGAAAATTAGCTATGCGTGGTGGCACATGCCTGTAGTCCCAGCTACTTAGGAGGCTGAGGCAGGAGAATTGTTTCAACCCAGGAGGCAGAGGTTGCGGTGAGCCGAGATTGCACCACTGCACTCCAGCCTGGGCTATAGAGCAAGACTGTCTCAAAAAAAAAAAAAAAAAAAAAGGATAAAATAGTTTTAGGACATAGTTTTATATCTAACATGATATGACACTGAGTTATTGTGTAAAAAGTTATTTTAAAATATAAAAGTAAATTCTTTGAACTAAGACAATGAGAAATTAAATATAAATGTTTAAGACCAAACTTAAACCTAGAAAAAACATCATCTCAAAATGACATGTTTCCCATGGCATAAGAAGCTGCTACAACTTTTAAGTGTGTAGGTGGTGGATTTTGAAATCTTTCTAGATTTTTCTTTCTTGAGAAATCTGGGTTTATCTTGAAAACCCTGAATTAGAAAAATTAGATTGATTTCATTCAGCGGCAAACACAGGAAGATGTATACTGAATCATATTTCTTAAAAATCTCAAATTTAGAAGATTGTGAGGTTGAATGAGGTCATCTCCTGAAGCTTCTATAGCAGGAATGCCGATCCATGATGAAGGACAGGATTGCATTTATTTTCTTTAGATGATCTACCATTGAACAGTAGAGACAGGGTCCCTCACGGTCTGTATCCAAACAGAACCCGGATTTTTACAGACTGATCGAGGCATAATGCTCAGAACTACATCTCTTTAGAGGCTCACTTTGCAAGGAAAAAAGAAATCATTCTGCCCTAGAAGGGGGCTGTAGGAAGTATTCACAATGAGTCAATTAATATCAAGATCTCCTGTTCCAGGAAACTGTTACTAAGTATTACAAAGGAAATTTTATGTGCTCACATAAGTTTAGAAAACACTGGCTTAAAGCTGGTATAGAATTATTCTTTCCTAGAGAAATATTTACAGCATTCACTATGCTAATATGAATTGTGATCCCTAGACAGAGGCATCTGATGTGAAGTAAGTCTCAAACTTATTTGACTATAGAACTTATTTTTAAAGTCCTCTGAAGGGACCAGTGTTTTGAGGAAAACATTATGGGAGGTATGGGACTGGATCAAAAGCTAATGAGGATATTGTAAGGGGTATTGTCCTGGTGTGGAGTGGCTGCAGCACAACTTGAAGAGATCAATTTCTAGAATTTCATCCCACATCTGCTGAAATCAGTCATTTAAAGGTAGGGCAGGAGATAGCTCCATTTTAAATAAATGTCTCAGATAATTCTCATGTCCATTGAGGGCAGAGGTCCCACCAGTGCAGAGATGGGTTAAGAACCGCTCAATGATGTAACTTCCTAGGTCACTGTCAGTCACAATGCCATAATCCTTTTCATAAAGCCCTTTCTACTCCCAGCACTCTCTTCAAAGTATTCTTCACTTCTGAGTTCCTAAGACTACAGATAAGGGGATTGAGCATGGGATTAAAGAGGCTGTGAAACAGCAGGAGATATTTCTTCTGCTCCTTGGGGTTCCCATATCTGGGTCCAACATACATGATAATGGCTGTGCCATAAACGAGTCCAATCACACAGAGGTGGGAGAAGCAGGTGCGGAAGGCTTTCCTCTGAACTTCCCTTGATTGGATCTGAAGGATAGCACAGAGGATGCACATATATGAAACTACAATTGTGGACAAGGGTCCCACCAGCCCAGAAATTGCTCCGGCCAAGACCATGTTCTCATTGATGTGGGTATCTGCACAGGCAAGTTTGAGAACAGCCAAGATTTCACAAAAAAAGTGATAAATTTTCTGGGGCCTACAGAAGGGTAAAGGTAGAAGTAACACAAGATGAATCAAGGATAAAAGGACTCCAGTGGTCCAGGAAGTCACCGCGAGGGTGATGCAGACTCTCCAGGTCATGATGGCCAAATATCGGAGGGGGTGGCAGATGGCCACGTACAGATCATAGGACATCACCACCAGGAGGAGACATTCTGTGACAGCAAAAGTGGAAAACAGAAAGGTCTGCATCATGCGGCCCGCAAAGGAGATGGGCTTGGCTGGATGCAGGAGGTTCACCAGCATCCGGGGCACCGTGTTGCAGGCGTAGGCGATGTCGACGACCGCCAGGTGTGAGAGGAAGAAGTACATGGGGGCGTGCAGTCTGGAGTCCAGTGAGATGAGCCCCAGTATGGTCCCGTTCCCCAGCAGGGTGAAGACGTAGAACAGGGAGAAGAGCCCAAAGAGGAGCATCTGAATCCTTGGGCCAACGGGAAATCCCAGTAGGAGGAACTCTCTGATGGATGTTATATTGTCTCCCATATCCCTATGACAGAGGAAATCAAGTTAATGCTCATGGTTTAGGAGAAGTGTTTAAAAACAGATTCATTTTAACTTGTTCGGCACTCTTTGGTGAAGTAGAAAAGTGTTCAGACAGCTGCAGTGAGTTTTTGTGTTTTTAAATGAATGCTTCAAGACAATTTGGTAACGCTAAAATAAATGTTTAAAAAATATATGCAGGCCGGGTGCGGTAGCTCACGCCTGTAATCCCAGCACTTTGGGAGGCCGAGGCGGGCGGATTGCCTGAGCTCAGGAGTTCGAGACCAGCATTGACAACACGGTGAAACCCCATTTCTACTAAAAATACAAAAAATTAGCCCGGCGTGGCGGCGTGTACCTGTAGTCCCAGCTACTCGGGAGGCTGAGGCAGGAGAATTGCTTGATCCCAGGAGGCGGAGCTTGCAGTGAGCCGAGATCGCAACACTGCACTCCAGCCTGGGTGACAGAGCCAGACTCTGTCTCCAGAAAAAAAAAAAAAAGAAAAGAAAAAAAAAACGCGTGCACACGTATACATAGGTTTCTTTTTTATTACGTTAATTTTTTAATAAAGGCTAAAATTTAAAAATAAACATGTCACATATTAATATATCCTTTTGGTCTTTTTTTAAAAAAAATTTGGCTCAGGCCTTTCAGGGATGAATGTCACATGTCAATGTAGTACACAGTTTTTGTTTGATTCAGTGAGCTATCTCATATCCTTCAAATAAATTCTTCTTTTCCTTGGTCGTATTATTCAGAGTTTTTCTCTGTTATGTTTCAGAAACAATGAACACTAACTGATACACATGTCAAAGTCTTAAAACCACATTAAGTTTAATCTTAAAGTGGAAGGTTTAATTAAGGGCGGGCTATACTAAGGTTCGACATACCATCAGCCAAATACACCAGTGGTCATTCACCTCTTAAACTTTCCACTCTTGCACTGATCATCACCTCCACAGCATATATCTCACAAAATCTTTTCTTATCCAAGTGTAAAGACTTATTTTTTAGCCCAGAACATTATTTTTTGTTATTTACTTTCCCACAATGTTTAGATGAGCATTTATGTGAATGACTGAATAGATTTGCACTGTGTCATTATCTAAACACGAAAACAGGATCAGTAACTTTTGTTGGATTTGGGCTTACTATTGATAAACACTCTAGAATACACAGTTTTAAGCATTGTCTATGCAGGTGATTGGCAATAGTTCGATGAATTTATGAGGAATGCTGCAGAAAGAGTCTCTGAATTCTCTGATTGAACTCAGGCCTCCTTGATCCCACAATTAAAATGTTAGCATAAGCATGATATTGTCATTTTTGCTTAAATTTTATTCTCATTTTTTATGTAAAATTATATTGTCTTGGAGATAGGAAGGATGAGCAATAATCCTCCATTTAAATGTCCATAAAATTATAAATTTAATCCTGCAAAACCGACTAAAAAGTATTTCATTTGCATTGGATTTTTCCTACCACCATTCCAAGGATAAGTATTATGCTCATGTTGAAAAAATAAAATAATTTAGTTATTTATTGATTTCTTGTCATTTATTTCATGTTGTCCTGAGATTGGATCTAAACTTTGAGCTCCTAATCATTGCTCAGATTGTGTGGCCTCGTAAGATTGTGCGTAATAAGTAAACAAGCATCTGTACACTTGTTAACTTAATGAGCTTCTGTATGTGACACTTTAAGCCTTTTTAAAAATTAAGTGCTGGGCTATGCTTGGTGTCTCATGCCTGTAATCTAAGCACTTTGGGAGGCTGAGGAAGGAGGTTCGCTGGAACCCAGGCATTTGAAACCAGCCTGGGCAGCATAGAGACCTCATCTCTTTAAAAAAATTTTTAAAATAGTAATTATATGAAAAAAAAATTTTAAAGAAAAAAAGTGCTGGTCTTTTTTGTTAACGTTGAACATTTACCAGAGTCAGTTGCACACAGATATTTCTTGAACTTAAAAAAAGCTACCAGCCAAAATAACCATTAACATATTGATTGCTTTAATATATTAATATACTGATAGATAATATGCTGATATCTATTAATATATTTTAGTCATATTATCCTATTATCTAAAACTATTGGTGAGCAAAATTTGAGCATTAAGAGAGTAGAAATGTACTTTTGCATGATATTAAAGTGTGACGGTAAAAGCAAACAAGCAATGAAAATGACCTTAAATTATATTTGAGCAGAACTCACAAAGGCAGTTAGGAAATCCAGGTGTCTAGAGATGACTGCTGTGTAAGAACCTAGATAATCTTCATATAGAAAAGGCAAACATTTCTACAGTGTGGCTGAGTTTACTGATGGTGCTGGGAACTCTGCTGCCCATCTGAGAACTGCCAAGGAAGGATCTTGCTTCTTCAAGTGCTTTTGAGAAGGGAAGGTGTTATTAAGTCATCACCTCCACAGAGTACCTTCCAATTATCATGAGAGCTTTGTGTGACGCATGAGAAAATAGGCTTCACTTGCACCAGCATGATTTCCATAGAGACATGAAGAACCCAACCACTGTTATTCTTCTAGGGGCAGAGAACTGAGCTTCTGTCTCATTCTGTCTCTGAGGAAGCCACAGTGATAAAGAGAATGAGACTAAGGCAAGAACAGAAAATGCCTTTGTAACTGAAAGGATACATATATTATCTAAAGTAATATCCTGGGACCACGTGGCTATCACAGCTACCAAAATATGTGAATTTGTTAGAGTTTCATGAATATTTATGCTATTCCTTCCCCAAACATTCAGAAAACACTTGGGAGATGCAAAGATCCATGTCTAGGTTTGTTTGGCGGTTAAAATAAAACCTTGACATTAATTCCTGCAGTCATTTCTTTTAGTGTAGTCTGCTTTCCCAAATACCCAAAAGCTGTTGGGAGAATAAACTTGAATTCCAAGGTCTTAATCATTAGGTCATTTTACATAGAAACTCAGACACTTTATTTTTAAGCACCAATCTGTAGATGTTGGAGATTCATTTTAAATAATCTGTGGGGCTCATTGACCTGTCTAGAAGAAGAATGGATAAGGCATAAGGATTGAGCAAAATTTACTTTTGAAAATTTTCTTTTTTTTTTTTGATAATATCTGGTCCTGCCCTTATGGGAAGGATAAAGCTCTGTAAAAGCACAGGGCCAGCTCCTGTTTTCTGAACCCTTTCTATGGATGGGGATGAATCTATGTATTCTACTTATCAGAGTAGGTTTACCCTCATGGATTATATTTGAGGTCCCACATCTGAGTGGTTGACATATTGTGCCAATATACCTAGCCAAAGTGCCCTTGCATTAGGCCTGGCTTGTTTACTAAGGTATCAGCTGGTTGGAAGGACCTAGGAGACTGTATGTATAAGCTGAGAGAGAGGCATCAGTGATATAGGGATCTGGGCCAACTGTTCATTCAGCCTACTTTTGTCTTTTGCATTTTCTCTTGCCCTAAAACATATTGCATCCATTATAGGATAGATGGTTGCAGTGACCATTCAGTCTTATGACTTGGTAGATCTAATAGCACTTCAGCTCAAGTTGGACAACTCCGGATTTATACTTACTTGGCATGCCTTTCTCACTTAGCTTAATAATTTCTAGCTTTTAATTTAATGACGTTCACTTGAACATTTAGAGGACATTATAGGGTGGTTAATTGGCTTAGCTTCAACATTGTTGTGTCTCAGGGACTAGGGAGGCCAGAAGAGGAAGAGAGAGAGGGAAATGGCCTGTCGGTGGAGCAGTCAGAACACACACAACATTTATCAATTAAGTTTGCTGTCTTATGTGGACGTGCTTATGCTGCCCTAAAATAATTACAATAGTAACATCAAAGATCACCTATCACAGATCATCATAGCAGACAATAATAATAAACCCATTTAAAATACTGTACAGATTATTAAAATTTGACCTAGGACACAAAATGAGATCATGCTGTTGGAAAAATGGTGCAGATAGACTTGCTTGAGGCAGGTTAGCCACAAAATTTTAACACAATGGAAATGCAATATCTATGAAGCACAATAAATTGCAGAACGATAAAATGAGTTATGTCTGTATATAGAAATAGAATTAATTTGATTGTGTTTATCTTAAATTCTGTGACCTTAATGGACTCACTTCTTAATTTAAGGAGGTTTGTAAAATAGATTTATTTGGATTTCTATGTAGAAAGTCATGTCTGTTGTAAGTAGGGACTGTTCTATTTTTTCCATTCTGATCTGTATGTCCTTTAATTATTTTCTTGTCTTATTGCAGTGTATAACTTCTAGCACTGTTTTGCATAAGGGTGATAAAAGCAGACATAGTTCCTTTATTCTTGATTTTAGAGAGGAACCATTCAGTTTTTCACCACTAAATATGATGTTAGTATAGCTATGTCCTACATAACACTTTGGTCGGTGATGGACTGCATATATGAGAGTGGTCCCACAAGATTATAATGGGGGTGAAAAAATCATATTGCCAACTGATGTCATAGCCGTAATAATATTGTAGCACAATGCATTACTTACATGTTTGTGGGATTGCTGCTGTAAACAATCCTACTGCACTCCCAGCATGGTTAAAAGCAAACAACTATGTATTTTGCTATGCATTTACTACACTCTACTAAACTTTTTGTCATTATTTTATTTTATTTTATTTTGGAGGTGGAGTCTTGTTCTGTTGCCCAGGCTGGAGTGCAGTGGTGCAATCTCAGTTCACTGAAACCTCTGCCTCCTGGGTTGAAGTGATTCTTGTGTCTCAGCATCCCAAGTAGCTGAGATTATAGGTGTGCAACATCATGCTTGGCTAATTTTTTATATTCTTGGTAGAGATGGGGTTTCACCATGTTGGTCAGCGTTTTCTTGAACTCCTGACTGCAGATGATCTGCCTACCTCAGCATCCCAAAGTACTGAGATTACAGGTGTGAGCCACTGTGCCTGGCCTTTGTCATTATTTTAGAGTGCACTCCTTTTACTTATTAAAAAAAGTTAACTGCTAAACAGTCTCAGGCAAGTCCATCAAGAGGTATTCCAGAAGAAGGCATTGCTATCATAGGAGACGACAGCCTCATGCATGCTCTTACCCGTGAAGTCCTTTCTGGATGTTCACACAATGTCAGAATCACTTGACCGCACATTTCTCAGAACGTATCCGCATCATTAAACAACACGTGATTGTATAATGTTAGCTTTTTGTAGATGCTTTTTATCAAGTGGATGAAGTTTCCTCTATTCCTGCTTTATAGAGAGCTTTTATCATGAATGGATATCGAAATGTGTTAAATGTTTATTATGCATCAACTGATATAATCTAACTTTCCTTCTTTTGTTTGTTAACATGGTGGATTATTTTGATTGACTTTTTGAGATTTAATCAGGTTTGTTTTTCTGGAAACAATCCCCCGCTGGACATGGGTAAATTTTGAAAAATATACTATAGAACTCTATTTATCAAGTAAGTTATACATATCTTTATATATATATATGTATATATGTGTGTGTGTGTGACACACACACACTCTCTCTCTCTCTCCTGGTTTTGGTATCACTGTAATAATAGCTTCAAAAAATAAATTGGGAAATGCTCTCTCTTTTACTGTTTTCTGGAAAAGATTGTGTAGAATTGGTGTTAACTTTTTAAAAACATGTTAGAATTCTCCAGTTAAACCATCTAAGCATAAATATTTATTTATTGGTAGTTTTAAAATTATGAATTCTATTTTCTTAATGGTTATAGAGTTATTCAAATGATCTATTCATGCCTGGTGAGTTGAGTTAGTTTGTGTTGCAGGAGGAACACTGCATTTTGTCCATTTTGTCTATTGTCTAATTTATGTGTGTGGAGTTGTTTGTAATATTCCTTGATAGTCCTTTGTTATGTGTGTTTATGTCTGTAGTGATATCGCCTGTTTCATTATGATATTTGAAATTTGTTTTTTCCTTTTAATTTATGCTTGAGTTTGCTAAATTTTATTAATCTTTTAACATAGCTATCTCTTTGTTTCATTGATTTAACCATTGTTTTTCTCTTGTAAATGTAAGTGTTTTCTGTTCTTATCTTCATTAATCCCCACCCTCTACTTGCTTTGAGTTTATTCTGCTCTTCTTTTTCTAGGTTCCTGAGGTGGAAATCTATTGCTCACTAGAGACTTTTCCTCTTTACTAATGCGTGCATTTATTGCTCTAAGTTTCCTTCTCAGTACTTTGATATGTCACAGTTTCATGTTTATCCAGTTCAATGTATTTTTAAATTTTTCCTTGAGACTTCTTTGACTGATAGATTATTGTGAAGTGTGTTTTTAAATTTCCAAATGTTTAGGGATTTTCATATCTTTCTTATGCTGATTTCCAATTGGATTCCCTACAATGATTTCTGGTTTTCATCTGCTCTGGATGATTACTATCTCTTTTAAATTTGTTGTGGCGAGTTTTAGGGCCTAGGACAGCTCTATCTTGCCAGGTGTTTCGTCAGCACTCAAAAAAAATATGTGTATTCTGCTGTTACTGTGTGGAATATTCTGTAAATGCCAAATAGATTCTTTTGGTTAATGGCATTTTGAGTTGTTTTATATTCTTGTTGATTTTCTTTTTTTTCCTCTTTTTAAAAACATGAAATGCTTCACAAAATTTTGTGTAATCTATATTCAAGAACCGTTTTAATCTTGTTGGCATCATTCTGATTTTAGAAAGTGCTGCCAAAGCCAACACTCCTTGCTGATTTTCTGTCTAGTTCTATCAATTATTGAAAAAGGCATGAGGAAATTTCTAACTATAATTGTGGATTCATCTATATCTCCTTTCAGTTTTCTTTTTTTAAAAAAATCAATGAAAATTTATTAAATTAAGCATAAAGTTACTTTCACATTTATCTACAACCACAGTGAATACAGTTCTTGGCATGAAGACACCACAACCTTTAGAATTTAAAGCCTCCTCACCTGCAAGATTACATATATAAAACTCCCACTATTGTTTCTCTAAGAGTGGATTAGTTCACCAAGTTAAAAGTTATATGATCTAGAATATAATAAAATGGAAATGATTTACTCATAAGATTCATATTCAAACCATCTTTATTTACAAAATACTATCCTGAGAACTATTATTCCATTAAACTTCAATTTGAGAAAAGTGCAATCACTTAAGTAACAGCAGTTACTTAAACTGAAAATGAGATCAGTCAAAATTACTTTTGAAGAAAGCAACAATATTGTCAGGTGTCTTGCTGTGGTTCTGGATGTCCAGTAGCAGGCTCCTTTGAAGGCGGAATCAATCCTGAAGGGAACTCGCTTCTACCTTCAGAATGTGGGGTTGGGGTAAAATCCAGGTCTCGGATGAAGGTAAGGAGGTAAACCCCTCGGTGGATAGATGTTTCTCATTGCAAATGGAGCATGTGGTGGACCTGGGAAATCCCTTGGTGGAAAATAACCTCGAGAAGCTCCAAACATGGTTCCTGGAGGAGGTGGGGGGAAAGGAGGTCCTCTTCTCATGAATGGGCCCCTTGTATCCACTGGAAACAATGGACCGCTGATTGGAGCAAGAGGTGGAGGAATAAGGCCAGGGCCAGTTGCTTCATTTTCAGCAGGGAGAGATGAATCAGGCACATTTAAATTACCAAGATCATCTTTGGCATCATTTCTACTGGATTCCATTTCTGAAGGCATTGACCTATCCATTTTATCCAAAGAAGTCATTTTAAAACTTCTGGGTTCTGCTGGTCCAGACAGTCTTTCAGAATTAGAATAAAATCTGTCTTCCCTTTGTGGAGGAAGAGTTGAATCAGGATATGATTGCCCTGGTGGAGGAAACATCATCCTACGGTCCTGTTCCACCGGAGATGACAGGGACCCAGTGTCAGAAGGAGCCCTGTGAGGATCGATTAACCTGTCATAGCTTGGTTCTCCTCTTTCATTGGTAATCTGATGGTCCAGGGGATTCCCTGGGCTGCTTGGGCCTCTTCCTCCTCCCCCTGGAAGCACAGGTGAGAGTCTGAGTGGATCCTCCAACAAAGTTTGAGGAGAGGGAAAAGCTCTCGTTTCAGATGAAGGCCGACCCAATGGTGAGGGACTACATGGGGAATGCTCTCTGCCAAATGCTGTATTTGAAACATCGAGTGCATTAGGATCTTTTTCTAAAAGTTCAAATTTCAACTCTCTTTCAGTTAATTTTTGTTTGTTGTGAGCATTTTCTTTCCTTAAATCACTGAGGTTTCTTTCAGCAGTCCGAGCTGCCAACCAATTATCATGTCCTCTTTTCTCGTAGGAAATAACCTGCTTTTGATAAAAATGAACAGTTCTCTCCAATTCTTCTTCAAGATCTTTGGCTAGCTTTCTATAGGTCTCCAGCTCTTCAGTGGCATGGCTGATCTTTTCTTCCACTCTAGAAAGCTTCTCTTCTTCCTCTATTCGGTAATTTTCCTCCACTGTTAATTTCCTGTAGAGTTTCATTTCATTTTCTTGATAGAATTCAGTCATTATTTTAAGTTTCTGTTGAAGCTTCTGATTCTCACTTTCAAAATATATGTTTTCTGATTGCAAAGATGCTTGTTGAGTCTGAAGATTTTTAATATGCTCTGTAAGCTCTTCCTTTGTTTTGTCCACTTCAGATAACTGAATAATAATGTGGTTTCTTTCTCCTTCTAAGCTTTTTAAAGAAACATTTAACTTAGCAGCATGAATCAGTTTCTTCAAAGCTCCTTTCGGAGGATCATCTAAGTTAGCACCATTTTCCCATTGACTGTTCACTTTTAATTCCAGGTTATCATCATCCGTTGTGTCTTCTTCAAGCACAGCAGCCTGATCTTTCATCATTGGCAAGTGTCCAGTCAGGGTCTTGATGTGATTTTCTTTATCATTCAGAACTTGTTCTGCGTGTACTTTGGAGTCTTCAAATGTTATTTTCTGTTTATTAAGTTCACTCACTTGTCCTTTCCATACTTCAGCTTCTTGCTGAAAAAGCTGTTTATGGCTTGTCTGAAGTTGAGAATTTTCATTCAAAGCATCTTTTATTGCTATAGCCCGTCGTTCTTCACTCATTTTAAATGTCTTGCAGATGATTTTGGCTTCAGCTATTTGTGATTTGAGGGATTTTGACTCATCTTCTAGAGACTGTATACTTTTTGAAATATCCGCCATCAATTCATCTTGTTGAGAATGTTTAGATTTCTCTTCTTTTAAGTCTTTTTCTAGACAGAGGATTTCATCCTCAAGTTCAGAATTGGACCTGCTCAGCTTTTCACAGGTTGCCTCCAAACTTCGTGCTTCTTCTGCTGCCGCCTTCTCAAAGCTGGCATCCTCTAAAGATGACTCTACTTCATAGCCTTCATACTCTTTTTGAATAAGGCTAAACTTTTCAAGTAGTTTACATTTTTCTTCAATTAGTCCAGAAAGCGTTGCACCAAGTTTTTGCTCTCTTCCCACATAAAGCCGACTCCTAACCGATCTAAAACTTCTCCACAAAAAAAGGAGAACAACAAAAAATCCAATAACAGCTGCACATACCACCAGTTCCGATGGAAAACCATAAGGATTCTCATCTGGTCTCATACTCTCAGGTAGTGCTGCCACAACTCTGCCTAGCTCCTCCAGGACCAGCCCCAGGTAGGGCTGAGGGGTAGCACCAGGCTCCTCCATAGCGTCGAGGCTGCTCTGGCGGTCACCGCAGTAACACTGGCCACAACAAGCGGTGGAGAACACGCAGCCTTGGGTCTGGAACCCGAATGCGCACGTGACAACCAACCGGAGCGGACCACTGTGGAGCGGGCTGCGGGGGGAGCTGGGGAACGCGGGCACCCACAGGCCTCACAGGCCCATGTTGTCCCCCACCACCTCCCCTGGCCCTCTTGTTACACTTTACATCCTGAGGCAGCGCTGGTCTGAGCCCGGCCCGCCTTAGTTCTGGCAGTTTTCACATCACATATTTTGAAGCTTTATTTTTTGGTGAATACACTTTTAAAATTGCTGTCTTCTTCATGGATTAAACCTTTGATCATTACATAATCTCTGGTTTTGGTAGTTTTCTTTGCTTTATCTGATATGCATACAGACACTCTTGCTTTCCTTTCATTAATGTTTGTGTAATATATCTTTTTTCATCCTGTTAATTTGGCCTGCCCTGTATTGGTAAAATTCAAGTGAGTTTCTTGTACACAGCATACAAGAAACATATAAGAAAGGGTCATACTTTTAAATACACTCTTCTATTATCTATCTCTTGGTAGACCATTCATAATTAAATGAATTATTGATACTTTAATGCGTAAGCCTGACATTTTTTGTTTTCTCTATCAATTCTTGTTTCTCTGCTTATTTTTCATGACTTCATGTGGGTTACTTGAACATTTGTTTTAGAATTCCATTTTGTTATTTATAGTGTTTATAGTGTATCTTCTTTTTTATAGTTTTTTTGGTTGCATTTTATAGCTTAGTGGTTGCATTTTACAGCTTAGTGTATATTCATTTATATAAACATTATCACAGTCAATTGGTATCATCTTTATTCCAGTCTGAGTGAAGTATAGCAACCTTCTGTCATATTATGTCTCTTTACTCTATCAAATTTGTAGTATAATGGTCTTACATCCATTTAGAATAACACTAGACAATGCTATGATTTTTGCTTGAAACATCAAACATAATTTAGGAAATTAGAATCTATGAAAATAAAGTGAGCATTTTAAAGCTTCCAGAAAGAAATCTGACACAACCTGTTTTGTCTTTCATTTTTTCTTTCTTTCCTTTATATTCACCATAGATGTTATGATGCCCTATCTGTTAACTCCAATATCTGGATTATCTATGAGTTTGTTTTTAATAACTGATTTATTTCTTATCAGTCTGTTTTACTTGCTTTTTTGTATATTTGGTACTTTTTTTAAAGTATGCTGAATTTATGGATAATATGATATAGAACTACTCAAGAATTTTGAATTTTTTTTCTGGGCAGAATTTGTAATTACTTGCAGATCATCTTGCTGCTCTCAAGACCTAGTTTTAAGCTGTGTTATGATAATTATATTTTATTTTCCTCTTAGAACATATGCCTCACTCCTGGGATACTGCACCTCTCCTAAGAGAATTTTTAGAGTCCCAACTGAGTTTCTCAGTTGTTTGCCAACATTTCCCCATTTGGCTGGATCTGAACTCCAGTAGCTTTCCAAGAAGTTTTTAGTCCCTGATGATCTCTTATGCTTTCTGTATCCCAGCAGTTTCTTTCTCCAAGGTCTCCCCTCTTCTTAGCCAACTGTCACATAGCTAAGGAGTCACAGAAGGACCAAAATGGCATGTATACACCCATTTCTAGGTTCTTTCTCTCTCCCATATGGTACATTGACCCCCAATTCCTAACCAATTTAGCAGCTTTGAACTCTATTCATTGCTTCTTTTGGTTCCCAAGACCACTAACCCCTGGTTGGGTCCCATTTTCCTGTACCAAGGTCAGGAAGATGCCTTTCTGGAAAATCCTGGCAAATGTGGTACTAACCTCATGTGCCTCACCTTCCTGAAAGATCTCATACCTGACTTGCTACAACAATGTTCTTCAATGCCTGCTGATATGGTTTGGCTGTGTCCTTACGCAGATCCCATCTTGAATTGTAGCTTGCATAATTCCCACATGTAGCCAGCCCACCTGAACCATGCTCAGCAGCTGGTGAGAGGTAATTGAATCATGGGGGTGGGTCTTTCCCATGCTGTTGTTGTGATAGTGAATAAGTCTCATGAGATCTGATGGTTTTACAAAGGGGAGCTTCCCTGCACATGCCCTCTCTCTTGTCTGCCATGTAAGATGTGCCTTTGCTTTTCCTTTGCCTTCTATCATGATTGTGAGTTCTCCCCAGCCATGTGGAACTGTGAGTTCACTAAACCTCTTTCTTTTATAAATTACCCAGTCTTGGGTATGTCTTTATTAGCAGCATGAGAACAGACTAATACACCTGCCAAGAATTTTTTTCTATATTTTGGCCAGATTGTATAGTTTTTTATGGTGGGAGGGTGAATCTGACACAAGCTATTTGGTGTCAAGTAGCCAAGTCACATACTAATTTATTTTTAATGTAAAGCTATACAACCTTCTTTCTATACCTAAATTTTTAATTAAAATATAATAATTAAAATATTACTAAAAATTTCTTAATGATTTTATTTCATGGTGAAAGAGACTCAGTCTGGAATGTAAAGTATGTCTTACCAGTATTTCTCGTTTTGCAGGACATTGTCTAGGTGTCCCTCTCCCATGGATGATCATTAGTGTGGTTTATTTTTATGCTTTGAGAAAATAAGTCTGTAGTATGTTACTACATTCTACTATATAAAGATACACTTCAACTTATGATAGGATTATGTTCCAATAAACCCATCATAAGTTGGTAATATTATAAGTTGATGATGCTTTTTTTAAAAAAATATAGACTGTTGTCCTGTTGCCCAGGCTGGAGTGCAGTGGCTATTCTCAGGTGTAGTCATAGTACACTATATTCTCAAAGTCTTTGAGCTCAAACAATCCTCCTGCCTCAGCTTCCTGAAGAGCTGGGACTGACTATAGGCACACACCACTATACCTGGCTTGAAGATATGTTTAATAAACCTAACCTACCAAACATCATAGCTTAGCCTAGCCCACCTGAACCATGCTTAGAACACTAACATTAGCCTACAGTTGGGCAAAATCATCTTACACAAAGCCTATATTATAGTAAGCTGTTGAATATTTCATGTAATTTATTGAATACTGTACTGAAAAGGAAAAACATCATGGTAGCATGAGTACTTGAAATATGGTTTCTACTGAATGAATATCACTTTCCCACCATTGTACAGTTGAAAATCTTAAGTGAAATCATTGTAAGTTGGTGACTCTCTGCATTTATTTATTTTACTACTTTCCTTTTTTCTTTTAATAGTTGAAAGCCATCATAAGGTAAAATATTATTGCCTAAAAATACTCTGCTTCTCTGGAAAATAAAAAAGACAGAAGTTTCAAAGAAATCTTTCAAGAGATATAAAAATCATATGAAAATGAAATAATTAAAGAATAAATCTGTAATTATGCATGTTGTAAAATACAAATGGGAGGCTGGAAGAGAGACTGTAGATGCACCGTGAAAATGAAAGCAGAAATAAAGTAGGAATGGAAACATTTATATAGGAGTTGTGAGATACAGCATCATATTTTTGTTCTACACTAAATAGTTTTCATGTCTAGCAGAGGACTTGGAAATTATAAGCTACTCAACAGTGAATCTCAGAGCTTTCTCCATTCATCTCACAGTTAGTCTTATATAAATATACAGCTCTGTAATGATTATATATATCAATTTTTTTTCCAGTCAAGGACTTTTCCTCCACATGTTCATTTCCGTGAAAAATATCACTTGGTACTAGATGATGTGAATGGCTATGATTGAACTGGTTACTTAGGGTAATAGGTTGACATCTTGTTTCGGCAATTAAACAATAAAAAAGTTGTTCTTTATTAAGATATGAATCCATTTCTTAAAGAAATGGGTTCCATAGATTTCCATAGCATTAAGCATGTTGGTAATTCAAATGCCTCATCACTGAACAAAAATGCTCAACCTCAGAGACTATCCTTGCACATAAAAATTTTTCTTATTTTCAGTTGAGTATGGGCCAACTCATATCAAACATTATTGATAGAGATTGGAGCACCTGCTCTGGATCAGGGTAGGGTCCTCCACAGCTAGAACTGTGGAAAACATCTCAACAGTAGGCACTGGAATTGTGTTTTCCCCAGTCACAGGCCTTGGGCAAGAGGAGAGCTGCTATGGCTGTGGTTTCTCCTGGACAATGAGACTTTTAGCCAGCGCCAGCTTGATGAACTAGAACTGGTCTGTGTGTGTTATTTTTGGGTGACCCAGCCTACTTCCTTGAGACTGTGGTGTAGCAGGGCCTTCTCCATTCTACACATAAGCAGATCGCCAAGCATTTAAAGCACTTGCTCACATGGGCTGGCAGCCTGGGTTGCCCCTTCCTTCCTGTGCAGAGATCCTTGTGCAAGGGGACCATCTCCACTTCATGCCCAGGCAGACATCCAGGGATTCAGAGTGCCCATCAGCATGAATCAGCAATCTGAGCTGCTCCGTTCTTCTGGTGCAGAGATTGCGGTGTAGTGGGACCCTCTCTGCTCCACAGATTTCCAGGTATTTGGAGCATCTGCTCACCTGGAGCAGTAGCCTGAGCCACCCCATCCTTCCTGTGCAGGGATATTGGTGTAAGGAGACCCTCTCCACTCCACAACCAGGCAGATCTCCAGGCATTTGGAGCAGCCACTCTCCTGGAGTAAGAGATTAGGCTTCCTCTGGCACCCTTATGCAGAGAATTTGGGGCCAACTTCCACGCCGAGGCACGCCGCTGGACACTTGGTGGCTGCCCACTGGACTCTCCCTCAGAGTTGGTGCTAGTGCTTATTGTTGGGGGACCTGTAGATGGGCTTGCCAGGTCCAGCCCCACCCAGTGTTTTCTCGGTAAACAAGAATCAAGTATATACCCAGCCCCACTGGCTGCAACCTGCTGTTACCCATAAGCGCATTCTGGGTAACCCAGGCTGCCAGCCCATGTGAGCAAGTGCTTTAAATGCTTGGCGATCTGCTTATGTGTAGAATGGAGATACCGCACAGGAAGACAGACTTGGCAACTGATCTGGCATCAGGAGAGAAGTCTTATTCATCTCCCACCTGTGTCATTACCCAGCTGTGGTAGAGAACCCCAGCCTTGATTTCAACTGTGTTAATTAGACATGGGGAAGATAATGGAGAATTTGTTCCAAAATATTTCATATGGGACTTGGAAGTTGAGCTAACTTATGACAGATAGAATCAACTCATTTTCCAAGTGCCAGCTATCATTGTTCCATATGTAACTTCCAAAGCTAAATTAATGATTAGACATGAACATGAGGAGGTAGAGAGCAAATTTCCAAAGTTTTTACTTGGAAATAAATAGAAAAGAGAGTTTTCAAACAATATTTTAATATTTTGCTTCTGAATGAAATTTTGCAATATTTACTATAGTTTTTAAATTGAGCTGGATTAGGAGATGGAAATATTTTAAAAAACTAGATTTTTCTGAAAATAGAAAAATAACCATAGTACGAGCATTAGAAAATTTACCAAAAAACTTAGTCAAAAAACCTTTTTCTTTCTTTCATTAATGAACATTCTAGCTTTCCACACAGAATTTAAAACTTAATTACCTCCTACTAAATAATTCCATTAATATTGGGAAACCAAATATCTATGCAGTAAGAATAAAAACATTTATTTATTTATAATTAAAAAAATAGAGGCCGGGTGTGGTGGCTCATGCCTGTAATCCCAGCACTTTGGGAGGCTGAGATGGGTGGAACACTTGAGGTTAGGAGTTCCAGACTAGCCTGGCCAACATGGCAAAACCCTCTCTCCACTAAAAACACAAAAATATTAGCTGGATGTGGTGGCACATGCCTGTAGTCCCAGCTACTCGGGAGGCTGAGGCAGGAGAATCGCTTGAACCCAGGAGGCAGAGGTTGCAGTGAGCCAAGATCACGCCACTTCACTCCAGCCTGGGCGACAGAGCGAGACTCAGTCTCAAAAATAAATAAATAAATAAATAAAACCTATAGTTGTCATATGCCAGCAATTTTATTGGCATTAACTAAGATAAGGAAATGAAGTGACATCCTTAGGATATCAAACTTAATTTCCTTCTGAATCAGGACTTGTCTTGCTTTCCCCATTCCAGGTACTTACCTGGCCTCTCTTTTCTTCCCTCTACTGGGTAGAGTTGAGTGAGTGTGGCCTGGTCAGATTTGTGATTTATTTTTTAATTTGTGATTTATTTTTATTTTCTATTTAAACTGAATTAGAGTCAGTTATGAATTTTTTTAATGTTGATTTTTTAAAGACACTAAATTACTGTCCTGTTGTTAGTCGAGTCGAGTTTGTAAAAACAAACAGAAACCCTGCGGGGGGTGTGTGTGTGTGTGTGTGTGTGTGTGTGTGTGTGTGTGTGTGTGTGTGTGTGTATTTGCCCTTGGGGTGAGAGGTGAGGGTGGGGAAGAAAATGAGAGAATCTTTTAGGGCCAGCCTTTGGAAATAGGAGTCCTTTGTTCCCTTCAGAGATCAAATTTGACTCAGTATAACATTGTTGCTTTAAAAGATCTAGGTTCATTTATCGCTATTTTCCAAGTATGAAAAACAGCTACTTATAAAATTGTTAATACTGCTCAATTCAAAACAGTATTAAAATGTAGGCAAAAACTAATTAATTAAATTTGAAAATTTATTCAAATAATAAAGCTACAGCCTATGGAAGAAAATCACAAAGGTAAACATAATTATAATAATAATCTCTGAATTTACAGAATATACTAGCTTCTTTTTACCAAGTACAGTTATGTGTTGTATAACAACATTTTGGCCAACAATGAACTGCTTGTGTGATGGTGGTCCCATAAGATTATAATACTATAGTTCTACTATAACTTTTCTATGTTTACATGTGCTTAGATACACAAATCCTTACCATTGTGTTACAGCTGCCTGTGGTATTCAGTACAGTAGCATGCTGTACAGGTTTGTAGCTAGGAGCAATAGGTTAGACCACATAGCCCAGGTGCGTAGAAGGCTGTACCATCCAGGCTTGTGTAAGTGTACTCTGTGATGTTTCCACAATGATAAACTTGCATAAGAATGCATTTCTCAGAACATATTCCTGCCCTTAAGCAACGCATGACTGGATTATAATTAACTTGCCCTGCCTATTCTTTATTCATGCTTTCATATTATTTTCCTAGACATCTTCACTGGAAAACAGAAATTGATATTTTTCCCCAGTTGCAAAGATTTATTCCTAAAGCATTGAAATGCTAAAATAACATATTAACCAAACTATTCTTCAGCATATAGTCATTGATGTGTAAAGGTACACCCATGAGCTTGAAGACAAATTCATTTTTTTTTAAAATATGTACCTTTATTACTAGCCTTAGTCAGTATCTATCAGTCAGAGACTTTTGAATTCTATTTATAGATCCTGGAATTTTCCTTTCTTCTCTCGTACCCTTCTGTTTGTTCCATTATGGTTATGAATTTGAGCATGAAAATAAATATATTTATTCATTATTGATATAAAAATTTATTCTGTTGTTGATAGAAAAATATATTATTCTGTTGTTGATAAAAAAATTTACTTATAAAATTTACAGAAACTATATAAAATTAGTTAAATCTTACACTATGGTCTCATATCAATATATTGATCAGTGTGTAATAATATTTTTTCTTTATAGGAGTAAATCAAATACAAATTGTGGAGGAGGCAACCATGGTTATAACAATGAGTTTAGGAGCATGGAGGTAACTTACTGCTTTTTTTTTTAACTTTTATTTTAAGTTCAGGGGTACATGTACAGAATGTGCAGGTTTGTTACATAGGTAAACATCTGTCATGGGGGTTTGTCATACAGATTATTTCATTACTCAGATGTTAAGCCTAGTTACTGCTTTTTTAAAACAGATATTTATTGCACACCTATTTTATTATAGGCAATGTTCAAGGTTCTTGAATACATCTGTGAACAAAACAGATTAAGATCCTGCCCTCACGAAGCTTTTATTCTAAGAGGGGGATACAGACAGTAGGAATAATAAAATAATACATTATTTGTTATGTCAGAAGGTAAATGCTGTGGGAAATAAAGAAAAAGTAAAGGAGAGTAAGGGAGAAATTGGGAGTATTTTGGGGTACCCTGGGGGGCAGTAAGAAACTTTAAATAGGGTGGAAAGAGTAAGAGTCATTGAGTTGACATTGAGCAGAGATTTGAAAAAGGTAAAAGAATTCGCCTTACAAATATTCAGGAGCCAAGTGTCCCAGGCAGGAGAAACAGCCACTGAAAAGGGCCAAAATTGGGAGTGTGCCTGAGTCTATGAGTAGAATGCAGCTGATAATCCCCCATAGGTAAAGCTTTGCAACCTGGTTATCTCATCTACTTCCATTTGTAACACACACACACACACACACACACACACACACACACACATTCCTTTCCAAATAGAAAAAAAAATGTATTAGGCCTTTTATGAATATGTTTCCTTTTATTATAACATTGTCATGGTGAGTTACATCTTTTTGTAAATATTTGAAAACGATCTCTGGAGAAAGAGCTTTACTATTAATTGGGGTACTATGTAATAGTTAAATTAATTATTGCAAGAAAAATCTATGCTTCCAATTCTTTGATCATTGTCTTAATATATGTATGTATATATACACCCACACCTGTTACCAAAACATAATTGCTTATCTGTGTTTGATATTTTTCTTCTAATTGTTTAAGTCTAAAATAATTTGATCTGTTATAAATAATATAATCAAGTTAACATTAATTAATTCAATGTAAACCAAAATATTGAGGTCTTTTTATCCCAAAAGTAAAAGAGAGAAGTGTAAGTGGAACAGGAAGTTAGACTTCATCTAAAAAAAAAAGTTAACATTTTGTGTCATGTTAACATATTCGATTAACATATTTGATTAATGATATGAAACAATATGAAAAGATAATATGATGTTATATGATTAAATTTCTACTAAATATTGTGCCCATATTGCAGAATTATGCTGATATTGGTTGTGTGCCATTGTTTGTATTCTCCTACTTTATTGGCACATGAGGTGCTATGGAGGTGGGTAGAGACAGAAGTAAATACAGCACTGATTATATTTGGTTGGGATTGGTACAACATTGCAGGTGGAAAAATATGAAAATCATTTTCAAAACTAAAAAAAAATTCCTTACAGAGGCCTAATACAAATAGGAGAGTAGTTACAGAAGGAAAATTTTGTCTCTTCCTATATTTGTTTTTGAATTTGGATGACATCTAATAATAATAATCTGACTATTATGACCTAGGCTATCTTTCTGGCACATGGACCCAGTTTTAAAGAGAAGACTGAAGTTGAACCATTTGAAAATATTGAAGTCTATAACCTAATGTGTGGTAAGTATATTTAAATAAGTTCGCCAACAAAATATGGATAGTTTTAAATATATGTGATTTGAAATTGGTAGCAAACTGAATCCCAGAGGCTGGATGCTCTGTAGTGAGAAGGCAGAAAGTAAAAAAGATAAGGAAGAATTATTCATTATTCAGAATTATTCAGCTATAAGAGTGAATTCTTTTTGTTTTACTAGTAATGATAAACTTTATTTTCATTTTTGAGATGGAGTCTTGCTCTGTCACCCAGGCTGGAGTGCAGTGGTGTGATCCTGGCTCACTGGAACCTCCGCCTCCCAGGTTCAAGTTATTCTCCTGTCTCAGCTTCCCAAGTAGCTGGGATTACAGGTGTGAACCACCAGGCCCGGCTACTTTTTTTTGTATTTTTTGTAGAGATGGTGTTTCACCATGTTGGCCAGGCTGGTCTCAAACTCTTGACCTCAAGTGATCTGCCCACCTTGGCGTCTCAAAGTGCTAAGATTACGGGCATGAGCTACCATGCCCAGCCAGTAATGATAAACTTTAGATCTCAGAAGACCAACCTTTTCTATTAGTTAGTTACTAGATGATAATTTAATTTAATAAAACTTAGGTAAATAATACTTCCAACTTTTCAAAGCAAGACAAACTTACCTAAAAACACAAACATTTTCTTGTAATTACAGAGAGAAGCTCTCTGGCATAAAAACATGGGAAAAAAGTCCTAGCTGGATAGACACTTGTTATTATACTCAATGTTAAAAAACCTTAAAGCATTAGGATTTTAGGAAGCCTAACCTACCTTCCTACCTACGTGCTTGTTGCAGGCCATTGTATTAACAAATCATTTATTTACCTAGCAAGGCAATGAGTAAGCTGCAATTTCGCTGTTAGCTTTAGAAATTTGGACATAAACATGCTTACAACTCTCTCTCTTAATGTTGTCACTGGTTTGTGGTAATTGAATGTGACTTAGAGACCAAAAGGTATTCAGTTTTTAAAATGGTGTGTTGTAGGCTTAACAACTTACATTCTTGTTCCACATGGCTAGGTTTATGGTCTGGACTGTTGGCCCTTTGCAGAACTGGTTAAAAGGAACTACATAGGACTGCAGTTCCAGGAGAGATCTGTTAGGTAGCAGGCAGTCAGCAGGAATTACTTAAAAGGCTATGTTGGTGAAATATTTGTATGTTTCATAGAAACATACAAACATGCAAATTGTATGTTTCTATGAAACATACAAATACATTTTGTATTATGTATTTTCATAGAAAAAAATGAAGAAAAGCTCTCCTAATATTAAGCAAAATTCACTAGTTCCATTTTTTAAAAGTGTCTATCTTTAGAGAATAAATGTACTACAAGGAAGATTATAAATTATTTATTGAAACTTGCTTTTATTAAGAATATAGCTTTTTATGCTAGAAAATCATGATATGCTTACGAAACAAAGTGGTGATTTAAGGAAGCTTTTCTTTGGAGAAACAGAAACCATTCATGAAAGTTCCTCTGGCTCATCTGCAGCAACTGTTCCTATTCCTCATTTGTTTCAAGAGATGGAGTTTCAGTATGTCGCCTAAGCTGGCCTCAAACTCCCAGGCTCAAGCAAGCCTCTTGCCTCAGCTTCTTGAGTAGCTGGGACTACAGGTGCACTGCCGCACCTGGCTAGTTCTATTCTTTAGCAAGACTAGTGATTGAAACCATGGAGAAGAAAGTCAGTAAACTGAATGGCATATAGAGTACATAGCTTCGTTACAGCAGAATTTATTAAAGGGAGTGAAAGAGTAGGTGTTTGTTTCTTCCCATCTCCCACAGAGGAGTTGTTGCTTTCCAGTGTAAAGCTACTTTGAACTAATTTTTTCAAAAAACAGATCTTCTACGCATTCAACCAGCACCAAACAATGGAACCCATGGTAGTTTAAACCATCTTCTGAAGGTGCCTTTTTATGAGCCATCCCATGCAGAGGAGGTGTCAAAGTTTTCTGTTTGTGGCTTTGCTAATCCATTGCCCACAGAGTCTCTTGACTGTTTCTGCCCTCACCTACAAAATGTAAGTAACAACTTCATGCATCCATAAGAACGTAAAGGGGCAAGCTATTCTTAACCTGGGTAGCTGACAACTGGGGTAGCAACAACCAGGTTTGTGTTCCGCCTTGGATATTTACTTAGTAAATATATGTGGTTTCTCTGAACCTTACCTGGAAACGAGAAGTGAGAATGCATACATTGTAAGATTAAGTAGGGAAATATGCTTTATAAACTGGAAAGCACTGTTTGGTAATTGTTAATGTCATTATAAACTAACTGTCCTTCACCATTCAATACAGTAATCTTCGAGCTCTCTCCAACTTTCCTTATAAACCATTCTTCCTGCGGTTTATGAATCAGATGTTCATGCCTGGTTATTTAGAGCAGAAAGAACTAGGAGGGTGTAGGGATTGCAGCCTGCTGTTTGACATACCCACTAGGGTAGGTGCTGCGGGGTGTTCCTTTGGGTAGCAGGGAAGAATCTGGCTGACAGTTGACACTGGGAAGGTCTTTTTAGTAGATTAGGCCCTTGGATGAGTTCAAGAGCAGGACTTCAGATCCCAGGAGACTTTCAATAAGGTGAGGTTTTAGTGCTAGGAGAGGCCCCAAGGGCAAGGAGTCATAACAGCAGCTCAAAATATAAGGACCAAGCCTACTTGTGAGAATCAGAGCGCCTGGATGGGGTTGGGATTTCAGAGTGAAATTGGAGCCCCGTTATCAGGAGTCCTTAAAGCTAAAATTAATGTCAAGGGTCATTTGATGCCAAGTTCCAAATGTGTTTGTAGAACTAAATAAAAACACCTGCTGCCTCAGGTAAGAATTTTTCCTTATAGTCAGAAGTAGGTGAAGACATCACAATCTCTATTCTTCAAAATAGCATTATACCACAGAAATAAATAACCAACCAAAGGGGCTTTACAGGACAAAAGCTTAGCAAACTTCTCAATGAAGATCAAATCCACAGCAAAGATCAGAGTAAGGGTGTGGGTTTCCTACCGACTGCTCCTGATAACCTCAATCAAACTGCCATTAAAAAATAATAATAACATTACTTACTAGGTATATTATTTCTCATTTTAGAGATAAAACATGCTCAGAGAAGTTAGATAAATTGTTCGAGGCCAGAGAAGCTTGTTCTATCTGGCTGCAAACCCCAAGTTCTATGTAAAGAATGCCTCTTGCTATTCAGAGTGTGGTCTCAGGACCACCATCTGCATCACTTGCAAATTGGTTAGAGATGCAGAATCTCAAGCCCTACCCTAGGTTTACTGAACCAGAATCCGTATTTTAACAAAACCCTCAAGTGATTGTATGCATATTAAAGCTTAAGGAGCACTGGGATGTTGTCACCCAACTTAGTCATTGATTCCAGCAGTAATCAGAATGCTTTGCCCCATTATCAATTATCTTTTTGCAAATTCTCTCTCTCTCTCTCTCTCTCTCTCACACACACACACACACACACACACACAATAGGGAGCAGTAGTGTCTCTATATTTCTGAATAGTGGCAGAATCAGAATCTTAAGTTAGGCTAGCTTCTTTGGCAGTATAACATTTAATCGATTACTACAGAAACAATCTTGATTACCCCTTAAAACACATATTGTTGCTTTGACTTATTTCCTCCCCTTTCCCATCCCTCATTATCTTGCAGAGTACTCAGCTGGAACAAGTGAATCAGATGCTAAATCTCACCCAAGAAGAAAGTAAGTCAATAGAAAACATGTTAAGTCTTTGATATTTAGACCTAACAAAACACAATGTGGCCCTTTTAGGACTCTCCAAAATAAGCTGACAGAGGTTCCTGAACATAAAGATTTTATTGCCAATATACAAAAGGTAAAAAAAAAAAAACTCACAACAGATATAATGACAACAGTACAAGCATGGGGTAGTTCCAGTGGTTCCAGGAACAAAACGAATTCCTTGAAGAGGTTGTGACTCATCTGCAGTCCTCTGTTTCCTTTCCTTAGATGTAAGCAGACTGAGCTGCCTGGGTTTGAGTCCTACCTCTGGTGCTTCCTGGCTGTGTGAGCTGGGGCAAATCACTTAGCCTCCCTGTGCCTCAGTCTTCTCATCTGTAATAACCGTACTCACCTCATGTAGTTGTAAAAATTTAAAAAGTTAATACATGGAAAGAATTTACAATTGTGCCTGGCCTGTAGCAATATTATTATTACCTGTTATCTTTTAAGTATTCTTGTATTAAACTCACTCTGTTTCAGTTTCATCGCTTATAAGGGGATACCTACTTTATACAGTTGCTGTGAAGATTACATGAGTTAATATATGTGCCTGGTTTACAGTTAAGAGCTTAGTAAATGTACTAGTTGTTTTGATAATCTTATAATCTGCCAAGTGTTATTCCATGGCATGAATAGCCTGCAGGTTTTTTATCCATCACTAATTGATGGATTTTTAAGAAGCATGCAAGTAAAAGTAAATAAATACATTAGAATGTTGTTTTAGTCCATTCCAATTGCTATTAGGTTGGTGCAAAATTAATTGTGTTTTTTTCTATTAAAAGTAATGGCAAAAAACAGCAGGGCATGGTGGCTCACACCTGTAATCCCAGCACTTTGGGAGGCTGAGGCAGACAGATCACTTGAGGTGAGGAGTTCAAGACCAGCCTGGCCAACATGGTGAAACCCCGTCTCTACTAAAAATACAAAAAAAAAAAAAAAAAAATTAGTTGGGCATGATGGTGCACCCTTGTAATCCCAGTTACTCAGGAGGAGGCTGAGGTAGGAGAATCACTTGAACCCAGGAGATGGAGGTTGCAGTGAGCTGAGATCATGCCACTCCACTCCAGCTTGGGTGACACAGCAAGACTTGGTCTCAAAAGTAATGGCAAAAACCACAATTACTTTTGCTCCAACCTAATATAACAAGATGCCATAGACTGGGTAGCTTATAAACAACAGAAATTTACTTCTCATAGTTCTGGAGGCTGGGAAACCCAAGATCAAGTTGCCAGCAGATTTGGTTTCTGATGATGGCCTGATTCCTCATAAAGGGCCTTCTTCTCACTCTGAGCTCGTATAGTGGAAGGAGTGAAGGTGTCCCTAGGGTGTCTTTGATGAAAGCCCTAATCCTGCTCATGGGGGTCTTATATCATGCCTTAATCACCTCCTAAAGGTCCCACCTCCTAATACCATCACCTTTGGGATTAGGATTTCAATGTATACGTTTTAGAGACACATAAACATTCTGATTATAAGACATAAGTTTATAAAATTCCAACATCTTCCCTATGACAATTACTAGACTAGGTCATCTTTGTTACAAAGTATGTACTTTTGACTTTGAAGGTTTTACCTCTTCATGTATATCCTCTGAGCTGTAAAATGTAAGGAATCACAGAGGGCAGGCTTCAGATCCTTGCTTAGGCTCTTGCTTGGCCAACTTACTTATGTAAACCTTAGTTTTATAATCTGTAAAATGGAGTAATAACACCAATATTATTATTATTATTTTTAATAATTATACATTGGATTGTTGTAAGAATTGAAAGAGGTTAAATATGTAAAATATTTGTTAGAGTACTTGTCATATAATAAGCCATAAGAGAGTGGTAGTTATTATATGGGTAGTTATTACATGCAAAGAAGCATTTGCTAATTTCATGAACCTTTTTATTTTATGTTATTTTAATTTTAGTAACAGCAACAGTGAAAGTAAATTTGCCATTTGGGAGGCCTAGGGTACTGCAGAAGAACGTGGACCACTGTCTCCTTTACCACAGGGAATATGTCAGTGGATTTGGAAAAGCTATGAGGATGCCCATGTGGAGTTCATACACAGTCCCCCAGTTGGTAAGTTCCTGAGTCCATTGATCCATGCAGGCAAGAAATATTTATAATCCTTTCATATTCTAAGAGTTGAATTTTGTTTTGCAGCAGAGATTCAAAGGGAGGGAACTCACTGGCCTGTAGCTTGCAAGACAATGTGCAAGTATTAGATAAAGGTTGTTATAGGTGCTACACGGGTGCAAAAGAGGAACACATTGTGTTTTACCTGGAGAAAATGGAAAATGTTTACAGGCCAATTGGCCAATTGGTAAGGCAGGTAGAAAAGGACATTTTAAACAGAAGCAACAGGAAGTACAGAGGAATACTATTCATTTAAGATTCCCCATGTACATCATGGGTGCATGTAGAAGGTGATGATAACTAGATTATAAAGGGCTTTGTATTTATTTGATTATTTAACAAGTACTTTACTATTTGTTGTGTGTTATAGTAGGCACCAAATATACAAGGTGAATAGGCATAGTTCTTCTCTGAAGGATCTGGCACTCCAGTAAGTCAGACTAGACTTACATGGGACAAATGCATTATGTCACAGATCTCCAGGCTGAGGTTGAGGTCCACTTGTTTAAAGCCCCTTCCCTCTTCACTGTCTGGCATATTCTCTTGCACTAAGTAGTACCAGGACAGTCAACTACCCTTCAGGAAGAAAACAGTAGATCCCTACCTCACACCACACACAAAATTAAATTTCTGGTGGATTTGTAGACCTAAATAGGAACCGCAAGTCCATATTCCCTTTGTGCATATCTTTATGATCTTGTGATAGAGAAGGCTTTCTCAGGAGACAAGAAGAACAACATTAAAAATGCAGAGGAAATTGATTAGACTACATAAACATTAATGTATGACAAAATAACAAAGTTGTAGATGGAACAATATATCTGCATTGCATATAAGAAACAAGTTATGAGTATCCAGAACAGTAATTAGATTCAGAATAGCTAATAAATTTCCACCAATCAACAACAGAATGACAAGCATCTTAGTTACTACATGAACAAAGGATAGGAGCCAAGCAATTGAATCACAATTCAGGAATATGCAATAAGGAAAATGTAAATTAAAACAAAACTTAGGGCCAGGCACAGTGGCTTATGCCTGTAATCCCAGCACTTTGGGAGGCCGAGGCAGGTGGATTACCTGAGGTCAAGAGTTTGAGACTAGCTTGACCAACATGGTGAAACCTCATCTCTACTAAAAACACAAAATTAGGCAGGCGGGGTGGCATATGCCTGCAATCCCCGCTACTTGGGAGGCTGAGGCAGGAGAATCGCTTGAACCCGGGAGGTGGAGGTTGCAGTGAGCCAAGATCGCGCCATTACACTCCAGCCTGAGCAACAACAGTGAAAGTCCATCTCAAAAAAAAAAAAAAAAAAAAAAACAGCAACAAAACTTTAAAGTATGCCTAAAGTCAGTCCAAACACTTCTCTGGGGCAGGGATGATTTTATTTAATGCATCCTCAGCACAATAGAATTGTCCAGTAAGTGCTTATTGAATGAAACGCATTGAATGAATTAACCACAATCATTATTTTTAGACTTTTAAAGACAAAGCTATACCACCCACCACATGGGTAAATAATCAGGGAGCTGTTTCTGTAGAGAAAATCTTAGTATTTTAGATCCAGAGACTGATGACAAACTTATAGCTATTAATGTTTTTGCTAAGAGTACCACCTCTTTTATGGAAAGGAAATAATTGATTGCATAGGTTTACCTACTCTTCCTGTTCCAATTCAAAATTTTTGGAGAAAGATAAGCATATTTTCCTACTACTAATTAAAACTTTGTATATTCTGAAAGCCAGCTCTGTTGCTGTCAATGGTTCGATTGTGGTCACTGGTAACAGTACTAATGTTTGTTTGCCAGTGTGGGCAAATATTTTACCAACAGTTACCTGAGTTCATATGGACGGTTGGTGCAACATTACTTTCTTAATATGCACAGTGTTCAGTTCGTGATTTTCTTCAACACACAACATTCCACAAAATAACTTCTATTTTGTTATTGTTTTCGAGAGGAGTGGCATACTCAGGGTCAGTCCTATTATTTAATTTTCTATTTTGAAAATTCCAGGTATGAGGGGTTGTGTGGCATTAAAGGGAATGTTTATGTTTTTAGTACTTTTCCCCTGCTGTCTTGCATTCTTGAATTTTTATGAGCTTTGGCGGAAACCAAAGGCGGAGAGATTCTAAGTGGGCTCAGACTAGGAGTTTAATACAATT
Source organism: Homo sapiens (assembly GCF_000001405.40). Taxonomy (NCBI): domain Eukaryota; kingdom Metazoa; phylum Chordata; class Mammalia; order Primates; family Hominidae; genus Homo; species Homo sapiens. The sequence continues at coordinate 131,728,423 of NC_000006.12, forward strand.
CTTCTTTGTTATTGTTTTAAAACTAGCTTCCTTGTTACCAAAAGTTCCTGTCCTTTCACTGATCCCACAGAAGTACTTGTGTATTTCTCCTTCCCTGTGACAGGATGGAATTCTAGCAATTTTCTGCTTTCTAATTCAGAAATTACTCTGTTAGTGTGTTGTGGTTCAAGAAAATTACATACAAGGATGTTTTGGGATTCACATAAAAATGTTGTAAATCAGCTCTGTGTTTCAAAAAATCAGGCTTAAATAAGCACTTTTTGGAACATGGACCCAATTGGTCTTAGCCTTTAAGATTTATAGAGCTTTTGTTTTTCTGTGGTTTTGGTGGGTTTTGTAATTTTTGTTGTATCTCAGAAGAGTTCTGGGGAAGTAGTTGTGATTTGAAATCATGGTCGTAGAACAGCTGATTCAAAACCATTAAGGTTAGTCAGACCATACATAGATTTTGCTTCTGGGCCTGTTCAGAAGGAAGATATGCACTAGTGTTCCTGTTGCTAGGTGATAAATTGAAAATAAGAGCAAGAATTGTGATTACTGTTTAAAATAGGTATTTCAGAATTTAATATGAAATCAAATAACTTTTCAGAGTAGAAATCTAGTGTACTTTGAAAAATGCCTCTCTGTCTCCCTATGTATCTATGTATCTCTCGCTCTATTTACCTATCTATAGCTATATGTCTATCTATCTGTCAATCTACACACATATCATTCCATGTTAAAAAGCCTTTTTTCTTGTTTCTAAAGATTATTTTGTGAGTCTTTGAAACAGGGGCATTATTGTGTGTTGCAAACATTTTTGAACTATGAAAGAATTATTTTTCCCTGTAGAAAATAAATCATACAACCAAATAATTAAAAACATACATAGTTATTATCCTTACCGTAAGGCAAAATTGTAACTATCTAATCTTCAAACAAGTAGGTTTTAGCTTGTACATTCAGCCTACAGGTAAGAAGCATCTGTAACTTCAATAGAAATAATTTTATCCTCTGTTCAGGTTCTACTTTGTTTCAATGCCAGACTAAAAGTACAAGCAGCTCACGTTCCTGTCTATACTCATCATTTACTTCTCCAGTAAGATTTTGAGAGCTAAAAAGTTCATATTTTATCTGAGTGTCTGAATTATATTTATTGCTTTCCTGACTTTCTATTCCGTTGCTTCAAAAATTCCAGGGAACTCTGATAGGATGGCAGGATTGAAGCTGTTTATGTGTTGGAGGCGGGGTGGTGGTGGTGGTGGTTCACTAAAGCCTTTTTTATTATAGAAAGGACCTTCCTGTACCTCCCCTCCATCCTTCTAATGGGCTGCCTATTGCATAATCTCGCCTGGATAAAGGAGGCCACATCCTCATTCCTAGTACTGATGCACTTTTATTTGAGGGTTCAAGTTTGGTATGTAAGAAATAAATCTCAAGATTTTCGGTTAGCAGAAAATGTGACTTTTTTTTTTTAGTACTTTCTGGCTGAAGCTATCCCAGTTCATTTCCCCCAGCACAAAGTCTAAGCTACTTTGAGAACATGGTAAATATTTTGACCAACTAAGTTGTTTAAGCACAACTTTTACAGCCACAGCCTCATTAAAAATTACAATAAACTTTCTTCGTTAACATTTTTATAATTTTAACTGTTAAATATAAGCATCTCAATTTCCTTACATTATGGAAAATGCATTTAGGGCTACATTTATATACTGTATATTTCTTCAAGTAAAACTTACTAATGTGAAATGTTTGAGTACAACGATAAAGATGTGTGTTAGGAAATATCAAACTCACAATATACCAGCGGTCTATGGGGCCAACTTGGTCAGCAGTCACCATTCCTTATTTTCTAATTTTACAACATACTTACGTAGCCCTTATACCAAGTGGAGAAACCTGGTCACTCAGAACTGTATACTATGATATGTTTTTGAAAGAATATAAACAAATGCTTTTAGCTTTCCAGACTCTGCCACCTGAAGGAGAGTGAAATAAATGGTGAGAACTCATCCAACACATTTAGCACAAACGTCTTCGTATTTCTTGGTTTACTTCTTGTTTTGGTGGACTATATCACTCAGGAGCTTCCTGAGAAAGAAAAAGGGGAAGATACATTCTTGAGAGTTTTTGTGTCTCAACATGTTTTTACTCTGCCTATACACTTAATTGGTGTTTTAGCTGGTTTCAGAATTTTAGAAATAATTTTTCTTCAAAATTAGTAAGACAGGTCAAGCGCAGTGGCTCACGCCTGTAATCCCAGCACTTTGGGACGCTGAGTGGATGGATCACCTGAGGTCAGGCGTTTGAGACCAGCCTGGCCAACATGGCAAAACCCTGTTTCTACTAAAAATACAAAAATTAGCTGGGCGTGGTGGCGCATGCCTGTAATCCCAGCTACTTGGGAAGCTGAGGCAGGAGAATCAGTTGAACCCAGGAGGCAGAGGTAGCAGTGAGCCAAGATTGTGCCATTGCACTCCAGCCTGGGCCAGATAGTGAGACTCCATCTCAAAAAAAAAAAAAAAAAATTAGACTTCCTGGGCTGATTCTCTAATGTGTTTGAATTTTTCCTATTTTTCCCATCTCTTTGTCTTTAATTCCACCTTTTGAGTCACGTCTGCAACTTCATCCTCTAGATCTTATTGAGTGTTTTCTTTTGGCTGTCGTATTTTGAAATCCCAAGAGCTCTTTCTGTTACCTTTTCTCTTTTTAAACATTGCCTCTGTTCCTTCTTTATGGATGCCATATATACTCTCAGCTCTCTGAGAAAAGAGTTTTCTTCTGGCTTCTGCATTGTCTCTTTTTCTTCTCCCTTATTCCCCAGTGTCTAGTGGTCCTTGGCTGTCAGCTTCTATTTTAAGAGTTAGGCACTAAACTATATGGCTGGGTCTTTCCAGTCTATAAGCTTCACTATAGGTTGATCAGGAAGAGAACCAGCCATTTTGTTGAGGACTCCAAACTGACAGTATCTAGTTTCTTTTCAGGCTGGTTGTTTTCCAAAGAGAGGATACTTCTAATCTGACTCAGCATATACAATTTTCAGGCTAAATGGGCAATGAGATTGGGGAATCTTATCATTCAGCAATAGAGTTTTGTTTAATCTCATTTCTTTCAGTATGGTGCACCTGCTCTTGGCTGTGCCTTGTGTCTTTTAGTCTGATCATCCCTCTGGTTTAAACTCTCCAGAGAGTAAACATACTGTCTATCCCTTTTTGCAGACTTTTTCAATCTATCCTCTATTTCCAGCCTTATGCGAACTCCTGTCTTTAGGACTCCAAGTTCTACCCTTCTGGGGTTCTACAGTAGGACTTCCTTGGTGCTTTTCCCAAACATAAGCTCTTGGTAGTCAGTGTTTACTGGTCTACTAAATCACGTTATTATTTATCTGATTTCCAGCTTCTGAATGTTCCCTGTCATCTCTTGTGTGTTTTCATTATTACTGTCTTCTTAATGGAATTTTAGAAGGGAGCAAGATAAATGTATGTGTTTAATCAATTTGAGAAGTTTTCTAGCTGGAGCTTTGTAGTATGTTAGGGAGTACAGTCTCTGCTTTGCTTTTTCTGGACTTTTCTCATCTTCAGCTCCTACTTGTTCTATACCTCAGCATGGTGCTCTCCTGGCTACAAAGACAGCATACAGTGTATGTTGCCTCTTCCTTTGTGAATTGAACTCAGAGGTTTCAGACAACATAGCTAATTTTGCTTTCAGCACAATGCAGTGAATAAAGGAAGGTCATCCTAATTTAACTTAATCTTCATTTTTTTATAAATTATTTCAAATTTTATTAAGAAAGATATCCATTATGGGCAGTAGAGAGCATACAAATCAAAATGTCTGAGAAAAATAAACAAATAGCAAAATGTTCACTTACCCATGATTATATGCTAATCAAAATATGATGACCACATAATATAGTATTACCTTAAATACTCGAGTTAGGCAGCACATTTACAGGATGTCCTCTTGGTAAATAAATTATTGTACTAGTCTTTAAATAGGGCTACAAAGAAATTATTATTATTTTTTAAGACGGAGTCTCTCTCCGTTGCCCAGGCTGGAGTGCAGTGGCACGATCTCAGCTGACTGCAACCTCCACCTCCCAGGTTCAAGCAATTCTCATGCCTCAGCCTCCCGAGTAGCTGGGATTACAGGCACCCACCACCACACCTGGCTGATTTTTGTATTTTTAGTAGAGATGGGGTTTCACTATGTTGAACCTCGGACTCTTGACCTCCAGTGATCCACCCGCCTCAACCTTCTAAAGTGCTGGGACTACTGGCATGAGCCACCAAGCCTGGCCTAAGACATTATTATTATTATTATTATTATTATTATTATTATTATTATTTTCAGATGGAGTCTCACTCTGTCACCCAAGCTGGAGTGCAATGGCCCAGTCTCAGCTCACCTCCGCCTCCCGGTTCAAGCGATTCTCCTGCCTCAGCCTCCAGAGTAGCTGGGATTACAGGTGCCCGCCACCATACCTGGCTAATTGATGTATTTTTAGTAGAGACGGGGTTCACCATGTTGGCTAGGCTGGTCTTGAACTGCTGACCTCGTGATCTGCCTGCCTCGGCCTCTCAAAGTGCTGGGATTACAAGCATGAGCCACTGAGCCCGGCCTGGCCTAAGAAATTATTTTAAAAATTCTTATATTTCATGATGAATGAAGCATGGCTGTAAATTTATTTATATTCAAAACTAATTTGTTTAGACAACTACACCTTCTTTGAATTAATCTTAGGTTGATAAAAAGTTCTTGAACAGCTGAAGAATAATATATCAATACTTAGTTTATATCAATATTTTAAAAGTAAATACATTTTACTTTCAATTTTTATTTAAAAGTACAATATACATCACCACATAAAAGTTAGATCTTGAAAAGGATTTTAGTTTTTAGGAATAGTTCCCATTATTCCTCTGCTCTCAATTCAGGTTTCACTGTGCAAATATTTTTTTCCAAGGTGTATTTGATTTGCCCTCCCGATGTCCTTAACCAGAAGGGAACCACAGAAGAAAACACTGCTGAAGACATCCATTCTCATTGCTTGCGTAGACCTGATTCACTAAGAAAATAGGAAAAGCTTAAATGAAAAACATTCTAGGGAAGTGACAAACCATATAAGGCAATGGGTGAGCCGCAATTGTGGGCGTAATTTTTTTCTCTCTCTCTTTGAACAGGGAGACACATCGCCTCTGCCTCCCACTGTCCCAGACTGTCTGCGGGCTGATGTCAGGGTTCCTCCTTCTGAGAGCCAAAAATGTTCCTTCTATTTAGCAGACAAGAATATCACCCACGGCTTCCTCTATCCTCCTGGTTAGTAGAACTCTTTTTTAGAGCAGTAGCTTAGAAAGCTCTCATCAGCTGGATGTGGGCATGTGCCTTAAACATATACTCCCCACCAAAACTACCTGCTTGGGTAAGCTAGCTGCCTGAGAGGCTTCCAGTGGTTGTGGCTGGCCAGAGCAGCACAGCGGCTGTAATAAAGACTAAGACATTTTGCAGTGGGACCCACACAGCAGCTCTCATCTGGCCCAGATGTTTAGAGAGTTCGGCAGGTTTAAGTTTAATTTTAAAACTGGAGATTCTTTGCAGAAGGACACAAACATCTAAAAACCCATTTCTTCTGACTCCTGCCCAAGCTAAGGTCCACCTGGAGAATACAGCTGTGCCCGTGAAAAGAAATCAGGCTGGGTGCTCGCTTTGGCAGAACATGTACTAAAATAGGAATGATACAGAGAAGGTCACCTAGTAAAATAAAATAAAATAAAAAAAGAAATCAGGCTGGAATTTTGGCCTGTCGCTCATGCTGTAGGGCTAACAGTTTTAAACTGCAGGTGAAGTAGCCAAATGAAATTTAAGTTTTTGTTGTTGTTGTTGTTGTTGTTTTCAGAAAGAATCTCTCTTGGGAACCTGCCAAAGCTAGTGTGATTTTCCTAAAACTCAAGCCACTTCCCTGTGCAACAGGAAACGTCATTTTTATTAACTTGCCTATGAGATTTTCAACAATTTCACCTTCTTAGAGATTTGTAATTTAAAGATTCCGAAATGTATAATGGGCAAAAAGGTTTAATGAAAGCAAGTAGCGTTATCAATTTAAAACTCCTGAGTTAGGATAAATTAACTGATAAATTTTATGTATCTAGATACAATCAGGGGGTACCAAATTTATGTAAGCCCTGTGATAAACATTAAAAATTTGCAACAGGCTGGGTGCGGTGGCTCACGTCTGTAATCCCAGCACTTTGGGAGGCCAAAGTGGGTGGATCACCTGAGATCAGGAGTTCGAGAACAGCCTGGCCAACATGGTGAAACCCTGTCCCGTCTCTACTAAAAATAGAAAAATTAGCTGGGTTTGCTGGTGCGCACCTGTAATACCAGCTATTCAGGAGGCTGAGGAATGAGAATGGCTTGAACCCGGTAGGTGGAGGTGCAGTGGGCCGAGATTGAGCCACTGACTCCAGCCTGGGTGACAGAGTGAGACTCTGTCTCAAAAAAAAAAAAAAAAGTTGCAACATTTTATTAATAAAATATTTGAAATTTGTGTATAAAATTGTATCTGTTAGGCCATAAGATATTAGTTAATACATCAATGTTTGCCTGACAAGGAATAAAATTAATAATTAAACAACTTGTCTCAAAAAATTAAGGATACGGCCAGACACGGTGGCTCATGGTCATAATCCCAGCACTTTGGAAGGTCGAGGCAGGAAGATCACAGGCTCAGGAGTTTGAGACCAGACTGGGCAACATAGTGAGATCTTGTCAGTTAAAAAAAAAAAATCAAGGATAAAATTAAACTCTCTTCTAACTCTCCAGTATAAATTCCAATTATTTGTTAAAAATAGAAGTTCTATTACTAGCACGTTCTTATTTTCCTCTAAAACAGAGGTAATGTTATGTTGATTGACTTTCCAACTTTCAGGGCTTAGTTAAAAAGGTAGAAGAGGCTTTTTGTGGAGTCTGAGAACTACAAACACCATATGAAATCTGAAGAAAAAAGAGCTACTTGTTTCTTCTTGTCTTTTGGTGCCTACTTATTGGCCTCTCATTGAATAATTAGTTACCCAGGCAGGATGGTGCATGCCTGTAATCCCACCTACTCGGGAGGCTGAGGCAGGAGGATCGCTTGAGTCCAGGAGTTCGAGATCAACCTGGGTAAAATGGCCAGACTCTGCCTTAATAGTAATTAAAAAAAATAATTAGTTAAGATATCCAAGTACAGTTTAAGTATAAAAAGTATTATAATAGAAAATTCATATAAGTGGAATTGTGCACTATATGTGTTTCTGTGACTGCCTTATTTCACTCAATGTCCTCAAGTTTCATTCATGTTCTTATATATTACAGAATCTAAAATAGTCAAATTCATAGAATCAGAGAGTGAAATGGTGGTTGCTGGGGGCTGGGGGAGGGAGAAATGGGGAGTTCCTAATTAATGGGCGTAAAGTTTCAGTTAAGCAAGACAAATAAGCTCTGGGGATCTTCTGTACAGTATTGTACGTAGAGTCAACAGTACTATACTATATACTTAAAAAATTGTTAACAGAGTAGATTTCATGTTAAGTGTTCTTACCAAAATGAAATCAAATGAAAAAGGATTTGAATAAACATTTACAGGTTTGCAGCTTTTAATCCTCACAATAATTCTATGAGATAGATGCCATGAGACAAATGAAGCACAGAGGGATGCAGCACTTTGCCCGAGGAGTGCAGCTGTGAGCAGCGGAGCTGGGGTTCCCACTTGGGCTGTCTGCTTCCAGAGCACCCTCGCTGAACACTCACTGTGCTAGACAGCACAGCCATAAATCCTCAGAGCCCATGATTTGTGGTGTTCCCTTCAGCAGTCTCTATTAGTCAGTTCTCATACTGCTAATAAAGGCATACCTGAGACTGGATAATTTATAAAGAAAAGGGGTTTAATGGACTCACAGTTCCACATGCCTGGCGATGCCTCACAATCATTAGGGAAGACAAAGGAAGAGCAAAGAGATATCTTACATGGCTGCAGGCAAGAGACAGCGTGTGCAGGGGAACTCCTCTTTATAAAACTATCAGATCTCGTGAGACTTATTCACTATCACGTGAACGGCATGGGAAAGACCTGCCCCCATGATTCAATTACCTCCCACAGGGTCCCTCCCACAGCACGTGGGAATTATAGGAGCTACAATTCAAGATGAGATTGGGGGGGACACAGCCAAACCATATCAGTCTCTATCAAGTAAAAACTCATTTTCTTCAGAAAATTTTATTTTGGAAGACAGCTATCTATAATAACATTATTATTTTGTGCACATCCAATAACTACCCATTTATATCTGGCATTCTGTTTGTTTCCTAGGGCTGCTGGAACAAATTACCAAAAAAGGTTGACTTAAAACAAAAATGTATTATCTCACAGTTCTGGAGGTCAGAAGGCTAAAGTCAAGGTGTTGACAGCCATGTTCTTTTTGAAGGCTCTAGGGGAAAATCCTTCCTTGTCTCTCCCAGCTTCTGGTGGCTCCAGGCATTGCTTGGCGTGTACTGGTATCACTCAAACCTCTGCCTCCATCTTCACAAGACCTTCTCCCCTGTGTTTCTCCTCTTCCCAAATCTCCTTCTCCTTATTAAGACACTAGTCACTGGATTTACAGTCCACCCTAAATCCAGGATAATCTCATCTAGAGACTCCTAGCTACATCTGCAAAGACCTATTTCCAAATAAGTTTATATTCACAGGGATGAAAGGAATGGTTAGGACTTGGATGTATCTTTTTTGGATCACACTTCAACCCACTACAGGCATAAAACTGCCTGCATTATTAACAACCTCTGTTAGAAAGTACTACTTCTGTGCTTTGACTGTTAATAAATTTATATTAATATGTAATAGTAGTATGCCTGTTGTGCAGTATGTCATATTTTCTCTTATAGCTAGATCTAATAAGATCCATTTGTTTTGCAGCCAGCAATAGAACATCAGATAGCCAATATGATGCTTTAATTACTAGCAATTTGGTACCTATGTATGAAGAATTCAGAAGTAAGTATGAATTTAGAGTATTAATTTTAAAATAGTTAAGTGACTCCTTGAACTTCCAAACTAAACACATATTTTTTTAATTGCAATTTGTTCCTGATATTAAGGGTCATTTTGTTCTAATGGTTTAAATATAGGTATAGGAAGGATCCCTCACATAGTTTCTTTTCAACTTACTTTGACTTTGAGTGACTTGTTGCTAGAATTCTGATAATTTGTTTTTAAGCCTTAATTTGATTACTGCCACTCACTAAAAGTAAATCAAATGTAAATGTTTATCCCCAGAGTAATAATTAATAAGGCAACATGTGTGTTCTGATCATTTTTAACACTCGCTGTCCCATAAGCAACTCAGCCCTAGGGAGAAATTTGAAGGCATATTTAACTGTAATTTCAAGACAATAACTACAAAAACAAAAAGCTATCATCAATGTGGCTGTTTATTTTTGCTTGTGAAGCCTATTCTGGAGAATTACCCAATCATCACTGGCAATTATTAAGGCAGAATTTCATGTTATTTAAATGTACTTGTCTATAATAGAAAATAGTGTCATATTTCACTGAAGTGGACATTTTAAACACTTTATGATTTTATTTTTAGAAATGTGGGACTACTTCCACAGTGTTCTTCTTATAAAACATGCCACAGAAAGAAATGGAGTAAATGTGGTTAGTGGACCAATATTTGATTATAATTATGATGGCCATTTTGATGCTCCAGATGAAATTACCAAGTAAGTGATTTGACTTTTTGATTTATCAATAGGGTCTCATGAGGGGAAATTCCAATATTTTAAGTAAAGCTCAGTATTTTAAATATTACATAATACATTCACAGACAAATGTTATTGTTGACTATTTTCAATCTAGTCTATCTAAATATTTAGGAAAGCTTATATTGCAAAAAATTTAAACTAATGGGCAAAGAAAACACTTCCTGGAAAAGTTTAGCAAAATTTTATTTGGAAAATTGCTGAATTAATGGGCAAAGATAACATGAAATTTTGTAAAGGCTAAGGAGGTAGACAAAACTTGATGTACTATCAATGAGTATAAAACCAATCCAACAGTAAATGAAAAAAAAGTCGAGTAAAGGCTAAGGTAAATTTTACAAGAATAGTGAAAAGTCAAGTAAAGACTAAGGTAAATTTTACAAGAATAGTGAACAGTTCATAAAAGCACTTCCCAGGAGACAATGTAGGTAAATTTCATGCAGAGAACTAGTCCTAACTAAACTGTACATTTTAGTATTAAGCCTGGTCATAACAGGTTGCTAAGAATTAGTTTTGAATGCAGAGCACAGTAATAGAGTTTTAGAGAAGTTTCATCTACCATTTCTCTTTATTATCAAAACATATGAAGGACCAAACTAAACAATTGTACTGTCTAAGCCTAGATTATGTAAAGCAATGATTTCTACCTATACCTTCTGATAAAGTAACATTTATGACTACCAAGTGTGTGGCCTTTTTCTATTTTGTTCACCATGTCCTTATTTCAGTGTTGAATGAATACTGAATCAATATTTCAGTATTGACTCTACCTTTCACAATTTATTAATTCTAATAATTCAAACTTTGACAGCATTTTCTATATGCTAGGTACTTTATAAAGAACTCACATATACATCAGTTAAACTGCAAAGATACCCTAGTTAGGTTCCATTAGCCCCCAGTTAGAGTTAAGGAAACTGGGGTTAAACAACTTATCTAAATTCTGCAACTAATAAGTGGTAAAGCCAGAATATGAACCCAGACAGCCTGGCTCTGAGTCCATGTTCTAAATCACAGTAATACATTTCTATTTATACCAGCTTGTATTCCTTTGGTGGAGTCAGACTTTGCACTTAAAACTTTTGAAAGCACTTTCATGTTCGTTATCTGAAACCGAAGTACTGTCACATCAGTTGTATGGATTTATCCCCATGTCTACACTGTGAAGTTGATAGCACAGAATCACTTCCTTGGAAAGCTGAGGAAACTCGAAACTCGGTAAATGACAGAATTAGAGGGTGAATGAAAGTCCAAACATTTTGTGGAAGTGCACGGCTGGAGGTGGAATCTGGGCTCCTTCATTCTCAGCTTCTGCTGTATTAGTAAACACTACTGTGAAGTATGAAGTCAACAAAACGAGGAAATGCAGGAGGCAGAATATCATGCTCTGCTTTTTTTTTTTTTTTTTTTTTTTTGTATTCTAACATTTTTTCATGTTAGAATGACCAAGCTTGGACTTCTACTGTAATCTCTATTCTGGCTGATGGGAGCAAAAAATATGTAAGACCTTGTGCTTTTTATTTATTACTTTCTTTTACTATATTTTTACTTTGGCATTTCTTTAAAACTATATAAAGACATTTATTGGCCTGGTGCAGTGGCTCACGCCTGTCATGCCAACACGTTGAGAGGCCGAGGTGGGAGGATCATTTGAGCCCAGGAGTTTAAGACCAGCTTGGGCAACAAAGTGAGAACCCATCTCTATTAAAAAAAAAAATCCAAAGTACCATTAGAAGTAAATATATATATATATGTGTGTGTGTCTTTACATAGTGTTTTTCATATATATATTTACATATTTATACCAGCTTGTATTCCTTTGGTGGAGTCAGATTTTGCACTTAAAACTTTGTATGTAAGTTATTTAAAAAGTACCTAGCATATAGTAAAATGCTGTCAAACTTAGAATTATAAGAATTATTATTTTACATGTATATGAAAAAAACTATGTAAACACACTTATCACCTTTAGAAACAAAAGTATAATAACATCAAAACATGTTTTCAATTATGTTTGTAAGACATTTAGCCAACACTGATGTTCCCATCCCAACACACTACTTTGTGGTGCTGACCAGTTGTAAAAACAAGAGCCACACACCGGAAAACTGCCCTGGGTGGCTGGATGTCCTACCCTTTATCATCCCTCACCGACCTACCAACGTGGAGAGCTGTCCTGTGAGTATGCTTTGGGAGGGTCCAGGACCCGAGAAAATGAGTCAGAGCTCATTTGGGTTCTCATAAAAGTGGCTCTGACTAAAACATTTTTTTTAGGTGTTTCATGGGAAAAGTTATAACACAAATGACTTCATTTTTAGGCTTTTCCTTAGGCTATTGATCTCTATGTAATTAATATCAATTTAAACATATATCTGCATAGTTGAACATATATATACCCCATGTATTTTATTTATATACGTTTTATTCACATTCACTAATAATGAAAGAGGTGAAATCTTGTTAATCTCTTTTTTCTTTTTTTATTTATAACATGACAATTGTATGTATTTATGAGGATAGTGAGATGTTTGAATGCGTGCATACTTTGTATAATGATCAAATCAGGATAATTAACATATCTACCACTTTAAACATTTATTTCTTTGTGGTAATAGCACTCAAAGTCCTCTCTTCTAGCTATCTTGAAATATACAATACATTGTTATTAACTGCAGCCACTCTACTGTGTAATAGAACCACCAGAACTTATTTTTATTCTGGCCACAAATCTTAAAGTTCTTCCCAATGTTAGCACTAAATTAATGTTTCTGAATGAGTATATACATGTAAAAATTCCATCAACTTGAACCATGAGGTGTGAAATTGATTATACACACACACACACAAACACACACACACAGTGCAAGTAACATTCTTTTTTTAAACATCATTATTAGGCTACCTCAAAATCCTTTTTGGATCAAGGCAGATTATATGTAAGTAGTTAATTCGACTTGCATATAAATTCCTTATAGAAAAAATATGTATCCTGGAACTTAGGTTTTACTGAAGTCATTCAACAAACATATTGAGTACCTATTAAGCACATAGTATCATGATAGAAACTCTTTAGAATGCACAAAGGAGGAACACATTGTCCCTGCTTTTAAAGAGTTCATATACAACTTCAGTTTATATATGAGATATAGGCACACAATTTAGTCAGTCAATAATACAAGAATTATTCTAAAAACTAAAAAGTAAAAGAGGTTGCAAAGTTGGGATCAATTGACAATTAATGTTAAAAGGATTTAATATTTGAAATTAAAATCACATTTGGCTGGAATGATCAATAAAGATTTCATAAAATAAGGTGTAAGTAGGGCTGTGCCCTGAAAGATGGATAGAATTTGAGTATATTGAGAAGACTACAAAGAGTCTTCCATGGAGGGTGGGTATGAAGAATGAAGAGGATTTAGTAACTGATTGGATACAAGAGCCCCCACCCCAAAAGGAAACTCAAAGATGAATCAGATTTGAATGTTAGTAATTAGGAAAAAGGCAGAAAGAGGAAGGTTGGGAATGAGAACTTTTTGGCAGGTAGATAGGATAAGCTAAGGATAGGCATTTTAAGTTTGTGGAAATGGGCATTGATGTGGAAAGTCCCATAGGCAATTAGAGCCTGAGAATTGAAGCTTGGGATCTAGGCCAGATTGGGATTCATCTATATTCTTTCAGGTGTTCAATGCATGAGTGCCTTCACCATGCTGTGCACTATAGGAGGTGCTCACAATTAGAAATCCAGTAAAATATTAGAAGAAAGAGATAAGTGATGTAAGAGAGGGACAGATAAACTGCTGTAGTAGTATTTCAAAGGAGAATTACTTCTTGACAGGGAGGGTGACATTTCAGTTGGGTCATGTAGATACGATTTTACTTGAGTGTTTAAATTGTCTAAAGAAGGTGGCCAAGTTTAGAGGCTGAATAGTGAGCCACTCACTATTCTTAAAATGAGGAAGAAGAGTTTCTGAACAGGAAACTATCAGGAGATGTTGTTGAATTGAATCCCTTCCTACTTTTTCTGTCAGCATTTTGTTTGGTTGAGACAAGGGTAAGCCATTATTCTTTACTTCCTTTTCCAATGACAGACATCAATGACTGATACGATGTGGTACTCTTTACCATGAAATCTGGATTAAACAGTTCGTTATTACAGAGGTTCTAGGTAGATATGATGGAGTGATTACAATGAGTACACAAAGAAAAAAATATTTGCTATCCCTGGTCTGGGCCCTTTTGACCTTCTATTAGGACTCTTGAAAATGAATCTTAAGTAGATTTGTGGTCTCCTCTCCTCTTCTCATTTGTCAGTGTGCACTACTACCAACTTACTCATCTTAAAATTTAGTTTATATTTTGTCATAGCCTCTCACCCCAAAACTTCTGATTATCCTGAACAACAACAACAACAACAACAAAAATACAAAGAAACAAACAAAAACAACTTCCAGCCTGTACTTAAGTCTCTTCACAATTTACCCTCAGTTGACCTTACAGGCTATAAGTTCCAGGTCAATTGGAGTCCTTGAAATTACTTGAACACATCTTGAGTTTGCTTACCTCATCACTGTTGCCTATGTTCTTCTCTCCTCTAGAATTTCATTCTTTTCCATCTGCTAAAAATTCCATCTGGGCGTCAAGGTAAAGTGCAAATAATATGAAGCTTTCCTTGATTATTCAAAGTAGAAGTGATCTCTCCAAAGTTAACAGAGCATCATCTCTATTGAATAGGACATCATCAGTAATAAATTGGACATATCCAAGATTTTGAGGAATTTGCAGTATAGTAATAAGAATGTGACATCTGTATAGATAATTATTAGACAAAATGCAATGAGTATAAAGAAAACTTAAGCCAAGCTATGATTATAAAAGAGATTGCAAAGTTAATAAGAGTAGCTGTCAATTAGATATGGGGAAGGGAAAGGCAAGATGAGAGAGAGGCAAAGATGACTAAAAATCCAGGGCATGACTGACCAGGAAATGTATACGATAGATTATCTTTTGTTTTGAGAAGGATGGATTTGCTCTTGGTGGTCTTCAGTTTGACAGACTAGTTGAATATTTAGGAGGATATATGAGAAATAGTATAAAACAGAACTTAAATGCATGGATTTTGGAGTTGGACCTCCTGGGTTCAGTGAATGACTTCGTTTCTTTGGGCAAATATGTTAGTTTCCTCATCTATTATATCTAATAAGTATAAAATATTCACCTCCTTTTATGAAGTTTGTAAAGATTAAACAAAATAATCTATATAAAACCCTAAGACTTCCCAATATAAAAAATGGTGGCTATTATAAAGGAATCATATCTTAGGATGAAGTTACATTCTAAAGTCGACAGAGGCCAGGCATAGTGGCTCACCTGTAATCACAGCACTTTGGGAGGCCGAGGCAGGCACATCACCTGAGGTCAGGAGGTCGAGACCAGCCTTTTACTAGAGACCCCATCTATACTAAAAATACAAAAATTAGCCAGGTGTGATGGTGCATGCCTGTCATCCCAGCTACTCAGGAGGCTGAGGCAGGAGAATTTCTTGAAACTGGGAAGTAGAAGTTGCAGTGAGTGGAGATCAGGCCACTGCACTCCAGCCTGGGCAACAGAACAAGACTCTGTCTCAAAATAAAATAAAATAAAATAAAATAAAATAAAGTCAATAGAGAGTGAAATTGAATCTCCTATATGCAAATCATCCAGAAAGTGTAGTACATTCACAAACTGTTTCTTAGTAAGTCTAAACCAGCCAATATTTCCAATAGCATTTGGATAGGTAATTGTGCTTTGATGCACCTGATAAAATAGATGGCTGGCTTTAAACATTGCATTGTATGGAAACTCTGTACTTTAAATATTTGAATTACACAATGTACAGAAGTACTCCTACTATTAAGAGGTTCCAGGGAACTGAGATCAAGCTATAGGAATGATAGATTCACAATTTTATCCCACACTTGGTGTAAGGAATTAGATCATATTTCCTTATTTATTTTGTCCTTTCCTTGTTCCTTTCATCTTTTCTTCCCTCCTTTTTCCTTTTCCCTCCTCCTGTCATCTTTGTACTGTAAAATTCTGTCAGATAAATGAGAATGTAGCCATTAGTCCAAGTGACTTTCATTGTAAGTTACTCAGCAGATATGGAAAATGTAGGTATGGAACTTGGAGGAGAAATCAGAACTGCAGATCTAGATTTGGGATTAAATCATTGGTGTGAAATACAATTGCCAAAGGGGAGAAAGTGGAAAGAAAAGATCCCAAATCAAATTGAGGAAAATATGCTTCCAGGAAGTATAGTCATCTGAGGAAACAGAAGGTATTATCAAACAAGTAAACAGTAGAGTTATGGATAACAAAGGAGGAACTTCAGAAGCCTGGGGTAGCTAACTAATTGAAAAGCCTGAGGACAACCCATTCAGTGAGGTCATCATTGACAAAGTAGTTGCATTAGCATGATAACAGCAATCACTGGACTGTAAGTGGCTAAGGAGAGAGAATAAGAACGTGGATAGGGCAGAAAAATGCTGAAATCAATATTGCCTCAAAAAATGAGTTGTATTTTGGGGATATACAATACTCTTAATTCTGTAACAGGTCATTTATACACACACACACACACACACACACACACACACATATAAATATCAAAGTATATTTAAATATAGCTCATAAAACTGTATAGCCTATTCTGTTGGCATGGACTAGTGCAGCGAGAGCAGTTGTCTACAGCTGGCTTCTGTTCAGATTAGTTGGTGCCAGCGACTTACTCAGGTTAAATAGCTGAAGTATCGTCTCTGCATAAGTATAGTTTTGTGTTATGCTTTGTGGTCATTTCCCTGCAAATTTAAAAAAGGGAAGACTGTCAGGTGCTGGGTAAACATTTAGTTGGATGGATGCCAAGTAAGTCAGGAGAGAGTAGAGTCGTATAAACCAAATGGGAGAAAATGTTATGGAAAAAAAAGTGATCAAAGATATTAGGTGCTGCTGAAATGTGCAATAGTAAAGGCAGAAGAGAAAAACTTCTAATTAGATTCCCATTGAAAGAAATAACTCTAACATGGCGCATTTTTTTTTTTTTAATATTAGCTCGCATTGTGAATCTGACACAAGTGCTTTAATGGTTAGGAACAAAAAGTATTTCCTCTTACTCTTCCTCTGGCTCAGATAGTGGCTATCTGTATTAAGCCTGCATACTTAAACAAGTAAACCACTGCATCGAAGTCAAATGAGAATCATGAAAACACAGTAATCTGATTAAATAAACTTTGAAACTTTCTTATTATGTGAAAAGTTAACTGAACTTTAGCAATATCATATGAATACCAGAAAATTATTCTTTATAATAAAGAATAAAGAATGTCATAGAAACCCATGTTTCTAAATTATTGAACTAACTTTCATATTGTAAAAAAAATCCAAAATAAAAAGGTCAAGAAATAACTGAAAAGATGCATAAATAAACAATAGTCAGCATAATAAAATATAAACAGACATAAAACACTATTTTACACCCACGGTTTGGCAAAGATGTGGGGAAATGGGAATTATCTTTCACTGCCTATAGAACTGTAAATTGGTACGAAGACTTTGAGGAGTGCTAGGTTTAATATCTGATAAAGTTAAAATTGAATGTACTCGGCCGGGTGCGGTGGCTCATGCCTATAATCCCAGCACTTTGGGAGGCCAAGGTGGGTGGATCACCCGAGATCAGGAGTTTAAGACCACCCTGGCCAACATGGTGAAACCCCATCTCTACTAAAAATATTAAAAAATTAGCTGGGTGTGGCGGCGGGTGCCTGTAATCCCAGCTACTTGGGAGGCTGAGGCTGGAGTGCAGTGAGCCAAGATCACACCATTGCACTCCAGCCTGGGTGACAGAGTGACAATGTCAAAAAAAAAAAAATTTGAATGTACTCTATGGCCCAACAATTTTATTAATATATCCTAGAAACTCATGCTCTTGAACACAGGAGGCATATACCAAGTTATTTATTATAGCATTATTTATAGTAACAAAAATTTTATCAATATGTAACGCAAAATTTAATTGTTTTGCATTTAAATGAGGAAATATCACAAACCACAGCTAAGAACAAGTCACTTAACAAGACCTAGATATATCACTATAGATTACAAACGTTAATACCGAATGAAAAAAATTGTAGAATACCACTTATAATATTAACATAAGTTTAAAAACTCATCAGTACTACATATTGTATAGTGATGTACAGTAAAAGTTTGAAAAAACAGACTGGATTCACCCTGATATAAAGATGTTTAGTTCTGAACAGAGGAGCCCTGGGGACTTAACTTCATCTGCAATATTTAATTTCATTAAAAAAATTACATCTGAAGTAAACATAAAAATAGATAAATTTTGACAACGGTGTTCTATGTTAGTTATAGTATACTTTGTACTTGTGTTTTCTTTTTATTTTTAAAAACTAAATTTAGCTGTATCAAATTAAGATTTAAGGAGGTAAAAATCATCGGCAAAAAGACAACTTCTAAGCAATAAAAATATTTCTGTTCATGAAAAATACTGCCTTGTGAAAAAAAAAGTGTTGTGCTTTTCTTTTTCAGGAAGGTAAACCAGAAGCTCTTTGGGTTGAAGAAAGATTTACAGCTCACATTGCCCGGGTCCGTGATGTAGAACTTCTCACTGGGCTTGACTTCTATCAGGATAAAGTGCAGCCTGTCTCTGAAATTTTGCAACTAAAGACATATTTACCAACATTTGAAACCACTATTTAACTTAATAATGTCTACTTAATATATAATTTACTGTATAAAGTAATTTTGGCAAAATATAAGTGATTTTTTTCTGGAGAATTGTAAAATAAAGTTTTCTATTTTTCCTTAAGTCCCCTAAAAGCCATAATTTTTATTATTCCTTTTTCTCTTTTTTCAATTCTATGAATATGTATTATTTTAAAGTTATATTTTTCACACAGAGATGATGCTATATTACACCTTCCCTTTTTTGTTGGTTTCTTAAACTCTAATCTCATGACAGATTATACCTTCCTTATTACTTGTTTTATCTTACTCAGAATCTTTGAATATATTTTTCTGCCCAGAATTATCTAAACAAAAGGGAGAACAAAAGAAGTATGTCTCACTTGGGAACTGAATCAACTCTAAATCAGTTTTGTCACAAAACTTTTTGTATTTGACTGGCAATGCTGATTAAAATTAAAAATGCACAGAACTTTTGCGCTGTTAATTTCACCTGTAAAAACTGTCCCAACAGATGTGCTTGGCACAAATGCATGAAAATGACATCTTTTATGATAGCAAAAACCAGAAAACAACCTAAAAGACTGGTTAAACAAATTATGGAATCTGTTTAAACAAATACTGTTCCATCACTATAAAGACAGAAGTAGATCTATATATATCTTGAATGTATCACTATTATTAAGTGAGAAAGCAAGTGGTAGAACAATGTGTGTAGTCTACTGTCATTTTTCAGGGGTCGGTAAACTTTTCCATAAGGGACTAGATGGTAAATTTTTTAGGCCATACAGTCTCTCTTAAAACTACTTACTCTGCTGTGGCATCAAGAAAGCAGCCATAGATAATACAAAAAAGGAGTAAGAGTGGTTGTTCTATTAGTCTGCTTTCACATGGCTATAAAGAAATACCTGAGACTGGGTAGTTTATAAAGAAAAGAGGTTTAATTGATTCACAGTTTCGCATGGCTGGGGAAGCCTCAGGAAACTTACAATCATGGCAGAAGGAGAAGGGGAAGCAAGCACTTTCTTCACAAGGCGACAGGACGGAGTGAGTCTAAGCAGAGACAGGACAGAGTGAGTGTGAGCAGATAAAATGCCAGACACTTATAAAACAATCAGATCTCATGAGAACTCACTCACTATTACGAGAACAGCATGGGAAAAACTGCCCGCATGATCCAAACACTTCCCTCCCTCGGCATGTGGGGATTACAATTCGAGATGAGATTCAGGTGGGGACACAGAGCCAAACCATATCACCTATGTTCCAATAAAACTTTATTTACAAAAACAAGTGGAGGGCTAGATTGGGTCCCTGGGCTGTAGTTTGTCAGCCCCTGTTTCATATAATAAAATCTGGGCTGGGGGAAGCAGAAATTAATAGTAAAAAAGATAACATTTTTATTTTTTGCTCTTTGTATTGCCTGAAGTTTTTTTTTTTAACTCCTATATGTATTTCTTTCATTTTCAAAATAGAGTTATGAACCAAAGAGATCCCAGCAATTATTTCAGGGTCAATGCTATTGGTCAGATTTTGGGGTTGCTAGACTGGCAATTTTCCAGATATTTCTCTGATATAAAGATCAGTTCATCCAGGGACACAGGCTTTGTAGCTAATGAAAAATCTTGTGACCTGAACTTCAAGGAAAACAAATTCAATTGCTTTCTATTTCTATTAGAATTTCAACTGAATTATGGTTATTAATTACAACCAATTAAGATGTTAGTTTATTCCCACTGGATTTTTTTTAACATAGTTTCTTCACATGTAGAATTTAGGTAAAAAATTTATGCAGTGCAAAATGTGCAATACAGAGAGGCTGCAAGTTAAGACACAAATAGGAAATTATTTCCGGATACATAGCAACAATGTTAATACTCTTCATATAGAGACAATTTTTCCAATCAGTGTTCTCCTGCCCCACCATGGCCTGGAAACTAAATAAGATCACCTGGAATTTAGAACTCACAATAGGAAGACAAATGGTGGGTGTTTACAACCCTGAAATGAGTTTAATAACCCTGGATTTCCTCATTACTTCTGAGTTGGTCTGAAAGTGGCTAAGTTGTTGACATAAAAATAAAAAGAGAAAAATTAAAACTATGTATTTTTTTTGAGATGGAGTTTCATTCTGTCACCAGGCTGGAGTGCAGTGGCGTGATCTCAGCTCACTGCAACCTCCACCTCCCGTATTCAAGCGATTCTCCTGACTCAGCCTCCCGAGTAGCTGGGATTACAGGTCCCCGCAACCACACCCGGCTAATAAAATTTCATTTTTTACACAGAGATTGTGCAATATTATACCTTCCTTTTGCGTATTCATTATTCCATTAAAAAAGAAATATGTATATGTAAAGCCAGTTTGAATGAATGAATACTAGTGATTTAATGGATCATGAAATTATAGAGGATTTGGTGTATCTACTTAATAACTTTCAGTATGTAGCCTATATTTACAATGAACTTGTTTTATTTTTAAAAATCTGAAAATGTAAACAATAAAGTTAGTTACACTTTAAAATATTATTTAGAAAGGATTTTATATGTACACAAAGTTTGCAAGAATAGTATAGGCCAGGCACTGTGGCTCACACCTGTAATCCTAGCACATTTGGGAGGCCGAAGTGGGCAAATTACTTGAGATCAGGAGTTCAAGACCAGCCTGGGCAACATAGTGAGACCCTGTTTCTATTAAAAAAAGAATAGTATAAAGAACTCTTTATAACCCGTACCCAGCTACATCAATTAACATTCTCAGTATGTACATTTATATATAGTTTTATTTTTCTCACTGTACTTCTGAGAGTACATTGTAGTCATTATGCCCATTAACCCTGAGTACTTTAGTGTGCAAAGATCAAGGACATTAACTCACAGTAAGTTTAATGTTGGTACAATGCTATAAATAATCTAATTTATGAACCTATCAATTTTTTTCATATTTTCAACAATTCTTTAATGATATTTTCTTTTTTGGTCTAGGATCTGAAAGAGAATCATTCATTGTATTACTTTTTTCTCTTTGGTCTCTTATAAGGTGCAACAATTCCTCAGCATTTAACAAATAATGTTGATACTTTTGAGGAGTCCAGGTCATTTATTTTGTAGACCGTCCCTCAAATGGGTTTGTCTGGCATTTCCAGATGACTGGATTAACACAGTGCATTTTTGGCAGGGACATTACATTAGTGACATTTGTCCTCAGTGCTTCATATTTAGAAGCACATGATGTTCATTTGTGCCATCATTAATCCATGCCAGATTTGATCAGTTGGTGATGTTAGTGTTCATAAGTTTCTCTTCTGTAGAGACAGTATTTTTCCCTTAGCAATTTATAAGTTATTTGTAGAAGGATATGGAGACCCTACACATATCCTGTTTCTCATTAAATTTTTACCCAACAGCTTCAGTATCCGTTAATAATCTTTCCCTGATTCAATTTTTACGATGATAGTTGCAAAGGGAGTGATTCTTAGAGACTCCATTATTTTACGTTTATCAGCATTCTACTATAAGCAAAAGTGTTCTCTCACTTATTTTGTTATTTATTTATTTATTATTGTTTGTACAGACTCATTTTTTTTATTCCAACAGATTAGAATACATTAAGATCATTACTTATGTCAGTACTCAAATAGTCCCAGAGTTGGTCAACAGGAGCTTCTTTAAGTGGGGTCCTGGGTCATTTGTATATACCCCATTATTTTTTGAGGACTTTCTTATTTTCTAGTACAGAAAAAAAAATTCAGGATTATTTTGTACTTTCCCTGCACTAACTCTGGAATCAATTCTTCCTCCAAAATGCCCTGGTTCCATTTAGTGGGCACTGGTGCCCTAATTGCTTCTGGGGTATCATAACATCTAGGCATCTTCAGTCAACAAAAGTGGAATCTATATCTATGTCTCTTTGCCTATATCTATCATTGTGTTCATAAATACTGTAAACTTAAAGTAAAATCCTAAGTCTTCCACTGATAGAACAGACCCTCTGTGGCCAACAGGACCCCAGAAAAACCTTAAAACTGAGTTTCTGGCCACAGCCAGGAGAGAGGGGAGGTCAGACATGCCTCATTCTACCCACTCTCTTTCATGGTTTAGACACAATTGACCAGCATTAATGTTGAAATAGATATGGTAAGACTGACAGAACAGACTCTGTGGCAATAAGATACCAAATTATATACAAGACCAAAGGCCATGCCAGGCAAGGATGAAGTCATGCACCCTACACTTAAAGAATAAACTGCTCTATTTATTTATTTATTTATTTATTTATTTATTTATTTATTTAGAGATGGAGTCTCTCTCTGTCGCCTAGGCTGGAAGGCAGTGGTGCGATCTCAGCTCACGGCAACCTCTGCCTCCCGGGTTCAAGCAATTCTCCTGCCTCAGCCTCCTGAATAGCTGGGATTACAGGCACATGACATTACACCTGGCTAATTTTTGTATTTTTAGTAGAGACAGGGTTCCACCATGGTGGGCCAGGCTGGTCTCGAGCTCCTGACCTCGTGATCCACCCGCCTTGGCCTCCCAAAGTGCTGGGATTACTGTCGTGAGCCACCTCGCCCAGCCTAGAATAAACTGTTCTAACTGCCACAAGGGTTTTTCTGGTTTGTTTGTTTTGTTTTTTCTCTCAAGCACAGGCTTTGAGATAAGCAATATTAAAACAATGACAACTCGTCTCACTGACACTGACTAACAGAACCACTGTTCCACCAGCTATAACTACAGCTTTGATTGGACAAGGGCCTGATTTCAGTAACTTTCTTCTGATAGGGAGACCACCGACCACGGACTGGTTCTGACTGGTTTACAGAGGTTGCTCACTTGTGTGACTTTGTAACCTGAAAAGATCTTTCGATGTATAGGGCCCAACTGTAATACATTTGACAAGAACGGGTGCATTCAAGGTGGTATGGCCGTAGACATAACTGTAATACTTTTGAATGTTAAGTCTCCACCCACAAGTGAACATGGGTTATATGTTACATGCAGATTTGCTCAATACACATGTGTCAGGACCACCTTCATGAATATTTACAGCTTCTCCCATAACCTGTTAAATATGTATTTTTAGCCAGCCTCTTCAGCATAAAACTACTACTCCAATCTTTCCTGCTTTGAAGTGCTTGTCTGGTCTTAGCTAGAGGAATATTTCCCATCCTGTGGGGTGACCATTTTGCAGGCTGTAACCATTTACAAAAAATAAAGTCTTTTCCAAACTCACAGATTTGTGATTTTTTTAAAGTTAACACCACATGAATAAAAACCATGAATTCAATTATAATCCAATATTGCATAGTTTTTCTAACAACTTTCTATTTTATAATTGTATCTTCCTTCTCCAATAGTGAGAAATTTGGTTCCCAAAATCGTCAATATATTTATTCATATGCTCCAATACACGGAGAGTAAGAATTGCAGACTAACACCACTTAAAGAAGGAAATCTACCAAGTAGAATGCAAGAAGTGTTTCTAGGCTAAGAACTTGGTCAGAATATTGTTCCAGAATTATTTGGACTTGTTTTTCCCCCTTCAGTGTAGTTACATTATTCATTTGAAATATAGTACTGCTCATTTGTTTCTATTTATATTCTGTTAAGGAGTTTCCCCAACCTTGTTGAGTCACGTTTATTTGTTTTAGTGTATAAAATATTAACGATTTTAAAAGCCAAAATTAGATGAAAAGTGACACTCAGAAGAAGTGTCCTCCCTCCACTCTTTCTTTTTCCATCCACCCTGTGTTTACGACCAACATCATTTGTTTCTGGTTAATCATTTCTGTATTTGTTTTTGCAAAAATAGGCAGATAGATATATTTTTCTTATTTTCCTTTTTTATGCAAAAGAGGCATACTATATATTCCTTTTGAACTTTTTTTTTTAATATCTTTTTTATTTTTTATTTATTTTTTTTGAGACAGGGTCTTGCTCTGTTGTCCAGCCTGGAGTTCAGTGGCTCAAATAGGACTCACTGCAGCCTCGACCTCCTAGGCTCAAGCAATCCTCCTGCCTCAGCCCCCCGAGTAACTGGAACCACAGGCATGTGCCATCACACTTGGCTAATTGTTTTTTTTTTAATTTTGTGTCGAGACAAAGCCTCACCATGTTGCCCAGGCTGATCTCAAACTCCCCTGAGCTCAAACAATTCTCCTGCCTCGGCCTCCCAAAGTGTTGGGATTACACCACGCCTGGGTTTCTTTCACACTTTTTGAAAAACTTGACAGTATATCCCAGAAGTCACTCCATACACATAGGTCTTCCTCATCCTAGTTTATTGCTGCATAGTACTCCATTGTGTAGATGTATCATTTCATTACATCAGTCTCTTATGTAAAAGCTTTTAGGTTGTTTCCAACATTTTGTAACTACAAATATCCAGCAATGAATATTATATATATGCAGTTTTGCATTATTGAAAGTGTATCTTCTGGGCAAGTTCCTAGAAGTGGGTAAACATATATTGTGGTTTCATTTTAGAAAAAATAAAAGTCCTATATTGGCACAACCGTAATTCTTAAATTGGTGTACTTAAAATTTTAATTCACTGAAAATAATTTATTTTTCTTAATTATAAAAGTAATACATATTCATTGTAAGACTATCCGAAATGTGTATATATATCTATATTTATATATGCAAATATTTAAATCACACATAATCCCACAAGCAATGATTACAATGACTATATCCTATTAATACATGACTCTTGGGTATATCTCTTCTTTGAAATGCAGTGTTTTAATATGGGATTTGGGGAAATGTCAATTCATGTTACTTTGGTTCAGTGTTTTTTCCTCAGGGGAATTTCAAATTTTTCAGAAAATACTTGTGTCTTGAATATTTAGAAAATTTATTCTAGTGGAAAGTGTAACTTATCAGAGCAAAAGGAAATTACTGCTTGACATTTCAATAAATGCCTTAAGTTTTTACAAATTACCCAAGACATGTGTAGCTGAGAATTAATGTAGAATCATGCAGGTGTTGTTAAGAATCCATAATGTCAGCTTCCAGCACCAATCATCACCTGACTCAAGTTGTTTTTTGACTTTCAGGTGATAGAACTATCCCAAGCAATGTAATTCCCTTTCCTTTTTATTCTGATAACAATGAAATATGTAATAAGCCAAATTTTTGACAAGTGCTTTTCATGTAGATGAGCATTTAATACAACAGAACTGCTTGCTTTTGAATAGAGGGAACCACATATTACTGCAATTTTCAATTGTATGTATTTTGGGAGACAGGCATATAAGAGGGATATTTTTGTGAATTCCAATGTTACTGAATCAAGGATTACAATGAATTCTTGTTGGTAGAAAGGGGACTTTCTAACGCAAGTGAGGTCAGCTAAGATCTTGGGAGCAGACTTGGAAAGAAGGGAAATTCTCAACATTGGCTTATATTCCAGATGTAGTTTAAATTCTGAAATTTTATTTTTATGCATTTTTTGATCTTTCAGGGTATTTAGAGCCATAGTCAGGATTAAGAAGGCTCTGGGTCTGTTCTTCTAGAAAATGTCACAAACAAATGAATTTTCTGGGCAAGTGGAAACCTGCTTCCCCTGCTGGTAGGTAGGGTCAGGTAGCTAGAGGGGGATAAACTGGATAAAGGGGTGCACCTATTCATGGGCTAAGGATTCACCTCTAGCCACTAATTTAGCTGGAATTTAGTCTAAGAGAGTCCATCAGTGTTTGGTCATTTTAGAACCAGTAAATGAAGATTTTAGGAGTCTGTGTTTATGCTTACAAATTGGGCTGATCTTGATGTAAACTCCATCTGGTTTTGGCACTTGAGTTTATGTCCAAATTATATTTGGGTTCTTTGAAAATCCTCTTCCCCTAGGGAAATCTCTTTCCTTCCTCCGCCCCGTCCCCACCCCTGTATCACCACTACTCTCCCACCACCACTTGTCATTTGTTTACTTTGGGAGGGCTGGTCATGGGAATGGAAACAGGACATAAACTCTAACAGTTTTCAAAAACACAAACAAGGCTGTTTGAAGAAAGGACTTCCTCTTTACACAGCATCCCTAGCAGACCACAATCTCTCCTTCAATCAGTGGACTCACGCTTGAACAAACTTCCAGACAGGAACAAACCTCAGCCTTCCAATGACAGAGAATCCATGCAATTCAGACTTATCCCAAACCCACAGGATAAACTTAGCTGGATAACAACTCATAGTAAAGGGCAACACTGGACTTAGAGCTAGGCTGGTTCTGTTATCCTAACATACCGTGTTTACTAAGGTGTAGACATTCGTAGGTCTAGGAGAAAGCTGGAGAGGCCAGCAAGTCCATTTCTTAAGGACTAAATAAATAACATTCTGTTAACATTGTTCATACGTTTATAATGTCAGTCTCTGAGACTTTACAACAGTTTTCGTATTCCTGAAATTAAGAAAATATGTGTAATGATTAACACAACGACTTCCTCCTGTCTTGTCTCCTTAGAGTGATAACCACAAAGTTTGTTTATAATCGTCTCCTAAGGAATCATCTGCTCTCATTTGAGTGTTAGAAGGCAGTAGAGTATTGATAAGAGCATGGGTTCCTAAGTTATAGACACCAAGGTTTAAATCCTGTCTTCCTAGCTGTGTGATCTGGAACAGGTTCCTTAAACTCTACAATTTGGTTTTCTCTTCTGCAAAAAGGGGATCATTTAATACCTACCTTAGAGAGTTGTTGCAAGGATTTGATAACTTACTAGATATAAACTGTGTCCATCAGAGGCTGCCATGTGGTAGCATTATCCTCTCTCAGGCATATATAAAGCACACTTTTTGAATTAACCAGGCAATTCCGCTCCACTTGGGTTTACACACAAGTGATTCAAATTTGTGGATTGTGTCAGGTTGATCTTTGCCCTATGATTTGGAGGTTTGACTTCCATATTTCCTGCCAGATGAGTTAGTCACATTAATAGCATCCTTCATCATGGTTTGTGGTTGCCCCGATCTTTAAATTTGGTCGGCCTCTATTACAATCCCCATTTATTGGTTAGGTCCCAGGATATTTTTATCCTGTGGCCACATTAACAATTTTAAAAAAAAGGAAGCATGGCATGGTCAGCATTGTTACTTTTGGATATTGACAAAGAACTGCAACAGATTGGCCACAGTGGCTCAGATCAATAGGCCGTGGCAGTAGATACATCCTCCAAATCTGTCTAAATCTCATCTCAGAAAATGGGCTTAGCTTGCAGAGATTTCATCATCAACTCTCACCTCAGATTCTGACATCAGCCTTTTACAGCATTTAAGCAAAGTTTTCCACAAATTGAGAGCAGAAATTTAGAATTAAATCTTCAGTTGATTACTTTGATATAAGAGAGTTCATCAAATGACTCACTGTCTTCCTCTCTTGCTATCTCTGAATCTGGAACCAACTGTCTTCTGTAGTCATACAGTCATTCTGTAGTCTTGAAAGACTAGACATGTCTTGCCTATTCAAGATCTCGTTAAATCTATTTATTCAGTGAATGTTTATTGAGCTCCTTTTATGTTACAGACACTGTTCTGGGGGCTTTGGATAATCAAGGAACAAACTCGACAAAGATCCTTGCCCCTTACGGCCTTATATTCTAGCAGGGAAGACACAGTAAACAACAGGTATAGCAAATAAGAAAATTAAATTATGTGTGTTAGAAAGTGATAAATGCAGCCAGGCGCGGTGGCTCACACCTGTAATCCTAGCACTTTGGGAGGCCGAGACGGGTTGATTGCCAGAGCCCAAGAGTTCGAGACCGGCCTGGACAAGACGGTGAAACCCTGTCTCTACTAAAATACAAAAAAATTAGCCAGGAGTGGTGACGTGCGCCTGTAATCCCAGCTACTCTGGAGGCTGAGACAGGAGAATCACTTGAACCCAGGAGGTGGAGGTTGTAGTGAGCCGTGATCGCGCCATTGCACTCCAGCCTGGGTGACAGAGGGAGACTCCGTCTCAAAAAACAAAAGCAAAAACAAACAAACAAAAAGTGCTAAATGCCACAGAAGAGAAAAGGAGAAGTAAATAAGAGTAAAAAGAAGCTGTGTAGTCCCAGCTGCTCCAGAGGCTGAAGTGGGAAGATCACTTGAGCCCAAGAGGTCTAGGCTGCTGTGTGCCATGATTGTGCCACTGCACTCCAGCCTGGGTACCACAGCGAGACCTTGTCTCCAAAGAAAGAAAGAAAGAAAGAAAAATTGAATGTAGTGATGTTGTGAAGTGTAGGTTGCAAGAAATATTAAGCAGAGCACTCCGGGGAGACCTCTTTGAGATGCTGAAATCTGAGCAAAGATTTAGAGGAGGCAAAGTGTTAGCCAGGCTGATATATGGGGAAGCAGTCAACACAGGGACATGCACTGTGTTCAAGGAGCAGTAGAAGCCGGCACTGCTGTTAGAACACATTTCTTTTCCTCTCAGACCTCTTATAACCATTTCCTAAGATCCATCTCAAGAATAAGAAAGTAGGCTGTGTTCAGTGGCTCATGCCTGTAATCCCAGCACTTTGGGAGACGGAAGCAGCAGCAGCGTTTGAGGCCAGGAGTTGAGACCAGCCTGGGCAACATGGCAAAACCAATCTCTATTAAAAATATGCACACTCACACACACACACAAATTCGTTGGGCATGGTGGCGCACTCCTGTAATCCCAGCTACTCAGGAGGCTGAGGCACTAGAATCGTTTGAACCCGGGAGGCAGAGGTTTCAGTGAGCCAAGATGTTGCCACTGCACTCCAACTTGGGGCAATAGAGGAACAGAGGAAGACTGTGCCTCAAAAAAAAAAAAAAAAAAAAAGGTAAGAAACTAGATAGAGGGGAATTTATTTTCTAAAATTACAATCAACTAAAAAAAGTGTTCAGATTTTGTGGGGGTTTTTTGTTTGTTTTCTAGTTAGCAAAAACAAGTCTATTGGCAATAAACCCAAGTATAACTGCATTTTACACATTTTATAGTATTAGGATACCATATGAAATTGTCATTTTTGTAAGTCCAAAACTCTTGAATACTGTCAATTGCATGTGTTTTGTACCTTAACCTCAGAACTTCTGATGACACTATTTCTCTTAAAATTAAAGCGTATATATCACATTTATTATTTTTGAAATTATTATAGACTCACAGAAAATTGAAAAAAATAGCACAAAGAGCCCAGTATACCCTTTAGCTAGCTTCCCCCACTAGTAACATGTTACATGGCTGTGGTAAAATATCAAAACCAGGACATGTCACTGGTACAATACTGTTAACAAGTCTACAGACCTTTCTCAGATTCCACAAGTTTTTACATGCACTCATAAGATATTACTTTTTAAAGTTTACACAACCAACTTTTTTTAAGCAACTCTGAAAGTAGGCACAGATGCAGCAAGTAAGGTTCAGAGAATTTAGAATATTGTTTTTAGTCTAGTGTATCGTCCCCCTCTGTGCAGAGTATGGGATGGCCAATAGGGTGAAACCAACTGGATTTAAGGCTCTTTCTGAAAACTTTTCTTTCTGGGACCTGAACTATTCCCATAGGAGAGGTGATAAATTCTTCCAATTCTTTATGCCTCTTTTGAATTGTATATATTCCCAAGAGATTAATGCGTTCAATTCTTAGTTTTGTTTTTCTGGGATATGGAGAGATAATGTTTGCACAAGTGCTGTGGGTAAAGCTTCGAGGATAAGATGCTGATAATGGAATGATCAGCAAAATGGCAGACTGGAACTCTCCAGGGCAAATACTCTCTCCTCCCTCCCATATTTTCTGCAGGGGAGCTGTATTCATTAGGTATGTCTGGGACAACCATGGAATGTGCCTGCCTCAGACAGGATGGCTGATATTTTAAGAAACAATGGCTAAAAAAGAGATCAAATATTAAAATCTGAAATTTCCTTGTCTTTATTTAAAAATAAGAATAACTTAGATAATATGCAAATATAAATTTTGAAACCCCAAAACAGCAAGGTGAAAGTGGAAAATAAAACTATCCTGTGTTTCAAAAGGCAATTAAAGAAAAACAGCACACCACACTGTAAGACTGGAAACCAGTTGTCTGGAGGTTTTAGCAGTGCCAATGAGTAGAGAAAAGTTTCCATATAATTCAATAACCAAGTAGAGTCAGAGTGACTCAAGACTTGTCTGGAGTTTAGACTTATTTGACGGAAACTTCGTAGGGCAGGTTTTCCTCTTTCGCCAATTTGACTTTACAAGCCAAGGCCCACATACTTGGAAACAGTAACTGGACAATTACTAAATGGTTGCTGAGTGATGGAGTAAATAGTTGGAAAAAAGTTTGAATTTGGATTCATGACAGCTATCAGATAAGTCTTATTCGCATGTTCAAGACAGTTTTATATGCTATTAGGACACACTGCTGTTGAAGAAGAAGTAGAAATTGTCTCTGTATTTTCAATTAAAATTCAACTTAATCAAATGTGTTATACAAACGTATATAGAGGAAAGGCTTTTTTAGAGTTTTCAAAAAGTTTTTTTAAAAATACTTGCATTGGAGGTCCATGTGTTTGCAGAAACTACTGTCATGGGCATTTACAATTATTTTATTTATTTGATTGTATATATTTAAGGTGTACAACATGATATTTTGATATGCATATACATAGTGAAATGCTTACTAGAGTCAAGCAAATTAACATATCCATCATCTCACATAGTTGCCCTTTTTTTTCTTGGTAGCCAGAGCATCTAAAATCTACTATTTTAATAAAAATCCTCAATTTTAAGAGGCCATACAGGTGAAGGCTGTCACACAGAGGGAACTTAAGTCAAAAATCCCAGTCCCATCACTTAGGACTTCAGGGCTGTCCAGACCATTGTCATCAGAAACCAAAACTCAGGGAAAGGACAGGCTGAGGCTGAAAGCAGAGCTGAGAGAGTCCCTGTCACTTTCATATTGTATATCTATCCCTATGTGTTTATGGATATATAACCCTTTTGTATATTTACCCATCTGATAAAAATTACATTCTCTTTGCTGCAGAATTTCACCACAACCACACCTCCCACCCTTACTCACACACACACACACACACACACACACACACACACACACAGTTGTGCTGGGTAAATATTGTAAATATTGTGATAAATTGCTTTAGACGGAGGGTAAAACATATTCAGGGGTCAGACTTGACTAACACTAGATAGTGATTGTTGTGTTTTCTGGTTTGTTTTTGCTGTGGGGGTGATGGATGTTGTCTGTGGCGGGCATTGTTGGCTACATGCCTGGGTTTCTTTTTCAGTAACTGAGGAATCAAGTCAAAGGCTAGATTTGAATGTCAGCACAATATACAGGATTTTTGAGAGAAAGGAGTTTGGAGGCAAATCTTGAAGCTTCACTTCTTTTAATTTTGCAGGGTGGTGGATGATGTGATTTCTCTTCCTCAATTCCCCTAGAATTCCTCTTCAGTAAAATTGATATTATTAACCAAGTCACTGTGGTGTTGGATCTATTTGGGAGATGTGGCAAAATGCTGAGTTTGGCCTCAGAACGGGCACAGGGTGAGAAGAGAAACTCCCAGGGGATTTCAGGCTCATGTGGGTCAATTGGACTTCCAGGCAGTCATCCATTTCCTCTTAATTGAAAATGCTGCTAGGAGTACCAGGTTATCTGTTGTTAATACTTTCCCTCTAAGTTTAGAATGCTGAAGCAAAAAAAAAAAAGACTACTTTCCTAGGCAAGTATTTTCTTCCCCATGTACTTTATTATTATATTTTTATGTCACTAACAAAAATTTATCCAGTTAACAGGAAAATCTCAGGGGTAAAGAGAGATAAATTAAACACTTGTACTGAATTTAAAATATTATCCTAAGGACTAAAAATAACCTCTTAATCCTACTTATTACAAAGCTATAAATATTTACTGTAAACAGAGAAATATTGATAGGCAAAAGAAATAAGCATTCATGGTACCATCAAGCAGAACAAATCACCACTAATATCAGGATGTGTATCCTTCTAGCACTGCTTGTATAGGGTCATAGTCTGTGTATTGATTATTATCTGTACCTATTTCCAAGCACTGTACCAAGTGCTCTGCATACATTATTTCATTTAACCTTTCCTTTATACTATGAGGTAAATGCTATTTTACAGATGTAGAAACTCTTGGCTATTCAAAGGGGGAGTAGAATTGAACCCTTTGGAACAACTGTAGCTATCCAGACAGACCCTGGCCTACTCTGAAGAATCCCATGAAGAGGTTTCAGGGACATCAAGAAATCTAGACCAAATTCAAATCTCCTAATATACTCAGGAAATAATTTGGAAGTATCCAACATAAAAAGAGTCATCTGCATGTAACAGAATGTATCCTCATACTTGGTCAGTTTCCAAACATGAAAGCGTTAAGGTTGCCAAGGGAAGAACCAACCTGTCACAACCAAAATACTCTATGTGGCTGTGTTTGAAGCTTACCTGTCTTTGGTAGATTTGTTAGAGCAGTTAGCATTATTAATACTAATTACTACAACGATTGATGATAGTGGTGGTTTCAAAAAAGAATACGAAAAGGCAACATGATGAAGTGAAAATATCTTTTGCTATAAAAAGCACACAATATAACACTTTCCAGCTTTAACAAGCTATGTACTATTTCATCGTGTTTAACTTTAAGTCTGCTTAACAGACGTACTGTAGATTTGGGAAATGTGAAAACTTTTTTCCAAATGAAATTGTTAAAGGCAAATCTATGATATATGACTCACCTACAAGACTTCCAAGAAACCAGTACTCCTGGATTTCCTTACACGTGGTGATTCAGTCTTCCAGGATGTTTAAGCAGTTGTCCTAGAAGGTGGGTGGCAAAGAAAAACTAACAGAAAAAAGTAAAGAATAGAATATGTCTATTTCTGCTATTTGCACCTATTTTTTGGACTATCTGATATTTTAGTTTTTCATTTTCAAATCTATGATTTGTGGTAATTCACTTTGAGATGTGTTATGAAGGACGACTGGAGCCATTAGGAATTCAGTCTTTTTAAGTAGATCCTTCCTTCCTTCCTTCCTTCCTTCCTTCCTTCCTTCCTTCCTTCCTTCCTCCCTCCCTCCCTCCCTTCCTCTCTCTCTCTTTCATTCTTTCTTTCTTCCTTTCTTTCTTTTTCTTTCTTTTTTTTCTTTTTGAGACAGAGTCTGACTCTGTCGCCCAGGCTGAAGTACAATGGTGCAATCTCAGCTCACTGCAACCTCTCTCTCCTGGGTTCAAGCGATCCTCGTGCCTCACCCTCCTGAGTAGCTGGGACTACAGGCCCATGCCACCACACCTGGCTTATTTTTTCTGCATTTTTTTAGTAGAGATGGGGCTTCACCATGTGGGCCAGGCTGGTCTTGAACTCCTGGCCTCAATTGATGTGCCCGCCTCAGCCTCCCAAAGTGCTGGGATTACAAGAATGAGCCACCACATTCGGCCTGGTTTTTTTTTTTTTTTTTTAAATATTTTGTTCTTGGTCTTTATTGTGTTCTCACTGTCACCCCTGCCCCCGCTGCCCCGGCCCCGTTAACTCCCCTGGTTTCAGGTTGTTGGATGTCACTTCTCACTTTGCTGTTGTGTGACTGCCTATACCAGCCCTGCCTGTCACTTTTCTCACTTGTCTCACAGAGATGGTGTTATGGGCTGACTTGTGTTCCACTCAAAATTCATATGTTGAAGTCCTAACCCCAATACCCCAGAATGTGACTGTATTTGAATGTAGGGTCTTTACAGAGGTAGTTAAGTTAACAGGAGGTCATTAGGATAGCTGTAATCCTATATGACTGGTGTCCTTATAAGAAGAGAGAATTTAGACACAATTACAGAGGGAAGATGACCTGAAGACTCAGGGAGAAGACTGTCATCTACAACCCAAGAGAGAAGCCTGGGACAGATCCTTCCTGAAGAAACCAGCCCTGCTACACCTTGATTTTGGACTTCTAGCCTCCAGAACTGTGAGAAAATAAAATTCTATTGCTTAGACCACATAGTCTGTGATATTTTGTAATAATAACCCTAGCAAACCAACACAGGTTGATTTGGAAATCATCTAACAGGTTACTTAATACAATAAAAACTATTAATAGACTTGTGGTTGTAGAGTATAAGAACAAATCTACAGCAAGCTCCTATGAGCTTCATGCTGTGAACACTGGCTATGTCAAATCATTTTATGCTGCCTTCTTAGATGCAAGTATTCATTCATCCCATTATTTACTCAATCAATGAATATTTACTGAATCCTTTCTACATACCAGACATTGAACCAGACATGGCTCAATGAGGACTTGGTGTAGCCCTTGCGGGAGCTTACAGTCTCAGAGAGGGAAACAGTCATGTAAAAATGAGTCGTGGTAAAATACTACAAGTGTTTAGGATACTAATGAAGTGAGAAAAAATAGATCAGATGGTCTTGAATTCTGGAAGGTGAGCTCACCAGATAGTTGAATTCCAAATACATGCAATGTTATGGTGTGTGTGTGTGTGTGTTTGTGGTGTGTCTACCTACCTACCTATGTCTTTTGACATATGAGCACACTCTCTCACATTCTGCTTGGTTTCAATGCCTGTTGCAAACTTACAGAGATAAGTGGATTATGATGGAGTGGGAAGTAGCAGTTAGAAGACATGTGTTCATATCTGGCCTCTGTTATTTATCTAACCAAGTGACCACAAACAAGTCACTCAGCTTTTCTGAGCCTCAGTACCTTCCAAACTGGTTGTTTGGGGAATTAAATGAGATGTCAAGGGCTTTGAAAAGTATAAAATCTTAAATAGTCCAATTATGATTTATTGAGAAAAAAATTGGATCTTCTCAGGAAAATAAATAGTTAAAATTAATAAGTGGCAAATGAAACCAGAGCTAAACCAGGTATAGGGAACATGTTGTTATCTATACTTATTCTAGGTATTTCAGGTATTAAGTGACTTCTTGTGTGCAAAGTTTGGTTTTCATTGTGTTTACTATGGCGATACTGGTCAGTGGTGCTTCCTGCTTGGTTGGAAAGTTGAATATTTATTACCCCATGTATGTAGGGGTAGTTGAGGATGCTCTTAGTCAGATTAGGGACATCCTCTGATGGGCAATGCTGCTTTGTGGTTAGACACATGGACTCTACAGCTAACTCTAACAAGGAACTTAACCTTTTCTTGTGAAAATGAAGATAAAAATGATATCTGCTTTATTATAGCATTATTATGAAAATTAAATAATCCAAAATTAAAGCACTTAGGAGAGTGGCTTGCACATAAGAGCAATTTAAGTGTTAGATTAATAAATTCTGCATCTCCGAAGCATCAGCGTTTACCAACAACTGTAGGTAAGATTTTACACCCAAGGCTGGCTTTTACTCTGCTGCCTTAGCACTAGCAATGAGTTCTCAGAAAACCCCTGGACTCTCCACTCTTCGGTGATAATAATCCCTCTGTTACTGCCTCATTTTACAAGTTTGGGGTGGGGGCAACAGAGTAACAATTGTTTACGTCATCATCCATGAACTGTAAAAATCCCAGTGCGGGGTCTCCTGGAAAAGCAATGAAACTGCCTCCTCCTTCTCCTGAGATTATTTTTGGGCTCATTGGTTTGCTCTGCTCCTGTAAAAGGGCTTTGTGGTGCTTTCGACATCTCTGGTGAAACTGCTACTGAATACAATCTTTCACAAGGGCAGTGTTTCAAAGCTTTAATAATGAGCTGGCTTGAGCTTTGGCAATTTATCTTTAAGTAATAATTGGCAAATGCTCAAAAATGCATGAATGATACTTGTTGTGATGTTGCTTAAAGTAATAGTGAAAAGCGAGGAATGATCTAAAGGTTGGACATAGGGGGCTGATTAATACATGATGACACCATATATTGATAGAGCAGTAAAATAAGATAAATTTCTATTTTTATATGAAAAATTGTTTTTGATATGTTGTTAAGTAAAAAGCAAGTCACAAAGCCATAGGTAGAATTTGATCCAATTTTATTTTTTTAAAAAAGAGGTAACTTTTGTTTGTTTATATTTGAATAGAACAAGTTTTGAAGAATCTGTACAAAAATATTAATGGTAATGACCTCTGCATAGTGGTATTTTGAGTGGTTTTAATTTAACTGTGTTCTTTTTGCTTACCTGTATTTTCTAAATTTCCTGCAATGACTATGAATGGAATGCCTAAGGGTAAGAAAGGAGGAAAATATCTTAAAAAGGAACTTCATCGGTTTGGCTAGTTTTTGTCATCAAGTTATTTGGACAAAAAAGTGTCTGTGCATTCCAAGAGGGCCATAGCTCGCCTTAGGAACATCACGCTTTCCTGCTGACTCTACAGAAGGGCAAATGCCTGTGGCTTATGTGAAGGCTGATGGTGTAAACTTGAGTGCTGAAAAGTGGTACAATGGGTATTTACCTCTTCCTGCCTCCCTCCCCTTCCTGCCCACATTATCCTCAATGGAAAAGAGGATATCTATTGCACAAGGTCGAAAGTACTCTACTATCTAAGGTCTCATGAGGGAGAAAAGGAGAGAACAATCCTTATCGCGACCTAGTAATCAATGGTGAGCTCTCTAAACCACAATGGCTCTCTTTTGCTAAACTAATTATCTTGGCTGAAAGAATATCTTTGAGCTTCTCCCAACAGACAAGTCTCAGTGATCAGGATAGCAGTTTGGAGCATTTGGCTAACAACTCCTAAGGGTGCTGCCAAAAGGGCTCCTAAGCCTGTTCTCAGGCTTTTCTGGCAGATTTTCAAAGCCCAGAAATCGGAAAAAATACAAATGGAAATAACAGAAAACTACAAGATTCCTCTCTCTCAGTGCTTCCTCAGCCAGCCTGACGCTCTTCTTCCAGGCTGAGCTGCGGCCCTGGCTGTCAGGGAATGAGCTGGAAGACCTGATCTTACACCTGTGGCTTATTATTACCCCTGGCAGGGGTTTCCTCTGGTTTAGTGGCCAGACATTGTGGAGCCCGCTGATTTATTTCCTATCTGGCATTTTCCTTTTCGTTAGAATATCACTAACTGAGTTCAGGCATCCATGGACCTGGCATCGGTGGAAGGACCTTGGTGAAGAGAAACATTTTGGTGTAACAGCAAAGAACTAGGGCTCTGGGACTGAGTCACCACTTACCAGGCTTAGGCAGAATTTCTAAGCCTTAGTCTTTGCCTTTGTAAAATGGGAATAAAAATAATATCCACTTCACGAGACTATGGTGAGGATTAAGTCCAATCTTGAACTTAAAGTGCTTAACCAGGCCTGGCATATAATAAATATTTAATAAAAGGCAGCATTAGCGAAGAGCAGCCTTGAGGAAGTTAAGGACTGACCTGACTCCAGTTTGAGAGCTGGAGGAAGGACCAGTTGGATCATCCATGACAGGAATCCATCACTTTGGGAATGTGATTCTCCATTTCCAACCGCCTCCAAAGCAGGGTAATCTGGACAGTGACTTTTTCAGTAAAACACAGTGCCTTTCTATTCCGTAATGGTATTTTTTGTTTGTTTTTACTCTTGTTCTATTATTTACCACTCTATTCACCCTCAAAGAATCAAAACATGATATTTAAAATAGCTATTTAATAAAGTGATGTTTTTGGCATCTTTTTTCTCGGTCTGTTTTCTTACATTTTTATCTATGGCTCTCTTTAGTCATAAAACTTCAGATGTGCAGAATCTGCTTAAAAAGCTACCAGGCAAAAAGAATTCTGCCTCTTATGCTGGCGGTTTCCTTTTAAAGGGAACACCAGAAAGCTCAGAATATTTATTTAAGAATAATTAGAAAAAGTGAACTATTAAATACTAAAATTAAAGAAAAGTCATCGAATCTACTTAAACTGCTCACTGCAGCTGGCAGCAACTCATTAAAAGTCAGTTTCAAAATGTGATAGCTTTCAAAGAACCTTTTTATATATTTTCTGAGGTCTCTCTGAAAGGATTCCTTTCTTCATGAATATTGCTATTAAGGAGGGCCTGTATAAACCAAAACTAATTTGTAGGTAAGCATGGCTTTTAAAGGAATAGAAGCCCGATTCAGAAATGTTTACTGAACTGGAGTAATTGAGCTGACTTTCCCACATAGGCATACCAATTTTTCTTATTTCCAAAATGAACCAGACATTTTAAAGTCCTAAGGTCCCATTTATGAAATCAGCTCCTATGTCCTTTGCACAGGTTTGTACTATGTGATCAGTATACTTTTATATGAGATTGGGTAGCTACAAGTGACATTTTAGGCTGCACTCTATGTGTCCTTTCAGATGACAAAGTCCTCTGTGATGTCAGGGAGCGGTTTCTCTCTACCTCTGCCTCTTAGTTAAACTTTTGCTCTTAAGAATAGAGTACTTATTTGTTTTTTCTCTTCTGAATCATGACTGACCTTAACTCCTCAGAACTTTTACAAACAAGAAGAATTAATTAATACAAGAGTGATAATTCAGAGCCAGTGTTTCTGGCATGCTTTGGGGAGAGATGTTTTGTGTTTGTGTGCATGAGACCAAGTGTTTAAAAGCTAAATATGGCCAGACATGGTGGCTCACGCCTGTAATCCCAACACTTTGGGAGGCCGAGACGGGTGGATCACCTGAGGTCAGAAGTTCGAGACCAGCCTGGCCAACATGGCAAAACCCTGTCTCTACTAAAAATACAAAAATCAGCCAGGCATAGTGGCACATGCCTGTAGTCCCAGCTACTTGGGAGGCCGAGGCAGGAGAACCACTTGAACCCAGGAGGCGGAGGTTGCAGTGAGTGGAGATCGCGCCACTGCACTCCAGCCTGGGCGAAAGAGTGAAACCCCATCTCAACAAAACAAAACAAACAAACAAATAAAATCTAAATATAAGGATTAAATGAGATAATACATTCAAAGAGTTCCTGACTCGGAGATGATCAATAAATGTCCAGCCATTTCCTTCCATTCCACTCCACCCCACAGCACCCTTTCTAAGACCGAGGCAGACATTATGTACTCCCCAAATCTTCTTTTCTCTCAGGGCAAGCACCTGGGGTTTTCTTTTCAGTTGCTCTTCCCAGGACGGTCTCTGTACCCCATTCCAGCATCTTTGTCGTTGTCTTCAACTTAACTATACTCCTTTTCATCTCAATTGTGGTTCCAGGAACTGAATTCAATACTCCACTTGAGGAGACCTCCACCGAATGGAATGGCCTCTATATCCTCTCTGAATAGGACTTCTCTTACCTATCTGATATGGCTTGGATCTGTGTCCCTGCCCAAATCTCCTGTGGCATTGTAATCCCCATTGTTGGAGGTGGGGCCTGTTGAAGGTGATTGGATCATGGGGGTGGTCCTTCATGAATGGTTTAGCACCATCCTCCTGGTGCTGTTCTCTTGATAGTGAGTGAGTGACTTATCATGAGATAACCCACTTATCGCTTATCACACTTTGTTTAAAACTGTGTAGCACCACTGGGCGTGGTGGCTCACGCCTGTAATCCCAGCACTTTGGGAGGCAGAGGCGGGAATCACCTGAGGTCGGGATTTCAAGACCAGCTTGACCAACATGGAGAAACCCTGTCTCAACTAAAAATACAAAATTAGCCAGGCGCAGTGGTGCATGCCTGTAATCCCAGCTACTCAGGAGGCTGAGGTGGGAGAATCACTTGAACACAGGAGGCTGAGGTTGCAGTGAGCTGAGATCGTGCCATTGCACTCCAGCCTGGTCAGCAAGAGCGAAACTCCATCTCAAAACAAAAATAAAACAACAACAACAATAAAAAAAAAACAAAACTGTGTAGCACCTCTCCCCTCTCTCTGTCTTCTTCCTGCTCTGCTCCCATCTTTGCCCTCTGCCATGACTGTAATTTTCTGGAGGCCTCCCCAGAAGCCAGACAGATGCCAGCATCATGCTTTCTCTACAGCCTGCAGAACCATGAGCCAATTAAACCTCTTTTCTTGATCAGTTACCCAATCTCAGGTATTTCTTTACAGCTGTGAGAGGATGGACTGCCACAACATCAGACCAAAGTCACCTCCTTGGCTCACTCTGTGTATAGTGATCTATATATAAGCCAGAAGAGTCTTCTACAAGTTTTGCCATGCATTGGTCAGGGACCTGCCATTCAATCAGTTGTGAAGACACCCACTTTATTAGTGTCTTTCAAAAGCCTTTGTCAAATGCTATTGGAGATTCAGCTGTACTCTGGCTATGGCATTGCCTTTATTTATTGGCTACTAAAAATGAATACAGTTATTTTGCATGAGGGTGGAGTTTTTGGTTTTGTTTTGTTTTGTTTTGTTTTCATTGAAAAGGCATCCTCTAAGTGCTGGGTACATGGTAGTCAGTCAGTAAGTGATTTTTGAATGAATGAATAAACTAGGACTTCATGAATTACATGGGTTCCTGTTACGCCCTCTGAGTGGTTTTAACATATGTTTTAAAGCCAACCTACAGCATGTGCAATTTATCTTAGAAACTTTTAATGATAGCTGCCCCACTATCATCTGCCTCTCAGAAAATATGTCTCAATTCACTTCCTTTTTTTTGAGACAGGGTCTTGCTCTGTCGCCCAGGCTGGAGTGCAATGGCATGATCTCTGCTCACTGCAACCTCCGCCTCCCGGGTTCAAGCAATTCTCATGCTTCAGCCTCCTGAGTAGCTTGGGTTACAAGCGCACGCCACCATGCCTGGCTAATTTTTGTATTTTTAGTAGACATGGGAGTTTCGCCATGCTGTCCAGGCTGGTCTTGAACTCCTGGCTACAAGTGATCCCCCCGCCTCGGCCTCCCAAATTACTGGGATTACAGGTGTCAGCCACCACTCTCAGCCTCAATTCACTTCTAAAAGCAATTAGAGGTGGCTTCGAGATGCAAGAGAAGTTTCCTTGGGTGTTCACCACTTTAATTTGTGGGAGTCATGCAGTTCAGAGAAGCATCACTTTCTCTCTACAATCTCACACATCAAACGCTTCTATATCCTCTCACTGATGTTTGTTCTGCCACTCTTCGTCTAAAGTCCATTCTTCTTGAAAGAAAACTAAAAAGCAAAATGGAATGTTTTTCGTTTTCACTCATTCATCTGCCGATATTATACTATTTGTCCCAAGAAATGGGCCTGTCTTTCTTATTCTTCTAATTTTGACTACTATTAATGAGACCATTTTGTTGTCCTTAGGTGTTCATGATGTAAGAGCCCCTGCTATTACAGAATTGTGGGTTTCAACCCCGGGTGCTTCCTATTCTAGTAACTAACTGAACTGCTGAAGCTCCTACAGAAGAATCCAGAAGAACCGACTCTGTGAATGATCTTTAACATTTTGAGTAGTACCTGGGGTGGCAAAGTGAGCAATAATTTTTAAATATTAAAACTGTATTTATGATTTCTAGAATATTGTTTGAAAATGTAGCATTTTTTAAACTATTTCACATAAAATATTGTGATACAGATAATAACTACACCTGTAGTGCCTGAGCCACACAAGGTGCTTCACGTGTAATTCTCACAACACTACTGTTCACATTTTTACATTGGGGAAACTGAGGCTTCAGAGTGTGTAGTAACTCACCTAAGCTCACCCAACTCGAGAGTACCAAGCAAACACTCGAACTCAGGTTTGCCTACTCAAAGCCTGCACTCTCCACTCCACTACCCTGCCTGCCAACTTTCATTCATCTATTTGAAAAATATTTCTTGAGCACATGATATATGCCAAGAACTGTTCTAAGTGCCTAAGATACATCGGTGAATGAAGACAAAGTTTCCCACCCTTATGAAGCTTAGATTCTAGTGGGAGAGAGAGACAAATAAACAATATAATTTTATATAAATTTACATACATGATAACAAGTGCCAAGTGCCGGGGAAAAAGGAAAAGGAGAGCAAATTAAGAGGAATCAGGAAACTGAGCAGTGAGGGTGGAAAGAGGTCATCCTATTAAATGTAGGGTGAACGTCATTGAAAAGGGGTCATTTAGGAGAGGGGGGAGTGAGCCAAGCATATCTCTGGCTCTGCCAGGCAAGTAGAACAGTGGGAGCAAAGGCTCTGAAGCAGGAATGTACTTGGCAAGTCCCAGGACCAGCAAGGAGGCCAGGATGGTAGTGTAGAGGGAGTGAGAGACAGAGGAGCAGGAGGTAAAGTCAGAATGGAAATAAGGCCTTGTTTGGGACACGCAGGACACTGTACTCTGAATTTAATGGGAGGCAGAAGGGAGGGAGGTGGGAACATCTTGAACAGAGGAGTGACATGCTCTGACTTAGCTTTTAGCAGGCTCACTGCATCAGCTACATTGAGAATAGACTGTTAAGAGGGAAAATGTGGAAGAAAGCCAGCCATTTAGGAGGTTATTGCAAAAATCTAGGCAAGATGTAATACCATTTAATGTTGTGACAATCCAGACCTCAATGGTATCAGTGGTGGGAGTGAGAGGTGATCAGATTCTGCATGTATTTTGAAGACAGAGCCACAGTTTGCTGAAGGGTTGGATATAAGGATTGAAGGAGGAGGAGAAGTGAAGATGATACTGAAGTTTGTCCTAATCAACCGAAAGGATAAAATTGACAACTAAAACAGAAAAGGACAAGACAAGGCCGGGTGTGGTGCCTTGCACCTGTAATCCTAACATTTTGGGAGGCCGAGAAGGGAAGATTTCTTGAGCCCAGGAGTTTGAGATCAGCCTGGGCAACATAGAAAGACCCCATCTCTACAAAAAGCACAAAATTAGTTTGGCTGAGTAGCTGGGACTTGTGCCTATAGTCCCAGCTACTCTTGTGCCTATAGTCCCAGCTACTCAGGAGGCTGAGGTGGGAAGATTCCTTGAGCCCAGGAGTTTGAGGCTTCAGTGAGCTATGATCATACCACTGCACTCCAGCCTGGGTGACAGAGTGAGACTCTGTCTCTAAAAAAATAAAGTAAAAATAAAAATAAAAAGGATAGGAGAAAAGGAGCTTGGCTTGACATACTGACTGAAGTTTAGATGCTGATTAGACATCTAAATGGAATTGTTGAATAACCAGTTGGACACTTACTATCAATTTATATGCATCCTAGTATAGCTTATTGATGCAAATTATTTACATTTAAATGGTTTGAATTATTGGTGAGCATTGGACATTTTTCCTAGTCTTTATTAGCTTATAATTGTATTTGTCAGTGTGGTTATTTGATTCTGATCTACCACATGACAGGATTCATTAGACTCCAAACTCCATGAGGGCAGGGGTTGCCTTTGTTGTTGCTCATTTTGTCTTTGTACTTCTATCACCTAGCATCCTGCCTGGCAGGCAGTAGGTGCCCAAGCCACATACCAACCACTCAATAAATATTTGTTAAATGAATAGATATTTGTTTTA
Organism: Homo sapiens; assembly: GCF_000001405.40. Taxonomy (NCBI): domain Eukaryota; kingdom Metazoa; phylum Chordata; class Mammalia; order Primates; family Hominidae; genus Homo; species Homo sapiens. Next base: position 131,772,171 of record NC_000006.12, read on the forward strand.
AAAATGAGTGCTTTATTATAAGAGGATTGCTGCTCTGAAAATATTTAGAAATAAAAAATGTTTTTGGGGTCTTCAAATTTCATCACCACGTTGTTTCACTAGAGGTTTTCACTAACTTGAATTCAGTATTAGAAAATGATTTTGTCAGAAATTATGTTCTTCATAAATATGAGGTTTCAAAAAGATTGAAGCGTGTGACTTTTAATATATCTTGTAAAGATAATAAATGTATATTACACATATCTACTTATACAAATGTATAAATTGGCCCCTTCACATGGCAGGCATTTCTGGAATAGCAATGTACACCAATGGAAAAGCATTTATTTGATTTATAAAAATCACATATAAGTAATGGAGAACTTTCCTTGAATGCCACACACTTGTAAAGAGAGAGCCACTTTTTTGTAAATGCTGTGGATTTAAGTAGATAGCAATGAAACAAGAGTGCATGGAAATGGTGGGGGGAAAGGAGGTGAAGGATCTTGTGACCAAAACCATAAGGAGTTTGGATTTTGAGATACTTGGCACCTGTGTGTGTATAATTGCCCAGTGGGTTCACCTTGCTCACTGCCTAGACAGAGTCAATTTATCAAGACAGGGGAATTGCAATTGAGAAAGAGTAATTCACACAGAGCTGGCTCTGCGGGAGACTGGAGTTTTATTATTACTCAAGTCAGCCTCCCCAAGCATTTGGGGATCAGAGTTGTTAAGGACAAGATAGTGGGTTGGGGGAAGCCGGTGAGCCAGGAGTGCTGGTTGGTTAGGTAGCAGATGAAATCATGGAAAGTTGAAGCTGTCCTCTTGGGCTAAGTCTGTTCTTGGGTTGGTGCCATAAGATCAGATGAGCGAGTTTGTCAACCTGGCAGTGCCAGCTGATCCATCAAGTGCAGGGTCTGCAAAGTATCTCAAGCACTGATTTTAGGAGGAGTTTAGGGAGGTTCAGAATTTTGTAGGCTCCAGCTGCATGACTCCTAAACCATGATTTCTAATCTTGTAGACTGTCCTACAAAGGCAGTCTAGTCCCCAGGCAAGAAAGAGCTTTGTTTTGGGAAAGGGCTGCTATTGTCTTTGTTTTAAACTGTAAACTAAGTTCCTCCCAAAGTTAGCTCAGTCTATGCCCAGGAAGGAACAAAGACAGCTGAAAGGTTAAAACCAAGATGGACTCAGTTAGGTTAGATCTCTTTCACTGTCTCAGTCACAATTTTACAAAGCTGGTTTCTCATACTCCTGAATGACCAGAACACAAGGAAAGTAAACGATGTGCCTTTGGACTGATTAGTGTCCCCAGTGGGGAGCTTTTCTGGAGCCCTGGGGTCATTTCTGTTCTCTCTGCTATGGTTGAGGAAAGAAGTGACCAAGACCTTTAGTGTATATTCTACTTACTTCATTACTATGGAGATTTTTCTGCATATCTCATTCTGAGATAAGGGAGAGAAAACAAAATCTCAGAGGAGCAGTGCTGCATAAATTCGAATAGGACCAACAGTGCAAGCTGGGAGTATCACCGTTCATTTGGCTTATGTCCATTATGTTCTCCTAAGCACAAAAATTTGAACTCCTTGGTTGAAACTGGACTCGGATATGGAAAAAGTGAAATCATGTGTCTGTATCTATTTTTACAAGATTGTCAGGTCAATGGACAGGCCTGGAAAATCTGAACAAGCCAAGATTCCCTACAGCTTGCCTAACCTACATCTGGCTCTCTAAGGAGAGCACATCCCTCATTCATCAGAGAAATCCATCAGGGAATAAGCCAGATTAAAAAGGACAGGCAGATCTAATGATATCCATCTGCTTATTGCTTCTTAATATTTGAGTATATTTTGGTGGTGTTTTCCATGCCTCCCTCTGCAAAGTGGGTGAGAGCGTGTGCCTTTGGCAGCTACACATAGCAACACTGGGCAGTGCTTGGGAGCTCTGGGCAAATTTCTTTAACATTCTAAGCATCAATTTTTTTTATTTATAAAATGGTATAAAAATAGAATATTTTAGAAATTTTGTAATGCGTTAATACATGTGAAGAGTTAATACATACCTACTACAGTATCCAGCACAGAATAAGTGTTCTAAGTAGTAGCTTTCAATACAAAGAAATTGTATGAAACATCATTATTATTATGAAAAGGGTAGAGTGGGGTTAGAATCATTGATTTTCAGTCTCTGCTAAATGTTTTCTGCTCTTGAATTCAATCTGTGTGATTTTAACCTACTCTTAAAAATCTTCTCTTCATTAAAATAGTATAATGACATTTGGATACTGTGAAATATAAAATAGATTAAAATAGTTTGAAAGGTAGCAAGTCTTAACTATCTAAGTATAACTATTGCATCGAGAAGCACACATTTTTTCTGTATGGAGACAAATATAGCTGATCTAGTCACAGGGATGCCCTGTGACAGATGCAGGTGAATTGTATTCCCTTTGAATTCATAACCACCTCTCCTATCTTCCACAGGTCATTATCTTATCTTGATATTCTCAGTGGTATATCTCTGATAGGCAAAAATGCCTATCTCTCTCTCTCTCTCTCATTTTTTTTTTTTTGACAGAGTCTCACTCTGTCACCCAGGCTGGAGTGCAGTGGCATGATCTCGCCTCACTGCAACCTCTGCCTCCTTAGTTCAAGCGATTATCCTGCCTCAGTCTCCCGAGTAGCTGGGATTACAGGTACGCATCATCATGCCCGGCTAATTTTTGTATATTTCATAGAGATGGGGTTTCACCACGTTGGCCAGGCTGATCTCGAACTCCTGACGTCAAGTGATCTGCCCGCCTTGGCCTCCCAAAGTGCTGGGATTAGAGGTGTGAGTCACCGCACCCAGCCAAAAGTGCCTATATCTCTCATTGTAAATTTTTTCCATATACTTCCTCTGCTCTTGAATTAATTGGCTGAAAAGTCAAGAGCAAATGAAACCCCATAAACATGTATCTCTGTAGTAGCTGAGAGCGAACCCAATTTCCTGACACAAACATATCATGTAACTGCCATTGAGGGGATCAAGAAACATATAAGGATCATGCCTGAAACTGACAGAGGCTCCAAACAGGGTAGAACATCTAGGTGTCTATAGTAAATCCTTTGACTTCTTTCTGGAGGAAAGGATATATCATCCTCCCATCTCCCCAGAGGAGCATCCTACAGAGGTGCTTCAGCATCTGTGGGTTTTGCCATAGTAGGGAGATGATGGTGAGAATTGTCACCCATCTCACTCACAATGGCCTCTGTGGCCTAGCCACTTTACCTCTTCCACCTCATCTGCTCTCATCTCCTCCCCACTAACTGTGCTCCAACCATATATACCTTCTGGGCATTTTTCAGACAGGCCAGGCATGTTCTGGCCTCAGCTATGCACTTGCTGGTCCCTTTTCCTGTAATACTCTCCCCCAGATATCCTTCCTCACCTCCTTCAGGTCTTTACTGGAATGTCGCCTTCTCCGTGAGACTTCCCCTAACCATCGTAATTAAAAATTGCAATCACCTCCCCCTAACATGTCTTCTACCCCTCCCTGCTTAATGTTTCTCCATACAGCTTACTGCTTACTACTTTTTATTTATCTTACTTACTGCCTGTATTTCCCACTAAACTATAATACCAGGAAGACAAGGGTTTGTGTCTTGTTTGGTCCCACCTACATTCCCAGGGCTGGCCATGTAGTAGGCTCCCAATTTCTATCTGTCTAAGTCATGGACGGACACCCATAAGAAATGGGCATACGAGCCTTGATGGTGCTGGTAGACATGGGGTGGGAAGATTGAAGAACCGTGAGAATTTGAAGGACCTGGTGAGATTCAGCCTATTTCTGACCTGTTAGTCCTGGTTAGGTCTTCTGGGTAACCCCCATGCTGATACTAAATAAGAGCACAGTTTCCTGAAAGCAGTGCCCCAGGAGGATGGCCCAGGAACTCAAGGGTCACTGGGGCAGAGCACACTGTGTGGTGGAAGGGTGTGGACAAGACAGGCTTAGGAGGGTAGGGGCAGAGAGAATGCTGGGACGTGGCAGAAATCAGGGCTGCCTGAATTCCTTGGGAATAGGTAACATCATTTCATACAAAGGTTGTGTGTGTTCTTAGGTGCTTTCTGTACCACCTTTCTTCAGGGGTGCCTAGCCACTTATTGTGGGTTTTCTCCTTGGTCCCCTTCTCTCTATTTTTTACTTTAATTTTTTATTTCTTTTAACTTTCATTTTAAGTTCAGGGGTACAAGTACGGGTTTGTTACATAGGTAAACTGTATCATGGGGTTTGGTGTACAGATTATTTCATCACCCAGGTATGAATCCTAGAACCCATTAGTTATTTGTCCTGAGTCTCTCCCTCCTCCCACCCTCCACCCTCTGAAAGATCACCATGTTTGTTGTTCCCTCTATGTGTCCATGTGTTTTCATCATTTAATTCCCACTTATAAGTGAGAACATGTGGTATTTGGTTTTCTATTCCTCTCTCTCTTTTTAAAAATAGAGATGAAGTCTCGCCATGTTTTACATAATTACATAATTACTATATTAGGAATGCCTTTGCTTGGCCTAACACTTTACTATAAAATGCAAATAATCTTAAGAGGGACAATAGAATATATTTCATCTAGTATTTGTATTTTAACGGAGAGAAGTTTATGACAACTCAGGAGCTAGTTCTGATAAGCACAAGGAGAGAGGATGAGGGCACTGAGCATCTGAAATGACTTGAATTCCTGGCCTTAAGTGATCCTCCCGTCTTGGCCTCCCAACGTGTTGGGATTACAGGCATGAGCCACCACACCCTTCCTATTGTGGGTTTTCTTTATTCTCTATTGGCCAAGGGATGTTCCAGCTTGTTCCACTTGCCTCATCACATGGGGAGTCTTGGTTTACCTTTTGTTTTGTTTTGTTTTGTTTTACAAGTTTCTGTCTCTTTCTTTTATCCAGATAACTTATGCTATCCCAAGAGAAGAATGCTGTCAGGGCTAGAGTGCAATAAAGTAAGGCTGGGGAATAAATGAGCAAAATGATTCCATAGTCCACGGGGCCCTCTGTGTGTGCCCTCTTACGTCACAGTCATTTCAGATGCTCAGTGCCCTCATCCTGTCTCCCTGTGCTTATCAGAACTGGCTCCTGAGTTGTCATAAACTTCTTTCCATTAAAATACAAATACTAGATGAAATATATTCTATCATCCCTCTTAAGTATATTTGCATTTTATAGTAAAGTGTTAGGCCAAGCAAAGGCATTCCTAATATAGTAATTATGTAATTTCAGCATCTGCTGGTTAATGGCGGGACTGTGGAACCTAGTAACTTTGTTTCTGAAATCAGAGTCTAGGCTATTGTGTGCATAGATATGATTGTGGCCTCGGCTAGGGAGACTTCCGCCCTCAAATCTGTACTTTCTCAAGCTGGGGATCCTCAGGGTCTTTGAAAGACAAGTCTGCGTAAAGCAAGTGCTCTGTTTTTGAGTAGAGAATGCAGGGACCATAAAATCTTTAGCCTTCACTTCTCAGAAATCACCACTGATTCCAATAATAACTTCAAATATTCAGTAAATCTCAGGTATAGAAACTGGCCAATTCTTTATCCTTTTTGTCAATTACCAAATGATTACTCTGATAAAGATGGTAAAGACTTCCATCTTTATTCCTCTGTATGGAATGACCAACATTACAACATGATGTACCCACAAATATTTAAAATAAAGAATTTTTGTCCAGGTGCAGTGGCTCATACCTGTAATCCCAGCACTTTGAAAGACCAAGGCTGGTGGAACACGTGAGGTCAGGAATTCCAGACCAGCCTGGCCAACATGGTAAAACCCTGTCTCTACTAAAAATAAAAAAATTAGCCAGGTGTGGTGGTGCATGCCTGTAGTCCCAGCTATGAGGGAAGCTGAAGTAGGTTAATCGCTTGAACCCGGGAGGTGGAGGTTGTGGTGAGCCAAGATAGTGCCACTGCATTCCAGCCTGGGCAACAGAGCAAGGCTCTGTCTCAAAAAATAAATAAATAAATAATTTTTAAAAAACAATAAAAACCATTACAACACGTATGCATTAATATTTCCTGACACCACTAACATATGTACTTTTAACTTTCTTATGGGTTTTCTGAGAACTATTAGTGCATTCTGCAGAGCTGCCTTCCAGGATTTGGAGACTAAAAAGCAGTTAATCATGTAAAATACTTTCTGGATATAGTAATGAAGTCTGGTTTCACTGTATTTTTCTATGTTTACTTAGCAAAAGGCTTAAATGAGCCCACAGTGATAAATGTGGCCAAGTTTCCCTTCCCCTTCATCCCTCTCTTTCCTTCTTCTTTCTCAGGAAATTGGTGTGGAAAATCACTCTGTCCTGGGATGGCAACTCTCCTTGTATCCAGACTTATCCAGAGCTCCCTCTGCTCCCTCTAGGCACATGACTTGAGCTTCATGTGCCACCATGGGCATTGAAATTACAGTTTCCATAAACAGACAGACTGAGGATGAGAAGGGTAGAGGCAAATGCCATCAGCTTCTGTGCCTTGGGCCATGGATCCTATGGAGGCTGGGTTTCTCCCCCTTGCACCCTGTGAAGCTGGTAGCATACATGATTTTAACTTTCTGATGGGTTTTGACACCGTCAATACAGACCTTAGCTCTGCCAAGAACATCAGGCAAGTTCTCATAAGAAGTAGAAAGAAAAAAAAAATCTGGATAGCATTTCTCAATATTTCAAAATCCATGCCCTCCTTGGGAAAAAATAAAATAAAATAAATGATTTGAAATTTCAAAATAAGCACTTTTATTTGGCTTTCCAACTATATACTTTTATCACAATATTGAATATGTTTTGTTTCCAAAACACACATGTGGCCGGACGCAGTGGCTCACACCTGTAATCCCAGCAGTTTGGGAGGCCGAGGCGGGCGGATCCCCTGAGGTTGGGAGTTCGAGACCAGCCTGGTCAATATGGTGAAACCCCATCTCTACTAGAAATACAAAAAATAGTCAGGCATGATGGCGGGTGCCTGTAATCCCAGCTACTTGGGAGACTGAGGTGGGAAAATGGCTTGAACCCAGGAGGTGGAGTTTGCAGTTAGCCGAGATTGAGCCATTACACTCCAGCCTGGATCATAAGAGCGAAACTCTGTTTCATAAAAGCAAGCAAACAAACAAACAAAAAGAAAACACATGCCTCTTTGAAAGTCTAACATCCCCCACAGAGGATCATAGGTCTCAAATGTGGGTGATCTCAGCAGGGGCCCTCTTCCCCCTGGGCTTAGGGGAACAATGGATTTGTCCAGTTCCCTGTTCTGTCTTGGTTTCACCTTTGTTAACATGTCCAGTGTTTTGGTTCCATTTGGTTCTATTAGGAGTGTGTGGCAGGCCGCCCAAGGGAATGGATTTGGCAGTTATGCCAGTGATTTGGTTAAGAAGAACAACCAACTGGAATAATTTGATTTGGTAAGCACATTTTCTTTTCTTTGGCAGGGCAGGTAGGATGCTAGGCAAGCCAAGGGATTATATTTTTATAAGCTTGTTTTTCATTGCAAGCTTGTTATATATCCAAGAGAATTATTTCAACGTGCTGTTTCTTTAGTAGGATAATATCTTTCAAGGATTTCTTTCTACTATTAGTTAAAGAGTAATTTTAAATCAGCAAAATAGTTATTCCTAATAATAATAACTATTATTGGGTCTAATTACTTTATGTATATTATATAATAATAATAATAATAATAATACATTTTTGGAAAGAAAGAAACAGCAGATACAGGAGATATTGAAAGTGAGGAAAGGGAATCAAGTAATATCCAGAATCTTCCTTAAGAAAGGATAGTTAAATATTGCTTATTACCTGAAAACTACATGTCACCTGGGAGCAACAGACCCAAAGGAAGTGAGAATAGGCCGGGATGAGGCAGAAAGAAGTAATGTTAAGCAAGAAAGAAACCTTATGTGATTTTTGGGGGAACGAAGATAATTATAGTGGGGAGAGGTGGAGAGAGGGCAGGCCTGTTTATCTCAGCACGGAACTTGTTAAAAAACACTTTTATTTTTAAACTCAAATTTTACTTTAAAATAAAGTATCATTTTCTTGAATGGAGTTCTGTATATTTAGAAGTTTACTTTGGATCCTCAGATATGTCTACAAACTTATACAGCTATCCCTCTGGGTAGAATGTGCTTAGGAGCATAGGAAAAACCAGTTTGCCTTCTCTGTGGTTATACCCTGTAGATTTTTTTTTTTGAGGATATAAAAACTTTTTTTCAATATTCATGGTATGAAACTAGAAATGATTATTAATTTAAAACATAAAATATTTCCAGGTTTCATTTGACAATATTTATTTAGTTTGAAATATTAAAAAATAAAACGCAAGAAATTTTATAGGAAAGAAACCATCACTTCAAGTGGCAAATTCACCCTTTAGGAATAGTTTGCCTTTAGTTTATAACTATTCAATGCTAATTGCAACAGGAAGATCATCACCAACCTAAATGGTCCCTTAAAATTTACAAAGTGTTCATGTCCAGAATCTTTTCTTTTTCCTGTCCTAAATTGTTTATTAGGTATGAATTGTACAAACTTTACTTGTATTCGCGGTAACGGCGGAGCTAGGGAGTAGCTGCCCAGCGAAACCACCAGTAGTGTGGTGGAGCTTATGGCCCTTCCAAGGCCCCGGCTCTTTCAGCCTGCAGATGTCAGCCTGCGCATCTCCCTGTGCTTGTGGACTGGTTTTTGGTGATCCGTCGGGTGTCAGGATTTCTTCTCATAGCTTTATGGAATGGATCGATGAGGATAACCTCAAAAAATTTGTATGTGGAACCTTCACCAGCCCAGTAAGAATTGAGGATTCTTAGAGCCCCAAAGTGGCGTCCAGCTCGCTCCTCTACAAAGGACTGAAGGCTTCGAGCAAAGTTTAGCTGGTTAACACCATGATGGACAGGCTTGCCGTAAGTTACACCCTTCGGAACTGGACGTTTTCAGCCACCACGGCGAACACGAATCCTACAATCTTGCTTGGCCTTGTAGCCCAGTCGGCGTGCTTTTATCAGGGCAGGTGGGGTGGGGAGCCCTGTGGAAAGCAGACAGCTGGTGGTACTCAGCTGAGCAGCGGACCCTCAGAAGAAAGTGCATGACATCAGACAGTTTCTTTCTCCATAGCTCCCGGATGTACTTGTATGCACCCACCTTGGCTTACCTGATGGTTGCCACCAGATGGAAAGGCATGTCCAGAATCTTAATTAATATTTCAAATAGCTCTTTTTGAAATTGGCAGGGCAGGTAGTATTATTATTCTCATTTTTTCAAATGTGGAAACCACAACAGAAAGAAGTCAAATGACTTGACTACAGTCATCCCACTTTCCATAGAGAAACTAGGACTTCAGTAAAGGCATTCTGATTCCAAATCCTTTTTTCACCATATCATGCTACTTCCTTAACTACCTGTATTTACAAACAGCTGCAGAAGCCCCCGAAATAATTCATTTTGGATGCAGTCCATTTAGGATTCATGGATCCTGGGCACAACCTAACCATACTCTTTCCTTCTTTCCTGCTACCACTCCCCTTCTTTTCACCCACTCCTCAAACACAAATCTAACAAAATATCTGTAACCAAAGGAGGAACTTGTGTGAATAAATATATTTAGGAAACAGATTTCCAAACACTCTGGAGCCTAATAAACAACGATTTTTAAATATGTTTTATGACTGCTCTGGGGTTCCACAGAAACAGATGGACACAGAAGTACTTAGGATGTATTTGGCATGTGATAGGAAGTGATATCATGAGAAGAATGAAAAGGGATGTGAAACACTGAAAGCGTAAGGTAATACAAGTAACAACTTTCCCTGCTGTTGCTTCAAAAGGTCAAAAATATAGCTTCATGCTGTTCCCAGAAATGACCAAAGAATTAAGGAACGACTTATCATATGAAGTATCACACAATGTCTTGTTCTGCCAGGGGTCCGGGCCCCATATCTCAGACAAAGACATCTCAGCTTTTGAATACCCTTCAAAAGCTACCTATTCTCTGCTAGAAAACAGGACTCCAAACCTGCAGAACTGGGCCCACTCTTCCTTTTTCAAGACTAGTACCCACCACCTTGAAGATGAGCTGAGACCTTAAAAAAAAAAAAAAAAAAACACATGCCCACCTCTGGATGTAGCTCCCTGTCCCCTGTCAGCCAGACCAATAAGTAGGGTCAAGTGACAACACAGCTGAGTTGTGTGAGCATTGGGCCTGCGAGGGGAGAAAAAGGACTTAGACCAAATGAGACACAGGATACAGTTCCCATATGCCAGAGTCTCTGGGGAGAAATTACGGAACTGGATTCTGGGTGTGCTGAATTAAGGGGAATTGAATATCATAGACAATATTCAATACAATAAAGAATTTATCAATATGGCAGCCCTCTTCCTTAACACAGGATTTAACACTGGCAGGATCCACTGAAGATGATGCTAATGCATTGCTAGGCTGGCTTTGAAAACTTTGGGAAAATGATGGCTCACGCTCACTTTATTTGAAATTCCACAACTCCACGGTACAAAGTTGAGCAAGGGGATCAAGAGGCTCATGGTAGCAGGCAGGCTGCAGTGGCAGGATATACAATGTAAGGCCAAAAAGTTCACCAACTGGCTATATTCTGTGGGAATGCCAAGGAAGCAGTTTGCCAGACCCATAAGGAATATACTAGTGAGAGGATGCCAGCCAGAGTTGTGGAGTTCAGTGATGTTCTTCGCTGGAGTTCAGGGCTGAGGATAGGAGAAGCTTTACAGAACTGGGATCCCAGAAAGCTGTTGTAATAATGGAAGCCAGGTGGTGGCACTGAAGCTTCAGAAGCCAGGTGGGTGCAATTATGATAATGACCCACACTGTGGAATGGCAATCTTAAGAGCCTGAGCCACCAAGAGCTATGAATATGGTTAACAGTGCATGGTATTCCCAGGGCAAGATAAGTGGGCAGACAATAAGGGTATCATTCCATCTAAACTACAAAAGAAATCAAGAATGGATAATCAGGAGGTTGAATACAGAAATTAAAATGTCACTGTCTCCAGTTTAGATTCCAGACCTAAGCCAATTTTCAGACCCAAAATTCATTGACTAATGGAGTGGCTTGGTCCCCATAAGGATGGATCACTATAACACCACAGCAAGTGGATATATTAATGATTCTTCCTCGTTCCTTCTCAAAGGGATCTACAGCCATTTACACAGGCAACTATATTCTGAAGAAATGGATATACCTTGACATTTTGAGAACTGTTGAACCTAAAGTCTTCCTTGATATTGACAGCCAAAGACTTGAAGCCCCATCATGGCCACTCTAGCAGAGTAGGGGTATATGGGAGGCCAAGCAATGGTGGAATCCTGGCTCGTGTCCAACTCACCTGGAGCCCATGGATTGACAAAGTGTCCAGTTCCCCAGTCTCTGAATGCATGATAGGAGTGGACATACTTGGTAGTTGTCAGAATACTCATTTGGAGTTTTTCACCTGTGCAGTAAAAGCTATCATACAGTGGGAAGCCCAGGTGGAAGTCTCTGAAACTGCCTCCACCGCAATATAGTACACCTAAAGCAATTTCACACACCAAGGGAATTGCAGAAGTTAGTGCCACCCTTAAAGATCCAAAGGATGCCTGGGTGGTAGCCCCTTTTATGTTCTTTAATTTACTGGCAAATGAAACGCATGGCCCCTACATAAACCAGACAGACCTTGGCAGACAGTAGCCCCAATTGCAGCAGGGATTTTTATGTGGAAGTGGGTAGTAGTAGCTTCATGTGTGTGTTAGTCCATTCTTGCACTGCCAATAAAGACATACCTGAGGCTGCGATAATTTATACAGGAAAGAGGTTTAATTGACTCACAGTTCAGCATGGCTGGGGAGGCCTCAGGAAACTTACAATCATGGTGGAAGGGGAAGCAAACACGTCTTTCTTCACATGGCAGCGGGAAGGAGAAGTGCTGAGCAAAGGGGGAAAAGCCCCTTATAAAACCATCAGATCTTGTGAGAACTCACTATCATGACAGCAGCAGTATGGGAGTATCTGCCCCCACAATTCAATCACCTCCCACTGGGTCCCTTCCACAACACATGGGGGTTATGGGAACTATAATTCAAGATGAGATTTGGATGGGGACACAGCCAAACCATATCAATGTGCCTTGAAGAGAGTTGAGAAAGATCAGCACAGCTATAGTCAAAAAAGAGAAACTGAAGAGACCAGAAATATCTTCAAATACAGTTGAATGGTATTAAAGATCCAGCTAAGTTGAAGGCCATGGGATTCTGATGACATCCATTCTCGGAGTATGTGAGTTTTCATGCTTAGGAGCCTAGATAGAGGGTCTGGGCTGCTATATTAGTTTTCTAGGGCTGTGATAGCAAAGTACCAAAAACTGGGTATCTTAAAATGATAGATGTTTATTCTGTCACTGTTTTGGGTGCTGGAAGTTCAAAATGAAGCTGTCAGAAGGGCCATGCTCTCTCTGGAGGCTCTAGGGGAGAATTCTTTCCTGCTAGTTCCTAGCTTCTGGTGGCTCCCAGCAATCCTGGGTGTGGCTTGGCTTGCAGCTGCATAGTCCCAACCTCCATCTACACTTGGAGTTCTTCCTCTGTGTCTTCATATCATTTTCCCTCTGTGCATGTCCGACTTGTGTCTGTGTCCAAATTTCCCTTCTTTTATAAGGACAGCAGTCACTGGATTAGAGCCCACCCTAACACAGCATGACTTCATTAACTTAACTAATCCCATCTGTAAAGATTCAATTTCCAAATAAGGTCCTATTCAAATGTACTTGGGGTTAGGATTTCAACACATCTTTTTGGGGGACACAATTTAAACCATAACTACTGCATAGGTCATGAGGTTAAGACATGATGGAGCCCGGCATGGCAGTGAATGCCTGTCCCAGCTACATGGGAGGCTGAGGCAGAAGGATCAGTTGAGCCAGGAGTTTGAGGCCAGCCTGGGCAACATAGGGAGATCCCTGTCTCTTAAAAAAAAAGAGACATGATGGATGTTGGATGTGATAGACTGGGATAAAAGAAAAGAATTCAAGATCATGTTAAAGAACAGGAGTAGTGGAAATGCAGGTTGGCTGAAAGAATAAGTGGCTCTGGTCAGAAACTAGAGTATTGAAGTTTATATTTTCAGAGGGTAGGCAGTTCCAGGTGGATATTAGATCCAGAGTGGAGCCGTGACCTGCTGAGAAGAGTGAGCAGAAAGATTCTCAGATTTAGCAGGTAAAGGAACATCATGACCATGAACATTAGCATTGCCCATGATCATGGTAGGAGTTAGAGTATGAAGAAATTCTGTGGGCAAGATATAAGTGATATCTGTTAATAATCGGCGGTGATCAGAAGAACACAAGAGAATAATCAGGAAAGAAGGAAAGGACGATATAACCCAAGGATTTCAGGAGTATGAAAAAGGAATAGTCAACAAAGCTCTTAACAGCTTGGTCTACATCCATTTTAATGTCACATATCAGGCTTTCACCTAACGGTTTCAACAGTCACAGATGATCATTGCCCAGATCTGTTATTGCATTAGGGGTTGTAAACAGATGGTATTCCAATTCTATCACTCTTTTGTTATTTATTAGCTGAATTTTGATACAAAGAATAATAGTCTCTCATCAATTATTTGGTTATCCTGAGGTACTATTCAAATAGGAAGAATAAGATAAATGCTTTATTTATTCCATTTATGTATCAATTCTCAGAATAATGAGTTTGTTTCTTACCATATTCCAAAGGTGATAAATCAAAAAGATAAAAATTATTTTTGTTAATTTATGTATTTAAGGTGATCCAAATCAAAATACTAACATGATATTTTAATTATGTCAGTTTATTCTAAGTTCATAAGGAAAAACGAAAAGGTAAAACTTGCTAGAAACACTTCGGGAAAAGAATTATAATGAAGGAAGAGTAGATGTAGCATACATTAAATATGTTACAAGGCTGTAATAATTAAACAATGTGGTTCAGTTATGTAAATATGTCAGTAGAGAACCTCAAAATAGTCTTCAGCACAAATACAATTCAGTACATGATAAAAGAAATATATAATATTTTCCAAAGATGCTTGCAATTTTCTTTGTATGATCTGATTTTGACACTTCTCACTCCTACAAGTTAACTTTGTGTTTCATTTTCTTGACTTTGCATGGGCTTTGTGACAAATGTGGAGGTGACACTATGTGACTTTAGAGGCTAGGTCTAAATGTGGTACCTATCACTTGACTCTTGGGAGGAAGTGAACCCAGGCACCATGTTTTGAGGAAGCCCAAGCAGACACATAGAGAGACCACAAATAAGCATTGTGGCTGATAGCCCCAGCTCAGGTCTTAGGTAATAGCCTGTATCAACCAATGAGTGAGAAAGTCTTCAGATAATTCCATCCCCATCACCCCAGCCCTCAAGTATTCCCAGCTGAGGACTCCAGATATCGTGGAGTAGAGACAGCCTTACCTGCTGTGACACTTCTAAATTCCTGACCCACAGAACTTGTGAGCATAATACAATCATGTGCTGCTTAATGATGGGGATATTCAGAGAAATGGGTCTTTAGGTGATTTCATTGTTGTGCGAACATCATAGAGTGTACTTACACAAATCTAGATGGCACAACCTATTACACACCTAGGTGTGTACAAACCTATACAGCATGTTAGTGTACAGAATACTGTAGGCAACTGTAACATAATGGCAAATATTTGAGTATCCAAACTTAGAAAATGTACAGTGAAAACAGGGCATTATAATCTTCTAGGACAACTGTTGGATATGTGGTCCATCATCCACCAAAACACCATTATGTGGCATGCGACTATCTAATGGTTTTTCAGTTATGCCACTAATTTTGGGGTGGTTTGTTATGCAGCTGTGATGACTGGAACAGGTAGGAAAAAGATATTCAACAGATGGTTTTAGAAAAAATAGGTAGCTGTTTGTAAAATAAAACCCATATCTAGAATTAAAAATGACAAACAACTTAGAAGAAAGAATTTTAAGTATGACATAAAAACCTGAAACCAGAAAAGATCAATAAATGTGACTACATAAAAACAAAATATTGCATAGAAAAAATAAACACTTAGGAGCAAAAGTCATGAGTAAAATCAAAAGGCCTTGACTGTATGATGAGTCAATAAGTAAAAGCCCAGGAGCCTGGTAGAAAAATGAACAAACAAAAAGGAATGGCCAATTCCCAGAAGGGGGCAGAGCAAATCATTACATAAAGAATGTCAATCTTATTATCTGAGAAATACAAATAGACCCTTCAATGAGGTACCCTCTTTTCATCCATCAGATTGCAAAAATAAAACTTGAGCAGTATAACCATAGATTTAAAAGCACGAACCCTAAATTAAAAGCCTGCCTGCGTGACTAGTTGTGTCACCTTGGGCAAATGTATTAATCTCTATTTGCCTCAGTTTCCTCATCTATAAAGTGGTAATGAAATAATAGTACTTATCTCTTAGAGTTCTGTGAGGATTAAGTGACTTAATGTATATAAATCATTTAGAATAGCGCCTAGAAAGTAGTAGATACCAACATGTGGCTGCTATTATTGTCATCACTATATATTGAGAAGTTGTGGGGGTGGGACAGGATCTGTCATGCATTGCTTGTGGGAGAGTAAATCCATTCACCCTACGTAGAGGACTATTTGCAAGGATCTTTAGAGACTTAAAAAAGTGACCCAGCATTTTCACTTGTAAGTGTGAATCCTACAGATGTAGTCACACTGGGAAATACGGTATGTGCAAAGATATTCTCTGTAACATTCTTAGGAGTTACAAGATTGGAAACAACCTCATATCCAACTCTATACAAAGGGCATTGGTTTAAAATGTAGTTCATTGGTAAAATGGACTGTAACGAAAGGACTGGAAACCTTTTAGGTTTCTCATGAAAAGAGATGGTGATCCCTGCCTCAGGCAGAGGACTGATGGAGGCACAGCTCTCTAGGTGGTTCTGTTTTGTCAGCCCAAGTGAAGTAGTCCCAAGTGGAGACAATCTGCAATCACATAGCTCAGTGCCTAGCATATTTTAAATGTCCAATAAGTGGCAGCTGGTATGATCTTATTATTTATCATTATTTATTTTCTTGACATAATAGAGTCGCATGGCAACAAGGCTCTCTATGAGGCACCTGTGATTGTTTTTTTCAATGCCCGCTTGAATCATGATTAGCTTGAAGCCCAAATTTGCTCCGCAAAAGCAACTCCACCTCTCGCAGGGGCTGCCAGACTGGGCTGTCATCAGCAGCTGTTTCCCAGTGGGCCCTAGTCACAGCTTACTGCCAAAGAGCATACTTGAGTGAATCCTTAAAGTCCTTTTTGTCTCTGTGATTATTTCACTGTGTTTATAATACAGCAACTGCTGGAGAGCTGAGCTGCCCATTCATCTCTTGTGGCAGCCTTAACTCTGAGCTGAGGAGCTTACTGCTTCCTTGTGGACAGACTGATAACAGCCTCACATTGTGACCTACAGAGTTTCCATCCCCGTTTTCAAAGATACATAATAATTTACTAAAATAAAAACTTGCTGCCTTTTACAGTTTGTGATTCACAAGATTCAAATATCTCTATTCTGAAGAAAGTGTAAAAATAATCAAAATGCATCTTTATATTTCACTTTTTCCATTTGCACAGAACTTATTCCTATGAAATGTCTACACAAGTTCAACTTTTTATGTTTGAGGAGAAAAAACAAAAGACATTCATTTCCCTATTACAGCCCTCAATAGAATACTTGCTACTTACAGTATCTCAGAACTGAAGTTAAATCAAAACAAAAAATATCTTTACTGATTTCCTTCCTCAAAATCATTCTGTGTCTTGCTTTCTTTTCCAATCTCCTTTCAAATGTATAACTTTTAAAATTTGCTGCAACTTCCACTGTTTCAAAATATATATTTGAATTTATTTTCAAATGTATATGACTTAATTTACTGCTTCTCTCCCTAATTTTCAAATGCAAATACCCAAATCACTTTTCAAGTGTATATTTTCATTTATTAGCCCTTTGAAGTTGGTTTACTTATGAGTTCAAATGCCTTCCTCCTCTCTGATTTATAAAACTGTATCTGGCAGTGTTGAGGGACCTTGAATTATTCTCATCTATAAAAGGGAACCCATAAAATTGGTGGCTTAAGAACTGATGTATGAATAGTCTTCAGTTGGTGACTCATGGCCAATCTGTCTCATTTCCTCCTATATACACATTTTACACGACCACCAAAATTCATGTTTCAAAATTATCTAGGTCTGTGGTCTTATTTCCACTTCCTTTAGTTCTAAGCCCTACTTTTCACTCAAATCTTGGTTCAAGCATCACTTTCTCAGGGAACACTTCTTTGACCACATCCTACTCCTGCTACAGATTGGTTCAGCTACATACATCCAGTTATATGTTCTCCTTGCCCCTGGTCCTTTTTCACCAGAGTATTTATTACAACTTTTACAATTATAATTCTCTGCACTTCATTTGATTCATATCTATGTCTCTTCACTAGACTAAACTTGAGGAGCCTGATGTTCTCTTACTCTTGGGTACTGTGCCTAGAATAATGCTTGCCTCATTGTAAGAACTCTGTTAAATATTTGGTGAATAAATGAATTTTCTTAAAAAATCAATGAACAAAGAGGTGAAAAATAAATGAATGGCTAAAGTTCCCAGCACCATGGTTACCACATGGTGGCACTTAATAAAATGATAGCTATCATTATTGTTAGTTCCCATTCCTGATCAGATCAATTTGTTGAGTGTTCCAGTTTGTGGAAGATGTGATTATGCTTTCAGAAACTGGAAGTCGGCCGGGCACAGTGGCTCATGCCTGTAATCCTGGCACTTTGGGAGGCCAAGGCAGGTGGATGACCTGAGGTCAGGAGTTTGAGACCAGCCTGGCCAACCTAGTGAAACCCTGTCTTTACTAAAAATACAAAAATTAGCTGAGCATGGTGGCACATGCCTATAATCCCAGCTACTCAGGAGGCTGAGGCAGGAGAATTGCTTGAACCCAGGAGACAGAGGTTGCAGTGAGTGGAGATTGCGCCACTGCACTCCAGTACATATATACGTATATATACACATATATATGTACACATATACGTATATATACACATATATATGTACACATATATACGTATATATACACATATATATGTACACATATATACGTATATATACACATATATATGTACACATATATACGTATATATACACATATATATGTACACATATATACGTATATATACACATATATATGTACACATATATACACATATAGGTACACATATATATGTACACATACACATACACATATATGTACACACATATATGTACACATACACATATATGGACACATATATGTACACATACACATATATGGACACATATATGTACACATACACATATATGGACACACATATATGTACATGTACACATATATATGTACATGTACATATATATGTGTACATGTACACATATATGTATTTATACGTATATATATTTTTTTGCCTTGATTTTCTAAATCGATTTACTAAAAGAGTTAATTTTTAATGTTCATTTTTTTCCTAGTCAGGAAATACATTACCAATAGTAAACAAAGTTATTGAAACATTTTTCAATCTTCAAATTTCATTTTAATTTGAATATATTTTAATAAAATTATTGCAGTTTAAACACTTCGTTTCTTTTTTTTTTTTTTTTTTTGAGACAGAGTCTTGCTCTGTCACCCAGGCTGGAGTGCAGTGGCACCATCTTGGCTCACTGCAAGCCCTGCCTCCCGGTTTCACACCATTCTCCTGCCTCAGCCTCCCCAGCAGCTGGGACTACAGGCACCCGCCACCATGCCCAGCTAATTTTTTTGTACTTTTAGTAGAGATGGGGTTTCACTGTGTTAGCCAGGAAGGTCTCAATCTTCTGACCTCGTGATCCGCCTGCCTCGGCCTCCCATAGTGCTGGGATTACAGGCATGAGCCACTGCGTCCGGCTGCAGTTTAAACACTTTCTAAAGAAAAAGTATGAGAATCCAAATAGTATGGGAGATTTCTTTATATTTAATGTTTTTATGCTATAATAAAGTCAATCTTAATATTTGATCCTCAGTTTGTTGATAGCAAGTTCTCAGAATTACTTGATTTTAGATCTACATGGAAAATTTGCAACTTGTACGTAATTACCATTCCATTCATCTTACATTAATTTCTTAAAATGATTTTACTTATAGTTCAGAGACAATGAAGATATTTTTGGAGGCTGTTTTCTCCCATTGGAATAATTTTGTACATAGAATATTTACACATAGTATTATTCCTGTAAATCTTTCTCCTGGAACCAAGTATCACAACTCATCCTGTCTTTAATTGGCTTGCCAAACTTTCTAGTAATCTTATTTATCTTTTTCTGACTTGTAGAAAAGAATTTTCCAAGATACGGGTGGGCGAAGCGCTAACTTAATCACCTCATTCATTCAGTGCCTAGATGTCAGCTGAACATTTCTGGCCTCTCTCTGTCCAGCTGTGATGAGCTTCAGTGCATTCGAGTGCTTGCACTGCAGGTCTTGGAAGAAGCAACACTGTCATGCCTATGAATCTGTGTATGTGGCTTCTTCATCCTGAAATATTATCTTCTCTCTTATTCTTTGCCTAAATCTTGGGGGGTCCTTCAAGATTCGCTCAGGCATCACTTTCTTTAGGAAGTCTTCTATGACCCCAGTACTTTTTGTATGTAATAAAAGAAACCAACTAAAATTAGATCATGACAAAAAGGAGGGACATTGTTTTAAGAATAAAGAAATATTTAAAACCCAAAGACAGTAGGTGAGGGAGAGTAGAGCCACGCAGGTGGGGGCTAGGGCCCGACAATCAGGTCACTTCATGTTCCCTCCTGTCTCCGTTTCTTTCCAAAAGCTCGCTCCGTGCTTGCCTTTCTGTGTATGGCAGATTCCTCTGCTGACTCACCTTGCGCACAGCACAGCATGGTCTCCCTAAGCCCCTTTTTCTATTAGGTTGGCACAAAAGTAATCGCGGTTTTTGTCATTACTTTTAACTGTAAAAACCACGGTTGCTTTTGCGCCAGCCTAATACGTCATGATCTTCCAGCTATGTCTGCTGCAGAATTCTCAAGCAACAGAAAACCTCAAACCAAGCCAAGGAAACCTCAGTCCCAGCTGAGTCAATGGGTTGCTGGATTTCTGTGAGGCCTCCCTCTCTGTTCAAATTAGTCATGGGGCAGTGCCATGTCCCAGGATCTGTGGGACTTCCCCTTCTAGTGGCTGTCAGGAGAATAGGTTTTCCAAAGTGGACACAGGATAGGTGTAAACAATGATGGTCAAAAGGACTATGGCTCTTAATTTGGAATTGGTACCTTTCCGACGGACTCCAATACATTGTATTTTCTTTCATAGCTGTTAACACACTGAATTGCAATTAACTATTAATATATTTCTCTGTCCTCCCCACTGGGCTAGAAGTTTCTTGTAAGAATGGGCCACTCTTTTTTTCTTTTCTTTATCCCTATTGTTTCTAATACAGTCCTTGGTATACAGTGTGTTCAAAGGACGGATATATTATTATTCAGTATAAACATTTGCAATTGATTTTCCATATTATTATGGTAATGATATGTTAATTAATTATATTAATATGGTAATGTTTTGCTTCTCTGTTCTGGAATCCTAGAGTCCAAGGGCTCTGGTTTTATTTTCTTCATCGACTAGACCTCACCTCCAGTTTTCTCTTGATAAAAGGGAAGAGACACAGTCACCAGCTGCATGGAGGCAGAAAAATAATCTGGCCTTCTAACAGCTTCTTAAACAGATTTTCAACCAACTCTCTTGTTTTCTAGTCCTACCTTCATCCTCTAACAGAACTACCTGGTGCAGCTCAACCTGGTTGCATCTTTTTTGTGTGTGTGTGTGAGATGGAGTCTCACTCTCACCCAGGCAGGAGAGCAGTGGCACGATCTCGGCTCACTGTAACCTCTGCCTCCCAGGTTCAAGCAATTCCCCTGCCTCAGCCTTCCGAGTAGCTGGGATTAAACGCGCCTGCCACTACACCCAGCTAATTTTTGTATTTTTAGTAGAGACAGTGTTTCACCATGTCGGCCAGGCTGGTCTCAAACTCCTGACCTCGTGGTTTGCCCACCTCGGCCTCCAAAAGTGCTGGGATTACAGGTGTGAGCCACTGGGCCTGGCCCCTGGTTGCATTTTGACTGTCTCCACTTCTGTTTTAGGGTTAAACTTTCTTGGGTCTCCTAAAGCAATTACCAAGTGTCCATTTGTTTGTCCATCTAATATTCTATTAATCACCCTCTTTGTCTTTATGGATCTATGTCTTTTAAAAAAAAACCAGGTCTGGCATGGTGGCTCATACCTGTTATCCCAGCACATCGGGAGGCCAAGGCAGGAGGATTGCTTGAAGCTAGGGCAACAAAGCAAAACCCTGTCTCTACCAAAAATTAAAAAATTAGCCAGGTGCATTGGCTTTCACCTGTAGTTCCAACTACTTGGCAGGCTAGGGTGGGAGCATCACCTGAGCCCAGGATTTGAAGGCTGTATTGAGGATATGATTGTACCACTGCACTCAAGAGTCTGGGTGACAACAGAAAGATACTGTCTCTAAAAAAAAAAAAAAAAAATCAAGAAAGTGAATATAAGTGTGTATGGTAGATCCATCCTCTTTTCCCAGAAGTCCCTGTTTGCAATAATTCATTTTTTATTTTAAAAATTTTCCATTAGTGAGGTATATTTTATATACACAAAATGTTTTGATTTTAGGTGTACTATTCAACAGGTATTGACCTATATATAGGCATTCAATATTCCAGTTTCTCACTAGAGCCACTTATTCCTTCAACCACCCTCCTTTCTACTACTCTTGTTCTTTGACATTATCATGACCTCTTTTCTTTTCTCCCAGTTTATCACATCCACCATGTCTTAACCTCATTCAGTAGTTGTGGTTTGAATTGTGTTCCCCAAAAAGTTATGTTGAAGTCCCAAATCTGTAGGATCTGTAGTGTTTGTGTCACCTGTTTCATTCACAACATTGGGAATTTGTGACTTCTTTTTTTCCTGATGGGTATGATTAGAAGTTTATCAATTTTATTAAGCTTTTCAAAGAAACATCTTTTGCTGGGCATAGGGGCTCAGGCCTGTAATCCCAGCACTTTACAGGCCGAGGTGGGTGAATGACACTTGAGCCCAGGAGTTTGTGATCAGCCTGGGCAACATAGTGGGACCCCACCTCTACAATTTTTTTTTTTTTTTTTTTTTAATTAGCAGGGCATGGTGGTGAGCGCCTTTGGTCCCAGCTACTTGGGAGGCTGAGGTGGGAGAATTGCTTGAGCCCAGGAAGTCAAGGCTGCAGCCATGATCTGTCCACTGCACTTCAGCCTGGGTGACAGAGTAAGATCCTATCTCAAACAAACACAAATCTTTTGATATTATTGATTTCTCTGCTGTTTTTTTTGCTTTCAATTTCATTAATTTCTGCACTTTTCTTGTATTATTTTCTTCCCTTTGCTTATCTGAATTTAATTTGTTCATCTCTCTCTCCTTTTTTTTTTTTTTTTTTGTGACAGAGTCTTGCTCTGTTGCCCAGGCTTGAGTGCAGTGGCATGATCCTTGCTCACTGCAACCTCCGCCTCCTGGGCCCAAGTGATTCTTGTACCTCAGCCTCCCAAGTAGCTGCGACTACAGGCATGTGCCACCATGCCCAGCTAATTTTTTTGTATTTTTAGTAGAAACAGGGTTTTACCATGTTGCCCAGGCTGGTCTTCAACTCTGGGGCTCAAGCCATCCATCCGCCTCAGCCTCCCAAAGTGCTGGGATTACAAGCATGAGTCACCACACCTGGCTTAACTGGAGTAGTTCTAATTCCATTTCACCCTCTTATGCTGTGTGTCTGACTTTTGTGTATGTTACAAATCCCATGATAAATTCACATTCATTTGGCTCAATTGAATTATACTTTAAAGAGATAAAAATGAGAAAAATCATATTTATTCAAACATTTATAATTTCCTTACTTTTTATTCTTTTTTATAGATCTAAATTTTAGCCTGGTATCGTTTTCCTTCTGCCTGAAGAATCTCCTTTAATATTTTTCATAGTGCAATTCCGGGGATATATTCTCTGTTTTGTTGGTCTGAATATGTCTTTATTATATCTTTGTTTTTTAAAGACATTTTCACTGGGTGTGTAAGTCCATTCTCACACTGCTACAAAGAACTACCTGAAACTAGATAATTTATGAAGAAAAGAGGTTTAATTGACTCTCAGTTCCACAGGATGTACATGAAGCATAGCAGGCAGGCCTCAGGAAACTTACAATCATTGCTGAAGGGCAAAAGGGAAGCAAGCACCTTCTTCACATGGCGACAGCAGAGAGAGTGAAGGGGGAGGGGCCACACACTTTTAAGCCATCAGTTCTCATGAGAACTCACTCACTGTCATGAGACCAGCAAGGGGGAAAATCTGCCCCCATGATTCAGTCACCTCCTACCAGGTCCCTTCCCCAACACTAGGAATTACAATTCAACACGAGATTTGGGTGGAGACACAGAGCCAAACTACATCACTGGGTAAAGAATTAAAGTTTGATAAATGTTTTCTCTCTCTCTGTACTTTAAAGATATCACTCCATTTTCTTTTGGTTCAAATGCATTCGGACAAGAAGTCTTCCATGATTCTTATCTTTTTACCCTTTGTATACAATGTATCTTTTTGTCTAGCTGCTTTTAAGATTTTTAAAAATACTCTTTTTCAGCAGTTTGACTATGAGATGCCTTGGTGTGGTCTTTCAGTGTCTATTCTGCTTGGCATTTGTTAAAATTCTGGAATCTGTTGGTTCATAGTTTTCTTCAAAATGGAAAAGTGTTATTCCATTATTCTTTCAGATATTGTTTCTAGCCATCGTTTTTGTAGAATCCTAATACACGTATGCTAATTATATGTCCCTTAGGTACCTAATGCTCTGCTAATTTCTTTTTGGTCTTATTTTTCTCTGTGTGCTTATTTTGCTTAGTTTATTTGTAGCAAATATTCTCCTAGGTAGGTGAAAAGGAAGGCCATGTTCTTGCCTCTCTGGCTTGGCTTTCTGCTTCCCATGATCGTACATAACCAGCTTTGATGATTTATCAGTAGAAAAAAATTGACATCCCATATTGGTGAATTTTTTTAAATTGTTAAGATTTTTTATATATACATGTTATGGTCGTATACTAGCAGGGGCATAAGTGAGTAAAAATTTTTGAAAAGAATGATGAGAGTTTCTTTGGTTTTGTTTTCCTGTGTGTGTGATTTGATCCCTAATCAACCAGAATTATCCATTTGCCTCAGAGCATGGGGAGGGAGATAACGTAGGGAGGCTTGGCTTCTTTATGCCAAATATACAAAAAAAAAGAAATTATTATTGTTAGCTTTCTGCTGCAAAAATATAACTTTAATTACCCAGCAAAGCAAGGTGCTGTTAAGAGAGAAAATTATTTCTAAACTTCTTAAACTCCCACAAGCATTATTAAGAGTACGGTCTGAAAGGCTTGAATATTCAGTTTACTATAAACCCTGGTTAGAAAAAAGTCAGGAGATGCTGTACAGGAAGTCTCTGCTACCCGGGAATGAGAGAAAGTTGACTCTTTTGACTCTGTGGAGTGTGGAAAAAGAGTGAAAAGAGTTAAGGGGAGCTCCCAATTACACATCTTTATGATGCCTTTACTTTATGGTAAGCTGAAATCTTAGATTTGGGGCTAAGTGTTGGGTAAGGTTGGTAGAAAGCCTGAAGTACAGATGTTTGTACCCTGCATTTTGATTGGACCTCATGGAGGAGGAGACTGTTGGACGAATGTTCCCCTCATCAATACGCAGGTGCTACTTCCAGGAATAAACAGCTGTGCCACGTGTCTAAGCAGAATCCAAGGTAGCACTTCGAAGCTTCATTGACTCTCCTGTAGGAAGAGAGCAATCCAGAAGCTACCCCATGACATTTGGGTCTATGGTAGGTACCTGAGTTGAGAGTCATTGGAGTAATACTGTGGACCTCACAGTTAAAGATAAAGTTATCCTAACCCAGAGAGCCAAAATTAAAGAGCTTAGATCATGGCTTTATGGAGAATGTGGCTGTATTCAGAGGTGTCTGCTGCTGTACCATGAACTGAGGTAGAGTTTAGCTATAAAAGACCTCTGAGCCTTGATGAAGCTAAGAAAACAAGTCAGAAATTTGCCAGAGGCATCTCAGAGGATACAAGTGGAAAGTTCCCAGGGACCATATCAGACCAGACACTGAGCACATTGATCAGCAAGGACATAATGAAGAACTCAAAGAGAAGCAAGCCAGTGCAAGGCCCATCTCACACTGCCACAACAACCCTGTCCACCTCCTGCCAGTAAACATCCAGACACAATCCTGGGAAAGATTAAAGGCAGCAGAGAAAACAGGAATAATGAACACATCTATCTCCAAACACTGAGTTATCACAAAGATACTGAAAAGTATTGAGATGATATGATCTCATTTCCCCTCCCCTACCCCTACCATCTCAATCCCTTCTTACCCAGTGGGATGAAGGCTTATAAGGACACTGGACCATTGTATATACACATCTGACTAGAAATGTGTAGATTTTTGTCTTTTCCATACATTTCCTAAAATTCAGAATAATATCCAAAGAACAGACATGATGCCCACAATAAGTAGAAGGAGTGGCCCTTTATAGCAATTTGTCTCAGAGGAAACTGCCCATGGAAACTTCATAATTTTAGAGAATTTCAACAATAAATAGGAACCAGTGAAATTCTGGTGAACATTTGTTATCTTTGCTATCCAGCATGAAACTCCCTTTCTTTTGGAACAACATATCAATTATATATTGAGGATCCAGCCCCTTCTTAACCATCTTAAACCTTAACTCAGCTCAACACATTTTGGCTCTTTCTATACTACGCCAATCACTGAGTTATCCAAAAGGATAGAAAGGGATTGAGATAATGTGATTTAGTATTTATAGAGTAGACATTGGTATAGATAGGGAATTCCTAGCCTACAGTTCAAATGAAGGCTGAGGAAAAGTTTTAATCCTTTGCAGACATAACTGGTACACCCTTAGGGACAGAGTTTGCAAATTAGAAGCCTAAGGATAAGTCAGTCTCACAGGTACTTTTTTTTTTTTTGGCTTCCATGGTGTTTTTAAAAATACTGACTCATTTGTCAATATTTAAAAATTGAAAAAAATCTAGTTTCCAGTACTTATTTAAAAATCTGGGATAGATTTTCAGATATGAAAGTTAAAAGAGTGGCAAATTCATTCCACAAAATGAAAGTATTAAAATAAACAATACTCTCAACAACACCCATTTCAGGGTTATGTAAATTGATCATAGGCAGTCAAGCTGGCCATTTTTACTCCTGAAAAACTGCTGGAGCTTTAGATAACAACAGTGGGAGTTTGTAGCTTTTAGCCACTGTAGGGATAGACTTAATTTGATAGAATCATAGTGCAGTGTGAAAACACTGCTTTGTAAAAGTGACAACACTGGTAAAAACAAACTAACGAAAAACAGAAAAATAATCAGAATTCAGAGTTGTTATAACATATATTTGAAAGTCAAGTTTTCAACTAAAACTACAATTCATGCAAAGAAGGTATTGTGACTCATACGCAGGGAAAAAATTAGTGTGTGTATGCAGATATATATACATATACATGTGTGTATATATATACCTAATCTTAATTTCTTTAAAAAGCATAAGATTATTTAAAGCTATGATTGTAACACTGCAACACTGACTTTACAAGACATATAGATTAATATACGACAGTAATAACAGAAAAGAGGGATGAATAAATAGATATGTATTACATGAAAATTGCTATATTTTACCAGAATTAAGTCAGTTTCAATCTGAAGTAGGTGATAAATGGAAAATACATATTGTAACTCCTAGAACAATGACTAATGACTAGAAAATAACTTTTAAAAAAGCTAAAATTCAACAGAGAAATGAATATGGTATAATAAAAAGCATTTTTAATACATTCAAAGAAGTAAAGGAGGAAGAGAGAGACAAGAAATTAGATATAACAAATAGCAAAGTGGCAGGCATAAATTGGAACATCAATCACTACATTAAATATGAATGATTAAATACTCAATTTAAAAGGCAGAGATTGTCAGACTAACCAAAAGCAAGATTTTAGATTTAAAGTAAAAGAATAAGAAAAGATATATTATGTAAATGGTAACCATAAGAGAGCTGGATAAGCTAAACTAAAATGAGAAAAAAATCAGTTTTAAGACAAGAAATAGAACACTAGAAAATTTAGGCTAAAAAAATATCAGCATAGAGATGAAAGATGACACTTCTTAATGATTAAATGGATAATACATCAGGAAGATTTAAAAATTACAAACATATACCTACCCAACAGTAAACAGCAAAATAAACCTAATTGAAAGGACAAATAGACACCTCAACAATTATAGTTAGAGATTTCAAGACTCCTCTTTCAGCAATTACTTTTTAAAAAACTAAACAGAAAATTGCTAAGGATATAGACCTACACAGTGCTATCGACCAACTTGACCTAATTAGCATACACAGAACATTCTACTCGACAACAGCAGAATTGACATTCCTTCCTGGAGTACCTAGAACATTATTTGGGAATAGAATATGCTAGCTATAAATTTCTGTCTAATATTATATGTATAATATTGATTTCAGATCTATTATATATAATATCTATCTAATACATCTATTAATATATAACATTACATATTAGAAGGAAATGTATAGTTTTAAATGCTTACATTACAAAAGAATAAAGATCTGAAACCAATCATATAAATTATCACTTTAAGAAGCTAGAAAATTATTAGCATATCAAACAAAGTAAGTAGAAGAGGGAGAAAAATAAAAAACAGAATAAAAACCAGTGAAATGAAAAACAAAAAATAATAGAAAAATCCATTAAACTAAAAGTTGGTTCTTTGAAAAGGTTAACAAAACTGACAAACTTTTAGTTGGTCTAGGCAACATGAAAAGAGAGAAGACAGAAATCTCCATCAAAACCAGAAACAATGGAAGGGGCATAAGTATATATATTATAGAAGTTAAAAATATCATAAGACAATATTATGAACAACTTTATGTACAAAATGATGGAATGGAAAAATTCCTAGAAATTACAAAAAAACTGACCTAGGAAAAGAATACTATATCAAGTAAAGCAATTAACTTTTTTTTTTTTTTTTTTTTTTTGAGACAGGGTCTCACTCTGTCACCCCGGCTGGAGTGCAGTGGTGTCATCTCAGCTCACTGTAGCCTTGACTACCTGGGCTCAGGTGATTTTTCCCACCTCAGCCTCCTGAATAGCTGGGACTACAGGCAGTACCAGCATACCCAGCTAATTATGTTTTTACTGTAGAGACAGGGTTTCATCATGTTGCCCAGGCTAGTCTTGAACTCTGAGGCTCAAGCAATTCACTGGCCTTGGCCTCCCAAATTGCTGGGATTATAGGCATGAGCCACCATGCCTTGCCACAATAGGCTTTATAATTAAAATTCTTTCCATGAGGAAAGCCCAGGCCTGAATGGCTTCATCTCAATAATTCTAACAAACACTTAAGGAAGACTGAATACCAGTCCTACACAAACTCTTTTGGAAAGTAGACAAGGGAAAAGAAACACTTTCTGAGCTAATTTTATATGGTCAGTATTATAGCTGACACAAAAGGCAAATAAACATCATAATAAAAGGAAATTAAAGACCAAGGAAATATAGATTGGAAGGGAAAAAGTAAACCTGTCATTATTTGCAGATGACATGATCTTGCATTTGGAAAATTCTTAGGAATCTACCAAACCAAATCAAACCAAACTATTAGAACTAATAAGCAAGTTTAGCAAGGTCACAGGATACAAGATAAACATACAAAAAACTAATTGTATTATAGTATATTGATAATGAACAAATAATGTGAAATTAAGAAAATTATTCCATTCATAATATCATCAAAAACATAAAATATTTAGGAGTAAATATGACAAAAGAAACCAAGACCTGTAGGGTGAGGATACACACTGCTGAAAAAAATTAAAGTCAATCTAAATAAATAAAGTGATATCCCATATTCATAAATTATAAGACTAAATATTGTTAAGATGGCAATTGTTCTCAATTTGATTTATAGGTTAAACATAATCCTATGAAAAAATGTAGACTTTTTTAAGATAGAAATTGACAATGTAATTCTAACATTGTATGGAAATGCAAAGGCCTATAATAGCTAAAATAATTTTGAAAAGAAACAAAGTTGGAGGTATGCTAACTTATTTCAAAAATCACTATAAAGCCACAGCAATAAAAAAATGTGGTATTTGCATAAGCATATACACATAAATTAATGAAACACAACAGAGTTCAGAAATAATGTTAAGTGAAATAAGACAGGTACCTAAAGACAAATACCATATGATTTCACTTACATGTGGACAAATTTGAACTTACAGACATAGAAAGTAGAATGGTGGTAACCAGGGGCTGGTGTGGGGTGTGGTGTGGTTGGGGAAATGCTCATCATAGGGCCAATCACCATAGGAATGAACTTCAACATTTATGGTAAATTAAATTTTGACATAGCTGCCAAGGTAATTCAATGGAGAAATGAGTCTTCAACAATTGGTGCTGGAACCATTGGGTATCCATGTGTACAACAATGAATTTAGACCCTTATCTCACACATTACACAAAAATTAACTCAGAATGGTCCTAGACCCAAATATAAGGGCTAAAATTACAACACTTTAGAAGAAAACATAGGAGAAACTTCTGTGGCTTTGGGTGAGTCAGAGATTTCCTATATATGATACCAAAATCAGGTTCCATAGGAGAAAATATTGATAAATTGGATTTTATAAAAATAATTTTAAAAACTTGTTTTTTAAAAGACAACATTAAGAAAAAGAAATTGGATAAAATATTTGCAAATCATAAATATGATAAAAGACTTGTGTCCAAAATATATAAAAAAGTTTATAACTCAATAATCAGATGAGAAACAAATCTGATAAAAATGGGCAAGAGATTTGAGTAGGCATTTCATCAAAGAAGACATATAGATGACAGATAAGCACATGAAAAGGTGTTCAACATAATTCGTCATTAGGGAAATGCAAATAAAAGCCACTTTGAGGTACCACCAAACACCTATTCAAATGGCTATTATAAAAGACTGAGAATAGGAAGTATTGCAAAGTATGTGGACTCCTTACCCACTGATATACTGTGAATAGTAAGTGTAGGAGGGGCATATGGACTCCTTACATGTTGCTGGCAGGAATGTACAATGGTACAGCCACATTGGGAAACAGTTTCTCTGTTTCTCAAAAATTTAAATATACGCTTTGCATATGACTTAACAATGAAACTCCCAGTTATCTACCCAAGGGAAATGAAAATGCAGATTCACACAAAGACATGTACATGAATGTTCATAGAAGCATTATTTATAATAGCTCAAGCTGGAAATAATACGAATGTCCAGCAACTGGTGAAAAGATAAAATATGATATATCCATACAATAAATTACTACTATGTATAAAAAGGGACTACTGATATTTGCATCAGCATGGATGAACTTCAAAACATTATGCTAAGTGAAAGAAGACAGACACAAAAGACAACTTAGTATAATACCATTTAAATGAATTTTCTAGAAAAGGCAAAGCTACAGACAGAAAGCAGAGAAGTCTTTGGTTGGGACTGGAATGGGAGTTTTTGATTATACATGTGCAGAAACAAACTTTTTGAAGTGATGAAATTGTTCCAAAACTGGATCATATTAATAGTTGCACAACTGTATAAATTATTAAAAATCACTGAACTGTATGCATATAATGGGTAGATATGATAATAGGTAAATTGTACTTTAATCAAACTTAAAATTCAGGTTACCTGGCAACCCTACATTTTGTTTGAAATAGAAGTGTAAGAGATAATGAAGGAGTGGCAGATACCGTGGTTAACAAAAAGTGAAGGACTAGAAACCAACTTCCTGTAGCAGGTAATCAGCGACAATCTGGGGCCAGTGGTGTGGGGGTAAAAAGAATTTATGAAGATACTTGTAGGTAAAGAAAGTCATATTTATTAGAGCACGTATGAAAATGTGTTGCAAGGGAACAATGGGCAGGCCAGCAAGAGAGGAGCTGACTGCAAGGAGACGAAGGCTTGCTGGGGATGTTCTAGAATGGTGCTTGTGCTGTGTGCTGAAGAGGGCTTTGTGCAGTACTGATAACACCGAGGTTGCAGTGAATTAGCTTGCATTTTTTTTTAATCACCCGAGGGTCTGATGATAGCTGAGTGCAGGAAGATTGTGAGTTATTTGTGCAAGAGGGCTACATGTTCTGGACCACAAAGCAAGGCAGACTTACAGCTTATCTGCTTTATATTTTTGCTTTCCCTCGGTCCCGCCATCCTGACTCCTTTTCCCTAATTAGAACCCCACACTCTCTTTGGATGGTACATGCGTTTTCCATTTTCCCAGGTTCTATTACTCTCCTTTGGATCTTACACTTCTGAATTCTCTCTATTCGTTTTGTTACCTAACTGATCCCTGTAGGCATCTCTCCTTCATCCCAGAGCAGCAAGAATCCTTTCCTTACCCTCTTTGTAGATGCAGGCCCAATAACAGGTCTCAAACCTTCCCAGAGATTATATATAAACCATGCATAATATAGGAGAAAATTAAATCTTTTTATTCTCTCCCTTAGGGGTAGTGAGTGGTTGATTTACAAATGCAAATGATAGATTTAAATGTTTGTGTAAAGTTGAAATGTCAAACATTTTGTTGGCATTTAGAGATATTATCTGAAAGAGCATTTTACAAATAAGGAAACTAAGGCTCAGAGGCTTCTGGTAATCTGTTCAAGGTCACATAGTTATCCAAGCTTCTTGCTCCAGGGGACATATTTTTGTGCTTTCAAAAAAAGAAAGAAAAATCAGGATGTCATACACATTCTTAAAAATAAATTAATGCCACAGAAAAATGTTTTCCCTAGGCCTCACAAAGATTAAAGAGGCTTGTGGGTTTTTTTTCTGTTTAGATTTGGCTAGATGTCTTTCTTGTTTTACTGGCGAATTAGAAGAAAGCTGGAAAAGCTCTGAAACAGCTGCTAAAATAATTACCCTACAGCATATTTCATTTTTTAATCACTAAGAAAAGTTGTTTCAAAGTAATATTTCAAAGTAATAATTAAACATTGATAAATTGTTTTTGTTTGGTGTTTTGGCCTTATCTACAACCAAAGCTTCAAGCACCAAGACAGAAATGTCTAAATATTTATGTTACAATAAAACTTAATAGAAAACTTACACAAAATCTTAAATTATCATCTTTACTGCTATTCCAGATTAGAGTATGCAATCACTAAAACAGAGTGATTTAGGATTAAGGATGAAACATTCATTGTTCACCTTTGCATTAACCCAAAAATTGTGTTGTGGTTTTATATCTCATGACCTTATTGTACTTTGGAATGTGATGGTGAAGCTGTCCCTCAGATCATTTAGAATAAAGAAGACTGAGGCAATATTTCACTATAGGCTTTGCAATGTCTATAGCTAAACCTGAAAATGGCATATCTGACTCATTTTTTTTTTTTTTTTTTTGAGACAGAGTCTTTCTCTGTTGCCCATGCTGGAGTGCAGTGGCATGATCTTGGCTCACTGCAACCTCCGCCTCCCAGGTTCAAGCAATTCTCCTGCCTCAGCCTCCAGAGTAGCTGGGACTACAGGCATGTGCCACCATGCCCTGCTAATTTTTGTATTTTTAGTGGAGACTGGTTTTCATCATGTTGGCCAGGTTGGTCTCAGACACCTGACCTCAAGTGAACCACCCGCGTCAGCCTCCCAAAATGCTGAGATTACAGGCGTGAGCCACCGTGCCCGGCCTTGGCTCATTTTTATTCTTCCGATTTTAGACTTCCAATTGGGTTTTTATAATTACCCATATTAAGTCCCACCTGGCACAGATGAGGCATGAGCATTAGGCAGAGGCCACATCCTGGTGACGTGTGTGCCAGGTCTGTCCTGCAGATGTGCTACATTTTGTTTGGCTTTTAAACGTGCTACATTTTGTTTGTTTGAAGAAACTGTTTCTCTGAATTTTGTAGACAACATTTTGCAACCGGAGAATTCACACAAACATTTAAATTTCCTGCTTCTCTTGAAAAATCTGACCATCTGCCCACACTGGGCACACAATCCTGTTGAATAGATGCTGCAACCTTTAACATGGCACATGGTTTGCCTTTTGCAGTGTGTATAGGGCTGCCTCAGTCAAATATGGTTCATGGCATATTGTGCTTTCAAAAAAAAGAAAGAAAAACCAGGATGTCATACAAAATCTTAAAAATAAATTAATGCCACAGAAAAATGCTTTCCCTAGGCCTTAAGATGTTTGTGACCCTGGAGACTGCACACTGTGTTTTCCAAATGTTAAGTCTTTAAAGTGGTTCGTTGCCTTGAGATGCAGACAATACACTTCTTCCATTTGTTTTGTCAGGTTTAAAGGCACTTTGGATAATGTCTCTGTTGAGTTGCTTTTAGAGGTTTTGACACTCATTTGACCAGTCTCAGTGGAGCAAATCTTTGTCCTTGAATCTGATTTTTGGAAAGAGTCAAAGGAAAATTTGGAGCCAAGTTTGGGGCAGAAAAATATGTGTGATTATGAAACAGTGAAAACCTGTTTCTCTTGGGTGGTTTGTGAGCTGACTCAAAGGTAACTTTTTAAAAAAGTTCAATAATGCTTTGAGGGAAGGCTTTTACTTCTTCCAGATGTCAACTGTCCTTTCTACTAAGCTCTCATAATATTGAAGTAGCTTTGTTGTCTATGGTGACATCCGAGGTTCTTGGTCTCACGGCCACAAAGATCAAATATGTGGACACACACAAAGGGTGAGGTTTGGAGCAGAATTTTTAATAGGCAAAAGGAGGAGAATAGCTCTGCTACAGAGAGGGGTCCCAAAAAATGGGTTGCAATACGTGGTGAAATGCAGGGGTTTTTATAGATGAGCTAGTGGGGAGGCGGTGTCTGATCTACATAAGGAGGGAAAACCCGGTTTCGTGCATATGGCATGAAAACCCGGTTAGGACCAGGTGTGTCATCTGCATAGGGCTTAAGTGTCTGGCAGCCCCGGCCCCAATCTTCTACTATATAGGCAGGTAGCTACTCCGTGTTGCTTATTTCCTTCTTACTGTGCATGTGGTAAAAAAGAGGGGAGGTGGAACCCCCATGGTGGACATGCCTGGCCCCAGTAGCCCCTTCTGTCTGTGCCGCTGCCGGCATCTCCCGTGCAAGCTTCCAGTTTCCTTACCTATGTTTGCAGCCCAATCTTCCAGGTTGCTCTTTGTTAGAAAGGAAGTGATTTCTTGGGCTGCTTTTTGTTAGAAGGTAAGTTCTGCCGAGGGCTCTTTTGCTCATACTATCTGCCTAAATAATTTCTATCTCCTGTATCAATATCCTATGTGTGACTCTATTCTGCATATATGACTTAGGTTTTAATTATTTTGTTTACGAGTTGGTCCTACCCCCCCACCCCCGCTTCCACCACACTTAAGGAAAGATACATTTTAATTCATTTTTTATATGGTATGCATAGTTGGAGGCCAAAAGATTGAGTTGAAGGATTCATTACTTGATGAATAAATGGATGGGTGGATGGATGAGTCAGTATAAATGAAGAGCATCCCAAGTTGACTATTTTAAAGGGATAACATGCATTTTATATTTGTTAAACATTCATTCTCATTTGTAAACACTTGTATATATTCATGTATTCAAAATGTATTGAAAATTAATTGTTTTCCTTGGTACCTGAAGTCAGTCCTGGGTATTGCAAAGTAGTTCGAAGTCACTGGTTTCCCTCTGTCTCACTTCACTACACACTGGTGATTTTGCTAAGTGATGAGCCAGAAAATGTACAAGTTCCAGAATCAAAGGTAAAACAAAACCCACCAAGAATCAGCTCACTGTTAGCGTCCTAGTTGAAAAATAAGGCTTATCAAAGTATTTCAGATTGCATTAACACTTTTGATATAGCTAGGTATCAGTGTCAACCTCAGGAGAGGGCAACGCCAACTCCTGAAACCTTCAATACAGAAAGTCTAGAAAAATAAGCAAATATACATACAAACAATAGCGAGAAGACTCCAGAAACCACATAAAACCGTGGGAATCGAAATATCCCTTACGTGTGTTCAGTACATGTGAACCCACGTATTTTAAGTGGACGATTTCTCTCTCAGAGTACCGTAGGTAGTGGGGGACGGGGCGCAGAGGGGGAGAAACAGAAAGTCGCCTTCCTCCATGGTTCATTTGCATTTCCATCCAGAAACTCACAGGTCGACCCCAAGACTCCACTCTCTCCCGCCTTTGAGAAGCCGGACCGGCATCGGCGGCTGCATCCTTCTCCTCCTCCCCGCTCTATTTTGGGGCCCCATGATCTCATGCCCTCTGCAGACCACACGCTGCAATTCCAGCCCAGCCCGCGCCGCGAGGCCACGCAGGGCGATTCCTGCAAGTGTCGGGAGGGTGGCCGGGGCGCGGGGAGGGGACGGCTTGGGGGGAAGTTTAAGACACGCCCACGTAAGGGACCCAAAATAACCGACACACAGAGTGCCCGAAATCAGACAGGAAGCCAAATAATCCGGGGCGTTGAGTCGCTTTGCCCTGACTGCGAGAGCCGGGTGTAGGGCGGGGAGCCAAGGATCTGACCGCGAGGGGCGGGCGCGGCGGGGAGGGGCGGGGCGGGGCGGGCGGCGCGGGGCCTATTAAAGGCGCGGCCGGGCAGCGGGGCCGGAGCGGCCGGGGCCACGATGGAGCGCGACGGCTGCGCGGGGGGCGGGAGCCGCGGCGGCGAGGGCGGGCGCGCTCCCCGGGAGGGCCCGGCGGGGAACGGCCGCGATCGGGGCCGCAGCCACGCTGCCGAGGCGCCCGGGGACCCGCAGGCGGCCGCGTCCTTGCTGGCCCCTATGGACGTGGGGGAGGAGCCGCTGGAGAAGGCGGCGCGCGCCCGCACTGCCAAGGACCCCAACACCTATAAAGTACTCTCGCTGGTAGGTCCGCGGCCAGGCCCCGGCGCCCGGGAGGGCTGGGAGTACGGGGAGGGCGGCGCCGAGCTCCTGCGCTCTCAGCGCAGTCAGCACCGGGCACCGGAGAGAGGCATGGTCCGGGAGTGCTTCTTCGCCCGCGCGCTCTCCTCCGCAGCCTTTGCAAGTGCCCTACACAGCCGCCCCTGCCAGGTACCTTGCCAGGGCAGGATGGTTCACTCTCACTTGAATTATGGATGCCTGTGAAAGCAGGCTGTTCAAAACGGTCATCCTTAGAAATACTCGACCCCCTGCCCCAGGAGAGTACGGGTTTTTAGAGGAGAAAAATGTCAAACGCGAAAGTTGTTGGTCTTAAGAAGGTGCATCAATGTGTTGCTTCTTTTAGGGGGCTCTGGGCGCAGTATACATGACTTCACTTGGGTTAACTGATTGCAGTTGAAGAGTTAGCGGAGCTCTTTAAGTTTTATTAGGAACTCTACGGAACACTTTTTCCCTTTCGCTCCGTTTTGGAATTTCCTTGCAGGTGCTCAGAAATTCCATGGATGTTCACATTATGTGACTGAAGAAACCTTTATGATTCTTTGCCCACTCTTCTAACCAGAGGCTACACGGTTTGTGTTGCTAACAAAAGCTACCTATTACTCCTCTGCTATTTTGCTATGACATTTGCAGGACCCACAGTCAACTTCATGAAATGTGGGGGTTGGTTTTTATTCTGAATTCATGGTGGGAAGTGCTGATTGAGAGAAGGCCTGGATTCCTGGCTGTTATTATTTGCTGAGGCCTTGCGTAACTGTCCCTAAACCTCAATTTCTAATGTGTGAAAATGGGACAACATCAACTCCCTTGTGCATTGCATGGGATTATTGTGAAAATCAAGCTGAAGAATGTAGGTAGGGAAGTAAATTGAAAACAGCAAGGAAATAGAATCATTTTTATTGTATTATATGGAAATCACAGATTTCTATGTATAGTGTACCCTAAAATATATCCCCTTACATATGATTGAATAATGCTTTGTAGAAAAATTTCTAATTTTTCAAGTCTCCTTTCATTTTGTATGCATTTCCATTTTCACTATATTTGGGACATCATGGAGATGCTATAATACTTTGAGGAATCAATCTTCCTAGACTTAAGAGATGGTGCCGTATGCTTAGTACTTAAAAAGAAGCCTTAGTTTCACAGAATAAGTACCCCAAGCCACATGATGTTTGCATCTCAAGATAAAATTTTGCATCTTGTAACACTGTTTTGAGTCTATAATAACACAATATTGATGAGAACTTAGTCTCTTGAGTCACCTTTTAAAAATTTTGTTAATGGAAGACCTTAGCTTTTACAACCTGATCACTTAAATTGTTTAGTATTAATACCTTGAGGTGTTTCACACACGATGAGGTAGTCGATAATTGTATATGGAATCAGTGTGTAACTCTTGTGTAAAACCATTTCTACATGCCTATAAACCTTTACAGGTTTTCCAATTGCAAAATTCAGGTTTTAAATTTTTCTTGCTCATTTACTTATACATCCACAACAGATATCAGCAAAGGTCTAGTTTTGGAATAAGCTGTCCAGTCTTTGAGACCTGCAGTCAACTGGTCAAACAGCATTCTGTGTGATGATGCTACTCTGGGCATTTGACATGGAAGTGTCCTAGGACTTACTTCCACAAGTAGGACTATTATGGACCTTTTTTATCCATTAATTGGGGTCTTTTGCATCTATTGAATTGGAAAGAATTCTTACTTCATATCTTTTGATGGAACACTGTGAGACATTAACATACAAATGTTACCAAATAGACCTGGTGCGGTGACTCATACCTATTATCTCAGCACTTTGGGAAGTTGAGGCGGTTCCATTGCTTGAGCCCAGGAGTTTGAGACCAGCCTGGGCAACATGATGAAACCCATCTCTACAAAAGATACAAAAATTAGCTGGGTATGGTAGCATGCGTCTATGTCCCAGCTACTTGGGAGGCTGACATGGGAGGTTCAGCTGAGCCAGGGAAAGTTAAGGCTGCAGTGAACTGTGATTGTGCCACTGCACTTCAGCTTGGGTGACACGGTGAGACCCTTTATTGTTGAAATTGCTATTTAGCTACTGAACTGAAAGTGCAAACTCGTATTCTTCTTTCCCTTCCCTACTTCAATACCTTTTTCCCCCAACCCCGCCCCCCCCCCAAAAACTTCCCCAAATAATGGGCTTCCAAATGGAAAAGGCCCCAAAAGCATCCTGACAATTGTCGTCAAAGAGCTCTGGGATATGTCTTCTAGAAAGGAGCTGCAATTATAGAATTCCTTTTGTTTTCAGATTAAACCTCAGCACACTTTTCATAAAGCTGCAGAAACAGATTGAACTAATTGCAACCTGGGGTTGGGATTAGGAGAGGCCCAGCACTATGATCCTCAGCTACACTGTTTTAATTTAGCAGGATAAATAGAAGAGTTGCGTTGCCTTGCCTTTCAGAGGCAATCATGTTGCAGTGGCAATGTAATTTTTACATTACTCTGCAGTTTTCTCAGATAAACTAAAATGATGTAGATGTGTGAGAGTGGATGAAGGAGTGAGGATTCTGTCCTACCCTGGCTTCTCCCCATTGTGGTGGTTGATCTTAGGAGAGGGCCACCAAGCTGTGCTTTAGAGGCTTTTGGCCCTGGGCCCTGGAATGCTTGTGCCTAGGTACTGAGCCAAACTGAGGAAAACAGCAAGAGGGAAAAACAAGTATTATTCTCTACATGTGTCAGTAGGTATGTTAAATATTAGATGCCTTTCCTTGGTTGTAAATGAAGTTTTGAACTGAAGTGTAGACTTCCACCGAGATGTGTTGACTTGGAGATGTATTTAAATATCCTTCTTGTTTCTTGGTGTGATTTTACAGTCATGTAATTCTCAACTACATTGCAATACATTTCTCCAGTTAGCTCCTCAAAAGCATTTTTTTTGTGTTGTTTGTGACCTTCTGCTATACTTATGAATACATATATCTGTGTATCTGTGTATGTGTAAAGGGCTTGCGTATGGGTGGTGGTCACTGAAGACTACTTTCATGTTTCAGTGAAAGAGTTCTTTAAAAAAACATATATCTATATCTATATCTATATATCTATATCTATATCTATATCTATATCTATATCTATATCTATATCTATATCTATATATATGTAGAGAGTCCGTTTGGCTCAAGTTTGAGGACTGCAACCCAGGAGCATAGATTCAAGTTGCCCTGAGTAGATGCTCCTATTAGCAGCAGTTACAAATGGGTTTTTAAAGGAAAAAGGAAGAGGCAGTTCCTAAGTTGTTTATCAAGCATTCATGTTACAATAACGAGCTATTGGTTGGCTATACATTGTTCTTTGTATCACACATTCCAGGAACATGAAGATAGTGGGTGAGGCAGCTGTCAGGAACAAAATGCTTTTAAAGAATTGCCCCTGGGAATGGGTGCAGTGATGTGACTGAAGTCCCATGCTCATGTCCCTCTGGGCCTGATAAATTTTGCATAGTTCGCATATCTCAGACTGCTCTGAGCAATTTTTCTTTCTCATTTCCTCCTTTTAATAAAAATCTTTCTCTTCTTAAAATACTGATGATCAACGTTTTGGATGTAAGTTTGTCCCACATTGCTGGGAAGGCTCATTTCCGGATAGTCTTGTCCCATGTCAGAGGGAATGAGATGGGCAGAAGTACTATCACTTAAAAACTTAGTGAGGTTCCAAGGCTGAATTGGTAGGCAACAATTCAGGGATTGGATTGAAAAATAAGGGGACAGAGCAGCGGGATTTCAGGTCATTCACTTACACTGGAGTTGAGGTATGTTGGGTCATTTCTAAGCATCTAGCTATTATGATGAGTTTTTTGTTATAGAATTTTGTGGTAGACTTTAGACATCTAGAAATACAAAGCATAATCAATTTAAGAATCAAAAGGATGACACAAATAAGGACAATTATCAACAAAACAACTTGAAATACAAATATGAAAAGTGTTCCTATTCCTGAAGGTAACCAAATGAATATTTTAATCCACTTCTTGTCCTGGTCTAAAGAACAAAGTGTTGAAGATCTCCACTGAGGAAGATGTCCACTTAGGCAGGGTAGCCTGATATTGGCCCTTCTAACGTGGCTAGGAGTCCTTTATTTGATGGTATTTTCTATTAAACAAAATCTTCCAGGTTGGAGACCATGATCTTTGATGTTTTTGTCTCCTAAGAGCTTGCTGTTAAAAGAATCCTTAATTAATTTAGAATTTTCAGTGAGAAACTTATAAGGCCTTGACAATAGTGAAGAGTATCACCTTGTTAATGGAAAAACCAAACTCTGTAAAATATTTTAAAGAGCTTTATCCTGAGCCAAGATGAGTGACTGTGGCTCGGGGAAACACTTTCTCAAGGAGTCCTGAGAATGTGCACCTGAGGCAGTTGGATTACTGTGTGTTTTTATATATTTCAGGGAGGCAGGAGTTACTGGCAAAGACATAAATCAGTACATGAAAGGTATACATTGATTCCATATGAAAAGGTGGGATATCTTAAAGCAAGGGCTTACAGGTTATTTATTCAGCATATTCAGAGATTTTTTTTTTGAGACAGTCTTGCTCTGTTGCCCAGGCTAGAGTGCAATAGCACAATCTCGGCCCACTGCAACCTCCCGCTCCTGGGTTCAAGCGATTCTTCTGTCTCAGCCTCCCAAGTAGCTGGGATTACAGGCACACACCACCACTCCTGGCTAATTTTTTTGTATTTTAGTAGAGACAGGGTTTCACTTTGTTGCCCAGGCTGGTCTTGAACTCCTGAGCTCAGGAATTTCACCCACCTCAGCCTCCCAAAGTGCTATGATTATAGGCGTGAGCCACTTTGCCCGGTGATTCGGAGATTCTTTAATTTGCAATTGATTAAAGGAGTAAGGCTCTGTCTAAAACTTGGAATCAACAGAAAGGGCTGTTGTGGCTGTGTGTGATGGCTCATGCCTGTAATCCCAGCACTTTGGGAGGCTGAGGCAGGTGGGATCATTTGAGGTCAGGAGTTCAAGACCAGAATGACCAACATGGTGAAACCCCTTCAAAAAAAGGGTGAAACCTCTTTTTTTGTAAAAATACAAAAAAAATTAGCAGGGCATGGTAGTACATGCCTGTAGTGCCAACCACTTGGGAGGCTGAGGCAGGAGAATCGCTTGAACCTGGGAGGCGGAGGTTGCAGTGAGCCGAGATTGCACCATTACACTCCAGCCTAGGTGACAGAGCAAGACTCTGTCTCAAAAAAAAAAAAGGGATGTTGTAAGTTAAGCATGATGCTATGTAGCAAAATTGATGGGTGTGCAGACATGACTTAACCCTCCCCTTGCATACCCTTAAGGTCTTGTTTATAACTTGGTGTCTTATTGCCACAGAGACGTTTTCGCGGTCTTATTTCTATTGTAACATTAATGCTGGTCAATTGTTACGCCTCAACTCCAAAAGGGAGGGAGTAGAATTAAGTGCGTTTGACCTCTCTTCCTATTTTGACTGAGAGCTCAGTTTTTGAGGTTTCTCTGGGGTTTCCTTGGCAGAGAGTGGGTCCACTCAGTTGGTCGAGGGCTTTGGATTTTATTTTTAGTTTACAACTTTTCAGGAGAGCTGGTTCGTAGTCTCCTTCATCCAGGTGCATGGATCTTTCCATTCTTATTTCAAAAGGAGAAAGCTGATGTTTTCCAAGCAGGGTAGAATGTAAGTTAAGCAAATGGAAGAGCCTTAGGCCAGGGAAGGTTAAAGCTTTCTGTAAGCTTTGCCAATTAACTTTTCATGATTCCATTTATTTATTCTTCCACTCTGGAAGACTGAGTGTGGTTTGCACAATGGAAATGCCGATCCATCCAATCTCAATGAGCTTCAACCACACAAGATAAGATTTCTGGCGGAGCATAGAGGCTAATGCCTGAAATCCCAGAACTTTGGGAGGCTGATGTGGGAGGATTGCTTGAGCTCAAGAGTTCACGACCTACCTGGGCAACAGAGTGAGACCTCATCTCCACAACATGTGGTAGGACTTCCAAAAATGGAGAATGCAATGAGTTCATGCTGGTACCAAGCACTGATTTTAGAGAAAAACACCAGGTGGTGGTGGGAAGTCACTGTGAATCCTGCTGACCTAAAGAAAAAAAAAACCAAGGCAAAATTAATGTAATTATAGAGCTTTATTTGGGCCAAGTTTGAGGAATACAACCCAGGAGCATAGATTCAAGTTGCCCTGAGTATATGCTGTGAAAGACTTCTTTATAAGAGGCAGAAGCTGGCATTATTTGAGATTTGGGTGTAAAAATTATAATTCAATTAGCTTCCTTTTCCTTCCCTTATGATCCATTATCTTAACTCTAGAATATGGAAGGAAGAATGTTCAAGCTAAGTCTCTGCTCTTAATCAGACTTGGAGTTGACATTGCTCCTTTGGTTTATAAAATTTGTTATCTGTCCAGCCATAGTTGAACATTTTAATTTCAGAATAACCAGAGCATCTTAAGAGGCCAGAGAAGTGTTCTCTGTGTCCCTTATGGTATTTGTTTCACATGTTCTAATAAAATACATAAAGGATTCCTAGGAACCCAAGACTGTTGTTTTTACTATTAGGCAGAGGATAGTACCTGACACTCAATGTCAGCTTTTAATTGCTTGAATGAATGTACTGCATTTTTTGTTAGACTGAGCCACACTTTGATTTGGAAAAGGGGAAGATGGGAAGACTAAATACACAAGCAGGGACCCATAGGGTCTGTGATGGTCAGGAATCCACATAGAGATGACACTTGGGTATAAATTCAGGGGTAAGATTAAAACTGGGATATAATTTTATTTGGGTATAGGGAGATGGAGGAGATAGTGAAGGAACAGAAGTACCCAACTAAGGTGAAGGTGCCTAAGAAGAAGGCAGACGGGGCCTCTGTGATAACGTGGATTCAGAATCAGAAATCTAGTCAGTGAACATTCTCTCAGGTACAGACACTCCAAGTGTGGCAGTCGGCATGTATGAAGGAGAGCCTCCTTCACTTACACCAAGGCCTCTTTGGTTTTGATAACTTTGCTGCCACACCCTGAATTCAGTCTTTGTGATTCTTCGCTCTTCTTCAGCATTGCTTTCTGTCCCTTCTTTTCTTCTGCCTTGAATCTTGTTCTGGTATTTCTTTTTCACCATTTGTAGCTCAGCTGTTTCCACTCCATGTTGTCTCTTTCTCAGGGATACGTAGCTACTGTTTCAAAAGCACTTTGCTAATTTCTATTTCACTTGTTTAGTTAACTTTGGACACTCAGTTTTGTCATCTCCTGCCCCCATCATATCCTAATCATGACTCTGAAGAAAATCCTTGGTGGTCACATTGAGAGACCTTATGTGTTCTGTATAATAAAGAACTGGGGGCCATTAACCTTTCTAGAGCATTTACAGAAATTTTTATCTATCAGCCTTTTTTTTTTTTTTGAAACGGAGTTTCACTTTGTAGTGCAGGCTGAAGTGCAGTGGAGTGAACTTGGCTCACTGCAACCTCTGTCTGCCTCCCGGGTTCAAGTGATTATCCTGCCTTAGCCTCCTGAGTAGCTGGGATTACAGGCGCACACCACCACACCTGGCTAATTTTTTTTTTTTTTTTTTTTTGTATTTTTAGTAGAGACAGGGTTTTGCCATGTTGGCCAGGCTGGTCTCGAACTCCTGACCTCAAGTGATCTGCCCGCCTCGGCCTCCCAAAGTGCTGGGATTACAGGCGTGAGCCACCACGCCCGGCTGTATCAGCTTTTCATCTTCATCCAGCTGACTCTTTTTATCTTAAGTAGCAATGTTAAAGGTAAATGAAAATAGTTTCATATTCAATTTTGCTCTCAAGTTTGATGACTACCATTGTAAAATATTTGTGTGACATTTAAGATACAGCAAATGTATTTCATCTATATTGTGGCCTTTTTGTACAAGCCAGAGAACTTTATCATGATTTATAACTTCTTTTTTTTTCTTACTATGGGGAGAGGCATTTAAGTTCCAGACAACTTAGGAACAAATAAGCATTTGGAATACAACTTGTAATTAGAGATCTGCTTTTGGTTAAAATAAGCATGCCTCCATCAACCATAAAATACCCCCCAAACAAGAAAAAATAAACAAGAAACCTTTTAGCAAATGAGCTCAGGGCCGAACATAGATTACTCTTCTAAGCATAAATCTTGTGCAACAAAACCTGATACTCAGAATTCTGACCCAGCTCGAAAATCCCTTGTCATCGGATAAAAACTAAGTTATGCATTTACCAAGGAAAGACAATGTAGGAACACATTTAAGGTTTTTCAAAAGAGTGACCAGAATGTTCAGTTAAATATTAACGGGAAGACTATTTTCTGAGTATTCTAGTTATCTGAGATTTAGTTGCAAGAATTAAGATATCTGTAGTGTCTTTGAAAAATTATTTTTACCTTTTTTTACTTTTAGTTTTTAGAAGAGGTGTTGGTAGAAGTGTAGGTGGTAGAAGTTTAGATGGTTATAATCATTTTTGTAGCACTTGGCAGCTTTAAAAAGCATTTCCCATATATTTTTGATTGATCCTCAATACTCAACAACTGTGAAATAGGAAAGTATGATGACAGTCAATTCTGCTTTACAGATAAGGAATCTGAGGCTCAGTCAGGGATTCAGTCAGGTTTCCATGCAGACATTATTGTGCATAAAAACCACCTGGGAAGTGTTAAAGACAGAGATTCCTAGGCTCCAATCTCAGTGATTATGATTTAATAGATTTGGAATGGACCCAAAGAATCCTCACTTTTTAACAAGCACCTCAAGTTATTC
Source organism: Homo sapiens (assembly GCF_000001405.40). Classification (NCBI taxonomy): domain Eukaryota; kingdom Metazoa; phylum Chordata; class Mammalia; order Primates; family Hominidae; genus Homo; species Homo sapiens. Next base: position 131,817,072 of record NC_000006.12, read on the forward strand.
AGATGTAGGTGGTTGATTTACTCTACTTCTAGCAACAATGGGCTAAATTTATAGGCAAAAGCCACACCATTAGTACATAATAGACTATGATGGTAACTGGAAGGACTTTTATCTACAGATTTTTATCACGGACTAATAGCTAATGCCATCCCATTCATTTGCTAAATGTTATATCCTATTCATCAAGCTTGGCCTGCTGTTGGGTTTCCAACTCTCCTTTGCCTGCTTCAGTATAACAATGTGTAATTAGAACCTAAGAAATTTCTGGTGTGGTGATGCTAAAGCTTGCCTCTATATTGAGATATATATGTGTCTTTGGTAGTTCAGTGATGAGATTTTCCTGGGTGGAAGCCAAAATTAGTGCACTTTATTAGTGTGAAGTCAACAATCAGCTGTTTCTGGGAGCTTCCAAAGTAGGTATACTTTTGGGAAATTGTGCTTTTCTTCTTAGTTTGAGTTTCCTTCTTGGCTTATTTTGAAATGTAGTAGAATAGAAAAATAGAGAGTTTTGATAGAAAGTGATTTTGGGATGTGTGGTGGCTCATGCCTCTAAAGGAGACCGAGGCAGGAGAATCACTTGAGGCCATAATTTAAGATCAGCCTGGGCAATATAATGAAACCCCATGTCTATCTCTCTCTCTCTCTCAATCTCTCTCTGTCTCTCTTTCTTTCTCTCTCTCCATACACACACACACACACACACACACACACACACGTGTGTATGTACATATCTCCATATTTTATATATATGTATAATATGCATAAGAAAATCATTTTGGAGGAAGTAAATTGTCACAGCGAATTGTCACAAGTGTTTCTCATTTATGGATTGACCATTTTCTCACCGTATTTCAGGACTTTGCACAGACTTAGCTGGCAAACATCCTATAACAGGTGTGATTTGAGAGTCTTAAAAAAAAATCACTATCTTGGTTTTCAGGTGAATATTTTTGAGAAACTAGCTTGTTCCTAAAGATGTGTTTCCCGATCCCCCTCCTGCTTAGAAAGCTTTTTTTGACGTTAGCAAGCATCTGGGGGATCTTGATGCTCTCTTATGGTTAGAGAGAGAGAATTGAAAAGAAACTCAGTAGATTAAGACATTATTTGCCCTTTCACTGTGTTGACTTTTACACCGTGGTATTAAAGGAGTGATGGCACCTTAGCAGACGTCATTGCAATGACACCAATTGTACAAGTAGTCATGCACTTGCAATAAAAAAAAAGCCATTTCACTAAAAAGAACACCTTAGATGTTTTATTGCTTAGATGAAGCAATAAAAATGTCCTTGATGAGGCTGGTCGCGGTGGCTCACATTTGTAATCCTTGCACTTTGGGAGGCCGAGGCGGGTGGATCACGAGGTCAGGAGATCGAGACCATCCTGGCTAACACGGTGAAATGCCGTCTCTACTAAAAATACAGAAAAAATTAGCCGGGCATGGTGGTGGGCGCCTGTAGTCCCAGCTCCTTGGGAGGCTGAGGCAGGAGAATGGCATGGACCCAGGAGGCGGAGGTTGCAGTGAGCCGAGATCGTGCCACTGCACTCCAGCCTGGGTGACACAGCGAGACTCTGTCTCAAAAAAAAAAAAAATGTCCTTGATGAAGCAGATTTAATAATCTGAAACCTAGATTACCTGTCTTTTTGATATTCTATGTGACACAATTGGAAGTATGCATGTAGCATATCTGCTGCATACTGAAGTACTGTTTTCTAGAGGAAAAGCAGCTGTGCGGTTGTTTAAGTTGCAAGCTGAACTAATTTTTTTTCAAAGAACACCATTTTTATTTGAAAGAACTGACAAGCTTTTTATTTAGACTTATTTATTTGACATATTTTCTCAAAAATGAGTGATGTTAGCTTGTCCCTTCAAGGAAAACCTATGAAGCTATCAGCTGTCTATGATAAAATCTGAGCTTCCAAGCAAAAATTAGAATTTTGAAAAACTTGTATTTGCCATTTGAGTGTAACAGCTTCCTGATCCTTACACAAAATTGATGAAGATAGCGAGGAATGTGGTTTTTTTTCATGTTGTTTAATGACATGCGTTAACATTTGGAAGAATGATAGAACTTAGTGAACCAATATTTTCCAAAGGATGAGTGGATGATGTTACAAAATTATGCATTGGTATAATTTCCATTCAAAGTGCAAGATAGACTAATGGATTTTAATGTAACAGTATGTAAAGTTCAGTAATACCTTTTCCATTTTTATGCCATAATTTACTTCTTTCAAAAGACAAATATAAGATAAAAATTAATTCAAGAGCACAGATATATGCATTCTATCGAAATGAATACAATGTGATTTATAAATGAGAACAAATTACCAATGAACAGTATTTCAGAAGTTGAAAAGGTGACACTAAATGTTAAATACACAGCCTTTTAGTTATATTCTTCAGATTCAGTTTTTTTGTGAATTTAATATAAAGATGAGTTCATTTTGCAACCTAAAAATACTTACTTATTGAAACTATATTAATACTTTAATAAACTATACAAAAAAGATAATGAGACAAACGTGCATTTGTGGAACTGCATGTCAGTCAGCCAGTTCCCTGCAGAGGGAATTCCCAGCATTACCTCATTCATCTGTGAGAACACAGAGCAGTCCCTATTTAGACACACACATTTGTCTACTGCTCCAGCATGGCCAGCCCCCCACTTCTTGATGGTTTCTTTCTGCTATGAATATGCATGTCCAGTTGTCTGCTTCATAGAGCAGACATTTACCTTCCTCATCCACCAGCCATTGGAGGAGGACTGGGGCCACGCAAATGATTGATTCGACCAATTCTCTGGGGAGAGTTTCCCAGTGGCCCTCTTCCATCATCATATCTGGAATCAGATGAGTTTCCATAGCTTCTTTTTTTTTTTTTTCGCATCTTGCTGAAGCAGAGTTTTGAAAAGCAAAACCACAAACTCAGCTGTTCCCCATAAGAAATCTGTTATCAAAGATAATCTCCATGGAGACTGACTCCAGCTGTCCAGCACTTGTCCATTTGCGATGTAAACCATCTTGCCCCCCTTCCCTGCTTCGGAGCGACTGGTCATAGTTTAAGAGATTACTACTTTTAGAATTTTGGTGTGGTTTTAAAGAAGAATGTCCATAATCATCTGAAAAGGCATCTTAGGGTTGTTAGTAACTTTTAGAAGTATAATGGGATCCTGATAAGAAAAATTTCGTGAATATATTTACAAATATTTAGGAAATAGGTGTACATCCAGTAATATTTTCAGTAATATTTTTCAGAACTAGGGGATGTGAGGGCGATCTGGCTGTGACTTCTATCACCCCATTGATCGCCAGGGCTGATTTGGCTATCTGGCTGGCTAGGCGGGTGTCCCCTTCCTCCCTCACTACTCCACGTGTGTCCCTCCCGAAGATGTGCGCTCGGTTGAAGAAGATGACCATCTCCCATAGATGAGAACCAGTCTTTGGTCAAGGGTATATGAATAGGTGCACTCCCCTGCTAGAACCTCCAAACAAACTCTCAAGAACTAGGGAGAGGAGAGTGAAAATTAACCTAGTTACAATGATTGTATCCTTACATTCTTTTATAAATTTCAAAATACTTCTACATCTCCTACCTCATTAGTCCAAACCACAGCTCTGCTGTTATCCATCCCCATGTTAGAGATGAAAAAATCATGGCTCAGAGAAAGTTTGGAGACTTTCCAAGATCACAAAATCAATAATTCTGTTAATCTCATCTCTGTAGTTTATTGGTGAATAGTTTTGGAGTCAGACAAAATCAGGTTTAAATCCTGCTACGGTTACTAGCTGTTTGAATACAGACAAAAAAGTTTCCTAAATAGTACCACAACTGTAGCATAGAGACAAAATCATATTAGAGTGTGTTAGGAGAAGTAAATTATATAATGTGTACAAAATGGTGCATAATATGCCCTGAATAAGTGGTTTTTTCTTGTTATTGTTGATAAGCTTCAATGTGACTGAGAATTTTTTATTTTACCTTACTCAGAAGGCACTTTACATCCTTAACTACCCAAAGTGTGGTCTGCAGACTGACATATCAGCATTATCCTCTTAGAATTTGTAAGAAATGCAGAATCTTGGGCCCCACCCCAGACCTACTAAACCAAGATCTGCATTTTCATAGATCCTCAGAGGTTTGTCTGAACAATTAAGTTTGAATATCAGCACTCCATAAGGCTATGAGACAGCACAGAAGGCACCACATCTGGAATTTCTGTAGCTGAGAATTCTAATTAACCCTCGCTGTGCCACTGACTTCATACATGATGTTGTGATTAGAAACCTAAAACAAAATGAAAAAACTCAATGGGCCTCCATGACCTCAACTGTGGTTGCATTAGGTTGAATTGGTGCTACCGCTGGTTGCATTTGGCCCCTTTCCTTCCATGAACCTCAGTGGCACATGGATACAAGTAGCCCCATTGCTCTTGCACATACAGAACATGGCACAGTCTCCTCCCTTTGCATATACCATCTCTGTCTTTCAGGAACCTGCCTGTGCTCTCGTGTGTTGCTTATAATTTAATTGCCTTCTTTTACTCTGCACTGGCTTGTCCTTTAATTGCTCTTTATTGCCCTTAGCGTTGCCAATCTTCTGTCTTTGCTGTTACCTGATAACATTCAGATGTTTTTCCAATTCAGCCATCCATCTATCAAAATATCATGTAGATGGTGCTTTCCATCGCACGATCAATGGAACTATCCAATTCCAAGTTTCCACTGCAGTCCCCTCTCAACAATCAACAGTATACTTGACACAAAACCAAAACAAAGGAATCTTATACCAACGCTTTTTCAGGTGATGTAAAATCAGGTTAAATGTCCTTGGCCCAGAGTTTATTCCATAATACTTCATCATCCAAACACACTAGCTTCCTATAAACTGCCACCCAGCACCATTTCGATTATAATCTCTGGGATACTAGGAAACAGGTGAATGAAATATTCATGTGGGAACAGTGTGGTTTAGGAGCATTATGAGTAGACTCTGTTGGTCTTATCTACTTTTGGATTAGTCGGGGAAATAAGCAGGAAACAACTCTACTTGGACACGATTTATTTGAATACCTTACTAATCAGCACAAAGGAGGTAAATGTGAAGAATATTGACATATATAAGTATTTATACATTTGTTATCTCTTAGAAACTTTCAAAGAAAAAGAATATTGAGTATTATGGAATGATTCAAGCAAAGGTCTTCAGAGACAGGGTTCATGTAAAGGGTCTAAACGGGAATCACATGAATCATTTGCTATGTGACCTTTGAACAATTACTTTCTTTCTTTGACTTTCAGTTTCCTTAACCGTAATATGAGGAGTTGGATTAGATGGGTTCCTTCTAGTTCCAAAATATTTGTTTTGAGAGCTTACAATATTTTCCCCATTGCTATAAAAATACTATCTATTGCAAAAAATTCAGAAAATATAAAAAAGTATAAAGAAGAAAATGAAAATTGCTTTTGGGTTTTTTCCCCTCCAGGACTTTTCTATGTGTACATATCACTTTTAAAAAAAAAAAAACAAAGATGAGATCACTTTGTGCATATTATTCTGTTGCCTTTTTTCATTTATATTCCATTATGAAAGTTTACCATTGATAGACAGCTTTCTAATGTACTTTTCATAAGTAGGATTTTGAGACTTTTATTTTAGTATCCTCAATTCAGTAGGTAATCTTTGAAACTATTTCTATGCATACTTTAGACATTCTCAGTCCCCAAGAATTTCTAGCTTTTTGGTACATGTTTGTTTTCTGTTTTATTCATTCCTCAGCTCCATCTCTATTGCTTATGTCTCTTTTTCATGGTTAAATTACTAGTTTTTCTAAAATAATAGCTTCTCTGCATTATGTTTCTGCTCAGAATTTTTCTGGGACTGCCACAGCACACAATGAGAAAATATATACTCCTAAGCCGAGACTAGTTTTTATTTCCCACACGCGGGATAACAGTAGACGTTAATCAATGTAGGGCTCACCATGAATAGTTTCATCCATTCGTAGCAGTGCTGAGTCTGTGACATATGTGTTCAGTCATTTATGAGTTAATATTTGTCAACCACTTAGAGTAGACCCTTGCTGGTAGTAAGTGCTATGTGTGTTTGTTAAATACATACATATCTATTTGTGTTTACTATTTGTCCGGCCCTATGCTAAAGACTTATCTCCTTTAATGGGTACAGTTCTGTGAGGTAGGAGGGAGCAAATCTGTTGGCTTGGGAGTGTCTGGCCTAGCTCCCATACCTCAGTGGGACTCAGTATCCTATATGATGTATAGTACATGCAATATTATGTGCATACTTTGTATTAAGGAGATTGTAGGGCTCAGATATGTTTCAGTCAACTGCTGCTGTGATGGCACTTTGCCCATTTAGAGAGTCAAAAAAGGACTGAAGATGCATATCTCTCTTCAGCATTCCACACCTCTGAAGCACGCCTTCTATGACATTCAGCTCAGCCTTGTACAGTTCTCCAAATACACTTTGTACAGATTATATCTGTTTTCTACCCCACCGTGATTTTTTAACCTCTCCTTTTCTCACCCAACATCAGGCACCCACCAAGACCCAACTCAATGTGTCCTCTCAAATGAAACATTCTTTAGATGCTCTTTGGCCCCATCTCCCTGTCCCAGAACCACTCAATTGCTACTGGATCCTGTTGAGGCCATAGAGCTTAGTGAGTAAGGCCAGACCCTGGAGCCAGAGTGCTGGAGTGTAAATCGCATCTCTGCCAATAATTGCTTTTGGGTCTTTGGGCAGGTCCCTTAACTTCTCTGTGTCATAGCTTCCTTGCCTATTAAATGGGGATAATAGTAGTAGTACCTCACAGGTTTGTTTTGAGGGTTAGGTGGATTCATATTTATAAACTAATGAGAAGAGTGCCTGATACTAGATGGTAGATCGGGGTTCAATATTGTTATTGCTATGGTTTGTAACTTATTTAACAAATATGTAGAGTTTTTACTGTGTGGGCAGTCTGGTGCAAGAGGCTGGGGGCTAAATGGTCAAAGGGAAAGTTTACTTACTGTCTGTTTTTTAGGTTTTATCTGAAGGGACCAGATATTTATCGAAGAATTATACAAGATTATCTCAAGTTGCAGCTGAAATAAGTGCAGCCCAGAAGCTGTGTACATAGCGAGGGGGAATTAGCCTTGTCCAGGAGGTCTGAGAAGGCATTTCTTAGGAAGTGACAGGCGAGCAGAAGAGGATTATGAGAAAAGGCAGCAGCAGGGGAAAGGCCCTGGGAGAGGAGACAACACGGCCCATCCCAGAGCTTGGAGGAGGCCAGGATGGCTGGTGTGCAGCGCTGAGTGGAGTGTAATGGGGATGAGGTGGGAAATGTTGCCAGAGCCATCTCCAGGCAGGATTTGTTGTTGTTGTTGTTGTTGTTGTTGTTTGAGACGGAGTCTCTCTCTGTCATCCAGGCTGTAGTGCAGTGGCGCCATCTCGGCTCACTGCAACCTCTGCCTCCCAGGTTCAAGCGATTCTCCTGCCTCAGCCTCCCGAGTAGCTGGGATTATAGGTGCTCGTCACCATGCCCAGCTAACTTTTTGTATTTTTAGTAGAGACGGGGTTTCACTGTGTTGGCCAGGCTGGTCTCAAACTCCAGACCTCATGATTCACCCACCTCGGCCTCCCAAAGTGCTGGGATTACAAGTATGAGCCACCGTGCCCAGCCGGTTTTTGTTTTAAGAGCAATTGGAGGCCGGGTGCAGTGGCTCACGCCTGTAATCCCAGCACTTTGGGAGGCTGAGGCCGGCAGATCACTTGAGCCAAGAGTTCAAGACCAGCCTGGGCAACATGGTGAAACCCCATGTCTACCAAAAATACAAAAATTAGCCTGTTGTCGTGGCACACACCTGTAATCCCAGCTACTCGGGAGGCTGAGGCACCAGAATTGCTTGAACCCGGGAGGTGGAGGTTGCAGTGAGCTGAGATGGCGCCACTGCACTCCAGCCTGGGTGACAGAGCGAGACTGTGTCTCAAAAAAAAAACAAACAAACAAAAGCAATTGAAAGCAATTGGAAATCACTGAAATATTTTTCTGTTTGGTTTCTTTTTTATTTTTGTTCTTAGTGACAAGTTCTGATTTACTTTTGGAAAAATCATTTTATAATAGCTTTAGTGGCACAAACAAATCAACGGGACCCTGAAAACTATAATAGCTTTAGTGACACTAACAAATCAAAGGGAGCCTGAAAATAGAAGAGCACACTGTCTTTTTGTTGTTGTTGTTGTTAATTGACCACTTCGTAACTTTTTTTATTCCTGCTAGATTTTGAGTCCGTAGATGTGTTCACTCCAGGATGATAACCACTAGCTACATGTGGCTATTTAAATTAAAATTTCATCTAATTAAACTTTAATGAAGCAAAAAGTTTATTTCCTCAATCACTCTTGCCACATCCGTAGTGCTATGCAATGGCGCACGGCTAGTCACTTTCATATTGACAGTACAGATCTGTGGAACATTTTTAGCATCTTAAAAACTTCACTTGGATAGCATGTAAAAATTGTGATATTATAGTTTTTAAAAAATACCTTGATAGTTCTCCAATTAACAATGATGAAAATGTACATAGTACTTGTTCAAGAAACATTTACTAGAAGACAAATTAAAAGAGTTAAGATATCAACGTTCTTATAAATATTATTTTAAGATTCCTTATCCAAATGATTATTGAATATGATTAAGTTGATTTAAGCCTAAATATATACATGAAGAGGTGACACATTTCTAAAATTGTGTTCCCTTTCTAATTATAAGCTCATATATTAATTACTAATTTTTTTCATAATAGTCACCCATTTTTCATCTTTATTAACTTAGAAAATTTTACTTCTTATTTAAAGCCCTGGAGCATACTTTCAAAAATGATTTTGAAACATGAGTCTCTTCATTAGGTCAACATTTGTCTAAGCACGTCTGTAAATATTCTGTTACAGGAAGAGGAAGAGTATTGAGCAAATTCTCTTCAACAATCAGACAGCTCTGCTTTAGGGACTGATATCCTTCCAGTTCAGGAGGAAGTGTTTCCAGGTAATTTCCAATGAACTCCAGATGAGTAAGGTTTGACAGCTGACCCACATGAGGGGACAAATTCATCAAGCTACTTTTCCCCAAAGGTAAACATTGCAGCTTTTTGCACTGAAACAGCCCATCTGGTAGCATCTCACTGTTGTTGTTGGTTACAGCACAGTACTGCAAATTACTCAGATACTGGATTTCTTCTGGAATGAAGGTCAAGTGGTTATAGCTTAGATTCAAATAATGTAGTTTGCTGCATAGGAAAAGCTGCTAGGGCAGATTCTCAATATTAATAGGACCCCAAAAGAGCTGCTCTAGGTTAGATAATGCCCCAGTTTATCCAGGAATGTAAGTAATGTTATTGTGCCATAAGTTTAAGCAGGAAAGATTCTGAAGATGCTGACAGCCAATGATCTCTTCCACAGTTTTAAGGTTATTTTCCTTTAGGTCTAACTCATGCAAATTATTCAGGCTGAAAATGGAGTATGGAATGCATTCCAGGTCACAGCTGATCAGTTCTAGGCTTTTCTTATTGACCATCATTTTCAAGTTGTTCAGCACAGCCAGTTTGCTTCCCTCATTATCAAGGGACAATTCTTCAGTGAAGGCAAGAGGTCTGCAATGACTTGTGGGATCTGGGAGAGGCTACTCTGCAAGTAGAGGGTCCTTGGATATTTTAAGTCCTGAAAGCCGTCTAACTGCACAGTACTGAACTGTTGAGGGAGAACACAGCCTCCCTGTGTGGGGCAGAAAAGTTTCTCACATAGGGGAAAGATAAGGTTCCTTCAGATTCTTCAGGTGAAATACCCAGCATGGGATTTTTCCCATTTCAGGATGCTTCAGGCAGAGGATTTTAAAATTCTGCTCCAAAAAGCCAGTGCAGGATGGTCTACTACCAGAGATGAATGGTCCACATCTTTGAGGTTGACCAGCTGTGAGACGGCAGACGGCAGCTTCACCTCCAGGGTCTGCTCCAGGCTTAGCACCTCCATTTCGGTGAACTCAAAGACATTTGTCTGGAAGACTGTTGAGCATAAAAAGATGCAGTTCTATCTTGTCTTGGACATTTTCCACAAGCTAATGTTTTTCAGTTTCTCAACTGTCCATTCATTACTGAGGTTGATCTGTTTCAGTTTGTTCTCACTGACCTCTGATAGGAATATGGAGAAGCGTCTGGAATAAAAAGGATCATACTGATTAGCCAGATGAAGGATGAAGGCAAAGTCATTCTTGACATCAGGGATGTCACTATAGTTGCTTTTTTCTCTTAACACCTCAAAGGAATATTGCTTCATGGATCTCCTCAGCATCCACCACAGCCTGTAGGAGGAGGTCAGACTGTAGAGTACATCCAAAATGGTATAAAATGAAGCCAGAAACTTCAAGATTTCTGCGAAGGAATAGACACACTGGTAGGCTTATATCCTGTAAAAGCCTACATGTCAACTGAACAGTCAATTTAAAGAGTGATGTAGGTTAAAAAATATGGAACATAAGTTATGATGAGCACAAAATGACTTTGACTATTATCTGCTTCAGATACACACTATAAATGATGTCCTTCTGCTCTACGTGCATGCGGAATCTTCTCACTTTTTCAAAGATGGCTGTGGCCTCTTGCCCCTCCTTCTTGTCCAGGCCACTGGAAGTTGGGCTTTCTATACCAGCTGACTCCAAAGCCCGCTGCAGGTGGGGCAATGACTGCTTTCTGGAATCTATGTCAGTTGAACACCCTGAGGACGAAAGCAAAATCTTGGACTCGGAGAGTTTCAGAGGCCTCACTGACTGCTCGGCCACTGTTTCTGACAGGGTGCAGGTGGTCCGTGGAGAATCGAAGCACTTATAAAGGATGGCCACAAAATGCTCAAGCTTGGAGCTGGTACCTGGGGTAGTGAAGCCATAAGTTGCTGCAGGCTGCAAAGAACAGTGTGTGCAAGAGCACCAGGTAGGGGAAGAACGTTGCAAACCAATGGAGCTGTTTCTCGTAACAGACAGCGTTGATGTAGGAGTCCTGCTGTCAGTGGAGGTCGTTCTGGATTCCGAGTGGGATCGGAAACTGATGTCCCGGGATTAGAGGATGTGTTTATGCTGGCTTTCAGGATGTTCCAAGGCATGGTGCAATGATTGTCAAATTCCACTTTGTAAGAAGACAGCACAGAACCCTGCTCTGTGTCAGCTGGAGAGCTCCAGCCAGCATGTCCACATGATCAGCATGATGTAATACCAGAAGACATCCTACCATGATTTTAAGATGTGATAAGATGACTGGGTGTCTGCTAGTAAACATTTTAGCTCGGTTAGTGTAATCATGACTTTCCCTTGTAGGAGGACAGAAATATAATGAAAAAATATTAAATAAATCAGAAATGCTTCAATCAGGTGATCTATACCTTTTGAAGTTTCTTAGACATACCATCTCTGTGTTTGTCTTCATTCCTATGAATGCTGGCCAACTGGAACCCTGCAATTAGTCTCAAATTGAAAAATTTCCTGTCTTTGGCCACAGGGTCAATGATGGATGAGGCTAATGAGTGTGGTATTGAAAACACGGGGGTTTCAGTACCTGTGGGCCATCCAGGTAGAGAGGTCCAGCAGGCAGCTGGAAAACAAACCGGAGCCCTGTGTGACTCCAGTCCCGGGCCCCAGGCCCACACATTCCCCTCCATTACCAATTTTAAAATTCTGTCTTTAAGTTGTCACTGTGATTGTGATTGAATAAAATACTAGGCCTTTACAGAAATTAAGTGGTGGTTTATATCTCCCATTTCCTGTCCACAGGAAGAATTACTAGAAATCCTCTGTTTAGTTGTCTTTTTGTTTGTTTCTACTGAGCCCATCTTTCAAGGATAAACACAAGGTGCCCGAATGAGTATGTTCCAAAAATTATTTCAGAAAAAAACAGCAAATAAATTACAGAAACTTAACTGCACATTATGTTCTTTCCACCCTTTGTTTTTCATCTCTGACCCACTATCTGCATAGGCAAGATTCTTGCCTAGGCAGGAAAAACTATGTTTTTTGGATAAGATTCATGAGGCTTTTCCTTGCAGTCCATCTGTTGGGTCCTCTGCCTGAGGGCAGAAAGAGCTGTTCTGCACCATTAATAAAACTGCTTTCCTCCCTTTCCTATCTTATGAGCTGAACTAAACTTTACAATTCTTTTCTAAAGTAATTTAATACTACTTTTATTTAACGACATATCTTTCTTGATAGTTGCTGCAAAAGAGACCAACTATTTTCAGGATTGGGGGACAATTTTTCTTTTCTTTTTTTAAACCAACTGAAGAAAGATCTAATTAAAATATGTTTTTGCATCAAAGGGATTTGAGAATTAGAAAACAAGATAACCCTCAAAATGGAGAGTTCTTTGCCTATATTAAATTTAGTTTAGATTGTGCCTTGGGATGTCTGTCTGTCTATCTATCCATCCATCCATGTATTTATCTGTCTTGGTCTGATTATTTACTGTTTGAGTCCAATTAGAAAAACAAAGCTCATACTCAGTAACTTAATCAAAATAATTTAATATAGGAAACAAATACCAAAAGTGTTAGAAGAGCTAACGGTCAAACAGGGAATGGTAGGACCCTTAGGCAACCCTGAGAAGAGTAACAGAAGGAAGCCGCTACCACCTGGAGAGCAGGAAGGGCAAAAGAAAAAGGTGATGAAACCAGAGCTTGGGAGCTAGGGCTTCGCTGTAGCAGCTGGGACCCTGGGCAGATGCAGCCACTGCAGGGGTCCCACCCGGAGCAGGGAGGACAAGGTAGATACATTCTGATTTCTCCTTTCCTCCCACCCTCCAATGTTCTCTTTCCTGTTGGCCTCTCCTGGTCTGATGCTTGGAGTCTGGGAGTCTGGGAAGTGTAGTAGTCAAAGTTACTTCTCTGAGTTGGCGGATCAAAAGAAAAGGCAGTAACACAACTTGGGTTTCTTGGGAAACAGACTATTAGATGGAAATGAGCATGCCTGGGATTTCATTAGAGTATGTTCTTGAGATCAGCACCTGTGGAAGGCAAGACAAGGAATTGGGGTCATACAGAGGATGACTGTGAGCTGCAGTGCTCATTGGGTGTGATGCTCTTTGGAGGCTGTGCACCTGTGGAAGGCAACGCAAGAAAGTAGGGCTGTGCAGAGGGTGAAGGTGAGCTGCAATGCTCAGTGGATGTGATGCTCATTGGAGGCTATGCCCACTCTACGGACCTTCTTAAACTAGTGGGAGACCCTCTAGAGTGGTCCAGGAGGGGGCAAGCTGCCCCAGGAAGGAGGAGAGACTTTGGGCAAAGCGGCTGTCTTTAGCTGAGACACTCCCTATAGGTGACCACTCCCAGCAGCTGGAGGAGCAGTGGTGCCTTTATCTCTGAAGGGGAGTCCAGGCACCTGACCACAGTGCCCATCACAGGCAGGGAAAGGATGTGAAAGCACTGTCTGCACATTGTTGATTTAAAAAAATCATACATTGATGAAATGTAAAAAGTGAAAGTTCAGTTTGCCTTTTTAACTTAATTCTGTTTATGATTTACATATTTCCATGTCCCAGCCTGTTGATCTACCTAAATTAAAATATGTATATTTTAAAAGATTTATTGATAAGATAAGAAAATGTTTACAAAATAGTATTACATGCAAAAAGATGAAACAAAAATTGTATATAGAATCATTTCTCAGTTATATATGTATATGGGTTTGAGTGTGTAAATGCATTTAAAACAATAATAAAAAAAATAGGGCCAGGCTGGGTGGCTCACGCCTGTAATCCCAGCATTCTGGAAGGCCGAGGTGGGTGGATTGCTTGAGCTCAGGAGTTCAAGACCAGCCGTGGCAACATGATGAAACCACTGTCTCTACCAAAAATACGGAAAATTAGCTGGGCATAGTGGCATGTACCTGTAGTCCCAGCTACTCGAGAGGCTGAGATGGGAGGATCACTTGAGCCTGGGAGGTGGAGGTTGCAGTGAGCCAAGATCATGCCACTGCACTCCAGCCTGGGCAACAGTGTGACAGCCCATCTCTCAAAAAAAAAAAAAAAAAAAAAAAGAAAAGAAAATAGATCAAAAAATTTTAAAAATGAAATGGAATTTTTTTGGTAGAATAATATGGATTCATGCCTGTTTCTGTTTTCTCTTTTTTCTTTTTCCTTTCAATAAACATACTGTTTGAGAATAGTTCTAGATTTACAGAAAAGCTGTGAAGCTTGTGCAGAGTTCCATATACTCCATGCCCAATTCCTCTGTCATTAACATCTTACATTAGTAAGGTCCATTTGTTACAGCTCATGAATCAACAGTGATACATGATTATTAACTAAAGTCCATACTTTATTCAGAATTACTTGTTTTTTCCCTAATGTCTTTTTTTGTTTTTTTGTTCCAGTACCCCATCCAGGAATACCACATTACACTGAGTTGTCAGGCCTCCTTAGGCTTTTCTTGGCGAAGCGTCTCAGACTTTCCTTGTTTTTGATGACCTTGACAGTTTTAAAGAGTATGAGTCATGTATTTTGTGGAATGTCCTTCAACTGGGATTTGTCTAATGTTTTTCTCATGATTATACTTGACTGACGTATTTTTGGGAAGCACATGACAGATGGTAAAGTGCCATTCTTAACTCATCATTTCAAGAGTATCTGCTATTAATGCTATTAATAGGTCTTGTCATTGATGATGTTAACCTTGACTACCCGGCTGAGGTAGTCTTTTTCAGGTTTCTTTGCTGTAAAGATACTCTTTTTTGTCCCTTTCCATACTGTACCTTTGGTAGAGAGTTACATTCCACCTCCTTGATGGTGGAGTATCTGCATAAATTATTTGGAATTCTTCTGAATTGGAAATTTGTTCTCCCCCTTATATTTATTTATTCAGTCTTTTTCAGTATGGAGTCATTAATGTCTATTTTATACTTTGAATTATAACCCAGTACTCTGTTTTTCATGTTTTTGCTTAACTTGTTCCAGCCATGGCCACTTGGCAGTTAATTTCTGTGACCCTTTGACGTGTGTGTGTTTGTAAGTGTTTAGCACTTCCTTACTTTCTGGCCCTACAGGATGTTCCAGGCTTTTAGGTTCTCTTGACTTGTTTTTTTTTTTCCTTACAGATTTCTTAATATTATATAACCATAAAACTAGTGTGTATAATCAAAAGTCAGTTTCTCCACCCTGCAAATTAGGAGTGGACTTACATAAACCTTTGTGCCTGAACTCTGTGCATTTCCCAGAGGTGGGCATCACACCACCCATGCCTCCATTGCACTATATGTGTGGATTAGTTTTCAGACATCTCCCTTTCTCCAATGAAGTGATAAATAACCAGGTTATTCCCTCAGAATGAAGCTGGCCAGATGTGCACTTTACCTTGGGAATGATTTAGGCATAAGATCTGGGAGAAGGAGAAAGGCAAGCATGCTTCCTCAGGTGGGCAGGGAGCCATCTTGGTTTGTGTGACCAACTTGATAAATTCATCTCTGTTCAGCACCTGGTCATCAGCTCTGTAAACTCAAAAATCTCTCATAGTTTTTGGTGTGTCAGGAGTCCACGAAAGGCTTGACTGGACCTGTGTGAATCAGGGTCTTTCATGCAGCTGCAGTTAGATGGTGACTTAGAGTTGGAACAGCAAGGGCTGGGGCATTTAGGGGCTGGCCAGGCATCTTTCTGTCTCTTCTTGCAGTCTTAGGGCCTCCCCATGTGGTCTCTGTGCACGGAATGGTTGGGATTCCTCATAGCATGGTGGCCTCCGTGTAAGGGTAACTGCTTACATGGAGGCTGAAGGCTTTAAGAGCAAGTATTCCAGTGATGGGTCTACATAAGTTTAAAATAATTGGATAGTATTTTATGTTGTTTGGATTTACCAAATTATATTTGCTCCATGATTTATAAACAGAAATTTAGGTTATTTGCAAGTTTTTGCAATTCCAAACACTGCTACAATAAATATCTCTGTGTGCATATCTTTGTGTGCTTATGTGATTATTTCTAGCAGATAATAGAAATGGAATTGCAAGAGTGGTAAATATGCACACTTTGAATTTAGGTAGATTCATTGAAATGACCTTTTAGAAAGGAACTTACACTTCTGTGAAGGCAGTGTGAAAGAATCTATTTCTCCTTATGTGCTTGTCAGAGCTTGTGATTATCAGTCTTTTTAATGTTTGTTCATTTTGTTGGGTAGGAAAGGGACTCATTGATTTGTAGTTCTTTGATTTTTTTTAATGAAAATGA
Organism: Homo sapiens; assembly: GCF_000001405.40. Classification (NCBI taxonomy): domain Eukaryota; kingdom Metazoa; phylum Chordata; class Mammalia; order Primates; family Hominidae; genus Homo; species Homo sapiens. The sequence goes on from NC_000006.12 coordinate 131,833,314, forward strand.
ATGTTTTATATTTTTATTAGCTATTTTCTTTAAATAGTTGGTTTATTACTTTTGGTATTTTTAAAAATTGGATTTTTTTTCTACTTGATTTTTATACCCTATTATCTATTGTCATGTACCAAAAATGTCTTATCCTTGTTCCCCCATCCCAATGTGGTGGATTTTTGTTTTTTTGGCTTTACAGGAATTTCCAATTTTTATGAACTCAAATGTATCAACTTTTCCATTATCATTTTTGGATTTTGTGTCATACTTGTAAAGCAAAATTGTAAAAATATTTGCTCATCTTTTCTTCTGGTGATTTTATTTTATACCTTTAAACATTTGCTCCATTTGCCATTGTATTTTGTTATCAGGAAAGAGAGAGAAATTTTGTTTACTAAGCACTTCAAGATCTTTTTTCTCAATAGATTGCTTTTCTTAAGATGCTGAAGTAAATCAGTACAATAGATAAAGACCACAAAAACAGCATTTTGCGACAGTGACAGTCCTACTGAAGACAGGAGACAGTTAAAACCATCAGACCAAGAACAGAGGAGTGGATATTTAATAATTCTATGATTACTTCTGGGGGTTAACTATCTGTGAATCTAAATAGAAGTTCCAGTGGCTGGAGGCTGTATCTGAGGAGGGACCCTTTAGCCTTTTAAAGAGTGATTCTGCTGTGCAGTTGAGGTGTTTTCTGTCACTCTCCTTATTGATGAAATGCTTGTGTCTCAAGATACAATGACGGTCTACAAGTCATGGAGTGAAGGTGAACATGAAAGCTCAATGAAACCATTACTTTATACTATGAGATGGATGTTTTATTCTTTGACCTTTAACTTCAGAGAGAAATGACCTGTGAAAGCACTTGGTGAGATCTTAGTAAAGAAGTGATTTGCCCACTGAGGCAGAAGTTATAGGTGCTGGTTAAATTTTATCTTTTTCTTTGAAAATGTTTGGTACTTATTGAAACAAAAATGAATGAGCATGACAGAAGAGGAGAATAATTGCCCTAGAAATATCAGCTGTCTGGAGGGCTTGCAGAAACCCAGGAAAGATTTCAAATATAAAGGGCCTGCTGCAGGTGAGTTTCTGGCCCCTTTTCTGCTTTGCCTGGGGAAGTAAGGCTCCTGGGCTGGTGTTACAGGAGCATCTCAAGACAAGCTTCTCATTCTAATAGCCTGTGTTCAACCAAGAATCTTATGCATGTACATATTTGAGGTAATAGTCTTTTTTTTTTTTTTTTTTCTGAGATGGAGTCTCACTCTGTCGCCCACGCTGGAGTGCAGTGGCGTGATCTCAGCCCATTGCAACCTCCGCCTCCTGGGTTCAAGCAGTTCTCCTGCCTTAGGCCCCTGAGTTGCTAGGATTACAGGCGTGTGCCACTACGCCCAGCTAATTTTTTTTTTGTATTTTTAGTAGAGACGGGGTTTCACCATTTTAGTAGAGACGGGGTTTCACCATGTTGGCCAGGCTGGTCTCGAACTCCTGACTTCGTGATCTGCCCTCCTTGGCCTCCCAAAGAGCTGGGATTACAGGCGTGAGCCACCGCGCCCAGCTGAGGTAATAGTCTTTAAGAGAAGAGGGTACAGGATGTAGGGTCAGGGGTTATTCAAATAAAGGTATGATTAGTTTCCAGAGAGAAGTAAATTTGTAGACATTTTACATTTATTAGGGACCATAGAAAATATTTAGTCCAACTCTTTTTGTTTATTGATAAAGGGACATAAATAATGTAACTTTCTCAAGATCACAAAGCTCCAAAAGTAATACATGTCTTAATTCAGATATGAAACCATTGAGAGTTACTGGTCTCTTTGTGATTATGGTCACGATTTCACCAAACTTATATTTTTAATTGAATATGGCTGGAATTTTAATGTGTAATTTACTTACAGTTTAAGTGGTAAAATATGAATCATTCCTGCTTTCTTAAGCCAGTCTTTTAATTTGATGTTTCATTTTAACCTTTCCTTCTAAAAAAATTATTTTGTCAATTGTCATTACCAGCTCCCATGAGTTACTGATAGGAGTTTTCTTTGAGTCTGTTCTTCAAATGCTTATTTATCAGGATAATTAATTAAAAAGAGGAATGATGTAATGATTATTTGCTTAAATATCAGGCGTACTAAAATATCTTTTTCTGGATTACTAATTTTAGTTTGGAGAAGAATCTGATAGTTTTATTTTCCCAAGATACTAGTCCAACCAAATCTATACTATGTTTATCTAAAATAATTGTTTATTTTTATTTTTATTATTTTTTTCTTCAACTTCTATTTTAAATTCAGTGGTACATGTGCAGAATGTGCAGGTTTGTTTCATAGGTGAACATGTGCCATGGTGGTTTCCCGTACAGATCATCCCATCACCCAGGTATTAAGCCCAGCATCCATTAGCTATTCTTCCTGATGCTTTCCCTCCCTGCACCCCTGACAGGCCCAGTGTGTGTTGTTCCCCCCTCATGTGTCCATGTGTTCTCATCATTTAAAGTAATTGTTTTGAGCTGCAATTTTCTATTACCAGTGACTCCTAACATTATATTAGATTTAGGGGATTGTGTTCTCTTTCATGTACATCATATCATACTTGAAAATTAAAAAAATATACTTGTGATTATCTTAATTTTTCATTTAAAGAAAGGTTAAAGGCCCAGATCCCCTAAGTGACATATGGGCACCACTTAAGGATTTCCATTTCGTGTCGTAATCGTAAAACTTCTCAACCTTCTCTGACTTTATTTCTCTTGTCTTCTGTTCTTTTAAAAGAAAGATGTGACAGAAAGCACAAAAGATCCCCAAAAAGAGTGTGTGGTTTTCTTTTTTTTTTTTGAGATGGAGTTTTGTTCTTGCTGCCCAGGCTGGAGTGCAATGGAGTGATCTCAGTTTACTGCAACCTCTGCCTCCTGGGTTCAAGCGATTCTCCTGCCTCAGCCTCCCTAGTAGCTGGGATTACAGGCACCCACTGCCATGCCTGGCTAATTTTTTGTATTTTTAGTAGAGACAGGGTTTCACCATGTTGGTCAGGCTGGTCTTGAACTCCTGACCTCAGGTGATCTGCCCGCCTCAGCCTCCCAAAGTGCTGGGATTACATGTGTGAGTCACCACACCCAGCCGAGTGTGTGTGTGTGTGTGTGTGTTTTAATGAATACTGTTCTCTTTATTCACAGTTAGCATCCACTTAGACAAAATCTTATTGTTCTCTTTATTCACAATTAGAATCCACTTAGATAAAATCTATTAAACTCAGCCTGCTACTGATTTTCCCCACTTACCAAATAATAGAAGAACTTGGCGTTTTTTTAAATGCACGAGATTCATGACACTGACACAAATTAGAAGCAAGTACTGTTTGACATGATGGCATACGTCCAGCAATTTCATTAATCATTATTGTAAAAAAATGGGTTGATGGTGGATTCTTGGAAAGTCAAACAAAATTGCTGTGATAAGTCTTTGAAGCATGTTTTTGTGGACTCCTGTCTTAACATTACTCATTTTAAAGCCAATATTCTTCCTTTTATGTTTATGGAAAGTGCGGTACTGGCATCCATAGGGCAGAGATTGTTTTTATCCATAGAAGCAGGAATCCCTTTTTAGGGAAAGTGCTTGTGACCTTAGCTTGCTTAGAGCTCATGCAGAGAGGTCCTAGACGTGCTTTAGCAGCTGGGCTTGAGCAGGTAGTGACAAGTACTACCTTATGTGTGGATCTGTGCAGAGGCAAAGGAAACCAGTAGGGTTCCCCTCTGTTATGTTGCCATTAGCCTACTGATTGCTTCTTGTCAATCTTTACAAGCAGTGGTTTGGTAATAAATGACCTTGTCCACCAAGAACAAGAGTGAGTTTTCTAGCTTATTTGGGGTTCCTGTTGTCATTGTGTGTGTGTGTGTGTGTGTGTGTGTGTGTGTGTGTGTGTAGTTTGATAAATTACTTAAAAGTTTATAAAGGCCAGACACGATGGCTCATGCCTGTAATCCCAGCACTTTGGGAGGCCAAGGCGGGCAGATCACCTGAGGTCAGGAGTTTGAGACCATCCTGGCCAACATGGTGAAACCCCGTCTCTACTAAAAATACAAAACTTAGCCGGGTGTGGTGGCGCATGCCTGTAGTCCCAGCCACTCGGGAGGCTGAAGCAGGAGAATCGTTTGAACCTGGGAGGCGGAGGTTGCAGTGAGCTCTCATCACTGTACTCCAGCCTGGGTGACAGTGTGAGACTCTGTCTCAAAAAAAAAAAAAAAAAAAAAAACCCAACCAGCCAACCAAACAAACAAACCAAAGTTTATAAAATAACTCTTCCATTACTTCTTTACTACTTCCCCTTCCTTCTATCATTGTCATTTTCAACCTATGCCAGCTGTAAGTTGATAGGTATTCCTATAATGATTTCTGTGAATCTTGAAACCTGTTAATGAGATAATAAATATTACTATTCCCATAATTGCCAAGCTGACATAATTATGAGGATGTAGGGCATTCTGCTCTAAGACAATTATCATAGTAGATGTTCCCAGGCATCACATAGGCAGGCATTAATATTTAATCTTTAGTGTCTTCTACCATGTCTCTTTTGCTCTTAAATCATTGAGTTAATTTTATTCATTTTATTTTTCATTTCTAGAAATTTTATTTTTTTACTTTCTAGATCTTTTTTAAAATAATATACTGTTTTCTGTTACTATTATCTATCTTGCCTTATTTCTTATTTTGAACAGTATTTGAATAAATGACAATTCAAGAACTCATGAAAGACACCAATCTTTAGATTCAGGTAGCTTATTGAATCTTAAGTAGAATAGATAAAATAAATATATGTTGACAACAGAATAACATTGTAGAACACAAAGTTGAAAATAAAAAAGTTTAAAGCTATTAGAGAAAATAAGACAGATTCACTTCAAAAGGATGATAGTCTGATGACTGGATTCTCAGTGGTGATGATTAAAGCATAAGGTAGTGTAATGATATCATCACTGTGCCAAAAGAAAATAATTGCCAAACTGGAATTTGCATATCCAGTAGAAATATCTTTCAAAAACAAGAATAAACCAAAGACATGTGCAGACTAACGAATACTGAGAGAGTCTGCTATCAGGAAGAATCTAAAAGATGTACTTTAGGCTGATGATTCCAGATGAAAGCTGAGAAGAAAAAATGCATAAAGAAAGTGGTAAATATTTGGTAAGTTTAAATGAACTTATAAAACAATGATGTCTAAAGGGGTTTACAAGTTAGATAGTAATATTAAAAGAAAAGTCTGAAAAGCTATAATCTAAGCATCCATATTAACAGTAAGAAAAAAAAAAACCCGAAACCCAGAACATTAAGCCTAGATATGGAAGGAAAGAAAAATAAGAGTAAGACCAGAAATTAATAAAATAACAATAAGCATACAAAAGAAAAGATAAGATTACTCCTGGTTAGCCTGATTAAGTAAAAAACAGACAAAAAAGGGTGGCAGTACAAATCATATCAAGAATGAAAAAGAACACAAATAGAGATGCTGCAGGCATTGAAAGTATAACAAAGGGTTATTATAAACAACTTTATAACCATATGTTTGAAAAGGTAGGTGAAATGAAAAATTACAAGAAAAAATACAACTTATCAAAATTACTCAAGAACAATTAGAAAATCTAAGTAATTCTCTAGCCCATGAAGAGATTGAACCACAAATTAATAAACTTCTTACACAGATTTTTCTAGGCCCAGATATGTTCTCCACTGAGTTCTTCTAAACCTCCAAGGAGAAACGAACTCTAATCTTACCATCCTTACAGCCTAGTTTATGAAGTTAGCATGGCCTTTCACTTGAAGATCTTTTTACTGTCGTTGTCCTGGAATTTTGCAGTGATGTGAATCGGTATGAGCCTTCTTCTATGATTTATTATTTTGGATACTTGATATTAGGACTCTTTGATGTGAAGTTTTGTATATGTCTTTTTGAATCCCATTGAATATACTTAATAAGATGTCTTTTTATTTCTATTTTTTTTTTCTATTCCCCTCTCCCCTTTACCATTCTGTGTTGATCTTAGACTTTTGTCTTAGGCTTACCTCCAATGACTGGTGAATCATGGTGGTTCATTTATATTTAAGGATGAGAGATTAGGTAGATTTCATGGAGCTTTGAGTATTCAGGCAGAATTTGTTTATTGAAGTTTGCTTAAGGTAAATAGGCAGAGAAGGAGCTTACTGTTATGCTGAGAACCCCTAAAATGCCAGAATGAGGAAGAGTTTACTCTGGGTCACTAATACCCACATTAGTCCTGTGGTTGTCCTGTGTACTGATTCCAAAAGTACATGGGTCCATTGGAGAAACTTTGGAAAATAAATATAAACACTAAGAAGATGACAAAATAACTTGTAAGCCCATCCATCAAGTGTAGATTTATGTATAACCAAAAATTGGGACCATATTACCCATTCTGTTTTATCATCTGTTCTTTATACCCAATAATGTGTCATTTTTCCATGTCAATTAAATATTCTTCTAAATCATGGCTGTATAACAGTTATATACAGCCATATATACAGTTATATACAGTTATATACAGTTATATACAGAAGGCTGTATAACAGTTATATAAATGGTCTATATTTCTTTAGCTATTTTCCTACTCTTGGACATTATGTGTATGTCTATTTTTTCTTATACATAGTACTGTAATGTATATATTTACATCTAAATATTTGTACATACTTTCTTAACCTTAGTATAAACTCCCAGAAGTGCAAATAATATAGATGTTTTATGGCATTTGTTTTAGGATTTTTCACAGCTACTTGTACCCAAAATGCTTGAATCAGTCTAGGGCTGCAATATATTAAAAGTGCAGATAGATATGAATCTGTAGAAATCTCTAATATATTAATACAAATTGGTGTTTACATGGATTCCCTTTTCAGTAGCATGGGCTGGAAGGCCACTGTATACCTATAACTAAAATGTCTAGTGCCATCATTTCCTGCAAAATAATTTGTTGTATTTCTTCTCAGATTCCTTGCTCCTGCATGGTCTTCAGCTACTGTTGAAAACAGATTACTGTAGAACTAAAACAAAAAAAGGAAAAATGTTAATGCACTGGTTTATGGCATTTAAGAAAATAGGAACTAGGCTGTCGTACAGTTGACAAACATTGGTAAAGTTGTACTATCCCTTTGGAAGAATCCGTAGTGGGCCCAGTCCTTTCAGTGATTGGATACTTCTAGTAGGAACTACCATTTATTCAGTAACCCTATGCCCTCGTCACCAATCTAGGCATGTTTTGTACATTCCGCCGAAGGCTCCTGCCAACTTTGTGAGGTGGGTATTATCACCACGTCATAGATTTAAAAATGAGGCTTAGTGAGGATTTGAAACATTCCCTACTTTCACAGCTGCTGGTTGTCTAGAAGTCAGAAGAATGCAAGCCGCCTGAGACCACTGCAGTTGTTTTGTGCACAGGTGTCTCTCCCGCACTAGGTCAGTGCTTGAGATGTAGTAGGATCTCAAGAAATATTTGTTCAATGCTGAATAATGAATTGAAAGGTGGAATTTGAACCAAAGTCATTTTGAACTTGAAGCTCTTTCTACCAGGCAGGTGTCAATTTCTTTAGTTTTAGTGTTTCACTGAGAGATTGTGAGATTTGTCCCTATGTGATGTGCTTGTTCAGTGCTGGATGTCCCTTTTCCTGATTTTCATGTGACTAGTTATGTAAAGGGCTTCACATCAAGTTTCACTGCAGTTTCAGAGGATCTTCTTCAGATAAATCTAGCGTAACTAAAATGATACTGAGTGCATAAGAGACCAAGCATGCATGAACAACTGCTTGAGTGGACTTAGGAACTTTTTTTAGAAGAGATTCTAACTTCTGCTTTGAGCTTTTGTAATGCTCCAAAGTTCTTCAGGAATGTGTTGTCTTTGAATCTCCCTTTGAATATCTTGTAGAAGTTTCTTGGCACTGGATTTACTCAATAGGATCGAATCCCCATCCTCCAGCAAACGAAATCCCGTGAAGACTCCCAGCACCAGGCTGGTCTGAATCCTCACAGTTCTTTTTCAGAAAGCATGCAACTTTGGTCAAAGATCAGAGGACTGATAGGCAATGTAGTCAGCTGATTCATTTCAAATGGCACTTTCATACCGTCTGACACATTGGAATACCACATCCAGCAATCTACCATTTCCTAAACAAAATTTTGTGTGTATATTTGTTGTAGGTATCTTTTATGTAATGCAGACACAATGTCACTTAACAAACTGACTCTGTCAGCTTAGATGAGGAAAATTAGGGGATTTATGGTTTCTCCCCATTTATGTTTAATTAAATCACAGCTTGCTGATGTTCAGCTTAACGATTATTTGTTGAATGTTTACTTTGTGCAAGGCACCATGCTAGATGTGGAAAACACAGGGTTGAATAAATAAATCCATGCCTCTCGGGAACTCACAGTCTAGTCAGAGACAGACAAATCTTATGGAGCATGGTAAGAGCTGCAGTAACTAGGGGTGAGGGAAGACCTAGAGAAACATGGTGCTAGCATCTCCTCGGTGAGGAGGGTCTAGCAAGTCCAAGACCTCATTTCCCACCGGACTCATAACATAGCCTTCCACAATGATCCCAAGGGATCGTTCTGGGATTATTAAATCCAGTCCTGTCACTTTCATATTTCAGCGCCTGAACACACTCCACTGACCGCCCGCAGGCTGCCTCAGGACCCATTTGTTCCCTCCCTTTTCCCTCCAGCCCCTTCCCTTCCCACTCCTACCTGCCTCCTTTACACTCTGCCTGCCTAGGTTCAAATCTTGCTGTGGATGCTTATCAACCCCCGGTCCTTGGCAAGTTACTAACCTCTGTAGCTCACCTTCCTTAAACTGTGTTAATCGTAATCTGTCTTGTGATGTTATAGTTTGGATTAAATGATTTAATATAAAACTCTTAGAAAAGTGCCCGGCACGTAGGAATTACTAGAGAAGTGACAGCCATGATTGTTGTTGTTATTTTCTCCTTCCCAGGCTGGTGTTGTCTTTCCTACCTCTGTGGCTTTGCATGAAGCACCATGGCGTATATATGGTCACCACTATGTCATTTCTTAGGTTGCTTCTAACTATGTCATATCTTTATCATCAGCCTATGGCATCATTCCAGAGTTGTTGTTGCCTTTATTAGATTTATAAACTCTGACATTAGGACTTCACTGCAAATTATTTTTTTTTTTTGTATTTCCCCACAGAATCTAAATACATTGCATCTTGCAGATACTCAAACCTTTGTTTACTGACAGAGGGAGAGGTCCCTTTTTCTCCAAATCTCTCTTTGTAAAGCCTTTTGAAACCCTTTTCTTCTTTTCTGCTCTCCACTGTGTTGTTAGTATGTTAGCATTTTTTACATGTTTCTACTGAAGTCCATTGCAATCATTCGTTCTAATGCTTCCCCCGGCCAACTTCCTTTGTTTCTCTGTAAGGGTAGGAGTTGTTTTATTTGTATCTCTGGTCTTTAGTACAGGGACTGCACATTGTGGACACTCGTATTTCAATGAATGCCTGATACAGAAAGAATAATACACATGATATTAATGCCATTGTATTTGAGGGAATTGGTGAGGGAAAAAAATTTTTTTTTTAGTATTTCTTTTGACTCACTAAATGTCTAAGAACTAATGATTTAGTTAACTAAAGAAGCAGGAAACTCCAAATATTCCAAAAACTTTGCTTTTACTTTCTGTCTCCCAGTTTCTTGTTTTCTAAGATAAGATGTATTTCTATGGTTTCTTAGAAAATATTAAAATTTGAAAAATACCTAAATTGTTATGGAGATTAAAATGGATGGTAGATTATGATATTGATGAGTTAAACTGCTTTGACAGGAAAATTCAAACTAAATTAGGTTTCACAGCTCTGAAAATTATTGAAGGGGAATTTCCTACTAAAAATCATTCTGATTAGGTGTTTTGTAACAAAGTAGTAGATATTCTAAATTTCATCTTTTATGGATGTGACTGTCAATGAGAAATGATCATTTCTATTGTCATACTTTTGTTTCAGTTCTATGCTATGCCTCATCTTATAAAAGGTAAATCAAGAACTTCTTTTTAATAATGAAGAGGTGATTTTTAAAAGTCAGCATGTGTCTTCAGCTACTTAACAAGAGGATAAAGAGCTATATATAAACCATGTGTATTTTAAACCAATGGTTACCATTTAAATGCTTGCTTACCACCTAGTCTTTCCATAGTAGTTTTCCTGTCCATCTAGTTCTTCTACTCATATACTCATATCCAATTTGTCCTGCCCCTTTCAGCCATTCCACCCATGCCTTAATTCTCTTATCCCCTTTTGTATTCTGTTTTCCCCACCTTTCCCTCTCCCAGGGCATGTCGTCTTTTTTTTTTTTTTCCCCCATTTTCCCACTTCCACTCTTAGAATTTCAGGCCATTCAAGTTTGTTATATTCCATGATTTCAGATTAAGCTGGGCTCCCAGAGCTGGAGGGTCTTTTTACTCTTCCCTCGTTGACAGTCTTTGTTGTCGCCACTGGTTTGTTGCCATCTTTCACATGGGATGCCCTAAGCCCTCTCTATTCCTTCCACACTCCCACCCAGATGCTTCTTACTTGGCCAAGAAGATTGAAGAGGTTCCTCATCAGCTGTTTCTAGCTTCCTGTTGCTATACCTTAGTTTGTTTTGTGTGTGTATGTGGTGTTTTTGTGTGTGTGTGTATATCTTCCTCTCAGCCTTCTGACATGCCTATCTCTGAGCCTAACCCTCTGAGAGTATTTTATTGTATAAGTAAAATATGACTTGTTCAACCAGCTTCCTTAAAATGAGCTTAGGTTGTTCCTAGTTTTTTTGTTCATTTGTTTTATGAATACAGTTTTGAAATAAACACCTTGGACAACTATTTTGGCCACTTGTGAGAGTACAGTTAGTACTAGCTTTGCATGATTCTCTGACATGCACAAATTTCAGTTACCACAGTTTAATTAAATAAAACCAGCTCCCAACAACATAGTTCAAATTTCATTTACCAAGATATATTAACTGTGAGTAATTGCGTAAAGTACAAACTTTGCTGCTAGCTCATCAGTCCACAAATCACTGTGCAAATAGCAAGTGCAAGTTATGGTCAGTGACCAATTGCATCATTTCTTTCAAAATCTGCCAGTGATTAGCCCATAGGCATCTTTTAGTCAGTTCATGCACAGACAGCAAAAGCATGTAGTTGTGTTGTTGCTTTGCCTCTCAGAGGTAAACCTATATGACGTTTTCAAAAAGTGGATAATTGAAAAAGTGAATGAACTGATGAAGAATGAAAGTAAAGAAAAGAAAGGAGGTAATAATGCTGGAAGTGAAATTGAAGTCAAAGTAAATGGAGTTATGGAAGAAACAGCTAACCGTGGGAATGCTAACACTGCCATGGTGCAATAGACTCCAGATATGAAGCCAGAGGAGTCTAGTGAAGCTGAATTTTTTGACATAAATGAGGAGAGTGGTTGTGAGAAAAAGAATGAAGATATCCCAGAGGGAGTGACACTGCCACAAAACTTCCTCTTGGAGACATTTCATAATGTTGAAGGTGCAAAGCTTATGTGAAAACATTGGAAACTGATCTAAACTTAGAAAGGAATATGGAATATGACAATTCTCCAAGGCACAGAAAATATTCTCACTCTGTATTGTGAGTTATGTGATAGATGAGAAGAAGGTAAGTACTGTTTGGACTATTCTAGATAAGTTTACAGATAAATACAATTTCAATTCTTCATGGTTTTTTTTTTTTTTTTTTTTTTTTTTTTTCCTTGAGACAGAGTTTCACTGTGTCGCCCAGGCTGGAGTGCAGTGGTGCGATCTTGGCTCACTGCAACCTCTGCCTCAGCCTCCCAAGTAGCTGGGATTACAGGAGCCTACCACTGCACCTGGCTAATTTTTGTATTTTTGGTAGAGACGGGGTTTCACCATCTTGGCCAGGCTGGTCTTTAACTCCTGACCTCGTGATCCACCTGCCTTGGCCTCCCAGCGTGCTGGGATTATAGGCATGAGCCACCGTGCCTGGCCAATTCTTCATGTTTTTAATGTTTTAAATTATAATACACTAAATATAGATGTTTTACTATGTTTTATTTTCTTATACATTTATAATTGACAGTAAAACAGTTTTTGTTGTTGTTTTGGCTTGTTTTTTTTTTTTTTTTTAATTTTTTTTGAGCATCTTGCTCTGTCGCCCAGGCTGGAGTGCAGTGGTGCGATCTGTGCTCACTGCAACCTCCGCCTCCCGGGTTCAAGCGATTCTCCTGTCTAAGCGCCCCCGAGCAGCAGGGATTATAGGCGTGCATCACCATGCTGGGCTAATTTTTTGTATTTTTAGTAGAGATGGGGTTTCACCATGTTGACCAGGCTGGTCTCAAACTCCTGGCCTGAAGTGATCCCCCCACCTCAGCCTCTCAAAGTGCCTGGCCGTTTGTGATGTTTTTGATAGATATTTTTAGAGATTATCTTTCCATATAGTTGTGTCAGTTTACACCACCATCAGAAGTTTAGGAGAATCCATTACTATTCTCTTCTGATACCTTGTTCTGCTTATTTGCCCTTGTTGACTTGCTCAAGCTCTTCCTCTGATACCTCCTTATTTTAAGGAATATACACACACACACAAAGAAAAACACATGTTTTTGCATCCTTAAAGAAGGCTAACCTTTTGCTTTCTTTGCAAAAACTCTTCCTTTCTTTTATCCATTTTATTTTGAAGTAAGTAAGACCTGCTGCCTCACTTTCCTTACCATTCACTTCCTCTTAAGTCTTTGCAGTCACTTGACAGTAGGCACCTCGAGAGCAGAGGTCATGTCTGTTTTATTACTGAATGTCCAGTACATAGTCCGTACTCAATACTCTTCATCTGAAGGAATGAATTCTTATAAAAGCCTCCACCAACCATCTACTTGGTCCTATTCACCCATTCCTCCTGTCTCTATTATCTCTTCACCTTAGCTTTCCGGAAATACTACACCATCTTTCCATACCTCCACCCATTGTCCATTCCCGTTTGCATTTTCTTGGTTTCAGCTAAGATAGGCTGTTCATTATTTATCTGCCACCTTCCATGTGCCTGCCTTCGTGGAACCCTTCTTTATGCTGCCCTTTCTCCTAGAAGTTTGCTGTGTTCTGTCCTCTCTTTCCTTCCTCCAGTTCCACCTGGCAACATCACGCCATCATTTCCCCCCCATTCAGAGCCATGCCAAAAGCTTGCTCTAGGAAACTCTTTCTGATCTCCCTCTCCCTAACCACCCCAACCTTTCTCCTTCTTTAAACAACTGTAGAACTTTGCAGGCGGTTTGTAGGGCCTACCAAATATGGGCCACTGATGTGCTGTTTTTAACTTCTCCTACCCAAGTAGAAACCCCTTGAGCTATCTCTTATTTTTTCCTTCAGTGTATAACAGTCTTTGCGCATCATTGGTACTCAATTAATATTTTATTGAGGTGCCCTGTAATCTGACATTCCAGGGAGCTTTCAAGGAAACTTTGTCACACTAAAAAAAATTGAGGATTGTTTTGTGGGTTATTCCGCTCCTTTGTCTTCTAACTCACAGAAGTTCTGTCATGGTTCTTAGGGGTTGTAGGGTGTGTCCACTTATTTTAAAATGTCAAAGACCAGAAGAGTGGAGAATGGGAAAGTGGCAAAGTGTTAGCACTGGAAAGATGTTTAGAGATCACGTAGTCCAACCCTTAAATTTTATAGATGAATAAACTGGTATCTAGAAAGCTTAAGTGACCTGCCTGAAATCACACAACTAGTTTGTGGTAACACTTGGTCCAGGAGGTTGTCAGCTGACCCTCTTCAGGGCTCGTTCCCACAAGGTACCACAGTACATGTGAGGATGTTAGGTTTGGGTTTGTGTAGAACTGTTAAAAGAGGCATATAATATTCCACATATTGCCTTTAATGGATTGATACATAGGAAATCCAGACTCTGTAAATAGTTTTCTCTCTCTTTCCCTTAATAATTATAATTTTTATGACTAATTCATTTATACTAACTAGGAGAGTTTCTAATTACATTAACATTGGATGGTATAGAATGGTTGGTTGACATTTGAGTAAACTTTTTATTAAAGTATAAAATACAGAAATGTATACAAATCACAAGTGTATAGTTGGAATTTTCAAAAAGTGAACACATCTACGTGACTAGCCCCAGACTGGAAAAAAGAACAGCACCAAAAAGTTTAGAAACATTTAAAGCAATAAAACATTTGGAGAAATAAAAGGATTTTAAAACTATATAAGGCCAGGCCTAGTGGCTCTTGCCTATAATCCCCCCACTTTGGGAGGCTGAGGCAGGAGGATCCCTTGATGCCAGGATTTCGAGGTTACAGTGAACTATGATCATGCCACTGTACCCTAGCCTGGGTAACAGAGTAAGACACTATCTCTAAAAATAAAAAATAAGATAAAATATTTTTTAAAAAAGAAACCATGTAATTTTCTCTTTTCTCCCTACAGGTATTGTCAGTATGTGTGTTAACAACAATACTTGGTTGTATATTTGGGTTGAAACCAAGCTGTGCCAAAGAAGGTAATTAGGTGTGTGTGTGTGTGTGTGTGTGTGTGTGTGTGTGTGTATGTGTGTGCACAGCCTTATTAAGAATGTGATTGAGGTAAACATTATCTCCTATTCCTATGGGTACTCCATAGATATTGTCAATTCAACGCTGGCTTGAGCCTTTTTCCTGAAGTTCTTGTATTATATTAGTCATATAAAGTTCTACTTACAAAACATGGCCGGGGGTTCTGATGCTGTTGTCCTGGAGCCCATGCTCCCTGACTTCCTCCAGGGACTCAGAGGACATTCTTTACTGCTCTTTTACCCTAAGGAGTTAGTTGCTGAAGCAACCCTGTAGGTTACTAGGTGACAGTTACCATCCCTGGGCAACCAGAAACCTGTCAGTATGTGCTCTTAAGGTTCTAAAATTGCAGACATTGGTTGTTTCAAAGCCACAATGATATTTTTTTAAACTTCTAGATATATTTTTCTTTCCATCAATTGCAGAAATCTATCCAGCATTGACAAGATTATAATAAATAATTAAACTGGATCACAGTAAATCGTAGTGGTTATTATCTTGTCTTTGAGGTAGTTCCCCCCCCATCCTCTCGCAATAAAATCATTGATGGTCATTCTAGAGAATTCAGCTTTGAAAATTGAACAGGTTCTTCTGTTTGGCTATTCTGTGATTGTAATATTAATTATTTAAAAAATTTTTAGTGATTATTAAGCTATCATGTACTGTTGAAAAGTAGTAATTTTATGTATCAGTAAACTATTCAGAACACATGTATCTAAGTTTAACTGAAGTAAACAGTTACAGACTTTAGTGTTTACCTATGTCATCTTTTAGCATGAAGTGATTCACTCCTGAGTTGACACATACAAATTAAAAATGAAAAATAACAATTTTAATCCAAGCCCAACATAGTATGCATCATATTTTTAAAAATTATTAGGTGCATATTAATGAGCTCCAAGTAATAGCTATTATTCCAATAGACTTCCCTGACCCCCACTCCAGGTCAGGAAAGTTCGTATTTCTGACACTAGAAATTATTATTGTTACTTCATCTTCTTAAAATTGCCTGATTTCCCAGTGTCAAATGAGAGGTAAATTCCATGGCAGTGTCTTTTTGGGTCAGAACACCATTAAAGTCAAGAACTAAGATTATTTCTTTTTTGTTGTTGTTGGATGTCCCTTATTTTCCATGTGTTCCTTTTTTTCTTTTTTTCTCATTGTCCTAATTTTCTAGCTCTCCAGTGAAACCTGGCTTATTCAAGGTATCTAGTAATGAACTTCAACAGTAAAAAACTGTCATGAAAAGTACTTTCCTCCCATGTCTACCATTTATTCATTTAGCAAAAATGTGCTAATCTCAACTATATGGCATGCACCTGGCTGGGTTTTAGGGAGACAGTATGCTGGGCAAAGCCAGATGTGGTCTTGGTTTGCCGTCTAACTGGGATATTAACCAAATAACCTAGTTACGTGTGGAATTAAGTAATTGAGGGGAAGGACAAGGTTTTATATGAGCTTAAAAAAATGGAAATCAGGCCTAGCTGGGGAGTTAGGAAAGCTTTTTAGAGGGAGCCAGTCTGGATCTAAAGGTGAAATGGGTGTTTCAGGTCAGGGAGGGAAGAGCTATGCCAGGGAGCATGTTCTGAACAAACCCACTACTTCTTTACACCAGGATTGAGAGTGAGGCAGGCTAGGTAATCTTTTCCTTTCTAAAATATTCTTAACCACTTCTAAAAAAAATTTTTCCCACATTTTGAAATTTTAGGGAACCCCATGCCTGCTTAAGCCAACTTTTTCATAGCACAAAGTATTCAGAACAAGCCTTTATTCTGACTTTTATTTTATCACACCATGGTTATTTAAGTCTTATCAGACCCAGTAACGTTTGTAATAATAATCATTAAAAAGTTATCTTTCTTTCCTACATCAGGAGATAAAAATCACAAACCAGGCACATAAGGTTACTTTCTGTTTGTATCACTTTTTGTGTGTATTTGTGAAAAGATTTTTGCCTTACTTTATTACCCCATCTGTATTTTCTAAAGTAGTATTTGAACCTAGTGTACACCTAACTTAGTTGTATTCGTTGATGTTTACTTTGAATTATATAATGATTAGAAACATCTGACTTATCGTTCAATTTTTTCAGTTAAAAGTTGCAAAGGTCGCTGTTTCGAGAGAACATTTGGGAACTGTCGCTGTGATGCTGCCTGTGTTGAGCTTGGAAACTGCTGTTTAGATTACCAGGAGACGTGCATAGAACCAGGTAAGGATGAGCAGGGAAAAAAGTGGAGTTATGGTCATTAGGAAAAGATCAAGGAAAGTTCTGTGTCTTTCAGGTATGTGATTTACCTAATTCATTTGAATTTTTTTTAGTTTAGCATACATACACGTTTTGACATTAGCTTTTATATTTTCTTTCAACAGTTCCTTAAGAGAAAAAAATTTACAGAATTTCTCTGTTAAACATTTTATGGATAGCAGAACTTTGTCTATTTTTAATGTATGCTGAAAGCCTTTGTAATCTAATTTGCATTCAAATTCTAAAAGCCTGCTTGAAATATAGAAATATTTTCATTATGGTTCTTTGACGGCAAGAGATCTTATATGTCCACCTATATTTTTCAAAATAAAACTATCAGAATATGAAAATTTTCTTAGTTAGATTTGGAATTCTCTGCATATGACATGGAATAATTTTTAAATGAGAGAGATTTATTTATTTTTCATTAGTATTTATTTTTTAAAGACAGGGACTTGTTCTGTCACCCAGGCTGGAGAGCCGTTGCTCGACCATGGCTCGTTGCAACCTTGAACTCCTGGGCTCAAGAGATCCTCCTGCCTCAGCCTCCCAAGTAGCTGGAACTACAGGCTCACACCATTATGCCCAGCTAATTTTTAAAATGTTTGTAGAGATGAGGTCTCACTACATTGCCCAGGTTGATCCCAAACTCCTGGCCTCAAGCAATCCTCTCACCTTGACCTGAGAGTCAGACTTAGATTAAATTTTAGCAGGTAGAAGAAGCCAGGTCTACATATGAATTGCATATGGTAAGGTGCATCTAAATTTGAAAATGACAAAATTCTGGACTTTTAGTGAAATAATAATAATTGGTTCCTACATATTTTACCCCATTAGTTCAGAGTGGCCATGGTAGTGGCAGATTCTGTGAGTGACTAAGAGCTGTGAAATTGTTCATTGTTGCTCATGGATCATACTCAGGAAGACAGCAATTCTGTGTTCACTTTGGACATGTTGAATTTGAGACATAAAACACATTTTGCTGATGTTTGTTTCTAGAACATATATGGACTTGCAACAAATTCAGGTGTGGTGAGAAAAGGTTGACCAGAAGCCTCTGTGCCTGTTCAGATGACTGCAAGGACAAGGGCGACTGCTGCATCAACTACAGTTCTGTGTGTCAAGGTCAGGTGCTCGTTGGGCTCTGCAGCAGCCTGGTATCTTCCAGCGTCTTAGCGGGGCTTTACATAGGTGTTATCTTTTATATTAGGAGTCATGGCTATTGGCCAACTATATTAGCTGAAAAAAATAATTTTAAAACTTTTTATTAAAGAAACTTTTAAACATACACATGGGGAGAGAGAGTATGTAATGAACATTATACCCATCACCCAGCTTCATAATTATGATTATGTGCACACGGCCAATAATATTTTATCTATAACCACTCATTCCCCTGCCACCACCCTCTCATGTTATTTTGATAATAGCAGCACACTTGATGTTGTATTTGTGGAAAGATCCCTCTTACAGTCCTGGCTGACTTTTATGTCCCGGCTTCCCTCCTAGTAAATGGGGACACTGTCTGCTGTGCATTGAGAGAGTCGATGTGAAATTGTTTAGAAAGATTCGAGGGCATTTTGTAAGGTGATACTATTATGATGTCTTGTCCAGGTATTATTATTATTTTTTTTTCAAATTTCTTGACAGAACCTGACTCTATATGAGAGAGAACTAAGACACCAAAATACCAAGGATTTTGATGAGTGGATAGAAGGGGAGGGTTGTAAATTTTGGCTGAAAATATTAAGAATTTGAAAATGGAAAAGATACCTTCAAGTTCTCACAAATACAGTAGTATGTTTTAGTCTTACAATTGTGCATCCATTTTTAATTCCTGATATCAACTAACTCTTATTTTGAAGCACAATAATTCTCTTTATTGATTATACACCTCCAGAGTCATGTCCTGTGTTATCTATCAATCTGTTCACATACTTTGTTTTTGGAATCTGTCTTAATGTGTCTCACAAGCATCACAATTATTATTACTGTTAAGTGTGTTCATTTTATTTTCTTGAAAATATTTTAGGTGAGAAAAGTTGGGTAGAAGAACCATGTGAGAGCATTAATGAGCCACAGTGCCCAGCAGGGTAAGATTATATTCTGAGGTATTAATTTTTTCTTTTTTAGAAGTACAGCATCATTTTTTTCTTTCCAAATTAAGATGATAAAAATAATAAAATCACTGGTTTATTAAACATTACAGGTTGAGTATCCTTTATCCAAAATGTTTGGTATGAGAACTGTTTTGGATTTTGGACTTTTTTGGATTTTGCAATATTTGAGTTATACCAGTTTGGGCATCTCAAATCTGAAAATCCCAAATGCTCCAGTGAGCATTTCCTTTGAGCATCATGTCAGTGCTCAAAAGTTTTGGATTTTGAAGCATTTGAGATGTCAGATTTTCAGATTTGGGATGCCCAACCTGTATTTTTAGCCAGATCTTGTGTTTGGCAATGGTGGAACAGAGATGATTATGGAGTTATCCCTATTCTGGAAGTTTATAGAAAAAAGAGAGGCCATGAATATTTAGTCTTTGGTATTGAAGAATGCTAGATAAAAATATTTGCATTTTCCTTTTCAGGAAGGAAGGATCTTTACTTTTATTTGGAGTTTTTAGAGCTGCTAAACTTGTAGAAAATTTAGCTTCTTTTTTTTTTTGTATTTTGGTCCATTTATACATTTTTGGGATAACAACCTATTTGTGAGAGATGATACATTTTTTTAAAATAATTCATATTTGGTTTTTTTGTCCTTCAGATATTTTGTACAGGGTCTTCCATATATGACACCATCAAAAAGAGTATGTGTGGAATTTAAAGGGTGAAGATTTTATAAAGGTGTTAAGTGTATTTATCTTTGTTCCATTTGAGGTCTACCATCTCATACATTTGAATTACTCATCTTCAGAAATGTATTTTTACCTCTTTAAAATGATAGTTTTCCCAGACTATTAAAATTTTTAAGCTGTATTTTAGTTCATTTTGTTCATGTATGTAATTTTTGTTATATGTCTTCTTTTTTTTCTTTTGGAAGGAAAAGTACTTTTGATTTAAATAAGCAGTAGCAACAGCAGCCAAAACTAAACCTCAACCAAATAATTTCAACAGAAGAGCCTTTTTTTAAGGAAAATTTTCATGTACCCTAAACTGTCTTTTAAATCCAAGGAATACTGGGAATGTTAGACTTAGTGAATTTCAAATCTTTCTTTTTCTTCTAAATATTGCTTATAATTTTTCAGTTGTAATATTGAATCTTTTAGTGGAAAACATAACCCTTTCTTTACAAGAAGATTGTAACTTAGGACACTTATTATTACACTGGATAATTTACCAGTATGTTTACGTGATGGCCCACTAACCTGCTTTTATGATTTCTGTTGATTGAATAAAACTAGTTTTGTATGGACCGTTAAGACTATATACACTGGTTCTACAGAGTCTCTCAGTGGAGCTATGTTACAGATAGTAGCTAGTGAAAATTGTATAAAAATGTTCTCCTTGTGGGGTTGCTTTTGTGTTTGTGTGTGAGGGTAAGGTGGGAGGAGGCAGAGTTGAAAAGGCAAGGTAAGGTATTTCCTGTCAAGTTTTAAATTTACTGAGTAAACTTTCAGTGGGAAGTCTAACAGTTATCCAGTGTTATAGAAGTTCCCTACCACCTACCATGTATCACTAGATGCTGAAAAATTTCTGAGCCATGGCCGTTTTGGGGTAGCCACATGGCCATTGTCCATAGCTATTCTCGTTTGTCAAGTATATTAGCATCCTCTGTGGTTTTTGGCCTCCTTTTTGAAATTTCCACACTACACGTTAACTGTTTGTATATGTATGTATGTGTTGTTGAAACCTCATTGATCATTCCCAGCTTTGAATTATTTCTTTGTTGTTTATATATTTAAATATAGTATCTCTCAAACTTTTGTATTAAGTATTTATATCTTTTAAATATATTAAGCCTAAAAACTAAATACAGTATATAGGCTTGGTGGGTGGCTCACACCTGTAATCCTAACACTTTGGGAGGCCGAGGTGGGAAGATTGCTTGAGCCTAGGAGTTCGAGACCAGCCTGGGCAACATAGTGAGACCTCATGTCTACAAAAAATAAATAAATAAATAAATTAGCCAGGCATGGTGGTGCGTGTTTGTAGTCCCAGCTACTTGGGAGGGTGAGGCAGAAGGATCATTTGAGCCCAGGAGGTTGAAGCTGCAGTGAGCTGTGATAGCGCCACTGCACGGCAGCCTGAGGAACAGAGTGAGACTCTGTCTCAAAAATAAAATAATAAAATAAATTAAATAATAAAATAGTGTGTAATGTATATACTATATGAAGTACTATTTACTGTATTAGAGTCCATATCAGAAAGTGGTGGTTCAGGAAGAATATTTATGGAAATATTATATGCTGTTGTTTTTTATTGTTTATTTTCCTGCAAATTGGGAAAACAATATTATATTTTAGTAGCAATTGGTGTAGCTTTTGGAACAGCAGGAACCATGAATGATGTTTCTGTATGGTGGCTCAAAATGATATGAATGCTTAATATATACTATGTGATGATATATATGTATTACGAAATGATAGAGCTTGTATATAAATATAAATGCATGTAAAACGTACTTTATAAGTATGCTTGCCGACTTTGTTAGTTAGTTTTCTTAAGATCACACAGACCTTAGTGGAAAATCTTCACTGGACCTGTGCCAAGAAGGGGGTACATCTTCATTGGATATGTCTTGTCTTTGCTTCTTTAAACATTTTTTTTTCTTTTTCATTACCCAGGTTTGAAACGCCTCCTACCCTCTTATTTTCTTTGGATGGATTCAGGGCAGAATATTTACACACTTGGGGTGGACTTCTTCCTGTTATTAGCAAACTAAGTGAGTAACTTCAGAGTTTACTGCTGGAATATCACCATTTCAGTGAGATTGACTAGGCAGGCAGTCTTTCTTGGAAAAGTACTGGCAGAACCTAACTGTTTCACTAAACTTTTCTATGGCAAAGTAGTTGAACCTTGTGTAAGGCGCTTATCTTTAATAGTGTGATTACTCTGAAGCTGCCCTTCAAAAAAATAAGTTAATATAGTTATCTTCGAATTTTAACCTTTGGCCATTTTTATATGTATTTATTCTTTCTCAGAATTTTGAATTCCTTGTGAAAAAGTCCCTTGTTTATTTATTTTACAAATATTATTATTTTTGAGACTGAGTCTCACTCTGTCGCCCAGGCTGGAGTGCAGTGGTGTGATCTTGGCTCACTGCAACCTCTGCCTCCCAGGTTCAAGTGATTCTCGTGCCACAGCCTCCCAAGTAGCTGGGATTTCAAGCACATGACACCATGCCTGGCTAATTTTTGTGTTTTTAGTAGAGACAGGGTTTTGCCATGTTGCTCAGGCTGGTCTCTAACTCCTGGGCTCAAGCAATCCACCCACCTTGGCCTTCCAAAGTGCTAGGATTACAGGCGTGAGCCACCATGCCTGGCCTTATTTTACAGATATTTTATTTCAGAAATAGAATTTCAAAAACTAAAGGTATTTCTGAGATATTACGAGTACAGACATAGAATATTTGTCAGTTATTCTGTATTATCCTTTGGATTGAATTGGACTCTTCCTTTTTTTTTTTTTTTAAATCCCAATCAGGCCTTAATTAAGTGATTTTTCTATAAATTCCCCATAAAATAGTATAATGGTGTTTTCTTAATATTGATGCCAAAGTTTTAAATCACGTTAACAACCTTTAAGCAGCTACAATGTAATACTGGACTAAAATAGATGTAAGTAAATACAATTACTTTAGCTTTTTTTCTGGAATTCTAAAATATTGCTTACCAGATTTGAGTATGTGAGGTGCTTTAAACATTAACATCACTCTTTGTAAATTCATATGTACGTCATTATGCTTGTCTTATGAAGTGCCAAAATAATTTTGGGAGAGTTTTAAAAATTTTTAGTTTTTAATTTCTACATGGAAGAAGATAGTTTTGTTTTGTTTTAATGTTTTGCATAAAAAGTCTTTAGCTTTGCATGGACAAAGCTGTGTTCTTCCCAGCAGGCCTGTGGCCTTTGAAGTTTAAATACAGCCCTTTGTTGGCCAGTGATGATGAGCATTTTTTCATGTGTTTTTTGGCTGCATAAATGTCTTCTTTTGAGAAGTGTCTGTTCATGTCCTTCGCCCACTTTTTGATGGGGTTGTTTGTTTTTTTCTTGTAAATTTGTTTGAGTTCATTGTAGATTCTGGATATTAGCCCTTTGTCAGATGAGTAGGTTGCGAAAATTTTCTCCCATTTTGTAGGTTACCTGTTCACTCTGATGGTAGTTTCTTTTGCTGTGCAGAAGCTCTTTAGTTTAATTAGATCCCATTTGTCAATTTTGTCTTTTGTTGCCATTGCTTTTGGTGTTTTGGACATGAAGTCCTTGCCCATGCCTGTGTCCTGAATGGCAATGCCTAGGTTTTCTTCTAGGGTTTTTATGGTTTTAGGTCTAACGTTTAAATCTTTAATCCATCTTGAATTGATTTTTGTATAAGGTGTAAGGAAGGGATCCAGTTTCAGCTTTCTACATATGGCTAGCCAGTTTTCCCAGCACCATTTATTAAATAGGGAATCCTTTCCCCATTGCTTGTTTTTCTCAGGTTTGTCAAAGATCAGATAGTTGTAGGTATGTGGCATTATTTCTGAGGGCTCTGTTCTGTTCCATTGATCTATATCTCTGTTTTGGTACCAGTACCATGCTGTTTTGGTTACTGTAGCCTTGTAGTATAGTTCGAAGTCAGGTAGTGTGATGCTTCCAGCTTTGTTCTTTTGGCTTAGGATTGACTTGGCGATGCGGGCTCTTTTTTGGTTCCATATGAACTTTAAAGTAGTTTTTTCCAATTCTGTGAAGAAAGTCATTGGTAGCTTGATGGGGATGGCATTGAATCTGTAAATTACCTTGGGCAAATCAAAACCACTATGAGATACCATCTCACACCAGTTAGAATGGCAATCATTAAAAAGTCAGGAAACAACAGGTGCTGGAGAGGATGTGGAGAAATAGGAACACTTTTACACTGTTGGTGGGACTGTAAACTAGTTCAACCATTGTGGAAGTCAGTGTGGCCATTCCTCAGGGATCTAGAACTAGAAATACCATTTGACCCAGCCATCCCATTACTGGGTATATACCCAAAGGACTATAAATCATGCTGCTATAAAGACACATGCACACATATGTTTATTGCGGCACTATTCACAATAGCAAAGACTTGGAACCAACCCAAATGTCCAACAATGATAGACTGGATTAAGAAAATGTGGCACATATACACCATGGAATCCTATGCAGCCATAAAAAATGATGAGTTCATGTCCTTTGTAGGGACATGGATGAAATTGGAAATCATCATTCTCAGTAAACTATCGCAAGAACAAAAAACCAAACACCACATATTCTCACTCATAGGTGGGAATTGAACAATGAGATCACATGGACACAGGAAGGGGAATATCACACTCTGGGGACTGTTGTGGGGTGGGGTGAGGGGGGAGCGATAGCATTGGGAGATATACCTAATGCTAGATGACGAGTTAGTGGGTGCAGCGCACCAGCATGACACATGTATACATATGTAACTAACCTGCACAATGTGCACATGTACCCTAAAACTTAAAGTATAATTAAAATAAATAAATAAATACAGCCCTTTGTTACCATTATCAGGAGAGCTTGTCTCCATGGTGCCAAATGTGGCATCGTGAGTTTAGAGTTAAGAGGTGGAGGTACCTGTATATGAAGTTTAAAATAAATCATTAAACCATGAGCCCAAGCCCTAGCTTTGAATAATTAGGGAATGTAGCCTGTAATTCTGAACTGATGGAAGGCAGTGAGATATATAGACACATGCCAATTTGAGGGACTTTTTTAGGCAAATGGAGTATTGAACGCTGGAATCATTAGTTATGTGTTCCCTCCTCAATAGTAGAGGCAGGAGAAAAAGAATGAGGCACCAGAACTAGATCAGCAGGGCATCAGGAATAGTCGGACTTCTGCACTTTCTTGGACTTGAAGCCACAAGATGCCTTTTGTCTTTAAAGCAGCTGAGTTTGTCCAGGGTTAGCTGCTTCTAGATTTATGGCCTGGGACCCTGTCTTCCCAGCTACTCCTTCATCCTTGTTTTAATTTATAGACTTAGTTCAGTTTTCTTATTCTACCTCTTATGATTTAGGTATTTGACCACTAAGTAGTATCAAAGAACTTACAAGCATCATTTTATTATAACTTGTTCATCTTGAATGAAGTGATGTTATGGGTAATTGGCTTAATTATTTTAATGTTTTTCTGACTAAGAGAAAAATGAAGTCATCTTTAAGATTGGATTTGTATCCACAGTGTTGCTTTATAATTCATCCTGAATTTTTATCTGATTAAAATCCCTCCTGGGCTAATTTTTTTTACGTGATTTAGACTGCTGTGGTACCACTGCTAAATGAGGTAAGCCAATTGTCAGATGTATTTAATAACAATGTTTATTTTTTTCCCTTCTAGAAAAATGTGGAACATATACTAAAAACATGAGACCGGTATATCCAACAAAAACTTTCCCCAATCACTACAGCATTGTCACCGTAAGCTCTGCATTTCAACTTCTATCTGTTTGAAGAAGTGAGATGGGATTGTAACATTTTTTGAGGGAATAGATTTAAGATAAAAGAAAAACAACTTATTTTCCAATAGGTAGTTAAGTAA
The DNA here is from genome assembly GCF_000001405.40 of Homo sapiens. Lineage (NCBI taxonomy): Eukaryota > Metazoa > Chordata > Mammalia > Primates > Hominidae > Homo > Homo sapiens. Next base: position 131,858,869 of record NC_000006.12, read on the forward strand.
GGAAACCCAGGTTCTGATCTTTGCTCTGCCACAAACTAGCTGTGGCTTTGGAAAGGTCACTTTACTGGCTGAGTCTCCATTTTCTCATCTGTGAAAAGAGATGACTCAAGACCTCAAGAAACGATTTCCTGGTTTCCTTTCAGTGTTAATATTCTCTGATTCTTGTATCCTAGTTTTGAGGCTTACTTTATTTGAGCCAAAAAACCTTCCCAAACTCCTGTGTTCACAACTTGTCTTTCTAATCATCTTGATGATGAATTTAAGCAAGCCACTTTGCCTGACTCCAAATAGGATTACAATCCTGTTTTTGTTTCAGTGTTTCCAGATTTAATTTGAGTCAAATAAAACAGTAGAACTCACTAAGCTTTAGAATTGAAGCCAGAAAATTAGTATGTTAGCTTATATTGATCCAAGCTACTCTGGGACCTCGCCAAAAAAGGAATTTGTTCTGCAGAAATGCTTTACTCAGCAATTTAAAAAGACAACAGCATTGTTTTCAAAATTTCAGAGGCTACCTTTTTTTTTTTTGTTTTTTTGAGATGGACTCTTGTGCTGTTGCCAGACTGGAGTGTGGTGGTGCGATCTCGGCTCACTGCAACCTCCACCTCCCGGGTTCAAGTAATTCTCCTGCCTCAGCCTCCCAAGTAGCTGGGACTACAGGTGCACACCACCACGCCCGGCTAATTTTTGTGTTTTTAGTAGAGTCGGGGTTTTGTAGCCTGCCCGGACCTAGGGGCGGATGGGGGGAATGTGGGAATAAAAGACAAAGACAAAAGAGTATATTTGGAAGAAGGGGTCAGGGGGTACCTTGCCTCTAGTGGACAAGGGCCCTGAGCTTTACACAGCCCTCCATATTTATTAGGCAAAAGAGATAGCGAGTAGAGGGCGGTGGTTGTCGGCTAATTGTCAGTTGGCCTTTTGGTTCACAGCAGGCTTGCGAGACTACATTCTTTTAACAATAGGCTAGATTTCTCAGTAGATAACTTCAAGGAGCCTGGCCAGGGAGTGAGGCCCTCAGCAAACCTTTTGGTGGCAGGGCAGTGTGAGTTTGCCCACATCCTGCATTCATGAAAAACAGTTTGCTGTTTGACCATATAGCCTCCATGGAATGCTGAGTTGGTCATGTCCCACGGGCCTTCAGCTCCCTGCAGGGTTTCACCATGTTGGCAAATGGTCTCCATCTCTTGACCTCGTGATCCGCCTGCCTCAGCCTCCCAAAGTGCTGAGATTATAAGTGTGAGCCACTGGGTCTGGCTGAGGCTGCCTTTTTTATATAGATCTTTATCCTTAGTATTACTGACTTATTTTCTCCTATTACATAATTTAAATCACAAATACTACATAAAATCTTAAGAGGTTGCGTTTTGCCATTACCTGATTTTTTTGTTTTTCTTTCCTTAAACTTATTATAATTCCATGTAGCTTCAGTTATCGGTTTCTTTTTGATGATTTTTTTCTGTGAATGTATTTAACATTAAGTAAACACAACTTGCATATAATCTGTTTTATCTTTTTTAGGGATTGTATCCAGAATCTCATGGCATAATCGACAATAAAATGTATGATCCCAAAATGAATGCTTCCTTTTCACTTAAAAGTAAAGAGAAATTTAATCCTGAGTGGTACAAAGGAGAACCAGTGAGTTCTTTGTTTTTCTACTAAAATAGTTAATTATTCTCATCTATTTCAATCAGAGTAAAATAACCAGATTCTCTAGAGCTTTTAATAACTGATTTCATTTAGTGTGTCTGTGGCCATTCTTTTGTAAATGGAGATGAATGCTGATAATCCTAAACATAACTTGTATAATTGCGTAAAAGGAGAGTAGTTTATTTCAGAGGTGGATTTGGGTTGTGCTGGGCAATTTTTCTTTTCTGATCAATTCTTCTTCTACCAGTAGCATATAGCAGTAGTATGGGGGTAATAGCTTTGATCTACACAAAACTACGTTGTTTTTGAACGTCTTGGTTTTATTTGCCTGTGCTAATTTAGGAGCTTCTTTCCAATTGTGATCTCCAATTTACTTTCCAAGCTGTGTTCTCCTTTTTAATTTTTAAAATTCTCCAATTCTCCAATTTACTTTTTTAAATTGCCACAATTTAAAAAAATTTTTTAAAAATTGCCACAATAATTATATAAGGTCTATTTAAATAATCATGATATTCCTCTTAGAAGGACAAAGAGCATAATAGTTAGTTTGCAGGTTATGAATTCAAATTTTAGCTCTGACATTTAAAGCTGTGTGACTTTGGACAAATCATTCTGTTTCTGCCTCTGTTTTATCATATCTATAATGTAGATAATATTGTTTACTACTTTGTAGGATTATTGTGAGGATTATGTGAATTAATAATGTAGCATGCTTGTAGGAATACTATTTAGAACCATGATTGGCAATAATAAGTGCTTAATAAATGTTAGTTACATACACAGATATCTCAGCAAGTTAAAGACATGTATATTCGTGAATTTTTTTTCTTTTAAGAGACAACTGTTAATTAGGGGAATAGCTCCAAAAGCTACAGGAGTTAATCTCTGACTATTTAATATGTTGTTGCTGCTTAAGAGTCATATTACATGATTATTGTCATCTAAGTGCTGAAGCTTGTTGACCTTAAAAGCATTCTAGCACTAGAGAGGAATGCATTGGTGTGGTATGAATACATACTTTCCTAAGAGATGAATGTTTGCATGATTTCTTAATTTTCCTTCATTTTCTGCTCCAGATTTGGGTCACAGCTAAGTATCAAGGCCTCAAGTCTGGCACATTTTTCTGGCCAGGATCAGATGTGGAAATTAACGGAATTTTCCCAGACATCTATAAAATGTATAATGGGTATGTGAAATGAATTTTTTCTAGGATCTGTAATATAGAACAGCTTATTCTTATGTAATCTCCTTTTTATTGAATCCTGAGCTTTAGCATTTGAGTGATATGTTGGCTGAAAAATGAGAACTGAAGAACTCTTTCTCAAAGAGTTTAGATAGATGGTAAATGGACAGTAAAACTAGACAAGTGGGCCAGCTGTGGTGGCTCACTCCTGTAATCCCAGCACTTTGGGAGGCTGAGGCGAGGGGTCACCTGAGGTCAGGAGTTTGAGACCAGCCTGACCAAAGTGGTAAAACCCCGTCTCTACTAAAAATACAAAAATTAGCCAGGCGTGATGGCGGGCGCCTGTAATCCCAGCTACTCACAAGGCTGAGGCAGGAGAATCACTTGAACCTGTGAGGCGGAGGTTGCAGTGAGCCGAGATCACGTCATTGCACTCCAGCCTGGGCGACAAGAGCGAAACTCCCTATCAAAAAACAACAAAAACAAAAAAAAACAACAAACAAAAAAAGACTAGACAAGTGTTTTCTAGAGCCTTTTGAGAAACACCGATAACGTGTTTAGTTCAGATCTTCGGGCAGACATGAAAAATGAGGTCATGGTGGAGGTAGAGATCTGGGAGTGGGAGTACTGCACATCTTAACTCTAGAAAGAAAAAGAACTGTAACTGCCCAACAGGTTCATCTTGCACACTTCCTAGACAGATTGGGTTTATCAAGACAGGAGAATTGCAATGGAGAAATTGTAATTCATGCAGAGCCAGCTGTGTGGGAGACTGGAGTTTTATTATTACTCAAATCAGTCTCCCCGAGCATTTTGGGATCCAAGTTTTTAAGGATAATTTGGCAGACAGGAGTTCGGGAAGTGGGGAATGCTGATGCGTTGGATTGGGGATGGAATTATAGGGGATCAAGTGAGTTTTTCTTGCTATCTCCTGTTCCTGGGATTGCAAAACTGGTTGAGCCAGATGACCAGGCTGGGTGGTGTCAGCTGATACATGGATTGCAGGGCATGGTCTGGTAAATATCTCAAGCGCTCATCTGAGATTTTACACTAGTGATGTTATTCCCAGGAGCAATTTGGGGAGGTTCAGACTCTTACAGCTGGAGGCCGCATGGCCCCTAAACTATAATTTCTGATCTTGTAGCTAATTTGTTAGTCCTACAAAGGTAGACCAGTCCTCAGGCAAGAAGTTGTTTTTTTTTCTGTGTGTGTGTTTTTTTTTTCTGGGCGGTGGGGAAGGGCTATTACCAACTTTGTTTCAGAGTTAAACTATCAACTAAATTCCTTCCCAAGGTTATTTCAGCCTATGCTCAGAAATGAACAAGGACAGCTTAAAGGTTAGAAGCAAGATGGAATTGGTTAGGTGTGATCTCTTTCACTGTCATAATTTGCTGTTACAATTTTTGCAAAGATGGTTTCAGAACCAAGAGAAGGAAAAGATGAGTGTATTAAAGAGGATACAGATAGGAATGATCTCTGCTATTTAGCATCTATTGCGTTTGCAAATATTATTAAAAAGAAGATATTAATGGTACCTCTGGATTTCCATTTCTAAATTAGTAAATATGCTTTCTAATGTAAGAAACTGATTAGAATAACCTCTCTGTGATATTTGAAATCCATGATGCATTGAGAAAATACAAAAACTTTTTAATGGAAGAACCTCTTTGGCCGATTTGAGCAAGATTACCGAAATAATTTTATTTATTTTTAAATTATAAAATTTCGGTCACAAAATCAATACAACAATGCATTTAGAAGGGTGAACAGAAAATATCTTAAATCCCAGACACGAAATGCTTAGCAATTTTCCTTGTGATCTTATGCTAGTTAGTGTTCTTTATGGTTCCCAGGAGCACAGTGCAATGCCTCTTCTCCACCTTCTTATTTGCCACTGTTTTTATTCCATGGACAGTAATTAAGAGTTTATGGGCTGGGCGTGGTGGCTCACACCTGTAATCCCAGCACTTTGGAAGGCTGAGGCAGGCGGATCACGAGGTCAGGAGATCACCTGGCTAACACGGTGAAACCCTGTCTCTACTAAAATACAAAAAAAAAAAAAAAAATTGCCAGGCGTGGTGGTGCACGCCTGTAGTCCCAGCTACTCGGGAGGCTGAGGCAGGGGAATTGTTTGAACCCGGGAGGTGGAGATTGCAGTGAACTGAGACCGCGCCACTGCACTCCAGCCTGGTGACAGAGTGAGACTCTGTCTCAAAAAAAACAAAGAAGAGTTTGTGTACTAAGCATGGGGGATTCAAAGATTAATAGTATATGATCTCTTGGCTTTTTAAGATTTAGTAGAGTATACAACTAATTGTACTTGGGGTGGGGCAAGAACTCTGATTAGAGGTGTGTAAACAAAGCCTGTGTCCAGAGGAAGGCATATTCAATTCTGCTCAGGAAATACTGCGTAGAGAACTGCTGTCTGCTCCTCAGGGGCCTGCTTCACAGCTGTGCTGAGTCATCAGTGAGTGAGTGCTTCATGATGTATGCTTTGCAAAGTATATTAACATATGAGTTATTCATGTGGTATGCAGTTACTGTTTTCAGGTCCATGAATATTATCCTCAAGTAGAGGATAGCAAGCAAAGTTTTAAATCCAATTGCAATTTTTATCTGTGTAAAACCTAACTTTCATTCTTTCATTGGGAAAATAAAGTTTTCAAATAAAACCCTTGATTTCAAACACAATAGATGCGAAATAGCATTTAGTAGCTCTTAATGACATTTTCAATGAAAAAAACTATATTTTACACCCAAACAATTGTCAGCCATCTTTTATTTTTGTTTGTTCTTCATTTTAGTTCAGTACCATTTGAAGAAAGGATTTTAGCTGTTCTTCAGTGGCTACAGCTTCCTAAAGATGAAAGGTCTGTAGGCAATTAATTTCTATTGTAAATACTTCGTTTTGTAGAAATGATATACTATTTTAAAATAGACTACAACAAAACTTTGCTATTTGCTATGATGTTTTATATCGAAATAAATTCTTTAGTAAATGATCATACCACATTTTGAAGAATTTCAAAGCTGTAAATTATTTCTCAGTAGAACTGTTACACCAGTGTTATAAAATTTAATCCCTATCAATTGATGAATTATTTTTTCCATTCTGTTTTTCAATGTGTTCGTAAAATATTACATTTTGATACTGTTTGATTTAGACCACACTTTTACACTCTGTATTTAGAAGAACCAGATTCTTCAGGTCATTCATATGGACCAGTCAGCAGTGAAGTAAGTACATTTTTATCAGTAATTATTTCATTAAACCCAGTCATCAAACTGAACCTCGCTTTGAAGGAGGCTGCTAGACCATTTTATAAGATTCTATCATTTCTGGAAAAAGCAAGTATTATACACAATATTACTAAATATAAGGATGCACTTTAAACAAAATAAGAGTTGGGAGAATTGTTTAGCCTGTGTTTTCCACAGTGCTAAATTAAACTGATGATCAATTAGCTTCTATATTTTCAATTTGAAAGCCTTTATCCACTCCATCGCCCCTTACCTTGGCCTAAATACTAAGTGCTTTTTGAGAATGTTATAAACAGCTAAACCTCCAGTGTGAAAATACAGGGTAATAAGTCAAATAGCAGAGGAAGCCTCCTATGAACTCTCTTCCTTAGGAGATAGGTCTTTGGCCACCTGAGACCATGCTTACAACAGAGGTCCCATAGAAGGATGGGAGATTTTATCAAAAGTGTAGCGATATTTGAATACGTGATTTTGTTGAATATTTCCTAGGAAACTAGAGGTACGAAACAGCTCATGGACTAACACTTTCAGTGTAACATCTCGTTTGACCTGACACCCTTTCAGGAACTTAGCCAGCGCCTAGCTATGTTTTTAATCTGTGTAGCACTTTAAAACAGCAAACACTGCTTTCAGTTTTCACGTGGCCATATCATTTTTGTTACCATTTTAATGGCAAAAAAACACAATTACTTTTGCACCAACCTAGTATTTTGGAACACAGGAAGCATTAGAACAGAAAAGGATCTGAAGGCTCGGCACCATGGCTAACGCCTGTAATCCCAGCACTTTGGGAGGCTGAGGCAGGTGGATCACCTGAGGTCAGGAATTTGAGGCCAGCCTGGCCAACATGGCAAAACCCTGTCTCTACTAAAAATACAAAAAAATTAGCCGGGCCTGGTGGTGTGTGCCTATAATCCCAGCTACTCAGGAGGCTGAGGCAAGAGAATCGCTTGAACCCAGGATGGGGAGGTTTCAGTGAGCCGAGATCGCACCACTGTACTCCAGCCTGGGCACAGAGCGGGACTCTGTCTCAAAAAAAAAAAAAAGAGAAAAAGAAAATGATTTGAGCATATTTCCTTGTACCTCTAAGTTGACTTTCCTTCTGATATATATTTTGTTGGTGACCTAAGATATGAAAGGAAGTAAAAAGTAAGGATCTTGACTATTTTGGGTCATGAAAAAAGTGAAAAGAGGTATTGCCAGGATCCCTCCTGTCAGAATCCTTGTGTAGTGATCTTGTGCCCCCTGTGATTCCAAGGGGTCATAGACTATTAAAAAAAACACTCTTTCTTAATTTTCTAGGGCTTCACTCCCAAATTCCTATCAGTTCTCCCGCCCAGGTAGCCCAGGTTGGATAGTCGGTGAGCCTTAAGGACTCTTCAGCACAGCGTTCAGACTAAAGCCTGGCCTGACATGTCTGTCATGGTCCCTGTTTTTGAGGGTGCTGCTTGCCTAATTCAGCAACAGCAGAGGAAGGAAGGGAGGCAAAAAAGCATCCTTATTTTTCTCACTTGAATTTACAACAGCTGCCTAAACCATCTTCCCTTCATTTCCCTTTCCCTGGGTCTGCGCTAGATTTGCCCCTCTTAAAAAGTAGGTACTGCTTGGATCACTATCACCTTGGATAAAAGAGAGTGAAGAGAGAAGGAAGTTGACCCTCACCTAGGTCTGTTTTTACCCTTTGTATTCTTTCCATCAAAATCCATCTCCAGCAGCTCCACTGTAGTTAGTAACTCCATTGTGCCTTCCTTTCATTCTGTCCTTCAACTTGGCAGAAATACTCCTGCTTAGAGGGAGGATAAGGAAGATGCATGCCAGCAATGTGGACATGTCATAATTGGTCAAAGGGAAAAGTTTCTTGTAGCTGTTGTCTTGATTTGAACAATTGGCTACATGCTAGTGTGATTTTTACTCTTTCACTAAAGTCACTGATACCCAAGACTTGTGTCTGGGTCAATTTGGCTACAGAAAAATCCCAGGATCATTTTATACTTGTTTATAAGGTTACATACATTTGAAAATCATTGCTGCCTTTTCTAATTCACTAACAGTGTGCCAAAGCACTTGCTTTTCTGAGTCATCTTCATTTAAGGTTGAGCCCATTACTTTTCAAATCATATCCATCAATTTGCAAACTCTGTGAACTCCAACATTACTGGCACACCAAAACCCACTTTATCTTAATACTTAAAAATTCCAGTTCATGTTGCTTGGATAACTTTGAATGAAAGACGTTGTCTTGTTTCATGTTACAGTGAAAGAGCTTATCTCATATTATAGTGAAATAATACTGACAATGAATGAAGATTAAGCTGATTCCACACATTACAGAAAATACACAAAACTGCACAAAAATTTTTCTCAAATGGTTTTGCAAGGAGAGAGGATAAAATAAGTGCCAGAAAGCAGTTTGCCAATATCATTTGTCATTCTGTGTTCTTGTGATATTCATATGTAAAATACATGCAGTTTGTAAGGAAATAATGGGTTATATTCCTATGAGTTCTAATTTAGAAAATTAAATACATTGAATTATAAGAAGCATTTCATGAATAATTTGAACATTTTTGAAAATTAGGAAACATATTTATACAGTGACCATTTGAATGATCAGAAAGTATAAGAAGAAATGAATTGTGGAAAATGAAGTGGTAATTAAGAACATATTGGTTTCTGGCCAAACACTGTAGATTTGAGCTATTATTATTTTGGCTTAAGTTGGGTCTAATCTAAGTAGTAGCATTCTGACCTCAGGAATAGATCAGCTAATCTCATTCCCAAAACTTAAAATTGAACGTGTATAGAATTAGGACTCTTGCATTGTTAATGATCTGCAGTTATTTACTGTTCTTTGTATCTCTGACCCTGACCTGTCTTAGTCTAATGTGAATCAGCTCATTGTAGTTGCATCCACTGGCCCTTATCTATCTATCTGTCTGTCTTTCTTTCTTTCTTTGTTTCTTTCTTTTTTTTTTTTTTTAACAGAGATAGCTTTATGTATAAATAGCCATTAGTGTGGAAGGTATCACATGAGGTTGTTGCTTCCCATTCTTAGGTCATCAAAGCCTTGCAGAGGGTTGATGGTATGGTTGGTATGCTGATGGATGGTCTGAAAGAGCTGAACTTGCACAGATGCCTGAACCTCATCCTTATTTCAGATCATGGTAATCTGAATTTGCATTATTTACTCTTCAGGATAAAGGGCTGAAGAAAGTTTACTTGATGGTTTCCCAATTTTTTCTGAATGTTGTAGTTAATTCTTTTTTAAAAATGTAGTTTCTTATGGACAGTCTTTAGGAAAAAAATACATTAAATATAAAATATAAGTGAAACACAGAATTCACAGAAACCTAAGTGCCTATCAAGCACAATACACCAAGAATTTGAATAGCTAAAAAATATATATTTTCAACATTAAATTTGTGTAACTCTACAATTTTAGATTTAGTTGGAACTGATTATTATAGCTTCAATTTCCTTTTTTTGTTGTTGTTTTTGAGACAGTCTCATTCTGTTAGCCAGGCTGGAGTGCAGTAGCATGATCACAGCTCACTGCAGCCTCAACTTCCTGGGCTCAAGTGATTCTCCTACCTCAGCCTCCTGAGTAGCTGGAACTACTGGCATGTGCCACCACACCTGGCTAATTAAAAAAAATTTTTTTTGGTAGACATGGGATCTTGCTATGTTGAGCAGGCTGGTCTCAAACTCTTGCTCTCAAGCTCCCACTGCTGCCTTCCAAAGTAGTGGGATTACAGGCATTAGCCATCGTGCCCAGCCTTCAATTTTCTTTAGCTTGATAAATCTGACTTTAGAAGCATGATATATTAATTTTGATAATATTTTCACTTTTACTTACTGTGATCTTTGTAACACGCTTGTGTACAGTTTGGGGACTATAGGAGCAGCGTGCCTATGGAAAATAGAAAATAGGTTCTTTTTGTTTTTGTTCTTGTTTTTTGCTTCAGAAATAATTATAGAAATCTGTGTTTAGAAGCAGTCCTAAGAAGTTACATGCAAAGAAGTACCAGTCTTGGAATGAGAGTGAATCATACACATACACTCCCAGTTAATATCCTAGGTGGTTTGGGGCAAATAACTGGGCTTTCACATTCGGTCTAAAAATGTGATAAGACATTCTTCTTTGCTCACATAATGATATTGTAATATATAAATAAGAAGAAACATTAACCAAAATTTGGGTGACGGAAAAGATTTTGAAAAAAGTGAAGTGATAGGTACAGCTGAAATTCTGTCTTACCTATCAGATCTTCAACTAATATGAGTGCTACACCCATGTTTAACGAATTTAACCTTGGAAGTGAAAGAAGTTCTGCTCTGCATATTAAATTTTTTGTTAAAGTTACAGCATGTTTTGGGATTTTTTTTTTCTCCTAGGCATGGAACAAGGCAGTTGTAAGAAATACATATATCTGAATAAATATTTGGGGGATGTTAAAAATATTAAAGTTATCTATGGACCTGCAGCTCGATTGAGACCCTCTGATGTCCCAGATAAATACTATTCATGTAAGTATATCTCTGTGATAACTTTGAATATGGTCATATTAAGAATACCTTCCTTTAGGCCGGGCACAGTGGCTCATGCCTGTAATCGCAGCACTTTGGGAGGCCAAAGTGGGTGGATCACCTGAGGTCAGGAGTTCGAGACCAGCCTGGCCAACATGGTGAAACCCTAAAAATACATATACGATACTATACTATATCTATACTAAAAATACAAAAATTAGCCTGGCTTGGTGGCAGCTGCCTGTAATCCCAGCTGCTCTGGAGGCTGAGGTACAAGAATCGCTTGAACCCAGGAGGCGGAGGTTACAGTGAGCTAAGATCATGCCACTGTACTCCAGCCTGGGCAACTGAGTGAGACTTGGTCTAAAAAAAAAAAAAAAAAAAAAAGAATACCTTCCTTTAAATCATTATATCGCTAAACTAAAGGGAATCACAGTTAATTTTTTTATGATTAAATCTCCAATGCAGAGCTTTTGTACACAAATGGATTTTATGGGACTGGATGCGAGAACACAACTTACCTATTGGTTATTCATGGACTAAGCATAATATTTGATGAGCTTAGTGCAATTTTATGTTGAAGTGTGTGTTTTACTTGTGTGTCAGGATAAAGATTATACTAGAAAAAATGTTTAAGAGAGAAATCCAACTACATTTATTCAAGTTTAATTAATTAATGACACTCCATTAAAATTACTTAGTTTGGGATTAATATTCTGTTGTGAGGAGGAGTGCTGGCAGAAATGATTAATTCTATAGGCAATTGATTCCTGTCCTCCCTTAAACCATTTCAGAAACAATAAAGAATGTATCTTTTACATAGGGAAGAATGAATTTCACATCTCTTGACCACATGTGGAACATAAACTGCCAAAAGATGTTTTAAAATATTTATTCTTTTGCCAGTCAAGTGTATTTCATAACTGTTTCCACCTCTGTTACCTCCCTCTCTTTTTGATTACCATCCATGATAACTTTCAGATGTGTAGAGCAAATTTTGTTTGTCTTTTTGATATGATATAGTTAGTTAACTTTGAAACAGAAAGAGAATAAGCTTTTCTGACAATTACCGGAATTGGGTTAGGTTGGTCTATTTGGTAAGATATGTTTCAATAGATAGATACTATTGACTATTAATGAAGAAAATAGATTTCACTGCAGGAAAATGGTTATGCAGATAGATTTACACAGTGTCACAAAGCACAGGCTGCATATGCCTAATACCAAGTTTTAATTCGTATTTTTTTAATTTAGAAAAGTAGTACATGACTGTTATAAAACCTGTTATAAAAACTATACAGATAGACTGGACACGATGGTGGCTCACGCCTGTTATTCCAGCACTTTGGGAGGCCGAGGCGGGCGGATCATAAGGTTAAGAGATCAAGACCATCCTGGCCAACGTGGTGAAACCCGTCTCTATGAAAAATACAAAAATTATCTGAGCGTGGTGGCATGTGCCTGCAATCTCAGCTACTGGGAAGGCTGAGGCAGGAGAATTGCTTGAACCTGGGAGGCAGAGGTTGCAGTGAGCTGAGATTGCGCCACTGCACTCCAGCCTGGTGACAGAGAGAGACTCCATCTAAAAAAAAAAAGCTCTACAGGCAATAGCAGTCTCCAGAGATGTTTGGGATGGGATAGCTAAGCTGTACCATACCCTTATCTTAGGCCCTCAAGTTTCCCAAATTAAAGCAAAAACTATATATGTATGTCACTTTACATAAATATATAAAATATATGTATATAAAATGTATACTCTTATCTGGATAATTTTCTCAAATTTATGTAATGTTTGGCTAAAATAAAATCTAGGAAGCTAGACAGTTATTGATTTGTAGTAGAAAGTACCCTATGTAAATCCATGGGCATACTATGCAAATGCAGTTTTTAAACTAGTCTACTTGCCTTCTCTTTGAAGTTTCCTCATACCCCTCTTATTTGAAAATTCTAGAACTATCATTGAATATTGAAGTATACAAAGTAAAAAGAAACAGCTTCCCACCTGAAGTCCTCCTACTTGACAACTCATTTCCCCTCTCTAGAAACAACCGTTGTTAAGCTTGGATTATGTCTTCCTGGATAATTGAGATATTTGAATAATTATTTTTGTTGTTGAGTATTTCCTAGGGAACAAGATGTACAAAACAGCCTTACAAAACACATACAGTTTTTATTTTTACCCAGTGAAACCATACCAGATCTAGATGGATAGATATTTTGAGGGATGGATGGATGATGGATATTGGTTACTAACTGGATGGAAAGATGGTTGGACAGGTGGATGGATAGTTAGGTGGATGAATGGATATGTGGGTTAAGAGATGGATGGATAGGTAGATGTTCTGTAACTTGTCTTTCCCTTTAACAATATGACACTATATCATGGGTGTCATTACAGGGTGATCCCTAAAGGTCTGTCTAATTCCTTTCAGTGGCTACAATGTAATGACTTAAATGAACTCTTTAAAACCTGCCTTGGTATTTAAATGCAGAGTTTGGATCTGACATTCTATATTTTTGTATTATGTTTTAATTATAGTATACAATCAACTATTAATTCTTATGTTTGTTCCCCTCCAGTTAACTATGAAGGCATTGCCCGAAATCTTTCTGTGAGTATCTTTATTTTCCATTATCTAGTTATTTTTACTTTTGTATAATATATATTGAGAGAAAAGTTTCAGCATCTATTATTGGGATTGAAGGATTAGAATATTTTAGTAATCTGGGCCAACATGGAAATGCTGTGTAGTTTAAAGATCTTTAAGGTCGTATCCCAATAATCCAGGTTTGAAAAATTTTTAAGAATTTGTCTATTGGCATTATAAAATTTATATGAGAAGAAGAAATAATTTTAAAACTATTTACAAGAAATAATTTTTAAAGTAGAAGGAAAAACCCTGTAGCTGTACCACCATAAACACCATTAGCGTTATGATATATTTCCTTCCAGTCTTTTTTTATGCCTTAAAAAATTAAGTTTCTGTACTAGTGCTGAGTTATCTATACTACATTTTATACTCATACATTTTAAGTCTGCAAGAAAACTCTTACAATTGCACTTACAAGGATGTTTGAAAATAGAACCATTAGTGGTAACTTGAATATAATCTAGTGACACTGAGTTCTGGGGCTTTTATGCAGTAATAATTATGATTTCCTCTAAATATTTCAAGTAGTTTGGAAGATTTACCTTGTACATTATATAAGTGGTTTATTTAGCTGTTTTTTCATCTGACTTATTGGGCCAGCTGATGAAATGTTTGTGAAAAAAAATTTCATATGAAGTTAGAAAGCAATTTCAAGAAAAGTTGACACTTTTTATAGATATTAGGGAAATATCTTTCCCTAATAAATATCTTTCCCTAAAAAAGTTGACACTTTTTTAGATATTAGGGAAATAATAGTTTTTCTTTGCTGTTTGCAATTTCAGTGCCGGGAACCAAACCAGCACTTCAAACCTTACCTGAAACATTTCTTACCTAAGCGTTTGCACTTTGCTAAGAGTGATAGAATTGAGCCCTTGACATTCTATTTGGACCCTCAGTGGCAACTTGCATTGTAAGTTCTGACAGTCTCCCAGGTAAACTTAGTCTGATCGGTTAGTGATTCAGGGTAACCATTGGGCCCTTTCTAACAATATTGTTATGTGAAAACTGTATAAGTATGATTCTCTTCACTCTAACCCAGGATTTCTAATGTCGGCCTATGGATGTTTGAGTTAGATAATTCTTTGTTGTGGAGAGCTGTCCTGCACATTGTGGGATATTTGACAAGGATCCTTTACTTCTCCCCACTAGATGAAAGTAGCACTTCTTCTGTAATGTGACAACCAAAAATGTCCGTCAGCGTTGCCAAAAGTCCCATGGGGAGGAAGGATCACCCAGACCATCCTTGGCTAAGAACCATTGTTCTGGCTTTTCATATACATATTGATTACTTCTTACAATCTACATTTGTTACTGCTTGCCATTGCATGTCTCCTGCACATTACAGTATGTCTAATTGTGCCTCCAAAGCCTAGCCAACAGTTGGTAAAAGCACTTTATAATAATGAGTAACTATCTTCATTATACACGTTGTTTTTTCATTCTTCTTATACTAATCCATCAATAAACTTTAGTTTATTGGTGTGTTTGGCAAATTATTTGGATGGTTAATAGTGTTAATATCTCACAACTTGTTCATTAACTGTTTTGGTGGTTGCCAAGAAGCTAGTCATGATACATACCCCTGTCAAGCAAAACCTAAGCAGTGAACCAAAATTCAGTAAACAGAATTATACTGTCTCCACTCTTATTGGAGAGCTGGGCTTTTAGTTTTCAAAAAATATATATATATATGAAAGGAGAAATGGTCCTATCTTCATGAGAGAACTAATATTTAGTAAATATCTAAACACCATGTTGCAAGCATTTCTTTAGGCTATATCATTGAATTTTTACAAATAACCGACATGAGAAATTGAAATCAAAGAAGACAGTTAAATCTATCTAAACTCACAAGTAGTTAATCACACAGCCAATGTTCAAAACCACTTCTGTCTTGATGCTAGTGGTTTTTCTTCTGTCTACTATATTGCTTATAGTTAATTTGTCCATGAAATAAAAGATAGAGGTGACTTCTTAATGCTTTTCAAAGCCAGGTGGTTTTATTTACCGTTGTGTTGGTTTAACAAAATAGTTACATACTTTTTAATCAATGAAAATAATGTTATGATTATCAATTATGTTTTATGAAAGGACTTTACATTTTTAATTCATATATGTCAACATTAGGAATCCCTCAGAAAGGAAATATTGTGGAAGTGGATTTCATGGCTCTGACAATGTATTTTCAAATATGCAAGTGAGTAAACCTATTATACTTAATTGGATTAAATCTAAAGAAAAAATGATATGCAAAGTTTTAGACTTGAAAACATACTGTGATTATATGTCTTGAATGAGAATTAATGGAACATACTTTCATAAAGCTATTTTTCTTTGAACATTAAAGAATTTTGTTAAAGTTTTATATTCATTGGCTATTACTAAAAAGTCAAAAAACAACAGATGTAGTAAGGATGTGGAGAAAAGGGAACACTTATACACTGTCAAAGGGAATGTAAATTAGTACAACCTCTATGGATCACTGTATAGAGATTTCTCAAAGAAATAAAAATGAAACTACCCCTAATCTAGCAATCCCACTACTGGGTATCTACCCAAAGGAAAAAAAATAATCAGTTTATCAAAGACACCTGCACTCGTATGTTTATCGCAGCACTATTCACAGAAGTAGTCATGGAATCAACCTAAATATTTATAAATGGATGATTGGATTAAAAATGTGTGAGATATATATATATATACACACACACACACACATACCATGAAATACTACTCAGCCATAAAAAGGAATGAAATCATGTCCTTTGCAGCAACATGGATGGAATTGGGGGCCATTATCCTTAGTGAAATAACTCAAACAAAAAGCTAAAAATCACATGTTCACTTGTAAGTGGTAGCTAAACAGTAGGCAAACACGGACATACAGAGTGGAATAATAAACATTGGAGACTCCCCAAAGGTGGGAGGGCAGGAGGAGTGTGAGGGATGAAATACCACTTATTGGGTACAATGTACACTATTCTGGTGATGGGTAACACTAAAAGCTCAGACTTCACCACTGTGCAATATATCCATGTAACATAACTGTACTCATACCCCTAAATTCATAAAGTTAAAAAATTAATAAAATTTTATATTCATGTTTCATAAACATATGACATATCTCCTATTATATTTCTAATAATTATTTTTCAAATTTTTGTGCTCTGTTGAGAGTATTGCTTTACAGTTGAAGAAAACCAGTGCTATAATAGATAAGAAAGTATCAGACTTATGTTCTGAGAAGGATAATATCTTACATTTACCCAGCACTTTAACATTTTCAAAATAAACTTACAATAATTATTTAATTTGATCCCTGCATCACTGTGTAAGGTGGGCAGGATGAGGTTTATATTGCATGTCATAGATGAAAAAAAAATGTTATCATTCATTCTGTTCTGATTGTCAAACCAAGAATTGTAGTAAAACTAAGAGACCTATCCTAGATGTCCTTAGATTATGTGTGTGATAGGGTTAAAACTATATTTCCCACAAAGTCCACTGAGCGTGGTAGTTTTCCTCTTATCTTATCATAACCAGTTTGTATATGTACAATGTGGATAACAGAATTTTTGGGACCAACTTGTAGACAGCTGAAATGCACTGATAAACTTCCTTTTCTGGCCATCTAGGCCCTCTTTGTTGGCTATGGACCTGGATTCAAGCATGGCATTGAGGCTGACACCTTTGAAAACATTGAAGTCTATAACTTAATGTGTGGTAAGTGTGAACAGGTGCCTTTTTTCCCTTCTGAAAATAGACCTGAAATAGGATTATCAAAAGCAGGTCACATTGTAGGCAACTTTGTGGAGATGATGGTGAGGCAAGACAGATTTTTACCTTCTTCCTGACTCTCAGACTCACTGAAGAAATGTGGGGAACATGTCATCTTATTACTTATCTGTTTGTTCCACTAGGCTGCTTGCTGGTTAAAGTACACCACTCACAGCAGGGTGGTCTGCACACCCCCACTGCCCAGCACTTTGCTAGGCCCTCGGCTTAGTGATTTGATTCTTGACTCAGAGCAGTGATAGAAGCCAGAAAAAGGAGATTGAGGGCAGTGAAAGGTGGACAAAACTTTTGGAACTTCTGGTAGCCATAATGGTTGAATATAGGTCAGTGTCAAGGTTGCAGAAATGAAGGAGGACCCATTAGGGAGATTCTTGGTTTACTTTGTACCTTCTGAAGTAGTCCTTTTGTGTTGAAGCATTGTGTGTTTTAAATATTAGTTTCTTATTCTGATAATGGTCCTAGGCATCTGCAAAACCTTAAATATGTCTTAAGTATAATTCTTTTAGTGGGAGTCTATATAGTTTAAATGAGTTAATGTATCCTAAAATACTTAAAACAGCAGCTGGCATATAGTAAGTGCTTACTACATAAGTATTTGCTGTTATTACATTTAAGAGCATGAGTCTTAGACTCAGACAAAGCTGGTTTTGAATTCTAGATCATTTAGTTAGTAACTTTGAGACTTGGGTAAAACACTTTGATTACTCATCTACCAAATATTGATGATAACTTATAAAATTGTTTTGGGGAATAAATAAGAAAATATGTTAGTACCATGATTGGCAAAAATATGCATTCAACAGGTTGTGACTGTAGTTATTGTATGCTTTAAATATCAGAAATTTTGTAGTGAAATACAGCATACATATCAGTATTTCTATTAAAAATAACCTAGTCTTAAATACTCTAAAACCCAAGAGAGTTTTATACTTTTATTTTAGTTAAAGAGTAAATGACTCATGTATTTGGTTTTAAAAAAGTAAAGATCATGGCACAAGTCTACTATTTGTTTGATTTGAAACATCTAAGTAACTCTACCATCTTGAAATTATGCAGATTTACTGAATTTGACACCGGCTCCTAATAACGGAACTCATGGAAGTCTTAACCACCTTCTAAAGAATCCTGTTTATACGCCAAAGCATCCCAAAGAAGTGCACCCCCTGGTACAGTGCCCCTTCACAAGAAACCCCAGAGATAACCTTGGCTGCTCATGTAACCCTTCGGTAAGTATCGTCAAGAAGTTTGGTCCAGTATGTATGGTTTGATAGCACCCTCTGCATAGCATGTGCTGTAAAAATACTTAATAATCAAATTAGAATTTAGGAGTGGGGGTAGGTAAACATATGTTTTAATTCTAGGGGGCGCATGTAGATCTTTTGTGATATATCTTTTCTCTTTCTAGTTTTTGCATTTTCCACTCTATTTTTAATTCCTTGGAGCTGTGACTTGACTTGGGTGCAGGTGTGGTGAAGTCTAGTTAGTTGACTTGGGTACGGGTGTGGAGAAGTCTAGTTCAGTTCTTGAGCATCCTGAATTAGGGAATCTGTGCTGTTAACTCTAGCAGTGAGGTGATGAGCACATAGTAAACCAATCACAATGTACCTTTTTAAAAATACAATTCAGATTGTTTAAATGTAGGGAGAAAAAAGATTTCTTGGTATGAAATGAATATATTACACTGTCCTTTTTTACTTCCATGTTAATATGTCATTATTATAAAAAGATAAAAATACTAGACAAGTTATGAACAAAATTGATAACATCCATGAGGGCACCTGTAATCCCAGCTACTTGGGAGGCTGAGGCAGGAGAATTGTTTGAACCTGGGAGGCGGAGGTTGCAGTGAGCCAAGATCACACCATCGCATTCCAGCCTGGGCAACAGGGCAAGACCCTTTCTCAAAAAAAAAAAAAAAAAAAAAAAAAAAAATATATATATATATATATATATATATATATATAGCAATTTGGAGAGTAGTTTATTTCATGCTTTACATTTTGTTTTAGACTTGAGTTAGAATAGAAGAAAGACTGTTGGGGTATATAGATGAGAATTATAAAGCAGCAATCATATTCTTATTTTTTAATTACTGGTGTGATGCTTATACTAACAATTTTGTCTTTTGCAACTGTCATTCCTCTCCTTCTGTCCTTTTCATCAAAAATGTAACTTCTGTCCAGGCATGGTGTACCACACCTGTAATCCCAGTACTTTGGGAGGCCGAGGTGAGAGGATTGCTTGAGACCAGGAGTTCAAGACCAGACTGGGCAACATAGTGAGACCCTGTCTGTACAAAAAACTAAAAAAATTAGCTGGGCATGGTGACATATGCCTGGAGTCCCATTTACTTGGGAGCCTGAGGTGGGAGGATTGCTTGAGCCCAGTAGGCCAAGGCTGCACTGAGTCATGATTGCACCACTGCACACCAGCCTGGGTGAAAGAGCAACACTCTTGCCTTGAAAGAGAAAAAAAAATCCACTAATACAAGACTATCATAAATGATCTTTGTTCTATGTTGGAATAATCAATCTATAGCGGTTCTATGTTACAAAATTTAAAACATGTCTCTCAGTCCTTAAAAATAGTTTTATAACCTTTTTTAGATTTTGCCGATTGAGGATTTTCAAACACAGTTCAATCTGACTGTGGCAGAAGGTAAGGCATGCTACACACTCAAGCTCGGAATGTGAAGCAGGCATTTTCTCATCAGTGTGAAATGCAGAGAACTGGCTTGGGGGTATTATTTGAGAATAACCAATAAAATAAAGGGAGTTCTGGAGGACCACCTGATGAAACATAGAGGTTTCTTTGCTTGACAGTTTAGACTATTAGGCATAAGGAAAGGAGATATTTTGCAGTGGATATTGTATGTAATGTATTTAGTGGAAGCTGAATCACACCTTGTGAACATGATGGAGGTGTTCAAAAATTTTTGATGATTTCTGTAAGTTGATAATAGAGACTGAGATTCCCATTTGAAATACCTAAGTTTCTATCTCACCTGGTTCTTAATCATACAAGGTTATATATTGATTTATTGATCTAAAGTTATTTCTGCATCACTTTTGACCAAAAATCAAGGATACACAGACAACTGATGAAATTTTTCACTTATGACTTGAATGTTTGGAGTCACTATAATACACTCTCTCAGCCTTAAGTTACTTGGCACACATTTTTTTTCTACTAGAATAAAGAGGTAAATTCTGCATTAGTTCTGATGTAAGTTTGTCTCTATAAAATCCCTAGGTAAATGCTGGAGTTAGGAAAATCTTTGATATCTCCAAGGTGGCAAAGTATTGTGGTGAATGATGGCACTTTCAGAATTGAGTAGATCCAAGTTTGAATATGAGCTTAGGTACTATATGTTCATGGAAATAGTATTCCCTGTCAGCTGCTGTTTCCTTATCTGTAAAATGGGCATATAACCTTAATTCATAGGGAAATGTAAAAATTAGTTATATGATGTGTACCAAGCCCTTGACATTTGGAAAAAGGGCAATAAATAATATCTATATTGTTATTGTTTTATTTAGTTTAGTCTCATAATTTCAATTCTGAACTTCTGCTTTCCAAGTACACATATCATTAAAAAAATTTGCTTTCTGGAGTGTGTCCTAAAGAATAAGTAATTAAAATAGTGCTTAAGAATTTTTGGTAATATAACTTTGAATTAACTGGAATATTTAGCAATTTCATATAGTGTCCTCATGGTATCTTGATATTACATTGATTTCAGAATCTTTATAGGCAAAAATAACAGTGAACCTCACTTGTCTTCTTAATTGTTTATGCTTCTACCCTTTGTAATCAGTTTTTTTAATAGTTAAAAGTAAATCTTCAATATAATTAAGTAGAGGAAAGGATTAGATGAGTGTATCACACTATATATTATCATATAATGCACACTAACTACATTTATTTTCATCCTGTGACCCAAGAGAAGATTATTAAGCATGAAACTTTACCCTATGGAAGACCTAGAGTTCTCCAGAAGGAAAACACCATCTGTCTTCTTTCCCAGCACCAGTTTATGAGTGGATACAGCCAAGACATCTTAATGCCCCTTTGGACATCCTATACCGTGGACAGAAATGCAAGTATTTGTCACCTCTTTATGTGTGGCCATTTCAAATTAATGATTAAGCAGAACATTAAATGCATAGTTTCTCACTGTTCACCTTGGCTTTATACTCAGTTCCCGCATTAGAGGAACACTGAAGAGGGAGTCAGAAAAATTCAGTTCCAGTTCAAGCTCTGCCACTGAGCAGCTGCATGACTTTGAGAACTCAGACCAAATTTCTTCTGTGAAATGAGGGTCGTGCAGTAAAGATTCTCTTTTGGGCTGTGCGCAGTGGCTCATGCCTGTAATCTCAGCACTTTGGGAGGCCGAGGCGGGCAGATCACGAGGTCAGGAGATCGAGACCATCCTGGCTAACACGGTGAAACTCCATCTCTACTAAAAATATAAAAAAATTAGCCGGGCGTGGTGGCGGGCGCCTGTAGTCCCAGCTACTCAGGAGGCTGAGGCAGGAGAATGGTGTGAACCCGGGAGGTGGTGGAGCTTGCAGTGAGCCAAGATGGCGCCACTGTACTCTAGCCTGGGTGACAGAGTGAGACTCCATCTCAAAAAAAAAAAAGAAAGAAAGAAAGAAAAGAATTCTCTTTTCCTCCCCGACCCCAGTTTTAATATTTTATGATTCCAATTTATAATTGCATGAAATCAGCCTTAGGATCAGTCACAGTTACCCATTTCTAAATACATGGCTGTGTGAGGACAAGTATTTCCCTCAGCTGTCCAAATCTAAGGGGGCCCTCACTGTTTGGCAAAGCCATTAAAGCTCAGTAACATCATTGCACGTACCATCTATAGGAAGACACGAGCCCAAACCAGGGAGAGGCCAGAATCCTGCCCACCACCAACACCAGAGGAGTTAGGCCTTGAAAGGAGTGAGGGCAAATATCCCAGAATAAGAGCAGCCTTCCCCCTCACCCATGGCCCCCTGGGTGCTCTGGTAGAAGGAGGAATGGTGAAGGAGATGGTGCTGGAAAGAGAGAAGGGGGAAGATGAGATTTTGATCTTACGTGGAATTGAAATTTTAAACTGGGCTGAAACTGAAAGTGACTGGCAAGGTACAGGATGCCCTAAGGGAACGACAAAGGGATTTGAGAGAGCATAGTGGAGGGCAGCAGTTTGATTTAAAAAATAAAATGATTTTTACTAATCAGTGAGACAACCAAATAAAAAGATAGGGATATGTCTGTTTATATATAATTTCTATGTTACAAATATATAATACACACATATATTTATATAAAATTTCTTGAACTTTGATTTTTAAAATTTTTCAATACTGTCTTCAAACACCAAACACTTAAAAAAATTTTTGACTTTGTAATTGATCAGTCTACACCATTTTTCATAGGCACCCCATCCTATTTATTAATATTTATACCTTAATTATGGGTTCCTTGATTCCATTTTCAGTTTTCTTATGTAATTAAAATGCATAACTTTACAGTCATTGCGATGCTTGAGGTTTTTACATTGCTGTTCGGTGACTGTCCTCCTTTGCTCCAGCAACTTTTGGCAGTGTAGTTGACTATGGAAGATAGACTCAGATCTCTAAAAATCAACATTTTACTATATAAAAGCTTAAAATTGACCAGCGCGGTGGCTCACGCCTGTAATCCCAACACTTTGGGGGGCTGAGGAGGGCAGATCACGAGGTCAGGAGTTCGAGACCATCCTGGCTAACATGGTGAAACCCTGTCTCTACTAAAAATACAAAAAATTAGCCAGGCGTGGTGGGTCACACCTGTAATCCCAGCACTTTGAGGGGGCTGCAGCGGATGGATCACCTGAGGTCAGGAGCTCAAGACCAGCCTTGCCAACATGGTGAAACCCCATCTCTACCAAAAACACAAAAATTAGCCAGGCGTGGTGGCAGATGCCTGTAGTCCCAGCTACTCGGGAAGCTGAGGCAGGAGAATCGCTTGAACCTGGGGGGCAGAGTTGCGGTGAGCCGAGATTGCGCCGCTGCCCTCTAGTCTGGGTGACAGAGTGAGACTCCATCTTAAAAAAATAATAATAATAAATAAATAAATAAATAAATAAATATTTAAAATTGTGTAGATAAAATCATTCTAAACATTATTTCATATTAGCATAGCAGAATCTGAAAATATTTGCATAAATATGACAATTAATATCTTTAATATTGTAAAGCATTTTTACACTTTAGTTAGAAAAAAAGATGAATATACTAGTAGGAAAATAGGGAAGGACATGAGCTGACAGCTAGAGCTTCATAATTTTATGATGTAGTTCACCTTTAAATATTAATAAAGCAATTTTCTTCTCTGTGCCTGATATCTGAGAGTTCTTCTCATTTTCGTTCTTCAGGACAGTTTCTCTACGGAAGACTTCTCCAACTGTCTGTACCAGGACTTTAGAATTCCTCTTAGTCCTGTCCATAAATGTTCATTTTATAAAAATAACACCAAAGTGAGTTACGGGTTCCTCTCCCCACCACGTAAGTTTTTTCCTCTCCTGACCTTCCCTTTTCTCCTTTTTGTTTTCTTTCTTGTTTATAAATCCTACCATACATTATAGGGTAATATATATATTACCTATTATATATATATAAATATTACCTATTTTATATATATATTATATATATAATATATATAAAGTATATATATTACTATTTTATATATATATAGCTATATATATATAGCTTTGTTTATTTATTGGTGAAAAATTGTGGATTTGGTCTAGAACTACCAAGGGAAAAATTTTAATCATCTAAAACTTGAATTTTATAAAATTTTCTTTTTGTTGGGAGGGTAGTTGATGTAGTGCAGATATGGTAAGCAGAACACTTCATGGTTCCTTTCTGCATTTCTTTTAAACAATTTGAGAATATTGTGAAGGTGGAATATATATATCAAGTTGGAAGAATATATCAAGGTTCTTAGGAAGATAACTTTGTTAGGATAAATAACTTTGTTGTTTAAAAAGAAAATGCGTTTGTCAGAGAAGTAGGTAAAGGTAGAGGCTTACATATGCTTGCTTTTTCACTGATCCAGAATCTCTAGGGAATGGCTTTTTTGAAGCTAAGTATTCTATTTTTTGAAATGGCAAATTTGTATGTTGATGAGAAGCCATTTTGGGGCCAGCCTTAAAAGGCAAAAATCAGAAAGCTCCAGGTGCTCAACTACCGTCAGCATCCAGTTCAGTTCCCAGAGTATGTGTCTGAAGTCAGAACTTGGCTATTGCATTATAAAAATAGACCAGGTCCAAGCCTCAAATTCATACAGAGAAGCCTTGTATGGTGTTTCGAGACAGACATCCTGTGATGTTTTTTCTGGGTAGCAGGTGTTGTTCTGGAGCCAGATGTTCTCTTTTTTCTTTTCACTGTGAAAAAGTGTAAGGAAAGAAGATTGTCAACACAATTCCTTTTAGTTGAAATGAGGGCAATAACGTTTGAATATGTTTAATTTGGGGCTCTTGTTATTAAAGTTTATGTTTCGTTGACATGCTCATCTTGAAAAGACTTCTTAAATATTTTATTTTTGTAAAGGACTTGACCAAACACATTACATTTTCCCTTGACCCTGTACTTGGGAAAGTTTTACAGGTTTAAGATGGTACTCAGCTAATTTTTAAAAATGCTCCCCTAACCATGAGAAACTATAATTTCCTATGTTATTTGTGAAGAATGAAAAAGTTGTCCTCTTTTCTCTTTGTAGAACTAAATAAAAATTCAAGTGGAATATATTCTGAAGCTTTGCTTACTACAAATATAGTGCCAATGTACCAGAGTTTTCAAGGTAAATAATGTTAACTCTATATTTGATAATTTTAATGAATTTGTGCACATATAGGCATAATTCATATGTAATAGGACTTATGGTCTAAATTAAATGAATTAATACCAAATACATTCTTAAAGGTTTAACTTTGAGAATACTAGTACACAAAAATTCTACAAATTATTAGAATTATCATGTATTCTAATTGTATAATTGTTTGCAAACAGTTTTGGTGAGAAAGTATGTGATGCGCTTCCTAAAGTTATCCAGCTAATACAGTCTGCTAACACTTATATTAACTTTCATTCGGCTTCCTTATTTAACTTTTTGGAAGTTCTTGATAATTGTCTATGTTTTCAAATGAATAGATTTTACATCATCATTAACTATTGCAGCATTTGACTTTTACAGGAATAAAAATTTAGTTACTTAAATTGATGTATAGAATATCAAAATATAAGCATATAAGGAGTTTTTAGTCTAATTTATATCTAGAATACTTGTGAATATTTCAAAGTTAATATTCAGATATTAATAGGAAATCGGAATAATATGCCTTGTTTGTGTTTGCGATGTTGCTATGCTTAATGATGACATATGATCACAATTTCAACATGATGTACTTGTTCAGGGATGTCTCAAAGAGAGTTGGGTTCAACGTTTGTCTGTGAGTCCTTTCAAAGGCCAAAGCTGAACAATGAATTTTTGGCCTCACACTAAGATTAGAGCCAAGGCTGGGTGTGGTGGCTCATGCTTGCAGTCCCAGCCCTTTGGGGAGTCCAACTCAGAAGGACTGCTTGAGGCCAGGAGTTCAAGATCAGCCTGGGAAACAGTGAGATCTGGTGTCTAGTCTCTACAAAAAATTTTAATTAGCTGGGCATGGTGATGTGCACCTGTAGTCCTAGCTATTCTGGAGACTGAGGCAGGAGCATCTCTTGACCCCAGGAGTTTGAGGCTGCAGTGAGCTATGATTGTGCCACTGCACTCCAGCCTGGGTGATATAGCACGACTCTGTCTCTAAACAAAAAACAAAACAAAACGAAGACTGAAGCCAAACTTGACTTTATCTTTATTTACTATAAATGCTAATTTTGAATCATGGTGTTAATTTATTTCACACGTCAACATGGTCCCTTGTTCTTTTGAAACTACACTGGCTTCTATCTTGTTTCAGTTATATGGCGCTACTTTCATGACACCCTACTGCGAAAGTATGCTGAAGAAAGAAATGGTGTCAATGTCGTCAGTGGTCCTGTGTTTGACTTTGATTATGATGGACGTTGTGATTCCTTAGAGAATCTGAGGCAGTAAGAACATATTTCATTACTCTTAAAAATAGGAATTACCATCCAGTAGAAATGGGATTACCATCCAGTTGAGTCAACAGAACCTTTTTTATCCAGTGTCGTATGTTTATGTGTATGACACTTCTGACTACACAGGAAGCCTCTTGAAATATCTGATTAATTTTGATGTTTTGCTCAATGTTCAGTAAAATATTTTTAGGTAAAAAAGTAGTGTTTCTCACCCATTCAGTTCAGTTGAATAATTTTTGCACTCAGTTTAAATGCTGAACTCATTTAAGATCTCTGTGTGGCTGATTGTTAAGATATGATCTTAATATATTGTGAGTCAGAAGATGAAGAACTCTATGGTGTGGCTACAGATATCCTGAGTCTAGGAATGAATAGGGTTATAAAGCTGCAGTGCTTGGAGTCTGGTGGCCTTGGGTGAATGTTATGGCTTTTACCCAACTGTGGCTGGAGGGGCATGATAAAAAGCAACCGTCTGAAGGAAACCATCAGTGGTGCTTTTTTAAAAAAGAGAGGGAAAGAACATCTTGGAAACTGGTTGATCTTTATTGAAACAATAATTACAGCAGTTTGGGAAGCAATTTTGCTGTTAAGTCCGTAGGAAAAAGACTGAGATTCCACTGAGATTCAGCCCCTCTCAGAACTTTCCTACTCTCCCAGGCTGACTTAGATATATGTGACTTACAAAATACATCAGAAAGCACATCAATTTGCAAAGTTACAGTTTTTTACTTTCCCTTGAGGCATAAAGCTGCCTTAGAAGCTGTAGCACTGGAGAGGATACAGAAGAGAACTGCATATGCTTCCTACCCACGGCTTCACCCAGAGCCCTCTGTTTAAATCTGTTTTATAGATTATGTTTCTACATAAGGTCATATTTGAAAACAATGATTCCACTGCCTTAAATTTTGAAAGATGTTGAAAAAACAAACACAGCCTTAAAATAGGAGAATGACTATGAGGTAAAGATGTTTGGGACATCTTTGATAATATACTTCAGTTTAAAAAATTAAGTTATTAAGGAAGAAAATCCAGTTAGAACAAACAATTCATGACAACATGTCCTCTCTGAAGGGGCTGGAATAGAAAATTCCTAACCAGTTCTTTCTCTGCCCACTATTTGTCTATAATCGCCTAGAAGTTAAGACTATCAATAATGGTTTACACTCTTGGTCATAGGTGTTCAAAAATGACATTTTCTTTTCTTTAGTGTTTCAATTTCAATGTCTTTAGGTAGAACTAAAAGAATTCTAAAAGTCAATAAACTTCTACAGAAAATAAAAATTATTTGGAGTGTGTTTATCTGCCTGTCTTCTAATTATTGCTCTCAATCTGGCAGAGTATGTTGAGGTATTGTGATTACTAGCTTCTTATATTTAATTATTTGTTTGAATTTGATTTTTATATGTATTAAAAGCATGCTCTACTGAAATATTCATCAAAAGGAAGATAGTTATTTCTTTCTTAAAATGAATATTGGCATGTTTTACAGAAAAAGAAGAGTCATCCGTAACCAAGAAATTTTGATTCCAACTCACTTCTTTATTGTGCTAACAAGCTGTAAAGATACATCTCAGACGCCTTTGCACTGTGAAAACCTAGACACCTTAGCTTTCATTTTGCCTCACAGGACTGATAACAGCGAGAGCTGTGTGGTAAGTAGCTTTTGTATATTTACTTTGCATGTTGAAAATCTAGACATATGCATATTTGTTTATGTCACCCATCTGACATTACAGTGAGAGAAAGCACAACTGAGTACACATGGACTTCGAAATTATAGGATGCTTTTAAATTTGATCTTTTAAGATGACATATCTTTGGGGAAGACTACCCTTGTCTGCTTTTACTTTTTTCTTTTTTTTTTTTTTTTTTTTAGAGATAGGGTCTTTCTATGTTGCCCAGGCTGGTCTTGAACTCCTGGCCTCTTATGATCCTCCTGTCTTGGCCTCCCAAAGTGCTGAGATTGCAGGTGTGAGCCACCCTGCCTGGCCCCTTTGTCTGGTAAAGATACTAAAAATCAGATCAGAATCAAACTTTGTATGGCTTAACCACTAAAGTCTAGGTTTATCTGAGGTATGGATTTTCTCTTTTTTTAAAACTGGATGTATAATTTCAAAGTGTCAGCACTGTTATAAATTAAAGTTGTTAGACAACATTTCAAATTTTCTGTGTATCACTTAATTATAAAAAATCTTTTCCTTTCTTATCGTATTGTCATCCCAGTGTGTTTGGGAATAATTGTTTTATATTATCTTATTTGCTCAGAATTTTAAAAATCTACATTGTAGATTGGGACATCAAGACTGCATAACATTTTAGCAATTTTTTTTTTTTTTTTGAGACAGAGTCTCACTTTGGCTCCCAGGCTGGAGTGCAGTGGCATGATCTCGGCTCACCGCAAGCTCCGCCTTCTGGGTTCACACCATTCTCCTGCCTCAGCCTCCCGAGTAGCTGGGACTACAGGCGCCCGCCACCACACCCAGCTAATTTTTTTTTTTTTTTTTGAGACAGAGTCTCACTTTGGCTTCCAGGCTGGAGTGCAGTGGCATGATCTCGGCTCACTGCAAGCTCCGCCTTCTGGGCTCACGCCATTCTCCTGCCTCAGCCTCCCGAGTAGCTGGGACTACAGGCGCCCGCCACCACACCCGGCTAATTTTTTTTTTTTTTTTTTTTTAGTAGAGATGGGGTTTCACCGTGTTAGCCAGGATGGTCTCAATCTCCTGACCTTGTGATCCACCCGCCTTGTCCTTCCAAAATGCTGGGATTACAGGCGTGAGCCACCGTGCCTGGCCTTTTTTTTTTTTTTTTTTTGGAGTCTTGCTCTGTCACCCAGGCTGGAAGGCAGTGGCGTGATCTCGGCTCCCTGCAACCTCCGCTTCCCGGGCTCAAGCGATTCTCCTGCCTCAGCCTCCCGAATAGCTGGGATTACAGGCACCTGCCACCCATGCCCAGCTAATTTTTGTATTTTTAGTGGAGATGGGGTTTCGCCGTGTTGGCCAGGCTGTTCTCTACCTCCTGACCTCAGGTGATCTGCTGGCCTTAGCCTCCCAAAGTGCGGGGGTTACAGTCATGAGCCACTGTGCCCGGCCCATTTTAGCAATTTTTAAGTTTTCTCTTATGGTGAGCCAAAATATATTTCTTTCAGAGTACTTCCTACATTTCCTTTTTTTTTTTTTTTCATTGAAGTGACACCAAGTAAGTCTAAACCTGAATCTGCAAAAAGATGTAGCTTTCATACCAGTCCCAATGAATGGGTGGTAGGTACCTGGAGTTAGGATCTTGAGACCCAGTATGAGCTCAGCAGGAAAGAGTGCTGTATCCACTCATTCATTCACTACTACTTTGATTCACCATTCATTCCTTTGATATTTATAATCAGGTGCTCTAGGTACTGAGGACACAGCAGTGAACAAAATAGTGAGCTCTTCTCTGGGCCCAAGAGTAGAATACAATGATCCGTTTGCCATCCCTGATGGTAGTAGTCTTTCTATATATCGTTAAAATTCATGAAGATATGTCTCTCCTTAATTGTTTCTATGATAAACTTTCAGAATTACTTGTTCCTATAGAACACATTTCTCATTATTTTTCCCTTTATTCTTTAGAATTAAATACAGAATAGCAAGATTTTAGTTGGTTGCCTGATGATTATCTGACTCCACTGAAAGTTGTCAGTTTTGTGGGCATTGTTGGAAACATGCAGCTATTCCCTGCTTCATTATTTCGTTTGAGAGATTATATTGTCATTGAATGTATCAATTAGAGTAGGGTTCTGCAGCAAATAACAGAAACCCCTTTGCAGTGGCTTAAGCAAGTCAGGGATTCCTCATGGAACAGCAAGTCCAGCTGCACACAGTCCTGGGATGGCGCTTTGGGTCAACTGCACCATTAGGGACCCAGAACTTTTCCCTCTTTCTGCTCCACCATTCTTAGCATGTGGCTTTGGCCCACGTGGGCTTCTTCATGCATCTTTGTAGGTAACACATTCTCATAAAAACTAGTATTTGTGTAGTACATTTGCACACATCATTACGTTTGATCCTCAAAATAACCCGATGAGGAGGATACAGATAAAGGAATCAAGACTTATATGTTAAATAACTTTCCTTAGTTTACCTGATACGATTGTCACAGAACCAGCCTCTTTTAAAAAAATTTTCAACTTTTAAGTTCAGGGGTACATGTGCAGGATGTGCAGGTTTGTTGCATAGGTAAATGTGTGCCATGGTGGTTTGCTGCACAGATCATCCCGTCACCCAGGTATTAAGCCCAGCATCCATTAGCTATTCTTTCTGATGCTCTCCCTCCTCCCACCCCCTGCCCTCCAACAGGCCCCAGTGTATTTTCTTCCCCCACACGTGTTTATGTGTTCTCATCCTTCAGCTCCCTCTTATAATTGAGAACATGAGGTTTCGATTTTCTGTTTCTGCATTAGTTTGCTAAGGATAATGGCCTCCAGCTCCATCCATGTCCCTGCACAGGACATGATCTTTTATGGCTGCATAGTATTCCATGGTATACATGTACCACATTTTCTTAATTTAGTCTATCATTGACCATATACACCATAGTATTCCATGGTGTGTATGTACCACATTTTCTTGATCCAGTCTATCATTGTTGGGCACTTAAGTTGATTCCATGTCTCTCCTATTGTGAATAGTGCTGCACTGAACATATGCGTGCGTGTATCTGTATAATAGAATGATTTATATTCCTGTGGGTATGTACCCAGTAATGGGATTGCTGGGTCCAGTGGTATTTCTGCCTCTAGGTCTTTGAGGAATTGCCACACTGTCTTCCACAGTGGTTGCACTAATTTACACTCCCACCAACAGTGTAAAAGCATTCCTTTTTCTCCACAACCTTACTAGCTAGCGTCTGTTGTTTTTTGACTTTTTAATAATAGGCATTCTGAGTGATTCTTTACATTATTCAGATATTCTTTCCCATGCCATGTAATTTCTGTTTTCCCCCTTTTTTTAACCCCACGCCATTGAAGTTTCTTAAACCTATGTAATGCAGGACCATCTGTTCCAGGTATAGTTTCTTTTCCCCAAACTTGAAGCATCTAATTAAACAAACATGCATGGTATGTATTAGAAGGAAAGCTACTCAAGAGGAGAGATGATGCCTAACAAATCATGTGGCACGTTCCACTTCAGAGCTGAAATCTCGTAAATGATTAAACTGGGGAGATGGAGCACTTATAGAAGTGAACTGAGTGTTCTCTTGGTAACTTTTCTTTTATATTTCCTATTCTCCTAGCATGGGAAGCATGACTCCTCATGGGTTGAAGAATTGTTAATGTTACACAGAGCACGGATCACAGATGTTGAGCACATCACTGGACTCAGCTTCTATCAACAAAGAAAAGAGCCAGTTTCAGACATTTTAAAGTTGAAAACACATTTGCCAACCTTTAGCCAAGAAGACTGATATGTTTTTTATCCCCAAACACCATGAATCTTTTTGAGAGAACCTTATATTTTATATAGTCCTCTAGCTACACTATTGCATTGTTCAGAAACTGTCGACCAGAGTTAGAACGGAGCCCTCGGTGATGCGGACATCTCAGGGAAACTTGCGTACTCAGCACAGCAGTGGAGAGTGTTCCTGTTGAATCTTGCACATATTTGAATGTGTAAGCATTGTATACATTGATCAAGTTCGGGGGAATAAAGACAGACCACACCTAAAACTGCCTTTCTGCTTCTCTTAAAGGAGAAGTAGCTGTGAACATTGTCTGGATACCAGATATTTGAATCTTTCTTACTATTGGTAATAAACCTTGATGGCATTGGGCAAACAGTAGACTTATAGTAGGGTTGGGGTAGCCCATGTTATGTGACTATCTTTATGAGAATTTTAAAGTGGTTCTGGATATCTTTTAACTTGGAGTTTCATTTCTTTTCATTGTAATCAAAAAAAAAATTAACAGAAGCCAAAATACTTCTGAGACCTTGTTTCAATCTTTGCTGTATATCCCCTCAAAATCCAAGTTATTAATCTTATGTGTTTTCTTTTTAATTTTTTGATTGGATTTCTTTAGATTTAATGGTTCAAATGAGTTCAACTTTGAGGGACGATCTTTGAATATACTTACCTATTATAAAATCTTACTTTGTATTTGTATTTAAAAAAGAAAAATATTCCTATCCTGCTCACTGGTAATTAACATAGGTTTAAAATGGCTTCAAATGTGGCCCTATAGACGGTTAAAATTGTACCTTATCTTGGCAAAACTTCAGAGCACCAGTCAGTGCATGCAAGGTGCCATTTTTTATTGAGATGCTTAGAATGTTTCTTTCTGTGCACAAGACTTACCCTACCAGCAGCAGAGCCATTCTCTGTTGAGTGGTTCATTTTGAAGTTCCACAGATTGAAGAGAACATGCCACCAATCACCTCACATCTTCTTGGTGGACATGATAAATGACACAATGAACTTGATTTCTTTACTACCTTGACTGTAGCTTTTTATCCCTACCTGTGAACCTTCAAAGACTGCATTAACTTTTAGGCTACATAGGTCCAATTGAGGTATAATATCAGTACACCAAAGATTTTTATATGTCCTTCGTGTGACCATTCTTCAACGGCCTAAGGGCCAGCTGCAAAGACTTTTGGAAAATACAATTTACAACTCAAAATTATTTAATAATTTAGGAAGTTGCTTTTTTTTTTTTTTTTTTTCAGTCCTGCAGTTTCCTGAAGCTCTGTATATGATATTTTTTTCAGCCTGCTTCTCTCTGTTGTTCAGATTAGGTAATTTTATTCTTCTGTCTCGAAGCTCACTGATTCTTTATTCTGTCTAATCTGTTCTGCTGTTGAGCCCATTTATTCCTGATTTTTATATTTTAGTTATTGTATGTTTTATTTCTAAAATTTCCATTCAGTTTTTCTTTATATCTTCTATTTGCTGAGAATTTCTGTCTCTTTGCTGAGACTTTCTACGTTTTCATTTGTTTCAAGTGCATTTATACTTGCTTGTTGAAGAATTTTTATGATGGCTGCTGTAAAATCCTTATCAGATAATTCCAACATCTGTCACCTCATTGTTTGCATCTACTGATGGTCTTTTTTCCATTCGGAAACATTTTCCTGTTTCTTGGTGTGTGGAATGATTTTTTATTGAAACCTGGATATTTTTAGGTATTATGTTATGAGACTATGGGTCTTATTTAAACCTTCTGCTTTAGCCAACTTTCTCAGATACCACCACAGCAGGGGAATTGGGAGCACTGCTTCATTATTACCAGGTGTGGCTAGGAGTCCAGGTTCCCCAGTCAGCCTCCCTTTATACTGAGTAACAGGGTCCCCTCATTACTACTGGGCAAGGTGAGAATTCAGTTTCCCATTAGGTCTTTATTGATTCTTCCCTGGCTGGAATGTGCAGCGGCACCTTTTGGTGCACCCTGGGAATCTCCACTAATGCTATGGGACAGAGTGACCAGGAAGAGCTTCATTACACCAGGTGGGAATGAAATTCCCAGTAGCCTACACAGCCTTCTCCGACACCACTCTGGAGTTGTATTCTTCCAGCACACAAACATACACAATTTAACTCAAAGCATCTTAGCAGAGCTTAATTAAATGGATAGATGCCTGTTCCCTT
The DNA here is from genome assembly GCF_000001405.40 of Homo sapiens. Taxonomy (NCBI): domain Eukaryota; kingdom Metazoa; phylum Chordata; class Mammalia; order Primates; family Hominidae; genus Homo; species Homo sapiens. The sequence continues at coordinate 131,892,690 of NC_000006.12, forward strand.
TGCTGGATACCAAGAATACAAAAGTCAGGGAGTTGGGGCACCTCTTTACAGCTTGGTGAGAGTGTAAGTCTGGACTCCCCACTCAGCATTTGCTGGTATGGGTGGGGCCATGGTGTTTTTCCATGGTGTTTGGTTGGAGTACAGCCTTTTTTACCCTTGCTTGGCTACCCTTTTCTGGTCCTTTGGCAGGAGAGAGCAGGACTCTCTTAGGGCTTTTTTTTCCCCTGCATTTATTGACATTTCCAGGTTGCTGACTTTTTCAGCTCCAAGTTGGAAATATATGAGCTGAAAAGAAAATGTAGGGAACTCATCACAGTGTTGTTACTTGGGCCCCAATGTTCCTAGCCTATTTTCTGTCTACTATTCAGAGTCTTGCTGTGTTTTAATATAATATCCAGGATTTTTATATGCATTTAGCAGAAGGATGTCTACTCTGCCTTTGTAGAAGTGTCTCACTGATTTTTACATATTTTTCCAGCACACAAACATACACAATTTAACTCAAAGCATCTTAGCAGAGCTTAATTAAATGGATAGATGTCTGTTCCCTTTGCTGGACGCCAAGAATACAAAAAAGAACAAGTGACAATTTTCTCTGTCTTAGGGAGAAGAGACAGCAGAAGTGTAAATGATCCCTAAAGAGTGATAGATGTTATCATGAAGCCACAGGAGGGGTGCCAGGCTGCACAAAAGAGACACTGGATGCTTCTTGGTAGTAGAGGCAGTGGCTTCCCAGCCTTGGGGCTAAGGCTTGTAGGGTGAATTGGAACTTTTCAGATGAGCAAGGCAAAGAAGGGACCTTCTAACATTCCTTGGATGGAACATTTTTGACATTTTCCCATTTACAGCTACTTATATTTTCTACAAGTGTCACTGTGACCAACTTATGTACACATACTTTTTCTTGCTTAGTTATAATAATCTGTTCTTAAAGAAAATGTCAGTCTCTACATTCTATGCTGACTGTTAAGGAAAGAGCACCCACATCTGCTCCTACTTAGCTTTTTTTCTGTGGTTCTTACACAGTATTCCTTTTTTTCTTTTCTTGAAAGAGACTCCTCCTTTCTTTTCTTTTCTTGAAAGAGTTTTAAACAGATAAGATGGCAAAAGTGACTGATCTCTACTCCCCCAGTTTGAATGGTAAATTTGAATGGTAAATTCCCATGAACATATATGGAAATGTCTTTATCCTACTTTCTCCAATAAAGGCTGTTCTTAGCTTTTCAAATGCAAAGTGAAACCTTTATTTATCTTGATTTCTTTTTTTTTTTTTTTTTTTTTTTTTTTTTTGAGATGCTCTGTCACCCAGGCTGGAGTGCAGTGGCAAGATCTTGGCTCACTGCAAGCTCCGCCTCCCAGGTTCACGCCATTCTCCTGGCTCAGCCTCCCGAGTAACTGGGACTACAGGCACCTGCCGTCACGCCTGGCTAATTTTTTGTATTTTTAGTAGAGAATGGAGTTTCACCGTGTTAGCCAGGATGGTCTCGATCTCCTGACCTTGTGATCTGCCCGCCTCGGCCTCCCAAAGTGCTGGGATTACAGGCTCGAGCCACTGCCTCCAGCCTATCCTGATTTCTACTGTCATGCCTCACATCAGTCCTTTTTTTTTTTTTTGAGACAGAGTCTCGCTCTGTGGCCCAGGCTAGACTGCAGTGGCATGATCTCGGCTCACTGCAACCTCCACCTCCGGGGTTCTAGCAATTCTCCTGCCTCAGCCTCCTGAGTAGCTGGGATTATAGGCGCATGCCACACCTGGCTTTTTGTATTTTAGTGGAGATGGGGTTTCACTGTGTTGCTCAGGCTGGTCTTGATCTCCTGAGCTCAGACAATCCCCCCGCCTTGGCCTCCCAAAGTGCTAGGATTATAGGCGAGAGCTGCTGTGTGCTTCTTAAGTGAGGTAAGTAACTTCCATAGAAAATTTCCATCAGTTCATTCATGAAAGAACAAAGAACCTGGCAAAACTTAAAAAAACGTTTCCAAGAATCAGATAAAAGAGGACAAACCTTAGGGAGAAGAAGGCAGCTGCTCATTTCCAGCAGGGGAAGTAGCTGCATAGAGTACAAGGACTGGTAGGCCTGTTGGCTGTTCCTGTTTAAGGAGACAAGATGGGCATGGAACAGGGACCACCCCCTCCTCTGGGAGAAGCTGTTACCCCCTTCACTTTTCCTCCTCTGTCATTACCCACAATCACTCTCCTTCTTTGCGCTATGGTAGGTGTTTACCCATCATAGGAATGGGCATTTGAACTTTGAAACTGAATGTGGTGATTACACTTCATGCTGAAGCTTTTCACATGAGTGCTTTCATAAGCATTAAGTAAAATTTTATAATGACTGCAGTCCAAGGACATTTTCCCTGGTTTTTGGCCAGTCTAAATATTGTAAGAGAGAGAGAAGAAAAGTGTACGGAATATAATTGTCTCTAAGCTAAGAAATGTGGATGTTCAAATAAAACATACGTACAGAACTCTGGCTGCTTTCCTTTGTGGCTTTGTGTGTGGAGGATGGGTAGGATCATGGGCGATGGTGCTTCTCTGCAGACATGAAACTGAGTCCGAGGGTTGTTGACAGTTAACCACAGCTGTAATGCTGAAAGGCAAAAGAATCCAAAGTTCATTTCAGGTTCATAGAGTAAACACTTCTGATCTGTGACCTATATCCTTGTTCTTGGTATTTTAATTATATTTAGTCATACTTCCAGGTAAAAACAAATGACAGGCATATATATTCTTTAGTATTTAGAATGGTCTGGAACCAGACTTGGAACTTCTATAGATTCTTTTAATGTGAAATTTTTGTATTTATCCTCTCCATTATAGTGATTGAACAAAAAAATGTTTACTAGAAATCATATTCATACCAGAAAACAGATATGTGAAATACATTTTAATCTACTAGAAATGGAAGAATCCTTGGAAGAGGCATTATACTCATGGGATGTCAAAAGGAAGGAATATAAAAGAAGCCTCTTTCATCCTACTCAATGCTGTTGTTTTAAATTTAACTTTTTACTTGCCTGTAACTTCTCGATTCAAGGGATAGTTTTAGGATTTTAATTAAAATGACATTTTAAATGATATATCAGAAATTCAGAACTCAGAATGGAATATACTTTGGCTTTCACATAGTAGAGATACAAAATAATTGAAGAAATATATAGGAAATAAATTTTTTACAGTGTCTCATACAGTGTCTCATAATTTTGCCCCACAATGTTTAGATATTTTTCACTGTTAAAAAATGTATGCATTTACTTAGATGGCATTATGCTGGCTGTGACATAAAGGAAATAAAACAGGGATCTCTGAACCGAAAGTTTATAACTTAACTAAAAATTCTAAAGGATTTTAAATTAGACTGAAATTTTCTCAGTCCAATGAATGGATCTTGTTCAAATTTTTATAGTTTAAAAAATCACTGGCTGGGCACGGTGGCTCACGCCTGTAATCCCAGCACTTTGGGAGGCCAAGGCGGGTGGATCACGAGGTCAGGAGATCAAGACCATCCTGGCTAATATGGTGAAACCCCATCTCTACTAAACACACACACACACACACACACACACACACACACACACACACACACACAAAATTAGCCAGGCGTGGTGGCAGGTGCCTGTAGTCCCAGCTGCTCGGGAGGCTGAGGCAGGAGAATGGCATGAACCCGGGAGGCGGAGCTTGCACTGAGCCGAGATGGCGCCACTGCACTCCAGCCTGGGTGACAGAGCAAGACTCCATCGCAAAAAAAAAAAAAAAAAAAAAAAAAAAAAAAAATTCTTATGACACCTACAATTTTGGATTCTCTGTTATATTCTATATCTTGACACAATGTTACTGTCTGGAGAGTTAACCACTTGTACTAAGGTCCAAACAGAAACAAGATGGTAAATCTATGGGTCTTTTGTCTGTGTACTTGTTCATAAGCTATCTCTACAGGTTTACTCAACAGCACACTTTAAGATATTGGCACTGGAATAGATTTTCCCAGCTCAGGGTTGACAGTAGATTTCAAAGCTGAGCTTACTCTGTGTCAGGCATTAGGGGTAAGTTGGAGAACAGGGCAGGTGGAATGCCTGCCCCCTTGGTGCTCTCTTGTCAATGTTTTACCTTTATTTCAAGGTCCAGCCCAAAGCCATATCCTTAGGATCCATTGTTTATGTGGTCAGACTTTCCCAACATTGGTGGTAACAGACAGTACATGCCCTCAGTCTAGTTCTTGTTATGTATTATGGTTGCAATACAACTACAGATGTGTAATGCAGTTGATTATTCCATAACCCATACACAGTGTTGGTAGATGGCACCGTGGCCTATTAAGAAATTTTACCCAGGACCCAGACTCCAAATCCAAATACACAACTTGCTAAAAGCAGTCTTTGCAAGCTTAACACGAAATAAAATAATTTCAAAGTGGTGTGGTTATAGGTATAAGAGGATTGTTAGCTTCCACTTGGGGTTTCCAGGGACCTGGCGGGATCTTATCCTACAGAGAACACCAACCTCTTAAGGAAACTGGGAAGCCCAGAGAAGCTGCGCCACCTAAACATTTCCCAGCCTGTGATCCTGTAAGAAAAGAAAAATAGCTCAGGGCAGCCTGAGCTGTGTGAGGCATGTAGAATTTATTAGGCCCAGAGAGATGTGAGTGTGAGACTTTATTCTTACCACCCACCTCCCGCCATGCCTAGGGGCAGTTGTTTAAAGTCATTTCATTCCTTATTAGCTGCCTCACTCATTATCCTCACATGCCTGGAGTTTGTGATGCAAAGAACAATGTATAGCAAGTTATGTTGTAACAATGTATAGCAAGCTTATGTTACGTTGATGTAACTTCTTGGTAAACAATTTAGGAACTGCCTCTTTTTTCCTTTAAAAACTCACTTGTAACTGCTGCTAATTGGAGCACACATTCAGGGCAAACTTGAATCCATCCCTCTGGGTTACAATTCTCAAAACTGGCCCAAATAAACTCTGCTTATATTAAGTTTCCTTCAGTTTTTTCTTTTAGGTTAACATCAGTTACATTTGCTTAGACTGTATACTTTGAGCATATTCCTGAAAACTGTAACCCTGATGAGATTTATGTGTCCCAAGTGTGCTGTTTCACAAGTGTAATCACCTGATGGGTTCTTCCTGCCCACTGACTAGACAAAACCAATTCACTGAGATTGTGACATTGTAGTAAAGAAAGCATTTAGTTAATGTTAATCTAGCTACATGGCTCAGAGGTTAGGGTTTTTCAAGGATAGCTTAGTAGGCATGGGACTGGGGAATGGGTACTGCTGATTGGTTGGGGAGGCAATTATAGGGGTGTGAAAACAGTCCTCATGCATTGAGTCCACCTCTGAGTGGGAGACCACAGGATTGGTTAAGTCATGAGTCATGGGTCCAGGTGAAGTCAATTGCCAGAATGCAAAAATCAGAAAAATGTATCAAAATATCAATCTTAGGTTCTACAATAGTGACATTATCTATAGAGACAATTGAGGAAGTCACAAATTTGCTTCACTGGATTGAGTGAAGACAGCCAGCCTGTGAGGCTAGAAGCAAGACAGAGTCAGCCACGTTAGATTTCTCTCACTGTCATAATCTTTGCAAAGGCAGTTTCACAGGGTGAGAGCTCAATACTGTGGGATTGTTTTTTTCAGTGACTGTAACTCTCATTCGGCATTTTAGCATCTGTATTAGTCCATTCTCACACTGCTATAAAGATATACCTGAGACTGGGTAATTTATAAAGAAAAGAGGTTGTTTAATTGGCCCACAGTTCTGCAGGCTGCACAGGCTTCTGCTTCTTGAGAGACCTCAGAAAACTTACAATCATGGCAGAAGGTGAAGGGGAAGGAAGCACGTATTCACATGGCCAGCAGGAGAGAGCAAGAGCATAAGGGGATGGGCTACATACTTTCAAACCAGATCTCATAAGAACTCACTTATTATCATGAGAACAAGGGGAAGTCTACCCCCATGATCCAGTCACCTCCCCTCCGGCCCCTCCTCTAACAGTGAGAATTGCAATTTGACATGAGAGTTGGGTAGGGACACAGACCCACACCAAGTTGGCATATATTTCTTACAAAGATAGTTTCCTTTTCATATGTTTATCGTCATTGTGTTTGTCTGTTTGCATTGCCATACAGGAATACCCACAACTTGGTAATCTAAAAAGAAAAGAGGTTTATTTGCTTCACAGTTCTGCAGGCTATGTAAGCATGGCACCAGCATCTGCTTGGCTTCTTGTGAGGCCCCAGAAAGCTTCCAATCATGGCAGAAGGCAAAGGGTGAGCCAGCATGTCACATGGAAAGAGAAGGAGCAAGAGAGAGAGGGAGGAGGTGTCAGGCTCTTTTAAACACTAGGTCTTGTGTGAACTCTTAAGGTGAGAATTCATTAGCACAAGGACAGAGCCATTCATGAGGGATCCACCCCCATGACCAAAACACCTCCCACCAGGCCCAACTCTGGCATCGAATATCACATTTCAACATGAGATTTGGAGGGGAAAAAACCATCCAAACCATATCAGTCATGTCTCCAAAACCATCTGTTATTTCTAGCATAATGTCTGGCACATCGGAGTTGCTCAGTAAAAAATGTCCAGATGAATGAAAACCAAAGGTACAGTCATACCAAACATCCACTTAAGACAGCTAAGGAATAACAAGTTACAGAAATACAGCCAGAGGACAATTTCACAGTAATTATTCTTTGCCTCCGTAGTTTTCAAGTGCTAGAAGATACTTTCAATGGGAAATTTTTTGAAAGAGTTTATTTATAGATCTCTTCCCAGTGCACAAAGCAGAATTTTTAAAAATAATAATAAAAGAATAAGAATACTTTTCAAGAGCCATTCACAATTGTTTCAGTTAATCTGTCCTGTGGAAAGTCTGCTGCCTGGTGAACTGAAGGGAAAGCGTGAACTTTTCAGTTTTGACATCTCAAATGAAAACCTCTCTACAAAGCACATAGTGTTTCTCCAGTGACAAGCTATCATAAACATTCACTGGCAAAGGTGGAGACACAGGGTAGTGCCTCTTGGTTCTCACATCCCTCAACTCCAGGTAACACCTTCTGCTATGAGGAAAAGCACATCAGTGCTACTGGTGTTACTACCCCAGTAGCAAACACACTGGGGCATCTGGAACAAATAGATTTTGGGCAACTTTCACACACTTTACCAAAGAGGAGAGACATTTTCTCACCCTCCCTCCTATCTTTGAAATTCAGGGCAATGGAGTTTAGCATTGGCTAAGTTAGTAGTGAAGTGAATTAGAGGTAAACAAAATTATCCCATCCATCAGGTGTCTGATGGATAGTTGACAGTGAAACTGAAATATGGAACATAAATTTTCATAGACCCAATGAATCAGCAATATTGTGATAACCAAGACATCTCTGAAATAGATCAAATACAAATATAAAAATAATCATAGCTATCATTTACTGGGTTTTGTTCCAGACATTGTGCTAAATGATTTACATTATCCAAGCAAGAATTTGAACCCAGGACTTGGCAAAGTTCATATATTTAAACAATACTGTATATTGTCTCCTCTGAAAGCACATTGAAAATGTTCCTGTTCTTTCATTAAGTTCTATTCCATCAGTAGTTGCATTCTAAACCAGTTATTCTGGCTTGAATTCTGCTGCACTGCACAAGACATTTGTTTTGTATCATCTTCCTTTCCACTTTCAAGCATTTGAGTTCACACCTGTTGACATTCTTTCTAGTCCCTCATAGAGGAAGTGTAACTCTTTTTCTTTCAGACCTGATGCCTCACTTCCTACAAGGCTTTGTTTCTCAAATCACACACACACACAGCCCCCCCCCACAAACACACCTGTAATTCCCACCTCTGTACTGCTTCCATCTCTCTTCTTGAATATGCTCTTGTCCTTCCATTTTTCTATTGTCTTTACCCCATTCCTTTTGTTGCCTCTGGCTCTCTTAGGCTTCTCTTTACTGTGGGACAGGACTAATAGTACTTGGTTTATATTTTCTGTCTTTATTTCCTTACTAAGCTGTCCCTTTTTTATATGTCAGTTTCTTACTGCCTCCTAACACCTCCCCACCTCCCATAACCTCCCTTTTAAAAACAATAGAGATTTTCTAATGGCAGATTTTATTTTTATTTTGAAAATTAAAAAAAAATACTGTGAAGTATAAGGAAGAAATTAACAAGCATCCATGCAACCCATGACAGTTAACGTTCTGCCTTCTTTGTTAGCTTCTTGATTATTGCATTAATCTCTTTTAAAAATATTTTTCATCACTGTGATTATCTCAAACATTCCTATATGTCCCCTTGCTTTCATTTTTTATCAATGCTTATTATATTACCTGCTATTTCTAGTTTATTATTTCTATATTTTTATTTTTTGGGACCTGCTATTCCCTGTTTTAAAATCTCTTTCTATTGTTTTATTGTTTCTTCTTTGAGCTTCTTTTTATTTATTGGATTTGTATTCCTTCCTATCAACCTGTTATATAACATGAAACATTTTTTCAGTGTTTATTCTCAATTTTATCACCTGTATTTTCTTCTAAGTGGAGCAGGTGGAATGAGCCTTTCCTTTCTACCTTCCTCTCTCCCTCTATTTCTTTCTTCCCTCCTTCCTTCTTTTATTCCATCCTTCCTTGTTTCCTCTCTTCCTTTCTTTGTTTTATTGTTTTAAACCTATAGCATATTTACTGAGTTTAATGCCATTTCTTTTTATGTTATTCAAGATCGACATTCTATTTTACTCTGAGATGGATAGGTGACCATCTTCCAAATTGTGTCTGAGTTATTTGTTTCTTCCTTTACAGTGTCAGGGAGGAACATTTTGTAGCTTATCAACTTTTCTGAAGCCAAAAGGAAGGTTAGTGTCAGGCCTCTGAGCCCAAGCCAAGCCATTGCATCCGCTGTGACTTGCACGTATACACCCAGATGGCCTGAAGTAACTGAAGAATCACAAAAGAAGTGAATATGCCCTGCCCCACCTTAAGTGATGACATTCCACCACAAAAGAAGTGTAAATGGCCGGTCCTTGCCTGAAGTGATGACATTACCTTGTGAAAGTCCTTTTCCTGGCTCATCCTGGCTCAAAAAGCTCCCCCACTGAGCAACTTGTGACCCCCCACTCCTGCCCGCCAGAGAACAAACCCCCTTTGACTGTAATTTTCCTTTACTTACCCAAATCCTATAAAACGGCCCCACCCTTATCTCCCTTCGCTGACTCTCTTTTCGGACTCAGCCCACCTGCACCCAGGTGAAATAAACAGCTTTACTGCTCTCACACAAAGCCTGTTTGGTGGTCTCTTCACACGGACGCGCATGAAATTTGGTGCCATGACTCGGATCGGGGGACCTCCCTTGGGAGATCAATCCCCTGTCTTCCTGTTCTTTGCTCCGTGAGAAAGATCCACCTACAACCTCAGGTCCTCAGACCGACCAGCCCAAGGAACATCTCACCAATTTTAAATCAGGTAAGTGGCCTCTTCTTACTCTCTTCTCCAACCTCTCTCACTGTCCCTCAACCACTTTCTCCTTTCTACTCTTCAATCTCTCCCTTCTCTTAATTTCAATTCCTTTCATTTTCTGGGAGAGACAAAGGAGACACGTTTTATCCGTGGACCCAAAACTCAGGCGCCGGTCACGGACTGGGAAGGCAGCCTTCCCTTGGTGTTTAATCATTGCAGGGGCGCCTCTCTGATTATTCACCCACGTTTCAAAGGTGTCAGACCACGCAGGGACGCCTGCCTTGGTCCTTCACCCGTAGCGGCAAGTCCCGCTTTTCTGGGGAAGGGGCAAGTACCCCAACCCCTTCTCTCCTTGTCCCTACCCCTTCTCTGCTTTTCTGGGGGACAGGGCAAGTACCCCAACCCCTTCTCTCCTTGTCTCTACCCCTTCTCTGTTTTTCTGGGGGAGGGGCAAGTACCCCTCAACCCCTTCTCCTTCACCCTTAGTGGCAAGTCCCGCTTTTCTAGAGGAGGGGCAAGTACCCCAGCCTCGTATCTCTGTGCCCCAATCCCTTATTTCTGTGCCCCAACCTCTTATATCTCTGCACCCCAATCCCTTATTTCCACGCCCCGACCTCTTATCTCTGCACCCCAATCCCTTATTTCCGTGCCCCGACCCCTTCTGTACCTCATCCCTTATTTCCATGCTCCAACCTCTTATCTCTGTGCCCCAACCCCTTTTCCCACTTTTCTGGAAGGTAAGATCCCCCGAACCCCTTCCCTCCTTTTCTCTAGGCTTGCTTCTTTCACTATGGGCAAACTTCCACTCTCTATTCCTCCTTCTACTCCCTTGGCCTGTGTTCTCAAAAACTTAAAACCTCTTCAACTCACACCTGACCTAAAACCTAAATGCCTTATTTTCTTCTGCAATGCCACTTGACCCCAATACAAACTCGACAGTAGTTCCAAATAGCCAGAAAATGGCACTTTGAATTTTTCCTTGCTGCAAGATCTAAATAATTCTTGTCGTAAAATAGGCAAACGGTCTGAGGTGCCTGATGTCCAGGCATTCTTTTACACATCACTCCTTTCCTAGTCTCTGTGCCCAGTGCAACTCGTCCCAAATCTTCCTTCTTTCCCTCCCGCATGTCCCCTCAGTACCAACCCCAAGCGTCACTGAGTCTTTCTAATCTTCCTTTTCTACAGACCCATCTGACCTCTCCCTTCCTCCCCAGACTGCTCCTCATCATGCCGAGCTAGGTCCCAATTCTTCCTCAGCCTCCGCTCCTCCACCCTATAATCTTTTTATCACCTCCCCTCCTCACACCTGGTCCGGCTTATAGTTTCGTTCCGTGATTAGCCCTCCCCCTCCTGCCCAGCAATTTACTCTTAAAAAGGTGGCTAGAGCTAAAGGCATAGTCAAGGTTAATGCTCCTTTTTCTTTATCCCAAATCAGATAGCGTTTAGGCTCTTTTTCATCAAATATAAAAATCCAGCCCAGTTCATGGCTTGTTTGGCAGCAACCCTGAGACACTTTACAGCCCTAGACCCTAAAAGGTCAAAAGGCCGTCTTATTCTCAAAATACATTTTATTACCCGACATTAATAAAACATTAAATAAAACTCCAAAAATTAAATTCCGGCCCTCAAACCTCACAACAGGATTTAATTAACCTCGCCTTCAAGGTGTACGATAATAGAAAAAAGTTGCAATTCCTTGCCTCCACGGTGAGACAAACCCCAGCCACATCTCCAGCACACAAGAACTTCCAAATGCCTGAACCGCAGAGGCCAGGCATTCCTCCAGAACCTCCTCCCACAGGAGCTTACTACACGTGCCGGCAATCTGGCCACTGGGCCAAGGAATGCCCGCAGCCCGGGATTCCTCCTAAGCCGCGTCCCATCTGTGTGGGACCCCACTGGAAATCGGACTGTTCAACTCACCTGGCAGCCACTCCCAGAGCCCCTGGAACTCTGGCCCAAGGCTCTCTGACTGACTCCTTCCCAGATCTTCTTGGCTTAGCGGCTGAAGACTGACACTGCCCGATTGCCTTGGAAGCCCCCTAAACCATCACGGATGCCGAGCTTCGGGTAACTCTCACAGTGGAAGGTAAGCCTGTCCCCTTAATCAATATGGAGGCTACCCACTCCACATTACCTTCTTTTCAAGGGCCTGTTTCCCTTGCCTCCATAACTGTTGTGGGTATTGACAGCCAGGCTTCTAAACCTCTTAAAACTCCCCAACTCTGGTGCCAACTTAGACAATACTCTTTTAAGCACTCCTTTTTAGTTATCCCCACCTGCCCAGTTCCCTTATTAGGCTGAGACACTTTAATTAAATTATCTGCTTCCCTGACTATTCCTGGACTACAGCTATATCTCATTGCCGCTCTTCTTCTCATTCCAAAGCCTCCTTTGCGTCCTCCTCTTGTATCCCCCCACCTTAACCCACAAGTATAAGATACCTCTACTCCCTCCTTGGCGACCAATCATGCACCCCTTACCATCTCATTAAAACCTAATCACCCTTACCCCACTCAACGCCAATATCCCATCCCGAAGCACGCTTTAAAAAGATTAAAGCCTGTTATCACTCGCCTGCTACAGCATGGCCTTTTAAAGCCTATAAACTCTCCTTACAATTCCCCCATTTTACCTGTCCTAAAACCAGACAAGCCTTACAAGTTAGTTCAGGATCTGCGCCTTATCAACCAAATTGTTTTGCCTATCCACCCTATGGTGCCAAACCCATATACTCTCCTATTCTCAATACCTGCCTCTACAACCCATTATTCCGTTCTAGATCTCAAACATGCTTTCTTTACTATTCCTTTGCATCCTTAATCCCAGCCTCTCTTCGCTTTCACTTGGACTGACCCTGACACCCATCAAGCCCAGCAAATTACCTAGGCTGTACTGCCACAAAGCTTCACAGACAGCCCCCATTACTTCAATCAAGCCCAAATTTCTTCCTCATCTGTTACCTATCTCGGCATAATTCTCATAAAAACACATGTGCTCTCCCTGCCAATCGTGTCCGACTGATCTCTCAAACCCCAGCACCTTCTATAAAACAACAACTCCTTTCCTTCCTAGGCATGGTTAGTGCAGTCAGAATTCTTACACAAGAGCCAGGACCGCACCCTGTAGCCTTTCTGTCCAAACAACTTGACCTTACTGTTTTAGCCTAGCCCTCATGTCTGCGTTCAGCGGCTGCTGCTGCTTTAATAATTTTAGAGGCCCTCAAAATCATAAACTATGCTCAACTCACTCTCTACAGTTCTCATAACTTCCAAAATCTATTTTCTTCCTCATACCTGACGCATATACTTTCTGCTCCCCGGCTCCTTCAGCTGTACTCACTCTTTGTTAAGTCCCACAATTATCATTGTTCCTGGCCCAGACTTCAATCCGGCCTCCCACATTATTCCTGATACCACACCTGACCCCCATGACTGTATCTCTCTGATCCACCTGACATTCACATTTCCCCAAATTTCCTTCTTTCCTGTTCCTCACCCTGATCACGCTTGATTTATTGATGGCGGTTCCACCAGGCCTAATCGCCACACACCAGCAAAAGCAGGTTATGCTATAGTACAAGCCACTAGCCCGCCTCTTAGAACCTCTCATTTCCTTTCCATCGAGGAAATCTATCCTCAAGGAAATAACTTCTCAGTGTTCCATCTGCTATTCTACTACTCCTCAGGGATTATTCAGGCCCCCTCCCTTCCCTACACATCAAGCTCGAGGATTTGCTCCCACCCAGGACTGGCAAATTAGCTTTACTCAACATGCCCCGAGTCAGATAACTAAAATACCTCTTAGTCTAGGTAGACACTTTCACTGGATAGGTACAGGCCTTTCTTGTAGGGTCTGAGAAGGCCACCGCAGTCATTTCTTCCCTTCTGTCAGACATAATTCCTCAGTTTAGCCTTCCCACCTCAATACAGTCTGATAACAGACCAGCCTTTATTAGTCAAATCAGCCAAGCAGCTTTTCAGGCTCTTAGTATTCAGTGAAACCTTTATATCCCTTACGGTCCTCCGTCTTCAAGAAAAGTAGAATGGACTAAACGGTCTGTTAAAAACACACCTCACCAAGCTCAGCCACCAACTTAAAAAGGACTGGACAATACTTTTACCACTTTCCCTTCTCAGAATTCAGGCCTGTCCTCAGAATGCTACAGGGTACAGCCCATTTGAGCTCCTGTATAGATGCTCCTTTTTATTAGGCCCAGTCTCATTCCAGACACCAGACCAACTTAGACTGTGCCCCAAAAAAACTTGTCATCCCTGCTATCTTCTGTCTAGTCATACTCCTATTCACTGTTCTCAACTACTCATACATGCCCTGCTCTTGTTTACACTATTCTTCCAAGCCATCACAGCTGATATCTCCTGGTGCTATCCCCAAACTGCCACTCTTAACTCTTGAAGTAAATAAATAATCTTTGCTGGCAGGACTATGCTGAATCTCCTTAGGCACTCTCTAATCAGATATCCTGAGTCATCCCAATTCTTAGACCTTTTATACCTGTTTTTCTCCTTCTGTTATTCCATTTAGTTTTTCAATTCATCCAAAACCGTATCTAGGCCATCACCAATCATTCTACACGACAAATGTTTCTTCTAACAACCCCACAATAACACCCCTTACCACAAGACCTCCCTTCAGCTTAATCTCTCCCACTCTAGGTTCCCACGCCGCCCCTAATCCCGCTTGAAGCAGCCCTCAGAAACATCGCCCATTCTCTCTCCATACCACCCCCCAAAAATTTTCACCGCCCCAACACTTCAACACTATTTTGTTTTGTTTTTCTTATTAATATAAGAAGGCAGGAATGTCAGGCCTCTGAGCCCAAGCCAAGCCATCGCATCCCCTGTGATTTGCACATATACACCCAGATGGCCTGAAGTAACTGAAGAATCACAAAAGAAGTGAATATGCCCTGCCCCACCTTAACTGATGACATTCCACCACAAAAGAAGTGTAAATGGCCGGTCCTTGCCTGAAGTGATGACATTACCTTGTGAAAGTCCTTTTCCTGGCTCATCCTGGCTCAAAAAGCACCCCCACTGAGCACCTTGCGACCCCCACTCCTGCCCGCCAGAGAACAACCCCCCTTTGACTGTAATTTTCCTTTACCTACCCAAATCCTATAAAACGGCCCCACCCTTATCTCCCTTCGCTGACTCTCTTTTCGGACTCAGCCTGCCTGCACCCAGGTGATTAAAAGCTTTATTGCTCACACAAAGCCTGTTTGGTGGTCTCTTCACAGGGACGTGCATGAAAGTTAGGGGTAGAAGAAAAGATGGATTGAGGTTGTCCTCAGACTTTCCATGGTATCTGAGCTGTTTTCCTCTTCCGGAATTGTGTCTCATATGAAGTTCCTCTTCATTTGAGGTATAAATAATTCCTGTGTTGAGTGCTCTTATACTTTGGCCCATTTATTTATCACCTACCGAGGAGATAACACATCTCTGTCAACTCTGTTTTCTATTACTTTTTTCCTGTGCTCAAGTAATCCTCCTGCTTCAGCCTCCCAAGTAGCTGGGACTACAGGTGCATGCCACTGTACCTGTCCTTGTTTTCCCTTTCCTTGTTTCACCAGTTTTCCCATCATGTTACCATTTTCTGTAGCGATTGTTTTATCTTTCCATTCTGCATGCTCCTTTTCAAAGTGACTTTGCTGCTCCCCCATCAACAGGCAGAGCCTGTTTCCACATCCTCTGAATGTAGGCTAGCCTTGGGACTAGCTTTGGCAAATAGAATGTGGCAGAAGTGACATTTTGCATTTTATAAGGCATCCTTAGGAGGTTTGCAGCTTCTGCTTTAGGTTCCGAAAATGGAGCTCCTACCACTATGAAAAAAAGCTCAGGTTAAACTACTTGAATGATGAGAGACTATCCAGTAGAGAGGTCCAGGCTCACAGCCAGCACCAAGTTCTCATATGAGAGAGTAAGGCCATTTTATGCTCTCCAGTCCCAATAGAGCTACCAGATGACTGCTGCGGCACAAGTGACCCCAGAAAAGCCCATAAGAAAAACAACCTATATGAGCCCAGACAAGCCACAGAATCGTGAAAAATAGGAAATTGTGAAAAGCCAATAAATCGACATATGATTTGTTATGCAGCATTAGCTAAATAAGACAACTGATTTCCATCCCAAAGTAGTCAGGAAAAGGAATAGGTAAACCTATATAGTCAATTTGCTTTTCCTCATATTTGAGGGAATTAGTGAGAAAAATCAGGGTTCTGAAAAGCTGGGGGGCAGAGTTCAGAGACAATTCTGGCTCTGCTTGTCACATTCAGAATCTCCTGTTTATTTCAGGAGGTTTAGATGTTTCTCTAATTAAGAGGGAGTATAAGCCACTCTTCTGCTATGCTCATTCTTATAATACAATGTGTCATTTTAAACCCACTTTGGCCTCTCTCCCTTTGATTGGATGAACCTAATTATGGTTTGCTTGGGGAAACTTGGCTTGAGGCTGTGGTTCTCTACCATTACTGTCTATAAAACTCAGTAAACCCTACTGACAGGTAGAATCCTGCCCATCACTCTCACGACAGTCTGTAGCTCTTCCTTATAAATACACATTAGGTAATTCTGAGGCTAGTGGTCTACACTTTGTGAAATACAATTGACATAAATCTAACATTTCAGAGAATAATAGGTCCAGTTTTACCTCTTTCCATCAGTTGTTTGTGAAGTTAATAATTGAGACACAGCCTAAGCCCGAAAGCAAGACTCCATGTCTACAAAAGATACAAAAGCAAATTAGCCATACATAGTGGTGTGCACCTGTAGTCCCAGTTACTCAGGAGGCTGAGGTGGGAGGATCCCTTGAGCCCAGCAGTTTGAGGCTGCAGTGAGCCATGATCATACCACTGTACTCCAGTTTGGGCAACAGAGTGAGACCCTGTCTCAAAAAAATAAAGAATTGGAGGCTGGGCATGGTGGCTCTTGCCTGTAATCCCAGCACTTTGGGAGGCCGAGGTGGGTGGATCATCTGAGGTTGGGAGTTCGAGACCAGCCTGACCAACATGGAGAAACCCCATCTGTACTAAAAATACAAAATTAGCCGGGTGTGGTGGCACATGCCTGTAATCCCAACTACTTGGGAGGCTTAGGCAGGAGAATCGCTTGAACTTGGGAGGAGGAGGTTGCAGTGAGACAAGATCACACCACTGCACTCCAGCCTGGGCAAAAAGAGTGAAACTGTCTCAAAAAAAAAAAAAAAAAGAATTGGGGCAAAAGTCGTTTGGGTGTGCATATTGATTCCATACTTCAAAGGACGTAGTAGATGCATACCCATGTTCACAGCATTGTTCACAGTAGCCAGGGGGTGGAGACAACCCAAGTGGCCATTGACAGATAAATGAATACATAAAATGTGGGATATTTATGGAATATTATTCAGCCTTAAAAAAGAAGGAAGATCTCACATATGCTACAACATAGATGAACCTTGAGGACATTATGCTAAGTAAAATCAGCCATTCACAAGAAAGACAATGTATGATTCCACTTATATAAGGCATCCAAAGATCTCAAATTTCTAGAATGGAAAGTGGAATGGTGCTTACGAGGAGCTGGGAGAATGGAGAGTTGTTTAATGGGTGTAGATTTTCACTTTTACAAGAGATCTGTTTTCTAGGGATCTGTTGCACAACAATGTGTTAACACCACTAAACCACATAATTACAAGTGTTTAACATGGTAAATTTTATGTTATGTGGGTTTTTTAAAAATTGTGGTTAACCACAATTTTTTTTTTTTAATGAGGAGGAAGAAGAGGACGTGTTGACAGCATAAATGGTAAATCCTGATTGTAGATGGAGAATTTACAAGTTTGTTATGACTATGTTTCACAGCAATACTAAAAACAACAACAATAAATACAGTTGTCACTTTAGAAACATTGTTAACTCTATACATCAGATAAAATTGAACATAGGAAACTCCTACAGCTGCAGAGTAGCATATAGTTAGAGGCCATCTCTAAAGAGTTGCTCTCCCCCTGCTGGCAAGTCTTGGAATTGTTCAGTTTGGGGAAGGAACCAGGACAGCTAGAGAGAGAACGTTCTCAGTAAGATGCTCTTGTCATTAAAATGTAGGTGCTTTCATTCATCAAAATATTTCCTAGAAAGACACCAAACTCCCATAGCTATTATCTGAAGTTATTCACTTTTACATTCTTCCATTTATTTCTTTTAAATATTTTAATTGACAAATGACAGATTGTATATATTTATGGTGTACAATGTAAAGTTTCGATATGTGTATACATTGTGGAATGATTAAATCCAATTCTTCCACTTCTTAAAATGAATGTACAACTTATTTGACTATAGCTCATTCATTCACCAACCTGTATTTAACTCTTAATATGCATTGTTGTGCCAAACACTGGGATTTCAAAGATGACATTGGTGTGGACCCAGGTTTGATATCTGATAGAGGGATATAGACATGTAAATCATTAAATCAAATTTAGTAAAGAGTTGTAAGTGTAATAGAAACCATCTGTGTACTACAGTATAAGAATTACGGCATAAAGAAAGCAGTAAAGAGATTCAGCAGGAGTATAATTAATATATTGGATTCCTGTCTTTTTTTTAAATTAATTATTTCTTTTTTTTTTTTTTTTTTGAGACTGAGTCTCGCTCTGTTGCCCAGGCTGGAGTGCAGTGGCACGTCGGGTCACTGCAAACCTCCCGCTCCTGGGTTCAAGCGATTCTCCTGCCTCAGTCTCCTGAGTAGCTGGGATTACAGGCATGAACCACCACGCCCGGACTTCCTGCCCTTTGAATTTACCAAGAAGAGGTAATTCGATCATGCATAGCACACAAATATATTAATTGTCAAAGCGCATCCTCTCTCTATTCTTGTGAGTTGGATTTTTTTTTAAAAAAGACTTTCATTTTGAAATAATTACAAATTCACAGGAAATTGCAGAGATGGATAGTACAGAGGTTCTGTGTATCCTTTACCTGGTTTCCCCAGTGATTACATCATCAAAACCAAGGAGTTGATTGACAATGATAAAAAGCATGTGCATAATTCTATGTCCTTTTACCATATGTTTAGATTTGATAAGCACCACTTCAATCAAGATATATAACTATTTCATTACCACAGGGATCTTCCAGGGCTACCGCTTTACAATACTACTAACCTCCTCCCTCTAGCATCGTTAAACCCTGGCAACTGTTCATCTATTAAAGGATGACATTGGCACTGGAGATGACATCTAATAAAGAGACACAGAGAAGTAAATCATGCAAATCTAATGCAGAGAATAAACTAAGCTTGTAACCTGTAATAGCTTGTAGCTTCAATGTTATATAAATGAAATCATTCAGTATGTGACCCTTTGAGATTGGCTTTATTCCCCCCAATTAGTGCACTTTCCTGTAATCAAGCCAAGTTGCTGTGTATCAATAGTTTATTGCTTTTTTACTGCCGAGTTATATTTCTAGTTTGGAGGTACACAGTTTGCTGAATCACTCACCTATTGTAGGACATTTTCAGTTATTTCCAGTTCTTATCTGTTACATATAACACTGCTATGAACAACTATATGCAGGTTCTTTTATGGACTTAAAGTTGCATTTCTCTGAGTTAAATGTCCAGGAGGATGATTGCTAGGTTGATTAGTAAGTGAATGTTTATTTCTTTTTGAGAAACTGCCAAACAGTTTTTCAGAGTGGCCATAACACTTAACATCACCACCCGCGATGTGTGAAACATCTAGTGTTTCCATATTCTTACAGGCATTATTTTTCATTATTGTCATTATTTTTCATTGATTTGATTTAATAGGCATGCAGTGATAGCTCATAGTGATCCTAATTTGCATTTCACAATTGGATTAGGTGTTGCATATGTTTTCATGTGCTTATTTGACATTTATGTATGCTTTCTGGTGAAATACTTCATCACGTCTTTTGCCATTTTCTAAGTGAATAGTTTAACTTTTTACTGTTGCAGATTGAGAGTGTTTATGAATTCTAGACATGACTCCTTTATCAGATATGTGGTTTGCAAATATTTCCTCTTAGTCTGCGGCTTGTATTTTCACATCTTTACTGGGTCTTCTGCAGGACAAACACTTTTAATTTGGATGAAGTTTAATTTATCATTTTTTTTTTCTTTTATGAAGCATGCTTTTGGTGTCATGTCTAAGAACTCTTCGTCAAACCCCAGGTCCTGAAAATGTTTGTCTATGATTTCTTCTAAAGTTTTATAGTTTACATTTTACTTTAAAATCTATGATTCAAAAATTTGAGTTAATTTTTATATAATGTGTGAGATTTAGGTCAAGGTTCACATTTTTACTTATGAATATACAATAGCTGCAGGACCGTATATTGAAAAGGCTATCTTTCCTCCATTGCAATGCTTTTTGACCTTTGTTAAGACTCAGTTCAGTGTATTTTCTTAGGTGTACTTCTGGGTTCTTTATCCTGTTCTATTGATTTATGTCACTGTCCCTCCATCAGTACCATGTAACCTGTTTACTGTGTCGGCAAAGTAAGTCTTGAAATTGGGTAGAGTGAGTCTTCCCACTTGATTCATCTTTTTCAAAATTGTTTTTAGCTATTCTAGTTCCTTTGCCTTTCCATATACATTTTATCTTATTTTATTTTTGAAACAAGTTCTCACTCTATCACCCAGGCTGGACTGCGGTGGCATGATCACTGTTCAGTGCAGCCTCAGCCTCCCAGGATCAGGAGATTCTCCTGTCTCAGTCTCCTGAGTGACTGGGACCACAGGTGTGGACCACCACACCCGGCTAATTTTTTTTTTTTTTTTTTAATTCTTAGAAACAGGGTCTTACTCCGGGCGCAGTTCCCTGTAATCCTAGCAATTTGGGAGGCCAAGGCGGGCGGATTTTCTGAACTCAGGAATTCAAGACCAGCCTGGGCAACATGGTGAAACCCCGTTTCTACTAAAATACAAAAAATTAGTAGAGCATGGCGGCATGCACCTGTAGTCCCAGCTACTCGGGAGGCTGAGGCAGGAGAATTGCTTGAACTCGGGAGGTGGGAGGTTGCAGCAAGCCGAGATGGCGCCACTGCACTCCAGCCTGGGAGACATTGAGACTCCGTCTCTAAACAAACAAACAAACAAACAAACAAACAAACAAACAAACAAACAGGGTCTTCCTACTTTGCCAAGGCTAGTCTTGAACTCCTGGGCTCAAGCACCCTCCCAGCTTGGTCTCCCAAAGTGTTGGGATTACAAGTAAGAGCCACTGTGCCCAGCACCATATAAATTTTAGAATAATCTTGTCTTTGTCCTTATCAACAAAATTTCTTGCTGGGATTGTGCTGGTAATTGCAATAAACTTATGTATCAATTTGGGGAGAACTGACATCTTAACAGTGTTGAGTTGTCTGATCCATGACCACAGTATGTCTCTCCATTCATTTAGATTTTTGATTTCTTTCATTGCTATTTCGTAGTTTTTGGCTTGTTTTTATTAGATTCACACTCAAGAATATTTTTAGCAATTGTAAATGCTACTGTATCTAAAATTTTACCTTCCACATTTCCATTGCTAGTATGTAGAAATACAATTAGTTTTTGTTCTAGGAGGGTGTTTTGGTGGATTCCTTGGGACTTTTGTAGATAGACAATCATGCTCTCTACAAAAAGGGACAGTTTTATTTTTCTCTTTCCAATATGCATACCTTTTATTTCCTTTCCTTGCTTTATTGCACTGGCTAGAACTTCTAATACCATGCTGAAAAGCGGTGGTAAGTGGACATTTTCGCCTTGTTCCTGATTCTAGCAAGAACGTATTGTCTTTCGTCGTGAAGAATGATGTTAGCTGTAGGGTATTTTTTTGGGAAGGGGGGGTTGATATTAGTATGCTCTGTTTTTAGAAACAAATGTAACATCTGAATTTGTCCACCACTCTAAGGCTCAAGAAACTCCACTTTATTTAATTTTTCTCAATCAAGTTAAATCAGAATGTTAGTTGTTATGTTTACGAAGTTTCCATTTTTGTATTAAATAGTAGTTATTTTATTTTAATTTTTAATAAAAAACAGAAATTTTTATTGGCTCACATTTCTGGAGGCTGAAAAGTCCAATATCATGGTGCCAGTGCTAATGAGGGCTTTTGTGCTATGTCATCCCATAGAGGAAGGTGAAGGGCAAGAGAGGGCAAGTGAGAGAGGAATGAACTAACCTTGTCCTTTTATAACAAACCAACTCCCTAGATAATGGCCTTGATCCACTCTTGAAGGTGGAGCCCTCCTGGCCTAACTACCTCTTTAATGGTCTCACCTCTTAACACTGTTGCATTAGGGATTAAGTTTCCAATACATGCCTTTTGGGATACACATTTAAACCATAGCACATGTGACGTTGAGCAGGTGACTCACAAAAGAGTCATGCTAAGTAGTAGTTATTAAAACACACACACACCTAGAAAAAATAATAAATAATACAAAGAAAAATTTTCACTCCTGGTAAAAATTTTTAATACCCATATTAGCATATTCATAAATAACTGTAAATTTCACCTTGTTGTTATCATATGAAAAGTGGTGATCACATTAATAATTAGCCCATCAATAACTTTAAAATATCTTTTGTGCCTTCTTTTGAGTGTTTTTTCTTTCTTCTCATAATGAAGTCCTCTTTCCTTGTGAAGTAAGAAAAGTAAGTCAGCAACTATATTTAGCTCTTGTAATTATGTTTTTGTATAATAGACAATGCAAAGTCTTTTAAATATTAGAGCTCAGTGAAGTATCATCCTTGGATATTTTTAGTTTAGGAAATGTTAGGGATATTTGATGTAAGTAAGGAGTGCCCATGAACTAGATATGCAGATGCCATGGGAATTTTGGGGGAATCAAGATGTTGGCTTGGGTGTTGGAGTATCCATTGGGATCTTTGAACACTGAGAGGAGCATCATATGGGGAGAAATGCCTTCCCTTGTACCTCAGGGGTCACTGAAGTCTGGGCCAATCAATGGGACCTTCACCAGTCACGTGAAAGCTCTCAGAATGACTGGCGATGGCTGCAGCTGCCACTGGGGACATTTCTCTGAACTGCCTAGACTGTCATTTTTTAACAGCTTCTGTCTTAACAACTGTAGTGACACCGGAGGACCAAGAACTGGATGTTACAGCTGCTTAGGGTTAAATTTGTTCTTGAGATACAATTTGTCCTTGAGTGCTACATCTCTTTGCCCAGCAGGTGGCAGTAAGCGATTACGAGACATATGGTAACAAGCATCAGCGTAAGAGACTTTGGAGTATACTCAGGGCTACTTGGAAGGATTAACTCTTCAACATTCTGCGAATCTGAATTTAGCTTTCAATTTAGATATCAACTGTAATACTGTTTTATTGGGTGCCTCTAAAATGGTGAAGCGGTGCATACTGTTTGAGCGTAAACAGATTTTACAGCAGAGCTGCTTCAGTTGAATAGGGGCATAAGACCTGGAGGCTACCTACTCAGTGCCATCTTCCCCAAATACAGCAGACCATTGAGTCTTTGAAGACCCTGCTTTGGCTCAGCTTCTCAGTGGATCAACAGACCTGTAATTCTTACTAGTCACCTCGAATTCAGCATATTCAAACCAAGCAGTGGTGTGCAGGGGCCAGCCTTCACCTACTTAGAAGAGTCCATTGATAAATTGTCAGAGGTTTTGCAAGCTGGTTAACTTCACATTGGTAGTTTGAAAGTATCCACAATGGAAGCATTTACAATAGAAGTCGTGTAATTCTACTAACAAAGATCTCCCCTCACCTCCAGCTGTTTATTCAATATTTATTAATATTACACTGATCTAAGCACACTTGCTTTCTCCCTGAACAACATCTCTTTTCCTGCCTATATATCCCATCTGATACGGTTTGGATTTGTGTCCCTGCCCAAATCTCATGTCGATTTGGAGGAGGGGCCTGTTGGGAGGTACTTGGAGCATGGGGTGGATTTCCCCCTTGCTGTTCTCATCATACTGAGTGAGTTCTCATGAGATCTGATGATTTAAAAGTGTGTGGCACTTCCCCCTTAGCTCTCTCTCTCATGCCACCATGTGAAGAGGTGCTTGCTTCCCCTTCACCTTCCGCCATGACTGTAAGTGATTAGGTTTGACTGTGTCCTCACCCAAATCTCATCTTGAATTGTAGCTCCCATAATTCCCACAAGTTGTGGGAGGGACCCAGTGGGAGATAGCTGAATCATGGGGCGGTTTCCTCCTTACTGTTCTTGAGGTAGTGAATAAGCCTCATGAGATCTGATGATTTTATAAGGGGTTTCCACTTTTGATTGGCTCTCATTCTCTCTTGTCTACCACCATGTAAGATGTGTTTTTTGCCTTCTGCCATGATTGTGAGGCCTCCCCAGCCACATGGAACTCTAAGCCAATTAAACCTCCTTTCTTTATAAATTGCCCAATCTTGGGTATGTCTTTATTAGCAGTGTGAAAACAGACTAATACAGTAAGTTTCCTGAGGCCTCTCAGTCATGTTTCCTGTTAAGTCTGTGGAACTGTGAGTCAATTAAACCTCTTTTCTTCATAAATTACCCAGTCTCAGGTAGTTATTTATAGCAATGTGAAAAGAGACTAATACACCATCAATCCCCAAACCTCTCATTATCTCACTTCACAAAGCTCAGTCCAAACTGTTCTTCCTCTGCAGTGACACTGAACTTGGCCACTCTCCCACCATCACCTCTTCTTCCCTTGCCTCTGGTTTCCTAAAGCACTTTGTTTCTGTCACAGGGTAAAATACTCTTATTTTATAACATGTGTTTCACAAGAACCTGGTGGCTAGACATTAGCCTCTGTGTTCCTAGAGGGGACTTTGAGGCCCGTGTCTGAGACTTCATGGTAACCTCAGTGGCTATGGTAGATTTTGGCACATGGTAGATAGATGCTCATTAAATGGTTGTGGTTTCTGTTTTTACCACAGAATAACTTTCCAATTCTTTTTTGTTCCATGATCTGACCCCAACCAGCCTATTAACATTACCTTTTAATTATTCATCTTCATGGTATTTGCTAGATTTTTCTCAAGCTGTCGCCCTTGGTTTGCCCCATATCCACCTCACATCTTCTCTCTCCATCTTTGTGTGTACTCTTCCCTCCTCATGGGCGGCCTTTCACGTTTCCTTTAGGGTCTTGCTCAAATGCCATTTTCTCTGTGAAGCTGTTTTCTCCTTTTCCTTCTGATTCTGCCACTCTAAGTAATCAGATCTCTACAGTCTTGCATCTGTCCACCAACTTCTAAAATTCTGTGAAAAGGGGAAACTAAACTCATCTACTGTGGTTAACCAGACCACAAAGAGGAATGCTGGCGTTCATGAAGAATATTCTGAGAGCCTTGTCAAAGTCACTCTGTTGTCCAGGCCAAACAGAGGAGTGTGGATGATAGAGATTTCGGATGTGGCTTGTGAAAGGGAGGAGGGCAAGGCTGGCAGAGGTGGAGTTCTGTCTATTTAAAGTAGTTGTCTGTTTAGCAGTGCACCCTGGAGGAGACAGGGCTGTCTGTGCTCTGGGCCATATCAAAGGTGCCCTCAACACCCCACAGTTCAGGTCTGTTAGCTTTCCTCATAAAACCATGTTTGGAGAGATGGCTTTTCAGAAGGAATTTTGGCTTGAAACTGGAAGAAAGCATGCCTGAAAATTTAATTGGGAAGTAAGGGTATATCAAGGGGGGAAAGGCAGCAGCTTTGAAGTGGAAAATATCTTGCAAAGAGTAAAAATAGTGGCTTTTAAGTGGCATATGAGGAGGTTCGGTGGCCAGCCCTTTCATTAGCTGACTTCCTGTGCCCCACTGGGACTGTCCTCTGAGGGCTGATTGCTGCCTTTGATGCCTCTAACCAGCTGGTGTCACTACTCAGGCCGAGGATTTCAGGAAGACAGGTAGCTTAGCAAAGAGGAAGAGAAGGTTTGTTTCATGAAAGCTGATCTACCAAACACCATCTGGCAAGGGATTAATAACCAGAATATATAAGGAGCTCAAACAACTCTATAGGAAAAAATCTAATAATTTGATTAAAATACAGGGCAAAGGATCTAAATAGACATTTCTCAAAAGAAGACATACAGATATGGGGGCAAGTGGGGGAATGCAATATAGCTGGCTAGACATAGCCCAATAGACACAGCCAGGTGGAACAGCTCCCACAGAGGGACCCAGATAACTGGCATGCTTCTAACAGATCCTCAGAGGCAAGGCACTGAGAGTGGATGGAGGGAAGACACAGAAGCTGGGCTGGAGGGGAAGAAACCTGGGAACACTGCCTGGGGATACTGCTCACTGGGACTGATTTTTGGACCACAACAGCTCCAGGAGAATGGGTGACTTGAACTGGCAAGGAGCAACCTGCTCTCTCCACGGGCCTCTGGAACCCCGGCAAGAGAAGATCCCTTGATCACCATGGACACTCAAGTTGGCAAGAAGAGCTCCTTAGAGAAGTCGTGGGAGGGCAAGCAAGCTGATGTGGAGCCAGGACGATTTGATGTGGGAGCACCTGCAGTGGAGCACAGCCAGGGAGAGCCATCTCCCCAGGCCTGACTTGCTCCCATAGGAGACTTTAGCCCTAGGGGAACTGTCCATCCTGATCTCTGCAGGGTGGTCTTGTCCATCAGACAGGGCTGATTCGACCTGAGCACCCCTTGGTCTGCTGGCCTTTCTGGGGTCCCAGCCTGGCCAGACCTGCTTGCAGGGCAGTCTTGGGTGCCCTGGAGGCCACGCCATAGCTTCTGTGCTGGCAGATAGTATCTGACTGGTGGAGAGCTCCAGCAAGGCTGCCCCTAGGCCACACACCAGCCCATCCACCCCCTCCCCACACTGCAGCTTCCCTAGGCCCAGGAAACTCCTCACGTGTCTTTGCTGGCACAAGTCTGCACAGGTAGGTTTTGCCTTCCTTGCCCTGCCAGTGCATGGGAGTGTAGTCTGCCCCCCTGCCCCGTCTGGCTGTCATTGAAGACAGAGCCTTGGTGGGCACAGAGCAAGCCAGCTCCCCCGCAACGCCCACCTCAACACCTGGCCCTTGTGCTAACACTGTGCAGAGAACAGTGGACCCTGCTCGCACCCTGAGTGATCACTCCTGCTTGTGGGGCACAGAGAAGGTGTCCAGACCTGCTCACGCCAGTGCCCTGCCCCCAAGCCAACACCACATCCAACAGGAGCCTGCACCCAGTCTTCAGCATAGAGGTGAAAGATCTCTACGAGGAGAACTATGAAACACTGCTCAAAATAATCAAATATGATACAAGCAAATGGAAGAGCATGCAATGCTCATGGATAGGAAGAATCAATATCATAAAAATGGCCATACTGCCCAAAGCAATTTATAGATTCAATGCTATTCCTATTAAACTACCATTGATATTCTTCACAAAACTAGAGAAAACTATTTTAAAGTTCATATGGAACCAAAAAAGAGCCTGAATAGCCAAGGAAATCCTAAGCAAAAAGAACAAAGCTGGAAGCATCATGCTACCCAACTTCAAACTATACTACAGGACTACAGTAACCAAAACAGCGTGGTACTGGTACAAAAACAGACACATAGACCAATGAAACAGAATAGAGAACCCAGAAATGGTTCTCTATTTCACACACCTACAACTATCTGATCTTCGACAAACCTGATAAAAACAAGCAATAGGGAAATGATTCTGTATTCATTAAATGATGCTGGAATAACTGGCTAGCCATATGCTGAAGATTAAAACTGGACCCCTTCCTTATACTGTACACAAAAATCAACTCAAAATGGATGAAAGACTTAAATGTAAAACCCAAAACTATAACAACAATAGAAGACAACCTAGGCAATACCATCTTGGATATAGGAACAGGCAAAAATTTCATGACAAAGACACCAAAAGCAATTGAAACAAAAGCAAAAATTGAAAAGTGGGTTCTAAATAAAACTAAAGAGCTCCTGCACAGCAAAGAAAATACAAACAGAGTGAACAGACAACCTACAGAATGACAGTATCTGCAAACTATACATCCAACAAAGATCTAATATTCAGCATCTATAAGAAACTTAAACAAATTTCCAAAAACAACCCCATTAAAAAGTGGGCAAAGCATATGAACAGACACTTTTCAAAAGAAGACATACATGCAGCCAACAAACATGAAAAAGGCTCAACACCACCAATCATTAGAGAAATGCAAATCAAAACCACAATGAGATACCATCTCACACTAGTCAGAATGGCTGATGGCTGTTATTAAAAAGTCAAAAAATAACAGATGCTGGCAAGGTTGTGGAGAAAAGGCAATGCTTATGCACTGTTGGTGGGAGTATAAATTAGTTCAATCATTGTGGTTGACAGTGTGGTGATTCCTCAAAGATCTGAAAACAGAAATATAATTCTACCTAGCAATGCTACTACTGGGTATATACCCAAAGAAAAATAAATTGTTCAATTATAAAGACACCTGCACTTGTATGTTCATTGCAGCACTATTTATAATAGCAAAGACATATCAATCTAAATACCCATCAATGATAGACTGGATAAAGAAAATGTGGTGCATATACACCATGGAATACTATGGTATTTCACAGCCATAAAAAAAAATGAGATCATTTTTTTCCATCCACATCCTTTTCAGGTACGTGGATGGAACTGGAGGCCAATACCCTTAGCAAACAAAGGCAGGAACAGAAAACCAAATACTGCATGTTCTTACTTATAAGTGATGGGAACACATGGACACATGTGAAGGAACAACATTTACTGGGGCCTGTCGAAGTGTAGGGGATAGGAGGAGGGAGAGCATCAGGAATAATAGCTAATGGGTACTAGGTTTAATACTTGAGTGACTAAACAATCTATACAATAAATCCCCATAACACAAGTTTACCAATGTAACAAACCTACACATGTACCCCGGACTTAAAATAAAAGTTATAAAAAGACATATAAATGGCAAACATGCATATGAAAATGTGCTCAACATTGATCATCAGATAAATACAAGTCAAAACTATAATCAGATATCATGTCACCCCAGTTAAAATGGCCTATATCTAAAAGACAGGCAATAAAAAATGCTGGTGGTGACGTAGAGAAAAGGGAACCCTTGTATACTGTTGATGGGAATGTAAATTAGTGCAAACAGTGTGGAGAACAGATTGCAGTTTCCTCAAAAATCTAGAAATTGAGTTACCATATGATCCAGCAATCCCACTTTTGCTGGATATATATATGCAAAAGAAAGGAAATCAGTATATTGAGATATTTGCATGCCTATGTTTGTTGCAGCACTGTTTACAATAGCTAAGATTTGAGAGCAACCTAAGTGTCCATCAACAGATGAATGGATAAAGAAAATATGGTACAGATACATGAGGGAATACTATTTAGCCATAAAAAAGAATGAGATCCAGTTGTTTGAAACAACATGAATGAAACTGGAGATCATTATATTATATGAAATAAGTCAGGCACAGAAAGACAAACATTGCATGTTTTCATTTATTTGTGGGATCTAAAAATCAAAACAATTGAACTAATGAACATAGAGAGTAGAAGAATGGCTAGCAGAGGCTGGGAATGGTAGTGGGGGGCTGGCGGGGAGGTGGAGATGGTTAATGGGTACAAAAAATAGAAAGAATGAATAAGACCTACTATATGATAGCATAATAGGGTAACTATAGTCAATAATAACTTAATTGTATGTTTTAAAATAGCTTAAAGAGTGTAATTGGATGATTTGTAACTCAATAGATAAATGCTTAAGGGGATGGATAACCCATTCTCCATTCTGCACTTAGTTACCATTGAATGCCTGTACCAAAACATCTCATGTACCTCATCAATATATACACCTACTATGTACCCATAAAAATTAAAAATCAGGTGAGCGCCTTCTATGTGTCAAGAACAGTCACAGGTGCTGGTGAGGGCAGGGAGGGAAGACAAATAGATAAATATGTGTGTCGATTTTTTTTTTCTTTTTAGTGCTTTGGGTAAAGTAAATTGTTTTCATTTGTCTGAGAAGATTGACAAAGAAAGAGAGAAAAATAAACACACTTTTCTAATAGGAAGAGAACACTAAATATGACAATGAAGCTTTCCCATGGAGCCTGGACATGGCCTCAGAACATTCTCAACACAGAGCTCAGGAGAGCCACTAGCAGTCATTTCCACTTGCATGGAGTGGAGACCTATTCCTTATCCCATCCCCATCCCTAACTGATGTTCTGCTCCTCCTTTCTGTTAACTTGTGGGTTGTGGTCTATTATTCTTGCTTTTGTATCCCAACATTCTCTCATGGATGATCATTTTAAATTATGTTTTGTAATTTTGAATTGCGAACTCATCTTAGACTTCATCTGTAGAAATCCTCTACAACCTGACTTGGAACTATGCCCCTCTGAAGAGGTTTCCAGTTTGCTTCAGTCAGATACCCGAGATATTTGTATATTGGGACTAACTATTAATCTCCTGGCTTGGGGGTTCTCAGACCATATAGGTAGTACTGTTTCAAACCTCAAGGAGTTTTATGGGAAGACTCACAGATATAAATGGTGAGGAAAATTGTTTTCCTATCCAAACAGATCAAACTGTTTCTCCTTGTGCTAGTGAGTGGATTTTTTCTAACCCACCCCTTCAATGAAGTTTTGGTTCAGTAAGTGTTCTGGCTTTATTGGGGGATGGTCATGGGGTGATGGTTGTAGTTTCAGCTTCATCAGCTGGGTTCAGCGTTTTACATTCTGTGCTCATATGGGTGCTAAAACTGCAGACTTTTGGTTACTGGGACTGGAAACTCTCCTCCCTTCCAAGGTGGCCTCCGTGTTATTTGGCACTCATAGTTTTAAATTTATTATTATTTGAAGGCCCTGTAGAATTCCTCTTTTTTCTTGAGAGCTCAACAATGCATTTAAAATAATGTTGGCTATATTTTACCCACAATTTCTAGGTTTGTAGTGGGAGAATGTTCAGTTTATCTACAGCTCAGAAACATAAATCCATCTAGCAAATTCTTAACACCTGAGGTTATTCATTCAAGTAGTCCTTAGCACCCATAGATATATTTAACAACAGAGTAGGACCAGTGACAGCTGCTCCTTCTCTCATTATTGGAGCCCTTTACAGATCTAGATACAGAAGACTGAGTCCTGCTTGACTCTCCCACAGCAGAAACAAATATTATATTACACACATGACCCATATTACTGATTTTTAATATACAAATCTGGTCACAATTTTTCTGTGTAATTTAAAAAAATCCAGATGCCTGGATTTTATTCTTTATGCAAGAATCCAGTGTCTCTCTTTTGAGGTCTTACTTTCTCCCCCAAATTATTGAAGAATTCCTCAGGATTATTCAATATAAAGGGAGTTGGTCCTCTTCCAAGCCCCAGACAGAGAGCATTGGAGTCAGCTGTCCCTCAGTGCAGCTATCTAAGTCATTGCCACAAGGTGTCGCTGTTGGACATGGGTCTTGCTAGGTTCAGAGGCCAGTTTGCAACTGCAATTTCATCCGTGCTGGTACTCTCATTTGTAAAATAAGGTTACAGTCTTCAGTTCACTCCAGGTTTTTAGCAATTGTATTCTGAAGCTATGGGAGAGTAGCTGGTCCTGAGGGCCTTTTTAGCCTTAGCTAATGGTGTGCCAAACCACTTCTTTCTCACTTAGGTTTTCCTGCTCTCTTGCATTGCATTAGTGTTTAGACTGCATATAAAGAATATTATGCTTCCACATTATTTTGATTTCTCACTTAATACTGATAAAGTATTAACTCTCATGGATACAGTGCCCTGCTATCTCATAATTTTTTGATCCTCAAAACTCACTCTGTGCAGGCAGCACCGAACCCCAGAGAGAGGCAATGACCTTCCCAGGGGATTTCTACAAATTAATAGAAAAACTGGAACTCCACTGCCCACTGCAGCACCACCATGTCTTTCGGACAGTACCTCTTGCCACATGGTAAGCAGTTTGAGGTAAAAATCAAATATCTTCTATACAGCTGCACATACCCTTGCTCCTCTAAGTGGAATTCACCTCACTCATGGTCTGCTCTGAATCCTAGCAGTTGCAAACACAACACCAGTGGTTCTCAAATGTAGTGCTGGGACCAGGAGTATCAGCATCACCAGGAAATTTGTTAGAAATGCAAATTTTCAGATCCCACCTCAGACCTACAGAGTCAAAAACTCTGAGGATGGAGACCACCAATCTTTGTTTTAACAAATCCTATGCCAAGGATTCTGATGACTTGGGAAGCCCTGTCATAAAACAATATTTCATCTATTAGGTGCTCCAGATACAGTGCTTATGGATATAAAGTTTTAAAGGCCTACAAAAATGTTTGTAAAGTTTTGTCTCCAAATCACAAAAGAAAATTACTAAAGTGTAAATCAAGACTAATGGACTGACAACAGTGGCTCGCATCTATAATCCCAGCACTTTGGGAGGCTGAGGCTTGAGGATTGCTTGAGGCCAGGAGTTTGAGACCAGTCCAGGGCAACATAGCAAGACCCTGTCTCAACCAAAAAAAAAAAAAAAAATTAGCCAGGCATGATGGTATGTGACTGTAGTCCTAGCTAGTTCAGAGGCTGAGGCAGGAGGATAGCTTAAGCCCAGAAATTTGGTGCTGTGGTGACCTATGATCATGCTATTGCACTCCAGTCTGGGTGGCAGGATGAGACCTTTCTCCCTAAAACAAACAAAAAATAAATATTTTATTAACTATCTAAACCATAACAGAATAATATGTCAAATTATTCAGCTAATCTGAATTCTTAGAATTATCTATGTATATAATATGTTTAAAGCCTCCAAAAGGGACTTGTTTTGTCATTTGGTTCTTAAATGTAGAGATTCAACTACTCATATGGCATCTCTGCAGCTGAAGGTTAAAAATCTGGGAATGACAGTTGTCAATTTCTAGAGACGTCTTCAGATGGCCACACGATGTCAGTGTAATACAAAAGAAAGAGCAAATGACTCTATTGCAGTGGACTTCCATTGCAATGTCTTTTGAAACAAAATCATTAGGGGCAAGCGAAATGAGGGGGAAAAAAACCCAAACTGTATATAATCCTATTAGTCTTTTATGGCAGGGTGTCATGTTTTATTTTTATTTTCTTCCTATCTCTGCTCTTTTACCTGTGTGTTCTCCAGTGTAGCTGGGTTAGATGTTTAAGTAACATAAAGGGGAAAAGAAAAGAGAAAGAATTTTACTTAGCACTTATATATGAGCTACTATGTACCTAGCACAAAATAAATGCTTCAAAGGATCCAATGAATGAAATACTAAATGTTGATATTTACGTTGACATACAGTGCATTTATTACTGCTTCCTTTTAAGATGGGGAAAGGTTTAGGAAGGTTAAATTACATTCTAAGATCACACAACTGGTAAATGTGAATCCAGGATTTAAATGCAGGTTGTTGAAACACTAGAAACCTCTAATTTTTTCCCAAAACCATGTTGCATCTCTGAGAAGTAGTGTTGATGATGAATATTGTCTCTAGACAATTTTTAGTGTGCAAGGAGTATTGGTGCCATTAACTATTCCTTTGGGATCTGAAAACTTGTGAAATAATTTAGCCTTTTTGTGCCAGTATATTCAATATATCAAATACAGTATATTTCCATCTAAGAATAATTATTCTTTAAGTATGAGGAGTACAGATTTGCTATAGTTGAGCTGAAATTCAAAAGTTGACATTTAAGGAAAAATTTTCTTATTAGAGAATCTATTTTGAGACTTTATTACTCCCTGTTCTCTTACAAGACTTTAAGTACAGCAAGTCTCATCAATCTGTTTTGTATTGGTTGCTTAGAGGCAGTCTGTGGGTGCTGTATGGTTTGTCAACTATATAGTCACCTCCTAAAAATGGTATTATTGCTTGAGCATAAGCCTGAATGACAGAATAGCCCACAAAAGCTATTGACAGATGATTGTCTCTTATTGTTACTACAACTAGGGCAGATGTAATATGAAAAGTTTAGCTCTTAAATACTCCTTTCATCCAAGTCTGTACTTAGATTCTTGGAAACACATCTCATTGCATGGTCCAGGGCTCCCCTACCTGCTACCTCTCTGCTCTGCCCTCAGTATTTTAGGAGGTGTTCTAATTAAGGAATGGAGGTCCAACACAAATAATTTGCTCAGCAGTAAGTTCATGCTGGCAAATAAGGATCTCTCATTCATTTTAGTCTTTGCAAGGTTGTAGATGATTATCTATTGCTATGGCAAGATGTTCTTGACATATTGAGAAGTGGAAAAAATGGTTATCAAATAGTTTGTACAGTATTTAACCATTAAAATTATATTTATTGAACAATTTAAATGGATATACACACCAACATGTAATAGTGTAGTACTGTTCAATAGGAATGCATGAGTCAGGCTGGGCGTGGTGGCTCATGCCTGTAATCCCAGCACTTGGGGAGGCCAAGACAGGCAGATCACCTGAGGTCAAGAGTTCAAGACCAGCCTGGCCAACATGGTGAAACTCCATCTCTACTAAAAACACAAAATAAATTAGCTGGGTGTGGTGGCAGGCACCTGTAATCCCAGCTACTCAGGAGGCTGAGGCAGGAGAATGGCTTGAACCCGGGAGGTGGAGGTTGTGGTGAGCCGATATCACACCGTTGTACTCCAGTCTGGGCAGCAAGAACAAAACTCTGTCTTAAAAAAAAAAAAAAAAAAGAAGAAATACATGAGTCATATATATAATTGAAAATTTTTCAGGAGTCCCATTTAAAAAAATAAAAAGAAACAGGTAAAATTAGTTTCAATGATACATTAATATATTCTTAAATATATTACTTTATACATTTATATAGTTATATATTTTACATAAAATATACAAATATTTAGTATATTTATATTTAAATATATTAAATTAATCTATTAATATATTTAGTACTATATTAATAATATGTTAATGCCACATAGTAAAAGTGATATATTTTATTTAAGCCCGATACAATGTTGTTATTTCAATGTATAATCATTATAAAATTGATATATTTTACACTTTTTTATACTTAGTCTTTGAAAGCACATCTCAACTTGGACACTAAATTTCCATTGAAAATATCTGATTTGTGTAGAGATTTTATAAAATTTATGACTGAAAACAGAGTCATATACTTGAATTATTCTAGTCATACATTAAACTTTTTCAATAACTGAACAGAATATTGCTTTTTAAAGTTAAATAAATTCAAATTAAATAAAGTTTAAAAGTTAGTTCCTTAGTTGCACTAGACACATTTCAAACGCTCAGTAGCAATGTGTGGCTAGTGGCGACGGCTCTGCATAGTGCAGTGGTAAAGGATTTCCGTAGCACCTCAAATTGCATTTTCACGTATAGACCTAGAGGATGGCTTTTCCGGTTCCTGCCAGCTTGTCCTGCTGTGTCTGGAATTGGTGGGTTCTTGGTCTCACTGACTTCAAGAAGGAAGCCGCGGACCCTCGCGGTGAGTGTTACAATTCTTAAATATGGTGTGTCCAGAGTTTGTTCCTTCTGATGTTCGGACGTCTTAGGAGTTTCTTCCTTGTGGTGGGTTCGTGGTCTTGCTGGCTTCAGGAGTGAAGCTGCAGACCTTCGCGGTGAGTGTTACAGCTCTTTTTTTTTTTTTTTTTTTTTTGAGACTCTGTCTCGCTCTGTCACCCAGGCTGGAGTGCAGTGGCGCGATCTCGGCTCACCGCAAGCTCCGCCTCCTGAGCTGAGGCCGTTCTCCTGCCTCAGCCTCCCTAGTAGCTGGGATTACAGGTGACCGCCACCATGCCTGGCTAATTTTTTTGTATTTTTAGTAGAGACGGGGTGTTAGCCAGGATGGTCTCTATCTCCTGACCTGGTGATCCGCCCGCCTTGGCCTCCCAAAGTGCTGGGATTACAGGCGTGAGCCACCGCACCTGGCTGTGTTACAGCTCTCAAGGCGGAGCATCTGGAGTTGTTCGTTCCTCCCCTCTGGAGTTGTTCATTCCTCCCGGTGGGTTCGTGGTCTCGCTGGCCTCAGGAGTGAAGCTCCTATAACACTATGTCAGCTGTATTAATTGTAAAATTTAGGATGCATACTAATTTCATTACATTCGAAAATAATTTTGGAAGTTGGGATTTCTTACTTTGAAAGAATTCTGAAGTATACATGGTGATGATAGCTAACAAATCATAGCGAATCATAAGTCAAATGCCACTTGGAGGCAAATAATTTCAAAAGCAAAATTATAAACATCCTTTCAAAAAAATTACAGTCCTGAATTATATTTAATGTGGGATAGGGTTTTGTTTTGATTTTTTAATATGCTGTAGAGAGGAACTTCCATAGTAAGAATTCTCAGAGCTTATTAAGGCCGTAAAATGACACTGAAAACCCCTTTCCACCCAGACGATACCTGGCCTTTCCATTTCCCAGACAGGACAATTGCACATTGTAGCTAGC
The DNA here is from genome assembly GCF_000001405.40 of Homo sapiens. Taxonomy (NCBI): domain Eukaryota; kingdom Metazoa; phylum Chordata; class Mammalia; order Primates; family Hominidae; genus Homo; species Homo sapiens. Next base: position 131,928,549 of record NC_000006.12, read on the forward strand.
ATGGTGTGTCAAAAAGAGTCAGCGGAACATATGAATTTCTAGCAGTAAGAATTTTGGCAGTGCCGGGTGCGGTGGCTCACTCCTGTAATCCTAGCAATTTGGGAGGCCAAGGCTGACAAATCACTTGAGGTCTGGAGTTTGAGACCAGCCTGGCCAACATGGTGAAACCCTGTCTCTACTAAAAATACAAAAACTAGCCGGGCGTGGTGCATGCCTGTAATCCCAGGTACTCAGGATGCTGAGGCAGGAGAATCGCTTGAGCCTGGGAGGCAGAGGTTGCAGTGAGCCGAGATGGTGCCATTGCACTCCAGCGCCTGGGGACAAGAGCAAAATTCCATCTAAAAAAAAGAGAAGAATTTTGGCAGCTTCATTAGCCTTTCCATTCTTTCATTTATTTGAATATGCAGATATTCCTGGGAGGATTACAGATGATGCTACCTAGTGGGTTGGTCATATAGTCTGGAAAAAAGAGAACATGGGTTAGGTCTTTGTACACGGTGGAAGAATAGGCTGTTCAATTCTACATAAGAGTAGAATTGAACATAGGATCAAATACTTATCCTTATAAAATTTGGTGTGGCCAGGAGCAGTGGCTCACCCTTGTAATCCAGCAATCTGGGAGGCCAAGGCAGGAAGATTACTTGAGCCCAGGTGTTTGAGATCAGCCTGGGCAGCATAGCAAAACACTGTGTCAATTTAAAATTTAAAAAGATGAAATTTGGTATAGTCTCTTGGGGGAAGGATACACTTAAGGTGGTTGTACAAATTTGATCTTGTGGTAGATTGCATTGCTGTTCCAAGGATTCATTCTCGGCCCAGTGAGATAATCATGCATTTTCACCCCTTGCCATGTTCCTTGTAGAGCACCCCCCTTTGGCAGCATACACTTCCTGCACCAGGTCAGGTTGGCCGTGTAACTTGCTTCAGCCATTGGAAGTGTATAATGCCACAGCCAAGCAGCAGCTTGAAGGGGAGTTGTGTGATTTGGCTCTGCCTCTTACTTTCTTCCCTCTGCCTCAAGAATGATGATATGTCCCCAGTAGGGGCTACTCTTTTAGCTTGGTTCCTGGAATGAGAAGGTGCAAAGAGCAAAGCCACAGCAACAGAAGTACAACTGCCAACATGTAATTGTGCAAAAAAATAAACATTTGTTGTTACAAGCCACTGTGATTTGGGGGCTGTTTGTTTCTACAGGAACACTGATTAATAGAGTTGTTCAGGAGGAAAGCTCCCTAGTAATTCTTCTGTTGATTCAATTTGAAAAATGGGGCTTTTTGCATTAATCCGTTAAAAAAAACAAAAACCAAAACCAGTATGTTCCACTCTCCTAGAATAGTGTTGTGCATACCTTACAGTAACTAGCACTTTAACAGAATTAGAGAGTTAACATAAAGTTAATCCTTGTACGATGTCACAAGTTTCCATGTCAGAATGCTGGGAGTGAAGTTATAGAGGTATTTGAGTGTCCAATAATGTTACTTATTAGTCCCTAATGACACCTCCTGGGATTTACTGAGGTAGGCAATTTGCATTTTTCAATTACAAGTGTGAAATATTCTTGTTGCCAATTTTGCTAGTGTTAGGAATTCTTTGCAAGGTACTTTCTGCACTTGATGGAAAATCAGCATTAAATAAATCAATTCAGTTCCCAACGGCTTCATTTAACACACTGCTTATTTCCATATGGTGTGAATCTGTTCTTTCTTCTCTGAGCTTAAATGAAGTAACTTGACTCAGAAGAACATAACCTTTTATTAGTTATAGAAAAGTAGAAACTGCTTAGATTTTGTTGTTGCTGTTGTTGTTTCTGGTTTGATTGACTGATTGATTGATTGATTGAATGCTACTTTTAAGTGTTCTTAGCGCAACCGTCTGACCAGGCAATGAACCTTTAAACAGAGAGAGTGTCTTTCTTTGGAAGCTCGGGATTATTGCACTATTCTGAACATTTCCATATTATCCCATGTGGAGGAGGCATAAAGTAATTTCAATAAACAACCAGAACAGGCCAGACGTAGTGGCTCACGCCTGTGATCACAGCACTTTGGGATGCCAAGGTGGGCTGATCATTTGACCTCAGGAGTTCAAGATCAGCCTGGCCAACATGGTGAAACCCCGTCTCTACTAAAAATACAAAAATTATTTGGGCGTGGTGGCGGGCGCCTGTAATCCTAGCTGCTGGGGAGGCTGAGGCATGAGAATTGCTTGAACCCGGGAGGCAGAAGTTGCAGTGAGCCGAGATCATGCCACTGTACTCCAGCCTGAGCAACAGAGCTAGACTCTGTCTCAAAAAAAAAAAAAAAAAAATGTGATAATAAACAACCAGAACAGTGCTTTCAAATCTCACTTTTGGTGTTGGGAATGTTCTATATTTGTGCTGTCTAGTATGGAAGCCACTAGCCACATGTCACTACTGAGTGCTTGAATTATTGCTACTGTGACAGAGAAGGATAAAGAAGCTGAAGACACATCACCAGGATTTAGTACTTTCTGTATCTCTGTATAACTCTTCTTTCTCCTTTGTGTTACCTTCAGCCTCAGATAAGCTGTTCCAAGGTGGCTATTGGCACTTCCAGAGCTAGATTTTTCTGGACTCAGAACCAGCACAAAAAGTTACAATCTTTGTCACAGAAGTCCCAATAAAACTCTTGAGCTTTCATGGTTTAGACAAGCAGAGGCTAACAGTTACCTCTGAACCTATCACTCATGACAGTGGGAGTCAATGTGCAGACTGATTTAGCCCAGGCAAGCCTGAGAGGCTATGAGTGGGGTCAGCTTTACCCAAAGTACATGGGCTGAAACTTGGGGGAATAATCCACCAGAGCAAAGATCAGCAATTTTTTTTCTTGAAAAGGGCCCCATAGTAAATATTTTTAGCCTTTGTGGGCTATACAGTCTGTCACTCAATTCTGCCACTGTAGCTCAAAAGCAGCCATGGATACTACATTTTTTTAAAAAAGGGCATGACCGTGTACCAAGAAAACTTTGTTTACAAAATCAGAGAGCAGGCCAGATTCAGATGACAGGCCAGAGTTTGCCAACCCCTGCACTAGAGCGAGATTAAGTACAGTTATCAGACTGGAAGTCAGGCTATAAAAATAAGCAACAGATGTCCACCACATGCATAGAATAATATAGATATCCCTGCTTCTCTGGGTCTTTAGCTTTTCTCTCTCTTTGTAATAAGAGTCATAACAGATGACTTTAGGAGGCTCTTTTTCTTCCAAAGTTCTCCTGACCTCAAATTAAAATGGTCTACTGAGAGTCCAGGTGGTGGCTTTTGCAAATGCTTGGGATCCAGGAGGAAAGGTGACAGCCTTCATGGTAGCAAGCCTATAGACAGTAGCAGCCCCAGAATCAAATAATTTGCTTCTAGATATAACACTTTCACATGCTAAAATATAAAACCTCTCTCCTCAGAAAAACTAATCTACTTCTTCCCTAGTCTTTCCAATGCCAGATAACAGCACCACAGTTTGTCCATTCATTTAGGCAAAAAGCTGGGGTGATATACTCATTTTCCTGTTAATATCCCTCAGCCAACCTATCAGCAAGTCCCATGTGCAGAATATGCACTGAATCTGACCACTCCATCTACGTCCACCAACACAGCTCCCACCCGTGTCACCATGCGCCTCTCCTGGACTTCTCCAGTAGCCTCCCCAGTCTCCCTCCTCCCTCTTGCTCCTCTACTGTCCTTTCTCAATTCAGCAGCCAGAATGATCTTTCTAACATCTAAATCCTCCCGTGACCTCTCATTATGCTATTTATTTATTTATTGAGATGGAGTCTTCCTCTGTCACCCAGACTGGAGTGCAGTGGCATGATTTCGGCTCACTGCAACCTCTGCCTCCCAGGTTCAAGCGGTTCTTCTACCTCAGCCTCCCTAGTAGCTGGGACTACAGGCATGCATCTCCACACCTGGCTAATTTTTGTATTTTTAGTAGAGAGGGGGTTTTACCATGTCAGCCAGGCTGGTCTCAAACTCCTGAGCTCAGGTGATCTGCCCTCCTTGGCCTCCCAAAGTGCTGGGATTACAGGCGTGAGCCACCACGCACAGCTTCCTTATGTTTAAAACTAAACCTCAGCAGAGTTTACAAGGTCCCTATGACCTAGACTTCCTCAACCCTCCCAGCCTCATCTCTGAACACTGTCTCCTTTTTAACTGGAGCTGAAAGGAGGAGGAATAAAGTAACTTCAATAAACAACCAGAACAGTGCTTTCAAATGTCACTTTTGGTGATGATGGAAATGTTCTATATCTGTGCTGTCTAGTATGGAAGCCACTAGCCGCATGTCACTACTGAGTGTTTGAAATATTGCTACTGTGACAGAGAGGCTGACTTTTACACTGTACTTAATTTTAATTCATTTAAGTGTAATAGCCACATTTGTCTATCAGCTACTATGGACAGCAAAAAACTAGAATATGGGCAAAACTGATATAAATGATAAAATAAAGTTATGAACAGTATTTGTTAGGGCATCTGAAAGGAAAGAGGGCTGCTAGGAGGTTATGGGATTCAGGGTAGTATTAAAAAATCATTCAAAAAGTGACTTCTGGGAAGGGCTTTAAATGATGAGTGAAGTTGACTTAGATATAAATATATATGTGCTTATATATATACATATACACACATGCATTATGAGAAGATCAAGGGAAGAATTTTTCAGGCAGAGAGACTAGATTAAGTGAAGTTACATGTGGAAACTATTTAGGAAATATGAGTAAGTCCAGCTTGGTTTTTGCATAAAAGGTATGTCCAAGAGTAATTTGAGATTCTTGTCGTTCCTTCGAGGCTATTTTGCAGAAAATCTTCGATACCATACAGAAAAGTCGGTATTTATCTTGATAATAGTTAAGAAGCCATTTAATTTTTTTTTTGAGCAACAAACTTATGGGACCAGAGATATTAATCAGGCATCAGTAATTAAGAAGGAGAATGAGGGTGGAACAGGAAAACTAATGAGCCGACTCATACACACATTGCCGTCAAAAATAGTGAGGGCTGTAATGAGAATTATGGAGATGGAAAGTTGGAGGTGATTTAGATTTTCTGAGTTTGGAGTTATGTGAATATGTGAATAGAGATTGGCAATTGCTTCTTGTCTAGACATTTCTGAAGATAGGATGGCCTGCAGTGGTAACTTCCACCATCAGGGCAAGAAGGGACCTCATGCCTGGGAATAAGATGGGGAAAGCCCAACTCAGTCTCACTTTCAGGAAGCTCTCTGAGAAAAAAGGAAAGAAGACTTCGGTATCCACTGCTAACTGAAGCATATGAGGGGTTAGAAGAAGGGCAGGAGTGATAGGACTAGCCAGTGATCAGCCCCCCTTAGGAAACCACACTTGGCTGTCTGGATAGATTGTGGGGCTAAAGAGAGGCATGACTGTCCCTGTGGGAAGGGTTTCCCAATTATTGAAGAGGCAGGAAGAAAGTTGATCACCAACCCAAGGAAACTAGGCCCAACATTTTCACAGTCCCATTGGTAGGAGCCGTTAGCAGCAGCCGCATCAGCCCAAGTGAAACCAGGGATGCCTTCCTTCCCAGCTACATGTGACCGGATATGTAAGAGAAACCTGCTTCTGCATCCCTCCAGGAGCTCCCTTCAACCCTTAGGAACTAGATGTACAAGAGGAAGGAGGTGGGATATGAGATGAGGGTGTGTTCCTCCAGAGATGATTTGCATTTCCTCCCACCAGTTGCTTTGTTGGTACTACAGCCTGAGACTACTTGACTACTTTTTAACTAATAAACGCTATATTTTAGAGCAGTTATGTACGTTTATGTATATCTCTGTGTGTATACATATAAATATATATATATATATGCATGCTTATGTATAAGTGAAATGAATGACAACAATGATACAAGGGACAGGAGGGAGGAATTTGGATTACTTGTTATTGCAAAGTACTTGTACTATCTATGAAGCTGTACAGTGTTATATGAAAGTGAACCTGGCTGGGCCAGGTGCAGTGGCTCAAGCCTGTAATCCCAGCACTTTGGGAGGCTGAAGTGGGTGCATCACAAGGTCAGGAGCTCGAGACCAGCCTGGCCAATATGGTGAAACCCTGTCTCTACTAAAAATACAAAAATGAGCAGGGTGTGGTGGCAGGTGCCTGTAGTCCCAGCTACTCAGGAGGCTGAGGCAGGAGAATTGCTTGAACGCGGGAGGCAGAGGTTGCAGTGAGCCGAGAATGCACCACTGCACTCCAGCCTGGGTGACAGAGCGAGATTCTGTCTCAAGAAAAAAAAAAAAAAGAAAGAAAGTGAACTTGGGTTTGTTGTAAATGTGTATTGCAAATTCTAGAGCAACCGTTAAAAAAGTTTTTAAAAAAGTAGAATTGATATGCTAAGAAAGGAGAGAAAATGGAATCATGTAAAATGCTCAGTTAATGCCACAAAAGACAAAAGCCCTGTGGAACACAAGAAGAAACAAAGAACAAGAGCAACACATAGAAAACAGTAACAAATATGGTAGATGTTAAGCCAACTATATCAATAATCACTGTAGATGTCAGTGGTCTAAATATGCCAATTAAAAGACAGAGCTTGTCAGAGTATATTAAAAACACACCAGCCGTGGTGGTGCACTTGTGTAACCCCAGCTACCTGGGATACTGTGTGCGGAGGATATAAAGCCTAGGAGTTCATGACCAGCCTGTACAACATAGGGAGAACCTGTCTCAAAGAAAAACAAACAAACAAAAAATCAAGACCCAACTAATTATTGTCTGTAAGAAACCCATGTTAAACAGATTAGACTCTGACAAAACACGCATAGGTTAAACTCTAGTAAAATACTTTCTCCCGAGGGTAGGCCCTGCTAAGAAGAGTACCCAGATGTATTTCAAAATGGTTACTTTCCTCCTCCCACTGCTGGAAGAGCAAGGAAATTTTTCTCCAATATTTTGGGAGATAAAACTCCCCAAAACATGTGTGGGTGGAGGGACAGGGGGCCCATGACTGTATCTGGGACCACTTTTTATATAAACAAATCTCTAAATTGAAGTTCAAATATTTGAGTGTTGGTGAAAAAGAAATGGAGTTATTCTGATACTTGTGACTCATTACTATTATATATATTTTTTGCTTAAATTGTCTCAGGTTTAATTATTGCGAGCTCCTTCAAGTTGTCTTTTCAGTATGAACCTAACATTTTTTTCAGCAATTTCTTACTTGCTGGTGCCACAAGTTTTTGCAGGTTTATCTTGCATTTTCTCTGCCTGAGCCATGAAATCAGCCATTTTTCCAAAAAGCCCTAGTTCCTTTTATTGGACATTATTAAAATTTGGGTTCTACATATGTTAATTGTTCTGGGGTGTCACAGCACCTAGGATGATGACAGCTCAGTTGACAGAAAATACACATACAGCTAAGTGCATATATAAACCCATTCTATATTTATGTCTGTGTATATCTATACATGCATTAAAACCATGAGCTGTGCTATGCCCAAGCCCTCACAATTACTCATTACTTACCCATTGACTTGGCTTGATCAAATGCTAGTCAGGCTTCTCCCTACAGGTCCCAGAACTTTATCTTATTCCCAAGCTTTTAAGCAAGTGCTAAGTTACAGAATATCTTCTCAATGACTTACTCCAAGAATCCAGTGACCAAAGAGAATAAAAATTTACTGTCAAAGCCACTCTCATGCCATCTGCCTACCTCCATTCGCTTGCCCCACTCTTTCACAAACTTCCTGCTAGCCCTATTTACTTCTCCTTATAAAAGAAAGGTCTTTTTCTGTTCGACCTTTAGACTTTGCCACTTCTGCAATAGAGTATTCTCCCTATTTCAAAGTTCTCTTCCCCATATTGCAATGCAGTTGGTCCTTGAAAAACACAGGGGTTAGGGGTGCTGACCCCTTGTGCAGTTAAAAATTCACGTAAAATTTTTGACTCACCATAAACTTAACTACTACTAGCCGACTGTTGACTGGAAGCTTTACCAATAACACAAACAATAGATTAACACATATTTGTGTGTTATATATATTTGACACTGAATTCTTATAGTAAAGTAAGAGAAAATAAAATGAAAAAATGCCATTAAGAACATTATATGGAAGAGAAAATATATTTATTACTTATTAAATGGGAATAGATCATCAGAAAGGTCTTTATCCTCATTGTCTTCATGATGGGCAGGCTGAGGAGAAGAGAAAAGAGTAGGAGTTGGTCTTGCTGTCCCTTGGCGTAACTATTATTGAAAAAAATTCATGTATAAGTGGATTTGTGCAGTTCAAACCCATGTTCTTCAAGGGTCAACTGTGGCCTTTTTGAATAAAATCTCTATTTTAATCTGGCTTTTAAAAAATTTGACTACTGGTACTACTAATGGCAACCCAATACCACAGGTGTTTGAATTAATCAGTTAATTGCCTTTATTGAAAGAATGTCTATGGTCTTTTATAATTTATATTTTCCTCAAGATAGATTTGTACTGAAATAAAATCTAACTTTTATTAAAACTGAAAAAGGGAAATGGAGGATTCATTGACAATGGGGTGTTTCTATCTGGGTAACAAGTAGATTATTAGTACTACAGGCAATAGAAATGCAGAATCACACAGAGAAGCTGGTTTTGAGGGAAATTATGATGCTGTCTTAGTGTGGAGGGTAATAAGACCGATAGTCTTTTTCTTTTTCTCCAAAATCAAAGATGATTCACCTAAGCATGTTTCAACAGAACCAAAACAACACCCTCCACCCTAAAGATTCTTCAAGCAGATGATCCCCTGACCGAGCTCTTTTAGATACACCCAATGGTGCTTTCAAACATCTCCCAGTAGAGCCTCTTGGCTGTTGCTCCTGGCCATGGCAGGTTCCATTGGTTGCTCCTTCCAACAGTAATTAGCATGGGTTTCCATAGCAGCAGCTTCTAGCAGCCACTCCTATTGGCCTGGGTCCTTACCACAAGCAGCACCTCCCTGCAGATCTTCCTGCTGGTGAATGCTGCTCCAAGTGATTAATGACTTCCATTCCCCTAGAATCTCATTCAGTGAATCCTAAAATGTTCAACTTTAAAGGACCTCAATCCCAAACATCTTCTCTACAAAACGTCTGGATTTCTCCAATAGCTAGAGGGAGCATTTGATTTCTAGCAGCACCCCCAAGCCAGGTCTCAATAGGCTCCTTACGAAGCCCTGGGGTTCAGTTAGAATGCCACACTGTTTTTTCAAAGTCCTTTATTATCTCCATCGGCTACTATTCATACCTCCGGTAGAAGAGTCCCATTGACAGGTGTTCTGGACTTCAGGCTTGAAATATTGGTGAGTGTTTTCTCATCAAGGGGGTCCTCCATGTAATTCGGTTAGCTGAGCAACTTCTGCATATGGGTGGTCACTAAACTACCATGTTAGGGACAGTACAACAGAAAGACTAATAACACAGATAGAAAATTGACAGACTCAAACTAAAAAGGATGAAAGCCAACTAGAAATGTTATGAGTGAACTACGAGTATGTGTCATATCATCCAGGGTCCCATTCCTAGTTGTCTTTCCCACTTTCTTTTGCTGTTCACCAAGGCCAAACACAGGAATGTACATTCCCAGTGCTCAGGCAGAGCTCCTGTCCTCCCTATTAGTTGTCTTCCAAAGGTCACACTAGAAAGCACATAACTTCTTCCCCCAAATAGCAAAAGCAAGGGAAGCATGGCATTGGCTAATGCTCCACAAGCCTCCTTTCTCTAACCACATCCGGCTATTGATATTGAGGCATCTATGTAAACAGAGTCCTGGCAAATAGCCCAGACCTCCCAGGGCTCCTTAACATAAGTACGCAAGCTTGCCTAATAATCCTGAGTTTAAAATTATGAGTGACATAAGATAATCTTCACACTGGGAGTCATCGGCCCAAATTACGGTTAAAGGTTAAAAACAAACAAATAAAATGCAAAAAAAATCACATACAAACCAGGCTTATGTTGTAGAAAATATTTCCTAAGCCCTTGGATTTAATGTCATTTTTAGAGTTTGATGATACCTCCCTAGAGAGGGTATAACAAATACTGAACAAGGATGACACAGATCAGAAAGAATTTAGCTAGGGAGGAATTCAGATTGGGGAGAAAAATAAGGAGTTGGGCCTATTCTCATTTAAAAATAAATCCCTCTGGAAAGACATAAAAGAACATTTTTAAAAAGACTAAAAGAATGGCAGTTTATCTTTTCATTTTTAATGCTAAGTGTTTCTATTTTAAAGGGCTTCCATCCCAAGTATATACTTGGATTGAAAAATGGAAAACAGTTAAAAATGAAGATTTTTAAGTTCAAAATGTTGATCAAAATTTCCTGATTCAAATTGCTTTTTTGACTCTTGGATTACATATGGTTTGTGTTACATGTCTGTATTTTCTAAATTCCAACTTTTTCATGGAGCACAGGAGCAGTTATATTGGAACACTTTACATGTTTTTGTGTATTGTTTTTATAAAGATGATGATAGACTGCAGGTTATTTGACAATACAAGACAATGAATACAAAATGGTCCTCAATCAGTTAGATTCATGGGACTTATTATTATCATTCTCTTTATCTTTATTGTATCTTGGACCAAAAATGTAATTACTACAGTATTTATTTATAGCCCAGCTTTTGCAGGGAAGGGACCTACATGCCCTAAGTGACATTCATCAAACCTAGTTTCTTGTATGAAAGTGAGTCTACGCAGAGTAACTTAAAAAAAGAAGCTGAATTTGCTTTAAAATATTTATTCACATGTGAGTAAAAATGACTGAAAGTGTTATCTCTTCCCTTCTTTTGGCTTCTCCTGCCCTGTTCCAGTATATTTCATGAACTAGTGTCTCTAGTTTTTGGTTTTATTAGTTTTTGTATTTTTCTTTTAACTAGGTAAAGGCAGAGTAAATAAGAGCTATATTTGTTTTTCATAAAAGTGGTATTTTCTATTTATTTGCCTGTCAGTATCCTGCTGTAGTGCACACACACATGATGTAATGTGTTGATAACCCTTATTGCTGAAGTGGAACATACATAGTGAGATGTTATTTTCCTCATGGGATTCCAGAAACCTTAAAATCTTGTCATGCTCTATAGTTAAATGATGTTGATTGAGTCCCGTTTTATATATATATATATAGTTATATATATGTATATAAAAAATATATATAGTTATATATGTATATAAAATATATATATACATATATAACTATATATAGTTTTATATATATAGTTGTATATATATATAACTATATATATACATATATATAGTTTCAACAGTTTCTATTCATTAGTTTTATTTTGGAACTATGACTTAATGAATAAGCCTGCTGATATGTTAATGAAAATGTGAATGTTGAAAGACAGCAAGCCATCCTCTCAGATTTAAATAAAAATTGACATGAGTACACATTGGATGTTAAAAGGGAAATTCAGTGACTCCCTAAGACATTTGTACACTTTGAGGGAATTTCTTCTTATAGGTACTTCTATCTTTGAGTTTCTATCCTCATTAAATAGTCCTTCCAATCTCACATTTATATGGTGCTGTAGAAATTTAATTATGCAATGAAACGTGTTATGAACATTATGTGTTATTTTTCAGGAACTCATCTTAAATATTTAAAAATAAGTTTTTTTTTCTAATTGCAAGGAATAAGTACTCTTTGTAAATGATATGGAAAGTATGGAATATAATAAAGATGAAAAAGATAACTCCTAGATAATCACTTTTAATGTTTTGGCAAAATTCTTTTTAAAAAGTGCTAAAGAAAATGTGGCACATATACATCATGGAATACTATGCATCCATAAAAAAGAATGAGTTCATGTCCTTTGGAGGGACATAGATGAAGCTGAAAGCCATCATTCTTAGCAAACTAACCCAGGAACAGAAAACCAAACACCGCATATTCTCACTCATAAGTGGGAGTTGAACAATGAGAACACATGGACACAGGGAGGGGAACATCACACATGGGGGCCTGTTGGGGGGTGGGGGCCAAGGAAAGGGAAAACATTAGGACAAATACCTAATGTATGCAGAGTTAAAATCTAGATGACGGGTTGATAGGTGCAGCAAACCACCATGGCACGTGTATACCTATGTAACAAATCTGCACATTCTGCACATGTATCCCAGAACTTAAAGTAAAAAAAAAAAAAGTGCTTGAATATATTTAATTTTTAAACTTTTTAATTGAAATATAATAGAGATTTAACAATATGTGCCAAGTTCTCTCATGCCCCCACCTCCAAAGTAACCACTACCCTGCCTTTATCACTATTTAGTTTTGCTTCCTCTTCAATTTCATATAGATGACATTATGCAGTGTGTATGCTTTTGTGCCTGACTTCTTTCACTCACCATAATAGTGCTTTTCTTTTTTATATATAAGAGATTTATTCTGAGCCAAATATGAGTGACCATGGCCCATGACACAGCCCTCAAGAGGTCCTGAGAACTTGTGCCCAAGGTGGTCTGGGGGCAGCTTGGTTTTATACATTTTAGAGCAGCATGAGACATCAATCACATCCGTTTAAGAAATACATTGGTTTGGTCCAGATGTGGAGCGGGTGGTGGGGGAAGGGGAGGCTTCCAGGTTATAGGTGAATTTAAACATTTTCTGGTTGACAATTGGTTGAGTTTGTCTCAAAACGTGGGATAGAGGCTGGGCGCAGTGGCTCACGCCTATAATCCCAGCACTTTGGGAGGCCGAGGCGGGCGGATCACCTGAGCTCAGAAGTTCAAGACCAGCCTGGGCAACATGGTGAAACCCCGTCTCTATTAAAAATACAAAAAATCAGCCTAGTGTGGTAGTGCATGCCTGTAATCCCAGCTACTCGGGAGGCTGAGGCAGGAGAATCACTTGAACCCGGGAGGCAGAGGTTGCAGTGAGTCGAGATCACGCCACTGCACTCCGGCCTGGGCGACAGAGAGAGACTTTGTATCAAAAAAAAAAAAAAAAAAAAAAGGCCTGGGATAGATAGAAAGGGAATGTTCAGGTTAAGATAAACATTGTGGAAACCCAAGTTCTTCTGAGGTCTTATAGTGGCTGCCTGTAGAGGCAAGAAGTGACAAATGTTTCCTATTCAGATCTCAGTTCATCTCTTTACGATTGGGAGAGTCTGGAAGAAAAAGATCTATCTATATTAATAGAGATTCTTTAGAGGTGCAAATTTTCCCTCACAAAGAACAACTTTGCGGGGCCATTTCAAAATATGGCAAAGAAACATGTTTTGGGGAAATGCACTTTTTAATTGATGTATATTGTTCCATTATATAAATATTCTATACTCTATCAATTTTTCTGTTTACAGAATTCAGATTTTTGCTTTCAGTTTTTGGATGGATGAAACTGCTTTGAGAATTTTGTATGTCTTTTGCTCACTTCTCTTGAATATATACCAAAGACTAAAAGTTATTGTAGTTATCTAAATTATACATGTTAACTTGCTGACAAAAATTGTGTTAGAATTTGTTGACCTAATGTAAAAGTTTTATATTCTTGCGATGCAAATTCTAATTAATCAATGGTGCTCCTCATTTCTTACTAACTCTTCTTTGACTCTCTTTTAAACATGTAATATAGAAGATGGGTCTACATGTCTATTGCTTTGAATCCTATATTTAGGTTTGGAATCTGACAGTATTTTAAGAATATATTTTACTTTGTTTATTTTGTTCTTAGTCTTAGAAACAGTCTATATATAATTAGTATGATTCATGAGGTAAGGAATAGTTATACAGAGGAAAATCGTTCACCATTTTATTTATGGTATAGAGAAATAGAGTAAAAGACAACACTGAATATACAATGAATATGGGCATTCCCTAGAGATTCGATGTGTGTTGCATGTACTCCTAGGCACGTGGCTAATTAAGATATAGTGGTTTGAATAGCTAAGTTATTTACTTATTTATGTATTGTGTATTGTTTCATCTAAATGAAAATCATAAAATACTTGAACACTTTTTGACATATTCCTTGCTGTTTTTTTAATGAGATGGAAATTTGTTTTTTAAAAAATCTCTTTCTTATAATGTATGTTCATTTCAAAAAATTTGAAAAAGTTTAAAAATTATTAAAAGAAATAGAAAATTACTTTAAAGTAACCATCATGGATGAGCACAATTGACTAAAAGATTTATTTTTTTTAAAAAAGCCATCTTTGGGTGATGTTGGGGGTTGGTAAAGATTCAGCCTGTCTTCTGAGGCACTGAGAGATGTGTAATACACACACACACAAAACGATACTGAAGTCATCAGAAAAAATTATATTTTGTATATACTGAATTAGTTCCTTATCACTCCCAGAAAATTACCAATTAGTTCTTCTTTTTAATTTTTTATTCATTGTTATTATTATTTTTGAGATGGAGTCTTTCTCTGTCCCCCAGGCTGGAGTGCAGTGGCGTGATCTTGGCTCACTGCAACCTCTGCCTCCCGGGTTTAAGCGATTCTCGTGCCTCAGTCTCCCAAGTAGCTGGGACTACAGGTACGCACCACCACGCCCGGCTAATTTTTGTATTTTTAGTAGAGACGGGGTTTTGCCATGTTGGCCAGGCTGGTCTCGAACTCCTGACCTCAGGTGATCCACCCACCTCGGCCTCCCAAAGTGCTGGGATTACAGGTGTGAGCCACCACACCTGGCCAGTTGTTCTTCTTTAACGATCATTATAAATTAATGAATGTAAGCATAGTCAATAGGCCCAATGTACTGCCTTTCTCATTCTTATTAAAACTCAATTGTGTCATCTTTAGTTGGAGTCTCTTCAATTTGTCTCCAGAGTTTTTTTTATATGATCTTAATGGCATCTGTTAACTTCCTTATTATCTAATGTGAAAAGATGTTCTAAACATAAATGAATTTATCTTACACATTTCTTGCCCCAGACTTGGAATCACTCATTCTCCAAGAAGTCCTAATATTCTTTAGTAGAAAGTAATATTTCAAGTGTAAAATCTGGGCCTAGTGATATTCACTGGTCTTGAGTTGTCATTCTAACTAAGCCTCTTATGTAGGCAGATGTAGGGGGAAAAATTGTGTGTGTGTGTGTGTGTGTGTGTGTTTTAAAAGACAAAATACCTCACGAATTTATGCTTATATTTCCAGTTCAAATTCTGGACTACAGAACTTTCCTTAGCAGTTTTCCATTATATCTCTAATTTCTGACTTTCTCACTGAGAATTTCAGTACTCATGAATGCTGGGGATAGAGTTAGAACATTCATGATGGCTAATTTGCTTTCTTACACATTCCACACCTAACATTCCCAGAATAACAATATTAATACCACCACTATCACTAAAAGCAGTTAAATTGTTTTTGGCGGGGAAGGCATATGCTATCTCCATTCTCTCTTCCACTTTGTATGGTTGTACTCTATGGTGTCAGAGCAGATATCCCTACTCTGTATGCTTTTGTGCCTGGCTTCAATTTGTTTCCCTAATCCTTTTGATTTGATCTTAATGACATTTGTTAACTTCCTTATTATCTAATATATATGCAAATAAATATATATGCCAATAAATATATGCAAATAAACAGGCAGAAATGTTCTACTTTTTACACTGTATACAGTACTTTCTCCTTTTTAACCTTCATTCAGTCTTAGTTCTAAAGGTGAGCTATATTCAATTCTCACTACAGTCCTTAGGTTAGTATCTCTCAGACATTTGTGTTGTTTGAGCTTGTTTGCTAGTAGGTTCCTCAGCAAGGGCTCACAGGAAAAATATGCCCTGAGTTCTTGTGTGTTTTTAACAGTTTGTCTGTGTCCTTCCTGTTCATTGCAGCACTATCCACGATAGCTAAGTTATGGAATCAACCTAAGTGTCCATCAACAGATGGATGGGTAAAGAAGATGAGGTATATATACACAATGGAGTACTATTCATTAAAAAAGAAGGGAATCCTGTCATTTGTGACAACAGGGATGAACCTAGTCATTCAAGGTTTGATTTCAAGAATCAAGTCATTCTTGAAAATCAGTTTTAGAGGATAAAAGTTTCTTGACTCTCATTTTCTTTCCTTAAGTATCTTAAATAAGTTATTCCATTTTTTTCTGTCATAAAGTATTGCTGTAAAAAAAATCTAACGATGAGCTAATTTTCTTTTTATTTATAAGGCTCATGTTCTTTTTGTCTTCATGTTCAAATAGCTTTTCCCTTTTCTTTAAACTCCAGCAGTTTTACTAGAATGTGTTTTGCTGTTAGTTGATTTGTTTAGGCACATGGCACACCCTTTCAACTTGTGCTTTCAAATACTTTTTTATTCTAGTAAAGTTTTTTTTGACTTATAGCTTTTAGGATTTTTTTTTCTTCTTTAAGAATTTCTACCCTCCACATATTGGATTTTCTTTGCCTGTCCACAATATTTATTACTTTTTATTGCAATATGTTTATTTCTTCTTTTATATTTAAACTTGTTTTCTTATCTGTAAGAGTATATTCACTCTTATGCTCCTTGTAGTTTGATATAGTTCCTTTATTTCTAAATCTCTGTTGATTTCTGAAACTATATTTTTAAGTTTTGCTAATTCTGATTTATGTTGCTATTTTATGTCATCATTTCCTTACTATTAATATCATTTATGTCCAACATCATTTTCTTAAACTTTTGAAATAGTAGGTTATAATTTTTCTATATTTTGTAGATATGTATTTCTCACATTTTTTATTATCTGCAGAAAAGTTATTCTATTCTTTATTTTCTTTTTTTAAATATAGTGACTTTGTAGGGATTTGGCTTCAATAATTTTGTTTTCTTAATTTATATAAAATTAGTTTTACTAAAGTTTGCTCAGGAAGGAGGTTTGGTTTAATTTTCTAAATTCACAGACCTCCCTCTTTTATTGTTTTCATGCAGCATTAAAAATATTGCAGTTTACCTTCTGAGATTTTAAACCTCTGTTTCCCTCCTCATTTTAATCCAAATCCTTCAATGTCTCTGTTGTCCCTGACCCACTCAATTTTTATTTTGTTTTATTTTATATTGACAAAGTCCTAATTTATCATGTAAAACATGATGTTTTGAAGTATATTTACATTGTGGCATGACTAAATCTAGCTAATTAACATATGCATTACCTCATAGAGTTAGCGTTTTTGTGCTAAGAACACTTTACAACCATTCTCTTTGCATTTTTCAAGAATAGAATGTATCATTAACTAGAGTCATCACATTGTAAAATAGATCTCTTGAACTTATTCTTATTGCCTAAGTGAAATTTTATATTTTTTGACTAACATCTCCCCAACTTTCCTGCCTAACCCCAATCCCCTAGTAACCATCATTCTACTCTCTACTTCTATGAGGTCAACCTTTTAGATTCCACATATGAGTGAGATAGTGCTATATTTCTCTTTCTGTAACCTGGCTTATTTCACTTAACATAATGTACTCTAGGTTCATCCATGTTGCCACAAATGACAGGATTCCCTTCTTTTTTAATGAATAGTACTCCATTGTGTATATATACCTCATCTTCTTTATCCATCCATCTGTTGATGGACACTTAGGTTGATGCTGTAACTTAGCTATTGTGGATACTGCTGCAATGAACATGGAGGTGCAGATATCTTTTCAACATACTGACTTCTTTTTCATTGAGTGTATACCCAGTAATGGGATTGCTATATCATATAGTAATTGTATTCTTAATTTTTTATGGAACTTTCTGTTTTTCATAATGGCCGTACTAATTTACATTCCTGCCAACAATGCACAGGGTTTTTTTTCCTCCACATCCTTGCTGACAGTTTTGTTATCTTTTGTTTTTTTGATAGTAGCCATTTTAACAGGTGTGAAGTGATAGCTCATTGTGGTTTTGATTTGCATTTCCCTGATGGTTAGTAATGTTGAACATTTTTTCATATACTTGTTGGCCATTTGTGTGTCTTCTTTTGAGAAACATCTGTCTGGTGACCTGCTCAATTTAGATTCCACTTCCAGGAGTATGAGGATCTTCTCCTGGGAGGCAGCCCTGGCTTGTAAGCTTTGTTGGAGTGCTAGGCCAAACCCCTACTAGATTCAACAGCTGCTGTCAGCCTGGCCTTCTATATATCTAGTGACTACCTGCTGGCTGTTTGAGAGCTCTCGTGTTCTCAGAAGCATCAGATACCTTGTTGTTTCTCTGCTTTTCTCACACATGTGCTGACACGGTGCAGATCTTACGGTGGTTGATGATTTGGCACCCCCTACCTCCGATATTTGGGGGGTGAAAGTGTGCATTGCCATCTAATTTTTGTAGAAACATTGCCTGTGGGATTTTTGTTTTGCAATCTAGTGACTCTTTTTTTTTTCTTTAATGTGGGTATTTGGAAAATGTGAAATCTATGCTTTTCCTGCTGCTTCTATATTTCCAGAATGCTCTAATTCAGTAGTCAGTCTCGTTTATCATGCATGGCCCTTCATCTTTGCAGTTAGGAATTAATTGACAGAAAGGAAGTGTGAACTAACAGTGTACTCTGTGTGTGTGCCTATGTGTATGTGTACATGCGCATTTATTTGGGGAGGTGGGGTGCTGCTCCTGGCAGCACTGCTATATACAGATGTGGGTGTATCCTTAAAGCCCAGAGTTTTGACCATAAATTTTCACATTCTGAACACGGGAAGTTTTCCCTTTGGTTTGTGGTGTGGACAGTTGTTTGTAGAGCTAGTCTTTATTTTCAGGTGTATTTTTGTCTGTCCAAATGACATTGGCACTACAACGTTGCTAATTACCTTGGGAAAAGTTAGTCTGTCTGCAATTTTTTTTTCCCCTAGAATCCTCAGCTATCCTCATGTGGAGAAGATTCTAGTTGCCTTTGGTGTATTGCTTTTGTTTACCATTCACTTTGGTTCACTCTTTAGTAAAAACCTACCTGGGTAGGTACAATATTGTTTCCACATGAGGCTTCTTGAACAATTCCATTTTCTCATGTATAAACCACTTGGTAAGGTAGGATGCATTAATCTGGAAGTCTGATAAAGCTAAAGACTTGGGCAAATGGAGGAATTACTTTCAAAACAAATTTCTATTAATGTTAATGAATGGAAGATTTGCTCATCCTCCCTTTTCTATTTATGCCATCTGTTTGTCATTGGTTATCATGGCAACCAAAAACGGAATTATACAAAACAAGACTTATGAAATAGCTCCATTTAAATGAGGATTTCATTTCATAATTTTCAGATTTAACAGTAAGGTAATGAAGTTCAGAAACAGACCTAGAGCATAAAATTTTTAAAAAATGTAAACATTTTCCACGTGCAAGGCACATAGACTAGTTTGTGATGTGAAGGGTTGGAAACTAACCTATAACGGCCAGAGAGGTACAAATGCCAAAAGGACCAAGTGTAATACAACAGGGTTAATGGAGACTGAAGTAATCTAGAGAGAATTGAATTTAAAGTGTCTATAAAGTTCTGTGAAGATAACAAAAAAAATGGCTGTATAGTCAATGTGGTGTGTATGCCTGCAAGTCTGTGATACTTGATTCAGTGTGAAGTATGTTTACATAAAAATTCTATGGAATAATCAATTTATTAATGTATAGAATAATTAAAGATATTTAGAAAATTATTGGTGAATTATCTTATGATTAATAAGAACTTCCTATTTATGCTCAAGAAAACTCAGAAATGTTTAGAAGGATAAATGAATAACCAAGCCCTTTATAGAAAAAATATACACTTTATTTTCAACTAGAAAGGTGCAAACATGTAACTTTTGGTCACACTCTCAACAAATAAACTGTCCGAAAAACAGTCATATCAAAGTAGAAACAAATGCTTCCAGGTGAAAAAACTGATCAGCTATATAGAGTCACTCAGTTTTTAATAAAGGCCATTTGTTCATTAAAAGTGAGGCTACCACATTTCCTACCTAGAAATCAGCCTGCCAAGGACACTGATGCCTCCCCTTTGCAAACAATCTGTTTTGACGGACTGTCATTCTATCTGAGCAGAATTTCCATATAAGTATCCATTTCATGCTTTGAACGATCAGACAAGCTTTACATTCTACCTATGGTGTTCAGAAATTGAGGCTAACATTGAAATATCAAAGCATTAAAAACAAAAATAAAAAGGCACAAACAACTTTAAATTAACTTAGATAACTGTACATATATATATATATACACACACACACACACACACAATATTTACAATATAAATTTTAAAAAATCTGGCTTGTTACAGGCAAATTCACTTGCCACAAGCTGTCCAGTCTAATCGACAGGATTCCGATTCCTGAACAGTGTCATTCGAATCAGAATGTCAGAGCTGAGTCTGCTGTTCTGACTTAAGGAACAACTTGACTCAGTCTCTTGATGGCTGGAGAATGCACATCCTAGCTGTCACTGGGGCTACAGGCAGGTCAGTGAGCACGCTAAAATTTTCCTTCTCAATTACACTTCAAATAGCAGGCATATTACTCGTATAAGATGCTATCTGATGATACTAACCTTTCTGCTGGTACCCTCCCACTGCTCCTAAAGCCACACCTTAATATACATTCTGGTGCTGTGTACTAATGTAGTTCCACTGTCAAGTCTTAACATTCTTCAAACCAGTGTCTGGGGTTGATAGACTATTTGTTTGACATGGCACAATGTTTTGAATTGGGTGGGAATCTTTTCCCCCAGTTAGAAAAACAGATTTAAATAACTTGTGCTACTGAAATCATTTTTACGGAAAAATGAGATGTGAATCAGTTCAAGTTCCAGTCTAATGAGTTAATGTCTCTCACTCTCTGGCTTCATGCCATGTCTCCGTACATCTTCCTGTAGTACAGCGATTCAAAGATGTCATTGTCTCCGGGACAGTTGTAATGGCAGGCACAGGTCTTGATGAACATCATGTTCTTCTTCATGACCTCGCCGTCAGGGCACTTGAACTCCACCGGCAGGGTGGTGGTTCTGTGGGGGGTGCAGCATCGGCCGTCGGTACATACTCCACAGAATTTAGCTCGGTATGTCTTCATGCTGGTGCAGCCAGAAAGCTCAAACTTGATAGGCTTGGAGATTTTGGGAGTACGGATGCACTTTTTGCCCTTCTAAGGAAGACAAGGGAAAAGAGAGAGGAAAAAAAAAAATCAGCGACTCTACAAGAGGAGTGGCTTTCTTCAACCCTCTGTGTTTTAGTCTTCTGTTGTCTGACTTCTGTTTATATTTTGAGGGGAGGAAGTTTGAGTCTCATTTGCTATGTCCAAAAATAGCCAGAGCCTCTCTTGGAATGTCTTGAATTAACTAACCCTGTGGAAGATTTCGTAGTGGAAAACTGGTGGTTGCTATTACACAAGCTCTCATTCCAGCAAAACAGCTCAATGGTTAGATAGTTTTGGAGATAACGGGCTTATACTAACAAGCGTGGCAAGAGCCCTAAGTTGGGTCCTATCCACTGTTTTTCCTGTGAAAAATAGTTAATAGGAGCAGAACATGTACCTTAATGTTCTCTTCCAGGTCAGCTTCGCAAGGCCTGACCATGCACAGGCGGCTCTGCTTCTCTAGCCTGCAGGAGGCGTTGTCATTGGTAACCCGGGTGGAGATGCCCATCCCACAGGTCTTGGAACAGGCGCTCCACTCTGTGGTCTGGACCAGGCAGTTGGCTCTAATCATAGTTGGGTCTGGGCCAAACGTGTCTTCCAGTCGGTAAGCTGCGAGAGCAGAGCACACAAACACCATGTAAAACGCCTGGATAAGGTATTTCCCCCGTTCGGTCGGCACAGTTAGGACTCCCTCCCTGGGAGAGAATCACGACCCTGACTTAGAGGAAGACTCGACTCACCCGCGAGGGCAGGCCCAACCACGGTTTGGTCCTTGGGCTCGTCACACACCCACTCCTCGCAGCATTTCCCGGGCAGCTTGACCCTCCTCGGGAAGGGGCAGTCAGGGCTGGGCAGACGAACGTCCATGCTGCACAGGGGCATGCAGCCCACCGCCCCGTCCAGGCACGTGCACTGGTACTTGCAGCTGCTCTGGAAGGACTCTCCGCTGCGGTACACCGTACCACCGAAGATGCAGGGAGCACCATCTTTGGCTGGAGAAGAGGAAGGGAAGAGAGGGGTGGGGGATGCAGAGGTCAGGCATTGGGGCACTCTCACATCCAGAGCGTCAGGGATGCGAGTTGGGATCTGGGCTGCAGGGGGCGGGCTGGCAGCAGCTGGAGAAAGAAACTCAGTCCGAGCGGTTTCTTTTTCCAGCGGGCGGGTGGGCGTGAGGGAGGAGGCGGCCGGACACCTAGCGGTGGGGGCTGCGGGTCTTACCGGTGCACACGCCGATCTTGCGGTTGGCCGGGGAGCCGAAGTGACAGAATAGGCCCTTGTGCGGGTCGCATGGGTCGCGCTCGGTGCACAGCTCGCCCAGCTGCTTGGCGCAGACGCGGCAGCAGCCGCAGCCGTCCAGCACGAGGCTCACGCCCGCCGGGCAGCGCGGCGCCGGCTCGTCCGGGCACCGGCACGGCCCGCTGCAGTTCTGGCCGACGGCCGGCTGCAGGGAGGACAGGGCGGTCAGCGGCGCTCGGTCGGCGCGCACGCCCTCCCCGGCCGGCCCCGAGTCCCTCCCTGGCAGCCGCCGGCCGCAGCGGGGGCTCCCGGCGCTTACCCGGCTGCAGAGGGCGAGGAGGACCACGAAGGCGACGCGGACGGGGCCCATACTGGCGGCGGTCATGGTTGGCACTGCGGGCGGAGCGGAGGGCGCGGTGGCGGCGAGCGGGGAGCGGCGGGGCCTGGAGCGCTGGCGGTGGTCGGAGGTGGGGACCGGGACGCGCCGGGCTGTCGTCTCGGGGCTGTCGGCCGGGGCGGCTGCCGTCGAGCTGGAGGGTGGAGTCGCACTGGCTGTCTCCTCTCAGCGGGGAAGAGTTGTTGTGTGAGTTTGGGGCGGGCGGCCCGAGGCTTTTATACGCTCCGGGCGGCCGCGGCTCGCCAATGAGCTGAATGGAGTCCTACACAAACAGGGACATTCCTCGCATTCCTCCCCACCTTCCTGCCTCATCAACTCACACCGGATTGATCCTGACCCCTTGACACTCAGCATTCCTCCGTCTGAAAAAGCTGGCACACTCCAGCTCACAGAAAAAAAAAAAAAGGAAAAAAAAAAGCGCAGTATTTCCAGCACCAAATAGAATTTTTTTTTCCCTATCCTCTTCGCACCACTCCTGATTCATATCATTTATAAACACACTGGCAATTATTTCTTATTTCTTTTTCGAATAAGTTTGCCCTGTTCTGTCCACTGACATACATCCTTTTTAGGAAGTAGGTAGCTGAAGAGGCAAACAGCAGGAATTCCTAAAAAATTCGAAAAGGTTTCTCCCCCCCAACCCTTAGCAATGATTTGCGTTTTAGAGGCTATAGGCTCTTGAAACTCTCCAAAGAGTAGAAAAGGAGTGAGTTGCTTTTAACCATTTGAAATCCTCAAGATGCCTACCTGTAAAACCCTGAATTCTATATTTGAGATTTGATCATTTGTCACTTGAGGTAACGGTTTTGGGACAAGAAAGAGAACAAAGACGCGTGTGACTCAGGATGCAGTCTCCTGGGGCAGATTTCCAAAACTCTTGCTTAGTTTTCTCTTAATATATGTAGGAGTTTTATATAGGCAAGGACAAGGGAGGAGTGGCCATCAATGTTTCCAGAAAAAGGGATCCATTGTTCTATCAGAGCAAATGATTCTGTGTTGGGTAGGTAGGGGCTCTGGGTGTCAGGGTGGGAACACTGGGATGCAAAGGGGGTTCACCTAGGAGCATTTAAACACAGCTTCACTAGGGTCTTTGAGAAATGAGTGCATTTTCTTATATTAAAACCTATAATCTTCAAATGTGGATTGGATTTGGTTTGTCTTGTTAAAATAAGAAGTCTGATTCCATTACAAGAGCAGTGTACCCTGTTGTATCTGGATATAAACTAAGATTGACAGTGAATAATATATTTTTAGTGACTCCCCACACATCTATGAATAGTGATTGTGACTTCTCATTACCCAAGGAACATGCAGCCTGAGGGAGTGAGGTCAGGACAAGGAAAGAATAGGCTTTATTCTCCCTGGGTGTGTGCAGATGTTGAATATGGCCAATAAACCTAAGCATATCTCCATTTCTTAATATAGTGCTACTTAGCTTCACTAAAGACCCAACTAATTCACTGTGCTTTCATTTGGAATCTATGTTGTTTAGTGGCTTTTTTGTTAATACCTCCAGTTCCCATTTTATATAAAGAGAGTGATTCTAGGGCCATACCATTTTTGTATTCTGTAATGCCGCATCATTTGACATTGGTGTTACCAATGAGTAGATTCCTTTAAGTTGTTGATGCTTCAGAGCATGGGTTCAAGATAAGCATATCTGTTTGTGGTGCAAAGATCGGCTTTAGAAACAATGCATTATAGATTTATCATTTGAAAACAGCCTGTTTAAACTGATCAAATTTTTAAAGTTTCAGTACAGTCTGTTGAAAAATAGCCAAGAAGAAATATAACCACTCCAACTTCAGCATAGAGCATATCATCTGTGCACGATTACCTCGTTAAGCCAGCCACATGTTATAGAGTGTAGTTGCATGTCAATAGTGTGAATGGCCAGCAAAGGGGTGGGGGTGCCCTCTGAAGCTCAGGAAGAATTTTCGTCATTGTTATTTAATGTCCTTTCCAAGCATTCCTCAAAAAGAAGAGGCCTAAGAGTTCCTATTTAAAGAAGGAACATTCCAAGTTAACTTAATAGCCACATGTGTATTAAAGGCAACTTGGCCCTCAACTTTTTCTTCCCTTGTGGATGATTTTAAAAGTCCAAAATATGTGGGAAGCCACAGTGAAACCTTTCAAGACCTAAACCCCCAATTACATCTACCTCTAATGGTTGGAAAGGTGTGGTGGCTGGGGAAGGGTAGGGATGTGCAGTGCGAGTCTCACCTAAGGTGGGATGTGGGCTTGGTGGTGAGCTCTCCTAGCTTGCAGAGTGAGGTAGGTGGGAGAAGGGTTGGGGAATTTCTGAATCCTCAGGAGAGTCTGAAAGCTACCACCATCTTCATGCCTGCAGCAGGGAGACTCATTCATGGAGGGGATAAATTGTTGTACTGGGTTATAGTTAGATGGCCTAGGTTGTATTCTTGGAACTGCCTTTCGCAGATCTCAGGGAAGTCACACGTAGGAGCCATATTCCCATTTCTGTTTAAAAAATGAAAGTAATCATAATTTTTTTAATTTAATAGGGTTCAGTGAGGGCTGAGTAGATGAAAATTCCAGGGAATTGGTGCTTTATTTTTTTCAGATTTTCTTGATTTTTTTTCAATCTCTGTGTATAATAAGTATATTACCATTCTGCTCTGTTGTTAAAAATGTCAAAAGAAAGAATTTGGTTTTACTATAAAATTCTCATAGTCCCTCGAAGTCTCAAAAAAATCTATAGTCAGTTCCAAATAGATGATTTTAATGTTGCTTAAGAGGAAATAAGCATATTGAAATATATAGAACATATGAAATCTCAGGAAAGAAAAAGTTTCTGTGCATTATCAGGTTAGATTGAGGCTTTATGATCAAAACTCTTTTTGAAGGAGTTAAAAGACTATTATTAAGAGAGTGACACAGAGACAGACAGACACATACATGCACACACACCCAGAGAGAGAGAGAATGAGAGAAGACACCCAAGACATTCACAGACTCAGAAGTATGTTTTTATTGTGATATGGACCATCAAATGCCAGGAAACTCAAAGGGAAAGGCTGATACTCCATCCATAATTCATGCCATGGGATCTGAATTCTTGCACTATTATCAATGACTCAGCAAATGTTTGTGTGTGCCTGGGCGGTAAAGTGGGAAATAGTGGCTTCTTATAACTTCATCCAACTTTGACTTACCCCAGCCCCTTTGATTGACAGCAGGTCAGAGTTGGGAGAAAAAGATCTTTGAATTTGTGTGCAAAATGGTTAAGATGCACTAATTTTGACTTGTAAGCAAGTATTTATCTAGCAAATGCTTTTTAGAGAGCATTTTTTCCTCGTGGTAAAATGAGGAATTAACTAAGCTGGCCACTGAGTCCTGTTTACCAAGCTATATAAGGTATGTGTGTGTGTCTACTAGGGCATCATTTGTACTGGTCGTTTGGTTAAGTCTTGTAAGATGTTCAGCTGTGGATGTATTACATTCCTTCCCTTAAGTTTTTTGTTGTTTTTTCCTCCCTAAAAAAAAAAGGTTTCTTGATCAGGTATCAGACACAGAGAAAACCTGGCAGGACTACAGAAAAGTGGCCAGAGTTGGAGTGTTTGTGTACTTAAAGAAGGAATCTTGCACATTTTCAACTTTTAGTTGTAGACATTTTCTTATAAGAGCAAGTAGGAGTCAGTGCCAGCCCTCAAAGCGGAAATCAAAGCTCCCAGGGAAACATGCCGGAGGAATGTGACTCAGAGCCAAGACCCATACGCAATGCATACACGGAGCTGTCAGACTTATAGGAGGAAGTCTGGCCGTATATGGGCATCTGGACAGTGAGCGATTTGTCCTTATGGTGGGTCAGGGGGAGGTTTCTGATGTTTCTAGCGTGCCTCAAATTCAATCATGTAAATTAATTCTACAAAAAAAAATGGTATCCCAGAAGCCTTTTGTAAAATAGTAATAAATATTATTCTGAAATCTTCAGGGACCCTGGTTTGGCTGACATGACCTCCTGTTTGCTTAAGATGAAGGTTAAGGAGAGGGCGTACTTGCTGGGAGTTCATGGCGGGGAAGATAAACGCGGATGTTTACTATCTAAATTACATTCATTACCTTCATGCCTTTTCCTCCTTATAATTAGTTCTCTGACTTTCTTAGGATATTTTCTAATGCAAAGGTATTTGTCAGAAGGCAGTCAAGGCCGTTGCATGTGGTTTGTGTTTTATGTTTGCCTGTTCCTCGCTTGTCCATAGAGTTGGAGGCCAGAGGGGTGAGAAAGGAAGTTTTGTTTTGTAAGATGATATCCCTTCAACTTACTGTTTGTTTCACTTATTTTGTTAATTTGACTCTTTTTTTTTTTAAAGTAGTTTACTTAGAATCCTGTGTTGCCTCTAGTCAGCTTTTGTTCATCTAAGATAGTGTCAGATGAGGATGCTGCTAGGTAGGAATGAGCCTGGTGGTCTCTTACACTGTCCTCGACAGGTTAGAATCTCAAATTCATCACCGTTTAGCAACCAGGAGTATTTACAGCCCCTTGCTTCATCAGGGCTAAATGTGAAGCATCCCCTTGGTGATACTTAAGGTGATATTTAAGTGAGTGGGAATGAAAAACAGAGGAAATAAGCATTTCTTAAGATGTGTGATTTGGGGACACCCAATCAATAGGTTTAGGAGGAAGAGAGAATTGGGACTAGCTATCTTATCTCAAATAATAGAAGTAAGTGAAAGGATAAATATTTTGAAAGGACTAGTGTGAAATATACATGAATGTATTCCTAGGGATTCTGCTGCGGGGTGGGAAAGGGGTGCAGATTAAGCCAGACCCCATCATTCATCCCTGGAAATGTGCTCCCACCTCTAGCCAAGAGGCCTGAGGTCCCTTCTCACAACTTCAAACTCCCTGGAATACCATTAGGTGGAGCCTAGGGGACTGGCTAGGAGGTGAAGGTGTGAGCTCCATACCTGCCATTTGCTTGCCAGTGACCTCAGGGAAGACACCTACTCTCTCTGAGCCTGAAATTTCCCACCTGTTCACAGTTAATGTGCAGCTCAAGGAGACAATATTTATGAAAGCACTTTCATAAAGGTATTAGAGTTTTAAAATTGCCCTTCTCTTCCATTCTTCAGTGGCTCTCAAAACTAAGCCCAACTCAGATTGACTGTAAAAGCCTGTCACAGTTTGATTTTATAACAGTGTCCAGCTCTGCATGGGTTTTAGAGTGTTAAAACTAGGTGAGAGCTCAGAGAAAATCAAATCCTACCTCTTATTTATTTATTTATTTTATTAGATTAGATATTCAGGATTGATAGAGACATTTAACAAATGAAAACTTTTTTTCTTTTTGAAATAGGGTCTGGCTCTGTCTCCCAGGGTGGAATGTAGTGCCATGATCTTGGCTCACTGCAACCTCTGCCTCCTGGGCTCAAGTGATCTTCCTGCCTCAGCCTCCCAAGTAGCTGGGATAGCTGGGACTACAGGTGTGCACCACCATATCCAGCTAATTAAAAGAATTTTTTTTTTTTTTTTTGTAGAGATGGGGTTTTGCCATGTTGCCCAGGCTGGTCTCGAACTCCTGAGCTCAAGAGATCAGCCCATCTCAGCCTCCCAAAGTGCTGGGATTACAGGCGTAAGCCCCTGCGCCGGGCCACAGATGAAACTTTTAAATTTGTCTTATGCTTCTTATATACCTTATATTGTCACTTCGATGATAATGTGGGCATGCATTTTAATCATAGTTTTCAGGATACCTAAAACAAAATTCTATGCTCAGCTTATTTTTGTCACCTGATAGCATCTACTCCCTTCATCTTCATTATATGTTCATAGTTTTCATTGATTTGTGGAGGATGGGGAGAGTTAGGGAGTTCCTAACAGTCTTCCTTTCTTCAGTGAAAAATGTGTAACTTATCACTAATAAGAATATGGTATGCAAATGATAAAGAAACAACCAAAAAATTATGATTGCTTGTGTCCATCACATTTTCTTTAGATTTGTATTTCTTGGAAACCAAGGTGGTATTTTACTTAATGTGATGCTACAGACTTTAACACTTTACATATATTTGGGTTGACAGTTTTCTTTCATTTCATTTTGTAATGTGAACTGTGCTACCATGATGGTGACAAGTTTTCAAATTAAAAGCAAACTTGGTAGCCAGTATGTTCTAGAATGCTAAAAACCAAGTTGTTTGAATCATCCAAAGAGTTTCTAAACTATTTTCCTGTGTGTAAATCTTTAAATAACCATGCCTATGGGAATCATATATTAAAATCTGAGCACCTGGATAAGGCTTTTTGAGAAGGTATCTTATCTTCTAAGTCAGAACTTTCACCACATATGAAGAAAAACCACATTCTATTTAAAATCCTGACATCATCAGATTTGAAGTAAAAGTCAACTAATGCATTGTTTAATTTGATGTTAGAATGCACGATGCCAATTTTATCTGAACAATTTAGCGGGAACGCTTCTTAGAACTCTATCTGGGTGCCTAAAATAGATACTCAAAATTTTGACTGCATTCTCTTTTGTTTATGTAGAAATTTTTAATTTACAAAGCCCTTTCACGGTTACCATCTTACTTCATTATCATAACAATCGCATTAGGTATTATTCTACCCATATTGCAGGTGAGGAAATTGAGGTCCAATAATGCTAACATACACAAGCCTGGTTAGAGGTGGAGAAGGGACAAGTGAATTTAAATTCAGTTCTTCTAAAGAGAACACCCCTTGCCTTTCCTTCCAAACTTCACGGCTTCTTTTCTTTCCATTCTATATATGGTGATCTCTAAACACTGTGTGTCCTTAAGATAGTTATCTCAGATCTTAAACTCTTAAAGGACACACCCTAGAAGGCATATAAACACCTGTGGGCTAACTGGCAGTCACTATTGTATTGTGCCGTGGTCTGAGATAAACATGAAGTAGAAAGAAAATGTTTACTGACCTGTATTAGTAGAGAAATTTGGGCTTAGATTTGCTTTTTTTTTTTTTTTTTAACAATTAAGATTTTGGTGATGTTGCTATGTAGACAGATATGTTCTTCTTATCCGCTAACTAACTGATGCAGCTAAAAAAGGAAAAAATGAATAAGATGATGGGTATGCTTTGGGAGGCTTAATATCAGGGTGTGCTCTGCTCTGATGTCAGCCTCAGCCCACACTGAAAGCGTTCAGTCTAACCCTATGCAGTCTTGTTTCGGCTGAGACTGGGACCAACCATAGACATCATGAAGGTCTTCTTGAATAATTGTATCATTCACTGATAAGCTACCCTTAGGGATAAATATCATGACAGAGTCTGGGACAAACCATCAGCACTGAAGCAATGTCTACTATCAACATAGGTTTTTCACGAGTATCCCCTAATAAACATGTCCTGCCATGTTATTGATATTTATTTTATGAACTTGCCTTAACTGAAAATGCACTTTCCTCAAACTGAATATGCTTTGCCTTTCAGGTTTACAGCTTTCTCCCTCTCTCCTTTAACCATGGAAGGATTTGATTGGAATCATAACTAGTTTCATGTTGTTAATGGAATGCGATTTGTCATAACTACACATGGCAGAGAGAGAGGGTTGTCTAGGAATGGTGGGGTTATGATGAGGGAATTTTCTTATTGACCTGCACATGTGTGTGAAAGTTAACAACTACAGGATTACATTTCATATAACCATTGACTTGCTCATGTCTGGAAATAATATCACTATTAAGCTATTTCTCATATACAGATGATAAAAACTTATTTTGTCCAATTGAATCTTTTGTGGCATTTTCATCATTTCTAACGTCTCTATGTTGGTTCTTCTTGATTGTGGTTTTCCCTGCTGTTTCCGTATTTGACTGATTGCTGAGGCTCCTACTATTTGCTTTCAGCTCAGAAGGTAAGCAAGCAAACTTCCAGTCCAGTTTCAGATGGACTTTGAACCAATGTTGCTTTGCAGTAGGGCTGAGCACTGCCACAGTCAAATGTATCCTCCCTGGTTGGCTTTGATCGCTTTCGAGGCAGGCCCATCCCTCATGGGTCAAGCTGGTTTTTCCTTGTCAGCTTCTGAAGCCTCCCCGAGAGGGGGGACCCACAGTGTGGTGTTACCACTTTTCTCTCATGTGTTCTCATTTTACACACTGAAGCCTGGCCTTCATCTAAAGTGAACTCGAGAAGTCCAAACTCCTGTATTTCTCATGCATCATATCCAACTTTCCAAGAAGGGAAAATGACCTTATGTTGAGCAGAAACGGCCATCTGGAAGCCATTTTGTCTACCGTAAGCGCCAAGGACGAGGAGAATTCTTAGACCCTGCATGTGAGGGCAGGAGGCCACAAGGCAGAAGCCACTCACCAAATGTATTTATGTCATAGCTACATCACCTGGCATCCTTTACTAAAGTGTTGCAGGGGGTCATTTTACTTGGACTTCCTTATTTTTCCTGGCATTGCTGGTGGTAGGGAAATACTCCTGTTGTACTGTTTCTGGCAGCCCAATATTCCACCAAGCTAGGCCTAGAAAAGCAAAGGTGCAGTGAGGTGGGGAAGACACTAGTACATCATTTAAAAAAAAAAAACTTTGGTGTTTATGCTTTGTTTTCAAGATCGTAAGAATAAAACCTGCCAAAATAAACTTGGCTCATATTTAATTGATTAAACAAGATTTTTAACAATTGTAGCTTGACATTCTAGTGTGAAATTTTGTCACTTAAAGTAAGCTAATTTTATAGTTTAAAGCATTTCATAAAATTAGCCACCATTTTGGATTGAGTGAGTCCTAATTTTTATCTTGATTTAGAATGTTTTAGAAATAGATATATCATCAAATTGATCTGAATATAAAATTTGCTGTACTTTGTATTTCTCTTTTTCACCATTTCAGGAGAGATTTTTTTTCTCTATTTCTCTATTTAATAATATGATTAAATGTTAATATGGCTTAATGCATGACATTAAGCAAACTACTTAATCTCTCTAAGTCTCTGCTTCTGTTAACCTGGAGATAATAATGGTACCCACTTCATAAGATTTCATAGAATTGTTGGGACATTTTGCAAGGGTTAAATACCAAAAAATCCTAAAACATCTAGAACAATGCTTGTCAGAGACTAAACACTCAATAAATGTTCATTAAAGTAAAATAAAACTGTCCTTTTAGTTCATCTCTGAATATTTTTAGATACTAAATTTCTGCCTTAGCACATTTACTACGTATTAGCACTTAGCTCAGTAGTTTTCACGGTCATGTATTATGCAGATTACACTTAAAAAAAAAGAATGTCATGACAGTTTGTATTGACAGCCTTTTTCTAGCAAGAAACATACCGTTATTTTGAACTTGTGAATGATTTATGAATTGTGATTCTGTCTTCAGGATCCTGTTTTTTTCTGTTTTGTTTTTGTTTTTGTCATCAAATTGCCACAGGGGGGAGTATAAGTTCTTGAAAGCAGCAAGAAATACAGTTTAAGTAATTTGGTACCAATTATCATTATTATTAGAAACGTCCATATCTGAAACATCTAAACAGATTAGATTAATACCTATGTGAAAGTAGAAATATTTATAGTAAAAAATTGGGCACCGTTTAATATAGGATTTATTAATTTTGTGATAGTTGCAAAAGCTGTGTCTGGAAAATGTCCCCATGGGTGAATGTGTGGGCGTGCACATGCATGTGGGTAATATTAATGCTGTAGGAGAAGGGAGAAAATGTAAGTTTCTAGTTTTTGCCATTAAAGTCATGACGTGAAAGAGAGAGGGAGAGAGAGAAAGAAAGTGAGAAAGTGCTAGTCTGTGTAAAATGACCATGAAAGGGCTTGGATACAATGATGTCATACAGCCTCACAATATGGATAATACTGAACCCTTTCTGTACATATGGGGGCATTTAAGCTTATTAAGTTCAATAACTAGAGGAGACAATTCCAAAATAGAGAGAGCTGTGCAAGTGGAAAATGAAATGTCCCTTTGAATAATACAATTGCATTTAATAGCTACAAAAGCTGTGACCTAATATTATAACACTGACAGTCAAAAACATGGTTATTTTCTCTGCCTCTTTGAAGAAAAAGAAATACAACAAAAGTTCCTAGAGAAACCAAATGGACGTTCTTAAAAGTTGGGGGGTTTGATCATGGTACCAACCTGAACTTTCCCTTTGGGAGTGGATCATCTTTGCAGATAATTGGTCAGCTTTCCTATAATATATACTGTATATATGTATGTGTGTATATATAATGTGTGTGTATAGTATCTCATATATATATATATATATATATTTTTTCGGGTTTTCACGCTCAAAGTCCTGCCACCATCGTAAGTTACCCCAATATCCACCCAAATCACTATCCAAACTCACTTCTAAGCTCCTCTTGCCTGTCTCTTCTAAGCTAGTCAGGATTTGCCATACACCCTGCCATTTCATAGAACTTCTGCAATCCCCTTGGGTCCTTGATATGGTTTGGCTCTGTGTCCCCACCAAATCTCATGTAAGATTGTAATCCCCAGTGTTGGAGGTGGAGCTGGTGGGAGGTGATTGGATCATAGGGGTGGTTTCTGAAGGTTTAGCACCATCACCCTGGTGCTGTCTCATGAGAGAGTTCTCATGAAATCTGCTTGTTTAAAAGTGTCCCCCTTTGTTCTTTTCTTCCTGCTCCAGCCATGTAGGACGTGTCTCTTTCCTCTTTGCTTTCCGCTGTGATTGCAAGTTTCCCGAGACCTCCCCAGTCATGCTTCCTTTACGGCCTGCAGAACCATGAACCAATTAAACCTCTCTTCTTTATAGATTATCCAGTCTCACGTAGTTCTTTATAGCAATGTGAGTACAGACTAATACAGCCCTACATTTCTGTCCTCTCCTGCTCTCTCTTGCTCATTTATTCTTTTTTTTTTGAGACGGAGTCTCGCTCTGTCGCCCAGGCTGGAGTGCAGTTGGGCGATCTCGGCTCACTGCAAGCTCCACCTCCTGGGTTCACGCCATTCTCCTGCCTCAGCCTCCCGAGCAGCTGGGACTACAGGCGCCCGCCACCACGCCTGGCTAAGTTTTTTGTACTTTTAGTAGAGACGGGGTTTCACCGTGTTAGCCAGGATGGTCTCCATCTCCTGACCTCATGATCTGCCCACCTCGGTCTCCCAAAGTGCTGGGATTACAGGCGTGAGCCACCGCCCCCGGCCTCTCTTGCTCATTTATTCTTCACATCAATGTTTTGACCTGATCGTGACTTTGGTCTCTTGCCCCTTCCTTTTCTCCTGGACACACGGTTTTGCTTCCTCTCTCTCCATGGCATACTGTTTTATGCCAACAGCCCCTTGTTACACTTCTGGCCTTTGGCCTCATGACCTTTCTTCAAGCCAGTGCCTGCCTTAGTTGTTCCTATAGTGTCTGCCATACATTTGTGGTCTCTAGTCTCAGATGTGTCCTCGGTTCTACTATGTTGTGCTTTTAGTTGCTCTGGTCAGTTCTTTGCCATCCTTTCCTTTGTGTCCCTTCCAAGCCTAACTGCTTCCCTCCAAGGTCCTACCCTGTCAACCCTTCCTCTGCCTCCCTGCTGATCAGCCTTCCTTTCTACATGAGACTACCAGGTGTGAAAACCTCCAGCCTTTGTCTCCAGGATTGATGGGCTCTCAGCTTCCTATTCGCTTCTTTAGTTTGAGCTGCAGTGTTCAGTTCTACAGCCACTAGCCACATAGGGCTATTTCATTTAAATTAACCAATGTTAAAATTCAGTTTTTCAGTTGTACTGGTTGCATTTCAAATACTCAGTAGCCATGTACAGCTAACGGTTATTGTTTGGATGGCATGGAGAACATTTTTATCTTTGCAGAAAGTTTGACAGAATAGTGCTGGTTCAGACAGACCTCCACTTGGGCTTTAGATCCAAAAGCATAAGTCTCCTATGGAACCATGTCACATATGGAACCATGTGCTCCTTGAAACCTATGGAACCATGTCTCCTATGAAACCATGTGCTCTTTGTAACCTGTGGAACCATGTCTCCTATGGAACCATGTGCTCCTTGGAACCTGTGGAACCATGTCTCCTATGGAACCATGTGTTCTTTGGAACCTATGGAACCAAGTCACCTATGGAACCATGTGCTCCTTGGAACCTATGGGACCATGTCACCTATGGAACCATGTGCTCTTTGGAACCTGTGGCACTACATCTCTTATGGAACCATGTGCTCTCTTTTCTTTTCATTTTCTCCTGTCTTTCAATTTGTTTTTCTCTAGCAGCTTCTTCTTCCCAACCTATAAACATGGCTACATTTCTCTCACATAATAAAGAAAAACCCCAAAACAAATGAAATAAAACAACCCTCCCATTGTCTTAACAGCCTCTTTTCATTGCTTGTTTTTGCACTGAAGCTCCTAAAACACACACATACTCACACAGTGACACACAAATCCCCTGTGTTTACTGTCTCCAAATACACACCTTCATATTACCATTCAACCCATTGTAATAAAGCTCCTGACCATGGCACTGCAAATTATCACCAAATAACCTCTTTGTTGCCAAATCCAGTGGATTCTTTCCAGCTCTCATACAATTTGATCTCTCTGTAGGTATTTAGTTGAATCCCATTCTGTCCATCTCTTTGACCATTTCCTTTGTTCTCCTTTGCAGACTCATTTCCCTCTGCCTACCCCTATGATGTGAGTGACCTGTAGTCTTTTGTCCCTAGTCCTCTTCTTACATATTCTTCTCCTGTCACATTGTTGATGGTTGCCTGCTGTCTGGATCCCAACCGGAAACTCGGTTCTGAGTTCATTTGTGCTATTAACAACACATTAATCTGAATGTCCTATTCAGATGTTAAGTAAGCATAGTAAAAACTAAATTTGTTACTCATCTCTACTTCAAAATCTTTTGCCTTTAGATGTGAACCCATCTTAGTGATTAGAACACTGTCTTCCCAGTCACTCCATACTGAGGCTTGTATGTTGTCTTGTATTCTTTTTTCTCTTTCAGTCCTTATATTTGATGATTCATAAAGCTCTGTGGACTCTACCTCTCATGATAACTTCCTAACACATCATACCCTCAACATCTTTTGCTTGGACCACTGAATTAGTCTTTCTGCTATTAACTGGTCTTTTAACTCACACTATTGCCCTCCAATTCATTCTCTCCACTGCTGCCTGAGAAATCTATCAATCTACAGTGCTTATTCACCTGCTTAAAACCAAACCTTTGTGTGGCTCCCATTACCTCTAAGATAAGAGCCTTTGTCTGGCTTCTATGTTCTCCATTCTTATCTATCAGTTCCAGGGCTCCTGCCCTATTCTTTGGTTTTACCAGTGCATTTGAATAACTTACACATTTTATCATGCTGTTTCATGGCTTTATAAGTTGCTCACGATTGCTCTCCAGCACTTGGAGCAGTGGCTAAGTATGTTCAATCACATAAACTATTTTTTTTTTTCTTGAAACAGGGTCTCACTCTGTTGCCTAGGCTGGAGTGCAGTGGTTATGGTTCATGCAGCCTCGACCTCCTGGGCTCAAACAATTCTTCCATCTCAGCCTCCAAAGTAGCTAGGACTACAGGAATGCACCATCACACCTGGTTAATTTTTAATTTCTTTTTGTAGAGACGGTGTCTCGGTATGTTGCCCAGGCTAGTCTCAAATTCCTGGCCTCAAGTGATCATCTTGCCTCAGACTCACAAAGAGTTGGGGTTACAGGCGTGAGCTGTCATGCCCAACCCTAATAAACTTTTGACTCTAGTAGGAAGCTTTTTTTCTGTTTGATCCAGTAAATATATACTCACACATACACATTCACAGTGAAACAAAAATTTTGTAATTTTATCGTTACTG
This sequence comes from Homo sapiens, assembly GCF_000001405.40. Lineage (NCBI taxonomy): Eukaryota > Metazoa > Chordata > Mammalia > Primates > Hominidae > Homo > Homo sapiens. The sequence continues at coordinate 131,964,965 of NC_000006.12, forward strand.
GATGTGATGCCCTTGGTATTTTAAAATACGTTCCATTTCATTTTAAAGAAAATTCTAGTCTTCATCTCCAAGTTTATTCTACTGTCTAATTGACATCTTGGAAATAAGAGATATATATATATCTTTATATATATAAATTATATATGTAAATTTATATATATTTATTATATATACGTGTACACGTGTGTGTGTGCATGTGTGTGTATCCTTGGAATACCAAACGATCAGCATAAACTATCTGAATAAGCAGCTGAGGGAGGTAGTGTGAAGATGTGAGGTCTGGGGATGCTCTGGACATTCTGGGAGCACCTGTGGTTGCTGGGAGACGAATGTGTGGAGTTTAAGAATGAAAGTACTGCAGTGAAATACAGAGCATAAGCACAGAAGAAAACCTTATTTTTGGTACTAAATCAAGCCTTGCCTAAAGTTACTCCATCTCTCAATTTATCAATTTCATGAGCCAATATGTTCCCCTAACCCTATTTTAAAAAGTTCTCGATATTGTACCATAAAATGTCCTAGCTGATACAGACTTCACCAGTGTGAGAGAGGCATAATTTTATTTTCATATTGATATTTTCTGATGTAACTATTTATATAATTTTCTAATTCTATTATAGTATTAGGGTAGAGCAATGCTTTTCAACCTTTTTTAACATAATGGAATATGTAGAAAATGATAACATTTTAATGACATTTTGGGGCAAAGACTTTCTAAAATCTCTAAAATTCTGAAAGGGAAAGGGTATAGAAACTCTTCTGATTTAAAGATATCAAAGATCATCGGAGGGCTTACTGGCAAATTGCTACCATTTTTTTTCTTAAGTTTTTAGGTAATTTAAGGTTTTTCTTGGAAGTTGACTTCTGAGTATTTGTGAATAACTCTCACATAGCATCTGGTACAAACAGATCTACCACTGAATGAATTTTTTATGTAAAGTTTGGGGACTAGCTTGAACTTTAAAATATTATAAAATTTGGCTAAAACTGCATAATTACTAAGGTCTTAGAAACTATGATAATTTATAAAATAGCTATTTATATCAATTCATAGGTAAATATTTTGTATTTATTGATTATATAAATAAAATTTCTGAGGCTTATGTATTCATACCTGGTAAGTTTGTGTTCTTCAGAATATCAGGAAATACCATGTTTATTTTATTCTAACCGTAATTTACTAAAGTAAATAATTCTCTAGAAAATTGGCTAGTAACACTAGTAGGTGTTTAGGAAAAGTTGCTGATTGACTGGCTGATAGAATATTAAAAATCAATGCGGCTGTCAAAGTTGCCTAACCTTAGGCATAAGAGGATCTTAGTGTGAAATGCTTCCAGACTAATAAATGTATTCAACTGTCCCAAATTAAAAATCAGTGAGTCATTTATTATTGTTTACCTCTCAATGAAATAAATAAGTCACAAATATTTTGAGCATTTGGTCTGTTTCTAACATTGTGTTAAACACAGCGAGATGTAAAAAGATACCTGGTTCTTGCTTACAAGGAGGTTATGATCTATTTGCAGAAGCAAGACGTATATAGACTAAAAGTTCAACCAGTGGTCCTCGCAATTGTGTAACTTGAGAACCACAGGACACAGAAAACTCTGAAGGATTGGTGTAACGCAATATGTCATGACCCTGAAATTAGAATTTCTGAGGCACTTTGAGGCACAGATGATGATAGAACCACACACCATGAGGCTTGAGAGCTCTTTCTCAAGTGTCGGTGAGTCAGCAGAGGTCGGTCATTAAGTGGAAATAGAAGGATTTAGCACTAAGTGTTCCACAAAGGAAGAAATAACCAACCTGAAAAAACCCAGCCTGACGTTTTTTGTGGACATAGCTGGGCCAAAGGATGAAGAAGAGAGGAGCAGCATGGGCATTTCAGACCTTAGTAGTGGGGACAACAGTCCTGACTTTGGGGATGCCGTGGCACATGGAAGAGAGTAAATGGGCCATTTTGACCTGGGTCAACATGGGGATTGAAAGATTAAGGAAGGGACTGCGTTGTAAGAGCCAGAATCCTAATTTTTTCTTCTTTCTTTTATTCTAATGTTGAATACGTTGCTTTCATTTCCAGTCCTTTAGTTTTTTGAAATACACACACACACACACACACACACATCTCTAACATACATATTGCTCTATACTAATTCAGGGATTAGCAAATGTTAAGAAGACATTTACTGACTTACAGGGTAAAATGAAGAGAGCCTCAAAACTAAGAATTAGTAATACTGTAATTTTTGTTAGGCTTCTGTTTCTCCTCTTGCTTTAATAAACAGTATGTATGTATTTTTTTCTTCCACAACCTGCAAAATGCCAGGCATATGGAAAAAATACAAGGCACAGTAAATGCGTATTGAATTCAGGGACCCTCTTTTATGATTCTCCATGATTCCTACAATGATGCTTGGTATGCAGTGGACATCCAGTCACTATGAAGTAGTGGAAATATTTATATTGATGAGAAAAAAACATAGCTAAAGCTGTTACTTGAGAGGCTAGCTCACAAATTTATCATTAGTTCATTCATTCATTCATTCATTCACTTAGTAATGGGTGCATTCACTGGACACTGCTAATGTGAAGACTAATGGTGATTTTTTTAATTGATACAAATATTTGTGGTGTACATGTGATATTTTGTTACATGCGTAGATAGTGTAATGATCAAGTCAGGATCATTACACAGTCTACGCATGTAACAAAATATGACATATATTTAACAAAATATTTAACATATAAAATGATCAATACTTGAGGTGATGTCCAACACTTGGGGTGTCTGTCACCTCGAGTATTTATCATTTTATATGTTGGAAACATTTCAAGTCCTCTCTTGTATCTATTTTGAAATGTATATTACATTGTTGTTAACTATAATCACCCTGCTCTGCTATCATACACTAGAATGTGTTTCTTCTACCTAACTGTATGATTGTGCTCATTAACCAATGCCTTTATCTACCCCCAGCCACCCACTAATGTGATTTTTACCAAGAGTTTCATGTCTTTATATCTTTGTAGAGTCTGGCCAACTTTTACCCGTTCATCAACTCTCAGTGCCCATGTCACTTTCTTTTTGTGGCTCTCCAGACTCAGCTAGGTGCTTATGTTTCCACAGCCTTTCTCTGACTGTGTGGGGATTTGTCTGTATACCTCACCAGATGAGAGCTTCAGAAGAGCAGAATTGAATCATTCATCTCCATGTCTTCAGTGCCAACCTCAATGCCTCATCCCTTGAGAGTTTGTTGAGTGTTTGTAGAACAAATGTAATCTCTAATGATGGTGTTGTCAGATATCTGGCTTTAAACTGGCAATTTGGCTTTTAAGTACTGTGTTCAGAAAATTAACTGAAAAAATAAATACTAGAATTATGTCAGTTTAGAGACAAAAGATGCATTAAAAAGAAATAAAAACGGAAAGTCACAAAAATGCAATGTAAATTATAATATAAGATAGCATGTACATTATCATTAATGAACTATTCCTATTGTATAGGTTTTTTTTTTATTGTGGCAGACTTTTACTGTGTGTCTCATATTTTCATTGAAACTTTATAGGCAGCCTTGTCAGTGTGCACTGACTGTGAGAGCGGCAGGACAGCAGGGACTCTAGAGATCGTTCGGTCCAAATACTGGTCAATTGAAGAAATACAACCACTCATTTTTAGAGTGCACAAAGGCAGGCAGATTTCAGTGACACAGTCTTTTGTGTGCCATAGTGGGCAGAGGAGCCCCACTGACTGCAGACTTTCCACCATACCATGCTACTTTCCCAGCGACCCCTCATGTACAGTCTAGGAAGCAGCTGTTGGGGGTTGGTGGATGTCTTCTGTTTTTATACACACTTTCCCTTTGGCCGTCCATGTGCTCTGGAGGAAGAAGGGAGTTGCTGCAATACAGGTCCACACCCTTACGTCAGTTTATAGGAGCGGCCCTCACATATGTGAATAATAACAATAGTGGCACCATTGATTGATGACCTGTGCTGGACTGATTACATAGGTTAAGTCACATCTTCACACAACCCTTCAGGGTCGCTTCCTTTTTATAGATGGGGATGAGGGTTGCAAAGATTATTTAGGTATCACATCCACATCACAGAGCCAATAAGTGGTGAAGCCAGGTAGCTCTAACTCCCCAAATTCCATAGGTTTTCCAGATACCACACAGCCTTTTGTAAAGATAAGAGGATATGGTGAACTATCCATATTTGTCAGGTAATATGATATATCAAAAGGAACAAAGCACCATGCTTTCTAAAGTGCTTAAAGACCTACCTATCGTTAGATAAATGAATACATGAATGAGTATGTGATTCTTAAAAAGAAAAAAACATACTTCATTACAACATAGATTTAAGATCATTACAGTAAGTTAGAATTTCATGAAAATATGAAGTGGAAAGGCTAAATTCAGGATTTTTTTTGTTAATTTTTTAAATAACCATTGTATCAATAGAGTGTACTTTTTTTGTTGGTTGCATAATAAGAAAGACTTACAATTTTTCTTGTCTACTTGGAAGGAATTATGAAAGTCGTGAAATGTTCATGACACTTTCCTTTAAACCAGCATAAAGGCTTACTATCACATTACTTTCATATTACACCCTCGGCTCTAAATTTACAAAGCCAAATTAAAAATAATTATGTTCCATGGCACATGTATACCTATGTGACAAACCTGCATGTTCTGCACATGTATCCCAGAACTTAAAGTAGAATTTAAAAAATTATGTTAATGAAGGCATGATGTTCATTCAAAATTTAAGTTAATAACTATCCATTTAAATGCCCATCTTAACACTCAAAAAACTTCTTTTTAGAATTCCTAGAACTAAGTAATTGATTATTGTGACCTTGAGATTAGAAATAGGGACTGATTAGTTTTGAAGTATTTTTCAAAAACTTACCAATGTTGTTTGTAACAAATACAATGGGATCTATTACCAAATCCTTATTTATCTGATTGTGGGTTTTCAATTCCCACCAGAATGTTCTAATAATATGTAGAATTTACATATAAGGCAAAAGTAGCTACTGTGGGAGAATCCTTTATACAGTCAGAGGCTAGAGATAATTCATTTGTCTTGGATTGATTAATAGCAATAATATTCCATTCTCAGAACCCTATTTGGAAGAGAAGTTATAAAACACAAAATGAGAGGGGAGACTAATTACTTTTAGCACAAATGGATTTTTGTGTCACAAGAAGATTTTATGAAGTGTATTATTTTCCCTAGAAACTCCTCAGGCCCAGCTTGTGCTTATTTTCTCCATATGCCTAGTAGAGTGTTTTGCATATTTATAACTATGAACTGACTTGAATTTAACTTGGTTGGGTCAAGCTGCTCTTGAGTCAACTGGTACCTCAAAAGCATGGAGATATAGCATTCTTTTTTCTAACATGTAGAATTATGTCCTACTCCATGTAACTCTTGGAAATTCAGTCACAAGGGGTGGCAAATGGTGGGGAATTAAAGCAGAACTTTGCAGACTCAATAAGGCATCCTTTTCAGATTTATCTTCCCTTTATTCCTAATTAGAATATTAGAAGTTATGCATAAATACAAACTTTGAGCTTCACTGCTCTTAAATTCTGCAGAATCATTTAGGTAAATGTCTTTTATGTGGTGTGTTTACATATGGAAAGAGGTAGTGGAGTCACTTTCATTGAGAGCGTTTCAAAGTAGAGAATTCTGCAACTCTCCAAATGTTATGAAGGTGAAGGATTGCTATATCAGATAAGCAGCAGAACTAACAATTGAATTGGAAGATGAGTGCGGAAAACTAAATACAGAGTCAATGTTTTGTGAGTGTATTAAAAAAAAAAAAAACTAGGACATTAAACTGAAAGTAAACCAAAGTGAAAATTCACTAAAATTAGTGGCTTTTCCTTTTTAATTTTATACTCATTTGACTTATGGACTAATTCTTAATGCTCATACCTTATCAAAAACTGAAAAAAAAAATGAAAAATAAGGTCAAATGTCTGTTTTTTCCCCAACCCAAAAGGAAGGTAGTTTGAAGTATTTAACACACATATTTTATTGGGATGACTTATTAAAACGAAGTTGACCTAAATGATTATAAAATTTCTACATTTATAGATGCTAGTGGATAATGTTATCTGGCAAGTCCTGAATAAAAGGTTAAGATCATTTCCACTTTGAACCTAAAACTAACCAATTTAGTAGTAAGAGTTTTCTTTGTAGCTTGTGAAAGTAACACCATGTACTTTGGTTTCAGGTAATAGGATAAAGAAGTGACAGACAGAAACTGTCTTCCTGATCTGAAAAAAGTAAGGTGTGAAAGACATAAGCAATACTTGTGGAAATTCAAGCATGTGATCACATACTAACCAAGTCTGACCGTTTTAGTATTTCCCTTGTGAACTAGATTTTTATTGGACATAAATATAGCAAATATAAGTACATTTAATTTCAGTTTCCTTTTTCCTGAAAACAAGAGATAAGGCACATGTTGTCCTATAAGATGAATAAATTTAAAATGGTGTTTGCAAATTACCCTGTCTTCTAAATATGGTCTCTAGAGTTTATTTGGTGTGGTTCATCTTTAGGAAGCTGCAGTGTAATTAAGAAGAATGATTATATGGGAAACATAATTTTACTCTTATCTATAGGAAAAGTCCCTTGAAACAACAGAAACCATTTCTAAACTGTCTTAGAATAGTTTTTTCTTTCTTTTTTAAAAAGCTCAGTTTAGGACAGTATAATAGAAATTAAAGCATTAATGTTATTTACAGTTATTTCTCCAGCGATAATAAATCACACCAGTATTTGATGATTAATAATGCAATTGACATAATTCCCTAAAGCCCTTATAAATTTTATATGATAAAAGTAGAGAGGGTTTTTTTTTCCCTCCTTAAGGCTTGGAATATATATGTAAAGACTTGTCCCAAGCCCCATAGCTAGTTAGTGGCAGAACTAGTGCTAAGTACCATGACCCTTGACTTAGCTCTGTCTCTGTTGCATTTCTTTTTCTTTTCTTTTCTCATTACATCATCCTGTCTTTTTTATAGTGGAGAAATATACTCTGAATACAATAAAAATAAATGGAAAATAATAAATTGAATTCCAACTTACAGCTGTGGTTTTTGCCTATAGTAGTTGTAGATATGCAACTGTGAGCACAGTAGTTCCAAGTCTGGGCTCTGGAGTCAGCGGTCTTGGTAAGGGTGGTTCTGCCCCTCACTGTAGTAATAGCTTGTGTCTCAGTTGTCTCTCTGGAATATGGGGAACGTAGGAGAACCTTCTTTTGGGGGTTGTCTTGAGAATTCAGTGAAATGTAGTTTTAAGTGTTAGAATATTGTTGATGAATATAGTAGTGCCCCCCAGATGTTAGGTATTATTATATTTAATAGTTAATATTATCAAGGGAGATTCAATATTTACTATACCAAATTAAAATACTAAAAAATTTGGGAATCGATGGAGAAGAACATCTCAGTGCTCTAATGATCTATCTTGTAAATGTTATTAACTCATGATAAGGGCCATTTAATGAGAAACAGAAGAATAATGTTTTCACTTAGTAGAAACCTCATAAGCCAGGTTAATTAGCAGCTTAGTTACTAAGTTAAATGACCTTGCTTTGAAACATAGACTTTATGGTAAAACTTATTTATTAAATAGACTAAGAAGTCTTTTTAAATGTGTCATTAGTTCTTAGAAAATAATCATTGTGATAAATTCTTGGTAAATGAATTTAAAACATGGATTAAATATTCACCAAGTATATGAGTTAAAAGTTATGAGGGTCTTGGGAATTTGTGTAGGAAATCTGCAAAAACTAAGCACCATTAAAATGGTTTCATTTTTGGTTCTGGTTATAAAAGTTGACAGTTTCTTTTTTTCTTATCTAGTTAAACATATACATAGAAGTAGAGACTTGTAGAGTTGTAAAAAAATCTTTGGAATCATGTAGTCTTATGCTTTCCAAGTTTCTACGCTTGCACAGAGAGCTCTAGTTGTTGCATGAGCTCTCGTTGTTGCAAGGGAGGGGACTAGAGCTGGGCTCACCACTTCTGCAGGACTCAAGTCTCTACAGAGTGAAAGGAACCCATCTTTCCTTTTATAGGTGAGGAAGCTGACTCCATAGGCAATGGGTACCTTGCTCAAAGACCCACAGACAGTGGAAGGGCAAGTTATTGAATAAATATACTCTGCTACATCTGCCCTATTGATTGCATCCTATACCCTTCCTAGTAAAGAATCTATCTTTAGAGCCCTTAACAATCCAGATTTTTTTGTTCTTCCCCACTTCTACTAGGAAGAGGTATTTAACTTGATAATTTGTATCAAGGGTACCTGATTCTCTTTTGATGCCTGTATCATGATACATATATTTATGCTTGCTTCTGCGTGAAAGCTCAACTCAGCCTCTAAGCATTCTATGTAATGAAGTTTATATTGAAGACTTCAGTTTCCATGATGGGGTCACTTGGACAAACTTCTCTACAGCAAACAATTATAAAAGCAGTACAGAACATGTAAAACAATAAATTGAAGGCATTGGAGAACAACCAACATAATTAGGGCATAATTATGATCTTTGAGAGAAGAGAAGCACAAAAGTTGAGTCTATGTTTTCTCTGGCTGCTTCCGTGAGGGCATTTTCTAAATCACAGCACAGGTGAATGAAGTATAGGAAAAAGATGGTATTCTGTTATTGGAAGTTAAGGTTGGTGCCACCTAATTGGGTCTCTGCTGCAAGAAACTTGAGGACATCCCCCTCCTTCATTTGCAGGATATCAAGGGCTCCAGACATCGTGAAAATTTTCCTTTAAGTTACAATGGACTAAGGAGAAAGAAGTCAGAATTTTGGACAACAGAAGTGGCTAGGACTAGAAGAGCAAAATTCTAGAGATGTGGAAACCTCAGAAAAGTAGCCCAAATATCTGCATATAAATGAGCAAGACCCCCAAAAACCCAGGTTAAAAGAACATTTGGACGGCCAAATAGCTTATCTGAGATATTTTGCAGCCTCATGGTGCTGGGGGAGACATAGGAATTCAAGTGCTTCCAAGGTAGTGGGGGCATTGGTAAACAACCTCAGGCTTTCAGTGGAGACCCTGTCTGCCAAGCCCTAGGAGTAGGAACCATACTCTAGTAGGAAAACTGAAATAGACAAGCCCTAACAGAGCTTTAGATCAGGCTTAGACAGGATCAAGGTGATCCACCAGTAATTGTTTTCTGACTTCCAGAAGAAAATTTAATCCTCTTTGAAGGAAGATATTATTCAGAGCCTCACAATTTTTCCATCCATAATATTCAGCATTCAATAAAAAATTGCAAGGCATGCTATAAAACAGGAAGAAATGACTGAAACCCAAGAGAAAAAAAAGACAGTAAACCCAAAGAAGATTTAGATATTACAATTATTAAATAGGGATTTAAAAAAAACTATGATTAATGTAATCAAGAAAATAGAGAAAATCATAGACAAAGTGGATGAAAAGATGGAGAACTACAGAGAACTGGAATCTATATAATATAATCAAATGGATACCCTAGAATTGAAAAATACATTATTTAGGCCGGACGCAGTGGCTCATGACTGTAATACCAGCACTTTGGGAGGCTGAGGCAGGTGAATCACCTGAGGTCAGGAGTTTGAGACCAGCCTGGTCAACATGGTGAAACCCTGTCTCTACTAATAATACAAAAATTAGCTGGGTGTGGTGGCACACGCCTGTAATCCCAGCAACTAGGGAGGCTGAGGCAGGAGAATCGCTTGAACCCAGGAGGCAGAGGTTGCAGTGAGCCAAGATTGTGCCATTGCACTCCAGCCTGGGCGACAGAGTGTGACTCCATCTTAAAAAAAAAAAAAAAGAAAAAAGAAAAATACATTATTCAATGTTAAGAATTTTGGATGTAAAAACAGAATAGAACATAAAAGACATGTGGTATACAAACTGACTTCTGGACTCACTCTTCTTTGGAAAGAGACTTCATATTTAGCTCTAAGAATCACTTTCTTTCTAGACCATTTGGTGCTATTAGAAACATACTTAGATAAATCTAATCCCTGTGCTGATTCAAAGCCTTTTGAGTGTTCAAGGGAACTTAGAGAATTGAGAGATATTATTTTTAAACTTTAATTTTAATGGAAAAATATGTTTCCTCTAAATACTATCTTTGCCAAAATTGGACAACTTCTGAAAAGAGAATTGAGTACAAGATTCTGAGGAGTAAACATAATCTGGATCAAGCTTTCTTCCTAAAGGAAACAGTACAGTGTCAAAATAATATATTAGTATTCCCACGTTTTAGTTCATTTTAAATTCTTATTCTGGTTTTCATTTTCATTTTAAAACTATTTGGATCAGTGACAGATCCTGACCCCCTTCCCCTTCTCCTGTCTTTTTTGCTTTCCATCTGTTGATGTTTGTGTTTCTTGCCATTTTACTATATTAAAAGTCTGTAGGGTTTTTCATGATGGGAAGTTAGGCAGAAACGAGAATTTTTGATCCCAGTCTTTGTAATTTCCAGCATGAGAACCATTTCACCAGCCGCAGTGCATCTTTTATAGGCCTTAAACTATTTTTCTTGAGACTTTTGTGTGTTGTAGACCCATCTTGACACTGCTGGGGAAAAATAATATATTCTGATAATAGCCTTATTGGTTCCTTAAGAAATCGATGAAAATATGGCATAATGCATACTTACGATGACTGTAACAAAAGGATGCTTTATCTCTTTCCTATTCACTGAATCTCAGCTAAAACTTCACCAAAAGCCAATATGTGGTATCATAAAACATTGGCTATTTTACATATCCAGAAATGGCCTCTGACCTAGAAATAACATTATATTCCCTCCAACTCTCTACTCATTTTACCTTACAACCTCCCCCTAAATCCTTGATGGTAAATATATGTCCCCTGGACATCAATAACACATGAATCTAATTGCAAACAACTGATTACCCTACAACTATGCCTGATACACTATAATAACCCAGCTTCTCAGGGCATGAAAAGATTAGGTTTGGCATCCCTGAGGCACAAGCAAGCTGCAGGAGATACTTATTAGAGTATTAAAGCACCTTTAAGATCTTTTCTTGATTATAAAATGCTTTCATAAATGTTATGTCATTTGACTTTCTCAAAAATTGTGTAAGGTAGGAAGAGTGAATATTGTTATCCCATTTCACAATGAGGAGACTAAGGTAGAGGAAGAAGTTAATCATCCAAGTAAAAACTAGTAAGCATTAAAGCTAGGATTCATACCATGTTAACATGTCAGTGTTAACAGGTTTACTTGAGTAAATAGTAACTTGAGTTAACAGGTTTACTTGAGGGAGATGCAGGAAGCATCATTATTGAAATGCTTTCATGGTCTACACTAAGCCTATGTCTACCTCAAACCCGTGATAGTTATGGACCATATTTTGGAATACTATCTTAATGCTAGTGAAATAGAGATGTTCTACATTGCAGAAGTATTTTGTAATGGGAATCCCCAAATTATTCTGGAAAATGGTAAAAGACAAAAGTTTCAGAAATTTTACTGACCTTAAAAAAGAGGAAATGAATACCTATAGATGGCTTGAGAAACTCGGAAAAATATTTTTGGACTGTGCAATAGTGGTTTGTCCAGATAAGGACCTTGGCGATCCGGAGTCATTTAAACCATCTAGCAGCATGATGCCAAGCACAATAGAAACATGTTTGCTGTGAGTGCTCAGTGTCAAGGTCATGCTGGTAGACAATTCTCCACGGGCTTCTCACATTTCTACATGTCTTATGAGCAGAGGAACTAACTGACATTATTTCATTCTGTCATTTCAAAAATGTTTGTACAGTGAACAGCCTTGGAAGATGGAGATAGTGCCTCTCTCTAGAGCAAAGGGCAGGCATGCTTGCTATTCACCATAAAAAATTCAGGTTCTGTAAGCTTGGAGTCTCTCTCCTATAATGCTTACTATGTGTGCAGGTAGTCGAACTGGTGCAAGAAACTGCTGAAATGCTAGCTACTGCTGTTGCTAAGAGTAATAAAGTCGATGGTCTTTCTCCCAGGAATGTCACTTCTTTTTCCAGCACCCATGAAAAAATGCTAATTATTAGCTGGCAAGTAGTTTTTGCAGGCAGTTCCTGACAGATCACAGGGCATCTCTCCACCCCATCTGTAGCTTAATGTAAACAAAAACAAAAACAAAACCCATGAAACATTTAGAGTCCATGCGTATGAAGTTTTCTGAGTCTTTTGCATTTCTAGCAGGATAATTCTGACATTTTACAATGAGCCCTTGTCTGTGGAAACTAGATAGGTAGTTGGTGAAAAACAGTCAGCAAGTAATGATACTGCAGACAATTTGGGAGCCTTCAGATAATTCATTACGGATCCTCCACTGCTGACTTCAGTTCCTTTAAGATCAGCCATGAGCAACCTGGGATATAAGAATTTAGTATGAGGAGCTGCTTTTACTTTTCCATTTTATTACTCAGCACATTTGGAAATTATTCTCACTGTTCCTCCCTAGGCTGAATTTTTATTCCTAACCCAGTGCTAAACTTCCATTGCTGGATAGACTTCCAGTCATGTTTGGATGATGATTCTTGCCAATGTAACCATGTTGTCTCTTAATTTTTTATTGTAATGAGCCAATAGCACAACAAATCATCTCTGATGAGATTTATGCTCATTGAAGAGTGGGCATTTTTCTTTTGCATTATAGATTAACTAAGGCCCAATTATGGATAAGAAAGTTCTCCAAGCTTAGGCTGTCTTCTTGTTAAAGGTTAAGGTGATTTTCTAAGACTTTACACAGCCCAGTGATTCTGATGTTATTTCTGTACCTGATCCCATCAGACTAATTACTTAGGTTTACTCTTCTCAAGTTTTGTAGCTTAGTTTTGTCCTGTACATATGTGCTTCACTTACTCTTCTGCCCTCTTCCTTCTGAGCCCCCAGTAAGTCACCCATTTGAATTGGGGAGCTGGTCAACCTTGATACCTTGCAGAAGCTCAAAAAGTATTCTTAGAAAGATTGAGTGAAGGTACCAGGTATTTCAGGGGACCTTTCAGCAGAGCTCTTCAATCTAACTAGAATCTTGAATGCCCAATAAGAATACATGGGAACAGGAATAATAGTGCTACAAGTAATACAATGATAATAATCATAATACCAATGTTGCCTGGGTGCTTACTATACGCCTAGTACTGGGCCAAGTGCTTTGAATGTACTGCCTCATATAATCCTTGCAAAATTACTGTGTGATTATTAACATTATTGGATAAATAAAAGGACACAGAGAGGTTACGTAATTTTCTCAAAGTCACTTAGTGACAGAACTGAGATCCCACCACCTTGTAATCTGCTGAACATATTACATGATTAAAAACGAACAGGGAAGTTTTTATTTTGGGTAAATCTGAATTAAATCAACCATAAAAATGTCTTCTTTGTTTCAGATTACAGATGGGTCATCAACTAATACACTTGAAAGCTTAGAATCAGAGCTAACCTGGACAAACCAAACTTTTATTGAAAGCAAGCCATCGATATTTTGGTTCAACTCCTCATTCACAGATCTCCCTCTCAGAGCAATTGGATGATTAATGAATTAATTCTTTCATTTTTTCTACAAATATTTATCAAAACCTGACGGTGAATAGCACTGTCTCTAAAAATTCCTTCCTTTTAGGGGAAGGAGAGCATTCCTCGTGGCCCTGCTTGAGGCCAGATGTTTACCCCAGGGATTGGGAAAAGACAGAAGAGCCAGGAAGGGTGCAAGGTACAGGCTGAGGAACCTTTCACTGTTGTAAGTTATGTCTGTGTCTGTGTCTTTCTCTGCTGCTGCCTTTGTGCTAAGTATGCTACCTGACACACGGTAGTTGCTTCATAAAAAGGGTCAAATTAAATGAAAGCAACAGCTCTCTTGGATGTTCTTGTTTTTCCTTAACCATTCTGGAATTTTACTTATTAAGCTTGTTGACTGGAATAATTGGATATATTGGCTTATTATAAAGTTTCCTGTATTAGATTAAACATGATTAACTTTCAGTTTCTGCCCTTTATTTTTCTTTAACCAAAAATAACCTCATTAATCCCCAGATATCATAATTTTTAGTATTGTGTTTTGGACTTAGATCTGTATCTCTCTATTTCACTCCCAAGGTACAGAGAGCAATGCGATAGAAAAACTGCTTACATGTGAGTAAATATTACGTTGAGCCGTATGAAATTCATATTTGAAAGTTTTTAACCTTTAGTAAAAAGATTCTTTAGGTTAAACTTAATGGATTGTTGTGTGTGTGTGTGTTTGTGTTTTTTTTTTTCTTGAGAAGAAGTCTCGCTCTGTCACCCAGGCTGGTGTGCAGTGGCATGATCTTGGCTCACTGCAACCTCTGCCTCCCAGGTTCAAGCGATTCTCCTGCCTCAGCCTCCTGAGTAGCTGGGACTACAGGTGCCCGCCCCATGCCCGGCTAATTTTTGTATTTTTAGTAGAGATGGGGTTTCACCATATTGGCCAGGCTGGTCTTGAACTCCTGACCTTGTGATCCACCTGCCTCAGCCTCTCAAAGTGCTGGGATTACAGGCATGAGCCACCACACCCGGCCATGTGTGTGTGTGTTTTAATAAAACATCTACAATGTCTACAAAAGAATACACATTTCTCTCTTTTTAGAGACAGAGTCTTGCTCTGTTGCCCAGGTAGAGTGCAGTGGTGCAGTCATAGATCACTGCAGCCTTGACCTCCTGAGCACAAGTGATCCTCTTGCCTCAGCCTCTTGAGTAGCTAAGACTACAGGCATGCACACCATGCCCGGCCTATTTTTTATTTTTATTTTTTGTAGAGATGAGGTCTTGCTATGTTGTCCAGGCTGGTCCCATATTCCTGGCCTCAAGTGAACCTCCAACCTCAGCCTCCCAAAGTGCTGGGATTACAAGCACAGGCCACTGTGCCCGGCAGAATAAACGTTTCTCTACAAACATTTCCATGATACACTCCAGGATGGAGAATAATGTCTGACCATAATGAATGATATTTGTGTTTTTCCATTTCTTTATCAATTTCTTCCCATCTGGATGTTCTGCGTCACAAAACCTTGCTTTCCTAGCTCCAACTATAATGTGCATATGTGCTGGATAATTTATCTCATATTCTTTGAGGCTTTGTGAGTATTATTAGAATGAGAGGAAACCATGGGTTCTTGTTTCATTGCTTTAACAAAAATTTACTGAGTGCCAACAAAAACAATATCTACCTCATGAACAAAAACCAAAAGACACAGCCCTTGCCTCCTTGGAATGTATTTGTTATGGTTTGTATTGCTTATATCAAATAGCTTTGTAAGTACTGCCATGCATCACTTTAGCAAGGGAGATACATTCCGAGAAATGAATCATTAGGCAATTTTGTCATTGTGAGAACATCATAATGTTTTTACTTAGATGCTATAGCCAACTACACACCTAAGCTACACAGTATAGCCTTTGCTCCTAGGCTGTAAACCTGCACAGCATGTTACTGTATTGAATACTGCAGGCAATTTTAACACAATGATAAGTATCTGTGTATCTAAACATAAAAAAGGTACAGTAAAAATACAGTATAAAAGCTTCACTATAATCTTATGAGACCACTGTCACATATATGGTCTATCATTGATCAAAACATACTCATGTGACACATGGTTGTAAGTGTAAAATTATAGCTGTGATGGGTGCTTTGAAGGAGAATGCATGATATTATATTTATGAGTATTAGTGGGAATTGATCAAATACATGAGGTCAGGGAGGGTCTTTCTGAGGTAGCGAAGGCTGAGCCAAGGTTAAGTGCAGCTGTTAACCTGATGAAAGGGGTCGAGCAGTAGGGATATGAAGCGATGCAATTCAGTTCAGTTCAGTGAACGTTTATAGAGTGCCTACCATGTGCCAGACACGATGCTTAGATGCTGGGAAATAAAATATGAATAAGACATGGTCTTTGCCCCCAGTAAATAGCTCACTATACAAAGGTTTCCTTGTCATTTAATTTATAAATTAGGAGAGCCACTCTTTATGTATTTATTTTGCTTCTGTGTAATTTGAGTTTTGTTTTCTCAGGATTGCCTCACTGAAGCAAGTCCTAAATCAAATACAGTCTTTGTCATGGAGTCAAAGTTTCACAAACAAACACGCATAGTTTGCTAGATTAAAGTCCAATAACGCTATTCTAGGCTTTACCATCAACTGAATGTGGTCCCACAGCATAGATCATGCCTGTTTCAGTCTGCCAACAGCGTGGCTCCAGGAAGGAAGCCTGACTGCTGCAGAACAAGAAATGCATTATGACTTTATCTTTTTTCTAAACCATTAGCTGAAATTACTAAATTATTAACCCAGCCATATAAATGAATTATAAACATAGCATATGTGCATTTGATTAATCTGTTTTTCATGTCAAGTGTTATACAGACCTGGGGTACAAACTCATGGGGATACTTAAGTAACACACAGATGAAGTATAAAGGGTGTAAACCAAGGGAGAGGCAGGAAGTGTGGCAAAATGGTGATTGCCAAAACAGCAAAAGAAAAACAAAGAAACCAAACAATGCACACCACAGCCAGATTTTTGCCCCAGCCTATAGGGCACCTCTCCATTCTCTGCACCCACCTAAAGCACATTCTAGAACGGTCATTATTACTCCCACCTTTGGTCTAGGCCCCTTCGTTATCTTTCTGATTCTGGCATTCTTCGCTTATTCTAGAATTTACTAACTTTTGGCCTGCTTGGTTCTTGCTGTGATCTTGGTGGAGAACTTGCCTTGGGCTAGTTCTGAGCTACAGATCCTCCACTCCTTTGCTTTGCCTTGTCTGGACCTCTGCACCACCATGCTTCAGAACCCCAAGACCCTGCTCTGACCACCACGCTGCTGGGCCTGCTCCTTTTGCTAGGATGGACAGACCTCCAGGAAGGGATGGATGAGAAGGCCAGTGACACCTAGATCTGTGTCTCTGTCCTGCTGTCTCATTTCATTATTTTCTAAGTTTTCACTCTTCTTTGCAGGGACTCACAAATTTCCTTTATAGGTTAGTATCAATGTATTATACTATTAAGGCTCTTGTCCTGGCCTCAAATCCTAAACAGCTTTTCTTTTTCTCATGTGTTTGTTTATTTATTTATTTTAGGAGGTGTACTTCATCTTTGGGACTTATTTATTAGGGGACAAGTAATATTTCCAGGTTACAGAAGAGGGCATTTCCATATTGCAACGTTAAGGGCCTTGTCCATCCTCATTTATTATGGAGCAATCAAGTAAAAAAGAATAATAGCTCCCAAATTTGGTTTCTTATTTGCGTATGCACAATCAATATTGTACAGATCCTATAACTATATTAACCAAATGGTTGAGCATTAGTGGTTTAAGTTAATAAAGTAAGAAGTTTAAAGACTCTTTTTTAAGAAATTAAGTTAGAGGAAGCATTAAGTGGCCTTTTGGAAGATGCAAAATATACCCCTATATTCACAATCTATAAAACTTTTGAGACTTAACTTTTGAGACTTCAGTGTGTTGTGTTTTTAGCAATTCCACACTCTTCCCATGAAGCGTTATTATTATCAACGCTGTTGAAGGTAGCTGTGATTTTTGCCTAAAATCTCTAAGTGAAGGTTATGAATAGCATTGTCAGACTCCCTGGCAAGTTGTTTGTGCATCTCATTTCCAGATTATTCTGTAAAAAGGAATTTACATGAATACCATTTTATCCATTAAGTAACTGTTTCTGCTTAATTTTTTTCTGGAAATATTTTAAACAATATACTCCAGTAATGAGCTAGCCTAAGATATTCTTGTGTTATTTTGGAGCCAGTTGCTAGTGACTCATAGCACACTGGGCATCCAAGCTATGGTTAACTGGTGGTCAAGTTAGGAAATTTTGTTCCCATTAACTCTTTCTTAGCCCAGGACATCTCTCCACTCAACTTTTATTCTTTTGATTCATCACACTCATAGTCTCTGCTTGGTGTTTTCAGACCAAAAGTAGAAGCAATGACATGCCATAAGAAGTATTGTTTCTGTTGCATTTCCAGCTTAGCCAAAACAGGAAATACAGGCCATTTTGTGGGAAAGCCCAATTTTGAAATATTTCCAACCCAAAAGGTTTGGATCAACTTTGGGTGAATGTCTGAACTTTTGGCTTCTTACTCACAATAAACCTTCTAACTTCAGGATTTTAGCACAATACTTACTTATACGATGATGTCAGCCGTATTTGGATTATGCTGACACATCAATCAGTTTACTTTTAAACCATTTTTACTTAATATGAGGATGAACTTGTAGCCAAAAAAAGATGCATAAAATTGTGTGAATCATAAGAAAGAATGCCTAATAGTGGAAAGAGCCATGATTTTCATAGTTTCAGGACTTTACTTATTTATTGTATAGTTTATTTAAAATGGGTCTTGTCTTAGTCCATTTCTGTTGCTTATTACAGAGTATCTGAAACTGGGTAATTTAAAAAGAAAAGGAATTTATTTCTTACAGTTGTGAAGGCTGACAAATCTAAGGTCAAGGGACTACATCTGGTTAGGTTCTTTGTACTGCAGAATCCTGAGATGGCACAGGGCACCATGGCAAAGGGGCTGAGTGTGCTAGCTCAGATATCTCTTCTTCTTCTAATAAAGGCATGGTCCCACTCCCATGAGTGGGGACCATGGGACTAATAGTAG
Source organism: Homo sapiens (assembly GCF_000001405.40). Taxonomy (NCBI): domain Eukaryota; kingdom Metazoa; phylum Chordata; class Mammalia; order Primates; family Hominidae; genus Homo; species Homo sapiens. Next base: position 131,983,660 of record NC_000006.12, read on the forward strand.
CTCATTAGTCTACTAACCCATTAATCCATTAGTCCATGAATGGATCACTCCCTTCATGAGAGCTCTGCCAATCTCTTATTAAAGGGCCCACCTTTGATACTGCCACATTGGGAATTAGGTTTCAACATGAGTTTCAGAAGGGACAAACATTCAAACCATAGCAAGTCTATTATCATAAGGCTTTACTCATTAAATGAATGTTTGATGAAGAGATTTACTATCTAAAATAAATCCAGAAGCAGAAATTCTGGGTTAGGTAAAATAGCCTGATGACTCTTTTGGTAGGGAATATCAGGACCTGCCAAAAAATGAATTTAAATTACATTGCATCCTAAAAATTATTCAGCTGACTTTTCGTAATCCTGGGAGACAGAGGGAATTTAAACTTAGAACTTCATGTAGACTATGTGTATTTTATAGATTCATCAAGGTAAAAATCTAATTGACTGCATTAGCCAGAGAAGCCAGATAAGGTAACATTAATTGTACTCCAGGCAAGTAGAGTAGCCTTGGGCAATTTGTTGTGTTATTTTCCAACATCAGTGAGGAACTTAATCTTTTTGTTCTCTCCCGTATTTTGTGACTATGTAGATTGGCCATAGTGAACTGAATGGATTACACTATTTCATTTGTTCTCTTGGGATAGCTATCTAATGTGATCCTACACACCATTTATGGTTATCAAACATGATACGTGGTGAAGTAACTATGATTCCAGATAGAGTTGTTAAATAAATTGAGTTTACTTGCCTTCATAAGCTATGACTTGTTACACTTTTTTTAATCTTTGATTTTTGTATTAAAAGCAAGTTATCTGAAAGAAGGAAGATGAAAAAAAGTAATATCAAGGAGTATAAAATATAGAGATAAAGGAAGTATATTAAGAGGAATCAGAGCCTTTAAGCTTTAACCCTTATTGGAAAAGATATTTAACTCAATATTTGTTGAAGTTCTGAAATGACTGAATAGTTCTTTTTATTCCATGTCTTCTTGCTTCCATTTAGCTGGAATGTACTGGGCAGGATTAGAAATGGCTGTTCTTTCAGTTTTTTATGGTTTAAACTAAAAGCAAAGTGCCAGAATTCTTAAAAGTAATCTCTCTTTGTGAGATTCCAAGCCCCTGTGCAGACTCTGAAAGTGAAGACAACACCTAGGTTTCTTTTTTAAGAGTTTATGAAACTGTATATAACATGTTAACTTTTAAAATTAACTTTCCATTCCAAGTCAACCCCCCCACCCCAAAAACTTTCTCCAAAGCAAGAAAAACAAAGTAACAGACAGCTAATACCTGTTAAAATGCTGCACAAGCCAAACATTTTTCTATTGTGTCTGAATCACATGATATCCATTTTCCTCCTTAATTCTTGGAATAATATCACTCACAATTTAAGATCTTACATTTCAGATTTTTTAGCTCGAGCTGAATAATACTTGATGAGTTAGGAAGTCCTAACAGTGAATTTATAAAGAAAATGTTGACAGAGCTTGGATTCTCACAGTACTGGTGGGTACCATGATTATAATAATGATTTCCTTTAAAACTCTTCCATTAAATGTTCCAAACAGTGGAATTTGTAGTTTTTCCTTTGGTCCTAAGATCAAAAACATGAACAATTTTACAATTCTAAGGTTGGATAGCATGTATGTTTCCACAATTTCTGTGGGAAAGCAATCCACCCTTTCTCAGTTTTATTGAAAACCACCATCTTGGCTCTAAATATGTGCCATTACAAGCACTTTCATTATGTCTAGTATCTCCTTTTAGGAAGTAGGAGTCTGTCTACTGCCTTTTTTCTCTTACTGGTTTTCAAAGACTACACACAGTAAATGAAAAGTAGTTTTAAAAAACTCAAGATAGGAGCCGGGCATGGCGGCTCACGTCTGTAATCCCAGCACTTTGGGAGGCCTAGTTGGGCGGATCACAAGGTCAGGAGTTTGAGACCAGCCTGACCAACATGGTGAAACCCTGTTTCTACTAAAAATACAAAAATTAACCAGCTGTGGTGGTGTGTGCCTGTAATCCTAGCTACTCAGGAGGCTGAGGCAGGAGAATCGCTTGAACCTGGGAGGCAGAGGTTGCAGTGAGCTGAGCTCGTGCCACTGCACTCCAGCCTGGGTGACAGAGCGAGACTTCGTCCCAAAAACCAAACCAAACCAAAACAAAACAAAAAAAACACTGAAGATAGGAAAGCATATTGGTTAAAAGAATAAACCTTGAAGACAGATTGAGTTCAAATTCTTACTCTGTCATTTAGTAGCTGGGTGACTTAGGCAAGTCATGTAACTCAGCCTCCATTCTCTCTCAAATGTAAAATTTGGATACTAATGGTATCTGACTTGGTGGGCTTTTTGTAAGGATTAAATAAAGTAACAAATGTAGAGTGACTAAACCAGGGTAAAATTTCGACAATTAGTGCCACCATCTGATGTTTTATTTATTATTTTACAGGTAGGGTGTGTCTAGCTCTGTTCCCCAGGCTGGACTGGAACTCCTGGGTTTAAGGGATCCTCTTGCTTTAGCCTGGATGTTTTATTTATTTTTGTCAGGCAATTTGGAAATATATTCTAGTAGCAATTATTATCTAAGATAATTTTATCTTGCAACAATCATGTTTTAGTGTTTCTATTTTAAAATAAAATTAAAGCTGATTTATTCACTGGACAAATCTATTACGTGACTATTATGTGCCAGTTGACTAACACAGCTTCTTCCCCCAAGAAGCTCATAGCTTAGTTGCTCTTTTTTATGCTTTGAGAATCATCCTGATAGAAAAAAAGAAGTCATTTTAAAGGTTAGCAGAATGTGCACAAATTTTTGCTCTATTTTAGAATATGATTTAAGAATGCAAAATACCATTATTTCTACTTGTCATGTGGATTATAAAGTTCAAGTTGCAGAGAAAGGTTCATTATGATTTAAATAACCCAGGACCTTAATACAGGTGGATAATGTCCTATGTTAATAACCAACTGTTATATTACTTTAGGAAGTAACTTTTTTCATAGATAATCTCTGTTCCTTCCACTATGTCTACCAAAGTAAAGCCTAAAAGGAATTCTTGTCTGTTATTTAAATATCTACATTTTGAGAGAGGCTTTTATTTTCTTCTCAAAAAGAAAATAACATTTTTATGTAGCAAAGAACAATGTCTTTTAGGATTTGGTGTTATTTAGGTATTTTTTTCTTAAAATAAGGTAAATCGAGGCTTTAAAAAGAATGACCTTATTAGCTAGGTCCTATCTTAGCCATTTTTTATTTGATATTTTACTTATTTATTCAGAGGCTAATTCCACTATCGACTTATAATTTAAAAGGAAACAGGCAAAAAAAAAAAAAAAAAAAAGAGGTGGTACAATACAACTAGGAGGATAGAATTAAATTCTTAGTAAGATGTGTCTAAGAGTAGAAATTCAAGAGAAAGGGGAAAATAATACAAATATGCAAATTGCAAGTCTCCATAGTTATTATTGCCCTGCCTTAAATTTTGCAAAATTTACTGGGCAAAATTTAAATGAACAAAATTTGAACCAGTCTGATTCTTAGGGAGAATGATTATAATTCTGGGGTGTTTTTAATGAAATAATGCAATAATCATTTTTGAAACACCTATTAAATTATTCATCACCCTGTATATGTCAACTATTTATGTTGTAACATCTCTGTTGTGACTTCTCAACTCTCTGATTTGGCTTGTCAATTTAACAAAAAATATTTTTGTGTGTCTTTTATATTCAAGGCAGAGTGGATTCTTTCTATTTCACCAAATATTAATTATGATGTTTACTGTAAGGTTTTTTTTTTTTTTTTGGTTTGTTTGTTTTTTGTCTTTTGGTTTATTTTTAGAGATGTGGTCTTGCTCTATCTCCCAAACTGGAATGCAGTGGCATGAACATAGCTCACGGCAACCTTGAGCTCCTTGGCTCAAGAGACCCTCATGCTTCAGCCTCCTAAGTAGCTGGGATTACAGGTGCAAGCCACTGTACTCAGCTCACTGCAGATTTAAAAAAAAATATATTTTATCAGATTAAGGAATTTACCTTGTATTCCCAATTGAATATTTTTCTATCATGAGGGGATGCAGGGAGACTAGTGAGGAGGCTGAAGCTGTGGTACAGATGAGAGATGAAGCTGATTTGGGCAAGAGGGGTTTCAGGGGAAATGGAAATCAATTGGAGATATACTATGGAGCTATTAAAAGAACTGACAGGGCTTGCTGATGGATTACATCTGGGGAATAAGGAAAAGGCTAGTTTCTAAGTATTTTTCAAAACTTAATTTTTTGCTATTTGTAAACTTTAATGGTAACGTCTTTTTACTTTTATTTTCATTTTTTTATTATACTTTAAGTTCTAGGGTACATGTGAACAATGTGCAGGTTTGTTACATAGGTATACATGTGCCATGTTGGTTTGCTGCACCCATTAACTCATCATTTACATTAGGTATTTATCCTAATGCTATCCCTCCCCCAGCCCCCCATCCCATGACAGGCCCTGGTGTGTGATGTTCCCCACTCTGTGTCCAAGTGTTCTCATTGTTCAATTCCCACCTATGAGTGAGAACATGCAGTGTGTGGTTTTCTGTCCTTGTGATAGTTTGCTGAGAATGATGGTTTCCAGCTTCATCCATGTCCCCACAAAGGACATGAATTCATCCTTTTTTATGGCTGCATAGTATTCCATGGTGTATATGTGCCACATTTTCCTAATCCAGTCTATCATTGATGGGCATTTGGGTTGGTTCGAAGTCTTTGCTATTGTGAATAGTGCCACAATAAACATACGTGTGCATATGTCTTTATAGTAGCATGATTTATAATCCTTTGGGTATATATCCAGTAATGGGATTGGTGGGTCAAATGGTATTTCTATTTCTAGATCCTTGAGGAATCGCCACACGGTCTTCCACAATGGTTGAACTAATTTACACTCCCACCAACAGTGTAAAAGCGTTCCTGTTTCTCCACATCCTCTCCAGCATCTGTTGTTTCCTGACTTTCTAATGATTGCCATTCTAACTGGTGTGAGATGGTATCTCATTGTGGTTTTGATTTGCATTTCTCTGATGACCAGTGATGATGAACATTTTTTTCATGTGTCTGTTGGCTGCATAAATGTCTTCTTTTGAGAAGTGTCTGTTCATATCCTTTGCCCACTTTTTGATGGGGTTGTTTGCTTTTTTCTTGTAAATTTGTTTAAGTTCTTTGTAAATTCTGGTTATTAGCCCTTGGTTAGATGGGTAGATTGCAAATTTTTTCTCCCATTCTGTAAGTTGCCTGTTCTCTCTGATGGTAGTTTCCTTTGCCATGCAGAAGCTCTTTAGTTTAATTAGATCCCACTTGTCTATTTTGGCTTTTGTTAATGGCAACATCTTAACTGCGTGTTTCCAATTCTTTTTAGGTCAACCTTCATAAATTAAAAGATTAATATCTACTGGGATAAGGTATTTTGTTTTCTGTCTTTTTATTAAAAGAAAAAAACAGGAAAGGTTTTTTACAGAACAATAATTCCAGCTTGGTATTTGTCTTTGAAGATCTTGTATATGTCCTTCAACCTAAGGGAAACACCTGCCTTTCTGGCTTTCCCAGTTTACGAAAACAATATCCAGAAGAGGAGATATAATAATAGAATTTTTTGTTGTTATTAGAATAGAGAGTTGAAAAAAATAGCAACACTTCTCTAGTCTAGGCTTGCCTCATTATTCACGTGAATTTCTGTGGAATTTTCCGACCTGAAGAAAAGCAAATGATTTTTATGTAAACTTACTTGAAATAAATTTAACCTATATTATTGATTCCTTAATTTAATGTGCACATGAGTCAGCTGAGGGTTTTTTGGAATAAAGATTCTGGCTCCATAAATCTGAGTGGGCCCAGGCTTCTGCATTTTTACCAAGCTTCCAGCTCGTATGCAGACCACACTTAAATAGGAGGCATCTCAGCTGTACTCCACATAAGCATCGTACCGGCTCTTAATCACTTTATTATTATTTTTTAATTAATTAATTAATTAATTAATTTTTTTTTTTTGAGATGGAGTTTCACTCTTGTTGCCCAAATTGGAGTGCAATGGTGTGATCTTGGCTCACTGCAACCTCCGCCTCCTGGGTTCAAGCGATTCTCCTGCCTCAGCTTCCCGAGTAGCTGGGATTACAGGCATGTGCCACCACACTCAGCTAATTTTTTGTATTTTTAGTAGAGGCAGGGTTTTACCATGTTGGCCAGGCTGGTCTCTAACTCCTGACCTCAGGTAATCCACCCATCTCGGCCTCCCAAAGTCCTGGGATTACAGGCGTGAGCCACCATGCCCAGCCTCTTAATCCCTTTATACTTTTATTTTTTAATGTTCCAGTATCATCAGATTGGCAAAACTGACATGTTAGAACTTAAATATACTTGATAAGTAGAAGAAAAAAATAAGGAAATTTTTTTGTCCCCTGGAAATCTTTATGGATTTACAATTTACTCTCTGTCCTTGGTCTAGGAAAGCCTGCCTCACACATTGTTGTCTGGTATGTTCTTTACCTTAATGACTAAGAATTTAATTATATTCCAAATTGGGACTATTTTCCTAAATATTCCCAGGTACTCTCAAGATGAACTCTATAACATCACTAGCAAAAGGCTCAGTGGTTTTTTGGGGAAATCTACAATATGATCCCAAATAGCTTTTGTTCAACATCTGATGTTCAGAAGTCCATAGAATTTTAGAATATCTTTTATATCTAGCATTAACTATACATTATTTCCTTCTGAAATAGTTGTTTATATTGAAAGAACTCATACTTTGAAAAGAAAAAGCACATTTCAGTTTAGACAAAATATTGGGGAAGGAGATTTAAAACTTATGTGAGAATATTTTAATATTTTGTTTCAATGACAACAGTTACTTGGTGTACAGTACCATCAAACTAGCTTGTAAAGCAAAAGGAAGGTCTATTTAAATAATAGCTAGAAAACTAAGTTATAAGTGCAAAGATATCTGTACATAAAATTGAGGTCAGAATTATTTCATCAAAAATATGTTTTATACAAATTATCAGCTTATGAATGCTAAGAACATCATTTTTAACACAAGTATGACTTTTGAAGGCCTTATTGCTCCAAAATATACTAATTCTAAAATATATTTGATTGCTTAATTACTTAAATGTTATACTAGTTAGGATTTACAAAAAATATGTTTAGCTGCATTAAACTTCCACAGAAAACATGGCAGCAAGATATCATTTCTGCTACTAGACTATTATCTATCTTTTTCTAAGCTCCCCACATTTTCTGCCTCTCTTACATTTTAATGTATTATTTTATACATACAAAAGACTATAAGTAAACATTAATAGTTTATGACATATATATATATATATATATATATATATATATATATATTTTTTTTTTTTTTTTTTTTTTTTTTTTGAGATGAAGTTTTCCTCTTGTTGCCCAGGCTAGAGTGCAGTGGCACGATCTCGGCTCACTGCAACCTCCACCTTCCAGGTTCAAACGATTCTCCTGCCTCAGCTTCCCCAGTAGCTGGGATTACAGGTGTCCGTCCACAACCATGCCTGGCTAATTTTTTTTTTCTTTTTTTGTCTTTTTAGTAGAGACAGGGTTTCACCATGTTGACCAGGCTGGTCTCGAACTCCAGTGCATTTGCAAGTCTATCGCCTCCTTAAGAATTAGAAAAATATGGCTGGGCACGGTGGCTCACACCTGTAATCCCAGCACTTTGGGAGGCTGAGATGGGCAGATCACCTGAGGCCAGGAGCTCGAGACCAGCCTGGCCAACATAGTGAAACCCTGACTCTACCAAAAATACAAAAATTAGCTGGGTGTGGTGGTGGGTGCCTGTAATGCCAGCTACTCGGGAGGCTGAGGCAGGAGAATAACTTGAACCCGGGGAGCGGAGGTTGCAGTGAGCTAGATTATGCCACTGCACTCCAGCCTGGGTGACAAGAGCAAAACTCCATCTCAAAAAAAAAAAAAAGAATTAGAAAAATACTAATATCTTTTTATTCTTACTTATCTATCTATCCCTTGTTTCCTCTAGATGTAACCTCTATGCTGAATTTTCATTGATCATTACCTTTAGAAAATAGTTTTATCACATAGCCATATGAATGTAAATAATACAGTATTTAGTTTTTTATCCTGATATTGTTTTTAAGGTAATACATATTAATGTCTGTAATTGTAAGTCACTCATCTTCATTGCTGTATAATATTAACTTTTGTGAAAATGTCAAATTTTTTTTCCATTATTTTATAAATTGATATTTTGTTTTCCAGATTTTTTTGTTATCTTAAAATCTGCCTCCCTGAAAATTCTAGGACATTTCTCCTGATGCACAAATAAGGAGGTTTTCTAGGTTGTATATATTCTGTGATATAATTGCTGGGTCACAATGTATGCAAATGATCAACTTTGTAAGATAACATTGTTATTTTTCTATGTACAGTTTTATATTACCACAAGCAGTGCACAAGAATTCCAATGGATTTTAAATATTGATTTTGTTTGTTGTCTTAATTTTGTCAAAATGGGTATGAATTATTGTTATAATAATTAAAGTTACTTGGCTATTACCAAGTTGATCATCTTTTTATATATTTATTTGCCATTTCTCTTTTCCCCCATGAAATATTTGTTCATTCTTTTGTGCATTTTTCTATTGGATTTTTTCTTAATATATTTTATTTTCATTTCAGGACCTTATTATTTATAAATTGTTTTCTAATTACTTTCTAAACAGCAAATATATATAATCAATATGGGTTCCCCCTCTAGTAGTAGAAGAATAACCCCTATCAGCCCAACCATCCCAGTGTTAACAATTGTACACACACACAAACAATATACACATTATTATACACATAGTGTGTATGTATCTCAGTGTGTGTATGTAAATTTATATATATATATAAAACAACTCTCTGAAGCTACTGAAGGAAAACAAAAGCAAGCATGAACTGGACAAGAATTGATATTTGGAAGAAGAAAACCCTACTAGGTGAGTTTCATCTATTTAGTGCTTCTGACCTGAGGGCAGGCTCCAGCCAGCACTGTACTCAGGGCTACCATAGTGACTGGATAATGAGAGTAAATATCTCAGAAAGGAGAAGAACGCAGAGGAAGAGCCAAAAATTCTGCATGTTAACTCTGTCCAGATAACTGGTTGACCTCTGAAATATGCAATGTGTGGTAGGTAGTACCCACCTAAGGTTAAGGGAATTGAACAGAGATTTCAGCTGCTGGCTACCAAAGAGAAACCGAGTTTGGAGTTCACATATTCCAAGTTTTTTCCCTGCTAAAACAAACAAGCAAAACATCAATATTCTTCAGTGAAATAGAACATATTCTCTACAGGATTCAGGGTGCAAAACAAAATTACTAAATATATGAAGAAAGCAGGCAAGTGATAGCCATATTTAAGAGAAAAGTTAATCAATAGAGACTCTGAGAAATTGGAATTAACAGGTAAGATTCTAAAGCAGCTGTTATAACTATATAAAAATATAAAGAGCAATATGATCACAATAAATCGGTAGAGGGACTCTCAACATAGAAACAGAAGCTCTAACCAAATGGAAATTATAGAATGGAAAAATATAATATCTGAAAGGAAGAAAATCACTGCTTGGGCTTAAGAGCAGATTGAAGATGGCAGAGAACAGCTCTCGTAAACTTGAAGGCAGATAATAGCAATTCCTTATTCTAAATAATAAAGAGAAAAGGGAATTAAAACAAAAATGAACAGAAACTCTGTTACTTGTTGGACAATATCAGAAGATCTAACATGGATATAAGTGGAGTGTGAAGAGGAAATGAGAAAGAAAATGAGGCAGAAAAAGGTAATAATGACCTAAAAGTCCCCAAATTTGGTGACAGACATATTTGGTCTGTTACCAAATAAGGTTACCAGATTCTGTCAGTTCCATTGCAGAAATATCTCTGAATCCAGCCTCTCTTTTCCACCCTCCTACTGACATTTATTTGGACTATTGTAACAATGTCCTATCTGGCAAAGTGGAGGCCTACTTCTTCCTGTTTTAGTCTTTCTTCCACATCATCACGAGAAAGAGTTATCTTTCTAAAATCAATCTTTTTGAAAACCAAAGCTGATCATGACTTTATAAATAAAGTTATAAATAAAATCTTAAACTCCTTGGCATGGCTTCCAGAATATCACCCAATCTATACCTGCTGCCTCAGTTCCTAATCTACTTCCTATTGTACTAGGGATGTAGAAGCAAATCAAACAGAGGCCCAATCTTCCTGGAGTTTAGAAATTAGTAAGACAAACAATCTTGAAGTAAATAATTTTTATAACTTACTAAACAAATAATTCATTATAATTTATTTACCTAACGTAATAAACAAAAAAAAATTACAATTTTGATAAATTTCGTCGGCTTTCACTAGTTCTTATCCTGGGTCAATGTGAACATAAACGTGTCCTGAGAATAGAGTTAAACTTGGTACCTGTAATACTCTCACTCATATGTCTAACATGTTGAGATTCTAAGTGATTCTGAGCTGACAACTCAGTAAACCAAAGTAACACCTGCTTCTCACCCTGCACCTCTCACCGTTCCCTGGCAGAAAGAGTCCTTTCTTTTTTTTTTTTTTTGAGACAGAGTCTCACTCTGACTCCCGGGCTGAAGTGCAGTGGCACACTCTAAGCTTACTGCAACCTCTGCCTCTCGGGTTTAAGAGATTCTCCTGCCTCAGCCTCCCAATAGCTGGGATTATACGTGTGTGCCACCATGCCTGGCTATGTTTTTTGTATTTTTAGTAGAGATGGGATTTCACCATGTTGGCCAGGGTAGTTTTGAACTCCTGACCTCAAGTGATCTGCCTACCTTGGCCTTCCAAAGTGCTAGGATTACAGGCATGAGCCACTGTGCTGGGCCGAGTCCTTTCATACCTCCATGCCATGCATGGGGATGCCTTAGGGCCCCAGCAGCCTTTCCCTTGTCTCCTGGTAGATTCCTATCACATCTGCAATAAAGCTCTCCTCAGTCACTCAGTCAGAATGAATGGTCCATCGTCTCTGTTTTCTTGGCACATTATAAACATTGCTGTTAGACTGTACACCTTGGGAGAGAGAGATTACATTATAGGCTGTCTAGTGCAGAGCCTGTTCCTCTTTATATCTCTAAAAATGGAGATGGTACCTGGCAAAAAGTGGATGCCAAGTCAGTGTCAAATAAAGACAGTCTTGAGTTGTATAACGGAATCTCAACATGTTAGACACATGAGTGAGAGTGTTACGGATACCAAGTTGAACTCTATTAGGACATGTTTATGTTCACATTGACCCAGGATAAGAACTAGTGACAGCTGATGGAATTTATCAAAATTGTAATTTTTTTTGTTTATCACCTTAGGTAAATAAATTATAATGAATTCTTTGTTTAGTAAGTTGTAAAAATTATTTACTTCAAGTCTGTTTACCTTACTAATTTCTAAACTCCATGAAGATTGGGCCTCTGTACATATTAGGTTGGACCATAGGAAACTGCTGATATATAGTTTGTGACCTACAAAAGTAGCAAATTCTCATGGTTCAACATACACACACACACACAGGTACACACACATATATGTATACATGGGTGAGTGATTTAAGGCAGTTAGAGTTTTGTACTCCAGCTGTGTCTATTAGTACTAATCAGGAAATGATATGGAGAAATCATCTGTTTCAACCCAGTGCCTTCTGGTGCATGACAGAGTCTTTTGTTACAGAGAAATTATTTGCTCCAAAGTTGTAAAAGTACATACGTATGTATATCTCAATATAGTAATTTTATTAATATCCAAACATGTTAAGTACTTGCTGTCTATTCAGATAATGGTAATTAATAACCTATGTCCTACTGTTTCTAATTTAAACAGTTTTCCTCAAAATGTTATTATGGAAATTTTTAAACATATAGAAGAAATGTACAGTGAACACCCACATACCTACTAATTTTAAAGAATAAAACTAAGAAAAATTAGTATGTCCATATCTTCCATAGACCCCTGAATTAGAAGATGCAGTAATCTTTTCCCAGGAGAGGCCCAGGAAGTACTAGAAAACTACAAAACTGAAAAATGAAATCATACGAATGCTTTGCAACTGTATACAAATGCCGCTGGGCTGTAGTACAGTGAATTCATTTGTAATTTGTTTAATTAGGTTTTTTTTAAACAAGGATTTTCTGTAAACCCATATGAGTAGAGATTTTACTACTTTTTTTTAAAAAAAACAACTTTGGATTTGAATTCAAGATATGAGCAATATTTTAGATGCTTATGTTCTAAATTAGTGCTGTACATTGGATTTGGGGACTTAATTTTGTGTGGGGTATGGATCAAGTCAACTCCATGCCTGCCAAGCTTCAAAGCTAACAATTTCCCAGCTCAATAATCCTGGAGGCTGATTGTGATTCATATTCATTTCATGACATGATCCATGACTGCGGAATGACTCACTGGATCTTCCTTTCCATTTCCCTGTAAGTGTAGTCCTTAAACCTTGTAAGGCTTTTCTTCTGCAATGCTTTTGGCCTATAATCATTTCCAAAACATTTATTGAACCTCTATTATATAATGGGCATTGTTCTAGGGACATAGAAGCAAATCAAATAGAGGCCCAATCTTCCTGGAGTTTAGAAATTAGTAAGATAAGCAGACTTGAAGTAAATTATATTTATAAGGCACTAAAGAAAGAATTCATTGTAATTTATTTACCTAAGGTAACAAACAAAAAAATACTACAATTTTGACAAATTCCATCAGCTGTCACTAGTTCTTATCCTGGGTCAATGTGAACATAAACATGTCCTGAGAATAAACTCGGTACCTGTAATACTCTTACTCACATGTCTAACATGTTGAGATTCTAAGTGATTCTGAGCTGGCAACTCAAAAACTCTAGAAAACCTGACTATTTTTCCTTTTTAGTTTAGAGAAAAATTTATAATTTCAGTTGCTGTTTTATAGATTTTGTATTAAATAAAAGAAAAAAGTAGAAATTTGTCAGCATTTCTATTTCTGCCCAGGTCGGTAATGGTCCTAACACTCTTTTCTGCTGCATTTATTTTGGCTACCTCAAGACAAATAGCGTAACCACATTGTCCCTTGCAGGAGAGCATCCTCCTCTTATCAGAGCCCTCACCTATGCACACCTACATAAGCTTCTGAGAACTGTTCGGCTGGGTCTGAAAAATGCCTGGGAGAGAACTTCCTGAGGGACTGAAGTAAACAGAGCTTTAAAGCAGGACAGAATTGTCCTAAAGGTCCCGCCGTTTCAAATGGATCATCACTTCTGACTATGGCTTCCTTCCTTCTTGAGACTGAACTCTTGGACAGTTTGTAGTGGGGGGAACTCAGGACCATTGGGAGATTGGAGATCCATTTTTTCAGGCACATGTGGAGCCTTGTACCCCTATGTCCTGGAATCCTGCTCTCTTGTGGCTCTGTATCCTTAGTATCTCCCAGGCACTATTAGGTAAGGATACACAGAGTCACGAGGGGGCAGGTCCAGAGATATTGAACCAGAGACAGCCTTTGAATGCTGAGAGACACAGCATTTTGTCTTTAGTGTTCAACAAGGCAATTATTAGGGTTGAATTGTGTCCTCTAAAAAGATATGTTAAAGTTTTAAGCCCCAGAACCTGTGACTGTGATCTTATTTGCAAATAAGGTCTTTGCAGATATAATTAAGTTAAGATGAGGTCATATTGGATTAATCTAATAATGGATACCTTCATAAGAGGGGGAAATTTGGGCACAGACACACGCAGAGAAAGCGACGTGAAGAGGGAGGCAGAGATTGGAGTGGTGTAGCTACAAGCCAAGGAATGCCAAGAATTGTCAACAATCACCAGAAGCTAGAAGAGGCAGGAAGGATCCTCACTGCTAGAGCCTTCAGACAGAGCATGGCCCCACCAGCATGTTGATTTTGGACCCTGACCTTTAGGACTGTGAGAGAATAAATTTCTGTTGTTTTAACCCACCCAGTTTATTACAGCAGTCCTAGGGAACTAATAAACCAACAAGTAGAGAAGGAATCATGCAACTCTTAAGGTGCAGACAAGATGCCTTTCTGCTCCCACACCACCTCCAGGTCTAACCAGGCGCTGTCTCTCAGCCTCTAGGATGGGTAGTATTTCAGTCTTGTTGTATCACCCTTCCTATGCAAGTACTTGAGAATAAATTAGTCCTCCCTTGTGGGACATAAGCAAGCAGCTTCCAACCTGCCTGGAGGGTATGAACAGGTGTCACGAGTCAGTCTTCCTCAGGTGCTTCAGGGTCCAGGTCATAGTCCAGCTGCCCTGCCGCAGGCCTGTGCTCCCACCTACCACAGACTGGGACACAGAACCCAACATCAGTGGAGCCTCGTGTACACCCCTAGTTTTTCTAGCTTGCCTGCTGCAGCCAGACCATTATCTCCCCAGAGTGCTCTTCATGACTGCTTAATGACCAGAAAGACTTGAGTTTTTATATCCAATGTCAAGAGTAAATTATTAACCACCTAGGAAAACAGAATTTTGGAGTAGTCTTGTACTTTGAGATACATAAATATATACATACCTACCAACATACATACACTCATATATGCCTGGAAATATGTATGTATATGTATATTTTACTCCCTTCTTCAAATATCTTTAGTGGATCCTTAGTCCTTGGTGAATAAAATCTAAAATAAGTTCTTAGCTTAGCATTCAAAACTGGCCACTATCTGGCCTGACAACTAACTCCCTTGATGTATTCTGTTAATACGTAGCTGAACTCTTTGTTGAGCTGTTTACCATCTTTCAAATCCCAGTTCTGGTATCAACTCCCAAGAAGACAGTCTTTCCTCATTTCGACACTCTATTTTGAGCAACCATAATACTTTGTATATATCTCCCTAATCACATTACATATTGTGTTGTAGGTTTTTGTATATTTGTCTAATCCTCTTCTCCTGGCCCTGCATTATAAACAGTAGGTAGAAAGCTTGTTATTAAAAACAGAATTAATAGCACAATGTGCTTTTGAAAACGGAAAGCACAGAGTTTTGGGGATGCTTTGCATTTAGAGCCGTCTTCACTGGCATTGACGTCATAGCCGCGGCTAACAGGGCTTATTCTTTGTCAGGCAATGAGCCAAGCATGACATGTGAACTATTTTAAGTCTTTTCACTAATACATGCTGATGTTCTTATTCATCTTAGTGTCCAACGTGGCACATGGCACAGGCCTAGATGCTTATTGAGCTCAATGATCTATTGATCTACCGATTTCAATGATCTACCTGAAATGATGGAATAAACATCTACATCTGTGCCATGTACTCAGTGAGCATCCACACCTAATCATCTAATTGCTAAAGGTGAATCTAGAAGGTAAACACATGTAGAACAAGCATTTGACTCCAATCTCTTGATCTCAATAGATGTATCATCTTTAAGAAAATTGTGACTGAAGTAATTCATAGGGAAAACTACTCCAAGGTAAGTCTATTGTCTTGGAGTATATTCCAGACTATAGAGGGCATTTATGAAAGAGGAAGTGATAATGAAGAAAAGTCCTGAATTACAATCTTAATGTGTTTTTTATTTTATCATTCTGTGTGGATACAGATGTACACAAATACAAACTTTTAATTTTTTTAAACCATGTTCATTATAGACATGAAGAAAAACATACTGAAAACAGTATTCAAAATACAGAGTATGAACTGTTACATTTTTATTTCACCATCTTCTGTGTGAACTTATGGAGAACTAACATAGAAAACTCTAAAATGCAGCTATGACATTTTTCTGTAACAATTGAAATTGTATGTTTAAATAATAGCATAAAGAATGAAACATGTATGCTTTTTAATAACTTTTTCTTCTGTCACATCCCAATGTCATGTGCTCAATCTCTGGTGGCTGTACAGAGCCCAGCGCAGCTCACGAGAGGCCCCTAAAAACCAGGGCACCACGTGGACTTGGCATTAAATTCAGACAACTTTGAAAAGCAGTTCAGATCTTCTGTTTTGTTTTTTTTTTTTCTTTCTTACTTTGTAAGTCTGAGTCTGACCTATTTTTAGGATATGGCCCACGGAATTGAACTTGGTGGTTTTAGTTTCACTGTTGTTGTTTTTCTTCTTTTGGGTTTAAAAAAAAAAAGCACAGGAGTCCACCATGACTAGAAAAGCATTAAAGCTTTCTTCTTTTAATTATACACTTAAAGTTATTAGGGTAGACACATGCTTTGTGTTTCCTGGAAATTGTAGGGTTTTAGTTCCCCTAAGCCCTTCTAACCTTATCCTTTAAATAACTCACTGACTTCTAATGGCCTTTAAAAGAATGATGTCATCAAAACACCCTAAAATTAATATGCCTGTTAGTTTCCATTTTGTTTGTGGCAATTTTTCACCATAAAAATATTATTTTTTCCTAGTGTTATTCCCTGTTCTACTCTTTGTCTTATTTTATAAAGCTCTGTATCTTTCTTTAGCTGAAAAAAGCTGACCTAAACTCCATAACCACTCCCAAGAGCTTGAGGGAAACCAGAGGGAAATCATTTGACATTGAGATTATCCCATCAAAACATGATGACCTTTATTTCCTTTCCATACTTTCCTGAGTATTGTTACTAGAGTAAGTGTTAAAGGATATAAATAAAACAAGTTATTATCAAGTTACTGAATATTATGTATGTAGCCGTGAACTTGTTTTCAAGTGTGATGGGGTTTGAATGCTGCTACATGTTCTGTTGCCTTAGACAGATAGAGAATTTTAGTTCTGGATATTAGGATTACAAATATAATATATGGAAAGCATGATGAGCAACTGAAATGCTTAATCATCAAAACTCTAGAAATTAGAGCAGGTTTATCATATTAGTCGTTGATGGAAGAACTGCAAACTAAGTACCAAAAAATAACTTCCATCACTTTTGTTTCAAAGTTTGTTTTAAAGGTTCAGTAGCATCCACTGAACTTTTCCCCTGACTATCTTAACACATCTTTTTTTGTGTTTGAGGATCTGGCCAGGATTGGAAACAGAGGTGTGAAGGAATTACAAGAGTGGGTGTTTTTGCAGTACTTTTGGCTAGCAGTAAAATAAGCAGGAAATTCTAAAATGTCTTGAGAAAATTTGTCCTGAAGAAAATTCTAGCTTAAATTTTTCTTTTAAATAAGATATTTAGACAATTTGGTTAATATTAAAATGAGAATGGAAACTTATATGAACGCAACAGTAATTGCAACTATTCTAACATCTTTATGCCTATGTGGTACTCTTTAGGGTTTTCAATATTCTTTCACACTTACTCTTCTCTGGAGGCTACACAGTTTGGTGGTGTTACTTCTGTTTTGCAAATGAGAAAGCTGAAGCACAATATTCACAGCAAAGTTTATTTTGTCGCTTTGCCTAGGGCAGCACCTTTTACCTGTGAGGCACCATGCATACTTCTAAACTTCTTGATATGGTTTTAGATCAAGCTTATTTAAAAACACAGTAGTGTTAAGGTCTATTCCCAGTATCATTTATGAGTACAAATGAAACTCTTCACTTTATGAATAGTCTACAAAAATGTGATGCTTAATTCTGCATATGGCTGTGCTCAGTCTGTGCACATTCCTAGAACCAAGATATTCAGTAAGTTGGTCTGCTGTTACAGATTTTTTAAGAGACTATAAGTTAATGTTGATTTGAAAGTATAGAAGCAATCAGATAAATCCCCATGCTTAGAAAAGTGATTAGTTTATGATTACAATGAAGAAGTATTTGGGTTCCAACATTTGTAGAGTATCTTGGGTGCCTATAGCTATGGCAAATAAAAGCAAACAAAAATGAATATGTTATTATTCAAAGAGTTTAACTAAATCTAACTTGTTAGCTTAAAACCTTTGAGAGCTCTCCCACACATTTTTAATGTGATAAAATTTCAAACATATTATTAAGCCCTACTAGCAATGCTGTCAGAGGCGTTTTAACCACAGCAACTCCATCTTGAGTGAGGGCAGGGAAAATGAGGCTGGGACGTGCTGGGCTGCATTCCCAGAAAGTTAGGTATTCCTAATCTCTATATGCCTACAATTTAGGGAACAGATTGATAACATTTACTAAACAGATCCAGACTTAGGAGTGTCCTGATATCGCAATATCTTGAGAACAGAAGCATTCCTAATTTTGCTTTAAAGATAATAATATCGATTCTTGCAAAATATAGCAATTAAGAAAATTAATCCTTTATCACAAACTCTTGTAGCAGTAACACATCTCCCATAATCTTTTTTTAATCTTATCAATAAACGAGTATTGTACTTAGGGTGGAAGCATTTTTCCTCTTACTTTTGGGAACACCCTACTCTGTCGATGGAGTAGCTGTTGTTTCACCACTTTATTTTCTTGATAAACTTGCTTTTGTTTTGCGCTGTGGATTCACTCTGAATTTTTTCTTGCACGAGATCCAAGAACCCTCTTTTGGGGTCGGGGTCTGGATCTGGACCCCTGTCCGGTTAACAATGCTGTGTCTGAATAAATCTGATGATCTAAGTATTAGAATATCACCCTTTATAAATATATGCATGTATCAAATAACTTTAATTATTCTTAAAGCATGTCTACAAAAACCACATGAAAATGCAGACATTTGCATGGAGGTAATAAACGTGAATATGTTTCAGAACATCTGGACAGTTGTTCTCATGCTTGTTGGAATGAAGCTCAGTGTAGAAAGTAGAATGTAGATGTGTACAGGATGTAGTTGACTGCAACATTTCAAGAAATGAAGTTCTTGCCCTTCAGCTATACCGATATAAAAAATTTAAATTACATTATACACTTTATTTTAATCCTTGATGAAGAGATTGTTATATTCAGTATTGTAGTCCTGATGTAGAGAGGTATAATTACATTTGTCAACCAAAAGTATGCGAGACAGGTCTCAATCAGTTTAGAAAGTTTATTCGATCAAGGTTAAGGATATACCTCTGACACAGCTTCAGGAGGTCCTGACCACATGTGTCCAAGGTGGTTGGGGCACAGCTTGGTTTTATACATTTTAGGAAGACAGAAGACATCAATCAATGCATGTAAGAGGTATATTTGTTCAGTCCAGAAAGGTGGGGCAACTTGAAGCAGGGGCTTCCAGGCCATAGGTGATTTAAAGATTTTCTGATTAGCAATTGGTTGAAAGAGTTATTATCTAAAGAAAGGAATGTCTGGGTTAGAATATGGGGTTGTAAAGACAAAGAGTTTATCATGCAGATGAGGCCTCCAGGTAGCAGGCTTCAGAAAGTCCAGACATAAATGTTTCTTATCAGACTTAAAGAGTCTGCTCTACCAGTAATTCCAAAAGGGAAGAGTATATAATGAGGCATGTCTTGCTCCCTCTTCCCATCATGGCCTAAACTAGTTTTTTCAGATTAACTGTAGAATGCCCTTGCTGAGAGGAGGGTCCATTCTGATGGCTGAGGGGCTTTTATTTTTATTTTTGGTTTAAACATAGAATATTCAGTTTTCATGATCTATATGCAAACATTTCAGACATAGTTAAATTTTTTGTATCAGCTTGACTATGCCACATGGTGCCCAGATTAAACATTATTTC
The DNA here is from genome assembly GCF_000001405.40 of Homo sapiens. Lineage (NCBI taxonomy): Eukaryota > Metazoa > Chordata > Mammalia > Primates > Hominidae > Homo > Homo sapiens. Next base: position 132,003,246 of record NC_000006.12, read on the forward strand.
TGGGTGTGTCTATGAGGCTCTCTCTATATAAAATTAGCATCTGAATGGGTAGACTCAGTAAAGTAGTTTGGGGAGGGGATCATGCAATCTGTTGAGGGTCTGAGTATAATAAAAAGGAATAAAAAGGTAGAAAAGGGGGAAATTTGTCTCTTCTTGACCATTTGCTCCAGCTGGGACATCACATCTTATCTTTTCCTGCCCTGGGACTAGGATTTACGCCATTGGCTCCACTGGTTTTCTAGTTCTCTGGACTCATGTCAGAGGCATGTGAACCAGAGCAACTCCATCTTGAACAGGAGCTGGGTAAAATGAGTCTGAGACCTACTGGGCTGCATTCCTAGACAGTTAAGCCATTCTAAGTCACAGGATGAGATAGGAGGTTGGTGATAGAGATGATAAATTCCTCTTCAAAAGGTTTTAATTCCCTGTTCTTCCGGTTCTTTGTTTCTCTAGTTTCTATAGTTGCCAGTGCTGTAAACAACCCTTCCCACCCTTGCTGCGCCCTGATATGCCCTGACAAGCCTAGACATGCCTTGTGCCCTGTTACAGAAAGCCTTTCCCTTCCTGCCTAGATAGCTGTGTTCAATTTCAAACATTAGCCAGTTGGGTCAGTTTAGATTGTGCGGTCCAACCCTAGCCAATAGGGGAAAGACACAGCAGTAGGGACTAGCTGCATTAGGAATAAGAACCCCTTCCCTTCCCTTGTCCAGTGTGCTCTCGCCATTGCTCCACCAGTGAGCCGCACCCTTCTATAGAAGTAAATTGCCTTGCTGAGAAAACTTTTGCCTGAGTGCTATTTTCATTTTGCGGCACCAAGCATTTACTTCCAACATTGGCGCAAGATACAGGTCATAAAGACCTTGTTGATAAAACAGATTGCAGTAAAGAAGCCAGCCAAAACCCACTAAAACCTAGATGGCCACAAGAGTGACCTCTGGTTGTCCTTACTGCTACACTCCCACCAGTGCCATGACAGTTTACAAATGCCATGACAACAAAAGGAAGTTACCTTGTCTGTTCTAAAAAGGGGAAGCATGAATAATCCATTCCTTGTTTAGCATATCATCAAGAAATAACCATAAAAATGGACAACCAGCAGCCCTTGGGGCTGCTCTGTCTATGGAGTAGCCATTCTTTTATTCCTTTACTTTCCTAATAAACTTGCTTTCACTTTACACTTGCTTTACTGAATTCTTTCTTGTGCGAGACCCAACAACCCTCTCTTGAGGTCTGGATTGGGACCCCTTTCCTGTAACACTCAGACTAGAATTACACCATTGGCTTTCCTGAGTTTTCAGTTTGCAGACTGCAGACTGAGATTTCTGAGCCTCCATAATCACATGAGCCAGTTTTTCATAGTATATATATTATTGGTTTTCTTTCTCTGGAGAACCCTGCCTCATACAGGTAGATTTTAGCTTAGTCTAAGGAAGAACCTACTATTGAAAATAGCTGCTGGAAATTTGATTGGACTATCTTAGGAGGTAGTAAATTTCTTGTCAATGGAGATGGTCAATCAGATGTTGTAGTGGGGCTTCCAGCATTGGCTAAGGTTTGGCTAGACTATCTTGGAAGTCCCTACGAGTCACTGCTAATGGGAGATATCAGTTTCAAGGGAGAATGTCAAAATATTGCATCTGGAAAGAACTTCAGAAACTGCTTAGTTGCACTTCCTTACTGTTCAGAGGAGGAAAATGAGACCAGAGAATGCAAATATCTCATTCAAGGTCAAATAGCCAATGTATTTTAGGGGATTTGTGTGACAGAAGGCTATCTTTTTGGTTTTATTTAGAATCCAGTAAAATGCAACTGTATTTTGAGTGATCTCAGTCTGCCTTTGTGGGTAGGAGAAACTGGGTGCCTACTGAATGTAGAAAGTCTTTTATTTTATTTCAGATATTTATTTTATTTATCTGATGTGTTTAACTCACAAAGACCCTATTTTGTACATGAATAATTGAGAACTAACTGTACTTTAAGCTTCTATTTATTTATTTTTTAAAGTCATGTACATTTATAGCAATGAGAATGTACCTCATAGGCTTTATAATGTAAGTGTTCTCTAGTAAAAGCAAAAGGGAAGTTCAGCATTAGGTTGTAAATGAGAAGTAAGTACTAAGAGTTCTAAGTTCACTTCCTTTTGTTACCAGCAATTCCTTTTTGGATGTGTGGCAAGATAAGCAGGGCTGATATTCAGAGTCAGTGTGTTAGTTTGTTCTTGCATTGCTATAAAGGAATACCTGAGACTGGATAATTTATAAAGAAAAGTGATTTATTTTGGCTCACGGTTCTGCAGGCTGTAGAGGAAGCGTGGTACTGGTATCTGCTTCTGGAGAGGGCCTCAAGAAGGTGGAGGAGCAGGCAGGTCACATGATGAGAACAGGAGCAGGAAAGAAATGGGGAAGGTGCCACACTTAAACAAACAAACAAACAAACAAAAAACAGCTCTCACGTGAACTACCAGAGAAAGAACTCACTCTTCACCAAGATGGCGCTAAGCCATTCATGAGGGATCCGTCCCCATAATCCAACGTCTCTTACTGGGCTTCACCTCCAACACAGGGGATCATATTTCAACATAAGATTTGGAAGGGACAAACATTCAAACCATATCAGTCAGGTTATTTGGTAACGACCATAAAGTGGTAGGCAAACAATTTTTTCTTCAGTCTGCCATACAGTTTGGGGAAATCTTCATGAAGATCTTTTGTTAAATCTTTAAAGCCTGTCTTATTGTATTCAAAAATATTTTCAGGCTGGGCGGGCTCATGCCTATAATCCCAGCACTTTGGGAGGCCGAGGCGGGTGGATCACTTGAGGTCAGGAGTTCAAGGCCAGCCTGGCCAACATGGTGAAACCCTGTCACTACTAAAAATACTAAAATTAGCCGGGTGTGGTGGTGCTCGCCTGTAGTCCCAGCTACTCAGGAGGCTAAGGTGAGAGAATCACTTGAACCCAGGAAGCAGAGGTTGCAATGAGCCGAGATTGTGCCATTGCACTCCAGCCTGGGCGACAGAGTGACACTCTGTCTAAAAAAAAATTATATATATATTTTCAGAGCATTCTTCATATGTGTCCATAATCAGGTCATTCAGATAATCGAGTGTTTTTGTTGTGGTGGTGGTGGTTTTTAAAATTTACTGGTTGGTTGAAAGGATGGATGAAATTAAAAGATCTTCTCTTAGAACCTTGGATATTATGCATATGAGGCATTTAAATAATAACCATTTGGGGAGTGCTTACTATGTGCCAAACACTATGCTGAGTCCTTTACATATGTCATCTCAATTCCTGTAATAACCCTATGAAATATGTCCTGTAAGCATTCCCGTCTTACAGGTGAGGAAACTGGAGGTTCAGAGAAGCAAAGTGATATACAAATAACATCACCAGCTCACAAGCGGCAGAACAAGAATGCAGACCTCTATCTGTTTAGTGCCGTTGGCAATCACAAAAGATTCAGAAGCTGGGCTCCATGTCTGTCTTCTAAGAACACTTGGGCCTGAATTACTTTACAGGCCATTTTCTAACCCAGGCCACCTCTAGGCCCTGGTCCAGGGCTGCTCTTGTCCCTTAGACCTGTTCCTAGAATCCTCATCCTTGTAAACTCAGCCTTAGTCTAAGAAGCGCCTAGGTTGGAGTATAGTTCAACAGCCACAACCATAGGTAATATCTGTCTAGGAATGTCAAGACTGGAGTGTTCAGGAGCCATGGCACTAGGCAACACCTGTATAACTGTGGGAAAACCTCTACCTCTCAAAACCAGAAAACAAAATCTGGTTAATAGCTGGTCCTACCTCCCCGTCCTCATTAGTCCACTCCTTCTGTTCTCACTTCTCCATTGTTGATTTCTGTCTCATCTGTAGTCTTCTACTTCCAAGTATAATCCCAACTATTCTTTCTTGATCATCATAGACACATATGTTCATATTTTATAAAGCACTGTTTGAATTATGGAGGGATTGAAATAGGAAAGTTAAGCTTAAGAATAGGAGTAGGCATCATATATTGTACTTTTCTTTCTCCACAGGATTATCTCAGTGCTTTGGGTCTAGTAGACATTCAAAAAATATATATGAATAGATTTATTTTATAGTTTTAAGGGGAAATAGATCATGGTATGTTGGGGATGTTTAGAGAACTTTTTGGAAGATTTTTCTGACTGGGGAAAATAGTTTCAAAAATTCTTATTAAATTCATTACTATTGAGACCAAAGGGCGGGAGGCAGAAATTAAGCTTAACTTTGATTTAAAGAGTAAAGAAAGGTTCTTATTCACTGAACTGCATTCCAATCATTTCAACTTATGTTTAAGAACATTTCTTGGTTCTGGGAAGCCTTAATTTACTTCTGCCATGCTGTGGTAGTCATTGCATAATACAGATGAAAGGCAGCTTTTCTTGATGCTACGTGGTATGTTTATTTTACATGTGCTCCTGCCAGACATCTGGAGGATATACCAATGATAGGACTATGAACCAGTTACCTCTGGGGGCCCAATTTCTAGTAGTATTTTACTTAAAATAAGTAACAATGATTGCCACAATAAACTCCCAAATCCTAATGGCTTAACACAATAAAAGTATATTTATTGCTGATATACCAGATCCAAAGTAGATGTTCCTGATCAGTGATCAGTCTATCTTGTGGTCCTTCAAGGACTCAAGCTCCCTTCACATTCAGCTAAAAAATGAGTGAACAGAGAGAATCACATAAGAGGTTTCTTAATGCTTCATCCTGAATCACAGGACAAAATCACACATGATGAGCCAGTCATACGGCCACACCCAAGTGCAAAGGGAATGCCAGTGTCATCTATTGTTTACATAGACACAGAAGAAGTAGATGATGAACATATTGATGAACACATTGCTGTTTCAGCCACAAGGTGGTCTGGAAGTCACCAGCCAAATCCTGTTGTTTCAACAACAGATAGTTTTAACAGTGCTTTATTTAAAGAGATGAGACTAGAATGAGAAAAAATAAAAAGTAGCTTATTAAATAATTCTTTGCTGTTGGTTCTCTTAAATTTCTTCTGCTTTCGTTATAAATGATGTTTTCTTCAAATTTTAAAACTTAATCAGACAAGTCTAGTGTATGTAATGAATTCTCTCTAAAAAACATGACATGTAATTTTTGCCAAGAAGTTCACAGAATACAGGAATCCTGGTGCCAAAAATCAGAAAAAATCCAAGTTATACACAGTGAAAAATTAATAAAGTGGCATTATTATTGAGTTTGTTTATAGAGTACCTCTTTGACTTAATGTTATTTTATTTTATTTTATTTTATTTTATTTTATTTTATTTTATTTTTTTCAGATGGAGTCTCACTCTGTCACCCAGGCTGGAGTGCAGTGGCACGATCTTGGCTCACTGCAAGCTCTGCCTCCCAGGTTCACACCATTCTCCTGCCTCAGCCTCCTGAGTAGCTAGGACTACAGGTGCCCGCCACCACACCTGGCTAAGTTTTTTGTATTTTTAGTAGAGACTGGGTTTCACCATGTTAGCCAGGATGGTCTTGATCTCCTGACCTCATGATCCGCCCGCCTCGGCCTCCCAAAGTGCTGGGATTACAGGCGTGAGCCACCGCTTCCAGCATGACTTAATTTTAAAGTAGGCAGAGAACTTGTTTTCTTCTAATGAGTTTTATTAGGAAATACACTTTTAAGAAAAGATGCTCAGGTTTATACTGTCAGGCAGATTTAGGAGGATATCAGCAAAAGGAGTTAACCTGGCATGTTTCTGGGACATAAGTGTGGTAATAATAAATATTTTACTTGGTATGTTTTCTGAAATAAATTTTTTTTTTCAGAGATATCTGAGTGGGAATTTTTGACTTCAGAGAAATGATGATGTGTGCAATGGTTTGAATGTCCCCTTCAAAAGTCATATTGAAATGGAATTGCCAATATAACAGTATTGGGCAGTGGGGCCTTTAAAAGGGGTTAATCTCATGCAGGATCTGCCCTCATGAATGGATTAATGCCATTATCTCAGGAGAGAGTTAGTTATCACAGCAGTGGATTTCTGATAAAAGGGTGAGGTTCTGCCCCATCTCCTCTCTCTTGTGTACTCCTGCCTTTCACCCATGCTCTATGGGATGACCTTTGCCAGATGCTATTGCCATGCTCTTGGACTTTCCTGCATCCAGAACAGTGAGAAATAAACTTTTTTCTTTGTAAATTACCCAGTCTGTGGTATTCTGTTATAGCAGCAGAAAAAGGACAATGTGGTTACAGGAGTAAAACAGTACTGTATCTAGCAACTAGCACATTTCCTGGCCACAAGCTGACTGTATTTACTGTGTCTCAGGCACTATTTCAAGTGCTGGGAATGCAGCAGTGAACAAAATGAACTAATATTCCTGTCTTCATGGAACTTAACATTGTACATAAACTATAAAACATATGTGATGATAAATGTTGTAAAGAAAAGCTGAGAAGGGCAGGTAGGAGAGTTTGGAGGGCTGAGTTACCTCAGTAACGAGTGGTCTCACTGAGTGAAGATTTGATTTGTGTGTGTGTGTGTCTGTGGAGACAGAGTCTTGTTCTGTTGCCCAGGCTGGAGTGCAGGGGTGCAATCTTGACTCACTGCAACCTCCATCTCCCAGGTTCAAGCGAGTCTCCTGCCTCAGCCTCCTGAGTAGCTGGGACTACACGTGTGTGCCACCATGCCTGGGTAAGTTTTGTATTTTTAGTAGAGACGGGGTTTCACCATGTTAGCCGTCCTGGTCTCAAACTCCTGACCTCAGGCAATCTGCCTGCCTCGGCCTCACAAAGTGCTGGGATTACAGACATGAGCCACTGCGCCTGGCCATGAGCAATGTTTCTATCTTAGATAAACAGTACTCCTGGCAGAGGTAATAGCCTGAAGTGGGAATAAGCCTGGCTTATTCCAGAAACAGCAAGTAGCCCAATGTGGCTGGAGCAGAGTCAGGGAAGGGTGAAATAGTAGAAGAGGAGGTAAGAGAGAAAACTTGGATGTTGAAAGGGACAGGACAAATAAGCTCTTCTGATCACTATAAGGACTTTGTCATTCATTTTGAGTGACAAAAGTAGCCAATTTGAGCAGAGGAGTTGACATGACATGGTATGTTTTAAAAGAATCAGTCTGTCAGCTGTGTTGAGAGTAAAATGAGTGAAGAAACAATAGTGGAAATAGGAAGACCAGTTAAGTGTTTGTTGCAATCCAAATGAAAGTGATAGTGGTGTGGACCAGGGTAGTAGCAGTGGAGGTGGTAAACACTGGTCAGATTCTGCATATATTTTGAAACTACAGTCAGTAAGGCTTTCTGATGAATTCAAAATAGGGTGGAGAGAAGGTGATAGAAGGAGGAGCAAAGGGAGACTCTAGGATTTATTGGCCTGAGCCAGTGGACAGATGGAGTTGTCATGTATTGTAGTGAAAAAGACGACGGGAAGAGCAGTTCTTGGCAAGGTGGGGAGAAGCTTAGTTTATACCAGTTAAATTTGTAATGCCTATTAGATATCCCACTGGAGGTGTTGAATGCATGGCTGGATATTTAAGTCCAGAGATCAAAGAAGAGGTCAGGTTGAAAATATAAATCTGGGAGAGCTCAGCAAATAGATGATATTTAAAGCCATGAGTCTGGGTGAGATTAACCAGAGAGTGAGTAAACTCAGAGAGGAAGACCAAGGACTGTGTTGTGGGGAACTACTAGTTAGGAGAGGTTATAGAACCTGAAAAGGACACTGAGAAGTGGAAAATCAGGTAGGAGGAAAATCAGAAAAGTAGCTCTGTCTTATGGCTACTGAAAGTGAGAAAAAATATTTCCAGGAGGAAGCAGGGACTGTGTCAAACATTGACAACTGACCAACTAAATGAGGATTAAGGAATGACCATTGGATTTGGCAATGTGGAGGTTCTTAGGGCTCTTTACCAAGGCAGCTTCTGTGAAGGGGTGAGGTGAAGTCTCTTTGAAGTGAGATGGAGGGAATGGGATGTTTGCTTTTAAATAATAGCAGGTAGAATGGGAAAAAATGAACAATATAGAAGAGAGAGGACAGACTTGAGCAAGAGAGGATGGAAGCTGGGGCAAAAGTAAAAGAGCTAACATCAGACAGGCTCATAGAGTCACCCATTTCAATGGGACTGACAGCAGAGATTATAGGATGAATAGAAGTTCAAGAGGAAAAATGGAGAATGTATGGAACAATCCTTTAGGAGAAAAAATAGGAGAATCTATATATGAAGGAAGTGTGATGGATTGAATCCAGCGTGGTCAAAGAATTCTTGGTGTCATACATCTTGAAAGAGTAAGCTGAAAATAAAGGATAGTGAATAATTTATAAATGAATAACAATCTGTTTCCAACAGAGTTGTGAAGAAAAAGGGTATTAAACCCTTTTTAAAGGTTTTACTTTTTCCCGAGATTTAAAAGTATCATGAGACATTTTTGGAAACTGTAGGTTTGTACATTTGGTAAGGGCATGTATCCTTATCCGGGAAGGCCAGATTAACATTGACATAGACTTCCTCACAGTATGTGGCAAGACTAAATGAATGGTCTTGGCCAGCAGACTTTGTACTTAAAATATGAGCCAGTGAAGGGGTTGGGACTAATTGGATAAAATGCAGTCCCTAGGGAGAGCTGGAGCAAGAGATCTGTGCATTATGCCTTCCAGACCTGAAAGGGAAGTTGGATTTTAATAGCTTTGACTTACAAAATTAATACCCTCCAAAGAAAATTCACCTGTTGCCAAATCTAATGCCAAGCTTTGAACGCTCACAGTTCCTTCAGGTCGCTTGTTTATTTTTGTTTCTTTCTTTTTTTTTTTTTTTTTCCTCCTTCTTGCCAGTGTCTTCTCAACTTTTAGGCATGAATACTAGAAGGCTTGCAATTTATCTTCTTGAAGAGTTGTTTAATCAGAAGTCCATAATGAAAGAGAAAGAGAAAAAGAGATTTTAAACACTTTGGTTTAAAATGCACTTCTCCTGGCTATGAATTTTCCTAAGTTGTTTGTGTGCATATAAATACACTGTTTATGCCTTGCAATTTGGCCAGCATATTTTAAACTCCAACTCTTGAAAACATTCTTTTTTAGTTAGGTAACGCTGAAAAACAGTTCTATTACAAGTTATTCTATTGACCTGGGTGCCAAGGACTTCTTATTTTTCTTCCATATACCTTCATTTTTCTAATTAGATAGCCCAAGCAGCTAAACTTGATCTATCACACAGTCAGATGTCAGTATTTAGCAAATGTTGTTGCCACTAATGGTTTTTACACTTGTGTCATTTTACAAAGTTTACTTTCAAATCTTGTGAATTAAAGTTTCCATTCAGTATCACCAAAACAAAGAGGCAGGAAATATAGACATAGTTTTCTCATAAAGAGAATATAAAGATACTCATTACCATACCTTTTTTTGATGTTGGCTGGTGTTAAGATAAAATGGATTTAAAGATCACTCGAGAGTTGGCCAAAAAAAAAAAAATGCAAAGGGATTTAGATGCAGGCATTTTGAGGTATATTCCATTTAATCTCGTTTTAATATATAAAATATGTTTCTGGATATATTTTAAAATAAGCTAGTTTCTTGAATTTATTCCATATTGTTTGGTGTTTTAGCTGAAGAATGGACAAATTAAGTGCATCATTATTATCATTACTTTTTTAAAAAAATGGGAAATAGCTTTACATTTTATTCCTAATTATGAATATAATGCATTGCTTACGTAAAACATTCCATCAATAGAGAAATGCATGAACTACAAAGAATACGTCCTCCTCACAATCCCACCTCCCAGGGATAACCAGACTTAGAGTTTAGCTTGTAGCTTTGCAGGTTTATTTCTGTGTGTATATTCATCTTTAGTTTTTAAAACAAAATGAGCTCTAAAATGATCATTTTAGCCCTGTGTTTTAAATTTTATTAATAAATTATCAACCTATTTTAATATATGTGTAGTTTATTCATTTTACTGTATGAATGAGATAATAATTAATTTATTTCATTATTGGGGATTATTAAGATTTCCAGTTTTTATTATTGGAAGTAATACTGCTATTTACATTTCTGTACACATCATCACCTGTCTCATAGGTTTATTGGAATTAAAAAATACACTAGTACATGTAAAATTCTGAAAAAATATATGACAACAAGTGCTTCAAAATGTTATAAATGTATTATTCTCTTTATTTTCTTTGTTGCTAGTGAATATGTCCATATGACAAACTTCTAGAAATGAAATTACTGGGTTGTTAAATATCAAATTGCCCTCCAAAGAGGTCCTCTCAAGTTATACTCCCATCATCAAGGAGTAAAGAATATTTGTTTTCCAACACCATTTAAATTAAACTTTTCAATAGAAGCATCACAGACATATAGAAAAAGTACATGCACATTATAGGTACTGGCTCAACAAAGTGAAACCAGTTGTGTAACCAACACTCAGATCAAGGCAGAGTACATATCATATCCATCACTCTGGGGGCCTCCTTTGGGTTCCTACCTTGTCCTAATTTGCTTCTTCCTCTCCAAAGTTAAGTGCTATCCTACTTATGGCACCATCGTTTAGTCTTGTATTCATTTATAGTCTGGCTTCTTTCACTCAACATTTTGCATGTATTGGATGATTATAACCATCCCTGTTGTTGCAGGTATCAATAGTTCATTCATCTTCCTGTATCCTACTGCAGGAATATATTGTAAATTATTCATTGTGAATGGGCATTTTGTATGTTTGTTTTATATGTTTATTACAAATAACACTATTATGATTCTTCCACACGTCTTTCGGTATATACATGTACACATTTCTGTTGGACATTTAACTCACAGTAGAATTGCTGGTTCATAGAATAGGTGTCCATTCAACTGTGAAAGATACTGCCAGTTTTCTAAAGGAATTGTGCCAGTTTATCACTATGTCAGCAATGGGGGGTAGTACCAGTTGTATATTCTTGCCAATTCTTGGTATTATTTATTTTAAAAAATTTGGTCATTCTGATGGTTGCGTAGAGGTATATCATTGTAGTTTGCAATGTATTTTCCTGATTATTAGGGAAGTTTAGCACCTTTTCATATGATTATCAATAATTTGGATGTTCTTTTTTGTGAAACACCTTTTCAAGTCTTTTGCCTATTTTAAAAATTGGGTTGTCTTTTCTTTATTTATTTATAGGAGTTCTTTCTTTTTCTGGGTATGTGCTCCTTGATATATGTGATGTCTCATACTTACAGTTAGAAATATTTTTTCTCTTAATCGTGTCTTTCAATAAATAAGTTCATCTGTTTTTTTCAAACTTTTCCTTTATAATTATTACCTTTTGTGACTTGCTTAAGAAATGTTGAACTACCTAAGGTTGTGTTTTTTACTAGAAGCTTTATTGTTTCACTTTTTCTTGTTAGATTGACAATCCATCTTAATTTTATGTGGTCTACTCAAATTTCCTTCATGCAGATATCCAATTGACTCTGCACCCTTTATTGAAACATGCTATAGTGGCACCTTTGCTGTAAACCAGGTGATCACGTAGTATAAAACTCAGGGGCTATTTGACATCTGTACTTTCTATTAAATGGGAAAATGCAGTGTCTAGTAAAAGTAAATAAAACAAGTTTACAGAGAAATGCAACGGAAAGAAACCTGGTTGTGTGGGCCATCTTGATTCCAGTTATTTAGTAATCCCGGAAGAACTGTTTCATCTTCCCAAACCAAAACTTCATTCCCATTGAACAATAATTTCATGTTTCTCTCCTCCTGTCGTCCCTGGCAGCCACCATTCTACTTTTCGTCTCTATTAATTTGACTACTAGGTACCTCATATCACTGGATTCATACAATATTTGTCCTTTTGTGACTGACTTGTTTTGGTTAGCACAATGTCTTCAAAATTTATCCACGTTGTAGCGTGTGTCAGAAGTTCTCTCCTTTCTGAGGTTGAATAACATTTCATTGTACATATATATCACTTTTTGTTTATCCATTCATCTGTCAGGGGACAATTGGGTTGCTTTCAGCTTTTGGTTATTATGAATAATGTCGCGATGAACATGGGTGCATATGGATTGTTTTTTATGTTTTTTATTTGTTTCTTTGATGTACCTTTTTGTCTTGCTTAGGCAAATTAGACTTAGTAACCAGAGGTTCTCAACTAATATGCATGTACCTGTTTACAGACTTCTTATTGTATTCCTTTGCTCTACCAGCCTTTTTCTATACTAATACCATACTGTGTTAATGATTTTTCCCTCATTACTGTATTACAAAAAGGCATTGGCTACGTTTCAGCTTTTTTTCCTTAGATGATCAATTGTCAGGTTCTAAAAAGAAATGGAATTTGGTATTGCATTGGACTTTTAGTTAATTTGCAGACAATCAACATTAAACCTTTCTTAACAGTATATACATAGGATATATCCTTTTATAAAAGAGCCAAATAATACTAAGATTGGCCCCTTTTTTCAAAAGTTCTAGTTCTTTTATCAGATCTGAGATATATATACATATACACATATGTGCATACACGTATATGTATGCGTGCATACATGTATACATGTATAAGTATACACATACATATGTATATACACATATACACACGTATAAACATGTTTATACACACATATACATATCTATGTATACATATATGTATACATATATACACACATATATGTGTGTATATATACACACATATATATGTGTGTGTATATATACACACATACACATATACATAGATATGTATATATATGTGTATATATATACTCATACACATCTTTCTTTACACTTTACTACTGATCTGATTTATTCTTATTTTTAACTTCCTTTTGTAAAAACTTGAATGGTGAATGGCATGTATTTTCCTTTAATGTCCCTATTTTGAGATCTATCCATGTTCATAGAAGTAGACCCTCTTCATTCTTTTTATTTGTTACAAGGGATTTCATTGCATAGATATATTTTATTTATCTAATGATTTCCCTTTTGATGGATCCTTAGAGAATTACCATTTTTCAGCATTACAACATCATCATGAAACTCTTGATACATACTTGTTTTGGTTCACATTTCTCTAAAACCTACCGAAAGCAAATTGCTTGGTTTAAAGATATACACATTTAAAATTTAAAGCTATTGTCAAATTATCCTCCAGAAAATCAGTATCAATTTATATTCCTAAGAGGCAATCACAGACATTTTCCTATCTCCCTACAAACTCATAAAGTTTATCATTAAAATTTATTCCCATTTGGAGCAAAAAAAAAAATCTCCTGATTGTTTTATTTGTATTTTAATAGTTTCGGGATGGTTGAACAGCTTTACTTATTCATTTGGCCATTTGTATTTCCATGTCTGTGAAAAGCCAGTTTATAAGCTTTGCTCATTTTTCTATTTTTGTCATTGTTTTAGTTTTTTCTTACTGATTTGATCCAGATGATCTGTTCACAATGCAGTTTAAATATTAATATTTTGTCTGTAATACATACAATTAAAATATTTTTCTGCATGCTGTCAATTTTCTTTTAACTTGGTATGTGCCCTTGTTTGTATGGCTATATTTTGAAGTTTTAGAGTTGATACAGTCAAATTGACCACTCTTTTCTTTTTTAATATTTATCTTATTTTTATTGCTTTTTAATATATCTTAGGCAGGAAGGCTTCCCTACATTATAGTTATAAATATATTTACTTCATTCTCTTTTAGTAATTTTATATTCTTTAATTTTACATAAAGTTCTTTGACATTTAAAATTTTTTTGTGTGCACATGTTAAGGCTACTATATAACTATTTTTCAACATTTGTCTTACAGCGTGTGTGAATTATTTGATCATATTTTTCACTCATTTTTTCTTTTGGCAAATGAAGGCTATATTTTCCCCCAAATGTTGTTGGAATAGCTAGTTCCATCCTTTTTCTCATTGAACTTAAATATCCTCTTTATCATATATCAAACTATCTTTTAGTCCTGGCTACATTTGTATATATCCTGTTCTGAATCTATTTGACTACTTCTGTGTTAATATCATACTATTTTCATTACCATGGATTTAAAAAAATTGTTTTTAAATCTCTACTTTTCTTACATATTTCATTTTTACATGAAGTTGAGAATCTGTCAAGTATCATCTATAATCTTATTGGGGATGCATTCAATTTATACACTAATTTTGAGGTAATTTACATCATTATGATAGTGAGGAGTTTTACCATGATATACACATGCAGAACATGATTATCTCCATTTATTCATGTCTTTTTGTGTATAAGTCATTAATGTCTTATAGTTCTTGTTTTTTCATATTAGTTTTACCCCATTCATGCTACACTTATTTATAGACCATTTAAATTGTTTTTAATGACATGAATGGGAATTTTCCAGTTAGTGGCTCAAATAACTAATTATTGCTGATATAAAAAGACAAATGGTGATAGTTACACATATTTATTTTAAACATTAATAACTTTCTAAAATAAATTTTTTGATTCTTATGAATTTCCTTGATGTATAATCATGTGTACATATGAATGTACAACTTATCTTTTCTTTCCAGTATGTATGTATATGTGTTCTTCTTTTATTACTTTTTGTTTTATCCACAATCTCCTGAATAATGTTGAATAGCAGTTTTGATAATATACGTCCCTGTCTTTTTCCTGTTAATGAGATTGACTTTAATATTTCATTTTTAATGTGGTGTTTTTCTGTTGATGGCCAATTAAGAATTCTTATTATACTACACAAAGGTACAAATTATGTATGTTTTAGTACAAACATGACATGTGGATATATCAAAGTCTGGAATAAAGAACTGAACACAATGTGTTGGAAAGACATCAGATCTTGGAATAACCAGGTTGGAATCCTGGCTCTATCACCTAACTAGCAGTTTGACATTGAGAATGATACATAACCTCTTTGAATCTCTTTCTGCGTCTGAAATAGGAAGATAATAACACATGCAAGAGATGATATGTGTCATGGGCTCTAAAATGTCTGCTGCGGTATAGACTCAATAAATCTAGATTGCCCTCTGAGATCCCAGAGGACTTAAGCAACAGAAAGTCAAGTAAAAATAGCAAGAAACCGTTGTACTCTTCCTATCTTCTTGCTCTTAGTTGAGAGCACAGGATCTGTTAGCAAAATGTAGTTCATATGGTGCATTTAATTTTGCTAAAATGACACTTAGGGAATTTTTAAAGCTGGATCCACAATATAACTAAATCAATGATATAGCAAATGGGTGATTCCATTAAGCTTGAAATTTTCTCAACTTACAGATAAATCAAAAAGAAAAAAAATCTTTCTTCCATAGTTTTATAAAGTTAATTAGCTCCATATATCCATGAATAGGGAAACAATCTCATTACACTAAGTATTTTTATTTTAAGGGCCAAATAGCTTCATCTAGATTTGAGAAGTCATTCAGAAGTGTTCAAAACCAATATAAAGATCACTTTATTTCGAAGTATGGCTTCTTAGTGATGTAAGAGTCAAGTTTCTACTAAATTAATAAAAAGATTTAAAATAGAAACAGATGAACTCATTATGAAGTGCTTTATACATCTTTGGATTTTCATAACTTAGAAAAGCAGAAGTCAATCACCACCAATTGGACACATTTCTTCTACTTAGCTCCAGTCAGAGCTTATGACTAAAATGATTTTGAATTGTTCTGCATAGTTTTTCATGGATTTGGAGAGATCTCACTCTATCATTAAGAATTTGGCTGGCATATATCTATATGCCTACCCTGTCAATTGTTATTAGGTATAACAGTCTATGATATTGTGAGTCTGTGGCTTTTAAAGAGATGTTCATTTCATATATGTCTTAGTTTTAACGTATAAAGCAGGAAACAGGTGAAATATGCCTTAATCGGATAGATTGTGAGTCCTTTTGTAGCAGGGAGCATGCTTTCTGTGACTTGTACCTCCATAAAATTAAGGGAAGAGTTCAGAGTGCAGTATGTGCTTCCATAAATATTTTAGTGGTGATTAGAGAATATAATATTCAAGTGATTTAGGGGTTTTGTATGGCAAACTTTATAATGTATAATTTCAAAGACCGTTTTTCCAATTAGGGGCTGTGTTTATTGACGATAGGGATGTAAATTACTTATATCTGTAAGAGCAACGTAGTGCATTTAGTGGGCACTCAATAAATGCTAGTTGAGTAAATGAATGAAAAACAATTTGAAAGTTATTTTTAAAAGTTTATTAAGTGAACTTCAACTAAATACAAAATAGGGTAAAAGTATAAAGAAATATAAGCTTAAAAATAAATATTCTAAGAAGCTATATTAGTCAACAAACTCTCTTGGGGAAGGGAATGTACTTCCTTCTTGTTAGAAAATGGTTTGTATGAAAATGAATAGCACCTGTAATGGTTAATTGTCTTGCTTTAAAATCTCAGAGGGCAGAGGGAGTGCTCCCAGGTAAGTCCAGTCAATTTATATCCTATAAGCTTCATGGCCTGCTCCCTCAGTGGTGGGGACATTCTCTTTTGTTCTCTAAATGTACAATGAGACACATTGATCTAGAAGCACTGAGATTTAGTGCCAGTGTCAGCATTGAAAACTGAGGCCAGCAATAAATATCAATATATGGAAAGCCAAGCATGCTTAAAACAGTGTGGTAGGCCCGGAGGAAAGGGCAAACACTGAGAATATGAGAAGAAAAGGAGCAAAGTCCCCAAAGGAGAAAGAAGTGTCTTTATTTTCTACATTTCCTGTGAAAGGCTAATTTTGCTGCTTTCAAGCAATTCAAAATGATTATAGGTGAGTTACTGCTGCAAAGATGCTTCTCTGTGTGTGTGTGTGTGTGTGTGTGTGTGTACACACTAGCAAGATCTCTTGCTTTTCAAGAGGAAAGGTATTTTTATATTCATTTAATCATTTAGTCTGAGACTTCTGATTCTCTTAATTTGTCATCCAAAGGGGGTGTGTCCAATTTTTCTCCGTGTGTCCTCAGACACAGAAGGCTGAGGGAGAGTGATGCAGGCAAGGGCTGCTGACTGGTTTCCCCCACCCGCCTTCCTCTGAGCCTGGCCTGGTGTGTGGCTGCTGTTTATACCTGCTGAAGTGCTTTCTGTGTTTGAGTTGGCGCTGCCAGCTTACACGTTAAAGCCCCAAGATGTTCATGAGGTCTGTCCCAGAGCTTTGAAACCTATGAGCTGGCGGCTGGGGCGAGAAATGTCTCTCTCAGTTTTTGGGTGAACTCCATGTTTTTTCCAGGAGGTTAGATCACTGTCCACAATCCAGGCTTGCTAGACAGAATGTAACAGTTGCTGTTTGAGACATCCTGAACTTTTAAAGGCAAAAGGCAGAGGAGGGAGGGAGAGGAAAAAGCCCAGGGTCAATTTAACAGCTGGAAAGGAACATTTTTATATCTGGTCAACAAAGATTTTTACTGAACTGGAAAGCTTTATCATCAAGCAAGGAAAAAATACCACTTCTTATTATGACAAGGGGGTATATTGTTACAAACTTCCCAGGTCCATTCCAAGTCATGTTTGAGACCAGACCAGATTCATCAGTGGTTGTGGCAGAAATATTAGGTGTGATATAATTTTTGTAAAAATTTACCTGGCCATCTCCCTGCTCCTTTCGTCAGTCTGTAAAGATTTTTAGAAGACTCATCTTTTTCACAAATGGCAAAATTCTGAAAACTGACACCTACTTGTTCCCTGCCCACAGTTCTTGGCTCTTTCATGTTGCCCTTTTTGTCATATTAGGAATATTAGTATCTGTTTTTGTTGTTGTTGTTGTAGTTGTTGTTTTTGAGACAGAGTCTCACTTTGTCGCCAGGCTGTAGTGCAGTGACGCAATCTCGGCTCACTGCAACCTCCGCCTCCCAGGTTCAAGTGATTCTCCTGCCTCAGCCTCCCAAGTAGCTGAGACTACAGGTGTGCACCACCACACCCAGCTGATTTTTGTATTTTTAGTAGAGATGGAATTTCACCATATTGGCCAGCATGGTCTTGATCTCTTGACCTTGTGATCTGCCTGCCTCTGCCTTCCAAAGTGCTGGGTTTACAGGCATGAGCCACTGTGCCTGGCTTATTATCTGTTTTGTTGTTGTTGTTGTTGTTTGCCTAAGATTTCTCTCCTTCATCTCTTTCAATGAAAAGTCTTAGTTCATGGGGAGAATTCTGTTGTTGTTATATAGCTGAGTATGGCAGGAATTCTATATTTTGCTTCTGTCCCTATGTGTGTATGAATGAACTAGAGACATGTAAAAGACCTCATACCTGAAAAAAATTGACAGAGATGTCAACTACTTATATCTGTAAGAGTAGAAAAATTACTAAAAAAATTTTAGTAAATTATTTAAAAGTTTTATGCCAAAGGGCAGTAATACGTCCAAGCAAAACAGTAGACACATTGAAGAATAAAATTTAAAGCTGGATATGATCGAATTCCAAGTTCATGGCAACTTTGTTTACAGGAAAACATAATAGAGCCCTTGTCACATTCTCCCCTCTGCCACCCCCAAACAAGTACAAAGTCTATGTTCTTATAAATATGTTAAGAATTTCATCTGTAATGTTTGTTTATGAAGACCATAAAAATGCCTTTGAATGAAGTAAGTCCCAGTCTTATTTTGCCAAGCCAAGGGAAAGAATCCTTTCTTTTGGTCTTCCACCTAGAGAATTGCTAGTGAGGCGTGAATGGTCTCTTCTTGACTCTTTAAGGTAGCATATTTATACTTGGGCAAAACTCAGTGGTCTTCCATATCATAGTGACAGCCTCTTTCTACCTCCCTCTCCATACCTCTTTCTAATTCACATTGCTTGCCTGACAAAGCTGAAGAATGTCTAAATTGAACATTTAATTTGACCTTGTCTGGAAGCAATGCCATTAGAGACAGACCTATGTTATATCAACTCTGATGTGATTATAGCTGTCCCAACATATGAGATGGCTTTGTTTGTCATTCAGGAGGCCTACTGATGCAATGTGTATTCTCTGGACCTCTTCATGAAAAAAAAAATGTTTATACCTGTGAGCATGTCCAGATGGCAGTGAAAGACTCCCATTCATGAGAGCAGCACTCAGCAATTCATGGTTGCCAAAGTATGCAGCGAAGGCATGCCCTCTGCCATTCCATGGCCTTGTAAGGAAACAGTTTCTAAGGTGACAGACTAGCACCCTTGAGGCCAGAGACCCTAGTGTTTTAGATTGGGGGGATGTGGGGAGGGCAGGGGGACAACATGAAATAATACCGAGAAAAGCAGTTTTTGTCATTATTCTGGCAATTTAGAAAGGGGAAAGAGTGAGAGTGGGGAAAGGAGAAGGGGTTCAGAGTTTTCCGCTTTAGGTCTCAAAGAAATTTAATTCAGATCTGCTCTGCGCATTGTGAGCATAATGCCCTTTTCATGGGTTAATTTCAAGGACATAGGAGATTAAATTAGGTCCAAGGCATGACCAAAGGGACAGGCTCTGGGCTTCCAGGCTGTGATTGTCAGGTGGTAAATAGGCAGGCACTCCAATTCTCTTGGAATCTGTGGCATTCTTGGGATTGCTTTTTCTGTGTGATATTCCCTTAACGCTATCACTGGAATGGTAAAATGTCACTTGAACAAGAGTTCTCAAGGAGGTATTGCTGACCCTAACAATATTGATGGGAAGGATTTTTTCATTGGACCACCTCCAAATGTAGGAAAATCTCAGGTGACAGCTTCTAGCATCCAGCTGTATTGTAGATTATAAACTCAGTAGGCAATGCTGAAAGATACTATGTCTTTCACAGAATTTGGCACATCGTTACTGCTTCATACCCAATACGTTAAGGGTAGGGAGAAAGCTTTTTGTGTGGATGCAGAAAATAGCTTTAAAAATTAAAGAGGTCCTCAAGTTAAAAAGGGAGAATTGTTTCTGATAACCAAGTTTGCATTTGCTTAATCTTGGTGTTATTGGAGAAAAAGAAGGGTTTCTACACATCACACTAGGATTCTGGATGATGAAAGCATAATAGCTTGCTTTTGCTAGCTTTCATCATGTTAATGTTGTTTGGGTATTATTGAAATGGCAAGGGGCCTGGCATACATGTTATTTTCCAAACCTAAATAGACTTTCATGAAGCTATCTGGTTGTATTGGCATAACATGAAACCGATTCTTAACACCCAATGGTAAGCGAAGTAGGGTAGACTAACAAAGAGTCAGTTTGGGTTAGAAGAACTTCCCCTTGTTCAAGTTTATTCTCTTTAGTTCAGCACTTTTTTGGATATTTAACAGACAAGGATACAAGTGAATAGACTGGCTCTTTGATGCTCCCTGATATGGCACAGCAGAGGGCCAGTGGTGGGGGGTAGTCAATCCGGCCACCACAGAAACTCATTAAGTCACAGGGGCCATGAAACTGCATGGAGTTAATGCAGTCTCCTACCATTTGTAACTAACAGGCTGGGACAAAGGCCCCTTAGCACACACAGAAACTACGCCATGTAAGGGATTATTCGCTGTATCCCAATTAACATACTACAGTGGTCTCCTCGCTGCCATCTAGCTGCAGTAGGCCTGGCCCTGTCCTGCTATAACAACATTATAGTAACCACAAGAGGCCCTGGAAACTATCAGTCATTTCTTGTGTTGAAATGCTATTAATTCCCTGGAAACTTATATTAGGTAGAGGGAGGGGTGAGCCGAATGGAAGCCTTCATGAGGCCTCAAACAAAAAGGGCCATAGAGATACCTCCTAAGAGCCTGATCATGAATACCTGTATCAAAATTGAGGAAGAGGACTCAAGGGAACCTCATAAGATTCACTTAATAGTCTACTTTTAAGCTGGTGAATTTTAAGGCACCCAGAAAAAAGAATTAACTGTTCCTTTCTTAATATTTCCAGAAGAAAATACTACATGTAATCTCCGAAGTGCCAATTCCATGTTTCAGCCCCTAAGGATGTCTTGTGTCAAATTTACATCCTAGCTTTTTCAATCAGACTACTTCCTTTTACTATTTATTAGTTGTACATAAAGAGAACAGTCTATCATTCCACTCAACACAAATTTGAACAACATCCTAAAATTTCCTCTCAAAGGAATTAACAAGAGTCCCTAACTTCTACACAGATTGTAGTTCATAAGGATGTTTGGAAATTTGCAACCTAGTTAGAAATAATATGTTACTGTTGGTGGGAATGTAAATTAGTTCAACCATTGTGCAAGACAGTGTGGAGATTCCTCAAAGATCCGGAACCAAAACCACCATTTGACCCAGCAATCCTTTTAATGGATATATAACAAAGGAATATAAATCATTCTATTACAAAGATACATGCAAGCGTATGTTCATTGCAGCACTATTTACAATAGCAAAGACATGGAATCAACCTAAATGCCCATCAATGATAGACCGGTTAAAGAAAATGAGGTACATATACACCATGGAATACTATGCAGCCATAAAAAAGAAAGAGATCATGTCCTTTGCAGGAACATGGACGGAGCTGGAAGCCACTATTATCAGCAAACTAACACAGCAACAGAAAACCAAACACTGAACTAAACTGAACAAAGCGGGAACTGAACAATGAGAACACATGGATACAGGGAGTGGAAAAACACACACTGGGGCCTGTCATGGGGTGGGGTGAAAGGAGGGAGAGCATTGGGAAAAATAGCTAATGCATGTTGGGCTTAATACCTAGGTGATGGGTTGATAGGGGCAGCAAACAACCATGGCACATGTTTACCTATGTAATAAACCTGCACAACCTGCACATCTACCCCAGAACTTAAAATTAAAATTAAAAATAGGAAATAGTGTTATATAATAATAATTGTAATAACATTTGCTGCATGCTTACTGTGCCAAGTATTGTTCTAAGTGCTTAATGTGTATTAATTTACTTGTTCCTCTTTAATAACCATATTAGGTAGGTATCATCATTCTCAGATTATTAAACACTGAGTCATAAGAAGATTAAATAAATTTTCCAAGGTCACACTGATAGCAAATAGGAGAGTCAAGAATTAAGCTGAACCTGGCTTCAGAGCGTATCCAGGTGTTCTGCCAAGTGAAAAATGAAGTTTTAAAATAAGGTCCTCAATCTCATGCAGAAGGGCCTTTCAAGTACATCATTCTCCTGATATGGAATATTCTACTAATAGAATTATAAAACTTACCATGATGTTTAGGACAATTTGTGTGTGTGTGAAAATGTTCTCATAAGATTTCCTCAGTCTTATTCCGAGTTTTTTGTTTATTTTGCTTTTGTTTTTGTTTTTGCTTTAGAACTGTGTGAGACAAAACAGACATACAAAATTTCTTTGATAGTCCCCCTCATCTCTGTTTTGGTTGTTTTTGCTTTTGTTATGTAGGTCCTGAAGGGGAAACAGGGTTGCATCTTGCTGAGGTTGTGGGTGCATGCGGAAATGGGATGGAGAAGTAGACTGATGTGTAGGCGCTGCTTTTCATGAGCAGGGCAGGCGGGGAGAGAAAGGACTGGCCTGGGCACAGCAGGGAAGGCCCAATGGTAACGCTGCAGAAAAGGCAGCATGGGGAGCAGGGAAGGGTCGAGAAATAATTCATTGAGCTCACATTTCTTCCCTCTTTGCATTTCTTCATTTTATGCCACCATTAGACATGTCACATGAACTCAACCCAGAGAGAGAGAGAGATGAGGGTATGACAGAAGCTACAGGTGCAGGGCACTCCCTGTAGGCCTGGAGATAATTGTGGAAGGAACGGGTTGGGATGCAGAGAAAAGCATTGAGGACTATTTTAGTGGGGGAAGGGGACTGACTGTATCCAGCTGAATGGGTGGTTTTACTTCAGCTTTCAGGGAGGTGGCATTTGGAAATAAGAATCCAAACCCCGCTTACCAAGAAACAGCTTTGGTAGAACCCACAAACTTTAATGTTTCCCAAATACTATTTTACATAGAGTGCCCCCCAAAAGAGGTAGAGAACTTAAGATTAATCCAGGGTATTATTAACAAGGACTTGACAACAGGGTCTGTGTAGAAAGGTTAAAGCAAGTATAGCTAGAGAAAGACGGCTGGATGGCTTCAGAGTCCTGTTTACATTCAGGGAAATACCTTACTAAACAGGTAAGACTTATGGCATCATTCTATTCCAGAGAAAAGACAGTTTGCATAACTGTGATGGTGATTGCTTGAGAATTCTCTTCTGCCTGAGGAAAATGAGTGTTTTCTGCTTTCTCAGCCTTGGGGAATTTATGGTGTTCCTTCCTGGCTTCGACATTGAACATTGCCAGGAATAAAAAATCACAATTACTTTTGCACCAACCTAATATTTCATAGTTTCTGAGTATGTCTAGGGGCCAGGCTAGCTTTGAACTCCAAAAGGGGATGAAGCCAGAGTGTGCTGAGGAGAGAAATCAATAGCCTTTCTCCATTGGGACTCTGAGGGACATTTTCTGTAACTCTGCAAATCAACATTAGAATTATAACAGAAAAAAGAAAAGAAACTTGTGGTGAAAAACATGGGAGACATATATTCTGCATTGACCACCTCAACTTTCTTCGATGACTGGAAAGAACATTGCCAAAGAGGGTATTGATTAATAAAAAGAAAAATGAAAGATTTAAACTCTGTGCCAACAGTTATAGGATAAAACAAGAATCTCAATTACATAGACTTTCCTAGGATCTCAGATAGGAGGCTTCATTCATTTTATAGTTAGGTTCAAAATGTAATGGCTTAGCAGATTATTGTGTTTACATTGGCTGTAAGATCTATCATTGATTTAAGTAAATTTTTGAGTGTGACAGTGAACACATTGATTTTAAGACAAATTCTGATTCCAAGACATTAAAATATAACTTAGTATTAAGGATGTGTGATTTTATGTAAAAGCCCATGTAATATTCTTCACCATTTCAGCTCAGTACTTTTCACCACTGAAGTTTTGGTTGGGTCTGTCAAGAAAATAATTTAAAAATGTTACTTAATTTTTATATTTCTCACATAATATTTTAAATAAAATTAGGATGCCAATGTAAAAGAATCATGGAAAAGTCTCAATCTTTGTCTTCTAGGAAATATTTTCACCCACTGAATTCCAACAAAAATTATGAGTTTGTAATTTATGTAATTTGATTTGGTCATGAGGGAATATTTTTATGGGATGCATGTTATGGAATAGAAAAAGAGCTGAGCTGGAAAGTAAATAGCCTGGATTTTAGCATGCGCTCTGCTATGCCTGTGATATTGGGAAAGTCAGATTGAAGTGCCCTGGGTATTTTCAAAGCTACAGGAGCCTCAAAATTTACCATGAGCCATACTACATTTATTCTACTGGTTTTCACATAATAAGTAAAAACTGAACAGAGAGTGCCTTTTCAGATTACTTACAGTTATTATGGGATTATTCAATATAAAAAGAATTATCCAACATAAACTCATTTACTTTATCCAAACAAAAGCTCCCTTTTAGGTAGTGGTTAAAGGCAAGGACATGTAGATAGTAACATGCAAAAGTCCATTAGTTGCCTTGCTGTGTAGATGTGGGTGTTCTTGGTCTCTCTCCTGCCTACACCATCATGGGGGCTGAATCCTGTGAAAAGGCTTCCTTCAAAGTGAGGTGCAGAACCTTGTGCCAGGAACTTGATCTTCCAGCTGCAGGAGGATGGCGGCACATTATGTTCCTTGCAGCGGGGAGCAGCATAGTCACTAACGATGAAGCTCAGAGTTTTCATACCCTGTAGCAAGCTTGTCCAAACTACTTTATTTTGTTGTTATTGCTGTTCTGTTTTGTTTTATTTTAGACTTTAGCAGCCTGAAGCCATGGATTTTAGTTTCTGTCTTTAGTGATAAGCGGAAGAGAGAGATGAGGAAGGGGCTTTACTGGCCCAACCAGAGACAGAAACTAAGAACCCATGGCTGTATTCTCTCTCTTGGACATCCCTGCTAGGAAAACTCCTTTTTTGTGATTGCTTCCCTTAGGGGTTTTCGGTTCACATCCTTGCTGTGATTGACTACAGGCAAATTATCATACTATGTTGATTCCAGAGATGATTCATGTGAATTCTGCTTCAACCACTCTCATTCATATAGTGAAAAACTTAACAGATAAAACAAGTTAGTTGGTCCTAATATGTTGATGCTAAGAGGTCATTGGACTTAGGCAGCCCTTTTATATTCATGCTGTGTTTAGAACTGGGACTTAAGTCATGATTCATACATTCAAAAGGAAAATGAAGGTCTGTACTGGGGTTGCTCTATGATCTAAATAAATAAATTAGTATCTCTGATTTTTCTCTCTGGTCCAAATACATATCATGAAAAATATTCCTAATATCTGCAATCCAGAAATCTGAATAGATAACAATATGTTCCTTAGCTGACTGAAGGGTACCGGAAGATTCCCTTTCATTCAGAATATAATTGCCTGGAAGTTAAGTTTTAGAAATTCATTTTGACTAAGTCAAAAAACAACAGATGCTGGTGAGGCTGTGGAGAAAAGGGAACGCTGATACACTGTTGATGGGAATGTAAATTAGTTCAGCCACTGTGGAAAGCAAGAGATTTCTCAAAGAACTTAGAACTACCAATCAACCCAGCAATCCCATTACTGGGTATATATCCAAAAGAAAATAAATAATTCTACCAAAAAGACACATGCACTTGTATGTTCATTTCAGCATTATCACAATAGCAAAGACAGGGAATCAACCTAGGTGCCCGTCGATGGTGGATTGGATAAAGAAAATGTGGTATATATACACAATGGAATACTGTGCATCCATAAAGAGGATGAAATCATGTCCTTTGCAGCAACATGGCTGCAGCTGGAGGTTGTTATCCTAAGTGAATTAATGCAGGAACAGAAGACCAAATACCACCTGTTCTCATTTATAAGTGGGAGCTAAACATTGGGCACTCGTGGACATAAAGATGGCAACAATAGACATTGGAGACTAATAGCAGGGGAGAGAGGGAGGCAAGGGTTGACTAACTATTGGGTTATTGGGTATTATGCTCACTACCTAGGTAATGCAATCATTTGCATTGCAAACCTCAGCTTCACACAATACATCTATGTAACAAACCTGTACATGTACCCTTGAATCTAAAATAAAAGTGGGAATTATTTTTAAAAAGAAATTAATTTGGACTAAGGCTTAAGGGAAAGGGGACTACAAGGACATAATTACGAGGCATTAAAGTCAAACTATGTCCTCCCCATTTCTGTCTATAACTGTGCTATGTGCTAATCATGAGTAGCAGCATAAAATACAGTCTTTTAAAAAAACATATCTTTTGAATGTGAGTTGATTTAGAAAAAATCTCATAGGATTTTCCCCAAAGTTGTATCAAAATCTAAGACTGCATAAACACATGGGGAATGCTTGAAATCAAAGCTCATTTTTATCTTAATTACTGAAAATGGGTCATTTCCAATCTGAGACGGCTGGCGACCTGGGTATGGAGTAGCAATGTAGTCCTGTTTCAATACCATTGATAATAAAACTGTTAGTACATTTCTGTAATTTTGCTCAATTAGTTTATATTATATTCATTGGCCCAAATAAAAAAGAACATAAAAATCTGGGAAAATAAGTCCTAGGTCCCATTCTATATATAGGAAAAATGTCTCTTTGGCTTTAGAGAAATTATCGTTAATGAAGTCATATCGTATTGTGTGGAATGTGATAAAACACATTTTAATACTTTTCCTTTGATCTCTGCATTACTGAGGATCAGGCACTAGAATAAGTACACTGACATTAAGCAATATAGGTATTTGTAAGAAATGGATTGGGTTTGAGATTTCACATGCTAATAATATATTTTCCCATTGAATTCTCAGGTGTCCCATTCTCAGTGTGGACTGCCAAATGAAGATGTATATATTTTCTTGAAAATAATTCTATGGACTTCTCTCTCCACTTTGACACTCACATAGTCAGACATTCCTTTTTTTCCTCATTTTCATTATGAAGGCATTGGTGGATAATGCTTTTGACTTCAATGCTTTTCTGTTACACTTAAAATTAAGGTGCAAGAGCTATCAAATTTTGACCAAGAGATTCTTTATTTATTCCTACAGGTTTAAGACCTCCTTGAGCGGTCTGTGTGACTTGAAAAACATAAAAGTGAAATGCAGCCAGGCGTGGTGGCTCAGGCCTGTAATCCCAGCACTTCGGGAGGCTGGGGTGAGCAGATCACTTGAGGTCAGGAGTTCAAGACCAGCCTGGCCAGCATGGTGAAAACTCCATCTCTACTAAAAATACAATAATTAGTAGGGATCACGCTTGTAATTCCAGCTAGTCAGGAGACTGACGCAGGAGAATCACTTGAACTCGGGAGATGGAGGTTGCAGTGAGCTGAGAGCGCAACACTGCACTCCAGCCTGGGTGACAGACTGAGACTCTGTCTCAAAAAAAAAAAGTGAAATGCTTTATACAGTCCTACTCCACTTATGGTCTTCTCTAAAAGTAGAGACAGTATTCCTTTTCTATTATTATTTTTTAGGTTTTTAAATGAGACTCATGCCTGCTGTATTATTAATAACAATCAATTACTAGTACCAAGGTGGCATTTTTTTTGCCATTATTTTGAATTATTACTTTAAATAGATATAAGTAGACACTTTCATAATAAAAATAGGTTAATTTGTGTTGATTAGCAAAATTGTTTTGCAAATTCCTTAAGAAATTGACCTCTTTCTTTAGTTTTTGGGAAATCCAAAACTGTTTCCCTTTCATCCAATTTGAGAGCTTATCCAAATGGAAAATATTTTCTCCTTGGTAAGGTCATATCTACTATGAAGCCAGTACTTTAACATGTAGAAAAAAAACACATTGTATTTAATGTTGAGCCTATTATAAAAGTCTACAGTTTTGCTGGTATTTCATCCCAGGAGGAAGAACTTAAGATAAACAGATATGGTTTATTGCACACAAGATGAATTATGAAAAAGACTACAGTAAAATCTGGCTGTCCAAAAGGAGTGAGACTTCCAAATGCAAAAAAAGATTTGAGCAATTAAGTTTCTGAAGTCCTACTTCTGTTCTGTAAAGTAGGTTCTAATGTCCAAGGACCCATGTACTCTTTGGTTAAACATAAAAAACTCTCCAATTTCTTGACAATTAAAATAATGTATTGTAGAAAAGCCCTTACAAAAACCTATTAGGGAGTCTGTTATGCTCATCAATAACATACACGCAGAGGCTGTGTCTAATGCCTGATAATGAACAATGGAATGAAAATAGGTTGCTTCCAAATAGCTAACATATTTTTTTTTATCCCCTTGTTCTTCATCAATTTTGCTATCATTTAAATTTTTTAATTGTAATAAATATACATAACGTCATAAAATTTACCATTTTAACCATTTTAAGTGTACAGTTCAGTGGCATTAAGTACACTCACATTGATGTACAAGGCCCCAATTTCTCCACATCCATACTAACACTTGTTTTCTGTTTTTAGCCATCCTAATGGATGTAAAATCATATTTAATTGTGGTTTTGATTTGCATTTCCAAAATTTCATTAGCGTTAGGTACATTCACATTGATGTGTAACTGTCACCACTATCTATGTCTAGAACTTTTTCATCATCTCAAACTGAAATTCTGTACCCACTGAACAATGACTCCCCAGTTCCCCCTCCCCTCAGTTCCTAATAACCACTGTTCTACTTTCCGTCTCTGTGTATTTGACTATTCTGGGTACCTCAAATAACTGAAAACATAACAATATTTATCCTTTTGTGTCTGGCTTATTTCACTTATGTAAATAAGACACAAGTCTCATTTAAAAATCCAAAAAAAAAATACAATAATAAAGGAATACTGTCTCTACTATTACAGAAGCCCATTCGTGAAGTAGGGTTATATAAAACATTTCACTTTCATGTATTTCAGGGCACATGTCTTTAAGGTTCATCCATATTGTAACATGTATTAGAATTTCATTCTCCTCAAAGGCCGAATAATATTTCATTGTAGGTATAGATCACATTTTGTTTATTCACTTATCCACTGATGGGTATTTGCGTTGTTTCCACCTTTTAGCTACTGTGAATAATGCTGCTATGAACATTGGTGCACAAATATCTACTTGAGTTCCTGCTTACTGTTCTTTTGTGTATATACCCAGAAATTGAATTGCTGTATCAAATGGTAATTCTTTTTTTTTTTGAAAAGGAGTCTTTCTTGCTCTGTCACTAGGCTGGAGTGCAGTGGCACAATCTCAGCTCACTGCAACCTCCACCTCTGGGGTTCAAGCAATCCTCCTGCCTCGGCCTCCTGGGTAGCTGGGACTACAGGTGTGTGCCACAATGCCAAGCTAATTTTTTGTATTTTTAGTAGAGGCGGGGTTTCATCATGTTGGCCAGGAAGGTCTCCATCTCTTGACCTCGTGATCCACCCACCTCAGCCTCCCAAAGTGCTGGGATTACAGGCGTGAGCCACTGCGCCAGGCATCAAATGGTAATTCTATGTTGAGTTTTTTCAGACCCACCATACTATTTTCCACAGAGGCTGCACCATTTTCCATTTCCACCTGCAATGTACCTGGGCTCTAATTTCTCCACATCCACACCAATGCTTGTTTTCTGTTTCTTTTTTATAATAGCTATCCTAATGGGTATAAAGTGGTATCTCATTGTGGTTTTGATTTGCCTTTTCCTAATATTTATTGATGTTGAGCATCCTTTCATATGCTTAATGGCTATATGTGTATCTTCAGAGAAATGTCTATTTGAGTCCTTTGCTCATTTTTGAGTTGTATCATTTCTTTTGTTGTTGACTGCTGTCATTTTTTCATATTAGATCATGAGTCAATTATCAAAATAGATAATTAATTTTTTATATAGTAATAAGGCTTATTTCCCAAAGCCAGCTTCAGAGTAATGACAAATGTGTCAAGTCTAGTCCTTTTGGTCAGAAAGTGAATCATGCATCTAATTTGAAAAAAGTTCAGTGTAATTATAGGCTTTATTCTAAGTGTTGTGGAATCGTCATTAATACTAGTTTTCATAAAACCTTACTTTTTGGCATTGAAAGGCCATAATAAAGTTCTCTAAACTCTGAAAGTCAAGGGTCTTAATACTAAGAAAAGTCCTGTGGAATAGGTGAACATTTGATTTGATAATGGATATGGTTTGAAAGTATGTTTCAGCAATGATGTCATAGTATTCCTCTTCATTGCAGTCAAAAAAATAAGAAAATTCACAACCGAAGTTTTTTGAATAGTGAAACATAATGAATTCTGTGCTTGAGGTAAAAAGTCAAGCGGAAGAGAGAAGGATAGATTGATAATAATTATTATTAACATAGCATCACCAACATCAAAACCTACACATTATGTCCATATCTTTATGTAGTAATGTAAACACCTGCTACAAAAAAGAGATTTCATATTTATATATGTGTATGCAGTTTTATGAGACGGATCATGCAAATGGATGACCACATCTAATAGTGGTATATGTATTAAAGTTATGTATGCTGTTTATTTTGTGACATTTATCTGGTGATTGATAGGATAAACAAAAGAGTGGTGGATTAATATTAATACACATATCATTTCTATTCTGTTATAATTAAGTTCTGTTATACTCTACTAAAATAGCTGATATTTTCCTTGTTGACATCTATTACAGTTTGAATATGAATATTCGTGTGGGCTCAGACTCTCCCTATAGTATGTAAACTCTGTGAGGTCAGGGACCCTGTCTGTCCTGTTCACTTCTGAATCCGTAATTCCTGGCATGCAGCTGTTTTTCCAATATATACTTGTTGAATTAATGAGAGAAAATAAGTCAAGGAAAGGTTGCAAAGGCAAATTCACATCACGAGGAGAACCAGGAAATTGAATCTAAATTCATATTCTTAAAAATAAAAATCTCACTTTTTGACACATGGTAAATAACACAGCAGTCAAACAAAAGGGGTTGCTAGGTAAGATCTTGGTTTGGTTATTTGTTCTCAGTGTACTCCTTTAATTGGTTCATGCAACATTTCCTGTAGGAAAAAATATTTTTTGATGTTTCTAGATAATAACCTAAGATGTTCAAGTTTATTGGTGAAAATAGCCACATTTGAAATGCGTCAAGTTCAGTACACTTGTATTATCAAGATTTCCCTTTCCTACTTCCTAGAGTTCCATTTCATCACTCTTTAGGGTCAGACTGAGAAGAACCAACTCATATTAGTGGGCTCTTCTCATGGGGATTCTGGCCAGCCCAGAAGAAAATACTTCTGGACCCTTCCAGGCCAATTTAGACAACTCGGGAGGTCCAGATAAACATCTTCATTTGAATTTTTGTCTCCACTGCTTCTCAAGTATGGCTTGCCTGATCTTTACTCATCTAATCCAAAATAATAATTTTGCCCTTTTAAGGACATTGCAGGGCATAATATAATATTATCTCTGTAGTAATTTTTGGTTATTATTTAACTATAGTTTATATAACTATATAGTTATATTGAAATATTATTATTGTTTGTGACAAGGTCATTAGGCCATTATCATGAAGTCTGAATTATAATATGTTTTAAATGAGATGGCATTGAAATAAACTCATATGATAACTGTAACAAATAGCAGAACTACTTGAATGATGTGAAATGGAAATCTTATAATTAACATGTCAATTATTTATGAGAAAATGAACATTTAAAAAATGGTTTATAATAATTCAAGGTAATTTGTCCTTTTAGACAAAACACTTTTAATAACATTCGTTCATCACCTATTCAGTTCAGAACTAGGTACAATGTGGTTCAGTACCATACTAGGTTCAGAACTAAATACCATGTGGGGACACAAAAAAGAATAATGATGGATCTGTTTTCTGTATTAGTAAGAGAAGCGAGAACATACACATTCCTTTGATTGAAGGATCATGATGTGTACTAATCTGTAATTTTACTGAAGCACCTATTTGAATGGCAGATTGATGTGTGTGGGAGCCACTTTGTTGAAGAGTTGTATACACTATACATCTTATTAAAAACTTTGGGTGAAAAATGTTCCTTTAGGTTACTTTAGGGAAAGACAATCTATGACTGTCAATGAAAATGATATTTTGGAGGAAAATATTTGTGAAACTTGGGATTTGTGAGCTTTTGTTTACGTGAGTTATGCATATCTACATTTACCATATTAAAGACTGAATCTGAACAAAATGTGTAATGTTTATGTTAATCTATTTAAGAATAAACTTGGCTAGGCACCGAGGCTCAGGCCTGTAATCCCAACACTTTGGGAGGCTGAAGTGGGCGGATCACCTGAGGTTGGGAGATCGAGACCAGCCTGACCAACATGGAGAAACCCCATCTCTACTAAAAACACAAAATTAGCTGGGCATGGTGGCACATGCCTATAATCCCCGCTACTTGGGAGGCTGAGGCAGGAGAATCGCTTGAACCCGGGAGGCGGAGGTTGCAGTGAGCCGAGATCACACCATTGCACTCCAGCCTGGGCAACAAGAGCGAAACTCCATCTAGAAAAAAAAAAAAATTAAACTCATTACAATGCAAATATAATATATAACCCTTTATAGAAATAACTATATTTTCAAAAGCAAAAAATAAGTGAGAAAGTGGGATTGTTTTATATTCTGAAAATATTTTAAAGCCTAGTTTAAGGGGAGGCGGTAGTATTCTATCTGCTTCTGCAATAAGTTTTTTGTGGTATTGCACATGGTAGAGGCAAATAAACCCTTAGTAGAATTATGAAAATAGTTTTGACCTCACAGAGCCCCTGAAAGAGACCTAGGGACCCCAAAGATGCCTGGATGTCGGTTTAAGAGACATCCCTCTCTACACTCAAGTGTCTACTGAGCAAGTAGCTATCATACAAAGCAGGTTGTGATGATAGCCCAAAACAACTACAAACAATAAGTAAAAGAAGAAAATAACAATTAAATGAATATAATCTAAAATGAAACAAAACAAAAAACAACCAAAGCTATAGTAGACTGGAGGATAAAGAAATGTAAAATTTTCTACTTCTGTGTACTTTTTATTTGTAATAGGAATGATAATAAGAGGAACAATACAGGATTGTTGTGAGACTTGGATGAGGTAACAGATGTTAAGTATTTAGTACGCTGCCTGGCATACAGTAGGAGCTCAATTAATGTTCAGAATTACTGTTGTTATGTTCCTCCAATAAAAGTGGAGGGAGTGCACCTAGGGTAGAGAGATCAATTTGGGAAAGAAGTGAAAGGCGAGTGTGGAGGGTCTTTCAGGACAGATCAAGTGATTTGAACTTTATTGCTCATGGAATAGAAAAACCATTGAAATTTGTGGAGAGAAAGTGGCTGAATTAGATCTGAGTTCACAGTAACACTGGAATCATCTACCTGTGCCATTGCTTCCTCATTCATGTGCCCAGCTAGTTCTTTCTTTCCAGGTGGGAAGGAGAGAAACTTGAAGCCACTTTCTGTATTCCCAATCAGATGAAGTTAAAATTAGCACTGTTATTTCTGTTTGGCTTCCAGGCAGACTGCAGGCCATCACTGGCTAACTTGTTATTGACACTTGTAGCCTCCCTTGGTGGTACCGTCATGTCTGGGTCCCCACAGACCAACTCCTGTGATTAGCTGGTTGACAAATTTAAAAACTCTTGTCCAGTGATCCAGTGGCTGGAGGGTAATTTTTAAGTGAATTGGGGTTTGACAAAGACAAGGACAAAAAGAGCTTCTGAAAAAAATTATTTGCATTCAGGATGTATAAAAAAAAAGCACCCACCCCCCAGTAGGATGAGAAGATCGTTATAGCAAAGCTTTATTGCAGTTCTTTTAGCCAGACCCCAAATAGCAATCTGCCTTGACCATAATTCCTGCATTTGTTTACTTGTGCATTGCTTTTTATTCCTTGTGGTCAGCTTTTAGCCTTTGAAACTCAGTGGTATGTGAATAGCTTTAATATTTAGGGGCTTTTGAGATATATATATATATATATATATATATATATATATATATATATTCTAACTTTATTTTGAAAGCCTCCCAATTGCCTAAGGATTTGCATCTTTAGTTCCTCAAAGGGCTATTGTGAAGATAAAGTTAGATAATATATGTAGAAGTGTGTTCAATTTTTATATAGGAAGAGGTAGTTTATATGTATATGTGTGTGTGTATTTCATCTTTCTCTAACAGTTTTGGACCTCAAAGAAAAGCTAATTCTACACAACAAGATTTTCAATTGGTTTAGAGGCTCAAGCTGAATCTGAATTCTATGGAACAAACTGAGAAGCCAACTTGGCTCTTTTAACATGGTGATAGGTTATAGTTGAAAGAAGTGTAGCAATGGCTATGAACAGGAATGTTTTAATGTCTTTGCCAAGAAGGGAGGAAAGAAGAAAGAAAGAGAGAGAGAGAGAGAAAGAAAGAAAGAAAGAAAGAAAGAAAGAAAGAAAGAAAGAAAGAAAGAAAGAAAGAAAGAAAGAAAGAAAGAGAAAGAAAGAAAAGGAGAGGGGGAGAGAGAGAGAGAAGGGGAGGGAGTGAGGGAGGGAGGGAGGGAGGAAGGAAGGAAGGAAGGAAATTTTCTTCATAAATAATTTTTCTTTCTCTCAATAAATGAAAGTTCTGAAACTCTGGAGGTTTTTGTTTCAGCAATGGCAGTGCAGTGCTCTTGAAAGAAGTCTTCAGCAGTACTGCGAAGAATGTGCTAAAAGCCATGTTTCAGATACATAAATGGGGAAGGAATTCCGTAACTGAGGCAGCTTTTAAGACATAGCTGCAGCTCTCATATTGCTGTATGTATAGTTAAGGCTTATTAGTACTAGCTTGAGAATGCAATGAGAAAGGCAATTAAGGCAAGAGGATATAAATTATTCTAGTTACATGTAGAATTTTGTACCCACTTATATTAGGTTGATGCAAATGTGACTGCAGTTTTTGCCATTACTTTCAACTTACTTTAACCTACTTAGTTACATCTACTTACAAAAAATATTACTTTCTTCTTTCTACTTTTCATCTACTTTCATCTTACTTTTAACCTACTTAGCTACATCCACTTACAAAAAATATTCTATCGATACTTTCTGATTCTCTTTTTAAATTGACTCCTATTATTCTTCACTGGTTGTAATAGTGACATGTCTTCATTACAACTTTGTAAAGTACATAAAATATAAAGAAAAAAAAATTAAAAATTTCTTACCAAGCAGGGAAAATCACTTTGACCTTTATATGTGTTTCCTTCTAATTTTTTCTACTTGTATGTATTTTGCTTCTTAGCAAAATTGGGATAATGCCATACATATATTTTTATATCATGATTCCTCTCCCTCCCCAACTATAACGTAAGCATATTCTCAGATTATTAGTGTTTGGAAACAGTTTAATGACTATATCATGTGCCATGATATGGACAGATGCATGAAGTGGTATGTGTAGGGGTTAAGACTGGAATATGGAGTGACACAGCCTAGGTTTGCAAACCAGCTCTGCTGCTCGCCAGCTGGGTGCCTTTGGGCAAGTTACTTGACCTCTCCTTACTGTCATTTCCTCAGCTCTAAAATGAGATTGAAAATAAGGTTTATAAGGTTGTAAGGATTAAGTGGGTTAATATGTGGTCATTTTTAAAAACATTTAGCACAGTGCCTGGCACAAAGTAAGCAACGGCCATTATTACCATGATTAATATGATGTTAAATAGACTGTTTCTGATTTTTCTTATTAAAAAAAAACCATGATGAAAGTTTTTATATTTGTCTTTTTTTCCATCTGAGTATTTCCTTAGGATAATTTTCTTAGAAGCAGAATTAGAGAAAGATTGCAAGATTTGACCTTCCTGCTTCCAACTTATAAGTTTGTCTATTTCACCACACTGTTGACAGTACTAAGAATTTTTATTTAAAACATTTTATACTAGGCTGTATGTTTGAATTTAAATTTGTATTTCTTTGACTATGATTTTAGAAGTTTTTAAAAAATATATTGTTATACACTTTTCCCCTGTAAGTTGTCCATTCACTTTCTTTCTCTTGTTTGTGGAAATTATTGACATATTAATATTTCAACTTGAAATCTGTCATATTTTTGGCAACTGTTTTCCCCAAATTTTTGATTTTAAATTTTGGAGGAGGCGGATGCTTTTTGTGATCCATGAATTATTTTTTAAGGACAAATTTACCATCTTTTTATCTTTGTATTTTTTTCTATAGCTTTTATGCTTAGTAAGTCTGAAACTGCAGTATCTCCTTATCCACATTTTCCTCTAGGCTTTTTTGAACATTAAACTTTTTAGCCAATCTGTAATGTATATCGTATATTGACTATAATTTGAAGTAAGGACTGATGTTATGTATCCTTCAAATAGCTAACCATTTTCACAGAAATATCTATTTAATAACCCTTCCTTTCTGTATAAATGTAGTCTTCTCTGTGATATGCTAAATATATTAAAATGTTCTAGATGTTATTTCTGAACTACGTATTATGTTCTGTTTCTGGCATGTTTATTTTTCTTTGGTACCATACTGTTTTAATATTGTAATTTCTGTAGTGCACTTTAATATCTGTGAGTACAAGTCAAGGTACTTCCCTTTATGTCGGAAACCATAGCTGTGAAGTCCCCAGACCTGTTCTTAACCTTCTTTCCCTATACCTTCCTCAACTGTATATGCTGGGAAATAGAATTCCCTGTGTATGGTCATGTGCCCAAGTTCAGGCTAATGAGCTCTGAGCAGAAGTCTGAGGAATTTCTGGAAAAGCTTTCTGGTACATCCTAGCTTGTTTTGTCGTGGATTGTAGTTTCCCATAGGTGGAAGACTAAGAATCCTATTGTTATTCTTTTTTTCCTAATAGAGGGACAAGTATGAGGCTTTTAGGCACAATTTTAGGCATATATTTCCCATATAATGTTTCTCAGGTGTTAATAGGTATTTTGCGAAGAAATGAGTCCATGGCCATCTGGAAGTGGCATCCATTACCCTTGGAGGTACAGTTTGCACATTAGCTATGAAAGCATCTTATTACCAACATTTTAAC
Source organism: Homo sapiens (assembly GCF_000001405.40). Lineage (NCBI taxonomy): Eukaryota > Metazoa > Chordata > Mammalia > Primates > Hominidae > Homo > Homo sapiens. Next base: position 132,040,149 of record NC_000006.12, read on the forward strand.
ATTATTTCATATGGTGTTTCCAAAACCTGTATGAGCATACGAAACCACTCTTTCCTTTTCTTTATTTGAGGAACACCTTAAAAGGAAGTCTGCTGTAAGGATTGTAAACTATTTTATCTCACTGAATAAATGACTAGAAAGGTAGAATGTTTTCAATTGATTCAAGTTATCCTCTCAATAATTAGTCTTTAAGAATGAAATAACTAGTTAAGATTCAAACACATGTATGGAATGGCTTATATTGAGTTCTGTAAATATTTATCACACCATATTAGTTATTTCACATATATAGCAATTACAAACAATATATGAATAAAGCTACAGTTGGTTTCACATTTTGGCGACACTACTTAGACACTGCTCAAGCATCCATGCTCTCATTTTGTCTGGACCTCTTCTCTCTTTTACTCTGGTTTCCATCATGTTTCTCTATTCCTTGCCAGTCCGTACTGGATTAGTCATTATTGCCAAAGTGTCAGTCACGATTGTCACTGTTCGGCAGTCACTGTGGTTAAATTCTTGGTCTGTATGTCTGCAACAGTCAAACTTCAGTTGAATAATTAATATTTATTTATGAACTGATATTATTAGTTGTTAAAATTTCTTTTCTCAGGCTGGGTGTGGTGGCTCACACCTGTAATCCCAGCACTTTGGGAGGCCGAGGCGGGCGGATCATGAGGTCAGGAGATTGAGACCATCATGGACAACATGGTGAAACCACGTCTCTATTAAAAATACAAAAATTAGCTGGGATGGTGGCATATGCCTGTAATCCCAGCTACTCAGGAGACTGAAGCAGGAGAATCGCTTGAACCAGGGAGTCAGAGGTTGCAGTGAGCCGAGATGGCGCCACTGTGCTCCAGTCTGGTGACAGAACGAGACTCCATCTCAAAAAAAAAAAAAAAAAAATATTTTCCCTGCTAATGGCAGTTGACTCTTGAAAAATGTGGGAGTTAGGGGTATTGACCCCCACACAGTCAAAAATCCATGTATAACTTTTGATGTCTCAAAATCATAAGTACTAATAGCCTACTGTTGACCAGAAGTCTTATTGGTAAACAGTTGATTAACACACGTTTTGTATATTATATGTATTTTATACTGTATTCTAACAATAAAGTAGAGTAGAGAATAGAAAATGTTATTAAGAAAATCATGAGGAGGAAATACATATACAGCTGATATAGTTTGGATATTTATCCCTGCCCAAACCTCTTGTTGAATTGTAATCCCCAATGCTGGAGGTGGGGCCTGGTGGGAGGTGTTTGGATCATGGGAACGGATCCCTCACGAATGGCTTGGGCCATCCCCTTGGTGATAAGAGAGCTCTTGCTCTGAGTTCACATGATCTCCAGACCCTGTGCTCTCTCCTACTCCTGTTCTCACCGTGTGAGATGTTTGCTCCCCCTTTGCCTTGCACTATGAGTAAAAGCTCCCTGAGGCCTCCCAAGAAGCTGAGCAGATGCCACGCCATGATTCCTGAACAGCCTGCAGAACTGTGAGCCAATTAAACCTCGTTTCTTTATAAATAACACAGCCTTGGATGTTTCTTTATAGCAATGCAAGAATTGCACTGTACTGTATTTATTCATTCCTTAAGGTTACATTATCTGTTTACAAGATGAATCCTCTGTCTGAAATGGCAGCAACCACAGCTGCAGACCTCAATTTCAATTCCTATCAAGCAATTTAACCTTTTCTTGTGATGTCATGACTTTTCTCTGCTTCTGGGCAGCACTTCCAGCATCACTTCATGTGGGTCCCATGGTGTTAGTCAAGGATTATGGTATTGAACTAAGCATGATGACAAATATGTAAAGACTGTGAGCGATCTGTCTGGACTGCAATTCACCATTTACTAGAGAGACAAATTGCTTGTGTGGAGATGATTAACGTCACATGGTGCTTTAAGAGTATAATGTGACATTTGAGCTCATTGCAGTAGCGATGGAAGGTGGCTATGAAATTATTACAGTAGTACAGTATAGACCACAGTTAATTTTATGCAGTAATGATTTAATATTGCATTTGTTTACATTTCCCACAATTGCAAATGGCACCTGATACGGTCTGTTTTTGTGCATACGTTTTGATAAGCTTTAACGTTTTATAATAGATTTTTGTGTATTTTATGATAGCAAATGATAAAATGGTAGCTACATATTTTTTATGTGTTCACGGCATATTTAACTTTTTCTCAATTTTTCTGATATTTCTAAGCTACGTAGTTCATAGCAGCTTTTACAAATTGTCACAAATCTCCCAAAATTTTTCTAATGTATTCATTGAAGAAAATTCATGTATAAGTGGGCCATGCAGTTCAAATCTGTGTTGTTCAAGGGTCAACTGTATACAGACATAATGCTGGAGAGGAACTTGCTTCCTTTGTGAAAGTAGTTTCAGCAAAAATACTTGCCATAAAATGACTAGGCTTTTTATATGGTTTGCCCAAGAACTTCCATGACTTCAGCCTCAATGCTACTAGGTTGAGTGTCCCTTAGAAGACTCTCCACGATGACTTAGAAGGGTTTGTTTATATAAAGCAGCTTTCAGTCTCCATTGTAACCTGTTCCTTTTACTGCAATAACTGGAAATGAATCCATCTATTTTTTTGTGATACAAGTACTTAAAATGCTAAAATTCCAGGTTTCAGAGAACCAGGTTTAATAGTGTATAACTTCTCTTTTATATAACGAGGCACTTATCCAGTGATTCCTGGTTATTTCAAGATTGGGGTCTAGGTAAAGGTAGATCAAATGGCTGTTCACTGTGGGAAATAGTAATTCATCAGACTTGCCATAGGAACTAACCGGCAAATTGTGGAACATAGATATTATTATCATTGCCTTCAGTTTCAAATAGTTGAGTGAGGATTGTGATTTGTTAGATTTCAGAAAATGTATCATTTAATATAGTGGGTCAAGGATGATGCAAGCTCAAGAATTTGTTGCAAAGAATCTGCCACAATAAATGCATATCATTTATATTTTTTTGTGGCTGAATAAAGTAGATGTTTTACAAATCCAGTGCTACAAGAATGCAATGGTAAATAAGATAGGATCTCTGTTTATGTTTTGGTTGGGAAGGTATTCGATAAATAAATAAATAAGCAAATAGCAGATAAGGATAAAATTGCTGTGCAGAGGATTAAAATAAAGTAATAGAAAGCAAGTGGATGGCTGTTTAAATCGTGTGGTCAGGGAAGGCCTCTCTGAAGTGATATCATTTCAACCGATATTTGATGACTAAAGAGGAGACTTCCATGAGCAAATCTTGCGGGGAGAGGATGCCAGGTGGAAGAGACTAAGGGCATTGGTCCTATGGAAGTTGGACGCTTGATCTGAGGATCAGAAAGAAAGCCAGAAAGGTAAGGGCCAGATTATGCAGGCCTTTGTAAGCTTAGGCAAAGTGTTGGTATTTTATTCTTATTTAAAGGAAAACATTGGAAGGCTTAAACAAACTTGTGTTTTATGATTTGATCCAATTCGGGTCTTAGAGTGATTACTCCTGCTGCTGCATGGGTTATGGAGTGACAAGAGTAGAGACAAGATCATTTAGTGGTCTGGATATGAGGTCCTATGTTTGAAATAAGAACAACATCAGCAATAATAACCAGAACTGACATATTCTGTACTGTTATGCACTGGTACCATGCTAGGCAACAGATGCATTGTTTAATTTAGTTATAAATGGACTACTTTTCAAATGTACGAGGGGGCTGTCATGAACCAAAAATATAAATTAGTTATAAAATTCTTCTAATCATGGTAATTTTTGTTACCCAATAAAAATCGTATTAAAATTATCGTTACACATGGAAGAGTTTGAGTAATTTCTTGACCTTAAAGTGACCTTTATATTTGAAACTATCAGGAGTGAATATGTTAGGCAGAAAAAAATATTCAGTCCTACTCAGTGCTGATTAGGACTGGCTTCCAGAAGGTTACACTGCCATGAGGCAATAGCGGGGAGCCCGAAGGGACTGGGCTTAGCAGAAGGAAAGAATGGAGACAGGACAAGCTGTAGATCCTTCTGTCTCAACTATGAGATTGCAACCTATAAAAAAACAAATTCAGGAAGAGTAGCAAAAATGCCAATCTAACACAAGCAAGCACCAATCTCTGGGTTTAGAGGAGCTTGTCTGAGGGGAATGGCAGGGGAAAGGGTTTGGGGGCTTTTTGCAGTAGCCAAAGCCTGAGTCAACTGCAATTGGAGTCATTAACTGGAGAAGGTGGTTTAAGAATAAGGGAAATTGAGTTAGATTTTAACACCAGTGGGCAAGAGTATAATGTAAGCAAAGAAAGAAAGCAGGACCCTTGTCACCCATCTCTGGGGTCCACGAGAGCATCACTGGATGACAGAGCCAATGACAGAAGGAGATCCAGGGTGGGAGAAATAGGAGCAGAACAGGTCAGAAAGGTTGACCAAACTCTCCAAGGTAGAGTGGAGAACCTGCCCACCCAGAGTTGATCCCAGTGCCTCAGGCTTCAAGATTCTTTGGCTTGTTGGTCACCAGACACAGAAAGAACATGAGGTGTCTAGAATGCAGGTGTACCTGAAAGGGAGGGTATCCCCTTCTGATACATGCTGTTGGGTCTTGGATGGGTTGGTTTCAATGGTATGCTAGATCCAGTTTGTACCTGTGTTCAGTGGTATCAAATTGGTACCTTGAAATTGACCATAATGGGAGCACTTACACCATAGAAATCAGCAAATCAGTCTCACCCAGAGACCTGGTTTAGCAACATACCACTGGTTGGCACAATTCACAGGTGATTGGATACAATACCGCAATGGGCCATAATTCCAAGAGATATAATTTTATGGTAAAAATTGTTCCAGGGGGTTTCATAGCAGCAGTCTTATTATTATAATAGATGGCTGGCACAGAGCTGAGACTGTGCAGCAAGACTGATAATCCATGTTAGTTCCCCTTGAAAATACATCAGAAATTTACATTTGTGTCACCTTCCTTAAAAGAAGCCATGGTGAAAATATATTACAAGGATAAGAATCAGTAATGTGGTCTCAAATGGAACTGCACAGCATCGACTACAGTGTGCATCTGTGGCCATATAGTATTTGTAGGCTAATAGAAAGTCTGACTTTTTTCCAAATGCAAAAGTGCAAATTGATGCTATCACATTTATTGATTATAAGCCTTGAAAGCTGGCTTAATAAAGATATAAGGTGCTGTGTTACTATAAAGTTGAATATTTCCATGACAATATAAAAGTGGTTTATATATATACATATATATATATACATATATATATATGTGTGTGTGATACACACACACACACACACATACCATGGAATACTACTCAGCCACAAAAAAGAATGAAATAATGTCTTCCACAGTAACATGGATGGAACTGGAGGCCTTTATCCCAAGTGAAATAATGCAGAAACAGAAATTCAAACACCGCATGTTCTCACTTGTAAATGGGAGCTAAACATGGACATATACAGTAGAATAATAGACATTGGAGACTCTAAAAGGTGGGAAGGTGGGAACAGGATGAGGGTTGAAAAATTATTTACTGGGTACAGTGTTCACTATTCAGTGACGGCTACACTAGAGCCCAGACATCACCAGTATGCAATATATCCATGTAAGAAAACTGCACGCGTGCCTCCTAAATGTAAAAAAAATTCTTTTAAAAGAAAAAAACCCACAGCATCAAGAGGCAGTGTGGAAATACTTACTTGAGTTCAAGTGTTTACAGGTTTCCCCCCATCTCTTGAAGTATTGGAAAGAAACCGCTCAATTAGAAAACCCTTCCTATGATGGATTTCCATAGAGTGTGGTCAGCTTTCTGGGAAAATTAGATTGGGTTCAAGAATTTTGAAATCTGAACTTCAGACTTGCTGGATTTCCATTTGGTTTCAGATTTTCTTTCAAGTGTTTTATTGAACACTGACTCAGCATTCTCAAGGAATCAAGATATAATACTAAGGAATCAAAATATAATACTGTGTAACAGGTATTCTATGTAAAGTACATGCATCTGGAAATCATTTTATTCTAAAAGAACATACTTTCAATGTTAAACCAAGTGTAAAGCACTCCAATACAGTTAAATGAAGTTTTGGGAAATCTTTTGCTTGAATTATAATTCTTAATTACTTGAATCTTTTTTCTCCTCCCAAATATTTTAAAATTCCTTTTGATAACCAAGACTCTGAAATTTAATAGGATTCAGGTGTTTCCAGTCACTCATCTGATACTCAGAAAATTGTTTCTTTTCTCCCTCTTCTTCATAGGCTTCCTTTTACCCTTTTTGAACACATACTACTGAATGCACACATTTTGAAAGCTAAGGTGAGCTCCTTTTCCACAGCCCCTGCCCTTGATATCGACACCATGGCAAGCTTTCCCCCACCCAGATTCCGTTTTAGCCACAGTAACCAGAAGAGTTTAACATCCGCCTTTACCTTTCTCTTTCTTTGGTCTTCAAGCCAGGTAGGACCTATAAATTGAGGCAGGCTTTACAGCTGGGTCAATAAAGGGCGGGGAGAAAAATGAAATGGGTTTCCTATCATTTTTCACAAAGTTTGAAAAACAGAGTTGGCAAGGAAGAAAAAAATAAAACAGGAAGCTGGATTGCACATATAAATTAAATATTTTCACCCTAACCCTTTTTAGATAGCCCAGGGGTATTAAAAACGTGTGTGTTTTGGATGGCCTCAGCAAGCATTCCAACAGTAAATGGCTTCCTGTTCAGCATGTTCGAAGTCAGGCTGTTTTTTGGGGTTGGTTTAAAAATATGTGTGAAATATGTACTTTTATTTTAAGCCAAGTCAAATGTTTTCAATCATCCCCCCTTACTTGCTGCTTCTGTCTTCCCATCCTATTATTTCTTGCCCCTCAGACAGTAAAATATACCCCCAAACATGTTTTTTTTTTCCAAAAGGAAGTTTAGTGATTAATTGTGAGTTACATGTAAACATATATTATTGCCCTCAAAGGTATTCACCAAGAACCTGGCCAGTGTCATTCCTGGCTGGCCTTCTAGAGTGTTAGATCTTGGCGAGTAGAAGTTAGAGAAGCATGCAAAGAAACCAAGTATTTGGCTTAGGCACAACAGGGAACCAATGGATAATTGAGGGTGAGAAATGGTCTATAACTTTTTACCCCAGCGGTGATGAACCTATAATTCCCAAATTGTTTGTGTAATTTTCTATTTCTACCACATCAGTGACAAATATTATTTTGTACTGCATGTTCCCTGTGAATTTTTTTGTTTTTCATCAGCAAGGTCCAGTTAGGATGCCTGAAAGGAAAATAGCATACCTGAGGCCATCATACCTAGCAAGAGAGACCACAGATGCACCTAGGAGGAAAAATACAGACTTCTAGTGGAAGCCACAGAGTCCCTCTGCAAAATGCTACTCGGCCGTTGATAGACTTTAAAAATATATGTCATGTGATCTAATTAGAGGAAACCCTTAGATATTCAAATTTGACATCGAGCTGTCAAGGAAACTTTTATATTTGGCATAGTCTACGGAGGCTGCAAATGCTCCTCTCTATAGAAGGCCTGAGATAGGCTTCCCCTCATATGACTGAGCCTGTTTAAATTCAGAGTGTTCTTAATTATATTTGCTAATGGTACTAGGTGTTAGAGTTAACGCTTCTCATATTTTAAAATTTATTTAGCGTAAGAGGTCATCTCTATTTTTTTTTTTTTTTTTTTTTTACTCTTATGGGAATTCTATGGCTTGTGTTGAATGGAAAAAAAAGCCAACCTTTCCAAATAAATCTCTAAGGATAATTTATTCAAAGAATGTCTCTTAACATGTGATTCCAGGTTTTTGGTGTTTGCTGTTTTCAATCAGTCTAACTCAGCAAACACTTATTAAATTATTGACTGTGCAAAGCTCAATGCTAGGTGCTGTTTGCAGAATATTAATTACCTGGAAGTAATTCATATTGTCAAAGTGCAACACCCTTTTATTATTTAAAAAAAAAAAAAAAACCTCTCAGAAAACTAGGAATATAAAGGAAATTCCTCAACATGGTAAAGGGTATTTATTTTTTAAAACCCCACAGCTAATATCATACTCAATAGCAAAAATCTTAAAACTTTCCCCATAAAATCAGGAACAGAACAGGACCCTAGTGTTATCACTGCAATCCAATGTAGTTCTGGAAGTTCTAGCCAGAGCAATTAGATAAGAAAAAGAAATGAAAGGATTCAAATGGGAAAGGAAGAAGTAAAACTATCTGTGTTCATAGATGACTTGATCCTATTATGTAGAACTACTACAAAATCCATAACAAGGCCACTAGAGCTAATAAACTCGGCAAAGCTGCAGTTGCTCCATTCTTTCTTCGTATTTCAGCACTTCAGTGTCCTCACTAAATACGTGGAATGGCTTGCCCTCAGGGAAATACTGGATGTTTAAAAATGTAAGGATGGGTCCAGGCGCAGTGGCTTCCGCCTGTAATCCCAGCACTTTGGGAGGCCGAGGTGGGCAGATCACGAGGTCAGGAGTTCTAGAACGGCCTGACCAATGTGGTGAAACCCTGTCTCCACTAAAAATGCAAAAATTAGCTAGGTGTGGTGACGCGTACCTGTAATCCCAGCTACTCAGGAGGCTGAGGCAGGAGAATCGCTTGAACCCGGGAGGCAGAGTTTGTAGTGAGCTGAGATCACACCATTGCACTCCAGCCTGGGTGACAGAGCAAGACTCTGTCTCAAAAAAAAAAAAAAAAAATAAGGAAGGATGGAAGGTCTTCTATTGGATCATCAAAAATAATTTACTGTCCCCATATTCAGTTGCATGCATGAAATTTTCATGAGACTATTTTGGCAGTAGGTCAAATTTTGCTTAAATTCCAAGTACTCCAAGTATTTACAAAGCTAGTAGCACATTAAGTTTCATTATGGTTTGAATTAGATTCATTTATTAGGTTGGTTATCTGTGATGCTTAGTAAAAAAAAAAAATAGAGAATAGTGAGCATCACTGGCAAGGTGGGGTCTGGAGGGAGCCACAGAGAAAGATGAGGCTTTAAAGAAAGGTGAAGAGAAAAGGGGCAGAGGAATCAACAAACAAAAGACACCACAGACCCTCACTGTTTATTATGGTAGTCATGAGACACATCTGACTATTTAAATTTAAATTAATAAACATGAAATAAAGTGTTTTTTTTGGGTGGGGGGCGCTTTTTTTTGTTTGTTTTTTGAGATGGAGTCTCGCTCTGTCACTGAGGCTGGAGTGTAATGGCACGATCTTGGATCCCTGCAACCTCCACCTCCCAGGTTCAAATGATTCTCCTGCCTCAGCCTCCCGAGTAGCTGGGACTACAGGCATGCGCCACCATGCCTAGCTAATTTTTGTACTTTTAGTAGAGACGGGGTTTTACTATGTTGGCCAGGATGGTCTTGATCTCCTGATCTCGTGATCTACCCACCTCGGCCTCCCAAAGTGCTGGGATTACAGGCATAAGGCACCACGCCTGGATGAAATAAAGTTTAAAACAAAGTTCTTTAGTGCACCAGGCAAATGTTTGTTTACCACATGTCTAGTGATTACTGTTTTAGTTATCATGGATATAAAACATTGTCATCATTGCAGAAATTCTGTTGAGCATTGCCGCTTTAGGCAGTGTTTTGTCCTTATTTTATTCAACAATATATGGTGAATATAGTTTCTTGTTAAAGATGATCTCAAAAATTTAAAATGGAATAGTATGCAATCACATTAAGCTATCATGATTTTCAAAAGTCAATTATTACAAAAATAGCTTTTTTATAACTTTTTGTTATTATAATCATGACTATTATTTAAAAAAAACCCAAGTAACAGAATTTTGTCCTCAAATTATCTATTTAGCATAAATTCATAGAAATACAATGACTGGATCCAATGCTGTAAACATTTTTTTTATAGCTTTTGATATGTGTGGCCAAATTCCTCTTCAGAAAGTTTATCTGTTTACATGCCCTAAGCATAAGAGACAGAAGAGTCATTTAATTTCAAAAGAAAAATAACTATACAATAAAGACCAAAAACAAGACAAAACAGAATATTAGCATAGCTGCCTCTGTGAGGAATAGAACTTCAGATTTGGATAGGAATAGTTGTGAGTAGCTATGCTGCAATACACAAGAAAAATAACAATAGTAATAATTAGCAACCACTTTTATAATATTCCTATGTGGTAGGCACTGTTTAGCATTTTATATATTTACTTCATCCTCACTGTAACCTTGTAAGTTAGTTTCTACTGTGACCTCCATTGTATAGTTAGAAAAAATGGAGGCATCTGGATTAAAAGAACTTGCTTGAAGTCACACAGCTAAGCAGCGAACCTAGGACTGGAATTCACCTGTGTTCATCCAAGCTGATAAGCATTCGAGAGTCCATGTTTAAACCACTATACAATATTGTTTCTCAATCATTTTGTTCAAATCCCAGTGGGATTGTGGGATTGTAGGTGGGATCGTGTCCCCTCTCATATATATATGTTCTAATCCCCAGTACCTCAAAGTGTAGCCTTATTTGGAGATAGGGGCATTGCAGATATAATTGCAGACATACTTTGTTTTATTGACCTTTGCCTTATTGAACGTCACAGATATTGCATTTTTTACAAATTGAAAGTTTGTGGCAACCTTGCGATAAAGCAAGTATATCGGCACCATTTTTCCAACTGCATCTGCTCATTTCATGTCTCTGTGTCACATTTCGGTTATTCTTGCAATATTTCAAATTTTTTTCATTGTTATTATATCTGTTATGGTGATCTGTCATCAGTGACCTTTGATGTTACCACTGTAATTGTTTTGGAGTGCCACAAACCATGCCCACAAAACATGGCAAACTTAATCAATAAATCTTGTGTATTCTCACTGCTCCAGTGACCAGCTCCCCATCTCGCTCCCTCTCCTTGGGCCTCCTGATTCTCTGAGACACAACAATATTAAAACTAGACCAATTAGTGATACTACAGTGGCTTCTAAGTGTTCAAGTGCAAGGAAGAGTCTCATGTCTCTCACTTTCGAACAAAAGCTAGAAATGATTAAGCTAAGTGAGGAAGGCATGTACAAAGCCAAGAGAGGCCAAGAGCTAGGCCTCTTGTGCCAAACAGTGAACCAAGTTGTGAATGCAAAAGAAAAATTATTGAAGGAAATTGAAGGTGCTACTCCAGTGAACACATGAAAGATAAGACAGTGAAAAAGCCTTATTGATGATATGGAGAAAGTTTTAGGGGTCTGGATAGATGATCAAACCAGCCACAACCTTCCTTTAAGCCAAAGCCTAATTCAGAGCAAGGTCCTAACTCTCTTCAGTTCTATGAAGGCTGAGAAAGGTGAAGAAGCTGCAGAAAAAAATTTGGAAGCTAGCAGAGGTTGGTTCATAAGGTTTAAAGAAAGAAGCTGTCTCTGTAACATAAAAGTGCAAAGTGAAGCAGCAAGTGCTAATGTAGAAGCTGCAGCAAGTTATCCAGAAGATCTAGCTAAGATCATTGATGAAGGTGGCTATACTAGACAACAGATTTTCAGTGTAAAGGAAACAGCTTTCCATTGCAAGAAGATACCATCTCATACATAGCTAGAGAAGAGAAGTCAGTGCCTGGCTTCAAAACATCAAGGGGCAATCTGACTCTGTCATTAGGGAATAATGCATCTGGTGACTTGAAGTTGAGGCCAGTACTCATTTACCATTCTGAAAACCCTGGGGTCCTCATGAATTATGCTAAGTGTACTCTACTTGTGTTCTATAACTTGAATGATAAAACTTAGATCATAGTGCAATGTTCACACAACATAGTTTACTGAATATTTTAAATACTGCCCAGAAAAAAGATTTCTTTCAAAATATTACTGCTTATTGAGAATGCACCTGGTCACCCAAGAGCTCTGATGGAGATGTACAAGGAGATTAATGTTGTTTTCATGCCTACTAACAACATCCATTTTGCAGCTGATGGATCAAGGAGAAATATTGACTTTTGAGTCTTAATATTTAAGATATTCATTTTGTAAGGCAATAGCTGCCATAGTGATTCCTCTGATGGATCTGGAAAAAGTAAATTGCAAACCTCTGGAATGAATTCATTTTAGATGCCATTTAGAACGTTCATGATTCATGAGAGAAGGTCAAAATGTCAACATTAACAGGAGTTTGGAAGAAGTTTGTTCCAACCCTCATAGATGACTTTGAAAGATTCAAGACTTCAGTAGATGAAGTAACTAACTGCAGATGTAATGGAAATAGCAGAATAACTGGAATTGGAAGTGGAGCCTGAAGATGTGACTGAATTGCTGCAATCTCATGGTAAAACTTTAATGGATGAGGAGTTGCTTCTTATGGATGAGCAAAGAAAGTGGTTTCTTGAGATGGAATCTACTCCTGGTGAAGATGGTGTGAACATTGTTGAAATGACAACAAGGGATTTAGAATATTACATAAACTTAGTTGATAAAGCAGTGGTAGGGTTTGAGAGGACTGACTGCAATTTTGAAAGTTCTACTCTGGGTAAATGCTATCAAACAGCATCCCATGCTGCAGAGAAGTCTTTCATGAACAGTGGCAAACTTGGTGTGCAGGTTATTGATGAAGCAAGCTTCATTGTTGTCTTATTTTAAGAAATTACCACAGTCACTCCAACTTTCAGCAACCACTACCCTAATCAGTCAGCATCCATCAACATAGAGGTAAGACCAGCAAAAAGATTACCACCCGCTGAAGTCTCAGATGATGATAAGCACATTTTAGCAATTAAGTATTTTTAAATTAAAGTATGTACATTGGTTTTCTTAGACATAATGCTATTGCATACTTAATAGACTGCAGCATAGTGCAAACATAACTTTTATACACACCTGGAAACCCAAAAAATTGTGTGACTTGTTTTATTGCAATATTCACTTTATTGTGGTGGTCTGGAACCAAACCCGCAGTATCTTTGAGGTATGCCTGTAGTTTAGAAGAGGTCATACTTGAGTAGGATTGGTTCCTAATTCAGTATGACTGGAGTCCTTATAAGAAGATGGCCGTGTGAAAATATACACAGGGAGAATGCCGTGTGATGACAAAGGTAGAGATTGGAGTTACGCAGCTGCAAGCCACCAGAAGCTAGGAAGAGGCGAGGAAGGATTTTCTTATAGGTTTCAGAGGGTGCATATACCCAAGCTGATACCCTGGTTTTGTACCTTCTAGCATCCAAAGCTGTAAGACAATAAATTCCTGTTGTTTTTAAGCCACCAAGTTTGTGGTACTTTGTTATAGCATCCTGAGGAGACTAATACACCTGGTGACTTAAAGGATGTTCCAGTGTCCAACCAACCACCCAGTTAGCTCATGAACACATCTCTCTTACTCCTCATCTGTGTCCTCTCTCATTTGTCAGATACCTGCATGGTGCCCAGTCACATGGGCTGAAGGCCAAAGATAATATGTTTGCTACTGCTTCTGTACACCTTGGAAATATCAGAGAACACCCTGACTGACTCACAAAGTGAATATTTCATTGAATTTGCCAACATTTTGTTAAGTTTCTGGGAAGCTAATAATTGTATATTTTTCTTCATTTTGGAGGGGCAGTGATTCATTAAGACAGTATGAACTACGCTGGTATCATGTAACTGTATTAAGATTTGTCTAGCTTGTGGGAAAAACTGTAAGGGCTCCAAACAACTGTAAATCATCAATGAATTTGTCCTTTGTCCCGATTTTCATTTCCATATTTAAGCAGATTACAGTCTGTCTAGTTTTGGAAAATCAGTTGCTTCTTGGCTTGAAAGAAAAATGAAAACCAAATTTATGGTTTACTCCATATTCACATTCTGATTTTTAAAATGTTATCATAATAGAATAACTGGAAATGATTTTATCTTGAATGAAGTCTTGAAATATGATTTTTTTTTTTTTGAGACAGAGTCTCTCACTCTGTCACCAGGCTGGAGTGCAGTGGCACGATCACAGCTCACAGTAGCCTTGACCTTCCCAGGTTCAGGTGATTCTCCCACCTCAGCCTCCCAAGTAGGTGGGACCACAAGCAAACACCATCATGCTTGATTAATCTCTTTATTTTTTGTAGAAACAGGGTTTTGCCATGTTGCCCAGGCTGGTCTCAAACTCCTGGGCTCAAGCAATCTGCCTGCTTTGACCTCCCAAATTGCTGGGATTACAGGTGCAAGCCACCATGCCCAGCGAAATATGATTTCTTAATTTTCCCTTTATACTATCAGGAGAGAAGGATTTAGGAGTGTCAGGCATCTCACAGGAAATCTTGCTCTCTAGCACACCTTTCCTCCATCATCTGTTTAAATCCCTGATTCATTATCCTCCCCTAAATGAATACCCACTAGAGCTTGTGACTGGTTCCTGAAACTCCAAAAGCAATCCAGTTTTTAATACTGGGCATTGTTTTCATCTGGCAGACATGATTTAAAAAGCAAAACTAGTAGTAGCTTCTTTACAGTGCCTTTATTGTGCCAAGCACTGTGCTAAATGTCTTTCTGTCTATCAGTGCACTTGGATTTAAAAAAAAACTCTGTGATGAGTAGTGAGATAGGTATTGATGAGCAATCTGAAGCTCAGATTACATTATGTTACAAAGTCTAGTAAATGGTATTTTGGATTTCACATCCAGGATTGTCTGAATCAGAATGCACTTCCACACCATGTGCTGTTCTGCTTTCCTGGAAGCAGGGTATGGACAGCAAAACACTGGGGGGCCCGAAACGGGAAGCAGGAAGGTGTCTAAATCGAGAAAAGAGAGAAGAGCATTAAGAGCAACTTGTAATTTTGCCTGCAACTTTCCTTGAATCTTTTACACTCTGTCTAGCAACTAGCCACGTGGGACTACTGAGCACTTGAAATGAGTCTGATGCAAGTTGAGATGTGCTAGAGGCATACAACGCATACTGGATTTTGAAGACTGAACATGAAGAAAACAATGTCAAACATCTCATCAATATTTTCATGCTGATTACATGTTAAATGACAATATTTATTTAGATATTTTGAGTTAAATAAAAATATGCTATTAAAATTTATTTCACCTGTTTCTTTTTACTTTTTTAAAATAAATTTTTCCTTTTTATTTTTTAAAAATTTTCATGGATACATAATAGTTGTACATGTTAATGGGGTACATGTGATATTTTGATACAAGCAGATAAAGTGTAGTGATCTAATCAGGGTAACTGGGATAGCTATCACCTCAAATATATATCATTTATTTGTGTTAGGAAATTCAAATTCCACTTCTCCTATGTTTATTTTGAAATATGCAATAAATTATTTTTAACTGTAGCTGCCTTATTGTTCCACTGAACACTAGATCTTACTCCTTCTATTTAATTATGTTTTTGTAGCCATTAACCAACCCCAAGGAACTCAAGCAACTCAATAGCAAAACCAAATAATCTGATTAAAAAATAGGCAAAAGGTCCAAACACATATTTCTCAAAAGAAGACGTGCAAATGGCCAAGAGACATATGAAAGAATGCTCAACAACATTAATCATCAGGGAAATGTAAATCAAAATCATGGTGAAATATCATTTCACCCTAGTGAAAACAACTTTTATCAAAAAGTCGAAAAACAACAGATGCCAGTGAGTATGTTGAGAAATGGGAATGCTTCTACACGGTTGGTAGGAGTGTAAATTAGTACTGGCCACTATGGAAAACAGTATGGAGGTTCCTCAAAATACTAAAAATGGAACTACCATATGATCTAGCAATCTCATTGCTGGGTATATACACAAACGAAAGGAACTCAGTATGTCAAAGAGATATCTGAACTCCTATGTTTATTGCAGCACTATTCACAATAGCCAAAATGTGAAATCAACCTAAATGTCTGTTGATGAATGAAGGGATAAAGAAAATGTGTGGTACATATACACAATGAAATATTACTCAGCCATAAAAAAAGAATGAAATCTTGTCATTTGCAAAAACATGGATGGAACTGGAGGACATTAAGTGAAATAAGCCAGGCACAGAAAGGCAAATATTGCATGTTCTTACTCAGATGCAAGAGCTAAAAAATAAACCCATGGAGTTAGAGAGTAGAATAATCTTTCTTTTTACTTCCTAAAATGTGGCTACCAAAATTTTAAAATTACATATGTGACTCCCATCCTATTGCTGTTGGACAACACTGCTTTAGATGACGGGATAAACTGAACAACCTGAATAGTGTAAATTTAAATGAAAAAAAAAAATACTAGTAAACTTTTAAAGAAAGGTTACTGCAATTCAAAACTGATACATTGTTTTCAAAGTATAGAGTATACTATTCTTATCTTCAAGATAATCCTGTTGTTCAAATTTTAAACTCAATTCCTAAAAACTAATAAAAGTGAGATGTGAACTGCATGTGAACGTTTTAGTCTTTGTGGTAGATTTCTTGCAAAACTCTACTCAATGCTTCCCTCTTTTATTTGAGCTACTTAGTAGTTCCTTTCAGTAAGGGGTGGGGTTTATTTCCCCTCTCCTTAAATCTTGATAGGCCATGTGAATTTCTGCCAATAGAACATGGCATAAATGATGGTGTGCCAATTCTGGACTTAGATAACAACAAGTCTTCCATTCTGTCTATTCATTCTTTTGGAACCTGCTCACTTTTCATGCAAACAGGCCCCCTCCTGCCCTGGAAGTTGAGAGACCATGTGGAGCAGAGACGAACTGTCCTAGATGAAATAATCAGTGTCAGTTTTCTATGGCTGCTATAACAAACTACTACAAATTTAGTGACTAAAACCACCACTAATTTATCATCTTACAGTTTATCATCTTACAGTTCTGTAAGGCAGAAGTCCAACACACGTCTCACTGGGCTAAAATCATGTGTCACCTGGGTTGTGTTCTTTTTCAGAGGGAGGTTCTAGGGGAGAACCCCTTTTTTATTTTTTAATCTTTTCTAGCTTCTACAGGCTGCCCACATTCCTTGATTTTATAACCTCTTCCTTTCTCTTCAAAGCCAGCAGAAGCAGGTGGAGTCTTTCTCACATCATATCACTCTGTCCTCTTCTGACTCTCTCTGGCACTTCTAAGGACCTTACTATTGCATTGAGCCCACCCAAATAATCCAGAGTAATGTTATTTTCAGATCAACTGATTAGCAACCTTAATCTCATCTGCAATGTTAACCCCCCTTTTCCATGTAAGGTAGTATATCCACAGATTCTAGGGATTAGAATGTGGACTGTGTGTGTGTGTGTGCGCGTGCATCTATGTGTGTGTGTGTGTGTATGTAAAGGGGAAGAGTGGTCACTACTCTGCCCACCATGCCATCCTTGACCAGCCAGCACTTGACCACCAGAAACTGATTGCAGATGCATAAGTGAGTCTAGCTCTGACCAGAACTCCTCAGCTGAGCCCAGCCCCAATTGCTGCTCTCTGAAGTGATGAATGAGATAAAGTTTGGTTAAGTACCTTAAATAAAGATAGGGTGGCATGACATGAAATAAAGGGAAAATGAATTCAGTCTTTGAAAAGGCCCCCAAAATGCAAACTGACTCTTTATGTAAAATATTACACGATCAAGTTTCTCAAACAATCCTGATAATCTGAGGCACTCCATTTTTATTAACTATTTTATTAATATTTTTTGCTCTTCTTAAAAAATGTAATGGTGATCTTGTTGGGACAAACTGTTTCTCTACTGAGTTATTTGCAGTATAGGAAATTACTGTGTAGACTTCCCCACCAACATTCTCGATTCTGCTGTGAGAAGACCTCTGTCAGCAAAAGTGGGGCTTAATCTTCAAGTCCTTGATCTTTGGAGTAATAATGACTTGTGGCCTGGGCTAAATTTTCATTAGGGAATAAACAATACTTTTAAACAACCTCTCAAGCTGTTCAATTATACTTTTAGTTCTCTCTTAAGCAGATTCAACATGTAATATATTACTTATAGTTTGCCTCCAGTGGCATAGATCACATAGTCAACTTTTGGAGGATTCAACATTTTGTTTATCTTCAGGGGAAGGCCGGGATATGCCTCACAATGCAAATTCTCTGTTTCAACTGTGAAACAGAAAGGAAGAAGAATTAAAGCAGCTTACTGTTAGACATAACATTTTAGCCTCCTGAGCAAAACCTCAGAGAAACCAGGACTCCTTAAAAAAAAGTTTCAAATGGAAAATATCAACCAAGCAGAATAATTTCTAATTGAGACACATGAAGTTTTTAACCTTGCAATGTTTTTACCTTGTGATGTTTCATCTATGATCCCAAGATTTCCATTTCAAGTATTTACTAGCGTAATATGAAAGAGCAGTGGGTCAGCATCATCAATTTGGTGGCAGAGTCTCATAAAACAGAGGCTATCTGCCTATTAATAGCCTCATGCTGTAAAAGGTCCCCCAGGGGTGTGTGTGTGTGTGTGTGTGTGTGTGTGTGTGTGCATGTGTGTAGTAAGGGGTTCTTCATTACCAGCAAAATTTATTGCTAAAGATCCTGAAACTGGTAATTAATAAACAAAGTTAATTATTTGGCAACCTAACAAGATTCACACATTCAAAACTGTTGGAAATTTAAGGCACCTGCTAATGGTTTCCAGTGTAACGGTAGATCAGGGAAATAGCTTTAAGAATAAATAAGTTGCATCACTGAAATTTCTTGTTTTGCTTTTTCCTTACAATTTTTTTTTAACTTTCTCATCATGAAGTTTCCTGTCTGAGAAAGATATAAAAGAATTTACTTTGTTTTTGTTTTTTCCCACAGAAAGCAGAATGGGTCTGGAGTGGCCTATGAAATCTGGCGATTCTTCTACATTGTACATTGCTTTCTTAATCATTCTTAATCATAAGAATTTTATATTTCTGTTGGGAATCATGTAACCAGATATTGACCTCAGGAGGATATCACAATATCTTTTGAATTGTGAGTTAGATAAGGGCTTCTTATTTTCTGACATGGCTGATTATATGTCCACTGGAAAACTGCAGTTCCCACTGCAACACTCGAAATGGCTTTGCTGTCCAGCAACAACTAAACCATAAAGTATTTCACTCAGCTATCTGGGGCACTGGGGAGCACTAAACAAAAGTGTGTTTGCAGTGCTGCTGCCAGGCTCTGCTTTTTGTTATTAACTGGAACAAGATTAAGCAATTTGCATGTCAGCATGTGTCTGTGACGTGTGTCCACAGATGCATGTGTGCATATCTGCACTCATAGACCAGTTGGAAAATGAAGTGAGAAGAGGCATATTTTCTTACCTATAATAAAAGGTTATTGTGCTTAGCTGGATTTTGTAAAGTGTTTTTATCTCATATATTTATACAATATTGATTCAATCAAATTAACCTAATAAGTGCAAATAATAGGTATGTCAAGACAAATAGAGAGATTAGAGGAAAAAACACATTTATTGAGCACCTACTATGTGTACACCTTCATCAGCATCATTGTCCTTAATACTGGCAACTATAGCTATCATATTTACAGCATATGGATAAGGAAACAGTTCAGGAAGATCAAACCACTTTATATGTCAGAGCTAGAATTCAGACTCAAGTGTGATTTCCATTCATGTGTCATGACCACGATACCATGATGCCTCTTCACCCAGAAGTTCATAGTCGAGCCCGCTGTGATGTTCATGAACATTTGCTGGCACTCTCATGACGATGATGTAAAAGATTTTACACACAATAGTCAGAAATGATGTAAGAAAAAAATGAAGTTTTAAAAAGTATCTTCATGGAATTCATAGTCACAGAAACATTTTCATAAAAGGAGGCTCTTAATTATATTTTTAAAACTCTATACCCTACCCACTTATTCCTTGTGATGTTTATCAGGACTGGACTAGATGAATATGGCAGAGATAAAGCTATCACTTAAGGTTCCTGCTTAAAAGGATTTTATTATTGTACTGGACACTAATGTATTTGACATTGTTTAATTTTTAAAATCTATTTCTTAAAAGAAAATAGTTTTAAAACAGCCTTTAAGGATAGGACTGTAAGTATTGTCATTTATAAAGTGTCATTTATTTTAAACATGTAAAATTATTGGCCCTCAGATACCTTATATTTAATCCTTTTAACAACTCTTCATAGTAAGCAGTAATTTTCAAGTTTTACAAATAAGAATCTCATGGACTGTAGAGGTTAAGCATAGGCACCAGTGTTTAAACCAGTCTTACTCTAAAATACAGACTGCTCCCCCTATACCACACATTGCTCCTCTGATTCCACACATTGTTTTCTCAAATCCTTGAATAAGGGTTATTATTGAGGCTATTAAGAATGATTGCCAACATTGACTTGAACTAGAAATGTCAGAATGAACAATAGAATGAAAAAATGACAGTTTTGTTTTTTACTTTTTTTTTTTTATTTTTAACCACTGGGTTAGAATAGCAGAAGGTAGAATTAAGAGAACAAAAAGTAATTTTCAGTGGTAATATGCTGACTGTATCAAGAGTAGCAGGAATGATACTATCAAGGAAGAAAAGAATAAATATTTCAGCAGACAATTAATCTATCTCAGGGCTAACAAATCTAAAACAAATATACCATCAATAATACTCTATTTCCATTTCCTGGCTGGAAAGAGCTACACGAGCATATAACTTTGAATTGTTTTGTAAGGCCAGGTGACCTGCAGCTGGCTCATGGTTAACTGCTGGAGCCTCACTGAAGATGTAAATACTGTTCCGCAGCTTTGTGATACATAGCTAAAGACCATAAATGTGTATGTAATGAGTCAGAGAGCAGCAGTTCATTACTTGGGGCCTTTGTCACATATGCATCATATGAATACTGAACGACAATGATTTGCATGGAAAATCAGTTTAATGACAGAGAAACAAATACATAGTGGTTGTGAGCTTTCAATTTTGTGTCTAAAAAACGGATTCTAATCTCTTTTGTGCCATTTATTGGCTGTGTCTCTTTTCCTATCAGTGGGATGTACATAAGGGTCTTGGGATGGGTTTATTGTATAAGCTAAATAAAAAGAGGTATGTAAAACATGTGGCATGGTGCCTAGAACAGAGTAAGGCATCAACTCGTATCTGCTATTAGTACTGATGTCAAAAGATGTGGCATGCTGTTGTCTGGCTCCTCTTAAAAGGAAATTAAAACCTAAATTTGTCTCATGTGAGTATTCATCTCATATGATTGACCCCATAAGGCCACTAGGAAAACCGAATGGGAAAAAAACCCAGCATCTCACTTGTAGCTCCAGAGGAATAGGATTTGGGTTTGGGCTGTTCTCTTTGGTCCCTTTTAATCTGACCAACCTGATGCTTCACCAGCATAAAACTACTTTCTCCCAAGGTTTTCATTTGCAGAAACAGGAAGACCCTTGAGACCAATAACTGGTTATTTATTTTTAAATGTTCTAAAATAAAAATAATAGTGTGAGGCTTTTGCTTGAGCTTTCTTTCTGAAATGACCCTTGACAGGAACTGGAAATAGTTCTTGTCAATGCAGCCATTATCTCTCTTGTGACCAAACGGGATGTGGGAGGTAGGGTGGAATTTCTGAGTTCTTTGTACATAGGAATAAAATGTCTGTCATTTAGTTAAAATAAATTATTGATTTTTAAATCAAATTAAAATATTGAGTCACACAAGCAGGTACTGTACTTGAATTTTCCCTTATTTGTAAGAACTGTTTTTCACTGCTTTATGAATAGTGGGGAAAAATAAGGGGATATAAATAACAAAAACATGTTTTGGGCTTCATGAAACCCAGAAGGCAATTATAGGACACTCTGAAGAAAAAGTTTAAATTACCATAATTTCCCAGGAAAATAAATGATCCACTTTCTTGCCTTATCAGGTAAGCAAGCTGACAAAATGCTTTAAAAACAACTTTGGGATACTTAGTTTCCCTTTCCACTGGAGGACTGTGCACAAAGCTCAAATTATGCTTTCCATACCCCAGTGCTTTCTCCTCTTCCTGGGAACAAGGGTGTTAAGTGTCCCCAGCATCACTCAGGGATTGGGCTTGAGAAAGTCTTAGGAGCAAGACAAATGATTGATTTTGCTGGAAGGGAAACAGAAAAAGCCGGGCATGAATTTAAGTGGAATAATGACAGATCGCTTTAGCGGATCAAATGATTGATTTTCTTCAGGGATTAAGAGATGATTCAATTTGGGATTACTGTATTATTGCTTCTAGATCTGCAAAATATACGTGTCCGTGGCCTGAGGGTAAAGAAAGTAAAATAATGGGTCGTATCACATACATTTCTTGTTTAAATTTCCTCCAAAGCTTTAATTATTTCAGGAATAAATACCTCCTCCTCAGTATGAGAATCTGGGGTTTTCTTGCTCTGGCCCCTACATACTTATCCTGTCTCTTTGGTGGTCTTTCTCTCCTTGCATGCTATATGACATCAGAAGCAGTGACATCACTGTACTACCCCAGAAATGGGCCTCTCTGCCTTTGAATCTCATACACCTTTTGTCCAGAACGCTTCCATCTCCCTTACTTCCCTTTATTTCCTAGGCTAACTGATAAATCATTATTTAAAACATTCTACTTAGCCCTGAATCTGGGTTGTATGTACTTTCTATGTGCTCTCAAAATATCTCTTTATTTTTCTCAATCATTACGTTTATCATAGTATATTGTAATCATGTCTTGACTTTGATTTAATTGGTGTTAGGTCAGGCACGGTCAGCGGTCTATTTAAAAAGCTCCCTGGTGATTCTGATTCACAGCCAGGATTATGACCCACTGAACTGGACTGATAGCTCCATGAAGATAGGACAGTTGACTGTCTAGTTCACAGTTATAAGCCCATTTTCTAGCTCAGTGCCAGAAACACAGCAAATGCTCAAGAAACATTTGATCTATACATCAAATGTCTTTGTATCTCCAGTGTTTGTACAATGTTAAGCACAATTGTTTGTTGAGGGAGTAAATGCATAAATATGTTAAATTCTACAAAGAACCCATACATTAGTAAATTATAGTCTTTGCTTTCACAAAGTTATAGTTGGATAGGAGTAAGGGAAATTGAAGAAACACCAAAAATTCTGATATTATCACTTGTACATATTAACAATGAAAACATTTTCAGTGGTTGTAATGATTTCTTACTGAGAATATGTCTCATGGTGAGGATTTTTCTTTCTTCTGAATGCAGACATTTCTTTCTTGTGAATGCAGACATTTTTGAAATAGTATGGCAAATGTTCAGTTGATCGAAGCTTTGAGCAAATTCTGTTTAAGTTCTTTGGCAAACTGCTTAAATCTTGTGAGGTCATTCCAGACCATTCGCCTTTCCCTGTTATGCACTGAGGCAGGAAATGTTTTCTCCTTTTTGAAATGAGCAATTCAAGGGGCTGGTAAAGAATGCACATGGTGCGACATGCTATCAGCTCCCGCCAGCTGTTTACCGTGGTCTTTTTCATTCTTAACAGGGACATCAAGTTCTTTTGGATACTAGTTATGGTTTTATACATAAGACAAAATAAACACTTCCTGTAGGGCTTTAGAGGGTAACTTCACTCAAGTCTTATCTTCCATTTTCTTCAACAAAAGAGGAAAAAGTAAGATTTGAGAGAGGATTGCTATTTATCAGGTTATGCTGTAGTCTGTTGGCACATTTTAAAAATTTCTTTTTGGATCCTGAAAGCAGTAAAACTCCTCACCTTAACTTTCCCCATCTCATATCACTTAATTTTTCATACTGTGAGTGATCATGGCCCCCACCCAAGGTCATCTGAGAACAATTGTACCTTAGTCATTGACATTCTTAAGATCTTGTTTAGAAGGGATTGTTTGGAGCCTTTGTAGTCTGACCTGAGTCATCCCAGACTGTGCCAGGGTGGCTAAAGAACTGAACTTTCCCCAAAGGAACTCTTGTTATTGCAGAGAATCTCCAGGATGAAACACACAGTTAGTGCTCAGTGCACATGCACTTTGTCTGGAATTTACTGTCTGAACAGGGACAGACCACGACCTTTTAATCAGGATAGGCTTAGACTGAATTTTTTGTGCAAAGTAAATTTCCTTCTCGTAGAGTTTACCAGAGAGGCCACCCTGTAGAAAGGTATGATGGCTTAGTGGGAAGGCTATGAGCTTTGGAGTCAGAGAGACTTAAGTTTAAATCCCATTTCCGCCACGTATTTCGTGAATTGGGTAAGACACTTCTTTGAAACTCAGGTTTCTCATGTATAAAATATAATAACTCACTCATGGTGTTGCCATGAAGATCAAAAGAGTTAAGACAGACTATGTCCTTGCCTCTGGATAGCACTGAAAAGGTCCACTTTCTTTTTTGCTTCCTTTGCTTGAAAACTTGTTAATGAATTTCACTGGCTAATCTATAGAAATATTTCTTATCTAAAAGAAATATGTCACTGATTTTGGCAAATACACATTTTATTTAGAAATATTAGTTAAAACTATGCTATGTGCTGTAAAAAAAGAAACAGAGTGCCTTCCTACTATTCAGATGTTGTAATTAAAACTTATATAGCAAAATATGTACAGAGCAACAAACATTTCAATAAGGGAGAGCGGAAGAACATAATGGAAAAGGCACTGAATCTGAAGGCCCGACCCTAACCTCAACTCTAGCTGCGGGATGGAAGGCTCACTTATAAAATAAGAATAATATCTAACTTAATAGTGTTGTTCAGAAAAATGAAAGGGTGGAATGTTTGTAGATCTGCCTGGAAAATGTAATAGCACAATACTCACATTTAATTATTAAGAATAGGTTGTATTTCTTCTCCTACTTAACAAAAAACAAAATATTTTAAGAGTGAGGAATGGTATACAGTTGGAGAAAGGGCATTTTTTTCATAAGCCAGGGAGGAAGATGGTGGGTTTAGTTGCAGCATGCTAACTGAGAGCAATTTTGCATTTTCTCAGCTGCCCCTTGGAAGCCCGTCTAGACTTCACGTAGACAGTCCAGGTATTTGCTGAGTGGAGTGATTAGGTGGGGCTGGGATATAGACCTGTCTGGAAATAAGTAATCTTCCCTAAACCTGTGTGGCTGTGGCACGCTTGTGAAAAGGACTGTGGTGTATAAAACTACGGATGGTAAGACTGAGAACTTAAAACAAAGTAGAAGTTTGTAGGAACAGCAATAAAAATGGTGTGTATGTTCATTCACTTAAATATCACAATTCGTATAAGGTCGTGAAGGCATCTGCTACTAAGGCAAACTAAATTTACTGGTATTAAAAAGTTGCTCCAATAGGTAATCTTTTCCTGACCGTCCTTCTTAATTGTTCTAGAAGTCTTCTGAAATAGATTCTTCCATGTGTTGCACAAAAGTTTTGCAAACTCATTTTAAAGATTTTAGATCTTACTGAGTTGGGATTCAACAATTTTTGCCCTTGTCATTTTTTCATTTCCTGAAGTATTGGCAAAATCTTTGTGTAGCCATTCTGTATGGTTCTGGTCTTTATCCCACATCTGAGTAGGTAGAGCCTAAGCAGGTCTCCCTTTTACACTAAATGCTCCTGCTCCTTGGAGAGCAGCAGAAGGAGCAGTAATGGCCTTTGGGCTCTTGTTTAAAAGGACTGAATTATAGAAACTATAGATCATACTACAGTAAGACTTTAAATTGCTAAAAATATATGTTCTTATCATGTAATTCGAAGCCCACATACAATGAGTCACTCATCTGGATTACACCTTGTGAGTGGGTATGGTATGTTACTATGAATGGACAAAACATGAGCTCATCTTTAGCAAGCTTTCACCTGAAGTTCTTTTTATCAAATTAACAAACAAGTTGCCCATGAGGCAGCGGTTTAGAGTTCAGTGAGTGTAGAGAGGATGCAGGGAAGGTTTGGGGAAGTGGACTTCTGGCTGGATATGATGATCTTCAAGGGGTACCCAGTGAGAGACCCTTGTGGTGGTGTGATTATGGTGAAGGGTTGACTGGAGAAAGGAGACACAGACAAAAAAATGGCAGAAGACCACGATTTTGACCACTGTTTTTTTTTTTGTTTTTTGTTTTTGTTTTTTGCCTAGAACTGATCTTATTTAGAAATAAGGCTTCAATCTTGCTGCTTTTGCTGAGGTGAAGTGTTTAATAGAAAATAGTAGACAGAGTCTACTTAATTATTGTGGCAACAGCTGGCCATCTTCCTTATACCATCCATCCTTCCTTATGGTGACCCATATGTCAGTATGGGTCTTCCACATATCTGAGCAAAAGACTAATAGATGGTGTAGCCCAGATCTTTTTATGTAGACCCTTCAGTTAGTGTATTCTTACCCCTGTAGAGTTTCTGTGTTTCTTGGTCAAATTCATTCTTTGCTTAAAAACAAAGCACAACACACTAGATGAGAGATGAGAACAAAGGTGCATGGAGTTTTGAGATGGGAAAATGACTACCACTTGGTTTTGGCAAGTGGGAGGCAGAGATGAAATAAATTGCTGTAGTGTGGGGTGCTGGGATTGCAAAGATGGAAGACGACTGATTGGTGGTAGCTGCTGTCATGTGGAATATTTCTTTCTAAATTTAGAGGGGAAATTGGGCTAGATCATCATATTTAATTAGAATCTTTTAAGTGTTATTTATACATGCTATTTATAGATGACCTAGAAAAGAATGATGAAAAAATTAATTTAAAAATCACTTAATATTCCTGTTCAAATCATTGTTCTTTTATCTTAAACCTCTTTTTCTTTGTGAAGACTATTCTTTTCTACATTAGCTAATCCTACTGTAGAAGTATTTTACTGGATATTTTTCTCTATCCTTATAATATTCAATTTCATATTAATATTATAATCTAAATTTATAAATACATTACATATTTTTAAAGAGCAGAATCATAGAATAAAAAAACACCATATTTGAACAAAGATTTGTAAATTTTTTTTTTTTTTTATGGAGTCTTGCTCTATCGCCAGGCTGGAGTGCGGTGGCACGATCTCGGCTCACTGCAACCTCCGCCTCCCGGGTTCAAGCGGTTGTCCTGCCTCAGCCTCCCGACTAGCTGGTATTACAGGCACACACCACCACGCCGAGCTAACTATTGAATTTTTAGTAGAGACAGGGTTTCACCATGTTGGCCAGGATGGTCTCGATCTCTCAACCTCATGATCCGCCCGCCTCGGCCTCCCAAAGTGCTGGGATTACAGGTGTGAGCCACCATGCCTGGCTTGAGCTTTTGTTTGTCAAATTCTATATTCATAATTGGAAAAGAAACATTTGTCAGACCAAATTAAAACCCATTAAATTAAAAAAAAAACAACCCAATTACATTTTCAAATTTCAGCAACTCATCTCTGAGCTGCTCTCTCTAGGTCTCTTCTGTGAGGCATCAGGGCCCCAGAGAGATGTTTGTTCACTCCCAGGGCTACCGTGGTGGCTGCTCAGTAACGATGTAGCTGTTTCTACAGTTAGATGATTTAGAACACATGTAGAATTTCCTGTTTCAGACTCATAATGGATTTCCTTCTTTCTTTTATGTGCAGCCTTGGTTACAAACTGGGATAAAAACAGTTTACGTAAACACAGAAGCAAGTAAGACTGGAAGGTGGTATTTTTATAATGCTTTTCCAAGAAAACTATATTGAGTGGAACATGAGGTTTAAAACGTTATTTCAGCATCAGTGAAATCTCATTACAGACTTCAGAAGAGATCCAAAGACCAATCTTGTTTAGCTTGCACTTGATGATCCCTCATGGTGGCCCTTCCTAACACAGTTTGAAATCACACATCTTTAGTCCTGTAGGTTATCTGATCCAAAGTATATATGCATTGTATTCTTTGTGAGTAATGTGTGTAAATGTAAATGGACCCTAGAATGATTTGTGCGTGCTACCAGGCATGATTCTGGGTGCTTAAGGAAATGCATCTATACAATGCCTGTCACCAAGACGAAGGCCCTCAACATTTTGTTGTCATTTAATTAATGCAGACTGATTTTAATTCAGTCCAGGGATATTTCAATCACAACATAAGTAGAAGGTAAAACTGAGGTCTAAATACTCATGTATTAATTTCAGTGTTGAATAGAGAAAGAGCCATATCTTTGCCTCTTAAGTGTTTACAGTTCTCAAAGCATTCAGAACTTTGAATGCTCGATATGATTACTCCTCTCCATTACATGGATATCCAAAAGTTCATTAACAGGTAAAGGATGAAAGGACTTGGAAATGAAATTGTCAAGAGAAGATATTTGAGACCTAGGGCCTGTGGTCTATGTTTTCAATTTTCTCCCTTCAGAGTATTTTAAAAATTAAAATGGAATAATTTTATTTTTACATTATACTTTATGTAAGGATGACCTGAGCCATAGACAGATAACATTTGGGGTAAATTTACAGAAGCCTTCTTGTAAAAATAAAAATCTGGTTGTTAGTAATATTTAATAATACACTATTATGATGGCAGATATTTAATGACCTATTTATAAAATAAACTATTTCATTTTTTAATATTATTTAAAGTTACTTGTGGGAGCCAATTTATCAGATATTGCCCATAGATCCAAGTGAAATCAGGAGGAAGGCTAGGAGGAAAAAAAAATATCTAAAATGCACTGTGTAGCTGTTTTGTTTTTTAAGAATTTTAGAGATACTTCAGAGAAAATTGGAGATATTGTAAAAGAAAAATTTAACACTGCTGCTTTTATCTATTGATATGGACAATGATTTGAAAGTTGACTAAAATTGATGCTTATTCTATTTCATACATCCTTTGGACAACGTGGTGATTGTTTAATTTTATTTTTTATTCTAATTTTAATTTTGTAGAGATGAGGTCTTGCTATGTTGCCCAGGCTGGTCTTGAATTCCTGGCTTCAAGCAATCCTCTGGCCTTGGCCTCCCAAAGTGCTGAGATTATATGCATAAGCCACCACTTCCAGTGCCCAGTGATTTTTTAAAGACTATATTGTGTGTAGATTTTGCAACATGAACCAAATGCTTTGCATTTTTCCAAAGATTAATCATATTGAAATGTATTTTTCTAGATCCTTAAAAACACAAACGTTATTTGGGGGCTTATGTTCTAGGCACTTGTTAGGCACTAAAAATACAAAAATAAATAGGTGTTGTCACTGCGGTCATTCAAGGCATAGTATATCCAATTGGTGCCAATATGACTTTTCACATAAACAATCAGATACAGCCAAAGAAATGACTCTGAACTGCTAAGAATTATATGTAGTCTTACAATACAGAAAAACTAACCTAAAGTATAAAGAATGAAGGAAACAATAAAGATAAGAACAGAAAATAATAAGAGTAGAACACTCAGTATAGAAGAGCAACACCACGAAAAGGTAAGTTCATTGAAAAGCCTACTGTTTCCTTAGTTTCCACCCGCCTCCTGCCAGGGAAGGTTTTTTGAACCCTTTTCAAGGGTGGAAAGTCCAAATAGAGTCCCAGTCTTGATGAACTTTTGAGGCAGAGATTAGTGATTCAGGCTGCCTGAAGTAGCTGGAATTTGTAAAGCAGGGTCAGAGAAGACGAAGCTGTATGGAGGGTGTACACCGAAACTCTTTGTGAGGATTCACTATGCATCTTTGGTTTGGGATTAGCTTGGCTTGTGTAGGACAAGATTTCATGAGACCTACCTGGGATCTCCGTCTATAGGGCTGGATAGTGATGGCAGAGGGTTGTTAGAGTTCTGGCCCAATAAGAGAGCAAATAAAAGATATATATCTATCTATCAATTGTATATTATGTCCATATACCTAGATAATAGTGCACTCTCTCTAAAAAAGTAGTATAAAATAATTTGTCTACATGAATGTGTGGATGTTCCCCAGGTCTTGCTGGAGTAATTCCCAGAAATAGAATTCTTCATGACTTATCCAGTCTTACAATTATGAAATTAACATTAATCTGTAAAGCAATGGGTAAGAACTTGGCAGAGGCCACCTGATCTTAGAATGCAATAATCTTAATCTAGTACTAAGTCAAAGTAGAGAAGGTTTGAATTGGGTCGACAATTCCTCAAAACGGATTTTTTAATGAACTTTCAGTTTTAGTTTTTAAGAATTAGAATTTCAAGAGAAATTCCTTCATCCTATTTTGCATTAAATGTCATATTCTTTGCTATGTATAAAATATTTTGGTATAGACTTAAAAGCATTGAAAAGACTTAAAAATTGGAAACAAAAGGAAATTAGAGTTTTCAGGAATAATTTTGAGTTTACATAGAAACCAATAATATTCCTGAGTTGAAAGTTATTGCCTCAAACATCTTCAAATTTTGGAAAATAAAAAAATTGTCATTTGTTTTATTTAGAATGATGTTACTTTTGGTTATGTTTTATGTGTTACTAATACAATACAAAGTGTGGGTATAAGACAAGTCCAGTCTTGAATTATTAGTGGAACAAAAACATGAAAACCTCCCAGTATAAAATAGGCTCTGACCCGTGGCTAAGTGTACTTCACAGCTGTTTGGCCTTTTCAAAAGTCCTGCTATCTTTATAATGCACAGTTTTAGCTTTCTGTGTTGCATTGTGTGTGTCTATGGTTATTCATGCTGAACAGAGAACAGTTTATACATGTTTATTTCTAGCATCTAAGCAACTTGACTGGTACTTTTTTTTTTTACTTTCTGTTAGTTCAGATGTTTGCAAGCCTATTTGCATAAAACAGGGAAAAGGCTTATGCAGAGTGGCTTTCCATATTGAGTACTGATATTGCACAGACATTCACAATTATTTATTATGTTTTTAAGTCCTTTATAAGTCTTTATAATAGTCTATAGAGTTAAGATGTGTATGGGAACCAAGAATACATGGTTTTACCTTTTATGGGTTGGTCACTTTCCTAATGAACTTGCCTTTTCATTTGGCCAGGTATTGGTCTTGTCAGCTATAGCATATCAAGGTCTTCCAAACTTCACACACCTAATAAATAGGATCCATATATTAGAATTTCTCAGTTATGACTGTGTCAATTTCCTTTATATTTTATTCATCTTTTTCATGTCTAGCTATGAAAAGAAATTCATTTCCCATAAATCACTTAAAAGCATACCATGCAATAATTACCACCTACATCATTAAAGATTTGTATATCAATAGTTGGAATTTACTTTATTTTTTATTTTATTTTATTTTATTTTATTTTTTTTTGAGATGGAGTCTCTCTCTGTCACCCAGGCTGAAGTGCAGTGGCGTGATCTCGGCTCACTGCAAGCTCTGCCTCCCGGGTTCACGCCATTCTCCTGCCTCAGCCTCCAGAGTAACTGGGACTACAGGTGCCCGCCACCACACCCGGCTAATTTTTTGTATTTTTAGTAGAGATGAGGTTTCACCATATTAGCCAGGATGGTCTTGATCTCCTGACCTCATGATCCTCCCGCCTCAGCCTCCCAAAGTGCTAGGATTGCAGGTGTGAGCCACAGACGAATTTTCTTCACTTAAAGTTTATTCTAAGTAGAAAAAATGACATTGAGAGTCTATGGTAGCTTGTTTCTTTGTGATTTTTTGCAATTTTGTATTTTGAGCTCCTCTTCAGAACTTAATCTGTGATAATTTTGTGACACCTGAACTGGGAGTGTGTATTCCTCCAGGTAAGATATTGTTTGCTTCAGGCAAGCATCCTGAGACATTATTTATCTACTAATGATTTAATTCCTTATCTTGGGCTTTCTCAGACCCCACAGGTCATCTAAAGTTTGATCTTAAAACCTGTAGCCTTGAATACCTTTTCCCCAAATCCAGATAAATAAAGACTAAAAAGTTTTCTTGATACTTCTCTTTTCTAAGAGCTACATATTTTCTAGATGCTCTCTCCTGCCTCCTGTCCTGGAAGATTCAACTTTATCCACAAGATCTCCATTTTAACTCACCACCTTGCAAGTATCTAAGTTAAAACTCAGTTCTCTAGGTTCCAGGGATCAGAAAATGCCCTCAGGGCAGATTTAATTTCAATCCTCATTTATCCCTCTGTTAACTGCTTCCTTCTTGGACTCTGGAGACTTATTTTCCTTTTTACTCTCTTTTTCCACAATGCTCTTTCATTTGGAAACTGTTTGCTTAAATATAATTCAAATAGAGGAAAAATATTCAAAATACAAACTTTTTTTCTGCACGGCATCACATTTATTTATGAAATTTAGCCATGGTTTTGTGCTCAGTAATAGTTTTTTTTTCTTTGTATTTTATGAACATACTGTAATTTATTTATCCATTCTATTTGTTGATGGACAACTGGGTTATTTCTAATTTGGGGCTTTCACAAATAATGTGAACATTTCCATCATGTCTCTTAGTGAATCTGTGTATTCATTTATGTTTGGTATATAGCTATTACTGGAAATGCTAGGGTAATAAATATAATCTTTGGCAGTTTTTCAAAGTAGTTGTCCTAATTTAAATTCCCATCAACAATGTGGGAAAGTTGGAGTTGTTCCACATCCTTATCAACATTTTTTATTATCCATTGTGTTTGCTTATTTGTTTTACTATTAGCCATTCTGATGAGTGAGCAGCGGCAACTTACTGTTTAATTGGCATCTCCCTATTGGTTATTTTGTACCTTTATGTTTATTGCCTATTTGACTATCGTCTTTAGTGGAGGATAACTAGTTTAGTGAGAAAACTTATTTGAGTTATCTTTTTATTTTTTAGGAGTTCTTTTTCTATTCTGGCCATGAGGTCTTCATCAAATATTGTCAATATCTTCTCTCATGCTGTGACTTTTCACTGTTTGAATGGTACATTTATAAATGAAGTTTAATTTTAAAGAAGTTTTATTTTTTTAATTGTTTTTCTTCATTGTGACTGCTTTTTTTGTCCTGTTTAAGAAATCTGTCCCTTCTCAATTTATGAAGATATTCTTTCATGTTATCTTCTTGAATATTATTGCTTTGCCTTTTGTATTTACACATCACAGCTCACATGGAATTGATTTTTCTGTACTGTTGTAAATCAGGAGATCATACATTTGGCCCAGTTGTTTCAACATTCTCTCTCTGTTCCATTGTTTCTACTTGGTCCTGCATCAATACCACACTGTCTTATTTACTGTAACCTCAAGATAAATCTTGAAATCTGGCATTTTGAGTTTTCCTATTTTGTTATTCTTCAAGAATTGCTTAACTATTCTTGGCCCTTTGTGGTTTCATGTAA
The DNA here is from genome assembly GCF_000001405.40 of Homo sapiens. NCBI lineage: Eukaryota > Metazoa > Chordata > Mammalia > Primates > Hominidae > Homo > Homo sapiens. The sequence goes on from NC_000006.12 coordinate 132,073,171, forward strand.
ATTTAGTACCAGATTTTCATTTTGGGTGTGTGAATCCCGAATATCTGGGACAGAGCTCAGTTAATTTAGAAAGTTTATTTTGCCGATGTTGAGGACAGACGCTCATGACACAGCCTCAGAAGGTCCTGATGACTTGTGGCTAAGATGATCAGGGCACAGCTTGGTTTTATACATTTTAGGAAGACATGAGACATCAATCAATATATGTAAGATATACATTGGTATCAACCAGAAAGGTGAGACAACTTGAAGCAGGGAGGGGGCTTCCAGGTCACAGGTAGTGACAGACAGATGGTTGCATTATTTTGAGTGTCCGATTAGCTTTCCAAAGGAGGCAATCAGATACGCATCTATCTCAGTGAGCAGAGGGATGACTGAATAAAATGGGAGGCAGGTTTGCCCTAAGCAGTTCCCAGCCTGACTTTTCACTTTAGCTTAGTGATTTTGGAGCCCCAAGACTTATTTTCCTTTCACAGGTCAAAATTATTTATTAAGAGTTTACTGAATTTGTAAATTAATTTAAGGATATTGAAACTTTTGCAGTATCAATTCTTCCAATCCATAAGGATTTACTGAAATCTTTTAAATTTCTCCCAGAAATGTTTTGTAGTATTGTATGGAGGTCTTATACATGTTTTTTAGATTTATTCTTGTGTATTTAATTTTATTTCTTATAAATGTTATCTTTTTAAAATTACATTTTCAACTGGCTTTGCTAGCATATATAAATACAAATGATTTTTATATCCTGCAACTTTGTTAAATCCACTTATTAATTCTATCATTTTATCTGTAAATATTTGGATTTTTTACATTCACAATCATATTTTCTAGTTCTTATGTGTTTTATTCTGTTTCCTTTCATTAATTAACAAGGTAGTGAGTATAGTTGGTTTTAGAAAACATCTTAGTTTTGTTTCCAAAATCTGGCGTAAGCTTTCAACATTTCACCAGTAAGCATTATGTTTGCTGTAGGTTTTTTCTTAGACAAGTATTTGCAGTATTGCTAGTTTGCTTAGAGCTTTTATAATGGATTGTGGTTACATGTTATCAAAATTTCTGCTCAATTGTTTTGTCTTTTGTACCTTTACTGTTCCTTACACCCAAAAGGTACAACTGTAGTCTTGTGCTGGAGTAAGGTGGAGCAGTCATCTGTCTTGTCAACATGGGGGTGGTTTTAAATGTCTAACTAGTCTAACTATTTCCTTAAAAGACTTGTATCTAATCTTCCTGTTTATAGTTCCTCACACCCCGTCCCCATGCATTTTTTTTTTTTGAGACAGGGTCTGGCTCTGTTGCCCAGGCTAAGATGCAGTGACATTACCATAGCTCACCACAACCTTGAACTCCTGGGTTTAAGCTACCCTCCCACTTCAGCCTCCAGAGTAGCTGGTACTACAGGTGTGTGCTGCCATGCCCAACTAGTTTCTGTGTTTTTTGTAAAGATGGGGTTTCTCCATGTTGCCTAGGCTGGTCTGGAACTCCTGACTCCAGTGATTTGCCTGCCTTGGCCTCCCAAGGTGCTGGGATTATAGGAGCTGCTGCACCAGGTCCCTGCCCCCATGCATTTTTGTACTGCCACTTCTGAGTATTTGATGCCATTTTTTTTTTTTTTTTTCCAGACAGAGTCTTGCTCTGTTGCCAGATTGGAGTGAAGTGGCGCGATCTCAGCTCACTGCACCCTCTGACTCCCTGATTCAAGTGATGCTCCTGCCTCAGACTCCCAAGTAAGCTGGGATTACAAGCATGCACCACCAACCCCAGCTAATTTTTTGTATTTTTAGTAGAGATGGGGTTTCATCATGTTAGCTGGGATGGTCTCAATCTCCTGACCTCATGATCCGCCTGCCTTGGCCTCCCAAAGTGTTGGGATTACAGGCGTGAGCCACTGAGCCCAGCCGATGCTTTTAACTCTTTATAGTTTTGAGGGTCCATGTCATGAATCAGCTTTTTCCTTTTTGGCTTCCTCATTCCTCTCCTCCTTTACCCCAGCTCTGTTGACAATTAGTATTTAATTTCTATAACTTGCCATATTATTTACCTTATTCCTTCTGCTTTCCACCCTCCAAAATTTTTATTCATTCATTTGACAAATGTTTTTGAGTTAGGATTGACAGATTTAGCAAGTAAAATTACATGACACCAGTTAAATTTGAATTCCAGGTAAACAACAAATAGATTTTTTTTTTAGTACAAGTATGGTCCAAATATTACATGGGACATACCGTGGGACATATTTATACTAAAAATTTATCCACTCTTTATCTGAAATTCAAAGCTAATTAGCCTTCCTGTATTTTATCTGACAACCTTATTATGAGTATCTATTGGATTAGCTGTTGTTGCAGGTATAGGTACTATAGTGGAGATAAAAACTGTTAAAAAATCCCTGCTGTCAGGAGCTTACATTTGACCGGGTAAGATATTACACATAATAGGTAAATCATATAGTGTGTTGGAGAGTGATAAACACTATCAAAAAGAAATGAAGTAGGCAAATGAGTATCAGATATATATGGAGTGAAATTTTTCTTTAGATGTGTTAGAAAGAATGTCAAAGTGAGAGTGAAATTACAGCAGGTACTTTAGTTGAATAAGTTTGTGGGGGAAGTGTTTTCTAGGAAGAAGGAGCAGCATGTGTAACCAGAAGCAGCAATGCAGCTAGTGTGCTCATGGCAGGAGTGCAGTTAGTGGTCCCAGTGGATTAGCAAGGGCAAGAGCAGTAAGATGAGGTCAGGATGGGAACAGGAATACAGACAAGGTAGGGAGCATTGGGGGCTGTTGTGAAAATTAGGCTCCTTTGAATGAGGCACAAGGGTAGTATTTAAATACGACAGATATTGTTAAAAGACAAACCTGCACATGTACCCCTGTACTTAAAATAATAGTTTAAAAAAGTAGTAAACCCTATAATTTATATTTGTATAACCTCAGCTTCAACAACATGGAGCAATGAAAATTTATTCTTATATCTCCTTTAAGTAAAACATTTTTCATTTTATTTTTATATGTCACCATTTGGTTATCCATATTATATAAATATAGATTGCTGAACAGTGTATTTTAGAATTCTAATAAGCATTAAGAATTTTTTTTTTTGACAGAGTCTTGCTCTGTCGCCCAGGCTAGAGTGCAGTGGTGCGATCTCAGCTCACTGCAACCTCTGCCTCCTGGGTTCGAGTGATTCTCCTGCCTCGTCCTCCCAAGTAGCTGGGATTACAGGCGTGCGCCACCACACTTGGCTATTTTGTATTTTTAGTAGAGACGGAGTTTCAGCACTTTGGCAAGGCTGGTCTTGAACTCCTGACCTCAAGATATCCACCCACCTCAGCCTCCCAAAGTGCTGGGATTACAGGCCTGAGCCACTGCGCCCGGACAAGAATTTTTTTTTAAGGAGACATGACATTGTTATAAGAAGTGATCTGGCAGCTATGCTGAGAATGGACGGTAGTTGATCAGTGGAGGCCAAGGAAGAGATTGCTGCAATAATCTAGGCAAGAGTTGATGGTGGTCATGACTACTGATATAGCAGAAGTGATAGTAGTGGAAGTGGTGTGAAATGGCTCATGTCCATGTAACACATGTGATTCAATTAGAATTTCCTTGTTGTATTTGGTTTCTATGGAGAGAGATTATTTTTTATTCCTGTCACTGCAATATGATATCTATAAATTAACTTCCACATAATTAAACTAGTCCATTTTGGTATTTTAGAATGACTGGTAATAATCATCGAAGAACTTTTATGTGCCCCAAAAGAGATACTGCACACCCTACCTAAGTCTATAAGGAATTGGAAAGCATCTAACGAATTGAAACAGATATTTAAAGTTTTTCATTGAGAAGTGTGATGAAGGTTCATTAAAAGAACTGGATGAATGCATACATTATTAAAATCAGTATTTTGTTAATTAGCATTTTTTCTGTTTGAATATGGCAAGCCAGAGTTTTATGCTATTATTGGCTACCCACTGGACTTTTTTTTCTGTTTTATAGAAGAATGTCAAACCTTAACTGGATTTGTTTATTTCTTTTAGGTATTTCCTATATCTTCCTGTCTTTTCCATGGCCAAAAATGATCAAGTAAAGAACATTAAAGAAGAAATAAATTACTACATATTAAAAAATACATACTGTAAGATGTTCTTTGTACAAAAATGTGACAACTTCAATAAGAGTAACTTGGACAACCTGAGGCATTAATTGAGGATCAATATGATGACTTTACATTGAGAATCACATATACCCTCTGAATAAATTTAAAAAATGAAATTTTTTAATTTTCATTAAAAATTAAATTTTTTTGAGTGATGAAAATACTCAATCACATTATTTTCAAATTGTTGATAAGCATGGAAATTATCAGAGAACCAGAATATTCAAGGTTTATCTTTCCTGTTTTTGTCTTAAATCACAACTATGTGTTAAATAATTTGTATGACCTATTTCAGTGGCAGTAGGTTAAATAAAATTCTGTTTGTATCTCCTGTTTTTTGTTTTAAATTTATTATTATTATGCTTTAAGTTTTAGGGTACATGTGCACAATGTGCAGCTTAGTTACATATGTATACATGTACCATGCTGGTGCGCTGCACCCACTAACTTGTCACACACGTAATGTATCTCCTGTTTTTGTGCTTCTCAAATTGAAGTCACTGAATCCTCAAGAATTCATGCTAGGTTGCCCTAGTAGTTGATACTCCCGGATGAACAACGTGGAACTTCCTGGAGAATTCATCTTGTTAGAATTAGAATTTTTTGTGAACACTCTATATATTTAAGCCAATATATTTTGATATGGAAAACAAAATGTGCACAAAGGAGACGTAAAAGAAATTTCCACCTGCCACAGATCCCCTTGGGCTATACCTCAACCCAAGACCCTACGTGTGCCATTTTCTATTCGGTCACCTTGTTAGAAATATTTAAGAAGCTCTTTCTGGTAGTTCACAAAAACAGTTCCTGTGGTGCCGGCCCATTCTGCAGATTCCCCGGGTTAGATGCTGATGATATCATATTCCATGGCTCTTGTAAAAGTGCCAAATATTTTAGAATAGCCTGCAGAGCACAATGTAAATGTGCAATTATCCTAAGTTTCTCAGTCTTCCTTTTTGCCAGAATATGCCTACTGTTGTCTCGATTAAATGACTTTGGATGTTTTCAGTCCTATGCAAAAACAATATTAACTAATATGAATTTAGAGCTTTTTATTGCATAAAGAGCCCCCTCTGTATTGTTGCATTTAAGCATCGCAGCAACCCTCTGAGTTAGGTGTCATTCTCATCCTCTTTGTTGACGAGAACCTGAGTACAAACTGCTCAAGTTATGTCCTCAAGATCACACAGCTCAAAAGAGGAATATCCAGGATTTGAAACCAAATGGTCCTCCTGAGAGGTCCCACCTTTACATATTACTCTATTCTTCTTCTGGAATCATGAGGGGATAACATTCTTTGTTAAAAGGGCAAATAAAATATTTATAATCATGTCAAACAGGGTTGATTTCTGCCATGTGACATGATTCTTACTTAACTGGTGGGACTCCAGCAGCATACTGCAATCAGCTTATAAACAGCATTGACTTACACATACTCAGAGGTACACACTCATCCCAAACCAAACCATAAAGTTGATGGAATTTGTATTCCTTTTCATGGCCCTCACCTTCCACATTCTTGACCTTTCTTGCTACATTATTCCCAATTGCTTTCTAACCTTCTCCTCTTGTATAACCAGAAGAGAATTCGATGCCAGCCTTTATAGTGTGGCAGATGGATTCCACATTAGGTTGATGCAGATGAATTTCAGTCATCTGCATTATATCAACCAAGCATCTTCATTCAAGCCTTTGGTTTTATCTCTGAAGGAATAAATTTGAGTTCACTGGAATAATTCAAGGCTTTTATTTTATCTCTAATTGAATGATTTGAGTCCATTCAGTAACCACATGGCAAGATAATTTGAGGGTGGGAGGCCCTTGAAATACTCCATCTCTTCACAAGTTACTCTATTTAATGAGACTATGTGAGGGTATAGATGGCCTAAAGGAATGACACTGCATAATTTCTTTCCTTGTTTAGAGGTACTCTCCTTTGGTAGAACTAAGGCTAACAGTGGTCCCACAGTTGCTGCAGCAGGTATTTTCCAAGAGTTTCTGGGGGCAGAAAGGTACAAACCCCATTGTTATCATTGTTTTCCAAGATTGGGCCAGGTATCTAGGGCACCTGCATTCCTTCTAGACACTCAGCCCACCATCACCACCTGTACAGAGCCTTCCAGGTCAAACAAGCCATCTGTGCATTCTGACATTGTGACATTATGATAAGCAGCATTGAGTAGAAGCTTTTACAGAAATGTGACTCTTGTGACATCCTGGAATGTTATGTGTTTTGTATTTGATCTCTGATAAGAAGCTACTGAAAACAAAACTCTCTTCCTTATTAAAATAGGTGCTGCAGGCCGGGCGCGGTGGCTCACGCCTGTAATCCCAGCTCTTTGGGAGGCCAAGGTGGGCGGATCACGAGGTCAGGAGATCGAGACTACGGTGAAACCCTGTCTCTACTAAAAATACAAAAAAAAAAAAAAATTAGCCGGGCATGGTGGCGGGCGCCTGTAGTCCCAGCTACTCGGGAGGCTGAGGCAGGAGAATGGCGTGAACCTGGAAGGCAGAGTTTGCAGTTAGCCGAGATAGTGCCACTGTACTCCAGCCTGGGCGACAGAGAGACTCCATCTCAAAAAAAAAAAGAAAAAAAATAGGTGCTACAGTGAACTTTTACTTAGATTATACTCAGTTTTTTATCTGTTTATAATCTCCCACCAGACTCATAGAAGTCAAGAACTAATTTTTTTTCTTTACATCCTCTGTACTAAGTAGAATACTTGGCAGAAAGAGAGGGAGACAGAGTGCTAAGTAAATGTGGAATGAATTAATTAATGAATGACAGACTGAATAAGTATATTTATGTTGAATCTATATATAACTAAATTCTTCCAAGATCAGACGATACTGGGTGCGTTCAGGGTGGTATGGCCTTAGATGAACTTTAACCTCTATAGAAGTATGCATAGAATAATTCTCCAGTAGGTTTTATGGAATACCATAAAGTATCCTACAGAATTAGGCAGCAAAATTTGTGCTACTAGAATAAGATACAGGCCTAGGTAAAAATAATCACATTTATCTACAAAAATTTAGGATTTAGGTTATAAATACTTAGAACATTTTCCTGAACAAGTCCCAGTTGTTGAAACATTTTAAGAGTCCTGTAAAAATTTCAAAAAAATGCTTTTCTTACTCATGGCCTAAGTTGTATTAAAGAAAGCACAGTGGCCCTTCATCACTTATCACATAGGGTTTTAGTCCTGTTTGGATTATATATAACTTCACTCTACCCTTCCAACATAATATCCTTTCATTTCCCAACATGTGGCCTTTCTCCATGCACACCAGTACCCTCAGTAATCTCTTCTTATTCACCATGTTGGGTTCTGTATGGGCTTTGGAAATTCCAGTCTTCCCCTTTGTATAACCCCTCCCCAACCCTTTCTCAATCTTCTGCAATCAGCTTCTACTTACGTTCAGGGTCCAGCTCAAGTCTTTCCTTCGCCATGTCTAATTCCCTGACAACTCTTGACTTCCTATTTGTTCTTTTGCTGAGTCCTAGTACACATATTATTAGTGTCACAGTCACAACCTTATTTCATCTCTCCTTGCCCTGTTTTATTAATTTTATGTACACATGTAAACTCTTTGAGGGAAGTGATTGTGTCAAAACCTCTGAGTCCCCTGCAAAACCAAATAAAATGCTAAGCACATAAAAGGATACTCAGCAATATTGCTTATGAGAAAATAATAAAGGTTTATTTTTTAATGTTTTATAGACCTCTTCACTGATACCGTTTATACTCATTTTTTTCTCATTTTGTCTTCTCCAAAAATTAAAAATATTTGTCAAACTTCTTATGACCTTTCATATCTTCATGCTATGTCTTTACCAAATGATATCCTAAGTTGTCTGAAAGGACATTTTGTCTTCCTGTTTGGAAACTTCCTCCACATTCTTCCCCGAGACATCAACACTTCTTTTGGAAACACTCTTTGTATGGTTTCCCTTCTCGGCATGCAAAAAGCACAGTCTGTATGTTAAAGGGTTTTCACAACTTTTACATTGTGGTATGTCTGAAACCCAGGAAACTATATAGCCACGATGAAATAGATAAACAAGGAGTATACTGAAGATACTCTTAGTGGAGAGACTATTTTCCCAACTTTTCATTTAGAGATAAAAAGTGAAATGAGTAAAGGACTGAAAGATAACCTGTAAGTTTCAACCAGCACTTTTCCAGGTATAAGAGAGAATGTGAAATTGCTGACATTGGTTTTTAAAAGTTTAAACAAATAAAAGGAAATAGTACCTGTAATAGTGGCTTTTAACTGAAATTAAGATCAAAGCTCATCCTTCCCAAGTATAAAGTGCAAGCTTTCAAGATTGTTCTAATTTTTATATAAGACAACTTACTAATTATTGTCTGCTTTTTACTGGCTCATACCTCTCTGTGCAGTTACATCCATTTGAAATGTCTGTATATGTGGGGGAAAAGCATATTTTAATAGCTTTTGCTTGTAACTTGGTAGTATGACTATTTTCAGTTATTTCCATTTGTTTAGCAGCCGAACTGCTTTAATATTAATTAGAAAGGTCAGTCTATTATTCAGATCCCCACATGGCTTTATACACCGCACCTTCTAACATGACTTACTGTACTTCTCATCTATCATAAGGTACCATGTTGTAGGTATTTGGTTTCTTGATTTAAAACCTAAAGAGTTCCAGATTTTAAATGATCTCTGTCTACTTTGACAAGGGAAAATGGACTAAAGGTGTCTCTTTCTATTTTTCTTTTTCTTTTGAGACAGAGTCTCATTCTGTCGCCCAAGTTCAAGCAATTCTCCTGCCTCAGCCTCCCAAGTAGCTGGGACTACAGGCGGGTGTCACCATGCTCAGCTAATTTTTTTTGTATTTTTAGTAGAGGTGGGGTTTCACCGTGTTAGCCAGGATGGTCTCGATCTCCTGACCTCGTAATCCACCCACCTCAGCCTCCCAAAGTGCTAGGATTATAGGCATGAGCCACCGCGCCTGGCTGCCTTCTCTTTCTATTTTTTGTATGAGGAAACTGTAAAGGTAGACTGACCTCCAGTATGGATCTGGGTCACTTTGAAACTCTGCCTTTACATTTTCTGCTTTCTAATTATTCTGCTCTTCGAATTTCCATTGTATTTTTTAAAGACACGTGGGTCAAGATGGCTTTTGATAAAGAATTTCTATTCTTTAGATTTAGACTTTATAGGTACATGAGTCAATATCATGAGTACAATGATTAACCACATTGTATGTAATTCTCAAAATGTTTATTTTATTTGGATATTTTGGTTGCAGATGGCACAGCCTTACTGAGTAATTAATTGGCCAGGAGAAAAATGACCTCTTAGGGCTGGATTGATGAGGGTCATGCTAAACATCCCAAATGCCATGAAACAGAAATGAGCTCACTTCAATAGAAATTATTTGAAGAGTATATTGAGATTAGGGGAAAATAGTCATGTGTATATGCTTGTTATAGGAGCAGAGTCAACTTTATAAGCATTTTAATAGCCACTTTGTGTATCTGCTAGACCTGGGTGAGGATGATAATTATTAATAACATGGATGCTGTCATTGAAAGGAAAGAGGAAAGTAAAAGCAGTTTAGAAGATTCAATTTAAAAACAACTTTGTTTAGATACTCTATTAACTTTATGTAAAAATTTCAAGTGCCTGAAATAAAACCTTTGTGTGTGCAAGTCATTAGGGTTTGATTGACACAGTCAGATTGAACTAGCAAAACAAACTTAGTATGTTGCTTTTTTGGAATGTTTCAAGACTCCAATACTACTACTGCACTTATATTTCCCTGATTTTGGATAGGTTTATGTTTCTTAGACCAAGAGCCAACTGAAAAACTCTTAGGATAAGTGTTCAAATAATTTCCTATTTATGATTTCAAGAAAAATGTCATTTGTTACAGATTACAGACATAGCTATTTGGGGGGTATCATTAGAAATCTGATTTTTACTATAAATATGGGCCAGCCTATAATTCAAAACTCTTTATCATACTGTTCAAAATCAAACATCATTTAACATCATTTTTGTGTGTTTAGATATTTCTATATATCATCAGCTCTGAATACTTTCTTTATTCTAACATGCTTCAAAAGATCCAGAATTACTAAAATGGTATACATTCAGAAATGCACACAGCTTACAACCTTCTAATGGCAGAACTAGGGACTCAGGTCAAAAAAAGAATTGCAGTCATGCAAAAACTGGAGATTACTGTCATGTGCAGCTGAGTTTGAGATATGGCAATCTTGGGGAAAGGTAAGTTTTATCTGACTTTAAAGGACATAGAAACTCTTTAGAATCATATTTTGTTACTACAATCAAGAGACATAAAATTTTATCAGGGGCCTTCTCCTTATCTTGTAGCAGGAATGAGAAATATTTCTACACTCAGAAATCAAAACCTCATTATCCCCTCTACAAATATCTGATAACTTACGATAATTAAACCAGGAAATTTTATAATTGTAGCTGTCTTCATGTATTTGTTTCTTACATGCTGCATTGGTTGGTATCCATTCAACAAAAAAATCTGTTTAGGTAATAATACATACAGATCATTTCTCACATCTACATTTCCTTGTATAGGAGAAAAAGAACAAGTCTATCTTCTGAAACTATGTTCCTGTGATGATTTTTTTTTGAGACCGATTCTCACTCTGTTGCCTAGGCTGGAGTGCAGTGGCACAATCTCAGCTCACTGCAACCTCTGCCTCCCAGGTTCAAGCGATTCTCCTGCCTCAGACACCCGAGTAGCTGAGACTACAGGCATGAGCCAGCACGCCCGGCTAATTTTTGTATTTTTAGTAGAGACAGGGTTTCACCATGTTGGCTAGGCTGGTCTTGAACTCCTGACCTCAGGTGATCCACCCACCTTGGCCTCCCAAAGTTTCAGGATTACAGGCATGAGCCTCTCGGCGCAACCCTCTTCCTGAGATTTTTTATCAATGCTATGGATTCAAATTCATGCCTTTTATAATGTGCTTCCACTTGCTTCATGTTGTTGGCCCTTTCTAGGTGTCCTTCTGAACAGACCTTCACATGGATGATATTTGCTCCGGGAGAATGCAGCATGAACACACAGATTTGGTCACAGTAACGAATGCTCCTTTGAAGACCAGCTGAGGAGGCCGGGTGCGGTGGCTCACGCCTATAATCCCAACACTTTGGGTGGCTGAGAAGGGCAAATCACGAGGTCAGGAGTTCGAGACCAGCCTGGCCAACATAGTGAAACCCTGTCTCTACTAAAAATACAAAAATTAGCTGGGTGTGGTGGCAGGAACCTGTAATACCAGCTACTCAGGAGGCTGAGGCAGGAGAATCGCTTGAACCCGGGAGGCAGAGGTTGCAGTGAGCCGAGATCGTGCCACTGGACTCTAGCCTGGGTGACAGAGCAAGACTCCAACTTGAAAAAAAAAAAAGCTGAGGAAAGAAAGATATTATTTTAGCACGTTATTATTACTGATGTCACTTCCTCCTTCTTTGTTTCTTTTGCCTTTTTCTCATATGAAACATCATGTCATTCCTAAAGAGGAGAAACTCACAGGTCAAAAATGTAAGGCTTTCTCTGTGTCTGAGAGGAAAATGTTGTCATTTAAAATAAAATACCTCCTACCAAGCAGAACAGCCTTCCTGAGTATTTCATTCCTGGGACTGTTTGCATTCTTTCTCAGTGAGCTACAGTGATAGGCATCAGAACCTATTTATAACAGGAAAGAAGAGATATTAAACTATTCAGTGCTATGTTAAGAATAAAACCCTCAAGTAATTGGATGGAATTTCTATGTGCCTCTTCCCAGCAAGCATCCCTTACCCTTTTGGGGGAGACATGGCTATATGTCAGGCCTGTGAGAACCCAATGCAGGAACAGCATGTGATATGAAAATGGAAACTGTCAGATTGAAACCATACATGGCGAAGTCAAAAAGAGACTCTTTCTTGCACTGTTTCAGAGGTATGCTGGGGTTATTTCAGTGCTGTAAGAATAAATAGAACTTGAGGCACTTTGGAGGATAATGTAAAAGTATGTGAGAGGACTCTGCGAATTTTCCCAGGCAACATCTCCCAGCCAATTGTCTTCTAGCTTTCACTCTGACCTTAGAAAACATGATTGCTGTGCAATAGGGTCTGTGCCTTTTGTAAGCGCACCCAGACTGGCCTGCTTGTTTAAAGACATGAGGGAAGCTTCTGCCTAATACTGTGTTCCTTAGGATTGTGAGGACAGAAGTACCAAAACCAAACAAAAAGAAACCAACAAGACAACCATGAAACTCCAAACACAAGACAACATTGTAAGTTACTGGATAACTAACGATAAACTACACAAAATCATAGAATGCATGACCAGGGTAGGAAACTAAAAAATCCTCAGTCCAAGCTCCTCTTTAGCAAAGGAAGAGAACAAGACAGAAACTAAAATACCTTGCCCCATAACCTGGCCAATTATAACAGAATTGAAATCACTTCTTATAGCTTCCTGTCTCTGAGTGCAAGGATGCCTTTCATTGGGAAACGCAAATCAGTAACAGAATTACAAATGGAAAGCATGTCACGTGGTGGTGCTGCAATGTGTCCAATCCTTTGGCAGTCCCTAGACCTCCCAATTCTGCAGCCCCTGTAGCTATGCAGCAGCCACAGATAAGCCACGGTGTCTTGGTGGTGCAAGTACCCAGGCTTGGGACAGCCCCAGGAAGAATAAAGTAACCGGGCATTTTTAGGGATAAAAATAGCCATTCAAATTAAAGAGAGGGTGGTGCTGGTGCCGTGTAAAATAGACAAAGATACAAGTTTAGGTAGTAAAAAAAGATGATTGATGGGAGGTGACAGTCTTTCCCTTGTATTATTTATTTGTCTAGCATTGAGATGTCCTCTTTCAATTACACTGGCTTTTAATACTATGAGAATTGGCTGTTTAATAGCAAATTTTTTAAACTCTGGAATATGCCTTTCTAGCTGAAATTGTATATGAGAAATACACTTTTTTCTATAAAAGTATTTATTTAAGTTGATATTCTGGCTTTCCTGTAGAAACAAAGTCATGTCCACGTGGCCCTCAGTGTCCCAGAACTTCAGTATGGAGGATGGTGCTTTCTAGTGCTTGCATCTCTTCTTCATGCCTGGGCATGACAGAAAGAAACTTTTCTTCTAATTCACACTGCTAAGCCATCAGACCTACATTAGAAAATAATTATTAAATCTATATCAGTCTGTGTTATGAATTTGGGTCTTCAGTCTGTTTTCCTAAACTCTCCTTTTTGGTAACTTGATACAGCAAACATGTTCAGAATGAAGGAGAAAGGAAAAGCTAGATCAACCCTTTGGTTATCCTGGGTTTTATCTTAGCAGATTTTTGAGTGGATCAAATGAAATAATACATGTAAATTTGCTTTGGTAAACTTTAAAATGCTGCAACAATTTAAGATCCTATAGTGACTTTAAACATTAACTCGAGGAAGTTTGTTTTAATTGACAGTGTTAAAATATATAAAGAGATATATACGTATCAGAAAATAATAAGCCCAGGCATGATGGCTCATGCCTGTAATCCCAGTGCTTCGGGAGGCAGAGGTGGAAGAATCACTTGAACCCAGGAGTTCGAGACCAGCCTGGGCAGCATAGTGAGACTTCATCTCTGACAAAAATTTAAAAACCTAGCCAGACATGATGGTGTATGCCTGTAGTTCCAGGTGCTTGAGAGGCTGAGGCAGGAGGATACCTTGAGACTACGTGTTCAAGGCTGCAGTGAGTCTAAGGCACATCAGCCTTAGTGACAGAGTGAGGCCCCATTTCTTAAAAAAAGAAAAAAAAGAAAGAAAGTATACTAATGGCACATGTGTTGCACTAGTAGCCAGGCACTGACCTCAGTATGCATACTGATTATCTCACTTGATCTTATTAACCTTGTAAGGGGAGTACTATTATTATTATTATTTCCACTTTAAATGTGAAAGTTAAGGCTCAAAAAGATCATACAACTAATAAGTGGCAGAGCCACAGACATTTATAACTCCAGAATATATGCTTCTGACCACTAGGCTCTAATACATGAAATAGAAGTGATATATTTCATTGTACTGTAAAAACACTTCGTATATAACTTTATCATTCTGCTGATCATATGCTAAGCATATCAAGTTTTGTTTGGTTAGGCTTTCTTTCATTTTAATGACAAATCTTGGAAGACAAACTATGCTATGTTCTTTATGAAGGGAGCTCAGAACAAAATAGGCTGTCATTAACTGGCAAACACCAGTGATTCATGTGAAAGACTATTATCTTTGGTGAAAGAAGGAGTGCTAGGCTAAGGACCGGGAGCCAGGAATCTGCCATTTCCTGGCTGTGAAATTTATGTAAGCAATATTACTGGAATACATAGCCTACACATCCTTTCTAGCTCTGAAATTCTATGGTTCTCTTATAGAGCCCTTCAATTGAAGATCAGGCATTGTCTATGTAAAAGGCGCATGTAATTCAAATCACAGGGAAAAATGTTTTATACTTGGTTGTGTTGATGGCTGTACAACTCTGTGACTATACTAAAAGCCATTGAATTGTACACTTTAAATGAGTGAGTTTTATGGTATGTGAATTAAATCTCAATTAAACATATGATAGCATATAATATAAAATAAAACACGCACACACACAAGTACCATCCTCCCATTTAAACATTATTTGTCATGAAAGCAGCAGCAGCCAATTGATATTAAAATGAATAAAGTGAAATATTAAAGTAAAAATGTAATAATATGTAATACAAATTACTCTGATAATTGTCAGTGTGATATAAGAAAAGATTTATCTCATGAAGAAAATAAATATGGTATGCTTTCTGGAATAGAGCTTTGAACATCTCTTCTCCAGAATTGCCCCTAATATCAGCTTTAGTGCAGGGCTGATGCCACAGAAATTGTTCGTTATGTTCAGTTGCACTTACACAGAAGGTGTTCTACCTCAAGAGTGAGGTTGTTTTGAATGTCAGCTCAATTGTCCCGACTCCACATTCTGCAATTTCTTTTCATGTTTCTGTCATTCTCCTTCTCATTTTACAGCTAAAGAAATGGAGCAGAGAGGGATAAATTATTTATCCTTGGTCACTCAGAACTTCAGTCAGAGTCTAGATGCACACATTGCTACTAAATGGCACAATGATAAAAAGACACTCTACCTTGCAATATTTTAATTTAACACAATAATGACTTATATAGACATATACTCAAAACTTATCCTACATTTTTGGATTCAATTATTACTGCCCGGGCCAATTGCTAGTGCATAGTTTTGTTTGTGGGCCTTGAGTTTACCCAGCCCTCTTTTTTGCCCTTATTTACAACAGAACTTGAGAGTATAAATATAGATAATCACCACTAGAAATAAGAATGAGTAGGTTCAATTTATAAATGAAGAATACTGTCTATTCCTCTTTTCTATCCACACAGAAACCCAAAGTAAAGAAACACACAGAAGCACACACAAAGTAACTAAATTTTCTCCAAACATCTAGGTTTTTCTTACATCTTAGAGCTCACTCTGATAAGAGTGTTCTAAGATTTCTCCTACTAAAGTAAAAATTGAGTCAGAAAACTCCTGATTCTTTTTGTGAAACGAGTGTCTTATTACTGAACTAAGAAGATAGTTTTTCTAGTATTAACGTCGTGTACAGTTTTGGTGTCAGGTGTCACATTGCCTCTCTGGAGATTCTTCCCCTTCACCCAGCGGCAATATCACAAAGAAGGAAGCATGTTTCTGCAAAAACAAAACAAACAAACAAAAAAAAACTCAGAGTAGTTTTGCAAATAGTGATAATATAATGTGGATGCAGTATTGAATATCGCTCACCAAGAATTCTGCACACATTTCATTTTTAGGATGGGAAATTTCTATTTAGTCTATGGCTTTGTGTGTGACTGTGAGCCAGTTTCTTATTCAGAAGCTGAGGATGGCTTATTTTTTTTCCATCTTGATTATTTTCTTGGGATTTCTGGCCATCCTGTTGAAGCGCCTGCTGCTAGCAGGTGGGTCTCATCAGCATCTAAATGCAGGGATTGAGATGCTCTATAAATGCCTGACTAAGGAGGTTAGAGAAACTTTCCTCTTCTACAAATACCCGCAGGATACAAGACCTCAAAAATGTATGCCTAGTCTTTGTAGACATTTCTGTAGAATATTTTTTTCTCTTGGGATTCTTGCCACATTTCCCTCAAGCCTTTTAAAAATGATTTTTTTTTCATGTTTGAGACTAATTTTTCCCATTGTAGGTGAATATTATTTAAGGAGCAGTTATTTTTAGACATGAAACTAATGAAACTGGAAAAAGTACAAACATACCTTTATCACAGGAGAGATCTTCATATAAACCCTTTTCTCTCTTATGTTATATATCATGGAAGAAAACTTTCATGATGTGCCAGTGTGAAGACTTGATATGGGGTGAACTGTGTACTTCCCAAATCCATATGTTGAAGCCCCACCCCCTCAGTGTGATGGCATTTGGAGGTGGGGCTTTTGAGAAATAATTAGGTTTAAATAAACTCATGATGATGGGGCCCCCACAATGGGATTCGTGCCCTTGTAAGAAGGGACACTGGGAGCTTATGCTTGGGTGCTTGCATTCTCTCTCTCTTTCTTTCTCTCTCTTGCATGTGGGGACACAGGGAGAAGTCCACCATTTACAAGATAGAAACAGCTCTCACCTGAAATAGGTGAGAAACAGCTCTCATTCTGCCAGACCTTGATCTTGGACTATCTAGTCTCTACAACTGTGAGAAAATTAATTTCTCTTATTTAAGCCACCCAGTCTATGGTATTTCGTATGGCAGCCTAAAGTGACTAAGGGGCTTTCCATATAACAAATATCTATGTAAATATGACTTGGTTACTTTGGGTACTTTGGGTACTTGTTTACTTGGGTACTTTGATTACAAAGTAGCCAACCTTAATTATCCATTAAAAAATCCACTGCACAAAATATCAAGAGGTTATAGCTGAAGAAAAAAATGTAGCATATTTTGTCCCATAAAATGTTCATGTTTCTCTAACAGGTTAAGAGATTCAGTCACAAAATACTAGGACTCAGAGAGTTTATTGTATTTTACTTTCTTTTACCTCCTCCAGAGAGTGCTAAACTCAGAAAGGCAAAACAAGGTTAGAATGAAGCCCATGCAAAGAAAATATGGACCTGAAGAAAAACAAGCTATGGACTATCTTCTGTCTCATGCTAGCAGTGGAATAGGAAAAGGACTCAAAAGACTTCTACTGGCCATAATGAAGTACCTGTTACTATATTTGCTTTCCTACCATAAGCAACTATAAAACTGGACAATATATAGGCAACTGATCTCATGCATTTCAAGCAGCACAGGATTCTGATAATTAACAGAAGGAAAGCACATGAGGTGAGCTCTGACATTCACCCTACCTTTTGGCCTGGGGATACTTTTCTTATGATGGCACAAAAGACAGAGCCCAAGTAGAATGGCAGTCTAACTAAATTGAGGAGGCAGAGATCAGAGTTCTGGGCTCTTGACACAGCTAAATTTGCAGAGCAGGAAACCAGAAGAGAACTGAGCCTTGTGTGTGTGAAATGGGAGGTGGAGAGGATAGAAATATGCATGGAGGTTCACTCTGGATCCTTAACCAAGGGCTGGGCTGTGTGTGTAAGACCTAGTAGAGTAGCTGCTAAGGGGCTGAGAGAGGAATGGAGATACCAGAGGTTGCTTTGTGCTGGGAAACACTGAAGCTCCAATTCAGCCAGAATAGAGTCCTTATTGCCTTGAGAATTTAATTGAGATCTTAGAAAAGCCATACCTTTTGAGTAAGGACCACATGTTGTGGTAAGGGTCTCATTCTAAGACTAAGGATCAAACCAAAATAGACCTATGATTATAAAGAGTAAGACCAAACTTAAGGAGAGCAAAAAGTCCTTCTAGTAATTTAATTACCTGTCAGAATAAAAGGCATTCCCCTTTAAAGAAATACAACATAATCCAGCCTCCCACAAGTTATAATTATATGTCCACCATATTATAAACAGTTACTTGACTTAAAAAGAAACAAGAAAATGCGACAAATAAACAAGAAAAAATAAATTTGATTAAAACAAAGATGAGTTAGATATCATTCTAAACACATATAAGAATATTAAAAAACTATTATAGATAATGTTTAAAAACTATTGTAGATAATGTTTAAAGACTTAAATGTAAAGATAATCTTAATGAGTGTACAGATAGGGTATCTAAGCACAAAATTGAGACCTATAAAAAAGAAACAGATGAGAATTCTAGAATTAAAAAGCACAATTAAAAGTTCCCTGGGTGGACTTAACAGCAGATTGGAGAAGGTAGAAAATTGTCATTGAACTTGAAAACATATCTGTAGAATTATTCAATCTAAAGAACTCTGAGAAAAAACATTTAATAAATTCACCAAGCCTCCATGACCTGTGGAACACTATTAGGCATCTGTCATTGGAGGGAGATGACAGAGTGGGGCAGAAAACAAATTTGAAGAATTAATAGTTGAAAAGTTCATAAATTTGATGAAAACTATCAAATCACATACTGAAGAACCTTAGCAAAACCCATACAAGATAAATAGAATGAAAACCTAGCAACATTATAGTCAAACTACTGAAACCAAAGATATCAAGAAAATATATATTTTTTAAGTCTTAACTACCGACTTTTGGGAAAGACAATAGATTTTGCACCAGATTCACAATAAAGAAAATGATTTTGTTATAAATCTCAGGGGGAAAGAGCAAAATTAGCTCTCAAAACTCACAAATATTTCAATCTATTTCATCATGATAAAGATTAATCAGATAAGGATTCGGAGCAGAGGTCATTACTGATAATAGTTGCATTTTGCTGTGCTATTCTTTTTACCTATATCTTTTGGGAAGCAGGTTCAGCAGCAGGAGTAAGTGGCTATAGAAGGTGTGGGGATTCACTCCTTTGTTATTACCGTCACTGATGGCATTTTTTTTCAAAAGGCTAATCTAGAATAGTTTTATTTCATTTCTTACTTCTAGGATTTATTTAAAATAATAATTGCATCTGATTGAATTACCAAATAATTAAACATTTACTATGTGTCAGGTGCTTTTAATTACATCATGCCATTTGATCCCCATAACATTATTAGAAATAAGCATTATAGTCACTATTTTTACAGTAGAGGACATTGAAACTTAAGAAAGGTTAGAAAAATTTGCCCTAATCATGCAGCTACTTAACTAGGGATTCAAATTCAGTATTATCTAACTCTAAAACAAATGTTTTTTCAGTGTTATACAAATAATTACATAATTACCTGGATTTATAAGGGATTCTTGTTTGTTTTATTTTCTCTTGTATTTTTGGAAAGACGCTTTAAAATTAAATATCTCTTATAGAATTGCTAAGGTAAGAACAACACTTATATAGCCAAATGCTTTGATGTGCTCCATCAGCAAGGAATAGGTAAAAGACTAAGGCAAAGTGCTGATTAGTCAACACTATGAGCTTAATTATTAGGACAGCATTGCTTATGTACGGCTGCAAACATAGAATTATAAGTAATAAAGCTAAAATATAAAATTCTTATTGTCATAACTAAGGACATTTGATTTTTAATATTATATAAAATAATATAGAGATGTGCCACAAATAATATAACAATCATTCATGTGTTGGTCATATTTCAACAAATGCTAACTTTTAAGAATTTTTTTTAATGTTATGTTTTTTTTTTAAATTTTTTTATTTATTATTTTATTTTATTTTATTATTATTATACTTTAAGTTTTAGGGTACATGTGCACAATGTGCAGGTTAGTTACATATATATACATGTGCCATGCTGGTGTGCTGCACCCATTAACTCGTCATTTAGCATTAGGTATATCTCCTAAAGCTATCCCTCCCTGCTCCCCCCACTCCACAACAGTCCCCAGAGTGTGATGTTCCCCTTCCTGTGTCCATGTGTTCTCATTGTTCAATTCCCACCTATGAGTGAGAATATGCAGTGTTTGGTTTTTTGTTCTTGCGATAGTTTACTGAGAATGATGATTTCCAATTTCATCCATGTCCCTACAAAGGACATGAACTCATCATTTTTTATGGCTGCATAGTATTCCATGGTGTATATGTGCCACATTTTCTTAATCCAGTCTACCATTGTTGGACATTTGGGTTGGTTCCAAGTCTTTGCTATTGTGAATACTGCCACAATAAACATACGTCTGCATGTGTCTTTATGGCAGCATGATTTATAGTCCTTTGGGTATATACCCAGTAATGGGATGGCTGGGTCAAATGGAATTTCTAGTTCTAGATCCCTGAGGAATCGCCACACTGACTTCCGCAATGGTGGAACTAGTTTAGAGTCCCACCAATAGTGTAAAAGTGTTTCTATTTCTCCACATCCTCTCCAGCACCTGTTGTTTGCTGACTTTTTAATGATTGCCATTCTAACTGGTGTGAGATGGTATCTCATTGTGGTTTTGACTTGCATTTCTCTGATGGCCAGTGATGGTGAGCATTTTTTCATGTGTTTTTTGGCTGCATAAATGTCTTCTTTTGAGAAGTGTCTGTTCATGTCCTTTGCCCACTTTTTGATGTGGTTGTTTGTTTTTTTCTTGTAAACTTGTTTGAGTTCATTGTAGACTCTGGATATTAGCCCTTTGTCAGATGAGTAGGTTGTGAAAATTTTCTCCCATTTTGTAGGTTGCCTGTTCACTCTGATGGTAGTTTCTTTTGCTGTGCAGAAGCTCTTTAGTTTAATTAGATCCCATTTGTCAATTTTGGCTTTTGTTGCCATTGCTTTTGGTGTTTTAGACATGAAGTCCTTGCCCATGCCTATGTGCTGAATGGTAATGCCTAGGTTTTCTTCTAGGGTTTTTATGGTTTTAGGTCTAACGTTTAAGTCTTTAATCCGTCTTGAATTAATTTTTGTATAAGGTGTAAGGAAGGGATCCAATTTCAGCTTTCTACATATGACTAGCCAGTTTTCCAAGCACCATTTATTAAATAGGGAATCCTTTCCCCATTGCTTGTTTTTCTCAGGTTTGTTAAAGATCAGATAGTTGTAGATATGCGACTTTATTTCTGAGGGCTCTGTTCTGTTCCATTGATCTATATCTCTGTTTTGGTACCAGTACCATGCTGTTTTGGTTACTGTAGCCTTGTAGTATAGTTTGAAGTCAGGTAGCGTGATGCCTCCAGCTTTGTTCTTTTGGCTTAGGATTGACTTGGCGATGCGGGCTCTCTTTTGGTTCCATATGAACTTTAAAGTAGTTTTTTCCAATTCTGTGAAGAAAGTCATTGGTAGCTTTATGGGGATGGCATTGTTTTTTGCTTCAATTTTTAAAGGAAAAAAATAATTACATGTATAACTCCCCTATGTAAGCATTTCCCTCTGTGATACACATTAGTGCTACTCACCAATAGTTATTATTGTTTTTCTTCTAGTATAGATGGGATTGGATTTCTCTGCTCCTTGGGCTTGGGTCTGGCTTGATAAATGGCTTTAGCCAATAAAATATGAGTAGATGTCACATACGTAACTTTCATGTACAATTGCCAATACTAAAATGGAAGAGTCTCCAAAGCTTTCCTCCTTTGTTACTATGGTCTTTAAGGACATGTTAATGTGGAGGTGAAATGTCAAGCCATTGCATTGAGAACAGTTGGCTTTGGTAGCAGACTTCATTGTTTTAAGCCACTAATATTTTGGGGTTGTTTGTTTATCAGCACAATCTAGACTATCCTGACTACAACACCCTCTCAGCACCTCATCAACACCCTCTTGCCCTTCCAAATCAGCAAAGGAAATAAAGGCTACCACTGTCAAAATTCGCCTTTATTTTCTTTGCTGATTTGGAAGTATAGATTATATTTCTTTTCATTTAGTGAACACCTACTACATTTTATTTTACTTACTTAAATATACATTTTTTTCTAACAAAGTAAAGTTATTCAAAATATTTATCTATACTTAAAAATGCATAATATGCTTTGACTATTCATACAATCCCAATTCCATATCATTTCTTATTAACTATTATATAGAATTGTATCTATAATTGTTAAAGTAGAAAATACTCTTAAGCTTTTATCATCTAAACTTTTAAAGATTTGTTCATATTCTGAAATGATAATTTAATTAAGCACAGAATTCTAATGGAAAGTTATTTAACCCCAGTAACTGGAAGATATCACTCCACTTGGTTCTACAAGCTATTGTTACCATAAGATTTGTTTTGTCTTATGAATGTTTTTCATTTATAATTAGTCTTTGTTTTAAAAAAAAATGTATATTTATCCTTGATGCACTGTATTTAGTTTCCTTGCAATGTACCTAAATGTGAATTTATTTCAATTGACCACACATTTCATTTTGCTTTTTGTATACTTTCAATCTCAGAACTCATGTCTTTTTTTAATCCTAGAAAGCTCTCTATTAATAACCTTTTAATCAGTAATACTAGTTCTCATATTGACAATCCATTGATTATGCTCTCCCCAGGTGTGTAAGTGTGCTAAATTTAGAACACAAGTTATTATTCTTTAGGGGTATCTCCAAATGTAAGAATAAAATATGCTCTTGGCCTCACATGGTGGCTCATGCTTGTAATACTAGCACTTTGTGAGGCCAAAGCAGGAAGATCGCTGGAAGCCAGGAGTTCAAGACCAGCCTGTGCAAAATAGCAAGATCCTATCTCTATTAGAAGTTTTTTAAAAAATTAGCCAATAGTTAATTTTGGTGGCAAATGGTAGCACATGCCTGTAGCCCCAGCTACTCATGAGGCAGAGGCAGGAGGATTGCTTGAGCCCAGGAGTTTCAAGCTGTAGTGAGCCTCTGGCCATTCCACTGTACTTCAGCCTGGGTGACAGAGCAGGACCCTGTCTTTAAACAAGACAAAACAAAAAAACTAAACTAAAAAATGCTCTCATGCTGTCTTATTTGTGTAGGTTGTTACAATAACGGTCCTGATACACAATGCCTCTCAGTATCCAAGCTCTTATGTAGTCCTTTCCACACTGACTCTAGGCTTGGTCATGTGATTTGCTTTGTCCAATAGGATATCAGCAAATGTGACATAAGCAGAGGCTGAATATAAGCTTGTGCACTGGGGATGGCCCTGTTGAAACCCTGAGATCACTATCTTACAAGGACTCATGGTCTAGCCTTCCTGACGTAATCCCAGCCAACCCTCCAGCAGAACGCAGCCACAGAAAATATCAGCAGAATCAAGGCAACACTCAGAATTATGAAAAAGTATAATTTCTTGTTGTGTTAAGTCACTGAGTTTTGGAGCTATTTTTATATAACAATAGTTAAGCAATACAATGTCTGATTTTTAAATCTCTCCCTCCCAATAATATGTTTCAAATTACATACAAATTTTTGTACCTAATTAAGATGATGGCATACAAAACAAGCTTTTCAGATTTTGCAACTTATGTTTTGTTATTCCTAGAATGAAGTCATAGTATTCTGGGGTACAATTAATCATATTATGAACTTATGTCAGACTCAAGATCTGAACTCAGGAAAAAAAAAGGAGCAGATTAAATATATAAATTAAACAATGTTGAGGGCATGGAGAGAAATCAAGATTACGTTGTTATAGGTAGAAAACTGTTCATTTGAAAATGCCATGCCTCTGAAGAAAACAACAGGGTGATGTTGGGAGGTGTGGTGGAAGATGTGAGTAGTAATTACCGTTGTGATTTTCATTCCCTAAGAAATGAAATCCAATTTTACATGGAAAAGGCACATGGTTGCCTCTCATGTTTACATGGAGACTTCCCGTCATAGTTCCTTGGAAGCCATGTGTCTAACTTAACGATCAGACTTCCAGTTAGTCATTTGCTGGTGTTAAATCTGGCAGAGTGAATTGTACAGTCGAGAAGTGACCACTCTCACGATGGAATTTAGGTAGAACAACTGCAAAGTGTTTTCCAAGTGCTTCCCAAGGGGCATGGATAACTCCCTCCTTAAAAGCAGATTACCTCTTCATTTTTTACTAACAGTGTGTCTATGTCTCTTGAACTCAGGATTATTCTGACTTGAGACTAATGAATATATATACATATATATGTATATATATTTATCTTTGATGCAGTGTATTTAGTTTCCTTGCAATGTAACCAAATGTGAATTTATTTCTCTTGACCAAACATTTTACTTTTTGAACACTTTAAATCTCAGAACTCATGTTTTTTTTTTTTTTTAATTCTAGAAAGTTCTCAATAACCCTTTAATCAGTAACACCAGTTCTCACATTGACAACCCATTGATTAGTTTATGCTCTCCCCAGGTGTGTAAGTGTGCTAAATTTAGAACACGAGTTATTATTCTTTAGGGGTAGCTCTAAATGTGAGTATATATATAAATACATATATATATAAATATATATATATATATGTACACACACATACATTTGTATATTTTTGAGTCAGAGTCTCGCTCTGTCACTCAGGCTGGAGTGCAGTGGGACAATCTTGGCACACTACAACCTCCGCCTTTCATGTTCAAGCGATTCTCATGCCTCTGCCTCCCAAGTAGCTGGGATTATAGGTGTATGCCACCACACCCGGCTAATTTTTGTTTGTTGGTGTTTTGTTTTGTTTTGTTTTGTAGATACAGGGTTTCACTATGTTGACCAGGCTGGTCTCAAACTCCTGAGCTCAAGTGATCTACCCACCTTGACCTCCCAAAATGCTGGGATTACAGGCGTGAGCCACCTTGCCTGGCCGGCTAATGAATATATTAAAGAAATTGAATAAACTCAATTAGGACTGATAAAGGGGGAATCATCTTTACTGAGTAACCTGGAACTTTCCTAAGTACCTGGTTAGGGGGTATAGAAGCTAAGCTAATAGTTAGGTCTACAGCAGTCAAAAGGCTCTTTATTTTTAAGGAATACTTTTATGTGGAAACTTAAATTAGGAAAACGAAGATTATCTTCCTAACAAATTCACAAAAGCAATGAAAGCAAAATAAAAGATTTAAGAGGAGCTGTTTGCACATTTTAGATCCTTATAATCAGTCTGACCATACTTTTATTTATCCCCAGCCAACTTTTAATTTCAACAGATAGAGTTGCCTCTTGTAGTCATGATATTTCCTCTCCAGTAACAAAGGCTTGAGAAATCATAAGAACACTAATAATTAATGCACTGTAGTAAGTAACAAGTAAGCAGTTTTTACCTTCTAGATGGACTGGGGAAGGCTTTCTAAAAAAGATGATAATTCAGTGGGCCTGTAGAGAGTGAATAGAGTTTGCAAGATAAAACATGAGAAGAAAGCATTTCCAGACCAATGAAAGAGACAAGTAATAGCATGAAGATATTGAAACCCCTGCTAAGTTGGGGGAGTCATTTTAGTTGTCTTGCTTAATTAGGACTTAGGATGCATGGACACATTGGGATAGTTATCAAATGCTATTGAAAAGTTTGTTTGGAATAAGATTCTAAGGAATCTTGTCTACCAAAGCAATCCATTTGCTGATCATTTGAGGGAGCCACCAGAGATTAGTAGGCAGAGAAAAGAATAATGAGAATTAGGCATTTTCTAATTTTTCTTTTTTCCCATATCCATATTTTAGGATAATACTGGAGGCTGCCATGGGAGAAGTCTGCACAAAAAGAGCAAGTTTAAGAGCTTCAGGAGTCATAAATGGCTTGAGAAGATTATGCTAGAGATTGAAGCAGATGGAAGATTCTAGAAACAGAAAGCATTCTTTTCATTGGTGTGAGTCTTGAATATAAATGGAAATCAGAGGTCTGTAATAGCAGGCCAGTGTGGATAAGGCAGTAAGGTTTTGAGTCTGAGGAGATGGCTGGGGGCAGTTTGTAGACTTATTGTCAGTCCAGTGTAGAATTTGAGAATATAGCCAGGGCTTAAGGTTCCAGTTTCAAATTAAAGACAAAAGAAATCAGCAATACCAAAATGAAGACAGAAGCCTGGGAATTGTGCCTCAAGATCTGGACTGAGAGGACATTTCTACACAACAGCTCCCCTAAGGGCAGGGCTATGACCGTTGTTGCTAAGCTGTCACCATCTCTCCTTCCCTATTAGACTGGCTTCTGTGGGGTAATTAACCAGTACAAGGATGTATGGGAAGCTCTTCTGAGAAGACCTCACATTAAAACAAAGTGTTGTTATTCAAGCTGGGTCATATTTGGGCACCTTGTTATTACAGCTTTGAGGAGGGATATCAAACTGTCATATTCACCTATGAGTTTAGGATCAGTGGAGGGAAGAGAACAGAAGGGCCACACAGAAGGGGAAGCTCAGGCACAGATGGCCAGCAGCCAGGCTCGCTGTAGAGGTGAGATTATCAAACATGACCATACAAAGGCTGCAGAGGCAAGATGCTTCCAATAGCCAGGAAGAATGTGGGCAGGGGAGAATTTGGTCCATTTGAAGTCAGAATTATACATGAAGACACTTGTAATCAAATAAATGCAGAACATATTTGTAAAGGGAAATAAAGTAGGAGTTAATTTTTTTTAACAAATTATGATTGAAATCTAAAATACCAAGATTAACATTCTACAAGGGTATTAATACAACAATGCCATTTTAACTCAAAGAATGTCTAAATATTTGTACAAAATAGCTGCTTACTGATGCTTGTGAAAAGGAAGAGATTGCTTCCCAGCACACTGTATCAGAGAGCCATGATAATAGCCATAGCTTAAGCAGACAAAGTAAAATGTAAAAATCCAAAAAAGTATCCATCACTACTACCACCACTCTTTAAAAATGCAAAGCTATTATTTATGGTGCATTCCAATTCAGTTAACTTCCTTCTTGCCTTTAAATAGATGCCCCTGACTTAATTGAAGTGTTTTAATTAATAACATAAAAATAACAAATTGGAACTAGAAAATGATTACAAAATAGAAGAAAAGCCTGGGAATGTCAAGAGGTTCTTAAGAATATCAGATAAGTGAGCTCATTCAGTGATAGAACAAGAAATACTAGAGGGATAAGCTGAAAGCTACATAGGACTGAAGTTTTTTAGACTCTACATTTATCAAAGTATTGGGTCAATTTTGTTGTGGACATCAAAAGCTATCTCAAGAAAAAGCTCAAATTATTACACTGCACTGGAATTTTAGTTTATCCATTAAGATTTGTAGGGAGCAAAACAGCAGCTTCCTTGTTATAATGCTGTTTGTCCTAATGAGGGGAGCTTAAGGGAGGCAGAGAGAGAAGCACATACTGTCTTATTTCAATATGAAACCCAAACAGCAAGCAACTGTCTCTTCTACAGAAGTGCAACCTCAAAGAGTTCTGAGAGTTTTTGCCGTATCACAGCTGGGACCTTGTTGTAGTCCAAATTAGTGTGTGTTCCTCAATATCCTAAGGGAGGTTCAGATATCCTTTCAATCATTCTCCTGGAATTCTGGCTTCTGAGAATTTGATATGAAATGGAAATTGACTAACACGAAGAAAAGACAGAAACTTGGCCTAAGGCCAACCATTTTCTTTCCTTAGTACAGGGTAACCATATAACTTATTTTCAAACTTGGACAGACTCCGAAGGGGGCTCTTTTAAGAACTGTGCCAGGACAATGGGAGTCGGTAGCAACTGTCCCAGGTAAATGGAACATATACTCCATTTAGTCATAGAGAATCTATGTCTAATATATTGTTTCTTTAGTTTTTGTATATCTTAGTAGCTAAATATAACTAAATGTAGCTAGTCTTTATAAAGTGTAAGCTTTTTATTCTTTAATACTGTGTGGCTTTGTGAGACTATTTGGTGTCACATAGGCCCTGTACCTCTGAGTTTACTGAGAATAAAAACTTATGATTCAAAAAGTTAAGCAATCATTAACTAAGTAACTCCAAAGAGCCCTAAGAGATCACACAAATATGGATTTCTACTCTATAAGTTTAATTAGTCATAGTACAGAGTGACTTATGAGAAGCCTCATGCCTCACGAATGATGAACGTTGAATCTGTTCATAAATAATAGATTAAACTTTAAATCAATAACCATTAGAGAAAACAGAAATATATTATGGTGAGTTTCATTCATATATATATCTGCCCCTTTCTATATATTTTAATTAAACCAATTTAAGTCATAAATTCTTCAATTATAATTCAGCCATAGGTCCTTTCCTCAAAAACGAAAGATAGTCATCTGGCATTAAAAGAGGAAGAAGGAAGTGATCACTAACAGCTGGAATCAATGATCATATATAAATATAAACCATGGTTCTCGGGGCCACTGTTTGTTTTTGTTTCGTGTTTTTTTGTCAATATTGAAATTGTCCTGCAAAGTCAAAGTCATCTTTCTAAATCTAGTTGCTAATACTATGGCATTCTCTTTTTTGCTATTCTTAGTATTGTAAGAATGTGAACTCAGAACCTATTAATAGAAAGTCTTCCCTTTGGAAAATGGAGCTTAGACCCAGAAAGGAGGGTGCTGCATACCAGCTCTCTGCTCTCCTCCTCTGAACAGTCTCTCCCCTAGGTTTCCCCTCCTCCTCCTCCTCCTCCTCTCCCTGCAGGTTGGTCCCTCCATCTCGTCACCATTCTGACCTCTTTAAATTTCTTTGTATAGAATTTTTTAAATAAAATTTCTTTTTATAGCTAGAGTCCTATTTTTTTCCTCTTTGTTTTGGGCCTAATCTATCAAGTATTAACATATACAGTTTTTCTAATGTGGGAGGAACAAGATTGCTCATTCATTCAACACATTTTGATTGAGAGCCCACCATGTTCCAGATGCAAGGATCAGCAGTGAATAAAAAGACATAAAAATCCCTGCCCTCATGAATCTTAGAGGACAAAAGAAAGCCACTCTCAGGTTCATCAGAAGAGTGTAATATATATATAACAACCCTTCCTAGTACTAAGATTAACTACCTTTATCTTCTGGTATTCATTTCATAATATATGCGGTATTTATGTTACATATGTATGTAAATGCATAGAAAAGTTTGGGAATAACAATAATAAAATAGGTTCATTTTGCATGTGTGTGTTGTATATGTGTGTAATCATACAATACATTCAGTAATTTGCTTTTGGCGTTTAATAGATTTTTTTTCCTTGGTTTTTCATCAAAATATATTTCCCTGTCAGCACATATAAATTTATCTCATCATTTTCATGACTGCTTAGTGAAGATGTGCCTTGTACCTATTGTAGGACATTCAAGGTTGCTTCCAAAATTTCAGTGTTTTGGATAATGCCCCACTGTCTTGCACATATCTTTTGCAAAGATGTCAGGATTCCTGTGGGATTGATTCCCAGTTGCTAAGTCAAAAGAGATGACTATGTTACCTATAGACAAACACTGCATGTTACAGGATGTACCTCAGCATCTGGAGAAAAATGCAACTCAGAGAAAAAGTATTGGGTATGAAAGAAAAACCTCTGTACTAATCTATATAGGGTATGGCTGCATTCCTCCTTTATCAGAAGCAGAAGTCTCTGTTGTCACTTTAACAATGGAAAATAAAGGTACAGAACATAAGAAATAATTGTGTACATTTAGGGGGTAGGATTAAAAAGATGAAGAAACTGGGGGCAGGGAAACTTTTATTTTCACTTTTCCCTTCTATGCCATTTGACTTGTTTATAACAGGTAGGTATTCATTTTATTTAAAACTAAGTAAATTTTCATAAACTATATATAAAAAATAATATTTTCCCTGTGTTCTCCCAGTGAAAACCGTAAAGCTTCATTCATCCAAGAGAAATGACAGGTTTGGGGTTTTTATGAATAAAGTTTAATTGAAGAACTGCTTCTGAAAACTTAAGGGTGACAGGAGAAAGCTTGTCCAAGTAATCAACTTTTCAAAGTCAAGAATGAAAAATAAATTTAAAATGCCTGTCAACCTCAATCTTGATTTCTTTTCAGATCAACAGAGCAGTTTCATGTTGAGGACAGTTATGTAAAGAGTCAAACACAAGGAGTTATTGGTATATCAAAATTAATTTTGTTAAGTTAATTAAGCAGCTTTCTTCCCTGTATCCCATACCTCTGCTTTGTATACATGGCTCTTTTAATTCCTACTTTACCTCCTAGGTTAATTTTTTTTTCTGTCTTGGTTAAGAGGTTCAGAAGCAACTCCATGAATAATGAATAAAAACCTAAAAATGATTTGTTTCATGGTAGTCTGTATGATTTAACATTGCAAGGTTCTAGCTGGCTTTACAGCTCCTGATCCAGCAAGTTACATAACTTTTGGCTTAATTTCTAAAGATTAACTGTTTATGTGGAGTGGCTGATATGGTTTGCTGTGTCCCCACCCAAATCTCATCCTGAATTGTAGCTCCCACAATTCCCATGTGTCATGCAAGGGACCCAGTGGGAAGTAATTGAATCATGGGGGCAGGTCTTTCCCATGCTGTTCTCGTGATAGTGAATAAGTCTTATGAGATCTGATGGTTTTATAAAGGGGAGTTTCCCTGCACAAGCTCTCTCTTGCCTGCTGCCATGTAAGACTTCCCTTGCTCTTCCGCCATGATTGTGAGACCTCCCGAGCCTCATGGTACTGTGAGTCCCTTAAACCTCTGGTTCTTTAAGATTACCCAGTCTCAGATATGTCTTTATCAGCAGTGGAAAAATGCACTAATACAGAGGTGGAGAGAGAAGGGCAACGGAGAGAAGAAAGTCCTTTAAGGAAAGCATTTTGGCCTTTCTCCATCATGTCCCTTGAATGTAGATTATGTTGGTAGGGTATCAGCTGATGTATCACAATATTTGTTGGGTGATAAGTGGTTAATAAAAAGTGGATCATTTTTCTTTAGTCAGGAAGATCAGGTGAAGATACCTAAATCCAGGGTTAGTCCCAAATTAAACTTGTCCACGTAATATATTCATATCCTAGTCATTCCTAATTATTACATCCCTGTCAGTCCTGTCTTGCTCTGAACTAGGTCTTTCTTCACATTTAAAATTCACACCCACTCCCCACCACTCAACCCACCCTTGGGATATCACCTCTCAGGGAATAGTAGCTAATTGACTTTCTAACTGGATTCACAATGAAATGTTAATGGCATATTTACCTATTTTAGAGAAAACATGCTTTTAAAAGCAAAAAAAAAAAAAAAAAAGAAAAGAAAGAGATATCAAGAGATATATACAACAGTGCCTTCATCTGGATGAATGGAGGTGAAGATTTCAGCCAGCATTGGTTGTTCTGAGGGTAAGAGAGTAGCAGTATTTTCTCCCAGGCCTGCCTGCTGCTTTGGTACTTAACACTGACATTTCCAATTCTCCTACTTTTTATTATTTAACTTCCAGTGTCTCTAGGAAAACACAGATTTCCATTTTGATCATATGGATGTTATTCAGGGCTGTTTTGAGCCCTTGTGCTCTTATTTTTGGCTACCCCACATGTATAACATATCAAACAAATTAAAATCCACCCATATCCTACATTAAATATAATTTATATTGCAATTATAAGAGTAGAGTTGCAGCTGACTAGTTGATGTTATTTTTGTAGATAGCTAATTAAACATTTATTAATTTCCATTTTGCAGCTTGCATTTGTGGTTTGGAGCCAATACTTTAAAAATCTTACAATCCATTGACACTGGTCTCCAGTGACTAACAGATAAAATGGCCTTGCTGATGCTAATTTAATATAGGAGTATATTTTTAAACTCTTACAAAAAATAGAGCCATTTAAAATGTTTTGCCTTTCTAATGAATGTGTCCTTTTTTCTTTTTTCTTTCTTTCTTTTTTTTTTTTTTTCTTGAGATGGAGCCTTGCTATATTGCCCAGGCTGGAGTGCTATGGTGCGATCTTGGCTCACTGCAACCTCTGCCTCCCAGGTTCAAGCGATTCTCCTGCCTCAGCCTCCTGAGTAGCTGGGATTACAGGTGCCCGCCACCACACCTGGCTAATTTTTTGTATCTTTACTAGAGATGGGGTTTCACCATGTTGGCCAGGCTGGTCTCAAACTCCTGACTTTGTGATCCGCCTGCCTCAGCCTTCCAAAGTTCTGGGATTACAGGCATGGGCCACCGTGCCCAGCCAAATGCATCCTTTTTACATAACAAACTACCTTCCTGAAATCTCTGTATCTATCCTAATTCTCTAATTTTTGAAAAATTGTAAAGTACGTTTTTTCATCACAGACAATTCTCTTCTTTATTTTCACATTTTGATATTTAAGATCTAAAGTTACAGTCTTCCTGTTTTAAGGCAATTTCTTTAATTTGCTATTTATTATCCACTTTCCATTGGATCCTTTCAAAAAATCAGTGCTCAATCTTTGATTTCTAAAAAGACACTTCGAGGTCTGATGAAGCCTCCAACCCCTCGACTACAATAGTTCCTACAGAAATTGTTTGTGTCCTTCCCTTTCATGTTTTTCCCAGCTGTATTTTTTTTTTTTTTTTTTTTTTGAGATAAAGTCTTTCCCTGTCACCCGGGCTGGAATACAGTGGTGTGATCTTGGCTCACTCCAACTTCCACCTCCCGGGTTTAGATGATTCTCATGCCTCAGCCTCCTGAGTAGCTGGGATTACAAGCATGTGCCACCACACCTGGCTAATTTTTGTATTTTTATTAGAGACAGGGTTTCGCCATGGTGGCCAGGCTGGTCTTGAACTCCTGGACTCAAGTGATCCACCCCCCTTGGCTTTCCAAAGTGCTGGATTACAGGAGTGGGCCATCATGTCCAGCTCTGACTTTAATTCTTACTAACATGCAAATTGCAGTGTACCATATCACCCCATTTTGGAGTATGACACACAAATGCATGTGTGAGATGCTCTGAAAGGAACCTCCAAACTGAGTACAAAGTAGTCCTTCTCAAAACATGGGCACCCTTGGTTCACAGAGGTCAGAATTTCTCATATCCTTCAAAGTTGGGGAGCATTTTGGTAGAGTCTGAAAACTGCTCTTTGGTTAGTTGAAAAATGTCTTCCCTGCATATTTTTAATAAACCTCCATCTCTTAACTTACAGAGATAAAAATAAAATAGTTTTCCTTCTCTCCTCCTATGTCTTATAGTCTACTTGTCATCCAAATGAAATAAATGCACTTCCTTATTTTCTTAGTAGGCAAAGAGTAAAAATTTCATACTAGGCTAGTTATTCTGCAAAAAGAGAACATTTAAACAGAGGTTAGTACACAGTGGTAAAATCAGTAAAAGTTTCAGTGCTTACATTAGAAAAACAAATATTTATATCATTAAACCTAAAATTTGCTTTCTAATACAATGTTTTGTGGTCTGCCTAAATGATGGCAATTGATTTCAGGATGAATCAAAATGACATGAAGAAGATATTAAAGAAAATTTTTTTTGTTTGTTTCTGTCCTACAGTCCCGAAGGCAAAAATGAATTGTACTCTTCTTATACATGTTGCTGCTTTCAAGATTTCCATTTTACACCATTGATGGGCCTTAGTTTTTGGGTTGTCTACAAAGTCAAGTTTCTCTTATTTGGAAAACCTGAATATAGCCTTGCAGTACAAAGCACTGGTCATGCTGTCCACTTTCAGAAGATGGCATGGAATTCACAGCAACAAGAAATGTTTTGGAATGCTGGCAAAGGAGCAGAAAACAGTGTTCTCCCCACACATTTAGAAAAATAAAGGTACGGAGGACATGGCGTACTACTTATTAAAGACTTTGAAAAACACCACACCTCAGTAAACATTCCTCAAGAACTGAGGAAACACTCTGGGCAATGGCTTACCTCAGTTCCCTCAATTCTGGTTTTAGTGAATGGGACAATAGTACAGACACAATGCCAGCTGTGGAAGCAAGAGAGCCAAGGACACACAGGCTCACTCTGTAAACAAGCCTAGCGTCCTGCTTCAGGCACTTTGTGTTGTTTTGTCAACACAAAGAGAGGCGTTTGGGATTTGCGGAAGACTCTGCTATCTCAACAAGTCTTGGTGCTTTCTTCTGTCCCTGAATTAAACACTTATTTACTTCCTCTTTATTGACCATTGGAGCGCCTGATTGGGCTTTCTGTTTATCTCCCCATAAGCTGATATAAGCTCAGCTGCCCCTGACACTAGTTTCTTTTCCTCTCTCTTTTTAGTTGAAGATGCTAATATTATCACCTTCAGTGACAGTAACAAAATAAAATCAATTATTCAGCTTATGATGGGCTAGCATACTGCCATTCCCTTTTGCTGTCTAAATGTATCTGATATTACCATGGAGAGGAAATGATCTATTAAGAAGGTTCCCAAGTCAGACATCATTCTGGATTAATTCCTATAACAGGAGGTTTGCACTAAACTGGCTTCCCTTCTTCAGTGTGAGAAGCAAATATTCTTCCTGGAAGCCATTTTACTGAATAACTAACAACCTGTTCAACTACCTCCAGCCCCTTTAAACAGCATTATCTCCTACTCAACTTTTGCTGGAGTTTTGCAAAAAGCTAGTGAGAGATCCATTCTGTCCTCAGGTTTTTCCAGAGCAGTGGTTCCCAAATGTTGCTCCACTGACCAGCTGCACCAGAAATATCTGGGAAGCTACAAAGAAGATTGATTCTAGGCCCTCATTCTGAAGAATCTCATTTAGTGTGTCTGGGTGGAGACCAGACATCAATGTTTTAATTCTTAGGTCATGCTAACTCATTGTAGGCTATTTAGGTTGGTGAAAAAAAAAAAAAAAAAAAAAGCAAAACCAGCAATTACTTTTGCAGCAACCTATTATCAACTAAAGACCACTTCTGATTGTGTACCTCCCCGCCCCTCATTTCTAATTTCCCTTTTTATGAGTCATCTACGTGTCTCAGCATCCTTTCTCTGTCTCATCACTTGGATTGAGAACATCTTTCAGATTTGCCCCCAGCTTCAACTTCTAACATCCTTCCAGGACATGACTTGTGATCATGGCTATTTTGGTTTTATCCTTTCAACTCTTCCAGTCCTTGGTTGGCCCCCTCCTGCCAGAGAAGAGACATCAGACACAAGTAACTAGCAGGCAAGGTATTTGAAGCATGCACCAGTGCAATTGCTTGATTTGCTGTGCTCACAAGAAGCCTTTATGCAAAGGCCTCATGAAAATTACTTATAAGTGATACACAAAAAGTAATTTACTTTTTATTTATTTATTTTTTGAGACAGAGTCTTGCTCTGTTGCCCAGGCTGGAGTGCAGTGGCACCATCTCAGCTCACTGAAACCTCTGCCTCTCAGGTTCAAGGGATTCTCGTGTCTTAGCCTCCCAAGTAGCTAGGATTACAGGCACCCGCCAACATGCCTAGTGAACTTTTGTATTTTTAGTAGAGATGGGGTTTCATCATGTTGGTCAGGCTGGTTTCAAACTCCTGACCTCAGATGATCCTCCCGCCTCAGCCTCCCGAAGTTCTGGGATTATAGGCTTGAGCCACAGAACCTGGCCACTAAAAGTAATTTAAAAAGAAGGCCTCAACTGTCAACTTTGGGCTTCAAAAAGTGCATTGTCCCTGTATCTTGCCCTAGCTTAGTTGCACTGTCTTCTAGGGTGGGTATATGAGAAGGATATAGGCTGGTGGCAACTAGGCAGCTGTCACACTCTGAAGGACAAGCACAAGGAGGCAAAGCAAGGAAATTATCTGTGGTTATGTGAAGCATAGTTCCAAAAGATTCTGCCACGCTGCGGACTGCCGAAAAGCAAGAACAGCACATAGACTAATCTTATGAGTAACAATTCGTGCTGGGCACGCTTAGTTAGAGGCAAGTTACAAGTCTCCCTCAAAGGAGAAAGCAAGCAAACAAGAAGAAAAGCATTCGTTTAGAAAAAGAATAAAAATCAATCAAACCAGGCTGCAATATACACTTCTTTGGAATTTCAGGCTGTAGTCTTATAGCAAAATGTTTAGAGTATATTGGCAACTTTGCCCATATTATACAGCTGATTCTGAAGATGAAAGTTCAGCTAGAAAACAAAATTGTTTGGGTACACACTAACATGTTTTCAGTGTTTTGAAACAGATTGCAAATAATTAGAAAAAAATCCTAATTGTAAAAGTTTGAGTTTATTCTATGTATAGATATTTTTCAAAGGTTCTTTACAACTCAGAATTTCCTTCAGAAAAATGGAGTTGGGCTGATACTCTGCCATTGTGAGTGGGAGTGCATTCTATTAAAGTCCACCTGGTCAAGTGTCAGTGGATGACCTTGAACAGGCATGATAGATATAACATGGTATCGGGGGAACCAGCCTCCAATATTTCAGCGTAGTTTCTTTTCTATTTTCCCTAAGTGTCAGCCGGTCTGACAAATAAAGAGAAAGAGTACAAAAGAGAGAAATTTTACAGCTGGGCCTCTGGGGGTGACATCACATATCAGCAGATTCCATGATGCCCCTTGAGCCACAAAACCAGCAAGTTTTTATTAGGGATTTCAAAAGAGGAGGGAGTGTATGCATAGGGAATAGGTCACAGAGATCACATGCTTCAAAGGCAATAAAATATCACAAGGGCAGAAGGGCAGAGCAAGATCACAAGGCCAGGGCAAAATTAGAATTACTGTTGAGGTTCCATGTCCCGCTGGGCATGAATTGTCATTGATAAACATCTTAACAGGAAACAGGGTTCGAGAGCTGACAACTGGTCTGACTAGAATTCGCCAGGCTGGAATTTCCTAATCCTAGCAAGCCTGAGGGTGCTGCAGGAGACCAGGGCATATTTCCTCCCTTATCTTCAACTGCATAAGACAGAAACTTCTAGAGCGGCCATTTTAGAGACCTCCCCCTGGAAATGCATTCTTTTCCCAGGGCTATTCCTTGCTGAGAAAATAATTCAGCAATATTTCTCCTATTCGCTTTCTGTAAGAAGAGAAATATGACTCTGTTCTGCCCGGCCCTGCAGGCAGTCAGACCTTATGGTCATCTCCCTTGTTCCCTGAAAATCGTTGTTAT
The DNA here is from genome assembly GCF_000001405.40 of Homo sapiens. NCBI lineage: Eukaryota > Metazoa > Chordata > Mammalia > Primates > Hominidae > Homo > Homo sapiens. The sequence goes on from NC_000006.12 coordinate 132,110,181, forward strand.
TCTGTTCTTTTGAAGGTGCCCAGATTTCATATTGTTCAAACACACATGCTTTACAAACAATTTGTACAGATAACACAATCATCACCGGGTCCTGAGGCGACATACATCCTCAGTTTATGAAGATGACAGGATTAAGAGATTAAAGTAAAGACAGGCATAGGAAATTATAAAAGTATTGATTGGAGAAGTGATAAATGTCCATGAAATCTTCACAATTTATGTTCAGAGATTGCTGTAAAGACAGGCGTAAGTAATTATAAAAGTATTAACTTTAGGAACTAATAAATGTCCATGAAATCTTCACAATTTAGGTTCTTCTGCCATGGCTTCAGCCGATCCCTCTGTTTGGGGTCCCTGACTTCCCGCAACAACATGGGCCTGGAAGGATTCTTTTTTTTTTTATTTTTATTTTTTTTTGAGGCAGGGTCTCACTCTGTTGCCCAGGCTGGAGTGCAGTGGCTCTATCTCAGCTCTCTGCAGCCTCCACCCACCGGGTTCAAGCTATCTTTGTGCCTTAACCTCCTGAGTAGCTGGGATTACAAGCATGCACCATCACGCCTGGCTAATTTTTGTAATTGTAGTAGACATGGAGTTTTACCATGTTGGCCAGGCTGGTCTCAAATTTCTGGGCTCAAGTGATCCTCCTGCCTTGGCCTTCCAAATTTCTGGGATTACAGGTGTGAGCCACTGCACCCAGCCCTAGAAGGATTCTTTTAAGCAGGTCAGTTGCTCTGCCTTTACTTTCTGCCAACTTTTTTCTCAGTTCTAAATGATGAGAAAAAAGTGATGTTATATCCTTTTCCAACTCTCTTACAAGGTATATTCCATAATTGTGTTTTAATGTGATATTTATTGGCATACAGAAGGGTACATAAACCATAAATATGTAGCCTAATAAAGGTCTAATATTTATGAACCCTTACTCTTATAGTAGAGACAAAGTTTTACTGTATTGCCAAGGCTGATCTCGAACTCCTGGGCTCAAGCAATCCTCCCATTCCAGCCTTCCAAAGTGCTGGGATTACAGGTATGAGCCACCACACATGAGTCAACAAGGTGAAAAAAACCTCTTGTAATCACCACCCAATCAAGAGAATATTACCAGCATCCTAAAATTCCCTACTGTGTCCCATTACAAACACTACTCAAGCTGCCTTTTAATGCCACAGATAGTATTGCCTGACTCTGAACTGTGTATACAAGGAATTATATGGTAATTCCACATCTGACTTCTTCCACTTAGTATTATGTTTGATTCAGCAATGCTGTTGGTACATATTTTAAAGTAAAAAGTAGTCTTGGATGTGTAATATGCAAGTATGTCTGTCAAAAAAGACTAAGATGCTGTTAAGAACAAACAATAGTAAGAAATATTGTCAGTACTTTACTTATACCCAATATGATTCACTTATGTACTTTACTTGCCTGGCTGTTTTAGGTGTTTTTTAACCTTTATGTTGAAGTAAAATATACAGAAAAGGATGTATATGTATACAGCTTGATTAATTTTCTCAACTGAATATACCTGCATAACCACTACTCAGATAAAAAGCTGAATATTATCAGCACCCATAAAACTTCCTTTTTGGTCATCTTCCAGTACCTACTTACCCCCAAGGATAATACTATCTTGAATACAACATAAATTAGTTTTGCCTGCTTTTAATTTTGTGAAATGATATCATGTGGAATATACTCTTTTTTTTTTTGCCCGGCTTCATATTTGTAAAACTATTCCTGTTTTTTTTGCATGTGGTTACAGAATATTCATTATTATTACTGTGTGGTATTTCATTATATGAATATACTATTATTTATTTAGTCATTCTATTGTTAGAATAGGTGGTAGAATGGGAATTGGGAAATTTCCAGTCTGGGGCCATTACAAATAATGATGCTCTAAAGGTTTATTTTGGTGCAGATATATATGCATTTCTGTTGAGAAAACTAGAAACTAGGAATCTACCTAGTAGTGAAATTGTTAATTCACAGTGTACATTTACGTCCAGTTTGGTGATTACCAGAGTCTCCAAGCTGGTTGTATCAATTTATGCTTCTACCATCAGTGTTTGAGAGCATTCTAGTGGCTCTATAACCTTGTCTGCATCTGGTATTATAATCTTGTCTACATTTGGTATTATAACCTTGTCTACATTTGGTATTATAACCTTGTCTACATTTGGTATTATAACCTTGTCTACATTTGGTATTATAACCTTGTCTACATTTGGTATTTAAGTTTGCATAATATGGGGGCAGTCTAATGCTATCTCACTGTAGTTTTACTTTGCATTTCCCTGGTTACTAATGAGGTAATCAAATATTCATACGTTTCTTAAATATTCATTTTTGTAATGTGCCTATTCAACTAAAAATTTGAACACACTACCTTTTCTCTGACTTGTAAGAGTTGTTTATATATTCCAGATATAAGATCTTGTGGGATAGATAGATATTGATATAGATGCAGATATGCAGGTATGTATACCTTTGTGCTCTCTTAATAATCTGTGTTTAGAATTTTCATGTAATTCAGTTCATCAATTGTTTCCTTTAAGGCTAGTGCTTTGTAGATCCTATTTAAGAAATCTTTGCCTGTCCCCAAATCATGAAGATATTTTCATACGTTTTCTTCTATAAGCTTTAATGTTTTACCTTTCACATTGATCTCTGCAATATACCTAGAATTGATTTTTGTGTACGATGTAATGTAGGAGTCGTTTCTTTTTTTCCCCCCCTGTATGCATATCCAGATGTCCCAGTATCACTTACTGAGAGACAGTATATTCCCCTCTGCTGTACAGTGCCACCTTTATCAAAGCCATAGTGTCCATATGTGTGTGAGTTTATTTCTGCAGACTGTAGCGTGTTCATTGGTCTATTTGTCTATTATTACACTTTGCTTTTACTACTATTGCTTTAAAATATGTCTTCATATCTGGTAAAGTAAGTCCTCCAACTGTATTCCTCTTATTCAGGAATATTCTGGCTATTCTTGGCTCTTTACATTTCTATATAAGTGCGAGTATCAATATTTGGATCCTCTGTGGGTCTATTTCTATTTTCTGAGTTTTTTTTTAATTGGTTTACTGTCAAAATTATTCAATGGCTTACCATGGCCCAGAGGATAAAGTCTAGGTTTCTTATCGTAGCATAAAAGCTTTTTTGCATTTCCATGATTACTAACGAGGCAATCAAATAGTCATATGTTTCTTGGATATTTAGATAATCACTTTTGTAATGTGCCCATTTGAATCTTTTGAAAAATGGACTTTTTTTTTTTTACCTTTTCTGATTTACAACTCCTTTTTTTTTTTTTTTTTTGGTTTTGAGATGGAGTTTTGCTCTTGTTGCCTAGGCTAGAATGCAATGGCGCAATCTCGGCTCACCGCAACTTCTGCCTTCCGGGTTCAAGCAATTCTCCTGCCTCAGCCTCCCGATTAGCTGGGATTACAGGCATGTGCCACCACGCCTGGCTAATTGTGTATTTTTAGTAGAGACAGGGTTTCACCATGCTGGCCAGGCTGGTCTTGAACTCCTGACCTCAAGTGATCTGCCCGCCTCAGCCTCCCAAAATGCTACTAATTTTTGCATCCAAAATGATTGAATGATGGTCCCTAATAATTAATAACATGTAAGACTTTGTGGTGCTAAAAGCTTCTGACTTTCTAAAGAAGTTTGGGCTGAGTCCAAGTAGAGACTTCTCACTTGGAGACACTTAGCAACTTCCCTTTCCGGCCTTCAGGATTTCTTGTCAGCCTTCCTTCTTAGATCCACATAGGCCAGTCTAAGTCCAGCTGCCCCTCACAAGAAGCCTGGGCTGTTAAGTCCAAATTTAGGCTCCTCATTTGGAGAGAGTTAGAGCTCCACCGCCTCAAACAGTATATTTCTTTAGGAGATTGCCAAGCAGGAAAAATGCTTCAAGCAATATCTAATTACTAATGGAAATGAAATGAATGACTTAGCTTCCCACTCTTTACTGCATTCAAGTGATACCCAACATGTTTAAGTGCTGCTCTGAAAGCTCTTTTATACAAATTATTTATATAATCTTTCATCAGCCTTAGTGGACTGGATCCAAATCCTGCATAGGTAATAACAAACTGTTGCCGATCACTTTGACATCAATGAGATATAATGTCATCTTTTCTCTGCGGTTACATGTGCATAAGTGTTATTTCACTTACATGTATACACTGGGGGAGAAATCAAGTAGGAATAGATCGTGCCACCAGCTAGAAGTGGTTGTTTCTTGTAGCTGAGCTGGATTCTCCCAAAGAAGTGTTTCACTAAAGTGTTTGCTTCAGAATGGCTCTGTTCTGCTGCAGTGAGAAGAGACTTCCAGTGAAAACATTTAATTAGCTCCCAATTTAGACGGCCAGAATGATCAGTCAGCCTGTGTTTTGGAACCTGCATTTGTACATTCCTTGGGATTGGTTAGTGAGTTTTCCCAGCGGATGTGGTCAAATGTGAATAGTTTGTATGTAATTCACATCAGAGAATAGGTTTTTCTCCAGCTCCTTGTAGGACAGCGAGAAAGGGATTAGGAAAAAGTGAGCAATATAGCGGTAATACTTCTCTGTCTTTTCCGCAACCAATAATAAAGGTATCTAGTCTCAGAAGTCACAGAGACTAGGAAGAATATATGGAAAGTGAGTGAGCAAGAGTCAAATTGAAGATAGTTTGACTGTTTTCACTCCCTTTCAGGGTAATCATGATTTGGGTAGTGGCTTTAGACACACTGAATATTAAGTAAATTTTTTTAGCTAATACAAATAAATTGCTATGCTAGAGTTTGTGTGTGTGTGAATGTGTGTGTTGTATGTCTGTGAAAAATTCCACTCTTCAGTCAAACTAACCTCCCTCTTTATTTCTGTCACATAAATTTAGCATCCTTTATCTGTTTGGTTCATGATGGGAATCTTTTAATCAAATTCTAGACAGTAGTTATAAATTAGCCTAATGAGTTTATAATACTTCGCTAAGAGAATATCTTCAGCTGTTCTATTAGGTTAGTGTAAAAGTAATTGCAGTTTTTACCATTACTTTTAATGGCATAACCTGCAATTACTTTTACACCAATCTAATACATTCCTTCTGGTGAAAGGGGCCTTAGGAAGCCGAGTGCCTTTGGATCCTTCCCAGCCTAGTTCTTTCTCCTTCACACAACTTCAAATTTGTCTGTCATTTTTCTAATCCTAGCATTTTATGTTCTAAAAATAGCAAATAGCTTATGGATCCCTGCATTGTCTATGACATTTCACATTACTGTGCTTTTGACCATGAACTTTTCTTGCCCGTCTCTATCGGGGCGAAGGGCCTCTCCTCTGAGTTCCCTTCTACGGTCATGATTAACACAATGCCTGGCAAAGGAGGTTCTCAACACATTTGTGTGAATGAATACATAATATCAGCAACATATATTGAATTATCTTCCTTGTGTCTCTGTTTACTAGAATTTGCACATCTTGAGATCAAGGACTCTGTTCTATTCGTGGTATTCATATTTGTATTCCCAGAGTTCAGCTGGAAGCCTGGATAGAATATGGAGGGTGCTTAAAAATGATATGATTACAGAACAGATGGGAAACATTTTAATACCTTCGAAACAACTAGAACTAGGCTTCATTCTGGGGGCAATACCACTTCTTTGAAATATTTCCTCATGTCAGAATTTCCCAAGACACCGAAGCCAAGAGCTGACAGATGAAGATGTGTCACTGTGGAATGTGACTAGTACACAATTTTCTCATGTCCTCTTGCCTCAGGTGATGCAGCTGGTGAGAGGGAAAGAGTAGGCGATTTACAAAGGATATTTGCCAGTAAATACAACAGTCTCTCAGAGCTTCAGGAGATGAATTGACATAATCTGATAAAGCATAAGAGTGTGAAGGTTTTCATTAAGAATAATTTGTAGAAGAAAGTTTTGCTAATGTCAAAGATTTGTGGGGAAGAATCGGAACAGAAACAGAAAGTAAACCAAGGCTACTGTCAGTGAACCATTTGTATCGTAATAGTCCATCAATTGAAATCTTGTGTTTCCTTTTCAAATTTCATTCTTTTTGATGCATACAAGTGAGTTAAAGCAAGGAAGGAAAGAAACATACACGTGGGCAACATGGCTAATTAATACATAATTGCTTTGATTCATATGCCCCATTCATGCAGAGCGTATTTTTGTAAAATAAACTTCGTGAGCTTTGGAATTGGCAATGAACTCTTGAGTTGAGTGTAAAAGATAACATTCTTGGAAAACTTTTTGAGACATTCTAGTCTGTGTTTCAAAAATGAATATGAATAACAATGAGAAGGCTTTATTTAGAGGAACCTCATATCTGTGAAAGTCTATATTTTTTAAATGGCCTGGATATTTGTTTCTTTGTTCTTTATCATTTAGCAAAACAGAAAGAATTTTATTTCTTTGGATTCTAAAATGTAATACCCTACTTGTTGTCAGATGCCCAAATGAGCACTGGAACCTGGGTCTCCACAGAAAATAAGCAGGGAGGACTATTAAAGCCAAAAACAAAGTAGTCTGCAGCAAAACAAAAGACAAGTACTTCTGAAGAATAAGCCCTCTGAGAAAACCAAGAGCTAAGTGAGGACATTGCTGTGGTGGTGTGGGTGCATAATAGGAGATGATGGAATAAATGATCTCATCAGGTTTCTGATACCTTGGTTTTCTGGGTTATTGTAATAGGTTATCATTATTCTGAAGCAAGCAATCTTCGTTTTTTCTTACTTGCATGGGAAACACAATTACTCATAAGCTGAGAATATCTGCAGAAGCTTGAAAGTAGATGTATCAACTACTTAGGACTACTTGATATGCTTAGCAGAAAGTTATTGCAAGTTTTGGCTAGTCTATTAATGCACACAATTACAACACAAATCCCAGGTTTTGATTTGTGCTTCAGTAAATTCACACTCATATCATACCTTTAATATGCATGAGTTTAAAAACAAGACAGCCAGATAGAATATAAATTGACCTGATCATCAGTAAACTTTAATTATTTTCTTAGGTTTATTGCAGATTCCCTGAAAACATTCTAATTAGTGTCTAAATACAGAAAATTGAACTGGTGATAGCATATTGGCCATCAGTTTGAAAGAAGGTATCATTTCTGAAATTTTCTCTAAGAAAATTTGTGTATGCAATATAAATAGAGTAAAAATAAAAAGACCACCTTTACTCATTTAGGTAACTTAAAAATGGCACATTTAAAAATTTACTCCAGGCAGGCCTAATCTAATGACGTAGAAGTCTACATAGTATCACTGACTTTAGAGAGTATACTTTGTCTTGGTGCTCTGAGATCTTACCCTCTTGCAAAGTTGCCTCCATTTCTCTTTTCTCTTTTCCTCACTCCATTCTTGGTCCTGTAACGTTGGAAAGAAAACTGTCTTGTATTAATTCATACATAGCTTTTACTCTCTTACCTTCCAGGGGCATTGGCAAAATCAAAATTGTTTTCCCTGCATGGGAGATGAAGTCTTCTCCCCATGTAAACAGAAGTGAGAGCTCTGGCACATCCTTTGACTTCCCTGAAAGGATGGATGCTTGTTTATATAACTGTGGTCTCTGTGCCTGGAAATGGTGGCATTATTCATGCCTTTCTTTACAGAAGGCAGTGGTACCAACATTATGGGAGAATTAGGCATTTTCTCCTGACTTTGCATAATTGCGATGCCCATAAAGTCACCAAAGTGTCTTTCATGCTGTAGGCGTTCCAGGAGTATTTGCTGAACTTAAGAGTGGATTTATTTGTTTCTTCATCAGTCTCTATTCCATTCATTTCTATCCAGCTGCAGACACCATTAGACAAGGTCCATCTTTTCTCCAGTCGGCCTGTATTCAGTGTGTCTGAAGAGAGTTATCTGCTCAAGATTCACCCTCAGCTTTGCACGGGTATTTTGATTATAGCTCTATTCTCAACGTGCCCACCTATACTCTAGGTGTGGTCCTACCCTGAATGCCAGCCTGCTTTGCTATGACCCTGATGCCTCCACCTATCTTTTCAATACACACTGGTATTGCATGCAGTCCTTCTCCAAATTGATCGGACACCCAGGACAAGAATGTTGTCCCCATTTGCTCCTGTGTACTCTTCTGCTGTTCTAGTCACCTAGGAGGTCAGGAGTCCTGCAGTATTGACATCTGTCTGAATGCTGCCTAGGTTTGGACACACATTTGTTCTGGTTTCTTTACCCCTGCTGGGGCCAGCCCTAAAGATAGACTGGTTTCCTTTAGCTTAAACCCACTGCTTTCAATTTATTTACTTCCACACTGGTCTGCTTGCATGAGTTAAGAACATATAAGTCATCTTTTTATTTCATCCTCATATCATCATCATCATCATCTTTGTCAACTTTACAGATAGTTGTAAGAAAAGCCCTCAGCAAATGTCAGCTATTTTTTTTTTCCTGGACTTCTAAATGACCAAATGTATTTTTAAAACTCTAATAAACTCCTTAGTATCACTGCTCAATAGGTGGCATTAATCCCATATTTTTCTACTCCACTTTCTGTTATTGTATATCACAGGTTTTTGTTTGGAAAGATCATCCTGATTTGAGTGTAGAGGTAGAAGAAAGACAAGATTAGGGGCAGTGAGGCCAGTTACGAGGCTCTTTAAGGATTCTAGGTAAGAGATGGTAGTGACCCAAAACAGGAAAAAACACAGTGGTATTATACAGAAGTAGAAAGGCTTAAGCAGTAAGATTTTAAAAATACTGTATTGATTGGATGTGTGAGGAGAAACAGAAGTGACATTTTTCTCTGTGGCTTGGACTACTGTTGGGCTAATTAAATGATTCCATTACAAATAGGAGAAATGGAGAGGATTAGGCTCTTGGGTTCAGGGACAAGATGTCTGTGGGATATTCAAGAGCAGTTAGATAATTGGAGATATGTACTTTGTGCTCTCAATACAGGACTGGACTGGAAATATATTGGAAGCCATCAGCATATAGATCATAATGGAAACGTGGAAAGATAAGATCATCTAGAGAGACTATATAATGAAAGAGCTAAGAGAGCCTAGAACTGAGCATGGTAGAACACCAAATTTAACAGATGTTCAGAAAGATTAGAGCCTCAGGGAGACTGAGATTAGCATGGTCAACATTCATTCAATAAATGTGATTGGTAAAACCCTAAGCATTACTGAACCTTTATCAAACCTTGTGAGGGACCCTCAAGGAAAAATTAAACCTGGACATTAAAATAAGGTAGAGTAGTAATAACATGATCCCTGCAACCCTAACTAAGGCATATCCTAAAGCCATTTTAGAATTTCCAGGCTATTATCAGCAAAAGAATATCTAGCTTAGAACTGCAATTAAACAGGGAAAGGATAAGGAGAGAGCTTTAGAGTTAATTGTACAAAAGGTCTGAAAGAAGGAATAATAATTAGTCTGAAGGGATGGTAAGTTATTTAATACTCTTTGGAAAGAGAGAGCTAGATTGGATTGGTTAATGAGCAGACAAGTAGAGCTAGCTTCCTCTGGCTCTTTCTGGGATTCCCAATACCTCCAGAGAGGGAAGGGGTGGCCAAGATGGCATGGCGGAGGTGAGGCTGGGAAGGTGGGAGAACCTTCACAATCGTGACTGTAACATCTTAAAAGAGAGCTACTTCAGTCCTTAGCCTCAACATTTCCTGACTCATTCTTATTACTGGGACTTTTGAGGGAGGGCGGTTTTGTTTGATAAACTTTATCTACCACTTCCTAAACTTAAATAGACCACTGATATGATTTGTCTTTATAGACAAATAATTACACTGTACAAGTCTTAGGTGAAAACAAATAAAATTTTACAGTGTTTTTAATAATACTACAATGATGCAGTGGGACTGGCCTAGCTGGAATGATGATGTCACAACAGCGATGGTTCTCATTTATTCAGTATTAGTAGGTGCCAGGCCCTGGAGCAAATATTTTATATACATTCTCTCAAGTCCTTGTAACTTTACACATAATCTTCACTTCTAAAGAAAAATAGTGCCTACATTTACATATCCAAGTATATTTGCTTCTAATGTTACTTATCTTTTCGTTGTATTTTAAGGTAATTAATAAATATCAAATTACTCTAGCCTTTAACATGATTGGTTGAGTCTATATATAGTCGCTAACATACGTCAAAGCTTATTTTAATACTTTAGTTTGTGCTTGACTGTCAAAGGAGATCGTTCCACCCAATTTAGTTTAGGAAAATAATCTTTCTCTAAACCTATTTGAACACAAACTGAAACTTTATTTCTTTAAAAATTTGGTAATGTGACATAAAGGTGTTCTGCGTCTGGCTGTTTTGAAGACATTCATGATTCTATGAAGAAAGATCATTAAGGAATCACCAAATCAATGTTCTTATGACTGCAATTTTGGGTTATGCTTCTTTAATATTAGAAAGTTTTATAATCTACTAACTAGGGGGTAAATTCCTAGGAGAATAAACTGTTGCAGTTTTGATTTATTGCATAAACTTGTCAAACTCTCTTTAAGAACTATGAGTTATATTGATAAACTACATAGGTTTCTATTTATACAATTTTTCCTGATTATAAGGCACTGTAATCTTTATGGCTTTGTTTTGGACTGTTTTATATATTTCCTTAAAAACAAGAAGTAGACAACACTGTTGCATACGTGACCAGGCTGCATTGATTTTTAGGGACCATCTGTGTTTCCACGGGGTCCAGCGTGGCTTTTCCATTGTCATCAGTGTGTGCTCCTGACCTTTTTACTAGGCCGGGCCTCCAGATTCATCACAGATCCTAACCCAGCCTTTTGCAGATGTCTGAAAGGAAATAGCAAGATAAAATTAGGTTACCCTCTACAATGAGATGAATACATTCTCCTTGAGACCACATTTGATGAACATCTTCATCCTTGCTTATTCTGCTAAGTAATAGTCTCTATAACCATAGCTTCAAAAACCATACACTGATGATCCCAAAATCTACAGAACATTTTCATCTGCTGGTTATATACATATCCAGGTTGCCTATTGACATCCCACTGGATGATTGTATTTGTCTGTTTTCACACTGATATAAAGATACCCTCTGAGAATGGCTAATTTATAAATAAAAGAGGTTTAACTGACTCACAGTTCTGCATGGCTGGGGAAGCCTCAGGAAACTTACAGTCATGGAAGAAGGTAAAGGAGAAGCAAGCACCTTCTTCACAAGGTGGCAGGAGAGAGAGAGAGAGAGACGCAGGGGAAACAGCTACTTTTAAACCACCAGATCTCATGAGAACACCCTCACTATCATGAGAATAGCATGGGGAAAATCACCTGCATGATTCAATCACCTCACACCAGTGGCCTCCCTTGACATCTGGGGATTACAATTCAAAGTGAGATTTGGGGGGAACATAGAGTCAAACCATATCAATGATCTGTAAGTAACTCAAACTCAACATGTCCAAAGTGAACTCCTCACTTTTTCTCCAAATCCTCAAAATTGTCCTTTCCCCCTCATTTCAGTTAAGGGCTTTCAAAGTCACCTACTAACTTACTCATAAGAAGGAATTTATCTGTTACAATGTGTCTGGGTGTAAGTAACAGACAATCCTGACTCCACTAGCTCTAATTGTAAGGAATTTATTATCTCATATAATAAGAAGTCTGAAGTTAGGATATTTCTTAACTGGTTAATTCACTGGCTCTATGTAATCATCAAGAACATAGGTACTTTATATGTTTCCATGTGGCCATCCTTGGCATATGTACCTCTTCTGTAGATTAGTTGCAAGCTGACTTCAGCAATTCCAGATTTCACATCTTTAAGACAATATCCAAGAACAAAGAAGTGTTTCTCTTGATTATGACTCATTATAAGATTAAGACAATTTTTACCCCAGAACTAAGCTCTAACTTTTTGTATCTAGCATGGAAAGTGAAGTCTAGGAAAACAGAAAATGTATTTGGTAAACACATAGATCGTCTTTATCTTGGTTTTAATATCATTAAATCATAACTTATGACTGGAGACTCCTACTTCCATCCATAAAAAAGTACCTGGTAGCACATTTACCATTTTACTGTAAATAACTAGAAAGCAGAGTAAAACCTGTATCATTGGAAACAGGCACTGGACAATGGGCAGCCAGAACTGTGACATCTGAGAGAAGGGAGACAAAGGAGGTGAGCTCAGTGAATGTACTTGTTTCCTGCCTGAAGGCATTTGCTACATGGTGCATGTAGCAAGACCTCAAAGAGAGAACTTCAGTCTTGCAGAGTAGAGGAGTAGAGACTGGACTTCAGGGAGGCAGAGACAGCAGAAATTTGCAGAGCAAACCACCAGAGAGGAGAATGCTATGAGAGAAAGACACCCACATTTCTGCATTGGGATCCCTTGAGCCTGTTGCTGAATACTGAATTGCATGCGTAGGATAAAACTCCACAAAACTGGGCAGAAAACAACCAGATGACAGGGAAGCTGTAAGACGAACAATTCCTAGAGCTCACATACAATTCATGATTGGGGTAAAACTTTGTCCATCTTTATTTATCTAAAGCAAGTGTAGCAAATTGATCTAATCAGGACATCAGGCGTCATGTGCTAAAATATTCAGAGTGTCCATTCTAAGGGCTGAATGCTATGTTGTAAGCTCTTCAAAATGACCAGTCTCTGAGAAGGATCATACCTGATCCTTCTCCCATTTGAGTGTACATGAGGAAAAACAAAGATAGGAAGCTGAGTTGGGTTTCATGGTTAACCCTGAACTTCCTTGCATGATCTAAGCAAAGCGCAAATTCATGCAGTTTTGTTTGTACTTAAATTACATGACGCACCTCTCCAAAGTTCTCTAATCCTCACCCATGCTGAGAGCCACGTGCAGGGTCATCCAGCTAGCAAGAATAAATAACCATTCAGGGCCTTTGGCTTTCTGTGTATGTAAGTCACGGAGGGGTTCTTGCTGGAGTGTAAAGAAAGAGAAACACATGGCAGCTCTCTAAAGCCTATTTCTGGAAACCTGACAGGAGGGAACAGATACCCATTGTTCAAAGCCTGTACAGTGTTTGGAGTCTGGAGTGGGAAATGCATGCTTAGTGAAGACCAAACCTTTGATGGATCAGAAATTGAAAAGACTTGTAATTAAACTGAAATTAAACCAGTGGTGACAGAGTGTTTTTTAGGTAAAAAGACATAGAGACATGAGAGCAAGAAAAACAGGGGTCAAGATCAAGGAGTTGCCAAATTCAATTGGATCAGAAATTCTCATAAGAAAACAAAAACAAAACACTGGAGGAGACCTGATTTCGCCTGCCACAGACTTGATCATGTCCATGAGGAAAAAAAAACATCGGTGCAACTCTTTTGCTATAAGTGATCTACAGCTCTATTCCCGTATGGCAATGGCCACCTTGGCAATACAACATAGTACATAGAATTATCAAATCTTAGCCTGCCAAAGAACTCCATAATACTGACATCTTTCTTTGAAAGCTGTTCATGCCTTAAGGCTTTTTGGATTCTGAACATCTAGAAAGCACTTGACAAAAAACCTAGACCTAGTACTACCTTTACTTGCACATAAGAGAGGCCCCTGCCATTAACTGCATATCACAAACACATGACAAATACTTTTAGTAAAAAACACATGAGTGCCCTTACTGTGGATCCAGTCCTCAGCACTGGCACAGCATGACCTATAACCCTAACCACTGCTCTCGTGACTAAAATGGCTCAGGCTCCAGGGAAATGCTTCTGCCTATCTCATGCCCTGTATCCTAGAAAAAGTGATTGTGTCTGTGCTGTTGCTGATGTAGAAGAGAGAAACTGTTTTGGAGTAGAGGCAAGATTTGAACAGCAGAAGCCCTTAGGTAAGAGAACAAGAAAATATTAAGTAACTTGTCAAATTCCTCCTCTCTAATAATATGAATGCAATTCATTCTTTCATAACAAAGTCTTGTTTCCAAGTAGTGCTGAGCCATTTTCTTACTCAAAAAGGAAGTTTTCTTACTTCTCTTCATGTTCCAATTGGTGGCTCCAGAAATACGCACAAACTAGTGTAGTATCCACAACCATCATATAACGTGGCTGTAGAGCATTCCACAATATTAAAAATTCATATTACTGTTAAATCTGTTTACCTCTTTTATTAGGCATGCCAATACCATGGGACTTCAACAAAGCAGCTAGAAATGCACAATAAAAATTAATGCAACGGTCTTCAATAGTTTTCTGGTCTTCAGTCACATAAAAACCATAGATTTATACATGCTTCCAATTCTGTCATTTTGAAAGTATATATGTCAAGGAAGAGAATCAAACATGTTTTTATAGTGTGTTAGCTTGATTAGTAACTTAAATATTAAGACATATGGTATGTTAACCTCTAATTTCACTCTTACCTGAGTGAAATTGCCCTGCCACCTTGAGTCCCAGGCCTGACCTGACCCAGCACTATCCAAGTTACCAGAGCTGGATGACTTGGCTTACTAGTACTGACATTTCAACAAAGAAAAAAAGTGGTGTCCTCCCAACCTGACAATATCTACTTATTCACCCAGAAAATATTGTTAGGTGCCTTAGGAGCTGGTAACGTCATTTCCTGTCTAAAGAATATTTTCTTTTCTTGGAAAAATCAGTCATTTTTATGTTCTACCTCCTACAAATTGTTGTCACTGCAATTTCTATGTTGTAAGTTGCAATATAGAACATGTGCAGAATAAATGCTGGTCCTATATAGAGAAAGGCTTAGGGGAAATACTTTTTGCAGGTCACTTCTTATATTACAATATTATGTTAAACAATATTATATTACAAAGTATTAAAATACCTTGTAATAACTCTACCTCTCATTGAACAGGACTCTAGAAATATTGTTTTATGAATTGTGTGTGGGGATAAAATAGGATGTCAAATGAGTGTGTTTACATGTATACACATACTATACACAAGTATCTATATTAGATATATATGTTTATAATGAATTTTCTTCTGCAAATGAACTAACACAGTGAGAGAGGAGGGAAATAACAAAAAAATGTAAGTCTGCATTGGGAACTGATGTAGTGCCCTGGAAAATTTTTCTGTAATATTAAGTAAAAGCCATCTATTCAAGCAAGTTGCCCAGAATAGAGAGAAGATGGTGGTTGTCCTTAAGGGCAAATGACAAAAAGGGGACCCCACCCTAAGGGAGAGTCCAGCAGCTGGGATTGTGAGTCCAAGTCTCCTGCTACTTCTCCTTTTACTACTGAGATGATTGAATATTTGAATGAGCAATCAGACACTATGTGTCTCATTATAAGACACTTGCTTCAGGTTCCAGGAGGCATCCCCTTCTCTCCCTTTTTCTTCCTATAAGTCCACAATGATTTGCACCTGGAATGCCACTTGTTTTTATTCTCAATTATTTCTCAACTAGTCTTGGGATAAAGACCTACACCTTCTCTTCTGAAGAAAAGTTAAGAAATCTTGACTAGCACTTTGAGATCAAGCTCAATAAGTCTTGTCTTTAAAACCATAACTTTGAGAAGATCACTACAAAAGATTCCATTTATTCCTAATATATGGCAGAGACTTAGGAGAAACCTTTTGGAGAATGAAATCTAAACTGTAAGAGAGAGTATATGATATGACGTATCACTTTAAAAATATGGCTTTTTTTTTCATTAAAATGCTATGTGAAACTTAGCATGTCAACAAAATAATGGAGTTGGGTTTTTGATGGACATAATAGCACTGGACTTATAACATCCAAGATTTCTTAAAATTGCTTTAAAATTAATTATATTTTGAGGAAAATTAGGTGAAGGTTCACATCATTGGGAGATAATTATAGACACCCTCCCTTAAGTGTTGCAAAACCAGACTCCTGATATCTATGATGCCATCATTCATGTAATAGAGAATATTATCACTTGGCTTCATTATTGTTTTCTTATTTCTTTTACTTGTGTATTTCATAAAGCCCTTTGAAATGAAAATCCCATTGTAGAGTTGTAAAAGTGAAAATAATCTTTAAATAAGATATTCATTGTTGTTATGATTTTTCTTTCCATAAAATTAGAATTCTGCATAGTAATTATCTTAGCCCATTTAGGCTGCTATAACAGAATACCATAGACCAGGTGGCTTATAAACAAAGGAAATTTATTTTGCACAGCTCTGAAGGCTGGGAAGTCCAAAGTCAAGGCACTGGTAGATTTGGCATCTGGCAAGGGCCCCCTTCTGGTCATAGACATCCATGTTCTCATTGTATCCTACATGGCAGGAGGGGAGAGGGGGAGTTCGTTGATGTCTCTCTTACGAGAGCCCTAATCTCATCCATTACTTGACTCTCATGATCTAATCACCTACCAAAGGCTCCCTCTCCTAATATCATCACATTGGGGGTTAGGGGTTCAACTTGTAAATTTTTGGGGGGCATACAAACATTTAGTCTATAACAATAATGAAAATTAATATTTTCTCCTCTTCCAGGTTTTAATATTAAACCTCCTATTTTCCCTCCACCTTATCTCCCTTTCTCTTAAGTCATTTTATGCAGTCCTTTGTTTCTGATTCTCAATAGACATGTCTTTAACATTAATTTATGTGTCCCAAACTATTTTATAGGTCTTTCTATTCATATAATTTTTTTCCTACATAGTTTGGTTCTCACTTTCAGAGGTTTTCTATCAGAATTTGCAGTTGGCTAATTTCTTTATGTTGATGAAAATCCATATGGTTGCTTTTATGTGTTTGATTATGGGGCCTTTCTGCCAAATCCAATCCCTTCATTCCTTACCTCCCCACACCTACTGCCAAATGGTGGTCAGTTAGTATATTTTGCCCATAACTTGGATATGGCTATCAAAACTAATTAATTTGCTTGACCATTTGGCTACCCAAGTTTCTATCTCAGCTCTCTTCCGCATTATCCACCCCAAACTATCTCAGCTCTTTTCCCCATTATCTTTCCAAAACTGTGCCAGGTTTGACAAACTTATTAACCAAAAAGAAAATACTTAATTTTAAAAAATAACTGCATGTCTAGATTGGCCTCACTGGTCTTGGCTGGAGCGTTGGAGAAATTTTATCTTCTCCTTTCTCCACAGAGTTACTTTCATTTAAAAAAACTAAGCTCTTCTCCAGACCATTTCCTCCAGTAACTCCATTTTGACTTTTGGAAGTCAAGCAGGTTGAGCTCTCATTCTCCTCTAATCCTCTCACACACTGTTCCAGCCAATAAATCTTGATTTCAGTTTGGGTTCTCCTCATTCACCATGGGAATGCAATTGGGTGAAAAAAAACCATTTCTGATGCCTTTTTACTTGGATTTTTTTTTTCTCTAAAGTGGGTCCTCATCCCAATTCAGTTCTCTCTCTTTCTCTCTTCTTTAGACAGGTTTCCATGTGCAAGGCTCCAGCCCAGACCAATGACACTGCTTATCTATGATTGTCAAAATGCCAGCTATCACCAGTGAAGAACTCCAGGTGGCACAAATACTATGACCTGTCTCCTAACAGATCTCAGGAGGTATTCCATAGACATCGGATATCTGTGTCTTATGTCTCCAGTTTAATTGTAAATCCCCAAAGGACAGAACTGAGCCTGCTTCTTTGGTTTTCAAACAAAATGTCACATCCAGTGACATTTTGAAAATAAAACTTTGGCTCATAAATTTTAGAGCCAAGCATAGGATGCTGACAAGGGCCCTACCCAGCCAATGGACAGCAGCTTGGTGACTTCTGATCTCATTTTTACTTAGAAAAATTTCTCTAAAATCAATTTAGAGAGTTATGATCAGCACTAAAAAATAAATAAAATATAAGCAAAGGGAAAATATCCCAGTGAATTACCCTTCATAAGGATGAGGATTGCTTTGGGAAATGTTTTAGTATATGTGCACTGTGTCATAACCAGCATTTTGAAAACCATTGTGCAGCAGTGTAAGGACTCCATAGATGCTTGGTTTGGGGTCATTTAAATTGTCAAAGGAAGAGTGGAGGTAAAGATTTGTAAAGGAGCCTCTCTGTAAAATCATGAGGGTCCTTTTGTGGCTCCTGATCTTTGATCCATCAGTCTCAGAATGAGGTGTAAGCAAGCCATTAGGTTGCTGCATGAGTCTGGTTGGGCACCTCCTTCCCTCATTTTGAACAGTGAGATTAAGCCACAAACTCTCTGAGGAGGTTCAAATGCTGATGTAAGTCTCAGAGTGAACACAACCTATAAACACTACTATAAGTTTCAATCATGTAAATGGGAAGTTAATTATGATTGTCATAAACTGCTAGGTTCAACAACCTTCAATTTATTTTTTTAAATGTTAATGGAGTGCTTCCCCTGTGCCAGGATTGTGTAGCCTGAAAATACAGAGTTGAATGAGGTACAGGTTACAACTTAGAAGAGCTTATGATCTAATACAGGAGTTGGCAAACTACAGCCTGTGGGCCAAATCTGGCCTACAATCTGTTTGCATAAATAAAGTTTTATTGGAATTCAGCCAGGCCCATTGGTGTATGGATTGTCTATGGTTGATTTTGCACAGTCACGCACAGTTGCAACAGAGACCATATGGTCCACAAAGCCTAAATATTTA
This sequence comes from Homo sapiens, assembly GCF_000001405.40. Classification (NCBI taxonomy): domain Eukaryota; kingdom Metazoa; phylum Chordata; class Mammalia; order Primates; family Hominidae; genus Homo; species Homo sapiens. The sequence goes on from NC_000006.12 coordinate 132,128,727, forward strand.
CTGCTTGAACCCTTACAAAAAAAGTTTGCCAATCTTATCTAATGTTGTTTAAAATACATTTTTTTCTGTGAGATTTTCATATGCAAAAGTGACAACTATATCAAGAGCAATGGAATATTTTCCTTACTTTCATGACTGAACAACATAGATCACTAGTCTGATGGAGCAGCTTTAAGAAGATTCAAGAAGTGGCTCCAAAGAAAAACACTGTGATATTAATGAAATATTTCATGTTTTTCTGCCTTACACATACATAATTACCCTGACTGGAGTATGGAGGTCTGACTGCAAAGTTCCAATATTATCACACAAAAAAATTATAGGGCTAGCTAAATCAGCTGAATATTAGATCAGAGATCACCAAGGAGCTACTCATTGGCTGAGTGTGGCCCGTTGCCATCATACACTTGTCCTCAAATCTTGACTCTAAAATTTTTGAGACAAAATATTTGAAATTAACTCAATTTCACGTTAAAATAGAGTTTCCCATTTCTCTTGAAAAATCACAATTGAACAGCAGTAGGCCTCCATTTCTGCTTGAAGGTGACCCACTGGAGAAGCAGTTTCCACATTAGGACCAATGGGGTGTCCATGCTCCAGATTACTCCTATTTCTACCATTCCCCAAAGTGTTCTTGACTCAACATTAAGCATTGCTGGCCATTTAAAACATGCATAGGTTGTTATTTTCCTCAGTAAAGAACTTTCTCAGTAAGCGTTCTCTTTTAAAAGTAGGATAAATAAAGATGAAACAAGAAGATTATGTTTAAAAAATGAATTTTCTGGCCAGGTGCGGTGGCTCATGCCTGTAATCTCAGCTCTTTGGGAAGCCAAGGCGGGTGGATCACGAGGTCAGGAGTTCGAGACCAGCCTGGCCAAGATGGTGAAACCCCGTCTCTACTAAAAAGACAAAAATTAACCGGGCGTAGTGGTGGACACCTGTAATCCCAGATACTCAGGAGGCTGAGGCAGAGAATTTCTTGAACCCAGGAGGCAGAGGTTGCAGTGAGCTGAGATCACACCACTGCACTCCAGCCTGGGTGACAGAGTGAGACTATGTTTCAAAAAAAAAAAAAGAATTTTCTTACATTCAGCAGGCCCTTGGTATCAGCAGGGTGGGGATAAGGGTGAGGTTTGAGGAAGGGATTGGTTCTAAGACACAGATTGTTCAAGTTCCTTGTATAAATGTAGTATTTGCATGTAAGGTACACGCATCCTCCCTATATTTTAAATCGCCTCTAGATTACTTATAATACCTAATACAATGTAAATGGCATGTAAATGGCTATCTTATTTTTTTAATTGTATTATTTTTTATTGTTGTATTATTGTTTTCAAAAATATTTTCAATGCAAGGTTAATTGAATCTGCTAGTGTGGAACTGCGGATATGGAGAACTGACTGTATTTAATATGCAAGCAAAGAGTATGCAATCTGCAGCTATTTTGCTCACTTATGTTCTTTCCTAGACCATGTAGATACGATAGTTTGAGATTAGTGTCTTAGACCCATAAAGAAAAGCATCTGGACAAATATTTGGATTTATTTTAGTGGTTGAAACACACGATTGAAGAAGCTTGGAGACCACAGTCTTGGTAACCCAGAGGGGATCTGGGAGCTCATCACATCCAAACCTTCATTTTAGCAATAAAGCATCTGAAGCTTCCCCCACATCCTAGGAGAAATGATCTGGTCAAAAGCACAGTGTGTCAGCAGCCAAGGCCAACTCTCTAATTCCCACTCCAGGGGTGTTGAGAAAATGAGACCAATAGAGTGATAAAGAATTCCCCTGAAATAGCTGGGCAACTTGTAGGAACCTGTCAAACTTCTTCCTCCAGCGTAGCACAAATTTTAATTGGTGGTACCTAGAACAGTTTCCATTTTTGTGAAAAATGGCATCTGATCAATTTCCTCACTTCCAGTAGAGGCCGCCTGCTGTGGCTGCATTTCTACTGGCCAGTTCTCATTGGCCAGCATCTGCCTTCTTTTCCTGTGGAAATAGAACTTACGGGCAGGAGAAAGGACATATTTGGTAATGTTACGCTCCTCAGCTTCCTGCTCCGGCTGTCTCAGCTGCAAAATGTCAAGGGAAAAAATATCCCTCCAACTTGGAAGGAATTCCAGACAGACCCTGATGCCTGCAAATTTGTCAGAGGGAGCCAAGTCCAGAAAAGCAGAACATGAAGAAGGTTCATTATTTGACTTCAAGAGACATTCAAATAATCAGACACTCTGGTATTTATGATTTTCCCCATTTCAGATGGTCTGTAGTTCACAACATTCCCCTCCCTTTACCGCTGATTCTGAGCTTCCTTTTACGTTAAACCTCAACAGTTATAAAAAGACTCTCACATTACTTGTAAGCCACAGGCACTACTAGGAGACACTGTGTTCACACAGGGCTGTTTAGGGCTGGGGAAGGGCAGCTCTTTTTGATTATTAGTCTGGGGAGGCCAGGCCAGGAAGTCAGGCTCACTTCACCCTGACCACGCCACCGGAGTCCTCATGTAGCTCCCAAGTCTGTGCCAACGCTTCCTGCCACTCACAGCACCAAATGCGATGATCTTTACTAAAAAGCACTTATTTCCGTTGGCTTTCTTATTCATTTAGGCTTTTCTTTTCCTGGGGGGCAGTGGCGGGTGGAATAGCCAGTTTATCCTGACTTCCACATTGTGAATATTCCACCAGGACTGTTTATAAAGTTGAGTTTGGGGGGATCTTCATCTTTCTCCTGGCATTCAATGCATTTTCTGTCTCCTTTAGAACTGTTGCCACATGCTGGCAAAAAGATAAGGAAACTGAATTTGTAATCCAAACCTCGTTAAATTGCTGCACACACATTTTCCCTTCTACTTCTTGCTGTCTGTTTCTAAATGCCATGCTATCTGTTTGTACTCAGTCACCTGAAATCCTTATTTGGGTTCTCCAACAGGCACGAAGGCATCCAAATATCAATTTTAGTAATGGGTGGAAATGCCCACATGAGGAGTGGGATGTTCAGTCTTAACATGTGGTCTCTATGAATAAGGGTCTTCATTTTTTCTTTTCCTAAACGGTCCAGCTCCTCTACGCTGGTTTTGCTCCTCAACAGTCCAAGGTTTGTGCTACTTCCATGGTGATCATCTGTTAGGTCATAAACATTAGATTGTGGCATCACTGAATGAGTCAGTTGGGAGGAAGCTGGGCTGGAAATACAGCTGAGAGCCTCTGTTGACAGATGGATGCCTTCTTAATCACAGCCTGTGTGGGTAAAGGGAAAGCCTTGCCTGGCCAACCCCTCCCACTCCCACCCCCACCTCCTGCATTGATTCACAAACCTGGACTGCTCTGGAGGAGGCTGGGAAAGTCCATCCCCAGGGAATACCACTTTTTTCCTCTTCTGTGCCTCTCACAGGACACCCACATGACTAGGAGGAGGCAGAAAGTGAATAGGGAGCTCTTATTACTTTTTGAGTGTCAGCAAGGTAAACCTGCTTTCATTTGCTTTTCCAAATCCTAAACGTTTCCCTCTTAAACTGTTGATATTGTTAGCATTGTTCGTTTCTCAGTGTGTGTCCATCTGCCTTGTCTGTAAAATGGGCATAATAAGAGCTCACCTTTCAGAAAGCAGTGGGTAGGGCTAGATGGTATAATTATGTTCCCTTTCATCAGTTTTCCCTATCTCTACTAAGCACCAGGTGCTATTGGAAAAATTACCTTTTTATCAGATTTTTAAAATACAGTTGCCTGAGCACATATTTAATTTTAGAAGAAATAGTTTAATAGTTCTAAATGTGGGGTTTCAGAGAGCCCTATGTCAAGAGCCGCTGTACACTAGGTTGCTAGGAGACTGGACAGCCAAAGAAACAATGCCCTTTCCTGTGACCACTATCAAGAACTGCTCAGGATTCCTGCCAGCCTGTTAGCCTTTATCGTTCAGTCATTTTAGACCTCAAAAAGAACATTCCATCAAGGGATCAGGTTCTATCATCTCACTGGAATGCAATGTAAGACCCCAGAAACTCTAGTACAAACAAATTTACTATGGCTCAGATTAATAATAGATAGCACTTGAATGTGTGCCCCAGTTGTGCTCCCTCTCTGCTAAGGATAGGACAAATGAAAATAAATTGCAAATTCAGCAGGGAGATTCAGACCAAACATAAGGAAGAACTTCTGCCATTAAGGACATAGAAGTTGTGAAGTTTGCCCCTTGGGAAGAGTTGTTTAGATTAGCCTGAAAGAGCGTATTTGAAGGATGAAGATGCAGCCCTCACTGGCAATGGAGGACAAGGTGATATGATTTCCTAGGTTTTCTTCAAGACCCAAGATTCTCCTAGTTGTGGAAAAGTGACTCTGTGCATTACTCACCACTATTAAGATTGTTATTCATGATCAGGCCTGAGTGAAAGCCCGGCTACTCTTACATAACAAAGGCAGATTCTCAGTGTTGGAAGATAACTGAGGAGCCATTCATTTCATCCCTCTTCTTTCACCAGTGAAAAATCGGAGACACAAAGCATTCATTGCCACATGGCCAGCAGAAGAGCTGGGCCTAGGACCAGGACCCCTCAGGCTCTCTGTGCTGTGTGCTGTACTACACCATATTTTCACTAATAATATAGGTCTATTTAAAACATAGCTTCATCTCTGGACCACTGCAGATTTTACATTCTAAAAATGCTTTTATAAGAATTCTGTTTATGACATGAGCAGCACTGAAGCAGAAATCTGAGGAACTCTGGGGATTGGTGTGGCTAAAGATCACAATTTACAAGAATAGTTTAGGCAAAGCACAAAAGAGGAAATGTTATTTATATGAGCTCATTTCTACTCACCAAAACATTTAAAAATTAAACTCAAGACCCAACAACTTTTTCCTTTTCTTAGCCCAACATGAGAGGCTTACACATGTACCCCTTTTCCCCAAACTTGTGAACTTGTCTGATATGTAGTCTCAAGTTTATAAGCTTCCCTTAGAAAAAGTTCTATTTCATTTCTACAAATCATACTTCTCTCATTTTATAATCCTTGAAATGGATAGTGCTGCCTCATCTTAGATGAGGCATTCAACAGTTTTAATTTCTAAGTTATAAATTATTATTTCTTCTTCTTTTTTAAACGTCTTAGAGACAAATCTGTCTATTTCACATAGGAAGCCAGTTGAGTTGTTCCTCACGCTTTCCCCACGAAGCTGCATCTGAAGGACTTCCTCACCCCCCCGCTGTGATCACAAGTTATGCCTCACAGATTCATTTCCTTATGAATGACTTCAGGAAGCCAGCATTTTTAATAAATAGGAAGTAAATTATATTTAATGACTAAATTCTCACCTAAAGTTGATACTAATATTACAATAACTCTCTTGTGCCCTATTTTGGTGTTTTAAACTTCTTTGCTGTACATTTAAGAAAATCAGAATTTCAGTAGACTCCTCGTGCAGTCTGAGGAGGCAGTTTCCTATCTGGTTTGACTTAAGGGGCTGCAGAAGACATTCTTATCCCACATATTTCTTCTGCTGATCAGTCAGCAACTGAAATTCCAACTAATGGATTCCATTCTTCCAGTTAAGACATCATCTCCAGAAAACTGTGCTAGTTGGCATCCAGCAGTGCCCAAGTATTATTTAACCCACTAGAACCTGTGACTGCATCAGCTTTATATCCTGGACCTCAGCCTGGAACAAAGGAGAGCTACACTTGGATACTAAACACAAGTGGTCTGGATAGATTATGCTGGGAAAAGAAGCCTGGAGCAGGCAGTACAGTGGGAGAACAAGGTAAGAATCAGGTAAAAGTTGCTATCACTGAATCACAGCTTTCTCTTTACTTGTTTTGGGGGACTGTATTTATATTACTTGTCTCTCAAGCATCCTTAATATATTTATTTACTTTCTCAAAAGTCTTTACTGTCATTAATCTATTTGGATTTTCAAACTGAGTCAGAAGCATACATTATGATATCATTAACTTGAGGATATGCTGGAACCAAAATGTCCTTCTAGAATAAATGTGTATTGGAGTAAGTAAAAAACTTAAGGGGAAAAACAGGAGAGCTACTACTCAACTTTTATGGTGGTTTACATGTGTTAGGTGAGGCAAAAAAGAGGTAGAACATAAAAGAAAAGGAAATTTAGGTCATTTTTTAGGCTAAGAAAAATCAAGTTGGGGGAATTCAAGGACTGGAAACACCAGTACAAAGCTAAAGATACACTTTAATTCCAGAGATGGTGTCTTAGAAAATATAGTAGTCATTATAGAGACAGGCTGTTGAGTGATGACAATGCTAGGGCCATAGGAATGTTCCTGAAGAAATCAACATCCTTTATCTTACTATCGTTGGAGAGGTAGACTCTGATTGTATGGCACTTTTTTTTGATACTACTAGAAAATTATGCAAGACATCTCACAGAACAGAATCAGACTTGCAGCCCATGATAAAACAGAAGACTGTCTGTAACATCAAAGAAATACAGAAGATTTTATGGCTTGCTGTTTGTTTACCTATAAGGGAAATGCCCGAATGCCTAAAGTATATATTACATGTAGTTTGGCTGCACTTGAGGAAAAACTTGGATTTCTAACTTTTATCAAACAAAGAACGCATTGTCCCTGGTCCATATTGATTGGTGAAACACAGAAATTTTCCATTTATTATTCACTTTATTATTGCATTTATTTATTTTTGCCTACCATTTCTTTTTAAATTTCATTACACCTGTTTTCATGCATGCAGTGAAATCACTCCTTATACTTGGGGGAAAATGACAAGAAACGACAGCCACGGAATCTTCCTCTGGATATGAGAACAAAAATAGCTGTCAGAATAAATAGTGGCCACACCCATGTCACTTCTTCATGAGGTGACTTGGTGACTTCACAAGATAGGCCCCACCCCACCCATATGAAATGAGCACCATCTGGGCTGACCTCCTCTTTCGGGGTCTGTAATTACTGTACAAAGATGCAGGTGCGTCTATGAAAGCGAACTTTGTCGAGATCTCAGTGACACACTCTGCTTTTCCAAATTGCCTCAATTGGCAGTGAATATTAGAAAGAGTCATGGAATGTCTCTGGAAAGATACATAGGAGAACTAGTGACATTGGATCCTTGTGGGTAGGGAGACACTGTGTAAGTGCATCAAAGAGGCTGACTTTTCACTGTGCACACTCCTTCAGACCACTGGAAATTCGGAATTGTATACGGTGTGCATGTATTACCTCCTTAAAACTAGCTAGCTACCTATCTACCTACCTACCTACCCACCCACCTACCTTCCTACCTGGCTAATTCATTAGCTAAGTAAATTAATAAGGTGTTAAAAAAAAAGAAAAGCCAAATAACTGGAAACACTGAGATCTTCCTCTGTTGCTATTTAGCTAACTGTTCAATTTAACTCTTAAATAAGTTATTTCCTCCGAGTTTTTTTTTCTTTTCTTCCACAGAAACTCTGCACCTAAGCAACACTGGTTTCCTTGTTCTTCCCCAAACATGCCAGGCACATCCCAGCCTCAGCTTCTTTGCAAAAACAATTTCCAATGCCTGGAAAAATCTTGTTTTTGTTATCTCCATGGCTCGCATTTTGCTTAGTTTAAGTCTTGACTCAAATATCACTTTCTCAATAAGGCCTACCTTGACTGTCCTATTTAAAATTGCAAACTTAACACCCCAGAATTCCTCATATCCATTTTATCTTTCATAGTAATGATCTTCTTCTTTTTTTTTTTTTTTTTGAGATGGAGTTTTGCTCTTGTCGCCCAGTCTGGAGTGCAATGGCATGATCTTGGTTCACCGCAATCTCTGCCCCCAGGTTCAAGGGATTCTCCTGCCTCAGCCACCTGAGTAGTTGGGATTACAGGCATGTGCCACCATGCCTGGGTAATTTTGTATTTTTAGGTGAGATGGGGTTTCTCCATGTTGGTCAGGCTGGTCTCAAACTCCTGACCTCAGGTGATCCACCCGCCTCGGCCTCCCAAAGTGCTGGGATTACAGGCAAGCCACTGCACCCAGCCATAATGATCTTCTTTTTAAAGTACTATATAAGCATCTTAGTACTTAACATCTTTATTGTCTATATCAAACTCTAAAACCAAGCTCCATGAAGGCAAGGATTTGTCTTCAAATCTTTTGCTCTCTGTTACTTCCCCCAGCATCTAAGTACTGCTTAGCACTTACAGCTTTTCAAGAAATAATTGCTGAGTAAATAAAAGAACTAATGAGTTTTGCTTTCTAAATTTTTTATTCTTGATTGAATATTATTAAATGATTTGAGACTGACACATCTAGTTTTTAATTTGATGATTATTGTTAAGTTTTACAAAAACAGACTTCAATGTATATTTTGAAAATGAATTCAAGAATAGCATTTTCTACAAATGGCCAAGAGACATATGAAAAGATGTTCAACATCACTAGTCATCAGAGAAATGCAAATGAAAACCACAATGAATCTCACACCCATTAGAATGGCTGTTATCCAAAAAGCAAAAGATAAAAAGTGTTGGCGAGGATCTGGAGAGAAGAGAACTCTTGTACACTGTTAGGGGGCATGTAAATGGGTGCAGCTGCTTCGGCCGCTATGCAAAACAGCATGGAGGCTCCTCAATAAATTAAAAATAGAACTATCATATGATTCAGCAATCCCACTTCTGTTATTGATCCAAAAGAATTGAAAGCAAGATCTCTAAAAGGTAATTGAACTCTCACGTTCACTGTGGCATTATTCACAATAGCCAAGACATGTAATCAATCTAAATGTCCATCGACTGATGAATGGATAAAGAAATGTGATATATATATACAATGGAATATTATTTAACCTTAGAAAAGAAGTAATACTGCCTTTGGTGACAACATGGATGAACCTGGAAGACATCATGCTAGTGAAACAAGCCAGGCACAGAAAGACAAATATTGTATGATTTAAGTTATATGTGGAATCTAAAATAGTCAAACTCATAGTAATAGAGAATAGAATGATGGTTACCGGGAGTTGGAGGGGGTGGTGAGAGAAATGGGAAGTTATTGCTCCAAGTGCACAAAGTTTCTGTTATATACAATGAACAAGCCCTGGAGATCTACTGTATAGTGTAGTGTCTATAGTTACAAGTACTGTATTATATACTTAAAAATTTGGTAAGAGGATAGATCTTATGTTAAGTGTTCTTATCACAAATAATAAAGAGGGTGAGAGAAAACTTTCGGAGACAATGGATAAGTTTATTGCATAGATTGTGGTGATGATTTCACAGATGTGTACTTATCTCCAAACTAAAGTTGTATACATTCAATATGTGCTGTTATTTTTTGTCAGTTATACCTTTAAAAAGTGGGGTTTTTAAGTGACCTTCTCTAGTTGTGAAGTACACCTTCTTCCACTTGACAACTTGTCTGCCAAGCCCATATCCTAATCTTTGTTAACAGATCCTTTACATCTAGATTATTGTTATTAAGATATCATTTTCTGTTGATCAATTTTTTACTTTGGAGGATATCTTTAAGATAATCATTCTCTTTTGAGCAAATGTATCATCATTGTTTGAATGTATCCCTGTTTACAAGCTTTCAACACTCATCACCTGAAACAGGTTTCATTTCATCAACTAGAGTAGTCAACTAGAGACTTCAAACAGGAGGAGACTTAAACATAGGGAATTAGGCACCAAAAAAGTCCATTTGAGGAGTGAGGGCCAGACAAAGCCACTGTAACCTTTGAGGAATTCAGGAAGTTGCAAGAATCATAAGAAACTACCCTATGACTCTTGATCTCAGCCACAGCTGTGGCACTGGGGCAGGTTTTCAGCAAATTTCCCAGAAGCTGCTGTAAAATCCCGTATCTGTTGTCTGTTCCATTCCCCACATTGCCCACTACTGCTAAAAAGGAAATGACAGCTTCTGCTTCTCCCCTTTCTGTAGAATTCATCTTTCCCAACGTGCTCTAAATTATAAACGAGCAAAGGATTTCCATTTTCAAACCCCACAGGTTCCTCCATGTACAGATTTCCATAAGCCTCAAACCTGAAAGAAATAGAAAGCAAATTGAATTCCTCCTCAAAAGTCTACCAGTTTGTTTTGGTGGTCACTGCTACTAAGTTCTACTGATGTGCACATTCTGTAGGTAAACCCCAGAGATGAGCACATCATGTTCATGTCTCTCTTCCTTGATGACCATGGCATGCTCATCCAGATTGTCTATTTCTACTCCCAACACAGTAAATATCATGGGAGGCAATCCTTAAGTTACAGAACATAATTCACATAATATTCCTGTACCATAGGTTAAGAAAATGAGCACATATTGTTCTTTTAATTTAATAATTGTCCCGTATTGGCCAGTCATGGTGGCTCATGCCTGTAATCTCAGCACTTTGGGAGCCCAAGGTGGGCAGATCACTTGAGCCCAGGAGTTCAAGACCAGCCTGGGCAACATGGCAAAACCCTGTCTACCCAAAAATCACACACGAAAAATTGCCAGGCATGGTGGTGCACGCCTGTGGTCCCAGCTACTCAGGAGGATGAAGTGGGAGGATTGCTTGGGCCTGGGAAGTCAAGACTGTAGTGAGCCATGATTGCACCACTGCACTCCAGTCTGGGTGACAGAGAGATCCTGTCTCAAAATAATAATAATAATAATAATAATAATAATAATAATCCATTATATTTCTTATAAGTCCCCTCTCTACCTCAGTTGCCTTGTCTATAAGAGGAGGATACAGTAATACTTATTTCATAAGATTATTGTGAGAATTACATGGAACTTCATCTGCCTATCTATCTACCTAGCTATGTATGTATGTATGTATGATGTATGTATGTATGTATGTATGTATCTATCTATCTATCTATCTATCTAGAGTTTGGAAGAGTGCCTGGACCATTGCAAATGCATAGTACAAGATAGCTACTATTATTACTATTGCCGTTGTCATCATAATCATCCCTCTTTTCTGTAAAAAGTAATGGGTTTATATGTCAGATAAATATGTTGAACTTAATTCTCTTTATGTGTCCCTGAACCTATCTAAGCCTTTTCCATGGTCTCTTCATGTGAAAAGTGTGGTTCTTCCCTGCTTAAATATGAACTTGGCCATGTGACATGTTTTGATCAATAGCATATGAGCAGAAGTGACAATATGCCAGTTCTAAGCCTAGGCCTTAAAAGCTCTGTAAGTGTATTTCCACTTGCACCTTTGCATTTGTGTCACTGACATGAGAAGATTCCTTTTAGGTCGCTCCTGCCCCTTCAGCCTGAGCCCCAGAATGAATACACATAGGCTAGAGATGCATTGGTCAATTCACAGAATCACAGTGAGAAAAAAAAGCCACCAGCCAAGTCCAACCTAGATCATCTGAACCCCATCCTTCCCACATAGGTGTAAGCAATAAGTAATTGCTGTTTAAAGCCCCCTGTGCTTTGGGGTGGTTTGTTATGCAGCAGTGGTGAACTAATACACTTAATTTCAGATGCATCTACCAGTGACTGAGTCAAATGATGACACCTGCTCTTCAGCCAAGTCATATTGCATGTTTTGCCCAAATGCTGGCCATGACTCTTTGTGAACATTGCACAGAGTAGTGCTGCAAGAACTTGAGTGGGTTTGGGGAGAGGCAAGGATCGGTGCCAGTTTCTGCCTTCTGTGTTTTTGCCGCCTTCAACAGTCTGCCAGCTGGTGCAGCTGCACCTTTTGGACAAATGATATGCTATCCTGGGCATTAGCCTAAATGGTACCACACATGCAAAGAGCCACAGCTGCTATTTGTTGTGCTTCTTGCTATTCTTGGCTCTGTTGCATTGCCTAAGGGTGGCATAGATTTCTACACATGAAGCGTGGCTTTCCAAGATTCACAGATAGAACTTTGATCAATACAGCTACTAATGATGATGACTGTGCATGGGAAAATAGGGTAGAATCATTTCTAAATAGCCTAAGATTGTTTTGGAGTAAGAAGAATGTAAATTAATTAATCCTATAAACATGCATGCTATAGCATTGTATGGTTTGTCCTTCCAGGAAAAAGCTAAAACCTCACCTATATTGTTAATATATATATATTTTTTACATTATTTAAATGAGTGAATTTTTGCTTCCTTTGTTGGTTTTGCATAAAGATATTCATATTAGCATAATGTAGATAAATCTCATGAGTTAATTATTCACTAAATCAAATTTAAAATTAGTTTCCATTTCTAAGTCAAAGGTTGAGTTGTTCCACATGTGTTGTGTGGAATAATTGAAAATCATTATTAATTAGTACATGCTGCTGGTGACTGAGATCCCTCTCAAAAATTTCTGAGCTTGGTTTGAAACCTAAAAATAAGAAAATAAGAATAAACATAAGTTCAATCTACAATCCATAGAAACGACATTGTATTTCTAGTCCTTTTAAAACTTAACCAAAAGTCTTTATTGATTCACCACATTTGCCAGTACAATGCAGATGGGAAAATGAATAAAGGAAGAAAAAAATTTTATATATGGCCCAGCTACAGGGCCATACTTTAAGAGAATGGAACATAACCCTGCTTCAGAGCACTTTTAATGAAAATACAGACAAATAAATATATAGTGTAGTTGTTCTCGACCCTGGTTGCAAATTAAGTACATGGAGAGCTTTCCAAAATTATAGATGCTGAGCTCTACCCAAGATTTCTAATTTAGTTGGTCCTGTGTGGGACCAAGGAATTGGTACTTTATGGAAGCTCCCAAGGGATTCCAATGTGTGGAGTTAGATACAGTAGTATTAAGATATTTTGAAGTCATCATAATTCCAAGAGGATGCTAACATGGTTACAATGACTACTTTCAGATTTCTTCAGAGGGGGTTCATAGAGGAATTGACTTAAAAGTAGAGCCTTAAAGGAAAGAAGCTACATCATGGAATGACGTGGAAAAGTATTTTTCTTTTTAAATCAGTTACATAATTTGGGTTTTCTCAAGTTTTGCCATTTTAATCAGCAGAACTTAGATTAATTAATTTGTGAGATGCTTATCTTTGCCTATTAATTTCCTCTATTGATATTTTTACTTGCTATCAATTGCGATTGCTTTTTCATATCTGTCTTCTTTTGTAAAGTGATGACTTTAGTCAGAAGTGTGCTGGAGCAGTTTGCAGAGCCTTGCAAAATTGATGGTGCCTATCTATTTCCAGCTCTATGTTCATCAATGCCAGATCGGCAGACTGAAATCAGCCGTGATAAAAATGTTTACACTATGGAAATTGGCAAATACTAAAAATCATCAGATACTCTCTCACCCCAGACATGATCAATCATTCAATAGTACACAACTGATTTCAGTGGAAGAGAGTTATGGTACATAAATGATTTTTAGTTCTTCATGTTAGATGTCTTAAAATTATAAGTCTCAACTTTCAAGTACCTATTAATCTCAAAAAAATTAAACCTATATTTTACAAGAAAGCCTCTTCTGTATTTTTTATTATATTTCCTTTTGAATCCCCCGCCCCATTTCACTCTTACCACCTAAAACAGAAACTCCCACATCTTCTATGCTCAGAGGAGATTTACTTGTGTTAGCTTAAGAATCATTTCATGTTTTCTCATGCCTGCCTTCATACCACCCCATACCACAGTTTTCAGGTTTTAATTTAAGCTCCACAGCAGCCCTTTTCTGTTCGATGAGAAAAGATAACCAAGAAAATAAATTAGGAGTCTTATGATTGACCCTAGTTTTTTTGTTATTCAAGGAAACCCAAAATGAAGCAAAATAACAAAAAATTGCCAAGGAAAACATTTTCAGCCATTTCAATTACTGTTTTAATTGGCTGGGTCTGGCTTCCAGATTATCCTGTAATCTCTACAAGAATGTTATTTGGAAAAAGCTGAAATATGCCCTGCATGGAAGCCACATCCATCCCTTCAGCACATTCTAGTTGGAATAACCTTCTCTCAGAATACTGGAATCATATTGGAGTAAAATTGGAAGTTCCTGGAAAAATTTAATCCATAGATTATATAAAAGCTGAATTCACTATCAGCATATTATTGAATGTACACTAAAAAATGTAGTGTGCCTGAATCCAAGATAAAGAAAAGTAATGATATTGTGATGTTTGTATAACAAATACCTTTAGACAATGTGCAGGCTTGTGCATGCCCACTTGTATGTGCCCATTTATGTGTGCACAACTGGGCATGTGCTTTGACTGTGTGTGTCTGTGTGTGTATTAAATAACAGGACAATAGAATGAAGAGAATGTTTGAAATTATTTGAATGGTTTCATAAAAACTTCTTGGGATGTGGAATGTGTTTTACTAAGATTACACCAAGAAATGGCACTGGCTGCTTATCAGACTTGTGGGTTCAAAGAAAGGAAATCTTTTTTGTTTGTTTTAATTAAATGGGTCCTGAAAACATTGGTATTAAAAATAGATGATTACACCCTCAGATTGCCATTTTGATGTGTTCTCATACAAGTGGGATGAAGAGCTACTGTGCACATTAGTTTAAAAAGACTATTTGTAGTCAGGTTCTATACATGGACTCTAGAAAATGCACAAAAAATATATATGTGACTCTGGCAACCAGTTGGTTTTTTTACCCTAGACTGGTCTCCTTTTTGAATTTGGATTGTTTGGCACAATATTGAAATTATGAATTTTAAACTGACATCAAATCCTGCTGCATCTGTTTCTTATGTTGGGACAGGACCACTGTGAAGGAGCACACCGTTAAATATCCATGAGAATGTGTCCCAAGGCTGAGCTCTACAGCACACATCATCTGCCCTCTAGAGCCCCAGCTTTGCAGAGGTTGAGCCCTAGAACAGCAGCAGCAGCACTCTCTGAGAGCCTGCTAAAAAGGCAGAATCTCAGGCCCCATTCAGACCACCTGGATCAAAATCTGCAATGTAACAAAATCTCCTGATATGATAATATTGGAGAAGCACAGGCCTAAATTATTTTGACTATTTGTTTAGAAGTGAAAGCAAATACGTGTATCTACTCAGTGTCAATATCAAGAATCTTATAGAAACTATAGTATTTGCTGGAGTATTTATCATTAGCTTTAAGTATAAGATACTCTGTGGTGTTTCAGCAATTAGTAAAAACACCATCCACCCATTTTTTCAAAAGTTGTATTGCCAAGATTATTAAACCTGTTGTATGCACTAAAAGATTGCAACGACTATGTGGTTGTAGTCAGAAGTTGTGTTGTGGCTGCTCAGAGTAATTACTTCTCTGAGAATTTATTCTGTGGTGTCACAAAGCGGTGTGGAAAAGTTTGTTAATACTTACCACGGTTCAATCACTGGAACTGGTTCCAGTGCGCATATATACTCTGATCAGCTTTTACACAGGAGTCTGTGGCAGAGAAAAAAGTAGCTAGCAAGGTCCAGTCTGCATGACTTAAACCATAATGGTGCTAATTCACTAAAAATTCACAAATCTGATTAATCTTTAGATCTGAAGTTACTGAAAGAGAGGATGGGGATAGAAGGAGAGAGAGAAAGAAAGAAAGTGAGTTGGGGGGGAGAGAGAGAGAGAAATTGGGGGAGGAAGAGAGAGGGAGAGAAAGAAGAAAAATCCACTACCTAAGAATGATAATGATGATGATGATATGAAGATGAACGTGATTTCAAAACCCTCCCCTGTTTCCAATTCTTCAAACAGTTGTTCCTACTTATTGGACTTCATTACAGCCAATTGCAGTCTGAATAGAAATAAACACAAAACTATATACCAAAACTATTCTGAGTGTCTGAAAAAAATGAGACTGATCAGTTAAATCAAGAATTCTCAAAGTCTGAGAGTTCTGTAATCCTTCTGTTTCCATATTAAAACACTTTCCTCCTAAGATCCATGACACAAGGAAAGCTACAGCCAAATGCAAATCTTCATTCCTACATAGTGCTCTCCTGAGTCCTTGCCTTCTTCCTTATCTTGGTGAACCTTCAGAACACCCTGGAAGGAAATGGAAACCACCATGTTATCTCCCAGTTCTTCTCACTTCCTCCCCAAAAAGATCAGCCTGGAGTCAGTTCCCAACTTTCTCACTTCTGGTTCCTCTGAGCTCTCCAGACCCAAGGAGTTCTTCTTAAACAATTTGCCAACACCCAACTCCATCCTCAAAGAGAGGAAGACCCTCCAAAAGGCCCAGGAACCTGAGCAATGCAGCAGTTAGAACACAGGGCTCCAGCAACAGAGAGATCAGGGTTTGTGTCCCAGCTTAGTAGCTTGGTGGCTTTGGACAAGAATGTTCTTCTAAGTTTTTTTCCTCTATTAAAAAACCCCATCTATTTCAGAAAATCTTGTGAATACTAAACGAAAGATCGTACAGTTCAAGTTCTTAGGAAATGTGTATAATAAATGGTAACTCCTCTTTTTCCCACACTACCTCCAAGTTTCTTTTCTCTCTCCCCTTTCTCTCCTTCAGTCTTTTCCTTCTCTCTCTTTACCTACACTAATTTCCCTCTTCTACCATCACCACTGTTTATGCTCAAGCCCAAAATGCCCACAAGCAAAATATCACAAGCCAAAATAATGTTTCAACAAAAAAGAGTCACAGATCCCCAAAGATCATGTGTCCACAGGGACCATCAGCTATTTCTTACATTTCTGGTTAATGATCCGTTTACTTCTATAAACTATAGTTTTCTCAATTTCCCATGAGCATTTGTGATGCTCAGGCTTAATAGGATCTGGCTGAATGAACACCACACAGAGTGAATACTTCAACTTCCCTCAATCTTTGCAGTTTCCAATGAAATTGTATGGCATTATCAGACTTGAGTGTAATTCTGTTATCTCTCCTGTATCTCTTGACTTCTTCATCCCACACAGAGACTTCCCTGTAAAGATTGAGTGGAGTGTGGAATGAGACTGAGACATTCACAACAATGCCTGAACCTCTTAGCAACCAGAATTCCAATCGCAAACTGAACATGACAATCCTTTAAAAGTCCACATGCTTTTTCGCACGTTGTTGTCCCCTTTTAGAGTAGCGCTTTTCAACTTCCTGTCCTGGCATCGAGTTGTTTAAATCAATGACCATAAAGTGTATTGGTTCTAATAATTCTTAGAGTACTGAGTTGTGAATGAGTTAGTTTTTATAATATCAATTAAAATGATTTAAAGTTTATTCTAGTGGTAGTATTTCTCTCAGTGCTGTGGTCTGAATGTGTCCTTCCAAAATTCATATGCTAAAATCTAACCTCCAAGGTGAGTGTCGTAAAAGGTGGGACCTTTGGAATGTGATTAGGTTATGAGGGCAGAGCTCTCATGGGTGAGAATATTGTTGCCATTATAAAAGAGGCCTGGGGGAGCTTGTTCACCTTTCCCACAATGTAAAGATGCAGTTAGAGAGTGCATCTTTGAAACAGAGAGGAAGCCCTCATCAGACACTGAATCTGTGGTGCGTTGATCATGGACTTCCCAGCCTCCAAAACTGTGAGCAGTAAATTCTCTTGTGTATAAATTACCCAGTCTAAGGTATTTTGTTATAGCAGCACAAATGGACTAAGACTGTCGCTTGCATTCTCTTGTGCTTTGCAGGAGAGAATGGAGTTGCAGCAGACTGCTCAGGAATTGTACATCACCAGTAGCTTCTGTCTCAGCTAAGTGTGGGAGACTGATACTGATGAGCCATTAACAATGGTGGAGATTCTGAATCACTGAAGCACTTGATAAAAGAAATGTCGTGGGTGATGTGAAAATCTACATATGCCCATGAGAGTATATTGAGTTTGTAAGTGTTGTTGCTTAGTGTGTCACAGAGAAGTTTATAAGAAACTATTTTGGAGTAAGAAACAACACAGAAGAACACAGTTTCAGCCTGAAATGGCTTATTTAGCCACTGACCATCAGAAACAATTACTTTTTACCTTAACCTAGATTTGTAATAGCAGGATGCATTGAATTCCTTCATTGAAGTGAAACCTTAGCAAATCTTTAAGTAGTACTCTAAAGTGACAAAAGGTGTTTACATTTACTAATGTAAATTTCTTGTGGAGATAAAGTTTTTATTCTTCTTGGGTCTCAAGACTGCTCAAGAAGGAACCATCGTTTGTTCTACACTGCTCTGTTCTAAATGTTTGTTCCCCCAATATTCATATGTTGAAATTCTAACCCCCAAGGAGATAGTATTAGGAGGTGGGGCCTTCGGGACATGATAAGGTCATGAGGATGAAGCCCTCAAGAATAAGATTCATTGCCTTATAAAGAAAAACCAGAAAGATCCCTCATTTCTTCAATCATAAGAAGACACATGAGCAAGAAGACGGCCAGCTATGAAGCAGGTCGTGGGCCCTCGCCAGACACTGAATCTGCCAACACTTTGATCTTGGATTTCCTAGCCTGCAGAACTGTGAGAAATAAATTTCTTTTCTTTATAATCCACTCAGTCTAAGGTACTTTGTTCTAGCAGCCTGAATGTACTGCGACATAACACTCCCTTGCTGTTTTATTGTTGAGAAAGGAGGAAGGGTAGGTCTTTTATTGTTGAATAAGGTGGGGAGGAGAGGACTTTTGGGGTGAGCACCGTGTGCTTATTGCTGCTTGGAGTGGACTCTTTCTCACCCTATATTTATGTGTTAAATGGAGTAGGATGTGATTGGGCATGTGGTTTTCAGCTACATTAAAGTAGCTTCTTTGGGCTGTGTGAGAGACACTAAATACCATTTCATAAACACTGAAAAAGAAGTCTCTCTTTAGATAAACATTCAGCAGAGCAAGGATTTTGGAGATGCTAATTAATACCTTACATTTATATAGAGCATATCCATTTTATACTTTGAAAAATACGATTTTATATAACCTGACATGGCAGCCAAGATGCAGAAAGCAAACTAAGAGTCACATTCAGTAAGAGTAGTATTCTTACAGCAGGAAATAATTATGGTCAGCAATGTGGGAGGAGAGTCATCCCAAAGTTAGCTGACTAGAGTGGATTAAGTTCACATCTGGCTAATGAGACTATCCAAAAACGAGTCTGGGAATGCATGGAAGCATTCGACAGTGCTGTCATTTTGGTTCTGTCCTTGTGAGCCTCAGCTGGCAGTGTTTCATTGGTGCATTCATTATGACATCATTTTATGGCTGAGCAATTTGCAGGCCAAAAAGACCTGAGACTCCCTGGGGTGAAGGGAAATGCCACAGACATCCATGGTCTTGGATGCTCAGTGAGTAAACTGGGATTTTTAAGCAGTTCCTAGGGCCTGAGAAATAGTTGGTCAGAACCCAGGCCTACACCCTTTTGCCTGAGCTGTTTCAGGGAGGAGTTGGATACATCTACACATCCCATACTGGCCCCACATGTCCCTAATACATAACAGCAAAGAAGACTAATATGGCAGGAGATGTTGCCATATTGAACTGAACTCTTTAATGGAATATGCTGATGTGAGGAGCCTGAAGATTAAGACCCTTTTGCCTTGTTTCACTGATGCCAATTAACACTGTGTCATAATGTTGGCATGCATGAGACACAAGCAATTTTACTCTAGGAAGAGAAAGAAATTCAAGAATTTTTTTCCTGTATATATAAGCCTTCATATATTGCACTATTTTAAGTATTATATGGAAAGATGCCCTTCAGGTCTCTTTCTTCACACACACACACACACACACACACACACACAATCACCCATCCTGGACATCCTATCTACTTTCCTGTATTGACCTCTCATAACTCTCAGAATTTTGCATGTTATCTAAAATAGGCTTACTTCTGTCCATCATACCTTTATTCCACATTTCCACCACTGTCCCAGCCTATTATCACCACACTCATCTTCAAGACAACTGCAAAGACGTGAAAAGCCTCCTTCAAGACAATTGAAAAGTTGGATATTTCATATCCAACTAGAAAATGACTTTGTCTCCTAGCTTCTAGAAACTTGCTTTTGCCTCTCTCATTCTACATTCCATTCCATCTTGTGTTATCATTTGAGTACATATGCAAAGATATGGGGTACACACTTAAATGTATGTTAAAATTTGGAAGTGATTTATTAGCTGTTATCATAGGCAGCTTTGCTTGTGAAAGACAAAGCTGATCTGTATTTTTTATTTCAATTAACTTGGCTTGTCTTTGTGTGACTGAACACAGCTAATCAAAGTATTATATGCATATATGTAGAGCCAGGTAATATAAAGACCATGTAGAGAAACTACTGTATTTGCAAATTGATCATACTACTATAATCCCTTGCTTTGGCTATAATATCCATGGACGTCAAAGTCAGAGATATGATTTGCTAGAGGGCTCATGAGAATAATGCTCTTTTGTCTATTGGAATTATTCTAACTAAATCTAATCAGTTTTTGGGGGTGGTTACATGATGTCAAGTTAGATATTAGCTGAACATAAATAAATGAATGGTATTCTTTACTTATATACATATCATTAGTTCTATATCAACATGTTTAATTTATCAAACATAAGCAGAAACTGTGGTTCTTTTGGCAGCTATTAATTTGCCTGTCTGCTTCTTCACAAGATGTATATTATTATCTTATGACTCTGTCCCACATAAATAATGTGAACATTACTTATTCCTAATAAGAAGTACTCAGTTTTAAGATACTGCACACTCTTTCAAGTATTAGCTTACTGTTATATTTGTAAAATATAAATAAACCTACAGTAATGTTATAAAAAAGATGACTATTTTCAAAAGCAAACCAAGAAATCCAAGTTTTAGCAAGGTGCTCATTCTCATGTTGAATCTAAAATTTCTGTTACAAATTACAGTCTGATTTAATGCCTGCTTTAAGAAAAAATATTGTACCAAACTAAGGTTGCTTTAAACAATATGTGTAAAGTTTAGTGTCTCTTGTAGGATGACTGCAATACAATATTTATTTTAAAAGACCATGAAAATGAGACAAAAAGCAGTTAATACTTACAGTGCCAGTCAAAGCCATTTTTATGTTATTATAAATTGCCAGACATATTTTATCATTTAAAAAGTGTACATGTTTTAGTGACAAGTAATGTAGCATCTTAAAAGAACATGGCCTTTGGCTTTAGACAGACTCAGATTCAAATTACAGTGTTGTCATTTAATAGGTTTGTGCCATTGGGTGACAAAACTTCAACCTAACCTCAGATTCTTCCTCTGTGGAAAGGGACTAATGATAATTTTTTAAAAAGCTATAGTGACATGTTCAATGAAGCACTATTCATAATAGCAAAACTAGAATACAACCTCAGTGTCCAATTCCAGTTGTATTCATCAGTTACTGTCACATCAATACATGTAAAAAACCATCTCCAGGCCAGGCATGGTGGCTCACACCTGTAATCTCAGCAGTTTGGGAGGCCAAGGCATGTGGATCACGAGGTCAGGAGATCGAGACCATCCTGGCCAACATGGTGAAACCTCGTTTCTACTGTAAATACAAAAATTAGCTGGGTGTAGTGGCGCGTGCCTGTAGTTCTGCTGAGGCAGGATAATCCGTTGAAGCTGGGAGGCGAAGGTTGCAGTGAGACGAGATCGCACCACTGCATTCCAGCCTGGGCAACAGAGTGAGACTCCATCTCATAAAACAAACAAAAAAACCCATCTCCAAACACCATGGTTTGCTACAGCAAGCATTTATTCCAATGCTCGTGGGTCTGCAAATCAACAAAGATTAGCCTACCTCAACGAGGCACAAATGGGCAGCTCTGCAGTGGTGGGGCTTGGCACCAAGGCCCAATTTGGGTTCAGGTTTGTTCCATGTATGCTTATTTGGGGACCCAAGCTTAAAGGACGGCAACTACCTATGGTGAATCATCAAAGCACCAGAGACAAACTAATTGGGGTAAGCACAATTAAGATCTCTGCACAAAATCCATTAACTTCCATTGGTCAAATTAAGTTCCATGGCCAAGCTCAGTATAAACAGAAAGTCTTCTATAGTCAGAAGGGAGGAAAGGAAATATGTGCTGCACAATTATCCAAATACCACAATGGCTAAGTAGTAACTGATTTAATGATTAAGCAGCATTCATATGACAAAAGGCTACTTATCCATTAAAAATGTAATTAGAAAAAAATGACTGGCAGAGTAGTATTCTTATGATCTACTTTCAAGGAAAAAAGTAAGTTATCAAAAGATACATACACAGAAAATTATAGAAAGGTTTGGGAATGAAATATTACCAGTAGTTACCTTTGAGGAATGAGATATTGGATGGTTTTGATTATTTCCCCTCTACACGCTTTTCAATGTTTTCCAAGTCAGCTGAACAGATTACATATTATTTTTGTTATTTTAAATAATTAATTAATAAAATGTTCTTCCAACTTTAGAAAAACATAAACTCTTATTTGAGGCAATAGCATCACCACATTAATATGGCTAGATGAGAAAAAAAGTGAAAGTATGTTGTGATTATAAAGCATAAAGCAAATATAAGGGATTTAAAAAAAATAATTTCATTTATGTCTCGAATTCCAGCATTCTATACTGTTTCCTGGGTGCATGAAAAATGTCTTTATCTCATCCTCATTCTCAAAAGATAATTTTACTGAGTATAAGATTCTAGCTTGACATAAATTTTCTTTCAGAGCTGTGAAGATATTATTCTGGCATCCATTGTTGTTAATGGGAAGTCTACTTCAGTTTAATTTTCATTTGTTTAAAGTTATTTTATCTTGTGTCTCTTTTTAAGATCTTTTTGTCTTTGGTGTTCTGCTGTTTGATTGCAATGTGTCTAAAAGTGTGTGTGTGTGTGTGTGTGTGTGTGTGTGTGTGTGTTTTATTCTACTTTATATTAGCATTTGTTGGATTTCCTGAAACTAAAGATTGCAGTCCATAACAATGCTAGAAAATCCCACATCACTAACTCTTTGAGTATTTCCTTGTTCCCATTCTCTCTCTCTCTTTCTACTTCTGAAACTTCAATTACCTTCTCTACCTTCTGTTTTGCTTAACTATCTTTCCTATTTTCAATCTCTTTCTCCCTATATTATATTCTCAAGAATGCCTTTATTTCCAGACTGATCATTTGGTTCTTTTTTCAAATCTACCTAGTGATTTCTGAAAAATCTCTTATTCTTCATCATCTTACTATGTTCTTACTCTTTTTGAAAGATGAGGCTGATATTTACTTCAAAGTATATATGTGTCTTTCCAAAATCTGCAACATTTTGAGCTGGAATCATCAGGTTGACTTTTCTTTTCCGGTCATTCTCATTCACATTTGCTTGCATGGTCTCAATCTCCTGAGAACATCCTTTCTTAGTTCATCAACTAGGGATGTCACCTTTTGGAGACTTTTGATTTGAGGCTGTTTCTTTGCTTTTCCATTTTCCCTTGCACAGACCAGGCTTTGTTTCTACTCTGTCCATGCAGTTCTGGGCTACCAGGAATGGCAGATGTCCTTAGGGCAAACAATGGCTTTTGAACTTGTCTACTTTCTGGAGTCACACCTTTTTTCATTTCTGCCCATCAAGATTTTTTTGACTTGTTTATCAGACAAATAACACAAAAATGTATTATTTTACAAAACTTCATTCAGTATTTTTAGGCATTGTTTACTGGAAGGGTTTTTTATAAACAACGATCCTACTATATTTTCAGAAGTAAAAGTGCCTAATCGTCTTTTAAATTATCTTCTTCCTCTATATGAATGAACACCTTTCATAGATATGCTTTGTGTTATGGATGTAGAAATCCCTGACACCTACTATAGTACCAGACACATATAAAGAATAAGGAAGTGGTGAAACCCTGTCTCTACTAAAAATACAAAAAATTAGCCGGGCGTGGTGGCAGGCACATGTAGTCCCAGCTAATCGAGGCTGAGGCAGGAGAATGGCGTGAACCCGGGAGGCAGAGCTTGCCGTGAGCCGAGATTGCACCACTGCACTTCAGCCTGGGTGACAGAGCGAGACTCCATCTCAAAAAAAAAAAAAAAAAAAAAAGAATAAGGAAGAAATTAATGGAATCAATTATATAATCTTAGAGCATAAGGTCTTTGAAAACTATAAACCATTTTAGAAATGTAGGACATTAGTACTTCCCCAAGGGATTTAGAAGTCATACTAAGTTTTTATTTTACCATAAAGGTTCCTAAATGAGATTTCATAGCCCAGTGAACATTTTAATTATTTGAAAATTAAACTGTCAAAATTTGGCTAAAAGTCTATAATTTATACATAACCAAATATATTTTTTAAAAAATTTATGACAACTGGCAAAAAGATTACATTTGATATTAGAATATTATGTTTTAGTCACCTTGCTCTTTTACTTAATTGTCAGACCCAAGGAGAAGACAACCTATGGGTTTCTTTATCCCTAACATTGATTTATTTGGTAAAAATGTTTTGCCCTGTACACAAATGAGCACGTATAATAGAGGATAACAAAAATGATTCATGCAGGAAACTCATATATTTTAGGGAAACATTTTAGGCCTGGGTCTTAAAGGAAGACTTTAGGCATAGTGATTTATTTTCAACTTTAATCTGCTGTTTATGGCCTGATAAAAAAAAACTTGTTTCCATTTTTTCGTGCTTTTCTAAAAGAATATTCACAATACGTGTAAAGCCAAGCATTTAAACATAGAAATGTGAAATTTTCCATATGCTTTTGCTGGGGGATATATATGCTTTTTTAAAACTCCATTGATGAAAATTCCTGGGTAAAAAGCAGACGTGTGTATGTGTGTGTGTGTGTGTGTGCGTGTGTGTGTTGTGTCTACTTGTGTATTTACTCGTTTGTGGTTCACATATTTTGCGGTTGAATTATCCAGTTTGTTCCCTCCCTTCTGATGAAGTCTTGCATTCCAACTTCATTGCAGTGTGCAGTTCGTCTGTGTGGTTTGCTTTTTCTTGCATCTGAAAATAATTTGGGAGAAACAGAAACATAAAATTTGATTTAACCTGAAAAATCTTTTCTTCATTTCTTTTTAAAATATGACCAGTTCAGGCCTTTCTATATAAGGATAAAGAGTCAAAGTCAGGCTAATCCAGGAAAAATGTGAGCCTGAAGAGTTCCTCAAATCCGATATTTGAGCAAACCAATCCCAAAATATCCAAGACTTATTCCTTGGCTCCGAGAACTGCAACATCATAGGGATGGCTTTTTCCCATTATTGGCAGTTCTTTTGCTTGTTCACACTTTGCCATTGAGGTTTTCTTCTCAAGATTCTTCTCGAGAAGATGGAGTTTAACTATAACGAACACTGTATTCCTAAAGTCACAAGAGGTGCAGGTCAAAATTATTTTATTTTCAGGCATCAGTACAAAATATTTAAACCTGGAGGACTGCGCTCCAAAATTATACCAAAAATAGAAAACATTTTTAAAATTATGGAACATCCAATTCAATGAAATACCACCCATGCATATTTACAAAAGTTTTAAAACTATGGTATGTGTTTATTATAAAGTTAAATGGAAAAGTTTAGAATCTAAAATTATATGGTGCTACATTAGTACAACTATGTACAACTATTAGTACAACTAAACAGGAATATAAAAATAAATCAAGCAAAAACATACCATTAAAAAACCCTGTTAATTAGTCATTACCTTTTTGTTTGGAGAATATGTGATTTAAAATCTTCATCGATGTTTGAAACTCAATGAATATCAATATTTTCATGACTTTTATTTCTGTATTATTGATTTATATATTTATTTTGAGGTAGCAGTGTGTTAAGGCAGAACAAGTTTCCAAAGACCTGTGTTTTAATTATGTTTTTTTACCATTTACTAATGAAAGCTTCATATTTTTATCTATATGGTTTAAATAATATATCATCCTAAAACTGTTTGTCAGTTCATCTCTTCTTCTGGTGACTCATTGAAAAGTATTTTTTATGTACAAAAACTGTATATATCTATATCTATCTATCTATCTATATATCTATCTATCTATATATATATATATATATATATGGAGAGAGAGAGAACTAGATAGCTATTTTAAAATGTATTTGCATTGGTAGATGTCACAAATCAGGTGTTTCACTTTTACATTTCATTTCAGACAGAAGTGCTTGCCTTGGTGATCCAAAAAAGGCAGGATCCGGCCGGGGGCAAGGTGATTATTCTGTCTGATGAGGAGAATAAGAGCCAGTTTGTGGTATTGACAGAAGAATGAAAGTAAAGGTAGGCTAGAGATCATCTCTTTCACAGGTTTATCTGTGTTAGGTTCTCCCAGGCAAAGGCACGTTTCTCTTTCAGATGTTGCTTTAAATTCCCAGCTTGT
Source organism: Homo sapiens (assembly GCF_000001405.40). Taxonomy (NCBI): domain Eukaryota; kingdom Metazoa; phylum Chordata; class Mammalia; order Primates; family Hominidae; genus Homo; species Homo sapiens. The sequence continues at coordinate 132,154,878 of NC_000006.12, forward strand.
GGTAGGCATTAATTCATCATGGTAAAGCCTCATGTGAGATTATTCACCAAGTAACTGAGTATATTTTCTCTGAACCCAACTTTTCACATCATCCCACTCAGTCAACTTAGTTCTAAAACTTTTTTAAAAACATGAACATTTCTAGAATTTTCATCTCGAATCTACACCCATCTGATTTTTCAATTGCCACAATCCAGTTTTCAGTAGAAACTGTAGAAATCACCTTCAATCTATTAGAATTTGCATATTTTTCTATTTATTATTCTTCTTCAAGAGAAATATTTTCCCTCTAGTCAAAGGTTGATGCCTTCTGGTACCTTCAAATAACATCTTCTGTGGATGTGATTTCTTAGAAGTTTTTTTGAAAGGTGTTATAAAGCCATGTACTGAAAACCACAAACATTCTCCTCCAACATAGTGCAAATTATGTTATACCAAAGACTCATGAACAGCCTACCTATTTAAAGTATCCAGTGAAGAGATTTGACAGTGGTTTGTCTATGAAGTTTCAACCTGTGCCATTTAAGGCAAACCAATTTCATTAACTGCTCTGAGAGGACATATGTCTTGACCACTCTTGTTGCATTTTTAAGGAGAAAGTCATTTTTGAAGCAGTAAACATCCTTGTGGGTATTGAAATTAATATGGAATCATAATCATAGCTCCCATAATCATATGGGAACTTGAATACTTGAAAGGCATGAAGCATCAGTCAATCCGGAGATTCAGATGAGCTATTCAAAATGATTATGGACTTTTTATATTCTAGTCAAATGTGGCTGATCAACAATATTTTAGGGGAAACAAATATTGTTGTATATTATTAAAGTTTTTAACAGTCTGTGTTGCAAGTAACTGATTGGCCCAGCTTGGGTAATGGGCTCTCCCACTTGATCCACTAGGAAGCATAAATCTCCAAAGGAAAACAGAGGTGTTATTACGAAATGAATGGGAAGGAAGCTTAGAAAGGCTGAAAAAAACAAAATTGTCCAGTCCTTTTTATTTTATTGATTTTGCATGTTCCTTAAATCAGAGCCAGTGAGACATATTTATAAAAAAACAATGGCCTTTCCCTACAAATGCTGGTTATTTAAAATATTTGAACTTTTCTTTCCTTCCTTCCTTCCCTCCTTTCTTCCTTCCTTCCTTCCTTTCTTCCTTCTACTTTATTTCTGCCCTTCTACCCTTCTTTCTTTCTTCCTTCCTTACTACCTTCTTTTTTTCTCTTCCTCCCTTCCTTCTATCAGGGCCACAGTGTCATTCTAAAGCACAATACTGAATATACAGCGTAGGTTCAAGTCAGCAACTGAGACTCAGAATCCCAAAACAAATCACTTATCAGAGCTTTTCAGTTCTGTAGCTTGCTGTAAGGTCACTTAGATATCTGTGCAGAATCATGTTATTCTGTTTTATATAATAAAATAATAAATGCTTTCAAAATTTAAAAATAAACGGATTTTCTCCAATTTCAGGTATTCTCTCATAATTTCTTAAAACTGTATTCTGCAGTAATAAAACAATTGTAGAATTAGAAAAGGACTTTTAACAGAAAATCTTGTGGAGCTGGTCTACAACTTTTGGTTTGTTTACTGTGCTCAGGATTGTTCTTTTATACTGAATAAAGACATATTTCTTGCTATTAAAATTAGTCAAAACTTATGTAATTGCATTAAAGATATGTCTTTTAAGGTGGTTCTTCCCAGAGCACTAGGACTTTTGTGTTTCTCAGGTGAACATACTAGAGAATTTTTGTGACATGGCACAAACCCTTTCCCAAAAGATACTGATGTGGTTGGCATTAGGACTCATGTTCTCTTTGCCAACCATTCGGTCCTTTATAAATTTCACAAGAGAAATATTTTCTGTTTTTCATTTTATTTTCTTGTGAAAAACATTGGCTGAAAAGCCAGCTGGTAATGTACATGTCTTATATATTGGCTGATTATCATTTGCCATTATCTTTAGGTCAGAAGATGCTATATATACATGGGCTGGGGGACTTGTCCATGACTATGCATCACTCATCCAGTAGAATCCTTCAAGGATAACAGGCTAAACTTGATTGTAATTAAGATGATTTTCTTTCTCTTCAAACAGATGTATAAGGAGACCATTTTATTCTCAAGTAATAAAGTTAATGAATCTGATTTCAAATAATATCTTTAAAATGAAAATGCTCATAGAAGGAGTTAGGAAAGTTCAATCAAAATTGTCAATAAGAGAAGATTTCTACTTCTGAGAAGATGGAGTAGACATACATCTACAAAACGGATAGACCTTAAAAGAGAAATAGACAAGACTACAATTATACTTCAAGGTTTCAACATCCCTTTCTCAGCAACTGACAGAACTGAACAAAAATTCAGCAAGGATATAGAAGAATCAACAACACCATCAATCCACAGACTCAAATGAACATTTGTAGAATACTGCCCCCCCAACAGCAGATTACACATTCTTTTCAAGCACTCAGGGAATATATATCAATATAGACTGTATCCTAGGCAATAAAACAAAAGACAACACATTTATAATAATTGAAATTACATAAAGTGTATCCTCTGATCACAATGGAATCAACCTGGATACCAGCAGCAAAAAGATATCAGAAACATTTCTAACCACTTGCAAAATAAACTACACATTTCTAAATAGTCCAGGGATCAAAGAGGAATTCTTAAGGAAAATAAAAAATAAATGGAATAGAATGAAATTAAAAAATACAACATATTTAACTATTAGGGGCATAGTTAAAACAGTTCTGAGGGGGAAATTGTAATACTAAATATTTCCATTAGAAAGGAGGTAATGTGTTATATTAGTCATCTAAGCTCCTACTTCAAGAATCTCAAAAAAAGAAGAGCAAAATGAACTCAAAGCCAGCAGAAGAAAGGCAATAATAATGATGATAGCAGAAATAAATAAAGTTTAAAAGAAAAACCAATGAAATGAAAAGCTGGTCCTTTGAAATGGTTCATAAAATTGACAGCAGTTTGACTGGTAAGAGAGATTGACAAAATAAGACTGACAGAGAAAAAGAAAGGCAACACAAATTGTAAAGACCTTAACAACCTCAAAAGGCTTATAAGGGAATATTACAAATGACCTACACACATAAATTGGATGACTTAGAAGTGTACCAGTGTTCAAAAAGCACAGGCTACAACAACTCACCAAATATTAAACAGATAATTTAACTAGTCCTAAAACTAACTAGTAAGGAAATTGAATTTATAATTTAAAAATCAATCATACAAATGTTTAAACAAAAAGTAATGCTAATTCTACACAATCTTTTCTAGCCAGTAGAAGAGGAGGAAATACCTCCCAATTAGTTTTGTGAAGCTAATATTATCCTGATACTAAAACAAGATGAAACAGTATAAAAATAAAAAAACTAGAACTGTGTCTTTCATGAATGTAAATATAAAAATTATTAACAAAATATTAGCAAATAGAATTCAGCAATATATAAAATAATTACACACCATGACCATGCAAAGTTTATTTCAGAGACACAATATTGTTACAATATTTTGATATTAATCAAAGTAGTCCATCGTATTAATAGGCTAAAGAAGAAAAATCACACGATTACATCAAGTGATACAGAAAAGGCATTTGACAAAAATTTACCACCCATTCATAATAAAAACTTTCAGAAAATGAGGAATAGAGGGAAACTTCCTCAACTTGATAAAGAGCATTTACAACTAACATTATAAATAAATAAACCTCAATCTAACCTTCACACATTATATAAAATGTAAGTCAAAATGGATAATAGACTTATTGTAAAATGTAAAACTATAAAAGCTTTAGAAAAAAAACATAAGAGAAAAGAGAAAATCTTAGGAATCTAGGCCTAGGCAGAGAGCTGTCAGACTTGATACCAAAAGTATGATTCAAAAAGAAAAAAAAATAGTAATAAATTTGACTTTATCAAAATTTTAAAAACTTTTGCTTTGAAGAAGACCCCGATAAGATGCTCTAAAATTAGGCTACTGACTGGGAAAAAAATTTCAAACCACATATTCAAAAAGAATGAGTATCTAAAATATGTAAGAAACTCAAAAACTATTTTAACTAGGGTGAGATGGTATCTTATTGTAGCTTTAATTTGCGTTTCTCTGATTATTAGTGATGTTGAGCCTTTTTTTCATATATCTGCTAGCATTTGTATGTCTTCTTTTGAGAAATATCTATTCAGATCATTTGACTATTTTTTAATTAGGTTATTAGTTTTTCTGCTATTGAGTTGAGTTCCTTATATATTCTGGTTGTTAATTACTTGCAGATGAGTAGTTTGCAAATTTTTTTTTCCATTCTGTAGGTTGTCTCTCCACTTTGTTTCCTTTGCTGTGCAGAAGCTTTTTGGCATAATATGATCTCGTTTGTCCATTTTTGCTTTGATTGCTTGTGCTTTTGAGAACTTACTCAAGAAATCCTTGCCCAGACCAATGTCCTGGAGAATTTACCCAATGTTTTCTTCTAGTAGTTTCATAGTTTCAGGTCTTAGATTTAATTCTTTAATCTATTTTGATTTGATTTTTGTATATAGTGACAAACAGGGGTCTAGTTTCATTCTTTTGTATATGGATATCCAGTTTTCCCAGCACCATTTATTGAAGAGACTGTCTTTTTCCCCAGTGTATGTTATTGGCACCTTTGCCAAAAATTAGTTGACTATAAGTGCATGGATTTATTTCTGAGTTCTCTACTCTGGCTATTCTGGTTTTCTTTTATGGTTCCATATAAATGTAAAGATTATTTTTTCTGTGTCTGTGAAGAATGTCATTGGTATTTTAATAAGGATTGCCTTAAATCTGTAGATTGCTTTGAGTAGTGTGGACATTTTAACAATATTGATTCTTCCAATCCATGAACATGGAATATCTTTCCATTTTGTGTATGTGTGTGTATCTAGATGCTGGTGAGGATGTGGAGAAAGGGGAACCCTTGAACACTGATGGTGGGGATGTAAATTAGTACAGACACTATGGAGTGCAGTATGGAGGTTCTTCAAAAAACTAAAAATAGAACTATCATATGATCTAGCAATTGCACTGCTAGGTATATATTCAAAAGAAAGGCAATCAGTATGTGGAAGAGATATCGACACTCTCCTGTTTATTGCAGGGCTATTCACAGTAGCCAAGATATGGAATCAACTTAATGTCTATCAACAGATGAATAGATAAAATATGGTACATATATACAATGGGATACTATTCAGCAATAAAAAAAGAATGGAATCCTGTCACTTACAACAACATGGATGAAACTTGTGGACATTATGCTAAATGAGATAAGCCAGAAACAGAAAGACAAATATCACACGTTCTCATTCATATGTGGGAGCTGAAAAAAAAGCTCATGGAGATAGAGAATAAGAATAATGATTATTAGAGGTTTGAAAGGATAGTTGGGAACAGGAGATAAAAAGGGAATGGGCAATAGGTACAAACATACAATTAGATAGAAGGAATAAGAGCTAGTGTTCACTTGCACAACAGGGTAATTATAGTTAATAATTTATTGTATATTTCAAAACAACAAAACAAGTGGAATTGGGATGTTCCTTACACAAAAAAATGATATATATTTGAGGTGATAGATATCCCAATGACCCTGATTGGATCATTACACATTATTTGCTTGTACTAAAATATTACATGTTCCCTACAAATATGTACAACTATTATGTACCCATAAAAATTTTTTAAAAAGAAAGCAAAACAGTATAAAATAAAAAAGTAAAAAACACAGGTGAAATAAATTTTAGTAGCATATTTTTTGATCCAATATATCTAAATATTGTCATTCAACATGTAATCAGCATGAAAATATTGATGAGATGTTTTCCTTTTTTTTTTTTTTTGCATTCAGTCTTGAAAGATGGGAAGATCAGGAGCAGTCTGGAGTCATGGTATATGAATGAACTAGTGAGAGTGGGCACAAAGTCTGAAGATCTTTGTAGTGCAGCTAATGTCTAAGGGAGAATATACCTACCCTAGAAGAGACATTAAACAACCAGGTAATTGGAGTAGACAAAGTGTCAGCCAGTCAATATCAGCCATACTCTGTCATCAGAGACTTCAGTGTTTGGACAATAAGCACATGAACAGAGTAAGCATGGTGTAAGGGATGCAGGTTTTGCATGGGCCCCACCAATTTACTGAAGTTGTTATAACTTCTGTCACTGCCAAATGTCCCAGAAGTAGCAACAGAGACCAACACTAAGCCCCCAATACAGCACTATCTCTTCAGGAGATCAACCAGCCAACCTGGTGGCAAGTTAAATTCATTGGACTTCTTCCATCCTCAAAGGATGGAAGCATTAATTCATTTCGAATTAATGCTTTTTGAATTTATACATATTCCAGGTATGGTCTGTGTTTTATGTCAAAGAACCTCAAACAGCACCATTAGCCGTGGGATTGCAGAGAGTTTAGTCCATCAACAGGAGATCTCATATAGCATTGCCTCACACTAACACAGTGGTTCTTAACCATGGGCAATTCCTTATCTCCCATATCCCACCCCCAAGACCTTTGGCAATGTCTGGAGACATTTGTGATTGTCGGAAACGGGAGGATATTACTGACATCTAGTGGCTAGAGAGTTGCTGCTAAATATCCTGTAGTGGACAGGACAGCCTCCCTCAATAAATAATCCACCCCAAAATGTCAATATGCCACTGTTCAGAAATTCTGGACTAAGAGCAACCTCTATTCTGTTTTCCATAATGGCTGTATTGATGTACATTGCTGTAAACAGTGTAAAAGTATTTGCTTTTCTCCACATCCTCACTAATACTTGTCTCTTTTTTTGATACACATCCTAAAAGGTGTGAGCTGATATGTCATTGTGGTTTTAATTTGCATCTCCCTGGTAATTAGTGATGTTGAGTATTACTTGTCAACCATTTGTATCTCTCTTTTGAGGAATGTCTACTAAGGTTCTTTGCCCATTTTTTAATCAGATTTTTTTCTTGCTGTTGAGTTGGGTCCCTTATATACTTTTGATATTAACTCCTTATCAGATATGTAGTTTACAAATATTTACTTCTATTCCATAGGTTGTCTCTTCATTCTGTTGATTGTTTCCTTTGTTGTAAAAGAAACTCACTTTACAGGAAAAGAGGTGCAACAGTGGCTGGATGATTATAAGATCGACTGTTCCTATTAAAAACTACACCATCCAAAAGAGGCTGCCATTGAAGAGCAATAAAGTAGTTCATAGAAGGCATAGGTGAGGCAGAAGCTTGAAAATGATACCATATAAGGATAAGAAATCATATTCCAAGATACAGTCTATACTCAAGTCTCATGACCATTGTATGGTACTGTGCTCCATTATTTAGATATGTGGTGCTCCATTGGTTACACATGGTGGCAGGCATGAAGAGTTGAAAATAGCAATATGGCCATCTTCACAATATTGATTTTTCCTATCCATGAGCATGGAATTTTTTTCCATTTGTTTGTGTCCTCTCTTACTTCCTTGAGCAGTGGTTTGTTGTTGTCCTTGAAGAGGTCCTTCACATCTCTTGTAAGTTGTATTCTTAGGTATTTTATTCTCTTTGTAGCAATTGTAAATGGGAATTCACTCATGATTTGGCTCTGCTTGTCTATTGTTGGTGTATAGGAATGCTTGTGATTTTTGCATGTTGATTTTGTATCCTGATACTTTTCTGAAGTTGCTTATCAGCTTAAGGAGTTTTGGGGCAGAACCACAATGAGATACCATCTCACGCCAGTTAGAATGGCGATTATTAAAAAGTCAGGAAACAACAGATGCTGGCAAGGCTGTGGAGAAATAGGAATGCTTTTACACTGTCGGTGGGAATGTAAATTAGTTCAACCATTGTGGAAGACAGTGTGGTGATTCCTCAAGGATCTAGAACCAGAAATACCATTTGACCCAGCAATCCCATTACTGGGTATATACCCAAAGGATTATAAATCATTCTACTATAAATACACATGCACACATATATTTATTGAAGCACTATTTACAACAGCAAAAACTTAGAACCAACCCAAATGCCTATCAAGGATAGCCTGGATAAAGAAAATGTGGCAAATATACCCCAGGGAATACTATGAAGCCATAAAAAACGATGAGCTCATGTCCTTTGCAGGGACATTGATGAAGCCGGAAGCCATTATTCCCAGCAAACCAACACGGGAACAGAAAACTAACCATTGCATGTTCTCACTCATAAATGGGAGTTGAAAAATGAGAACACATGGACACAGGGAAGGGAACACCACACACCGGGGCCTGTTGGGGGGTGGGGCATAAGGGGAGGGAGAGCATTAGGACAAATACCTAAAGCATGCAGGGCTTAAAACCTAGATGACAGGTTGATAGGTGCAGCAAACAACCATGGCACATGTATACCTATGTAGCAAACCTGCACATTCTGCACATGCATCCCAGAACTAAAATAAAGTAACATTTTTTAAAAAAAGAAAATAGCAATGACACATAGGGAGTTTCTGCTTCCTTTTTCTGAAATTCTGAACTCCATGTGTTTAGTGGTCTTCGTTCCTACCATGGGGAATATCTATCAGTGAAACATAAGCTATGATTTTGGCCTGGGCACTTCAGACTCCATATGCCAAGGGACAAGTTGGCAAGGGGGGAATACCATATTGATAGAAGCAATTGAGCTGATCATCAGGAGAAAGGCTGTTATGACACACTGGGACAGGGGAGGAACATATTTGGTACTTGATTATCTCATGGCAATTCTTTGCCCAGTTTTCATGATAAATTGACAAATACAGTAGCCACAATCTAATAAGGGCTTGAGGACCAGATGTTTAGACAATCAGAGATATGGGTTTGGGTCATCCAACCAGGTAAGCCACCAAGACCAGGTGCTAGCTGTGGGAGAAGTGATTCTAGGATAGAGTGTAGAGGAAGAGGACAATAAATTATCACAGATGTAGCCTCAAGCCCAACTGCATCAATGAGACATAGCATTTCTCCATTAACTTTCCCCTAGGAAGCTTACTGCAGGAAAGAAATCCCTCAGAGTCCTGAAGATACAGCTTTCAGAACTTAGGTGAAGCAAGAGGACTCAAGGTGTGCAAGAATGGACAGTACAGAATGCTCTGCTACACTGCTCAGATTCCCCCTTCAGGAAGGAAGGACAAATTCACTCAACTTCTGGGAGCATTGATGGTTGAGCTCTCAGCCATCAGACCTTTTTGGAAGTTGCCCTCTTCTGAAAAGAGGCACATTGCCCAAGATCTTTCCTCCTCCAGAGCGCAGGCTGCACCTGAAGTCTGATTGATGTGGGGTATGATGGTCTGGTCTCCTTTCCCCATCTAAAGGACTGTTCTAACCTCAGGGCTCTCCTTGAGTTTCCTTAGTTAGTTCTTATTACTATGTTGCAGTCCAACTTCTTCTTTGGCCTAATTCTACTTTCCTCCCATTCCCCAATTGTTGATCCTGACAGCAATTTCCCCCCAAATTTCTGTAAACTAAGCATGATCTCAGAGTCACCTGACCTGCAACATTATTACATACACTATAGTCCGTGCACTTAAAGATTTAGTGAAAGTATGCTGCTGAAGCTTGCCAGAACTTCCCTTCTTCCACTGAAAATTTGTCTGTTCATAGATATACACCATTCGTTCTCTTCTCTACTTTGGCCAATTATCTTATGTTTGGGAAGGTGTTCTGCTAGAAGACAAAATAGCAATTCTTAGAACTAGAAAGAAAAACACATCAAAGTCTGTCCTTTCTTATGTCTTTTCTATCTACAACAAATACCCTGTGATAAAAAGGATGATAGGAAATATAAGTAGTTTGAGTCCACCAAATATTTGGCTTGAAGTATTTGGGTATGAAATACAAACTCACTTGACCTGGGCTCAAATTTGCCAGCACTTCTTTTCTTTCTTCTCTTTTCAGAAACAGACTTTATTTATATCAATGTTAACATCAATCACATAACCATCAGGAAGGCTGTAACTTTGATTTTTTTTTGTCCAATAGTTGGGCCAAGTTTACATTTCTCTTATTTTATTTATTTATTATTATTATTTTTTTGAGATGGAGTCTTACTCTGTCACCCAGGCTGGAGTGCAATGGCGTCATCTCAGCTCACTGCAACCTCCGCCTCCTGGGTTCAAACAATTCTCCTGCCTCAGCCTCCTGAGAAGCAGGGATTACAAGTGTGTGCCACCACGCCCGGCTAATATTTGTACTTTCAGTAGAGAACGGGGGTTTCACCATGTTGCTCAGGTGGTCCCGAACTCCTGACCTTGCGATCCACCCGCCTTGAACTCCCAAAGTGCTGGGATTACAGGTGTGAGCCACCGTGCCTGGACCATTTCTTTTCTCATATATCAGCCTATGCCAGGGGGGAGACTGGCTGAGGTTAAAGGCTAATGTCAAGTACTAACTGAACAACAAATGGATAACCTCAACAATGCAATATCCTGGTTGAAATTGTTAGTGAATTTTTTTAGCAGACCTGAGATCTATGTATCTCCATTCAACAAGTAAAGGTAGACTATTTCCTTAAATGCAAATTCCTATAAAAAATATCAGAAGTATGTTATGTATTTAAAGTTAAAAAGCATATAACTTTTTAAATGTTTAATAAAATTCACCAGTATACACCATCATTTTCATTGAGAAAAGGTTTATAATCATGAATTCTATTTATTTAATAATATTATTCAATATTTTTCTTTCATTTTTGTTAATTTGATTTGTTATGGCTTCTCAAAAAAAGCTTGTCCTTTTCATCTAATTTGTTCAATTTATTTTCATGAAACCGGTCACATACTTAATCTTTCATTGCTTCTTATATAACCAAATTTCCATCCGGTACCATTTACTCTGAGCCAAAGAACCAGAAGCCAAAAGAACTTCCTGTAGCATTTCCTGTAATACATATCTGCTGATTAACACTTTTCTAGGTTGACAAGTTATATAGTTGTCTTTCATTTAGTTTAAAGATGTTGTTCCATTGTCTTCTCATTTTCATTGTTTCTGATGAGAGGTCAGCCTTGTTTCTTATTATTGGTCCTCTGCATTTAATGTGTAATATGTCTTTTCTTCTCTTGCTTTTCAAATGTTCTGTTTAATTCTGATTTTCAGCAGTTTAATATAATGTCCATTGCTTGTTTTTTGCTTAGATTCCTGAAATTATGTGTGGGTTTTTAAATAAAGTTTGAAAATTTCTAACCATTATTTGGTTAAGTAATTTTTCTGCTTCATACTCTCTCTTTTTCTTTTTCTAGTACTCTAATTACAAACTTTCATTCTTTTGCCATTATTTCACAGGTTGTTAATATTCTACTTTAAAATTTTAAAGTAATTTTTATGGAAAATTTGATCATAATTTTTAATAACTATAATAGAAAATTCTAAAAATTCAAAAGGTAAGCCATATCAACAATTCATATCATACCTATAGAAATGGCAATTTTGGTCTATTATTTTCCAAACCATCTACCTTATTTTCTTTCTTACATCTTATGCTGGCCATGACTTGCAGCCTATATGGTTCAGTAGCAATGATAATATCCTTGTATTTAATTTATCCTTGTATTTAATGTATCTTAAGAGAAAAAAAAAGTCTCAAATTTCATGATTAAGGATGCTGTTTGTTAAGGTTATTGAAATATATGTTCAAATGATTTCAGGGAGTTTCCTAATTTTGAGTATTTTGCTATTTTGATATAGATTTTGAAATTTATTTTTTCCCCTAACTACTGGGGGGGAAAATGTGGAAAAATAATTACTAGTGCTATTCTCCACGTATTTCAAATTGTCTCTGTGTCTGAACACATGTGGAATTTCACTTCTTTGTCCCCTGGAAGTGAGGTTGGCCATGTGACTTGCTCTGATGTATAAAGTATGAACAGAAAAAATGTGCTACTTCTGGGAAGAAATTTTCAGAGGTAGCATGGTATGTGTCACCAATTTCCCTTTTTCTGACACAGTGACTATGTAAATATGTATAGAGATGTCTCTTCTGTCAGTCTGGATCCCTTAGTGACTGTGATGAGCAAAGTCTTATTGCCAGTGTTCATTGAATGAGTAACATGAGCACATACTTAATTGTTATGATAAACTACTCAGATATTAGGGTTGTCTATGCAGAATAACCCATCCTTTATTTTTCTTTTTATGCTAAACCATTCTTTTATTTAAGGCACTAGTACTTGATCATAACATATCACTTAATATTTTTTATTCTATAGCTTTAAGTTTTATTCTACAAATCCTTTTGTTGATAATAATTATAACTTGAATGTAATCTGCTTTGTGTTTCTAGGAGGCAAAACCAGGTAAGCAATACAGCTTAGAGAATACTTTTATTAAAAAACTTTTCTTTCTAAGAGTAAAATGAGTGAAAGAAAAATAACTAAATATATAGTCTCTGTCCTTGTGGGATAATAGTAACAGAGTTCATTAGAAAATATGAAATAATGACCCAAAGATAATTCTACAGGGACCATGTGAGCTTAGAGTGAGAAAAGGAAAGAAATCTTTTCCAGAAGGAGTGATCTAGAAAAACTTTATGGAAAAGGTGACATATAAACTGGGTTTGAAAGATGAATAGAATATTGATGAGGAAATTCTACACAGCATCTAAGTAAATATACCGTGAGAAAAGTGTAAGCAAGATATATAAATGGAACAACAAGTTATACAGTTTGACTTACTTGTAATAGCAGAGTAAATATGTAGAAGTGTGAATTTTATTTTAAAACATCAAAGATTTTTAATAGAAGAGGGATTTTGTTATTAAGAGGATAATTAATATTGCCATTATATTTAGGATGAATTATAAAGGATGGGTACTAGAGGTCATCAGAGGTTTGGGAGGGGTGAGAGTTTTTCATTGTCAAGGTGAGACAGCAAGGGTCTGAGAGAGGAAATAAAAAAGAAGAAACAGCTTTGAGTTTTGTTGAGCTACAAGGTTTACAGATATTTATATTTTCACCTATGACTTAGCATTTGAAAACCTAACAGTCTTCTTTTTTGTATATTGCAAGCCATATAAATAGAGTCTATAACTAGATAGATCTTATTGGATAACCACCCAAAATGTAATATTTTATGCTATTGAACACTGACTCAATATGCTAATATTCAACACTCAAACCAAAAGTGAAAACACAGATGCCTGAGGAAAGAAAAGTTGGCAGCAGAAACTAGTGGGAATTGGGTAGGGTTTTTCTTGGCCTTCTGCTGCACAATAGGCAATTGTGATTCAGGTGTATTTGTTTATTCTGGTAGAAATAAATTCTCCCACTAAAACAAAAGTGCCATTATAAAGAGCTAGACAAAATCAACAACACCCGTCTTTGCCATGTCTTGCATGACTGTAAGGGGTCACATTCAGGAATTGTTGATCAGACTTCCTTTGTCTCTCTCTTTTAAAAAGGCATTTTGCAAATTTAATACTTTTCCATGTTCTAAAGCATTGCTTGTCCACGGGAGAGGGGTTGGGTGTCAAGCAAACGCAGAGAGGCTCTAGGGGTTTCTAAAGTGGTCACTTCAATAGTCATTTCATAACATGTTTGTCGGCATGTCTTTCTTCCAGTTCTGGTTTTGTTACCTTCTCTCTGTTTTCAATGTAAACAGCAGTACAAAGTGAGCTATCTTCCTGCTATTCAAAATAAATACTTATTTGGGTAAAATTTATAATGTTAGATTCTACTTTTAGTCAGGAAATGCAAACAAAGCTTGGAGACTGCTTGTTCCCTGACCCCAAATTCATTCCATGTTGCTATAGCATCACCCCTGAGAAAATGGGCCTGCCTGTTTTCCTCCCCATAGACAAACTCAATGGGCTTTTGTCAGCTCTTGAATTATAGCATTAAAATTTAAACAGTAGGGATTTAATGGAGGATTATTATGACACTCCAGTGCATTCTTTCTGTTGCCATTAGCAACAACCCCAAGAATGAAATAAAATAATTGTTTTAGGAGGTGCTGTTTTCCTAAAAGATGAAACATCTACCTTACATTCTTGGAGTTACATAAACTAATTTGTGTGTGTGTTACTTCTAACATGAGTAGAGTATTGGTAGTGTATACCAATCCAATGATTTAAGGTATTTTTTTTTCCCTTTTAGTTCAACCAATCTACAAAGGCCAAAAATATTTTCACAGGCCCCCAAAAGATGAACTCCAATCTGCTGCCCCTAAACGCATTCTCCACTGTCTGGAAGATGTGCAAAGGCAACGGCACAGCGTTCTCCATCTCAAATCCTTCAAAGTGCTGTCAGAATAAAAGAATCCCCACCAAAAGCCCCAGGGAAATCTATCTGTCTGTATGGTATGGTAATGACTGAGGTTATTCCAGATAGGATTCTGGGAGAAACTCAGCTATTGAAATCTAATGAATGGAACTGAGAATTTCTTGTTATAATACTGTTTGTTTGATTGAATATATCCTTGCATATAGGAAGACATAAAAATAAATAATAAAAGCAAGATATTATTTGAATTTTTGTTTGATTATATAATCTGAGAATTTTTCTGGTAAGTAATTTTGCATCTGGATTTATTTTTTCTGCCAGTCACTTGCCTTTCTAGTTTTATGTCATTTTTATCTCTTTCCTATTTTAATGTCAGCACCTAGGTTTACATTAAGGATTGTATTTTTTTAATCACCAGGGATTACAACAATTTATGTTCCTTTTCTAGCTGCCAAAATACAGATATTTCCTTTCTTCTGCTATATTCTTGCTGGACAACTCCTTTCAAAATATTTTTAACTTTTTCTGTTTGAAGTGAATTTCAGTTCATTGTAGAAATAATACAAAATGAGTAACAGGCAATAAATAAATGAATAGTCCTTTGGATTTTTACCACCCAGAGATAATAGTTCTTAATCTAAGTGTGAGCCTTAATCTATAGCAATGAAAATTAGTCTTACTTTCACCAAAGACATCCAGGGTTCCCCTATCCTCTTCTGTAGAGGCAGCCCTATTACCAGTGTCTTGTGTTTACTTTCAGAGGAGTACATGCAAACATCTGTATATATGCCATTTTTACAGGAAAATGATAAATTTTACATTTTTCAGATCCTTGCTTTTTCATGTAACAATAAATCTTGAAATCAGTATAAGTCCCAGAATTTGTATAGGGACAGTCTTGTGGGACTGGAGAGTTGGGACATTGAGGGAGGAGACTAAGGGGTTTGCCTTCAAGTTGCCTTTGCTAAGCAAGCAACTGTCATTTGTTATGTTGTATATAGCTGGTCAATAAATGGCAAAGGTAATGAAACATGCTTTTATTCACACTTTACAAACACAGAGAAAATAGTCACTGTTCGTAAAGATAGAAATTGTTAACACTATTTTTATTGGGACAATTAGCCATAGTTTGTATGGAACTACAAGTGATTTCTTTAGAGAGTTCCTCAATGAGAGATTTTTAAGTATTTCCTTGTCATTTGCTGTCAAAAACAATGTTGCAGTAAACATTCTGGTAAACATTACTTTAGGCACACATATGAATATGCTGTTTTACAAATTACTAGTAATTGAATTACTTAGATGAAAACATTATATACATAGATGTTCACCATCAGGGAACCAGACCAGGCATTGAGGTCCCCACTGAGCCAGTGACATTGCTTTCAGAAGCAGAATGGAGGATACAGTTTCCCTGAGAAGGCAAGCTGTCATGTCTCATTTAATGCTAAGATGCTGCTGGGAGCTTGCTTTTGAATATATCATTTTATTTGACAAGTGAGGCTTATTGGGCCTTTCTTACTTTGTTAGTCATCGAGTCCCACCCAATAAAGGGCCCACCCAAAAAAATGGGAACACCAGGCAAGAGAGTCACAAGGTTTCTATGGGTCAGGTATTTAGCTTTGCCAAGAGCCCAGCAAGTTACTAGCTACTTTTTTTTTTTAAGTAGCCATGTCAGAGAAGTTAACCCCATATCCCAAGGGCCCCTCAAGGTAGAGGTTGGCTTTATTTGCCCGGACCCTAACTGACTAAGACTTGTCACAAAGACTTGAGCTCAGAGGTGTATTGAAGTTGTGCATTAGCACTTTGCATGCAGCTCTTCTGTGATCAGGAGAATCCCCTTGGCACTTTTGGGATGAGGAAGTACATTCAGATGTAGAAGTTACAACAGTACACTGAACTGGTCCAAAATTCCTCAACGTACAAAGTCACATTAATTTCCCTTCTTCACTGTGAACCTGGCCCAAACTCCATTCCTTGAATCTAGTGCCTGCTCCCCACACAGTATTGGGTAAGATGATGAGTTGGGCAGTTTTATCCAACAGAGTTCCAGCATAATGAGATTGATGAATATGGCCTTTGGTCTTTCTGGGGGGCAGGGAGACTTCTCTTTAAAGCAGCTGAAGTCAGGGTAGAAGGGAAGAGAGTAATCAGAGCATATCAAAAGAGAAAGGGGCTCTATGCCATTAAGTAAGGCATTTCACTCAATTTGAGCTGGTTTTGAGCAGGTGCTGGCTTATGGCTCAACCAAAAGAACATTTAATGATTTTAATCTTCCCAAAGCTCTGTATTGAATGGCAAGGTCTCCACTGCTGACATCATTTATTTCTGCTTTGGGGACTCTTTGGTTCATCAGCCATGGCCTCATTGCCTTTTGGCTGGGGCTGGAGGGCTTGCTGCCCCATTGTCATAGTAACATTTGCTCATCCACCCTCCCAGAGGAGAGTGAGCAAAAACCAAGGTGCCATTTGGGCAGTTTGTTTCAGTCCTGTCTATTACAGCTTATCCTTTAAAGATTCATTATCAGGAAGGACAGTAGGGGACCCTTACTGTGCTCCCTTTCTTTTGCCCAGCATTTGGTATCAGGTCGCAGAGAGCCTTGTCATATTCCCAAACCTGGCCTGCAGGACTCTTGTCTTTTCTCTTCCTGAAAGCCACACCTAAGTCAGCTTCCATTATTGTCACCAAAACTGTTAAGAATTGTGAAGGACCTGACATGTTCTCTAACTGCAAGATAATGAGCTAGTCTGCCACAGCTTTATGGATTTAAAAAATGGCATGAAACTCCTAAGTCAAAACAAATGACTTTATTACGGCCTGGTAAGCAGCATGAACATCAGCTTATTTTTGCGGGTTCTCTTTGCTCCACAACCCTGTGAAGGTGACCCAGATGGGCCCAGATATAGCCCACGTATGTAGTGGTTTACACTCCAGGAGAGGAACTCTCTACATAGGGAATATGAATATTTTATAATGAGCAGTAAGTGTCTCTGTCCTTTGATCCAGAGGGAGACATGATATTTTTTATACAAGACAGCAAGCATTCCTGCTCTTTGTTCTAGGGAGAGACACTATCTCTGTCACTCAAGGTTATTCATTACACAAACATCCTTTAAAAGACAATCCAGAAGAAAAGACAGTCAGTGCATCTTTTCTCAAGATGTGTCAAAATGTGAGAGAAGTGTTTCTGAACACATTCTGTGGTTTGAATGTACTTACATGTATTCAAATACTATGTCCCCCACCATTGGTGGGTATTCTTTTATTAAAAACCAGTATTAGCTGATGGAATAATCCAAATGTGGTATTTATTTCTATTGGATAATTTATCAGGTTGGATTATTAGGTAGAAGTAGACATGTTTAATTTTAACATATTTTGCAAGTTTTCTCTACTGAGAACCTATTAAGAACATTTCAAAGAAGTATGCCCAAGAGTGACTTACTTCTTGTTGTGAAAAAAAATACCTGACAAGCCCTATATTCTTTAACCTAATCATTCCTAGGAAAGTAACTGAAGGCAGACACTACAGAACTTAATTAGAAGTTTAATAAAACACATTAAATATAATAGTAAGACAGTTGATGCAGCTGCTTTGAAAAGACAAAGCTCTCATATAGCCATTGCATCTTATCAGATGGATAAGAAAAAGGTTGGGAAATAGTTTAATGCCTGTTTCCATAAAATTTAAGAAAAATCTGCATTTCACCTGTATCTTCTCATCATGAAATTTGAGTTTTTGTCTAATTTTATTCAAAAAGGACAGAGTTTTTGTGTTATTAAAAGACTCCAAGGACTTTTTGCTTGTAAATCCCAAATTCACGACTTTTAAAAATAAGAAAGCACACTTGTTAGTGTTTTCTGTAAAACACTATATACTCTTGTTTTTAATTATGTTTCTGGTATGAGATTGTAGTGACTCACCAGTCATGAAATAATTACCTTACTCTAGTACTTCACTGATTTGCTCTGCAACTTCCATGGTAGTAGCTTGAATTTACTTAGAAGCATGAAAAACACACCAAGAACCTTTATTAAACATTATACTACTATGTAATCTGGTTTATATTATATACTGTTTTATACTGTATAATCACAACAAACCTCATGATTTAACATGTTCAGTTTTAACAATCAATAACTATTCAAGTTTTTCTCCTTTAGCAAACTGTGTCAGCACTGGACATTACTGCTTGTAAATTTCTAGTCATTTCTACTGAATGAGAAAGAGTATTATGGTATTAATCCACTCTGGAGGAAATTCAGGTCCTTGGTGTTTTTATTTATTTATGTCAGTCAAATATAAACTCTGATCAAAGATTACAGCAAAAGGAAATTGGCCATCATTGGTGAGATTCAATAAAATCAACAAGCAATAGATACGAATCTCAAGGACTATAGATATTGAAATTGTTAGATGTAGGACATATGTATCAAATATTTTAAAAACAGAAGGTAAAAATATTTTAAACTACCAGACAGATTTAAAAAAATACAACTTTAAAAAATGAAAATAAACTCTTTAAAATTAAAAATTTGGTGGGTGATTAGATTAACATGAAGTCAGTAAGTAAACTGAAAGTTTCATCAGAAAGAAAATTAGAAATGCAACACAAAGACAAAAAAATTACTAAAGAGTGGTTAATAGATAAGGAAGTTGGAAAATGAGAATCTAAACCTTGTCTTATCGGAGTGTATTTGTCAATTCTCACACTGCTGTAAAGACATATCTGAGACTGGGTAATTTACAGAGAAAAATGGTTTAATTGACTCACAGTTCTGCAGGCTGTACAGGAGGCATGGCTGAGGAGGCCTCAGGAAACTTATAATCATGGCAGAATGCAAAGGGGATGCAAGCAGGTCTTCACATGGTGGAGCAGGAGAGAGAGACGGAAGGGGGAAGTGCTACACACTTTAAAACAACCAGATCTCATGATGAGAACTAACTCACTATCATGAGAACAGCAAGGAGGAAATCTGCCCCCATGACCTAATCAGCTCCCACCAGGTCTCTCCCCTCAAAATTGGGAATTACAATTTGACCTGAGATTTAGGTGAGGACACAGAGCCAAACCATATCAGTCCACCCCTGGCCACTTCCAAATCTCATGTCCTTCTCACATTTCAAAACACAATCATGCCTTCTCAACAGTCCCCCAGAGTCTTAACTCATCCCAGAATTAACTCAAAACTACAAGTCCAAAGTCTCATCTGAGACAAGGCAAGCCCCTTCCACCTATGAGCCTGTAAAATCAAAAACAAGTTAGTTACTTCCAAGATACAGTGGAGTTACAGGCATTGAATAAATGCCCCCAATTCCAAGAGGGAGAAATTTGCCAAAACAAAGGGGCTACAGGCACCATGCAAGTGTGAAACCCAGTGGGGCAATAATTAAAACTTAAAGCTCCAAAAGAATTTTTAACTCCATCTCTCACATCCATGCCACACTGATGCAAGGGGTGGGCTCCTAAGGCCTCGGGCAACTCTTCCCTGTGGCTCTGCAGGGTAGAGCCCCTGTGGCTGTCTTCACAGGCTGGCATTGAGTGTCTGCAGCTTTTCCAGCTGCACAGTGCAAGCTGTTGCTAGATCTAGCATTCTGAGGTCTGGAGGATGGTAGCCCTCTTCTCACAGCTCCACTAGGCAGTGCCCCAGTGGGGACTTTGTTTGGGGCTCCAATCCCACATTTCCCCTTTGCATTGCCCTAGCAGAGGTTCTCCATGAGGGCTCTGGACCTGCAGCAGACTTTTGTCTGGACATTTGGACATTTCCATACACCCTCTGAAATCTAGGCTGAGGCTCCCAAACCTCAAATCTTGCCCTCTGCGTACCCACAGGCCCAACACCATGTGGAAGCCACCAAGGTTTGGGGCTTGCACCCTCTGAAGTAATGGCCTAAGCTGTACCTTGGCCCTGTTTAGCCACAGCTAGTGCTGGAGTGGCTGGGATGCAGGGTGCCAGGTCCCAAGGCTTCACAAAGCAGCAGGGCCCTGGGCCTGGCCCAGAAAACCATTTTTTCCTCCTAGACCTCCAGGCCTGTAAGGAGAGGGAATACCGTGAAGGTCTCTGAAATGCCCGGGAGGCATTTTTCCCATTGTCTGGGCTGTGAACATTCAGCTCTTTAATTATGCAAATTTCTGCAGTCTTGAATTCCTCTCCAGAAAATGGGTTTTTCTTTAATACCACATGGTCAGGCTGCAAATTTTCCAAACTTTCATGCTCTGCTTCCCTTTTAAACATAAGTTCCACTTTCAGGCCATCTCTATGTGAACACATATGACTGTACTCTTTTAGAAACCACTAGGTCATATCTTGAATACTTTACTGCTTAGAAATTTCTTCCACCAGATACCCTAAATCATCTCTCTCAAGTTCAAAGTTCCACAGATCTCTAGGGCAGGGGCAAAATGCCACCATCTCTTTGCTAAAGCATAGCAAGAGTGACCTTTTCTCCAGTTTCCAATAAGTTCCCCATCTTCATCTGAGATCACTTCAGCCAGGACTTCACTATTCACATCACTATCAGTATTTTGGTCAAAACCATTCAACAAGTCTCTAGGAAGTTCCAAGCTTTCCCTCATCTTCCTGTCTTCTTCTGATCCCTCCAAACTTTTGAACCTCTGCCCATTACCCAGTTCCAAAGTCACTTCCACATTTTCAGGTATCTTTATAGCAATGCCCCACTTCTCTGGTACCAATTTTCTGTATTAGTTTGTTCTCACACCACTATAAAGACATACCTGAGACTGGGTAATTTATGGAGAAAAGAGGTTTAATTGACTCACAGTTCAGCAGGCTGTACAAGAGGCTTGGCTGGGGAGGCATCAGGAAACTCACAATCACAGTGGAAAGCAAAGGAGAAGCAGGCATAATTGTCACATGGAAGAGCAGAGAGAGAGAGAGCAAAGGGGAAAGTGCTACACACTTTTTTTATTTTTATTTTTTGAGACAGAGTCTCTCTTTGTTGCCAGGCTGGAGTGCAATGGCATGATCTTGGCTCACTGCAACCTCCGACTCCCTGGTTAAAGCAATTCTCCTGCCTCAGCGTCCCGAGTAGCTGGGATTACAGGTACATGCCACCACACCTAGCTAATTTTTGTATTTTTAGCAGAGACGGGGTTTCATCATGTTGGCCAGGATGGCCTTGATCTCCTGACCTCGTGATCCACTCGCTTTGACTTCCCAAAATGCTGGGATTACAGGCGTGAGCCACTGTGCCTAGCCATGTTACACACTTTTAAACAACCAGATCTCATGAGAATTCACTCACTATCACAAGAACAGCAAGGGAGAAATCCACTCCCCATGATCCAATCACCTCCCATCAGATCTTTCTCCCAACATTGAGAATGATAATTCGACATGATCTTTGGTTAGGGACACAGAGTCAAACCATATCACAGAGTTTGAGAGGAGAATAAAAGTTATGGAGCAGAGCCAGCTTTTGAAAGGTAATGACAAAGAATTTTCCAGAAGTGATGAAAGATAATCTGCGTATAGAAGAAGCACAACACATACCAAATTGAATAAATAAAAATGAATCCATAACCCTGTACCTTCCACTAAAGCTCTAGAACTCCAAAGCAAAACTCTTCAAAGTAGACTAAGAAAACAAACAAATCACCCAAAAAGAAGCAATTGAATTTAACAGTAGGTGTCTCAACAGCAGCAACCGAAGCCAGGACACAGTGAAATGATAAAATTGTCAACCTAGAGTTGTGTAACCAGTCAAATTCTCTTTCAATAATAAGGGCACAATAAAGACGTGAACATAAACAAGAACTTGGAGCTTTCATCACCAGCACAACTTCAGTAAAGTACCTTCTAAGGTATGTTCTTCAGCACAAAATAAAGTGACTCATAAAAAAACATAGATACACAAAAGCAAAAAAATTGGAAAAAATTATGTTCAAAATAGGCAAACTACTGGTTAACTGGTCAGAACAAATAAAAGGGAGATAGAGTCAAATAAATAGTATTAGGAATAGAAAAGAGAACATAACTAAAGATAAGGCAGAAATTAAAGAAGATCAGAATACGATGAAACTTTACATTTGGATGTAGGAAAATTAGAAGTTCCTGAACAAAAGTCACATAAGAAAAGAAGTATCTTACAAGAGTAAGATTAACTTTAGAATATTAAGAATAATCTTACAGCAATTTAAAATTTAACCAGAGTTTTTGTTAAAAAATATTTTACAAAGCCAACAGCAGGCCAAATAATTCAAAGAAAAAGATTTACTAATTTTTGCTAATGTATTATATCATTCCAGCCTTGTAAACATTCTTCCAGAAAATGGAAGTAGGAGGTAAAGAATTCCATTTCGTTTTAAAAGCCAAGTATGATCTTAATAACAAAAACAAGTATATTATTGCTGCTGTAACAATTTACCACAAACTTAATTGTTTAAAACAATACACATTTATCATCTTATATATACCTCTAGAAGCCAGAAGTCTCCTGATCTCACTAGACTAAGATTATGGTGTCAGTAGAGCTATCTTCCTTCCTGTAGCTTAGGGTAGAATTGTTTTTTAGAAACTGCCCACATTCCTCGGCTCATAGTCTTCTTCTTTCATCTTCAAAGCCAGCAACAGTGGGCTGAGTCTTCATACTCTCTGGTTCTCCACAACTGGGAGACTGCTATGTGAATTAAGTGTGCTAACTCCCACCAGAGGCAGAAGAGTTATATATATATACATTTTATAGTTGTATATAATTGTATGTTATAGTTATATATACTTATTGTAATAATTAATATAATTTCATAATTTTAATTATAATACAGTTATATATTGACATATAATTATATGTATTTTACATCTTTTAAAAAAATATATATGTATGCTTGAGTGCACAATTTATTGTGAGGCCTTACATGTCATCAATCATGTAATTTATATTCAACCTAAAGGTAGTAATAAAAGATGGGAGGTAATGAACCACAGTGATGGCCCAGGAGCCTATTCTAGTGGGTCTGGAGTCCTTTGGAAGCTGGTCAGTTGGGGCATCACTGCCTCTCTAGGGCAAAGCCTCAAGCGGCAGCCACCTAAAGTTGTGAGAAGTCCTCAGAGTTCTCACAGGCCTCCAAAGGCATCTTGAACAAGGCTTTGTCCTGGCTGCTTTTATAATCCTTCAGAGATGTGTCTATTTTCAACATCTTACGACTTTCCCCTTTCTACTGGTTCATTTCAGGTCTTGAGTGATATCAGGCAACAGCAGGAATTATCACCTCAGTCCATTACATATATATTTATCACTTGAGAAGAGGGAGACTACTTTACTGTGGGTTCAATGCTACTTGATATGAGTGACTACATTTTGAGACATTAGGTGTTGGGAGCGAGCTCCCAAAATCTGGCCATAAACTGGCCCCAAAACTGGCCATAAACAAAATCTCTGCAGCACTGTAACATGTTCATAATGTCCCTAATGCCCAAGCTGGAAGGTTGTGGGTTTACAGGAATGAGGGCAAGGAACACCTGGCCCGCCCAGGGTGGAAAACACTTAAAGGCATTCTTAAGCCACAAACAATAGCATGAGCGATCTGTGCCTTAAGGACATGCTCCTGCTGCAGTTAACTAGCCCAACCTATTTCTTTAATTCGGCCCATCCCTTCGTTTCCCATAAGGGATACTTTTAGTTAATCAAATATCTATAGAAACAATGCTAATGACTGGCTTGCTGTTAATAAATATGTGGGTAAATCTCTGTTTGGGGCTCTCAGCTCTGAAGGCTGTGAGACCCCTGATTTCCCACTTCACACCTCTATATTTCTGTGTGTGTGTCTTTAATTCCTCTAGCGCTGCTGGGTTAGGGTCTCCCCGACTGAGCTGGTCTCAGCAATTAGGATCACACATTATTATGATATATCAGAAATGTTCTTTGCTTTTAAACTTCCAGTCTCAAAATACATAGCTCATTAATCACATCCATAAAGACCCCTCTTGCCAGTAACATAGCGTGTTCCCAGTTTCCAAAGATTAGAATGTGGCCAACTTTTTGGGGCCATTATTCTGCCAACTATACTTAACAAGCAAATATGAGAAAGGAAAACAAAGGACATGAACATATATACAAATATTCTAAACAATATTCTGACAAAAGAATATTTTGGGAATCTTAATCTATAATGATATTATGATCAAGAAATTCAATATTGCTAAATATCTCAGAAAAATCTATACATCTAATTACTCTATAGAAAAAGTGAGACATATAATCATCTCGGTAAATAGAGAAAATAATAGCTAAAATTCAAGAATTATTTATAATCTTAAAATCACTTTTAGTAAACTAGAAATAAAAGAGGATTTCCATAATCTGATAAAAATCTTCAACAGAAAATCTACATCAAACATCAACCTTTGAGGCAAAATAGTAAAAGTGCTCCCTTTAAAATTAGAAACAAGGGGAGGAAAAAAATGGCAGACAGGAGGCAGGACTAACTTGCAGCTCCCACTTGGATTGACAGAGCAGCGTGTGGAGACTCACATCATGAACTTTTGCTCCAAGAACTACCACAAGAACATACCAGGAAAGCTGAGAGAATTCACAGATCCTTTGAAGGAAGCGGAGTGCTGCTGCAGGCCCCTGGAGACAGCTGAAAAACTATGAGTGCCCAAAGTGTGAAAGTGGGATCATGGGTGTCGGAATACACACCCTCAGTGGGGAGCCTGAAGGTCCATATCATGGGAGAAGGATTTGACCTTACCTGGAGCTGAGACAAATTTAGAGAGCTGAGCAAAATACAGGGTTAGAAACAACAGCAAGGAAAGCCCTGTGAGCTCTCCCTGTCAGGGGTCCTTGGGGAGGGCTGCCAGAGGACCTAGGAAAAGACCACGGGGAGAATAAAACTTCCAGCTTAACTTTGTAAACATTTTGACAGAAGGCAAAGTTTCCTGGACAGAACCTGGGGGAGGGGTGAATTGGAAGTACAGACACAGCACAGAGGCCATGGCAGGCAGAGAGGCAAGACCTGAAACCCTGCTTGCTTTCTCAGCTGGGAGGTGGGTAGCCTGGGGCAAGTTCTCAGCCTTGCTCACCTGCTGCCTGGAAATAAACTTGGTGCTGTTGACGGGACATGGTGGGAGGGAGACCAATCATTTGGGCTGCGTGGGAGCTGGGTGAGGTCTGTGACTGCCTGCTTTTCCCCACTTCCCTGGCAACCTGCATGAGGCAGCAGAGGCAGCCATAATCCCTGTGGAAACAACTCCATCAGCTGGGGAACCACACTTTGATCCCCCACAACAGCCAGAGGAAGCACTGCCCAAGGAAAGCCTGAGCTCAGACACACCTAACCTTGCACTCACCTGATGGTTTTTCTCTGCCTACCCTGGTAGCCAAAGACAAAGGACATAATCTCTTGGGAGCTCTATAGCCTCACCCACTGCCTGATCCTCTCTATACTACTGCAGCTGATGCTCTCCTGAAAGTACCATCTCCTGGCTGGAGGCCAGTGAACACAAAACTAGTGAAATAAACAAAACTGCAGCCAAGGACCCTCAGAGAGTCCACTTCACTCCCCTGCCATCTCCACTGGAGCAGGTGCTTGTACCTACGGCTGAGAGACCCAAAGATGGTTCACATCACAGGACTCTGAGCAGACACTCACCACTTCTAGCCTGGAGCCCAGCAGCTTCTCTGGGTGGCTGAGTCCAGAAGAGAAATAGCAATCACTGCAGTTTGGCTCTCAGAAAGCCACATCCCTAGGGGAAGGGGGAGAGCACCACATCAAGGGAGCACCCCATGGGACAAAAGAATCTGAACAGCAGCCCTTGAGCCCCAGATTTGTCTACACAAAAGAGAAGGAGCCAGAAAAACAATTCTGGCAATATGACAAAATAAGGTTCCTTAACATCCCCCAAAGATCACATTAGCTCACAGCAATGGATCAAAACCAAGAAGAAATCTCTGAATTACCAGAAAAAGAATTCAGAAGGTCAATTATTAAGTTAATCAAGCAGGCACCAGAGAAAGGTGAAGTCCAACTTAATGAAATAAAAAAAATGATACAAGATATGAAGGAAAAATTTTTCAGTGAAATAGATAGCATAAATAAAAAACAGGCCAGGCACAGTGGCTCACACCTGTAATCCCAGCACTTTGGGAAAATTAGGCAGTTGGATCACCTGAGATCAGGAGTTCGAGACCAGCCTGGCCAACATGGTCAAACCTCGTATCTACTAAAAATACAAAATTAGTTGGGCGTGGTGGCACATGGTAATCCCAGCTTCTTGGGAGGCTGAGGCAGGAGAATTGTTTGAATCCTTGAGGCAGAGGTTGCAGTTAGTCAAGATCATGCCATTGCACTCCAGCCTGGGCAACAAGAGCAAAACTCAATCTCAAAAAAAAAAAAAAAAAAAAAAAAAGAAGCAGAAGAAAGCAATCACAATATCTGGAAATGAAGGACTCAGAGAAATGCAAAATACACTGGAAAATCTCAGTGATAGAATTGAATAAGTAGAAGAAAGAACTTCAGAGTTTGAAGACAAGGCTTTCAAATTAGCTCAATCTAACAAAGACAAATAAAAAAGGATTAAAAAAATGAACAAAGCCTCCAAGGAGTTTGGGATTATGTTAAATGACCAAACCTAAGAATAAGTGGTGTTTCTGAGGAAGAAGAGAAATATAAAAGTTTGGAAACCATATTTGAGGAATAATTGAAGAAAAACTTCCCCAGCCTTGCTAGAGATCTTGTCATCCTGAAGAAAACTTCCCCAGCCTTGCTAGCAATCTAGTCATCCAAATACAAGAAGCTCAAAGAACACTGATAAATCTATTGCAAAAAGATCATTACCTAGGCACATACTCATCAGGTTATCTAAAGTCAAGATGAAGGAAAGAATCTTAGGAGCTGTGAGGGAAAAGCATCAGGTAACCTATAAAGGAAAATCTATCAGTTTAACAGCAGATTTCTCAGCAGAAACCCTACAAACTAGAAGGGATTGGGGCCACATCTTTAGCCTTCTTAAACAAAATAATGATCAGTCAAGAATTTTGTGTCTAGCAAAACTAAGCTTCATAAGTGAAGGAAAGATACCATATTTTTCAAACAAACAAATGCTGAGAGAGTTTGCCACTACCAAGCCAGCACTACAAGAACTGCTAAAAGGAGCTCTAAAACTTGAAACAAATCCTTGAAGTACACAAAAATAGAACCTCCTTAAAGCATGAATTTCACAGGACCTATAAAACAAAAACATAATGGGGGAAAAAAGATATCCAGGCAACAAATAGCATGATGAATAGAATAGTACCACCCATCTCGATACTAACATTGAATACAAATGGCCTAAATGCTCCACTTAAAATAAACAGAATGGCAGAAGGAATAAGAGTTCACCAACCAAGTATCTGCTGTCTTCAGGAGACTCACCTAACACATAAGGACTCACATAAACTTAAGCTAAAGGGGTGGAAAAAGATGCAGATGGACTCCAAAAGTGAGCAGAAGTAGCTACTCTTATATCAGACAAAACAAACTTTAAAGCAACAGTGGTTAAAAAAGATAAAGAGGGACATTATATAATGATAAAAGGACTAGTCCAATATGTGATATTTATCACATTCCTAAATATATATGCACCTAACATTGGAGCTCCCAAATTTATAAGACAATTACTAGTACACCTAAGAAATTAGATAGACAGCAACACAATAATACTGGGGCACTTTAATACTCCACTAACAGCACTAGACAGGTCATCAAGATGGAAAATCAACAAACAATAGATTTAAACTATACCTTAGAACAAATGGACTTAACAGATATTTACAGAACATTCTACCCAACAATTGCAGAATATACATTCTATTCATCAGCATACTTAACATTCTCTGAGATAGACCATATGATAGGCCACAAAATGTTCATTGGGTCACCCATGAAATCAAGATGGAAATTAAAAAATTCTTTGAACTGAACAATAATAGTGACACAACTTATCAAAACCTCTGGGTTAGAGCAAAGGTGGTGCTAAGAGGAAAGTTGATAGCCTTAATTGCCTATATGAAAAAATCTGAGAATACAAAGAGACAACCTAAGCTTATACCTCAAGGAACTGGAGAAACAAGAACAAATCAAGCCCCAACCCAGCAGATGAAAAGAAATAACCAAGATCAGAGCAGAACTAAATGAAATTGAAACAAAACAAAAACAAAGATAAATGAAACAAAAAGCTGGTTCTTTAAAAGGATCAACAAAATTGATAGACAGTTAGAGAGATTAACCAAGAAAAGAAGAGCGAAGATCCAAATAAGCTCAATTAGAAACAAAACAGGAGACATTACAATCAATACCACAGAAATGCAAAAGATCATTCAAGGCTGCTGTGAACACCTTTATGCACATAAACTAGAAAACCTAGAGGAGA
Source organism: Homo sapiens (assembly GCF_000001405.40). Classification (NCBI taxonomy): domain Eukaryota; kingdom Metazoa; phylum Chordata; class Mammalia; order Primates; family Hominidae; genus Homo; species Homo sapiens. The sequence continues at coordinate 132,183,500 of NC_000006.12, forward strand.
TGGATAAATTCCTGGAAATATGCAACTATCTTAGATTCAACCAGGAAGAAATAGAAACTCTGAACAGAAAAATAAGCAGCGAGATTGAGATGGTATTAAAAAAACTGTCAACAAAGAAAAGTTCAGGACCAGATGGATTCACAGATGAATTCTACCAGACATTCTAAGAAGAATTGGTACCAATCCTATTGACACTATTCCACAAGACAGAGAAAGAGGGTATCCGCCCCCACCCAAATCATGCTATTAAGCCAGTATCATCCTAATATCAAAACTAGGAAAGGTCATTACAAAAAAGAAAACTACAGATCAGTATCCCTGATGAACATACATGCAAAAGCCCTTAACAAAATACTAGCTAACCGAATCCAACAACATATCAAAAAGATAATCAGATAATCCACCATGATCAAGAGGGTTTCATACCAGGGATTCAGGGATGGTTTAACATATGACATATGCAAGTCAATAAATGTGATACACCACATAAACAGAATTAAAAACAAAAATCACATGATTGTCTCAATAGACTCAGAAAAAGCATTTGACAAAATCCGGCATCCAACTGTGATTAAAACTTTCAGCAAAATTGGCATAGAAGGGACATACCTTAACCTAAGAAAAGCCATCTATGACAAACCCACAGCCAACATTATACTGAATGGGAAAAAGTTGAAAACATTCCCCCTGAGAACTGGAACAAGACAAGGATGCCCACTTTCACCACTTCTATTCAACATAGTACTACTGGAAGTTCTAGCCAGAGCAATCAGACAAAAGAGAAAGAAATACATCCAAATCAGTAAAGAGGAAGTCAAACGGTTACTGTTTGCTGATGATACGATCATATAGCTAGAAAACCCTGAAGACTCGTCCAAAAAGCTCCTAGAACTGATCAATGAATTCAGCAAAGTTTCAGGACACAAAATTAATATACATAAATCAGTAGCTCTGCTATACACCAACAGTGACCAAGCTGAGAATAAAATCCAGATCTCAACTTTTTTACAATAGCTGCAAACAAAACAAAACAAAACAAAACAAAACAAAACAAAAAAACTTAGGAATATACCCAACCAAGGAGTGAAAGACTGCTACAAGTAAAACTAAAAAACACCGCTGAAAGAAATCATAGATGACACAAACGAATGGAAACACATCCCATGCTAATGGAAGGGTAGAATCAATATTGTGAAAATGATCATACTGCCAAAAGCAATCTACAAATTCAATGCAATTTCCATCCAAATATCACCATCATTCTTCACAGAACTAGAAAAAAAAGACAATCCTAAAATTCATATGGAACCAAAAAAGAGCCTGCATAGCAAAAGCAAGACTAAGCAAAAAGAACAAATCTGGAGGCATTACATTATCCAACTTCAAACTATACTATAAGGCCACAGTCACCAAAACAGCATGGTACCGGCATAAAAATAGGCACATAGAACAATGGAACAGAATAGAGAACCCAGAAATAAAGCCATATACTTACAGTCAACTGATCTTGATAAAGCAAACAAAAACATAAAGTGGGGAAAAAAACACCCTGTTCAACAAATGGTGCTGGGATAATTGGCTAGCCACATGTGGGAGAATGAAACCAGATTTTTATCTAGTTTATCTAGTTGTATAACTGTATACAAAAATCAACTCAAGATGGATCAAAGTCTTAAATCTAAGATCTGAAACCACAAAAATTCTAGAAGATAAAATCAGAAAAGCCCTTCTAGACGTTGGCTTAGGCAAAGACTTCATGACCAAGAAACCAAAAGCAAATGTAACATAAACAAAGATAAATAGATGGGACTTAATTAAACTAAAAAGCTTCTGCACAGCAATGGAAAAAATCAGTAGAGTAAACAGACAACCTGCAGAATGGGAGAAAATCTTCACAATCTATACACCTGACAAAGGATTAATACCCAGAACCTACAAGGAACTCAAACAAATCAGCAAGAAGAAAACAAACAATCCCATCAAAAAGTGGGCTAAGGACATGAAGGAGATAATTCTCAAAAGAAGATATACAAGTGGCAAAAAAAAGTATGAAAAAATCATCAACATCCCTAATGATCATGGAAATGCAAATCAAATCCACAATGCAATACCACCTTACTCCTGCAAGACTGGCCATAATAAAAAAAATTATAAAATAATAGATGTTGCCATGGATGTGGTGAAAAGGGAGCATTTTTACACTGCTGGTAGAAATGTAAACTAGTACAACTACTATGAAAAACAGTGTGGAGGTTCTTTAAAGAACTAAAAGTAGAACTCATTTGATCCAGCAATGCCATGACTGGATATTTACCTAGAGGAAAAGAAGTCATTATACCGAAAAGATACTTGCACACGCATGTTTACAGCAGCACAATTTGCAATTGCAAAAATATGAAACCAGCCCAAATGCCCCATCAATCAATGAGCAGATAAACAAATTGTGATATATATGTATACACACACATGTATATATGTATATAGATGTATATATGTGTATATATATATATATATATATATTCAGGGAGTGGGTGGGAGTGAGTGAGGGATAAATACACATTGGATACAGTGTACACTGCCTCAGTGATGGGTGCACCAAAATCTCAGTAATCACCACTAAAGAACTTATTCATGTAACCAAACACCACCTATTCCCCAAAAACCTATTGAAATACACAAAAAATAGAACTGGGAAAAAAATCAGAAACAAGAACAGCACTCCCATTCAGCATGGAATTCTAAGACAGTCAAATAAGACAAAAAGAAATAAAAATTCTGAGGTTTGGGAAAACAACTAAAATCTTTTTAATTGACAGATAGAAAAACTCAAAGGAATCCATAGAATTAGTAAGACAATATAGCCAAGTGCTGAAAAAAATTAATATACAGAAACTGTATACTTGGAATAAAGAGTTGGAAATAGCATTTTAAAATAAACACCATTTATTATATTAACACAAAATATAAGATGTGTAAAAACATATGTACCAAAAATATAAAGAGTTCATGGAGGAAACTTTTCAATATTATTGAGACATTAAAAGAGACATAAATAAGTTTAAATTTTGCCACTTTCAAGGAAGACTTGCTATTACAAGGAAGTCAATATCACCAAATAGCATACATGCAATTTTAATTTGAATTTCATAGAATTTTTTAAAGAAACTTGAGAATCCGATTCTGATATTGATGAAAGAAAAGAAAAGCCCAAGATTAGTTAAGAGATCCCTGAGATAAAAATAGTGTGCGATTTCCCCAGGAGACAGCAAGACTTTTTAAAAAGCCATGGCAATGCCAGTGTGGTATTGGTTTGCAAACAAAAAGGATACTGATAATAGAAATGAGAAAATACAAATAGACCCATACACATATGGAAATGCTGTGATTGAGAAGGCAGATCAATGGGAAAGTTGGGACCACTCAATATATGATGCTGGTTGAGTGGATTATTCATTTCAAAGAATATGAAACTAGAACCTTATCATACACAATTTCCACAAATCAATTTCAGATTGATTAAATTCTTAAATTTGAAAAGGTAGATTACCCAATTTTAGAAGAAAACAAGGAGAGTTTCTTTATAGTCATGGGGCTAGGAAAAGATTTCTTCAACAAGACACAAAAAGTACCCACTAAAAAATACAAATTTAATAACTTTGACTCATTAAAATGAAGAATTACCATTAATTATAAGAAATCACAACAAGTAAAATACAAGCCACAAATTAGAAAAATATATCAGCCATATATTAACAAAAGATAAAAAAACCAAATATCTCCTAATATCTTCTAATAAAACTCTTAGTGGCTATAAGAATAGACCAACGACCTAACAGAAAAGCATCAAAAGGCATTTTTTTTTCCAGAGGAGAAAGACTAGATGACCAAAAGTATATGGAAGATGTTTTAATCATTAACAATGCGGTAATGCAATTTAACAGTATAATGGGACAGTTTTATATCCACTAGATGGGCAAAACTTAAGTATGACAATGACTGCCATTAACAAGGGTGTGAGCTATAGAAATTCTTGTCCACTGGTGTTAGGAGAGTAATTGGAAAACACTTTAACCTTGAAATATAAAAGTAATAAGCACACAATACGTGCCCCAGCTGTTCCATTGCAGGTTATCAGCTAGAGAAATCTTTTCACATGTGTCCTGTGTCTTGACACAGGCACAGTGATTTAGGTAATGGTATTCATATAATAAAAAATACTTGAACGCAAATGACCATGAACAGAAAATATAACTAATTATTAGTTAATATTAATTGTATATTTCATAGTTATATTTTCTGTTCATGGTCATTTGCGTTCAAGCATAGTCACATAATGTAATATTATACAGGAGTGAAAGTGATGAAATTTTGAAAAACATGTGGGGAAAAAAGTGGCAAAAGGTTACACATGATATCATTCAATGTTATGAGGTTCCAAAACAAAAACAATTAAACTATACTGTTAAGGAATATATTTTGGAAGACAAACAAAACAAAGGAAGCATAAACTCAGTATTCTGGAGAGTGCTTACCTCTTGGGACAGGAAAATGAAATACAAAGAACTAAAGAAGTATGTATAAGTAGTTTCAAAATGGTTGGCAGTATTCCAGTTCATGAATCTGGAAATGTTTTGTTTCTATTTATTTCACTATTATCCTTCATAATTTATATATATGTTACATATAGTTTATATGCGTTAACTATATACAAAGAAAACTTTAGGGCCAGGCACAGTGGCTCATGCCTGTAATCCCAGCACTTTGGGAGGCCGAGGCGGTTGGATCACCTGAGGTCAGGAGTTTGAAATCAGCCTGGCAAACATGGTGAAACCCCATCTCTACTAAAAATACAAAAAAAAAAAAAAATTAGCTGGGTGGGGTGGCGGGCACCTGTAATCCCAGCTACTCAGGAGGCTGAGGCAGGAGAATCATTTCAACCCAGGAGGTGGAGGTTGCAGTGAGCAGAGATCACGCCACTGCACTCCAGCCTGGGAGACAGGGCAAGACTCCGTTTCAAAAAAAAAAAAAAAAAAAAAAAAAGGAAACTTTAGAAGTTATGTATTACAAATAAGAGGAATTATATTACACTAAGACAAAACACAGAAATTATAATGTTCTCACTATCAGTGATAATCATGGTTAATACTTTGGCATATTTCATTTTAGGACACACACACACATTTCCCTTGTCTTATTTTTCTAAATAGAATCACATTGTTTAGACTATTAGGCATTTTCTCTTTCTGCCAATACTATCATGTGAGCCTTTCTTTCCTTTTTAAAATAGTACCTTAAGACATAATGTCTAAGGGCTACATTATTTTCTATTATCTGAATCACCATAACTTAAATTTATCCAGCATATCAGTTTTGATGTTGCATTCTATTATTCTTGCATTGTTGTGACTGTGATGAACATTCTCAAACCTAATCCTTGGTACATATAACCTTGACTAGTCCCTTAATATAGACTTCTAGAAATGGAATTGCTGAATCAAAGTACACAGATTTAGGAGGTCAAATTGAGCCTCACTTTAGACTGCATCCATAAGTATGAGTCACAACTTCCTCTCTCCCACATACTGTGGTTTTCAATACCACAATGCAGATTTTGGGAGGATTAATGAACCTATTCAATGGAGAAATCAACATTCTGTTCCCTCGTGTTTTTTCCTCCTTCTCTTATGTTCCTCTTTCACATACACAAACTTATGTATACATCTATCATCAAGTATTGGGAGAAAATGTACAAAAATAAAGAAGGAAACTGGCCGGGCATGGTGGCTCACACCTGTAATTGCAACACTTTGGGAGGCCAAGGTGGGCGATTCACTTGAGGTCAGAAGTTTGAGACCAGCCTGGTCAACATGGTAAAACCTGGTCTCTACTAAAAATATATACAAAAATTAGTCAGGCATGGTGGCACGTGCCTTTAGTCTCAGCTACTTGAGAAGCTGAAGCAGGAGAATCACTTGAAACTGGGAGGCAGAGGTTGCAGTGAGCCAAGATGACACCACTGCACTCCAGCCTGGGCAACAGTGAGACTTGGTCTCAAAAAAAAAAAAAAGAAAAAAAAAAAAAAAGGGAAACTAATACCATAGGGGAGAAAAGGATTATTTTTATGAAAGGAGAATTTAAAACAATCATTATCCTCAACATGATCCAGAGAATATTTTATCAATAAAACAAAAACATGCTACTATGAAAAAAGAACAATCAGAAAACCAGAAGATTTCTTAGAATTTAAAACTATGCTTCTACAAATAAAATATTTTAAAACCATGATTATGAAAATAAAATTATTCATAAAGGGGCTGAGAATAAAATAATCCTGGTATTATACCTGGTTAGTGATCTGGAAAATAAAGACACATCAAGGAAAATCTCCCAGAATGAGGAGCAAAACCACAAAGGAATGAAAACAAATGAAGTATTGAAAGTGTTTTGGATGTTAAACTACTAAGGTAGCATTAATAATAAATAAGCTGTAAGGTGGCATCAGTAATACTTGAATAAAAAATACAGCAAATATATTCATCTTACACATAATAAATATGTTAGTATATCCATGTGTACGTGTCCAGTGGAAGGGTTAAATTGAGCAATATCACTAAATCTCTATCAAAAGACAAACTTCATTATAGAATTATTTCTCAGCATTGTAGAAATCATATTCGTTCCTAGAAGTCACCAGTTGGAATTTTATGTGGGCTGGAAGTGTGGTGAACATGGAGTTCATGCATGCTCTAACACTTCTGTGATTATAGAACAGCAAGGCTTTTTTGGGTAGGTATACACGAGAGATAGAAAGGTCATTTGGGGTGATGAGTCAGTTTTTCCAACTTCCTGCAGGGTTGACTTTAGATTTACAAGGATTCCACATAGTTTTCATCTCAAAACAGTATTCCTTTTTAATGGCTTTAAAATCAAATAGCACAGAGAATTTCATTTGCATGTCAAAATCCTTGTAATGCATTTTTTGTTAATATGCAATTTCAGTGTCTGCACATGGATTTTTCTTAAGGACAAGTGCTCCATAAAAGATTTAAATGTTCACTTTTCGGTCCCAAACTCCTAAAATAGAATCCCAAACACCACTGAAACCTGACAGCAATGGCAAGAGGTCAACTAATATCTGTGCTTTTAAACCACAGAGACATGTGATTCAGTGGAAAATGCACCTCGGCCTACTCTCATTCTTAGCAACAAGAAGTTAGGTTGGTAGCACACACCATTTCTGACAAAAAGAGGATAACTAAACCACTGACTAAAGTTGTCAACTCCTGAAATGGGGATTAGGTTATGGAGAAAATAAAAATATTAGATGAAGTGACCCTGATAAATATTGACTTTCTGGCAACTTTGGATCTCTTCATGCTAAATAAAAATACGAGGTTTCCTAAGTGACACTTGACCTATGAAGTCATCTTCAATAACGTTATAATACATTGGACAAGAAATGCAAAACAAATGAACCCTCTAACAGAGCCAAATTATTACAACAGCCTTTGACTAACTCTCTCCGTATTATGCTTTCCTTTTGCCAATTACCACCCACTTCCTCAGTATGGTTTTCATGGTTTGTAGGAATTTCAAGCTGTCAATGTCATAAAGCTACAGAATAATAATGACCACAAACAAAGTATAAACAAAATACAAACATAATGCAACATCTTAATTTGGGAAATAGAGGTTACAAATAGCATAAAATACAAACAATAGACAAATTTTCTTGATTGGGTTAGGTGTATCGAATTATACACTGGGAATTCTAATTAGTATATTCCGACTCATTTCTGACTTATTGTAAGCAAAAGTCAAAGTCTAAGGCTCCTCTGCATGTTTATTTCTCCTGTTTTAAACTGGGCTTAGTACACTTTATCATCACATTCTTCCATAGGAGATGTGAATATAATCCTAGGCTCTGCAGAAGTATATCTCTGAGAAAATAATATAACAAACAACATAAATTTTGATTGTGTATATAGAGCACTATGGCTCAGTACAACTGTGGTAGATGGAAGAGAGAATGTGAATCAGAAAAACAATGCATAGTCCCTATACTCAAAGGAACTTACCACCCGGTAAAGGAAAAAGACATGTTCAAAAAAAGTTCCATGATCTTGGGTGTCAACACAGGTGAAAATAGAGAGAGGAGGGGGAATACTAGCTGTATACTGGTCACAGCATAGGTTTTAAAATTCAAATGTGATTTTGGTATGAACTTTCTACCGTCATGATAGAATATTCTTTCAGGTCTGGAAGAGCAGGTCTCTTTTAAATACTGAGCTATGGTACAGTTGACAGAGGATGTTCTTCTGGGTTAGATTTCAGGAAAGCCAACTATGCAGGATGTCATGATGTATTGATAATTTATACTTCCAACCAACTGATGTAATACATAGCTCAAGAAAATGTCATCACTTCATTTACATCAAAAGTTCTGACTTTATCTAATATTCACAAACTAATTGTTAGAATTTATCAAAGAAAATTAATCCAGTACACTTTTGATATCATGGAGACTGCGTGGTTAACTGATTGAACTCACCTTTCAACGAATTGCGGTTTTACAGAAACATGATGCTGGCTTCATAGCCCTTCTTTCTTTTCCAGCTCAATTTATGATTCATTTTTTGGTTATGAGAAGCAGTAAACTAGCCCCATGTATCAATGGCTTAACCATCATTTCTTTTCTGATAATCAATGAATAAACTGAATAGACAGCTGACAGGACTGCAGGAAAGGATATAAAAATGCCAAATGGCGACAGAAGACGGCCTGTGTTCTTTTCTGTTGTATTTCCCTGTTCCACATGTTGTATTTCCCTGGGCAAGTCACTTCATACTTTAAGAGGGACACCTCTTGACTGTAAGATAGTCAACATTCCTCTGGCACCTCCATATATTAAAAATAAATTAAATTAGCACAGGATGGGAGAAAGAGCCTTTTTGTTTTTGTGTTTGTTTTTTAATCTGGAGGGCAGAAAAGCCTGTGTCCTAGGTTTGGTTCTGCCTCTAGGTAACTGCATGCTACTAAATATGTCTCTCTTTCTATTTTAAATATGTACCTCTATCTTATTTGTAAAATAGTTGTTGGACTAGATGTTCTCTCTAGTACCTCCTAGCTCAAAATTTTCTTACTGAAAAAAAAAAATAGTGCCTCTAGGCTTCTAATTTAAATGCCAGGTTTCCACCTGATGTAAATTCAACTGTCTGGGTTATAAGCCAACTACAAAATAAAGTTTATAATGGAAACAGTTAGTGACCCTTGGCAGCATCAATGCTAACAGTTCCCGCTATAATATTCAGTTACCGCTCATATCCCTGGGCAGCGACTGACGCGTTATGTAACAGTAACTATTGCAGGATTACCCAATCCTTTCACATAACCCTAATTGCACAGTCTGCTTGTGGCTCCTGTAATACCTAGTTCTCTTCAATGACACCCTCCAGGGTAGATGTGGCTGCCACCACCAAACCCAGTTCTTGATGGTTTAAAATAACAGTTATGTGTAACTTGCAAATACCACCCTTTTTAGAGTACATTATTTTTGCTTTTCCTTCTGCTTCTTTCTAACTGGCAATGACTTCCTGCCCAAAATGACCTAGCACTAGGAAAAATTCTAACAAATAATAAAATGCTCCAGTACAGGTACAGTACATACCGTGCTCTGACTTACAGCACAGACTGAGTGAGAAGCTTCAGCTGGAAAGATCCAGAGGAAAGGAAGAGGGAGATGATCCATGTTAAATACAACAAATTCTAAATTAAATAGTATTGGCCCTTTTTTTTTGGCCTTTGCATTTAACCCGTACTTTCTTTATTAAATATAAATGTTTTAACTCTCAGCAAAAAAGGGCAAATTTAGAAAATGAAGCATTTTTATAACAGAATTAATATGGAAAGTAGGTAAATATCAGATCTGATACATAAAAGAATAGACATTTCAAGATGTGCATATCATCTGAAAGTTTAGTAATTAGAAATAATTTAACCACATGTTCCTCAAAATATAACAATCCAAGAATATATTTCTCATAATATAATTTAATTTTTACTGCTTCTAATATGTTTATATTTCCATTTTAGAAAGCACAGATAAGGCTGGGCATAGTGGCTCACACCTGTAATCCCAGGACTTTGTGGGGCCAAGGCGGGCAGATCATGAGGTCAAGAGATCGAGACAATCCTGGCCAACATGGTGAAACCCTGTCTCTACTAAAGATACAAAAAGAAACATTAGCAGGGTGTGGTGGTGGGTGCCTGTAGTCCCAGCTACTAGGGAGGCTGAGGCAGGAGGATCCCTTGAATCTGGGAGGTGGAGGTTGCAGTGAGCCAAGATCATGCCACTGCACTCCAGCCTGGTGACGGAGCAAGACTCTGTCTCGACAAACAAACAAAAACAAACAAACAAACAAAAAAAGAAAGCACAGATAAATGGAACAACAAAATACAAACCACAATAGTAGCAATGTATCAAATAATCTATTTTTTCAATGCATGTTTACATTAACATAACAAAAGTCATATTGTATTTATTAATGTTACACTGTTTTTATCAATGATTGTCATAAATATTTGTTAAGTCCTTTGTGAATAATATTTTAAATTGTAGGTATTTTATTAATCATAATACATTCATGCATTTTCTCCTTGTTTGAATTTTACTTTGTATCCAAATTTTGTCAGTATGAAAAATGATGCAAACAAAAATATTCTTTTGCAAGCATTTTGCCTGTATGTCTGGTTATCTTATTTCTTAAACTACTAATACAGCTTAAGCTGCATTCCTGAAGCTATTTATATAGATTGCCAACTACGTCTGAAAAATAGAGCTAATATTTAAAATTTAGAATGATTTTCTATACATTTGATATTAGCCAAAAGACCTATACGTAAATGGAAATTCTGGTGCCCAGTTAATGTTTCACTGTGAAGCCAGAAACTATGCAAGTTAGAAATAAAAATGAAACTGTTGATGTGGTGCAAAATATCTGTATACCTGGGTACTTTATATTTCAAAGCAATGTTTTAAATATGCTAAATTCTAAAAAAAAACTATGTAGAAAGAGAAAAATCATTTAGTTATATGAATTGTGTTGAATAAAAACAATAGCATATAGTAAGATCTATAAGTGACAATCATGATATAAAACAAAAACTGTTACTGAAACAAGAGAGTTCCCTGACCCCCTCCTTGCAGGGTGTGAGATGGAGGTGTGGCTTGTCTGTTTGGTGGCTGCTGTTGCTCAAACCTCTTACAGGAGGGGGAGCATGCAACTGGACAGGTGCAGGAGCCCACGTGGACATGTGTTATAGTGTGCCCATTCAGCCTTGCCATCCGTGGATGGCTTAAGTATTAGCCAGCTCAGTGGACCCTCTGCCTTTCAGCAAGGACAGACGGCCAGTGTGGCAGCTTTCTGTATCCTGAGCTCTTGTCCAGCATCCTGGAAGAATCAGGTGTCACACAGACTTGGAGGATGAATGCAGGGCTTTTAGTGAGTAGTTGAAGAGGCTCTCAATGGGATGGACGGGGAGCTGGAAGGGGGATGGAGTGGGAAGATGATCTTCCCCTGGAGTTTGGCCAGTGGTCAGACTCCTCTCAGTGCTCAGTCGCTCCTTCTCTTCTCTCTTTCTCTGCCATGCTGTGCTGCCATTTGTCTGCTTGTCTCCTCATCTTCTGATTCTGGAGCCTGGGGTTCAGGGTTTATATGGTTACAGGATAGGGGGTGTGGTGGGCCAAAAGGCAACGCTTTGGGCATGAAAACAGGAATGCCTGTTCTCAGTTAGGCCTATGGGAATCCAGGCTTGAGGGTGGGGCCTTTGCCAGGGAACCACCCTCTTCTACCCAGTATTTCCCTGTCTCCTGTCCATATCATTAGAAAAATAGGAACTTCCCGCTACCAAAATCACATATGCAGCTATTCACAAACCAGTCTATTGTCTTTTTAAACATTCTTTCTGCTTTACAATGAAAGAGATGCTTCTCGTCCATCTGAAGCTAATTTCTCCATTTATTATCTGAATTCCAGCTCCTCCCTGCCTTCAGGAATTTTGCTGTATTGATTGTTTGCCTGTGTGCTGTATCTAAAGTTCCTCACTCTATACGGGAGTTTTTTCCATTAACATTTTAATTGTGTACAAGCTTCTTCCACTTTTAAGATTCTTCTCAATCTCCAGTTACTACCTTATCTCTTTCCTCCCTTTTGACAGACAAATAGTTTTTTAAAAATTAAGTTCATACATTCTGACACTTGCTTATTGTCTAATAAAATCTCAATTCACTGTCATATGCCTTCTACTTCCATTGTTCAACTTCCCTTGTTATCTCCTTGGTTTTCCCATCCTTTCTCATCTCTGGCCAATCTTTTTCTGTCTCTTTGTGTTTCCCTTCCTCCATTTACCTGCACATAATGATGTTTCTCTGTTTCTCAGGGTTTTGCCTTGTTTTTTTTTTTTTTTTTTTTTTTTTGAGATGGAGTCTCGCTCTGTCGCCCAGACTGGAGTGCAGTGGCGCGATCTTGGCTCACTGCAAGCACCGCCTTCATGCCATTCTCCTGCCTCAGCCTCCCGAGTAGCTGGGCCTACAGGCGCCCGCCACCACACCCAGCTAATTTTTTGTATTTTTAGTAGAGACGGGGTTTCACCATGTTAGCCGGGATGGTCTTGGTCTCCTGACCTCGTGATTCGCCCGCCTCGGCCTCCCAAAGTGCTGGGATTACAGGCGTGAGCCACTGCGCCCGGCCTGGGTTTTGCCTTTTAAGCCTTTTCTGATTCTTCTCACTATCCCTGGGTGAGCTGATTCACTCCCATGACTTCAAGTATCTTTTATAGGCTGATGAATCTCACAGCTTTATCTCCAGCATAGCTCCATCTCTTCAGATTCAGAACCGTATCTCTCTCTACCTATTGTTCCAATCCACTTGAAGGTTTCTCAAATACTTCAAGAACATCTTCAAAACTGAATGCAGGACCTTCTTCAGTTTTTTAAATTTTTTGGAGAGAGGGAGGTCTTGCTATGTTTCCCAGGCTGGTCTTGAATTCCTGGCCTCAAGTGATCCTCTCACCTTTGAAGTGTTGGGATTGTAGACATGAGCCACTGCACCTGGCCTAATCTTCCTCTCAATCTCGCTTTTCCTCCTGGATTTATTTTCCCTCAATGAATAGCACCATCATTCATCTGGTCCCTCAAGGCAGAAAGAGAAACTTGGACATCATTCTGCATTTGTTTCTCCTTTATACTCAGTTCTAGGTGGTTTTGGCCTATATGTAATTATCTGCAGGTAGCCCCCACCCTGCAAGATTACACAGGTTACAGTTAAATGCCTGTCTATAACCCAAAAATATTATTATCTTTCCTCTATCATAGCCTGCATAATACTGTTAAATTTGTCAATGTGCATATCTTCTCCAAAACCATAAACTTTGTCTGTATTTTCTCTCTTGTATCCTCTGCAACTAGCAATGTTTATCATATAATAAGCATATAATAAATATTTGTCAAATGAGTAAAAATGTATCTATTATGTTTTAGTTGTTGAGAAGAGCAGTAGTGATAATTTTTATTTTGAATAGCAAATGTTTATTATAAAATTTCTAAACATAACAAAGAATAAAAGATTTTATTCATAAGTACATGATGATGGCCTTTGTGGGTATCTACATAATAAAATATTTTTCTATTTTTCTTGTGCCAGATAGCCCATACTCCTATGTAGTTTGCAATTTACAATACATTCTTCTAAAAAGCTTCAGAAGTCTAGCCATACCTCTGTACCTTCAAAGAGTGGTTTCTTAGTTATAATCTACTGAGTTTTGACCCATGTGATTCTGTCTTACAGGGCCCAGTTGAACCAACTCAACATGGAGAGCTCACCCAAAGTGGCTATCTGTAAACTTTCCAGAGGCTAAAGAGATGGCCAGATACTGAAACTCTGCCCATTGAAATACTCAAATCCATTTTTTTTCTTTTGGGAAGAGACATACAGTCAGTTATCAGTGGAAGTATTAGCAGATCCAGATTGTCTACCCTGAGAGCCAGAGGGAACTGTTAGATTTTCAGTGGCCACAGATCACTAAAACATTCATGTTATTCTTAATGGCAATGAATGAAAGTCCAGGCTATGGGGCTGCTGAGGTTATGTCCTTTCCTGCGTATCAGCAGGATTGGTCAAAGACCGTCCTGTATCAGCTAAGCTAATCTCAGTTTTAAACTTGCTAGTTTTTACTACAATGCTTCATTTGTGTCATAGTTTATTACTTTCTGTCTTTGAATTTTGAATACTGCATTTGTTAATTAGACATTATCAACTTTGTAAATATATACTAGTAAACTTTTTTATCATCCTTAAGTATACTTCAATTTTTGTTCACAATTGTATATTCCTTATGTACCATAGTTTTACTTTTCCTTAAGCCTGCTGCTGGAGCTGGAAAATCTCCATTTACATCTGTCTCAAAAAATCTAGTAATTTATCAATAGTATCTTTAAAAAGTGAAATTTACTTTTATGTTAAAAGATCATGTCTATCAGTTTGCTGGGGAAAAATATTGATCTTGAAAAGTAAATAAACTAAACCTACAAAGGGATCAAAATATATTTCAATCATCAGTAGAATTGAAGGAAGACCCTGAGATGCTTAGATGCCCAAGCCATTCTTGTCAGAGGTGCCCAGTACCGGCACTTAAGAAGATGGCCTTCTCTGCATGCCTCAGGTTTGACTCAGCAACTGACATTTGCTGGCCAGGAACTGGCACACCGAAGTGTTCACCGAAAAAAAGTTTCCAGACTGACAGCCTGTAGCTAGGATCTCCTTATCACAGCAGCTCTGGAGAAGAGCAGGTGGTGTTTATGGGGCCCATGCCCTGCCTGTTCTTTACATACCCCAAGATATTGCACTTTAGTGCTTTCAGTGAAATTTGTATTTTTATTAAGTTTAAAATAGACATGCAAAGATATTGCCTGTTTCCTCCTAATGGGCTGGACTTGATCAATGAAATTAGCTGATCATGACACATTTGGGCTTTCTAATGGATATGGCTTTAAAAGAAGGTTTGTTGTGTGTGTGTCTGTGTGTGTGTGTGTGTTTGTGTGTGTGTAGAAGTCTTTGATTTTGGTGAATTGTATGGGAACAAGGAGGAGAACTGGTATCTGGTAGTGAATTGTTAAATAGCTAGTGTACCCAGTGATAGAACCAACTGGAACATCCCTATATCATGATTCTGAACATCTTTGCCTATTTTTTATTATATGTGTTTTATTTTTAATATATTAACTTTTGTGAATTCATGTGAAAGTCTGCTCAAAAGTAACACTCAGAACCAGTAAAATATATATAAAAAATTGTGCTGTTGACTAAAATGAAATTGTTACTTGGACTTGTAAAATAAAAAATAGACACACTCCATTTAAGGATAAAATTCTCTGTGGGAAACAGAGCCCAAACACCAACACTCACACTAAAGGAGCTATAGTTGGTAAACTTTTGCCCTTGTTCGGCACTGATCACATGTTCCCAAAAGTTGTATAGCCTCACAGTGGAAATCAGAAGCAAACTAGCCTTAGACATTGGGTGATTTTCAATTATTTATCCAAGTGGAAAAGCACATTTTTAGGGCATGACGGACTGAAATGTAAGAGCATACAGTACAAACTGTAGACTAATAAAATTTTGTGTTGAGTGTGGGTTGGAGTCATTAATTCTCATGGCTAGTCTAAATTATAATCACATTCTTGGGGTTTTTATTTTTTCCCTTTTTAATAGTTAAAGGATAACCTTCTATTTTGTAGGTTTAATCTTAAAAACTTCAGATTCTAGGGAAAAAAAGTAGAAATAATAATCATAATACAATAAAAACATCTGAATAAACCTTTGGCAAATGGAAGGCCATTTTCCAAATGATGAGTCAGAAGTCTGTCATAATTTGGACTAGATTTCTGCCTTAGACAGTGGTCAAAACAAAACAAAAACCACCACCAACAAAAAGACGCCAAAAAATGATAATGTATGTTCACTATCCAGCACTATTTAGATTTATCTTTGCATAGGATTAAGTATGCCTATCACGCAAAGTGAAATTTTAAAGAAAGCTCCACAACCAAAGCCAGGATGACATCAGTGACAAAAACTCTCCCTTCAATCATATCGGGGCTCATAGCTTAGAGTAATAGCATGTGAGTGCAGCAGCTGACTCAAATAACCAATAACCCCACTATAGTTCAGCTGCTCTGACTTTGTTTCAAGACAGTAAGATGAAGAAGAAAAAAAATAACGTCCCTCATAGCTCATGAGCAAAGCAACTCCTAAACATGTTAGGGTCAGTTTCTATATAGAGAGTAGGCTCCTAATCCACACCATAGAAGTTAGCTTCTCGAGGACTAAATATTTCCTTTGCTTTACCCCAATCACAGGGCAGAATATCTTTTATACTGAATTTCTAAACAAAAGTTTATTCAATTAATGTATTAGTCTGTTCTCACACTCCTGTAAAGAACTACCTGAGACTGGGTAAGTTAGGAAGGAAAGTGGTTTAATCGGCTCAGTTCCACAGGCTCAACAGGACGCATGACTGGGAGGCCTCAGGAAAGTTAACAATCATGTTGGAAGGTGAAAGAGAAGCAAGCACGTCTTACCATGGCAGAGCCAGAGAGAGAGAGTGAGGGCGCATGTGCCACACACTTTCAAACAACCAGATCTCATGAGAACTCACTAACACTAGATCAGCAAGGGGGGATGTCCACTCCCATGATTCAATCACCTCCCACCAGGCTCCTCCACCAACACGTGGGGATTGTAATTCAAGATGAGATTTGGGTGGGGACACAGAACCAAAACATATCAATTAACTTGCTGGGAATTTTGGAAGTTAGGATAAAGTAGACCTTAGACCTTAAAATAACTCTAGAAGAGTTTTTGGAAGACCTCTGTAATAGGGTATATGACAGACTCAGATTGAAAGGATCACTTAAATCAAGAAATGTTAGGGGCATAAATAAATTAATACAGCACATAGACTGAGTTTATTCTTTGAGCCCTGTTCTTCCACTACTTCTTAAGGTATAGTGAATCCTACTTCTCAGAGGCCTCATGAAGGCAAATGAAACTCTTTAGATTCAAGTATAAAATATCAAATATTGTTGGTTAATAAATTCTGACTACATTGAGATGCTATTATATATATCTACTATGCTATGTTCTAGGGATGAAAGGGTAAATAAGATAGACGCAATTCTGGCCTTCATGGGAATTTTAGCTTAGTGTTCAGTAAATTTTTCTAACTTTTTATTATGGAAATTTTCAAATATAACACACATGTTGAAAGACTAGTTTAAGGAACCCAGTGAGTCTATTACTCACTTTCAATAATTATCAAAATGTTCAGTTTTGTTTTATCTATACCCCATCCACGCTACCCCATGCCAGTCAGAATATTTTGAAGTAGATCTCAGCCATCTATCATTTTATGTGTAAATATTATAGTTTGTATCTCTTAAAGATAAGAACTCCCTCAAAAAGCTATAATGTCATTATTATACCAAGAAACTTTTAATATTACCATAGTTGAAAATTCCATATTGTATACTTGAAATCTGCTGAGCAAATAGATTTTTAATGTTCTCACCACACACACACACACACACACACACACACACAAACACACACACAATGGTAACTAGGTGAGGTGATAGATGTGTTGATTGTGGTAACCATTTGACAATATATAATATCAAATCATCATGTTGTATATCTTAAACTTATACAAATTTACTTGCCAATTATATCTCAAAAAACTGAAATAATTTTTTTAAAAAAGAAAATAATTTTAACAATGGTTACTTAATAGCATAAAAAATGAATTATTGTTTATATTTACCTGTTTGTTTCATACACACACACCCCTCTCCACAGTTTTATAATTAAGATTGACATTAGATTGGTAGGTCTGTTACATTTCTTTTCATTTAAAGCTTCCCTTTTCATAACTATGTTTGTGTGTGGAAGAAACACAACTCCTTAACCAGTAGAGTTTGCACTGTCTAAATTTTGCTGATTGCAACCTCATGATGTAATCTGACATATTTTTCTTTCCCTTAAATTTATCATAAATTATTAATAAGATCTAGAGTCTTGGTTGGATTCAAGTTTGATTTTTTCTTCTTTTTTGTCAAAATCTGTTCATGAGTAGTGTTTATATACATATGTTTAAATATATAAATACATACATTTATATATTGTTTAAATATATACATTTATATGTATATATGTGTATGTATATATGTAAATAATATTTTTAGACTTTTATAACAATCAAGTACCTTTAGAACGCAAAAATTAAAGGTAAAGATAAGGTTAAATGATACTTACACCATCATGATGTGTGGTCCTGCGTGGGCCACAGTTCCTTATCAATATTAAAAACTCCTTCAACTCTAAAAGTTCAGGACTGTGAGATCAGTGATCTCAGCCTGAGATGACCATATGCCAAAGCCATTTACTAACATACTTTCATTGCCCAAAGTCAGTTAGAATGAAAGCCTGACTTTGGTATACAATCAGGT
This sequence comes from Homo sapiens, assembly GCF_000001405.40. Taxonomy (NCBI): domain Eukaryota; kingdom Metazoa; phylum Chordata; class Mammalia; order Primates; family Hominidae; genus Homo; species Homo sapiens. The sequence goes on from NC_000006.12 coordinate 132,202,062, forward strand.
CCATTCTCAGCAGGCTGGAAACATCTCAGATAATCGAAGCACCTGCATAGTTCCCTTTGTCTTTGCATATTCTAGAACATTATCTTGCTCTAGCTCTTGTCCCATTTCCTAAAATCTCACTTGCTCAATTCTCCAAATAAGTCTTGCTAAGAAAATTCCTTTTTAATAAGGTGAGGATGTCTAGCAAATAAAATAAATACAGATATTTGAAGTCAGACTGGTTATTTTAGTACATTAGAAAGAAAGTCAGCATCAGCTTCATTATTGCATTAATTTTAAACAATCTTAATCCAATTCTCATTTTATGAATAGGCCTTTGGTAAAATGCACCCATCTAAGCCATTTAATCATTTGGAACTTTAAAATATGTATTTATCCCTACTGGAAAATATTAGCTTTCCAAAATGCCTTAGTTTTAGAGTTTCTCATTTTCATGAAAATAGTAAAAATTAACAAATATCTATAGATATAAAATACAATCCAATCTCCCACAACTCCCAGATACTGCAGCCATCACTTTCTAAGGGCTGCGTAAGGAAGCAAATTCACTGAATTTACTTCAGACCTGTCTTTGCATCCAGTGTCTTCAGGGCAACATTACTTCATAGGTCAGGGGTCTGCTATCAGGGAATACACAGTGGACATCCCACAGGACAGAGTAGCCAGCAGGAATGCTCGCAGACATCTGTTCAATATGTGGGTAGCTTACAGCCTTGTTTATATTAAGAGCTCTTGCTGCTGGACAGCAGAAGTAACTCCTTTAGAATCCGTTCCCATAATAGTCCCTAAGGCAATGACGCACAGCTGTGGAAAGGAAATAGGCTCTTTAATTTGTTAACCATGCCCAGAAAAGAAGAAAACAAAATGCTCAAATGAGACTATAAAGAGGACTTTTAAGAGTCTTCCAGAAACAGCTAAAAAAGCAATACAAACATTTCCCCCCAATCACATAAGATGTATATATGTGGCTTGTTTGTTCCTTAACATATGTCTAATCTTACATTTGAATTCTGTGAAATTTTTCTCTTCTTCTGACTTTTCAGTTTAACCTTCTCTTAATGATCATACTGTCTAAAGATTCTGATCCCATAAAACCCCTGTATCCTTATTGCTGAAAAGCATACTGCTGAAAGATCCCATTTGGAAAAATTCATATGGTCAGGGAAAATGGGCCTGAACTAGCCAGGAGACTGATATTAAGAAAAGGACATCATTTCCTTAAATGAGGGTCCCAGAGTTTGAAGCAGCAAATTGGATCTTTTAATCCAACTCCACCCTATATAAAACACTTTCCCAAACCTGTTTTTAAAAAGATGGTTTCTGATTTCTTGTGTTTTTAATGCCCTTACTTTGGTTATCAAGAAATATTTCAGGCTGGGTGCGGTGCCTCATGCCAGCGCTTCTGGAGGGTGAGGTAGGCAGATCACCTGAGGTTAGGAGTTTGAGACCAGGCTGACCAATGTGGTGAAATCCCATCTCTACTAAAAATACAAAAATTAGCCGGCCATGGTGGTGCATGCCTATAATGCCAGCTACTCGGGAGGCTGAGGCAGGAGAATCACTTGAAGTTGGGAAGCAGAGGTTGCAGTGAGCCAAAATCACACCACTGCACTCCAGCCTGGGCGACAAGAGTGAAACTCGGTCTCAATTAAAAAAAAAGAAAGAAAGAAAGAAAAGGAATATTTCAAATATGTGACAATTAAGTATCTGGAACCAAGACCCAGCTACCCAGCTCTATCAAGTTCTACCAGTTTGCCATACTTGCTTCAACTTTTAGGGTTTTCTTTAAAGCAATACTTATTACAAATATGATTGGGGTTCCCTCTCTACCTCTCTCATGTCTTATGTTTTCCTTCCTCCCTCTCTAACTTCTGCAAGATAATCACCAACCTGAATTTGATTATTTATTTTTCTCATGCATGTTTACATTGTTATAACATTATTATAGCACAATGTCCAACACTGCTTGGCATGTTTTCATATTTTACACAAATGGTATCATATTGTATGTATTTTTTGGTAATGTATTTTCTTAATATTGTAATTGAGATTTAATTAAATTTTCTTTTCAACTTTTATTTTAAATTCAGGGAGGGTATGTGCAGGTTAGCTACTTGATATATTGTGTGATGCTGAGGTTTGAGGTACAAATGATCCCATCACCCAGGTACTCAGCATAATACCCAATAGTTAGTTTTTCACTGCTTCTCTGCCACCCCAGTAGTCCCCAGTTTCTGTTGTTGCCATCTTTATGTTCATGAGTAACCAATATTTAGCTCCCACTTGTAACTGAGAAGAGGCAGTATTTGGTATTCTATTCCTGCATCAATTCATTTGGGATAATGACCTCCAGCTGCATCCATGCTGCCACAAAGGACATGATTTTGTTCTTTTTTATGGCTGCATAGTATTCTATGGTGAATATGTACCACATTTTCTTTATCCCAGCCACCACTGATGGGCACTTAGGCTGATTCCATGTCTTTGCTATTGTGAATAGTGTTGCAATCAACATGCGAGTGCATCTGTCTTTTTGGTAGAATGATTTATTTTCTTGTGGACACGTATATCCAGTAATGCGATTGCTCGGTCATATGGTAGTTCTGTTTTAATTTCTTTGAGAAATCTCTAAACTGCTTTACACAGTTGCTGAACTAATTTACGTTCCCACCAACAGTGTATAAGTGTTCCCTTTCTCTGCAGCCTTGCCAGCATCTGTTGTTTTTTTAGGCTTTTTATTAACAGCCATTTTGACTGGTGTGAGATAGTATCCATTGTGGTTTTGATTTGCATTTTTCTGATGATTAATGATATGAAACATTTTTTCATATGTTTGTTGGCTGCTTGTATGTCTTCTTTTGAGAAATGTCTATGTCTTTTAAACATTTTTATGGGGTTATTTATTTTTTGCTTATTCAACTGTTTAGTTTCTTACAGATTCTGGACACTAGGTCTTCACTGGAAGCATAGTTTGTGAATATTTTCTCCCATTCTGTAAGTTGCTTGTTTACTCTGTTGATGGTTACTTTTGCTGTGCAGAAGCTCTTTAGTCTAATTAGGTTCCACTTGTCAATTTTCATTTTTGTGTAATTGCTGTGGAGGACTTAATCATACATTCTTTCCCAAGGCCAATGCCCAGACTGATGTTTCTTAGGTTTTCTTCTAGGATTCTTACAGTTTGAGGTCTTACAATGAAATGTTTAATTCATTTTGAGCAGCTTTTTGTATATGGTGAAAGGTAGGAGTCCAGTTTCATTCTTCAGCATATGACTAGTCAGCTATCCCAGCATCGTTGATTGAATAGGGAGTCCTTTCCCTATTGTTTTTGTTTTTGTTTATTTTGTCAAAGATTAGATAGCTGCAGGTGTGTGACTTTATTTCTAGGTTCTCTTTTCTGTTCCGTTGATCTATGGGTCTGTTACTGTAGCTTTATAGTATAGTTTGAAACCGGTAATGTGATGCCTCTGGCTTTGTTCTTTTTGCTTAGGGCTGCTTTGGCTATTTGGGCTCTTTTTTGGCTCCATATAAATTTTAGAATAGTTTTTTTTTCTAGTTTTATGAAAAATTACATTGGTAGGTTGACAGGAATAGAGTTGAATCTATAGATTGCTTTGGGCAGAATAACCATTTACATTATGTTGATTCTTTCAATCCATGAGCATGGAATATTTTTCCATTTATTTGACATAAGTTATTTCTTCTAGCAGTGCTTTGTTCTTCTTGGTGTAAAGATCTTTCACCTCCTTGGTGAGATGTACTCCTAGGTATTTTTTTTTTTGGCTACTGTAAACGGGATTGTATTTTTGATTTGGCTTTCAGCTTGCACATTATTGGTGTGTACAAATGCCACTGAATTTCGTACATTGATTTTGTATCCTTAAAATTTACTGAAGTTGTGTATCAGTTCCAGGAACATTTTGGTGGAATCTCTAGGGCTTACTAGGTGTAGAATCAGGTCATCCATGAAGAGAGATAGCTTGACTTCTTTCCCTATTTGGGTGCCTTTTATTTCTTTCTCTTGCTTGATTGCTCTGGTTAGCATTCCAGTACTACGTTGAATGGGAGTGGTGAAAGTAGGCATTTTTGTCTCATTCCATTTCACAAAGGGAATGCTTCCACTTTTTGCCTGTTCAGCATGATGTCAGCTGTGGGTTTCTCATAAATGGCTCTTGTTATTTTGAGGTATGTTACTTTGATACCTAGTTTCTTAGGGATTTTCATCATGAAGGGATGTTGCATTTTATTGAAAGCTTTTTCCACATCTATTGAGATGATCTTTTGGTTTTTGTTTTTAATTCTATTTATGTAGTGAACTGTATTTACTGATTTGTGTATGCTGAATGAAACTTGCACCCCAGGAATAAAGCCTACTTGATCATGGTGAATTAACTTTTTGATATGTTGTTGAATTCACTTTGCTAGTATTTTGTTGAGAATTTTTACATCTATGTTTATCTGGGATGTTGGCCTTTAGTTTCTTTATTCATTGTATCTTTGCCAGGTGTTGGTATCAGGGTGATGCTGGCTATATAAAATGAGTTAGAAAGGAGTCCTTCCTCTTTAATTTTTTTGGGGATAGTTTCAGTAGAGTGGGTACCAGCTCTTCTTTGTATGTCTGGTAGAATTCTGCTGTAAAATCTCTCTGGTCTGGGTCTTTTTTTTGTTGGTAGGTGTATTATTACTGATTCAATTTTGGAACTTGATATTCATCTTTTCAGTGTTTCAATTTCTTCCTGATTCAGTCTTGGGAGAATGTGGGTTTTTAGGAACTTATCCATTTCCTCTAGATTTTCTAGTTTGTGTAACAGAGGGGTTCAGATAGTCTCTGAGGATCTTTGTGTTTCTGTGGGGATCAACTGTAATATCACCTTTGTCATTTCTGATTGTGCTTTTTTGGATTTTCTCTCTTTTTTTTTCTTTGTTAATCTATTTAGTGGTCTATCAATCTTATTCATCCTTTGAAAGAACCAACTTTTGGATTCGTTGTTCTTTTTTGTATGAATTTCTGGGTCTCAAATTCATTTATTTCTGATTTAATTTTAGTTATTTCTTTTCATAAGCTAGCTTTGGAGTTAGTTTGTTCTTGTTTTCCTGGTTCCTGCAGGTGTGATGTTAGATCTTTATTTTCAGATCTTTCTAGCTTTTTAAGGTAGGCATTTAGCACTATAGACTGTCCTCTTTACACTGCTTTTGCTGCATCCCAGAGATTTTGGTATGTTGTGTCTCTGTTTTCAATTACTTCAGATAATTTTTTTATTTCTGCCTTAATATGATTGTTTACCCAAAAGTCATTCAGAAGCAAGTTGTTTAATTTCCATGTAATTGTGTGGTTTTTAGAGATCTTCTTAGTATTGATTTCTATTTTTTATTCCATTGTGGTCCAAAAGTGTGGTTGGTATGATTTCAATTTTCTTTTAATTTATTGAGAGGTACATTATGGCTGAGCATGTAATCAGTCTTGGAATATGTTCTGTGTGCAGATGAGAAGAATATATATTCTGTGGTTGTTAGGTAGAGTATTATGTAGATGTCTATTAGTTCCAATTGGTAAAGCATCAAGTTTAAGCCCAGAATCTCTCTGCTATTTTTCTTCTTTGATGATCTAATGCTGTCAGTGGGGTGTTAAAGTTCCCCACTATTATTGTGTGGCTGTCTAAGTCTTTTCATAGGTCTATAAATACTTGTTTTATGAATCTGACTGCTCCAATGTTGGGTACATATATATTTAGTATAGTTAAGTCTTGTTGAATTCAATCCTTTATTATTATGTAATGCCCTTCTTTGGTTTTTGTTGTTGTTGTTGTTGTTTCACTGTTGTTGGTTTAAAGTCTGTTTCATCAGATATAAAAATAGTGACCCCTGCTCTTTTTTGTTTTCCATGTGCATGATAGATCTTTCTCTAATCCTTTACTTTGAGCCTATGCGTATTATTACATGCGAGATGGGTCTCTTGAAGACAGCAGATGGGTGGGTCTTGTATTTTAATCCAAATTGCCACTGTGTGCCTTTCAACTGTAGAGTTTAAACCAGTTAAATTCAAGGTTAATATTGTTATGTGAGGTTTTCACGCTATCATAACATTGTTAGCTGGTTGCTTTGCAGTTTCTATTGTGTGGTTGCTTTACAAAGTCTGAGTGCTATGTACTTAAATGTGTTTTTGTTGTAGCAGGTATTGTTCTTTCATTTCCGTGTTTAGAACTCCCTTAAGTATTTCTTGTAATGTCAGTCTAGTGGTAATGAGTTCTTAGCACTTGATTTTCTGGAAAAACTCCTTATGCAGCTTAGTCTGTTGAGATATGAAATTATTTGTTGAAATTTCTTTTCTTTTAGAATGCTGAAGATAGCCCCCCAATCTCTCCTGGCTTGTAAGGTTTCTGCTGAGAAGTCAGCTGTTAGCCTGATGGGGTTCCTTTCATATGTGATCTAAACTTTTTCTCTAGCATCCTTTAAGATTTTTTCTTTAGCATTGATCTTGGACAATCTGGTGACTCTATGCCTTGGTGATGTTCATTTTGTATATTATCTCACAGGTATTTTCTGGATTTCTTGTGTCCGGATGTCTACCTCTCCAGCAAGATTAGGAAATTTTTCTTGAATTATTCCCTCAAATGTGTTTTCCAGATTGTTTATTTTTTCTTCTCTCTCAGGTATGCCAATAATTCATGGGTTTGGTCATTTGCATAATCCCATATTTCTTGAAAACTTTGTTCATTTTAAAAATTCTTTTTAAAAAAAATTTTGTCTGACTGTGTTACTTTGAAAAACCAGTACTCAAGCTCTGAAATTCTTTCTTCTGCTTATTCCAGTCTATTGATAAAAGTTTCCATTGTATTTTGAAATTTCTTAAGTGTTCAATTCTGGAAGCTTGGATTGACTTTTTAAATAAAATGTTTATCTCTCCCTTCATTTCCTGGATTGCTTTAGCAGTTTCTTTGTATTGACTTTCAGCCCATCTTGGATCTCACTGAGCTTCCTTGCAATTGATACTTCGAATTCTTTTTCTGTCATTTCTGAGTTTCCATTTTCATTAGGGACCATTGCTGGAGAGAGAGTGCGATCCCTTGGTGGTGTCACTACATTCAGCTTTTTGATGGTGCCAGTATTCTTGTGCTGGTTCTTTCTCATTGAGAGACACTGGCACTTCTAATTTTTGTAATTATTTTCATGCGAGTAGGACTTTTTCTTTTTTCTTTCTTTTCCTATAATATTATGTTTTTTTCTTTCTCTTTCCCTTTCCCCCCTCCTTGCGGGTGCAACTATAGAGAATACAGGGTAGGACCTTTTGGCTTTGCTTCTGTGGCACTTCTTTGTTAGGTTTTATTTTGGGCTGTGCAGTTTCACCTATAAGCCAGTAGATGGTCCTTATAGGTAAGAGCCAGCTACAGCCAACATGGTTAGGAATATACTTGATCCCTATTTACTGTCAGAAGCTCTCTGTTGCCTCAGGCAATGGGCTGATTCATAGAATGCACAGTGCTGTGATCTCCCTGCTCAGCCCCAGGGTGTGGGAACCACAAAGGGTGGGGCCAGCCTGGGCAGGTCCACCTACAGGTCACCTGATGGCAGGCACACGCACTGGCAGCATGGGAGAATCCAGTGCATGGTCATCAAATGCCTAGAGGTGTGCCTAGCCATGGAACTGGAAAACCTTCCTGTCTCCAAGTTCTCCACACAGGAATGTGGAATGTCCTAAACTACTAACCCAGGAGAGTGTGTGCTCCAGATGCCTGGAGATCTGCCTGGGTGTGGAGCACATAGAGGGCATCCCCTTCATTAAACTCTTTGCATGGAGGGGTGCGGCAACTCAGGATCATGGACCAGGCAAGCAGGTGCTCTGAATGTCTAGAGATCTGCTTGAGTGTGTAGTAGAGACAGACCCCCTGCACCAGAATCTCCATACTGGCAGGGTGGGGTGGCACAAGTTGCTGATTTGGGCCATCTGGTGCTCCAAATGCCTGGAGATCTACCTGGGTGTAGAGCAGAAAGAGCCCCACTACACCATAATCTATACTCAGAAAGGGCAGGGTGGCTCAGGCTGGTGAAGCAGAACAGGTGTCTCTAAATTCCTGAAGATCTCTCTGGTCATGAAGCAGAGAGGGCCTCCCCACACAAGAATCTCTGCACAGGCAGGGTGGGGCAGCTCAGGCTGCTGATCCGGGTGAGTGGGTGCCCCTGAATGTCTGGAGATCTGCTCAGGAGTGGAGTGGAGAGGGCTTTCGCTGCATAAGGTCTCTGCACAGGAGGGATGGGACAACTCAGGCTTCTGGATCAGGCAAGCAGGTACTCTGAATGCCTGGAGGGCTGTGTGCCTGGGTGTGTAGCATAGCGGTGCCCCCTGAACTAGAATCTCTGCACAGGAAGTGTGGGGCACCTCAGACTGCTGGTCTAGGTGAGTGTGTGCTGCAAATCCCTGGAGATCTGCATGGACATGGAGCAGAGAGGTCCTCACTGTACCATAATCCATGCCCAGGAAAGATGGTGCAGCTAAAGCTGCTGAGCCAGGCAAATAAGTGTTTTGAATGCCAGGAAATCTGCCTGGGCATAGAGTGGAGAGGGCCCTGCGGCACCATGATCTCAGGGGAGCAGCCTGGGACACCCAGAAATGGCACACACAGATCAGTTCCAGGTCCCCAAGCTGCTCTTGGCTGCAAGTCTTGCTGCTTGGGAGAAATTGCAGCTGTAGCAGCTCTCCTCCGGCCCCAGGCTTGTGATAGGAAAGAACACAATTCAAAAACCTACTGCTGGGACACTTTCCACACTCCTGGTTGTGGAAGCCCCTATGCTGCTCCATAGCAGGCGCTCCAATCTCTGGCCTGAGATTAAAATGCCTGCATGACCATGCTGTTGGGTCAGCTAAGAGTGGCTGAATTTGTATGTTCCCAAATTAAAAATGGCATCCTCTCAGTCCCAGGTCTGGGAAAAGACCATGTCTTTCTCTCACAGCATCTCCAAGTCTCTCCCCAAGTTAGCTCCAGGGCCTGGGAGAAACAAAGTGCTCTTTCTTGGCCTGGGTTGCTCAGATCTCTGGGGGAAAGATAGCGCACAGAGGGAGGCTCTCTGCCTCTCTCACATACTTGGGCTTCACTGACTTTTATCAGCCAGACACCATCACAGAGGCTGTTTGCTAGCATTCTCCTCCCTGGGATCTGGGGTGTCCTTCATGATTCTGGTGGGTTTCTGTTTTCCTTCTTGAATTAAAACTCATAAAGTTGCTTTTTATCTACTATATTGCTATTTCCAAGGGGCTGAGTCATGCCGAAAGCTTCTAATCTGCCATCTTGGGAAAAAACCCAATCAAGTTGATATATGCAGCTGCAGTTCATTCATTTTCACTGCTGTGCCATATCTATTACAAGATTTCTTCCACAATTTATATGTGTAATGTTATCCTCTTTTTTTGCTATTACTCAACGATGCTATGAACATTTTCATAAATATCTCTTTGAATACATAAATAAGAGATTCTTCAGTTTTCATCTCTGTTTAATATAACCAAACTACTCTTCAAAATGCATGTGGCAATTTACATTTCCACTAGGCTTCAGATCTTATCCAACACTGGGTATTGTCAACAATAGATATACTTTTGTTAATCTGATGTGTATTTTTTAAATTTTAATTTTTTTACTAGCATCTTTTTTCATAGTACTTACTGGATTTTAGCTATTGGATTCTATCCAAATCCATCACTTGGTTCTGCTATATTTGTAGAACTTATTCCTTATTTCTGCAGAGTAATCCTTTGTTGGATATCACAGTTGTAAATGCATACTCCAAACTGTAGATTTTTCAAAACTTTGTTCATAGCATGTTTTTTATTTCTGGCTGAATAAAGGTTCTTAAAATTCATATACTCCAATTTATCTATGGTGAAATCCTCTTCAGTCATGAGTCATGAGCATATTCTCTTAAATTTTCTTTCAACAATATTAAGTTCCTTATACAACTTTCTTCTTTTAACTTATTCATATATCCTCAATAAATGTTACATTTAATTTCCTAATACTTTATTTAAATTTTCCTCTCTGGGTTCACAACAAGATTTGTCCATGTAGTTGACTTTTCTTGTACTATCTTTTTTGGCTTTGATAATAAGCATAAATTAATCTAATAGAACCAGTTGGATAATGTTCATTTCTTTCACAATATATACATAGTAGAAGTTATTTGTTCCTTGAAAGCTTTATAAAGCTCACTTATTAAATTTTCTAGCCTTAATGTTGGAGAAAGGGGTCGGGACACTCTAGAATACTGAAATAATAGCTTTAATTGTGCCAAGGTTTAATAGTTATTATTTTTTAAGTTTTCTATTCCTTCCCAACATAATTTTTGGTAATTCTTCTATAAATTATGCATTGTATCTAAATATTAAAATGTATTGGATGAAAGTTATTAATAATATTCATAAATGATTTCAAAAGTTGCCATTGGATCTATAATCATGTCCTATTATCATTTCATTTGTTATTTATTTATATCTTTTTTCCACTTTATCAGTCTTGTAAAAAGAACCAGATTTTAGTTCCTGATACTATTGTTCCTTTGTTTTCATTTTATGAATTTTTGCTTTTACATATGTAACATCCTTTCTTCTTTCTTTCAGCTTATTCCACTCTTTTTCTATTTTCTTGAATTAAATCTATATTCATTTAATTTCCAAGCACTTTTATTTTCCAATAAATTCATTTATCTTTCCCTTTACATATTACTTATTAAACAGTTTTATTTTCAGTCTCATTTTAGAGAGGGAGGATCTTGTTTTCTTTCTCCCTTTACCACTGTGTCACCATGTCTTCTTATGTGATAGTTTGCCACTTCCTCCACTAAAGTCAAGACCCAGCTTATTCAATGTCAGTCTGAGGCTTCTGCTCCAAGGTATGATTAGGAATTTGCAGATCCAGACATGAAGACAGAAGGTGGCTCTGCTCATTACCTGGTCTCAAGAGACCACAGTTTTCTATAGAGCCACAGCCCCTGGCAGGAGGCTAACAAGAGGGGACAAATGTTTTTCTTTTCTTTTTTTTTTTTTTAAGTGTGGTTTTCCAGAAAATAAAGATAGTTCCATTCCAGGAACAATCAAGAATACAGTAAAATCTGAAATAATTTATATTTACCTTTCTGATAAATTATTGGTAATAATATTCAAAAGGTTAAGAAAACTACTTATTCCTTCTTATGAAAAATTGATATACAAAAACCTTTACATAAAAGAGAAAGAACTTGAGGGGAAATAACCCATACGAAATGGTAAAATATTTGCCTTAATGATTCCTGTTATGCTTCTCCAATATTCTGTAGATATCTGTTGATCATTAACCACTTGAGCGGGATGACAGGGCATAAAAAAGAGAGCTAGAGCTCGAATCCACTGCCAATTGAAAATAGCCACTGACTTTGGGTGCCTGTGATTGCAAATTTTTTTAAAAGTGATTTCTAATAGTAAGGGACACGTCATTTACTTGATAAGCTAAAATATCCTTTAAACCACAATGTATGTGAATGAGGAAATAAAATGTTTTCTTTAGAAAAACAACATTTAAATATAAATCTTTAGGTTATGGCTATGCAAAGGATGCCAACAGAAATACAGAAAATAAGGATCAGTATAATTGAGAAAGCCGGGGTGTGAAAAGGACATCTGTGTTAAAAAAAAAAAAAAAAAAAAAAAAAAAAGACAAATGCTGCGTATTCTCACTTATACGTGGAATCTAGAACAACTAAATTCATGGAAGCAGAGAGTAGAATGGTGGTTCCTAAAGACTGAGTAGGAGGGGAACAGGAGGACGTTGATCAAAAGATACCCAGTTTCATTTTAGGAAGGAATGATAATTTTTGTGTGTGTGATCTATTGTGCAACATGGTGGCTATAGTTATTAATAATGTACTGTGTATTTCGAAATCACTGAGTAAATTTCAAATATTCTCCCACAAAAAATGATAAATATTTGAGGTGATGGATATGTTAATTACCTTGATTTAATCATTCCACATTTTGTACAAGTATCATAATATCACATTGTACTCCATAGTACATAGTATAGTAAAAATACAGTATTATAATCTTCTGGTACCACTGTCGTATATGTCATTGGTTGTTGGTCGAAATGTTATTATAGGGTACATGATTGTATATTGTGGCCCATCACTCAGGTTACTCCTACAAGACGATGTTACAACTGCAAGATCTGCCTTTCCTGTCATTTAATTTTTCTTTGATATGTTCATTCTCTTTATCTTTTGTGGTAGGTTCAGTAAGAATCCCTTGGCTTAATTTCTACCGTATTGATTTTTCTATTTGGCTTTTTAAATATATGATTTCAGTCTTTTATTATTGAAAATTTCAGATGTATGTTAAAATAGAAAGAAATAGTAAAACCCATGTACTTATCATTAAATATCTTCAACAGTTATGAACAAGCGACCCATTTTGTTTCATCTACCAGCACTGAATTGATTTAGCTTTAATTTTTATGATCTCTGTTTAATTATTTTTTATGAGTTAAATGTTTCTTGCAGCATTCTGGGTTTTTCAGATATTCATAATGTGTTTACTGTACTTAAATATGTCGGCCCCCTTTTACTGTATTCTTAAATGTTTGATGATTCTTGATTGTGCTCTTCATTTTATGGCTGAAATTTCTGATTAGATTGTCTGCTGCATATTTGCATAACCCAGGTAAGGGTTAAGGATTCTAATGAGCTGCTGGAATTTGTGCAGCAGTGTGTTTGAGAGATGTTCTTGAGGGTGCAGAATGTGCTACTGGACCAAGCGCATCAGCAGCAGGTCTCCTGGATGTGAGTACACTCCACTTCTCAGTCTTGCCAACCACTTGGAATTCTGCCTTATTTCTCAGACCCAAACTCCCACATGCTAGTGCCTGACGATGCAGACATCCTGGCTGGCCAAGAAGTAACATACTGGGAGTCTGTTTCCTAGATGCTCTTGCTATGATACCCAATTAATTACCCTGAGGATGACCACTGCCTCTGTCTCCTCAGCATCCACCTCCTCTCCAGCATCTGCTCCCATTATCTGCCTAATGCTGCTCTGCTTCAATTTGCTTTCTATATTTCAGGCATTCCCCCTAGGTTCTAGTCAGTGAGATGTTCCCTTTCTGTTGTTTTAATGTAGTTATGAATTTTAATGATTGACTTTCCTAGGTGCCATATGGGAGTTAATAAGAGTTTGGGCTCTGGCCCAGCATGGTGGCTCACACCCGTAATCCTTTGGGAGGCCGAGACAGGTGGATCACTTGAGGTCAGGTGTTTGAGACCAGCCTGGCCACCATGGTGAAACACTGTCTCTACTAAAAATACAAAATTAGCCTGGCGTGGTAGTGCACACCTGTAGTCCCAGCTACCCAGGAGGCTGAGGCACAAGAATAGCTTGAACCCGGGAGGCAGAGGTTGCAGTGAGCGATCATGCCAGTGTACTCCAGCCTAGGTGACAGAGCGAGACCCTGTCTCAAAAAAAAAAAAAAAAAAAAAAAAAAAAAAATTTGTGCTCTGGACTCAGGCTGCGTGTGTTGAATCTTGGCTCTGCTGTTTCCTAGCAAAGCTTCTTGGTGCTTCATCCTTCATGCTCAGCAGCTGGAACACTGAGCTTAACAATAGTAAATGCTTAATAAATGTTTCTTATTGTTATTATTATTTGGGGTGGACATTGCAATATGTGCTCTTTATGTGACCACTGTGCTACTTATCGCTTCTTATATGACCTTAGGCAAGTTACTCAACATCTTTTATCCTCATATTTTAATTAGCAGATGGAGATAACAATACGTGTCTTACTAGGTTAGATGACCATGAAGACTAGAAATAATGTGTTTAATTGAGCAAGCATCTCCACAATTTTTCAGTAAATTATAGTTCTTATACTAAATAGAGATCCTATTCTGGCTCAGATGACTAATCTTTTGGAAAACACAACTGTCCCTGCATTGACCTATGACCAGTCATGATCATCAGATGGGAAGATTATTCTGTTAGATGAGCGCATTATCATTTAATGCTGCATGTATCAGTTTATTTGCCCAACTGGAACAGCTTTCCTATCATTATTGTGGGGTATTTAAGACTGGCACAGTTTCCACCACTGTCAGATAGGGTATTACTCTGCTTTAGCTGTGTCAGCTCAAAGTACTGGGACTCAGGCTGCCACAGTGAAATTAAATGGTAGCCTGGAACTATAACCTATAAATTAACGTAATCTGTGTATTCACAAAAAATAAATAGTAGGAGGTATAGCTTTAAGGCAATACATTTCTAGGTCTCTAATTTCATTTGTATGCTTCCTTCACGTAATTTGCGTGAGGACCCAAGAAACTCTGATGGAACTGAAGCCAATGTCGTCCCTCCTTTTCTTTCACTATTACCCCTCTCTTTGTGATTGTCCACTTTTCTTTTTCTTTTTTTTTTTTTTTAACGAAAGTACATCTAGAGGTATATATGTCTAAGAAGTTAAATGGACATTTGGAAACAATGGTGCCTCTGGGTAACACCGTCTTGCCAATAAGGTAGTTATATGCTCTACTTTCAATAAAATTGAAGAAGAACCTAATCAACCCATTATCCAATGAATCATTGCAATTCTGTCAATGACAAATAACTATATGATAGTTGGCATCTAAGGAGCATTTGAAAGAGTCGTGATTATATGATTAACTTGTTTTAGTATTTACATCTATGAAAATAAAAAGTTGAAATAGAATTGATACTGAGCTCTATCCAGCAATAAACAATATTCATCCACGGATATGTGACTTAATGAAAACATGAAAAGCTCCATTCATCTCATTAAAAACTGCATTTCTGACAACACTTTACTTTTGTCTTAGTAATTATCAACAGTTTAACATATTTTATATTAATTAAAAGGTTTATGTTAATAATTGCCATGAAAATGCAATCTAGGATGAAATATTTACAACATAGAGACTCTTCATCATACAAAAATTGAAAACTTTTAAATTTCATCTTCATTCATTAAAAAAAATTTAGTCAATGTCTGCTCTGGACTGAGCCCTGTTTCAAATGATTAGAATTTAACAGCAACAAAACAGAAAACAAATTTCTGCCAGTATGGAGTCTGTATTCTGGTAGGTAAAGATGGACAAAAAACAAATAAATGCATATATAACTTAATGGCAGAGATACAAAATTTTGTACCAGAAAAATATTATAGTGTGTTTAATAAGACTTTTAAGCATAAAATATGTTACATTTGGATAATATTCTGTGAAGAAAAATAGAATGAAAAACATGAGTCCAAGGGGTAAAAAAGAAATATTAAAATGAAAATCTTGATAATGCATTTTAAAAATAGATGATGCTAAAGATCATATAGCTATATGATCATATATATATCATATGGCTTTATATTTATATTATATGATATTTGCTTCATACTTATATTTATTATATTATATATAAATATATATATCTATCATATGGCTTTAGATTTCATTGGAATATTAAAAACAGTGATAGAACAGTGTCCTAAAATTATTTTATTTCATTTTTTACAATACACAGGAAATCTTACTCTTAAAAAAAAATGGAAAAAACTGGTCTTTGAGATACGTAAAAGAGAACATGTGAGCAAATATGAGGACCACTGGACAGAATGCACAAATTCTCATCTTGTTAAGATGTTAACATCTTACCTTAGGAGGATGCTAAAGTATAAAGTAATGTGTAGACTCTATATTTTATTAAATCAATCTCTCTTAGGTGATAAACATTACCTAAGCAATAGAGTATGAATTTATGTTAGTTTTTTCTAAATGTTTGCTTTATATTTTATGTCAAAACAAATAACTTGCATGAAAGTTGAACACCAAATGTCTCCTTAAGAACTCAGTGAAAGAGCAACTCTTTTAATGTTTCAAAAAAGCAATTTTAAAAAAGTGCAAGAAACAAAACCTGTGAACTTTGAATGTACTGATAAGTTATTGAGAAAAAAATTTGCTTTTATAATGTCATTACTATTTAGTTTGGAAATGACTCCCAGTGATAACAGAAAATGCTTTGTATAAACAGAGTACACATTCCTCAGATTAAACAGCTTCTGAGACTTATGATGCTGACAGTAATAAAAGCTTGTAATAATATATCTGTTATAATTCTGAACATCCAGTACTGTAATAAGCTGACTCTTTTGTTGCAGGTTTCTACTCAACCATGAGAAAACTATCATGAGTGAAGCGAGGAGGGCTTGTCTCCATCTAGTGGTCAGTATAATAATATTAAATATTACTATTATTCTAAAATCAAAATATGTACATGTTATTTTCTTAATTGTAGTGAGAAATGATACTAATCATAATAGTACTGTTATTTTCTAATCACGTATATCAAACTTGACAAGTAAATAATCCGATAGAAGATACATAATCTTGAAGTAGACATATTGAAATACATAGTTTGAGTACACTGTCAAAAGTCTGTGAAGCTATTTCCCTGCTGCAAAAAAGAAAAAAGATGAGAACACAGGAGAGTAAGGATGGCCTCAAAATTTTATATTCTGACATATTTAAACTTTTTACAAAATCACCCAAGAGAAAAACGTTTGGCCTATCAGGGGAGAAGATCTTCTATAAACTACGGACTTAATGTGTAAGCAACTCAGAACAGGGGTCCACCCAGAACAGGAAGAAATAAAAGTCTTTGTTTTCAATTAGGCCATTTATGGCACAATCAAAACTGTGCATAGTTTTTCAATGGAACTCGTGGAGCTAGAGAGTAGAAGGACGGTTACCAGAGGAAGGGTAGTCAGGAGCTGAGAAGGAAGTTTGAAAGGCTAATGGGTACAAAAAATAGAAAGAATGAATAAGACCTAGTATTTGCTAGCACGACTGGATGAATATAGTAAAAACTAATTTAATTGTACATTTTAAAATAACTAAAAGAGTATAATTGGATTGTTTGTACATAGAGGAAAAATGCTTGAGGTGATGGATACTCCATTTACCATGATGTGATTATGATGCATTGCATGCCTGTATCAAAATATCTCATGTAAATCATAAATAGATACAACCACTATGTACCCGCAAAAATTAAAAATTAACATTTTACAAAACTGTATATAGTTTTGTTTTACAGCCTAGAAGTTGTTTGTTTCAAGGGCCTAAAATGTGTGGCAAAAGGGGTTTTTTTATACCTACTTAAAAATTTCAAAATATTGAAAATCAAGGCAACACCACCCCTTTACTTTCGTTAGCAATAAAAATAGGTTGATCTCATGTTAATTTTTCCAGATTAGGTTTTTTTTTAATATCATGGTATATGAAAAGTCATCCTATTAGCCTCCACAGATCTTTGGCCAGTTTTCCCTTGGCATCAATCACCAGGAGGAAAATACAGGAGATTAGTCAACAGAATAAATTAATGAGATTAGAGGTTTGCCTCAAATTCAGAAAAGGACTTTATATTATGCAAAAAGGTAACATGGTGTGGAGTGATGATAGAGGCCAGTTAACATTAGCTCATTACATTAGTAATGGTGTCATATACAGACTGTATGAGGCTTTTCATGTCATAAGAGTGTTTATTTTATAAGTTAAACTTGGCTTAAATAATTAAAAGATTTCTCACAACTAGGACAAGTTTCCAATGCCAACAGATCATGGCCAATGACTTCTATGATTTCTTCCTCCCTCTGGGAAACTGGAAACTGTTGCAACTTTGTTAGGAGAAAAATGTCTAGGCATATTTGGGAAAACCTTAAAAAGAGCAACTCCCGAAGACAAATATAATTTCTATTGATAAAGAGAAAAGGAGACAAACATCATGTATTTAATTGCCACAGAACATTCTATTGTGAACATTGTTCTATTCACAACCTTGTGTATCCTTTTTCCTTGAATCTGGGCTTTCTCTATGACTCTCTTGAAACCACTGAAATACTGAGGAAGTCATGCTGTGTGATATCTGAGCCTTGGTCAGAGAAGGTCTCAGAGATTCCATCTTCATCTCAGAGTGCTCTCCATGAGCCTTGAGCCACTAAGAAAGAAAGAATTCTCCAGTTGAGCATTAGGGCTTAGAACACAACCCACTGTATAAAAATCACATGGAGCACCAGCATCTCCCAGTCAAGCCCGGTGCAAATTCCTAACCCATGAAACTGTAAAATATAGTAAAACAATTGCTCTATGTCACTATGTTTGAGGGTTGTTATACCAAAGTAGTTAACCACAACACTTAACTTCCATTTATTCACTTTCTAGGTCTCAATATAGATTTCACACCTTTTGAGAAGTCTTTTCGGACCCTATTGTCTGGGTTAGGTATCCCTCCGGGTACTGCCTTATCCTAGCACTTTACATATGGTGCTATAATTGTCTGCTTATTTTGTTTGGGCTTAGTGAAAACAAAGATCATGTCTGAATTGATTATCACTCTACTCTCAAAAGCAACAATGCCTGGTAAATATGGTAGGCAATAAATAGACATGACCCATTGAATTACTGAATGTGTCTCTTATATAAGTAAACACTGATCTCTGGCTTCACTAGGAAAAAGCCCCTCACCTGTTATACCATTTGACAATCAGCTTCCAATAAAGGCAGCCACACAAAATATATCTCACCAAATACATCTCAGCAGTGTGCCCTGCATAAGCCACTTGGCCACCTAAATTATTAAAATACATGGAGGATTGAGAAATAGATCTGGGCAGTGAGAAGTTCTTTTCCAAATATTTGTTTAATTCCATTGTTCTGGGTTTTGACCAATCAAAGTTTAAATAGATTTGGATCAGTGCTATGCTCATAGCTTTTATGGATAAGAAGAATATAAGGACTATGAAGACTCATGATCTATTTTCTAAATGAAGACAAATGCCCTCTCTTATCCTATAAATAAGACATCTGTGAATTGGCAAATGCTAGCACAAACAAGTTCATTTTGTAACAGTAAAACTGTCAAGAACACGTTTAAACTGAAAATACACAACTAGGAAAATTTTACAAGATGCAGATGTTGTGTAAGGTAATGAATCAAGCCAAATGACCCAAAAGATGTAATGGGCAGAGATTTTTACAAAATGGATAAAAGATCAGAGCAAATGAAATACAGACACACACACACACACACACACACACACACACACAAAATAAAATGGCCCTCACTCTTATGTCACTTTGAGTTCCCAGAATCACCTGAAAAGTGAAATAAGCTTGGAGAAGCATCTGCTCTGATAAAGAATCTCCAAGGAAAAGTCTAAAGGTACCCAGGTGCCGACTCTGTCCTTCTCAGATAAGAGCTTCAGCTGGTCTTCTAAACTCTTGGCGGTTCCTTATAATTTCTCCTAAGTCCTACCTCAGTGGTCTTCTATTACTTTGAGTCTTAGTAGCCACTCTGGGATAAATGGTATTATAGTTTCTGAGTTAAATGGATAAATGGTATCAGAGCAGCTCCCAAACATTGCTTTCTCTGTTGCATTCTTTAGGGAATGAAATTCCAGTTTACTGTCAACCCATTTCAAGATTTATTTTTCTTACAACATATTCCTGTAGTCTCATGCATGTAGTCAAAACTCCTTAATTTAAAGCCAAGGCCTAGAAAGCTTAACTACATCACTCAGATTCACATAGCTAGTGTCAGCAGGAATTACCCGCTATTTTTTTTTCTTTTTTTCTGAGACAGAGTCTCGCTCTGTCACCCGGGCTGGAGTGCAGTGGCATAATCTCGGCTCACTGCAACCTCCGACTTCCAGGTTCAAGGATTCACCTGCCTCAGCCTCCTGAGTAGCTAGGATTACAGGCCTGTGCCACCACACCCAGCTAACTTTTGCATTTTTTGTAGAGACAAGGTTTTGCCATGTTGGCCAGGCTGGTCTTGAGCTCCTGACCTCAGGTGATCCATCCGCCTCAGCCTCTCAAAGTGCTGGGATTACAGGCATGAGCCAACTGCTAATGTTTCTTATGCATCCATTTGGCATTTTACTTATTTCACAATGAGACCCAGATACTCAAACTCCTGAACCACAGAGAAAGTAAAATTCCCTTGAAGAGGAGGCATAATGCTTTATAAATCCTGTGTCCCAAATCACTATATATATGTTCATTGAGATAGACTAACATTCCAAAAGATTTGATTTGCATTCTAAGTGACACAAAA
This sequence comes from Homo sapiens, assembly GCF_000001405.40. Classification (NCBI taxonomy): domain Eukaryota; kingdom Metazoa; phylum Chordata; class Mammalia; order Primates; family Hominidae; genus Homo; species Homo sapiens. The sequence continues at coordinate 132,222,186 of NC_000006.12, forward strand.
AGAAATAGAAAGTATTCCCAAATAACCACAGCCAAAAATGGCCTTATTTTTCCCAATGTATATATTTCTCCAAGTCAAATACAGCATTCTTACTTCCAGCAAAAGGATAAAAAGTTAACCCGGAATAAAATGATTAAAAAAAAACGGAGTTAGGAGGGAGGTGCTTATTTTCTTCTTCCACTTAAAAAAAAATGGCAGCAAGGGGTCAATCTTTTGGATAACAAGAAAAATATGGCGAGAAATGGCCAAAATTGGAAGAGATAAGAAAAAGAATAAAGTGAAAACCCTTTAATGAAACCAGATATATAATTATTTGAGTACAGTTGTGCTGAAGAAGGGCTCCAGCATAGTTTCACTTAATATATCTCTTTGAGCCTGCCTTTGCTTTCCCAAATTTGACTCCAGCATAGTTACACGTATGGAGATATGGCTACATGTATGAAGTATGCCTACATATATGGAGATAAGCTTATAAATGTATTGCAAACACATCTACACAGAAGTTACATAAATGTAAGTAATTTCATACATTTCTATCTTGTAGAATTTGGATAAAGACAAACTGATTTTTCAAAAGCAGGAGCAACAAAAACTTTGAAAAGCATAAAAGAAGTCTCAGACTTTCTATTTTACTAACATCTGTTTTTGTTTGGTTGGTTGGTGAGTGGGTGAGTTGGGCCTTTTTTCCACTTTTGGGCATACTTTCATTTAAGAGAAGAATAATGCCATCCCAGGTGTTGCTCTTGAGATAATTTTAGGTTTTCCCTAGACAACAGTAAGTAAAAGTGGTATGAGAAGTGATATGTATTAAAGATACTCTGCCACCTCCATGCCAGGAACTTTACTTCATGCTTTAGTCTTTCTTTTTATTTAGGCTTTGTAACATCCCATAATATATGTATTTTATTATTCTCAATTTACAGATAAGGAGCTCGAAGCTCAGAAAACTAAAAAATGAACAGTTTTTAAAGAGATTTTGAGGAGAGGGTTCTGTTTTTTTTTTTAAATTTTCCCTGAGCAGAATTTTCATTGAATCACTCACAAATCTCTTCATAAGTTTTCCTTTCCTTTATGCAACAATTATACTCTCTTATTTTATTGATTTACTCAACAATTATTCATGTATTACCTTCTATGTGCCAAGTACTTTTTGAAGCACTGGAGAAACAGGAGTAAACTAAACATGGAGCTTAATTCCAATAAAAAAAGACAAACTAAAAAAATAAATAAATAAAACATATAGTGTGACAGATGGTATTAAATACTATGCAGAACAAAAAATGGGAAAGGCAAATATGGAGTGTCAGAGTGCAAGGAAAATGCAATAGATCTGTCAAGGAAGGCCTCATCAATAGAGTGAATTTAAGAAAAGGTGACTGGGTTTTTTAAGGTTTTATTTTATTTTTAATTAAAAATAATGGTATATATTTATGGGTTACAATGTGATGTTTTGATACATGTGTACATTATGGAGTGATCAAGGCATGCTAATGAGCATTTCCATAACCTAAATATTTATCATTTCTTTGTGGCGGAACATTTAAAATTCTTTTAGCAATTTTAAAATGTAAAATATGTTACTGTTAAACATAGTCATCATGTTATGCAATAGAACACCAGAACTTATTCCTCTTATCTAATTGAAACTTTGCACCCATTAACCAACATCTCCCCTTTCCCCATCCACCTCTCTCCCTGCCCAGCCTCTGGTAACCACTATTCTTTTTTCTACTTCTATAAGTTAGACTCTTTTAGATTCCAAGATGACTTTGGAAAAGGTGCCAGCATTACTGATATCTGCGACAAGAGATTTTCAGTTAAAGAGAACAACTGGAATAAAAGGCCATGCCAGGAGAATGCCTGGTGTGTTTGAGGAACAGCAGGAGTACTAGGGTCACTTGAATGAGGGAAGGGTGGGGAAAGCTGCAGAGAGGCTGTGATGATCCGATCATACAGGGCCTTGTAAACTTTTGTAAGACCTTTAGATTTGGATTCAGTGAGAAGGGAAGCCACTGGTGAATTCTGAATGGGGATATAACACTATCTGGCTTGTTTTCAATGGATTCCTCTGGATGCTATATTAAGATCAGCCTATAGGGAAACAGGTGGATGTTGGTGATCAGACTAATGGATTAGTTTGCCTGCTATATTGAGATTAAGTTATAGGACACCGATACGGCTTGGCTGTGTCCCCACCCAAATCTCATCTTGAATTATAGTTCCCATAATCCCTACATGTGGTGGGAGGGACCTGGTGGGAGGTAATTGAATCATGGGGTCAGTTACCCCCATGCTGCTGTTCTCATGATAGTGAATTCTCATGAGATCTGATGGTTTTACAAGGGGCTTTACCTCCTTTTGCTCAGCACTTCTCCTTCCTGTCATCATGTGAAGAAGGACGTGGTTGCTTCCCCTTCTGCCATGATCGTAAGTTTCCTGAGGCTTTCCCAGCCATATGGAACTGTGAGTCAATTAAACCTCTTTCCTTTATAAATTTTCCAGTCTTGGGCAGTCCTCTATAGCAGTGTGAGAACAGACTAATACAGTAGATTGGTACCACAGACAGTGGGGTGTTGCTATAAAGATACCCAAAAATGTGGAAGTGGCTTTGGAACTGGGTAATGGGCAGAGGTTAGAACAGTTTGGAGGGCTCAGAAGAAGACAGGAAGATGTGGGAAAGTTTTGAACTTCCTAGATATTTGTTGAATGGCGTTGACCAAATTGCTGATAGTGATATGGACAATGAAGTCCAGGCTGAGGTGATCTTAGATGGAGATGAGGAACTTGTTAGGAACTGGAAGAAAGGTGACGGTTGCTATGTTTTAGCAAAGAGACTGGCAGCATTTTGCCGCTGCCCTAGAGATGTGTAGAACTTTAAACTTGAAAGAGATGATTTAGAGTACCTGGCAGAGGAAATTTCTAAGCACCAAAGAGTTAAGAGGTGACTTGGGTGCTGTTAAAAGCATTCAGTTTTATGTATTCACAAATATATGGATTGGAATTGGAACTTACATTTAAAAGGGAAGCAGAACATAAAGTTCAGAAAATTTGCAGCCTGACGATGTGATAGAAAAGAAAAACCCATTTTCTGAGGAGAAACTCAAGCCAGCTGCAGAAGTTTGCATAAGTAATAAGGAGCCAAATATTGACCACCAAGACAATCAGGAAAATGTCTCCGGGGCATGTCAGAGGTCTTTATGGCAGATCACAGGCCCAGTCTGGAGGCCTAGAAGGAAAAAATGTTTCATGGGCTGTGTCCAGGGCCTTGCTGCTTTGTGCAGTCTTGGGACTTGGTGCCCTGCATCCCAGCGATGGCTAAAAGGGGCCAAGGTACAGCTTGGGCCATGGATTCAGAGGGTGCAAGCCCCAAGCCCTGGCAGTGTCTAGGTGGTGTTGAGCCTGTGGGTTCACAGAAGTCAAGAATTGAGGTTTGGGAACCTCTGCCCAGATTTCAGAGGATGTATGGAAATGCCTGGATGTCCAGGCAGAAGTGTGCCTTAGGGGCAGAGCCATCATGAAGAACCTCTGCTAGGGCAGTGCAGAAGGGAAATGTGGAGTGGGAGCCCCGACACAGAGTCCCTACTGGGACACTGCCTAGTGGAGCTGTGAAAATAGGTCCACCATCCTCCAAACACCGGGATGGTAGATCCACTGACAGCTTGTACCGTGTGCCTGGAAAAGACACAGACACTCAATGCCAGTCTGTGAAAGCAGCCAGGAGGGGGGCTGTACCCTGCAAAATCGAAAAGGCTCAGCTGCCCAAGGACATGGGAGCCCACCTCTTGCATCAGCATGACTGGGATACGAGACATGAAGTCAAAGGAGATCATTTTGGAGCTTTAAGATTTGACTGCCCTGCTAGATATTGAACTGCATGGGGCCTGTATCCCCTTCTTCTTGGCCAATTTCTCCCATTTGGAACAGGTATATTTACTCAATGCCTGTAACTCTATTGTATCTGGGAAGTAAGTAACTTGTTTTTGATTTTTACAGGCTCATAGGAGGAAGGGACTTGCCTTGTCTCAGATGAGACTTTGGACATGGACTTTCCGGGTAATGCAGGAATAAGTTAAGACTTTGGGGGACTTTTGGGAAGGCATGATTGTGTTTTGAAATGTGAGGACATGAGATTTGGGAGGGCCCAGGGGTGGAATGATAAAGCTTGGTTCTGTCCCTACCCAAATCTCAAATTGAATTGTAGTTCCCATAATCCTCATGTATCATGGGAATGACCCAGTGGGAGGTAATTGAATCATGGGGTTTGGTTAGCCCCATGCTGCTGTTCTCGTGATAACAAGTGAGTTCTCACAAGATCTGATGGTTTTACAAGGGGCTTTTCCCTCTTTTGCTCAGCACTTCTCCTTCCTGCCATCATGTGAAGAAGGAGATGTTTTCTTCCCCTTCTGCCATGATTGCAAGTGTCCTGAGGATATGCTTCCCAGCCATGCTGAACTGTGAGTCAATTAAACCACTTTCCTTTATAAATTACCGAGTCTCTGGCAGTGGTTTATAGCAGCATGAGAATGGACTAATACAGGCACCAAGTTGGAAATAGATAGCCAGTGTGACTTTTGTGATTCCTATTCATCTCAGCCTTCCCAGCTCCTAAGACATAGTCTCAAATAGGGTCCATCAAAGCTCCTTCCAGCAGTTCATGCAGCCCATTCTCATAATCATAAGTAGGAGATTTTTATTTTAAAACTATCATATGTACTACTTGCTATGGAAAAGCATGCTCTATCAGCTTTTGCTGAATTCTGCAATTACTCATTTCCTTGTATCTTCATATACTCTTATCTGACCTTCATTATTTTGGTAGCCTTTTCTCCTTTTTTGTGCCTTGTAGTTTCAAGATGTCTCAGAGCTATATTAAAAATGGAGAGTTGTTTTTGTTTACCATTTTTCTTATTAATTGTGAGTGATCTCCTTTCAGTGGCTCTTTATTTCTTTCTGACAATCTGGGCTTCCGTAAGTGATCACTTTCCCTTCTATTTGAAAAACTTCTGGCTTTTGTTGTAGTTCAGATTTGCTGAAAATAAATTCTCTCAGCTTTGATTTTTTTGGTCCTATTTTTATTTTCATTCCTTTAAAGTTATTCTGTATTCTGGGCTCTATTTTTCTAATGCGAACTCGGTCTTCACTCTTATTGATATTTTCTTGAGTGTTATATATTCAAACAGGACTTTATCATTCATGTTCAGTAGTTTGACTATGGTGTACTTAGTTTGGGTTTCTGCTATATTTCCCTTGCTTGTAGTTCACTAAATATGAATCTGCTGAGAGCCACAGATCTCACACACCAATCAGTTTTTTGTCTCATTTCTTTTCTTTTCTTTCTATTTTTTTTTTTTTTTGCATTTCTTTCTTTGTGCTTCAGTGTGGATAAATTCCGTTCACTTGTCTTTAAGTTCACTGACCATTTGCTCAGCTGTGTTCAGTCTACTATTAAGCCCTTGAAATAAAATCTTTATTTCTGGTATTGTAGGTTTCAATCTTCTGATGAATTATCTCATTTGCTCATGCATCTTGTTTCCTTTTTCCCGTAAAACTCTTTAACATATTCGTCATAATTACCTTTTAAAGGCCTTGTCAAGTAATCCGATATCTATGATACCTGTGAGTCCACTTTAATTGACTGATTCTTTTTTGGATTTTGGATCACATAACCCAGTTTATTTGCATGTCTCATAATTTTTCTTGAGACATTTTGTGTTATTATCTATTTAAGCTGTACTTTCATTTGACCCACAACTTTAGTTTCTTTATTCACTCCCAGAGCCTTTCTGCTCTAGGTCTTTTCATTTGTTAGCATGCCTCCCCTTGCATTTTTATCACATGCATATTTTTTGAATGCCTCTTGGAAATAGTGAGCTAGTTTATTGTGAGATAACCAAGGCCCTGGCTCACAAAGCACTTGCAATCTAATTGGAGTCTTAAGACAAACAAATGATTCAATTCTTCTATGTTTAAGAAATCTGGCTCACAACAGTGAAAGTTGAGATTAGATGTGTAACAGTAGTCAGAGAAGTTATTATGAAGGATACAGGACTTGAAAAGTGGGTTAGATATTGACCAATTGAGAGGAAAGTGAAAGCACTTCTGGCAGAAAGGACAAAAAACAGAATGGATAATTATAAATTAATATGATATCTGCAGGTGTGTAATGAGATGAATATGACAAGAACAGAGGTTATATGAGGCCAGAGAAAATTATGATGAAAGAAATTTATTTTTTAAATTATCTTTTCCTTCATTTTAATCTTTTCCCTTTATAATTAAATAACAGGAGTAATATTGTCTTCTCTATACTATTCCAGTACTCCTATGCAAAGAGCTATCAATGATATTTCCTGCCCTACTATCTTTATATTTGAGCTCTATGCTCAATAACCTAATCAAAATATAATTAGGATGCTTTCCATTTTTGGTTTGACTTTTCCTCACCACCAAAGATTAATTCTTATCTCCATTTTTTTCAAAAAATGACAGAAAAGTGGGGGAAAATTCTACCAAATGACTGTTTCATCTCTGAGGAATTAAACACCAGTAGGAATAAGTTTTCAGTGAATTGATTAATTTATTTACCAAATCTACCAATCAATACAGTTGAAATAATTGAAGTAGCTATGCAAATAGCAGTAAACCATGAAACCCAAACTCATAACTCTTTTTTCATTTTGTCAACTGCCAAGATAGAAATTATTTTCTCTTCCATAAGTATGACCTTTAAATTCTTAGCTCTGTTGGACTTCTAACACATCAAAAACTTCATCTGTATTCTACAAAAAACAAATAATAATCACAAAAAGTATCTGTTCTGTGGTAAAAGAAATTCCTGACAGGTTCCTCCCTAAATAAAAATAAATGGACGGACTCCCATAAAATTTATGTGGTTAACACAGAAATAGTTGGACTACATTAATACCTCAAAAATGTCTGGTTAAAAACACAAGAACCACACTGGGATAAACTTCTTATTGATGAGATTTCTCAGATCATGGAATCCCCATCAAGGAAAGTAATGGGAGGTTTATCACTGGAAACTTTGAAGAACAAATGAGACAAAACAGTATACAGTAAAAATAGCAATTATATATAATATGGAGGCCCAGAGAAAAACTCTTCATCTCCCAATACTGAGATTTTCAGAAATTCATGTAATACTTATATTTTTGCTTGCTATCTAAAGCTTTCTTCAGTTCTACATTACCTAGGCATATATGGCATCTGTGCTTTTTGGTTCAGTATTTCTGACCCATTTGATGATTGATAATTATTGAAATGAAAACAAAATGTTCTTTTGTAGAACTCACTGACTCTTAAGTCCTAGGGTTCCAGTGGTGTGCAGCATTAGAGATGGAACTCTGCCCCTATTTCCTATCTATCCAATCTACTGTAGGGCAAAAGGCCTATACTTGTGAAGGGCTGCTTGGGACAAGGCTGCTTTCTGTGACCTTGGAAAGTTAATTAGATTGCCCAAGGATTGAAATCATAACCTATTCTTCATTAACTTCATGCTATTCATGCAATAATACATAGAACTAAATTGCTAGTGCAAGTATAAAATAGTAGTGGTTAAGACTTCTAGGTTGTATTTAAATTTCAATAATTGTCATAACTAAGTTTAATCATAACATGAATGAAGTAAGAATATATTGTGGAAGTAAAAAATGACTTTGAAGATGCAAATAATAGCAATAATGTGCTATAAAAATTATATATTTGACTAGTGATCTCATACTTAAAAGTAGAAGGTAATGTTTTGTGCTCTTGGAGTTATTTAACCCAGGGAATTCTACTCTGCCTGGATGCTTCTACTAGACTATAAATGCTTTCATAAGAAATATGACTTAGGCATACCTCTAATATAAGCATTTAAAAATGTTATTTGTGTCATCTTTCAATCTCTTCTTCTAGACTTTGGAAAAGTACCATTTCTTTATATATCCATCCCTGATTCCCACTCGGTTCTTTTGTATCCTTTAAGGACCATTTAAATCTGCAATGCCTAAGTAACTGAGAATTCAGTGTCTGGTTTGTTTGCTTTCTCTTTTTGCCATATATTTAAAAAATAGCATATGGAAATGAAGCTAAAGTAAATAGGATGAAAGAAATGTATTCTCATATGGATATGCTAATGAATATGAAATAACTTGGTTATTTCACATAGAACTAGCTAGTTAAGGCTATCTAGTACCTTCCCCAAGCCACTAACATGTCATTGGCCACAATTTGCATAATCAGGAATCTCTAAATATATAAATGTTATAGAAGATTTCTGCAAAATAGTATGATAGATCTGATTTAATTGATCATAAGGTTTCATGGCTTCACGCCTATGAATGGAATGATTGGCAGAATTTTACACCTTATCAGTTGCATTAGTCAACCTAGCTTGTGTAGATCTAGTGTTTTGCATGTCTTTTCTGTGGTTGGCATATGATTCTCTCAACAGCTGTTTACCATAGCTATGGGTCACTGATATGTCCCATGTGACATTTATAAATGTCTTGTGTTGTTCACAAGACATTTATAAAATTCAGCTGTGGTTCATGTATCACTGATGTGGTCTACACATGTCTTAAAGAATTTTTTTCTTTTCTGTTTTTTTCAAGGAGGGACTCATTTGGAATTCCTTACTCTACAAAGTTTGGGGTTTTCTGAAGGTTTGCAACATTGAAGAGAACAACCCTGTCATGCTAGCAGAGGAGAAACTACAGTCTTTGATGGCAGGTTGACAAGGGTACTCTGTCCCTGGAGTCATTTTATTATCTGACTTCTGTATTCTGCCAAAGACACTGAGACCACCTACCTGCACATTGGAAAATACAGCTGAGATCTGTCTTTGTGACCCAGACAGATGCCCTCTCAACTTCTCTCTGTTCTGAAGGAAAACATTGCAGCCCAGGCCAGATGAAAACAAGCACTTTCCCCCCCACTTTTTCTGTGGGAAAGATGAGTTGAAACCAAAGTTAATATATTTGAAAAATCTGGGGGAAAAACAGAACAGATTTTTAAAAAGCTGTTTCTTTACCCATCGGTATGCTATTTGCAGAAGTCTTACAAAGGAAACTTCTGTTGGAGTGGAAAACACTGAGAGAAACCCATGTTATGTGAGACTTTAATTCCCTGGAGCTGGGAAAATGAAAGAATCAGGTCCCTATATTCTTGGACTGTTGTCATTAGTTACCAAGAATGTTTATTCAATTGGTTTTAACCATTTCATTAGGAATTCCTTTCATCTGCTGGATATAGTTAACGCAAGACAGGTGAAGCTAATTTTATAAAGCAGTATTGTTACATTATATGCAACAGATTTCTGAGCACAGAAAGGAAGAAGAATCGATTTTTATCTGCTCATTTTTTAAAAGATATTTTTCACCAACCGTATATCTGTACTATCATTACAACAATGCAGTCTGGCTACAATCTCAGGGAATCAATGTGATTTATGTCATAATGCTTTCTTCTTGGAAGGGTACATTTGGCACAAGATAACTGATTTTAAGCAATAAACTTACAGACTCTGGGCCAATCTTGTTAAACCATTGGCTAGTGCAAAGCTAAATCACTTAATATAATTCCCACCTAGAGGCTCATCCATTTTTTAAAATCACTAAACTACTGGCAAATTCATGTTAACAAGATCAGAATAAAAGCTGCTAGGATATTCAGTATTTTGCATGATGGACCTCTCCTTTCCACCAAGAGCACAGGTTAGTTTCTATCAGATTAAACAAAATGATTTAAAAGAGTAAACTTTTAATCAGTGTTTTTCTAGCTTGTAGCATATGACTCATATTAAGAAACATATTTTATATCAGATTCCACATATATAATCTGAAACAAATTTTTCAGGGAATAATACACATGCTTATAATTACGTGGTGCTCTTGAATATGTTCTAGTCTATTCTACTGTATTAATGTAAATTATTTCATAATTATTACTACCTAGCTTTGTATCATGAATAGTTTGAAATACATGGCTTTAGATAACATTCACTCTGGAGCTGAAAGCCTGGCACAAAATAAAATTGTGCCTAAATTGATTAGTAATATGCCAATTATTAGTGAGTACAAAGCCAAGCACTTTTAAAATTTATTCATTAGCCGACAAATCTCCATAAAAACCATGCAAGTATTTTATAAATGAAGGGCATAGAAGAGCAAATTTCATGGCAAAGTTTTCATAAATAGTTGCAGAACTTTGATAGGCATCCAGAACTACTCATGCCTGAACCATGAAATTAACATCTAAGCAGAAGCCTGGGTCTTGGGTCATCTTCTAGACCTGGGAATATTTAATTGACCTTAGACTCTCCAGATTACAGGGGATATTTAGAAAGTCTTACTTGGTTCTGAGAAAATTTCCATATCTCTAGAATATTTGTGGCCTCCTCAATCCTCCTTCAAATTGCTTATGTCCTTCATTGGGCAAAGAGTTAGACCCGCGGTCCACCTGGTGGGATCTGCACATCAAGGGAGGGCATGGGAGAGTTCTTTCCCTGAGATTGGCCTTTGCATAAAAGTTAGCTCATTTTAAGGTCTAGGGGACTATGTCTACCAGTAGTAGTAGTAGTAGACATAGTAACTTATTCTAGAACTATTAGAAGGGAAAATCTGACTGTAATAGGGACCTATGACTAAACCTGGGGTCAAGGAGGTGTGTGGTATCACAGCTTGGATTCTTTTTTTTTTTTTCAGCAGGTGGAGCGATCCTAGCACCAAATTAACCCCAGATACATAAAGAGAGATTCACAGACGCAGTTATCCTATGTAAAGGGGCTCAAGTTTGTTTGACCACTGGCCTCTGCAATGGATTTGGAACTGTTAATAGCCAATTCTTCAACAATAGTCTTTTTACTCCTATTAACAGATGGGGCAGCAATAAGTAACTCAAATTTGTTGAGGAGCAACTTTATTTTGATGTCCCAGAGTTCAGTGAAGCAAGACAGTATTCTCATAGACTGCCTGACTAATGTGTTCTGAACACGACAAACTAATTTATGAGCAAGAAATTCATTGGTTCACATAGTGGTCAAAATGATTAGGTAATTTAACAGAAATAACTAATAAATTGCTTGATTATTTAACATAATTCTGAGTTGTCAACCAAAACAGCAAAGCCTTTTTTTTTTTTTTAGGGGCTGAATCTTGCCTTGTCATCCAGGCTGGAGTGCAGTGGCATGGTCACTCAAGTGATCCTCCCACCTCAGCCTCCTGAGTAGGTATGACTGCAGGTGCACACAAGACCACATCCAATTAATATTTAAATTTTTCATAGAGATGGAGTCTCACTATGTTGCCCAGGCTGGTCCCAAACTTCTGACTTAAAGCAATCCTCCCACATCTGTCTCCCGAAGCACTAAAAACAGCAAATCTAAATAAAGACCGTAAACACTGATGAAAGGACAAATAAGAGCACAGTGCAGGCCTAGCTGTGGAGCCAAAAAATGAGATGCGGAGCTCTGATAGGCAGGCAGTTACTACAGTTTCTTTCATTCGTTTCTTATTTTGGGCTGGGAAAAAAACAAAATAATAAAACTTTGATCTTAAGATTTTTTTCAAAATCATGTTCTTTGGAATGCCTAAAAAGAATTTAAAATAATTTAATATCATGACTGTCCTATGTTTATCTTTGGAAAAAAAAAAAGTATTCAAACTGCTAAATTTCAGGACCATGGTTTTGTGATAGAACTACGCTCACACATGGTCTGTGCTCTCGCCTTCCTAGAATGCAAACTCTATGAGGAAAGGATTTTTGTCTGTCTTTTCTTGATGCCATCTTCAACAACAGGACATTTTCCTAGGAGGATTTTTACCAGCTACTTGTAAATTCCAAATGGCTACATTTTAGTAAAATTTTTAAATTATTGAAAAGTTTTACAAGTCTGTTAAAAGTTTTTAAATCATACCTTTTAAAAAACACATAATTATCTTAGGTGATATTTATTTTCTTTGTTTGCTTAACAAATACCTGAGTTAATATCTACAAATGAGCTGAATACATACACTGCACTATACTCTTTCAAATATTTAAAGAAGTTAAGATCATCAAACCATGTACTTAAAGATGCTTAAATATTCTTTGCAACTTTAGAAACCAGGGGTCTGTTTCTTGAGGAAGTCTTATAATGAATTTGTATTTTTGAGGTAGTTAGCATAAGTTATTATTGAACAGTAATTCTTGCAGTGGTTGTAAATCATTTTTAAAATGGCTAGTGATGAATTAATATAAGGTACCTGATCCAAGTGACTAAACTATTCCCTGAAGGAAAAATGCTCATCTCTGAGAGATATTTTCCTAAATTGGAACTTGGTAACAGTGCTGGTCTTATACACAGGATTTTTAATTACTCGAGTCATCGATCAAGTAGAAACAAGTCTGTGTATTTATTGTGGAGATGGAATATTTTTGACCTACCCAGGAAAACCACATCCTATATCAAAATTATTCTTAGAGATGTAAACTGATCATGTCATTTGTTTGCATTTAAAGTTGTAAAGCAGATTCCTAGAAAAATCAAAACAAAAGCCTGTTTATACTAACCACATAATTACAATAAAAGATTCTTATGAAGGCCTAGAAAACAATTTCTCTTCTAATTGATACACATCTGCATATCCTACATACACTTGATCTGAAGGTCATATAGATCTTAATAGATGCACCCAGACTTTTAGATTCTGTTCATCTCATTTGCAAAATAAGTTAGAGATTTCTTCTGACCCCTGAAACCATTGCTATGAAAACAATGTTATGAAAACATTTGCTTTAATAGCAAATTCTGTAACAAAAATGTCTTTAAGGTGTGTTTAAGTCAACACTGACTTACGTTTCAAAAAAATGTGTATATGTGCTATAAATAGATGTATAGGCTATTTATGTGTGTGTGTGTATGTATGTGTAAGCTATAGCTTTATGTTAATTTATATATGTATGTGCATATATATACATATGTTATAATTAAATATATGCTATTTATATGTATGTATGTGTTTGTACATACTGTAAAATTAGCTCTGGCTTTAGTAAATTATATATCTTTTCATTTCAGCAAAAGTGATGAATACAATCTTTGAGTGAACTAACGGAATATCTGAGACGAGTTGAAAATCTGTTGGGTCAAGTGGTTAGTATGCTGATTTGTATATATAATTATGTGTGTGTGGCATAATTTTATAAATACTTTTACATGATGGGGCAATCATAGCTTTCCCTTATACACTATGCTATGCTGCTGAACAAGCTTCAGCCAAGACATTTTGTTCTGTAAATTTGGTTTTGCTGTTCTTCTTGTGATATCACCAATAAGTTGCAAAATACTTTTCTTCTATCTCCTAACTATTGCTAAGAGACTTAACATAGGAAAATCTGAAAAACACACTTAGGATATCGGGGGCTAAATGCTACAAAATACTGCAATTGAAAAAGTCATATCATGTGTATTCCCTGTTGTGTCAGTGTTTCTAAACCTACATTTCTTTCTACCAGGCACTGTATTTTAACTTAGAAAACAGATCTGATAATTGAAACAGTACCACTTAGAGACCAGAAGATCCAATTATTTACTAAAGGGTGTGTGGTCTGGAAAATCCGTAGATTCCTTTGCCTGTTATGTCATTCAGTGAAATGGTCAGTAATAGCTCTTTAATGTCAACTCATAAGAGGTTCTTTGTGCTGATGACCACACTAAATGGAGCAAAACCAAAAGATTTCTCTTTATAATCATAATCAAACTCCAATCTCATCTTTTTTGTGAAGATTTTCCCTCAATTATCCTTGATCTACCTTTTCATCCAGATCTGCTGTTGATATGTGCTATGCAATTTTGGTACTCTGCTATGCAATTATGTTCCCCAATTCACAAATGGCTTGCAATATCTTCATCTCTGCCAGCTCTCAGTGAGCAATAACTGCCTTTCATTTTTCTCACGTCCTTCAAGATACCAAGTTTAAGGCTTAGAACACACCAGGCCATAAAAGAAATATTTGCTTTTGGCTCATTAGTTTGAAAACATTACCTCAAAAGATACTCTTAGGATCAGATGATTATAATAATGGCACTTATATTGCTGACACTTAATAATGTACTTTTCTTTCCCCCAATTTAAAGTATCTTCTCATTGGTCTCACAATAAGCATCCATCAATAATGAATTTCTCACTGTAAGTTTTAAAAGGTCACTTGGACCTATTGCCCTTTCAAAGAACTGTTTTTAAAAGGATTCGGGAATGGCAAGCAAATTTATGGGAATATTCAAGAAATTTCACATAGTGAGCATTTTTTGAGTGGTTATGAATCATTGGGTCACAAGCAAGGTATGTTTTGTATATACAAAGAGGAGTTGGATTAATTAACTCTAAGATCTTTCCCAGCTTGTAACATTATGACACCTTCTCTTATTGAACAGCAAGGACAAATCTCTGATGCCACTAATGAGTAACTTTAGATTAAATATATTTGTATGTATATGTAGGTCTATAAAAGCCATGTTTAACAGCAAGGTGAGATTTCAAATGGCAACTTTCCATTTTTTTTCCTGAGCCAGTCAACAACAGCACAGGCAGAGGAAGGGTCCAGGCTGTCCTCATTTTTTCATTGATGAAGGACTGTCTGAAAAACAGTGTTTACAAAAGCATTCCTATGCTGATTGTCTGCATCCCCCGCAGGGTTCAAGTGAGGGGTCTAAGAATTTGGGGAGGGCAAAGGCAGTGATGGGTGAATAAATCCTTTCTCACCATTCTAGAGCTCATCCTCAATAAGGCCACTCTTCCGTGGGAGGTGGAAAGGAATCTGATGGTGCCTGTTTGTTTTGGCAGCCTGTTCCCTGAAGATGCACACATCCAGAGAATGACAGAGAGCCGTTTTTCCAGGCCAAAGCTAACTTCTGTTTCCATAACACTGTGGGAAGCTGAAAATGCAAGCCACACAGGTTTGTCCCCAGTCTGTGAATAAACAGCATCCTGCTTCCAGAGATATCGTCCCTAAATCACCTTTCATTCATTGAAGATTCATTTTAAAAATTAGGAAAATAAGATGCCAAAGAAATCAGTCTTTAAAAAAAAATCCCAATGATCCAGGTTATCCAGGAGATAAAGACTTTCTTAATCTTTATTATCATCAACATTCGCAAAAGCAGAGGCAGCAAATGACAACAGAGCACCCAGATAACTTTAGTCTCTTTATTAGATACTTTGCCACCTTCAGAATATTGATTATCTCTGTTCCTGATTTTTATGAACTTACTGTTCTGAAAGCCCAAGTTCAAATGCCCCCCCAAATTAGTTCTCTACCCATCAATGAGCATAGTTATGTTTTAGTGACATAATCTCATGGTTTAGAATTCTTTACAAATCACCTGCTCAAATCCCTCACTTCTCAGAACATAAGGGATAACAATAGTCTAAATTCAGAAAAGATATGAAGCAAAGAAGTTAAGGATGTCTACATTAAAGTGTACATGAGTATTAGCAAAGTCCTTTATATGAAATGTACAGCTGCCTACAAATCATAAGCACCATAGCTCACGAAACAACAGTTCTGGAAAACAGTGTCAACAATCCAGCATTAATTGCTTCCACCTATTTCTTTATTTCATTTTTTCTTGGAATACTCTGATTTTTTTCTTTTATCATTGCTATTGCTACTTGATTAGGAATGCACATTACATGTGTTCACTGTCTTCTCACTTAAACCATTGATAGAAATTTCTGGTATTTTATTAGCAAAGTCTCTTTCAAATCTTTTGCAGACTTCTGTTAGTTTCAGATTAGTAAGCAGGTACAGGTCTTTGAGTAGGGCTTTCTAACCTTTTACAGAGAGTGTATTAGCCACAGAAGTCTTTTTTTTCTCAATAGAGTATAGAAATAAAAATGATAATAGCCAGGCTTTTGTCAGCATTAAATGCCATGCCAAGCACTATACTATTTTATGTACATTTGCCAATTTAACCTGCAAAACAAACTTATAAAACAGATACCAGAATTATTCCCAGTTTAAATTAGACATAAGGGTTAAGTAATTTACCTCTGCATAAAGGGAATACATATAAGAGATGAGATATATTGACATATAGGCATAGAAAAACTAGTGAAAAAATGATACATCTTCGTGATGTCACATTTAATATTTTCATTTTTAAAAAAACATGAAACACAACTATTGATTATGGCAGTATGGTGGACTAGACTTTCTGATCAACTTCCTGCTGTAAAAAATTATTAATAAAATGTTGGGTAAGACAAATGATCAATAATTTGGCTATAAATTAAAGGATAATTAGAGGTCAAAACATAGATAAAATATAAACTAGAGGAGTAAGCTGAATGCTGCTTTTATCTTGAAGGTATTTGTTAAAATCCGGTGGTTTTGAGCTTAATTTCATGGCTTCATGTGCACAGAGGACAGGAGATAAAACCCAGGTCCTATTCAAATTATAGACCAGAATGTACTCTCCCACTCTACACAAAAATAGAATCCCAAAGCTTACGCCTTCAGTGGAAGGCTGAACTAGAAATAAGACCGTTTAAATTTACTCTGGGGACTGCACAGAAAAACACCTGTGCAAACCTTCGTGCTACATAGAGAGACAGAACATTTTCCCTGAAAATTTGTTGTCATAAGTTGCAGTTTACATGGTTTTGCAAACCACTTTTACACCAACGAGGTAGTTTTGGGAATCCTCAAGTTAAAACTGTAAAATGGTACCAGGTTGGCAATGTCACTAGGCACCTTGCAAAAGCAAATCCAGACTTTCTCTGGATGAACTCTTGAAACTCAGACCCCAATTAATTCCTTCACCTAATACTCCAAGAAATATGAATCAAAAATAATAAAATACAGAAGGACGCAAGTCATAATGTGTGTGAGCCAGGCACAATGATAGATAGCAGACTCATGCCAGTAAAAATTACAGACTATAATACAAAATAATGTGCTTCATGTTCTAAAAGTGATGTAAAAAAGGCAATGCAAAATATGATCCAAGATAGTATAAAATAACTGTGAAGCACAATTTCCAAAAGTAAAAATTAAACTTCTAGAAAAGCACCAAAAATGGACATTAAACACTCAATAGTCAGTTTTAACATTGGTGTTTAATGGATTTTAAGAGAGACTTGAAAAAAATTATGGAAACAACATATAGAAGGAAGAAGTAGAATATCTGAAAAAAGTTTAAGAGTCATGGAAGATAAAGTGAGAAGGTCTAACACATATTAAATTAGAGTCATAGAATTAGTGGTGGAGGAGAAATATTTGAAGGAATAATGGCTGATAATTTTTCAGAAATAAAGAATAGCTCCAACCCACAGATGAAGAATCCCATTAGTCAAATGAATTCCAACAGGATAAATAAAAAAGAAAACCTCATCTAAATATATCAGAGTAAAATTATGAAAAAAAAAGCAGTGAAAATATTTCGATCCTAGTTAAGAGACAATTGTGTGCATACACTTGGTGAATTGTAAGATATCTAAATTATACCTCAATGAAACTTATTTTAAAAATCTAGCTAGAAATAAAAGAAACTATATAAATGAATGCCAGTTAGATTGGAGCCAACTTAAAAAATAGCAAAATTAAAAGTCAGAAGAGAGTGTAACAAAATCCCCAATATGCTGAGAAAAAAACAAATATTAGCAGAAAGTTACAAAAACTTCACAAATAATTCAAGGATGAAGATGAAAAAAATAAATTTTTAGGCAAGCAAAATCTAAGACAACTTCCCACTAACAGAATCTCCTTCACATTCAAAAGTCGTAAGATGTAATTCAAGAAGAAAGACAATGATCCCAGATGTAAATATGTAAGGAAAAATAATGATTAAAATGCAAGCAAATATATATGTAAATCTAAAAATACTGATTTACCTTATAAAATAATAATAATAAATCTTTCTGGAGTTCAGAAAACATGATAAAAAACAGAAATATGATACATTCAAGGCAAATATAAAATACAAAATAAGAAAGTAGAAATGAATCCAAACATTTAAATAATAATAAAAACTACATGTTAAGTAAATGCTCCAATATAAATATTTTCAGGTTGCATTAGAAACTAAATCCAGCTATATATAATAACCACAATGATAATATAAAGACAAAATATATACTAGGAAAAACTAATTACAATAAAGCTGATAAAGCTACATCAACATCAAGCGATATGGACCTTGTGAATATTTCTTGAATAAGGATAAAGTAATTCATTAATAAAGAAGAGATATTAATGCTAAACTTAATTTCACCTAATAATATAAACCAAAAAATGACAGAAGTACAAGGAGAAATAGATAAGATTTCCAAAACAGCAGACTTTAATACACTCTTGTCAGCAATTGATAGTAAGAAATAAATCAGAAAGAATATATTTGAAGAACTCTATTAACATAAATGGTGTCATAAAAGCATACAAAATACTTCACACAACAAATAGAGGATACTTATACTTTCAAAGCAAAATTTCTGAAAATTGACCCATATTGGGCCTTAAATCAAATTTCATAAACATCATAGATAACATCTATACCCTAGAGAACTCTTGCATTTGCGCATCACCACCATCAAACACATACAAGAATGTGCTGTTTTTAATACCAAAGACACTGAAAAAAAAAGTTTCTGTAATCTTCAGTATTAACCAATCAATAACTTTGGTTTCACAAAATGAGAGATTACTGTGTAGCTGTGAAAATAAATAAATTTAGCTATATACCAATATATATATATCTCAAGAATATAACTGTGAATGAAAAAAAATTTCAGGTGAATAGATCAAGTATGATGTTATTCATATAAAATTCAAAAGCATGCAAAACTTAGCCATGTATTAGAAAAGGAGAAAAACCATATGGTAAAGTGGAGCATTCGTTATCTGTTGATGCATGACAAATTACCCCAAAACAGAGAAGTTAAAACAGAAATTGCCACTCATTATCTCTCATAATTTCTGTGGGTCATGAATTTGCAGGAGGAAAGGAAGGACACTGTTCCATGATGTCAGGGGCCTCAGTTGGAAGACGGACTGTGATGTAGAGTCATATGGAGACTCTTTCAGTCCCAGGTCGGCTGCTTCCTGCTGGTCTCAGCCGGTAGGTTAGCAGAAGATTTCAGCCTGCACGTGGCCTCTGCACGTGGCCTGGCTTCTTCACAAATGAAGCCTGGGTTCCCAGGGCAAGCATCCTGAGAGAAAGAGCCAAGTAGAAGCTACCTCCTTTTCATGACCTAGCCTCAGTAGCCACATAGCATCATTTCCCCATACTACATTGACTGGGGCTATCACAAACCCCTGCCCAGATTTAAGTAACAGCAGCCATAAATGCAGCTCAGTAGTTACTTCTGCTTGAAGAGGAAAGGACATAGCATTCTGGAAGGGCTCTCAGAGGTCTTCTTAGGTAACGGATAATGTTCTATTTATAAACTGGGGGAGAGAAATGCTGTGAGTATCCTCCCTGTATTTCTTCTCAAACTTTTCAAAACTCATCTTACCATCTCCATTCCCTGCCCAAACCCTCCAAGGAAGCACCATTGCTGTACAATTAAAGCTCATCAATCTTATCTTTTACTTTCTATCTTACATCTGAGTTCTATTACTGTATATGAAAATTTCAAATTGTAAAAAAAAGTAAGCCCATATCAATTATGATTAGATGTTGATGACCCCAAAGTTGTTCCATTTCATATTGATTTACATAAATCCTTGGCCTTTTGTGTCTGCAACCTATATTTGTGTATTTGGCTTTGTTCTTGTCACTGTGGCTGCTCTGCTTCATGATGCTTCTTTGTCTATTCCTTGAGAGTGGGGTCATAAGAATAGTCCCTGCAATGATGCTGATTCTTCAGGCCTTTTCTGGAAATTAAAGAGGAAAAATCTGCTTGCACATTTGAAAAGCTGTAAATAATTGTTCAGGCTCTGGGTTTATTCAAAACACTAACTTCTTTTTTTTTTTTTTTTTTTTTTTTTTTTGAGACGGAGTCTCGCTCTGTCACCAGGCCAGAGTACAATGGTGTGATCTCCGCTCACTGCAATCTCTGCCTCCTGGGTTCAAGTGATTCTCCTGCCTCAGCCTCCGGAGTAGCTGGGACTACAGGCGTGCACCACCGTGCCCAGCTAACTTCTGTATTTTTAGTAGAGACAGGGTTTCACCATGTTGGCCAGGATGGTCTCAATCTCTTGACCTCGTGATCTGCCCACCTTGGCCTCCCAAAGTGCTGGATTACAGGAGTGAGCCTGTACCTGGCCAACACTGACTTCTAATTTGTAAAATTCTTCAAATGGTGTTGGACATAGAAGCTTCTACTAAAAATTTTTAAGGTGTTTACTTCTCTGAATTATGTATGTGCTTTTCATCATTTCCCTAAAGGGCACTTTTTTCTGGTTAGCACTGCTTGTGCTTGGCACTCACCCTGGCTAAGAATATATTTCTGAATTGACTTTTCTGCCAGAACATATTCCTTATGTTCCAGTCTATCAACAAGTCTATGTTGTGCAATTTTTACATGCTAGGCACTGTGCTAGGCCCTTGGTATTCTGCAGTAAACAAGATTTCCATTCTTTCTACCACTATGAAGTGTATAGTCTAGTGATTATACAGGAAGCTTTGGTTCTGTCATATTAAATTTTTAAAAGATTGTTTGGTTATTGTCTTGAAAATGTATAAGAGGATTAATTCCCTTTACAACTTTCTACTTTCATTTTCTTAATGGTAGTTTGGTTATCTGATCCATTTACAAATATGGAACAGAACTTAATGAAGAAAGCACAGAAAGTAAAAGAAAAGTAACAAATAATAACACTAAGAAGTTAATAAACAGGTCAAGATGGTTATGGTTAGCAGTTAGGCAGCCATTTCTCCCCTGGCTGAACATTGCAGTCCCTGAGATGACTGAAGTCAAATGGCAGTCATGCACTTCATGTTTCCTGAATGTTGTGCATTTGAAATTGGAAGTTTTGGCTTTCTTTGTTTTTTAGAAAATTTTATTTTCTACCAACAAAGAGTAAATATGATATTTGATAAGAATTTGTCACAATTGATAACGTATTGATTGATACGTTTTGATGCCAAAAAGCTTTAAGGTGAGCTGGTCATGAAATGTCTGGAGATATTCACAGCCACAAAGATGATAGAGTCCATGCTGCAAATATTTGCAGAAGACACATAACATATGCACATCAGTTGTACAAACAAGTAAAATAACTTAAATAATTCTCACTTACTTATTACTCACAGCTTCAAATAATGCTTCTCCTCTTACTTCTAAATACTTTTCCAAACAATGGAGAGAAACAATGATATTCCATAATACTGATTTGTTGCAACGATCATATATATCAGCTCTTTATTTCTTTTCTGGGATTGCTGCAAAACAAGTGAAGTCTACTAAATTTTGTGATTCTCAAGAAACATTCCCTCAGGCAAAAATAACAGTAAAACAAAATAGGAAAATCTTCTTATAAATCATTACTGGACTGGTTTTTCTCTCCTAGAAAAACTAAACTCATAGAAAATTGATGTGAATTCAGTATTTAAGCCATTTTTCATATAAACATACTTTCCAAGTAACCTTGAAGCAATTTGGAAGATAATTCTCCCTCAGCTTTCCAAAGATTTTTGTAGAAATGTTAGCCTTCTTAAACTGAGGTACAAGCCAGTTTCTCCTATCTATTTATTTTTATATGCCATGTGTGTGTTTTGTGTGTGTGTGTGTGTGTGTGTGTGTATGTGTGTGAATGTACAATATTTATTTATAAAATTACAAGGTAGATCTGAGGGAGGAACATGGACAGTTGATTTTACTTTTTCTACTCCTAAATACTACCAAAACATCCTCCCTTGCGCCCTATTCAAACACTGACAAATTACTTAATAACAAGAGCATATATTTGGGGTGTGTTTTTGTAGTTACCACATCAGTGTCAAGAATAAGAAATATTATCAGGTATGTGCCTTCCAAAAATACCACATTATCAAAAAAAATATTGTACCAAGTAGGTCAACCATTCATTAAAATCTGGGGTAACAGCAGTCACGAACTAATGTCAAAAAGAAGTGGGTCTGGCATAGCATGGAGAAAAACACAGTCTGCAATAGGCCAAACACTGAAATTTGGATTATGGAAGAGGAAATGGCTTCCCCTTCAAGTTTTTTTTTTTTTTTTTTTTTTTTTTTTGAGGCAGAGTCTAGCTCTGTCGCCAGGCTGGAGTGCTGTGGTGCAATCTCGGCTCACTGCAACATCCGCCTCCTGTGTTTAAGTGATTCTCCTGCCTCAGCCTCCCGAGTAGCTGGGATTACAGGTGCCCACCACCATGCCCAGCTAATTTTTGTATTTTTAGTAGAGACGGGGTTTCACCGTGTTGGCCAGGATGGTCTCCATCTCCTGACCTCATGATCCACCCCTCTTGGCCTCCCAAAAGTGTTGGGATTACAGGCATGAGCCACCGCACCCAACCCAAGTGTTTTTTTGTTTGTTTGTTTGTTTTGTTTTAATCTTTACACATTCTTTCATTTAACAAATATTTATTAAGCATCTACTACATTAAAGACACTGTTCTGGGCATTAGGGATGTAACAGTGACAAACAAGCCACTGTCTACGTGGATCTTCCTTCCTAGTAAGAGAGAAAATAGACAATAGAACATCAGTTAGTGTTATGCTGCAATTACACATGACCCATCTTAAATGTAAAGTCTATCCACATCATCGTCACACACGTCAACATTAGCATGGGCATGACCACCTTCAAATAATGCTTACTCAACACTTATAGGAATAACCACTAGGCCACAAGACATACAAAACAAGTTAAAAGATAGTATCTCTATATTCTGGAGGCTATCTCATGCAGAGGTAATTGGCTTAAGTCAAAAAAGGAACATCTCATTTTTACATAAAGTTAATTTATAGTCAACATTGAGTATAATAGAATATGGGGCTATAATTATTGAAGGGTTAGGAAGTGATAAGTAGATTTCTTGTTTCAGTCCATGAGTCACAAACTGACTTATTCAAGTTTTCATCAACATAGGAACAGATTTATTTAACTCGGGGAGTTGTCATAGATGTTTTTCCCTTGTTCAATTACTCTGAGAACTCTTAGTTAATCCAATGGTTGACATGAACAAGACAGAATCCTTCCTGGAATTAAGGCATAATCCCCAGGAGACACTTCTTGTTCTCATCTCTGCTGTCTTGCTTGAGAGGAAAGCTCCAGAACAAGGCCAGGGTACCATGATAACCTATAGCAGAAAACAGCATAGCTGGGTCTCATGTGCACTGAACCTGGGAACTGGAACCTAAACCTTCTACCCTTAGTGTTCCACATTATGACCTCTCAATTCAGATGATAATAATTGGTAGACTTCTTATTTAAGACCCCTGAGAAATAGTAAAATTAGTACACAATATGTCTCCATTTGGGCAGTCTTTTTGCATCAGATGATATCATAGGGTGCTGGTCAGACTACAGATTACTCTTCTTTTGGTCAGGTGTCAATGCATGACCCAATCAAATTTAGCAGTGTGTCTTGCGGCTCAGGTTGCTTCCAGTAAATGCTGTGAGTTAGGGAGATTCTCAGGATGAGGTAGTGAGCAGGAGAGGAAATGAAAAAATGTGAGTATTCCTATTAAATGGAACATGTTACTTGGAATCAACCACAGAATAATCTGCTGCATTATCAGATTAATTAAATATATTACATTAGAACACAGGGTCCCAAGGCATTGAGAAGGAGAGCACATGAGATTAATTGAAGGGAAAGAAGAGTAAAGGAGACAGGAGTATCCAGACAGCGCATTTTTGGGTGCTATGGAAATGAGTGACTCTGGGCATATGAAGATAACAGTAAGAAGACTCGGGCTCCTGTAAGAGGAGGGAGGGACTTGATGTGGTGGAGTATAGTTATCAAAGTGGGATGACATTTCAAAATGACATTTTCCTCTTTCTT
Organism: Homo sapiens; assembly: GCF_000001405.40. NCBI lineage: Eukaryota > Metazoa > Chordata > Mammalia > Primates > Hominidae > Homo > Homo sapiens. Next base: position 132,246,138 of record NC_000006.12, read on the forward strand.
AATTTTGCCAGAGGCCAGCCCTTTTTTTGTAACACAAAATGGCGAATTTTGTTTTCATCTGAATGCTTAACAGTATAGATGCAATCTTAATGTTCATGAATAATCTAGAAGTAAAAAGATGAGAGCACAAAATGCAGAAGCCAGCAGAATCCTTCCAAGGCTGGAGGAGGAGTAAACAAATGCTAATAGGAATGAGCTGAGCACATCTCCCCAAGCCACATGGTCCTTCCCAGGCATACTCAAAGACTCAACTGCTTGTCTTCCACAGGAAAGGGGTACAATGCCTGCCAGCAAAACTGCTTACCCTGCACTCTACAAGAACCCTCTTCCTTCCCAGAGGGTCCAGCTCGGTGCTCAAAAGCACAAGGAAAACCAAATGGTTTGGAAGGAAAAGTTGTTGATGTCTCTTGCCCCCAAAGGTCCTTCAAGCAGTAAATGAACACACACAATCTGTGTTTATTTTCTTTTAAACATATTTTTGAAAATATTCTGTGATCCAAAATATGTGTTTTCAATCTTGCCTGCCGTTCCCTGGCCATGAGTGATGTATTTTATCCATATTCATAATCATGCACAAATTTTCTATTCATAGCTCACTCTGCAGTATCAATTCTGGCGGCAGTCGGGATTTCCTTGTGCGGCCCGCATACGGTGATCCCTTACCAGAGGCCTGGCTCCACATCAGTGTTTGCATTCCTTCGATGGCTCAGGTTAAATGTAAAGGAATGAGGTACTTGAGTCTTCCTGCAAAAAATTAACTGCATTTACGTGTCCGGGAAGGATAGGACAGTGTGTTCTTAAACTCTTGCTAGCTTCAGGAATGTCTAACCTGATTTCCTGTCATAAATATTTCATTACAAAAAAGACTTTAGAAATATGCCAGTTCAAACTCGGCACAGACCCTTCCCACCAGCTCTCTGCGGCAGCGGGAAACCAGCTCCACAGTGCCCGGTGCCGGGAGGTCACGGGCATCCTTACTGCCCTCCTCTTCGTTCTCAGTGTGAGGAAAAGCCATGCCACCTGGGGGTTTCTTCTGGGTGGTAGAGGTAGAATTGTGGGTGGCAGCCCAGTGTGTGTGCAGAGCTTGGAGAAGAGGCATGTTTTCTAAAGGGCAACTTCAAAGCTGTCTCACAGAGGAAGTGTCTGTCCCCATGTCCACCCCTGCTCCATAGAACAGGCCTTTGATTTCAGGTAGGAATCTTGGTTGGATTTCCCTCCTTTGAGTGACTGCTGCCAGCCCCTTTTCTTTGCACTTTGATGAGGTGACACTGGCTAATCACAGGTTCCTCCTGGTACCCAAGTTTGAGGGGTACCAGGTAGTGTGTGCCTGCGGGCTGATATCTGAGATGATGTGCCTTTCGAAGTGAGTGAAGCTGCCTCCTAGGTTGAAGCAGTGAGGCCAAGCCATGTCACATTTCAGAGTTCTTCACTGAGTCACATCTTCCCACTTGGCATTGGTTCCTGGGACTGCTAAGTGAACTGAAACTGAGAAGCTATGAAAATATACACAGGAGAGAGAGTGTGTGAGGAAGGGCATGTGCTGTTTCTCTGGGGTCCAAAGTCATAACTCTCCCTGTTCTCTTGTTTTTGCTTTTCCTCATCTGGCCCTCCTGCCCCATGTAAGATATGCTCCTGCTTCCTTTGATTTGCTGTTCCTGGGAAAGCAGTATAAACTTTGGGAGAGGAAGCAAAGGGATGTGTTTAGATCCACTAGGAAGCAGCTACAGAGCGCTCCTCCTTTCTGACAGTTGATATTCTTCCAACGGGAAATAGCAAAATTTGGGTGTTTTTATCGTATACTTCTCAGATGCAGTTCTCAGGCTTCCCACAAGAGGAACTCAGGAAGATCCTATTTTTACTATTAAACTTGGTTCATTCATGTAGAGTTGTTGCAATGGCTGTTTTGAGTGCTTTTAAACTGACCGGCATAAAGTTAATAACATTGACCAAGGCCAGCTGTGTCAACAGAGCTCAAGAAATTATTGAACAGCTAATTCGTTGATGATATTTTATAATTCTTGTATAATGATGTGTCAGTAATGATCATAATCAACAGGTAAGTGAAATGTTGATCTACATTTTGTATATACTGAAGACAACTTCATCAAAAGCCCTCATATTACTAACTTGAGTATGTGTCTCTTTCCAGAACAGGCTTACATTTTGCAACAGTCATCAGTGTGTACTCAGTAATGCATCTACGAAAGGATCAATGTGCACCTACATTTTTCTGGGAACTGTGTGATACACAGAGGATACAAGGAGGGAAGGCATGACTTTCTCCCTTAGCAGATAATACGGATGCGGAAACCAATAGCTATGACACAATTCTATAAATCTAATTCTGGAAATGTGTTTAAGGTGCAATAAGAGTAAGAGGTATATATCTAAGTCAGATTGGGAAGTGGGTGTCAGGAGTAATTTCTTTTTAGAATAGAATGGTAGTTGAGTCCTGAATGATGAAAAAGATTTACCAGGCCTGGATGGGGTGGAAAGTGTGGTGGGCTGTTCCCACTCACCACCATGGGATATGCAAAAGCATGAATGTAGGAGTGGGAATTTGAAGAATCCATAGTTTGCTAAGATTGGAATATTGTACATACTTTGGGGATACCAGGAGTTAAGTGGAAGAATTAGGTTAGGGGAGGTGTTCATGAAACTTTGATGCCACTCTGTAGAATTTGTGATCCATGAATTTTTGTCACCTTCCTGGGGAAGCCAACCCAACATTTTATCAGGAGAATGATGCACAGTTTTTATCTTAGAAAGATCATTTGGGCAGCGACATTGAGGACCATTAAGAAGAAAAGCGAGGCAATACGAGCGAGAGGACCTCAGGGATGCTATTAAGTAGCTACAGAAATTGGGCTTCAAAAAAAGAGGAACTCTAAAGCTCTGACGGGAAAATATAAAGTTCTATGTCTAGTATGAGAGAGGCATGTATACATGAGTGAGGGAAATGTTAAGAACTACAGTTAGTCTATACTCTACCTGCAGATTAACAATTTAGCCTTCTACAGTTTTATGGATGCTGACAGCAGACAGAAATCTCCTGGATCAGAGACAAAATATAATTTATTACTCATAGCAATAGCAGCAGCCAGAGTATCTGCATTTTTTATGCCAGTTTCCTAAGGCTCCATGTCCACAGGGCATTACAAAAAAAAAAAAAAAAAAAGCTGGGTGACACTTGCTCACACAGTAGATTTTATTACAGAAAAAGAACCCTGAGTTTAGGGAACCCAAAACTTTCATCATGGCCATTAAGCATGCCTGTCCTTTTCTCTAGAGGGATATACTCTCTCTATCTTCCAAGACTGAAAGCAAATTTCCACTTTGCTACAGAGAAAGATACCAACTCTATCATCATGGCTCTTCATTCTATAGATATTCTTGTAAAGATAATTTACAACAATGTGTCTTGCTTGCAAGACTTGCAGAAATTGGAGATACCCATGAAAAACTGTCTCCCAACAAGAAACTAGAATGACTCCCAGTTCTGTAGCATAAACAACTGTGGCAGCACAGTAGGAACAAGAGGAGAAGGTTGGGTTTCATGTACGTATCAAAGCTGAAATGGTAAAGAACTGACTTAATTCTTGTGATACTGAAACTTCTCACAAGGTAGACATACTGAATTATATATGACAATGATTAACCTCTAAGTTTATACAGAGTTTAGAGTTCTGTTCTGTATACTTCAGTAATGAAACTCCTTAATCCATACAGCCTTTTCTGGAAGAAATTCAGAGCTGTCGCCAAGTTTGAACTGATGTCCAGCTTGAATAGCCTGATATGATACCGGTTCTTCTTGCCTTATAAGAAGAGTCAGTGAGACTAGGAGAAATCATTGCAAGGGCAGAATTAGCAGATAGCAGGAAATGCATAATTTAATCTTTGACACACATTATGGGAGATGTTTCTCAAATTTTCCCAGACCAAGGATCCTAACAGTTAACATTCTAAAGACTTTTCTTAACCACTTGGCATCCTCCATGCTAAAAGAAAGAATACTGAATTTATAATAGATTGGACTATGGTTTGGGAAACCCTAACATACCCATTCTCCGTCCTACTGTAGCACTGATTTCTCTGAATTATAACTCTGAATACAATAGTTCATCGCTTCCAATAAACCAAACATTTCTTAAAGCTAGGTAGTATCTTATTCATTTTCTAATTTTTCCCATGCTTATCATGATTATGATTATGTTATATGGATTATAGAGAAGTCAATTTACTTTAAATGTAACTTTTGGAATTTAATTTTTGCATTTTTAAAGCTCTCTTGTCCTGTATAGCATGCATCTTGAATACCATCCAATGAATCAAATTATCTTCAAAAATTAGGTAAAATGGCTCAAGTTGTTTCCACTAGCAAGATTTAGAAAATCTTATTTATGTGCCATTAATATTTTATTCTCAGATGAACAAAATTTTCCCATATGAAAATATTGAATCACCCTAATCCGTATGTTCCTTCTTAAAGTCATTAACGGATTTGGCTACTTCGATGGAATAATAGATTGTTTTGTAAAGAAAACAGTGATATCATTATTATAATCTGCAGATTAAGTATAAAATTTTAGTTGCTCTGAAATTTAACAGCCCAATTAGCATTTGTTTTGCTGTTAGCCTTTTTAAAGATACAATCTGTTTACACATGTTAATGTTTTGCAGTTGCTATAGTTTGCCTGGGTTCCAAGGCTTATATCACTAAGACCAGTACAGCTAAGTAAAGTGATTTTAGTAGTACACAGAGAACATTCAGTGGCTTTGTATACCACTAGGACTTATATCTGAAAATCCAAGGCCTAGAGTTTTGCCAGAGGATGGGATGGTAACCATAAAATTTGACAGCAAAGCAGGAGACAGTTTTTAAATGCTGGATTAGAATGATTTGGAACAGGGTTATGGAAACTTATCAGGATTTTCTTAAATCAGTAGTTCCTTACTAAAGGATTCACCTATTATATTGGTTTGGTAGGGCTGTTGTAACCAAGTACTACACATGGTATTCTGAATGGCTTAAACAGCAGAAATGTCTTATCTCACAGTTCTGGAGGCTAAAAGTCCAACTCCAAGGTCCCAGTTGAACTAGCTCCTTCTCTGGCTGTAAGGAAGAATCTGTTCCATGCCTGTGTCCGCTTCTGGTGGTTTTGCTGAAACCTTTGTAATTCTTTGTCTTGCAGACACATCACGCCTAACTCTGCCTTGATGTTCGTTCACATGGCATTCTCCCTGTGTTTGTGTCAGAATTTTGTCTTCTCATAAGGGCACTAGTCCCATTTGATTAGATCCCACTGTAATGACCTCATTTTGAATTAATTACTTCTATAAAGACCTTCTCTCCAAATAAGGTCACAATCTAATACTGAGGATTAGGAATTTAACATCATAATTTGGGGGGACACAATTCAACCCATAACAGACATTAATACCAAAATCCCCACTTCACAGCTGAACCCCTTTGAGCACATTTGGTTCTTTTCTCTAAAACCCTCCATCTCTTTTGATGACATACATTAGCTAATGTGGAACAAATAATACTCCAGTGAACTCAGTTGATTGAAAAATAATTTCCTCCTCAATTTTTATAATTCAGATGGTCAGGCACCAGGGTTTTTGGGTTTTGAGTTTTTTTGTTTATTTGTTTTTAAGACAAGGAAGTACAATTCCAATTAAAGTGAAATCACAGTTTTGATAGCAGCAGGAGGCAGACAAATGCCTAGGCAGGTAGGGGCAGGTCCCCAGTGAAACCCCATCTCCAAGCCAAAGACAGTTTAAAGCCTGAAAGCCAAGCTACAAGTCAAACTTCCTGTTTGTTGTGCTTTCCTGTGATTGATCCCCAACCTTCACCTATTTCACATATACCTACCCTTTCCTAATTGGTTTTTACATTGTCATACCCACTTTTGAGTGGTGCCTTTAACTTTTTTTGCATACTCACAAACCTATCAGCATATACTACCCTATTCTGAACCCATTAAGGCCCTGGACCAAGCCACACTGTGGGAGAGATCATCCCCACACCCCCTCTCTGCTGAGAGCTGTGCCATTGCTCAACAAAATTCTTCTCTGCCCTCCTCTACCTTCAATTGTCAGCATATCCTCATTCTTCTTGGAAGTGGGACAAGAGCTTAGGAACCACTGAACATGAGTACATGCTATAACAGAGGCAGGCTGGGGCATGCCCGGCCAGTCACGAGCTGAGCCAGTGTGCAAGCCAGACTCGGCCCTGGCAGACCGAGTGCATGGAGCACTTCTTGTAACAGGTAGTGTGACTGAGGGAGGCCCAGACAGCAGTGTCCCTGGCTGGAGTCTCCTGGCTGGCAAAGTGACCAAGAAAAATCCTGCATCCTTTCAGTGCATTACCATGTCAACTTCCATCTAGAATATCAAACATCAAGTAAAAGATAATAAATTATTTGCTTAGTTGTGTGTCAGAGTGCCCAGGACTTTTCTGAGCATACACCACCTCCTTGGTCAATATCAGTTAACTATTTAAATGTAGCGGTTATAAATCCTAGGCTCTAGAAATAATCCGTTTCTTTATTATGTACAAATCATGCTAATTCACTTACAAAGTCTTCATCCATTGCATGAGAAGGAAATTCCATCTCAATGGAATTCTAATGTTCTTGTACAGACACATCTTGCTGAACTAACCCCACTGGATCTGTCCAGGGAGATCTCTTTCTAGTTCAGAAAATAAACTATTTTCTGAATATACAATGAAATGTATACAATAAAATGAACAATAAAACTTATACCACAATATACTCAGGGCTTCACTCATGAGCAATTATAAAACTTTTTTACTTTCTTTTTGGACAAAATGATTTTAGCATTCAAATGTTCCAAAAACATGAAAGATATATTTATATTTTAGACTTCTAGTAAATTAAAGAAAGGGAAGAAGACAAGAGAATTAACTTCCCTGAGGACAGAGGGCAGATCTGGGGAATCTACCTCTCTATGCACAGTGAGTTGCTGAATGAATGAAAACAAGTAGTACTTTATGAACATTGACATAGGAAAAGCTCTCAAGTATCTTGAGGAAAAAGAGGAGTGGGGAAAATAGGCAATATATTTTAGTTCAAAGGGCCTACGATTTGAAATGACAAGATCCATATTCAAATTCCTGCCCTGCAGTTAATTGCTTCTTTACCCATTAAGAGCCTTATTTTATGCAATAGTAAAATTAGAGAATATCTTGGTGTTCTTCCTACTCCACTGTGCCAGCAGACAGCTGCCCTTAATTAGCTAAAGTATGTCATCAAAAGAGATGAGGGTTTAAGAGAAGAGAGCCAAATATGCTCACAGTGGTTTAGCTGTGAAGTGGGGATGTTGGTATTAACGTCTGTTTTGGGTTGAATTGTGTCCCCTAGAATTCTTATGTTAGATTCCTAATCCTCAGTATTGTGACATTATTTGGAGAGAGGGTCTTTATAGAAGTAATTAATTCAAAACGAGGTCAGAAACCTTTTAGTATTCTTGTGAGATGTAGGGGTAATTTATCTCAACATATCTTGGCACCTACAAGTACTTCCCACATTGGTAGCTGTGTTATTGTTTGTTATTGCAATTATTGTTTTACATTCTCAACAAGTAATATAAAGCTTGGCACAGAGTTGCTGCTCAATGAAAGTTTAACTATGGGAAGCTTCTGCTTTCTCATGGTTTCTATCAGGTAGTACTGGTCTACTGAAAACTATATTTTAATGTTTCATTATAAGACACTGTCATACACAAAACAATGCCTCCCCCCAAAGATTTCCATGTCCTAATCCCCAGAACTTGTGAATATGCTACTTTATATGGCAAAAAGAACTTTACAAATATGATTAAGTTAAGGATCTTGAGCAGGAGATTATCCTGGTGGGCCCATTGTAGTCACAAGAATTAACATAAGAAGGAGACATGAGAACCAAAGGCAGAGAGAGGAGAATGGCAGAGGCAGAGGGTGGAGTAATGTACTTCAAAGTGGAGCAAGGAGGCATGAGCCAAGGAATGCAGGAGGCTTCTGGAATGTGGAAAAGGCAAGGAAATAGATTGTCCTCTAGAGCTTCCAGACTCTAGAGCTTCCAGAAGGAACCAAGCTCTGCCAACACCTTAGTTTTAGCCCAGAAGACCTATTTCAGGCTTTTGAGCTCCAGAACTTTAAGATAGTAAACTTGTCTTGTTTTAAGCCACGAAAGTTCATGGTAATTTTTTACAGCAACAATAGGAAACTAGTCCAACCCCTTAAATGACTTCAAAGATCTCTGTCTAAAAGCAATTAACTAGAAGCTTTCCGGGTGCCAAGAAATATTTTTCTATGAAACTAGGCATCTTAACCTCCAAATCCAGAGATCACTGGGAGTGCTAAGTTATGCAAAGCAAGCAAATAAAAAAGAAATTTGCTGCCTTGTATATAATAGATGTCTAATAGTAGTCATTTTAGTTATCATCATAAATCTGCTAATATCCCAGTAAGTGACTTCACTATGGAAGATATACACCAGCCAAAATTGTGGCTAATCTTTGAGCTTGTCCAGCTACAGTCCACCGCTAGTTTCTCAATCACATTGATCCCGTGTGAAAAGCCTACCCCATGGGAAATTAATGGTTCTGCATCTGCATTCCATGGTACATCTTCATCCTCTAATCATTTTGCTTTTTGTAATTCCATCTAATACAGCTTGGTTTGGCATGACAGAAGACCACAGGTAACATTGAAAGAAGAGAGATGCTGTTCTAGAGTACAGAGGACAACAGGCAAGACAATTCATGGATGGTACCAGTGACGGCAGAGTAATCAATGAGAGGGAAGAAAGCTATATGTAGGCAGTTCAGCAGGGAAGTTCTGAAGGGACCAGGAGAACGTGTTCAAAATCCATAGTGATTATTTTGGTAGATTCTTATAGAGTCAGCTATCAGTAACGTTTTGTCACCAGCTTGTTTAATAAAGAGACTCAGACCCAACTAACAAACAGTGGAGTAAGAAGAATACCAAGAGAGTGTGGTATCCTGGAACCCACGTGAAGTAGGTGTGAAAGAGACAATCCACCATGTCAGATGCTGGTGATAGGTCTCATGAGCAGCCCTCATGGTGGCCTGAGGTTTATAGTTGCTACACTGGAGTAAACCCAATTCTTATTTCATGTAAGTACAAATTTTATATCCAGACAGTGCTAGGTATTTAGGTATTATACATATTCTAGCACATAAGTTATTCTCTTTTTCATAATATTTTCTCTCTCCTAATTGTGAGGGGGGTGGCAATGTACCAAACTTTGTTTTTCACCTGTAGTATTAATTCGTCCCCACTCTATTACTCCTCACATCCATGATACACTCTATACCCAAGTTCCTATGTACACTTTGTTTTTTCCAAATAATACCTCCACGTACTTTTCAACCTTGTGTCCCCTTTCTGGCTAGCCATCCTTTAACCAACCTCAGGTGTCTCTCCCCTACCAGATTAGCCCTCTTTCTTCTTCATTTTTGGCTAGCATTTATCAAGGGCAACTGTCTGCTGGCACTGGACTACTATTTTCCATACATGATCTCAAGTAATACTCAAAACAACCCAAGTAGGAAAGTCCTGCTATTATTCCCATTTTACAGAAAAGGCACAAAGAGATAAATAATTTGCCCAAGGCCCACTAACTAATAAATAGTAGAGCTTCACTTGCAGTGCAGGTCTGTTGAACGATTCCAGAGCTAGGAATCTTAACAGCTATACCATCTTCTCCAACCATTGCTCCATCCTTTCCCCTCTCTCCCTCTCCACGCCCTGCCCAGAGGGTAACACACTTCCCTCTGCGCACCTGCACCCCTTCCTTCCTGGCACTAGTGTGCTTCTATAGCACTTTCCATGTTGTTTGTTAGACAGTTTTGTGTCTGCCTCCTTGTTAGAATCTGAGTTGCTTGAGATCCATCTTTTCTCTTTTCCTCAATAGTATATTCTCTGTGCATGGTATAGGGATGGATACATACTAGGTTCTTAGTGTTTGTTGACATGGATCTCTTCTCCAGAGCAAAAAGGCTTACTATGTATTCTAGGCATAATATTCAGCTTAATAGCAAGGTGGTCTCATCATATACAAATGAATATAGTAATAAGAGGTTCTTGCTCATTCTAGTTTTACCATGGAGGCTCCCTGGGATGATATCATTTAACTGTTGTTTTTAAAGCTGGATAAAGTTATTATGAAAAAAAGCAGGATAAAACTGATTTTAGCTGATGTTTTGATGCAATTGATGTTATCAGTAAAGAAGTGCTAATTTTACAAAACTGAGAGTACAGAATAAGTATGTGAGATAAGGCAGGATACTCAGGGGATGTCTTCCATGTTTTGATTCCTATGCAACAGCAGATAAACTACTAAAATCAACAGTTCTATTGAACAGAGTGCTGTTTTTAAAGTAAAAAAGGAGGGCTGTTAGGAGGGCTGTTTTTAAAGTAAAGAAGGGAAAGGTGCCTATATATTTTTGTGTCTCAGGCAAAGACTTCTGGTCCATTATTTAAAGAGTCAGCATTTTAGTTAAAACTTTATCAGATGTTGGTGAGATACTTCTGGACCCCTAGCCCTTAACTGAAAAATAATTTATGCACCTTTATTTGCTAATATGTGAATCATATTCAATTTTTTTACATCTATTATGGTAAAATAGGCTACGTGAAAGTTCTGTAGACAGAAAAACCAATTTCCATTGGTCCTGCTTCCAGACTGGGTCTTGAAAGCTGCACCCACCCTGAAGGACCCCTTCCTGCTCACAGCCCCACTCTGTGTGATGGTACTGTGTGCCCAACAGGCATCAACTCTACCCATGCGAGGCCATGGCACTCAGCATTTTTGTTTCAGGAGTCACACTATCTTACAAAAGTAGAAAAATATATTCAACTTCAACTTTTTGGACCCTTCAAAGAATATTGCTATGGATAGATGAGTTTTGGTTCTAAGAGGGTATTTTCTCCCCAAAGTACTACTTATCGGTTTGAAAATGATTAGCTAATTTGAACAGAGATCTTTCCATACAGCATTTTATGCTCTCTTCTTCTTGAACCAATAGTCAAAAGTGGTTTGATATTTTTTTCATGATTTATTGTCACCAGCATGAACATTTCTTAATGAACTCTGGTGCAAGGCTATGTTTTTTCTAGGGTTCATTAAAATTGATAAGAATTTGGGCTCTTGCATTAAGTGACCCGATGTAAACTCATTCCCTGCTGTGAATATAGATGTCAATGAAAGCAGATCTGAATTTCCTTGGATTTGGAAACCACTTTTGTCTACAGTAACAACAGAGAAATTGTGTAATACAATAATAACAGGTACATGCAGTGTATGTGCTAATTAATGGCAAATACAGTTGAGGTAAGGGTCAGCTATACCCTCCCAAGAATACTGTACCTGTTCTTTGGTGCTTTGATTTGGTGTGTATTTTATCCGCTCACAAGCTGTTTTTCCCCCACCTGGTTTATAACTGTATTTCAAATACATAAGGTTGCCAAACAGATGAGTTCCTTAGTAGATTAGGTGATGATGCAATGAGTTTGTTTATTTTATACCTGTACAATTATGTTTATCTACAGCATTCAAATGAGAGCTTGTATCACACAGTGGATAAGAGACCAGGCCTGGCTGTTTGCAAATCCTGACTCAGCCACTTAGCAGCTGTGTGCCTTTTAGGCAAGTCATTTAACCCTTGTATTCCATGGTTGTCTTATCTGTAAAATAAAGATAATAGTAGCACCTAACTCATGGGGCTTCTGTGAAGATTAAATATGTAGAGTCCATACAGTGATGCCTAGCACACACTAAAGACTCAGCTAATGCTGGTTTTTGTTAACATTGCTTATTGCAAACAGGATTGTGAATCTCAGTGTTAAATTGAGTCACTACAGGTGCTCAATATTCATGTCCCATCTATAATTCTGCTTCCTGCAAAGACCTTTTCCTAAACGTAATGAACCCTCTCTTTAAAATACCAGGGGAACTTTGATCTACTTTTCTTTTGGTGCTTATGTTGCTGTACCTACCACATAAGCAGTCATGAGGATACTGGCTCATTTTCCCAGTGGGAGAAAAACTCAGGAAAGGGCAAGAACTATAGTATCCATTACCTGCTCCTAAAGCACTGGCATTTAAGACCAATCAGAAACTAGTATGGAACTGAGAATAAATGAATATTTATATATTTGGCAGCTCTTTCACTCAAAAGTGATATATAAATTGCTTCTTGAGGAATGCCCCTGTAATGATAATCTTACAGAGGAGAACTTGCCCTGGGCATGCATAATGTTTACCATGAAAATAAAGTTTTCTAAGTGCTTTTTTGGACTGGCTTACTCTCAGATTTGCAAACCAGTAGAAAAACCAACCACTCCAAAGAATGTGACTTTCAGTAAGAACAGCAGGGCTTTCCTTTCATGCCCAAACCTTTCTCTGGGAAAAGGAAAATCAATACCCTGAAGGGGATTTTCCAGGTTTGTTTTCTCCAATTTTGCCCTGCTCGGGCAACACATGTTGACAGCCCAGATGGAAAATGTTGAAACACTCAATAAGGATGCTCTTCCAACTACATCAAGCTAAAGCCTGTGGGATATCCTTTCGATACAACTACACTTTTTCATACTCTTTCAATTCTCTCAAGTTAAGGAGAGAGAAATGTGAATTAAAGGTATAATACTTATCAGTGATAGGCAGTCTGTATGAATCATTGCTTATAGATTTTAGTCCTCGAACAGTTCACATTCTGTAAAAATAGTCATAAATTCTTAACTCAAAAATGTTTTATGGCTGAAGAAGAAAAGTTGCACGCTGTAGGGTGTATGTATTGTGTGGTTACTTCTAAAAATAAAAGTCATCTTTCAAGACACTTTAGAAAAACAAAAAAGGGATTCCTATCAGTTAAAGAGGAAGAGATGCCAGGAGGAGCATTGTTGTTTTGAAGAAAGGGAGGAACTCAGCCTCTGAAGAAAATACTACAAGTCCATCCCAATTTCTTAACTTACAAACACCTCCTACTCCCAGCTCCCACCTCCACTGCACCACTTCTCTGCTTTACCTCCTCTGAGGCTGCACTTTACCCTTTTAATCTCCATTATTCTCTCCTTGCTATGAAACAACCAAGCTAAACTGGACTCTTCACACCACCTTGTGGCACATCTAAAAACTTGGGATTTTTGTTTGTTTCTTTTACTCAGAAGTACTTCCAAAAGTCTTCATAATATGGTTTGGCTATATCCCCACCCAAAATCTCATTTTGAATTGTAATCCCTATAATCCCCATAATCCCTACGTGTCAAGGGAAAGACCTGGTGGAGGTAATCGAGTCATGGGGACAGTGACCCCCATGCTGTTCTCGTGACAGTGAGTGAATTATCACAAAATCTGATGGCTTTATAAGTGTTTGGTAGCTCCTGCTGAGTTCATTCTCATTCGTGCCACCTTGTGAAGAAGGTGCCTTGCTTCTCCTTTGCCTTCCACCGTGATTGTAAGTTTCCTGAGGCCTCCCCAGCCATGCTGAACTGTGAGTCAGTTAAACCTCTTTCCTTTATAAATTACTCAGTCTCAGGCAGTTCTTTATAGCAGTGTGAAAATGGACTAATATACTTCATGTAGCTCTTCCTTTTCTAATTAAGCTTTTTTAAAAATGGTAAATAACTAAAATTTTCCTCATCCCATTAAATGGTTGAATATATACTATTTTGTACTTCAGTAGTATGGATTCTTGTTAAGGATGACTTATCATCATTGGTATTTATGTTCTTAGTTTTGTCTTACCGATTAACAATGAACTTCTATAACATAAACTTCGTTTTTACTTCAAAAAACTTAAAACAGAATTACCATCGAATCAACAAAACAATGATAGCTTAAAATATAGACAACAGTAATAATAGGAAGCACAAGGAAATTAGCTGCACTTCTGCTTTGGACACACAGACCTCTTCAAATAGTCTGTAACAATCACAGGTCTGCTATTATTCCTCTCCCTTCCAATAAAAATCCTATACACATTTGATATCTCCCAGACCCTGCTTTGTTTCCAAAGATTCAGTAACTTGAAAAATATATGGTGTGTCCTAGTTGAACACTAAAGTCTTTGTACAAGAGCATGGGTGTTTGAAGACTTATTACAGCATTTGAATCAGGTTCAAGATAAAAGGGATTTGAACAAATAGCTAAAGGCATGAAAGTGTCCATGGATAAAAAGCAATGTAAGCTTCAGAGAAAATAACAGAGATTTCTAGATTTGGAAGAAAATTTCCAAACTCTCATTCATTACTGGAGGAGATGAAGAAACATAACAGGTTACACATGGCTTATTGGTAGCGGTGTGGGATGAGTCAAGGTCCTCTGATCTCCAGTTTATTGGACTTTCCTCCAACAGGGAAAGAGATTCTTGGCATCTTGAAATCATACCAATGACAGGAAATAGGACAGTGACAGTAATGGTCCCCTTCTAAATCTAGACTTACCTTGCTGCATTGTTCTAGGTTGTAATACACAGATTTCTGTATAGAAGGAGAAGATCTTGGAGACACAACAGTTCTAATCATAAAGGTAAATATACCAAATCACTTTGTCCAGCACTTCTAGATGACTCAATGAATGAAACGACAGGGCTACTTTTGGCTTTCTTGCCAGCCACACAGGCATATTTCAGCAGATCATTAGACTACACATTGGTTATGAATGAGTTTTCCAAACCTATTTTATTCTTGTGCTTGTAACAACTGCAGGCTCAGTCCTTTAGTCTGTACTGGAAACAACTGGAGCAGGCTCAGAATGAAGCTCTTGATGGATAACACTCCTCTCAGCTCATCTCATTTCCAGCAAAGTCTATCTTCCCTGTGACTCTTATATGTTCTACTCTCTCAGTCATGGATGTCAATGAAAAGTCTACTTAATGTAAAGTAGAACATCACATCTGATTTTTATAATATTCAGCTAAGGAGAATTTCCCTCTTATAAGTAAAAATTCTCTCTCATTTGAATTATGACACACTGACCATTTCTTTTTGTCTCTCTCTCTCTCTCTTTTTTTTTTTTGAGATGGAGTCTTGCTCTGTCGCCCAGGCTGCAGTGCAGTGGCGTGATCTCAGCTCACTGCAACTTCTGCCTCGTGGGTTCAAGTGATTCTCCTGCCTCAGCCTCCTGAGTAGCTGGGATTACAGGCGTACGCTACCATGCCCAGCTAATTTTTGTATTTTTAGTAGAGATGGGGCTTCAGCATGTTGGCCAGGCTAGTCTACAACTCCTGACCTCAAGTGATCCACCCACCTCATCCACACTGACCATTTCTTATATGACTCTTGTATCTGTACTTGAGGGGTAAATGTTGGGAAAGATGCAGGAGCCTTTGGAATCTGGCATGCCTCCCAAGCATGTGGTGTTACATGATCCACATCACTGTTGTTGAGCACAAGAGAGACAGACATGTTGGGACAGCTGTCATTGTGTGATGTCAAAGAAGGGGTTTGCTGCAGGCTTTGGCTTGACATGCTTTGAAATATTTCTCAGCTTTTTGGAAGTATAACTATATTTTCCATGTAAAACAGATCAATTTTTTTATTCTGAGAAAATATGTTACATGAGAGAGACAACATGGAAAGCTGCCTGTGCCTACAGGATTCTAGCTTTTTTGAATCTCTATGATCAAGTTAGGACCTGAGCCCCATCCAGAGAACAATCATCACTAACACATTATATCATTGAGCTACTAATCTTTATGTAACATAATGTGTCTAAGCATTCAGACAACAAAAGCTGAGGTAGTACAAAATAGGGGCCAAGAGACTGGCCTCAGGGTCACATCATATAAGTTTTCCAATATGTAAAATTGAAAGATATGTCTTTAGGTTTGTTGCAAATATTAAATTATATAATGCAAGTAAAGTACTCACATTTACTGACGCAGATGGAGTGTTCTAA
This sequence comes from Homo sapiens, assembly GCF_000001405.40. NCBI lineage: Eukaryota > Metazoa > Chordata > Mammalia > Primates > Hominidae > Homo > Homo sapiens. The sequence continues at coordinate 132,262,070 of NC_000006.12, forward strand.
AAATATTACCTACAGTCAGCATTACATGACGCCAACACCCGGGATTAAAAGTGGGAACAAGACAATAATCCAGATTTTGTTAAAATGATTAGGGATATTAAAATATTTGAAATAATTTGATTAATTGATTTTTTTTAACTTGGAACAACACAGACTTATCCTTAAGTTACCTTCTCGAAACACTTTATTTCACATAAGGTGCCTAGCAAAGAGCTTTGCATATAGTTTGGAACAATTAATGTTTGTAAAATGAATGAATGAATGCATGATGTGTTGCTATCCATCACACAGCACATGATTTGTTCTCTCAAACCCCATGCAAAAAATACAAAGACATTATATTTAGCCTCCATTTTCCTGAGGACATATGAGAACCATAGGAAGATCTATTTGTATGTAAGTGAATAAATTTTCTTATTTTCCTGGCCCTCATTTATATGAATGTGGTCATTCCTGGTGATAATTATGTTAGTCATAATGCTAATATCTTACTTTTGTAGATAAACTCACAGTTTTCAAAGAACTTTTTTTCAAAGCATTTTCTTCCACACATACAAATGAATATTTCATTTAGACTTCAAGGGCAAAGAATAGATAGGAATCATTGCCATTACTTTATAGGAAAGAAAAAGTATTCAAGCAGGTTGTGACTTGTCTAAGGTCACACAATCAGTAAATAAAAGGAAGAGAAGAGTGTCCACATATGGCTGGCGCTTAAGACATGCTGAATGTTTGCATGGATGGATGGATGGATGGATGGATGGATGGATGGATGGATGGATTAGTGGATGGATTAGTGGATGGACAGATTAATGAACCTGCTGTAAATATTCTAAGTCTACTGCACCAAAACAAAGAGATTAAAGTATTGTCTTAGTACTTGTGTCTATTTCTAGTTTTTAACACCTTTTCTATGTGTTTATGGTAAAATTATTTGCCATATTTGATTAGCAAGTTAATCTGTACACATACAATTATTGACACCCTACTATTCACTAGGCATTGGTGAGTAAACAGCTGTGAGTGAGAAAGAGCCTCTTCAAGGTATTCATATTCTGTTTGGTGACTGGAGAGCACAGACAAGAAACACTATAAGAGACAGTGACCCATGGCCTAATATCTGCTATGGATTTCAGGCAGAGGAACAAGCTGCAGACAAGGGACCCTTGTCTATCTAGTCCATTAATTTAGTGGTCAACTGTAAGAATGGTATTTGTGATTTTCAAAGACACACACAAAATCATACCTACATTGAGGAAAGGGGAATTAAACTATGTTATTTATATGTTCAGTAGTAAACAAGGTAAATAAATGTATGTAGAAAATATACAAATTTATATACAAAAAATATACAACAATGATAATAAAGTGATCAAAACAGAGCATGTCCATGAAGCGGCTAGGGCTATGAAGATACAGGCATTTATTTACTACATAGCTTAAGAATTTTAAGTCACCAGACTGAAGATTCTCAAAGGCTTTTAATACAGTTCCACTCAGTTCAACATATATTGACTGCTTATTACTGACCAGACATTGAATCTAGGTCAATTTCATCAGTATCTTTACAAACCCAAGGCCTAGCCTGCAGTGTGTGCACTACAAATGCTTTCTGAGTGAATAAAAGAATGAATGAATGAAACTTGATGGCCCATCCAAGGAGCTGAATCAGAAACTAAATTCAGTCATATTTTTCATTCTGATTCCGTTTCTTATATTAACTATTTTACTTATAGATACTTGCACATTTCTAGCGACCCAAGTTGACCTTAGCTATTTCCTTGCTTGGATTTTTTTTATTACTTTTGTAATAAATTAGTATAACCTTAGTAGCCTAGAGCAACACCCATCTATTACTTCAGTTCTCCAGCTCAAAAGCCCAGGTGAGCTCAACTGGGTTCCCTGCTTAGAGTTTCTCAAGGCTGAAATTAAGGTACTAGCTGGGCTGGGCTCTTATTTGGAGGCTCTCAGGGAAGAATCACCATCAAACCTTATTCAGGCTGTTGGCTGAATTCAGTTTCTTGCCGTTGCTGGATTAAGATCGCCTTTTTTCTTGCTGACTGGTAGCTGGGAGTCTTTTCGAGCTTCTGGAGGTAATCCTCAGCTTACCCTTTCTGTCTTCAACCAGCAATGTGAAGTGCTTCTCACAAGAGGTTGAATACTTCTCATGCTTCAAATCTCTCATCAAATCTCCCTTCTGCTCCCAACCAGAGACAACTCTGCTTTCAAAGGGCTTGTATGATTAGATTAGGAGCATCTGGATAACCTCCCCTTTGCCACACAAGGTAACATAATCACAGGAATAGCACCAGGGCGCCAAGGTCATATGGACCATCTTAAAATTCTGCTTACCGTATTCCCCACCATCTTGCACATCCCGAAAATTATCAAGTCCTACAGACTCTCTCATTCTCTCCTTTGCATTACTATTACATACAAGTGAACAAAGTGGGTTGGCGTATTTACCATAAAGTGGGAGTGACTGAAAAATGCATGTCTGCCTAGGCAATAACCCAATGTCAGATTTTCAAGAAAATTCTAAATATCCAGAATTGGAGAGAAAAGTATCTGTATTTTGACATATATATATTTAAACTCTGCAGATCAAAACAAACATTTCTGCCACCTACTTTTTAATTTTTTGAGATGAAGTCTTGCTCTGTCTCCCAGGCTGGAGTGCAGTGGCACAATCTCAGCTCACTGCACGCTCCGCCTCCTGGATTCACACCATTCTCCTGCCTCAGCCTCCCCAGTAGCTGGGACTACAGGTGCCCGCCACCACGCCCGGCTAATTTTTTTTGTATTTTTAGTAGAGACTGGGTTTCACCGTGTTAGCCAGGATGGTCTCGATCTCCTGACCTCGTGATCCACCTGCCTCGGCCTCCCAAAGTGCTGGGATTACAGGCGTGAGCCACCGCACCCGGCCTCTGCCACCTACTTCTAACCCTGGGTTACCAGTTTATATAATCTCTGCACTAGACTCTGCACAGATTTTGTTTAGCCCTTCTTAAAACAAGGGTTCTGTCTCTATATGTCCAACATCTGGAATTTCTCTGACACCTGTTAAGCCCTCAGTTAATGTGCATTCAATGAAGTAATGGTTATATTACCTTTCTGGTTAAAATGGGTTTATGCTGTATATTATCTGCCTTTCACAGGAATGTAATGAGAATCTGATATTTTTCATCTCCTTAGCTAATGCTCATTGCACCTGATTTAGGACCGCAAGAGTGGGTGTATTTTTTAATGTTTATTTTTAATTGACAAATAATAATTGTATAGATTTATGGAGTACAATGTGGTGTTATAATACATATATACATTGTGGAATGATTAAATCAGACTAATAAAAAATTCATTGCCTCATATACTTATTTCTTTGTAGTGAGAACATTTAACATCTACTCTTTTAGCACTTTTGAAAGGTACAATACATCATTATTAACTATAGTCACCATACTGTACAATAGATCACTAGAACTTATTCCTTCTGTCTAACTGAAACTTTGTACCCTTTGACTAACACTTCCCTTATCTGTGTTCATCCACCCTACCTCCAGCCTCTGGTAACCATCACTGTCTACTTCTAGGAGCTAGACTTCTTAAGATTCCACATATAACTGTTATCATGCAGTATTAGTTTTTCTGTGCCTGGCTTATTTCATGTAACATAATGTTCTCTAGATTTATCCATGTTGTCATAAATGACAGAATTTCCTTCTTTTTAAGGCTGAATAGTATTTCTTTTCCCACTCATCCATTGATGGACACTGAGTTCATTTGCATATCTTGGGTATTGTGAATAATGTTGCCATGACCATGGCAGTACAGACATCCCTTCAACATACTGACTCCCATTCCTTTGCATACATATGCAGAACCAGGATTACTGGATTACATGGTAGTTTATTTTTAGTTTTTTGAAGAACCCCCATACTATTTTTCAAAATGGCTGTACTAATTTACTACCAACAGTGTACAAGGCTTTCTTTTTCTCTAGATCCTCCCAATGCTTGTTGTCTTTCTTTTTTTTATGATAGCCTTTCTAACATATGTGAGATTATATCTCAATGTGGTTTTAACTTGCATTTCCCTAATGATTAGAGGTGCTGAACACTTTTTATGTACCTGTTTGTCATTTGTATGTCTTCTTTGGATAAATGTCTATTCAGGTCCTTTGCCCATTGTTTAATTGGATTATGTGTTTTCTTGTTATTGAGTAGTTTGAGGTCCTTATATATTTTGGATATTAGCCCCTTATCAGATATATGATTTGCAAATATTCTTCCCAGTCTGTGGGTTGTCTCTTCACTCCACTGTTTCTCTTGCTGTGCAGAAGCTTTTTAGTTTGATGCAATCTCATTTGCCTGTTTTTGCTTTGGTTGCTAGTGCTTTGGGATTATATCTAATAAATCATTGCTCAGACCAAAATTGTAGAAGTATCTCCATATGTTTTTTTTAATACTTTCGTAGTTTCAGTTCTAATGTTTACATCTTTAATGTATTTTGAATTGATTCTTGAATATGGGGTAAGAGAGGGTGCATCTTAATATGTGAGAAATAATATATGTTCCAGGAGCAAGAGCATTCGCAATCTATAAAATACTTCCATCATTGAAACTGAGATTGCTCAGGGAACAAATCAGCCTTTGATAATATTTATATCCACATCATTTAGAGATTGGCCAAAAGTATTTATTATGTATGTGAAGCTACACTTTGAACTTACATAACCCCCTGAGCTATCTTTTGAATACTTTAAAAATGACTTCTTCACTAGCTGTCTGAAGCCCAGGTTTGAAAGTACATTATCAATCTCTTATAGCTGATGCATTTCTCACATGGCTTTTTTACCGGTGTGGCAGTATTGTCTGATGATATATTTAGTACTAACTTTGAAGCCTCACCCAAAATTTAAGCATTGTATGTTCTCAAAAAATAAGGTGACCCCAAAATCATGGTCAGGTGTTAGAATGGGGGCAGGATTAAGAGCATGAATAATAATTTTGTGGAATTACTGAAAATCCCTCAGTCCATTATATAAATGAAAGGTCAATCCACAAAAGAACGTGCAACATATTTTGAATTTCTGAGCCAAATATCATGCCTCATTTCTATGGACTCTCACAATCTATTTCTTACCATAGCAAAGAAAATTTATTTCTGAGCTCAGAAGCTATCAACAAAGAAAGCTAAGAGAACTGCCAATTCTATTACTACTGTACAAAGATGAATGACCTCCAGTGAATTAGCCTGAAGACTAATTTAGACACTCAAAGCTAGAGTGTTGGGCAGGGCACAGTGGCTCATACCTGTAATCCCTGCACTTTGGGAGGCCAAGGAGGGTAGATCACTTGAGGTCAGGAGTTTGAAACCAGCCTGGCCAACATGTTGGTGAAACCCCAACTCTACTAAAAATAAAAAAAATTAGCCAGGTGTGGTAATGTGCACCTGTAATCCCGGCTACTAAGGAAGCTGAGGCAGGAGAATCACTTGGACCTGGGAGGCGAAGGTTACGGTGAGCTGAGATTGCACCACTGCACTCCAGCCTGGGCGACAGAGCAAGACTGTCTCAAAAAAAAAAAAGCCAGAGTGTTGTTATAGTGTCATTTACTATAAAAATTAAAATTAAAGGATATGGGGGCTTAAATGAAGAATTTTTAAAAAATAATATCTCTCCAGGCTCATCATTAAAACATATGGTTGTAGAGATGTTGTTTCCCAACAGATATATAAAAATGTTATTCTCTCTTTAATATCCAAATAGTATGTTCCAAAGGCCATTGCATTGGGTTTAGATGGATCACTAGCCATTTTCAGTTGGCAGTTTTCACTTCCTCTTTGAAACCTCAATGCTTTACATTTATAAACTAAAAAGAAACCAGACGTTTTTAAAAACCATGAAGGAAGCTAATCTATACTTTGTAGTAGAATGTTATGATTTCTATTTTATGACTACAAAACTAAATTTAGTTATCCAGCCAATAATGTGTAATATCTTAAGCCAATTGAATCATACTGAGTTCTCAGAAAAATAAATGAAACAAAATGGATTGTTTTAAAGGGAGTAAATCTTACCCCGTAAAAGACAGCTGCTTTTCAAATAACATCAATTGGATTTTTAATATAACCTATTAGGATTTTGTTTTCTTCCTTTTTTGGAGACTTTCTTAGTCAAATATAACAACCAGAATCTACAGCTTGGCTCACTTCTCTGTGAGCATTCTTATGTTCAATTCCCACTATTTTTAGCTTTATGCAGTTGTTCCAAGAACATACCTTTTCTCAGAAAGCAATATTTTCTCTACCTTCAAAGAGAAAATTTAGAAAACGTCAGAAAACACAGAGTCCCTAAAGTGGGATTTGGCCTGCTTTTTAGAACTTAAAAACAATTGGGTATTTTTAGTCCAGTCATTCTAAACCACAAAGGCAACAGCAGAATTTGTTGCTATAACTATATAACTTGACCAGTTGCAAACCGTCAAACATAGACCCCAATCCCATTTAAATGTTTATGTCCCTACTTAATTAACTTACTTTGTTTTGTAATTAGTTCCACATTTTCAGTCTCTTGCAGTTGAGACTGGGCTTGATCGCCTAAAAAATAGTAGCTCAGGCTGGGCGTTGTGGCTCACACCTGTAATCCGGGCACTTTGGGAAGCCGAGGTGGGCAGATCACTTGAGGTCAGGAATTCGAGACCAGCCTGGCCAACAAGGTGAAACCCTGTCTCTACCAAAAATATAAAAATTAGTCAAGCATGGTGGTATGCACCTGTAATCCCAGGTGCTCTGGAGGCTGAGGCTTGAGAATTGCTTGAACTTGGGAGGCAGAGGTTGCAGTGAGCTGAGACTGCACCACTGCACTCCTGCACTCCAGCTGGGGTGACGGAGTGAGACTCTGTTTCAAAAAAAAAAAGAAAGAAAAAAGAAAGAAGAAACAAAGAAAGAAAAAAGAAAATGGTAGCTCAAAACACTCAATTACTATTTTAAAAGCTTTTTCATTAAAAAATTAAGGTGCTCAGCAGCATTTATAACTAACTGGTATCTAATAGTAAGAGAAATTGGCATGAGATAATCTGGCCAATTAACAGTATGCAGTCACTGCATTTATGTTTTATTGTAGGGATGTGACGAGTTATAAATAAGTAAGAACAAGCAATGCTAGTATAAAGTACCTAGAAATACCTGACCTCTTTGAGGTCAGGAGTCAAGTGTTATTCACAGGGATGAAAATTATTACAAATGAAAGCTGACCATGGTGACTTCTACTGCCTAGGGATGGAATAGGTATTTGAATAATTAGTAGTGGAATAAAAAATCTTTATTCCATTCCCTTCCAGTCATAGAAGCTGTTGGAGAAAAGGAAAGGCTGAAATTACAAAGCCTCTGCTATAGGATAAGACCCAGAGCAGGTGATTCTTTTTTGAGAAAGAACAAATTAACAGGTCTTTTGGAGATGAAACGTAGGCTCAGAAGTGAGTGGATGGTGGAAAGGTAACTTGCAAGACACCATTAGGTCATGGGTTAGATAAATGGAGGAGATGGGTAAGCTAGGAAAGGCCTCGATAAAGGCGCAGGGACTGATTAACGTGACCGGACTTACCAGGGCAATGAAGAGACCCAAGAACAAGGATGGGCAATAATCAATTTTGAAATGTTTGCATTCTGTAGCTGTAAAAACCCACTGGGTTGCACCTAAACTTTGGTAAAAGTCTGAAATAAACACAGTGCCACCAGATGGTCTGGTGAACTCTTAATGATTCTCAAGCATTAGCTCAAATGTCTTCCCCTCTTTGTGACTTCATCTGATCCGCTCATCTCTCAGGAAGTCCATCAGAGAAAAGCCATCTCTTTTGGCTCAGTGCTCTCATAGTAAGTACTTCACACATAACTTGCAGAACTTACTTACCTGCATTATAGTATTGCTTTGAGAATCTGTCTCACCTGTTAAGACTATAAGCTATTTTTAGTTAGGAGCTTTTCTATGCATTTTTGTAACCCTCGAATCCTAGTACTCTGCCTGGCTGGCCCCTAATAAGCATTTAATAAATGTTGGTTGAAATCAGTCAAGGAAGCCTTCTAAGAATAAGTGAACTTTTTATAAAGAAAGAAAAGCTAAAAAGAAAAAGCTTCCATAACTTATTAATCAGATAGATATAGCAATAGATAGCTATAGATAGATAGCAGAAATAATTTCATTAAATTAGTAATTAGTGGGGACTTTTAATGTTTTGTAGGTTGTTAATCTGGACACATGGTACCTTGTACGTGAGTCTCTTGGTGGATCGTGTTGCTATTATTTGTTTTCAAAACTTCACTAGATTTGTAAACATCCTGATGCAAAACTATTTGGTATTCCTACATACATACCCAGTAGCTGCATAGGACGTGACATGCATAGTAAGGATGTAGAAAATATTTAGGGAAGGATACAGGAAAGGGAAGGAAGAAAAAGGAAAAGTTTTAGAAGAGTGAAAAAATTTAAAGGGTAAAATTTTGAGACTACGGTATAAAAATATTACAGAGGTGTTTTTTTTTTCCCCATCAGTTTGGGGGTGTCTGGGCCAAAATAAGGCACTCAGACATGCAAGAGTTTCCATCTTGACAGTGATGGATCCAAAAGGGAACCTGATCCTTTGTCTCCTCCTTGTTCCTCAGGTGCCACATATGCATCTGACTAATGTCAAAACAGAAGGCTGGACTCCTTATATAAAAATGTGCTGGCAAGCACTCCTGTGACCTTTAAAATCAATCATTGCAAATGGGTATTCAAGCAAGAGGAAATGATCTACAGCTGGGCGGTTTCTCGTCTACATCAGCTGGCAAAGAGGCAGACATACAATTACAAGCAGCATGATTTTTGTTTTCAGACTCCCTGCCCAAACCTTCCAGTATTTTCCATAGCTTTACTGCAAAAAATAACACTAGCCTCAAGTTTAACAGGATGTGAAAACTCCTTCCATGTCTTGAGACAATTTCCCTCCTATGCTGTTGCTCAGCTGGTTGGTCTCTTCTTACTCAGCCCAGTGTGATTTGCGTAAATTGCTTTAACAGCCAGATATTAAGAGCAAACATTGGCCTTTCTTATTCCTGTGTTCCTGAGTTTTCTCTTTATCCAAGTGCACCTGGCAATTCACCCAAATCACGAGGTATTGCCTAGGTTGTATTTATAAGCTCAGTGTGGGTAAACACAGCTGATCACTGGCCACTAGTTTTCCTTCCTTGCTGGGTCCTTTCCTTTCCCTTTTCAAGGCTGGCTTCCAACTTCCTACCTTTTGTGGCTCCTTCTGGAAGACCATGTGGAGTGGGATGTCAGGCAGCAAATGCAGGACCTCTCCAGATCTTGAAAAACAAACAGAAAAGATGGTTTCTAGAATAATATTGCTCCTTATTTCTCCAAGCTCCTGCTTGTGAAGCTTATCCTTTTTTGTTTCTGAATAGTTGATAGAAATGGACAGTTTCTGTTTTTCCTCTAATGAGGACACACACATGCATGCACAGTCTCACACACACACACCTTCCTGCAGAAAACATATTTTGTTTCTTTGTTTCTTCTTGGAATAGAAAAGAGGAGGTGGGAAGAGGAAGTTGTTTTGTTTTATAGCACATGTTGTTTTAAGGTTAAAAAAAACCCTGATGTATTGGCTTTCAAAAATGTATATTTTTTCATACCAAAAGTATTAGATTGCACATTTAATTGGTGAATCATATGATATATGAATTATATCTCAATAAAGCTATTTTAAAAATCATACTATATCAGAATATTAGATGTAAGTCATTTTTTTCTAAAAGATAAATTTCAAGTACAAGTAAAATAGGTCAGAAAAGACGCTGCTTTCCAAAGCAATGTTAAGCTTTTCCTTGGCTACAGGAACACAGATGTTGTGAAATCCACCCCTAAAAGCCAAAATGGGAAAGGAAAAGACTCACATCAATATTGTCATCATTGGGCTGGTAGATTTGGGCAAGTCCACCCCTACTGATCTAAACATGTGGTGGGACTGACAAGAGACCCTCTGCAAAATGTGATAAGAAGTCTGCTGAGATGGGAAAGGGCTCCTTCAAGTATGCCTGGGCCTTGTATAAGCAGAAAGCTGAGTGTGAACGTGGTGTCACAATTGATACTTCTCTGTGGAAATTTGAGACCAGCAAGTGCTATGTGACCATCACAAGACTTTATCAAAAACATTATTACAGGCACATCCCAGGTAGAATGCGCTGCCTTGATTGTCGCTGTTGACATTGGTGAATTTGAAGTTGGTATCTCTGAGAATGGGCAGACCCCTGAGCACACCCTTCTGGCTTGCATGCCAGATGTGTAACAAGTAATTGTTGTTGTTTACAAAATGGATTTCACTGAGCCACCCTATAGCAGAAGAGACATGAAGAAATTGCTAAGGAAGTCAGCACTTACATTAAGAAAATGGGCCACAGCCCTTACACTGAGGCATTTGTGCCAATTTCTGGTTGGGATGGTAGCAACATGCTGGAGCCATGTGATCACAGGCCTTGGTTTAAGGGATAGAAAGTTTAGGGTAAAGATGGCAATGCCTATGGAACCATGCTGCTTGAAGCTCTGGACTCCTTCCTACCACCAACTCATCCAATTGACAAGCCCTTGCGTCTGCCCCTCCAGGATGTCTACAAAATTTGGGATATTGGCACTATCCCTGTGGGCCAAGTGGACACTGGTGTTCTCAAACCAGTAGCGTAAACACTCTGCTCCAGTCAACATCACAACTGAAGTAATGTCCGTTAAAATGCACCATGAAGCTTTGAGTGGGCTCCTCCTGGAGACAATGTGGGCTTTAATGTCAAGAATGTGTCTGGCAAAGCTGTTCGTCGTGGCAACATCACTGATGAAAGCAAAACCACCCACCTGTGGAAGCAGCAGGCTTCACTGCTCCGGTGATTATCCTGCATCCTCCAGGGTGAATCACGCTGGCTGTGTATGCCCCTGTACTGGATTGTCACACGGCGCACATTGCTTGCAAGTTTGCTGAGCTGAAGGAAAAGGTTGACTGATGTTCTTGTAAGAAACTGGAAGATGGTTCTTAAATTCTCGAAATTGGGTGAAAACTATCGTTGATATGGTTCCTATCAAGCCTAGGTGTGTTGAGAGCTTCTCTGACTATGCTCCTCCAGGTCATTTTGCTGTTCATGATATGAGATAGACAGCTGCTGAAGTGTCATTAGAGCAGTGGCTGCTGGAGCTGGCAAAGTCACTGAGTCTGCCTGGGAAGTTCAGAAGGCTAAATGAACAGTATCTCTAATACTTTTCACCCTAGTCTTTTTTTTTTTTTTTTGAGATGGCGTCTTGCTCTGTCACCGAGGCTGGAGTGCAGTGGCACCATCACGGCTCACTGCAGCCTCAACCTCCTGGGCTCAGGCGATCCTCCCATCTCAGCCTCCCAAACAGCTGGGACCACAAACCTGTGCCATCACACCAAGCTAATTTTTTTTTTTTTTTGGTAGAGATGAGGTCTTGCTGTGTTGCCCAGGATGGTCTCAAACTCCTGAGCTCAAGTGATCCTCTCACGTCAGCACCCTAGTCTTAATCAATGGTGGAAGAACCATCTCAGAACTGTTTGTTTCAATTAGCCACTTAAGTTTAACAGTAAAAGACTGGTTAATAAACAATGCATCATAAAACCTCAGAAGGAAAGAATGTTTTGTAGACCATTTTGTTTTTGTTTTCATGTGGCAATTTTATTAGTTCTTAAAATCATTACTTTTTAACGGAAACACCTTGACTAAAAATCTATCACAGAATTTTGAGACCTATTAAAACAAAGTTTAATGAGACAAAAAAGGTAGAGCAGAATAATCAACTTAGAATGTAACATTTTGTCACCAGCTGATGATAAGTAACTACATCACTGAAGAAGTTTACATCATATTCAGTAGTGAATCTAATATTATAGATGGAATACTACCAATAAAAATATTTTTGTTTTGAAAAATCTGTCAACTATAATACATATAATGGCCATTGTACATCCATCTGCAATTAAAATATGTTCATGTAAATGCTTTTGAATAAAATTTATATGGCATCACTTCCTAAAAAGCTTTTTCAGTACTCTGTTTTCCTCTTAATACATCATATGGGAGTAAATTTCAAAATCTCTTAATCTTTGTCCTGTTCTGTTTATGTTTCTCCTTACAAATTTGGGGTGACCTCAAAGTCTTCCTAAGCATTAGGAAAGGCTTCTTTTCAACAGGATGGTTTAAAATTAAGTTTGCTAAATAACATGATTGCCATCACACCATTGGCACCAACACCCATAGCAGACATCGCTAATTAAAGAACTAATTTCTCCTGAAGAGTATAGATTAGACTCAGCTGTGGAGCTCCAGCCAGCTAGGAAAACCTATCTCTTGAACTGGTTATACAGCTGAAGGAAGTCAGTTCAGTTGTCCAAAGTCCCTCTCACTGTTTTATAATGGTGGTCTCTATTCTACCACAATCACTGTGAGGGTTTGTAATGCCCAGTTTGAGAAACGTGGTCATGACGTGATTTACTCCTGCTCTTCCATAGTTCTGTAAGAAAAGGAAAAAGTTTTTACCTCTCCAATTTTATAAGCCAGGGAATTTTCCAGAATATTAATAGTACTGGAAAAGACCCTGAACAGTTAGTGCCGTGGCAGGAGGGTCCAAGCGGCTGCAGAAGAAGCACATTCTGTTCCTTTTCTTCACCAGCCAGCCAGACCAAATGAGTGGGTCTCCTCTCCTCTCCGGAGCCACATTCCAGCCTGGACAGGAGAGGTGCCCCCGACACACAGTGTTTCCTACTAGCAAATGTGCTAAAATTAACTGAAGTTCCTCAAGTCCTGGCTAGGGAGGTAACACCGTCAGCAGAGCTCCCCGTTCCTTCCTCAGCACACTGCTTTCCTTGCTATCCCTGGGGCAAGTTGTCTTTGGCATCTTGAAGGATTTATACGTGTTGTGTCTTAAATGTGTAACTCATTAGTAATGAGCCAATAGTGGAAATTTCAGTGAACAGAGCTTTTTACTCCAGTAATTCCAGGTGTGAACCACAAATAGAAAGGTTCTTTTTGTGAATTTTTCCTCTACGGGCGCTAGCTATCTGGTGTTTGCACCCTGAGTCCTAGGAAAGCTAACACGGAAATAAAGCCTCCCAGTGTTTGTGTCTGTTATCTATAGGTCCTCCTAATATTGCCCTTCTAGGACAAAGGTGCCTTCCTTTCCAATAAGCTTTCTTCAGGGAGAACGCAGTGAAGGAGCCGGATCCTCTGAGACCAGTTCAGAGGCACCCCCTCTCCCACACAGCCTGGTGCAGCTGGGGCCGGCAGGCAGGAAGTTTGCCCCACGGGATAGCAGTTGCGGTCCTGCAGGCTCCCTAAGAATGGCATTTGGTCTCCTCAGAGAGGTTGTTAAAGTCATGTTAGACCTCTAAGGAATTTCCTCACTTACCCCAGGCTGACTCCAAGCCCCAGCACAAACTTTTCACTTTGGATCTCCTCCCCTCACCCACAATCCCTTTGGCCTGAGGTGATTTCCTGCCGTCTGGTCAAGACTGGCCCTGGTGCCCTCCCCTCTCCATTACCAGCCTCTCTCCTGTGTCCCATGCAGACCCACAGAGAGTCTTGCCTTCTGCTGACAAAACATTCCCATGCTCTGTGATCCTTCCTCTCCAGGGCTCTAGTCTCTTTCTGGATCTCTTCAAATCAATATTCCGCTTCCTAGAAAGCAGGAAGTTGGGCCAAAGCACAACAATATGGCTGCCGGTAGAGCGATGTGGCAGGAGAGAAAGTGACATGGGCTCAGAGGCACAGCCTGGGGAGCGCTGTTCCTCACTTGCCTCCTAATCTTGGGCAAATCTCTTACCTGCTTTGAGACTTTGTTTTTTCATCCTAAAAAAGATTATACTCTTATCCCAGGAGTAATTAAATATTCTATTCAAGGCATTCAGTACTGGGCTGGCAACAGGGTGCTTCTCGATATTAGTATTACTTGTTAACAGTGGCATTTATCGAAGTATCTCCTGAAGAAACTAATCTCATGATTCACTGTAGCAAATAGGGTTCAAAATTCAAATATGCTTGGGAAATTTGAACTGTGAACTGAAGCTTACACCAGGCCATATGGAGATTTATAATGATCACAGGTAGTTCTTCCCCTGGACAAGCTACTTAACTTCTCTGCCTCCATTTTCTCATTCATAACATGGGGGCTAATAACAGTTTCTTCCTCTTATTATTTTTGTGAGCACTAAATTAGGTGCCCTATATTAAATGTTTTGCAAAATGCCTGCTGTATCACATATGTGCAACAAATGTTAACAAGTAGTATTAGAATTAAGTAGTAGTATTACAATTAAGTAGTATTACAGTTTATAGTGCTATCACTATTTAATGATACTGAAAATTCCTAAAATTAAAAACAACAAATAACACCGTCTTTTTAATGTTGCTGAACTGTTGCAATGTTGCAAACTTTATTTGGCCAGGGATCTCTTTTCTGGTGACCAGTGGGAAACACTAGCTAAAGAATTAAACCTTTGAGAGATATTTGGTTTGGAACAGAAAGCACCTGAAGATATTGTGTCTTGATCCAAATAACTTTTCAGCCTCTAGGATTTCCCCCGAACTCTTATTGGCATAATGGTTCATGCTGTCGGAGAAGAAATGTTGAAGATGGTGCAGTAGTGTCTGACTTGTGGGCTTCAGTGTCCAGACAAGAGAGCATCCTAGCAGAGACCCAAGAACATGGATCTAATGCTCAGATGGAACAGAGTCTAAATCCTCACTGAGTATTCTTTATTATTTTGGAGGAAGGAATAAAGAGAAATTTTCTAATCTCACTAAACTTCAGTGTTCTCATCTACAACATTAAAAATAATTGTACCTACCTCATAGGATGGTTATATAGTATAGTAAATGTCATGTAAATTAACCTCAATAAAGTCTGTCTCCTAGTTATTATCACAATGTATTAGTCTGTTCTCATGCTGCTAATAAAGACATACCCAAGACTGGGCAACTTATAAAGGAAAGAGGTTTAATGGACTCACACTTCCACATGGCTGGGGAGGCCTCACAATCATGGTGGAAGGCAAGGAGGAGCAAAGCCACGTCTTACGTGGCAGTAGGAAAAAGCTTGTGCAGGGGAACTCCCATTTATAAAACCATCAGAACTCATGAGACTTATTCATCACCATGAGAACAGTATGGGGGAAACTGCCCCCATGATTCAGTTATCTCCACCTGGCCCTGCCCTTGACACATGTGAATTATTACAATTCAAGGTGAGATTTGGGTGGGGACACAGCCAAACCCTATTGCATTATATCATTAGAATCTTTGTTATTATTATTCCAGATTCTCTGCCTGACTGGTATGTGACCTTTCACATCATACACTTGTATGTCTGGAAATTCCTTACAGACTTTTCAGGGTTGAAAGAGAAAATGGACGTGAAAAGTGTGGCCTTGGAAAACACTCACTGGGTAGAACTCCATTCCTTCCCCTGGCTTGCAGGACAGCCAATGTATTTCATTTTTTACTGTGCCTCATTGCTTCTTATATGGAGACATTGCTTTGACCAGACTATAAATCTTGAAAAACAGATTGAATATTTCCTCCCCTTGCTCTACCGTTCTCTAAGTACCTGGAATATGCTGAGCTTATAGGAGAGTATCAGATTCACTGCATGAAAGGAATAATGGAAAGTCAGGTATTAAACCTGACCAGTGTGGGAGAAAGTTTCAAACTACCATCTTTCTAGAACCTTCAAATTAAAACCAAAGAGAAAAACACATTAAGAAACTCTTGTCTGGCTTTGTGTCCCAGAAACAGGCACCATCTGTTCTGTGGAAAAGGGCAAATTTAACTCTTGGCATGCTTTATTCTTTCTGAATTAAAGTATTCTTTTTTGGGGGGCGGGGGGTGGCCTGTGGGGAGACAGTCTTGCTTTGTCACCCAGGTTGGAGTGCAGTGGCACAATCTCAGCTCACTGCAACCGCTGTCTCCCAGGTTCAAGTAATTCTCCTGCATCAGCCTCCCAAGTAGCTGGGACTACAGGCGTGCACCACTGTGCTCGGCTAATTTTTTGAATTTTTTTGGTAGAAACTGGGCACCATGTTGGCCAGGCTGGTCTCCAACTCCTGACCTCAGTTGATCCACCCAGCTCAGACTCCCAAACTTCCGGGATTACAGGTGTGAGACACCATGCATGGCCCTAAGTTAAATTATTCTTATGTGAGGTGTGCCTTAAATTCAACCTCAGAGTCCTCAACTTGAGGAAGCAAAATCCTATGGGTAATTTTTAACTGTTATTTTTAATTGGCATATAATAATTTTACATATTTATAGAGTATAGCGTGATATTTTGATACATGTATACAATGTGTAATGATAAAAATCAGGGTAATTAGCACTCCATCCCCTCAAATATTTATCATTTCTTTGTGTTGGGAACATTCAAAACCCTCTCTTCTAGCAATTTCCTATGTGTATTTTGTCTTGCAGAATCTGATCCTCCCAGAATTGGTCTGCCAGTTTCCAGGTCCTAAATAGCTCCCAGAACACTGCAGAATGGCTAACAGCAGTCCCCTAGTGTAGAAGTCAATGTCACCTACTTTGTTCTGAAGATTGTGTACTAAGGTAATTAAATGAAAAAGGAAACTTCTCATCTCTGGATGTCTTATGATCTCAAAATTCTACCTTATATAACTATTCAGAAGGCAGGAATAAGCGTCATAGGATGGCCATAACATGCAAACAATTTTATATTAGTTACATTTTCATTTATACTCTCTTTATTGTAAAAGTTGAGAAAATAACAAAATTAGCCATAGAAGTATATCTCCTTTGGGGAAAACTAAATTAACATGTAGTTTATTATTAGATAAATTCACTTTGTTGAACAATCTGATTCATTTTTTAAAAAATAAAATATAGTAGGTAGTTGTCTGCTTCTTTAGTCAGTAGTCAGTGCATTCCTGGAAAACAAGGGCTTTACCTTCTAGTGTAATAAACTTCCTTTAAGCATACTTAAAATATAGAAATTAATGTGCGCAGCTTTCATTGCCTAACCCATCTATTTCATGAGAAGGACCATATCTGAATTCTTGAAGACAGATAATATAATGCGAAGCTTCCTATTTATTTAAAAAATCAATGGTGCCAATGTGTTTCCATTATGCCAGACACTTGCCAAGCATTCAGTTTCTTGAGACTGAAAATTTTAATTTAGCAGCGTTTCTTACAAATGGACATGAATAATGAATTTGGGTGCATTTTATTGTTTGTTTAGTTGTTTCAGTTTGAAGTGAATAGAAATATGTGGCCATGTCACTTTTTTCAATATATTCCACGAATGTACACAAGACACTGTGAAGGAAACACTGTTTGGGTCCAAAAGCAATACTTCCTAACAAATTTCCTTTAAAAAGCTGTAGTAAGATAACATTTCTTGTCTTTATTATGTAATAATAATAGTAAATCCCATTAGTATTGCATTTGAGATTCCTATGCAGATCTTCAAATGTCCACCCAACCATATGGCAATATTGAAGTCCTTCTTTTAAGTCTTACTTTGGGTTGTTTTAGGAAAGAATTTACGACTCTCTTTGCAAAGTGCCAGATCTACCAGAAGAGGGCACTGTGCTCCTAATTCACTCCGAAAGAAGCAAACATTCTCACTTTGAGAAACAGCTCTGTGTCCTGTCTTATCCCAGAAGATTCCAGGGGCTGAAAAAGGAATGTTTACACCAAGCATCTATTGCATTTGGATGGAGATGAAACGGGGAAGTCGTAATGAGTTCAATAGTTCCAAAGGCAAGAAAACAAAGGTGACAACTATTTACTGGTTTGTCACCACTTCGAGTCATTTTTCGTCCATGCCACACGGTGGCGCCTCTTCATCAATTATAGCTGCGCTGCCGCAGGGAACCCGCAGACAACTTCGGTCCCAAAACCTGGAGTTGACAATCAGCACTGTCACTTTGAAAGTATATATATATATATATTTTACATAAGCAGAAGCTTTATGGAGAAATTTTGTAACAGCTTAGTTTTCTTTTTTTCCCTCTACTTATAAAAATTTTCTTCTTTTAGAGAATGTTTTCCTGTTAGAGATGATCAAGTGTTGGTTCAACGAAACAGAGAGCTATTTTCTTTGTATCTGGGGGATTTTCACCGGTCCCTGAGCAGAGTCTCCATTCAATGTAGAGAATTCTCAGCTGCACCTTGTCACTTGTTTCCACTACTAGGTTAAAATTCTCTCAGCAAAACTAAAGGAAAGCTTTATTTTAAGCAATCCATCCATAACAATCCACCTGTCCAAGCCATGAAAAAGATAAATTTTTAAGGAATATAATTGTATTACTCATGTTGCAGTTAGGTTTTCAATTATGAAGAGCTTAGCTGGATAATTTTCTAACTCATAATACTGGCTCTCAATTTGCATTTTGACTTGTACAGTCTCGTGAGCTTGAGACATTTCTGGGCTGTACTGCAGAAACTGGAGCCGCGGTCTCTCTTTGTCACATTAGAGTGCTGCACTTTCTAGAAAGACAAAAGAAGAGAGCAGCCTGGGCGTCAGTGGGCTTATGTAAGGAATGCATACTGATACGATGTCACAATAAAACTACTGATGAGGGCTGGGCGCGGTGGCTCATGACTGTAATCCCAGCGCTTTGGGAGGCCCAGGTGGGTGGATCACCTGACATCAAGAGTTCAAGACCAGCCTGGGCAACATGGCAAAACCCTGTCTCTACTAAAAATGCAGAAATTAGCCAGGCATGGTGGCATGCCCCTGTAATCCCAGCTACTTGGGAGGCTGAGGCAGGAGAATCACTTGAACCCGGGAGGCGGAGGTTGCAGTGAGCCGAGATTATGCCACTGCACTCCAGCCTGGACAACAAGAGTGAAACTCCATCTCAAAAACAAACAAACAAACAAACAAACAAAACAGACTACTGATGAGTATCTTTTTTTTTTTTTTGAGACGGAGTCTCACTCTGTTGCCCAGGCTGGAGTGCAGTGGTGCGATCTTGGCTCACTGCAAGCTCTGCCTCCTGGGTTCACGCCATTCTCCTGCCTCAGCCTCCCAAGTAACTGGGACTGCAGGTGCCTGCCACCATGCCCGGCTGATGAGTATCTTTAAAAACCCACCACATTGGTTAGTTAATCATTTGGGAATGCTCTAGGTTCATCCTCTACTCTCATGCTTCAATGGGTATGAGGTGGGGACTGGGAATATTTATTTTTACAAAATACGCCAGGTAATTCTCCCTCACTTCCAGGTTTTGGGGTCACTGAAATGGAAAATACGGTAAAAGAACAGATGAGAGATAAGAAGAACTTGAGTTAAACCTCTAACAGTGAGTATGGCAGGAAGCATTTAAGACACAGGGACAGATAGATTGTGAGGACTGGATAAATGAATGAAATCTATGATAATTCCAAGTTTATGGCTATGTGAATGAGAACACTGTGGTGCCAATTCACTAAAGCAGGAAATAGATAAGAACAAAGAATTATAGAGTAAGATGAGTTCTGTTGGGGATATAATACATTTGAAATGAATGCATAACTCCAAGTTGCTATGTCTAGTCCAGTTTGGAGGCCAGGAATTATCAAGATACAAATAATGTTGAACCCTCAGGAGAAAATGAAATGCTGAAGAGCACTGACATTTAAGCCTGGAAGCTGCTGAATTGCAAAAAACATATTTATGGCCAGCTCAGAATTGTTTAAGTTAAAAAATATATTGAAGCCTCTACTTGAGACTTGTATTCTCCCATTTGGCTAAGGATTCCTTTATTTCAAATTTTCTTAAAATCAACAAGAATGCTTGCTCACATCACCTTCTTGGCCACCACAGTTACTGAGTTTGCCAGCCCAGATATAAGGAGTGGACAGGGTTTGAGAAAAACTGAAAGATTGGGAAACAATGATGAGAGACAACATAACCAGGAGAGAAAAGTATGAAGCAGAAAGAAGTTTGCAGCAATCATTCTGTTGAATGCAACAGAGAAGGTCAATGAGATTGGTCTCAGAAGCAATTTGACTTTTCTTCTAATAATTCATGAAGGAGATGCATTTTTTCAACAAATGTCTGTTGAGCACCTTCTCTGAACCTGGTAGTATGTTAGGACCGAGTGAGACGACAATAAACAAGATAGATGTAATTGATGTCTTCGTAAAATTTATAGGCCAGAGGCCATAGAAAATATAGAGGGGATACAGAGAGATGAAACCTATGAAAAATGTGAGTGCCTGATGCTATCAGGGAAGAGGAAGAGTGCCCGGGACAGTCTCCTTGAGAAAAGGACATCTGCTGGCCATTTCTGCTTGGGTATCCGGCTTCCTATGGCTAGGACCAATCTGGCTTAGCCTTTGGCTTTCTGCTCTTCTTTGGCTCTGCACATTCTCCTGGTCTTAGAGTTGCTTTTAAACCAGGCCCCGTCAAATGGGTGGAATCTTTGTATTCCTGCCATGGGCCCAAGGAACCCCATTAACCAGGTAGATAAACTTTTCCCTACATTTATGAAAAGAGGAAAAATTTAAGTGGAAACCAAGTCATTTCAGATATTAGGCCATATGAGCTTTTTGACACGTAAGCTTATCAGTTTCATGAATGTTAATTTAGAATGCTACACATTGGCACCTAGAAGTCTGAAATGAGGAGACAGAGCTGAGATTATGGGAAAGTCAAGGCTGCTAGGATTTGCAGGAAGAGTATGAGAGAGGAGAGAGACGCACGGAGAGAAAATTCCAGGAGTTTTCCCCATTAAGTATTCAGTTGACTACGAATCATTTCATGCGGAAGCCAGGGAGAAAACCACTTGAAAGGACTAGAGGGAACAGTGCCTGGAGGTCACACAAGCTGGGAATAATGCTAGCGCCTGTTCACAACAGCCAGAGTGGAAATCTCACAATTTATCAGGTAGAATACTGAGACGAATTTTGCTTCAGTAGTGGGAAACAATCAACCCTAGACTAAATGCTGCGATTTTCACCAACAAAGCATAAAAGCAGATTTGAGGATTAAACCTTTTCCAAGTAACTTAGGAGTGTTCCAGAATAAAGTTCAAGAATATTTATATTAATATAAAAACATCTGGCAACCAACATGGTAAATCTTTAAATATCTGGCATTCAGTCAAAAATTACTGCAAATAATTTTTGCAAAGAAGCAGGAAAATAGAGTCCATAATGAGAGAAAAAAAGTCAGTCAGTTGAAACTGACCTAAAGATGTCAAGGTGATCGAATTAGTAGACAAGGGCATTATAATAGTTATTATAACCATATTTCATATGTTAAAGACACTAGCAGAAAGATTGGGCCTGGGTAAGAGAAACACAGACGATATTGAAAAATTCAGTTAAAATTTCTAAAGATAAAAATTACAATGCTTTTGATGAAAAACAAGCTGGATGGGGATATTTCCTGGTGAAAAGATTGAATTTAAAGGCAGCTATAAAGACTATGCAAAACGAAACTCAGTGAGAAAAAAGACAAAGAAAACAAATAAATAAAAAATCAATTAACTATGAAACAATGTCAAGGTGCCAAATGTATTAATTGGAATCTCTGAAGGAGAAGGATAGGGTTAGAAAAACAATTTGAAAAAAATCATAGCTGAAATTTTCCAAATATAATGAAAAACCATAAAACCAAGATCTGGGAACCTCGAGCACAAGAAACATGAAAAAAGTTACAACAGAGCATATCATAATCCAATTGTTTGATACTAATGGTCAATAGAAAGCAGAGAAAATACCCATTACATGCAAAAGAATAAAGATAATGATAACAAAATATTTTTATCAGAAACAATACAAAAGAGTAACATCTTTAAAACACTGAAAGAAAAAACTGTGTCTAGAATTTGCTACCTGGCAAATATATTTTTCAAAAATAAGGTGAAGTAAAGATTTTTTAGAATACAAAAGCCAAAAGAATGTATTACTAGTGGACTTTCACTACAAGAAATGTTAAAGGAAGTCTGACAAGCAGAAGGAAAATGATACCAGACAGAAACCTGGATATGCACAAAGGGATGAAGATCATCACATGGTTGCTAATTGCATGGATTAAAATAAAGGCTTTTGCATATTATTTAAATTTGTTTACAGATAATACACCTTAAAGCAAAAATATGTGTCATGGGGTTTATAACACATGAAGAAGTAAAATATACGACAAAAATAGCAAAAAGCTCTGAAGGGAAGAAATGGGATTTACTGTTGTAAGTTTTTGTGTATAAAACAGTAAAATATCACTTGTAGGTAGACTGTGATACGTTAAAGGTACACATTCTAAACCTGTCAACAACCACTAAAATATCACTACTAAGAGTCACAGCCAGCCAACAAAGGAAATAAAATGGAACTATACATAACACTCAATCCAAAATAAAGCAGAAAAAGAAAGAAAAGAGAACAAAGGACAAACATAACAAATAGAAAACAAGATTATAAATTTTAACCCAACAATATCAATAATTGTATTAAATATAAATGGTCTAAATACCCCCTATTAAGAAACAAGTTACCAGATTATCTTTTAAAAAAATCAAGACCCAACTATATACTGCCCAAAAGAAATTCACTTTAAATACAAAGACAGAAATCAGTTAAAAGGATTGAAAAATATATAGCACTATTCAATATGAACTTAGTACATGAAGGTTATTTTGTTATGAACAAGTGGCAGCCTGTTCATAACTGTAAGACAGATGAAAATAAAACTTTATTTTATTAGAATATAATCACATTTTATAGCATCTACTAAAGGAAATGAAGCTCCTAAATTGGAGAGCAGCAGTTTATATTGTTGATTCCAGCCACCAAGAGAAAACATTGTTACTCCTTTGTCCCAGTATATACTGACAGAATTCTTCAAATGATGCTTAAGTTGGTAAGAAAGACAATTTCTGTAGAAACTCAGAAGGCGTGGCCTTTCTTTGGAAAACTGTTGTTTAGAAGTTCCATCAACTCTAGCAGTGACACTGGGATGCAGGAGCAGCCTTAGGGAATCTGGAGTGACCCTCGAAGCTCCAGCCAAGGTTGGTCAAAAGCAGGAAAGGCAGCTCAAAGGGCTCCACTGATAAAAAGACACCTGCAGCTTCTGTCCTCACCGTGACCGCAGCTGACCCTGAGCTGGAGCCGAGCTAACTTAACGTTCTAGATTATGTTTCCTAACTCTCATCTTGAAATGAAACACCCTCCTAACACCTTGTGCTTTTCCACTGAGAACAGATCATAATTCTAATAAATTATTTATTTGTGTGACTTTTTCCCAGCGTATACATAGCGAATGATTTTTACTTTCATTATTTAAAAAATATGCATGTATACTTTTTATTTTGGAACAGTTTCTCACAATAAGTTGAAAAATTAACACAGATAACACTTGCATATCCTTCTCCTGGCTTCTCCTCATGATAACATCTTAAAAGCAATTAAACTGACATTGGTACAATAAAATTAAATTACAGACCATATTTTGATTTCATTAGTATTTGCATGTACTATTGTGGTGGGGGCGGGCGGCAGTGCAGGTTATGTAGTTCTATGAAATGTTATCGCCTAAAACACAGTCATGTAACTAGCACCACAATCAAGATATAGAACTCTTCCACTATGTAGGGTCCTCCAGTTCCCCTGATTTCTTTCTGTGTCCTGATCAAAAATCACAGAATGAGTCAGGCACTGTGGCTCATGCCTATAATCCCAGCACTTTGGGATGCTGAGGCAGGAAGATTACTTGAGGCCGGGAGTTCTAGACCAGCCTGAGCAACATAGTAAGACCCTATCTCTACACATTTTTTTTAAATTGATGGGCATAGTGACATTCACCTGTAGTCCCAGCTACTCAGGAGGCTGAGGTAGGAGGATCACATGAACCCAGGAGGTTGAGTCGAGGCTGCAGTGGGCTATGATTGTGCCACTTCACTCCAGCCTTGGTGATAGAGCGAGACCCTGTCTCTATTTAAAAATATAAAAAAACACAGAGTGCCTTGACTTCTCTGTGAGACAGACAGCTGTAGGTTTTTCCCAGCAAGTTTGAACCTAAATCAGAGCCTTGAACATTTTCAGGTACTGACTTCAGGCACTGAAATGTATCTAGGTTGTTGCCCAAAGAAACTGGCCCTGGCTCTGAGCCAAATTCCTTTAAATCTCATATGAACTCCCTACCCTGACCTTCTTGCTGCAGACGTACCTAGGCAGAACACTCCCTTTCTCTCGCCATATGTAAGCATGTTCCCTTAATAAATGCCTTGCACTGATCACTCAGCGTTTAGTGCTTCTCTCTTTGGAACCCCAACCAGCCCCCTGTCTGGACAGTTTGGGGCACTACCTTGTGGGAAATCACCTGGCATTGCTTTTGGGGAGATGCCAGCTGTGGTTCAACAGGGCAAAAGACACTACCACAAAGATACTTCCTCATTTTATTTCTTTATAAAGCAAACCTTAGCCCAACCTAGTCCCTGGCAACTACTCATATGTTCTCCATGGCTATATTTTGTCACTGTGATAATATTATATAAATAGAATCATACCTTATGCAACCTATTGAGATTGTCTTTTTCATTCAGTGTAATGCCATTGAGAACTATCCAAATTGTCATGTGTGTCAATGGTTCATTCATTTTTATTGCTGAGTAATATTTCATTGGTTGCGTGTACTCCAGTTTGTTTATCCGTTCATCCATTGAAGAACATCTGGTTGGTTACCATCTTTCAGCTATTATTTTAAAAGCTGCTATGAGGATTCATAAAGGTTTATATGTGAACATAAGGTTTCACTTCTCTAGTGTAAATACTCAGGAGTATGATGGCTGTGTTGTACAGTAAATATATGCTTAACTTTATAAGGTACTGCAAACCTTATTTCAAAGTGGCTGTACTATTTTGTATTCCCACCTGCAATGGCGAGAAATCTACCAATTATTACTTCACATCCTCATCAGCATTTTCCAGTTTTTTTTTTATTTTAGTCATTCTGATATATGTATAGTAGTAGTTGTGTTATTATTGTTCATTGTGTTTCTCTCCAGTGAGGCTGTCAGTTCTAGAAGGTCAGAAAATGTGTCTTATTTATGGCCTGGCAAACACTGACATTCAATAAATATGTACTGTCTAGCTGAAAGAGTACAAAAAAAGACAAGGAAATGAACAGAGAAATGGAGCAGTAGAAATGGAGTGTGGGGAGGAAACAAGGAAGAAAGAAAGACGGGTGAGGAATCTGTGGGTGTGGGTCCACAGTGTTTGCTCACACTCTAGGCTGCTGCTCTGTCTGTGAGACCAGACTGCTGGGCCCTACAGGAATGATGTGTTTCTGTAGCTGCCTGGGCATCTGCCCACACAATGGGACTTATGTTCTTTAAAACCAAATAAGTATCTCAATGATATGTCACCTCTTCTATTCTTTGGTAAAGTCACACCTACCACCAAAAGGGAAAAGGAACATCTCTTATCTCTTATCCCATAATCTTGTTGCTTAATCAAGTCCATCTCTAGTTGCAGAAGACTGAAAGAAAATGTTTCTCTTGTGTATGGGGGTAGGGGAGAGGGGCATTTTAAAATTTGAATTCTGTTTTTCCACTTGTTAATCCATGGACTCTCATTTTACACTGGAATAAATATTTTGCTGCTTTTATGGATACCAGGAGAGAATCATTGAATGCAAATTATCTTGAAAATCTTGGATGTGTAGTTTATGCACATATATAGTGCTAGCGCAGCAAAAGGGAGAGGAAGTTGTCTTAAACTCCTTTTAGCACCCATCGCCTTTGCAGGTAGTCTTGTTCATTCTTTCCCTGGAGTATGCCAACCAGTTCATTGCCTCCAGCCTTCCTGTCTTCACTACATTCCCATTGTATTTCTTCTCTCTCAGGAAGAAATAACACTAAGATGTAATGTGTTACCTTTCCCATTACCAAATAATGATGATCTATTTTTGGAATTTCAGGTAGCAGCCTGAAATTAGCACTGGTTTATCATCTATCCTGTAGGCTTCTGAGTTCATGAAGCTAAATCACATGAATGGTTATCAATTTTAACAAAGTAAGCCCTGCCTATAAGACCTAGCCTCAAGCTAGTCTTATAGTTCTGTTTACTGTGTTTTTCGACCAGCAATAAGATGGCCCATGAAAGGGGTTTATATGGAAAAGCTTGATTTATTTAATCTGACATTACATGCTCTATATCACGTTGATACAAAACACTCTAAATTCATATTTTTAAGAGCTATAAAAAGCATATTTATGCTAAGCCCCACTTAGCCTATTGGGCTCTTGGCAATCTACTGTTTAAAAGAAATTTTAAAAAACATCCTTGGAGATTATCTAAAACTACACGATTTCATAGCAATTCAACTAATATTTATAATAAAATCACTACATGCAATTGACTGTGCTGAAAACTTTACAGGGGTTACAAAGAGAAATGT
Source organism: Homo sapiens (assembly GCF_000001405.40). Lineage (NCBI taxonomy): Eukaryota > Metazoa > Chordata > Mammalia > Primates > Hominidae > Homo > Homo sapiens. The sequence continues at coordinate 132,288,507 of NC_000006.12, forward strand.
GAAAGCTTTTCAATTAAATCACATTAGATAGTCTAATACACATACATTTTTAAATAACGATTTTAAGATGATTTTTAATTAACATTCTATTCTAGCTTCTTCATTGTACTGGGATCAACTTTAAATCAATCCTTTGTTCATTGTATTGAAGTAAGACAAAGATTTAATGTCAGTTCTTCACATAAGAGTAAGTACCAAAGGTACTATTACCTGGAGACTAAGCATTGTATAACAATTCCAAGTGTTTTTCTGTAGATATGCAAAATTAGCTACAGTACAGAACCAAGATTCTCCTTCTTTAAAGACCCTATGCTCACTGATCCCACCTTTCCCTTTCACTCCCGCAGGCAGAGTGCTCAGAAGAATAATTTATACATTAGGTAGAGTTGAATCAATCCAAATAACATAAAATAATATTCTTATTGGAGATGCAAACATATCTTACTTAAAGAAAGTTCTTTTAAACTATTGGATGTTAATAAATTCTTCTATATTTAGAAGAATTCTTCCACTTAAACAAAATTTTTTTAATTCTTCCCTTTTTTTTCTACAAATTGCATTCTCTCCACTGCTCACAATCAGCTTAAGCACTTCTCAAGTTGTTATTAAAGAGTATATCTTCTTAAAATAACTAATATTTCTAAATATAGAAAAATTTATATCTTTTCTATATTTTCTATAATATAGAAAATATGATAGTTCTAAAAATACCACTAACATTGAGGGCAAATACAATACTTAATTGAACACAACATATATGCCAAAGATTATGAAAAGTAAATATGTATACTATATGTGAAAAGAAATTATGCCCTATGGCCATCAGAACTGATGCTATGTCAGCTAAGTAAAGAGGACTCAGAAATAAGAGACTTTAAAAAAATTTGTAACTACAGTCTCTGTTTTCTTCACTAGATTTCATCATTAGCTTTCTTGTTCACTCGCGTATTTCAAGTATGCGGCAGACTGGTTCAAGGGTGAATGATTGATGACAAATTAAAATTATTTAAAAGCTGCATATGGACTTCCTGCAGAACCCATATGTACAACCACATGTCAATTAAGCAAAGAACAGACTATAGGAAATCTCTGTTAAGCATAAAAAAAAAAGGAAGATTTTAAAAGAAGGAAAGGGAAAAGTTCTGTATCTAATTAGCAATCACCAAATAAGAGAAGAAAGCTGGCAACTTGCAGAGAAGGCTTAGTACACCGCATGGCTCATTTCTCCAAGTGCACTGCACAAAGACAGCTCCTGACTAGGGAATGGAAATTGTCATAGTTTACTCCAAACCCTATGGTTTTGTCATTTGGAGATAACGGAGTATTAAAGAACACGGTTCTTCATATGAGGACTAAATGGTCTATGGAAAGCAATTCCATTCTTGCAATTCCAGTATCCCATCTGAATGACGGTGCTTCTAACTCTAGCAAGATTAGCAAATGACTAGGCAAGTTCATTGCAGAATCCTCATTTGGCCTGGGAAATTCTTTACAGGGAGCCAGTGATGTAAATGCAGAGAGTTCTAAGGGAAAAAAAATCCTTCACTTTTTCTGTCTACAAAGTGCATTCTCACCACTGCTCACAATTGGCTTAGGCACTTCCTCAAGCTGTTATTAAAATAAAGAAGTATATCTTCTTAAAATAACTAATGGGCTAAACAATTAAAAGATTAGCAAAAAATGCTTAAACTGATTAGATTAGAATTAAGGATGGAAATTAAATTTAAAAACAAAAAATTGAAGATAAAAGAACAAGAAGTTAAAGATTTAAATACAGTAATCTCAAAACAGAAGGTGAAGTATAAAATGCAAGCTACAACAAACTAACAATTTGGAAAATTTCAAAAGAGACTCAGAATCATTACAGTAAAAGGTTAGGAGACTTAAGGTTGATCTTAGAGCTTAACCCTCAATAAGAATTATTTTAAAATTATTTAAAGGCTGCATATGGACTTCCTGCAGAACCCATCTGTACAACCACATGTCACTTAAGCAAAGAGCAGACATTAGGAAATCTGTGTTAACCTTAAAAATGGAGGATTTAAAAATCTTTAAGAAGCTTAAGGTAATTTGAATTTAGAATTAGCAAGAAAATAAAGGCAATAGGGAAATAAGTATGTAGGCTGGGAAGGGCCAGGGCAGGTTCTTTGAGAAGTCTAATACCTCCAAGCCAACATTGGCAGGATTTATACCAGATATGCAGTAAGCCATCTAATGGCTTTAGGGGAGAAACACATCCTTTGTTTAATACACAAAATCCCCCTCTTCCCTTTATTTCCCATATTATTCCTTATTTTCAGTTAATAGTAATATAGTTTTATTTGATAGATTTATTTCAAAAAGTCTGTCTTTTAAATATATTCTAAGAAGAGAAGACAACTTATGAAATAGTCAAAGTGAGGTGAAGACACATGAACCAAATGTGGAAGGAAAAGTCTCATGAAGCAAGGAAAAATAGGCCAAAATTGTAAAGCTTTCCTCATAAAAAACTAGAACTCCATTTTTGCAAATCATAAAAAACACGAGAAAGGTAGATTGGTTCATTTTAACTTTATTAGTTTCATGACAGCAGATTATTTCCAGGAGGAAAAAGAGCAAAGAATAATGTCTTTCCTTTTGACAAACATGAGAAATGACAAGTAGCTAGTCATTGATTTTTTTTTCTTTTTGAGAATGATTGCCAAATTCACTCAGACCTAATATTCATTTGATTAAGTGTCATTCACTTTGAAAAACTGATTCAGTTAAAACCAAATTTCAATTGATTATATCCGGAAAATGGTATAGAAAATAAAATAGGAAACCTGCCTCTGTTGCCAGGAATTGTGCATCCTAAACATGGGGTCTTGCAAAGGAAAGAAGAAAACTGATATTGAGTGAGCTCAATGTGTCAGATGCTGTATCTTTATTACCATATTTAATCCACAAGCAACTTCTTAAGATTAGAAATTATTATCACTACTTTACTGATGGGAAAAGAGAAATTTACTAAGTCATTTTGGATATAGTTTATGTCCACATAGTTTAAAGTAAAGCAATTGGAAATTAGGTCTCCCATAATTACCACAGTACAACATGCTGTCTACTTACCTTTTCTGAATATAACTATTCACTTGTAAAAGCAGTTTTAAGCATTAATGAGAATATTGTGAAAACACTTTGCAAATTCCAAAACATTATAAAAATGTATGGCATTATTTTGATTAGTAATATTTAATGGATTAGTAAAAAATAAGAGGGAAACTTGGGTAATTCAGGCTTTCATTCTACATTTGTATATTATTCCCCCCAAATTCCTTTTTTCACATTATATCAATTCCACAACAAATATTAAAGAAGTTGGAAAAGAAATGTCTTTATTAAATAAACCTTAGATTGAGGCCACAGAGTCCTCATGCTATTGTTAATCAAAGGACAATGAAGGGAACTCTATAAAACAACTTTCATTAAAAGTTGCCTTTTTAACGTAAGGTTTTCCTTATGGTAAAGCAATTTAGCAACATCATGATGACCAAAAAAGTCACTGGAAATATTTTGCTCTTTGTGATGGAAAACCTTTAGAAAGGGCAAAAGCTGTGACTGGTCAAAGAGAGTCACTTATAACTCATCTGATGAATTTTGTTTTTTAATTTTTCTGCTTTCATTGTTGGGAAATAAGGCAGGATTTTGAAATTTAGCATTCTCTTAAGGAATAAAATTACTTAGGAAATAAAGGTAGTCTCTATCTATAGGTCTGAAATGTTCCAAAGATATGCAGCTTTGTCAACATTTCTGAAATACCTTATTGATGTCAAATAATTCATTTTAGCATATTCCCTGAGAAAATGGTAAATTGTTTTTCATTTTTTCTGTAAGTTGTACCACTCTAGATTAATAAAAAACAGAGGGCCGGGCACAATGGCTCAAGCCTATAATCCCAGCACTTTGGGAGGCCAAAGAGGATAGATTGCTTGAGCTCAGGAGTTTGAGACAAGCCTGGGCAACATGGTGAGACCCTGTCTTTACCAAAAACAGAAAAAAATAAAAATAGCCAAACATGGTGGTGCGCACCTGTGGTCCCAGCTACTCAGGCGGCTGTGGTGGGAGGATTTCTCTCTCTCTCAAAAAAAAAAAAAAAAAATGAGGGTGTGTTTGTTTATTGGCAAAATAACACGGCAAATAAGGAATAGACCATGAACCCAAGTGAAAGGCTTATGTCTGTTGGACTGTTTTACAGTTGCCCATGAACAGTTTGGAAGTTTCCAAGAACCTGTTAAAGAAACCTGGACATGCTCTGCTCAGAAAGTTGTGTGCCCCAGAGTTTGTTCCTTTGGGAACATTGCTCCACCACAACAGGGGTTTGGTGAAATGAGTTTGAGAAATGTTTCATACTATATAACTCTTCTTGGACTTTCAAATGCACATTATTATATTTAAGACAGAGACGTTATGCAATAAGCCTGTTTTAAGTTGTAACAATGTTCCATGACTCTTCATAGTTTCCATGGATCACAGCTCTGGCCTGGGCAGTAATGGATGCTGCCATGAGCCTGTTCAACTGACCATTTTCTACTCATAAAGTACCAGTCTGACTATGTTGGATTTAGATACAACTGTCAATTAAAATCTTGTAGGGCTAAGATGTTCAATATGATATAAACTATGTTCATAGTCCACATAATCTATGGAGAAAGGATGGTCCATGATGATGATGTAAGCTTTCTGTAAAGCTAAATTTATTCAATTTGAAGAACTGATATTTATTTTGAATGCTTCCAATTTGTAAAATGAAATGTTGGTGATAAGAGGTTTAATGTACTCAGCTATGGGCTTCATCACAATTGTAAGCCCAACGCTGTAGTACAGAGCATGGCTCAACATAGGCTCAATACAATTTGTTAATTTATTAAATAAATAGTAACCATTCTGTTTAGTATCCTATTTTGCCAAACATAAGTTGACAACCCTATGTTGGTTTGATCATTGTTTTTAAAACTCAAAAATCTTGGAATCATTTGAGTAGATGAAAGTCAATTTTACTAAAAACATATATTGCAGCAGAGATGTCTTCCTTTCTGTAGTGTTGTCATTCTCCAGGTACCCAAAGATAGATGACATTCTTAGCCCCTCTTGCATTTCAATGAGGCCATGTGACTTATTTTAACCAACGTGGTGAAAGTGGAAGTGATTTCTGCCCCTTCTAGGTCAGGTCCTTCTCCATTAGCAGGCGGAATGCAAATGACCCTGAGCCCTAGGAATGATAAGGCCACAGGATCCTGGGTCCCGGAATCACCACAAGAAGGAAAGCCAATGACCAGATGAACACACATTGAGCAATTAATTGATGAAAAATAAACTTCATTGTGTTAAAGTATTGATATTTTGGAATTTGTTTCAGAAGCTAGTGTTACCTAACATCTGTATCTCCATCTATATATGAATATACACAGATATACACCTTTGCAGACATATACTAGAAGCATATGCAATGTAAAAGTTAGAAGTGGGAAATAGAATTAACAGATTTTATTTATTAACAGGTTTTATTTATTCTTTGGTCAATAGGATTAACAGATTTTATTATTTAAAAAATTATCATACTTTTCTAAGTTTTCTTTAGCAAATGGGCATTACACATTAGGTTTATAATCAGGGGGAGAGCAAAATAAATATATTATTTTTAAGTGATTTCCAGCCTGCAAGACCTCTTCCTTTTTTTTTTTTTTTTTTTTTTTTAGTTTTTTGGATTTTTCCTCACTCCCTGGGTCCCTCAAGCCCTCTGTTTTTTGTTTTGTGGTTCCTTTTTTCTTTTTTTTTTCCTTCCAAACTGGAAGCACATCCTATCTTTAGTCAGAACTGACAAACTTGCAGTCATCTCTGCCCTCTCTCAGGGGTATCTGAGGAGTAAGCACCATCTAGTTTCTCTCTTTACCACCTCAAAATGTAGGAATACTGCAAAGGGAAGAAAACCTACCTGGATCACTGTGCTGTAGCTGGATTCTTCATGATGTTTTCTGCATTTCTAGCTTTTTATTCTGAAATAATTTCAAACTTAAAAAATTGCAACAATAGTACAAAGAAATCTTATGTTCTCCAACCAGACTCACCCATTATTATCATTTTACATGTCTCTCTCTGTAGATACATAGCCAGATACCACATAGATAGATAGATGATAGATAGATAGATGGATAGATAATTTTTCCAAACCATTTGAGAAAAAGTTAAAGTTATCTGACAATATTTCATCAAAATTCTTGAAATACGCAATGATTATTTCTGTAATTCCACTTATTATGACCTAGATGTAAGAAAATACTTAGGGATATAAAAAAGTTTTAATTTCAAAGTTGTTAAATCACCAATACTTATATTAAAAATTGAAATGACTTTTACACCCAATAATGAGTTTGGCTGAGCAATAGCCTTTACATACTGCTTCCAAATGTCCTTTTGTTTGCCACCCATCATTGGCCTCTGGAGCCATTAGGACAAAGTCTGAAGCTCTTAATATGTCTACCTCTATTGACTACATCACTCTTATCACTGCTAGGACTCCTTTGATTCTGCCTGAGCCCCCTTCAGAAAAAAAAAAAGATCACCCAGGATACCCTCAATTTTACATGGCACTGATGAATGTTGGTTTCACCAGGTATGTCTTCTCCACACTCTCTGAACCTAAGGATCCAACCAGAGACCATCATACATGGAGACCCCATTCTCCCCAAAGTCTCGGGGACTTGTGCCTGACAGCCTAGGTGTCAGGTGATGCTATTTAATCTAGGAAAGCAATTAAAAGCCTCTCTGAAAAAGGAGTAATAAAAAGCCCGGCTGTTCAGGAAGGTGTGCTCAACATAAGACCAAATAACTTAGAATACAATCAGAATTCTATAGAACTTACAACAGATAACCTATCCCAATTTGAAATAGAGTCTATTCCTTGAAATCACATATATTCATGAGAATTTCCAGAAGAATAATGTCAACTTTCTTCTTAGTAACATCAATGGAAGAGATTCCCTGGCCTGGCTCCATAAATTAAGCTTCCAAAGCTGTTTACCCTCGTCTAGCTGGTATGTTCACCTTCCTTACCAAGAACAAATATAATATTACAGAATATTTGTTCTTGGTAAGAACAAATATAATATTACAGAATCTCAGGAGGAAATCATTTGACTTTGATACCTCAAATTCAGAAATTCTGAAGTAAAAATCAACATAAAATTTCAAATAGGGAGCATTTGGAATTATATTTCTCATATAAATATTTGAATGGAAAATCATAGAATGTGAAATAGCACTTATAAAATAAAAAGAAAGTAAACTCAAAAATATGCCTCAAAAATATTAAAAACATTTCATCAAATGTACAAGTTCTAAGAATCAAGAAGGAAATACTCTGAAACATATTTATTTAAAAGGCAATACGTTTTGTGTTGAAGACATTATGGGGCAAAAAGGGCTTCAAAATGGAATGGAAAATGCAACATTCTGAATTGACTTTTACTGTTAATACTAGTACTGAATCACTTACTTTTCTTAAACAATGTATAAAATACCACACAAAAGTGTAATTTCATTTAGTTTATTAATATGATCCAAACAGATTTAGCTTAAGAGATGAGGACAGGACATAAAACAAGATTTGGCTGAGCTATATAAAGAAAACCAAAAGAGTGACAAGATTTTCAATTGGTGACAATTTAAAGTCATTTATTAACTAATATAAAAATAAATCTACAATAGAACCATGACTTAAACTGAGCCAGTATGTGGTACATGTGTCACCCAAAGTCAGCAAGGAACCATTCAGAACTTACACCCTCCTGGACTGGCTCACACGGCCTGTCTTTGATCTGGAACCTCATATAAGTCACCTCACAGCACTGGGTTTGCAGCCAGCTACATTTTTTCTCCTCAGCCTATGATCAGTTATTAATACATACCATTTCTATGTTTCCCATAGCCTCTTTCTTTTCAGATAGTGACAGAGCTCTAGAAAAAACTCATCTGGCCAGTACTAAACAGGGAAGGTGAAAAAAAGTACTTTAAGATGGGTGTGGGGTCATTTGGGGTACCAACAGACTCAGATAAACAAGGGAACCAGAGTGGGCATCAACAAAAAGCATTGAGGTAAGGGGCCCAGTGGTAATTCACAGAAAAGACCAGAACTGGACAATATTAAAGTCAGGAAGAATGGCTGTTACACTTGAAAAGTCACACTAGAAGAACAACAAAGAAGAAGAAAACTGGAATGAACAGTAGTCCCTTTTATATTTTTTAAAAGGAAGGAATTTTTTAAAGAAATATAAAAGTCAAGTCAAAAAGTGAAATAGCAACAATGAGTATTTAAATAAAACAGAATGTAGTAGGAAAGAAAGAATTCTTTTATTCCCACATGACAGCCCAATTTTTTAAAATGGTTATCTTAAGTCAGGCCAGTTTTATTTTATTGACCATGTATATATAACATCAGATATTTCTAAGAAAGAGAAGAGAACCTGATTGATGTCTCTCATGTAACATGGAAAGGAAAAAGGAGGGAGGGAAAATGGGGAAGAAAAGTCTCCACACTCTTCATGCCCAAAGTGGACACAGTCTTTAACCTGTACTTCAAATGACAGGTTCAGATCATAGAAAACATTGTCAAGTCCAACAGAATTTTGATCACAAGCTCTTGGTGCTCAGCGTGCAGCTGAGTAGCAGAAGGCAAACAAGCAAGTTGATGGAGAAATCTCTGTGCAGGGAAGAGGAAGAAGACGTGCCACACACCAAAGGTTCTGCTTTATAGGGTCTTTCTATATCTGGAGGTAATGCTGTCATTCCTTGAATCTGAAAATGGAAGCACAAACAATGCAAATGAACATCTGATTTAAGGCAGCACAGTGACCAGGCCGCTCAGCTGCCCACACTTCTGCAGGGGATAAAGGGGGCAGGAGTGGTTACCAAAGGAGTCACACACTGGGGGAGTCAGAAACCTAGGGTTAAGGAGGAAACAGAAAAGAGGGCCAGGCACTCCTTTGGAAAAGAATACAAAGCAGGCTCTATTGCTTTTTGCAGCACTCATTCCGGCCTGTTCCTGCTCTATCCCAACCTTAGTTTTAGAACTAATTTTTCTCTTGAAAGGGGGTAGAATGAGGAGTTTTCAGTCAATCCAAGTAATCATTGAACAAAAATTATCAGACATTAGAAGGCAACTGGACCCCTGGATTTATGGATATTTGTCTTCTCCTTAGGTTTTCCTGTAATAGATTCAGATAAAATGTGTCATCTGGGTTGTCAGAGGTTAAAAAGAGCTTACCGACCACTCAGCATTGTCTGTCTTGGAACATCTCACATTCACTGGCAGGCTGAGGACCAGCTTGTTGAAGGAGAGACCTTCCTTTTTAGTCCATTTAAACTTATTCATAGCATCCATGAAAGAAAGGTTTTTATATTGCTTGGGACTTTTGATAATGAAAGGCCAGGTCCTGAATTTAAAAGACACAGTTAGTCATATTCAGAACAAATGCATTACATGTTTCCTTTACTTTTCAGCATCCTAAAATAGATCTCACACTTATTCATTTTCATACACATAGATAACCTAATGCAAAATGTTGATGAGCTCATCAGTGATTACTAGAAGAAATACCAAATAAAAGATTTTTAAAGAATGATATTTATTTTTTAGTAGCAGATTGGCATTAATTTTATTTTTAATTTTATATTTTTTAATAGATATGGGGTCTTGCTATGTTGCCCAGGTTGGTCTGGAACTCCCAGGCGCAAGCAACCCTCCCACCTCCACCACTCAAAGTGCTGGGATTATAGGTGTGAGCCACCATGCCCGGTCAAAATTTAAACAAATAATTTTGTCTCAGAAAGCTTCTACAGAGTCTCACAATTCTACATTAATTTGGTTTGGTTCTAGTTAAAAAATTAACTGGTAAGCATTCATTTCTGAAAAGTACAATGCTAATGGTGTAATCAAGAAACCTGCAGGTTCCTAAAAGATACTGTGAGAGATGGAAAGTTCAAACCCATACACTATAAAAGCCTGACCCCTGCTGGCTGATCTGTTTTGGCTTAGCTAAGTGAGAAGACAAATACAACAAAAAATGTGATTTGATCAATGCTTCAAAAATTTTACTCATTTCTCAAAAGAAGACATACATAAGGCCAAAAAACATGAAAAAATGCTCCACATCACTAATAATCATCAGAAAAATGCAAATAAAAACCAGAGTGAGATACCATCTCACCAGTCAGAAGGGCTATTATTAAAATGCAAAAAAAAACAACAACTGATATTGGCAAGGTTGCAGAGAAAAGACAATGCTTATACATTGTTGGTGGGGATGTAAATTAGTTCAGCCAACTGTGGAAGCAGTTTGTAGATTTCTCAAAGAACTTAAAACAGAACTACCATTCAACCCAGTAATCCTATTACTAGCTATACACCCAAAGGAAAATAAATAGTTCTACCAAAAAGACCACATGCATTTGTATGTTCATCATAGCACTATTCACAATAGCAAAGACATGGAATCAACCAAGGTGTCCATCAAAGGTGGACTAGATAAAGAAAATGTGGTACATATACACCATGGAATACTATGTAGCCACACAAAAAAAGAAAGAAATCATGTCCTTTGCAGCAGCATGGGTGCATCTGGAGGCCATCATCCTAAGTGAATTACACAGGAACAGAAAACCAAAAACCGCGTGTTCTCACATATAAGTGGGATCTAATCATTGAATACACATAGACATAAAGATGGGAAAAACAGACACTGGGAACTACTAGAGAGAGAGGGAGAGAGGGAGACAAGAATGAAAAAACTACCTGTTGGGTGCCTGGCTCACTACCTGGGTGATGGAATCATTCATACTCTAAACCTCAGTTTCACACAATATACCATTGTAACAAACCTAAACATGCATCCCTTGAACCTAAAATAAAAGTTGAAATTTTAAAAATGTACTGAGAAAAAAAATACCCTATATAGAATACACTCTGCCTTCACCTGCCACTCCAAAAATCACATGCCAAATATTCAAGAAAGGAAAAAGAAATCACAAGAATGACATGAGCAGACAGAAGAAGTGACAGAAAAAGTGAAGTGAAAAAGTGAATGACATAACTTGCTTGAAAAGATAGTTTTCAGGTGTTGTCTTTCATTAAATATAAGTTTTATATTATTGATTCCTGAAAAAGGGAAAAGTGTAAGTGCTGGCATGTCACAAAATTTTACATTAATCCATGGACCTTGCAGGAAATTATCATGGTGACTAGAAAGTATCTGGCACTCATAACATCCCAAGATGTTACAGTAATTTCTATAATTATCAAATAATCTCAGCTGAAGAATATACATTAATCTTCATATTTTTAAAATTTATTTATGTCATTTCTCTCTCCCTCTCTCTCTCTCTCTCTCTCTCTTAACATACATAACCCACTCAGGCACATTGAATATCATCTTTTTAAGTAAATTAAAAGTTCCTTATTAATTTCTTGGAGTTATAAAGATAATTTTTTATGTCTAAATTTGAAATATTTCTTCCATATCTAATAAGTGAGACAATGAGGAAAATAGGTAATATATATAGATCTTTACATTTTTCATAATTTCCTTTAATTAGAATCAATATATATCTTTGTTGAGTTTTAAATGCATTATTTTATACAAAGACCTTAAAGTGAAGCCCCATAAAGTAAGAGCAATCAGCATTGCATTACATAAACATACCTAGCAATGGCCTAAAATCTATAGCATTTGAAAATTAAACATATTGTGACAATTTTGTAGAGACACAATCCAGAATTAGTATCAAGCAAAAACTTGACTTGAAAGAAGTTATTATATTTGCATACAATGTCCTTTTAAAAGCACTAAAAGCTACAGCTATTGATCATTTTAAGTCAATTATTAAAAATAAAATTTACTTTTCAAAAAGATAAAATGCCTAATTTGAAAAAGAGAAAATCAATTTTATAACCAGATAAATGCTAGGGGAAAATCATCAGTCTGTAACCATCTGAAACACCACAAGGTGGCACGACAGCTTTACTATGGTGCTTAGGTTGCCTAAAGCCTCTGGTGCCCCGCTGTTAAGAGTGAATAGTGTGACCATTATACACAGATGAAATCTTAAAAAGCTTTGCTGCTATAATAATTTACTAAATTGCCTATTATTGAGATTGTCCAACATAAAGTGACAGAAGAGGTGTAACCCCATTTGTCAGTTTTTAGAACAGATATGTAGAAAGGCCAAGCCCAATGGCGCGTATGTTGGAGACAGAATGACTGAGGCTGGGTGACCTGGGGATGTGGTCATCAACCTTTCTGAGATGGCATCTTTGTCTCATATTTATCATCTCCTTTCCACTCCCACTAACTTGGTTTAGGCCCCTGTTCTATAATAACTTTATACTAATAAACATCCTACTTGTCATCTCTAACCTTTCTAGCCTATCCTACACACTTCCAAATTATTTCCTAGAGAAAAGAGCAGACAGAAAAAGTGAATATTTATCCTGAATACTTTTTTTCAAAAAGACTAAGCTTTAAACCAGGTAACCTTAAAGTAGCAAGTATTTCTGCTTTTACTGGGATTAGGGATTAGTTGGAAATAATTGGGAATGTTACAGAAATAAAAAGTTACATTTCTGCATATCTTGTCAGTGTGTAAATGTCTCTCCATACATACATGTAAACGAATGGTATTATATATATATATATATATATATATTACTGTAGTCAATAAAAAACAGTGTTATTATTATGCTTTAATATTGATGGGTAATTTTCCTTTGTAAATTCCATCTAAACTCTGAGACATGTTTTTCTAAGAAGATAGCAAAGTTGACTGCAATACACCATGGTAGAGTAATTTTTTAAATTTTTAAGTGGAACATAAAGCTATTTATTCTTATAAATTCAAACTGATCAATGGAAATTTTAAAAGTTTAATGATTTTTATACTTGGTCCCTCTGTTCTATATAAATTGAAAAGCAGATGGAGAAAAATAATCTGTGGTTACATTTCTTATCTGAGCCTCTCTGGACTCCTGTTTTAAAAGTTTTATTGCTAATGTCTTTCTCGGGGTAGAGAAGGAGAAGGAAGGAAGAGAGATGGAAGATTTAACCAAGAAACAAAGTCCATGTACTTATAGCTAAATGAACTATATTACACACTCTCCATCCATCAAGCAAGTAAACATGTGATCAAAAACTAGCAAAAGGAACAAAAATTCATTAACAGACTTCCACTTTTGGCCATGTTGGAGTAACTGACACTAACTTCCTGTAAAAAACTCAAAATTCGACAAACCATATGAAACAGCTGGTTTGGACATTGGAAAATAGCACAGAACTATGATCCCCAAAAGGAAGGAAACAAATAAGGTGTTTGAATATTATGTTCATCCCAGCTTTCTGCCTAGAAGCATTCTCTGAACCAGAATGCAGGAAAGGGAATTTCGAAACAGAAAATGACGATCTCAATAAGTTAAGGAGATGAAGACCAGAGTTAAGGGAGTCTGAAGAAGCTTACATATTCAAGGTAGACTACTGCAGAGGAAAAATTTGTATAAGGATCCTCTGAGTCAGTAACTAAGCAATAAGCCAACTATATTTAGGGTAAAATCCACAAGACTGGGCAATGAACAACTAGAAGATTGTGACCTAAACAATTCCCAGAGCCTGTATAGAGCTAGCAGACATTTGAGCTCAAACTAGCCAGAGTGGAATGTCTCTGTTGACTACACGGAGTAAACATCTATTCTAGACTCACGCTAACAAGGTTCTTTAAAGAAATAAAAACAACCTAGTACTAATTAACAGAATGTGCATAATGTCCTGTTGTCTATGTCTAGTCAAAAAATTATTAAACACATCAACAAGTATGTAAATGTGAATCTAAACTAGAAGAAAAAATCAGTCAATACTCCAAGATCTTGAAATGACAGAGATTAAAGAATTAGCAGACAAGGATAACTAAAACTTAAAAAAACATATTATTAACAAAACATGCGCAAAACTTCTATATTGAAAACCACAAAAAAGTGCTTAGAGAAATGAAAGAACAGTAAATAAGTGAAGAGGCATACCATGTTCATAGATTAGAAGACTCAATATTGTTAAGGTATCAATTCTCTCAAATTGTCTAGAAATTCAGTATAATCCCAATCAAATCCCAGCAGGTCCTTTTTAAAAATGAAATTGACAAGTTGATTTAAATATATGTATGAAAATAGAATAAACCTAGACTATCAAAATAATTTTGGGAAAAAATGACAAAGTTTTGGAGACCTACATTTAAGACTTCCTATAAAACTATAATAATTAAATGTGGTTTTAGAGTAAGGCTAAACATATAGAGCAATGAAACAGAATAGAAAATCCAGAAAGAACCAATATATGGACAAATGATTTTCCAACAAATATTCCAAAGTAATTCAATAGTAAAAAGGTAGTTTTCTTTCATCAAATGGTTCTTGCACAACTTGATATCTATATGAAAAACAAAGAACGTTGGATTTACCTTACACTACACACAAAAATGTGTTCAAAATGGATCCACCTAAATGTAAAAGCTAAAACTGTGAACTTTTCAGGGGGAAAACAAGAGAAAGTCTTCCCTTGAGTAGGCAAAGATTTTTTAAGCAGGATATGAAAAGCACAAAACAAACCAAAAAAATGATGAAACAAACTTCAATAAATACAGCTTTTATAAAATGAAAGTCAAGCCACAGACTGGGAGAAATTGTCTGTAAACAGGCATCCAACAGAGAACTTACATCCAAAGTATAAAGAATTCTTACAACTCAGTAATAAGAAAACAAGTAATTCAATGAACAATGAACAAAAATTCTAACAAATAATTAAAAAGAAATACACAGTTGCCCCTTGGTATCCATGGGGGACTGAGGATAGCAAAATCTGTGATGTTCAAGACACTTATATAAAATGGTGTAGTAGTTACATATAACTTATGCACATGCTCCTAGCTACTTTAAATTATCTCCAGATTACTTATAATACCTAATACAATGTAAGTGCTATGTAGATGGTTATTATGCTGTATTGTTAAGGAATGATGACAATAAAAATATTCTGTGCATGTTCAATATAGATGCAATTTTTTCAAACATTTTTTATCTGAAGTTGGTTGAATCCATGGATGCAGAATCCATGTTCTGCATCTGGGAAAGCAGAGGGCTGACTGTATACATACACACACACACACACACACACACACATTTATTTATACACATGTACATATATATATATATACATACATATATACACATATATACATATATACACACACATGTGTGTGTGTGTGTGTGTGTGTGTGTGTATATATATATATATATATATATATATATATATATATATATATACATATATACATAAAACCTTAGGACAATTCTCTGGGTGGCCCTGGACCAATCCAATCCATTCTCATTTTTGCTTGTAGTTCTCAAGAATAACTATATAATGTGCTGGAAACAGAAAATCTTGAGATAGGAAGGGACTGACTGGAATAGCCCAGGTTCTGTTCCAGTACCCCCAATAGGGTTTGAATGTTCATGTCCCTCCAAAACTCATGTTGAAATCTCATCTCCACTGCAGTGTATTAAGAGGTGGGGCCTTGAGGAGGTGATTAGGTCAAGAGGGTTCCATGCTCATGAATGGAATTAGTACCCTTACAAAAGAGACTTGAGGGAACCTTCCAATTGTACCTTCTACTTGTGAGAACACAGCAAGAAGGTGCCATCTTGGAAGTGGAGAGCAAGCCCTCAGAAGACACTGAAACTGCTGGTGCCTTGATTTTGGACTTCCCCATCTTCACAACAATAAGCAATAATTTTCTGTAGTTTATAAATTACCCAGTCTAAGCTATTTTGTTATCCCACCCCAAGCCAACTAAGAGACTCCCCTGGAAACAGAGAGTCCTTCAATGCTTTAGCCTTGAATCTCACATTGCCCTGGGATATAAAACCAAGAATGGGCTGCTTGTCAAGGTCTTTCAGCTGCCATGCAACTGGGACATGTACAGTAGAGGCTCCATCTATTCCAGGCAGATTTCCTGAGCCTTGGAAAACTGGCTTACAATAAATTCTAGGATTCTGTTGTTTTCGCTGCCTATCTGTAAGCAATAAACCCATTTAATGTAACTTGTTGTGTATAAGTATGATTTTTCTTACTGGACTCAGACAACCTGCACAGCGAACCTGCTTTACAATAACCAATAAACATGTGAAAGAGGCTCAGTATCATTAGTCACAAGGAAAATGGAAAATAAAGCCACAAGAAAATATCACTAGATACACATTAAAATGGATAAAATGCAAAATACTGAAAATACAAAATACTGCCAAGAATATTGAGTAACAGGAGTTCTTACACATCACTGGTAAGAATGAAAAATATATTATTTTAAGAACATTTTGAGAGTCTATGGAGTAAACATAAACTTAGCCAACAGTCTCTCAACTGGAATCTGCTTAAGCCTACCAAACTCCCGAGGGCAGGGTCGATCAGCACCGCAGCTGCCTACTGTCTAAGCTGTTTGAGCTCCTTGGGAGAGGAGCAGCAGCCAGCACTAGGACTCGCAACTGCCTAACGTACTAAGCTCCCTGGGCGAGGGAAGGGCAGCATCCATCTCTATAGCTCCAGACTGTGCTTTTCCCCTGCTGGAGCCAGAGAGGCTGGATGGCTTGGTCACAAGACTTGTTCCCCACAGCCCAACACACTGGCTGTGGCAGTCTTCCACCAGAATGCCTCTTCAGGCTTGACCCTGACCCATCCTTCCTCACTGGGTGGGGCTTCCCTGGAGGAACTCCAATGACTCCAACTAGAGGCTCAGGGACAGAAGCTGGATCTCCCTAGTCCTAAGCCCCTAAGGGGAGGGGTGGCTGCAGCCTCTGTGGACCAGCAGGCTTCGCCTTTCCTCCTGGTAGCTCTGAGGAATCCAGGCAGCCCAGATGAGTGGGTTTTCTCCCAACAAGGCACACACCCTCCACCAAGGGACAAAGTGCTTTGTAAAATGAGTCCTGTTCCCTATGCCAGCCAAATGGGTGAGACCCTTCAATAGGGGTTGTACAGGAATAATCCTACTAGCATCAGGTTGGTGCTCCTTGAGGTCAGAGGTCCCAGAAGAAGGAGTAGGCACTCATCTTTGCTGTTCTCTAGCCTCCTGGAGTGTCATCTCCAGGTGTGGGAAATAATCAGATGAATAGGGCCTGAAGTGAACACCCAGCAAAGTGCAGCAGCCCTACAGAAGAGGGACCTGACTGTTGAAAGAAAAACAAGCAGGAAGCAACAACAACAGCATCAATGACAACAAAAAAAGCACTCACAAAAACCCCATCCAAGGGTCAGCAGCCTTGAATACCAAAACTGGACAAACTCATGAAGATGAGAAAGAATCAATAAAAATATGCTGAAAATCCAAAAGGTCAGAGTGCCTCTTCTCCTCCAAATGATTGCAACATCGCTCCATCAAGGGTGCAGAACTAGATGGAGGATCAGATGGATGAATTGACAGAAGCAGGCTTCAGAAGATGGGTAATAAAAACTATGCTGGGCTAAAGAAGCATGTTCTAACCCAATGCAAAGAAGCTAAGAACCTTCATAAAAGGTTGAGGAACTGCTAACAAGAATAATCAGTTTAGAGAGGAATATTAATGACTTGATGAAGCTGAAAAATACAGCACGAGAATTTCATGAAGCATACACAAATATCAACAGCCGAATCAACCAAGCAGAAGAAAAGATATCAGAGTTTGAAGGCCACCTTGCTGAAATAAGGCATGCAGACAAGACTAGAGAAAAAAGAATGAAAAGGAATGAACAAAGCCTCCAAGAAATATAGGACTTCATAAAAAGACCTAACCTATGACTCATTGGAGTACCAGAAGGAGATGGGGAAAATGGAAACAAGCTGGAAAACATGCTTCGGGATATTATCCGGGAGAACTTCCCCAACCTAAAAGACAGGCCAACATGCAAATCAGGAAATACAGAGAACACCATTAAGATACTCCACGAGAAGATCAACCCCAAGACACATAATAATCAGATTCTCCAAGGTCAAAATGGAGGACAAACTGTTAAGGGCAGCCAGAGAGAAAGGCCAGGTCACCTACAAAGGGAAGCCCATCAGACTAACAGTGGACCTCTCAGCAGAAACTCTACAAGCCAGAAGAGATTGGGGGCCAATATTCAACATTCTTAAAGAAAAGAATTTTCAACCCAGAATTTCATATCCAGCAAAACTAAGCTTTTTAAGTGAAGGAGAAATAAAATCCTTTTCAGACAAGCAAATGCTGAGGGATTTTGATACTACCAGGCCTGCCCTGGAAGAGCTCCTGAAAGAAGCACTAAATATGGAAAGGAAAAACTCGTACCAGCCACTGCAAAAACATACCAAATTGTAAAGACCAATGACACTATGAAGAAACTGCATCAACTAGTGTGCAAAATCATCAAATAGCAGCATGATGACAGGATCAAATTATCAAATTCACACATAACAATACTAACCTTAAATGTAAATGGGCTAAAGGCCCCAATTAAAAGACACAGATTGGCAAGCTGGATAGAGTCAAGACCCATCAGTGTGCTATATTCAGGAGACGCATCTCACGTGCAGAGACACACATAGGCTCAAAATAAAGGGATAGAAGAAAATTTACCAAGCAAATTGAAAGAAAAAAAAAGCAGGGGTTGCAATCCTAGTCTCTGACAAAATAGACTTTAGACCAACAGAGATCAAAAAAGACAAAGAATGGCATTACGTAATGGTAAGGGGAAAAATTCAACAAGAAGAGCTAACTATTCTAAATATATATGCACTCAATACAGGAGCACCCAGATTCATAAAACAAGTTCTTAGAGACCTACAAAGAGACTTAGACTCCCACACAATAATAGTGGGAGACTTTAACACCCCAATGTCAGTATTAGACAGAAAAACAAGACAGAAAATTAACAAGGATATTCAGGACTTGAAATCAGCTCTGGATCAAGTGGACCTAGTAGACGTCTACCGAACTGTCTACCTGAAATCAACAAAACATACATTCTTCTCAGTGCCACATGGCACTTATTCTAAAATCGACCACATAATTGGAAGTAAAACACTTCTCGGCAAATGCAAAAGAACTGAAGTCATTAAACAAACAGTCTCTCAGACCACAGTGCAGTCAAATTAGAACTCAGGATTAACAAACTCACTCAAAACCATACAATTAATGGAAATCGAACAACCTGGTCCTGAATGACTCCTGAGTAAATAATGAAATTAAGACAGAAATCAAGTTCTTTGAAACCAATGAGAACAAAGAGACAACGTACCAGAATCTCTGGGACACAGCTAAAGCAGTGTCAAGAAGGAAATTTATAGCACTAAATCCCCACATCAGAAAGCTAGAAAGATCTCAAATCAACACCTTAACATCACAGTTAAAAGAGATAGAGAGGCAAGAGAAAACTAATCCAAAAGCTAGCAGAAGACAAGAAATAACTAAAATCAGAAAAGAATTGATGGAGATAGAAACAGGAAAAACTCTCAAAAAAATCAATGAATCCAGGAAGTGGTTTTTTGAAAAAAAAAAAATAACAAAATAGATAGATCACTAGCTAGAAAATAAAGAGGAAAAGAGAGAAGAATCAAATAGACACAATAAAAAAATGACAAAGGGGATGTCACCAATGGCCCCACAGAAATACAAACTACCATCAGAGAATATAAACACCTCTATGCAAATAAACTAGAAAATCTAGAAGAAATGGGTAAGTTCCTGGACACATACACCTTCCCAAGACTAAACCAGGAAGAAGTTGAATCCCTGAATAGACCAATAACAAGTTCTGAAGTTGAGGCAGTAATTAATAGCCTACTAACAAAAAGAAGCCCAGGAACAGATGGATTCACAGCTGAATTCTACCAGAAATACAAAGAGGAACTGTTACCATTCCTTCTGAAACTATTCCAAATAATTGAAAAAGAGGGACTCCTCCCTAACTCATTTTATGAAGCCAGCATCATCTTGATACCAAAACCGGGAAGAGACACAACAAAAAAAGAAAACTTCAGGCCAATATTCCTTATGAACATCGATGCGAAAATACACAATAAAATACTGGCAAACCAAATCCAGCAGCACATCAAAAAACTTATCCACCACAATCAAGTCGGCTTCATCCCTGGGATACAAGGCAGGTTCAACCCATGCAAATCAATAAACATAATCCATCACATAAACAGAATCAAAGTCAAAAACCACATGATTATCTCAATAGACGCACAAAAGGCCTTTGATAAAATTCAACATCCCTTCATGTTGAAAACTCTCAATAAACAAGGTATTGATGGAAATATCTCAAAATAATAAGAGCTATTTATGTCAATGCCACAGCCAGTACCATATTGAATGGGCAAAAGCTGGAAGCATTCCCTTTGAAAACTGGTACAAGACAAGGATGCCCTCTCTCACCACTCCTGTTCAACATAGTATTGGATATTTTGGCCAGGGCAATCAGGCAATAGAAAGAAACAAAGAGTATTTAAATAGGAAGAGAGGAAGTCAAATTATCTCTGTTTGCAGATGACATAATTTTATATTTAGAAAACCCCATCATCTCAGCCCCAAGACTTCTTAAACTGATAAGCATCTTCAGCAAAGTCTCAGGATACAAAATCAATGTGCAAAAATCACAAGCATTCCTTTACACCAACAATAGACAAGCAGAGAGCCAAATCATGAATGAACTTCCATTCACAATTGCTACAAAGAGAATAAAATACCTAGGAATACAGCTAACAAGGGATGTGAAGGACCTCTTTAAGGAGAACTATCAACCACTGCTCAAGGAAATAAAAGAGTACAAAAATAAATGGAAAAACATTCCATTTTCATGGATAGGTAGAATCAATATCATGAAAATGGTCATACTGCCCAACGTAATTTATAGATTCAACGCTATTTCCATCAAACTACCATTGACATTCTTTACAGAATTAGCAACAACTATTTTAAATTTCATATGGAATCAAAGAAGACTCTGTATAGCTAAGACAATCCTAAGCAAAAAGAACAAAGCTGGAGGCATCACACTACCTGACTTCAAACTATACTACAAGGCTACAGTAACTAAAACAGCATGATACTGGTGCAAAAACAGACATGGAGCAGAACAAAGACCTCAGAAATAACACCACACATCTACAACCATTAACAAACTTGACAAAAACAAGCAATGGGGAAAGGATCTCCTATTAACTAAATGGTGCTGGGAAAACTGCTTAGCCATAGGCTGAAAACCAAAACTGAACCCCTTCCTTACACCTTATACACAAATTAACTCAGATGGATTAAAGACTTAAGTGTAAAACTGCAAACCATAGAAACCCTAGAAGAAAACCTAGGCAATACCATTCAGGACATAGGCATGGGCAAAGACTTCATGACAAAAACGCCAAAAGCAATTGCAACAAATGCCAAAATTGACAAATGGGATCTAATTAAACTAAAGAACTTCTGCACAGCAAAAGAAACTATCATCAGATCAAAGAGACAACCTACAGAATGGGAGAAAATTTTTGTAATCTACCCATCCAACAAAGATCTAATATCCAGAACTTACAAGGAACTTAAACAAATTTACAAGAAAAAAACAATCCCATTAAAAAGTCAGCAAAGGATATGAACAGACACTTCTCAAAAGAAGACATTTATGTGGCCAAGAAATATGAAAAAACTCAACATCACTGATCATCGGAGAAATGCAAACCAAAACCACAAAGAGATACCATCTCATTCCAGTCAGAATGGCAATTATTAAAAAGTCAGGTAACAACAGATGCTGGCGAGTCTGTGGAGAAATAGGAATGCTTTTACACTGTTGGTCGGAATGTAAATTATTTCCACCACTACGGAAGACAGTATGGCAATTCTTCAAGGATCTAGAACCAGAAATACCATTTGACCCAGCAATATCCCATTCTTGGTATATACCCAAAAGAATATAAATCATTCTACTATAAAGACACATGCACTTGTATGTTTATTGCAGCACTATTTACAATAGCAAAGCCATGGAACCAACCCAAATGCCCATCAGTAATAGACTGGATACAGAAAATGTGGTACATATACACTATGGAATACTATGATGCCACAAAAAGGAATGAGATCATGTCCTTTGAAGGGACATGGATGAAGATGGAAGCCAATGTCCTCAGTGAACTGACACAGGAACAGAAAACCAAACACCACATACTGTCACTCGTAAGTGGGAGTTGAACAATGAGAACGCACGGACACAGAGAGGGGAGCAACACACACCAGGGCCTGTTGGGGGATGGGGGGTGAAGGGAGGGAATATAGAAGATGGGCCAATAAGTGCAGCAAACCACCATGGCACTCGTATACCTATGTAACAAAGCTGCACATTCTGCACATGTATCCCGTTTTTTGTTTGTTTGTTTGTTTAGAATAAATAAATAAATAAAAACACTTTGTGTTCCAGGAAAACTTAATTCAGATGCTCAACACTAAAGTGTATTCAATTGAACTTATGAATCCTACAAGTAAAGGAAAAATTCCTCCATTCGTCCAGAGAGATCTCCCAAGGGAAAGAAATATGACCCTAAAATATCATATCCAGCCAAACTGCTATCCAAATAAAAGAGTAGAAATTCCCAAATTGAAAGAACTTGAGGCATAAGGCACTCAGAAGCCCTTACTGATTAAACAACTTGAAGATAAAATCCTAATGACTCAAATTTAAAAACTCATTAATGTAGAAATCATAAAGATTAGGGTTATCATTGAATTGATTTATCTAATCAAGTCATGTTAAATATTCTGGGAATTATAGTTTCATAATTAAGTGTAAACATTAAAAATCTTGAAAATATAATAATTATAATATAAATAATAAATACTTGGTGGTTTAGAAAGCAGAAGTGGGAAAAATATGAAAGTATAAACGTCTCCATCTTTCATGACCTAAAATTGAAACATACAGTGAATCTAACAACTTGATGATTTTATGATCTATTTTGTCAACATTCGAGACCCTCTTCATAAAATATTATTTCTTGTGCTTAAAACAACACCAACAACATTTATTTGAACTTCAACAAATGTTCAGTTTTACTTTAGTTTCTTTCTAATAAGTTAAAACAAAATTAAAATTCAATGGTTTTTCAAAAATAGTGCATAAATTGTAATCTTGTAACAGTATTTAATCAATTCATTTTATATAAATATATACATATTAAGATGTTTATAATAACATTCATTCAACATGTTAGCAATGTTTATGTTGAGTAGAATTTGAGGTGGTTGCTTTTGCCTTCTTTATAACAACTTGTTCTGCATTACCTGAACTCTTTATAATAAGCACGTGTGAGTTTTAAATAGGAAAAACATAAAGTGATTTTTCTGCAAAGAGGAAGAGAAACAGCTATTGATGCTTTTTTAGGAACAGAACCAATAACACAGGAACTATCCATTACTTACATCTCACCAGACCTGCATATTCAGTCTTGATTTATGGTACAACAGGGAATACACAATTTATCTAAACTCATTATCTATTTTGTTGTTTGATCTTTGTGAGTTTTTTGTTTTTCCTTAAGACTTGCCAGATCTGTAGGAGGCAGACAGAAATAGCACCCCCGAGAACAGACAATAAAATTGAGACAAGACATAGTTGTCTCATTTTTTCTATCAATCCTTCCTAGGATTGCTATAGAATGTTTAAAATAAAATATAGAACCTGATTAATCATTATATGAAAAGCACAGAATAGAAGAGTTTTGTTCATATGTTATATGATATTCCTTTTTAGTATTATATGCTGAATACCAATTGGTAATATTCTTCTAAGCAAAACAGAAAAAAAGCACCTAAGCCATTTTTTGTTCTGATGTTTGAGCCAGCACCTTGTTAGTTTGGCCTTCACTATCACTTATGTCACTGTGGTGATGAACTAGATTTAATGTCTAATTTAAAGTCTAAACATGTATTTTTAAATAGAGGCTCTTTTGTGCTCATATTTTTGAGGAATAAATTTAACCATGAAGTTAAATGGGTTTTGTCCTTTTTTTTTTTCTTTTTTCTTTTTTTTGGCAGGGGAGAATGACATCTCAAAACTAGCCTTGTTCTGTAAAGCAATTCTCCCTGTCTTTCCAAATTATGAAAACCCAACTTGAGTATTTCCTGAGGGAGACCAAAGGTATGGACACTGGTGGAGCTCATTGGGAAACAGGAGAGCCGAACATTTTTAGAGGCTTCATACCATTTAAACTTAAAAAAAAAAAATAGGCCATAGAATGCATTTAAATCATCTTGCAAACATACAGCTTTTAATATCCATTTGTTTTTAACATTCTCTCAAATTAACCATCGATTAGAAAATTTCCATTCAATATGTAAAAAATATTCTAAATGAGAAAAAGACTACTCAAGGCTAAGTAAGGAACAATATAACATCAATATTTGAAAACCAAGACTACATCCTAGTGTTTTTAAAATGATATTTTATGTGATGCTTGGATTTTTGTTGTTTTAATTTGTTTACATATGTAATTATTTACTTGTTATATATTTATGTATATTTATATATTGGCCTATATGTGCATGTTGTATGGGGAGAAAGAGATCAGAGACTAGATGCAAACCCCAACTCTCCCTTTTATTATGTACTATATAATGTTGAATAATTTCTTAATCTCTTGGTTTCTATTTCCTCCCCTATAAAACCGGGATTGCATGTCTTGCTCTACCTGTTGGAATTGTGTAAAAATGAATTATAAAATCATGCATATGAAAATACTTAGTAAACTATAAACCAATTTATGTAAGCATTTTGTTATTTGTATTTTATTAGATATAGGCATTTCTTCTAGTGGTCATTTTGCTGTTTGCAAAAAAATTCAGTAAAACCTATCTATGAATCATAAATTTAATTCAAAAAGAGGAGTGGGTCTCAGTTCATAATTTATAATCCTGTAATATTTAGGCACAAAAACTTGACCATATTTCTATTCTCCTTCATCATCTGCATTTTACCATATCCTCACTGAATGTTTTTTCACTCTCTCCTTAAATACATGTCTCAAAACTCTATGTGTGGCTAGGCATGGTGGTTCATGCCTGTAATCCCAGCACTTTGGGAGGCCGAGGCGGGTGGATCACCTGAGGTCAGGAGTTCGAGACCAGCCTGCCCAACATGGAGAAACCCCGTCTCTACTAAAAATACAAAATATTAGCTGGGCGTGGTGGCGAGCGCCTGTAATCCCAGCTACTTGGGAGGCTGAGGCAGGAGAATCACTTGAACCCAGGAGGCAGAGGTTGCAGTGAGCTGAGATCGCGTCACTGCACTCCAGCCTGGGTGACAAGAGCGAAACTCTGTCTCAAAAAAACAAAAACAAAAACAAAAACAAAACCTCTATGTGTATATTTTCTCTAATTACATAATTACGTCAGTCCCTTTCATTTTGAATAGTAGTGATCATTAGAAAATTCTTCTCTATATTAAAACAAATTCAGCCATCCCCAAATTTCCACCAGCCATTCTAATTCTTCTCACTGACATCAGTAAGAATAGATACATCAACCTTAATATATCCAAAACAGAATTCTCAATATCATCCTCAGCATGTTCCCCTAACACCATTCACACCATCACTGAGCCTTTACTCTGCTCTATCCCTCACTGCCTCCATGAGATGCCATTGATCAACAAGCCTGTGGGTGCTCCTTTCAAAAAGTAACCTGAATGGAATGTGTCTCATCAACTTGGTGTCACCACCTTGGCACAAGTGACCTTCATCCCTCAACTAGACAATCACAATAGTTTCCTGATTGATATTCCTTCCAGTCTAGCCCTCCTAGAGTCCTTTCCCAGTATAGTAGCCAAATTGACTTTATTTATATCCTTTAATTGCTTCCCTTTGCACTTAAAGCCCCAAGGCCTTATGTTGCCCATAAAGTCCTAAATCATCTGGTCCCACCTGCTCTCATGTGTCCTCACTTATTCTCTACCATACTTCACTCTTCTGCAGCCAAATGCACTCTCTTGCTGCTCCACAAACACGGTAGGTTCAGACTAACCACAGGGTCATTCATTACACTGGCTCTTTCCTGTGCAGAATTTGCATATCTCTATAGCTGGCTCCTTATCACGGAGGTCGCTGCTCAGATATCACCAACCCAGAGAGGCTTTCTTTATCCTGTTGACAACAACTACATACTTCCTTCACTGTTTTGTCTTCATAACATCTATTACTATTTAAAATATCTTTTTTTGTTTATTACCTCTCCCTCACTCCAGAATACAATCTCAAGAGGGCAAGGAAAATATGAATCTTGTTTATTATATCTTAAATAGCTCCTATAATTGTACCGAAAGAGAACAATTATACCTAAAGAGTTAACATAATAGGCCCACCTCAGAAAGGCCTGCTTGCAAGGATAATCCTTGGCAGGTGCCTGGAAACTTAAATAGTAAACGATTTCCTATATTGACATAAACTTTCTCTAATGATAAGAGTGACTCATTGTGCCTATACTGTGCAAACAATGCAGTTTATGCTGAACAACTGCTTTCCATCTGGAAGTATGGAAT
Organism: Homo sapiens; assembly: GCF_000001405.40. NCBI lineage: Eukaryota > Metazoa > Chordata > Mammalia > Primates > Hominidae > Homo > Homo sapiens. The sequence continues at coordinate 132,315,128 of NC_000006.12, forward strand.
TTTAGTAAGTGGTAGGCAGAGACCACCTATATGACTAGTTCCTCCAAAAAACTCTGGGCACTGAATCTGTGATGAGCTTCTCCAATAGACAACATTCCATACATGTTGTCACAATTTGATGATGGTGTAATTTGGTGCATTCTGTGTGACTCCACTGGAAGAGGGCTCTTGGAAGCTTGCGCCTGGTTTCCTCTAGACTTTGCTTCATGTAGCTTTTCCTTTTGTTCTTTCTGCTTTGCATGCTTTCACCATATTCATGTTTTCCATGAATACAACTATTTGCTGAGTACTGTAGGTACTCCTTGCAAATCACAGAACCTGAGGGTGGTCTTGGGGACTCTGGACATAGTAATCAAAAAGGTTACTTGGTCTCCCCAGTTAAAAGTAATCAAATAGAACAAACAGTGCATAAAAATTTCTATAATGTGGTAATGGATCCAGTATGACAATAAAGCCCATCTTTCTCTGAAATACGTTACCCCATCATAAAATACATTTACTACTTACGTGACTGGTCTGTAGATCTCCTTAACCCCAATGAACTGAAGTTGTTCCATAATGTCTGGAATACTTGCACATCGAGTAAGATTAATTCTTGGGTAATAAAGAAGGTATGAGAGACACATTTCACTCCTGGTGCTTAGTCCTCCCTGAAAACAGATAGTTTATTTAGCAAAGTATGTGTTCTACCAACTTTGACATTTAAAGCACACAAGTCATTAATGTCATACAGTTCCTTCCAATATTAAAATTTAATACATCTTAAAGCTGAAAAGTTAAAAAACTGGCTTTTTAGAAAGGTAGTGACACAATTAAAAATTAATAGAATTATTTCCACTTTAAAAATTTGCCTTTCTTAAATAACCTAATAAATTCTGCGGATGGGATGTAAACTTCTCAACACAGTGAACATTTCAGAGAATCATAAGGATGTTTGGTTAGCATAATACCAATCAATCAGGAATTTTTGCAGGAAATTTTTCTGATTTAATTGAATTTTCTAGAATCTTGTCTTCATGTGTATAAACATTAGCAGCTGCATACGACGGGGAGAAAGATTTCATATTTTGAATCTAGGTAGTTAATTATCTACTAAAATTTGGAAAAAGATTAAAGACCTTCAAAAGAACAGAATCCAGAGTTACTACAACATATTATCTAATATGTCTAATTTCAACCAAAAATTATTAAGTGGGAAAAGAAACAGGAAATTATTATCTACCTTCAATGGAGAAAAGTCAGTAGAAATGGATTGTAAGATTGATGTGCTGGATTTATCAGACAATGACTTGAAAACAGATAAAAATATGTTCAATAAAGCCGTTTTACAAAGTGTTCAAAGAGTTAAAGAAAAACATGCTCAAGTAGTTAAAGGCAAATGTCTCAAAAATGAGTGAACAGAAAAAGGAATGACATTAGGAAAGAAGAACAATTTTAAAAATAGAAATTCTAGAGCTGAGAGGTACCAAAACGAAATAAAAACTTCACAGGATAAGCTCAACAGCAAGTTTCAAATGAGCAAGGAAAATATCAGTGAACTTGAAGATTAATCAATAGAAATTGTCCTATTCAAATAACAGAGAGATAAAAGACTAAAGAAAAGTGAAAATACTTCAGAGATCTATGGGACAACATTAAATGTTCTAGCATTTATGTCTAACATATATGTTTTCATGTATGTTAAATACATGTAACTGGAGTTCTAGAATGAGAGGAAGAAGACAAAAAGGTAGAAAAAATATTCAAAGGAATAATGCCTGAAATAATCCCCAATTTAATGAAAAACATTAACTTACAGACCCAAGAAGCTCAACAAAAACCAAATGTAAATACAAAAAGAGCCATACCTAGACACATCACAGTCATACTGCTGAAAACCAAAGATAAGAAAAAATCTTGAAAGGAGCAAGAGAAAAATGACACATCATATATAGGTGAACAAGAATACAATTGACAGCTGACATTTCATCATAAATGATGGAAATAACAAAAAGATATTGAATTATATATTCACAAGTGTTGCAAAGGAAACAAAGCAACTGCCAACCAAGAATTCTGTATCCAGCAAAATCCAGCTTTCGAAAACAAAGGTGAAAAACTTAATATTGTTTATATTCTAAATTAACCTAGGGGCTAATATACAATGATTTTACTAATTGCAAAAACATGATGTTTTGCACTTGATGAGCAAGGCAGGATTAGGCAAAGGAAGATGCTGATGTGCAAATGAAGTTGCATTTGATGCCTCAGTAAATATTGTATTTAATTTATCCTTAAGTTAGGATGGCTGTTCAGAGTTGTACCAAATTGTAGAAGGAAAGCTGGGCCTTTGCAGCATCTTATCAACTAGTCATTGACTGCTGGCTCTCCTACTGTAGGGAGTAAAATTTTAAGAAGTTATTTTCTAATACCAAGGGGAATGTCCAGTGAGGTACACAGCTGTGAGCTATCATATTATCATCTGACATTCCCAGTGGCTGAGGTTTGGTTGTGTTGGCCCTGAAGAGGGTATCAAGACAGTGCACCAAAATACCCACTATAATAATAACTCATTTATTATGTCTTTAGTAAAATAATATTTCAACAACAAAAATTATACATAAGGCATGAGAAAAAAATAAAACCAACACCAGTACATTGACTACTCCATGTGTGTCCAGCTTCTATCCCTCTTCTTCCCATTTCAACCAAAGGTGATTACTATCTTAATATTTTATCTTTCTGTTGTTTTTCATTACACTTTACATTCAGTATATTGAAGTATGTATCCCTAAACAATATATTGTTTAATTTTCCTGAACTTTACATACATAATATCACACTATATATATTCTGCTACAAGCTTGCTCTTTTCAATCAACATTATTTGTTCTTCAGATACACTCAAGTTAATATAGGCAGCTTTCATTCATTAATTTTCATAACTTTACACTGTTTCATTAAATAATACCACATTTATTTGTTCTCCTTTTGATGGGTATTTGAGAGATTTCCAGAATTTTTTCTTTCCTATATTATTATATGTTACTATGAATAGTTTACATATTTCTCTCCTGAAACACATTCTGCAAAAGTAATTCCAAGGTTAAATCTACATAGGAATGGAATTGAGTAGAGTATATATGAATCTCTAATTTTACTAGATAATGCCATACTTTTCCCCAAGATGGTTTTACAAATTTAAGTCACTACTAACAGTGTATAAGTGTTCCAGTTTCAGCATAACGGAAATGCTATTTAAAATTTTGCCAAACTGGTTAGTTCAAAACATCTCACTCTGGTTTATATTTGGTTTTAAACAAAATTGAGCATCTTTTCATATATTTATAGTATCTATTATATGGGTTGTTATTTCTTTGAAATGCTTTTGTCTTATCCTCTTTTATTGTATGCTTCTCTTCTGTTACTGACTTATGGACTTTGTTTTATAAGCTAGATACTAATGTCCTGTTAATCTATGTATTGCAAATATTTTTCCCAGTTTAAAACTCTTCTTAGTTTCTTCATAGTGTTTTATTTTGGTAAGCAAAAGCTTTGACGTAGTCAAATTTGTTAATCTTTAATTTACAGTTTGTGCTTTTATGCTTTGCTTAAAAAATTCTTAACTACTCCAAAGTCATGAAGATATATTCAGGTATTTTTTCTTCCAGCGGTTTTAAATTTTTGCTGTTCACATTTAAATATTTAATACATCTGGCATTGATTTTTATGCATTGTGTGAAATTAAGACTCAGTTTTATTTATGTCATATGGATAGCCATTAGTGCCAGCATCCTTTAATAAAAAGTTTATCCTTTTCCATTTATCTAAATGCTATGTCTATCATAAACCAAGTTTCCATCTGTAGAATTTGTAGGTCTGTTTCTGAGATGCCTCTTCTGCTCCAAGTCTTCTAACTTGGGACTCAAAGCATATTGTATTAATCGCCAGTTTTAAAATAAGCCTTCTTATCTAGTAGATTGTTTTCTATCTTGTTCTTTTCAGTTTTGTCCTGCCTATTTTTAACCTTTTGCTCTTCTGTGTAAATTTTAGAATCAACTTGCTCCATGTGAAAGCTAAAACAGCAAAATGTTTATATAAATTAAAAAATACATGAAAATATTTGCAGCCTTGGTCTGGTGAAGATTTCTTAGCTAGAATACCAAAACCTCAAATCGTAAAATTTCTCTGAAATTTTTTTACTAGAATAATATCAAATTTATGAGCCAATATGAATAGAAGTATTTTCTTTATTTTACTGAGCCTTTCTATCCATGAACACGGTATCTCTTACTGTCTTTAGGCATTCTTTTAATGTTTCCCAATAAAGATTTATAATTTTTTCACAGAGATCAAACACATCTAGTGTTAGATTTTATTTCTGTTTAATTTTTATTTTAAATTGTATTTTCTTGAGATAATTTCTTATATACTCAAATGCAATTAATTTTAGATAGTATCAATTTGGAGGAGGGTTTGATGCAGAAAATTACAGTATCTGTGAGTAATGTGTTTTGCTTCTTCACTTCTTTCTTTCTGATCCTTATATCTCATTTTCATTTCTTTTCCAGTACAATGTTGAATACAAGTAGTGATAACAAATACCCTTATATTCTTCCTAACTTGAAAAAAAAAACGGTATTTCATTTAATTTAATATTTGCTATAGCTTTTTCATAGCTAACTTCTACCTAGTTAAGACAATTCCCTGTTATTCCAGGCTTGCTAAATGTCTCCCCTGTCAACAATAAACTTGAATTTAATGAATGCTTTCTCTACCTCTGTTGAGGTGATTATATATCTTTTTCTTTCAATAAATATATTTTCTAATTTAAATCAATTTTATATTCCTTAGCTAAACTCAAGTTGGTCTTATCATTAGATTTGTATATAAAAAAGGATTTGGTTTGTCAAACTCTTGTCCAAGTTATTTCCATCAGGTGCATACTACTGGCCCCTTTTATACTATCCTTGTGAAGTTTTAGTTTTAAGATTATGTTAACTACATTTTATGACTTGGTGGGAGGTGTTCCCTCTTTTAGTGTTCCTGAAAGAGATTGAGTAAGACATGAATTATCTATTTCTTGAATGCTTGGTGGAATTCCCCCAGTAAATCTGTTGGGACCAGATTTCTCTTTGAGTCAGAGGCCTCAAGGTCATGAAATTCATTCTTCATTTGGAAGTCTGTATTTATCTAAGCCAGACTCAAGCAGACAGTCAATTAATGACCACAGTTCTTTTAAAAATATTAGATGAGAAAAATTAAAAGACTAAGGATAGCTTTTCATGAAGGAGTCAATTAATTACACTCCAAGTATTATTTAATACTATAATATCATTAGTTAATTTGAAGTCTTAGAAAATGCTAAAAACATCTCTGATGTCACTTTTATGATACTTGATACTCAAGATTTTTAGAACTTTTCTTTCTAAATGGAAATGGTTTTTACCTTTTTCTTCTAAAATCAAGTTTATTTCTTTCTCTCCATAAATGAACTTTAATAATAATAAAAGTTTTCTTACCCAAGTCATCTCAGCTCTATCTTTCGTGTTGTAGCGACACTCAGTAATTAGGTTATCTCCCTGAAACATAAAAGCAAAAGCTTTCAGATTGAAGTTTTATGCTGGCTTATTTATCAAATACATTTGTACGTCAACAGTTAATATTTGCTGTATGAATGGATGCGCCAAGTAATTTCATTCAGCAGAAGACCCCTGATCTGTTTAATTCTAGGTTTGCTGATATAACAAGCAAGCAAATAAATAGGACTCTCTGTGTTTCCACCAGACTCCACAACATTCTAGCTGGATGAACTACATATAACCCAGGCACAATTTGTTCATTTAAAACCTAAAGATAAAAATTGTTCTTATTTTTGGCCCTGGCACGGTGGCTCACGCCTGTAATCCCAGCACTTTGGGAGGGCAAGGCAGGTGGATCACGAGGTCAGGAGTTCAAGACCAGCCTGGCCAAGATGGTGAAACCGCGTCTCTACTAAAAATACAAAAATTAGCCAGGCGTGGTTGCGGGCACCTTTAATTCCAGCTTCTCAGGAAGCTGAGGCAGAGAATTGCTTGAACCCAGGAGGTGGAGGTTGCAGTGAGCCGAGATCGCACCACTGTACTCCAGCCGGGGTGACAGAGTGAGACTCCATCTCAAAAAAAAAAAGTCCTTATTTTTTTCACAGCTGTTACGAGGAGATTAAATGACATAACACATAGGCATTAGCAACAAATGAACATTTAATAAACCTCAGACATAGATAGTAGTTATTGTGATCACCTCTTCATTTACATTATTTTCTTTAAAGGTCTCTAGTCATGCCTTTATTTCCTTACAATAGAATCGTGAGGCAAATTAATAGAAGTTTATTGTTCTAGTGTTTTCCATCCTTTTGTACATTACAATACATATGGAAAATGATAACATTTTTATGTTTCCCCTTTAAGGTAAGCAGATGAAGCTATTCATAGACCTGAGGCCGTAATCTCTGGGCTTTTGCTCTTAAATTTGACCTCCCTGCACGCCACTCAGAGGGCCCAGAGAACAGTATCTCATCGCACTTATGCCATAATCATGGTGCGTCAGTTAGGAAACTCTGAGATAACACTGTTTGGAAAACCCCAGAGACATCATAATAAAATAGAGTGTAGTCCTTAAGAACCTTGACAAGATCACCATTTCTCAAACTTCTTTCTACTCTCCGGATGTATCAAAGAATTTCTAAGATCCAAAGCTATGGATTTAAGGGATAGCTATTAGTAAAAAGAAGATCCCTTTCCTCTTTATCACTTTCTTCTGTTTTTTCAGCTTTCCTTTTACATCCTATTGTGCCATGTCTTCTCCCTGACAGTTCATCCCATCTAAAAACCCTGTCTCCAGCATCACGTAGAAAAGATATTGCCATTACTCTCATTTCGTAAATGGTATAGGGATCTGACTTTTAAAAGTAAAATAAGGGTAGAAAATTATACTACAAGTGAGCTTGATGGTCATGGAATAAAAATTTGAGAAAACAAAGCATTATAACCTTTTTAAAGCCTTCATTCTCTTCTCTCCTTCACCATAACCCCAAGTATTATGTCAAGCTGGATCACACAGCATAGTTTAATTAGCTATATTCACATAGCTTTATCAGATAAAAGAATTATCCTTACATTCCTTTTTACTAAAATGAAACTTCTAAAAATATCCTATCTCTTCAACATAGCATAAAGACACCTCTATTTTACCACTGCAGGAATTGCAACCCAAAGAATCACTAACTGGAATGTCAAGTATAAAAAAAGAGTAATGTTTAGTCCTCAGAACCTGAGATTTTTGTTTGGGGTTGTTTTTATTTTTCAGTCAACAACTTGAATTGCTCCTGGGAATTATAAGAAAAATGAGTTTCAATTTTGGAAAACAGATCAAACACATTCCATCTGGGTTGTACAACACCCACAGTGGGTGGTGTTAAGAATACAGATGCAAGGAAAAATTCATTTCACTAGTAGAAACCTTGCCACATCTCAGCAGATATGTCTCATGACTTTCATAACAGTCAATGAAAAAGAACAAAAACATGCATACTGGTAAGATTGTTTGTTCTTCCTTTAGATACTGAAACTCCTGGAAATTGAAGTCAAAATCATCATCATAGGCAAGTAATTTCATTTCCTTCCCTTTTCGAAAATGACGCAGCCTGATGCCTCTGCCAGCCAGGTGAGCATGGAGAAGAACAGCAAACACATGAATTCCACTTGGCTTTTCGGCTTCCAGAGCCTACAGGAGACACCGAGGAAGACCCGATTAGCCCACATTAATGCATGTTCAGACAGTTTACATTCAAACACACTTGGAGGGACAACTGAGATAAAAAGCTAAAGCAATTTAAATGAATGCTTGAACTGAAAAAGAGTTTGAATTCGGATTGTTCAGTGTTCTCCTTGTGAAGCAACATTTGCCGGGAGAAAAGTAGGGGAGCTGATGCTTATAAGGGGCCTCCCAGACCATTTCTACATGTTATCCTCCTTTTTCCTTCTTTTAGGAGGATAAGAGGCAATAAACATTCTTAGCAAAAAGATTCCAGTATGTTAGTAACCTGAAAACCCAAATTCTTAAAAGGAAATATTATTCCCACTTTTCCAGATAAGAAAGCGAAAGTGGGTCAATGGAATTAAATGAATCGCCCATGGTCCTACAGCTTGTAAATGAGGTCATGGCAATTTGAATTATGAACTATGGCCTAAATAACTCAGAAGAGCATAATCTTTCCACTTCACCAGTCTGCCATACTGTCCTCAACCACAATATCATATAATTCATAAAGAGTATGATCCATGTTGAAATATTTTCATTAAAAAACTTGAAGTGAAAATTGTCATTACTAAATATACTTTTCTTCTATCCTATATATTTTTTTATATTAGTTATTTTTGCTCTGTGGTGAAGAAAGGGAAGGAAACTATAAGGCAGAGAAAAATGAAAATAAATGATGGAAAAATCAATATGGATAAAAGGTAAACTAGAGAAAAGAAAAAGACTACACAAACAAAGGTTGAAATTGTAAAAGATGATATACAGCATGCAACATGCAACAAACAAAAAAGGTAGGAGTAAGAAGAAAAACACCCTGCCAACTACTTCTGTCTTTAGAGTTCTACTCCTGTAGCTTCAAGATTTAAAAAAGCAGTCAAAAGTCCTACTAAAATTGCGATAAGGGTTTCACAGTGTGTCAACAAGAAAGGAATCGATAATAAACATGTGCGGAATTTTTCACACCACAGTTTCTAAGAGCATTGATGAATCTGCAGAGAGCAGCTCAGACTCAGATGCTGCATACCTCTTCCAGGCACTCCAAAGTGCAGTGACCCTCAGACTGGAACTCAGGCATCCCTGGAGGGATGGTATGGAAGAGGCTCACCCAGAGGCCAGCCTCAATCACCCCAGCATCATATTTCCTTATATCCATTGTGTAAAATAACCTCAGTCCAGAATTATCTATTAAGCCTAGAACAAAAGCACATAATTAAAGTGATTTTTGGTTCTTAAAATGTTTTCATTCCCAAGAAAATTCTTGGTTTGAATTTTTTAAAGTTTTCATATTCTGTTGAAATAGGTTTATTTATTTTCCATAAACTGTCATGAGGGAAAGGGATTCAAGCAGAGATTAGTGGCAGACAACATTCAGTTTCACAAACAAGAGTTAAAAGATGAGTAGCCATATTGCCTGCAACCTTTGTGGACTCACACAGCATACTACAAGAGAAATGTTTCCGTTATCTGGCTGTTATATTCCACAATTATCTAACATGAAGACAGAATGAAGATTCTAAAGTCATTCATTAGAATATAGAATAAATAACTTAATAAAACTTTTATTTTATATTGTTTCGAGATGAAGTTCAATAACATTTACTTTGAGGTAAAACCTCCTTAGTTTAGAAACCATCTGCTGAAGAAAAAAACTACTAAAGATTCACTTTATTTCTTTAAAGTTTGTCACCATTTTCTTCTTCATTCAACAGCCATTCAATCAACACACAGTCATTAAGAATCCATTATGTAAATGGCACTCCATTAGGCATTGTGGGGATGAGAGATGAATAAGACACACTTGTCGTTATGAAATATTCATTACAGGGAGGGAGAGTATGAGCCCCAAACATTTCATAAATTCATTTCATTAACTTGGAAATTAATTGACTTCCTTCTGCAGTAACTAACAGATTGATTCCTTCCCCTCAGTTTCCTTTCTTGTCTCATTTAAATCAATCAGCTTAATCTATTTCTAGTCAATCATTTTTAAACACAAGGTCTCTATATCAAATATTCCTCATTGCATGTTATATACCCTTCACTCACAAACACACACACACACACACACACACACACACACATACTTAGAAGATATCCATTACTTTTAATTTTTTTCAGATGTAATAAGTTGTTAAAATTAAGTATTTCAATAATTATCCCAGGAAATTCTTACCTCTCAACCTCCCTAACAGCCTTGGAAAAAAATCCAAGCTTTACTTTCCTGCTTCATGAGTTTGTAATTGTGAACATAAAATATTTGCTATGTGTTTGTTGACTCCAGCTTCTTCAGATATTCAGGGTCATCACAAGGAAGCACTGTGATGTGACAATTAAGGACACTGACTCTGGAGCTGACCAACCTGGATGCAAATCCCAGCTCTGCTGCATATGAGTTATGTCACCTGGGGCAAATGCTATGGTTAAATGTCTATCTCCTCCAAAAAGTAGGTTTGAATGTTGTTGAAAATTAATGGCCATTGTGATGATATTGAATGGTGAGAGCTTTAAGAGGTGTCTAGGTCATGAGGGCTTGGCCCCTGTGAATCGATTAATGCCATTATTTCAGAAGTGGCTTTGTTCTCTCTTGCTGTCTTTACCCTTCCACCATGTGAAGCCTACTGCCATGTTATGACCCGTAAGAAGGCCCTCATCAGATGCCAGTACCTTGTACTTGTACTTCTCAGCATCCAGAACTGTGAGGAATAAATTTCTGTTCATTATAAATTACCCAGTCTGTGGTATTCTCTTATAGCAGCACAGAACAGATGAAGACATAAAGTTACCTAATCTGTGCTTCAGTTTTCCAGTATGGAAAATGGCCATAATAGTAGCACTACTACCTCATAAGTGTGATGTGTGGCTTAAACACCAAGTTCTAAGAACAGTGTTTGGCACAAATGAGGTGCTCAATAAATGGCAGCTAGTCACACGTACAGTGGTCACACATCTACCAGGGTTTCAATCAATTGTTAAACAAATAAATCATAAAAATCAATTCTCCTTTTGTGTTATTATCAGTGCAGATACAAATAAGCATGATAATGTAGAATATCTATACTGACCTTAGAATTTTCTCTGGACATATCTTGCAAAATTTTGTTTTGTATTTTATATTTTTGGCATCTACTTCCTTATAAGTTTGACAGGGAAAAAATATAAGTAGAAATTCCAGTTGCATTTTGTATAGTTAGGTTCATTAGTTGCATTAGCTGTTTGGAGCATTAATAGATAATCTAGTAAATAAAGTAATAATTTCTTAAGCACATATAAAATGATTATTAAAAAACTTTTCTGGAAACAAATTCGTATTATGTTATATTTATAAAAATAAAATTACTATAATCTAAAATTTGGTCTAATTATGTACATGAATAAAAATAGAAAGTACTAAAAATCCTGAGTTCTCTATTAACCTGTTAGGAAAATAAGCTTATGTTTCATTTTTACATTGAAACTATGAGAAAGTCAACTTAATTGACAACAGAGAAGGCAAATAAATTAAGCCTTCTACTTTTGTAATAAAGACTAAAAGGAAGAAGTAGTTCACATAGAATTTCCAATTGGAGAAGTATTATACATTGTATAGAATATTTATTCTATTAATAATTTAAAATCAAAAATGTAAAAAATTTTTAAAAGTTGCAATATAAGACATATTCAATAATTAATCCCATTGTTATTGTGATGACAATTTTTATGTTTTATAGTCACATATGATTTCACGGAAAATCTAACTTTTAGAATTTATTAATAGGTTATTTTGCTTGGTTTATGAAAGTTTTAAACTTTTAACATAGATTCATGGTTCAGAGTATGGGATATAATTGGTGGGTGGAAATTAAAGTGAATTCAGAGAGAAACTATTTCCTATTAATTACTTTAGGGTAAAAAAAGATACTTTATTGGCTTGCTCACAAATAGAATAGCTTGACACCTACTTTTATAGAAACATCACTCTTTAAATATCATACCACGTGTCCTCTCTTCAAAATCTATTATTCATGCTGCTGCAGCCAGAGTGGTCTTTTCAAAATACAGATCTCAATATTTGACTCCACTGTATCAAACTCTTCAATTGCTTCTCATTGTCTTCAGGGTAAAAATCCTTAATGGGTCCTACAAGATCTTAGATGGTCTGCTTCAGCCTTCCTCTGCAGGTTCATCAGCATCTTTCTTCACTGCACCCTAACCCTTCAGCATCTCCAGTCACCCAGATGAACAGTTTGATTCTTTAATGAAGACTTTTTAGCCCATCCCCACCAATACACACTCCTGGCTGGATTAGGTCACCAATTAAATACTCTCATAGTGTTAGGTATCTTCTTTGGACCAATTGGCATACATATAATTTCATATGATTGCTATGAAAAATTGATTGTTTCTTTTTCACATTGGGCTATAATTTCTGTAAGGGTGAGAACAGCATCTGTTTTTCACTCACTCTATATCCTCAAGCACAGATCTGGCACATAGTTGGAGCTCAGTATTTGCTGAAAAATTGCATGAGTCAATATAAAATAATAACTTGGAGTTACTTCTGTTGATAATTTCGTGTTAAATCTATCAATGTTAGGATTTGGAATATCATACAAATGATTTCAGAAACAAAATGTACATCCTTACATTTCTTTACTTCAATATCATATTACACGGTGTCACTGCATAAGTACTTTTTGAGTACATCTATGGTTTGCTTACCACACAACAAAATGCTTACACTTTTTAGTATAATAAATGGTAACTTTTTCTTACGTGCAGTTAGAAAGAAAATGTTCCATAAACACCATGTATTGGGACTAATCTACATCACAAAGGAAAAGTCTATTATTCTACTTCCTGGTAGGTAGCATGCAAGTGTTTTTTTTGTAAGATTAGTGACTGCGTGTGCTCATTTACCTGGTTTGGTGCTGGTTAATGCCTGCTGTTACAGTATAATTATAAATAGTACCCACTTTCACTTTAAAAAGTATCCTAATTTGAATGACAAATATATAGGTTAATTCCTTCTAACACTGGCTGCTATTTTGTTTCAACTCTGTTAAAGACTTACAAGGTACAAAACTTTTTATAAAAATCATAGGTAAAACATATGAATAATAAACTCACCTTCCTCATAAGTGGGATTATCATAATGGACTTCTAGGAGCACATAATGCGGATCTAATGGAGTGCCAAGGGATAATCCAACATGAGGTGGATAAGAAAAGCCCTAAATATGGAAAATGCCATGAGACAATGTCCTATGAAAGTCCCTGAGAGCTCTATTCCACTCAAAAACCAGCCATCTTCAAGGATATTTCAACCCTCTGGAACCCCATTCATCTACAATTGATGAAATAAAATAAAAATGACTTAAAGAAAGAATCCCTTCCTACGAAAATGGAGTTAAGCCACCTTCATATCAAAAGTAGCGTTAAAGCTTTACTTCTAAGTATTAATTAGAATCATATTTGTGGCGGGAAATATGATCAGTTAATTGTGTTACATCTCAGTAATCATTAGCCCCACCTCTCCACCAATAGCCCAGGCAAAAATCACAGTTTCACAGGTGAGGAATGCATCGGGCATGTTGGGGTGATAGCACTCGTGGCCGGACTCCAGAACGCTGTCGTTAAAGTTGTTGCTGCACTGATAGAGCAGGATGTGGTGCACCAGACTCTCATGGCCTCTCTGTATCACTGGCTCAACCTACACGAACATAAATGAGAGGGAGGACACAATAAATAAGACCACCCTACAACATCCCACAACAAACGTGAAACTAGCATAAATTACTGTCAGTTTCTCAAAGGGATATTCTTCTCAATTATGTCAAGGTTGTGTAGTTCAAGTCTAATTTGTTCTGGAGACAGTGACAATGGTAAAGATATGATGATGACAACGGCAACAACAAAGATGAGATAACCATTTAATCCAAGAAACAGGACTTTACTAATCGGCTTTTTTTTTGGTTGTTAATTCACTGTCCTGTCCTTTGCCCATTCTGCAGAGCAATTGTTTTGAAAATTGCTTGCTTTTTTCCAGGTTTGCTCTTCCTCCTCCTGCCTCTCACTTTTTTTTAAATTTTTATTATTATACTTTAAGTTCTAGGGTACATGTGCACAACGTGGAGGTTTGTTACATATGTATACATGTGCCATGTTGGTTTGCTGCACCCATTAACTCGTCATTTACATGAGGTATATCTCCTAATGCTATCCCTCCCCACTCTCCCCACCCCACGACAGGCCCTGGTGTGTGATGTTCTCCACCCTGTGTCCAAGTGTTCTCATTGTTCAATTCCCACCTATGAGTGAGAACATGCGGTGTTTGGTTTTCTGTCCTTGGCGATAGTTTGCTGAGAATGTTGGTTTCCAGCTTCATCCATGTCCCTACAAAGGACACGAACACGAACTCATCCGTTTTTATGGCTGCATAGTATTCCATGGTGTATATGTGCCACATTTTCTTAATCCAGTCTATCACTGATGGACATTTGGGTTTGTTCCAAGTCTTTGCTATTGTGAACAGTGCCGGAATAAACATACATGTGCATGTGTCTTTATAGCATTTTTTTTTCACATAGAAAAAAAGAAGTCAAGGCTGTGGGCACAAACGCTCTTAGTCTCCCTCTCTTCCACCTCAAAATGTTATCTTTACCCATCCCTACCAGTGGTGAGAGGTGAGATCTCATTTATCTCTATAAATGCATGGTGCTGAGAAGAAGGCTAGGGCTCAATCATTTTTACTGGTGATTTTATCATCAATGAAATTCAAGAAGAATTAAATTGTAATCTGACCTCCAGATTACAAATTGAGGGTATAGCCTAAAATATGAGGATTTCCTAAGAAAAAAAATCCACCCATGAAACAACAAGGAAACTTACTGCAAGTTTCCTTGCACATTTTATTTTTATTTTAATGATTAAGATCAAAAGCCAATAACAATTTTATTATTAGAATTTGGAAGAGAAAAAAAACATTGTTAGCTATGTGCGCTTGTGACACTGCTCAAATTAAAAGAGGAAAACTAGAAACAAGTAGAATGGGCAGTGAAATTGGTCCTAATGTGGAAAGCGTGATCCACATGAATGTGGTCCTTCCACTGTTTGCTCTGTTAGTTCCCTTCATAACACTTGCCCACTTTAGTCCAAGAACCTAGGAATCAACTCAGAATGAGTGAAGCACACCCTAGCATCCCAGAGATTCTATATGCAGACCAAATGGAGCCTTGTACTTGGTGTAGGTGGGCTGTAGGTGTTGCATCAGTTAGAGCAGGGGTCCCCAATCCAGTACTGGTCCGTGGCCTGTTAGGAACTAGGCCGCACAGCAGGAGGTGAGCAGTGGGCAAGTGAGCAAAGCTTCATCTGTATTTATGGCTGCTCCCCAACACTCACATTACCTCCTGAGATCCACCTCCTGTCAGATCAGCAGTGGCATTAGGTTCTCATAGGAGTGCGAATCTTATTATGAACTAACTGTGCATGTGAGAGATCTAGGCTGCGTGCTCTTTATGAGATTCTAACTAATGCCTGATGATCTGAGGTGGAACAGTTTCATCTCAAAACCATCTCCCCCATCCTCCAGTCCGTGGAAAAACTGTCTTCCATGAAACCAGTTCCCTGTTACCAAAAAGGCTGGAGACCGCTGAGTTACAGGGTTCTTTTTTCTTTCCCCTCAGAGTTCTTGGAATCTTTGTTCAGCTGATAAAGTAGCCCTGGCGTGTTGCTAAATATCCAAGAGTTTAGCCTTAGAGTTCATCAACACTTCTGTGTTTAGTCCTAACTACTCAAATTCAGGCACCGCATTTTAAAATCCTTGCTTGCTCTCTACTTTCAGCATGCACATTTACATGAAGTGTTTTCAGCTCTTTTCTCCTATGGCTTTGTTTTCCATTTTCTCCACAGTTTTTCTCTTTTCTGTAGGGAAATCTAAGCAAGGGGGGAAATGGTATGTAGTGGGTCGTGTCTGAATGGGCAGCCAAGAAATTCCAGTTTTTAAATCCAGTTTTCTTCTGTGTTACATAGCGAGTCATGCCACACCTAAGCCTCAGGTACATTTTCAACATCACATTCATGGAAAAAACATTGCACACGGTTTTGTTTGCACTTGTTTTGTCTCTAAAAGGTCGTGTGGCCTGAAGGCAGAAACTTTTCTATTTTGCTTGAAAAGGGTAGTTATCGTTCAAGCATGGTTGCATAGTAACAATGATTGCACAGAAGTAAAACCCAGAATTTCTATAAGAATTTCATTTTTATGTCTAGTTTGAGCTTCTGTCTGAGACTTGACGTTTTTGGGTTCCTCGGTCCTCCAAGGGGGACAGGGCACTGCTAAGATGTCAACAGTAAAATATTCAGGCACATGTGAGATTTTTGCTAAATACCTCATAAATTCAGGCAGAACCTTAAGGTTGTACTGAGCTCTGTAAGGTAGATCTTGGGAAGAAGCCATTAGGGCAAAGGAGAGTTGGTTACTGTCACGACAGTTTCAGAAACTAGTGGCCTTCATTGAAGTAGAGGAAGAGGGAGTGAAGGGTGTGTGATGCTGGGTGGTGCTTGACTTTGGGGAGCTTCAAATAAACAGCTTGAAAGAAACTTTTAAGAGCAAGTGCTTTTTTTTTTGTCTTCATAGGAAGTGCTAAAACTAACACCAAACTGCAAAGCTACCAATTTATCCCTGGAATAATAATAACATCTGTCTTTTATTTAGACCTACTATCTACTAGCCACATATGAATCATTCTATGTATTTCATTTAATATTTACAACAAATCTATAAGAAAGATGTTATAATCCTTATCTTACAGATTTACTGAAACTCAGAGATTAGACAACAAGCCCAAAGTACCACAGCTGGGAAAGGGTGATGGGATTTTAAACCAGGCTAGTGTGACCCCAAAGTCTGTACTTTCCTACGGCTACACATTATTGTAGGAAGCGTGTTGGAGATGCATCAAGGACCCTGGAAGTTGCTGCCGGTGGGAGGGAGGATGAAAGGCTTCAGTAAGGCAAGTTGCCGACAGCTGTCATCAACAAGGGTGATGACCTCAGGAGCCAATGCCAGAAGGTACTTCTGGAAGCCACTAGCAGGGACCACCACATGCAGATGCCCTCAGAGGTGCAGTGCCAGACTGGGAGTCTTACACCTGGGGAGGGGGCTCATGGCCTCCCTGCCACTCCAGTCCCAGTGCCCCTTGGCCTCTAGGATGAGAAGACAGACCCATGGCCTTTCAAGGTGTTCCTTCTTACAAAGGGCAAATAACAAGGCTTCTCTTTGAAACTTGATGAGGGCTTCAAGAAGAATTAAACTGTAATCTGACCTTCAGATTACAGATTGAGGGTGCAGCCTAAAACATGAGGATTTCCTAAGCAAAAACACCAACCCATAAAACAACAAGGAACCTTGCTGCAAACTTGGGTACTGATCACGGGAGGAGAGGATAAAAAGGCTTGGAAGAAGCAAGCCCTTGGCAAAATAGAAAGGATGTGAGCAAAGACAGGGAAAAAAAGAAAGAAAAAGAAGTGCTTGGAAATGACATGTAAGGATAAATATAAATTAAGAAACTGATAATATGGGAGAAAAAATTACCTGACTATCAAACTCCTGAAAAATAGAAGAATAATTTCTAGAGAGGAAATTTTCAGACCACCATGGGGATATTAAGTGAGACACCAAGAATGTTCCTTAAGGATGGACATAACTTGTTTAGTGGAGGGTACAACTTGAGGAAATGGGAGTACTTTGATCAGTGCAGGACAGGGCCATTGGCTCAAATGCTTAGCACAGGATAGGATTTCCCACAATGCTTCACGCCATGCTTACAAAGCCTGATCAAGCCAGGGCACTGCTACCAATCCCCTGATGGAGGCTGCTCGTTATTTTCTGCTCCCACAACAAGTTCTACAAACATTTTAAGCAGTCAACAAACTTGTGTTTTAAACTATGTTATGCTATTCTTCTTTAGCCAAGGCACCATCTGAGGAAGCAGAGTGAGGCACACACAGAGCTCCATGCCCCTTCCTGCTTGTTGGCTGAATGCTGCATTAACCCGACTTTCTGATGTGCTGGGTAACTGTCCACGGAAAAGACAAGACTTTTGTTTTTGCATTATTATATTACTTGTAATGATGACAGAGTTATACATTTTTTAATTAAAAATACTGAGGCTGGGCCGGGCGCTGTGGCTCACGCCTGTAATCCCAGCACTTTGGGAGGCCGAGGCGGGCAGATCACAAGGTCAGGAGATCGAGACCATCCTGGCTAACAAGGTGAAACCCCGTCTCTACTAAAAATACAAAAAATTAGCCAGGCGTGGTAGCGGGCACCTGTAGTCCCAGCTACTCGGGAGACTGAGGCAGGAGAATGGCGTGAACCCGGGAGGCAGAGCTGGCAGTGAGCTGAGATCGCCCCACTGCACTCCAGCCTGGGCTACAGAGTGAGACTCCGTCTCAAAAAAAAAAAAAAAAAAAAATACTGACCCTGTAATGTATCAGAGTAGCATTTAAAAAGTGTTCCTTATTCTGGTTACTTCACACATTCACATTATTATCACAATCACAGGGGGAATGCCAAGAGTTGCCTCTATTCAAAAATATTAAAATTGTACGAATTATTAAAGAAAGTCATGACCATAGAAAGTATACGAATATAGATATATTGGTATTCCTGACACTGGAATGAACATTTAATTTAATCTTGCTTGTAGCCTGGCTGTATGATGGCAGAAGAAATAAATAAAAAGAAATACAAAGCAGTGCATATGGAAGTGGAGGCAAGACACAAACATGGAAATTCCCCTGATGACATCAAACTATGTTATTGATCCCACATTCTTGTACAAAGGTGGGGTGTACAGACCCAGAATGGTGACAGGCCCGTGAGCTTACCTTCTGATGGCAAAACAGACCAGGCAAGGAGGGCCTGGCAGCCGTGGGTTATTTATTAACTACTGTGTGTATTAAAGGAACAGCCCAGAAACCAGAACACAGACAGAAAGGGAAAGACTTCAACCTGAAAGAGGAAAACAGTCTCTTCCATTAGATCAAGTAACGGGAGCTTTCAGATACACTTGAGATATCTTAGCAAGAAAAGCAGAGAACAACAATAAACAGTTGCTCAAGAGTAGCCAAAACCAAGGTGGAAATTAACACTGACCATAAAGCTGACCTTGACAACGACCGTTTTTCCTAATCTCATCATCTCTTCTTACGCACTTTATCCAGGTCAAATATGCCTCACATAGC
Source organism: Homo sapiens (assembly GCF_000001405.40). Classification (NCBI taxonomy): domain Eukaryota; kingdom Metazoa; phylum Chordata; class Mammalia; order Primates; family Hominidae; genus Homo; species Homo sapiens. The sequence goes on from NC_000006.12 coordinate 132,334,129, forward strand.
CCCTGCAGCACAAAGAGTGCTTAATAACTATTTATTGAATTGAAATAAAATGAATACTACCCTTTCCATGAAGCCAACATCAATGAGGCTGAATCATTAAATTCATTTGCCTCTTAGTTTCTTGATTATCTCCACTATACTGCATCCCACTTCAGCTACTGAATCCCATTGTCACACCCTGCCCATGAGTACACTACCTCTGAAATTCTCTTTCTGTGCCTCTTTCCTTTCCTGTTAGCTCTTTCACACTTTTCCAGTTGCTCAGCCAGCCATTTTCTCCTGGAAGGTCACTGAACTCATCACTCACCAGCACTCACAACTGACCCAAATGCTCAAATGGTGAATCACTCCTGTCATCTGCTCCTTCTCATCCTCCACTAAGGACACTGGAGATAAACTTTATACAAGTATTCGCATGAGACTTCAAAGTTCATAACTCACACTTTTGCCTCAGAACGTCAATCTTTCTTTGGTTTTGCTCTGCATTCTGTTCAGCTCCCTGAAGTGGCTATCCTAAAACCTTTCCCAATTTATGCACACCTCCTAATCAGCTCTCAGCAAATGTCTTCATTATTTTGATGAGAGAGGAAAGCGTTTCTATCCACTCTGTAGCTGCCTGAGGGCAGAGCTGGGGGGATAGAATTTGATGCAAAGGACACAATATGATTGAAAAAATCTTAAATATCAGGAACCCATTTTATATATTCATTTTTTACAATGTAGAAAGTAATGAAACGATTCAAAGAATCTACACTTGGTGGCATCTTATTCTACTTAACTTGAGCTATACAGAGTGGGATGAGACATAGAGAACCTAAGACCAAGTGACTGGGTACAGAGATAATACCAAAAAATTCTATGTGTTGCAGAATTCCCTAGAACTTAGAACGAAGAAAATGTTTCAGAATTTGAGGCAAGAAAATCTTAGGGGAAATGTATATTTCCCTTCAGTGACTGAAAGAATGAGATCTTTGACAAAACTGTGCCTACCTGCTGATCTCTCTTCACCAGCACCTACCCTGAAAACAGATTCAGTTCAAAAAGGGCTTTTTGTGAAAGACACCGAGTATTGGAAAAAAAAAAATCCGTATGGTTTTGGAGGCTTCAAATAGCCAATTACCTAAACAATAATGCTGGCTGAAAGAAACATATTTTTTTTTTTTGCTTTATTTCCCTGTGCTGGGTTGAACAGCGTCTCCTGAAAATTCATGTTTACCTTGAACCTCAGAAGGGGACCTTATTTGAAAATAGGGTTTTTGCAGATGTAATTGGTTGAGAGGAGATCATACTGGATTAAGGTGGGATCTAAATCCAATGACATGTGTCTTTATGAGAGAAAGGAGAGAGAGATTCAGACATAGATACATACAGAGAGAAGATGGAGGCATGAAGATGGAGGCAGAGATTGGAGTGATGCTGCCACAAGCCCAGGAATGCCAGAAGCTACCAGAAGCTGGAAGAGGCAAGGAAGGGGAGTTTTTGGAAGGAACCTGGCCCTGCCTATATCTTGATTTCAGACTCCTGATCTCCAGAGCTGTGAGAGAATAAATTTCTGCTGTTTGAAGCTATCCAGCTTGCAGTCATTTATTACAGCAGCCCTAGGAAATTCATACATCCTCAATTTTCTACCACAAACTAAAAATTTGGAGATTTGTACATTTCTACCTAGGTCATGATTGTCCCTGTCATTGTTTGTGACACGAACTCATCAACTCATCACAAATACACATTTCTCATACATGACTGAAGCTAAATAGGTTTTTTTATTTATAGCTAAATATATGTGTGTCATGCTTTAGCTATTAATTTTGGGGGTAAAGCGGGAGAAAGTACCTTTCTTGTCTTGTCTGATTATACTCAGCAATATGTGAGAAACACAGGGAGGTTACTAGCGCCCTTTTGAACAATTTTCCTGTACTCATTCTTCCAACTCTACCCATTTAACCTGTGGCTCCTTGCTTGTTAAAACATGAGAGGACGAGTGGAACACAGCTCTTCAAAAACAACTTGCAACTCGATAAATTCAAAACTAAAACAAAAGGAGAGAGGCGATGGGTGTAATCTGTAATGAGCTGGAAATTTTGTAAATTCCCATCACTTTTCTTCCTGCCTGTTCTTGTTCCTGGCACCCAGCTTTACATACCCACCTGAGGCACAAGTTGCTGCCCACATAAAAGCCCGTAATCCATCTCTGGAAAAAGTTATCAAGAGGTCAGCTAGCTCCTAAAGTGATGCTGCCTATGGGAACATTTCAGCCAGAACTAACCATGTAGATGGATGAGCATATGATCATGCTGACATGCTCATGTGACAATGGGAGCACAGAGGTATCTGCCCCTCTCTCTCCATGTCTCCTGCCGTATCCTCATCCCTAACAGGAACGGCTCTTTTAGCCTGACAATGTATCCCAGGTATGAGAGACAACCAGAATTAACAAGGAAATGGCATCTTTGCACCACAGACACTCCACTCTGAAGAAGGTAAGGGTGCAATGCAAATCCTGACTTGCTGATGTGGTGTCAAGGGGCCACAGTCAAGGGGCCACAGCATGAATGGACCTGTCAGCTAAAGCACATGAGGTGATGGCAAGAAGAGATGAAGTGGGAAAGAGATGAAGAAAAGGAAGGAAAAAGAGAAGAAATGAGGGCGAGGAGGCTTCTGGGAAATAACTCACCCCTTACTGTAATCCCGAATTCTCATGCGTCTACCATCTTCAAACACAACCTTGCCCTGCCAGCCACAATTGGTAAGTTCAGGGAAGGGTGCCCAGCCTATCTTGGAACTTTTCAAACGACGAAAAAGAATTCAACCCCCTCTAGAAGCTGAATATGAGCTGTGAGGTTCAGCAACCTCCAGGGATGATGTTTCTCAGCACATGAAAGAAGCCAGCATTCAGTGAGATACCATCAAGCAAGCACACAGAGAGGTACCAGAGACAAGATAAGACAGGTTTGGCAGAGTTCGAACACTTCACTGAAGCTGTTCCTGAAACCAGTTGCATCTCTACCAACTGTGGTTTATTTACTCAAGTTTTCCTCTTAATAAATGAATCGATACATTCCTTTCTTTTTCTGAAACTAGTTCAGCTTGGGTTTCTATTACTTGCAAATAAAAGTCCTGATTAATAATCAAACACAAATAAGTATAAATCATCAATTCATTAATATGTATGTGCAATCATGCATGTGCTACCTGAAATTTTTTTCTTCACATTGGAACATTGCCACATAAAATACTTTGCTTTTGTTTTACTCTTCCAGTTTATTTACTATTCTTAATTGGACCTGCGTAAGTTAAAAATAGTTACTTCAGTAAATGCCCTTGAAGAGTAATATGTTGGGAGAGAATCACTTCCTCTACTACATACCTCTACTACATACCAATATCTTTCTCCCTTGCTTATTGATTTCTGAATTTCCACCTAGGCACTTAGGATTAAGGCTATTTGACTTGATGAAAGAGGTAACATGTTATGATTTACAGTCATTTATTTTTAAATATGAATGAATTAGGTCCTTTGGCCAAACACTTCAAGAATATAAAAACAAACAAAACAGAACATTACTTTTAAGACAGTTTATAACACAGCATGCTTAGTGTATATATTGTTGTTTGAATTTTTAATAGATTACTCATGAACTGTAAGGTACCTTCTGTACCTATATTAGCATATATAGTAATTATCAATTACTTGAGATATTCAATACAGCAGAGATCACCTAGAACTTTATGAAAATTTGAAATTAACATATCTATGGCCAACAAGAAGTAGTTAATTTTAAATTCATACGTATATGGCCAGCAAGAAGTAGGAGTGTCCCAGAGGTCCCATCTTGGCTGTGCGACTAACCAGCTGTGGGACATGCCATAAGTAAGTCACATGATAATAGCTCTGCTTCCAATCCAGCTCTAGTCTATGTACAGACTAGATGAATATATATATTCATTTAATCCTCAAAGCAACCTTATGTGTTTAGGTAAAAGAATTATTCCACATTTTACAGATACAGAAGATGAAGCACATATAAGTTAAGAAACTTGCCCAAGTGTCACAGCGCAGATTTGACTCTGGCGGTCTGGATCAAGAATGTGCTCCTGACCACCACGTGATATACTCGTATCTTTATTAGCAGGGTCACGGATGGGACAGCATCAGTGCTCTACCAAGAACACTTCAGATCCCTGGAGCCTTTTCAGTGCACCTACCACCTGGTTCTGTTCTAGGTTCCTCATTTCTAATCACTTGTATCTGCAACTTTCCTCGGAGGACTACCTTGCAGAGAACTAGTGCCACAAAATATACATTCCCCTGGGGCAGGTGAAAGGTATGGAGATGGGGATGTCCAGCAACCTTGCCCAGATGGGACATGTTCTCCATGGGTTTGGGTTGAGGCTGGAACTGCAACAGAATCACACTCTTGCTCAGCTTCTTCTTCCCTTGCCTTACTCTCCCCACCAGCCAACCCCCGACCCAGTGTTTTCTCCTGGCACTTCCTTAGTAAATCAATTGCACATAAATCCATGTCTCAAGGGGATACATTTCAAATAAGACAAGCAGCATAATGGTGGAACATTTTTTTGGAACACATTTTATTGGGTTTGATTCTTGCTTTATTATTTTCTATCTCTATTTCTTTGTTTAACTTCTCACCAACTCGGTTCCTTTAGCAGTAAATTAGTGATAATGAGGCTTACTTATAAGATTATTTAAGCATTCAATGGCTGGTCCATGTGAAGCAACAAATACCTTGTAGGTGCTCAAACAATAGTACTAGTATTACTATCTTAAGTTGGATCCTGAGTTTTTAAATGCAATTTTAACATTTTACACTCACAGACAACAAGTAAGTCTATACAAGTAATCCATTCACAAGTTCCAATATTTCAAAATCTAATTTTAAGGCTTGTATGTCACAAATATTCAGGCAAAAATATTTCCATAAATATTAATGATATTGCAAACTATGTAATCATGAAATATATATTTGTGAGTGCCATCTCAATATATTAAGGATTTGATTTTCTAATTTTTATGTATAAGACTTAGCTATATTTTCTCTACAGAGATCTTTTTCTGAAATATGGCATCCCTCTTTTATCAAAGGCAACTTATTTACATTCACTTGTGTATGTTTATATATAGTTTTAAGTATAAATTTTCCTTATCACTTTGATTTAAAAATGTTTTCGTTCAAGAGATGTTCCTATGAATGAATGTTCATTCTTGGACTCAAATGACAACTCCCCACCCACCAACAAAAGCCCCACCTATATCTACATACTATGTGCTCTTCGTTAGGTGCTGAGGGAGGAAATAATGATGCATCACACATGAATCTGACAGTCTTATGGATCAAATTCTAGAACAGTAGAGAAGCTAAAGCTATATAATAATCATTTTCTGTTGCTTTCCAGCATCAATTCCCCAATATTTTCCTATCAGGAATCCTGAACTTCCGAGCTACATCTTTTGGCTAAGAATGATCCCCAACTTCCTTGGGTGGCCTAAGCCCACTTATGTAATCCCATCCTTGATATGAGCTGAAATTGATCCAATCACAAGGAATCTGTAGACTTTTACATGGTAGCTAAAAGCTATCCTCTCCTTTCCCCTGGATGTGAAAGAGAAACTGTGCTACATCAGAAGTCTGTGCTGCCATTTCTCTACCATGAGGCAAAATAGCCTAAGGATGAAGATAATACAATGTTAAGGGCAAGCTCAAAATGAAGCTACAGCTCTTTTTTTTTTTTTTTTTTCTGTGATGGAGTCTCACTCCGTCACCCAGGCTAGAGTGCAGTGGTATGATCTCAGCTCACTGCAACCTTTGCCTCCCCGGTTCAAGTAATTCTCCTGGCTCAGCCTACCGAATAGCTGGGATTACAGGCATGCACCACCACACCTGGATAATTTTTGTATTTTTAGTAGAGACGGGGTTTCACCGTGTTGGCCAGGCTGGTCTCAAACTGGCTGGTCTCAAACTCCTGACCTTGTGATCCGCCTGCCTCAGCCTCTCAAAGTGTTGGGATTACAGGTGCGAGCCACCGCGCCTGGCCAAAGCTACAGCTCTTGAAATATCATGAACCTCTAGGCTAAGGGATTTGCTTCAAATAAATCCAAGCAACATTCAGTTGAAATAAAAATGGGTTTGATGATGATAATAACTGTCAATGACAATTATTTTCTTCAATCACCCTTTATTTGTTTCTTCCCGTCTTCAGACAAGCAACGAAGGCTGAGGTGACTACTCAAATCTGGATTAACCCATTTCTTGTTTGCTCTGAGAAATGAGCACTGGCAGCAAGCAACACTTTCTTTTTTTTTTTTTTTTTTTTTCTAAATGGGAAATAGGTTAAGGTGGAAATTTTAATTCGGCTATCTGGAAAAATATACATATAAAACAAAGCATTCCCAAAATAACTAATAGCTAAGCCTGGTTCTATAATGTGCTTGAAAAACACTTTTTTAAGAGAACAATGAGTATTTACAACATGCTAAAACAACAAGACTCATTTTTTTTTTTTTTTTTTTTTTTTTTGAGCCGGAGTCTCGCTCTGTCACCCAGGCTGGAGTGCAGTGGCGCGATCTCTGCTCACTGCAAGCTCCGCCTCCCGGGTTCACGCCATTCTCCTGCTTCAGCCTCTGGAGTAGCTGGGACTACAGGCGCCCGCCACCGCGCCCGGCTAATTTTTTGTATTTTTAGTAGAGACGGGGTTTCATCGTGTTAGCCAGAATGGTCTCGATCTCCTGACCTCGTGATCCGCCCGCCTCGGCCTCCCAACGTGCTGGGATTACAGGCGTGAGCCACTGCGCCCGGCAAGACTCATCTTATTTCCCATTTTTCATCTTCAAAGTGTCCTCTAAGTTGCTTTTTAGTCATAGCTATCATCCTAATCCACATCTCTCATTAATCCTATAGGAGTTATAACAATAGTCATCTACTTATCTTCTTGGATGTTGCTATTGGTCTGAATGTGTCCCCCAAAAATTCTCATGTTGAAATTTAATCATCAATGTGATGGTATTAAGAGGTAGGGTCTTTAAGAGGTGATTACATGGATGGGATTAAGGCTATTACAAAAGGGTTTGAAAGACTGGGTTCATTCTCATGCCCTTCTACTTTGTACCATGTGAGGACACAGCAACAAGGTGCCATCTTGGAATCGGACAATAGCTTTCACCAGACAGCAGACACCAATGACAGTGCCTTGACCTTGAACTTCCCAGCCTCCAGAACTGTAAGAAATACGTTTGTGTTCTTTATACATTGCCCAGTCTAAAGTATTTTGTTATAGCAACACAGACTAAGACATGTTTAGTAACTTGCCTTTTGGAGAACACTCTATTTCCCAAGCAGATGATCTTCCCAAATCGCACTTTTCACCTTGTTAATCTGACCAATCATATTCAATGGCTCCACACTGCCCGTCCTGTAGCTGATAAAGTCAGTACTTCTTTTTCTGACATTCAGGGCTCACTGTCATTAGCTGCATGTTACCCCCATGGTCCCATATGCATGAATTCCAGTCATAGAAATCCCTTCCCTTTATGCACTATGTTCATTCTTACACTTACGATTTCATTCGTGCTGTTTTCCCCATCCAATAAGTCCCCCTTATGCAACTTTGCTTATTTAAATCCTATTCATTTTTGAAAGCTCAAGTTTTGTTTTCCCTGGATGCTTATGTGATTATTTTGGCTCACATTTGCCCTGTTGCTCAGAACTTCTTTCAGGAGGCAGTACTATGTGGTAGCTTAAAGCCAAAGACTTGGTTTGGAATCCAAGGTCTGCCCCTTACTAGTTGTGTGACCTGAGGCAAATTACTTAACCTTACTGAAACTCAGTTACTTTAGTTATAAAATAGAAATACAAATCAGCTTTTTTTTTTTCTTTGAGATGGAGTCTCGCTCTGTTGCCCAAGCTGGAGTTCAGAGGTGTGATCTCGGCTCACTGCAAACTCCACCTCCCGGATTCAAGCAATTCTCCTGCCTCAGCCTCTCAAGTAGCTGGGATTAGAGGCATGTGCCACAACACCCAGCTAATTTTGTATTTTTAGTAGAGATGGGGTTTCACCATGTTGGCCAGGCTGGTCTCAAACTCCTGACCTCATGATCTGCCTGCCTCAGCCTCCCAAAGTGCCAGGATTACAGGCGTGAGCCACCACGCCTGGCCCAAATCAACTTTTAATCTATTACAAAAACTAAAGGAGAAATGTGTCTAGCACATAATTTGTTGTAAACATTAGTTTAAAACTATACTCAGTTCTGTACAATTTATCACATATGTAACTTTTTTACTGAATGCAATTATTTCATATGCAAATTTTTTCTCCTTAGTTGGAGTAACAGTTCATTGTTTTACTACTTGCTGCCAATTCATTACATGGGGCTGACTTTTTTTAAAGCCTTTGTTATTTGTGTATGAGTGTCTGTGTGTGTGTAATTAAGAAAACACAACATGAAGATTAGATCTTGCTATTCTTTGACATGCTATTGCATACATCTCTATAGGTATGAGCTGTTTTTAAATGATACATGAATTGTTTTTTAGTTTAACCTGTATTTCAAATTCCAGCATTTCACAGAGTCAAATGCACATACAGTTCATACAGAGTAGATATATATAATTTTGCTTTTTCATGCTGCAGAAAAAATGATTCAGAGAACTTTTCCAATAGTTTTTTGGTGGTTTCGTTTGTTTCTTTCAGTCAATACATGCGCTTCAATTCAGCAATACATCAAAGGGGTGAGTATATCTGAATTTCTGCCAGTCCTATGCAGGATAGATAGATGCACATGTACTAACATGTTTTATGGAGGATGAAAAACTGCAGAAATGGGCAATATACAGGAACATAACTCCACATCACAGAACGACAAAGGAGACAGAACTATGCACTAAAAAAATGCTTGAGTACTACAACTTTATTTTATGTGACCCATCCTCCTATCCTGGGGAAGTAAAGATTAACAGAAGAAATTCAAAGCAACATTAAACTAAGGAAAGATAAGTAAACATTAAATTACCAAAATAATGGAGAAATTATTTGCAACACTTATATCAAACAAAAGGCTTAATTCCCTTAATATAAAAAGTTCTGATAAAACAAGTCAAAAAACAAAATGGTGAAAATGGGCAAAATACATGAATCAAAACTTCATGGAAGTCTGGGCACAGTGGCTCATGCCTGTAATCCCATCACTTTGGGAGACTGAGGTGGGCGGACCACCAGAGGTTGGGAGTTCAAGACCAGCCTGGCTAACATGGTGAAACCCCGTTTCTACTAAAAATACAAAAATTAGCTGGGCATGGTGGTGCACACCTGTAATATCAGCTACTCAGGAGGCTGAGGCAGGAGAGTCACTTGAACCCAGAAGGCAGAGGTTGCAGTGAGCCGAAATTGCACCACTGCACTCCAGCCTGGTCAACAGAGTGAGACCCTGTATCAAAAAAAAAAAGTCCATGGAAAAGAGATCCACATGGTTACAAACAGAGAAAAAGGTGTTAAATAAATATATTGAATTCAATATACTGAAATGAAAACAACAATGACATACCTATCAGATTGGCAATATTCACCTATCAGTTTGGCAACATTTAAAAAGTCTGTCAATAGGCGATTTGAATAGAAAGAATATAATAGCATAAAACCGGAAATAATTTAATATTGTTATTTAAATTATATTAAATTCAGATATTCATACAATAATAAAATGGATCTATACATACTGAAGGGGAACATTTTTCAAAAGGTACTGTCAAATATTAAAAGCAAGTGTCAAAATACATAGTGTTATCCTATCAGGATCTAAAAGTTAAAACAAGAAAGTCATATATACATATAAGATATATGAAGTTTTTTCTATATCTATTAAGAGAAAGGAATGAAAATATAAACAGAAATAGACATAAAGGTATTGATTTCATATGTATAGACAATTTCAGAAAAATACAAGAAAACATTTATGATGGCTTTATAAGCAGTGACACTTGAGTAGTATTAATAGAAGTTAGGGCATTTTACTTTTCACTTTACAATCTTTTATATTTGAGTTTTTACAGTAAGCAAATATTAATTTTACAGTGTATTTTTAAAAATTCTGGTTTCATTGCTTACTAACTGAATGGCCCATGACAACTTGACAACTTAATTAACTGTATGAGTCTCTGTTTCCTACCACACAAGGTGATCATGAGGATTGCATGAGATAAAAAATCCCACACAGGAGAAGAAAGTCTTCTCAGTAAATGACCTGAGGTCAGCTGGTTATTCATATGGGGGGAAAAAAATCAATCTTGACTCTGATAGCGGCAGGAGGCAGACAAATTCCTAGGCAGATAGGGGCGGGTCCCTGGTGAAACCTGACCTTCAAACTAAAGACAATTTAAAGCCTGAAAACCAAGCCACAAGTCTTGGATAAATCCACAGACTGGATTGAGAACCTCTGTTCCCATTTGGCGCACATTCCTTTGATTGATCCCCACCCTTCACCTATTTAACACATATCTACCCTTCCCTAATTGGTGTTTTACGCTGTTGTACCACCTTTGAGTGGTGTCTTTATTTTAGCCTTTTTTGCATACTCACAAACCAATCCACACACATTCTCCTATTCTGAACTCATGAAAGTCCCAGACTCAGCCACACTGGGGGACTGACCACCTTTGAGTTGAGAGCACTACCCAACTTTGGGTAAATAGGCTGCCCAACTCGTGTCTCACTCTCTGCTGAAAGCTGTTTCATCACTCAGTAAAACTCTCCACCCTGCTGACTCTTCAGTTGTCCAAGTAATCTCATTCTTCTTGGACATGGGACAAGAACCCAGGACCCGCCAAACAGCAGGTGCAAAAGGAGCTATGTGACAGGAACCAGCTGCCCTATGTGACAGGAACCAGCAGCAGAGCCAGGCCAACCCAGGGGCCACGGTCCAGAGTGGGGCAATGGGAACAAATGAGCAGAGGTTCCATCGGCCACAGAATTTTCTGGCTTGCAAAGTGGCATCGAAAAACATCTTGTGTCATTTCCTACCCCACACTATAAACTATAAAATGTCAATTCCAGGTAAATTTTAGGTTTAAATGTAAAAGCCTAAAATAATATTTGTAGCAGATAACATAGAAAAATACTATCATGTTGTTGGATTCAGTGTTATAGTGTTTTTGAGAATTTCTGTGTCTACATTTATGAGGAATAATGGTCTGTAGGTTCTTTTTTGTGATGATTTTGTCTATCTATATTATCTGCTTAATGCTGGCCTCACAGAATAAATTGGTAAGTTTTTCTTCCTCTTCTAAAAAAAAAGAATAGAAAAGAAAAGAATTCCATACAGTGCAGGGTATATATAAAGCATTTATCCTATTAGTTCTCAAAATGTTAGTTCTCATAATCTCCATCCATTATCTGTCTATAATATTTCCTTGAAAACTACATTCATTTTATATTTGTGGTAAGCTATCATACTTAATTAGATAATAGTCTCCAAAAGCCTTTGAAAATATTTACTTCCCTATTACTGAGTCAATGCAACATAATTTATCTCCTCTTATTTTTTAATGTAAAATTTGTATTTAGAGTAATAACTGACTAGGAAGGATTTTGAGCTGTGTTTCTAGAACAACGGAGTTTTCTTCTGTAAACCCAATTATATCCTCTGAGTTTTTAGGCCTTTAGAATAACTAAAGGAGTCTTTTTTTTTTCTTTAACCTAAATCTGCTGTCAAGATTGACAGACCAAATGACAGATGCCAGTACATGTGGCTTTACCTCCAACCAGTTACATCTCCTGATGGGGGGATCCCAGCAAAGACACCAAGACCCTTCTTTGGTTCTGTATCAAACATTTTCTGTTTCTCTGGATTACATTTTGCTTTTTTGGTCTCCTTTGAAGTTATAGTTGTGGGTCTGTTTTTTTGTTGTTGTGTTGTTGTTGTGGGGGATGGGGGGATTTTTTTTAATGATTTCAAGGCCTAATAATTCTATCCAAGAAAGGGCAGAACTTAATTACTAACACATGATTCTCATGATAAAATACCAGAGCCCAAATTAGAAGAAAGAAAAAAACTTAGGTTTTTACTTAGTAAAATATAACTTACATATAAAAATAACCAATTTAAATATGCATGTCTTTAAACTAACTTCCTTTTAATAAAAGTTTTCATATCCTGAAACTTCTAGTACCTGTGTTTATATGTAATTTGTCATGGTTTTGGCAATTTTAAATAAAGTATATTATTTTAGCACTTATTCATCATAATTTAAGGATTTTATTTAATGAAAAAATGTAATAAATGGCCCATCTTTTTTTTCTAGCAGCAGGGGAATAACATCAATGACATTTTTTATTTCTCTGAGCATAGTCTAAAGGCTAAATCTAATTGTAGGCAATACAAATTAATAATATTGCTTCATGCAGAATTCTATGTTGGTTTTTATCCAAAGGTCTAGAATTCACTGGCCTTTTAAATGCCTGCAAAGTAAGTTCTGTTCTATCTGGTAATGAAAGCAGGAGAAATTTATGATAAGTGGTCTCTAAGGTACAAAATAAATTTGCTTTAGAACCGATAATAAGTCCAGGTCTTTAAATCATATTTTTTTGCCCCTTCCATGTACGATCTGCAAGTAGCACAGCAGAGCTGTTTTTTGATTAACTAGATGCATAATCCACAGTGCCACCCATTCAAAATGCATTTGTCCCAGGAACAAAATAAATTTTTTGAACATTGTTTACAACTCCCCATTATTGGCTTGAGTCTAGATTTGAGTCTCTCATCCAACAAGCATTTACTAAACGCTATAAGAAACTGTACCCAAGGCTGCAGATCTAAGCCACAATTGGATCAATTGTCAAGGAGTTAAAGTTTTATGATCACGTAAAAGATAAATTCCACTAAAAAAGGTGCTAATATACAATAATAGCTATCGTTTGTGAGTGTTTATATGTACCAAGGACATTACACAAGTTATCACATTTAATCTTTATACGACACTGAGACTGGTATTACTGTCTTCATTTTGCAACCAAGAAAATTGAGGCACAATTAAGTAAACTGAAGAAATTAACACGTATTCTTAGTGGCAGGCTTAGATTTGCACCCTGGTCCAACTGGTTCAAGTTTCATTCTCCGGGTGACTGATTGTCTACCTTTCTTATCTGTACAGGATACAGTGGAGATACAAGGGAGGGAGCTATGGTCAGAAAAGGAATTAAAATAAGGTTCAAAATAATTTTGTACTTTAATTTTGTAGGACTGTTTCAAAATGTCATTTGGGCTGGGTGTAGTGGCTCACATCTGTAATCCCAGCACTTTGGGAGGCCGAGGCAGACAGATCACTTGAGGTCAGAAGTTAGAGACCAGCCTGGCCAACATAGTGAAACCCCATCTCTACCAAAAATACAAAAATTAGCCAGGTGTGTTGGTGGGTGCCTGTAATCCCAGCTACTTGAGAGGCTGAGGCAGGAGAATCGCTTGAACTCCGAAGGTGGAGGTTGTAGTGAGCCAAGATTGTACCACTGCACTCCAGCCTGTGCGACAGAGTGTGATCCTGTCTCAAAAAAAAAAAATTATTTGATTTATTTTATGGAGTGTTGCCCTCTAGTTGGAAAAGGGATAGCAAAAATATTTAAAAGACTATGCTTAACTTCTTGCAGAATTTGTGGTGAACCATTGCTACAATGAAGAAATACAGTCTTTTATAAGTCATGAAAGTTAAACAAATAAATGAATAGGAGTGGATGACTTTTTTAGTTCTCACTCTTCTCTCTTTTTTTTTTCTTATTCTCCATGTGTTTGAACATGAGGCCCCCATTTAAAAAGTTCTCATTTATAGAACAGTTCCATGAAAAAGAGAAAACAAACTAAACTCAGGCTATGGCTGCATTAAATAAACACTGGCCTTCATGTCCGTGGGTGAATCTCCATCCTAGGTAGATACCCCCGACTCCAGGAAGTCTGTTTATCTTAGTAAAGAGGTTCACACTGAACTCACTTTTTCAAAGGTCCTAAATCTCCTGTTGCTTTCCAGATACTGCATAAGAAAGTATTTTCCTATAGATGTAGGTTTCTTGAGAGGAAGGCAACTGTCTTATTAATCTTTGGGTTTATTTGATTGTTTGCATTTTATTTAATTTGCAAAGTTAACAGAAAAAATAATGTAACATCATTCATATAACAACCACCCAGGATTCTGTAATTTTTACTTTGCTATTTATCTTCACCCTAACTTAATCCAGTACATTTCAGTGCACTTCAGTGTTCCCACTGGGTACTCAAATGTTGAAGTGACCTGCCAAACTCAAAGATCAAGGTGGGTCCCAAGGACAAACGCAAGGGTCATTAGTCTTACAAGTCTGATTTGTTTTTTTCCCTAAACTTGTCAACATCTCCTTTAAGTTAAGCCTAAAATAACTTTTGCAATTAATACTTTTTGTCAGAGTTTAAATATTCTCAGGTATGCAGCCATAAAAACTACATTAAAATGGATGTACATATGAAGAAAACATATAAAAAACACGGGTGATTTATTCCATATTGTATAAAAACCACACTTAATCTAAATGTTGTAATTCACAACCTGCATAAGTTTTCAAAGAAAAATTTACAGTTTCAGGAATGTGGCCAATCTCTTTTCTTGGCAGATAAAGGAAGAAATCTAACAAAAGAGCATATAAATCAAGTTATGATAATGGTTCCAAAAAAGACTGCATTGTCTTCACTCCCCGCTAAACCAGCATTTCTTTTTGGATTTTTACTAAAGTCCTAACCCCTAACATCAAAGAAGGTGCCAAGTCTTTCATCTTCTACCTGCACAGTAACCCTTGTGTGTATTCTCTCCTTATTTATTTTTATTTTATTTTATTTTTTATTTTTCCAAGGGTTACGGGGGCACAGGTAGTATTTGGTTACATAAGTAAGTTCTTTGGTGGTGATTTGTGAGACTTTGGTGCACCCATCACCTGAGCAGTATACACTGCACCTTATTTGTAGTCTTTTTATCCCTTGCCCACCCCCACCCTTTCCCCCAAGTCCCCAAAGTCCATTGTATCATTCTTATGCCTTTGCGTCCTCATAGCTTAGCTCCTATATATCAGTGAGAACATACAATATTTGGTCTTCCATTCCTGAGTTACTTGACTTAGAATAATAGTCTCCAGTCTCATCCAGGTTGCTACAAGTGCTGATAATTCATTCCTTTTCATGGCTTAGTAGTATTCCATCATATATATAGATATATTCCATCATATATATATATACATGTATATATATATACACATATATATACATATATATATATATACATATATATATATACATATATATATATATACATATATATATATACATATATATATATATACATATATATATATACCACAGTTTCTTTATCCACTCATTGATTGATGGGCATTTGGGTTGGATCCATGATTTTGCAATTGCGAAATGTGCCGCTATAAACATTCGTGGGCAAGTATCTTTTTCATATAATGACTTACTTTCCTCTGGGTAGATACCCAGTAGTGAGACCACCAGATCAAATGGTAGTTCTACTTTTAGTTCTTTAAGGAATCTCCACACTGTTTGCCATAGTGGCCTTACTAGTTTACATTCCCACCAGCAGTGTAGAAGTGTTCCCTGATCACCGCATCCACACCAACATCTCCTGTTTTTTGATTTTTTGATTATGGCCATTCTTGCAGGAGTAAGGTGGTATTGCACTGTGGTTTTGATTTGCACTTCCCTGATCATTAGTGATGTTGAGCGTTTTTTCAAATGCTTGTTGGCTATTTGTATATCTTCCTTTGAGAATTGTCTATTCATGTCCTTAGCCTACTTTTTGATGGGATTGTTTGTTTGTTTTCTTACTGATTTGTTTGAGTTTGTTGTCAATTCTGGATATTAGTCCTTTGTCAGACGTATAGATTGTGAAAATTTTCCCCCACTCTGTGGGTTGTCTGTTTACTCTGCTGACTATTCCTTTTGAGGTGCAAAAGCTCTTTAGTTTAATTAGGTCCCAACTATTTATCTTTGTTTTTATTGCATTTGCTTTTGGGTTCTTGGTCATGAAATCCTTGCCTAAGCCAATGTCTAGAAAAGTTTTTCCAATGTTATCTTCTAGAATTTTTATAGCTTCAGGTCTTAGATTTAAGTCCTTAATCCATCTTGAATTAATTTTTGTATAAGGTGAGAGATGAGGATCCAGTTTCACTCTCCTACATGTGGCTAGCTTATTATCTCAGCACCATTTGTTGAAAAGGGTGTCATTTACCCACTTTATGTCTTTGTTTGCTTTGTCGAAGAACAGTTGGCTGTAAGTATTTGGGTTTATTTCTGTGTTCTCTATTCTGTTCCATTGGTCTATGTGCCTATTTTTATACCAGTACCATGCTGTTTTGGTGACTATGGTCTTATAGTTTGAAATCAAGTGGTGTGATGCCTCCAGATTTGTTCTTTTTGCTTAGTCTTGCTTTGGCTATGCAGGCTCTTTTTTGGTTCCATATGAATTTTAGAATTGTTTTTTCTAATTCTGTGAAGAAAGAATGATGGTGGTATTTTGACGGGGACTGAATTGAATTTGTAGATTGCTTTTGACAGTACAGTCATTTTCACAATATTGATTCTACCCATCCATAAGCATGGGATGTGTTTCCATTTGTTTGTGTCATCTGTGATTTCTTTCAGCAGTGTTTTGTAGCTTTCCTTGTAGAGGTCCTTGGCCTCTTTGGTTAGGTATATTTCTAAGTTTTTTGTTTTTGTTTTTGTTTGTTTGTTTGTTTGCAGCTATTGTAAAAGGGGTTGAATTCTTGATTTGATTCTCTGCTTGGTCACTGTTGAAGTATAGAAGAGCTACTGATTTCTATACCTTAATATTGTATCCAGAAACTTTGCCAAATTCTTCTATCAGTTCTAGGAGCTTTCTGGAGTCGTCTTTGGGGTTTTCAAGGTAAATGATATCAACAGCAAACAGGGACAGTTTGACTTTCTCTTTACTGATTTGGATGCCCTTTATTTCTTTCTCTTGTCTGATTGCTCTGGCTAGGACTTCCAGTACTATGCTGAAGAGGGGTGGTGAGATTGGGCATCCTTGTCTTGTTCCAGTTCTCAGAGGGAATGCTTGCAACTTTTCCTCATTCATTATTATGCTGGTTGTGGGTTTGTCGTAGATGGCTTTTATTATATTGAGGTATGTTCCTTGTATGCCGACTTTGCTAAGAGTTTTAATCGTAAAGGGATGCCAGATTTTGTTGGATGCTTTTTCTGCATCTATTGAGATGATCAGGTGATTTTTGTTTTTAATTCTGTTTATGTGCTGTATCACATTTACTGACTTGCCTATGCTTAACCATTCCTGCATCCCTGGTATGAAACCCACTTGATCATGGTAGATTATCTTTTTGATATGTTGTTGGATTTGGCTAGCTAGCATTTTATTAGGGATTTTAGCATCTAAGTTCATTGGTTATATCGGTCAGTAGTTTTCTCTTTTGGTTATGCCCTTTCCTGGTTTGGGTATTAGGGTGATGCTGGTTTCATAGAATGAATTAGGGAGGGTTCTCCCTTTCTCTATCTTGTGGAATAATGTCAAAAAGATTGGTACCAATTCTTCTTTGAATGCCTGCTGTGAATCCGTCTGGCCCCGGACTTTTTTATTGTTGGTAATTTTTTAATTATCCTTTCAATCTCACTGCTTGCTATTGGTCTGTTCAAGGTATCTAATTTTTCCTGATTTAAGCTAGGAGAGTTGTATTTTTCCAGAAATTTATCCATCTCTTCTAGGTTTTCTAGTTTATGTGTATAAAGGTGTTCAAAGTAGCCTTGAATGATCTTTTGTGTTTCAGTTATCAGTTGCAATATCTCCCATTTTGTTTCTTAATGAGGTTATTTGGATTTTCTCTCTTCTAGGTTAATCTTGTTAATGGTCTATCAACTTTATTTATCTTTTCAAAGAATCAGCTTTTTGTTTCATTAATGTTTTGTATTGTTTTTTGTTTGTTTGTTTCCATTTCTTTTAGTTCAGGTCTGATCCGGGTTATTTCCTTTCTTCTGCTGGGTTTCGGTTTAGTTTGTTCTTGTTTCTCTAGTTCCTTGAAGTGTGACCTTAGAATGTCAGTTTGTGCTCTTTCAGTCCTTTTGATGTAGGCATTTAGGGCCGTGAACTTTCCTCTTAACACCACCTTTGCTGTATCCCACAGATTTTGATAGGTTGTGTCATTATTGTCATTCAGTTCAAAGAATTTTTAAATTTCTATCTTGATTTCATTTTTGACCCAATGCTCACTCAGGAGCAGGTTATTTAATTTCCATGTATTTGCATAGTTTTGAAGGTTCTGTTTAGAGTTGATTTCTAGTTTTATTCCACTGTGGTCTGAGAAAGTGCTTGATATAATTTCAATTTTCTTAAATTTATTGAGGCTTGTTTTATGGCCTATCACGTGTCCTGTCTTGGAGAAGGTTCCATGCACTGTTGAAAAGAATGTGCATTCTGCAGTTGTTGGATGAAATGTTCTGTATATATCTGTTAAGTCCATTTGTTCCATGGTATAGTTTTAATCCATTGTTTCTTTGTTGACTTTGTCTTGATGACCTGTCTAGTGCTGTCAGTGGAGTATTGAAGTCCCTCATTATTATTGTGTTGCTGTCTATCTCAATTCTTAGTTCTATTAGTAACTGTTTTACAATTTTGAGAGCTCCAATGTTACGTGCATGTATGTTTAGGATTGTGATATTTTCCTGCTGGACAAGGCCTTTTAACATTATTTAATATCCCTCTTTTTCTCTTTTAACTGCTGTTGCTTGTTGCTTTAAAGTCTGTTTTGTCTGATGTAAGAATAGCTACCCCTGCTTGCTTTTGACGTCCATTTGCATGAAATGCCTTTCTCCACCCCTTTACTTTAAGTTTATGTGAGTCCTTACGTGTTAGGTGAGTCTCCTGAAGGCAGCAGATAGTTGATTGGTAAGTTCTTATCCATTCTGCAGTTCTATATCTTTTAAGTGGAGCACTTAGGCGATTTACATTCAATGTAGTATTGAGATGTAAGGTATCATTGCATTCATTGTGCTATTTGTTGCCTGTGTACCTTGGATTTTTTGTTTTTTGTTTTTGCTTTTTAAATTGTATTTTTGTTTTATAGGTCCTATGTGATTTATGCTTTCAAGAGGTTCTGTTTTGATGTGTTTCTGGATTTGTTTCAAGATTTAGAGCTCCTTATAGCAGCTCTTGTGGTGCTTCCTTAATAGTGGCGAATTCTCTCAGCATTTGTTTGTCTAAAAAAGACTATATCTTTCCTTCATATATGATGCTCAGTTTCACTGGATACAAAATTCTTGGCTGATAATTGTTTTGTTTGAGGATTCTGAAGATAAAGCCTCAATTCCTTCTCGCTTGTAGGGTTTCTGCTGAGAAATCTGCTGTTAATCTCATAGGTTTTCCTTTATAAGTTAACTGGTGCTTTTGTCTCGTAGGTCTTACACTTCTTTCCTTCATCTTAACTTCATCATAACCTGATGATGATGTGCCTAGGTGATTATCTTTCTGTGATGAATTTCCCAGATCTTCTTTGTGCTTCTTGTATTTGGATGTCGAGGTCTCTAGCTAGGCCAAGGAAATTTTCCTTGATTATCTCCCCAAATATGTTTCCAAACTTTTAGATTCCTTTTCTTCCTCAGGAATACCTCTTCCTTATTCTTAGGTTTGGTCATTTACCATAATTCCAGACTTCTTGGAGGCCTTGTTTATATTTTCTTATTTTTTCTTTGTCTTTGTTGGATTGGGTTAATTTGAAGACCTTGTCTTTGAGCTCCGAATTTCTTTCTTCTACTTGTTCAATTCTATTGCTGAGACTTTCCAGAACATTTTGCATTTCTATAAGAGTGTCCAAGGTTTCCTGAAGTTTTGATTGTTTGTTCTTTAACAATCTATTTCCTTAAATATTTCTTCCTTCACTTCTTGTATTGTTTTTTGGATTTTCTTGCCTTTCGCTGGTGTCTCCCTGATTAGCTTAATAAGTAACCTCCTGAATTCTTCTTCAGGTTAATCAGGGATTTCTTCTTGGTTTGGATCGATTGCTGGTGAGCTAGTGTGATTTTTTGGGGGTGTTAAAGAGCCTTGTTTTGTCATATCACCAGAGTTGGTTTTCTGGTTCCTTCTCATTTGGGTAGGCTCTGTCAGAGGAAAAGTCTACGGGTGAAGGCTACTGTTCAGATTATTTTGTCCCAGGGGATGTTCCCTTAATATAGTACTCTCCCCTTTTTTCTATGGATGTGGCTTCCTGTGAGATAAGCTGCAGTGATTGTTATATCTCTTCTGGGTGTAGCCACCCAGCAAGTCTACCAGGCTCCAGGCTGGTACTGGGGTTTGTCTGCACAGAGCCCTGTGATGTGAACTGTCTATGGGCCTCTCAGCCATTGATACCAGCACCTGTTCCAGTGGAGGTGGCAGGGAGATGAAATGGGCTCTGTGAGGGTTCTTACCTTTGGTGATTTAAAGTTCTATTTTTGTGCTGGTTGGCGTCCTGCCAGGAGGTGGCACTTTCCAGAGAGCATCAGCTGTGGTGGTACGAAGAGGAAGTGGTGGTGGGCGGGGCCCTAGAACTCCCAAGAGTATATAGCGTTTGTCTTCAGCTACCAGGGTGGGTAGGGAAGGCCCATCAGGTGGGGGCAGGGCTAGGTGTGTCTGAGCTCAGACTCTCCTTGGAAGGGTCTTGCTGCAGCTGCTGTGGGGAATGGGGGTGAGGTTCCCAGGTCAATGGAGTCATCTACCTAGGAGGATCATGGCTGCTTCTGCTGAGTCATGCAGGTTGCCAGGGAAGTAGGGGAAAACCAACAGTCACAGGCCTCACTCAGCTCCCACACAATCTGAAGGGCTGGTCTCCCTCCCATCATGCCCCTCCCCCAACATCCTGTTTCCAGGCAGTAGATGAGCACGGCTTGAGAACTTGCCCCAGACTAGCCACTTCCCAGGTGCAGAAGAAAAAGGATTTGGTTCTTCCCTCACCCGTGGAGTCTGCACACCAGATTCGTGCCCTTCCCCAGGTTCTGGCCAGGAGGCTTCTTGCTGGATTCAAATTGTTACAAAGTTCAGCTGGGGACTTCCTTCTCCCTGTGGCATTTTACCCTGTGCCTCTGGTCACCCTCCCAAAAGATCCCTGTGGTACCAAGCAGGGATGGCATGCTTAGGGACCCAGTGAGCTCCCAGGTCCTTTCCCACTGCTTCCTCTATCCCTGTATTTTGCTCAGCTCTCTAAATTGACTCAACTCCAGGTAAGGTCAGAAAGTTCTCCCACAAACTAGACCTTCAGGGGTTGGAGTCTATCACCATTCTCCGGTATGTAGGCTGGGCCTGCTTCTTATGGCAGGAGCAATGGCGTGCTAATCCCAAACCAAGCCTCAAGTGGCCTTACAGTTTCTACTCTCTCTTTTGGAACTGTGCCATCACCATTTGAACAAGCCCAGTCTAGACTTCTAGAGAACAAGATACTATAAAGGAGAGCCCACTTGTTCAGCTGAGGCCTCCTAGACCTGCTTACAACCAGCTGACTCCCAACAAGAAGAGAGAGCCCAGGCACTATTAGAAAGCTGCATACCCAACCCAAGCTGGTTACATACCTGTTTGTAGCCCAGCTACAAACAGAAGAACCACCAAGCTGACTTGTAAACTATAACATGTGCTTCTTCATTTAAAGCTTATTTAAAGTTGTTGAACTTTGGGTTGGTTTGGTTCACAGAAATAGCTAACCAATAAAAATGAATAAAAAATTCTGGTATGTTCAGAAAATGAAATTCAAAGATGAAAATGAACACATTATTTTCTACAAACAACATGGCCAACTTGCACATCCCGTTCGGCAAAAAAAGCCAGACACAGAAGAGCACTAGCGTTTCTGTCTACCTACAAAAAATTCACAACAGGCAAAATTAGTAAAGAGTGATTTAAGTCAGCAAACTGGTGACCTCTGGGGACAGACAGTACCTGGGAGGGGACGCAAAGGACGCTTCTGAGTTGATACTCTATTCTTGATCTTGATTCTGGTTTCATGAGTCAGTTCACCTTATGAAAATTCAATGAGTTTTATACTGTTTGTGCACTTTTATCTAGGCAATTCAATAAAAGAATGTTTTAAAAAGAAATCGGTAAAGGGTTGAACAGCAAACTGACAGAAGAGAGCATAAAAAGAGCATAAGCCTCACTAGTAGTCTAAGGAAAGCAAGCCAAAGCAATCAGAAATATTAGTTTTCATCCATTAACAGGCAATAAATTTAAAAGACTAAAATATCCAGTGCTCAAGAAGGGATGAGAAAATATTCACATACAGCTAGTGTGTGAATTTTATAAAGTAATCTGACAAATATATTAAAGTTTGAAATACATGTAATCTTGATTCAATCCATTTAGCAATCTAGCGTATAGGAATGAAACCACCAATACATAACGATATACTTACAAGAACATTTACTGAAGCAATGTTTATGGTAGCAAAAAGCTTACAACATCTTGAATGTGCATCAAAAGTGTATGGCTGCAAAAATTATGGTTTATACATAATAGGAGATTAAATTATGTAAACATTAAAAATAATGTGTTATAATATTTTGTCCAGTAATGATGAGGGCATTAATTTGAAAAGCAAAATTCAAAGTAATAGATATAGAGTGATCCTAATTTGTTTACAAATAAAAGAGATTAACCCAAAAAAATCCTATATAAATGTTGTAAATGTTTTCTTCAGCATAAAGTTTTAGAAAAATACAAATAAATCTGTTAGCATTAGTCACCTCAGGAAAGTAGAATTTGGAGAAAGAGGGCACTACTACTTTTTATTTTATATATTTTTTACTTTTTTACTTATTATGAGAAGTATATATTACACTGGAAATGAAACAAATACACGTTAGAAAATATTCTCATATTAGAAAATAAAGTGTTCTCTAGAGAAAAAAACTCCTTAATCTTTCAAATGATGAGAGATAAAAACTCAACAGTTGTGACCTCTTTGCAAGATTGTTAAAAGCCAGTCCAGAAGCACATCATATCACATATGAATTTTATCTGATTATTAATTCAAGCTGAAGAAGAAATAAATTATCCCATAAAATATCTCTTAGCACTTGGAGTAAATATAGTTTGAAAAAAATGTGACTGAACTAACAATCTTTTGGAAAATTCTATTTGCTATATGAGTGGAAAATATTACTCAGAGTACTGACATTTCCTGTTTACCACTGAAAAAAGAACTTAGTTCTCTAACCTTGTAAATGTAATTCAACTGTGAATCTTACAAACACTTACAATAAGAGTTTGCCTTACTAAACAAATCAGGTTCATCTGGCAGTCCAGTTCTTAAAGGAACTAAACTTTATCTTAAAAGGAAGTATAGAAATAAAAAGGAAAGATAGTAAAAGTAATGAATTCCAAGTTATAAAGGAACTAATATACCATATAAAAATCTAGTTAAATATAAATATTTCAATTTTTCCCTCTTTTAAATGTCTCAGAAAAGTCAATGAAATCAAAGTGAGTGTCCAGCTGTTCTAAATTACTGGATAATAATATCCAAGTAATTTAGAGCTTTTTGAAAAGCTTTAAAAATTATTTAATTATAGATAGTTAAGAGATGATAAAATGGAGATATAAATCTTAGGTGTATTTTTTGCTTTGAAATTGTTTTATATTTCATATTTTGAAGGAGAGATAGAGATAAGTAATAAAAATTTATGACCTAAATTTCAATCTCAATTTCAATTAATTAACTGGATGAGAAAGGCAGTTTTTTCCTCTGGACTTCATTTTCTGCAACCATGAAATAAAATGTTGACAAAAGCAAACAGAAGGTTTAGACTG
Organism: Homo sapiens; assembly: GCF_000001405.40. Classification (NCBI taxonomy): domain Eukaryota; kingdom Metazoa; phylum Chordata; class Mammalia; order Primates; family Hominidae; genus Homo; species Homo sapiens. The sequence goes on from NC_000006.12 coordinate 132,357,960, forward strand.
TTAGAGGAAAGAAGGATTACTATAAAATGACAATATTTCACATCTATTGTGCCTCAGGTGTTCCATAAACATTTTCCAAATAACTTTACAGTAGTATTGTGATAGGTCATATCTCCATTTTGCCAATGGGAAAACGGATTCAGAAAAGTTCTGTAAATTACTCAAGGTCATATAAGTGGTAAATGGTAGAGCCCGGATTTGAAATCAGGTCTATGTGACCAGAAAGACAGGAAGGGCCCTTCAAGCTTAGGTTCATATAGGTTAAATAAAGTGTTAAAGCTCCCCCTACTAGACTAAATAAATGGTGTTCATAATACACGTACTAATAACACCTATGTGTGTAGCACATTTGCACTGAAAAGAGTTCAACACAGTAATTCAGATCTCAGGCATTAGAATTAAACAAGGCTAGGTTCCCACTCTATGTTTACCACATCTCGCTCCATGACATTAGAGATGACATTACATTTTTCTGAGCCTGTTTTCTCATCTAGAAAATGGCAGAGGTAGTAAGTAAAGCACAGTGTTTGGTACATGATGAGCAATCCATAAATACTTGTCTTCTAAAATTCAATATTTTAAAAGCATTTTCAAAGTAATCTTGAGAAGATATGAATTGTTATTTTTATGTTATATATGGGTATATACTAACACCAAAATCATAAAAGTTAAGGGAAAAGTAAAGGGGCATATTCAAAAACCCTGTGTTTAGTTTCCATCCTAAAGGACCAATTTTACATTGAAGGTATGAGGCTAAAATCAGCTATTATGGAGAAAATACCCAATTTTATTAATAAAGGTAATTTTATAAAGACTATGGAAGATTGTGATGACTAAGAGAAACAAACATACATCTTTGGAGGATGACCTTAAAGCAGTATTTTTTCAAAGCTTGGTAAATAAATAAATAATTCCTTGAGAACTTTCTTTAGGCCCATGCTTCAGTAAAATAGAAAGCAAAATGAGACAAACCTTTTCTATAAAAAAACCCACATATATCACATACATTTAAATTATTAAGAAAACACAGCTGACATTAGCGATGGAAATGGACATGGCTCTAACAAACTCCACTGTGAAGTCACTGGCTCTAGGGAAGACCTTGTCATTTCCACAAGAACTGAAAGGCCATCGTCCTCTTAGGAACTGCCTGCAGCTTTCCTTTTTTTTTTTTTTCTGAGGCAGGATCTTGCTCTGTCTCCCAGACTGGAGTGCAGTGGTGAGAAAACGGCTCACTGCAGCCCCAAACTCCTGGGCTCAAGTGATCCTCTCATTTCGGCCTCCCAACTAGCTGGTACCAGCTAAATTTTTTAAATTTTTCTTTAGAGACAAGAACTCCCTCCATTACCCAGGGTGGTCTCGAATTCTCCTCCCAAGATGCTGGGATGACAGGTGAAAGCCACTGCATCTGCCTAGCTTCACTTTAAAGAACTAAATGGTTACATGCACATGTGTGCAATTAAGAGGCTGGTTTTATTTCTATTTTAGAGAATATGATACAAATTGCCAGAGTTTTTTTTTTCTTTTTCTTTTTTTTTTTTTTTTGAGACGGAGTCTCGCTCTGTCGCCCAGGCTGGAGTGCAGTGGCGCGATCTCGGCTCACTGCAAGCTCCGCCTCCCGGGTTCACACCATTCTCCTGCCTCAGCCTCCCGAGTAGCTGGGACTACAGGCGCCCGCCACGAAGCCCGGCTAATTTTTTGTATTTTTAGTAGAGGCGGGGTTTCACTGTGTTAGCCAGGATGGTCTCCATCTCCTGACCTCATAATCCGCCCGCCTCTGCCTCCCAAAGTGCTGGGATTACAGGCGTGAGCCACCGCGCCCGGCCCAGAGTTTTAACAATAAATAAAATTTGTTAAAGCCACACAGGAGTAATACTCAAGATAAAATTAGTGACCCCATTTAGGTATTAAAGGCCTCAGACTTCAGTCCTCCCTTCAATATTACAAAATGGGGACTTTGGTATGGTTAAGGTATTCTCTGATCAAAAAATCCATTTATCCTGACAACAAGTAACTGCAGGGATTCTGCATTCTAATTTGATGTATTAGACTATGGGTTTAAAGTTTAGCCAGCAGCTGTTAGCTGGCTTTAGTATGGGCAGATGTTGGTTGTATCAAGTATTCTTTGCCACATGTGGGACCAAGTGGAGCTTCCTCAGGGACCAATGTGTAATACTTCAGAATGTTAATGTTGAAGTCAGCGTCCTATTTTTTTAGTCAATGAATGCTGTTTTCTGTAGACCTAACAGTCACGTTTGGAGGCTAAACCAGCAAAAGTGTTTATGTCTGTTTACTTTTTAAATAGATCATCTTCCCCAGCAATGGGCAAATTACTTAACCTTTCTGGGCGTCAGTTTCCTCATCTGTAAAATGAAGATAGTAACACTGCCTACATCATAGGTTGTTTATGAGGACTGACAATCCCCAAATTGGACAGTTCTCTCAATAAATGTTGGTTCTTATCATCTAATTTTATCTTGATGCTTAAGCACATCAACAGAGGTTGCCTCTGTTTATGCCTCTGCAGTCATGCTCACCACACCACTACTTCCACCTACCTAAAATTCATCTACTCTGTGCTTTCCCCAAATTATTCTTTCCATATGGCATGGGACTGTGCCCAAACAATCACTGCTTTCTCCTTTCTTCTTCTCCTTTACTGCCACTATCACATAGCTTGACATGAATGTTCATTCGGCAGCTTTGGGGGCTCTCTAATATTTATGTGTACATCTCTTCCTCCCATCCAGACTGTGAGGTCTTTGGGCTGAAAAACTACGTGTTATATTGCTCTATATACAAGACATAGCACTGAATGCTGTCCAAAGCAGACACTCACTAGATACTCTGATTCTTCCTCACGATTTACAGGTGTAGTGTGAAGGAATGTTTCCAGCTGATTAAAATATATAGTGGGCATATCGAGTATACATCTGATTTCTGAAACATACCATAAACCAAAGTGTCTCTCCTATATTTTCAACATTTCCTCAGGACAAGCTAAAGACCAAGAGGCTATGGGAGCATTATTAACAGTTACTTACATGGTCTTGCCTTCACTAATTTTTATAATTCCACACAGAGCAATTCAGTGAGATTTCAGTGGTGCAAAGATCTCTCTTTATTGGTAATGAGATGCATTTTAAAGTCAGTGAGGTGGTTTTCAGTGTATGGTTCCTAAAATGGACCCATTACATTATAAACATGAATGTATAGCATTAACCTCCATGTATATATTTCACTAGAGCATAAATCTTTTTTCTGTCTTAGAAGAAATTACCCCTTCTATCTGAATTAGTTCATAAAACTCAGCTGTGGTTACAGGAAACAGCTGGTGTTTTTGCCTCTCCATTTTCACCAAAAAAAAAAAAACAGCAAGCAATGCATCAAGGAATAAACTATCTCAAAACCATAAACTGCTTAACTCTTCTTCATGTGCATGCAACTAACATAGTATATTTCGATAGACATTCAATATGTGTTCACCCTTTACAATATTTGTTGAATAAAATACTTTATTACTATAATAAGATGTATTACTGCTACTTAATATGAAGGGCATTTTACTAGGTGCCATAAAATGTAACTTGACAAATGCAATCTCCTGGGAAATTTTAATATATATAAAACAGTTATTTTCAAACAGAGGGTTTATATCAGAGTCACTTGGGGAACTTTTCCCAAAACACAGCAACAACCACTATCATCACAAAAGCCTGGACTCCCTCCCTAAAGATTCTGATTCTAACATGCACCCTAGGTTATGAATCAAGAAAAATACAATAATAGCTCAATGAAGCAAATCTCAACTATAACATTTTTGATATGTTAGTGTAGTATTTTTCTTCATAAAAGAGATATACTATTAAGCTCTTATATATAATCTGAATTTTTGATGCACAAATACATTCATGTTAAATGACCCAAAGAAAGTCTTGATACCTTAAAGAAGGTATTGATAACTCAGTAAAGGTGTGAAAAAGTATCCTCTGATTTATGAGTTTTATAAACTTGAATATAAAATATCTCACTTATCAAAAGTGAGTTTCCACATATAATTTTTCCTGCTAATCACTAAAAGCTCCATTTATAAAAACTATTAAAAATTTCATTGTTGTATCATAGGGCAACAGATATCTTCCTGTTTTGATAAGTATACAATTGTTTCCATTGAAAATAGAAAACAAAAAAATAAAATTGACCTGTGATATCCTATGGCAACACACAAAAATTATCTGAATTCCTTTCAAAATTTTAAGAAAATCTTTTATTATAATTTTATTCGTATATATTTATACACTTATTCTATAAATTTCCAACTTTGTCAATTCCAATAATACAATGAAAGAAGTCACAGAATTTTAAGGGTTAAAGATCACTTAGAACAACTTCTCAGTTATACAGATTTATAGTCTTTGAGTTGTTATTAACATGAATTTGGTCTCTTGAGAGGCATTGTGGTGCAGTCACATTAATTTTCAGCTGACCAAAGGTTAAAGTAAGATTAGAACCCAGACTGTCAGTCTGGTTCTTAGGTCTTTTCTGAGATGCCAACACTTCTAGTTTTCTCTCCAACAACATATATCTCTTCGTGTTTTAGAGCACTTTAGGTATTTTGTCATAAATTTAACTGCCAAGTGAAAAATGTTAGTATTTCTTCTCATGAGTAGCTTTTTACAGATCGTTATAGCAAAGGGGAATCAAACAGTCCATTACCATTAATTTCACTTAACTCCAAAGAAGATCTTAGCTCAGCTTAAACAGAAAGCTTTTGGCTTGCTTCCAGCAATCTTTATGCTACAAGACGTGTCCAATAAGATTAGCAGTCTCACTAACTTCTTTCCACGGAAATTATTTCCAATTCCTTTCTCCCTAATATCATCTCCAAGATTTAACATGAAGCCTTTTTGCAGCCATAATCTTTAGCCTAATCATCTTACTCTAATCTTACTTTAAAGACTTCCTAAATCACAAATGAAACTTCGTATGTGTCATCCATTGTTAATGAGCATTTGTAATCCCCAAGGGTGAAATCACCCAGTCTCTGTGTACTCATATGTGACTAGATCTAAGTCACTTTCCAGGATCTCTGGACTGATGTCTCTGGAAGATTCTGGTGGGGTCTGCTCACACAGTCCTGTGTCCTGTGTCTATGCATTAATTCCGTAGGACTCAAAAGTAGTCCAGCAGAATATAGTATTTTGCACTTCCAAATTTGTTGAGTGTAGATCTCATGTCAAATGTTCTTACCACAATAAAAAACAAAAAAAAAAAACCAAAGAGACTCAAGGAAACAAGGGAGGTGATGAATATGTCTATTACCTTGGTTGGTGATGTCACTATAAGTGTCTGCATATTTCCAAGCTCATCAAATGGTACACACTATAACTGTGCAGTTCTTTGTATATCTGTTATACCTCAACAAAGCTGTCAAAAAATAAAAAGTAGCTCAGGTTCTGACAAGTTTACTTAAAGAACTCATGGCTGGATATAAGCTATCAGACTTCTTCCACGCAAATTATTTTTCATTGTAACTTATGCATCTTGAAAAAAATAATAAGGCCTGGATAGATATTTAGAAGTAGAAGGCTAGCAAAATTGTATGGAAAAAGCCCCATTAGTATTGCTCAGAAGATCTGCATTCAAGTCTTGGCTCTACTTCACCTAATTTGTGTAATGTTGAGCAAGCTACATAAGCTTGCTGTGTCTCAGTGTGTTCATATGGAAAGTGGTGGTTATTCAACTTACTTTGTGGGAGGCTGTGAAAACCTAGTGAAATAATGTATTTAAAGTATCAAAAAAACAAGAAAGTATTTTACCTACATACTTCCTTGCATGTAAGTAAAAGTCATTCATAATTTAATGTTACCACACCTCTTAATCCCATTGTGCTATCAACATCTAGAATTCAACATAAATATCTTAGTATTCTTTCAATAAAGTGCTGTTAATTAAATTATTTACTAATTTTTATAATGAATAATTACCAAGAAATGTGCTAGTGCTATTCAATTTTCTCATCTAAACTTTTGTACTACCTGAAAAAGATATACAAGGTTGGAGTAGACTTGGTTGGTAGAAGAAAAATTAAAAAATAAAAAAAAATTGTTTCATGTCAGTTGAAAATGGCATTATTTTAAGGCCATAGAATGGAAGACTAATGGGTGACTTAAGAATGTCAAAGATTATTTCCCAGAGGATAGTCACCAGTTGGTTTTTATCCTTACTTAGACAAGAACAGGAGGAAATTAGCTTAAATTTCATTTGGGTTAGAGTAATGGAAGCAAGCTATGAAATCTAATTCCCAGGGAATCTTTTCTTCAAAATAAAATAGAGACTTACTGCCTACCATTGTTTCAGTGCAGCCCTGACTCCAAGAATGAGAAAACACTAGATGAAGTTTTAGTCATTCATCTCTATAATTCCCTTCAAGGGAAGAAAACAAGCAATGACGAGCCTATTATGCAACAGGTGTTTTCACTTGTTTTCATTTCATCTTTGCTGAAAATTATTTTCCTCACTTTGCAAGTCAAGATGCAAGCTATGAGCATTTAGTCTTCCCAAGGTTATCCAGTGAATGAGAAAGAGAGTTTGAACACAACTGCTAACTACCTCCAGAGCCAATTCTTGTACACTGCACCAACTTATCTCAGTAAAGTCTTGCTCACCCTGGCACTCCTAATTTTTATCTTTATTTTAAAATGACATTATCTCTGTGACTTAAGAGGTATCTGAAAACTGAAGCAAATTGGGAATATAGCCAGTACTTATTGAGCTATCTAATACATTGCCAAACATATAAGCACTCTACAGATACTGCCTTCATTTGATGACAGCTAACATACGAGGCAAATACGGTTATCAGCCCTATGTACAGACGGAACCTAAGGCTCAAGGAAGTTAAATTGCTTGCCCTGGATTCCACACTAGTAGGCTGAGGAGCCAAGATTCAAACCAGTTGCTCTGACCCTGTAGGCCATGGTACAACCACTAGATAATACGGATATTATAAAGATTTGTGGTTTCAGAATTTGATTTGTTGTGAATACTTTACATTTGCAGCCTTTCTGTGTTTAGAACCAGCTGTTCCCAAAACTTAATAGCCATTAAATAATATCAGTAACAAGTTTAGTTAAGTGCATGGGAATTTAAAGATAAAAAAGTGAGTGTTGTATAGCCCAGAAATAAGAAAGTCTATGAGCCTCTTTTTAAAAAATCAAGTATTTCTGTCAACAGACCAAGCAGCCACACATGTCTCTAGACATTCTGGATTCTCCTGGGGATTCTGGGGCACTTTGGCATGCTCTAGAAAGGACTAAGATGCCTCCAAACTTATCCTCCAAGTCCATGCTCGAGGTGCTAAAGAAAGGGGCCTTTTAACTTCAAGGGAGGCAGTGGCGTACTCAGTATTTTCACCTCAGCATGCCCTGTGACTGAAAAGCATGCATGTCAGGAACTCAGACCACAGAGCAGCAGCCAAACCCCAGCACAGACTTTTCTTTTTGTTTTCGTCAAATCACAGATATTTAGAAGTAGAAAGAGCCTATTGAGGTCATCTGGTCCAATCCCTTTATCTTACAGACAAGGAATTTGAGGACCAGGCAAGGTTAAGTACTTTCTCTAGGGTCAGAAAGCTAATTAGTGACAGAGTTAGCAATAAATCACTTCCATGAAAAGACATGCTTTCAAAGCAAATTTAATTACCTTGTACTCTCAAGTGACTAATAAGAACACCCATGTAGCTAGACGATCTCCAGTGTTTCCATGAAGTAGATGTAACTCAAGAGGATCTTGAATGAACTTTACAACATTGAACAATCTAAGTCAGCAGTCTTTCAAATGCACTAATTTGAGTCAAATCATTACTTTTAGGGGAAGTGTTCCTACCAACTTTTTTTCTGTACAAAGTTACAGTTTCAGCCACAGTAAATGCCCCAGTATTTTCATCTCTTGTCTAGTAGATAAAAAATAGATAAAACTTACAATACACTTAGAAATGAGGAATAATTTTTGGCATCCATAAACATTGTAACACAAATTATTAAAGGAAAAGATTCTTGATTTTTATAGCATAACTTTTTCTCTAGAAGATCAAGAATCATCTATTTTATCAATTGATGACAAAACCCAGAGGTGCAGGGGTAATCCATTGGTGTTAATAATTTAATAACCAAATAGAGTGTTGCAAAATATTTAAGAGAAATGGAAAGTATTTTCACGTAAGATAGATTATGAAAGTTAATTTATTTCAACATGAATCTAGCTAAAAATCCAAAGATTTGCCTTTAGAAAATAAATAGAGTTAAATAAGAAAAGATAGAAGGGAAACATCAATAAGTAAGAAGAAAAAATTCTAGAGTTGGAATGGATATGGGTTAAAAACACAAATAACCATTAAGTCAGTAGTTAACAGCAAACACCTAGTCTCCCATATGAAAAAGTGAAACAGAAGGTGAACACATAAAAAAACAATGAGAACTAGACGGGGCAGTCTGTGCAAATGCAGGCTGACAACAAACCAAAATGCTGTTTCCATCGGGGGAAAAACTGCATCAATTAAAATATGTCTTGAAATATTATTTCAGGAAAGAAGGAAAGAGATATACTGTCAGAGAAGAGCTAATTCTGACAGCCATAAAAGCATGTAGTTTGACATTGAGAATGCTTAAATTCCCACAGTTTACTAAATTTAACCCCAAAGACTTACACATTCTCAGAAAATAGAAACCCTCTATCGCACTTAACATTTCAGAAACGTGTTAATGATAAGGTTTTCCATTTGACTGTGTCTTTTTAAGTGAGCACAGTAGAAAAACAGGCAGCAATGTCCATTTGACATGTTGTATTAAGCCTAACGTTCATGTTAGGTGCCTACTATAGGAAAATCAATTTTCGAGTGGCTATTTCATGGCTCTACAGTAATCTGGCTTCAAGGACATTCCATGGCTATTCAATGTCAATTATTCTTAAATTTTCATGTTCTAGGAAACACTCCCCAAATGAAATCATTGAGATTTATGAGTGCTACCAATAGAAGAGAACAGAAGCATGGATATTTCATGGGAGAAAAAAGATGTTCTGTTCAGTATCAAGTAATAAAGCATAGCATTTCTCTTCCTGTAGCAATTGATGATGAAGAGGATGATGACAGTGTTTTACCTCAACTTCACATTTCTCCAAAGCTGAAAATTTTCAAGGTGACCTCCCTAAATGAAGTGATGGACAAACTAGGTTTTCTTTGGAACTCTGACTGCCTAGAAAGGGTTGACTTGTTTGGGATCCCTCTGTAATCCAGAAACCTAACAAGATGATCAACAGATTAGCAATTGAGTGTTGCTAGTGATCTACAAAATTTTATTGAATTTACTTACCTTGTTTAACAGAAATTATGTTCCCAGCACTGTTATAAATACTTTATAAATATTAAACTCATTTGATTCACTTAATACTCATAGCAATCTTGTTAGGTAAGAACTATTATTATCACCATTTTCCAGAGGAGGAAACTGAGGCACAGAGAGGTAAATTGATTTGCCTAAGGTCACACAACTAGTAAGTATAATCCTCTCTTAAAACCCAGCAATGGTCAGCCTTTAAGCCTGATACTGCATCCTTTTCCGGGCCTTCTCACTAAATGGGAGTTTTCAATGAAAAGTCATTCAGGGAGCAACATTGAAAATAAATAGTTGCCTGATCATAATAGTTGAGTTTATTAATAGTTTTGTAAGTGTCAGATACTGTGCTAAGTGCTTAAAAAACAACAACTCCTGTTTGATCCTTAATGTAAGCAATTCCATTAGGAGGCACCATTTCCATTTAAATGAAAATACTGAACTGTGTGTGGCTAACAACTTTTCTGTAAGTTACATGACTAATAAATGGAAAGAAGGAATTCAAACCTGAACTATCCATCCAGTCACGGAACCCACCTACCGTAGTATGAGGTGTACTGCCTCCCTATTTAGGGAGCTAGTCCTTTAAGGAGAGAGGACTAAGGGATGATGATTTTGGCTGGCTGTTTTTCTTTTTTTCTCCCCTTTGCCATAATAGGCCATCAGCAAATTTTCTATTAAATGGAATGAGACACATCACATTTAAACAGATATATTAGGAGTGTAGTTCATCTATGAGAATTCCAGGACAATAAAAGCACCTCAAAAAAAGCAGCGTGTTAAGCCAATTCAATAACCCCCATTTCTAGCAAAGTATATCCAACCACGACTAATAGTCATGGCAATGCCATTACTGTTGACTAAAGAGAGTGGTAGAATCAACCGTCTTTAAAAAATTTTAAATTTACGGTAAAGTCACATCTAAAATAAAGCTTAAAAAGAGTCATGCTGAAATATGGAGAGGTGGGCTGCAGAGTGGTCTCGAGTACCTGACAAAGAGATGACCTCACATGAGAAGTACAGTTTAAATATAAATTACCAAGAATATTCTTTTCTACAATTTCCATATTCACCTGCAATGTGATATGCTGTCATCTGATAATACCCACATTTTCAAGCCACAATTTTCAACATTTTGTTAAGAATCAAAATACAAATCAATAAATTGAGATCACAAACGAGTTTCAACAGCCAATAATTGTATTATAATCCTATCTTTTCTAGAGATAAAATCATTTATGTTTATTTTATATTTTAGTCATTTTAGAGATTATTTACCTTATTTTATAATTTTAGAAGCAAATAATTTTTACATGGTTAAAATTTAAATTTTAAATGTAATAAATATTTTTAAATTTAGTCATTCTTATCAAACTACTGATATATTTTCTTTGCTTAGTCTTATAGTTATTATAAGTATGAAATGTATGCAGTAGTCTTCCCTCATCTGAGGGGAAAACATTGCAAAATCCCCAGTGGATGGCAGAAACTACAAACTCTACACATACTATGCTTCTTCCTATACATGCATTAAAGCTTAATTTATAAATTAGGAGATTTCCAAATACTTTCTTGTAAGAGCTTAATAACAATAACTAATAATAAAGCAAAACAATTATAACAATATGCTGTAATTAAAGTTACGTGAATGTGGTCTCTCTCTCTCTCAAAATATCTTATCATACTGTACTCACCCTTCCTGTGATGCGAGATGATACAATCCCTACATAATGAGATGGAGCATAATGAATAACGTAGGTATTGTGACATAGTATTAGGCTACTACTGATCAGAATCTATATTCCTGAATCTCTGCAACTATTCCCCACTTGCAGTAAATGGCTTGGTGTCACTCATTTCAGGCAATCCCTTGTTGAAGTCTTTGTATAGGCTCAATGCTTTCTAGTGCGGCACGTTGCTGTCAATCGGAAAACGTTTCTGTTCATGTCTTCTACCCACAGATTTAATGCCTTTTCCATTTCAACTAAGCACTTATCATGCACTGTGGCCATAACTTTTGCAGTCTGAAGTGAGACAGCAAAATTGGCATGAATTTCTTTTTCCTTCTTCACAATTTCACAGAGAGAAGATTCATTCTTAGCATAGGTCTTAACAACCTTATCATTTTTTTTTTATGAAGTTGAGAGCTTTCTCCTTTTCACTTACAGAAGCACTTGATGGCTTCTCCCGGGCATATCTGAATTGCTAGCTAGCATCATTACTCTTGTGCTTTGGGGTGCATTGTTAAAGAAAATAAGGGTGACTTCAACACAAGAACTCTGATACCATGACAATCTGATAACTGCAAGAGTAAGTCTAATAACTGAGATGGCTACTAAGTGACTAACGGATGGGCAGCGTTTCCAGTGTGAATATGCTGGACAAAGGAATGATTCACGTCCCAGCTGGAATGAAGCAGGACAGTGCAAGATTTCATCAAGCTACTCAAAATGGCATGCAACTTAAAATTTATGAATTGTTTATTTCTGGAATCTTCCATTTAATATTTTCAGATCACAGTTGACCATGGGCAACTTAACCCATGGAACCACAGATAAGTGGGTCTAGGCACTATCAACATTTAAACTGCAAATACAAACAAATTCTTTGTGCGAATTAGACACCAGAAAATGAAACTGACTTCTCACAATTCAACTGTGATCGATATTCTTAAAACTCACTGCAAATGACACACCACACAATATGATATAAAATCAATCTTCTCATTTCTGTGAAAGTACTTTTTGTTTGCAGAAGAAAAGGACTGAGGCTTTTTGATACAGTGATTTATGGAACATAAAATGAAAAATAAGGAGAAGCTCTTAACTGATGGCTTTTCAAAACATAGGAGTCTTTGATTTTATGGAAAGAATATACACTTTTCTTAAATTATTAGAAATCCTCTCTACTAGAAAAAAGAGCATGGAAATCAGACAACTTAAGGCAAGTCCTAGATTTATGAATTCTACATCATTAAAATTTTGTTGAAATCTTGAATAAGTTGCAAATGAAAACTGGTTTTGAAAGGCTGCCTTAAAACCACTTACATATTACTAAATATTTTGAATTTATTTTTTCAGTAGAGTTTTCTTTATTTTTTGAATAATATCCTATTTTAGTTAATTTTCAAGGAAAATGTTTCATAATACTTAATAAACTTTAAAATATTTTAAGGTTTAGCAAGATAAGGAATCTATCCTATAAGTGGTATTCTCACATAATAATAGGATTTTAAATTCTAGCCACCAAACCTCTGTCCCCTGTAACAACAAAAGTTTGTATGAGCACTCCCTTATGACCTACTGTCCTTCCCTCAAATCCCTTTTGCTCAAGGTAAATAACTTTTGTTGTCTAGAAGACCTCCAAACATTGCAAAAAATGCTCCAATGCCTTTCATGTTAATGCAAATGTCTAGTGAAGACAGCTATGTATTCCCAAAAGTACTTAATTCTAAGTTCATGTGTCTGAGAATTACTTGATACGCTTCTTATAGGAAAGTTTATCTGAGTATCATTTAATATGCTTCATATAGGAAAGTTAGTGAAGAAAGATGAGGTACCAAGCAAATATCCTACATAGAGGGTTGAAACATACACTGACCTCCCTGAAACATACATAATTATTTTATTTCATTCAACTCAATTATTAGCATTAACAATGGCAAGAATAAAAATGCATTCACAGTAAGTGGTTAAGAAATTTACAATTAATGTTTGCCAGAAAGTGGATAAAGGACCGGTTGTTTGAAACATTTGTTTCTATTTCTGAATCTACAGTTTTACATTTGCCTCTTAAGCCTGGTTCCAGTTAAATTTACTGCAAATGACATACAGTACATATAAATGAAACATTCTCTTTCCTGAGGAATACTTTTCATTGGTACAAGGGAAGGACTTGGGCATGGTATTAATTATACAAAATTAGAATTTGCATTCCCCTTTTCCATACACAAAGTAGAAAATAACTTATTGCACAGAGGTAAATGATTCACCTGCAGTCACAGTCTCCTGTTTGCAAAAATAACCTATAAATATTTAGGACTACATATTAACTCAATAACATTCCCTAAAGCCACTCCCTTTGCCTCTGTATGTAGTTATGAATCATTTTGTAAACCAAAGGCAGAACTGTAAACAAAAATATTTGTAAACAAAAGAAAACTAGGGAAATATATTAGAAATTAACAAATTTTAGCCACGAATAAACTTATAGAATGTGCTCAGTGTTTCTATCTCTGCTAAAATGTCTTGAGGTTGATAGGAAAAGTGTTATGGCTGTCCATCTTTTACAGATGAGAAAACCTAAGGCTACAGCATTACCCCAGAGTGACTTACCTGAGAGCACATAGTTTAATTAAAGGGTGGACTTATGATTCTCAAACCCATGTATTTCCCTCTAGATTCCAGAGTCTGGCAATTCATTCCTTATCCACATCGCTTCATTACATAGTCTGGGAACTGACAGAAAGGCAGCAACATCTGGCCTTCTGAATGTTTACAGTATTCTGTATGCACTATTTAATTCTATCTTATTCTTTCTTGTGTCTTGGCCATGTCTCCCCAATCTCACTGTAAGTTCTTTGAGAGCATGGATCATACCTTTGGCCTCTGTGGAATTAACAATTACTAGCACGGAGCCAAGGACTTGTAACTTTTTAAAAATATTTGTTCATTCGCTAAGTAGATGCAAAAGTTCTGGGAGGCCCATTCCAGAAGGGTGGAAAATAATTGTATTGCACAGGCAAATTGGGTTTATTTACTACCCAATTCTGTATTTCTTTATTTCTGTAGAAATTCACTAATTTTCTTTTTTCTATTTTCAAAAAATTATTATAACTGTTTTTTTATGACAATATCCAGTGTTTTCAATGAAGCAGATGTTCTCAAACACTATTGGTGAGGAATGTAACCTTCATGGGTATAATTTATCAATACGTAAACATACTATTTTAAATTGCAATTCCAGTAATTCCAATTGTAGAAATGTTGCCTAAAATAATAATTAGCGGTGTTCATGTGCATACCAAAACTTGTACCTTTGACATGTAAAATTAGGAGATAACCAAAATATTAGATATAATCCAAGCTTTCAGACTCTTGAAAAAGTATGCAGGTCAGCCAAGCCAGTTCTTTTTTCTCTAAAAAACTTTCAAATAATTGAAAAACATTTCTATACTTTTACTGTTTTCATTATATTAACATCAATTTATTTTTCCACTCATGAAAATTAATTTTAGCCTATGAATGAGTCACATACCTTTATTACATGATGCTTTTCTTGGAACACAGGAATCTTAAACATTTGGCACCAATATGTTGTATCTTTGTTTGGGATGGGGACCTGTCTTAATAAAAAGGGGAGGAAGACACAAAGTCACCTTCTCTTAACATGCTCCTGAATACAATAATGTAAGCAAAAATGCTCGTATACACTTTCAATAAGCCCATCCCTACAATCATAAAACCTGAAAACACTTACGTCCTGATTTACCAGATCAAAGTATGGTAAGGCTGTAGATAGCACACTAGTTTTCTCAGGATTCAATAACCGCAAACTCTTGGTGCCCCTATTGGAGTCATGGTACTTGGGACCAGCTTCTCCTGCATCTTCATGGTGGTAGGCCCAGATCACTCTCACAGTGCTATCCTGGGGATCAGACATGGGCATGATTAGGTCTCATGAGAGCACTTTCCTTACCACTGAGTTGAGTTTAAAGAACTCTATTGTAAACAAGATATAGAAGTGAAGAAAAGACAATAATGACATTTGGAGTTATCAACATGGTCTCTAATATTAATTGCACAAATTTGATTAAGTCATTAAGGATCCAAATATATGAGTTACTTTTTGGAAGGAATCATCTCTCAGCATGCAAGATTATGTGTTCCAAAACATACTGAAGGACAATTGACTCAGTAATTACACTTTGAAGTATATGACAACAATAAATCATTGTCACGCCAAAACTTTAACCTTGCAACTGGTAGCTTCTAAACAAATATTCTTGTTCAGCAGCAGAGACTTTGGAAAATTAAATGCCATGGAAGATTTTAGGGAAAAATTAATACAATAAAAATTAAAATTACCTAATACTTTTCCTTTTACAGTAGATGTTTTCCTAGGCACTAGCCTAGTCACACGTATACATTTACAGAAAATATAAATATAGAAGGATTTCTGATTCTGAGTTTTTAAATCATACTACAGTTAATCTACAGTCATTTTATGAATCCTGGGAATTTCCTAGGGACTGGTTTACCACAACTATGGAAAGTACTGTCAGATGAAATCGGTTTCCATTGAGCAACCAGGAGAGATTGCCCAAAGGGCTATGGGTTGGGGAGGGTTTGCTGGGGTGTAAAGAAATTGTTCAATCCTCTCACAGATAAAGGTGTTTTTGCCAGATCTTTGTAATAAGAACTTTGAAAATAAATAATAACGCAAAAGTATTTTAAATGTTCTCTTTGCTATATTCTTTCTTAATAAGTCAAATGACTATAATTATTATTCCAATTAAAGTATAATTGCACTGTATATTGCATTAAAAAGTAATCCCTCTCTTTGCATGCATTTTTTCTGCCTCGTTCACTCTTTATGCTGAATGTTAATCAGAACTGCTTCATATTTTTTACATTCCCATTTTTGAAGCTTTGATTTACAAAATAAAAAGGTAATCGTATTGGTCTACACAAAATAAAATTAATCCAAACAATTCATGGAAATTTCTGAAGTATTACATATCTTCTAAATATTTAATTTGAATGCACATAAAGATATTAATTTTTGCATGAAGTCTGAAAATAAGAAATCTCATTTAATATACCAATAGGCAATTATAATCAGCCACCTATTCATCTTGATTTTAGAAATTTACAAAGATGAGTCCATTACAAATCAGATGAATTATATCCTAATATTCAGATTCATAATTCTTTCTTGTGTAATACATTTCTTCAAACATTTATCTGTTGTGTATTTTCAAACTTTATGGAGAAGAAAGTAAAATGTATTTATGGCTAAATCATACAAATTTTAAAGGGATCTTCAAAATGTTAAACTCACACAAAAATGGATTTTATTGAAATTTTTGGTCTTACACATTTTTGGCTTCTAAAAAAGTAAAAAAGAAAAAACTAAAAAAAAAACTAAAAAAAATCAAAAAAGATTTCAAAAATATTAGAAAAAAGACTATATGACTTGTTTCTCTTATTCTTTAAAGTGCTTCACAAGTGTAAATATACAATTTGTTCATGCATGCATTCACTCATAGATGCCTTACCGTTATACTCTTGTCATTTATGTCACATGTATGCAGCTCTCTGGTAAATTCAATTATTGTGTGTGTGCTATTTTCCATGGCATATTCTAGATGGTAATCTTGCTGAGCATCTTTTTTCAACTCTCTATTTGCATTTGTAAAATAATCCTGTGGAAAATATGGAAAAGAAAAATCAGGATACCTAAATACAGAGAGAAAAGAATTCATAGGACCTTTAAAGACAAAGTCTTGTTGTCTAGAGTTATTTTATAAATCCCGGGAATTTCCAAGGGGCTGGAGTATTCCAACTGGGGAATCAGGTCCCTGGGAAACTAGTCCATCTTTGAACTTCTGGCCTTTCAGGAAAGCATAGTGTAGACTGATAATATCGTAGAGCATCAAGAGATGGAATGAATGAACATTTGATACCATTGTGTGCCTTTCCTTCCTTGGAAAAATTAAAAGAGGGACTATAGCACTATGAAATGTCTTACCGCAAAGTTTGCATTTATACAAAAAAAGTTTGATAACTAGTTAGCAGCAAAGCCAGAATCAGCCCTAAGGTCATCACTCTTTCCATTACAACTCCTGGTGGAGCCCCACTTCACCATTCATAAAAGCAAAGAGATCCGTGGGCAAGTGCGGATTATAGGTTGTTTCAATATGACTTTTAATGGCATATCCTTATTAAAATAAAATGCAATGGGAAATATGCAAAGAAACAAAACTAGTTGAATTACACGATATTGAAAAACTAGGGAAGTTTTGTTTTGGGGGATTAGCCATAATTTTTGTACTAAATTTGTTCAACGGTGTACCTATCACTTCTTTTTGAGACGGAATCTGGCTCTGTCGCCCAGGCTGGAGTGCAATGGCATGACCTCTGCTCACTACAAGCTCCACCTCCCAGGGTTCACGCCATTCTCCTGCCTCAGCCTCCCGAGTACCTGGGACCACAGGTGCCCACCGCCACGCCTGGCTAATGCATTTTTAGTAGAGATGGGGTTTCACCATGTTAGCCAGGATGGTCTCGATCTCCTGACCTCGTGATCTGCCCATCTCGGCCTCCCAAAGTGCTGGGATTACAGGTGTGAGCCACCGCGCCCAGCCAGTGTACCTATCACTTCTGGGAGGCAGACCAGTGCAGTGGAGAGAACATGGGCTTTGGAAGAAAATGACTAGGATGTGACTCCCAGCTGTACTCCTAAACAGCCTTGAAGAATTGTTGAAGTAAAACTCTGAAAGCTTAAGTTTTAACATTACTAAAATGGGGATAATACATACCTATTTTATAGATTTTGAAAAATAAACAAATGAGATGGTTTGGGCGGGGTCATAACTGCCTACATGGTTAGCGCCCATTCGATACATATTTTCTTTTTTGCACCATAGTTTGGTTTTATCCCCAAAATATCTTCTTATGCCTTTTACCATTCGCCTACTCTGTTGAGTCATCCAAATCAAAGTATTAATTTTTGTCACTTATAAAAGACACAAAATTTGCCTTAATTACTGCCTTTCTGGTTTTTCAGTACCTGATGATATTTTATTTTTGAGAAGTTGTACAGTTGATTTAGAATATACATGCTGAAACATAATTATAATTACTTTTGCTAACAGTAAAATTGTATTTGAAGAATTTATAGCTATGTTTGACTGAGAAAATGTAATATATAAGATAAAACCTCCCATTGTCTATAAAAGTCATACTCAAATAGATGGCATTTGGCATTTTTATTCCAAGCATCTTTGTATGGTAATTATAAGTGTGCATATGTTTCCCATCCAGGGTACCACATCTAGATTTTCTTTAGTATGTTAAAACCCCAAATTGTTGGCAATGCAGAGTCTAACTCACCTTTCTTGACAATGGTAACAATAACTACAGCTTCTTTTTTTTTTTTTTTTTTTTTTTTTTTTTTGAGACGGAGTCTCGCTCTGTCGCCCAGGCTGGAGTGCAGTGGCGGGATCTCGGCTCACTGCAAGCTCCGCCTCCCGGGTTCACGCCATTCTCCTGCCTCAGCCTCCCAAGTAGCTGGGACTACAGGCGCCCGCCACTACGCCCGGCTAATTTTTTGTATTTTTAGTAGAGACGGGGTTTCACCGTTTTAGCCAGGATGGTCTCGATCTCCTGACCTCGTGATCCGCCCGCCTCGGCCTCCCAAAGTGCTGGGATTACAGGCGTGAGCCACCGCGCCCGGCCAACTACAGCTTCTTATATGCACCAGGCCCTGTTTACACCTGTTACATGTATTAACTAAACTAATCTTCAAATCACATCTATCAGATAAAACTATTTTTCCATTTTACAGATGAAGACATCAAAGAACAAAGAGGCTAAGCGACTTGCCCAGGATTTACAGCTAGTAAACCGAAAGGCAGGATTCAAACCTTGGCACTCTGGCCCCAGAGTCTGGATCCTTTTTCACTCTTCTACAGTGTAGTGGCCACTGCTGGGATAGGATGGGTACGCTTATTTTTGTTTATTTTTTTCTGTCTCCAGAAATTAGCTATGTCAGTTTTTCACATAAAATGTTACTTTTCTTCTGCCAAAGTTGAGGTTTGTCAAAATTCTTATTTTGAGAACTGGGTTGCAATTGTGAAAGCAATTTAAATGAAATACTCCTGTGAGTCTGTGATTTTCCCATTTTTCATCACATAGATTTTCAATATGTAAATGAAATAACAATGTCTGTAGACAATGAGAGATTTAGATCAGTTAACTGTGCCTTTTCACTGAACTCATATTTCATTACATGATCCAAGCAGTTTTTGCAATACAATACAAACTGTAATCAGTTCAAAGAGTAGAATAATTATCCGAGTCTTGCAAATATGTTTCCAAAACCATTATTTCCACAAAATATCCAGCTGGTTTGCCAATTTTCCACTCATTCTATTTCCACTCAACAATACCAACTCCTTCCAGCTATTCCACCTTTTTCTGGCTTTTCAGATAACTTAGTTATTAGAAAATGAGAGAAACTTCACTCAACTTATGTTGATGACCCCTTGCGCCATCTGCCCTATGTAACCAAGTGAGTGCTTAATATTTAGAAAAGACAGCTGCCAATTATTTCAAAGTTCTGAACTCCCGGAAAAAAGAAGCAGTTGTCTAAAAGAAGCTCATATCTTCAACCTTACTGAAGGAAAATATGGTTGGATCTTATTTGAAATAAAATTTAAATATGAACTAACCTAACCACCATGGTAATTCCACTATAATTTTTTTCACAGGCTGGGCGCAGTGGCTCATGCCTGTAATCCCAGCAATTTAGGAGGCCAAGGGGGGTGGATCACCTGAGGTTAGGAGTTTGAGACCAGCCTGGCCAACATGGTGAAACCCCGTCTCTACTAAAAATACAAAAACTAGCCGCGCGTGGTGGCAGGTGCCTGTAATCCCAACTACACGGGAGGCTGAGCTGAGGCAGGAGAATTGCTTGAACCTGGGAGGCGGAGGTTGCAGTGAACCAAGTTTGCGCCATTGCACTCCAGCCTGAGTGACAAGAGAGAAACTCCATCTCAAAAAAAAAATTTTTTTTTCATATTTTCCAACTTTGAGGTCCTATTTTGGAGGCAGATCTTCAGATTTGACTATAATACACCTTAGCTATCCAAATAATATTATTATTTAACATGTTTACTTCAGCTGGGCCCTCACTAATGGCTGGAAATCCATGTTAATCTCTTGCTATTTTCTGAAGACACCTCCCAAAACAAATAGTCTAAACCTTCTCTATGCAAGATTCCGAAATTTCCCCACCCTCAGCTTATGATCACACATCTCAGTTTATTGAGAGAATTTCAGTTATGATGCATGAGAGCTCCCATTTTCATTCTTTCTATCCTAAAAAATATCTACTTTATGGAATCAAAATAAAAATACTGATTGTAAAAGAAAGCAGAAAAAGATTAAAAAAAGCAAAGATGGAATAAATAGAAAATAGATGTAAATGAAATGGAGAAACATCACAATAGATCCTACAGACACTAAAAGGTTAATAATATTATGCTTACCTTGAAGCCAAATAATTGGATCCTTTAGATGAGAAACAAAGTCCTTACAAGACAAAAACCAGCCAAAGTCATTCAGAAAAACAGAGGTACTCTGAATAGCTTTATAATCTACTCATGGGTAAAAACCTTCCTAAGAAAATTCTAGGCCAAGATGCTTTCACTTGGAATTTTACCAAATATTTAAGGAAGAGGTAATACCAACTGTTCACAATTTCTTCTGGAAAATGAAAGAGGACAGAACACTTCCTCTTTTTTTTTTTTTTTTTTTTTTTTTTTTTTTTTTTTTTTGCGACAGAGTTTCACTCTTGTTGCCCAGGCTGGAGTGCAATGGCATGATGTCAGCTTGGTGCGATCTCAGTTTACTGCAACCTCCGCCTCCTGGGTTCCTAATTCCTTTTTTTATA
Source organism: Homo sapiens (assembly GCF_000001405.40). Taxonomy (NCBI): domain Eukaryota; kingdom Metazoa; phylum Chordata; class Mammalia; order Primates; family Hominidae; genus Homo; species Homo sapiens. Next base: position 132,379,031 of record NC_000006.12, read on the forward strand.
CCAGCATTACTTTGTTACCAAAATTAAAGACACTACCAAAAAAACTACACACCATCAACACTCATGGACCTAGATGGGTATTTCCTTAAAAATAGAAATAGAAATATTTCTTAGCAAATAGAAGCCAGCAACATAAAAAAAGAATAATATAGCATGATCATGCAGAGTTGTCTTAACATTAGAAAATCAATCAATATGATTTAGCACATCAAAAGTCTAAAAAAGAAAAACCATATGATGAACCCAATAAATGAAGAAAAAAACAGTTTATAACATTCATTCACTGCAGAATCCCTCAGTAAACTAGCAATAGAAGGGCACTTCTTCAACCCTTTAAAGGGCACCTATAAAAAACCTACAGCTAACATACTTAATGATAAAAGACTGAATTCTTCCCCCTAAGTTTAGGAACAAGTCCGGGAAACAAAGCAAGGCACATTCTCCACGTGGAAAGCCCTACAGGTGATTGTCCACCTTGAACAGTTTATTTCTGTTATTCCCTGACTCTATTTTCACCTCCCATTCTCTAACTAAGGACTTCAAAGTTCTGTCCTTAAAATTATATTTCTGTCTTCATATTTCACCATTTGGGAATCTCATCTGCTCCAATAGTTACAAATTATCACCTTTATTCAGTATCACATATTCAAAAGTATTTTTCACTTGGAAGTCTTATTGTCATTTCAAATGCAATGGATCCAAAATTGTATTCATATTTTACTTGAGTTCCTGAATTTCTTTAATTACACTACTATTCTCCTAGCTATCTAAATTCAAAACTGTAGTCTTTATTTTTCTTTTCTTTTTTGAGACAGGGTCTCACTTTGTCATCCAGGCTAGAGTACAGTGGTGGAATCACAGCTCACTGCAGCCTCATCCTCCTGGGTTCAATTTTATTTCTTGTAGAGATGAGTTTTCACCACGTTGCCCAGGCTGGTCTCAAACTCTTGAGCTCAAGTGATCTGCCTGCCTCAGCCTCCCACAGTTCTGGGATCACAGGTGTAAGCCACCATGCCCGGCCTGTAGTTTTCTTTAACTTCTTTCCTGTGACTCACATCTCCACACATAGCCCCTGCTTCTATCAAGTCTTCCTTTGAAAACAAACCTACCTTTTAGTTCTATTTCATTTTCACTGTTCCTATCTCCCACACTCCACGTTTACATACTCTGTCATAGTCTTCCTTGAAAAATCACCCTCAGTGTGTCATTGCATTTTATTCAACAGTATATAGTACAAAGTCTATAATTTAGAGTCCAGGTTTCCTCACATTGAGCCTAACCTGGCTTTCCAGGTTACCTATTATCAATCTCACCACGGGACCTGTACTAATTGCTCCCTTCAATTACTCTGCCTTTTCCCAGCTCTTTGCTTTTGTTCACATTCTTCTTCCCTATCCCCCTACTCTCTTCATTCAACTAAGATATCTTCTCCACTAACTCCACCTACTGAATCTCTTTTTCCTGCTAAGGCTCATGATTCTATTTCCCCTATGAAGTTTTCTTTGATCATTCCAACCAGAAGTGATCATTCCCTCTCTGAATTCCTATTCCTCTATTTACATTCCCATGTAGCATGCAATCTATTTTAGGCATTGCCTTATCTTTTCAACCATGTGATAATTGCCTAGAATTCAAAAGTTAATCTTAGTATTTCAGTTATAAATTTGTGCCTTTAGAATACTTATTTACATTGTCAATGGAACAAAAAAAGGGGGGAAGACAATTATTTTCCCATTTGCTCTTAATTATATTTACACATGGTTAAGACCGGATATGGATTGTGTTTAACCAGATGCTAGAATGAGTTTGGGTCTGCATGATCTGTCATACAGACACATCTGGCACTGAAATCTGGGAATGTTGTTGTGACCTTTTAGCCCCTACACGCACATGAATCTTAGGAGACCGACATTAGTATTCAGAAAAAAAAGGGTTTATACATGCAACAACTATTTTAAATCCTTTTACACAAGGAGATAATCCCCTACCTATTTTAAATAAATAAGAAAAAAATAGATCTAAGAGGGAGAAGTCATGTTTCAGAAGGTTTTCTGATGTTAATTTATATCCTCAGTACCTAACAAAGTGACTGGCATATTGAAGATGCTCATGAAATACATGCATATATTTGAAAAGGAGCATCCTGCTTTTCTTTCTGTTAAATCTAAATAAGGAGATAATTTTGAAAATAAAAGATAAAACACAAGAACCTATCATCTGATATTCACAGCTTTGTGGTATAGAAATAGTTTAACTTAATGAGACCAAAGTATTCCCCAGTAGTACCTTATTTCTTCTGTCTGTATTAAGAAAATACATGGACTGTAATCAAACACAGCCTTAATGCTGTCAATATTATACAACAGAAGTGGCATATTGGCCAATCTTAAAAGCACAATTAAATGAAGTAAAAGAAGAGAAAAAGGCAAAAAAAAATTGGGATCCTAAACTTCATAGCATTCAACTATTCTTGCCTAGAGGATGAAAAGCCGAAAAGAAAAGAGGGAAATAGAAGGAGAAAAAAAAAGCAAGCCACTGAAAGCACAGTCAGCAATAAAACCATCAGTCTTGAGATTCAGATTGGTTAAACTGAAAAAAAGTGTTAAATGAATTTAAGTCTCCTGACAGTCTGACAAAGGGATAAATGTTATTCAAGTGGATAATCAATGGATAGGTTATTGTGTTACTATCATCCTCTAGGAAAAATACTAGAGAATGAAACAGACACAGTAAAACATTGACCAATTAAGAGTTTGAATACAGGTAAAGTCACTTAGAAGTTGACATTCACAAAACCATACTGTATAGTACTTAACAGATACTTAAGAAAACTTCCTACATCATTTTCACTACATCTGATTTCACCTTTAGAATTAGAACCAAATGACATCCTCACCCACTCCTCATTTTATTTAGCAAATAGAATCAAATGCAGCTCTATTATGCACTCATGGTAAAGGCCATTCCTCAGCTATCTTCCTATGGTGCTTTATATTCCAGGATTTGAAAAATAAAAATAGAAATATTGATCACTGTGCACTCTCGTTGTCATGGCCTGATATCACAGTCATTATAAAAATGTAATTGTATAATATACGTATTTAACATATCATATACACATATCATAAATATACAATATTGATAAAAGTCACTCCAATTAAGAATCATTAAAATTAGACTTTATGTGGGTAAGAAGGATAGAGAGGATTCAGAGAATCATGATTCTGTATAAATTTTGTAAGAATTTAAGGAAAAAAGTAGATGTTTTTTAAAATGTAAATATAAAAGCTGATATACAGAAGTCATTCTCACATTTATACAGTATTAATGATCTGCAAAGTGAAATATACTTGAGGTAATGTTATTCTATATAAATGGCTTTATGTGGCTCTCAGTCATATTCTAATTCAAACACTTTGATTTAGATCAGTTTCAATATGAATCATCACTGAGGTATGATTTTTTTGGTTTTGTGGATTATATTGATTATGTATTTAGCTTGTTTATACATTTTTAGATAAAAATTACTTGTTACACCTGAAAATGAGTTAATAATTCAATTCCAATAATAAAGCTAGTTTTCAGTTGTACCGTAGACTATTACTCCTGAAACATGTTGTCACAAGATATTTTTTCTTTTGAACACTTCGTGCTTTGAAAAATGTATGAAATATATACTTGAGGTTTCAAAATGCTATGTAGCAACAATAACAGAAATTGCCATTAGAAGCTGATAGTAAGTTGACATCTGTTATTTAGCATGATAGCCTCAGTACTTGCTGTCACTTTCAAACTGAGATAACATATACCAAAAAAACCTTGCTATGACCTCTTGTTTAAAAGCATGATGACACAGATGTTAAATTGGTTCTCACTCATTGTCAGTCTATTTTTCTCTCAAATAAAATCTTTGACTGGTGCTGTGTTACACAGGAGGAAGTAAAAACTCTTACGGGTATAATAAAAGATATGAATAGACCTTGGTTGAGCTTGGAAAACTGAATGTAAGCACAGCTGCAGGGAGATTCTTGAGAAAAATGTTACCATCTGTCATCATTTTCTTCAACAGGTGCTTGTAGTTTTTCTTTTTCTAAATCTCAAAAGCCTCGTTACTTCAAACATTTGTTTATAATATCAATTTCTACAATAAGTGTTATGGTGGTTTAATAATATTGATAGTATAATAATAAATATTTTGTGTTAAAGGGAATCTTTGATCCTAAAAAATCACAGAGCTGTACAAACAAATTATATAAACACAATCTTCAGAGTTCAATATAAGCTGATCTTAATAAGTTATTTCTTCAGTAATCTTAGAAATTTAAGTGGAATGTCAAAATAGAAGGCACTTACCTTTTAGAAACCACTTCAGATAAAGCTGAAACTGTCTATGTCTAATAAGGGATCTGTTAAATACCTACTAAAATGCCAAAATATGAACCCTGTAGCTAGTGTTCCAATGAGAAAGAGGCCCACCTGAGCAACCTGTTTGTTCTTTAAGTGTCACCTTCTAAAAATGAACATCCTGAATTTTCTCCCATGCCAACTGTCTCATTTCAGTTGTCACGTAGGATAATGTAATACCTTGCTATAATTATAGAATCATGAAAGATACAGCATAAAATCAAAATTTTGACTCTTTATTTGGAATAATATATTTCAGTGGAAAAAACAATTTCAGACTACACCATCTGAATAAGATACTACTTTGCCTTCATCCTATCCCATCACCTTAATTTTTAAAAAATTTGGATGATGGCTGGGTGCAGTGGCTCGCACCTGTAATTCCAGCACTTTGGGAGGCCAAGGCGGGCAGATCACCTGAGGTTAGGAGTTTGAGGCAAGCCTGGCCAAAATAGTGAAACCCCATCTCTACTAAAAATACAAAAATTAGCCGGTTGTGGTGGCTGGCGCCTGTAATCCCAGCTACTCGGGAGGCTGAGGCTGGAGAATCACTTGAACCCGGGAGGTGGAGGTTGCAGTGAGCCGAGATCATCCACTGCAGTCCAGCCTGGGCGGCAGAGCAAGATTCTGTCTCAAAAAAAAATGAATTATCTTAACTGGTTATGTCTATTTTTTGCAAGGAATAAATTTTGAAGTTAAAACTAGTTCTTTCCTTTATCCTTCCCTCCCTTTCTTCCTCTCTCCCTTCCTCTCTTCCTTCCTCCCTCCCTCTCTTCCTTCCTTCCTCCTTCCTTCCTCCCTCCCTCTCTTCCTTCCTTCCTTCCTTCCTTCCTTCCTTCCTTCCTTCCTTCCTTCCTCCTTCCTTCCTCCCTCCCTCCCTTTCATTCTTCCTTTTTTCCTCCTTCTTCCCTCTCCTTTCTTTCCCCAGCATATACTTTATTGAGTTACTATTCTTCAGACCTTATGTAGGGTTGAGGATACATGACTATACTGGACAGTAGACAATGGAACTTATAGTTTAGTTGGGGGGGACAGACAATTTCTAAAGAAACTTAAACAATAAAATATCCAACAATTTTTAGATAAATACTTACAGAAAAATAAAACAGAGATAACAGGGGGATCAGAAGGCTATTTCAGGGTGAGTGATCAGAAAAGTCACCACTGAGGCAATGATACTTAGGCTAAGAAGTAAACCACAATTAGGAACCATCCATGCAATGTGTGGAGAAAGTAGTTTCCAGGAAGAGATTAGCTATTGAAAAGGGCCTGGACAGGAGGTTGGGTTATCCAGTGGGATGAAGCAAATAAAAGCCAGTGGGACTGAATTACAGTGCCCAAAGAGGTCCCTGAGGTCAGCAGAGATCAGATGAGGCCCTAAACACTGTGATAACTTACATGCCATTGTAGGGAGCTATAAGCAGCAAGTGGCATAATGTGTATCTGTATCTGTATCTCTGTATTTCTGTGGCTTCCATGTGAGGAATGAGGAGAAGAAGGAATAGGAATGGTAGTTGGAAGACACTCAGGAGCCTGGCAGTGGTCCTGCAGGTTCAAGCTTGAGTGGTAGTATCACTGGAGAGAGGTGGGCAGGTGTTAGATTTAGTTTCGAGGAAGAGTCAATAGAACTTGACGATGGGTTTTATATATTGGGTGAAGGAAGGAGCAGAAAGAAGGATGGCTTCTAATTTTTGACTGGAGCTAAAGCTAACAAGAAGTGCCATTTGTAGAGATGGGGAAGCCTGGGAAGGAAACAGGTTGGAGTTTAGTCAGGTTAAGTTTAAGATGCCTACCCAGAAGGAAGGCCAGGAGGCAGAGAACATGTAGACTGTTCTTAGGTCAAAGTAATGTACCACCAGGGGAGGGGCTCAGGACCTCAGAAACTTCACGCTCAGCTTTGCTTTTGAAGCCCTCCACCTTCTTTTGAGTATATACCAGTCAGAAAACATTCTTTTCCCTCTTTTAATTATTTTTTCAGATTTCAAAACTTATACATAACAACTATAGAGAATTCAAAATATACTGAAATTATTATTATTATTATTATTATTATTATTATTATTATTAGAGACACAGTTTCACTCCATTACCCAGGCTGAAGTTCAGTGGCACAATCTTGGCTCCCTGCAATCTCCATCTCCTGGGTTCAAGCGATTCTCATGCCTCAGCCTCCCAAGTAACTGGGATTACAGGTGCCTGCCACCATGCCTGGCTAATTTTTGTATTATTAGTAGAGGCAGGGTTTCACCATGTTGGCCAGGCTGGTCTCGAACTCTGGAACTCCTGACCTCAAGCGATCTGCCTGCCTTGGCCTCCCAAAGTGCTGGGATTACAGGCGTGAGCCACTGAGCCCAACCAATATACTGAAATTAAAAACAGGAAAAGAGGCCGGGCGAGGTGGCTCACGCCTGTAAATCCCAGCCCTCTGGGAGGCTGAGGCGGGCGGATCACGAGGTCAGGAGATCGAGACCATCCTGGCTAACACGGTTAAACCCTATCTCTACTAAAAGTACAAAAAATTAGCTGGGCGTGGTGGCGGGCGCCTGTAGTCCCAGCTACTCGGGAGGCTGCGGCAGGAGAATGGCGTGAACCCAGGAGGCGTAGCTTGCAGTGAGCCGAGATCGCGCCACTGCACTCCAGCCTGGGCGACAGGGCAAGACTGCGTCTCAAAAAAAAAAAAAGAAAAGGCCAGGCGCGGTGGCTCACGCCTGTAATCCCAGCGCTTTGGGAGGCCGAGGCGGGCGGATCACGAGGTCAGGAAATCAAGACCATCCTGGCTAACACGGTGAAACCCCGTCTCTACTAAAAATACAAAAAATTAGCCGGGCTTCGTGGCGGGCGCCTGTAGTCCCAGCTACTTGGGAGGCTGAGGCAGGAGAATGGCGTGAACCCGGGAGGCGGAGCTTGCAGTGAGCCGAGATCGCGCCACTGCACTTCAGCCTGGGCGACAGAGCGAGACTCCGTCTCAAAAAACAAAACAAAACAAAACAAAACAAAACAAAAAAAAAAAACAAAAAAAAAACGGGAAAAGAGATGAAATAATCTCATAACCATTGTGATGATAATGATTCAATGCATATCTATCCAGAGACCAGGCAAACTTCTTGAGGCAGGTGAAAAAGCAATATAGACAGTTTTATAGTTGCTAATGTCTTCCCTTCCATTCATTTCTTGAATAACCTGAAAGTGTAAATGCAAAGTAATTTTAGCATCACACGTAAGTTGGAAGACAGGCTGAAGGAAACCTAATCCCAGCTCCCACCAAAGGAGAATTTGTCTCAAAAATGTTTTAAGAAATGATCACACAGTATTTAATACTTCCAGTGACAATGCTCATGATCTCACAATCTTACAAGGCAATCTACTCAATTTTAATATCTCTGCTTGTCAGAAATGTATTCCTTATAGTAAGCTAAATTCTTCTACTCTTTCATTATATTTATTGGGTCTTCTCTTCTTTCTTCTGGGGCTTAATAAGTAGGCACTAATCCACCTTTCCTGAGCAAGACTGTACACTACAACGCCAAAGACAATGATCATGTCTTTCTCATTGTTCTTTCTCCAGGCAAAATATTGCCAGCTGTTTTTTTTTCCTCAGGTACTCAGATTTCCCAAGGTTTCAACCATCCTTGTAATTCTTTGATATGCTCCAGTTTATCCATATGTCCATTAAAAGCTATTTCCAGAAGGAGTCCTCTGGTGTGGTCAGCCTAAGATAGGGTGCTATGTCAATATTACTTCCTTTGATATGAACAGTAGAATTTTAGGCTAATGTTGCATTTATCTGTTTGGCAGCCACATTGTATTGAGCTAATACAATATAGCTAATACGTAGAGCTTTTTCCTATGAATTCCAGTTAAGTACAATTTTATACTGTGTACATGCACAGATCATTTTTTAACAGAGTTGTTGAACTTTACTTGTATTCCCAATGAATTTTTAACTTTTAGTTTCCTTTTATTATTTAAGAATATCGCTATCTTTTAAGTCCTCATTATGTAACCTAATGTAGCCAGTCTATTAATAATGAGTTTGGGGTGGAGCACGGTAGCTCACACCTGTAATTTCACCACTTTGGGAGGCCGAGGCAGGTGGATCGCTTGAGGTCAGGAGTTTGAGACCAGCCTGGCCAACAAGGTGAAACTCCATCTCTACTAAAAATACAAAAATTAGCCGGGTATGGTGGTGCACGCCTGTAATCCTAGCTACTCCGGAGGCTGAGGCAGGAGAATCATTTTAACCTGGGGAACGGAGGTTGTAGTGAGCCAAGATCGCGCCACTGCACTCCAGTCTGGCAAAAAAGTGAAACTCCATCTAAAAAAAAAAAAAAAAAAAAAAAAGAGTTTGGGTATAGGTTTAAAATATTTAGGATTATAACTAATTCAACTTTATTAGTGCATCCTCTACAAGGATATAGTGAGAAACCCTGCAAAATACCTTACTATTACTCAGATGCACTTATATTTAATACCCTAATCTACAGGTCCAGCAAATCAAATGCAAAAGAAAATGCAGTCTTGTATAATTTGTGTACTGAAACCATACTGGTCTCTAGTCATTAATGATTACAAGGTGTTCACAAACCAATTACTTCAAGTTTGACTTCGAAGTTTTTTCAAAAATTACTATAATCTCTCCCACCTATATATTTAGTGGAGACCTTTCCCCTAAGTTCAAAAGCTGGAATATTTGTCTTCATGTGGTCTTCTGACCATCGTCTCATTACACTAAGCGATTGATTCATTATATCTTGTATTTATTAAGTGTTTTCAGTGTGTCACATACTCTCCTAAGAATTTTACATGCCTATTTCATTTAATCCTCACAAAAGCCCATGCATTAAATATGATCTCCCTTCTTCACAGAAAGAAACTGTCACTTAGGTTAAGGAGTTTGCCAAGGGCCACACAATGAATAAGCAGCAAGCAGTGCTGGGATTCACACCCCGTCTAGAAGATTTCCTGCTCTTTACCGCTCAGCAGATATTTATTGAATATCTGCCAAGCACATGGAATCATTCCTGGTACCTCTAGAAGATTTGGCAGCATTGACACAGTCATCAACTTGCAAATGTTCCTTCCATACTCTAATAAGATACTAATTATCCACCACTGCTGTTACTCTTCCTCCTCCTCCCTTCTGCAACTATAGCTTGAGGGCATTTCACTGCTTATTAGTAACCTTGGAGAATGGAGAGGAAAGGGAAGGGAAGGGATATCTATTTACATAACTGGAAAGACGCTGGAGAATTTTTCAGAATAAAAAGGGGGTCCATTTTGTTACTGTTAATTCTAATAAAAGACTTTGGAGAAGAATACTTCTCTTGGCTTAAATACAAGCCTAGAATTACCTAGGACTTTCATTTACTAATGAAATGAAATAACATTGCTTTGACGCCCTGTGACCACACACAACTGTTAAATTTTAAACTCTGTGTGTGCAGTTATTCGTGTTGCTTAGAAATACAGCAGCTGGTACCGGTTGACAAAAGGTGTGTAGGAATGGGAGAGGGCTATGAGGATGAAAGAAAGGCTCCTAGTTCAGAAAATTTTGAAACACACCTCTACCCTCAGTTCAACGATTGCTGTGTCAGTCCATAAATTATTATTATTATTATTTGGGGGACAGAGTCTTGCTCTGTTGCCCAGGCTGGAGTGCAGTGGTGCAATCATAGCTCACTACAGCCTCAAACTCCTGGCTTCAAGTGATCCTCCTGCCTCAACCTCCTGAGTAGCTAGGATTATAAGCATGAGCCACTGTGCCCAGCCCTCACTATATAAATTAGAGAAAATACTTACTCATTAAGCTTATCCCAGAAGGGTTTCCATGCCAGGAAAACCAAGCTTATTTTCCTATCTTAAAAAATAATCTTAAATGTGCAAGCACATGCTAGCCCTTGTTTAAAACATCAGATGGTCACTCTGAATGGCTGTGTATGGAATCTTGCTTTGTATCCCCATGTCCTATGTCTGCAATTTTCCATGCTTCTGCAGGTTGAATTGCCTGATTCCTATCAAACAACCTAACCATATAAGGTCAGTAGTTACTCAACTTGGCCCACATTGGAATCAATGGAGAAACTTGAAAAATATATTAATGCCTGTGTCCACCTCCCAAGGATTGTGCTTTGACTGGTGGGGGATGGGGTTGCCTGGGCACTGGAATTATTAAAACATCTCCAAGTGATTCTAATGTGCAGATGAACTTGAAATTTTGACATAGGAATAAAAAGTATCTTTCCCAGTTCTCACTTCTCTATTAACTTGGCCTGCTCATGACTGGACTGCAATCTGCCATAGCATGAACTCATCTTGGCCCTATCCAAAAGGATCTGGGTCTGCCAAGTACCAGGAGGCCTAGTGTCTACCTGGTTACATCTGTCATGAGTTTCCTTTTATAAGTGAGGTTTCAATGTATAAACTTCATAGAAAAAAAAGGCAGACATTTAGTTTTTCCTAAGAAACTTGAGATTTCAAAGTTTTAGTTTAAAAATTGCATGAAAGATGGAAATCTTCCTCAGGCATACATTTTTGTTGATCTGTCTTCTCAAAGGCCTTTAGCTCTCTAATATTATTGAAGATGAGAAAGAATACAGAATATAAGAGAAATACATCAACGCCTAGTATTAAGAAAGAAACTTCTATAAAATCACCAAGTCTCTAGATCAAAGCTTGAAAGACTCTAGCTGAGCTTACTAAACATCTGTGTAACAATGCCACAGAAATAGAAAAGAGAGCTCATGCGGTTCAGACACATTTGAAAAAAACATTAATTATATTTTCCCCAGGTAGGTAGTTTCCTGTATTCAAGGTCTACTGAGTTCTTTGATGCCTATGCCAGATCATCTTCTTCATAGTACATAATGCTTTGAATTGTACACACTATGGTTAACGTCGAAAGACAACCTTCAAAACTTGGGACACTTGTTTTCTTTCATGTTTTGAGTATCAGCATCCTGATCTCAAATAGCCACACAGACACACTGCTTATCACATCACTCCGTTTTAATTATCTGCACAGCACTTAGCACTTAGTACTTTCTGATGTTTCTCTTGCTTATTTATTTGTTTAATGCTACCCCCACCACCACAATACGGGCTCCGTGATACCAATGGTTTTATCTCATTCAATGTTGTGTCCCCAGCATCTCGAAGTGTTCAATAAACATTCAGTGAATATTCAGTAAATGAACATTCCAACATTCTGAGTACTTTCCTGAAACAGTCATATGACAGCCACAGACAATTTCCATGCTTTGTGACATGAAGGCCCACATTTATACACCTACAAAATGAGAGTAATAAGATATTGACCTCACAGGACTATCACGAGAATTGCATGAGAACACACTGTAAGGACTTATCACAAGGTATGGCATATGATGAATGAAAAATCATAAAAATCATATTATGGAAATGTGTCAGTGTGCCATTTATAGTGGAATAAAAGCAGTAAGAGAAATGCCATGATTTCATTTTATCAATTTGTTTAAAATGTATCTGATTATACATGTTCTTTCACTATTTAGGAGGAAAATTAACATATGTTTTTATGTAAGCTACAGTTTGCTTTCAGGAGAAGAAGAGTACCAAACTGGGACTCAGAGGAATAAATCCAGGCTGCTGATCTGTATGGCCCAATACGCCATTTAATAGTTACCTAAGGTTTAGTTTTCTCACCTGAAACATTGAGGGGAGAGGCAAGGAAGAGTAGGAGGTTTGAGGGGAATCAACCGAAATATGAGCTCTTAAGAGGCAGCGAGTAAATATGCAAAAATCAATATTTAGCTCATAAAAGAAAGAATGGCGTCAAGATTTTCTCACAATGTTTGGCTAAATTAGATGAATAAGATAGACCTTCATAATAAATTAAATCTGATCTATACATTATTTGTATGATACTCAGATATACAATCCCTAGCTTACAGTTAATAAAAATTATCCATTTGAAATTATTTTTGCAGACATTTTTGCGTATATGCTATATGGTGTCCTTATGAACAGCTTTTTTTTTCTACTGAAATTTAACAAGTTAAAAAGAAATAGATTTAGAAGAAGCTTCCTGGAGAAATGTTTTTCCTGTTTAAAAGTTCTTTACCAGTTTTTTTTAAGTTACAATAAAAAGCATTGTGAGTCATCCATACGCAGTTTTTTTGTATTACGTATGGATCAAATACTTCCAGAAACATGACAATGTGTAATGAATTCATCCCCTTCACCAGTAACTTTATTTTAATATGGCTCTATTACAAATGAAAAATCAATAAACCACCATTCAGTTTCTTTGAAGTAGACTCTTGCCTCTCCTTCCAACACTCTAGAAATATGCCATTGGTTGCCTAAAGCCTTGAACTTCGTTTGTCAATTCAGGTGCATTGTTTCCTTGGCTGTTAGGTCTGCCTGTTTCCTCAGGCTAATTATGAAATCATCTGCTCCGCCAGGAAGAAGCACACAGCTGAAGAGCATCATCCTGTGTTCCAGCATTACTGTGGAGCATGTGTCCTTATTACTAATGCACAAAGCACGACACTTGGAGAAGTCTCTTCGTTGCCTGGAAATTGGGGGGCATAATCTGAAGACTTATAAATATCTCTTAACAAAGCACCAGCTGAGCTGTGTCAGGGTTGCACACTCTCTTCATCTCTCCCTTACAGCCTTTCAATTTGCTTTCCAAACATTTCTTTGTCGCCGTTGGCTGGGGTGTGCTTAAAAGAAGCACATCGTTAACCACAAAGAATGCTCACTGTTTTCTGTGATTTCAAATCAGTTCCAAGCACTTCCTCAGCAAGTGGCCCGGCAGCAATTACCCTGCTGCTGAAGACACTTCGCATCACAGGCCTCAGTTTTTGAGACAAGCAAGCAAGGCTGTAAGAAATGATAACATATGTTTCAGCCTCCATTCACCAGCGATTTATACCCCCATAAGAAGGGTGAATCAATTTTCATGCAAATTCAACAGGCATATTCAACAACGTTGCTCTCTTCTCTAATTCACACAAACTCAGCATTCATCGGCTGCATTACTTGCCTCAAATGGGCACTCACAGTTGCTAAATGATTCGGGCGGGGGTGGAGTTGCTCTGTGTCAAAAAGGGGCAAAGAACAAGGAAAGGACATGAATCCATCAGGGCAATGAGAGCTGAACTGATTCACTGAGACAAAATAGTGAGGTTTTGAAAAGCCAGTGCAAAAGGAGATGGCTTCCCACCTCACCCTGACACTTCTGTGAAAGATGGTGTAGAAACTGACCTCGGCAGCATTCAAGGGAAATGTTTCCACAAGCATGAGCTGCTCCAGAACAATTTATCCAATAGATTATGTTGAGATAGGCTTCACTTTACAACCACATTTCTCTCTTTTCTTTCCCATCTTGATCATACCTGTTAATATCCTCTTTGCGGAAATATCTCCAGAAGGAGTCAAAAAGGTTAAAATGGGCAGCGCAAATTTCCATATGCCAGGTCCCTGGATATAGTTTTAAAGGGCCTGTGGCCTTAAGTAAAATCTGATTTCTTAACTCCACAGGTCTGCAGGTAAATGTCACACTGCCCTCTGGAGGTAGTCTCATTGGATCTAACCCTGAATTAATGATTGCCAGCTACTGAAAAATATATGGTTGCTGAATTTCAGAAGTCTTTTTCTAGGGTGGAGAGGGTATAGAATAGGAGGACAGTTGAAAAATTACCAACTGCTTCCAACTCCTTGTGAGTGGAGTGAGTGTGTGTGTGTGTGTGTCAGACAGAGAAGGGGGTGGGAAAAGGAAAGGAGAATAAGTAAAGATTGCCCCCAATTTCAGTAGTGCCAACAGAGAAAGGATGCATGTAGACAGGAAGCTTCAAGATGGCTGACTAAATGCATCTGGTACTCACCTTTTCCAGAGAGAGGAGCTAAAATAGCAATTAGATAATCACATTTTGAATAGATCATCTGAGAGAGAATACTGGAATTCAACAGAGAAGTGATGGGAAGCACTGAAAGCAAGGAAGGAGAGGGAAGCAAGGAAGCCAGCTTAGCTGGGATCAGCTGGGAGCCCGGAGAGGCTCCTTAATGTGAGGAAAGGGTAAGTGAGAGACACCAAGTGGTCCACATTCCTGCCACAGAATTCTACAATGCTAGCCATAGGAGAGCCCCTGGACTCTCATGGGCCCTGAGACTCACAGAGAACTGCCTAGAGATCACATAATGGCATTGTTCTAGACAGGGAGCTCATGCTGAGTCCTACAAACCCCCAAGTCCTAAGCAGCTGCAGCACTGTGCCATTATGAAAGCCCCGCCCCTGCCAGAATGTGTTCTGCCTGGGGGCCCAAGAGCCCCTGCACCTCCATATCCCTGGAGCCCAACTGACACTCATCACCCACAGACACCACTGTTGGGCTGAGGCAGGAGCCACTGGAAGTGACCTTGCCACCCCAACAAAAAGGCAGCTATACATTTTCATGTGCCATCTGCAGGACTGAGGACCAGCTTGCCCAGTTCATCATGGACATCACCAACACCAGCACTGACCACTTGGGTTCCAGAAAGTTGTCCCACCACAGCTACTGCCATTGCCACAGCATACCTGCTACCCAGAAGCATGATAACCTGCCCATCCTCCTGACCCACCATGATATTCCCAGCACCTGGAGAGGCTAATGCTCAACCCACTGCTGCCACCACTGAGGCCCAAAGACTGGCCCACCTAATGTCCTAGTTCCCAGCAAAACTTCACCACAACCTCCACTAATAATCACACCCTAAACCACTGAGGAAATCACAGACACCACTGACACTGTTTACAGCTGGAAAAATTACACAGAGACTATACAACCACCCACACCTAGAGTCAAGGCCAAAGTGCCCTACCCAGCCAACACCGTAGATAAATCTTCAAGAAATGTCATCCCCTATGAAAGCAAATTCAAAAAACTGGAGCAACTGTTATATCAGATGCACAAATGATCAATGTAAGGACACAAGAAGCATGAAAAAATAAGGAAATATGGTATCTCCAAAGGCACACCATAATTATCCAGCAACAGATTCTCATCAAAAAGAAATTTAAGAAATACCCCCCAAAAAAGAATTCAAAATATTGATTTTAAAGAAGCTCAGTAAGACACAACAGAATACTGAAAAATAATGCAAAGAAACCAGAAAAGCAATTCAGGAAATAAATGAGAAATTTACCAAAGAGATAGATGTCATAAAAAAAGAGACCAAACAGAAATTCTACAACTGAAGAATTCATTGAATTAAATAAAAAATACATTCTAAAGTTTCAACAACAGACTAGATGAAGCAAAAGAATCTCAGAACTTGAAGAGAGGTATTTTGAAATAACTCAGACAAAAATAAATTAAAAGGATAAAAAAAGAATGAGCAAAGCCTATATAACATCATAAAGTGACCAAGTATTTGAATTTAGGATCTGAGAAGGTGAAGAGAAAATGAAGGAGTTAGAAAACCTATTTAACAAAACAATAGATAAAAACTTCCCAAGTCTTGCAAAAAACTTTAGATATCCAGAAACAAGAGGCTCAAAGTTCTCCATATAGATACAATTCAAAAAGTTCTTCTGCTCAGCACATTATAGTCAAAATATCAGAGGTGAAAGACACAGAGAAAACTCAAAAAAGCAAGAGAAAAGCATCAAGTCACTTATAAAGGTACGTCTGTCAGACTAGACTAACAGCAGAAACCTTATAGACTAGGAAAGAATGGGCTGATATATTCAAGATGCTGAAAGGAAAAAAAACTGCCAACCAAGGATACCATACCCAGAAAAGTTATTCTTTATAAAATGAAAGAGAAATGAAGTCTTTCCCAGACAAGCAAAAGCTGAGGGAATTTATCACCACTAGACCAGATCTATAAGAAATGCCAAGGGAGTCCTACACCCAAAAGTGAAAGAACAATATCTAATATCATTAAAACACATGAAATATAAAAACTACTAGAGCAAACATACAAAGAAGGAAAAGACTAGAAGGTTACCACTACAGAAAAACCACAAAACCACAATAATAAAAAATAAGAGAGTAAGAAAGGAACAGAGGATACACAAAACAACTAGAAATCAGTTAATAAAATAAGAAGAATAAGCTCTCACATATCAATAATAACCCGGAATGTAAACAAATTAAAACTTTCACTTAAAAATACAGACTGGCTGAATGGGTTAAAAAACATGACCTGACTATACACTGCTTACCATACTCATCTCACCTGTAAAGCCATATACTAACTGAAATTAAAGGATGGGAAAAGAACTTCCATGCAAACAAAAATCAAAAGTGAGCATGAGTGGCTATGCTTATATCAGGTGAAACATACCTTAAGTATAAAACACTAAAAAGTGACAAAGAATGTCATTATGTAATAATAAAGGGATCAACTCAGCAAGAGCTGCATATATATTTAGAAATACAACAATTCTAAATACATATGCACTCAACACCAAAACACCCAGATCTATAAAGCAATTATTATTAGATCTAAAGGGAGTGATAGACTCCAACACAGTAATAGGAACGTTAATAGCCCACTCTCAGCATTAGACAGGTCATCTAAACAGAAAATTAACAAAGAAACATTGGATTTAAATTACACATTAGACTAAATGGACCTAACAGACATTTACAGAACATTTCATCCAACAGCTACAGAATATACATTCCTCTCATCAGCACATGAAACATTCCTTAGGACAGCCCATATGTGAGGACACAAAACAAGTCTCAACAAATTTTAAAAAATCGAAATCATATCAAGTATCTTCTCAGACCACAATGAAATAAAACTGGAAACCAATAACAAGAGGAACTTTGGAAACTGCACAAATACATGAAAATTAAACAACATACTCCTGAATGACCAATGGGTCAAGAAAGAAATTAAAGAGGAAAAAAAAATTCTGAAATAAAATGGAAACATAACATATCAAAACCTATAGGGTACAGTAAAAGCAGTGCTAACAGGAAAGTTTATAGCAACAAACACCTACATCAAAAAGTAGAAAGATTTCAAATAAATGATCTAATAATTCACCTAAAAAAAACTAGAAGAACAAGAAAAACCACACCCAAAATTAGTAGGAGAAAAGAAATAATAAAGATCAGAGCAACACTAAACAAAACAGAGACAAAAAAAATACAAAGGATCAATAAAAGGAAGTTAGTTTTTTGAAAAGATTAACAAACTTGATAAACAACTTGCTAGAATAACCAAGAAAAAAAGAGAATACCCACATAAAATCAAAAATGAAAAAATAGACAAGTATAACTGATATCAAAGAAATGCAACAGATTATCAGGGACTATTATGAACAACAATACACTCACAAACTAGAAAACCTAGAGGAAATAGATAAATTCCTTGACTCATACAACCTACCAAGACTGAATCAAGAAGAACTAAAAAACCTGAATAGACCAACAATCAGTAATGAGATTGAATCAGTAATAAAAAGTCTCCCCCAACATAGAAAGTCCAAGACTTGGGGCTTCACTGCTGAATTCCCATGTGACTGTCTTCTTACGTGATGTTCAGATAGAGTCTACATTCCCTCTTGAATCTAGTGGGCTTGTGACCACAGTGAAAGACTAAGTCATAAAAGGCTGTACAGTTGCCACCTGGCCTCTTGGTTCCCTCTTGGGACCTGCCACCATGCTGTGACAAAGTCAAGCAGCCACACAGAGAGGCTATGATCCTACCACAGCACCAGGCAAGGTCCCTGCCAAGAGCCAACATCAACTGCCAGCCATAACTTCAAGGAAACAAGGCTTCATATTCTTCCAACCACCCACTTTGGAGTTGTCCCCACCAAATTTCAGACTTGTGAGCAAAAGAAATTTGTCATTGCGTTAAGCTACTCTGTATGGAGATGGTTTGTTACCAAGAATAGACAGCCAGAACAATGGGCAAAGCCCCCAATACTGGACCCATTTCCTGGCATAGAATAGAACTGGCCTAAAAAGAAATGGGACTTGCTTCTCTGCCTTTCATGAATTTTCATTATTTGGGTTGATTCTTTATTAACATTAGACTTTCTCTCTGAGTCCCAGATTAGGCTGTCTATAAGATATATCCCAGCTGAAATTGTGTGTGAGTGTGTGTGAATGCACACTATATGATGGTTGAATTGTTGCCAGTATTTAGTAATTAGATTTTTATTTAAACACACACACACACACTCACAGAGAGAGAGAGAGAGAGAGAGACAGAAAGAAAGAAAGAAAGAAAGAAAGAAAGAAAGAAAGAAAGAAAGAAAGAAAGAAAGAAAGAAAAAGAAAGAGTAAAGAGAATCTAAATTTTGTCTTCTCTCAAAATAAAAGAACAAACAGAAGATCTGGCAATACTGAATTTACATTCCTTTTTAACAGTAATTCACTCACAAAACCCCCAGTTCCCTCAGTGCCATCTCCTCTCTGTTGCATTACATCCTGCCTGTTCCATTCAAGCTCTCATCACTCTTTTTTCTCATTTTTTAATTTATATAAATGTATGCGTTACAAGTGCAGATTCTTTACACACAGAGATTGCATAGTGGTGAAGTCAGGGCTTTTAGTGTATCCATAACCCAAATAACATACATTGTAACAAATAAGTAATTTCTATTCCTCCACACCTTCCCACTCCTTCACCCTTTTGAGTCTCTATTGTCTATCATTCCACACTCCACATCCTTGTGTACACATTATTTATCTCCCACTTATAAGTGAGAACATGCAGTATTTATCTTTCTGCATCTAGCTTGTTTCACTTAAGTTAATGGCCTCCAGTCACTCTTAGATTTATTTCCTGACATCTATAGACATTTGGACTTGTGACATCTATTAAGCCAATGATTCTCTACCTGATCGATAAAAATTTACACTTACATAGTTCTCAAGGAGTTAACACCCTTTTGAAAGAAGAGTTTAATATAATTAGGAAAATAAAAGTCAGAAAAATTTTTAAAAACTAAAGTTTTAGTTTAAAATTAAATTTAAAAGGATAAAATAAAATACATGCCAAAAAGCCACATGATGAGGTGACTAGGATAGCAACTTAGGTTATTATCATACACCCTGGTGTAATTGTCCAACTCTTAGTGGCTGCTGTGCATTTATTGATGCCCCGGGAGCCAATGTTTTTTGTGTCATTGTTCTATATAAATGTTGTTCTCGCCGGGAGCAAAATTACACAAAACATGAAGTCTACTAATAGAATCAAATATGCTACATTTAAGAATCCTATTTATGGCCTGGCGTGGTGGCTCACGCCTGTAATCCCAGCACTTTAGGAGGCCGAGGCAGGTGGATCACCTGAGGTCAGGAGTTTGAGACCAGCCTGGCCAGCCTGGTGAAACCCGGTCCCTACTAAAATACAAAAATCAGCCTGGCATGGTGACAGGCGCCTGTAATCCCAGCTACTCGGGAGGCTGAGGCACGAGAATCACTTGAACCTGAGAGGTGAGGTTGCAGTGAGCCGAGATTGCACCAGTGCAATCTAGCCTGGGCAATAAAGAGAGACTTTGTCAAAAAAAAAAAAAAAAAAAAGAGAATCCTATTCACTTTTTGGTATAGTTGCTGAAAATACTCTTCTCACACTAGTGTATGAAGAACCTTAAATAAATAGTTTCTAGAGAGGAGACTGAATTTCGAGCGTTGGAGAATGGAATCATTCAGCCTGAATAATAAAACTGAAATTGATACATTTATTTCATTTATATTATTTGGTGTATTTCATCTTATTAAACAGATTTTAAGTTAACTGTCTTTCCATTTAATTGAATAGCATAATTTTAATGCATTTTATATGTCCTAAAATGAGTAGAATGTTTATGGAAATGGAAGGTAAAATATGTCAGCCAAGTAAGAAAACGATCATCCTTTACATGTAAAAATGATTTTATTTCCTTAGGAATAAAAATGGACGGGAAGTCCTATTTATTGCTCATTAAATGTATTGAGAATGCAGCCAGTCATAATTTATCTCATAGTGATGTGTATTCACTAATTACTTTAAGAAAATTTCTATGTTTCAAAATCAATCTAAAGAGTACTTAACTAAGTCCTATGCAATCTCTATGAAGAACCACAAACAGGGTGAAAACACTGTAGTTTAACCAAGTTTATCTTTGTGGTGGGCCTATTATGGCATGTTGAATCAGAATTCTACTCACGGCTTTTCATTTGACATACAATTGGCTGGGCTTTCTAGAAATGCTACTCTTTGAGGGAAAATAATATGGAGTTAACATTCAAAGTATGTCCCATTTTATAATATTAGCATAGTAAGAGTTATGCTCCCTTTTGTAGAACATGCAAGGATAGTTAAGGGGCATACTATACTCCTCTCCCTAAACGGTAAAATTTCTTTTTTAAAAAACGTTAAATAGGTATTTAAATAAGGTATTGTCTACTTTATATTACAGGAGAATGAGTCATTCCCCTAGTGAGGCCTGCATTTGTGGTCAAATACTTGGTTCATAAAGTTAATGTCTGAGATGCTGCAGGAGGAGAATATTTATACATCAGTGACTTCAGCAGAATGCAATCCTCATAAAACTTTATTTTATTGGAGTTGTAAAGTTACTTATTTGGGGGAAGAAACGATTAATTTATGAAAAAATAGATAATAGAGTGGTTTTGAACTTTTTATTGTTGTCACTTTATTTCCTTCCAGAGTTAACAGCTCAGTGCCAGAATCAGCGTTCAAGTTTGATGGCATATTTCAGTCGAAAAGAACCTGGGGATAAAATTACTAAGAAGCGCACTCTAAATCCACGGAGAACACTGATTTAAATACTATCAAAGCCTTAATGCAATGCCAGAACAATTCGGAGTTTTCATCTGGATCAAGACTTTTAGCAAAGGGCAGTATGTTCGGATGAATTTTTATAATAACAAAGCGTGTACGTTCACCGCCATCCAAACGTTGGTCACGATCAAGCAAGGATGTCCAGGAAACCTAGCCACCTAATCATTCTGGTCATCTCACAATCTTCTTCTTCCTTTTTTTTTTTCTTTCTATTTAGTAAAGCACCCATGAACAGGCAAGGTGGTTACTTAGGCTCCTTCAAAGTAAATCAGCAGCGGTCAAATTAACTTTATTGGTTATTAAAGTAAGCCAAAGTTTTGTCACTTCATAGGATATTTTGCCTGGGGACCTTCGATTTTGGTCTCTAAATGTGGCTTCCTGAACAGCTCTCGGAATAGGAAAGTCCCTAAGCGATTCTTAGGGGCCCTTCATTCTTCTGGAGAATGGTGTAGCTGACATCAGCCCCGCGCCTGGAGGCTCCCAAATAGCCACGATTTGGGAAGTTCTGAGATTTCCACTCCTAGACAGCAAGTCCGCGACGTACTAAAGCGCTCTGTCCCTTCCCTCCTCTGAGAGCTGTCCCATTAGGTCCCCAAAGCCAAAGCCTAGGTCCTTCTCCCTTCCCATCAGGGATGAAGCGGGGTGTATTGCAGGTGTGTAGGCGGGGGGGCGTCTATTAAGTGGGGCGCTGGGGACAGGAAAGTGTTCAAAGAAGGAAACCTGCCTGGGGTCATCCGTGCTCGGCTTCCCTACCGCGCGCCTTCTGGGGCTCCGGGAGAGCAGGCGCTGCCCGCGGAGGCGAGAGTGAGCGTGGCCGGGGGCGCGGGGCTGCGCCAGGTGAGAGAGAGCTGCGGGCCCCGGGGACGACCCGCACCTGCGCCCTCTCTGGGGTCCGGACGGGACCGGGCTCGGCCGGGCGGGCTCCGGGAGGAGACGCGCTTACCTGGAGGTAGGGCCGCCCGTGGGCCACCCCGCCCACGACGATGTCGGCGGACGCCATGGCCCCGGTGGGCGAGAAGCCGAAGCCCACGTAGCCTGCAGTGCGCACCTGGAGGCGGAAGGCGATCTGGCTGCCCCGCTGGCTCCAGCCCAGCCAGTACTTGCCCTCCGAGTCCAGGAGGGTCCGGTGCGGATAGGTTCGGCCCGAGCCCCCCGCCGCCGTCCCGGGGAGCAGCCCCCACAGCAGGAGCAGCGGCCAGCAGCACATCCTCGGGCGCCTCCTGCCCGCCGGTACCGGCCTCCAGCCGCTGGGGAGTGAGGAGCAGAACGAGGAGCGGCAGCGGCGGCGAGCGGGAGCCCAGGGACCGCCCCTCGGGCCGGCCGCGCGCCCGCCCGGGAGGGGCAGGACCCGCTCTCCCCGCCCCGGGCCGCCTGCAGGGCGCGCCGCGTCCCGTCCGGTCCCGTCCCGTTCCGTCCCGTCGGGTCCCAGCCCCGCCAACTCTCACCCTGCCCGGCCCTTCCAGCGGATCCACTTGCAGCCCCCGACCCCTGACTTGGTCCCCGAGGTCGGGGCTCGGTGGGAAGGAAAGCGAGGGGCTTCCCGGAAAGAAAGGGAGGAGGAGGCAGGAGGAGGCAGACGCCGAGAGAGGAGAAAAGGAGGCCAGAGGCAGAGGGAAAAGGAGGAGGGCAAGAGAATCCTAGAGCGGGAAGAGCGTGGGCTCTGCGGGACGTGGGCGAGAGGTTACCAGGGAAAGAATGGACATTGACGGCAGAGAGCAAGTTTAGCCTGGAGAGGAGGAATTGAGTGAGCAAAGGGGGTAGTCTGGGGTGCGATGCACAGAAAGGCCCGTCCAGGGTAACCTTCACGTCTCCGTATCCGTTGCTGTCGACTTTCCAGAGCCTTTGTTCCCAGTGACGTCCCTATTGCAATGGAGGGACACACTTCACTTTCCCCAGCCCCCCACCTCGAGAATTTCTCTCACCCTCCCACCCTGCGGGGCCGCAGAGCTTGCTCCTCACGGCAGGAGTTGGAGCCCTGACGCTTGCCTTCACCTAGTTTTTGTTTGGTTTGGTTTGGCGTTGATGGGACAAAGTCAGCCAAACTACTTTGCCATCAGCAGAGAAGGTAAGGGGTGAATTGTCATTTGAGAGTTATATTTTAATTTAACATTCTCTTTTCTTGCTATTCCAAGTTCTGGCCATAACCATGTTTGTCAAAAGTTTGTTTTGTTTTGGTTTTGCCTCTACCTTTGACCACTCCTGTCTTTAGAATGCTAAATACAAATATGGCCACTAAAATTTACCTTGCTTATTTATTCCTTTATTTATGATCTGCCAAGTTTCCAAAAAAGTTCGAAATTTTGTCTTTATAAAAATACAAACAATGCAAAATAGAAAAACAAATAAGAGAGAATATCAGATGAGAAATATGGGTAAGAAGAGCAAGCTCCACACTAGCCACCCTACACTCCTCATTCTCTCTCCTCACCTCGTATTTCAGCCTGTTTTTCCCCCTGCCTATCTTTTCCCATAACTTTTCCAAAGTTACCGTCATGCATCTAATTTATATTCTTCTAAGGATACGGGAATATTTGATCATGTCTGGAAGGTGACCTGTAGGTGGATCTGCTTACCAAAGTGCTCAGGGACTTGCCTGGGAAGGGACTTTTCCCAAGGAGAGATTGGATCAAGGTCCGCAGGGCTGGCCAATGGCAATAGGCCAGCATCAGAGAAGAGTGATGTTGGAACCGCAAAATAAAATGAGAAATAAAAGAGCCTGCAAAGCCTTACAAGAACTGGGCATGGAGACTATGAAATATAAGTAGCTGGTGCCTCACCTCCACCAGGACCCACTGGGCAAATGTCAAGGGCAGTAACAGCCATACAGCAATGTAAGGGTGGCAACCTTAGAATTGGGTTTTTACAAGCACCATACCAGGGACGTGGCTTCAGCCATGAAGAAAGGAAGGGGGATATGGAGAGAAAGAGGAACAAAATAGGGGGAATGGAGTCCCAGAGGAGTGGCTCATGGCACCGGGTGGGACACACTCACTATCCTCTCACTATCCTGGGCAGGGATTTCAGGGAAGTTAAATTACTGCAGAGTGACTAAAGGCAAACTTTCTGTTTTGTGACCCTACTTTTATTCCTAGTGTGGAGGAACCTGGAACAAGCACATTGCTACATCTGCTTCCTGGGGTTCGTTATATAAACCCCAAATTCACATCTATTAGGACATTTTGTCTCCTTAATGAAACAAAAAGAGGTCATGCCTTCCAGAATTCTTCCCCCATTAACTGTTTTAGCTTTACCTTCCATCACTCCCATCTCACTCACCCATCGGCCTGTAGACCACATGAAAAATCCCTCTGGAATCCTCAATGGAGAGCCGTGCTATTTTGCATCACTGTGCCTATTCGCAGGGTTTGTCACTTCTGCCTTCCTTCCTTTGAAGTATTTTCTTGTCCTCCTTCTCACACTTCACTGTAAGATAGCATCCTATCTGTGGATACTATCCACGGTAGTCCCCATGGAATGTTCTGCCAGACCCCATATGGCACCCCTGACACTTCAGTGTACTTTCTGTCTACAGGCTTGTTTTCCTCCAGTAGCCTCTTTAGGTCAGGAACCATGTCTGGTTTCTCATTGCCTAGAATGTGGACATCTTGCAATAGGTGCTTAATGAATACTTGTAGGACGAGTGAACAGATGCATGCCCAGATGCTCCTGTAAGCATCCTCGTAACAAAGTTGTTCTGTGGGGGAAACCTTGGCCCCAGATGTAATTGAGTGTTCTGCATTGGTATTGAGGCAAACATAGAAAAGACCACACATGAATACACAAAGGAGAAAGTTTTCAATTGTTTTCATTTATTATTTCATTGAGTGTAAAGTTATTGTCTTTTGTTGTGACTGGCATTGCATCCGAAACGCCTTGAACATTCAAGAAACATTAAAACTAATATAACCATTTTGAGATCAGGTCAACAAACAGAACATTAGCATAATTCATACTCAAGAGATCCACTCTGCTTTGGCTTGAATCACCCAGTAATTTGAGACAGAATAGAAAATGTTATCTATGTGTGCTTTGTACGCTGCTTGAGTTTTCTGGATCAAAAGCAACTCTACACTTCAGTTGCATAGAGGACTCAATTTTCTGATGTTGGAAATCAATTACTGCATTGCTGCTTGTCTTAAATTTGTAACGAAGGCAGGAAGAAAGCATAGGTCTGTTGAAAACTTAGGGAATGTAGCAGAGAGGAGAATGAAATTAGTGGTAAAGGGTTTCAAAATTAGTTTTTAAAACTACTGTTTTTGTTAAAACTGAAACTTGCTGGTTATTTAAAGAAAAAGGTCAGGAAATGCAGAAAAGTGTGAATAACAAAGTAAACTTAAAAAATCACCTGAAATTCCACCATCCAAAAATAACCCTTGTATGCATTCCAGGAACATCATTCCAGAGCCCAGTTCCATTAAAAGGTTGGAGGAGCAGTCTGTTGGGCAAGCATTTGCAGAGAAACAGGTGAATTAGCTTTGTAAGACTCTGCTTGAAATAAACAGAGCGACTTTAAACATATTAGTTACAAGCACATTGTTTAGGCTTCTTCTCTCCACATATATCCTTTGGATACATGAGTAGACAAAAGAAATCAAATAGACAAAACTAGCGATTCAGTGAGGTCTTACTTAAGTTCAGAACATTCAACCAAATTAGTCATTCCTAAAATGAATCATTTTCTCACACTTTTCAATCAAGGATTTGAAATGTTATATTTATTTTAACTCCTCACTTTGATACATAGCTTGCAATCTGCCAGTGTGACTGCCCCCATGCTGAGTTTCCTTACCTCCAAACCCTCTGTTGCTAAGGTTTGTTTGTATTTCTACATTAGTCGACTGCAAGGGGTTGGGGGAAGGATTGAGGAAAAAAGAAAACCCAAGGGACGATTATAAGCCAATGCAGTCTCCCTATATGAGCTAGGATGGGCTAAAGTATTTCTTCTTGAGAGTATCATAATTTTCCTGCTTACTTGTACCTAAGGTTCAACAATAATGCTAAATATTTATAAAGTTCCTGTCTTCTAGGGAGCTCAGAGAAAAATATTTATGTAAGTGATCTCAGCAGTTCTCCAAAATAGGGAAGCTGAAGCATTTTCTCACATTAGTCTATAAACTAAGTCACTTGTGTGGATAGGTGACTGGTTCAAGTTCATACTATGAGTCAGTGGCAGAAAAGCCAAAAATAGAACTACGGTGTTTTGAGGGTTTTTTTTAACTACATACTTTCTCCAGCTCTCACCTCACCTCCAATAAAAAAAAAAATTAAAGCTATTAGGTAATGATCATGAAACATTCTTTCAGCAGGGCTGATATTTTTTACATGAGCAAGATGCTATGATCTACTGTTAGCTCAATGTTATATATTCATTTTAATAACAGATGATATTGATGATAGTCATGTGGATGGAGAAGGTGAGGATATAGTGCATTTACTCCTATTATCAGGAAATTTGAGACTTGCTTAACTGAATTCTTGAGGTTTCTTTGAAATTGAGTGCCAGTTGGCACAGAAAATCACTCTTAGGTTCTTATGAAAATCATAGCAAGCAAACCACTTTCTCTGTGCAAATCCTAAACTTTAGTAGTATCTATAAACTATGCTCTGAAATAAAACTGTTCAACTAAAAATAGTCTGTGGAAAAAAAAGGAATGCTCTTTTTTTTTAATCACTAATGACCGTCTGTTATAATTTCCCTTTACAGGGAACCATAATGTGTATCAAAAATGTGGTAGGGAAGAAATAGATTTACTAAATAGTCTATATTAATGTAAAGCCATGTTTAAAATGTTGTGTAGGGGATTTATGAGACTAATCGATTGGAAATTGTACTCATCCGAGTGATCTGTGGCACAAAATAAATATCAATGCCCTCACACTTTGGCAAACCTCACTTATAAGAGGGCAAGCCAACTGAAGCTGCCAGTGATTATAGTAAGAGAAAGTAGGAGTAATAAAATGTGCTGAATTAGTTATAAGAATGTCAGTCTTGCAAGGGTAGAGACTCTCTAATCCATACCCTCATCTTGCAAATAGAGTCCTAGAGAGGAGTGAATTGTTTAAGCCTACAGTATTTTTAATAGATACAAGCAGGAAGGTTGGTGGCCTGACACAATTAACAACAATGCCTGGCTCCCCCACATCCTCTTCTTAACAGTTGTTCTTTTGGGTGTCTCAGGTCACCACTGGAATTACATTTACCAAGCTTTAGCTTCTATATACGTGTTGAGAGAAAAAGTAGAAAGGAAGAGGGCATTGTGAAAATAGTGATATTCTCTCCAAGCAGAACTCCCTAGAAACCACCTTTTTGATTATTCTGTAGACTTGGCCCTTAAATACTTGTACTTCTGTATGCTTAGAATTCTATGGCCATTAATTTAAAGAAAAGCCTAGGTTTAGTCAAATTGAGCAACCAGCATCAATTCAAAACTAAAAACAAATTGAACTCCACACTGAGAATAAGAGGATTCAGTACTACTCACTTGATTCAAAAATGCCACATGTGGTTTTGGGGAGCTTTAAAGAAATTTCTACCATGATAAAGAAAACATAAGGACTAGATACATAAATATAAAAATTTAATTTTCCAGAAACCTAATTGAAGTCATTACAGTCATTACTAGGAATAATAAACAATGACTAGAGGTTCCCTTAATTGAAAAGCTGAAATGATTAGCAATTATTTTTCACATGGAAACTGACAAATATGACATATTCTGGGAATGGGTGTTAAGCCTTTGAAGCTTCTTATCAATACATGAATAAAAAAGAAAATGTGTATGTTTGTTTTCTATGCTGCAAGATTTTATTTTCTTTTATTTCTAAATCTAAGCTCACATCTCAATTCTTTGAAAATTTCCACATTTAAATATCCAAATTAATGATCGCCTTCTAACTGGTGTGAGATGGTATCTCATTGTGGTTTTGATTTGCATTTCTCTGATGGCCAGTGATGATGAGCATTTTTTCATGTGTCTTTTGGCTGCATAAATGTCTTCTTTTGAGAAGTGTCTGTTCGTATCCTTCGCCCACTTGTTGATGGGGTTGTTTGTTTTTTTCTTGTAAATTTGTTTGAGTTCTTTGTAGATTCTGGATATTAGCCGTTTGTCAGATGAGTAGATTGCAAAAATTTTCTCCCATTCTGTAGGTTGCCTGTTCACTCTGATGGTAGTTTCTTTTGCTGTGCAGAAGCTCTCTAGTTTAATTAGATCCCATTTGTCAATTTGGACTTTTGTTGCCATTGCTTTTGGTGTTTTAGACATGAAGTCCTTGCCCATGCCTATGTCCTGAATGGTATTGCCTAGGTTTTCTTCTAGGGTTTTTATGGTTTTAGGTCTAACATTTAAATCTTTAATCCATCTTGAATTAATTTTAGTATAAGGTGTAAGGAAGGGATCCAGTTTCAGCTTTCTACATATGGCTAGCCAGTTTTCCCAGCACCATTTATTAAATAGGGAATCCCTTCCCCATTTCTTGTTTTTGTCAGGTTTCTCAAAGGTCAGATAGTTGTAGATATGTGTTATTATTTCTGAGGGCTTTGTTCTGTTCCATTGGTCTATCTCTCTGTTTTGATACCAGTACTATGCTGTTTTGGTTACTGTAGCCTTATAGTATAGGTTGAAGTCAGGTAGCGTGATGCCTCCAGCTTTGTTCTTTTGGCTTAGGATTGACTTGGCTATGCGGGCTCTTTTTTGGTTTCATATGAACTTTAAAGTAGGTTTTTCCAATTCTGTGAAGAAAGTCATTGGTAGCTTGATGGGGATGGCATTGAATCTATAAATTACCTTGGGCAGTATGGCCATTTTCACGATATTGATTCTTCCTATCCATGAGCATGGACAGGTGCTAGAGAGGATGTGGAGAAATAGGAACACTTTTACACTGTTGGTGGGACTGTAAACTAGTTCAACCATTGTGGAAGTCAGTGTGGTGATTCCTCAGGGATCTAGAACTAGAAATACCATTTGACCCAGCCATCCCATTACTGGGTATATACCCAAAGGATTATAAATCATGCTGCTATAAAGACACATGCACACGTATGTTTATTGCAGCACTATTCACAATAGCAAAGACTTGGCACCAACCCAAATGTCCAACAATGATAGATTGGCTTAAGAAAATGTGGCACATATACACCATGGAATGCTATGCAGCCATAAAAAAGGATGAGTTCATGTCCTTTGTAGGGACATGGATGAAGCTGGAAACCATCATTCTCAGCAAACTATCGCAAGGACAAAAAACCAAACACCTCATGTTCTCACTCATAGGTGGGAATTTAACAATGAGAACACATAGACACAGGAAGGGGAACATCACACACTGGGGCCTGTTGTGGGGTGGAGGGAGCGGGGAGGGATAGCATCAGGAGATATCCCTAATGTTAAATGACGAGTTAATGTGTGCAACACACCAACATGGCACATGTACATATATATGTAACAAACCTGCACGTTGTGCACATGTACCCTAAAACTTAAAGTTTAATAAAAAAATCCAAATTAGATAATTAACTCAGCTTTACAGAAATACTATTTGATCTTCAAAGGCATCTTTTCCCTTACTTAAATACTTAAATAAAAGACTGTACAAGTTAAACCAAATAATCTATAGCAGTGACTGTCACTGCTATAATTGATCAGATAACTTCTGTTACTTCCCTTAAAACAGTATTGACAAGACAGGGTCTATCAAAACCCCAGACAATTAGAAAATTAGCCTTAGAAGTTAAACCATCAATAATAATGATAACATAGGAACATAACCAGAATGATAATTTCGAAGGAGTCCGGACTTGGAAGAATATCACTATATTTACAATGCCCTCTTCCTCTTTACTCTTTCTCCTTCTCAAATGTTTATGGAAATTAATACTTGGCAAAACCAATCCCAACAGTGAAACTGAGATACCAAAAGAATAAAGAATAACTTTTAAGAGGCGGATATGGAAGGAGTCAGGCATTGTTAGCATTAGGAATAAAACCATGACCATAATCATAATATGCTTACTCAGGGGTACAGGTATGTTACATAGATTGTCTCATTTAATCTTTACAACAACCTTATGAGGTCAGTGTTGTTCTCTCCATTTGGAGGAAACTAAGGGAGAAAATTGTTTTTCAGTTATTATAAAAGCAAAGACAACAAGATATTTTCTCAATTGTGAAGGAATTCTTTTTTAATATTACATGTTCCAGGACATGGTGGCTCATGCCTGTAATCCCAGCACTTTAGAAGGTTGAGGTGGGAGGATCACTTGAGGCCAGGGGTTTGAGACCAGGGATCACTTGAGGCCAGGGTCTCAACATGGTGAGACCCTGTCCCTAAAAAAGAAAAAAAAAATTAAATGTTTCACAAGTTATTCCATATCTTATTAAACAATTCTATTGGTAGTATTTTTGTTAGATACAAATAAGCAAACCATAGTAAGTCAATTTGCTACACATGTTTGGAGTTTTTCTTGACACAAGTTTCTAAAATTTTATGTGCTTACTGAGTTCCCAGAGGAGTGGCTATATACTGAAATTGGTTATATAGCAATGGGACATATAAAATTTTAGTGTTAAAAAGGGCATTGTGGGGGACGTGATATGGAGAGGGAAAATGATTTTGAGTGAAATCGAAGAAAGAGAGTCATCTTTTTTCTTTTTCTCTCTTATCCTGTCTCTCTCCACACACACACACACACACACACACACACAGTGACACACACACACACATACACACACTAAAGTAACTTCAATTATTCTTGTTAGAGGAAATGGTAATAATCATTTTTCTCCTCTTTTCAAACGTTAGGAAAAGGAGAACTAATCATGTAGAAAATTTAAACTTTATGTAACATAAAATGAAAGTGGATATTTTTTAAGGAGAAACTTAGAGAAAAGTGATCTAGCTATCTTTTTCAAGTATACCGTCAGTGATTAGAATACACAGCAACAGAAAGTTATGGAGAAAATTGCCATGATTACATTTGTTTTAAATTGTGAGTTTATCTTGTGACCCCTTGTGATATTAGAGAGTACAGGCACTTAGATAATTCAGATCATGACTACAAACATAACATTAACCAATTAGTGGGCACAAAATATTTTGAAAATCTAATTTTAAAAAGAAAATTTGCCAGGCCTGGTGGCTCATGTCTGTAATCCCAACACTTTGAGAGGCCAAGGAAGAAGGATCACTTAAGCCCAGGAGTTCAAGACCAGTCTGGACAACATAGTGAGACCCCATCTCCACAAAAATTTTTTTTAAAAAATTAGCCATGTGTAGTGGTGCATGTTTGTGGTCCCAGCTACTCAGGAGGCTGAAATAGGAGGATCAATTGAGCCTGGGAGGTCAAGGCTGCAGGGAACCATGATCACTCCACTGCACTCCAACCTGGATGACAGAAAAAGACCATGTCTCAAAAAAGAAAAGAAGGAAAAGAAAAGGAAAAAGGAAGGGAAACTTGTTTTCCTTTTAAAAACTGATAAATAATATTTATTTTTGCTAATTACACTGTAGGACTGTAAAATCAGAAAAATAATCAAACCTAAGAGAGTCAAAAGATATCATGATTTGGTATCTAAACCAGAGAAATCCAATATTATTTGTATATTTAATATATTGTTAAAAAGCCCTTTTGACTAGCAAAACCAACATTTTGATTTGAAAATATTTCAAAAATATCTACTCTTGTGATTTATCTTGTGTAGGTTCATCTATGTGAAGAATATTTAGGAGGCCTAAATATTCAAGGAAAGGAACTTTGACTTGACCTCTAGGAATCACTTTCATCTGCCTCCCAGAAAGAGGAAGCCAAATGGCCAGCCAACACAGACCACGTCTAGCTCTGAGAACTTCCTCTTTAAAAGCGATCTCTTAATTCAGTGTTGCAGAAATTCCTGGATCGATCTATTTCCCTAGGAAATAATAAGTAATAGGAAAGCATATTCATTCTTAATTCTTTAATTCACAGTGAACAAGAGCAAATGCCATGTGGTAAACTGCATGTTATTTAATAAGAGTGGTAAAGTTAGACAAACTGATCGATTATGTGGTAGTTATTCTTAAAGCATATTTATTGTCCATTCTGCATTACCTAATGGAACAAATGACTCCTTTAATATAAAGAAATTACCTGAAAAGCATGTATTTAAGATAATGTCAATTCCGCATGTTTCTTTTGGCTGAAAAGAGAAAAAGAACTAGAAAAAGCAACAGATTGAATTCCTCTGAATGAGTCAGAAGAGTGGGAGATGTGTAAAAATCAGGACGAGGGTGACAGCGGGATACCAGAGTCCTACCTGCATCAGTCCCATGGCCTCAGCCCATGTGATCCCCACCTCCCTTGGATACCAGATTTCAAGGTAAATTTCCATCAATTATGGCCACTGCATTAATTTGGCTAGTTCGTAGCATTTCACAAGGGAGCTTCTAAACCTGGAGAACAAGAGCTTGGGTTCTTCCAACAGACAACAGAATTTAACCTAAATAGATTACCCAGGAAAGCTCTGCCCAACTGACATAGACATTGATGACAGGGAAGACAAGCTAGTGCAAAGAGATGATAGTAGCAGTAGAGCTGAACTAACAATCCAGCCTGAAAAGGAAAGTTAAAGATTAAAATATAGTTTAAATATATGTGAGATACTATGTCAGATTTGTGAGCAGTCTTTTATGTGGTTGTGATTAGAAGAATGATCTTCATCTATAGAACAAATTTTAGTTGGGGGAGCACCACAACTTTAAAACCAGAAAGTCTAAGAACATTGTGATTTTTATGGAAAGAACGCTTTAAGAAATAGTACTCAAATATTTAATAGAAGGAAATGTTCACAGGATTCATTCTATAATGGAAAAATATTGTTTTCTGAAAAATCTCCCTTTTGTAAATATTTACCATGATTTACAAATCTCTCTACTTTTACCAATGATTAAAAATTATTAAAGCAGTTGATTTTCATGTAACTAGAGAATGTCTAAGCAAGAAAACATTTAAAAATTTCAAGTATATTATGAAACAAAACCTTTCTAAGAAACCATTCACTTCCTTAACTCATTGGGATTCACCCGTTTGTATATTTTGTTTGCTTGAAATTTGTGAAATGTTCATTTAGAGGTTGAAATGCAGGATTTTACTTTATTTATTTGCAAATACATTTGAGAATCTATTTTGTACCTATAGGTTGTAGGTACTGGAGATGTGCTAACAATACTCATTCGTTCCCCTCGTGGAGCTTGCATTCTAGTAATTTAAGTAACTCAGGAAATATTAGAGGTAGAATCAAAATAGAGGTAGTCACAAACCTGACAGATTTTTTCCCTTCTTGAGTTGGACATGAAACATTTTTCTTTAATATAAAACCATTTTTGAAATAGTATCACTTTGTTATTTTGAGCTCCTTCAAAAGAAAGAACAAAATAAGGGCCTCCATTCCCCTAAATAAATAAAGTATGGTGTGTTTTCTCCATGTGGCAAGAATTATTGGAACAAAGTAACCAAAACAAAGCAAAAATCTGGGGAAAGAGTATTTATATAAAAGAGAACAGTATCAAGATACTCTTATGGAGCCAAGACACAAAATTTAAACCACCATAAAGAAATAATGCATCCACGCACTAAGGAAATGAATAGAGATGTGTCATTCTGAGCAACGCTTGAGTATGATGTTCACGAAGGTCTGAAATGCCAGTGCATTTCATTATGTGATATCCCAAATACCTAAAGCATAGATGTTTAAACCTATCAACTTAATTTATTGGGAAGCAAATTCAGCCAACAAAATCAATGTTTGGGTATGTATGGGACATTTTTTTTGGTTTTGCGCCCCTGTGGGATCCAAGTATGGAACATTTTGAATCATTGGCTTTGTTGCATAAATATTCTCAGCCTCCTCCCTTCTTGCATTCGCTCAATGTAATCTACACATTACAGTCATTCTTTGAGTCTCACTATTTCAGCTTCATTTCCCAGCTTTATTTCCTCTGTAGCATGACATCACTGTCCAGGACCCAGGCTCCACCACACACACAAGCACAGAGTTAAAATACATCTCCAATTCTGTAGTATATTTCATAACCACATGTTATGGAAAAGCTGTATTTTCTTAGAAAACATACATTCTCACAGAGCATCTCTCTAATATCTATTTAACCCATTTTTTGCAAAAGTTAAGACTCATTTACTG
Source organism: Homo sapiens (assembly GCF_000001405.40). Taxonomy (NCBI): domain Eukaryota; kingdom Metazoa; phylum Chordata; class Mammalia; order Primates; family Hominidae; genus Homo; species Homo sapiens. The sequence continues at coordinate 132,413,395 of NC_000006.12, forward strand.
AGTCAGCATATTGAAACAGAATATAATTTTTAGGAACACAGTAGAAACTGAAATCTTTCTTCTATATAGATTTTTTTCCTTAGATATTGAGAAGCTTTTGAATATCCTGAAAAATATGATGAAATAACTTCTTTATAACCCCACACTCCTAGTCTACCAAGCAAATTAAAATGCCTGATTTAAAGCAGATGCAGATTTTAATGAATCATTTCTCTGTTTTCAAGTGCAGGCACACTTTATTTTGCAGCATATATAAGATTACATTGCAAGCATTTTTTTCAACGGGCACATACTTTATTTTGAATTAAATAAACCCAGCTTGTGATGATAGTGGTGAAAGTGACTGATCATTGAAATTTATGATTGTCTTTCTCCTCCCTCTCTCTCTCTTTCCTCTCTCCCTCTCTTCCTCCAACCCTTCCTCTCCCTCTGTGTCCTTCCCTCTTTTTCTCCTTCCCTATCTCCTGCTTTTCTTTCTCCCCTTTGGAGTTTCTATAGGCAGAGTATAAAAAAAAATAAATAACATTTCATTTGGGGGGAAAAGAAAGAACATGGACTTTGGCACAGGGGATTGCCTGGAATTGAATCTTGGCCCTGCCACTTACCAGCTATTCCACCTTAGGAAAGGTAGTTAACTTTTCTGTGCCTCATTTTCATCATTTCTTAAATGTGGATAAATTAGTAACTATCTCATAGGATTAATAGACTTAAAGGAGCTTGTATTTGTAAAGTCCTTAGAGCCTGGCACAAAGAAGTGCTGTATGAGTGTGCAGTAATAAAATAAATACATAAGCCTAAAGACAAAACTCTTCCTCATTTCAAGAAATAATTTCTCCAGAACAAAGCAATAGAAAGTGAGTTAAGCACCTAATTTTTGTTTACCTCCCACATTGCACCTGTTCTTGCATAACAAACACATTCTATTTCAAGAAGTTGAAATCCCTTCCTTTTTGTCCATCTAAGTTGTCTATTATTTCTGTGCCACGGGTCATTAATGAAAGGCAGGATTCTCTCTGAAATTAAACAGTGGGGAAGTCAACTGGAAAGAGAGAAAAGTGCAGCAGAAGTGACTAAAAGTGAAATAAAAGAAGCAGAAGAAAACATTAAAAAACCCCGTAATTAAAAGCATGCACAGAGTCCTGTTAACCTCGGCTGACTCCAATAACATGGTTACAAGAGACATGGTCTACTCCAGCATGTCGTTAGCCATAAATACAGAGGTAAAGTGGTCCAGGGCAAATAACATCAAAGGCAAAGGGAAAGTGGGATGGGCGAAGGCACCCCACCCAACCTCCCTGGATGAGCTTAGCGTAACATAGTTTTCCATCAGACTAACCAAACCAGCAGCGTTGACCTTAAATATGAATTTTTCACCATCGCTGGCAGATGAGCCTTTAAGTGGCGTCAGAGGCGGTTACTCTGGGGACCAAGGGGCCCACTGAAATTAAAGACAGACTTTTTATTCCCCTGTCTCTTGAGTGTTGACTGCTTGGGATCCTTGAATTTGACTTGGATGAATAAAGGCCCTCTCAGACTTGCAGATTCCCCCTAAGGGTTTTGACATCACTTCCAAAGCACTCGCCCTTATCAGCTGCATCATGCTGACCTCTGACCAAATGGAAAGACCTAGTTCCTGAGAGAATTCTGAGATGGCTATTCATTTGTAAGAAAGTTCAAACACAAGTCTGTGGCCTTAGGAAATCATTTTGAACTACTTATTAATTCTGAGAATTTAAAATGTGAATACGTCTTGTTATTTTGTATTGCTCCATAATTACTACATTTACTAAATTGCTATTTAATATCTACTCTCCTTAAAAAACAAACAAATGAATAAAATCAAAGGAGTGGTAAAATGTGAACATGTGTAGCAAAAGGCCAAGAAGTATTTTTATTTATATTTTTATTTTAAAAGGATAGTAATTTTGCTTGAGATCAAGACAAATGTGATTTCTCTGTGTGATTGAGACAGGTGGTTCCATATGGCTGTGCTAACTATGCAGTGTCGTTCTTCCCTTTACCAACAGCCAACCACTGACCTTGCCCTGGTTGTCTCTATTATTTAGCATAAAATTTTCTAACCAATTTAAATTATGAAAACTTTCTGCCACATAAAAAGATATAAGGAATACTATAACCTACTTCTGAATAAAGGTGTTCAGCTGAACACCTGATTTGCATGGACTCCCTCCTGAAACCCACCAATGTAAGTTTTTGGAGCTCTAAACCCATAAAGGAAAAGAGAATACAAGGAGGAAAAGAGCAGCAAACTTTTTGGGAGCTATAAAGCCTATGGATCAATGGCAACCTGCTTGGCAACTTGAGAAAACTAAATATTAACTTGGTAGTAGAAACATTTCAGGAGAAAGGTGATTTAAGTCACAAGATCTTCAGATGATGAAACACTGGGGACTCAAGAGGGCCCTGCAAGTGAAGGTGAGGGAGTGGGGAAGTGTTTGAAAACTTTAGGAGTCAGGGAATCCAACTCCCCACTCTGACATAGCCTTATCAAACATTATAACAGTGAGAAAATTATGACAGAAAAAGGAATCTGACCTAATCAACTCTGTCTTGTCTTTACCCTCCAAACTGCCCTTGTTTATTCCTGGGCATAGACCAGCTACCTTTGGGAGGAATTTAGTTTATAATTTAACTTTGAAACAAAGACAATAGCCCTTCTCCAAAACAAACCCCCTCCTTGCTTAGGGACCAGACTGCCTTTGTAAAACCAACAAATTAGCCATAAGATTAGAAATTATGGCTTAGGAGTCATGCAGCCAGAGACCACAGGATTCCTAACTTCCCCAGGTGCTCCAAAACATAATATTACTATTGTAAAATCTAAGATTGGTGTTTGAGTTATTTTTCAGACCCTGCATTCTGATGGATCAGCTGGTGCTACCCAGACAGGTAAACTGGCTCATCTAGTCTTGTGGTCCCCACCTAGGAACTGATTCAGTGCAAGAGGATGGCTTCAACTTCCTGTGATTCCCTCCCTGACCCAACCAATCAGCGTTCACCATTCCTTAGCCCCCTCCACACCAAACTATCTTTTAAAAACAAACAAACAAACAAACAAACAAACAAAACCCTTAGCTCCATGGAGACTTACCAGAAAAAAACTAAAAGTATCGATATAAAATAAAATAGAAACTCTGACCTCAGAATTTTCAGGGAGGCTGATTTAGGTAATAATAAAACTCTGGTCTCTCATTTAGCTGACTCTATGTATATTAAATACTTTCTCTATTGCAATTCCCCTGTCTCAATTAACTGGTTCTATCTGGGCAGTGGCCAAGAAGAACCCATTGGGTGGTTACACCTCTATTCTACTCAGCTGCTCCAATGATTCTCTTCAATTCCAGGCCAAAATGAAGGTTTATTCTGCAGAAAGGATAACAGAGAAATTTTAATTGGGAGAGAAAGGGACCATGCAACACTGAAGACAGGAGTCCTATAAAGGAAAGAGGGAGCATAAATGAAGTGATGACTGTCAAATGACTGCCCCTTCTTCTCCACTAGCTCCTAGAATGCTGAGAGCTGACTTAAACCCTCCAAACAGGAGATAGATTACTCACTGGAGGATCTACTCAGCCTAAAGATATTAATGTTGGAGACTCCTCAATAAAAGTGCCAAGTCCAATCCCAGGATGAAGCCCACAGTGTACAAGTCCTACCAGGCCCTAGAATTTCCTATTTTGCTGTCCAGCTTTCAGTATGAATGAACTTCAAAGGTTCTTTAGGTATTAGAGGAAACTTTCTACTGTTTTAAAATGAAAGTCAGCGACCAAAACAGCAATGAAAAACTAATAAAGGAAAGTAGATCATCCAAAAAAAAAAAAAAAAAGCCAGCTGAGAAGGAAAGTGGGAGGGAGGAACAAAGAGAAGTTTGTTAACAGGTACAAATATATACTTAGATAAAAGGAATAAATTCTAGTATTAGATAGTACAGTAGGAAAATTATAATTAACAATAATTTGTTGTGTATTTCAAAATATCTAGAAGAGAAGAATTGTAATGTTCCCAACACTAAGAAAAGATAAATGTTTGAGATGTGGATATCCCAGTTATCCTGACTTGATCATTATGTGTTACATACATGTATCAAAATATCACATATGCCCCAAAAATATGTACAACTATGATATATCAATTTAAAAAACACAAAAATTTCAACTCAAAAAAGTGGATACTATCCTGAGAAAACAAAACATAACAAAACTCTTTCACTGATATACTCAGAGAGCTAAGAAAAAATATAGCATCAGTTAAATAATAGCAGGATACTAGAAGAAAGAACAATTTTATAATGAAAGGAGTCTGAGAAATTAACAATAAAATATCAGCAATGAAAAACTCAAAAGAAGATTAGGAGCATAATGTTGAAAAAAGAAATGCTCAAGAAAGTTAAGCAAAAATCAGACAGGAGAATAAGATTTTAACTACTTGACCAAATTAGTCAGTAGTTCCTATCCAAATAACAGAAGTTCCAGAAGACAAAGCAGAAAGATTTGGGAAAAGCAGGAGAGGGATCAAATAATTTACAAAAATCTCACTGGGCCAAGAATGAAAATGAAATTACAGAAGATCATCATGAAATCACTGCATGTGGATGATTGCCAGACGAGGAAAAATTTTCATTAACAAAGAATCAGATTGGCTGGAACATCTCAAAAGCTAATTGGAAGCCCAAATTCATTAGAATAAAGCCATCACAATTCTTAAGGAAAGTGACTTCCAACCTAAAAATAAATACCCAGCTGAGTTACTGTATTAGTCCATTTTCACACTACTAATAAACACATACTCAAGGCTGGGTAATTTACACAGCAAAAGGGTTTAATGGACTCAGTTCTGCGTGGCGGGGGAGGCCTCACAATCATGGTGGAAGGCAAAGAGGAGCAAGTCACATCTTACATGAATGGCAGCAGGCAAAGAGAGAGCTTGTGCAGGGAAACTCCCCCTTAGAAAACCATCAGTTCTCGTGAGACTTATCCACTATCGCCAGAACAGCTCAAGAAAGACTCATCCGCATGATTCAATTACCTCCCACTGGGTCCCACCCACAACACATGGGAACTGTGGGAGCTACAATTCAAGATGAGATCTGGGTGGGGACACATCCAAACCATATCAGTTACCTATTGAGCATGAGAGTAAAATAAAGAATTTTTGAATTTGCAAAATCTTAAAACTTATCTTCTATGCATCCATTCTAAGGTATGCAAGAGCAAGAAAGAGGATTATTATGGAGCCATGAATCAGAGTCCCAGACACAAAAGAAACAGAGAGCTTCCCAAAAATTTGGTGAAGAGAGATTCAAAGATGTTGACTCAGTCATAGAAATAAACTGAACCACATTTGCAGAGAACAGAAGACTCCATGAGAACTTTCAGAACCCTGAAATTAACAGAGTACAGAGTGTGTTTGAGATATTTCATACATCTGGGAGAGTTTAAGGATAGATAAATGCCAAACACAAAGAAAACTAAGCAAACAACACACACACGGCAAAAGATAGGACATTTAGCTCTTACATTTAGATCTGTGATCTATTTTAATTATTTTTTGTGTATGGTATGAGGTAAGGGTTTAAATCCCTCTTTTTGCAAGTAAATATTCATTTGTACCAGATTATTTTTTGCAAGGACTATTTTTTTCTCCCAAGGAATTGCCTTGGCATCTTTGTTGGAAATAAATTGACCATAAACTTAAGAGTTTGTTTTAGAACTTAAATTCTGTTTCATTGATCTGCAGGCCTGTTCTTATGCCAATACAACATCATCTTGCTTACTGTAGTTTTATACTATCTTTTGAAATCAGGAATTATAAGTTCTGCAAATTTTTCTTTTTTTCTCAAATTGTTTTAATATTCTGGGTTTTTTTGCATTTCCATATATATATTTTAGGATGAGTTTGGCAATTATTGCCATTCTTCTGCTAGGGAGAATTTGAAGAGAATTTGCCATCTTGATATTGAGTCTTCCAATCCATGAACATGAAATATTCCTCCATATATATAGATCTTCTATATACTCTCTCAGCAATGTTTAATATTATAGTTTTCAGTGTATCTATCTTTCACTTTTTTTGTTAAATTTGCTCCTAAGTATTTAATTATTTTAATGCTATTGTGAATTGTTTTCTCTTCTTTTCCTTTTTATTTTATTTTAAGTTCTGGGTTACATGTGTAGGATGTGCAGGTTTGTTACATAGCTAAATGTGTGCCGTGGTGGTTTGCGGCACCTATCAACCCATCACCTGAGTATTAGGCTCAGCATGCATTAGCTAGTTTTCCTGACGCTTTCCCTCCCACTGCCCAACCTCTGACAGGTCCCAGTGTGTGTTGTTCCCCTCCCTGTATCCATGTGTTCTCATTTTTCAACTCCCACTTATAAGTGAGAACATGCAGTGTTTGGTTTTCTGTTCCTGCATTAGTTTGCCGAGGATAATGGCTTCCAGCTCCATCCATGTCCCTGCAAAGGGCATGATCTAATTCCTTTCTATGGCTGCGTAGTATTCCATAGTGTATATGTACTACCTTTTCTTTATCCAGTCTATCATTGATGGGCATTTGGGTTGATTCCATGCCTTTGCTATTGTGACTAGTGTTGCAATAAACATACATGTGCATGTATCTTTATAACAGAAAGATTTATATTCCTTTGGGTATATACCCAGTAATGAGATTGCTGAGTCAAATGGTATTTCTAACTCTAGGTCTTTGAGGAATCACCACACTGTCTTCCACAGTGGCTGAACTAATTTACATTCCCATTGTGTGAAAGCATTTCTATACCTCCATAGCCTCACCAGCATCTGTTGTTTCTTGACATTTTAATAATCACCATTCTGACTGGTATGGGATGCTATCTTATTGTGGTTTTGTTTTGTATTTCTCTGATCATCAGTGATGTTGAGCTTTTTTTCATATGCTTGTTGACTGCATAAATGTCCTCTTTTGATAAGCGTCTGTTCATGTCCTTTACCCACTTTATAATGAGGTTGGGTTTTTTTTTCTCGTAAATTTGTTTAAGTTCCTTATAGACTCTAGATATTAGGCCTTTGTCAGATGGGTAGATTGCAAAAATTTTCTCCCATTCTGTAGGTTGTCTGTTTGCTGTGATGATAGTTTCTTTTACTGTGCAAAGCTCTTTAGTTTAATTAGATCCCATTCGTCAATTTTGGCTTTTGTTGCAATTGCTTTTGGTGATTTCACAATGAAATCTTTGACCATGTCTGTGTCCTGAATGGTATTGCCTAAATATTCTTCTAGCATTTTTATAGTTGTGGGGTTTACATTTAAGTCTCTTATCTATCTTGAGTTAGTTTTTGTACAAGGTATAAGGAAGGGGTCCAGTTTCAGTTTTCTGCATATGACTAGCCACTTCTCCTGGCATCATTTATTATATAGGGAATCATTCCCCCATTGCTTGTTTTTGTCAGGTTTGTCAAGGATCAAATGGTTGTACATGTGCAGTCTTATCTCTGAGATCTCTATTCTGTTCTGTTGGTCTATGTGTCTGTTTTGGTACCAGCACCATGCTGTTTTGGTTACTGTAGCCTTGTAGTATAGTTTGAAGTCAGGTAGCATGATTCCTCCAGCTTTGTTCTTTTTGCTTAGGATTGTCTTGGCTATATGGGCTCTTTTTTGGTTCCATATGAATTTTTAAATAGTTTTTTCTAACTCTGTGAAGAATGTCAATGGTAGTTTCATGGGATAGCATTGAATGTATAAATTGCTTTGGGCAGTATGGCCATTTTCATGATATTGATTTTTCCTATCCATGAGCATGGACTTTTTTTTTTATTTGTTTGTGTCCTCTCTGATGTCCTGAGCAGTAGCTCTTCTTGAAGAGGTCCTTCACTTCCCTTGTTAGCTGTATTTTTAGGTATTTTATTCTCGTTGTAGCAATTGTGAATGGGAGTTCACTCATGATTTGGCTCTCTGCTTGTCTGTTGTTGGTGTGTAGGAATTTTTGTGATTTTTGCACATTGATTTTGTATCCTGAGACTTTACTGAAGTTGTTTATCAGCTTAAGAAGCTTTCGGGGTTAAATGATGGGGTTTTCTAGATATAGGATCGTGTCATCTACAAAGACTATTTGACTTCCTTTCTTTCTATTTGAATACACTTTATTTATTTCTCTTGCCTGATTGCCCTAGCCAGACTTTCCGATACTATGTTGAATAGGAATGGTGAGAGAGACCATCCTTGCCCTGTACTGGTTTTCAAATAAAATGCATCCAGCTTTTGCCCATTCAGTATTCAGTATGATATTGGCTGTGGGTTTGTCATATATGGCTCTTATTATTTTGAGGTATGTTCCTTCAATACCTAGTTTATTGCGAGTTTTTAACATGAAGTAATGTTAAATTTTATCAAAGGCCTTTTCTGCATCTATTGAGATAATCATGTGGTTTTTGTCTTTAGTTCTGTTTATGTGATGAATTACATTTATTGATTTGCATATGTTAAACCATCCTTGCATCCCAGGGATGAAGCCAACTTGATCGTGGTGGATAAGCTTTTTGATGTGCTGCTGGATTCGGTTTGCCAGTATTTTATCGAGGATTTTTGCATCAATGTTCGTCGGGCCTGTTGGCCTGAAGTTTTCTTTTTTTGTTATGCCTCTTCCAGGTTTTGGTATCAGGATAATGCTGGAATCACAAAGTGGGTTGGGGGGAGTACCTTCTTTTCAATTGTTTGGAATAGTTTTGGAAGAAATGGTACCAGCTCTTCATTGTGCCTCTGATAGAATTCAGTTGTAAATCTGTCTGGTCCTGGGCTTTTTTTGTTTGTTTGTTTGGTAGGCTATTTATTACTGCATCAATTTCAGAACTCATTATTGGTTTATTCAGGGATTTGACTTCTTCCTGGTTCAGTCTTGGGAGGTTATATGTGTCCAGGAATTTATCAATTTCTTCTAGATTTTCTAGTTTATTTGCATAGAGGTGTTTATAGTATTCTCTGATGGTTGTTTGTATTTCTGTGGGATCAGCGGTGATATCCCCTCTATCATTTTTTATTGTGTCTATTTCATTCTTCTCTCTTTTCTTCTTTATTAGTCTATCTAGCAGTCTATCTATTTTATTAATTTTTTCAAAAGATTCATTGATTTTTTGAAGGATTTTTCATGTCTCTATCTCCTTCAGTTCCACTCTGATTTTGGTTTTATTTCTTGTCTTCTGCTAGCTTTGGGATATGTTTGCTCTTGGTTTTCAAGTTCTTTCAGTTGTGATGTTAGGATGTTGATTTGAGATCTTTTTAGCTTTTTGATGTGGGCACTTAGTGCTATAAATTTCCCTCTTAACACTGTTTTAGCTGCATCCCAGAGATTCTGGTATGTTGTATCTTAGTTCTCATTGATTTCAAAGAATGTCCTGATTTCTGCCTTAGTTTCATTATCTACCCAGGAATCACTCAGGATCAAGTTGTTCAATTTTCATGTAGCTGTGTGGTTTTGAGTGAGTTTCTTAATCTTGAGTTCTAATTTGATTGAGCTGTGATGTGAGAGACTGTTATGATTTCAGTTCTTTTGTGTTTGCCAAGGAGTGTTTCACTTCCAATTATGTAATCAATTTTGGAGTAAGTGCCATGTGGCACTGAGATAATTGTATAATCTGTTGTTTTGGGGTGGAAAGTTCCATTGATATGTACCAAGTCCACTTGATCTAGAGCTGAATTCAAGTCCTGAATATCTTTGTTAATTTTTTATCTCAATTATCTAATATTGGCAGTAGAGTGTTAAAATATCCCACTATTATTGTGTGGGAGTCTAAGAGACCTCTTTGTAGGTCTCTAAGAGTTTGTTTGATGAATCTGGGTGCTCCTGTATTGGGTGTGTGTATATTTAGGACAGTTAGCTCTTCTTGTTGAATTGAACCCTTTACCATTATGTAATGCTCTACTTTGTCTTTTTTGATCTTTGATGGTTTAAAGTACTTTTTGTCAGAAACTAGGATTGCAATCTCTGCCTTTTTTTCTGCTTTCCATTTGCTTGGTAAATTTTCCTCCATCCCTTTATTTTGAGCCTATGTGTGCCTTTGCAGGTGAGATGGGTCTCTTGGACTACAGCACACCGATGGGTCTTAACTTTTTATCCAGCTTGACATTCTGTGTCTTTTAATTGGGGCATTTAGCCCATTTACATTTAAGGTTAATATTGTTATGTGTGAATTTGATTCCATCATCATGATGCTTGCTTGTTATTTTGCAGACCTTTTAATGTAATTGCTTCATAGCAACTGGTCTGTGTACTTCAGTGTGTTTTTGTAGTGGCTGGTAATGGCTTTTCCTTCAGGAGTTCTTGCCAGGCAGGCCTGGTGGTGATGAATTCCCTCAGTATTTGCTTGTCTGAAAAAGATGTTATTTTTGCTTTGCTTATGAAGCTTAGTTTGGCTGGATATGAAATTCTGGGTTAGAAATTATTTTCTTTAAGAATGTTGAATATTGGCCCTCAATCTTTGCTGGCTTGTAGGGTTTCTGCTGAAAGTTCCGCTGTTAGTCTGATGGGCTTCTCTTTGTACGTGACCTGGCCTTTCTTTCTGTCTGCCCTTAATATTTTTTTCTTTATTTCAACCTTGGAGAATGTGATGATTATGTATCGTGTGGTTGATCTTCTTGTGGAGCATCTTATTGGGGTTCTCTGGATTTCCAGAATTTGAATGTTGGCCTGTCTTGCTAGGTTGGGGAAGATCTCCTGTATGATATCCTGAAGTGTATTTTCCAGTTTGGTTCCATTCTCCCTGTCTCTTTCAGGTACCCCAATTAGTCAATTAGTCATAGGTTCAGTCTTTTTACATAATCTCATAGTTCTTGGAGGTTTTGTTTGTTCCTTTTTATTCTTTTTTCTCTAACCTTGTCTGCCTGTCTTATTTCAGCAAGATAGTCTTCAGGCTCTGAGATTCTGTCCTCCACTTGGTCTATTTGGCTATTGATGCTTCTAGTTGCATTGTGAAGTTCTTGTGTTGTGTTTTTCAGCTCCATCAGGTCATTTATATTCCTCTCTAAACTTGTTATTCGGGTAACAACTCCTGTAATATTTTATCATGGTTCTTAGCTTCTTTGCATTGGGTTAGAACATACTTCTTTAGCTCAGCAAAGTTGGTTATTACTATTACCCACCTTCTGAAGCCTACTTGAGTCAATTCATCCACCTCAGCCTCAGCCCAGTTCTGTGCCCTTGCTGGGGAGGTGTTGCAATCATTTGGAAGAGAAGAGGCACTCCTACTTTTTGAATTTTCAGTGTTTTTGCATTGATTCTTTCTCATCTTCATGAGTTCTCTGAGGCTGCTGACCTTTGGATAGCATTTTTATGGGGTCTTTTTGTTGATGTTGTCATTGCTTTCTGTTTTTCTTTTAATAGTCAGGCCCCTCCTCCGCTGGGCTGCTGTGGTTTGCAGGGGGTCCACTCCAGAGTCTATTCGCCTGGGTGTCTCCTGCACCTGGAAGTGTCACAATGGGGGCTGCAGAACAGCAAAGATGGCTGCCGGCCATCCTTTGGGAGTTGCATCCTTGAGGGGCACCTAGCTGATTCTGGCAGGAACACTCTGTATGAGGTGTCTGATGACCCCTGTTGGGAGATCTTATCCAGTCAGGAGCCACGGGATCAGGGACCTGCTTAAAGAAGCAGTCCAGCTGTCCCTTGGTGGAGCAGGTTCACTGTGCTGGGGAGAATCCCTCATCTGTACTGCCAACAGGCAGGAAAGACTATGTCCCCTGAACTGTGGAGACTACAGCCTCCCCTCCTGCCAGGGGCTTCTTCCCAGGGAAATCAGAGTTCTGTCTGTAAACCCCTGGCTAGAGTTGCTGAAATTCCTGCAGGGAGGTCCTGCCCAGTGACGAGGGATGGGTCCGGGTCCCACCTAAAGCAGTAGGCTGACCACGATCTGCCACAGCTGCTGTGCTGCACCATGGGAAATTCCTCCTGGTCCAGACCACCCAGTCTCCTTGCACTGGCAGGGGAAAGCAGCCAACTGGAGCTGCAGTGATGGTGGCCACCCCTCCCATGGGAATTTGGTCGCTTAGGCAGTCTCCAGCCTGCTACTGCTGGCTGAAACCTGAGCAGGTTGAAACCCAAGGCCCTGTGCTTGAAACCCAAGGCCCTGGTGATGTGGGCTCACAAGGTGATCTCCTGATCCATGAGATGCACAGTTCCGTGGAAAAAGCATGGTTTCATAGGCAGGGTAGCACAATCACTCACTGCCTCCTTTGGCTGGAGCGGGGGGAGTTCCCCTTATTCCATGAGGCTCCCAGGTAAGCCATCACTTCACCCTATTTTTCCTTGCTCTATGTGGGTCCCCCAACTGCCTAGTCAGACCTGGTGAGATAACCTGGATACCTCAGTTGATGGAGCAGGATTCACTAGTCATGTTTGTACTTCTCGGTGGGAACCACAGACTGGAGCTGCCTCTATCGGCCATCTTTTCCCCTCCCCTCTTCTTCTTTTCTTTTTTTTCTTTTCTTTCCTTTTCCTTTTCTTTTCTTTTCTTTTCTTTTCTCTTCTCTTCTCTTCTTCCTTCCTTCCTCCTTCCTTCGTTATTTTTTTTTTTTTGTCAGAATCTCCTCTGTTGCCCCAGCTGGAGTACAGTGGCACAATCATAGCTCACAGCAGCCTTGAACTCCTGGGTTCAAGTGATCCTCCCACCTCAGCGTCCTGAGTAGCTGGGACTACAGGTATGCATCACACCCAACTAATTTTTTTATTATTACTTTTTGTAAAGACAGGGTCTCACTATGTTGCCCAGGCTGGTCTTGAACTCCTTGGCTCAAGCGATCCTCCTGCATCAGCCTCCCAAAATTTTGGGATTACAGATGTAAGCCATTGTGCCTGGCCTGAAATTGTTTTCTTAAATTTTCAGATTGTTGCGAATATAATAAAAATAAAAATAAATATTTATCTTATAGCTATCCTTGCTGAACTTATTTATTAGTTCTAAATTTTTTATTTTTGGAATATTTGAGGTTTTCTAAATATAGGATCATGTCATCTGGGAATAAATACAACTTTACTTTCCTTTTCCAATCTCAATGCCTTTTATTTTTTTGCCAGAACCTCCCATACAATGTTGAAAAAAAGTAACCAGAATGAAAATTCTTGCCTTGTTTCTGAAATTAGGGAAGAAACATTTAGCCTTTCACAATTGAGTATGATATTAGCTGCCCTTTAGGAAGATGAGGAAGTTTCCCTCTATTTCTTATTTGTTGAGATTTTTGTTATCATAAGTGGGTATTAGTTTTGTCATATCCTATTCTGCATTTACTGAAATGTTCATATGATATTTTGTCCAGATTTATGGGGAGGAGATTTATTTAATTCCTTGCTCTGACATGCTACAAGTAGGACATTTCCATGAAATTATAACCTTGGTGATTATATTACTTATTCTTAGTTTGTGGTTGGTATTGTTATTTCTTTTTGAATCTGCCTGATCATTTTTATGTGTTTATTTCAGTTTTAATTCTTTCACTATTTTATCAAAAGTTATGCTGCATTCTTATTTTAACAATTCTTTAATTCAAATTTCTGCATGTTCAATTCTGTGACTTCTTGTTCCCTTTTACTCTCATGTATAATGCTTTCTTTTCTTGTGTGCTTTATAGTTTAGTAGTGTATTCTCATGTTTGCTAAGCATATACTACATAGGAATCATGGAGGGCATGGCTTGAAGAGAGGATTTATAATTGTTTTTGCCAGGCACCTCAAGGCTACCCAAGTCAGGACCATGTTCTGTGAATTTTTTAGTATGGGGTTCTTGGATTTTGCAGGAAGTGTAAATCCAAATTTGAAGCCATGTGAAGATCTGGCTGTGGCTACAAATTCTTAGGGAACATTTTCCTTCCCAAAACCCAGGCCAATATAAATGACACTTCTTATTGTTTTCTTTTCTTGGTGGGCGAACTTTTCTAGTTCTTCTTTTGCAATGGATGTAGCACTTTCAGACTTCATATTATATTGTTAGTTCTTTATTCCAAATCTTTGTCTCTCTGGGTCTAAGCCTTAGTTATTAGTAACTGCTGTGGTTAGAAGACTATGCCTTACTCGCAGGAAGATGGACACTGCCAAGTCTTTTGGGGGTAACTATTAATTGAGTGCTGCTTAGTACTAAGATTTTTAGCTTCTTCTACCTGTTTTTCTTCATTTCTTGAGTGTATAACTGTGTTTATGTGGCAGTGTTGCATCTGGTTTCCAAGATGAGCTATAATGACCTTTATTTCCTGGTACTCACATACTCGTGTAGTCTCCTGGAATCATGGTGGACTCCTGTGAGCATTAGAATGATGTGGAAATGACAGTGTGTTTTCTAAAGTTAGGTCAGAAAAGCATGGCAGTTTCCATCTTGGCTTCTCTCATGGATAACTTGCTGTAAGGGAAACGAGTCTTATGTGTTAGGGATACCCAAGCAGCCTGTGGTGAGGCCAACATGGTGAGGCCCATATGGGGATGAATTGAGGCTTCTGTCAATAACCAACATCAGTTATACAACTATGTGAGCAAGTCTCCTTGGCAGTAGATCCCAGCTATGCTACTCCTGACTTCCTGACCCACAAAAACGGTGAGAGATAATGAATGGTCATTGTTATTTAAAGCTATTATTAAATAAGGAATTTTATTATACAACAACAGAAATATAATACAGGTGGCATTTATTATATGGTACCAGCATTTAATGATGTTTCCAAAGAGATGCTTCACAATTTTTTAGTCTACCATATTCTTAGAAACAGAAATATTGGCCAAGAAATAAGCACATCAGGTATTCTACTGCCTCAAGTCTTTTTCACTAGCTAGTACCTTCTCTGGCCACCCTATCTAAAATTTCAAGTCTTTTTTTTTCGTACTTTCTATTCTCCTTCCCTTCTTTTTTTCCTCTGCCTTAAAACTTATCACTATTTGAACATACTAATCACTTCATTTATGTTAATTGTCTGTATTCCAACTACAACATATACTCTATAAGGGCAAGGATTTTGGTCTGAGTACTTCACTGCCTCATCCCATGACACAAGAACAATACCTGGCAAATAGTTAAGTGTCCAGTAAATATCTGTGGAATTAGCAAAGGAGTAGATAAAATTTTAGCCTGAGCCTCAATCAGATTATCCTGATAACACCTTCCCCTATTATACTCTGCTATGCCCCCAAAGCTTTCATGACTCCCAAACGCATTAAGTGTGAGGCCCCAATCCTCCAGATTCAGGGTGCAGTGTGCCATGCCCTCCCTCCCATTTATTTCTAGTTCTCTTAATGTCTAGACAACTGAGTTGGCTTTTAATCACTAAAAATTTTTGACTAGTCAAATTCCCCAAGTTTCCCATTTTTCTAGACAGAACTTGCTTTAACTCAAGTTTAATATCTCTTCTTTGCTTCTTCAATCTTATTTAGATAGAGTACCAGTCCATAATGAAATTAACCCTTTCCAGATCTCTACATGGAAAAAAAATCAGGGTAAATTTCACAACTGCATTTATTTACCTGGGTTCAACATTTCCTCCATCACCTCATCTAATTTTTTAACTTAAACAATGTGGATGCTGGTGCTCTCATAATATTCTATTTTAAAAATTAGACGTATATGCAATGTAACATTGGAAAACTTCAGAAGGAAAAATTAATACAAGCTTTTTAAGAATTGTATTCTTCTTTAGCCAAAAATAGTCTTTTTATGTTAGTTTAATTCCACAAAACAGTATGTTCATTGGTTATTCTTCACTAGAGAGGTGTGCTTGCTATTATAAATATGAAAGTGGAGAATAATGCTAGTTTCCAAATAACAAGAATGTGATCTTATTAGAACTATTCCTTCCTCTTCTCTTACAGATTTTTGTTGTGCCAACACAATACTAATCAAAGCATGGCCATTTCTTTTATCAAAGGAATACAAAGGAATAGTTAATTTAAACAATATTGCCCTTAGAAATACTACTAGGAGGGTCGGGCACAGTGGCTCACGCCTGTAATCCCAGCACTTTGGGAGGCCGAGGCAGGCAGATCACAAGGTCAGGAGATCGAGACCATCCTGGCTAACACGGTGAAACCCTGTCTCTACTAAAAACACAAAAAATTAGCCAGGCGTGGTGGCAGGGGCCTGTAGTCCCAGCTACTCGGGAGGCTGAGGCAGGAGAATGGCGTGAACCCGGGAGGTGGAGCTTGCAGTGAGCCGAGATCGCGCCACTGCACTCCAGCTTGGGCGACAGAGTAAGACTCCATCTCAAAAAAAAAAAAAAAAAAAAAATACTGCTAGGAGATACTTACTTGGACACCAGTATGGAGGAGGAGGTTATTTCTGGTTCCAAGAACATATGGATGTTTTAAATATGCCATGAGACTATCATTTGGCCGACCAGTCAGATCTCCACACGGCAACTGAACCCTGCCAGTTACACAGAAAATGCTTGGTGCTTTGGGATGAATTCAGCTGTCAGGGTGGCAGAGCAATGAAACATTCAAAAATCACTTGAAATCCATGGTCTACGTACCAAATTGAATACATTTGTAGTTTTCCAGGATGTTTTTCATAATATAGAAAATTTAAGAAGAAAACATGTACCAATTTTTATAGTGTATTCTAATGATGAGGCCACTACTATTGTTATTTTCAAGTTAAATAGAACAGTTAATAGTTTTTACAATTCACAGTTACATGTGAAAATACTAAATTCTCCTTTCTTCGAGATAGACATATGTTATTTTATTGAGACCAACTCTGAAATGAGTTTAGAGTCTGCAATTCACTAGGGAGAAAGTTTTTCAGGGTGTGTACAGGGGCAAACAGCAGCATGTATGTGAACCTGCTTGGAGGCAGGGAAGGAGCAGAGATGAGCCTGCCTTTCATCCGTCCTTCTAACCTGCAGCCCTGAGACGGAGCTGGCAAGCTTGTATCTTCTCAGCACATGGAACCCATTTTGCTGAGTTTGTAAAAACCTAAGTACATGTAATTTTCTTGGAGACAAGTTTCCCAGGACACCTGTGCCTGCATATGCTATTCCAGTAGGTATTCAGGCTATTGTCTTCTAGGAAATCTGAATTACATTAATTTAATAGTAATTAATGCAAGAATGTATATACAGATAATAGAGTAATAAGCAGTTGTTTTGAGGTCACAGGGACAACAGCCACTGAGAAGACAAAGAGACTCAGGTCTCAGTGGAAGGTGAGGAGGAGAAGACTGTGCTAACCTTTAGAGAATCCCTAAACTTGAGTGATGAACATGAATTTGGGCTGATTCTCTTTATTCATATACCACTGGAGATAGTAAAGTTGTGGAAGGGGTAGAGTATTGCAAGTGAAAAGGGAAGTCTACAAGACAATACTAGAGACAAGTAGGACCCTATGCCCTTACATGCAAATAACTGAGTATTTATCCCTCTGGGCCCCTGCTTCCTCCACACAGAAGCCTGAGAGGAACTCATTATGTTAATTTCTTAGGATATCTTTTGAAATATAGGATAAAAGAGTTAATTTCCTACTCCAAGGGATGGTAGCTCCATATACCTACTCATATGGCATCCAACATATCTTCACTCCTAGCTCTATCTCCTAAACTGTGGGTCCTGGAATATGAGTGCCTGAGACACTATATGCATCATACACACTCCGCTGCCATCTCCAAATGGAAAAAATAAATATGTATTGCCTGCCTACATATTACTCACTCAATAAATACTTTTTGAATGTAAAGTGTGAAGGGCAAAAATATAAACAAGGAACTCAGTCCCTAACTGAACAACATCATTCTGCTATGAATTTTTTAAATTTATTTTTATTGACACATAGTAATTGCACATATTTATGGGGTACAATGTGAGGTTTCAATACATGCATACATTGTGTAATGATCAAACCGTGGTAATTAGCATATCCATCACCAATTTATTGTTTCTTTATTGCAAGAACACTAAAAAAATCCTCTCTTCTAGCTATTTGAGATATAAAATACATTATTGTTAGCTGTGGTACCCCTACTGTGCAATATGGTATCAGAACTTATTCCTCCTATCTAACTGTAACATTGCACTCATTGACCAACCTCTCTTCATCTCCCCTCTCCCCCTTCTCCCAGTCTCTGGTAACCACTATTCTACTCAACTTCTATGAAATCAAATTTTTTTAGGTTCTACATACAAGTGAGATGATACAATATTTGTCTATCTGTGCCTGGCTTATCTAACTTAACAATGTCCTCCAGGCTCATCCATGTTGTCACAAATGACAGGATTCCATCCTTTTTATGGCTGAATGGTATTCCATTGTGTATATATACCACATTTCCTTTATCCATTCATTTGGTGATGGGCATTAAGGTTGATTCCGTATCTTTGCTTGTTTTGAATTTTTTTAAATTCTGAGGTCACATATCTATATCCATAATGTATCTTGTTGTACACAAGATTTAATACCCTATTTTACATTAGAAATTCAATAGATTACCTGGGTAAAATATTTTTATGTGTTTCCTTTCTTTGTGTATTCTGGGTATAAATTCACAAATTTGTTACTCTATTGATAACTTATTTCCCAATTATGAACCTATCAAGTGTTCACCTTTTTGTTTTAAAATCATTTTAAGTGGGGAAATGCTTTGAACTTAAGTATAATGCAAATGAGAGTTAAGATTGTTGTCTGCTTTGGACATATGGCTTCATTTAGCATGTTTACACTTATTGAACTTTTGGGAAAATATAATTGAAGAGAAGTAATATGAACATAGAATACAGTTTACTTAAGTCTTTATAGACCTCTTTAAACTCATTAAAAACAATCTATAGTGAATTTTCTTAAATGTAAACAATGTTGATTTTCAAATGTCAAAACTTGCTCACTCAATCATGTTCTTTCTTCAGATGGAGCCAAATGGTGTAGTCATCACCATTGTACAATATAATTTTAAACAAAATCTGAGGCTGCAAACAGAAAATGTCTCTTTATTTCTATTCTTCTTTAAAAGTTAAGTGTCAAGAGGTTTAGAAAGCAAATTTGGTGTTTCCTAATATTTTCTTCCTTGTAGTCCTTATTCTAGATATTCAATGTCTCTTAATTCTGTCATTTACTGGTTTAAAATATGCTTTTCAATATTTAGATATGTTATTTGCTGGACTAGTTGACTGTATTTTTTTCTGTGAAATTATATATATATATATATATACACACACACACACACACACACATATATATATATACACATACATATCTCCATTTTTTCCTGTATTCAATTGAGTCAAATTAGATATCAAGTAATGTGAGTGAGATACAAAAAAACTTAAGACATTTAAGTATTTTGCTTAGGAATAAACAAATAAGCATGCCATTCAATGTTTCAAGTTCTGCTTTAGAGAAAAATCATGGCATTATAGTTGAAATTAAAATGCATATTAATTATGTGTTAGGTTTACTCCATTCATCCTGCATGGGGTTGACTCTTTGAACATAAATATGAACACAAGTATGTTTAAAAATGATAATACCACAAATACCCTCAAAAGTATAAACCAGTTAAAACAAGTTTTCTGATACACCAATGCTAAGATTATAAATGAATCTCGGTAAGCATGGCTAGACATACCCAGAGTCATGTACCTCCACAGGAGCCAGAAAGCATACCTCAAAGGGGTTAATACAAAGGTGGGCCTGCCTGACACACAACAGGCTGGCGAACTACATCACCAGTCGGGTGTCTGGATTGAAAGAAGAGTCAATTTACTCACTGAAGCTTTCGATTGAACCAATAACCTGTTAAATTCCTGAGAGACTCCCTATTGAAGCTGAGAAGAGAAAGCATCTTTATCTCTGCTAAACACACTGCAATCTTCTCTCAAGTGGGACAGCATATTCCACAGAAGAAATTTCAGTTTTGAAGTAAAGGGAGCCAAGGGCTACTTCCAGGTCAATGTGTTTGATTCACTTTTTAAAGTTGTTGTCTTCTTATTACCATTATTATTTGAGAGATGATAAACTCATTTAACCCATAATGCCAGTTGATATGGTTTGGCTGTGTCCCCACCCAAATCTCGGCTTGAATCATAGCTCCCATAATTGCCACGTATGTAGGAGGGACCCAGGGGATGTAACTGAATCATGGTGGAAGTTTCCCCTGTACTGTTCTCATGGTGGTGAATGAGTCTCATGAAATCTGATGGTTTTACAAGGGGTTTCCCTTTCACTGGGCTCATTCTCTCTTGCCTGCCACCATGTAAGACATGGCTTTGCTCCTCCTTTACCTTCCACCATGATTGTGAGGCCTCCCCAGCTATGTGGAACTGAGTCCATTAAACTTCTTTTTCTTTATAAATTACCCAGTCTTGGGTATGTCTTTATTAGCAGCATGAGAACAGACTAATACACCAACCAAGAACCAAGACATAAGGAGGATGTCATAAGAGAGCACATGTTCACACAGGAATGTTCACAAGATGTGTAGATGGGAGAGCACAAGTCATGGGACCCAGATGAGTCCCCTTTGTCCCTGGGGCAGGGGAGTATTGGAGCTGCTTACCCTCAGTCACAGAGACTAGGATGCCCAAAGATATTTTGGGGGCAGGAGACAAATCACAATTCATCTAATCTTCTGTTATCAAGTAAAGTGCTTTTCTAAATATATTAATAGATGGAGACGAGAAAATCAAATCTCTAATCATTTAGTTTCTGGAGTCCTGGGCCAACTTTTGGTGAAAGTGAAAACAAATTGTGCCCATATTGTGCACCAGTCTGCATTTGAATTCGAAAGGTGTATATTAGAGCACCCCTACTATATAAATATGTACTTCCATGCCCAGATATATGGTGTTAATCTTGATTTTTCATGCTGATTTTTATCTTCCCAGAACATGGTGGAGACATGCAGAAAATCAATGCCAAATTTTTTTCTTATTTTTTGTTTGTTTTAATGGAAAAGTTAACTGATGATGATTTTTCATAGACTTTAAAAGGCAGGCCAATTTGGAATTTGTAAAATATAATTGACAGTCTTTTTCAAATAAATACTATTGTTGGATGAATGATTCAATCAAGAAATAAGAAACATGCCCTTTTCTGGAGGTTATGCAAATCTTTTTAGTATTTTGGTAAATTAAAATAAAAAGATAACTTTAACATATAATTTATTTGCTTGTTTTTGTTTTTCTATATTGAATTGGGGCAGGGTGCCACAAACACAGGTCAAGAGGAAGAGACCATAACCATATGTCATGAGAGGACTGTGACACAGAGAATGGTGATATTTTGGCAGGGAAGTCATTAGTGAATGTTACTGATCCTCCCTAATTCCTCATGCCTCTTCCAAAGGTAAATGAGCAGAGGACAAATGTGGGGAATGTTTGAGAAACATAGGGTATGGGGTCTAGTTGCTGAACTGCAGAGCTGCAGATCTGCAGAGCTACAGCAGAATGCTTCTTAATAGTATTTTTTTTTAAGTCAAGCAGTGCTGAAAAGCACATGGAAAAGCAGAAGTATACAATTCTGAAGTCCTAGGTTCCTAATGATCATGGGCCTTAGATGGCAAACCTGAGGTGCAACACCAGGAAGGGATGCACAGCCAGGGAGGCAAGAGCCAGCCGAAGCACTAGTAATGCAGGAGGAAGGGAGGGAGGTGAAGCCTTGCAAGGAGAGAATATGATAGGGTAGTACAGTTCTGCCTGTGAAATTTTCTGGGAAGGTTGGCAAAATAAGATTCCTGGACCATAAACACAGGGATTTCTGATGCTGTAGGTTTCCTACAATCTCAGGAGCATGCTTTTTTTTTTTTTCTGCAACTCTGCCTCCCGGGTTCAAGGGATTCTCCTGCCTCAGCCTTCTGATTAGTAGCTGGGACTACAGGTGTGCAGCACCACGCCCAGCTAATTTTTGTATTTTTAGTAGAGAAGGGGTTTCACCATGTGGCCCAGGCTGGTCTTGAATTCCTGACCTCAGGTGGATCACCTCAGGTGATCCACCCGCCTCGACCTCCCAAAGTGCTGGGACTACAGGTGTGAACCACCACACCTGGCCAGAAACCTGCATTTTAACAAGCACAAGAGGTTATTTCAATTGAGGGTCTACTAACTATACTCAAGAAACCCTAGCTTAAGGGATCAGAGGCAATATGGCCTTGGTCTTCTGGCAACAAGGTGTACACTTAAATATTTGTTCAAGGAGTGGGAAAAGTTTCTGTCCTAGTCCTTATGCATGATCAATTTCTATCTTTTGAGAGGTGTGTGGGTCCAGACTCTGGGAGTTATGAAGCTGACACCATTTGCACTTAGTTGTAGCTCTGATCATTTTTCACCGTCTGAGGTAATAACCCAGGGAGGAGAAACTCCAGGCAGCATGGCAAGCCAGGAAGAAGACCAGGAGTCAGAGAGCAGTCTTCTCAGGAAGCTCTACTCCTTCTTCCAGAACATACAGCTACATAATTTACATTGTAAGCAAAAGGAGTACACCATTTCGCATATATTTTATTTATACCATATCTTTAACATTATTTCATACTTTTATGAAATCTTTATATTTGCATAAAATGCACTTAAGTACATTCAATAATTTGAACAACTATACCACAATGTTGAGCATAACTTCTAATTTTTTTTTCTATGACATATGTTTGCAATTAAGATACTTAATGATATAGCATTTTTTCTTGTTTCCTGGAGTAAATACCCACAAGTCCCAGGACATAGGTTGGGACACTGGTCAAATGTCATATAAGTTTTTAGTTGCATTGCTAAATTGTGATAGTTGTTTCAGAAAAATGCAGCATAACCTTTTTTTCAAGATGATTCCATTTATAGTCAAAAAGGAGTGTCACAAAATCATCTTTAGAAGACAGTGGTTCCTAAGTCTAGGAATCCGTTTTCAAAGCTTCTGTGACATTACACCAGATTTCTCAAGATATTTTTCAAGCATCTGGGATAGGGTGGAGGAAACTATCATTCCATCTGGACCTGCACATTTTATTAATTCACTTGGTTGTTAGAAATGTTTTTTTTATGGCTGGATGCAGTGGCTCATGCCTGTACTCCCAGCACTTTGAGAGGCTGAGGTGGGCAAATCCCTTGAGCCCGGGAGTTTGAGATCAGACTTGGCAACATGGCAAAACCCCATCTCTACAAAAAACACAAAAATTTGCTGAGTGTGGTGGTGCACACCTGTAGTCCTAGCTACTCAGGAGGATGAGATGGGAGGATCAGATGGGAGGATCACTTGAGCCCTGGAGGTTGAGGCTGCAGTAAGCCATGATTCCATCACTGTAGTCCAGCTTGGGTGACAGAAGGAGACCCTGTCTCAAAAAAAATTACGTTTTTTATGTCTTATGGAAGGGATAGAAATAGATAAGATTGGTCAGATCAGCTACGGGTGTCCTTCACACTTTATTTCAATTATTTATTTATTTATTTTTGAGATGAGGTTTTGCTCTGTTGCCCAGGCTAGAGTACAGTGGTGCAATCACAGTTTACTGCAGCCTCAACCTCCTGGACTTAGGTGATCCTCCCATCTTGGCCTCCCAAGTTGCTGGGACTACAGGTGTGCACCACCACACTTGGATTATTTTTTTGCATTTTTTGTAGAGACAGGGTTTCATCATGTTTTCCAGGCTGGTCTCAAACTCCTGGGCTCAAGCAATCTGCCCGCCTTAGCCTCCCAAAGTGTTAGGATTACAGGTGTGGGCCACCACACCCGGCCCATCACACTAGGTAACTGCATGTTTGCTAAAACTTTTTGTGTGTTTTGTGAAGACAAGTGCTTTTGTGACACAGCTCTACAGCATCTGCATTCATATTCAGGGACTACACTCAGCTAGCTCCTTGCTAATGCACAGTTTGACCAAAGTTGCCTAGCATATCATATATAAAATCTCCCATTTGACACTTCTGTGGCCTCTGGGATTTTCCCATGTTTTGTGGAGACTGATTTCTAGAGTTCTCCAACAAGATGCCCTTATAGGAGAAGAAATGTTTTTGGCCTAGGGAAACATGTTTAAAAAGGTAACAGAAAAGTAATAGAGCTACAGTTTAATATAGACATTGATTTATCTTAATGCCAAGGTGAGTCTTAAAGGGAAATTAAGGTAGTCAGGCTCATTCAAGACTATTAAGGCTAGAATGGCCACTGAGGGGGAAAAAAAGAAAATTGATTTGGAAGGAGATTTTAAGAATAAAACTAAAGAAATGTTTTGAAAGATGAATGTCTCAGTCCATTTATGCTGCTATAAAAAAATACCTAAGACTGGGTAATTTATGAAGAACAGAAACTTATTTCTCACCATCTGGAGGCTAGAAATTCCATGATTAAGGTGCCAGCAGGTTTGGTGTCTGGAAAGGGTCTGGTCTTTGCTTCCAACATGGCGCCTTGTTTCTGGATCCTCCAGAAGGGAAGAGCACTGTGTCCTTACATGGTGGAAGGGTTGCAAAGTCAAGAGAGCCTCTCTTCAATCTAAGTCCTTTTATAAAGGTGCTAATCCCATGTATGAATGACCAAGCTCCCAAAGGCCACCTCCTAAAGACCACACCTTTTAATATTTGTGCACTGGGGATTACATTTCAACATGAATTTTGGAGGGGAGATCATCATTCAAACCATAGCAATGGAGATGTAGACCACAGTAAAGGCTGTAGCTGCCACATAGGATGTGATCCAAGCGGGACTAATTTTTGTGAAACACATTAATGATCACTAGAATGGGCAGCATTTATGATCCTTATGAAGGCATGAGGGCAGAACAGCATAGTGATTGAAGACATGAACCTTCATAGCCAGACTGCCTGAGTTTAAAACTTGGCCATACTTTAGTTAGCTGTGTGACCATGGATCAATTAATCTTTCTTAGCTTTGGTTTGCAATTTGTAAAATAATGATTATAATAATAACTACTTCCCAGGGTTGTTATGAAAATTAAATAAGGCAAGGCATAAAAAGTCCTTAGCATGAAGACTGGCCCCTAGCAAGCATGGTGTGAATGTTAGTCATTAAAGATGATATGTATCATAATGGTAATTGGTAGTAATTGCCATAAATAGCACAGGACCAATAACTATAATCAAGAAAAGTTAAATGTAAAGAAAAATATGAACAAGAGTTAATTTCCATACCTTTTCCCTAAACCCCAAACCCTCAGTAAAATTTAATTTCACACAATAGTAGCTGGGCACTGAAAAATAATGAGAAGAGGCTGTGTTCAGGTTTTGAAGAAAAGTAAACCAGAGAGAACCTGGGGCAGTCAGCAGGGGTAAGGAAAAGGCAACAAAACCAGTAAGGAATTAAGCGTGGAACAAGAATCCAGAGTAAGAAATAATAACCACTCTACCAGCGTCCTCCTGGGGAATTGTTGGGGCAATTGGAGGAAATGCTAGATTCTCAAAACTACCTAGGATAGGGACTCAAGCTATTTTATTCAGATGCTATAGTAAAAGATGGTTCCAATGTCCTGGGAACTTAGGAAGATTTGAGTTACGCATATATAGATATGGATGTGTATGTCTATATGGAAAAAAATTATTGAACGATGTAAACCAAACTGTTAAATAATATTTATTGGAGAGCAGGATAAATGAAAGTTTTCAGTTTTCTACTTTCTATGTTTAAAATAAGCATGAACTATCTTTATAAACATGAAAACATGAAACATAAAAATCAATGAAGACATTTTTATGATCATGATGTTTATGAATGTAAAAATCATAACCCAGTGATAGCTGATGGTGTTGTTTATAAGGTATAAACTTTGTCATTCTCACTTCCTCTGCTAGCTGGTCAATAGGAGCATGGAAGCATCCATCATCCCTGCCACATGTTCTAGAAGACTCCTGTGAGAAACAGAGTAATAGCACCTCCTCATTAGCCACTAGTTTGGCAATTGCAGAATGAGGAACATAGAGCTGGGCATTTCTTGGTTTGGAGGGAACGAGGTGATTCTCAGTAGAAGTGTCTCTTCCCTGGAGAATTCTTACTGTGAAGGCAATTCAGAATATGCCATCCAGTGATCTTCAAAGTTCCACCAACAGCAGTTTCTAGTGTATGGTTACTTTTACCTTAAATTTGATAGATTAATAGCCCCAGTTTGTCAAGTCACAGAATGTCAGGCCCTTGCTTCTTATATCTGTCTGGAATTCCCAGAAAACAGAATGTGTGTTGCCTTCAATGAGCCAGCTCATTGGTCCCTTTGCAACAGCAGATGCCCTACCCTCAGAAAAGCCATCTACACCTGCATCTCTAGCACCTTAAGCACATGCCCATAGGCCCAATAGGGAACCCACAGGGTCTTAGTGACTTCAGTGTCATCTCCTGGGTGTCTACTTTCTTGCCACAGCTGCCTTCAGGTGCCTGAACTTTAGAAAGTGCTGTGTAACTAAACTAAGATACGCCCATGACCATGCTGTTGGGGCCTGGCCTGTGCTGCCCTAGGGCACCTTTCATGCACTCACTGCAGCTCTTTTCTGAGATCCCTTCTGCAATACGCCTCCTGATTCCTAGTGTTGACTGTTCTCTCTGACAGTTGGAAAAGTTATCTCCTCCCTGTGTCTAGTCCTTTCAAAGAGAAGTTACCACAGCAGAGAAGCAGACTCAGTGGCAATTCTTTCTGGTCTTCTCTTTCCATCCCACGGCAGCCTCACGTCGTAAAACAAACCACCAAACCACTGTTCTCTCCTTATGCTCAAGCACTGTTGATGAGTCTAATATCCACTTAAATTATGACTAGGGAGTTTTCTCAAAGGGCCCTGTTGTCCCTCCCTGCTATCTGTCTTCCTTCACTTCTACACTCTCCATCCCTCTCACCCTACTCAATCTGGCCATTGGCATATCTCCTTTTAACTAAATCCAAACTCTGAACTGACTGCAAGGTTTTTTGTAGGGATGGCATGCTAATGAGTGCATGTGGCTAACTGCCTTCTAACATTCTGTGACAGGAAAGCTTTGAGGCTCTGCTTGGCAATGTATACAAGACACCCTCCAGAGGGATGGCAGCTGTAGTAACGTACAGGAAAGGGGTCCTGATCCAGACCCCATGAAAGTGTTCTTGGATCTCACGCAAGAAAGAATTTAGAGCAAATCCACAGTGCAAAGCAAAAGTAAGTTTATTAAGTAAAGTGGTGAAAGAACAGCTACTCCATAGACAGAGTAGTACTTCCCGAAAGTAAAAGGAGGAACACGTCCACCCTAGGTATAATGCTTTTGTGT
Source organism: Homo sapiens (assembly GCF_000001405.40). NCBI lineage: Eukaryota > Metazoa > Chordata > Mammalia > Primates > Hominidae > Homo > Homo sapiens. The sequence continues at coordinate 132,440,544 of NC_000006.12, forward strand.
GTGTGTGTGTGTGTGTATGTGTATATATATGATAAAACAATATCATGGTGAGATGTGCTCTGCTACAAGGGTTTGTGATAAAGGATTAATTTTCTTAATTACATTTCACAAGAATAAATATTATTATCTTTAAAGCAAAATTAGGAATGCTTTTGTTCTCAAGATACCAGGATATTAGGACACTCCCAAGTCTGGGTCTGTTGAATAAACATTATCAATCTGTTCCCTTAACTGCAAACATCTAGAGGCTAGAAATACCTTTCTTTCTGGGATGCAGCCCAGCAAGTCCCAGCCTCATTTTCCCTGCCCTCACTCAAGATGGAGTCGCTCTAGTTTGAACTCCTCTGACATTAAGAGGTGGATTTATAGATTTACTAGGATGTTAATGAAGCTTAATCTCCAGGACTTGTCACTTGCACTAGCCCATTCTAAGACTTGTTGTGTTCTTGGGGTAACCACGGAAGAAGCACTGACCCTAGCCATGCACAGGCAGCATGAAGTACAAAGTATTGCCCAGGCTGGGAGTCACCCTCTATAATCTGGCCAGTGGTACAGGGACTGCAGTAGGACTAGTAGGCTGTCAACAATACCTCCATATCAGCTGAGCTCCAACACACAACCTGAGCCTCAGGACTCAATCTTTGACCTTAAGAGAAAGGAACAAGGACATGCCTCCCTGCCTGTAGGCCGCTATGACCAAGGATTAAAGATAATTTTTTCTTCCTCTCACTCCTCTTCTAAGGTACTGCCCAGTAGGAACAGGAGGCAGCAAAGACCTAACAAAAGTGGACCATATACATAGTAGCAGCCATCGGTGTCCATAAGCCGTGATATCAAAGAGCTGGAGTTTTCCCACTTCTTTTCCGAGCACTGCCTGAACCAGAAACTCAGATGTGACATTACCAGTAATGAGTGGTGAAGCTTCAAGAAAGCTTTCTGAACTTTCCTTTTCCATCCATTGTGCTAGAGAGAAAACTGAATTATATTTTCAATCTCTCTAGAGAAAATGTTACAAAATTTTTCATATGAGGAGATAATCAAAGTGTACAACCCAAAAATGTAGAAAACAATTGTTACAGAGGTGAAAGGCAGTTAATTAATAACTTATTTTTCTGGATTTTGTGATGTTTGTGCTATTCATGTGCTTTTTAAAAAACGTTGTATTTTGCGATTTCCTCATTTTCATAGCTAATTTTGCATTCATAATTTCATGTTCTTTTTCTTAAACAAGGCCTACCCATCTAGCTCTGGTCTGTCCAACACAAGCTGATCTCTGGCTCCCATTTGGGCTGTTACGTATTGAAGGCTAACCTTTCTGGGACAGACGCAGAAGGCACATCTCATCTTTATGAGGTCCAAGTTAATTAAATCAATTGATCATAAATGTAAAGGTTTATATCTGAACTCTCAAGTCTCTTTCATTGATCTGTGCCAATTCCTGTGCCAATATCACACTTTCTCAATTCCTGTGGCTTTATAGTAAATTTTGAAATCAAATGTGTAAGTCCATCAGTGTCAGTCTTTTTATTCAGAATTATTTTGGCTACTCTATGTCTTCTGCATTTCCCCATAAATTCTAGAATCAGCAAGTCAATTTCTATAAAAATTCCTATTGGGATTTTGATAGAGATTGAATGGAATTTGTAGATCCATTTGGAGATATCTGCCATCTTGACCATATTTAGCTTTCAATCAATAAATACAAAATACATCTCCAGGTATTTAGATATCTTTTGATATCTCTCAGCAATATTTTATAGTTTTCAGTGTACAGGCCTTACCCTTCTTTTGTAAAATTTATTTCTAAAAGCATTATACTTTTTTGATGCTGTGAATCAATAATTTTTTTCTTAATTTTATTTGTAGAATATTCATAAGAATAAAATTTTCTTAATTTTATTTGTAGAATGTTCATTGCTGGTATACAGAAATATAACTGTTTTTGCATACCGATCTTGTATCCTACAACTTTGTAAAACTCAGTTAATCTATTTGCTTTTTTGTAGACTTCTGATTCTCTACATAAATAGTCATGTCATCTGCAAGTAATGAGTTTTACTTCATTTCCCATCCAGATACCTTTCGTTTTCTTACCTTATTGCAATGGCTATAATCTCAATGACAATGTTAAATAAAAATAGTAAGAATGAATATCCTTTTCCTATTCTCAACCTCAGAAGCAAAGCACTCTGTTTTTCACCATTATAGATGATGTTAGCTTTGAGTTTTTTGAAGATACCCTTTATCAATCAAGCTAAAGAAATTTCTTTTCTTTCTAGTTTGTTGAGAGTTTTTATCATGAATGAGGATTGGATTTTGTCAAAAACATTTCTAAATCATGTGGGTTTTTGTTTTATTGTATTAACATATTACATTAATCACTTTCAGATATTAAATCAACCTTGCATTCTAACATGTGTTTTTTTCTTTTTCCTTTTTTTGGAGGCAGAGTCTCACTTTGTCACCCATCCTGGAGTACAGTGGTGCAATTTCAGCTCACTGCAATCTCCGCCTCCTGGGTTCAAGCAATTCTCCCGCCTCAGCCTCCTGAGTAGCTGGGATTACAGGCGTGCTCCACCATGCTTGGCTAATTTTTGTATTTTTAGTAGAGATGAGGTTTCACCATTTTGGCCTGGCTGGTCTTGAATTCCTGACCTCAAGTGATCCACCCACCTCAGCCTCCCAAAGTGCTAGGATTACAGGCATAAGCCACCACATCCAGCTCCTAACATGTGTTTTTAATGGCTATACCTAGTCTTTCCTCATTTTTATCCTACTATAACTAATTTTTATGAGCAAATACAGAGCTACATCAACTGGGGATCCTCCAAAATTGACAGTAAGAAACATGCTGTTGCATTTGCAGGCATGCCCAGGGTCCAGATAAGTATGCATAAATATTGTGTTGCCATAGTGATTAAGGGCATTCTTCCCAAGATGATTTGACAACAGCAAATCTTTTATAAGTACCTTCTCTAGAAGTATTTGGCAATGATCCTACCACTTCTCTGAATATTCAGTAGAAGTACAGATGAAGTAGGATGGTCTAGTAATTAAAAGTATGATCTCTGCAGACAGGCAGGCTCCCCAGTTCAAATTCTGGCTCTAGCATCTACTTGCTGTGTGACTGTGGGTAAGTTAAACTCTTTGAGCCTTAGATTTCTCATCTGTAAAATCCCTCTTTGGTAAAATGGGATAATAAAAGCTACCCCAAAGGGTTAATGGGAAGATTGCCAGTAAATGTTAAGTAGAACATACAGTTCAGTACCTGGCATGCAGAGCTCAACAAACAGTAGAAATTACGACTAAGACAGCTTCAACAATCCCCTCAGCTTGACTAAACTTCAGACAGGTTTCTTTGTGAGCATAGGCCCCTTTTCTTAGATCATTTACTTTAGAAAACTTGCAATTATAATTTCTTTCTCTATCCCTTTGTGAAGTAAATCTTCTACAACCCAGGAGCATCTTTCTCCAAAGCCTAAGAACCATGCCTTAGAAATGTAATCACCAAGAAAAATTGCACCTTTATTTCTTTGTATCTGTGGGAAAGGAGAAGCCTAACTTCAGTAGGTGCCAATTAGCAAACACAGATAGCCTGATCCCATTTACCGATCTCACCTCTAGTGTCTTTCAGTACTTACTAACTCACCTCAATGCTTAAAATTCTCCTGTCTGTTTCAGTGTGATTGAGTTCAATTTCTCCTCCATTGTGATAGTCTTGATCTCTTTTGCAATTGTCTTGAATAAAGTCTTCCTTGCCTAACTTGTCCAGTGTAACTTTTCTTACATTATAATGGTTATTATACGGAGAAAGAAGCATGGGTTCTCCTGGTTGTTTCAGCTGTATAACTTTAGTCAATATCCACTGGAGAGAATTTCAATAAAAGAAAACTATTTCTTTATGGGTTAAAAGGGATGGGCATGGGGGGCAAAATAAGAAGCACTGTGGTTCAATTACAGCGTTCTCATTTCTTCTGAAATCCTCTAGTTGAGTATTGTAATTTAAATGGAACAACTTATCTCCCTAAAAGACTGATTTTGAAAGACTATTTCCCTTTCCCTGTTAACTGCTCCCAACCCAACAGCCATCATCATTTTTAAAGGAATTCTAAGGGCAAAGAAACTAAGAATCTAAGAGAATGTAATACAATTGATGACCCAAAGAAAAGCAGCACATATTAAATTGTGACTTAAATGCTATTCAAAACATAAAATCGTGCCATTGTAGTATGTGTTTGCCTGTGTGTCTGTGCCTTTATTTCTCAATGATGAATTATATTTCAATGAAAAAGAATAATGCCTTCCAAGTAATAGTATCGTTATATAAGAGACAATTATGCCACTAAATTTAGATAATTTAGAAATAGTCTTAAGGAGAGAAACAAAAATTAAAAAGTATTGAAATACAAAGTAAGGAACTGAGATTATTGTTTTTCTCAATGAAGATAATATTTACTTTTGCTTTAAGATCTAGATATGACAAATGTTTTCTGGTTAACAATTTATCCAAAAAGAAAAAAGAATGTCAACCTTTTTTTTTTCTCTATTCCAGAGAGCTCCAGAAGGTTTTTAGATTTAAAAAAGAAAACAAAAAACAATAATAATACTCAAATGTCATATTGGAAGCCTTAGGCAAGAGCTGTTGGTCTTTTAATTTGCTCTTAATACTATGATCAAATAAAAAGAAGGAAAATTTTACAAATCATTAACAGCTTCGAGGATGAGGGAAGAACAGATTTTCAAGCATTCTTCTTTATTTAGTCAGAAATGACTGGCTCAACCTCAGCCTACTTCTCTGAGGCACATTCCTACCAACTCTTGCATATTAAATTTTGCCAGAGCAATGGGCCTGACATGGCCTTTTGAATCACAGTGAATCACAGTGACCCTTATCCAACTGAATGTCTCCTCCAATCATGTTTAATGTACATCAAGCATTCTACAGTGCCAAGATGAAGACCTGCATTGTTTTTTTAAAACCCACATTACCTTGTCATTGTGTAAGAGAAAGATATATTTAGGATTGAAGGGTGCTTCTTATTAGACCCATTCAGGAAGAAAGTAAGTCTAGAGGAGCCAAGCTCAAAACATACTCTTCACCATACACAATCAAATTCCTCTCAGAAATAATGTTCTTCTTCTCCATCTATATTTTGGAAAATTACATGAAAATCAGTAGATACTTGTAATGCAATCAGTGCTGAATTATTACTCAACAAGCTGAGTCTTCGAGGGCACCAGCAAAACAGCAGGAATGACTAAGAAAAGTTTAACTTTGATGAATTTATGTAGCGTCTTGAAATAAAATGTAAAAATGAAGCCATTTTCATTTCAGTATTCAGAGTTTTATAACATTTTGAAAAAGTAAATTTTCTTTTGAAGATTTTATAAATTACACATGGGGTTGTTATTACAATCTCTTCAGTGTTCAAGGTTTCTAAAATTCTCAATTCAGCCCTGGATACAAAAACTCTAAACACAGAGGGTTAAGGTATTAAAGATGAAAGCTAGTACCCTTACAACTATTTATATTGCAAAAGCTTTGCCCTCCTGCAAGAACATGCAGTTTCCCAAACAGTAACCTCTCTTTACAAGGTTATGCTTATTAGCTGGGATTCGAAGCTCAATAGCAACACTGTTCATCCATGGTTCAATTCAGATTGTAATTTCTTTTTAAACTACCTGACCCTTATAATCATATGGTGAGTTGGTCTGATCATTCATCTTCTCGAGGCCAAGTACTTGGTCTGAACACAGAGTCACTTGTGTTTCTGAAGCCTCTCTGCATCAAGATGATTGGGGTGAAAAACTGTCAATTGAAAAAAGTTTGAAAGAAACCTTTTATACAATGTTTTCATTGTCTTGTTCTTTTTCTGGAACCACAATTTCTGATTGGGAAAACAAAAGTCTTCCTAGATACAAGAATGAGGTTTTAAGAGATAATCTTTGTTTCTAATTAAGTGTGGAAGCTATCAACTATCGCATTGTCCCCAATGTCAGAATGTGCTGAATAAGATTTTGCTTTTTCTCAGGGCCCAGCATTTATTAAGCACTCAGCAAATGCTTACTAAATGAATGAATGACTCTACCCAAGCTTGTGTCTTTGTCTCGAAGCTGTATCTTCCATCACAGTATTAAAATGTTTTTTATGAACATGAGCATCTGGCTGCACATACAGAGCAGCACATTCCACACACTGCCCTAATTGGATCACCAATTGGAGGAAAGTAAGTCACAAGCTGATTGCCTAGAGTGGGTTTTTCCCCATCTCTGAACCAATCTCTGAGGCAAAAAGAATGCTATTAGGCTGACTGATTTATGTAAAGCAGTGCCTATCATTTCTGCAGTTAGGATGGAGTCAATTCCATCCAAAGCCAATAGAAGAGAGACAGTACTCTAAAAGAAGGCCTAGGAGCCATGAATAACTGCCGAGGGTACCATAGACACTGGGTTGGACAAGCAAGAAATAGTGACGATGTGACTTCTATTTTTATGATGGCTCAGCGGAAAATTAGTAAATACAACCAGTGTGTTAGAAATAATTCCGTATCTCCTAAGATACATTGGTTAAAAAGATACTAATAAGTTTTTGTGCGTGTAACATTTGACACCAGGCTTTTAAGTAAAACACCCTAAGATGGAACTTACTGTGTAGTGGAAAGAGTTAGACTCACTAGACATTGATTAGCTGACTGACATAGAGCGTTTCTTATCAGTCAACAAAACTATTTCCAGAGAGGCTTGAAATAAAACAGTTGACTTTATGTAGATTATGGTTAATATCTTTTGCAGATTTTCTAAGAAATCTTTCCCTATCAGAGGTCCCCAAAACATTCCTTTATCATTTTCCTTCTAAATCTTTTATACATGCTTAAGAAATATGCACATGCTCTAAATTGGGGGAACATGATCCTTTATGTATTAATTGAATCAACTTTGGTTACCATGTTGTTCTATTTACTTTTTTGCTGCTCGAGCTAAAAATTGAGTGACTTCAAATACAACATAATAGTTTTTTTTTCCGTTTTGCCCTCTACATTTTTACTTTAATAACTTTGTTTAGAACTGTTATACCTACTTCAGTTGAAATTTTTATTATTTTTGAGAGTCTCCTTATCCTTATTAATGCTTTTCACTTTAATATTTGTAAGGCTAATACTGATACAGCTATCCTAACCAGGTATATTTGCTTGTTTTATTTTCCCTAATTCTACTTTTTGTCTTTCTCTGTCCTTGTACTGTCTTTTGTAAACTGTATATATTGAACAAGGTAGACTTTTTTTTTTATTAATCTGGTGAGATAGGCAATTTATATTTATTGTAACCATTTATTATATACTATGCCATTTCTTTGCTTTTTCTATGCTTTTTCTTCCTTCTTGCATTTTTGTGGTCTATCAAAGTTGGGATTTCTAAAGTGTTTTTCCCTTATTTCAGAATGTTTCCTCTCTACTGGTTTGAAAGTTATATTGTATTGCTATTCTTTAAAGGTTATCTGAAAATTTTCTGTTAAGTACTTAGATTAACAACATCTAAAGTCATTCATTATCTTAACTTCCATCCTAAAGAGTATCAGGATCTTGGAGCACTCACACTAACTTCTAAGTGCTCCCGGACACTTTCCCCACATATACATTTCCTGAGTTATGTAAAATGTTGCTAGTATTTTAATTACGCTCTTTTTTACTCCACAGAGTAAATACTTCTTAATATAGACAGTATTTATTTACATTTCCCATGATTACTGATTTTTTAGCTCACCATACCTTCTTGCATCTCAGACTTTCCTCCTAGTCATTTTGCTGTACTCTAAAATTCATCTTTATTCTTAAGTGAAAGTCCCTTGTTTGTAAATTCTCATTTTGAGAAAAAAGTGTTTTTAATATACCCTTGATTTTGAAAGATAATTTCACTGGGCACTCATTCTATTGAGTTATTCTCTCAGTACCTTAATGATGTTATTCCACTGTCTTTTGCCTTCCAGTTTTGGCACTGAAAAGTCTACTGTTGGCCAGGTGCAGTGGCTCATGCCTCTAATCCCAGCATTTTGGGAGGCCAAGGCAGGTAGATCACCTGAAGTCAGGAGTTCGAGAACAGCCTGGCCAACATGGCAAAATCACGTCTTTACTAAAAATACAAAAAAATTAGCCAGGTTGTGGTGGCGCACACCTGTACTCCCAGCTACTCGGGAGGCTGAGGCAGGAGAATCAATTGAACCCGGGAAATGGAGGTTGCAGTGAGCAGAAATCACACCACTGCACTCCATCATGGGTGACAGAGCAAGACTCTGTCTCAAAAAAAAAAAAAAAAAAAAAAGGTCTGTCAATTCGTTATTCCTTTAAAAGTGGATAAGTTATTCTGGCTGCTTTTAAGATATCTTTGCCTTTATTGTTCTGAAGTTTGAGTATAATGAATATACATTGGCTTCCTTTTCCTGGTTGATATACATTTTGCTTCTTGTATATGTGGATCCACTTTTTTTTTTTTTAGACAGGGTACAGTGGCACCATCATAGCTCACTGCAGCCTTGAACTCCTGGGCTCGTGTGATCCTCCCTCCTCAGCCTCTTGAGTAGCTGGGACCACAGGTGTGTGCCACCATGCCTGGCTAATTTTTGTATTTTTTGTACAGATGGAGTTTCACCATGTTGCTCAGGCTGGTCTTAAACTCTTGGGCTCAAGTGATCCTCCCACTTGAGCCTCCCAAGTAGCTGGGACTACTGGTTCATGTCACCACATCTGGCTAATTCTTAATTTTTTTTGTAGAGATGGAGTGGGGGCTCTTGCTTCATTTCCCAGGTTGATCTCAAACTCCTGGCTTCAAGTGATCCTTCTGCTTTGGCCTCCCAAAATGCTGTGATTACAGGCATAAGCCACCATACCAGGTCCCAGGCTTTTCTTAGCTCTGGAAATTTGTCAGCAATTACCTCAATTTTTTTCTATTTTTTACTTCTTAGACTCCAATCAGCACATATTAAACCTTCCCATTCTATCCTTCAGGTCTCATAATCTCTAATTCTTATTTTCTATCCCTTTACCTGTTTTTGCTGCAATATGTTGTTTCCTCAGTTAAAACTTGATAGTCAACAATTCCTTTAGTTGTGGTGAATCTGCTCTTAAACCATTCATTATGTTATATATTTCAATAATTAAATTTCATACCTAAGTTGTCTTTGGTTCTTTTTAATATCTGCCTTTTAACACATCTCTCATTTCATGTTCGTTTTAATTCATACATTATTTAAACATATAACTGTTATTCTACTTCTGCTAATTGCAATACCTGAATTCCTTGAATATCTAAATCTACTGTTTCTCAATGCAAATGGTGTGTTTCCTTGCATGTTTGATTAATCTAGAAGCATTAATTAGGGAGGCTTTCCTTCGGAGGGGATTTTCATCCACTTCTTAGAGTAACCACCAGAGTCCACTGACTTAGGACTACTTTAATGCTTTAAAGCATTCCTGGTTTTATGAAGGAATCTTAGGTTCACTTTCTTTACTTTGCCTGGAGTCCATGGCTTAAGTCTCAGAGGCACAGTTTTCCTGTTTCTCAACTACTTTAATTTTAGCCCACTCTCATTGGTAATAGCCTTTAGTGATTATCTTTCTTTCTAATGAGCCAGGAAATGAACTAATATTATGTGTGTTGTATTTTATCCAAGAACTAACTGTATTTTAGCAGGAGGATCCTTGAGTATACCTAGTCAACCATATGGCAGGAAGCAGAAATCATCTACTTCGTAGTTGATTTTGGTAATTTGCATTTTTCATATAAATTATTCATTTTCTGTTTTGTGATATATTGGCATAAAGTTGTTTATAGTGTCTTATTATTTTAAAATCTATGTTTGGTTATTTATCTGTACTTTCATTCCTAAATTTTTTATGTCTTCTGTTTTTTTCCAAATCGGTTTCACCAAGTTATGTGTACTTTATTTATTTAAAGAGACCAACTTTTGTTTAAATTGATCCTCTCAAAAAAAAAAAAATTGATACTCTCTTCTATAGTATAGGTTTATACTCCAGGGGTCAACCAACATTTTCGGTAAAGGGCCAGAAATTTTAAAATTGAAAAATGCAGGAATCAATATGAAACACTTAATTGATAGGCTCAATAGCAGAATGGAAGCTACTGCAGAAAGAATGAATAAATCTGAAGATAAAATGATAGAAATTACACAGTCTGAACAACAGAAGAAAACAGGCAGAACAAAGATGAACAGAACCTCAGGGACTTACGGAACTACAATAAATCTAACATTTGTGTCATCAGAGTCTCAAAAGAAAGAAGAAAGAAGGAAGACTGAAAAAGTTCTTGAAAAAAATGACAGCTGAAAACTCCCCAAAATTGGCAAAAGACATAAACATATAGATGGTGAGAAGACCTCAAATATAATAAACCCCCCAAATCTACAAGATACATCATGGTTAAACAACTAAAAACTAAACACAAAGGAAAAAAAGAAAAAGAAAAAAGACAAATGACACCTATCTATAGGGACCAAAACAATTTAAAAAACTGGATTTCTCATGGGGAACCATGAAATTTTCTTTCCTTTTTTTTTTTTTTGACAAGGAGTCTCGTTCTGTTGCTCAGACTGGAGTACAGTGGTGCGATCTCAGCTCACTGTAATCTCCGCCTACGGGTTCAAGTGATTCTCCTGCCTCAGCTTCCCAAATGGCTGGGATTACAGATGTGCACCACCATGCCGGCTAATTTTTGTATTTTTAGTAGAGGCGGGGTTTCGCCATGTTAGCCAGGCTGGTCTCAAACTCCTGACCTCAAGTGATCTGCCCGCCTTGGCTTCCCAAAGTGCTGGGCTTACAGGCGTGAGCCACCCCTCTTGGCTGGAAGTGGCAGAACAATTTTCAAGTGCTGAAAGAAAAGAACTATAAACCTACAAGTCTATGTCTAATGTAAATATTCTTCAGATATCAAGGGAAAATCAAGACATTTTCAGATGAAAGAAAACTGAGAGAATTTGTTGCCAATGGAACTACAATAATAATAATAAGGCTAAAGGAGTGCTCTAAACAGAAAGGAAATGATAAATGAAGGAGTTTTGGAATATCAGACATCAAAAGTCTAACAAAAAATACAACCAAAAACTCTACATATAAATCTGAGAGCTTAGATGAAATGGACTAATTCATCTAAAAATACAAACTGTCACAACTCAATATGAAATAGATAAATTAAACAGCCATATAACTATTGTAAAAGTGGAAATTACAATAAAAAGAACTCCCTCCCCCAAAATCTCCAGGCCCAGATGATTTCATTGGAAAGTTCTATCAAATGTTTTAAAAAGCGCTGACACCAATTCTATACAATCCGCTTTAGAAAACAGAAGAGAAAGGAATACTTTCCAGTTCATTTTGAAGCTAGTATTACCCTGATACCACCAACCAGTATGTCGCATTAAAACAGATGCAAAAATCCTTAACAAAATATTAGCCAAAAGAATTAAGCTATATATACAAAGATACACCACGACCAAGTGGAGTTTATCTCAGGGATGTAACAATGGCTCAACATTCAAAAATCAATCAATGTATCTACCACATGAATGGGCTAAAGAAGAAAAATGGCATTATGTAAATTAAGGCAGAAAAAGCATTTGACAAAATTCAACATAAAATTCATAATAAAAACTTGCAGAAAAAAAGGAATAAAAGATAACTTCCTTAACTTTAGCAAGAGCATCTACTTTAAAAACCTACAGCTAACATTATACTTCATGGTGAAACACTGAATCCTTTCTGCCTAAGACCAGAAACAAGCCAAGGATCTCTACTCTCACTGCTTTTATTTCTGCTGGAATTTCTACCCACTGCATTAAGGGACTGAAAGGAAAAAAAAAAGGAATATAGGTCAGAAATGAAGAGATAAAACTATTCATTATTTGCAGATGACATGACTATCTATATAAAAAAAAAATCCCAAGGAATCAATCAAAATCCCCTAAAATGAGTAAGTGGGCTCAATAAGGTCTCAGTATACAAAATAGAAAAATTCACTTTATTTCTATGTACTTAGAATAGACATGTGAACAGGAAATTCAAAATACAATGCCATTTACAATCTCTCTCAAAAATTAAATTGCTTAGGTATAAATCTAACAAAACATGTACAGACCTTGTATGCTGAAAACCACACAATACTGATGAAGGAAAACAAAATTTAACTGAAATGAAGTGAAGTGATCCTGTGATCATGATCGGGAAGGCTTAACATGGTAAAGATGTCAAATCTCCCCAAATTGATGTATAGGTATAACATAGTTCCTGTCAAAATCCCAGTAAGATATTTGAATAGATACAGACAAGATTATTCCAAAGTTTATACGGGAAGACAAAGGAACTAAGTGGCTAAAACAATTTTGAAAAAGAAAGTGGAATAAACCAGCCTATTTGATTTCAAGACTTACTACAGTAATCAAGATTTTGGTGTTGGTGGAGGTATAGACACATAGTCTAATGGAAAAGAATAGAAAACCCAGATATAGACCCACACGAATGTGCCCAACTGATTTCTCATTAACTCATTTTTGCTCAACTGATTTTTGACAGAGGTGCAAAAACAATTCAATGGACAAAAAAGAGCCTTTTCGACAAATATCATGTTGGAGTAATTGAATATCCATAGGCAACAACAAAAAAAATGAACCCAGACCTAAGTCTCACATTTTATACAAAATTAACTGAAAATGGAATATAGACTTAAAAGTAAAACGTAAACTATAATACTTTTAGAAAACAACATAAAAGAGAAAATTTGGGGGATCTAAGGAGAGAGGCAAAGTTCTTGATACCAGAAGCATGATCCATAAAAAGAAAAATGGATAGAGTGGACTTCATCAAAATTAAACACTTCTGCTCTGTGAAAGGCCCAGAAAAGAGAAATGAAAAGACATGCTACTGACTGGGAGGAAATATTTGCAAATCACACATCCAACAAAGGACTAGTATCTAGAAAAAAATACACACACACACACACAGAGGCACACACACACATTATTTAAAAGCCCTCAAAACTCAACAGAAAAAAAATCCAATTAGAAAAGACATGAAGAAACATGTCACTAAAGAAGAGATACAGGTGGCAAATAAGCATATGAAACAAAGATGCTCAACATCATTGCCATTAGCGAAGGGAAAATGGTAAATCAAAACTGCAATGAGCTGTCACTATACACTTATCAGAATGACTAAAATAAAAAAGAGACACCACCAAATGCTGAAAAGGACATGAAGCAACTAGATCACTCATACACCACTGGTGGGTATATAAAATAGTACAGCTACTTGGTATAAGTTTGGCAATTTCTTAAAAACTAAACATTCAACTACTATATGACCCAACTACTATATAACTGCTGGGCATTTGACCCAGAAAACTAGATTATGTTCACACAAAAACTTGTACACAAATGTTTATAGCAACTTTATTTATAGTAGCCAAAAACTGGCCCAATGTCTCTCAGCAGGTGAACAGTTAAACAAACTGTGGTACATCTATACTATGGGATTCTATTCACACTAAAAAGTACCTGTCAATAGACTTGATACACATAATAAGCTGGATTAACCTCCAGAAAATCATGCTAAATGAAAAAAAGCCAATCCCAAAAGGTTACATATTATTATGATTCCAGTTATACAGCTTTATTGAAATGAAAAAAAAAAAAACTATAAAAATGGAGAACAGATTATGGTTGCCAAGGGTTAAGAAGGGAGTAGGGATGGGAGTGAAGTGGGTATGGTCATCAAAAGCAAGATGAGGGATCCCTGTGCTAGAAAAAGTTCTGTGTGGAAACGTTCTCTATCTTAGCTATACCAGTGTCAGTATCCTGGGTATGATATTGTATGACAGTTTTGAAAGATGTTCACTGTGTGGGAAACAAAGTGAAAGGTACACGAAAGAGGTCTCTGTATTATTTCTTACAACAGCATGTGAATCTAGTTTCTCAAAAGTTTAGTTAAAAATACTAGCATTAAACATATTTTATACTTTATAAAGAATGGGCTCTATTTCAAATGTCCATACCATTCCAAAGGAAAGTATTGGTCACATACTCCATTCTAGATTTAAAGAAAATTTAAAACAACATAGAAAATTTCTAAATGACTAAGAAAAATGTTTGACCACAGATCAGGAAAAGACATAAGGACAATAGGGTAGCCCTAATTTTGAACAAAAAATGTTTGTTTATTGCCTCCAAGATAGAACATGAATTTCTTGAACAAGAAATGTTTATTGCCTCCAAGATAGAACTAACGTGAATGATATATAACTAAGGTTATCTTACTATTAGCAAATTTTGGTATATACCCACTGCAAAATAGTACTTAAATGTTAAAACTATGATAACCTTTATGAGGCTGAACATTAAATCTGGCCCTGGGAAGAGGTTGGATGTGGCCTGAGGCACATTGAAAATGCCTCGAAATGAACTCAAAACGACCACAGTACCTAGGTTTGAGATAAGAATGAAATAAAATATATTCCCCATTAAAATCTTGCTTATTTTTAGAATCATTACTGACAGAAGGATCAGCTTTGATCTGAGAGCTTTTCACCGTCAAGTTTTTAGCTATACAAGTTATTAAAAAAGCAAAAGCTTGCATCTTACTTGGATTAAAAACCTAATTTCTAGAAAACAGGTTCTCTTCTTTCTGGTCTGAGTTTAACATTTCAGATCTCCCATTAAACAACTGATCAAAAAACTTTCAGAGGGCATTAAAAAGTGAAACTAGGTATCAGAAAAATCTTAGTCGAGGCTAAATAACTGCATTTATAAGCTTTCTACCAATGCTATTAGGTGTTGGAGTTAGTAACTACTGCCTAACGATACTTACAGTAAACACTTAAAAATTTGTACTTTGGGTTGGCCAAAGTGGGAATTAATGCCCTTTCAAGTTTATTTAAAGATTCAATTCAGTTCTAGAAAACTCCCTCGTCAACAAGTAGAGGTGTTGTGCGTGTAACGACTGGACAGGAAATCTGGTTTTGCCTTCCACCACTTACATTTTAAGCATAAATGCCATCACTACACAAAACCTACGGGAATCCCACTCTAAGCAATTAAGTGACCAACCTCTTAAAAACTTGCCAGAAGCTACAGTGTCTACAAAAACCTATTTAGTGTGTTATTTAGCTCTATTTCTGCATTTAAAATTAGGATTATTTGGAGAAAAATATTACATAATATTCATGTTAACCAAATGATTACAAAAACAAAGAATTAAAATTGGTGTATTGATATGGTATTTGAATAATGAGAAAATGGGCCAATAGGAAGATTTTCTTCTTTATTCCTATTTGATTTAAAAGAAAAAGATTTGCCAAGGGATGGGTAGGGTTAAATTAAAAACATTTTAAGAAACATTTCTTTATATGGAGCATACTTACTGTTTTTGCTTTGAGTGCATTCTGATGAAATATAGATTCCAAATTCCCCTTGGATCTCACCCTTCTGTCTAGTGCTTTGCCCTCTATTTGGGGCAGTAATTCTATACATATCCTGTAAATGTCTGTCCTGATGATCAGGATGCCCAAGCTCTGAATCCAACTGCTGCCACCAAGAGAACGGCTCCTTTTTGGAGCCATTACACACAGATCATCACTCAAATCAGTAGTTTCTCTTTAGAAAACTAGCAATTTTCTGGTAGTCTGTCAATTAAGAAAAGAAAATGAAATTCAGTTACTTAGTAAGGAAAACTGGATAAACAGGAGGCTGGTCCAAACGGAGATTTATATTTAGACATTCCCTTTCTTCCTTGCCTCATTCCTTTCACACAGCTATTTCCCTTCTTTTAACACACCAAGTTCTTTTTATATGCCAAATAACAAAACATAAACTCCCTGAGGGCAGGAAGCTTATTCTTTTGGTTCACTCTTAGAACACTATGCCCAGGCATGTAGTAGCCTGGCAAAAAGCCGGCCCCAAATAAGTGCCAAATTAAGTATTTATTAAGCAACTACTACGGGAGGGAAGGAAGAAGGGAAGGAAGGAAGGAAACTGTGTTAAGTCCTGGGGCCCCAGAAGCTTAGTATATGTATTTTTTATTTTGGTTGGAAAAAAATGACTTGCTTACCATCTAGAGCCAATGCTTCTAAATTTTTCCATCAAAGAATCTTTAATGAAAGTGAGGAAAATTCTGAGGCTTCCACTTCACGTGGTTTGAACTGTACATCTCAGTGTTTGTTTCACAATTATGCTAGACTGTCAACTCACTTCTCTTTCTAGAATGTCCTCTGCAGTGCAGGTAGACCAGAAACCACACTTCCCACAAACTCCTTCTGTCTCTGGTTCTAAGTTGAGAGTTGACCATGAGAAAAGGAGAGACCATCTTTCCTCAGAGGCCACTGCAGACAGAAGTGTAGGCGGGCAGAGGACATGAGTTTCACAGCAGTTTCAAAATCTCTTGCAAGGCACTGGCTTTGGAGCTATTAACAGCTGACAGCTGGGGACAGCTCCCTGAGACACACTGTCAGTGCTGCACGCCAACAGCACAGCCTTCTGGATGTTCTCAAGAGTCACAGCAGTGCCTGGGCCAGCTCCTGAGATCCACCCACTTTGGGGCCGCAGACACCTTCCTCACCCACCCTTTTGATGTCTAATTCCCTATGTTAAAACACTTTACACTTATAATCCATCAAGTGGTTTCTGTTTTTCTAACTGAATTGTTAAAATATGCAAAATTCACATTAAAGAAGTTTCCTACCTATCTTGTGACCTCAGTGAATGAGATGCTGCTTTATCCAATCTACTGACTTTGGAAAATCCAGCTGAAATGAGGAAAGATAATCGTGCATGTCTGGCAACCAGGTAATTTCTTTCCTATCTTTCATGTCACAGTATTTTGAGGACACAAATTCCTAAATACTCAGAAAAAAATGGTTTTATCTTAATTGATTTATAAATTATGTTAGGGTAGTTGTTAAACAGAATTTTGTCAAAGAAGCAGTACACTGTAACACTTTCAGGCTCCCATTGGTTTAAAATTTGATAAGTGTATTTCTTTGCTGACAAGTCAAACTGTTCAAATGTTATGGAGGACTAAAAAGGCCTGGGATTCACAGGCTCATTTTTTGTTTTAACTGAATCATGAAAATACACAACTTTTTTTTTTCCAGGAAAGACAGATGTTATTTACCACCAATGAATTTTTATCATATTTAAATGAACTTGAAAATGTCATTCAACTCAAATCCCTCAATCAACTTACTTCAGCCCATTCTGAAACTTCATATTGCAGCAAACCAGCCATGTGAAAGAAATAAATTCAATTTTGACTTTCAAAAAAAATAAATGCTGCATAAGTTACCCTTGTGGACCTTAGCTATTAAGGTGGACAATGACTTTATTTTCTTTACGTAAGTTTTATATTTTATTATGACATTCATTTTTTCTACATGAAGACACAAATAAAAATTATACCAACTACATAAACTATTTTGTACTTTCCTTGCTAAACCACAGATGTATTTCATGGAAAGAGGGGCCTTTAAAGGCACTTATTTATCATTGTAGGTGTGTCTAAACAATTGATATTCAAAAACACAACTTTTTGTGTACAAAATTTTACAATTTTTAACAAAAGCAGTGAAGACACTAAATAACCCAGTGGCGACCTCTTCAAAGTGCAGTGTCCTTGGTCACCAATGCAGATGCTACTGGGGCAGCCAGCGGGCTCAGAGGGTCCAACTCCAGACACTGCATCCATGGCTGTCCTAGACTGAGTTGCACTTGTAAAAGAGATGGTCCCACACCTACTAAAAAAACAAGCTACTCTAGTATCAATATGACATCACTCTTTTACCATCAATCATATTGCAAAACCATAGTATTTAACGACCAATAAACAGCCAAATACCTAATGCCACATTGTCGTTCAATTTACCTGGCTGGTTAATATCAGTCTGTGTTTGAGTATTTCTTTTGAGCACACAAAAACAAATGTATAGTCACTTGATGAGGAAATTCTTCACTTTGACTCAAATGGATTCACCATGCTGTCAGTTATGAAAACAACTCTAATTTTAATCTCCACAGGGCAACCTTCACTTTTCACAGCAGTTCTAAAACTGACCTACAGAAAAGTTCAAGATTTTTTAAAAAATTTGGCTACCATACTATGTTTCTTATTTAATTTTCTCTAATCAATACTACTCTTACGTTCCAAATATTTCATGGGAAATTTTTCCCTCAAACTTAATATGTTTCTTAAACAAATTGAAGCCACTAAAGTTCCTGTTTAAACCACTGATAACTGCCCCAGTTAAAATAATAATAATTTAAAATGATTACACTTCAAATAAAGGTACTAAAATCACGCCCCCCAAATTTGTAAGCGCTTTTGTTGTTATTGGGTACTCACTGTGAATAGAAGTAAATGTACTTGACCTGTATGAGAATAAACATTTTATCAAGTACAGCAAAAAAAACGGAACTGATTGTGAAAGCCATGGGGATGGGACTTTAAAACAGCGGTAAGACGCTGGTTTATCACCAGAAACCTCATGTGCCTCTGTGCACTTGAAGTAAAGACCACATTTGAGCAGGCCTGGTGGGCTGGCACAGGCCTCAGAACAGGTGCTGTTTGTGTGAATTCTCCTCCCTGCATTGTCCATTCTGTTCTAGGGCAGTCTGATTCTGGCAACAGGAGTCTCTAAGTTCCAATCACTCACTCACAAAAGAGTTTTCTGTAATCCCTTTTGTGGAAAAAAATGGAGTTTTTCTGATATGCAAAGCAACTTCTACCAGTCTGACAAAGTAGGTAAAATCGATGACACCCTAAAATAAAAACCTGGAGTGAACTGGTGCTCCAGAAAGATGCTGAATGGCCACAGTGCATGTGGTGATGTCTCCATGCTGAGGTTTCAGGCAGCACAGCACTAAGTATCAGGTGACCTGTGGTCCCACCAGAGCATAGTCCTCATGAAATAGGCCTAACCAGATACCTTTTAACTCATCTTTATTTTGGTTGCAAAGATGTGGTTTACTTAGCTACTTACTATTTGTTCCCATTTGAAGTCTCAGAGCTTGCCAAGTTAAACACCGCCTTCAGTACCGAGCTGCTATACAAGAACATTATAAAATACAAAGTATAAACTAAGATAATCCTCTTTACAGAATTCAGATTAGTGCATTAAAACAACATTGATTTAAAAAGGGAAGTGAGATAACTGGCAAACCTCCAATTGCTTTTTTAATGAAGGATGACACAAAATGGCACGCAAGGTAAACACTAAATTTTGTCAGGTGCTCAAAAACAGTTAATTGTGGGAAAGTTACTTTCCAAAAGTAATTTTGACCTAAAAATATTAACCATTATTCTATAAGACATAAGGGAAGGTAAATAATGGCCCACAAAACCAGATGATATGGTTAAGATAACTAGTTTAGTGGAATAACAAACTGGGGTCTTAAGAATCCAAACGCAATAGGTATTGGTATTGGTTGTTCATACTCTTCTTCCAAATTATGTTAAACATTTTTAGTAACTACACTTTCCCCCGTAAACATCAGACTTAAATAGACCATATGTAAAAACAACCTATCCTTAGTAATTTTACTAGGCAATCTACAGCAAAAGCTTAATATATACACAGAAAGAGTATCAAATAAACTAGAAAAGTATTCACCGACTTCAGGGTAAAAAAGATCTTAAAAGAAAACCAACAAAAAAATGAAAGACACTTTGTGCTGTTGTGAACCAGAAAAATACAACCCATGTATAGACCTTAATTATTTTACATTATTGAGAATATTTTCCCTGCTGAAGCAAATCAAAATTAAATTTGAGAATTTTAATTGAAGTAACACACATCTAGGTGTGTCACAGTGACAGGGAGATGCAAACAGAATACACACACCTTTAAATTTACGAATTCCCAAAACTAAGTCAAGCAGGGTAAATAAATTATAAATGAAAGGCATATGCAATGTGGGCAAAAACTTAACAACTATTAAATTGAAGACCAAGGGAGTTATGTCAGCAGTGACATTTAGAAAATCTTTCAGTATTAGAAAATATCAGATTTAATCCAAAGGAACCACCCCAACCCCCCCAATAAAAATAACAAAGTATGGGAACCATCCTTTATACAATAGCTTTAAAATAATAATTAAAAAAACATGATTACAGGAATCTTCCTACATAATTTAGACAATGTAGTGCGACAGTGTGCTCCTTTATAACTTCAGTGGTTCAATCCCCATATGATGAGACTGATAATCGCAACTCCAATGACAAGGATAAGAATGATGATGCACAGGGTTTTTCTGGATTTGCGCTGCAGACGCAAAAAACAAAACAAAACAAAAAAACATGTTTACAGATTTAGTGGAGTACCTCTACAGCAACTAAAAATAATTTGGTTCATTTCTAGAGTAAAATCAGTAGTAGTATATTGCCCTCAAATTTTTGACTGTGTTTTTTTGTTCCTCAAAAATCTCTTTAATACATATGGCACTATTCTTTCAAAAAAATTCTTGAACTAATGCTACAATTAAGGGAGCAATTTTTCAACTTTCATTGGTAATTTTTCTAAGGGTGTGGCTGACCTTAAGAAAGAAGACACCACTAAATAAGTTACTGACTTAAACAAGAGACTGAGGTTACCTATGAATAAAAATAAAGAACAGCTTACGAGCTTAAACATTCTTTACCTTTTATTAAAGTTTTTCTTAAAAATGAGTTCTCTGAAGATATCAGTAAGTACAAATTGGCAACTTTTCTTCACATATATTTCTTTTCTTTTTTTTTTGAGATGGAGTCTTGCTCTGTCACCCAGGCTGGAGTGCAGTGGCACAATCTTGGCTCACTGCAATCTCTACCTACCAGGTTCAAGAGATTCTCCTGCCTCAGCCTCCCAAGTAGCTGGGATTACAGGCGCGTGCCACCACACCCAGCTAATTTTTTTTTTGTATTTTTAGTAGAGACGGAGTTTCACCATGTTGGCCAGGATGGTCCCATTCTCCTCACCTCATGATCTGCCCACTTCGGCCTCCCACAGTGCTGGGATTACAGGCGTGAGCCACCACGCCCAGCCCCTCACACATATTTCTTGTTTCCAAAATACAATGATTTTGGAATGAGTTTCCAAAATCATTCTCATTCTTTAATATTAATGGGAAACTACATTCAAAATCTCAACAAACAAAACCACAGAGCAAACAAAATCATAATGCTGTCATTGAAAACCGAATGGTTAAGAATTTTGTTCCGTTCTTCATTCCTGGTTCAGTTGTAGATTTCTTTAATGGCGTTTGTACCTCACATCAACATGCAGGAATCCTTTTTCTTACAAAGTAGAAAAATTTGTAAATTTACTTTGTGTCAAGTAGAAGTACCAAAATATTTATAAAAAGATACATTTCTGAGTCTGAAATTACACTGAAAACCATAAATAGTTTGAATATTCCACATATTCATCTAATTTTTCCAGTGAATACTCCTTACGTATCAAACACAATTTCTCTAAAATTTCAATACCATGCATAAATATTTTTCCCAGACTCCAGTTGGTTACCACAAACACACATGTAATGTACCTGTGAGTCATCACGGGTATCCCACAATGGTGTGTTTGTTGCCTGGGGTACTCCCCCTAGCGTGGGGTAATGAGACCCTGGGGCAATGTGGTGATAAGTGAACTTGAATTTCTCACCTTCCTTATTCTTAGGGTTCACCCAAACATATCAAGGCTTCCAAACAGAACTATTGGAAAGCTGCCTCTTTTCTCAGCACTTGTGCTGCATGGCCATCTCGTCCCGCTTCGGGAGCTGGGGGAATTAAGCCTAGGGGCAGCTTCCAGTCCTGGGGTGTAGCTTGGGACATGTGCTTTTTCCTGTAGGCTTGGCCTTCCACAAGGAAGAGGAAGAGTAAAACTTGGCAGAATATCCACATTTCCCCCAAATCCAAAAGCAAAATAAAATACCATGTGAACCTAGTCACTGATGGATCCTGTTAAGTTTCAGCAGTTATATGCTAACAGCTCCAGAAGACTTCTGGCATTTGCAGGGGTGTGTGTGTGTGTGTGTGTGTGTGTGTGTGTGTGTGTGTTTTCAATTATTCGTGAGGGATACCTAAAGTCCATGACACAGTGATATAGTGATATTAATTTCACTGAGCTGCATATCTGAATGACATGGACAAAGATAATAAACAGGAGTGACTGTCAGTGAATACAACTGGTTATAACTCAGCAATCTCCATAGCTTCATTATTATTTACTTATCACTGAATATGCAGTAATTTGTCCAGTAAAAGATGGACTGTGAAATAAAGGCAACTTCTAAGGTTAGTGAGAAAAACAAAAAGCAATTGAAAATGTCTGAGAAGGTGACAATATCTTAGATATTTTATAAGAAGTTAACAGCGGCTGGGCATGGTGGCTCCCATCTGTAATCTCAGCACTTTGGGAGACTGAGATGGGTGGATCGCTTGAGCCCAGGAGTTCCAGACCAGCCTGGGCAACACAGCAAAACTCTATCTCTACAAAAAATACAAAAATTAGCCAGGCGTGGGGGTACACACTATTCGGGAGGCTGAGGCAAGAGAATGTCTTCAGCCAGGAGGCAGAGGTTGCAGTGAGGCAAGATGACACCACTGCACTCCAGCCTGGGCATCGGAGCCAGACTCTGTGTCAAAAAAAAAGTTAATAAGGTCAAGAAAATGATAATTATGAATGATAGCAACAAAGGAATGGAGTTTTAAAAAGGAAATCAAATGCTACATGGTATTTAGGGGTTTCCAAAGAGCCTGGCCTTATCCAATTTGAACATCAAAGGTCTGCATATTGTATGATGTATTAATAGTTGATAGTTCTAATATTTGTATAGTACTTGACATATAATTTATATTTGACACATGCATGTGGACTCCCTATATTAACCCGACTCAAGAAATAAATTCATTCCTGGTGAAGGGTCTGCTGAATGTGGACAGAATATATAATGAACAGTGACACTCCAAGCTAATATGATTTCCACAAGACCTGAAGCAATCTCTCTAGGACAAGGAAATTTGCCTCTTTAGTCCAGTGTGTCACTGACAAAAAGAAAGAAAAAGTAAAAGGGAGCAGCAAGAAATGGGAAGGAGGGGCCTATCACAAAAAGGTTTCTGGGTAGAAATGTCACAATGACATCAGAGATCCCCGGCCATCAGAAAGCCTAGAATTGTCTCTGCCGCCCAAACACTAAACTTTCTCTCCCTGTGGGCCAACAATTCTGGTTCAACCCTGAGAAGAACACAGGCTAAAAACAGTTCTAAACTGACTGGTATTATTTAAACAGACTTCTCTTCCATGGGATTTTAAATTTTAACATCTTCAGCCATTTTAAACCTAATCTCTCCCTGCTTCCTCAACACAAACACACACACACACATACGAAAAGGATAAGTTATAAGAAAATTGATCACAGTTAAATTACCTGATAATCTGCTGCCCTTGACAGCTGCTGATTTGCTTGCTGAACGTGCACCTCTGCATTTTCCACATTGGCTTCTATGCTATCTGTAAAATAAAACACACACACACAAATGTGTTAAACATGGATTGATGCTCCAGTAACAAATCACTAAATTTCATTCAAGGTAAGATTAAATATGGTCATTATTCAAAGGTTAATAGTAGTATATCATAAAGTTGAATTTTTTTAAGCTGGCTTTAAGAATTATAGTATACACCTATACTATTTTTCAGGTGATCCAAACAATATAAGAGCATTTGTATAACAGAACCTTAATCATCTTCATTACAGAGCAACTCCAGCTCTACCTGGCAACCCCTGAAAAGTACTGTCACCCTGACATTATCAAATCAGTGTCAGCACAAGAGATGTCTCAGTGTCAAACTCCACAGCTTGGTCTATGTCAAGACCAATGCACAAGAGATCAACTCTCTTCTTTCTACTGCTGAAGATTTTGTTCATCATGATAAAAACTGGTACCTTGACTTTTCAAAGAATATTATGTCCTCAGAGGGAAACAAACAAACAGAAAAACCCAAATGCTAAAACTTGATCCCTTAATCATTATGTTAGTCATTAATGTTTCTCAATTTCTTTTCCCTCTATGTCTTTGTAAATGGAATGTAATTTAAGTTACTGGAGCATAATACCTATGCTCTACTTAGTTTGTGTTCTGTAATGGCCGACTCAGTAGCAAGCATGTGACAATGTTTATTTAAGGTAAATACAGAGTGCTGAAGGCCATTTACTCTGTGGTCATCAACATACTTCTGTGCTAAAATCTAGCCCTCACCGAGGGCCCATGAAGCCTTCTCAATTGGTGGCAGTTTTTCTTCCCACCCTCCAGGGGCCTGGAGGTGGAACGGGTGTCATTTTGAAGCATGAGACCCTTTGCCCTTGTCTCTTCCTCCCTACCAGCTCTCAGCTTTAAGGCTCATGCTATCAAACTCAGCCAACTCTCTTTGTTGCAGACATCTATCAATCGCATGGCCTTTTCTTCTCATTCCTTGAATATTTTAGCCTCTGACTCACTGATGCTCTCTCCAACACTTCTCTTATACATACTGGTGACTTCAAGATCCAACTGCTGACCCTTCTAACACCCTGGCCTCACAGTTCACTGACCATACTTTTTCCAAAGACGAACACCTTTCCTCACCCACCCATTTCCATGGTCACATCCCAAACCCTGACATTCCAATAATTGCAGTTGTTCCATAATCTCAATTTCAAGGGTCTCACTCTTTGATCACCACCTTCTATCTCTAGAGCTCACTCCTTCTAATTCCCTGGCTCCAACAATTTTCAACTTTCATTGATCCTACCACTTCTTCACTGTCCCTCACATATGGCATGTCCTCACTTCCCTCCTTACCCTAGCCTTAGAGTCCTTGGACAATCACTTAGCCTCAGCTTACTCTCATCCTTAGCCCCCTTGCCCCTCCACTTTAGTCATATGACAAAACCCCAACCAGTACCCATGCAGCTGATTATGGATGTAAAAAGGATTAACTGTGTTTCACTTTAAAGTCATGACTGCCAAGCAGGTCTACTTCATTTCTCTGACTTCTGAAAGACTACGTCATACTTTCTCTTCTCTCCTCAAGCTTCTCAGGCCTCCTCTGGCATTATCATTCTCAGCCCATGACCTTGATTTCCAGCTCTTTGAAGCAACAGGAACCATCAGAAGACATTTCCACACGTTTTCATGACCCTATCTACATGCAATATTTGTGTGTTCTGACAACTTTCTTGTTGCCAGGAAGAACTATATACCCCGAGCAAGAGCCAAATTTTCCATTTGTGCACTTTATCACATTTCCTATCATTTAACTCAAAAACCTCAGTCCAGCAAACTTCCTCTCTCTCTTACTTATCATCAGTATTTCTTTCCCTGGTAGATCACCTTCATCAATCCCATAGCTGCCATCTTAAAAACAAGCAAACCAAAAACCTCTCATTTATTCCACATCCATTTTTGCAGCTATGACTGCATTCTCTGTTTCACTTCCCCTCTTTACTCCTTGAAAGAGTTATCTATACTTGGTATCCACCACTGTTCTCCTCCCATTCTCTCTTGAGCCTACTTTTATCATGCTTTCACCTACACTATTTCACCAACACAGCTCGTATTGAGGTCACCTATGCCCTACACACTGTTAAATCCAGTAGTCAAATCTTAATCCTCATTTTTCTTGGCCTAACAGCAGCACTTGAAACAGCTGACCATCTATTGTTCTGGAAGCACTTTTTTTCACTTCCCTTCTAGGACGATGCATTCATTTGGATTTCCTCCATATCACTGGCTATTCCTTAGTCTTTTTATTTGTTCTTCTTCAACTGTCTGGGCTCTAAATCAGAGGTTAAGAAGCTTTTTCTGCAAAGAGCCAGAAAATGAATAAGCTTTGTGGGTTGTATGATCTCTGTTACAAGTATTCAGCTACCCCTTCACTGTGCAAAAGCAACCATAAACCATACATAAATGAATACATGTAGTTTGAAGACACTGTTCTAAACATTTAGAGGATCCAGGGCTAAGTCCTCAGACCCCTTCTATTCTCTACCCAGACTTAATCCCTGGATTATCTCACCCAATCTTGTGGTGTTAAATACTATGTGTACACAGATCACTCCTAAATTTAGATCCCCTGCCCAGACTTCTCCCCTGAACTCCATGTTCACTTTAATAATGTCAAGAAAACCTTCACTTGGTGTAAAGGGGCACCTCAAACTTAACATATTCAAAAATGATTGATTTATACCCATCTAAGCCTGCTCCACTTACAGATTTCCCCATCTCAGAAAACAGTAACTTCACCATCATAGTGGGCCAAGCTAAAACCTTAGCATCACCCTTAAATTAACTCTTTCTTTCACACTCATACCCAGCCAGTCAGTAAATCTTTTCGGCTGTCCACTTAAAAAATATCTGAAATCCATGAACTTCTCACCATCCCTCTAGTTCCATCCTAATCCAAGCCAACAAGATTGAGCATCTGGATGACTGCAATAGCCTTTTAGGTGACCTCCTTGCTTTTGGTCTTTTTCCAGCAGCCAAGTGAGTCTTTCGAAACTGAAGCAGGGTTATAGCACTCTTCTGCTCAACTCCTCCTTGGCTTCTCATTCGTTTGTAAAAACTGAAATCTTCCTACCTGACATCATCCCCTGCACTTGGACATGATCTCCATCTCCTTCTTGCTCATTAAAAATGTCAGGTATGCTTCTGCCTCAAGGCCTTTGTACTCGCTGTTCTCTCTGCCTGGAACACTTTCTCTTACTTGCTCCCTTAAATCTACCAAGGGTTCACTAAAATGTTACCTATCAGTAAGTACCTATCATACCTAACTACCCTGTGTCAAGCAGCAACAATTTCCACCCCTAGCAGTCCCATCCCTCTACCCTGGCCTTATTTTCTCCATAGCACTTATCACCATTTACTTGCTTTTCTCGCCTTTTTAAAAAATTGTCTTTCCTCCCATTATAAGATCAATTGAGATAGGGTATTTTATCTGTTATTTAATTTCAGCTGAATCTCCAATGCCTAGATTTGTGTCTGGACATAGTAGCCACTCAACATATTTCGGATGATGAATAAATTGGTTTTTGAAATTTTACCCTGTGATCTACTGGGGATACAGAGGAGGGTAAGAATGGATAAAAAATAGTTACACTGAAGTAAAGGTGCAAATATTTCAGTTGGACCAAATTCAGAAAATATACTAAAAGCATCTTTAGACATACCAATACATAGCTCCAGACTTCAAGATGGTCAGGATCCTGATGAATGTTAACAACTACACCCTAATTGAAATGCTATTACATTCAATACTTAAGGGATTCTTAGCAACTTTAGAAAAGAAAATCACTTCTAAAAAGAATTCCTAACTTCTATGTAATACTACTAAATTCATCTACCAAAAAGCTATTAAAATGAATGATTAGGCAAATGTCTACCTATTCCCTAATACCTAAAAGACAAGATGTCATGCACAGTTACATATACCACAAGTTTCCCCAAAAGTGCTTAGCATGATGACAAATAAATTGGAGTAAGACTAAAACCAGAGGCCCTGGAAATAAGCTGGAATAATGTTTCATGGTGCCTTCCATGGTCTTGGCAGCAATAGGCCCTGATTAAATTTGGGCTTCTGAAATAAATGAAGCTGGTTATTTCAACCAGCACGAGTTAAAAATGAGATCTGTTTTAGATAATGCCAAGGGTGATGCTTACTGTGTTTTATAGACCATGCTTTTGGTTCCAGGGAAACCAAAAAAGGGACAGAAAGTGGTTACTCTTCTGTGAGAAAGTTACAGCAGGTAAAGTGCATGTAGCTTGCTCTCACCTCCAAAATCTAAGTCAGCAGGTCTTACCTATTACATCTCCTTGTTCATGAATCATCATTCCCAAATCTTTAAATATTTCATTAATATCCATAATATCAGCCTAAGAGAAAACGCATATATTATTATAATCAGAAATTCAGTCCCCATTCCATAAAAGAGGAAAAATTTTAAAAACCCAAACCACTACTCACACATGGGTGAGCATGCATCTATAATACACAAATATAATACATAAACTTTGGAAATATCAGGAAAATATTTGACAATAATTAAGAAGAATTTGAACAATAGCCACCAGTTCTCTAAAATCAGTTTGTGGCATTAAAAATACCAAGTGAGCGAGGCAGGATGGAAATGAATGGAAATGAAGGATCTATAATAGAGAAGAGCCATGGATTGCTGAGTTCATTTTATACAACCTGATAGTTTTGTTATCACAAGCAGTATCTACTTACAAGGGTATAAAATATTCTTAGCATGTATTTCTAGTAAAATTTACACATCAATTTGACAATTTAAAGTAATAAAACATTAGGTGTAAATTTAAAGTCTCACATTAATAATTTGAACATGCAGTGGATTAGTGAAATGTCACTACTGAATAAAGAAGTTATAAACTTGGTGATTAAATATAAATTTACTTTTCTTCAATGACACAATTAACTGCTTCATAAAGTTTTTATAAGGACTAAATGAGATAATTAACATAAAGAATTCATCCCACAAGTGCCTGGCACATGGAAGGTCTTCAATAAATTGTAGCCATTGTTAGCTATTATTAGCCTTCTTTCTAGGAACTAAGTAGGTTCCATAAGAACTATGACTTAATAAATCCTTTAGATCTCTTTGATGTCATAAACATAGTAAAGAGAAATAAAATTCTTTGAAGGCCTTATAAAAGGTCTTACTCATGCAGGTATGATGTGTATCATGTGCTCTGGGAAGACATCCAGACTCTTGGACAGACATTTATCTCTACACTGGTATTTTCTCAATACTAAGGTGGTCCATAGATGGCTTGATATAACAATAATAATTTTTAAAAAGCTGCAGTAGGAGGGAGTATGATCCCTCGTCCTAGCACAAACAGTAAGGACAATATTATTTTTTTAAAAAAGGAATTATTCCAACTCATACATTACAAATGCTACC
Organism: Homo sapiens; assembly: GCF_000001405.40. Lineage (NCBI taxonomy): Eukaryota > Metazoa > Chordata > Mammalia > Primates > Hominidae > Homo > Homo sapiens. The sequence goes on from NC_000006.12 coordinate 132,469,528, forward strand.
AAACTGATACATTAATTTTCTTTCTCTGGGCCAGACATGGTGGCTCACATCTATAATCCTAGTACTTTAGGAGGCCAAGGCAGGCAGATCACTTGAGACCAGGAGTTTGAGAACAGCCTGGCCAACATGGTGAAACCCTTTCTCTGCTAAAAGTACAAAAAATTAGCCAGGTGGGGTGACACGTGCCTGTAATCCCAGCTACTCAGCAAGCTGAGGCACAAGAATCGCTTGAAGCTGGGAGGCGGAGGTTGCAGTGAGCCGAGATTCCACCACCGCACTCCAGCCTGGGTGACAGAGGGAGACTGTCTCAAAAAGAAAACAAAATTTTTCTGTCTCATGCATTCTCCCAGCATTACCTAAGCATCTTGAGAACAAACTCACTAAGACCAGAGCAGCAGCCCAAGTCTACAATGTAAGCCTTACTTCAAGTTGCCTGATAGAAGATTCTCTCTCATGAATAAGACGGAGGTCATCCTCTGTAATTTCTTCATCCTGCACCTGCACTTGAGGTTGAGTTTGGCTAACAGAAAAAAATGAATGTGGAAAAAAACAAAGATTGGTATTCAAAACAATGGGACTCATTTCCTATTTAAGATATATTCATTAAATAGGATATTTTATTCTCCAAAGTCACAGAACTACTCAAAAAAATTCTAAGAATATAACAGATATATTAATAAAATTTATTCATTTTTCATTTCACTTATATCATTTTAGCTAATGTGAGTTTAGAGTTATTACTTAATTATTGGAAGCTGTATCTGTCAACTGGGTATTTCTTCTCAGCTGATTTAAACCTCATATAAGGGAATGTCTATATTAATAATTAAGTCCATAAACATTTATTTGGAAAACTTTATATATTTTGTAATAAATACTTTATAATTACTTAAAATTTTTTTCAAATTTACTCTGTTTTCAACATATAAACAACTTAGGATATTTATGATATAATATATTGAAAGCTTTAATTCTGTTCCAGGGACCTTAATGTATAAACTTTGAAAAATTACCTTTTGATCTGTAAAATGTTTTGTATTTCTTACCTTTCCCAGGATACAAGATTCCTTTCTTTTGAGCTGTCCTCAGGAAAACTGCCCTGAATAATTTAGTAACAGGATGGAATGAGAAGGGGCAAAAAAAGCAAAAATGAGAAAAAATAAACACTCATATTTTCCCTTATAATAAACTAAACTGATTTATGTACGTGTCTGTGTGTATGTGTGTGTGTGTGTAGAGACAGAGAGAAAGAAGTTCTTGTTCTAATTTTTCAGGTCAACTGCTTCAAGTAATAATATAATTATAAGTAATTTTATATTCTAAGTAGACAAGAAAGGAATTCACTAAATATTCTCAAGGATCAAATAAGTATTATTTAGTTAAAGCTTAATGTAGTCTTGGAATCCATATGTTAATGAATAAGAAAATAACTCATGATAGTTTCTAAGGGAATTTAAAATTAGATTAATTCAAAATTCTATTGTAAAGCTTCCTTTCATTTATTTTCTCCAGGCTCATGTTCATTTTCAATATTGATACAACATACTTGCGCCATTCATCTCCGTCATCTTGGTGTAATCCAGGAGGAAAGTGCTTTCTACACTAGCGTGTACACAAGCAGAAAGCCTCAGTACCAAGACGATGTGAGAATACTACTCAGGATTTGATCCCTAATCTTTTTTGACAAAATATGTCTCTATATTTTTATATACTCTGTAATCTTCTGTACTATGACACAAAAAATCACCACCGTAATACAAAATTATCATCCTTTTCTAAAAATGGAGCAGGAAAGCATAAAAATAAATATTCAAGAGCTGATTTCCAAGATATTCACAGATCTTTATGACTTAAAAAATTATGCTACTATAGACTTTTATGGGACCCTTAGCAAGTAACCATGTTCATTTCTAGAATGTCTTTTAAAATACTTACAGACACTCTGGAACTGGCTCTTACTCGAGCAACAAACTCTTTCTCTCGCTCAGCAGCCTGCCTCTGGACCTTCTGGAAGTTTGTCAGTGATGTTGTGAACTCTGCCACTAAGCGATCCTTCTGTATTTTCCTTTGACGCTAGAGGAAAGAGAAGAAAAAGCCAACTAGAATCTAGCTGTGAAGTTCAACTGAATTTGCGGTAGTTGGCTCTTTATTTAACCCTGAAGTTTTCACTTACTCCCCAATTACAGGGCCTTACAGATTAACTCTCAGTAACATTCTGATAGTATGTCAAATACTGTGCATATTTAACTTGAGGCAAAAGACCCATTATGCTGGATTTCTCACCTCAGGTTTTCACGCTGCTAAAAACTAGCTTATTATTTTGAGGCTATTTTAAAGTAATTCTTTTTCAGGCAAATAAAGCCTTATACTTTTAGCTAAGTAATAACTTCCATTAAATAAGCAGGGAAATAAATATGTGCCCCCAGGACACCTCACATCTTGAATGAGCCTGCATGTTCCACGCAGTCAGCCCCGGAAGGCCAGGAAATAATTACTCAGGAAGCATTTTCTGAGAACTAACTTAATTATGGGTCAGGGCAAATGCATGGAAATAATTTTTGCTTTATTGAACCACAGGATACTACCTGAGCAATTAAATATAGTTTTGTGTTCTGTGAACTAATCTCAAACAGAATTATTTTTGATTTCCTTTCTAGCATAATTTCCTTTCTAGCGTAACAGTTCAAAGATCCTACAGTGCACTGGGTTTTTTTCACATTCAATACATCAACAATGTGTCTTAAAGCTTGATACCTGTTCACTGGGGGTGGTGGGCAGAGATCCAAACTCTTTAATGTACTTATCTGTTTCTTTGGCAAGCTGGTTAGTATACTGCTGCTTCTGTTGCCTAAAGTGAGAAAACACGCATTACAGCCAAAGGACTAATATACTTCTTTAAGCTTCAACTCTGCCTTTTGAATCAACACTGATAAACAGTTGTACAAAAATTGCCTTTTCATAAACTGGCTCTCAACTTTCTCTATCAAAAAAAATTTCATATCCTATTCTTTGATAAATAATGAGCAAATATTATATGTCAGGTTCTTCACTCACACAGGGTAGGCAAGCTTAGAGAAATCAATTCAACGGCCATTTAGAAACACAGATGACTTGAATCAGAGGGAACCTGAAGGAGAGACTGTTAGATGTCTGATCCTTTATGTTTGAGATACTGGGGATGTGGAAGCCCTTTATCTGCATCTCACACCTGGAAGGTCAGGTAAGCAAGAAAAGATTTGTTACCTTAGACTTTGCCCAGTTCCCAGATCTAGTTATATCTGGCCTCTCTTATTTCTCTATGTGAACATGTATATGCTATAGATACTTAAAAAAAAGGCGGGGGGGAGGGGCCAGGCATGCTGGCTCACACCTGTCATCCCAACACTTTGAGAGGCCGAGGCAGGCGGATCACTTGAGGCCAGGAATTTGAGACGTGCCTGGCCAACATGGCGAAACCCCATCTCTACCAAAAATAACAAAAATTAGGTAGGTGTGGTGGAGCATGCCTGTGATCCCAGCTACTTGGGTGGCTGAGGCAGAAGAATCACTTGAACATGGGAGGTGGAGGATGCAATGAGCTGAGATTGCACCACTGCACTCCAGCCTGAGCAACAGAGGAAAACTCTTGTCTCAAAAAATAAAAATAAAAAGGAAAGAGGCAATATTGGTACAAATTTACTATTATTTAAGTTTACGCTGGAAAAAATAATGGCATTTCCTTGTAAAGGGAAAGAACACAATAAATAAAAGAAGTAAATTATAGTCATCCCTCAGTATCTGCAGATTGGTTCCAGGACCCCTGTGGATACCAAAATCCGCTGATGCTCAAGTCCCTGATATAAAAAGGTATAGCATTTGCATATAACCTATGCATATCCTCCCATATCTTTAAATCATCTCTAGATTATTTATAATACCCAATACAATAATGTAAATGCTATGTAAATAGTTGCTATATTTTATAGTTCAGTTTTTTTTTTTATTATTGTGTTGTTTTTTTTTTTTTCTTGAATATTTTTGACCTGCAGTTGGTTGAATCTGGGGATATATAATCTATGGATACAGAGTGCTGACTACATATCCATATTTTATCTAGCTATCTTATAAATTGAAAAGATTTCCAACTTAAAAACATGACACTAAAAAAAAGCTCATATTAATTGTGATGTTTTACAAATCACAACATCAGTACCTCTTATATATTTCATCTCATTTTAAATATGGTCTGGTCACACTTGGGGTCCTTTAAAATAATGAGATATTGTATAAGAATATGCTTAAGAATAGGGATCTGTATTTGACTGACAAAGGGTAATTAAAATCTATTTCTATCTCTATTTACCAAATACCCTATCTTTAATGCATTTTTGTAAATCTCTGGAAATCATAATATAGTCAAAGTTTTAAAAAGAAGACCTTAGGCTGGACATGGTGGCTCATGCCTGTAATCACAGCACTCTGGGAGGGTGAGGTGGGTGGACTGTCTGAGCCCAGAATTGAAGACCAGTGCCGGCAACATGGCAAAACACCATCTCTACAAAAAATACAAAAATTAGCCAGGCATGGTGGATGTGCCTGTATTCCCAGCTACACAGTAGGCTGAGGTGGGAGAATCGATTGAGCCTAGGAGGTCCAGGCTGCAGTGAACCGTGATAATGTCACTGCACTCCAGCCTGGGTGACAGCATGAGATCCTGTCTCAAAAAAAAAAAAAAAAAAAAAAAATCCTTAGTGACTACGGATATATATTCAGAATCTTCATTATTAACTCTATCAAAATATTAGAACTTTTATGAATTATGTACTTCTATTCCATTTTACTTTAGTTTAATGAATTGTGGTTTATTATTTAGATTTGGAGCATTTTTACCATTCTGACACTTACCCACTGTGGAAAAATAAAATATAAATTAGAGATAATTGTAAGTCCTTCAAATTGTACTTCCTAAAAATATGAATTCCTATTACCTATCTTTTAATATCGTCCTCTTTGCAGTTTTCCCTCTATAGTTAATGTTGTTTAGAAGTATTGCTTACTAGATATATGTGACTTGAAATTTACAGCTGTAACAGTACTGAAATAAAATTTAAGAGTTAAGTTCTAAATGACATTGGGTAACTCGTTAAACCCGTAAGAGACATGAACAAAATGGAAACAGTTCTTTTGGTCTATTTCTCTTACTCTAATTCTGTAAGGTTTAAATGATAAAATATGTAAAAATACTCTGTAAAATCCACAACATACCACAGACAAAATATTATCACTATGACTGCTGGTCTTCTAACAGCATATTAATTTACTGGAATATGTACTATATAATTCATTATAACTTTTTTTTAAACGGAAGCTAATGCTCTCTGAAATTCAAGGATGTAGGTATAAACTTGTGGGGAGACAGCTCACGTAGCTGGTTATGTATTGGATCTAAACCAAATAAAACTCTGGTGACTGCGGGGATTTTTAGCTATGGAAAGTAAATCACATAAATTGAGATACTAGAGTATAATTTTTCAACAGCTGTCAAAAACAACCTACCTAAAAACTGTAAGAAATGCAACTAAAGAAATTCTGCTTTGATAGGGTAAGCCTATCAAGGAATTTTTTTTTTTTTTTTAAGACAGAGTCTTGCTCAGTCGCCCAGGCTGAAGTGCAGTGGTGTGATCTCGGCTCACTGCAACCTCCGCCACCCGGGTTCAAGAGATTCACCTGCCTCAGGCTCCTGAGTAGCTAGGACTACAGAAGCTCGCCACCACGCCTGGCTAATTTTTTTATTTTCAGTAGAGACGGGGTTTCACCATATTGGCCAGGTTGGTCTCGAACTCCTGAACTTGTGATCTGCCCACCTCAGTCTTCCAGATCTTTAATATAAAAACACCTGCCTACTCCAGACAGGGAAAAATCTACACAAAAGCTTGGTACAAATGTATGGATAAGGTAGCAGAAAAACTCCATTGTTTTTCCATTTTTTCTTCCAGTAAACATAATATACTACATACTGTAAAAGCAACAGAATAATAGCAATAGAGTTTTTTCTTTCTCTTTTATTTATTTAACTAGATACTTACAACTGTTGCCTCAATTCAGGTGAATCTTGAGGTGTTCCAAGTTGATTCAGAGTTCTTTGTATTTCCACAGCTATTATAATAGAAAATTCATGTATTAATTGTCACAAAAGTTAAGGTAACAGAAAGAGTTAAAAATTAATATGTACAAGCAATTGGGCAGTTGAAAAGAGACAGAAAAACAAAGATGAAAATAGAAAATATTAACTGGAAAAAAGAATAACTAAATGGTTTACTTAAATCTAATTAGTAACAAAAATTTTCAAGAGGAAATTGTGTGAGAATGTTAACTTGTGAAAATGCACTTATGACCCAAAAATACTATCTTCTTCCTTATCCCATCAGGATATTATTAAGTAAATACAAGGGCACACAGACTTTAACACTACTAGCATAAAAATTGTGAGGAAATAAGTAACAATTACATATTTCATTAGAATATAATATAAATAAGTTATTGTTAATAAATGAGAGGAATAGAATTACAAAAAATCATTTTTCAATTATCCATGTAATAACTGATTTCAGCAAGGTCATCAAAAAATGCTAAAATCACAGGACATTCATACAACTTAAATTACCACCACACAGATGACATTAATTACAAAAGATATAACTTTATCATATATAAATCTGTTGTCTGAAAACAAATGACCAAATTTAGCAGTGAGAATGGAAAAAACTGACATTATGAACCTTGTGGCATGCTGCAGCGAGAAAGCCACAATATGATCTGAGGATTTTTCTTGCCAAAATATTTAACATGAATCTAATCACAAAAAGAAATTAGACCAGTCTAGACTGTGGGACAATCTACGAGATAACTTGCCTGGGCATTTAAAGACGTCAATGTCACAAAAGGGAAAAAAAAAGTTGACAAAGACAGAGGTGCTTTCTAAATTAAGGAATTAAAATACCCAAAAGACACTGTATGATTTTTGACTGGATTCTGAATCAGGAAAAAAGCAAGCACTATAAAGAAAATCATAGGGACAACTGGAGAAATTTGAATACAGAAAGTAAAAAACACATTAAACAAAAGTTGAAAAATGCCCACAACTGGCAAATCCAGGTGAAAGGTTCATTGTACTATATACTTATATATATATTTTGTGAGGTTTAGAAAAGATTTTAAAATAAAAAGTCCAGGGCTTAAAAGTCATGTTAAACTCACAATCCGGAAGTCTATGACTATTGCAATTTTTTTAAAAAAGGCTCTACACAAAAGGGGAGGACCTACAGTTTTATGTATGTGGGGACATAAATAAAATGTCATGGTACATAAATAAAACGTCAAGTAGAAATAAGCTGAAAATCCAAAGAACTCTTAACAATCTAACCCCCTCATTCTTTTTATTTAAATGAGTGGTTTACTTATATAGCTTAAATGCTTTAAAACTATTCATTATTTACATGCTCAAGGGAATGATAAAGTATTACAAAATGCAGGATAATTTTGGTCACCGCGAATGATGTAATAAATACTGCTTTTAAGTGAAAGCTGAAAAACAGAAACACTAGAGAAGAATCAAAGCATATAGCAACTCTTAGCATTTGGCTAATTTAATAGGAATTTATTTTTGCTTTTTGGGGGTTGATTTTTCCTTTCATAAGACAAACAAATTTTGTTTGCCGTGTTTAACTTATGGCTGCTTATAATTAGCTATATATTCCCTCTCAACCTCAACAGATTTTCTTGAACTGCCTTATAGGGGCTTTATTTTCTTAAGCGTATTGATAATACAAACTGTAGTATGGGCATCGATAGACTATTGGCAGGTATTTATCTCAACTCTAAAGTGTTATTGTTCTTTAGGAAAAAATCATAGCAAGTGAGAAAAAATAAATTATTTAATAAATGACACCAGGAAAACTGACTAACCATTTGGGCAGGGGAGAAAGAACCCTACCTCCCAGCATATAGCAAAATACATTTTTAATAAACCATTAATTTAAATAGTAAAATTGAAAATATTAAACTGCTCTAAGAAATATAAATGTTTTTATTATATGATCTTATACATGATCTTGGAGTAAGAGATATAAAATATTAGCTAAGCATGACACAAAACTAAAATCCACAGAGGAAAATATTGACAAATTTGACTACATAAAATAACTTGGTTAAATGTTATACAAAAAATGTGTACATATATCACAAGTATATATGTAAGTGTGTGTTCATATACACACAGGAGACAGTAACTGCAGGTTATGATGAGGAAAGAGGTTAAACTACAATGGTAATTATTTTTGGTAACAGAACAACAGCCCAGTAAAAAATGGACAAAGGTTATAATCTTGCAATTTACAAAAGGCAAATGTGTACATAACAAAACTTCAACTTCACTGATAATTAAACTTTTATGTTTCTGATTGGTAAAAATTATGAAAAGCAGTTGAGAATATAATTACAATCAAAGGCCTTAAAAACAAAAGGTAAAGACTACATAATATATAAGAAAGAGGGAGCAATAGTCAATAACTATAAATAATTTAGAAAATGTCAGACAATCCAGTAGAAAAATGGGCCAAGACACGTGTATATCTATATAACAAACATGCACGTTCTGTACATGTATCCCAGAACTTAAAGTATAATAAAAAAAAAGAAAAATGGGCCAAGAATAGGAACTTTAATATTCATGAATAAACTGAATAGCAAAAAAAGGACCGAAATGCATATCAATTTTGCAAAGTACAAACAAGTACACCACATGAATGCTATATAAAATTACTCAGCCAATTAAAGAATTGAGTAGAAATGGATTCTGACAGGCCCAATGGGAGCCTAGTTCCACCATGTGGTAATTTCCGGTTTCTGAACAGATATACTGAGCAACCCCCAGTTCTCACTCATACTCCCTGAGTAAGGGCTCTTATGGAAGGAAGAAATCATTGGAAGCCCCTGGGGACCCACTCTAATAAAAAAATAAAACCAAGGGCATTATCTATTCCCTGGGAATTACTCAGAAATGCCACCATCAAGGACAGAAAGAGCAGGGAGTGGACATGCCTCTCATTCCCATTTAACCGGCCTATCTGGAGAATGCAGAAGGCTAATGCTCATGATAACTAGCAAAAGCTTATTCAGGTGGTGACTCCAACTGCACTGTTCCTCAAAATGTGATGGATTTACTACAACAGAGCATCACAATCTCTAGCAACCTGTATATACCTGCTTATATGGCAAATACTTTTTGCTCTACCCTAAAGGACAGAGAACATGAGAAAGGATTTGCTATCAATGGGATGGGACATCAGCGAGCCTTCACAGGCTTATCTCACGGTTATGCACACTGTCTATCTTTGTACTACAATTTCGTTGTCAAGGATACGGATCATCTCCTCCTACAGGACACTACATTAGTCCAATACACTGGTTACGTCTGCTTTTAGGACCAGAAAAGCAGGAGGCAACATGTACTCTTAGATGCCTGCAAAGCATAAGTAAGCCAGCAGGTAGAAAATAAATCCATGAAAATACAGGGCAGTGTTTCCTCAGTGAAAAATCTTGGTGAATTAATCTGTAGATAACTGGCATACTTCTGCAAAGTGCTTTTCTTTGTAGCCTCAAGTACAAATGAGAAACAGACTTTTTATGCTGCTTCCACCCTTTACTGAATGACCCAAAGGTTACCAGCTTTAGCTTCAACTCCCAAAAAGAAAAGACCATCCAGCGAGTTCAAGTGGTGGTATAAGCAGATCTACAACTTGGCTTTAATGACCCAGCTGATGCAATGGTACATCAAGCCTGTGCAATTTCAGGGCACCGAAGAAAACTAGTAGCAAATCCCAATAGGAAAAACACAGGGGTCCCTTAGAATGTTGGAGCAAAACCTTCCTTTTGAGACTTGTTCTGGCCTTGCTACTGAGCCCTGGATAGAATAAACAATGGTACAAGGTAACCAAGTGACTCTAGCTGTTCACCATGAATTGTATCTTGTTGGTACAGCCTTTCTACATTTTGCTCTACGTATGTCAGTCAGCCTATCCCTCACCCCAACTCCTGAAGCACTTGTTCAGTGAAATAATAAACTAGCAATGGCTGTCAGAACAAAAGCCACATATAGACTCAACAATATGGATTTCCTCTTACTCAGACTGACATGACCATGGGTATTGCCGTACACCAATTTGCAGCAATAGCAATCTCATGTTATACTCTATTAAATCATTTTTGTTTGATTTTTTGTATTAATTTTTTCATTCATCCTTTGGACTTCCCAGATGCACATCCATACGCTCTACAGAGATGATTTTACCCATTTTATTTTCTATGGCTAATTATCTTTACAAACACTTTCAATAACGTGCTAATTTAAAAATAAAAAGTAAACTAGTGATGTGCCGTTGTTGAGGGTTGACCCAACTAGCTGCTCCTTCCATCTTGGAGGAGGCAGAATTTTATATTCACTTCAATGGTATTACTCTGGGTTCTGTTATGCATCCTCTAAGCACCCACTGTGCCCCCTGTGGCCCGTCCCCACTCCCCCGACCCCATGCTTCTACCAGACTCCTAATCCACCTATTAGTCACAATCAAGGTGTTCCACACACCGATGCTTCTGCTCAAGAAATTACAGAGAAAAAAAATTAACGGTGTTCCAAGGACAATGGGATTCACTGCTCTGCCATGTATTCTGTTATCTAGAAGCTGCTGGACTTCTAGAATGTTTACGGCCTACTGAGACTCAATCCTGGCACCACCTGGGAGACAAGCATCTTGGGAAACTGAAGGATCCTTATGGTCTCAAAGAACCACCACTCCATGGTGCTGTTTCACCTACAGCCAGAAAGAAACTTGGATTTGGGAAGTAACAGGTCGAAGTAAAGTCCAATATTTCACGATTACACCTAATTATCCATTTGTACAATTTTTTCCATCTCTCAAGGTGACTTAGAGACAACATCCAAGGGAGGAAAACAATCACGTTTTCAAGACTACAACTGGTCATTTAGGGCCAAGGTAGTATGTTGATTGAGGTAATTATTAAGCGGAATTTGGGGTACGCTCATACACAAGTAAAAGGGAGATGAACTGGAGGGGGCCTGATAATACTGCCATCTTCACTCATAAAAGTGAGTACCACATAGCCTGTGAGCAGGAGCAACAAGGACCCAGGGCTGAAAATCTGGGTTATCCCAAACAGCAGAGGTGCTGAAAGAAGGCAAGAGGAAAGTGGAATGGTTATTATAACAGGAAAATAGTAATACAAACTGCAGCCTGTGATCAGTTGTAGAGTGGTAACTTAGCACCTGCCAGTATTCTTTTTCTTGCTCTGCAATGTATATATTTAGATATATTAACTGTTCGTCTCCTTCCCTATTTCCTCCACTGTTATATATAGAATGTACCATTTGTGGTTACTCTGAGACACTGTTCCACAGGCTAAGGAATACTGCTGTTCAGTTTTGCTGAAAGAGGAGGAGCACACAGGAAATCACCCCCTAAATTTGGCATTGGCTACAGGAACTGAATAGACCTCAGTTTTATCCCTTCTGTGGAAATGGGAAAGGAGTTCTCGTTGCATGAGGGATAGCAGCAGTGTGTCACGCAGGAGCTTTTGTTTTTAAGCTTAGGTATGAAAAAAGGAGGCGTGTTCACTGTAGAAAACAAAAGGGATAAATTATAGTGAAATTTATTTTGGGCCACCTAATACCCAAAACTACTATTAGATTGGGATCTTTTTGGTTATAATATGACCACTGAGAAGTAGCACCACAGAGCCAATCTTTGGAGGGGGAAAAAAACTGGTTGCTAAAGCAACAAAACTGTTTTAAGATTCTTTGAACATTGCTTACCTTCATTATCATACAGGTGATTAATAATGAAAGTATTAGTCACTATCACTAACAATCTAGTTATAATCAAAAGCTACATTTACTCTGTGCTTTTGGTTTTGTAGATTTAGGTTTTATAGATACTGAAATTTCTTAAAAATCAAAGGCTCTGGCTAACAACCTCCTTGTCACTCTGAAACAATTTTTTAAGATAATACAATGTCTCATAAAATGAAGCCTCTCAGAAAACAACCATTATGTTATTGCCTAATAGAATGCATTTAACTAATGAGAGCTTCTCATGAACAGAAATGGAAGACAAGGCCCCCTACACTTATGCAGCATACAAACTAGAAAAGGACAAAAAAACCCCAAAAGTACAAACACCATATAAACTCAAAGAGGGTGCAGCAGCAACAAATGCTATAACAATGTTTCAAACAATGACCTATAATATGTGTGTTCTATTGGAGGACAATCCAAAAAGCTGTAATGAAGGTGGCATTTGTAATGGTTTGAAGGGTAAGAAATAGGACATTTCAGTTTGGAGATTCAAACCTCTAATATCATACTCAGACCTACACTGAAATGATCAGAATACCTATTAGTCACCCTAACTAGAAGGCAAATTTCTTGAAGGCAAGGCCTAAGTTTTATTCATTTTGGTTTTTCCAGAATTTATCATATTGTTGACCCTCAATGAATAGTTTTATGAGTGAACCATAAAAAGAATACTGGGAAGATCAAAACGTACGTAAGAAATAATATATATTTCTAAAACATACAGCATAAATAAATGGAGAGTTAAGAAAGGTAGTTATGCCCATTTATTATTCATTCATTGATTCACTCGACAAACATTTACTGGGCATCTGCTACGTACCAGGCACAGCGAGAGGGCTTCTGAACGTGAACATTAATTTGGTTGCATTCCTTTAAATTGAGCAGGTCTACACTTGAGGATCAATTAAAGGCATCATCTGATCAGGTGATAAAGGGCTTATAGGAACATAAATCTGAAACTACTAAATCAAATTTGGAAAAAATATTATACGGTATTAGTTCAATCCTATTTTATAAACAAAGAAGTTGAGAACCAGACAGAATAACTTGTTCCAAAAACTATAGCTATTTAGTACAAGAGCTAGGGTTAGAATGTAGATTTCTTGGTTTTCAAAAAACTTTTTTCAATGTGCTAAAAGGACTGAAAGTAAAAGATGTTAAAACACATTATTTCATAATCCAGGTGTGTGACAGTTGACAAAGCAAACAAAGAAAAAATAAGTGTGTCTAGATTGAAGAAGTAATTTGAAGGAGTTGAATTGAGATGTTAGATGTTTCCAGCAGTGCTCAAAGTAAGTTTAGGTCTGGCAGTGGATCACAAGGATCCTTCTTCCCAGCTGAAAGTGATCAAGGAAGAAACGCCTGCTCTTTCTCTGGGTTTTATGAACTGCCAAGATTCCACAGACTTGATTTTATATACTACTAGCATTAGCCTCCTACACCAGGGTCAACAAATTATGGCCCGTAGAGCCTGAAACCTGGTTTTGTACAGACTTCCAAGCTAAGAACTGTTGCTACAGTTTTAAAGGGTTAACAAAAAAGAAAAAAAAAAAGAAAATGAAAGAAAGTCTAAAAGAATCTGCCCTTTACAGGGAAAGTTGGCCAGTCTTTGTCCTCAGTTATTAAAAATTACTAAAACCTTGTATTTAAAAACTCAACTTGGCATGTTATTTGAATGTACTGTCATCCTTCACTATCCCTAGAGGATTGGTTCCATGCCTCCCTCCATCCACCTCCCAAAGACAACAAAATCTGCAGATGCTCAAGTTTCTAATATAAAATGGCATAGTATTTGCATATAACCTATGCACATCCTCCTGGAAATCACCTCTACACAACTTACAATACCTAATATATAATAAATGCTATGTAAATTGTTATAGTGTACTGTGTTTTATTTTTAAAATTTTTCTGAATATTTTTGTTCCATGGTTAGTTGAATCCATGCAGAATCCATGGAAAAGGAGGGCCTACTGCAGTCACTGCATTAAGTCTATCTAGTAAAATATTTAACAATGTCACAAAATTTCCATTGAACATGCATGTACACTGAGTTGAAGTTCTTTGATTCTCAGAATATGCTATTCACCCATCATAGGTGCTGGCTTGAGTACCTCATTTTCATCTGCTGCTCTTATACTAATTTAGAAACAAAACACTTTTTCATTGTTTTGGATGAGCATTTTTATAGCATATTTGCTGCAAAAATATTGTTAGCACTCTATCATGTTATTACTCTCTGGTTTTTGGCCATCTCCTAAGTTCTTCCCCTTCTAGAAGGTATGGATAGTAGGATATGTGGTTCACAGGATCTTCTGCGACACCCCAATTGACCATGTTCAAAAATGCTTGAGAAAAATAAGCTTAGAGAAAGGGAGATAAGAGGTTTCTAGTCAGATGACAAGCAGTATGGTGATCTGGAAAAATAAATAATCCTCCTACTTTCTCCCAAGTCCAGTCTGTAGGATTTCACTTCATTATCTAGCCTTAGGTGCTATGAATTTATAGGACAGTCATCTTCTATTTTGATTGGCATAGGTCCAATTAAAGAAAAAAACTCATGAAACAAGCCGCAGTCTTTCCAACCATAAAAAGAATTAAGAATAAACAGTTTCTTGAAGAAAAGTTCATCTAATGCATACAGGTAGGATTAAATCAACATGTGTCTCTACGAGAATACAAAGAAAAAATTATTTTTGCATTATCTACAATTTTGAACTATCTGTACCACTACTCACTTCCACAGACGTGACTTCAAAGAGTATGTTACATTTTTCATAACAGAAAAATAATACCATTTCCTACACATCCGAAAAAGATGCACTACTGGGTCATCAAAAACAAAACAGTGTCCCGTTTCTGGCTCTTCTACAGCAATGAAGATCCATTCTGTTCCACGTGGGTCTGCTGCCATCTAGTGGATTATTTAAGAAAAAAGCTTTACAGTAAAGAATAGTTTGTCATAAAATTGTAGGCTGAATTTGGTATCAGGGGCTATTAATACATAATGTTACCACCCGTCAGACTTCACCAGCAAATGGATGCTGTCTGACAAATGAGACTGGCCAGGCTGTGGCGGCATGGCAGATCAACCTAACACACACACAGAGTACCTTTAAAGAACTGTCTCCAAATAACTAAGAATAGCTATCTTCTCTTTTAGCAGAAAACATCTGTTTTCAACGTAAAATAACCAACTTGTAACAGCCAAACATAGAAAAAAAAATAATGGTTAGTAAAATCCCTGGACAGGTGATTTTGAGATTCCAACACAGACTCAGCCACATCACACTGAGGAAGAAGTACAATTGAAGGCTGACCAGCAAGTAGAGTTGGAGCCAGACAGCCTGATATCTCACTTCTTCCTGGCTGCTGACCCTGGGCAATTTACCTAATGTCTCCAAGCTATAATTGCTTCAACAGTGAGAAAGCACCTATTTCTCAGCTGTCATAAACTTTAACCGAGAACAATATAGGTAGGCACCGTGTACTGGATATAGTAAGCGCTCAACAGAGTCTGTTGTTCTCTTGAAGGTCAGAAATGAATAATAGGAATATTCTTATTAACGTTTTTTATTTAAATGCCACTTTATTGAGGTACAACTGACAAAGCGCATAAACTATAGTTTTACAAGTTTGGACATATGTGTACATCTGTAAAACCATCATCACACTTAAGACAGTTATTAGATTCTTCACCCTCAAAAGTTTCCTTGTTGTAGTTTGCAATTTCCTCCCTCCTGCATATCTGTTCCTTCCCCCCTCCATCACCAAGCAATCACTAATATGCTTTCTGTTGCTTTCTGTATTTTGCATTTTCTAAAGTTTTATATAAATGTAATCACAGAGTATTTATTCGTTTTTGAAAAAGGATGGTGTCTGGCTTAAGTTAGCCTAATTATTTTATGATTCATCCATGCTGTGTATATCAATAGTGCATTCCTTTTATTGCTGAGTATTCCACTGTATGATACAACACTATTGATGGACATTTGTGTTGTTTCCCGTTTTTGTCCATTACAAATAAAGCTCCTATAAGTATATGCCCTACAAGTCTTTGTATGGGCATATATTTAATTTTTGTGTGTGGATAAATAGAAGTAGAACGGCTGGATAGTATGACAGGTGTTACATTTAGCTTTCTTAAATCAGTCAAACTATTTTACAAAGTGATGCCACTTTACACTTCCACCTGCAGTGTATGAAAACTTCTGTTCCTCTACATCCTCTCCAGCACTTGGTATGCTCCGTCTTTTAAATTTTGCCAAATAGGTTAATAGTGGTATCCGTGCTTTTAATTTGTATTTTCCTAATAACTAATGATGTTGAACATCTTTTTATGTCCTATTTGTCATCTGTATATCTTCTTTGTTGAAGTGTCTGTTCAAATAACAATATTGTCTTCTGATCCATGATCAAGGTATATCTTCCCAATTATATAAGCTTTCTTTAATTTCAGCAATATTTTGTACTGTTCAGTGTTCAAGTGTTTCACTTATATTGCCTTCTAAGTATTTCATAATGTTTGATGTTATTGTAAATGCCAGCTTTTTAAATTTCAAATTTTTATTTTGATTGCTCATTGCCAGTATAGAGAAATACAATTTATTTTTGTACATTGATCAGATACTTACTAAATTGACTTTTTTATTCTAGCAGGCTTTTTTAAATTGTAGATTCCATCAGATTTTCTACATAGACATTTATGTCTGTGAATACAAATGGTTTTAATTCTTTTTTTCCTAATGTGAAGTCCTTTTATTTGTTTATATTATCCATCTGCACTAGATGGATCCTCTAGTACAATTCTGAATAGAAGTGGTGAGGGCAAGACATCCCTGTCTTGTTCCTGATCTTATAAAGGAAAGCATTCTGTCTTTCACCATTAAGTGTGACACTCTGTAAGTTTTCATAGATGATCTTTTGTCAGGTTAAAGAGCTCACTTCTACTCCTAGTTTACTGAGAATTTTTGTTAGGAATGGAAGTAGAATTTGTCAAATGCTTTTTCTGCATCTATTGAGATGATTATATAGGTTTTCTTTTTAAGTTTGTTAACATAATGAACAATATTTATTGCTCTTTCAGTATTAAACCAACCCTGAATTCCTGGGATATACTCCACTTGTTACATCCTTTTAAAATATTGGTGATTTGATTAGTTAAATTTTGTTTAAATTTTCTGCATTTATGTCATGAGATGAAATGGATGTGTAGTGTTTTTTTCTGGGTTTTTTTTTTTTTTTTTTGAGACAGAGTCTTGCTCTGTCATGCCCAGCCTGGAGTGCAGTGGCGTGACCTCAGCTTACTGGAACCTCCTGCTGCCAGTTCAAGCGATTCTCCTGCCTCAGTCTCCCAAGTAGCTGGGATTACAGGTGCCCGCCACCATGCCCAGCTAATTTTTTGTACTTTTAGTAGAGACAGAGTTTCACCATATTGGCCAGGCTTGTCTTGAACTCCCGACATCAGGTGATTCGCCAGCCTCAGCCTCCCAAAGTGCTGGGATTACAGGCATGAACCACTGCACCCAGCCTAGTAGTGTTCTCTTCTTTTACTGTCTTTATCTGGTTTCAATATAAGGATTATGCTGACCTGCTAAAACGAATTCTTCAATTTTTTGGAACAGTTTGTGTACAATTAGTTAAATATTTGATAGATTACATTAGTGAAGATATTTGAGTCTGGTTCTTTGTGAGAAGGTTTTAAGTTGTAATTTCAATTTCTTGATATAGAGCTAGGCAGGTTACTGACTTCTTTTTGAGTGAACTTTGATAATTTGTGTCTATCAAGGAATTTATCCATTTCATCTAAGATGTCAACTTTATTGTCATAAAGTTGTTTATAATACTCTCTTAATTGCAGCCATAAAAAAAATGAGTTCATGTCCTTTGCAGGGATATGGATGAAGCTGGAAACCATCACTTTCAGCAAACTAACACAGGAACAGAAAAGCAAATACTGCATGTTCTCACTCATAAGTGGGAGTTGAACAATGAGAACACATGGACACAGGGAGGGGAACATCACACACCAGGGCCTGTCAGGGGATGAGGGGCAGGGGAGGGAGAGCATTAGGACAAATACCTAATGCATGTGGGACTTAAAACCTAGATGATGGGTTAGTAGGTGCAGCAAACCACCATGGCACATGTATACCTATGTAACAACCCTGCACGTTCTGCACATGTATCCCAGAGCTTAAAGTGAAATAAATAAAATAAAAACCATTTCAAAGGAAAAAACCTTTAAATATATGATAGATTCTGTAATGTACAGAATATATGTAAATATGTATAGATTTTTACATATAAAATATGTAGAATTTATAATATATCATCTCTCTCATTCCTGATATTAGTAATTTGTTTCTTCTATTTTTTTCATGTTCAGTCTGGTTAGATGTTTATCAGTTCTATTGATCTCAAAGAAATAGCTTTTGGTTTCATTGATTTTTTTTCTCCCTTCGATTTCCACTATGATTTGTATTTCCTTTGTTCTGCTGACTTTGCAATTTCGGTTGTTTTTTCTAAATTTCTTAGGGTGAAAACTGACGTCATGATTTGAGACCTGTCTTCTTTTCTAATACAGGTGTTTAGTGCTCCCTTAAGTACTGAGTTAATACCATCCAACAAATTCTGATATGTGATGCTTTCATTTACGTTCAGTTCAGAATATTTTCCAATTCCTCTTTTTGGCTTTCTCTTTGATCCATAGCTTATTTGAAATGTGTTTGGTTTTCAAACATTAGGGGATTTTCCAGGGATCTTTCTGTTACTGAGTTCTAATTTAATTTCACTGTAGTCAAGGAATATTATCTTGTATGACTTGAATCTTTTAAAGTTTGTTGAAACTCTTGATTAATGACAGGAATAGAGTCTATCTTAATAAATGTTCTGGGTGCACTTGAGAAAAACGTGTGTTCTGCTGTTGTTGAATAGACTGTTCTATAAGTGGCTGTCACCATCAAGGTGATTAGTACTTTGAATCTTCTGTATCCTGATTTTGTATCTACTTGTTTTATCAATTATTCAGAGAAGGGTACCGAAAGCCATAATTGTGGCTTTGTCTATTTTCCTTGCAGTTTTGTCAGTGTTTGCTCCATGTATTTTAAAACTGTCTTATGAGGGAGTTCTCAGTTTTTTTTAAGTGTTCAGCTTCTTATTTACATTTCTTGACTATCTAATGTGAACCATACTTGAGTGCTAATACTTAATAATCTATGATATAATTATAAGAATTGTAGAGATGATAAATATCAATTGACAAAAGATAGTTATAGCCCGTAATTGGGAGGGAGGAGTCAGCTACTATGTGCCAGTGACATGTATCTAGCAGTTGCATATAAGTGACATATTTAAAACAGGACTAGAAAAAAAATCTAAATATTGAAAGAAACAAACTCTGTTTTAGACTCCAATCTTTCCTCGTCTATCAAACCCTCTAGCTTTGTTAGAGGGTGGTTTGGAGTGTTAAACAAAGTGATATAGGCCAGGCGCAGTGGCTCGTGCCTGTAATCCCAGCACTTTGGGAGGCCAAGGTAAGCAGATCACTTGAGGCCAGGAGTTCGAGACCAACCTGGCCAACATGGCGAAAACCCATCTCTTCTAAAGATACAAAAATTAGCCAAGTATGGTGGCACACCCCTGTAGTCCAAGCTACTCGAGAGGCTGAAGCACAAGAATAGCTTGAACCCAGAGGAAGAGGTTGCAGTGAGCCAAGATTGTGCCACTGCACTCCAGCCTGGGCAACAGAGTGGGACTCTGTCTTAAAAAAAAAAAAAAAAAAAAAAAAAGGATGATATATATGTAAACATTTTAGAAATGGCATAGATCTTTGTAAGAATAAAAGTACAAGATGTTATTACTAATAAGTCTTGTACAATTAGAGTTAGGATCCAGGTTCGTTATAGGGTACAATGTGTAGAGAAAAATGTATCATTAGAAATACCCATGTCTATCTATTTTTCAAGAAAAACCAAGAAAAGTGTATTAAAATTCTAAAAAGTGTATCACAAGTAGAAAAACTTCCTGGAGAATGTGAAGGATGGCTACTAAAATAATTCTGGCTTTTCCCCTCTAGCACTAGTATATCTCATGCTCTGTCTTATGACCTGAAGAGAACACTTGTCTTCTTTGTGAGCAAAAGCACTGATCCAAACTGCAGAGACGAGAAAGTGTGGGAAGGGAGATGGAGAAGGATCTTCTAAAGGATGAGTCTCGAGGCTGGAAGCTCAATGGAGAGCATCCACCCGCAAGGCCCAACTACACTGGCTTCCTGTGCTCCCCTTCCCAGCACAGAATATCTGAAGGCATAGCCCGCTTCCACAAAGCAATCTCAAATTTACAACACACTTAATTTTCACTTTGTCATTGGTTCTCTTCCCGGATACTTTAAAGGTAGAAAGGCATAAAGGTCAAATCAGTGGAAATTTGGGGGCATTTTAAAGCTATTGTAGATTAATAAAGGGTTAAATCTGAGGGCACAGTTCTTAAAAATAAAGTACAAAAACAAGTCATCTAAAATTGTATGTAAACAATAATTTGGACTTCTAGATGGCTGGAACATTACAAGCTGGGTCTTTTAGCAAATTTATTCATCCTAACATTTTTCACATGGATCTGCTCAGTTTACCTGCTCTGAGGTAGTCTGGAATCAGAAGCAACAACGGTTCCATAACAATGTGATTTGTGTAAGAAGCAAACAGGAAAGGACTGGGCAGTGGTGAGGCCTTGCGCCTTGCAATTCCCCAACCCCGCTGACACATCTTTTGCCCATCATGATGAGCTTCCTTCCTGTCATCCACTCGAGGGCCCAATAATTCTCCTACTGCTCCAAAAGCAGCTGAATTGTTGTCACGAGTTCCCCTCTAGTTTACAGGCAGTGATTCCCAAACCTTTTACTTCAGTCATTTCTGATCAGTTCTAACTGCCAACACATGCTGGCAGCTGTTTCTAAAACACTGAAAATCGATTTCTGCTTCTTATAGAAACACGGTAGAAGCATGTTTCTGAATATTCCTCCTTCTTCCCTCCTCAAGGCATATTATAGAATGGGGGAGCAGGTAGAAAACCCATAAAAATTACATTTTCAGAGAAATTAACACAAAATGTGTAAATATGACCAAATTCTCAAAAACGTGTACATACGGCCAAAAGCAACAGAAAATAGCAGGTCCTGAGCAGGAAGCCGTATGGGTGGGGCGGAGAATAACCGGGGTTGCAGAGCTCCACACTGTCACCAGCAAATCATCAGAAGAGCTGATCCCACCCAGAGTGAGAATGGGCAGAAGCAGGGCTGAGAAGCACCGGGGACTCTGCTGGAGAAGGTGGGAAAAGGAGACACGGAACAGATTCAGGAGGCCATGGGCTGCCGACCCTACTCAAAAACCAGGTGGGGAACACCTTGGAAAGAGGTGTCTGTGCATCTTGGGGCCGATGAAGTGATTGGGATGACATCAGGGATGGAGCGGGAAGCCCTCCTACACCAGGCTAGGGGCTGAGAGGCAGAGGAGGAAAGAAACAGTCCCTCAGTGCAGCACAGCACAGCACAGCACAGCACAGCAC
Source organism: Homo sapiens (assembly GCF_000001405.40). NCBI lineage: Eukaryota > Metazoa > Chordata > Mammalia > Primates > Hominidae > Homo > Homo sapiens. The sequence continues at coordinate 132,490,997 of NC_000006.12, forward strand.
AGCACAGCACAGCACAGCACAGCACAGCAGAGAGAATAGAGCCCTTGAGCAGAGAAATGGGCACTTCCCTCTCCCTCCACAGGAATCTCCTGCCAGGAAAATCAAACTCATTCCATTGAAAAACAAAAAAAAATGGGGAGAGTAACCACACAAAAGACTATTTTAAAATGTGGAAAAGAACAGTAAAACTCCCTAAAAGAACTCACAGCAGGAGAACATGTTGCCACAAAGTGAATATGGTAAAAATTATACCCCAAAATACCCACAGGATTAAAAGAAAAAAAAAAAACTCAATGAAGTAATCACAGTTTAAAGGAAGATCACAAAAGAACTCTTAAGAGATGGCCAGATAACATGCATGCACTGACTAACTAGAGACTGAAGGAACTCAGAAAAGAAGGACAAATTCAAAAATAAAGACCCCATGACAAGAAGCACAATAACAGACAGACGCAGAACACATCAGGCCTCATGATCACCACCCACTGCAGGTTTAGTCATTTTAGGTTCCTTGGGCCGCCCCTCACTCTTCATTGGTTGTAGTTTCTGGCTCGCTGCCATTCTGTCCAACATGACTCCTATCTTAATTTTTTTGTGATTTCAATACACAGGCTGACGATCCTTCCACCATCCTGCTGGCCTCCATTCTTTGCACACGTCTCCTACTGAAATGATTCTGTCCTCCACCCTCCCTCAGCCACACACTCCAAGATCCCATCAAACACCTTCTCATTACCAGGAACTGTCACTCTTCCATAATCTTGGTTTCAGGCAATCTACTTAGAAATCACCTCCTGCATGTCCAGCTCACTCCCCTGGCCCCAACTCCAACCTGCCATCCATTGATCCTGCCACTCTGCCACATTTCCTCACCTCCAATGTCGTCACCCACTCCCTAACCAACTTAAACTCTGGAGTCAGTCCATATCCAGACTCTTGCATATATCTTAAGCCCCTCTCTCCCTTCTTAACCACTTGACAAAATCTAAAATTCTGGTTGAGTCCAACATTGCACTGCCTCTGCACCAGCACTGCACTCCTCTCCTCATAACCCTTGCTCCACCCAGAGTAAAAGTCCTTACACCAGCCTGCAAGGCCCTACCTGACCTGGTACCAACTCTCTCTCTTCCCTCCTCTCCATTCCTCTAATGGCCAGGGGTGCTTAACTCTGAGGGCCCATGGACATGCTATTTCCCCATCTAAAATACTCTTTCCCTAGATACTGTGGGACACATTCCCTTCCTTCCTTCAAATATGTGCTCAACGAGGAACTCCTCAGTATGGTCCATCCCAACTCCCCGTGCACCCTATTTATCAAATGCAAACCCCTCTCCAGCACATGCCGGTATGTTTTTGTCATTGTTTCTTTTTGTAACACTTAACATCTCCTTCTAACATATGACATAATTTACTTATTTATTTTATGTCTGTCTTCTCTCATTAAAGGTTCACTCCATAAAGGCAGGTATTTTTATTTTATTCGCTGACATAGCTTCAGCATCCAGACAGTCCCTAGCACATCACAGGTGTTTAATAAATACTCACACAGGGAATGAACATAAATGCACAAGTAACACCCTGGTACAATATACAGCATGATCCAAATACACCATGTTATATGAACCAGACTCTCCTGGGCTCAAATACCAGCTTTGCCACTTAACAGTTGTACAAACTTGAGCAAGTGACAACCACTCCAAACCTAAATTTTCTCACCTGACCAGGGTGACTGGAAGATCAAAAACAATGCACAAAAAAAGGAATAAAAGATACCTAATACAAGGCACAAAGTAAACAGTTAATTAAAAATAGTTTTAAAATACTAGCTTACATATCTTCCAGAAAGAGATTATTGAACAAAGCAGGGTATATAGGAAATACCATACAACTAAAATCACTGGGTGTACTTGGGCCACCCTGCCCCACTCTCCTCCCATGCCCAGCAGCAAGGCAGTGTACTGGGTATTCACAAATAAGCAGGCCTTGGCTGGATATCTGTTGAAGGTTTCCATGCTCCCAAGCAGGAGAACAGTCCACAGACTAGGACAGTATCTTGGTGATGTCTGTGGGCATTTTCTTTGACTTTATATGGAATAAAAGGCAAACTATCTTAAAGAAGTAGGTGGCCATACTCAATATCATTAATACGTAACTTCAAATAATGATAATGATAATGATACTATAATGAGAAAGAAGAGTAGGAAAATAAATGTACCAAGACTTGCAGAATAATATCTTGTATGACTTCTAGTTTTTTCCTAAGCAACTAATAGGCACACCAATTAACAATTGCTTTAAGAAAAAAAGTTTGGATTAAGTATAAAGGGCAATCACTGTTTGATATGGTTTGGCTGTGTCCCCACCCAAACCACATCTTGAATTGTAGCTCCCACAACTCCCACATGTTGTGAGAGGGACCCAGTGGGAGATAATTGGATCATGAGGGTGGTCATTCCTGTGCTGTTCTCATGATAGTGAATAAGTCTCATGAGATCTGATGGATTTATAAAGGGGAGCTCCCCTGCACAAGTCCTCTCTTGCCCATGGCCATGTAAGAAGTCCCCATGCTTTTCCTTCGTCTTCCGCCATGATTGTGAGGCCTCCCCAGCCATGTGGAAATGTGATCCATTACACCTCTTTTTCTTTATAAGCTACCCAGTCTCAGGTATGTCTTTATTAGCAATGTGAGAATGGACTAATACACTGTTTAATAAAAACATTGTTCAGTAATTGGTGAAAACAACAAAAAGGGATCAAAGAGATGAGGACCATAATTGCCAAAATCACTACAGGAAACCAAAACTAAATGCCAAGCTTAACTTATACTGTTCGATTCCTACTTCAGCACCAAATCAACCAAAATGTACAGAGGGACAGCCTCACAGGGCAGTTGAGTAGCCACTACACAACTAACCATGAATATGTGTAATCAAAGAGAAACTACCCTGTCATACAATTACTGAGCATAGATCATGTTGGAAAATAACTAGTCATTATTATAGAAATTCTTAAATAAATGTAGTATCAAAACATACACATGAGGATTTTTATCACATGGTCACCATGACACTTTATCTACAGAGAACTCAGAGGATTCATTTGTGGAGGCACCACAAATGGTTAGGTTCTCAGGTTTTTAAACATATACACTTAGGATAAAATGTCTGTTAATGAAGGATTAATTAAAATCATTTAATGGCATAACCACATAAAAAAGTAAGCAACCAATAACAAGAGAAAAAAAAAGTAAGCACCAAAAAACCTGTATAGTGTGATCTCAATTTCATTAAAAAATGAACGAATAAAATTATGTGTAAATACTTCTGTAGCCAAGACATGAGCCCTTTATCTCTGGGGGCCAAGGTTTTAGTAGGAAAGTAAAAAAATAAGTAAACAATAATAGTACTTTAATTTACTGATAAAAGGCAATATAAAAACAAAACAGGTTAATGAGAAAAAGAATGACTGGAGGAAGCAAAATGATAAGGCAGGGAAGACATTGCTAAACAAGTGAGCTTTGGGCCCTAAGACCTGAATGCCAGAAAGAAACCAGTTACATGTAGATCTGGGAAGATGTCTGAAGCAGAAGAGGAGCAAGTGCAAAGGCCCTGAGGTGAGGATGAGCTGACTGTTCACTAAGCAGAAAGAAGATCTACCTGGTGGAATGTGGAGCAGCAGAGCAGCACCATGGGAGAGAGTGGTAGTTGACAAGTGGGGGCAGGGATCAGATCTTGAGGATATTGTGGGGCATGGTGGGGATTTATATCTGATTATAAAAGCCACAGAATTTAACTGTTGCCTTTCAAGCTATAGGATGACATGATCTGATTTACAGTTTTACAGGTTTACCTTGGCAACTATTTGGAGAAGACGGAAAGAGGCAGGAATGGAAGTGAGGAGAACAATTTGGAGACTGCAGTCATCCAAAGAAATAGCAGCAGCTTGAGCATATGTGGTAATGGCAGAGATGGAGAGACACAGACAGATCTGACCGGTAGAACCACTAAGATTTACACTTAGATTAAACAGAGGGAGTGAAGACACCCATTACTATGGTTTGGGGTTGGAACCAAGGGTAAGAAAGTTCATGTTCAGGGCAGAAGCATATGTATGGTTCACAGATAGGAGAGTGAGGGATAAAGCTCCTTGAAGCATCTTGGAGCCACATCTTAAAGATTTAGTTCATAAAACAAAGAATTCACTCATATCCGGCCATAAACACCATGTTCAGTCATAAAGGAAAAGTCACTGAAGAGAAGAAAAGTTGTCACACTCTGTTAAAATTTCCTTGGACAAGATAGCAACTTTCACATCTATCTCTGTTTTATGTTAGCACCTTAGGCATGAAGAAAATCACAATGAAATAAAAACTACTGAAGTTTTTCTCCTCTAAGTGGGGGAAAAAACCATCCAACCACATTTTCAGATGTGCAATCTTAGACATAAATATTTCAAACAGCATTTTAGGAGGAGGGAAGCAACAATTTTTCAACTCTTTTTCCTTTAATAAACTGCCTTCCCATCCCACCAACAGATTACCCCAGAAAAAAAGGAAACATTCTTAATTCCTGAGTAAATATATGGTTCCAGTAAATTCATTAATTTCTCAGGACTGGAGCTCCTTTTTTAAAAAAATATTTGCCCTGGCACCAAAAAAAAAAGTGATAATATTAGCTTCCCTTTTGTGCAGTCATGTGTTAAAATGCAAAAACAAGTGTCCCCTTCACCAGACCCTAACTAATTAAAAGAACTGTGATCATTCTAAAAGTAACAAAAGGGCTCACACTTTTACATAGACTTTTAATTTCATCTCAAAGAACCTTATGGGGACAGGAGCCATGCACCAATTCTTAATAAACAATTTTGAAAAGTATACTTGCAGCATAGGAAGCTAATTATAACACAGAGAAACCAAAAACATCTGTTTCGATTTTAAACTAAAGTCTATGCTGAACTAATACCTTTAATCTGTAGGAGAGATGATTAAAAATGAAACAAGTGAAGATTCAACAAAAATATTTTTCAGTCACCTTCTCTTAGCACTTAAAAGCTTACGTTCATACTTTATGTGCCCCTAGAAGGTTCTGTCTTTCCAAATTTTCTGGAAAAAACACACATCCACAAGCCCATGTGATACATGATGCATATTTTAGCAGAAACTTCTATACTCATAAATTCTGATGAGTAGATTTTATGTTTCCAATATATCTGTTTTATTCACTTTCCAACTTTAGCCACACTACATCTTCCTCTTTCAGGTTATTATTTTAAAAAAAAATACTCAAATGCGAGAATTCACATTAGCACTAGTGGAAAGGCTTACTATGTTATTTAGGAGTTAGGGAAATTTTTATCTCAAGGACTGTGTTTCATAGCTATTCTCATTTCTATTCACCAATTTCCTTCAATACAAAATTTTGTTAATTCTGACAGGATACAAACCTCTGTGCCCCAGCTTTCCCATCTCCTAACACTTAAAAATAATACATAAGCCTTGGTGGAACTCTAGCTAGTCTTGAGTGTGATGGCTTCTTCAATTATGGGATTTTATGAGCATGCATTATGGATTCAGATATGGCAATCAGCCTCTTAACAAAACATAGAATAATCTTGTACCTGTTAGAAGAGTTTCGGGACTCTTAAAAAACTTTGGTTAGAATTATTGCCTGTTAAAGTTTGAAGAGACCATAACCTAGCCCACAGAAAATACACATGAGAAAACCATGTCTTGGAAGGTTCGAGAGCTTACTCAAGGTCACACCGCTATTTGGATCTGATTTCAGGAAATGTACATGCAATCACATACAGCTTGCTTGATTAGAAATGTTTCCGATTATCTCATTGATTTCTTTAGCTCAGCTACACTCTAAAAACTCTGATTCTAATCAGAGAATTGCAAAGTAAATCATGAGAAACCTATGACTAAAATGAATAAAAAGCTGTAAACATCAAATGTTGACAAGGACTTTGAGCAGCACAAACTCTGATACACTGGCTGTACTCATATCTGGTACAACCACTTTAGGACACTGTTTAGCTGTTATCCACAAAAGCTGAACATAAACATATCCTATGAGCCAGTAACCCAATTCCTTCACATACATGCACCAAAAGAACATATAAGAATGTTCTGGGAAGCATTGTTCATCCTAGCAAAAAATAAAAACAAAATCAAAAACTGGAAACACTACAACCAGTAGAAAGAATAAATAAATTGTAGTATGTTTAAATATGGAATACTATACAGTAACGAAAACAAATGACCTGCAGCTGCATGGATGAATCCCACAAACATAATGAAAGAAGCCCAACATAAAATAATTCTATTTGATTATTGATTCTATTAGATTAAAAAAAGGAAAATTAATCAATGATGTTAACAAAGTCAGGACACTGGTTATCTCCGAAGGGCATGAAGGGGTGTAAGCACAAGAAGGTTTTAGGGGACTAAGGAATGTTCTATTTCTTGACATTTGTGGTAATACAATAGAAAATTCATTCAGCTATACACAAATAATTTGTCTAGTACTCAATGTATACATTATACTTCCATTTTTAAAAAGTCTGAAAAAGCAAGCCTGTGTTTACTTATGTGATGTATTTTGATATATTGATTCTGCTGCTTTTAAAAACATGAGTTTCTCTGTGTGTTCTCAAGACATTTTTCTATGTTGTTTGTGTTTGGGCAAGGATGAATGGCCCTTGTGAAAATGCCTACTCTGGTTTACCTATATGATAGGTACCTTATACTTATAAACCCACAAAGGCTTGCTTATCCTTATACTATACATCACAGCTAGGAGTATGTCTGACAGAAAATATGGAGAAATGATAGAAGGTAAACAGGCATAGATGTTGCTAATAAAAATGTCACTTTTGAACATCTCAATCCAAAGTTTGAAAACTAAATCTAAGCCTTTCTAAGAGGCATGGTGATCTTCTAGACCTGTGATAACAAACGATTTTGTTTGCCTGCCAACTCCAGTCTACTGGGAATGGTTGCCTGGAGCCTTGGGTTGAAAAAGACTGGATGGCATGCTAGGCCAGCAACAGAGAATACTGTCTATGCCATGGGTAAAAGATGGAGCATGGGTGGCACAAGGGCCTTGTTGACTGTTACGGAGTCAACGCTTTCTCTCATAGGATACAAATATTTTCTTAATCATTTTAAACTGTCTACAGAGCCTGTAATAAAGTCATAGTTTGTTATAACTATTTACCAGTTTTATTATTTTAATATAATTAAATTTCTAATTTATTTTACATGTAAGCATTTACAATATTTAAATATTTTATGCTTAATATAAATTATATCATTATAATATGGTTTAAATGCTTTACTGGTGAAACAAATTCAAAAGACTGCAGATGGTCTTAAACCAAAAAAATGGTTTAAAAATATTTTTGACTGCCATTTTCCTTTTTTGGGGGTATAAACTAAACCATAAAACTTAATATTTTATAAGTGTTTATTTCATCAAAACTAATGTGAAAATAAACTTTCCCACTGCAACACTCAAGAAGACTTTAGCTTTAGTTTAACAGATGCTCATATTCTAATTACAGGTTACCTTACTTACAGCATCTTCTCTTTAGGTTTCTTTTGTAAAATCAGATAATTGTACTGACACAATTTCAAAAGTTGCAAATGTAGTGTGAAGAGAACCTAAATGTGGTGCAAAGTATCATTTTATTCAATCGCACCCAGTATTATTAGCATTACCAAATGGGGAAAAAAGTGAACTGAAATTTCACACTTCTGCCTTTCACTTCCACGTGATTTCTGCATAGCCCTTATCAGTACACATACTTGACAGTAGTTAGATTTTTAACAATACTTTATCTAATCTAAACTCCCCTTCATTTAGACATTGAATCTCAGAATTAGAAAAAGTACAGTGATGACTGGTTTCACTAAATTCATGGCCCCAAATCTTAAATGTATACTCAACACATTTGCTAAACCCCCTTCTTTCCCGCCCATTCTCTATCTGATGACCTTGCTTCCCATTTCATTTAAGAACAGACCCACTCAAACAGGAAATCTCCCATGTTTGCCCACCATGTTTCCATCTGTACCACACGTAGCCTCACCTCTATACGGTGGATGAAATGTGAACTTGCTAGTGGTCCATTCCCATGCCCTCACTTTCAAAACATTTCCTTTGCAATTATACGCTTACCAGAATTTCTCTGTTGCAGTGTAAAATGGAACCCTTTCTTTGATCCTCTTTCTACTTTCATAGCAGAGTCTGCTAGTTGCCTACTAAATATTGATTCTCTCATCCTTCTTTCTCAAATAGAATAATCCCCAATTTTAGTGAGCACACTGAAATCCTGCTAAGATGTTTTCAGCCTCTCTGGCAGCTAGGTGTAGCCACCTGATCAATGACATAAGCAGAGATGAGGAGAAAATCTGGAAAGTCTCTTTAAAATGGAAAGAGTGGGTGCTTCTCCTTCCCTTCCTCCATCTACACTTGCAATATGGCTATGAGAATGTTCTTTTCAAAGTCACCAGTTTACCAAATCCAATTATCTGCTTTTATCTTAGTCTCTCAGCAGCATTAGGGAGAGATAATGCCTCACTCATTCTTGAAACATTCTTTAATTTCTAGAAATCTACCACATCTTGATTTTTATCTTACCTCACAGGTCACTCCTTAGATTCTTCATGCTACCTTCCTGATTTCCACATTTTTTAATGTTCCAGGCCTCTTCTCTTTCCTCACTCTTACGTGATTACTTTACACCTATGGTTTTAAATACCATTTATACTCTGAGGACACTCTGACTTCCAAATTCCTGTATCTAAAGTAGATGTTTGATATCTCCACTTAGATATCTAAATGATATCTCAAAATATACTTAGTCAAAACAAAACTCTCCCCTACTTGTCCTGAACTGTAGTCCCTCCCGTTTCAGTACACACTTGCCACCACCTAGTCGGTTGCTCAATGCAAAAACTATGGAGTCATCTTTAACTCCTTCCTTCCTCTACCATCCCTACCCACATGCATCAGCAAGTCCCGCTGGCTCTACCTCCAAAACACACTCATTGCTTCTCTCCATCCCCACTGCCATCACCCTGGTGCAAGCCAGCATCCGAGCTCTCCCCAGACCTCTGTGATGACCAGCATACCTCCCTGCTATTCCCTCAATGTCTATTTTCTAAGCAGCAGCCAAAGTAATTTTTTCACAGTGTAGATCTGATTATGTCTCTCCTCTGCTTAAATGCCTCCAGTGATTTCCACTGCCTCTTAAAATGAAATCTAAACTTCCTGAACCACCTGCAAGGCCCCAGCTGACCCGCCAGACCCCTCTGGTTTCATCTCCTGGCACTCTTGCCCCAGATGCTGTGCTTCAGCCACACTAGCTTTTTCCCTTTTCCCTATTTTCTGAGTATTTCAAGCCCAGGTCTGCTTTTGAATTTTTAATGCTAGTTATTCCTTCTGTCTGAAATGCCCTTTCTCTGAATCTTCTCACTACCAGTCCCTCCTCATCCTCATTCAAAGACCATCTAAAGTAAAGGTAGCTTCCCCAGTCACTTGCTCTCACCTCACTTTCACTATATTTTCTTTACAGAAAGTTAAGTTGCTCATTATTTCTCCTTACTACACTGTAAACTACAATGAGAGCAGGACCTTATAGATTGTTTACTGCTACATTCCTACAGTTTGGAACAGTATCTAGCAAGTACTATGTATCCCAAAAATTATTTGTTGAATGAATCACAATAGAATATCAAAATTAAAACCCTCTTAGTCTGAACCATTATTCCTATGTTTAAAATTCTTATTAATAAGTCTGAGAAATATCTGACCATCCTTTTTCTGGTCACTGATAAGGAATCTCATTCCTCCTGAGGGAGGCAATTCTACCTTAACAACTTGGATTATTCAAAAGCCCTTCCTCCTTCTCAAGGTGAAATCTGACTACCTGTAGCTTCCGTACATTTGTGGAGGCCCCTATGTTCATGCAGGACATATGGCTTCTGTTTCACATATGACAGTGATTCAAACATCTGCAGATGGTGACTGTACCTTCACCTGCATGAACAGTCCCTGTCTTTTTTTTTTTTTTGAAATGGAGTTTTGCTCTTGTTGCCCAGGCTGGAGTTCAATGGCGTGATCACTGCAACCTCCGCCTCCCAGGTTCAAGCGATTCCCCTGCCTCTGCCTCCCAAGTAGCTGGGATTACAGGCATATGCCACAACAGGCCCAGCTAATTTTGTATTTTTAGTAGAGACAGGGTTTCTCCATGTTGGTCAGGCTGGTCTCGAACTCCTGACCTCCCGTGATCTGCCTGCCTCGGCCTCCCAAAGTGCTGGGATTACAGGTGTGAGCCACCATGCCCTGCCAACAGTCCCAGTCTTCTTAACAGCTCTTCACATAGACTGTGGAGTATCATAGCCAGACCTTCACATGATCCAATACTGCCCCGGATGTACTCGCACACTTAGCTACCAACCTGCCATAAATATTCAACTCTGGCCCAATCTGTCACTTCTCATCCTCTGGATCAACTGATCTCTTTCTTAGGGAACATGGCCTGATTTAAGTCAACTCTTTTCTCCTTCCAGTTCATGTTCACACACAATCTTCAATCCATGTATCTTTCATACTACCTACTGCTTGCTACTTCTACAATCTCAGTACAGGACAGTCATTCCTCATCCTCAATTCCTAACACTGTTTAGCTTTCCCAACACAGGATGCTTATCCTCTTCTTTGGAGAAAGGCCTCTTGGCCTCCTTTCTTGCATAAAGGTCCTAATTTTCCACATATGTAATTAGAATTATAAACTTCCTTAATTTTTGCACAGGTAGCCAGATACACTTGGGGCAGACCAGTGCTATTTCTAACCAGCAGCAAGGGAGCCATTAAAAAAAAAAAAGAAAAGGAAAGAGGCTCTTCTGTGGCCACCATCAGAACAGATCTGATGCCAGAGGAGCAAAGCAGAGCCAACGCCGGTGGCCTGTGACAAACTGCAGCAGTTCTCAATGTACCATTCCTACAGTCCCTGCTGTGGACAACGTGGTGCCTGGCACTGTGCACTTCCTTGTTCTTCCAGAAATAGGTAAAAAACCCAGAAATCACCCCAAATCAGAATAAGGGTTATTTTATACCACTGTGCACAGCAGCACCTTTTTAGAGTCTAGTTTTATTCTCTTTGCTCCTAAAACACACTAGCATCTCATTTAAATAATTCAGGTAGAGGAACAGCTGTTGAGGAGTTAATGATTAGATAAAGAAACAGAGTATGGTCATTTGAAAACACTATTTCTGCAATGTGTTAACATTCTGTTAAAAAGAATAGCCTTGTAAGGAACTAGGCTGAAGAATAAAACTATATTAACATACTCCGAAGGATGAAAGAGTTCAGGTAATGCCCCGAGGGCCAAACCCTGAGAGCAAGACTAGAATCACCCAAGGTATCTGATTAACCATAATTTACAAACAAAAAAAAGTAAAAAAAAATAAAAAAATAAAAACCTATCCACTCAAATCTGCTATAATGATTTTTTTAATACATATCCTGACGATGAATACTTCCGAATGAAGTGCCACACTGCATCAGTCTACTGGTAATCTATCTCTGACAAGTATAGCAAAGAATAATTTGGCCGGGCGCGGTGGCTCACGCCTGTAATCCCAGCACTTTAGGAGGCTGAGGCGGGAGGATCACGAAGTCAGGAGATCGAGACCATCCTGGCTAACACGGTGAAACCCCGTCTCTACTAAAAATACAAAAAATTAGCCGGGCGTGGTGGCGGGCGCCTGTAGTCCCAGCTACTGGGGAGGCTGAGGCAGGAGAATGGTGTGAACCTGGGAGGCGGAGCTTGCAGTGAGCCAAGATCGTACCACTGCACTCCAGCCTGGGCGACAGAGTGAGGCTGTCTCTAAAAAAAAAAAAGAATATGTGGGGAATGCAGGTCTGATTTTCTAAAATACCTTCCTCAATAGATTAAAACGTCCTCTCCTTAGTTCCTCTTGCTCCTTAATAAGGTACCACATACTTGCCCATCATAAGATTAACCTAATCCATATCCAGTCAGATTTTATTTTTAATAAACTTTATGTTCCTTAAGCCCTTGGTAGTGCTACCTGGTTCCAAACCTATGAGACTGAGTCATCAGGTCTCATCATCTCATCTAGAACCAGATAGCTTTAAAGCAGATATAAGAATCCATTATCCTTTTAAATCTTTATTTTATTTAATGAAATAATGTATTATGTGCCTGGCCCTGACTTCCTATAGAAAAATGCAGTAAGTGTTATCTCAAATATAATTCTCTTGCATTCATTCTAAAGAGTTCGAGCCCTTTAAAACCTGTTGTTAGAGGAATGCTCCTCCCTCTCTCAATCAGCAGAGTTGTCCTTTTATGAACCTCCACCAAGTTCAGTTAAGAGTGGATACAAATAGTGAAGTCCATTTAAAACTCAACTCACAACACTGTGTGATCTTCTGGATGTTAGAAGAGATCCTCTGGGCCAACTGGGCGGGGTCACCACCAACTCCTGGAGTGTAAGACATGGTTGATGTTCTTATTCGCTAATTTCATCAGATGCTGTGCAGTTTTCTAAGCAGTCACCTAAATAATATAAAAGTCACACAGATATATTTTTTAAGTTACTGGCTTACATTTTCCAAATTAACAATCTGTGAAGTTACAAGGACAAACTTGATTAATCTAATAGAGTTGAAATCTGGCAAAGTGACACATCAAATAGCAAAACTCTCATGTCTACTAAAAAAAAAAAAACTGGACTTCAAAGGACAGAGTCATGTTAAACACATCAAACAATTAAAATAAGGTTCAAATTGCATATTTCCTTTGAAAACGTCTTTGATCTCTTCAAGAAAAATTATTAAATCCCTTACCTGTATATAATTTTAGTTGTTTACATATTTTTTCCTTAACTAAACTCCAAACAATTATAAGGCAGGGCCCACATGCTTATTTATCTTTCTCCAATATTTAAAACAACTCTTAGCACAAACAGGCATTTAAATATTTATTAAATGGAACACAGACTTCAGGCTATCCCCAGAAATTTCACTGTATTAGGTTGTGCAAAAGTAATTGCAGTTTTTACCATTACTTTTAATTGTGGTTTTTGCCATTAAAAGTAATGGTAAAAATGGCAATTACTTTTGTACCAACCTTAATATCTAATTTAACACACACACAGGACCTGCTCAGGAATGTATGATTAATAGGGCTCTAATTTTAATGGAAAAGGTTAAATCTGAAATAGCAGAGCCAACTACTGCGAAGCAAATGTCATATAAAATGTTTATCAAACCTTCCTGACAGAGGAAGGAGAACGAATGACTCTCCCCTTTCAGCAGCCAGCATCTCAGAATAGAAGAGACACTGAGATACTGCCACAGGAGGCAGGTGAGATGACATTCTCTACCTCTTCAATCCACACCACTCCAATCAGGGTTTGGAAAGAAGGTTGAAAAGGAATGTCCCTGCATACAGAACTGCGCACAGCAAAGAATTTCAACTACCGCCACCCCATCTTTTCCATGAATATGCACTGGAATACTGCAAAATTGTTGGTGGTCAATTTGTAAGCTAGCTCTCTACTAAGAGCCTGGTACATGCCCAGCATTAAACTAAGCACCTGGGAGATGCAAACAAAACAAAACACACTGACACAGTATCTGCTCAAATCAAGTTTGTCATTTAGGAGGAAGGATAAAGTTAATAATGCAAACCAACAAAAAACCCCACAAATCCATAAAAGATCACGTGCTAGGCTAAAATGAGAAGGGCTACAAAAAGAAAAAATGACCATCATCCTTGTCTGGAAAGAATTTATGAAATAGAAACATAGGATTTGGATGCTTGGTTATGACCAGTATGCAGAACAACAAAGGCAAGGACGTGAAGGCTGGGGTGGAGAGACCCAGAGCACGTGGAAAGGCCACATGCAGTATGGTATTTACAAAAGGAAGGGAAGGTTCCTGGCCAACCCTGGATCAGATGATTCACAGCTGGGACAAGGGGAAAACAACATAAAGGGAAAGAGAGGAATGGCCTAACATTTCTCGCACATCTGCGACACAAAAAGTATTTCACAGACTAATTTTTTCACAACCTCCTTCAATTAAGTGGCATTATTCTTGTTTTAATGATGAGCAAACAGCGGGCTTATTATGATTAAGTAATGGTAACCCAACCCACCCACAGGTGGAGGTGAGATTCAGTCCCAGGGTTCTGATGCCAAGGCTATCCATGCTTGCTACCACATAGAACTAATGCCACAGAAGATTTCTGGTAGAGAAGAAGCCACAGTGAAGTATGTGTCTTTGCTCTAAGGGACAGTGTTGGCAGGAAGTACAACAGCTGAACTGTTGAGACCATTAGAACAGTACTGGTTCTATGCCTGGAACTCTGGTGCACTTTGAATGTGCCTGGCCACGCTGAAAGTCCTGGTGGCTTTTAGATATTCTCCAACTTCCCTCTCAGGTACAGCTGATCTATTCTGGGCTCTCTGGGTCTCACCAAATCCTAGAGATGGATCCAAAAGCAATTTCATTAAAGGGTAAATTCAAACCTAAAGTCAGACAGCTGGACCACTACAGTGGGGAGACAGGAATAAACTTCCTTCCAGGTAGCCTTGGACTTGGGCCCAGACAGAACAAGAGTAGACATGGGGATTCAATGACACCAACACCATCCGGAACATCCTTGAAACCATGCAATTTTAAATGCATCTCCAAGTCACTTAAAAAAAAAAAAAAAAAAAAAAAAACACAGGTTTTGAATAGCCAAAGCAATTTTAAGAAAAAGAACAAAGCTGGAGGCATCTCATTGCCTGACCTCAAATTATACTAAAAGGGTATAGTAACTAAAACAGCATGATATTCATATAAAAACAGACACATAGAACAATGGAATGGAATAGAGAAGTCAGAAGTAAAGTCACATATCTACAGTCAATTGATCTTTTTGACAAAGTTGACAAAAACATACACTGAGGAAAGGACGCCCTTTTCAATACATGGTGCTGGGAAAATTGGATCGCCCCATGCGGAAGAGTGAAACTGGACCCTTATCTGTCAACATATAAAAAAAAAAATCGACTCAAGATGGATTAAAGACTTAAAAGTAATACCTAAAACGATTAAAATACTAAAAGAAAATATAGGGAAAACTCTTCTGGACATTGGTTTAGGAAAAGAATTTATGACTAAGACCTCAAAAGCACAGGCAACAAGACAAAAAACAGACAAAATGAGATTTAATTAAACTAAAAAGCTTTTGCACAGCAAAAGAAATAATAAACAGAATGAACAGACAACCTGCAGAATGGGAGAAAAATATCTGCAAACTACACATCCAACGAGATTAATATCCAGAATTTACAAGAAACTCAAACAACTCAACAAAAAACCCCACAAATAACCCCATTAAAAAGGGGGCAAAGCACATGAATAGACATTTTTCAAAAGAAGACATACAAATGGCCAAGAAGCACATGAAAAATGTTTAACATCAGTAAGCACCAGATAAATGCAAATTAATACCACAATGAGACATCATCTCACAACAGTCAGAATGGCTATTAAAAATTCATCCACAAACACATCTTGAACGGAAAAAAAAGAAAAAAAGTCAAACAAGTACAGATGTTGGCAAGAATGCAGAGAAACAGGAACACACACACTGTTGGTGAGACTGTAAAGTAGTACAACCTCTACAGAAAACAGCATGGCAAGTCATCAAAGAACTAAAAATAGAATTAATATTTGATCCAGTAACCTCGTTACTGGGTATCTACCCAAAAGAAAAAAAAAACCATTATACCAAAAAGATAATCTGCACTCATATGTCTATTGTAGCAATATTCACAAGAACAAAGATTTGGAATTAACCTAAGTGCCCATCAAGTGTCTATTAACATTCCTGAATGGATAAAGAAAATGTAGTGTATATAAATGCAATGGAATACTATTCAACCTTAAAAAAGACTGAAGTTATGTCTTTCACAGCAACACAGATGAACTGGAGGCCATTATCTTAAGTGAAATGACTCAGAAAAAAGTCAAATGCTGCATGTTCTCACTTGTAAGTGGAACCTAAATAATGTGTACACATGGACAGAGAGTGGAATAAGAAGACATTGGAGACTCAAAAGGATGGGAGGGTGAGGGATGAGAAATTACTTAATGCGTACAATGTACATTATTCAGGTGATGATTACACTAAAAGCCCAGACTTCACGCTATGCAATATAACCATGTAACAAAACTGCATGTGCACCCCTTAAATTTATATAAATAAAATGGCTTTATTGAGATATAATTTATTGAGATATGGCAATACAATACACCTACTTGAAGTACACAAGCCAATGGTTTTTAATATATTTACAACATTGTACAATCATCACTTTTAGAACATTTCTATTACGCTAAAAGGAAAGTTTGTAATCATTAGCAATCGCTCTCCATTTCTCCCCAACCTCACTGGCCAAAGGTGACTACTAATCTACTTTGTATCTTTATAGCTTTGCTATTCTGGACATTTCATAGGAATGGAATCATACAATGTGTTCTTCGAGACTAGCTTCTTTCTCTTAGTATGCTTCCAAAGTCCATCTGTGCTGTATCATATATCAGTCCTTCATTCCTTCATTATTGCCAAATAATATTCCTTCATTATTGCCAAATAATATTCCAAGGTATGGAGAAAGACAATTTTCTCTTGGTTCAATGACATCTTCCTTTCTCCTTTCCCTCTATCAAGTAGATCTCTGGAAAAACTGGCTTACAAGCCAAAACAAACACATTGAATGAAAAAATGTTCAGTTTGTTATTCATGTAATCTCTGGGGATGCTCCTCCATATACATGGTTCCATTTTAATCTATACCTGAATGAGTCGCACATCCATGTCTCCAGCTCGTACCCTTGGCTTTCTCTCGTGTCTACATGTCTGTGAAGCTACAAGAACTCAGCCATTGCCTGTGCGGCACACCATGGAAGTAGCAACTGGAAATTTCTACTTTGGGCAAGACACTTAGCATTTGGGCCCACTGCCAGAATCAAAATGAGATAATGCACATCCAGAGAACAAATGCTTTTCCACCCTACACAGAGGAAAGTTATGATCTGTTCTTGCAGCTGCAGGACCAGCATCAGCACAAGACCAAGAGAAACTCATCACCTGTCTCAAAACCATGCAAGCACACCTGAGGCCTACTCTCTCTCCCATAAAGAGTTCCATCAAGTCAAGGACAGTATTCTACAGCATTTTCCTTACCCTTAAAACTCACACCAGTGTAGCCCAAGTCTTCTCACTGTTTTCTTTCAAGGCCACCTTTTTTCCTCTCTGGAAAATCAATCACTTAGTCACAAACACAATCAATTTTCTTCATCCCTTTCCTCAAGCTACTAAATGTGAGAAAGTTCCTGCTGGTGAGACAATTGGCAAGTGGCTTCATTCACCCAAAGAGGTGCTACTTAGATTGACTGGAATTATGAGTTTTGTTTTACTTTTTCTTTGTTTGGCGTTGTTGTTGTTTGAGACAGGAGCACCCAGGCTGGAGTGCAGTGGTGTGATTACGACTCACTGCAGCCCTGACTTCCAGGCTCAGGCAATCCTCCCATCTCAGCATCCCGAGTAGCTGGGTCCACAGGCACCTGCCACCACATCCCACTAATTTTTTGATTTTTTTATAGAGATGGGGGTCTCACTTTGTTGCCCAGACTGGTCTTGAACTCCTGGGCTCATGCGATCCTCCAGTCTCAGCCTCCCAAAGTGCTGGGATTACAGGTTTGAGCCACTGTATCTAGCCAGGAATCATGTGTGAAGAATGAAAAGCAATTTGCAAAAGATAGAGAAGAAAGATGTGTAAAATAAAACAAAGTTAACAATGGCCAACACTCATCCAGGACTTACATTTCCTAAGCATTGTGCTTATGACTTTTAAATTTATTTTCTCAGTTAATTCTTATAAGCCTATCATGTGGGTATAATTGCTAATGTGATTTTTTTACATGAAGAAACTGAGGCATATCATTATGCCTCATTATCATTATAAGCAAAGGAGCAAATATTTGAAAATAACCACAGAGCCGACATTTTTTAAACACTAAGCCATACTGCTTCCTTGTATAACAAAATTGAGGGCAGGTGAACTCAGTTAGAAAAACCAAATTTGGGCTGGGCGCGGTGGCTCACGCCTGTAATCCCGGAACTTTGGAAGGCCAAGACAGGCAGATGACAAGGTCAAGAGATTGAGACCATCCTGGCCAACATGGTGAAATCTCATCTCTACTAAAAAAATTAACTGGGTGTGGTGGCATGCGCCTGTAGTGCCAGCTACTCAGGAGGCTGAGGCAGGACAATCGCTTGAACCCAGGAGGCGGAGGTTGCAGTGAGCCAAGATCACGCCACTGCACTCCAGCCCGGCGACAGAGCGAGACTCGTCTCAAAATAACATAACATAACATAACATAACATAACATAACATAACATAACATAACATAACATAACATAAAATAAAAAAAGACAAAAGAAAAACCAAATTTACCACTTTTCTGCATGCCCCATATGAAGTTTTGCTATTCCCACTCCTAAGATGAAGGAATATGTTTGGGATAACTACATGAGTTGATCAAGGTAACACAGAGGAATAGCTTACTCCTTTTCTCTATTATTCTGCTAATAAGTGGTATCTAAAAGGCAACAACAGTTGGCTCTTTTGATAATGAGACACACAAAGGAAAGGAACCAAATGGTTGTCTTTAAAAAATATATATACAAGCATAGACAGACAGGATAGGTAACTACAAATTGATTAAAAGCTTATGATCTCTGCATATAGGCTAAATGGATGCTGAGTTATTCAGATGTCTGCTTTCCACATCAGTCTCCATTACCTAGCCCAGAGCTGCTACGCACTAAAGTACTCTTGTTGAATACTTTTGAAAGCCCACTCAGAATTCCTATTTAATTGCTCAGAATAATAATTATATAATTCATTACCTAGACCTGTACTAACAGACTAGCCACTAACTAAATGGGCTGTTAAAATTATAGTGGTTACTAGAAGCAGAGAAGGATGGCGGGAAGGGGATAGCCAAAGGTTGGTTAACTAACACCAAAATACAGCTAGGTAGGAGGAATGAAGTCTAGTGTTCTATACCCCTAAAAGGTGACTACAATTAATTACAATTTATTGCATATTTTCAAATACTTAGAAGAAAGAATGAATTGTGAATGCTCTTAACACAAAGAAATGTTAAATGTTTGAGGTAATGGATATGCTAATTACCCTGATTTGATCATTACACATTGTACACATCTACTGATGTATCACATGTATCCACAAATATGTAAATCATTATCTGTCGATTAAAATAATAAAAGCAAAAAAATCTTATTACAGGTTATTTTAAGCTGCTAACAAGATAACTGATTGCAGTAAGAAACTACACTTTTACTCTACATTTCATTTTTTCATGTGACAATTTACACCATTTTATATTGTGTATCACTTAAATTACATTGTAGCTCTCGTTTTTAAAAAATTAAAATTAATTAAAATTAAGTTAAATGAAAAAAATCAGTTCCTCAGTCACACTAGACACCTTTCAAATGTTCAAAAATTCTGTGTGGCTAGTGGCCAGCAGCTTGGACAGCTCATTCATAGACCACTTCCATTATCACAGAAAGATCTATTGCACAGTGCTAATCTCCACATTGCAATAATCATCTTTCTATGAAGATATACAAACACTATAAAGAGAAAAACAGGAAGGGAGAATCAAAGTGCAACACTCAGATGAGAGTCTTCTCAAGACGGCTTCTAAAGAACACAAAGGAATGAACAAAAGGAATGTTAAAATTTAATCTTGAAGTGTCAAACACTACTCCCAGTTAAAATCCGATATACTGTAGAATCCTTAAGATTTCCATTTAGCATATATCTCATGCTCTATAAATCTACCCTGGGCAAAGAAGTAGTCAATTTCACTTTCTTAATCATTAGCATCAGCATAAACAACTGGACTTCTCTATACCCTCTACCCCAAGTAAGTTCTGAGGGGTGGGGGGTGAGCATTTTTTTGTCTGTTTTGTGGACTGCACTATTCTCACTGCCTGGCTACATCACAAGTGCTTAACAAACATTTGTAGAATGAATGAATGTACCCACCTCCTAAGAACACACACCCAGCGTGAGGGTAAATATTACCATTTCCAAAACATAAAATTCCAGTGCCTTCTTTCAGATACCGAAGGTCCCAGGCTTCTTGCTGCCTTGGGCCTTTGCTGGGTGCCATTTCCTATTTCTAGAAGGCTCTTCCCATGATCTCCACGTGACTGGCTCCTTCTCCCCAGCAAGGCCTCATCACATGCTAGAGAAACCTTTGTGACCACTCTGATATGAAAGTGAGAACTCACCACTGGTCACTCTTTGTCAATCTAACTTACTGCTTCACAATACTCAAAAGTCGAATTAATCACTGTTTATTATTTATCCCTACACCTCTGGAATACAAACAGGAGCTACTTCTGGAATATAAACAGGAGAGAGATGACCTTGTCATCCTGTGTAATCTACAGTGCCTGGTGCATAGTAAATGCTCAAGGAATGTGAGGGTGCTCTGTCTACATAAGTATCCTCTGCAAAAACTACATTAACTGTATTCTTTGGCCTTAGCTCTTTCATCACTGACCTTTTGTACTACTTGGTTTTAGTTCACAATACCGAGGATTGTTTTTTTCATACTTTCACACATGAAACTTGCAAATTAAATGGAATCACAGCAAACTTCACTCAGACTTACTGTGAATATTTTCTATAATTTACTTTTCAATCATCAGCACTTAAAGTTTGGGGTCATAACCAAAATAAGGATTGATTTTGTTATCAAGAGCAACATAAGTAACATATCTGAGGAAAAATTATGATGTTAATCAGTTAATATGGTATCATATTAACCTCTACAGAAACTGTGAAGTTAAGAGCATAATTCTTAACTAGTCACGAGTCTGAGGCCAACTTCTCAAAGTAGCCTATAAGGCCTGTCCACAACACAAAACACAGTTTAACACCGTTATCAGCCTCTGCCCAGGTGTGCTCAGAGAACCTGCAGAAGAAATGTCCACTTCCAACATTATTAAATAGCACAGCATTTCATAATTACTTTCTTTTCTTCCAGATTCTGGGCAAGTTTTATATATTATATATAATTATAGTCAGAATACAACGATCTGAGGTAAACAAAAATTAACGTATACAGATAAGAGCCAAACAAATGTAAGAAATTTGTGGGAAAAAACACACAGCATTTGATCAGAAATGCAACTTTTTTTCTTTGTCTGAATTTAAAGAAAGTAACTAGAAAACAAGGTGGAGGAAATACTAGAAATATTTTATGTACGTTTAAAGGTTTTTATGTAAATTAATTAAAGGTGTATACTCAAAGAATGTCAAAGTATGTTAAAGTCATCAAGCCAAATTAAAAAAACAATACTACGATCCTCTGAATAAATAAACATACACGGTTCGCCTGCTACAGCCATACATTTTTCAGTTCCTCTATATTCGGGAAGTTTAGTGTGTTTTTCAATCCGTGAGTTGAAAAGAGGAAGAGGTCATTTGGTCGTGTCTGGATTCCTGAGCTGGGCCCCAGCCGGCTCTGGCGCCCTCCCCGGGGTGCGCTCCGCCAGCCGTGCGCCTCCGGAGCTCTGCCCAGGGGACCGCGGCGGGTGCGTGGCTGGGTAGGCCCACCTGACCACAGCCGCGCGCACCCGGAATGCGGAACGCGCCGCGCCCTTGCACCCGGCCGGGGGGCGTGGGGAGCCGCAGGCGCTCCGGGAGCTGGGGCAGTCCCGCCCTTCCTAGCCTCCCGAGTGCCTGCTGCAGAGCGCAGGGCGGCGGCCACCTGACCACGCGCACAAACAAGAAGGCGCAGCAGCCGCAGGGGCACCGCGCCTCCCTGTCGCCCGGCCAGGGAGCCCCCTCCCCAGGGTCCTCTTACCTGGACCTCCACGGCTCCCTCCTACACCTCCGACCGCCGTCACCCACCTACCCCGGAGCCCTCAGCTGCAATTCTCAGCTGATGGGCGGTGGCGTGGGGACGCCCAGTGCGCATGCCCGCAGCACAACTCAGGAAGAAGGCGGGGTTCACCCCTTTTCTATTGGCCCGCGGGGCTGAGTGACAGCGGCCCTCACCGCCCCTCCGGTTCCAAGCTAAGGAATGGGGGTATCAGCAAAATTGCAAGGGAGCTGTTCTTTGAAGCCTGACGTAGAGATGGTGAACGCCTCTTAGCCTGCGTGCAAAAAAGGACAGAATGGAGGACAGTTGTCTTCTTTATCTGGTGAAGCCAGCCTTCTTGCACGCGGGTCTTCACCCCGCCCCATTAGCTCTTGCCTGTCTTGTTTGCTAACCTTTAACTGCAGTAGATCGCGTTGACAGCTCTATCGAAAAATGCAAAGGCGAGTACACAATCCTAGCAGGAACAATGAAGGAATAAGTGAAGAGTCATCTCTGGGTGCTCACTTGTAAACAAGTTTTCCTAGTACATACAAGTCATTCTAAGCATTCCTGAAAAGCAGGGCGTAGTTTTCACAGGGTTTAAAACAAGCAGAGACAGTTCCAATGATAAATATGCAAATATATTGTAATTGTTAGATGAAAAGCATCAATTGCTACAAATGAAAGAAAGCCCTCTCCAAATTAATTAGAAGATAGATTGGCTTAGCCTTTGCCTATATTAAGGCAACACTATTTTCTAAAATGATTACCCGGATAGGTGATATCAAAAGTCCAGACGCACTTAGGTGGAAAAAAACAAAACCCAGGATAGAATTCTGATTGGAACTCACCAACACTAAGTGTGGAATGTTGTCTGCTTAAGAGAGATGGACAGAGAAAGAATAACCCTGAAAACGAGTAACCCACAAGATAGGAAATAAACCAGGAAAAGGTAAACTAGAGAATGAAGGAAAAAAGGAGGGAATTGTCCATGATGTCACCTGTTACACAAAGTTCAAGTAAATAAAGAACTGAAAGTAGTGCATTGTACTTGAGAATTAGGAAGTGGCTGGTGAACGTAGGAAGAAACATTTCAATCATTGAAGGAACACATGAAAGGATCTTACATCCATGTGAGGTTTAGTGCACTTTCCAAATACCCATTCATATTACCTTTGATAGAACTCTGGGCTCCGGGGAGGGAAGGTACAATGCACTACAGAAGAACCTGAGATTAAGTGGCCTCTTCAAGTTACCCTGATAGTTACTGACTATGCTGGGCCCAAAACTTAGCTGTCTGAGCCCTCATCTTGGGCTCATTCCAATTCCTTGTTTTAAAATATGTTATGAGTGGATTCCTTCCAGGTCTTTTGAAAACTTAGAATAAGATTTCATCCTTTGGTATTCAAATGGGAAAAAAAAGAATTATAGTCTAGACAAACTTGCAAAATTTAGAAGTATTAAGATAAATGAATTACTAAGAGTTCCTGACACAGTATTCCATCTGTGAATCTGGCTGCTACCAAGTTAAATTCAGCCAGGTGTCTTGAAAGTGGTAGGGCTTTAAAAGTCTCCTAATTTGATGAGTGATAATGTCACATCTCCCAAAATAAATCATTTCCATGTGCAGAAGTTACCTATGACTGAAAGCTTGTAATTTGGATTTTCAGAAATAGTAATTTGCGAGATTTGGGCCTTCTTGGAGAGATTTTGAAGGAAACCAGAAGTTGTTGAGTGGGGAATGTTATCTGCACACTTGTGGTGTCCTTATTAATATAAATACCATAAATACCTCCTATGTAACATCTCTCATGTAGGATGGAGAACTGTCCACTGCTGTATCTCCAGTGTCTGGGATAGCAATTCCAGGGAATAGAAGGAGATAATTGCTGGTTCATTTAATAGTTACTGAACTAAAAATATTTTTTACATGACCACTATGTGATCTTCTGGGAAAGCCAAAGAAGTAAAAGACGCATAAAGGTAAATAGAGCAAACAGGGACTTATTGGTAAGTGAGAAGGACAAGTTGACTTATGAAGGTTTGTTTTTATTTATAATACAGTGGGAAAACCACAACTGGTTTAAAAAATCTATGCTAGATTAAAAGGAAGCTTAAATTAATACTTAATAAACAAGAGTTAGTTCAGTTGTGCCTTATTGTTAAGCACCTTCCATGTCTCTCTACAGTCTACTTGTTTTCTGTTTAAGATCACACAAGTGCCTAGTCATATATCAAGCACAGAATTGATTTTGCCCTAGCTTTTGAACATGGAGGTAATAAACAGATATCCCGTGGAAATCTTACATGGGCCATTATAGCATGATGACCGGTATATTTGTTTCTAATTTTACCTCCTGATGACTGGTATTTTCGTTTCTAATTTTACCTCCTAAGTGTTGTTCATATGTGCCCTCTTCTCTCTGTCCCTCACGGTTGACATCCTGATCCACTGCAATAGCCTCCTTGTTGGATCTTCTATCTCCAGGTCTTCTCAACTTTATTATTGTCAAAGCCACCACTGAATATTTGAAGCTCTAATCTGAGAACTTTGCTCCAGGCTTCATGCCATTTCCATGATTGCAGCATTCCCTGAACTGTATTTCTTAAGAAAAAAAACCAAAATAATTAGATTGGGGAGAGCTGGGGAATTGTGTGGGTTGAAATAAGGAATCAGGGAATTGGTCTACAAAGAAATGTTTGGGAAACATATTATATTGCATTCTTGAAGATTCACAGAGCATATTTGTAAATTAAAGACGCTGAGAAGTGGTTCAGGAAAGAAACAAGTAAAAATTTCTTTTACCCAGTATTTTATGAGTGTATTTGATGGTGGAACTTGCCTGTAAAACTTTTAAATATGCATAATGGAAAACACTGCTCTCAAAATCAAGTCCAAGCCCCCTGCATATACACAGGGTGACCATATATTTAGTTTGCTAGGACAGCCCTAGTTTATGCTTGTTGTCCTGGCCGCCTGTCTTCTGAGCATGCCCTTTCATTCTCAAACGTGCTTCAGTTCAGATGATGCATCATATGGTCCCTATACATATAAGGACCACATGGTCTGATCCTGCCTTTCCAAGCATCAAAATTTATGCTTGGAATATGTTGGCTTAAATAACTCCTCTTTCTCTGTCTGCTCTCCCCTCCATCCCAGCAGCTAGCTCCCCAGTCACAAACCAGGGGTTTTCTTATTTCTGTGCTTCGCTCACGTAGTTCCCATTAGCTAGAAAACATTTTTTCTTCTCCCCCATGTTTTAAACGATTCTTTATTTTGGAATAATTTTAGATTTATAGAAGAGCTGCAAAGATAGTACAGCACTCCTGTATATACCTCACCCAGGTTCCCCTAATGTTTCCTTAATGTTAACATCTTACATAACCATGGTCCACTTGTCAAAACTAAGAAATCAGCATTGGTATAGCAGTACCAACTAAATTAGCTTGTATTCTCCCTGCTCCAGCTCTAGAATCAGTCATTTTACTATTAAGCACTTCTTCTTTTTATTGGAAAAAGCTATTTAGAAATCAAAGGCCAGGACCACCAGGCACAGTAGCATGGCTCACACCTGTAAACCCAGCACTTTGGAAGGCGAAGGCAGGCAGATCATTTGAGCCCAGAAGTTCGAGGCCAGCCTAGGCAATGGGGCAAAACCCTGTTGTGATGGTTAATACTGAGTGTCAACTTGATTGGATTGAAGGATGCAAAGTATTGATCTTGGGTGTGTCTGTGAAGATGTCGCCAACAGAGATTAACATTTGAGTCAGTGGGCTGGAGAACACAGGCCCACCCTTAATCTGGTGGGCACCATCTAATCAGCTGCCAGCAAATATAAAGCAGGCAGAAAAATGTGAAAAGGCTAGACTAGCCTAGCCTCCCACCCTATATCTTTCTCCCGTGCTGAACGCTTCCTGCCCCTGAGCATCCAAGTTCTTCAGTTTTGGAACTCGGACTGGCTCTCCTTGCTCCTTAGCCTGCAGACAGCCTATGGGACCTTGTGATCATGTGAGTTCATACTTAATAAACTCATATATATATATATATATATATATATATATATATATATATATATATATATGTATTCCATTAATTCTGTTCCACTAGAGAACCTTGGCTATTACACCCATCTCTACAAAAATTAGCTGGGTGTGGTGATGTGCACAGTAGCTATAGTCCCAGCTACTCAGGAGGCTGAGGTGGGAGGATTGCCTGAGCCCAAGAGGTCAAGGCTGCAGTGAGCCAAGATCATGCCACTGCACTGCAGTGTGGACAACAGAGTGAGACCCTGTCCCCCACCCTACCAAAAAGAAGAAAAGAAAAGAAATCAAGATCAAGGCACTAACCTTCTCATTGTTACTAGGGTGTCAGTGCTTCTACGCTCCCCTCAATGGACAGAGCTAGGAAATAAATTTATATATACTAATTCATGTATGTAGGATATTTACTCCAGGCTTCATGCCATCCCCATGTTGGCTGCATGCCCCAAAATATATTTGGTAAAAATAAAAGTGCTTGGACTGGGCAGAGGTGGGGTTTGTGTGAGTTGGGGTAAGGAATCAGGGAATTGATCCATAGAGAAATGTATACAGTATACATTATATGCAGTATAAGCCTTGTATAAAGTATGTCTATAAATTTAATTTTACAAGAAACTGCCAAGTTGTTTTCCAGTTGTTTTACATATCCATAGCTATATCAGATTTTATCTATATATATAAACACGAGTTCATCTAGGCATTCCCAATTCTAATCCAACATTATAGGGGTCATTCTAGCCTTCCCTTGTCCTAATTTTTAGCTTCTTTCGCTAGAAGTGAGAAACCTAGCTTCCATTATCTACCATTTATGTTCTTATTTCTATAATGTAAAAAATTAGGTTGGTGCAAAGGTAATTGTGGTTTTTGCCATTAAACCGCAATTACCTTTGCACCAACCTAATAGCTTCAGAATTGCTAACTCCTACTCTGTGTGAGAAAAAAATCTTTAGTGCAGTGTTTATGTACAATTCTTTTTGTCTTTAGCCTTATAATATTGAGTCAAAACAATGTTTTCTAAAAATCACCAAGGTCGGCTCTTTACCCATCCCCTTCAGTGAAATTAGGTTATGTTGACTTTGCAGTTAAATTCAGTTGTCATAGATCTGCATTTTATCCTATGATCCACAAATATACTGATTGATTTTTTAAATTTGTATAAAGCTCATTGTTTGTGGTATATAGTTCTGTGGATTTTTGACAGATATATAGAGTAATGTATCCATAACTCCAATACCATAGAGAACAGTTCTACCATACTGAAAATTCCCTTTCACAACAACCCTTATTCAACCCATCCCCCTCCTCCCACCCTTGGCAACCACTTATGTTTTCTATCACCAGAGTTTTGCCTTTTCCAGAATGTCCTATAAATTCAATCATACAATATATAACCTTTTGGGTCTGATTTCTTTCACTTAGCAGAATGCATTTAAGATACATCCACATTGTTGTATAAATCTATAGTTTGTTTTTTTTTGTGGCTGAATAATATTCCATTGTTTGGATATAACACAGCTTATTTATCCATTCACCTGTTGGTTGTTTCCAATTTTTGGCAATTATGAATAAAACTTCTATAAATACTTAAATACAGATTTTGGTAAAAATAGAAGTTTTCAATCATTTGAGTGAATATCTAGAAGTAGGTCTGTTGGACTGTATAAGTGTATATTTATTCATTTATTTTTGCTTTAAATATTGCTCCGGGGGAGGGGCCACCACACGTCTACTCAATGAAGAGAAATGTTTTTACAATTTACAGGTATTTTTTTTACACCTATTATGGCATGAATTCATAGGAAATAAGTTCTAGCAGCCTCCTTCTTATTGGTTCTCACACAGTGTGCTTCTCTGGATGGAGCAGGCTGCTGCTTTAATTGAACTCAGGTGACTTTCTCCTTGAGATCCTTTTCTGATCGTTTTCCTTCACGTGTTTGAGGAAGCTGTCTCGGCACTTAGAGTACTTAATATGCTCAATATGCACATCAATTATCTTGGCAAGAATCATGCCGTTAACTTGTTTGTTTACAACAGTGCCAACAGTATGCTGGGTTACATTGTAGACTCTTCCAGTTTTTCCATGGTGATAGTTGTGGGGCATTCATTTTTGAACAGCACCCAACCTCTTGATGACTACGGTATAACCTTTCTTGTAGATTCGCATGTATGTGACCAAAGGAACAACTCCATGTTTTCTAAAAGGCCTAGAGAACATGTATCAGGTGCCTCTCCTCTTTCCCTTTGTGTTAATCATTTTGGCAAATTACTGGAAGATGGCAATTCTGGCTCTACATTTAATTTTACAAAATACTTCCAAATTGTTTTCCAAGGTGGCTGTATCATTTTGCATTCCCATCAGCAATGATTGAGGATTTCTGTTACTCTACTTCTTTGTCACTTTTTGATATTGTTGAATTGAAAAACATTTTTTTTTCATTCTCATGGGTGTGTAGTGGCATGTCATTGTGATTTTATGTATGCTTATTTGAAATCCATCTGTCTTCTTTAGTGAAATGTTAATTCAAATCTTTTGCCTGCTTTTTATTGGGTTGTCTTCCCACTGTTGAGTTTTAAGAATTATTTTTGTATTCTGGTACTTTATCAAATATATCATTTACATGTATTTTCTCCTAGTCTGTAGCTCTGTAGCTTATCTTCTCATTCTCTTCTTTTAAAATTTTTTAAATTTTCTTTCAGAAAAGATCTGGGATCTGGCTATGTTGCCCAGACTAGAATGCAGGGGCTATACATAGGCCTGATTGTTGGACATACAACTTTTTAAACTTCTGGGCTCAAGCAATCCTTTCTTCTCAGCCTCCCAAGTAGCTAGAACTATATGCACATGCCACCACACCCAGCTCATTCTCTTAATGGTGTCTTTCATGGAGAAATAAGTCTTTAATTTTGATAAATTTTAGGTTGCCATATTTTTGTTTTATAAATTATGCCTTTAGTGATTAATTTAAAAGCTCATCACCAAACCCAAAGTTATACAAATTTTTCCTATATTTTATTCTCAAAGGTTTATGGTTTTACATTTCACATACAGGTTTACAATTCATTTTGAGTTAATTTTTGTAGAATGTATCAGGTATCTGTTAAGGTTCATTTCATTTGTTTTTTTGCATATGAATGTCCAATTATTTCAGTACCTTTGTTGAAAAGTCTATCTTTTCTCCATTGAATTGCCTTTGCATTTTTGCCAAAACTCAGTTGACTATGTTTCTGTGAACCTCTCTCTATTTTTCATATTCTCTTCTATTAATCTATGCATATATTTTCTCCGACATCATGCTGTCTTGATTACTGAAGCTCTAGAGTAAGTTTTGAAATTGGATAATATGAGTCCTCTGACTTTTTTGTTTTCCGGAATTGTTTGATTATTTCAGTTTCTTGGCTTTTCTGTAGAAATTTTAGAAGCAGCTAGTCAATATCTACAAAATCATGCTGGAATTTGATTGGGATTGTTTTGACTTTACAGAACACATTGGGAAGAACTGACATCTTAATATTGAGATTTTCAATTCATAAACATAGTATATCTCCACATCTATT
This sequence comes from Homo sapiens, assembly GCF_000001405.40. Lineage (NCBI taxonomy): Eukaryota > Metazoa > Chordata > Mammalia > Primates > Hominidae > Homo > Homo sapiens. Next base: position 132,520,600 of record NC_000006.12, read on the forward strand.
TGGATTTTCTTATATTGTTTTTCATCAGTGTTTTGTAACTTACAATATACAGATTCTGCACATATTTTGTGAGTCATACATAATTTATTCATTTGTTTGGGTACTATTATAATGTATTTTTAAATTTTAATTTTTACTTCTTCATTGCTGAAATATGGAAATATTATTGGTTTTTGTGTATCATCCATGTATTCTGTGACCTTACTAAAGGAATGTATTAGTTTTATGAGCTTGTGTATTATTTGGAACTTTCTACATAGACGGTTGTTCTGTGAAAGGGTATATATAAAAAGTGACCCCCAAATGCCAAAGAAGCCAAGAAACCAAAGAAGGAGGCAGACAAATCTAGTTCATTGGTATTGGGTGACTTATTAGAGGGAACTTACAGACAGCAGCATGGTCTTGGGTGGCCACAAGACACATAGTTCTCTGCACTGCAAACCCTGAGACCCAGGGCATGTATCTTGAGGGAAAAGTATATGTACTCTGGAAGGAATGTGCAGGTGGCTATGAGCATCAGGGCCTAAGATTTCTGTAACAGCATCAAGGGAGGTTTTGGAGGAAAACTTACAATAAATAGGTATTTCTAAATAAAAAGTAATACATCAGCAAGACATTTTGGCGGCATTCCTGGACTTGGGGTTAGTCAGAAGTTACGTGGCAGATTGGCATTTAAAATAAAATCACTATTTTCCCCACAAAAAATATAATCTGTGAATATAGTTTTATTTTTTTCTTATTCTGTATGCATTTTATTTGTTTTTCTTGCTCTGTCAAACTAATTAGAACTTCCATTATGACACTGAATGGTACTAACGAGAGAGGACATTTGTGCTGGGTTTCTGCTTAGGAGGAAAGCATTCAGTTTCTCACCACTAAGCAGGATGAACAGCATGAAGTTTGCTGTAGGTTTTTTAAGATTTCCTTTCCTAGGTTAAGGATGTTTTCTCCTACTTCTAGTTTGCTGAGAATTTTAATCATTAATTAATGTTAAGTTTTGTCAAATGCTTTTTCTCCACCTATTGATGACATACTTTTACTTTTTAGTCTGTTAATGTGGTGAATAGATAGTTATTGATTTTCAAATATTGAGCCAGCCTTGCGTTGCTAGGATTAATCCCACTTGGTGGTGATATATTATTCTTATTATATATTGCTGGATTTTATTTGCTAATATATTGTTGATAATGCTTGTATTTGTATTTTTGAGGGCTATTGTCTGGAGTTTTTGCTTGTCTTTTTCTTATAATGTTTTTGCCTGGTTTCAGCATCATGACAATGCTGATCTCATATAAATGGAATGTGTCCCCTCCTTTTCTATTTTCTGAAAAAGATTTTGTAGGATTGGCTTTATTTTGTCCTTAAATATCAGGAGGATTCACCAGTGAAACCATATGGGCCTTACTTTATATGTTTTTAAAGACTTTTAACTATACAGCACATTCATTACATATAGGACCATTCAGTTGATCTATCTCTTCTTGAGTGAGTTTTGGTAGTTTGTTTCTTTTAAGAGGTTTGTCCATTTCATCTAAGTTGTTGAATTTATATGTACAGGGTTGTTTGTAGCATTCCCCATTCTCTCTTTGATGTGTCAGGATCAGTAGTAATATTCTTTCTTCTATTTCTGATACTGTAATTTGCATCTTCTCTCTTTTTATCTCTTAGCCTGGAAACAGGTTTATTAATACTATCGATTTTTTTAAACTTTTGGTTCCATTGATTTTTTTTCTATTATTTTTTGGTTTTCAATTTTACTTAGTTTTGTCCTAATATTTATTTCCTTCCTTCTACTTGCTTTAAGTTTAATTTGCTCCTTTTTTCTCTTGTTTCTTAAGCTGGAAGCTTAAGTTACTGACTTGAGATCTTTCTTCTTTTCTTATGTAAGCATTTACTGCTATATATTTTCATTTAAGTACTGATTTAGCTGCGTCACACACATTTTGATATGTTGGAATTTTTACTTTCATTTCATTCAAACTATTTTTTAAATAACCCTTAAGACACCCTCTTGACCCATGGTGATTTTTAGAAATGTATTGTTTAATTTTCCAAATATTTGAGGTGTTTAAGATAATTTTATTTTATTAATATTTGGTATATTTTTATGGTCAGAAAACATACTTTGTATGATTTATATTCTTTTAAATTTGTTAAGTTTTGTTTGCTGGCCCAGAATATGATCAATGAGTATTTCATGTACACTACAAAAGAAAGAGTAATATTGCTGTTGGGTGGAATATTTTATAAGTGTAAATTAGTTCAAGTTAGTTGGTAGTGTTTGGGGGATTTTGCTGATATTCTCCCTACTTATTTCATCAATTACTAAGAGAGGAGGGTTGAAGTCTCCAACTAGAACTGTAAATTTCTCTACTTTTTCTTTCATATCTTTCAGGATTTTCCCTATGTGTTTTGAAGTTCTGTTGTTATATGTAAACACTTTTAGGATTGTTATGTCTTCCTGATGAATTGACCCCTTTATTATTATATAGTACCCCTCTTTATCTCTAATAATAATCCTTATCTTGACATCTATTTTGTTTGAAGTTATTGTAGCTACTTCAGATTTCATTTGATTCAGTTTGATATGATCTATCTTCATCTTTTTATGTTTGTCCTATCCATGCCTTTACATTACAAGTGAGTATTTTGTAGACAGCAGAGTTGTGTCTTGTTTTTTTATTCTGTTTTAAATTCTTTGTCTTTCAACTAGTATGTATAGATCATTTAAATTTAAGGTTATTGACAATTTGAATTAAAATCTACCATCTCTCTAGCTGTTGTCTGTTCTATTTTTATTTTTCCTCTTTTTCTTTCTTTCCTGGGTTTTATCAGGAATTTTTAAATGATTCTATTTTATCTTCTCTATTGACTTATTATGTGTATTCCTCCTAAAAATTATTTTTACCTCTTTAAAAAATTAACCTAAATCTACTTTCAAATGAGGTATTTGCAAGGACATTATAACAGTATATTCCCAAATCCTTCTTCTCATTTCTTCTGCTATTGTTATACAGAAAACAATATTGTATGGTTTTGTATGTATGTAGAGTATTGTTATACTCTCAAAGTCATTCATCTTTTAGAGTAACTTAAAATAAGAGAAAAAAATTTTATTTTACCTTTACATATTCCATTTCTAAATCTCTTCAGTTCTTTGTGTAGAGCCAGGTCTATGACCTGTATCATATTCCTTCTATCCAAATAATTGTTTTTCTACTTTGAGTGAAAAGGGCAAGAAAAGCAAGAACCTTAAAGAAGATGATTTGTATTTATGGCACAAACATTTACAATGTCTTATTAAAATCATAAACAAAGTGAAAGAGAATGACAAATGAAGAGAAAATGCCTGCAAGCTCTAATACAAATGTTTTACATCCTGTTATAAAGTATAAGATAGACAAACCTCCTGTGGTAGATGTTATTGACACCTCAGCCAGGTTCTCTTTGACTGCCTCAGTAACCAATCCATAGTTGCTGTGAGTAATCAGCTAAGCACCAATCACAGCTACCTTCTACTCTAGAAAATTGCCCTTGGCCCAAGGGAGCTGCCCCACCCAGAGTCAATATGCGCTGACTCCCCCCAACCTCAACCAATGACAAATTGACATCAGTCCCTGGACTTACGTTGGAATTAATTCTGTGGTGCAACTTGTGCTCCAGAGCTTCCCTGTGGGATCCAACCAAAAGTCTCCAGCCAAGACCACAGTCTTTCTCAGAACATGCTGTGGAACCAACTTCTCTTACTGCCCTTCTCCTGTGAGAATTCTTTCCAAATTCTCCATTCTGAGCCCAAGTTTCTGCTTCTAGAGAAACCAAACCAAGACACCACACTAGAAAACTTAGTAAAAGCTCATAATAGACAATTCACAGAAGTCTTAGTCCAAGTGTCTTGAAAAATAGAGCCTAAGGCAAAACTTTACTTACTAAGGTTTTACAGTAATCCTACAGTAGCAAGAGCAAAGTGTTACAACAAGTTTAGCCTAAAGCTGCCTCCTTATGTATTTTAAGTTCAGCCTAAAGGTTTCTCCGTACATCGTGAACTACAAACAAGTGGAGGTACAGATCATAGCCTACACTTGTACCAATCACTGAGTTTTGGCCAAATGTAGCCAACTGTTTGAACCGTGTTCAGTTAAGGCAAATGCGGGGCTGTCACCAATCCAGCTGTTTTTGTGCTTACTCCTATCTTCTGTATGTCACTTTCCTTTTTTCTGTCCATAAATCTTCTTCCTCTATGTGGCTGCACTGGAGTCTCAGAATTTACTCTAGTTTGGGAGGCTGCCCAGTTCATGAATCTTCTTGGCTCAATCAAATTCCTTTAAATTTAATTTGGCTGAAGTTTTTCTTTTATCAGATGGCATCAGAAATTGGATCTAAAGTAGAGCTTCTAACGACCCCCATGAGCACTGCGTGACCAAGGGAGGTACCCGCTGGACCCATTGTGTCTGTTGCTCTCTCAGAGCAGCTAGAGAATATGGTTAAGTTCTCGCTCGGATTCTGAGGCTCCACAGATTTGTGTTTTGAACACTCTGAGTTTCTTTGAGCAAATTTCTGATCCAAGCTGGATTTGGAAGTCGCGACAGACACTGGACTGGGTCCAAGATCAGAATGGATCCCGTAATTAACTGGCTTGGATCCAGTTAGAGGTCTCTCACATCTGACTCAGTCAGAAAGAAACTGGTAGTAAATGGCATAATTGCAGGGGGTGTAAAATTTGGCTTTTGGAAATTTGCAGGGATTTTTGTGTTCTACCCCTTTGTTTCATTTTTCTTGTGCGCTTAAATAGGAAAAGAAATGAGTGGCTAAGTTGGTCAAGGGAACCTGAGAAAGCCCAATATTTCAGGTAAAAATGGGATCTTTAATTTCTGAAGAACTGAATTCCTTCCAGCTTACACATTAGGCCCCGGAAGAAGCAGAGTCTTACAGAAATGGCAAAATCTTACTAAAGATAACTTACAGTAGAACGTTCCAAATAACACTGCACTGAAGTGCATTTGAAAATGTGGGCTCCCAAATTAGTCTCATCTATAGATGCCTGTTGATATGCAGAAGCTTCTAATAAAAGCTCAATTTTTTATTTAAAGACTTTACAAAAGCCAAATAAAAAGGTTAAGCAACTGATTTTTTAAAAACTCAAATCTACTAACCTTTTGGCTTAGTTACTATGTCAATCCAAAGGATATAGACTGCAGCACCAATTGGCTGACTTCGGGTAAGTAGTGGGGTACATTTTGCCTGGAAACCTGTATGGGTTTGGGTTCAAGGCCCAACTTAGGAAAGTCAGAGTCCCTGGTAAGATGTAGGGGGTTAGAGGCTCTCCCCTCAGTAAAATCCCTCTTTGTTAAAAGTGGATTTGGCACTATAGGGTGTTAATGACTATTCTCTCTGGATTAATCTGCCTTGCCCTTTTTGTTAATGACAATGGGTGACCGGATTAGGCAAGGACAGGACCATGGGATATGGGAACTTTTCCCTCCCCAGAGGGGAAACTTGAGAGCTCATGGGACTGGAAGAAAAGATCCCTTTGTGACTGATGAGTGGCTGCCTGAACTTTTGATTCAGCGACGCTGCAATGGGTGGGTATTTCTCTGGCTTCCCCTCAGCTCCTTGCCTTCCCCACCCTGCCGCAGGCAGTGTTTTTCTCCCTTTCTCTCCTTTCTCTTTTCTATCTTTTTTGTTACTTAGGGCAACTGTCTGCTCTTTCATCATTTCCAGAGACCACATGTTGAAACTCCAGGTCAGAAAATCATTCCACCTGACTCTGAGTGGATCAAAGATGACAGACAGGGCCCAACAGGGGGCAAGTTTGAACCTTGCCAGTGTGATATTCAGTGCTAGGCAGAGTGGCTAACGTCTATGTTTTGCCACATGTATTTTACCCTGGCCAGAATGGAAAATATTAATTCGATTCCCCCATGCAATACCTCAGGTGGCATCTTACAAAATTGAGAGGCTTCTGCCTGTGGGTCCATGAAACCAAAAAAGATGATTTTCCTTTGTGTTGCAGCTTGGCCCCCAGGGCTATGGTGCAGCCAGCAGGGTCACTAGGATGACTCAAGGAAAGGGAACCCAGAAACGTGGCATGCCAGCAAAAATGGTAAGGATTTCTTACCAGCCAGACTTCTGGCCTCTCTGTCTCTTTGCAAACCAGTTGTAGGAATGGTAAAAATCACTGTCTCCTCTGCAAAATTTTAATTAATAAGAAAAAAGATTCATGAGAGTAATCTTAAGCTGTAGTGAATCTGGTTTGCTTTGTGCTAAGAATTTGTCTTTCTGTGTTGTTCTGTCATAAAAAGAGGTCCTTAGGATAGAATGTGGGCCTAGGACCCCCATAAACTCACTGTTCAAGCCAGCCCGGCAAACTGGTCAGGTACATGCTTTGCTGCAGGTGCCTGAAACAAAAAAAGCTAGTTGAGATTTCCCTCCTATCTTGTTTTATGTCCTTGGGAGCTTCACCCTATAACCACATGGTGGTAGTTTCTCTTGGTCTCTGCCATCCAGGAAAACAGGAATTTTGGGGTTCATATCATAGTTAGCTCTAAAAATTATCTTAATCAGTTAAAAGCTATTGCAAGCTCAAAAGTGACTGCTTTCAGCTCCTTCTGGGAAGAGCGATGGAAACTGCCCAATGCTTAGCTTGGTGGCTAAGGCTTTATCTTTTCACAGTGGTGGCCAGGGCTCAATTCCTGGCTTAGGGGATGAGCCCTTTCTCGTTCGATATCTCTGTGACTTTTGCCATTTATTGATTCTCTTCCCCTTTATGAACAACTTCTGACTTCCCATCTTGAATTTTCCTTTCTCTGAGGACTTGGGAGGTACCTTTGGTAAGTTCAAAAGCCAGAAATAATTTTTGTTTGTTCTGGCTAGAGTCTAGCAATAAGATATTTGGTTAAAAGTCAGCTTAATTAAAATAGATATTCAAGCTATAGGTGTATTTGAAAGGCCTTCATGGCTTTTTCTATTCTTGGATCTCGTTTTTTTCAGGAAAACATTTTTTTTTCTTTTCAGCCATTTGAATTGTTTTTCTTCATTTGTCTCCTTGCCACTCTTGATGCACACATGAGAGGAACTTCGGAAAGCCTGGGACTCCTTGGGAAAAACAGGAGGTGCCACAGACCCTGTTTTGGGAAAAACCTTTGTTTTCCCCATGAAACCTCAAGAATTAAGGCTAAATATACTTTTGGGGATAGCTAATGTCAGTTATGGGGGAATACATGGCTCTTTGCACATTTGGATCAGAGAAGCGTGCTCTTGGCCACCTAGAAGGTATGGAAATGTCCCCATCCCCCTGCCCCCACTGAGAGATGACTCCCATGGGAGATCGGCTGATTTCCTCTTTTTATGACTCCCATGGGAGATCGGTTGAGTCACTCTTTTTATGACTCCCATGAAAGATCGGTTGAGTCACTCTTTTTATGACTCCCATGGGAGATCGATTGATTCCCTCTTTTTATGACTCCCATGGGAGATCAGTTGATTCCCTCTTTTTTGGGTAGGGGGACGGATCCAGGATCTGGTATAAAAATAAGACCCTTAATTTTGGGAATCTCTTTTGCCCTCAGGATGTGCCTGCTAATTAGGCCCTAGAAACTGATGTCTTCCTAGCCCTGTTTTTCCAAGGATTCCACTCTGAAGCCAGTAATACAATTAAGAAACTTGAAAACTGGCAAATGAAAAGTCTTATCAATACTGGATCCTCCTGTTTTTCTGGGTGTTTATATGTGTTGTGTGTGTGACATTTATAAATAAAAGAGCTCTGATTAATTGGCTTAATAATAATAAGCACTTAAATCAATTTTTTTTTCAGAAAAATAAAAACGGTAATGCCTTTCACTTTACGTGACTGTAGTAAGCTTTGGGAAATAAAGAGTTTTAAATACTATTGGTAAAATAAAGATAGTTGGTCTAAATTAGGCAGGTCAGACATTAGGTTTGCTAAATTCTTTAAGGTAATAAACTGCTTCTTTAACTTTTGAAAATTGTTCAACGTAACTGCTTTGGAGCCATTAGATTCCAGGTAAGGTCTGGAGACGTGGAGTTACTCAAGCCCCTGGCTATGCTAAAAAAAAAGTCAGACTTTATCTGTCTGGGCCCTAGGCTTCACACCTAGTACATAATTAAAATCCACTTAGTAGGTTTTTCACCAAAAATAAAAATCACTAAGAGTTAACATTGTAACATGTAAATAAGACTACTGAAAAAACAGTTTTACATGCAAGCTGTGTGAGTAAGGTGAAATGTGCTTTTGATAAAAGATCATAAGAAAACATGGGAATGTGTGTGTTTTCTTTTTGTTGTTCGTTTTTTGTTTGCCTAGATTAAAGGGCTAATGGACTGTTTTAATTTAGAAAGGATAAAGCTGAAGGTTTGAGCAAGTTGTGGAAGGTTTGTGAAAAATTAATCTTGTAAAAGAAATTCTGTGTGTGAACATATTGGCTAAATTTAAAGGGGTATTATACAGGTTTTCCATAAACTGAACATTGGAATAAAAGCACAACAAGGTTCTCTTAGAGCACTGATCTCTTCAACAAAAATTTGTAAAGGGTTATTAAAGGTTTATGAAAATCTCACCTTATGGTCAAACTGATTAAAATAGGATAGATTTGTCTATAAGATGTTATTAAAAATTGGGGTTGACATTAATAGTACACTAATGCATGGGTGAAATTTGGCTTTCTCTCTTGAGTAAGACTTTCATAGAATATTAAAGACAAATGAAAGATTTTTGTTTGCCTTTTGAATAAACCACAGGAAAAAGAAGGAAAAGAAAAGAGACAGATTGTTTGGAAAGCTAAGTCTTCCCTCTATCAATGAGTAAAGGTTTTTGCCTTTTTTTTTTTTTTTTTGAGACGGCGTCTCGCTCTGTCGCCCAGGCTGGAGTGCAGTGGGGCGAACTCTGCTCACTGCAAACTCTGCCTCCTGGGTTCACGCCATTCTCCTGCCTCAGCCTCCCGAGTAGCTGGGACTACAGGCGCCTGCCATCATGCCCGGCTAATTTTTTTGTATTTTTTTTAGTAGAGACAGGGTTTCACCTTGTTAGCCAGGATGGTCTCGATCTCCTGACCTCGTGATCCGCCCGTCTTGGCCTTCCAAAGCGCTGGGATTACAGACGCGAGCGACGGCGCCCGGCCAGGTTTTTGCCTTTTTAAAGATTCCAGGTAATAATAGTGACCTGTGGTGACCTGGAATTCTATTTTGTAATAGCAAGTGTTTTAAACTTTTAACGTATCTGACAGGCTTCCTACAATCAAATTTCGGCTTCAAAATGGTCTTTTCTGACCTCTAACTTTGGGATGCAACAGAGAGCCCCTGAAGCATCCCAAAAGAGAGGTAAACAGGATTATTTGACATGTTGAGTTACATGGGAAGCATTGTCAAAATAAAAAAATATGTTTAACCCTCTTTAGGTTATATTTTAGTGAATGTTATTAATATATGTTCCAAGTTGAATGGAATGTCTAAAATTCTAAGATGTCCAAGTATATGCTGTCAATCATAATTATGGTTAAGTTATTGCAGACCACAGAAATAACCAAATTTCTTTGTCAATTTTGTCTTTATCACTAGTCATTTCCGCAGTTAATTGCTTAATGCTGATGCAGTTTCTGGAAACTTCGCAAGCATGGAAAAAAATCCGAGAATACGGTGTCTTTTAGGAGGTTCATGAAATGATGGAAAGGACCCTCAAAAGCACCTTTGAAAACAGGTTTGTTTTCTTTCTTTCTTTTTTTTTTTTTCGAGACTGAGACTCGCTCTGTTGCCCAGGCTCGAGCGCAGTGGCATGATCTCAGCTCACTGCAACCTCCACCTCCTGGGTTCTGCAGGGAAGGGAAAGAGTAGCGTAGAGAGTAGCCATACGTTAAAGTATTTGGCATGGGGATAATTTTAAAACAGATGTTTCCGTTTGGGGCATTTACCTGTTTAACTTTGGCGTCCCCTCATTTGATCAACCTAGTATTGTTCAGATTGACCGCTAGGGGGCAGCAGAGTATGGGAAAATAAGAGGGCCATAAACTAGACTGAAGCTGTTATCTTAAAAATAGTTCAGCAATAAAGAAATGCCCAGAAATAATGAGTAATATATCACAATCCCCTTTATATTTTTACCTACAACTTTAAAGATCTTATTTTCAATCATCATAATTTATAATATTATTAAGTAAATTATTTCTAAATTATGAATAAACTTTCCTCAAAAATTAGTATTTGAAGACACTTTTAAAAAAAGGTTAAGAAAACTATCATGACTTAATATTTCTTCTGATACTGATCAAGAAGTGGAAATTTTTTTTAAATTGTTGAAAAAAACCATTATATCATTTGAAGTCTGTAAGAATATTAATTAGATTTTGGTCTAGAAAGAATCTAATAATAGAAATTTCAGAACCATTACTATATGATATGGTTTGGCTGTATCCCCACCCAAATCTCGTCTTGAATTGTAGCTCCCATAATCCCCGTGTGTCATGGGAGGTACCTGGTGGGATATAATCGAATCATGGGGGGCAGGACTTTCCTGTGCTGTTCTCATGACAGTCAATAAGTCTCACGAGATCTGATGGTTTTATAAAGAGAAGTTCCCCTGCACACGGTCTCTCTTGCCTGCTGCCATGTAACACATCCCTTTGCTCTTTCTTCATCTTCCACTATGATTGTGAGGCCTCCCCAGCCATGTGGAACTGTGAGTCCGTTAAACTTTTTTCTTTTATAAATTAACCAGTCTTGGGTATGTCTTTATTAGCAGCATGAGAACAGAGTAATGCATTATACCTAACTTCTTCCATAAGTCATAAAGTAAAATACAGCATCTTGAACAATTTTGTTCAGGCCATAGTGCAGGATTGTAATTATTTGACTTGCATGTGACATGAGAAAAGCAATTTCATTACTTTACAATGATGTTTGGTAGATAACTGACACACAGAAGATTCATAATAAATAACCATTTCCTTAACTCTTAGTTCCCTGGGTGATTAATTGTGACATATAAGATTATGGCCCCCAAATAAATCTCTCTAGTCTTTTCAGCTCTACACAGATCTATCCATTTATTGGACAGTCCTCAATCTGATTGTTCAAAGGCATCTCAACATCAAAACGTGCCAACTGGAAATCTCCTCCTCTTCCATCCACTACCCAAGCTTTTTCCTCTACCAGCTTATATAGGCCAGAATGTAAGAAATGATCCTGGAATTTTCGTTTTTTCTCATCCACAACATCAAATCCATTTCCAGATTGTTTTAGGCAGAAACTTAATTTATTATAAAGGTTTCAGGAAGACCCCATAATTTACAGGAAGACATAAGAACCCAAGACCATGGGAACCCACCTGTTGTATCAGCATGACCTAGATGTGAGACATGGAGTCAAAAGATAAAATTTTGAAGCTTTAAGGTTTGATTGCCCCACTGGATTTTGGACTTGCATGGGGCTTATAGCCCCTTTGTTTTTACCAATTGCTCCCATTTGAAATGGGTGTATTTATCCAATGTCTGTACCCTCATTGTCTGTACCCTCATTGTAACTAGGAAGTAACTACCTTGCTTTCAATTTTACAGGCGCATAGGCAGAAGGGACTTGCCTTGTCTCAGATGAGGCTTTGGACTGTGGACTATTGAGTTAATGCTGAATAAGTTAAGACTTTAGGGGACTGTTGGGAAGGCATGATTGTTTTTGAAATGTGAGGACATAAGATTTGGGAGGGGCCAAGGTGAAATGATATGGTTTGGCTGTGTCCCCACCCAAATTTCACCTTGAATTGTAATTTCCACAATTCCCATGTGTCGTGGAAGGGAACTGGTAGGAGATTATTGAATTATGGGGACAGTTTCCACCATACTGTTCTTGTGGTAGTGAGTAAGTCTCACGAGATCTAATGGTTTTATAAGGAGTTTTCCCTTTCACTTGGCTCTCGTTCTCTCTTGCCTGCCACCATGTAAGACATGCCTTTCACCTTCTGCCATGATTGTGAGGCCTCCCCAGCCATGTGGAACTGTGAGCCCATTAAATCTCTTTTTCTTTATAAATTACCCAGTCTTGGATATGTTTTTATCAGCAGCATGAAAATGACTAATACACTTGCACATGTACCCTCTGAATCTAAAATAAAAGTTAAAATTATATATATAGAAAAAGAGTGACATGTTGCTGAGAATTTCTAGCACTGAGGAAAGTAAAAATGGGTTTAAAGGAGCTGTTAATCATTATTTCTTGTCAATGAAGACTGGTGGTATTTCTGTGTCTGTGCCCTTCCTAGTTAATCAATTATATCTGTAGAAAACATTTCTGTTGCATTGATGAGAATTTATTTCAAGATTTTTTTCTTAGGCAATTAGGCACAAATGTAACAGACTGTAGCAAGTCCTATAACTGTATTTTTTCACCAGACCAGTGTGCTTGGATTCTGTCACATCCTATTTTTCTTTGTGTTAAAGGATTCGTGAAGATGATGATTATAGGAAAGAAGTATTTTTCGTAATTATTCTTGCTTGTTAAACAGTCTCAGAGAGAGGGCTGGGTTGGGGTGGGGACAGTGATAAAGATAGGCAGAAATAAGTATGTATGTGTATGTTTAATGGATAGCCCTGCTTAAAGAACTGTATTTTTAAAAATTTTGATGACTAGAAGTATTTGGCAACAGGTAGAAAACACTTGTTTAAAATTTACAGTTAATTTCCCATCTTAGAAAACAGAGCATCAATACAGCTTTGGAGCACAGACTCATCTTCATTTTTGCAGGGAAATCAATAGAATAGCAAAATGACCATTCAAATATATTGCAATTTTACATTCTTTGTTATTCTCAAAGAAATCATGAAGTTACCAGAAATACAAATATCTACATTAAGTCTTACACTTTGGCAGTGAAATTGTAGCATTATATTGAAATGAGACTGCGTCTGAAAGCTTTTCACGTTGGGAGTAATGGTGTTGGGGAAAGCAGAGGTTAATTGAGGCAGAGAACCTGAACCACAGTTTGTAGAGTTTTATTTGGGTGTGGTGGTGGGGGTTTGCGAGTGGCTTGCACAAGATGATGAATGGACAGGATATACTAAATACTCAGTTTTTGAATATTGCTTTTTGTAAAAGGAAGTTTTTATCTGGAAATAATTTTAAAGCTACAGAAATTTGTGCAAGATTGTGCAAAGCACATTTATATTCCCTTTACCTAGATTCACCTATTTGAACTTTGCTCCATTTGCTCTAACATTTGTTCTCTCTCTCCATCTTTATCCCTGTGTATGTACTGTGGCAGGAAGTCAGGGACCCTGAATGGAGAGACTGGCTGGAGCTGTGGCAGAGGAACATAAATTGTGAAGATTTCATTTTAATATGGACATATATCAGTTCCCAAAATTAATACTTTTATAATTTCTTATGCCTGTCTTTACTTCAATCTCTGAACATAAATTGTGAAGATTTCATTTTAATATGGACATTTATCAGTTCCCAAAATTAATACTTTTATAATTTTTTATGCCTGTCTTATTTTAATCTCTTAATCCTGTTATCTTCATAAGCTGAGGATGTACGTTACCTCAGGACCACTGGGATGTATCTAACTGTACAAATTGATTGTAAAACATGTGAGTTTGAACAATATGAAATCAGTGCTCCTTGAAAAAGAACAGAATAACAGTGATTTTTAGGGAACAAGGGAAGACAACCATAAGGTCTGACTGCCTGTGGGGTCGGGCAAAAAGAGCCATATTTTTCTTCTTGCAGAAAGCCTATAAACAGATGTGCAAGTAGAAGAGATATCACTAAATTCTTTTCCTGGCAAGGAATATTAATATTAAGACTCTAGGAAAAGAATTGCATTCCTGTGGGGAGGTCTATAAATGGCTGCTCTGGGAGGGTCTGTCTTATGCGGTTGAGATAAGGACTGAAATATGCCCTGGTCTCCTGCAGTACCCTCAGGCTTACTAGGGTGGGGAAAAATCCCATCCTGGTGAATTTGAGGTCAGACTGGTTCTCTGCTCTTGAACCCTGTTTTCTGTTAAGATGTTTATCAAGACGATATGTGCACCACTGAACATAGACCCTTATCAGGAGTTTCTGATTTTGCCCTGGTCCTGTTTCCTCAAAAGCATGTGATCTTTGTTCTCCTTTTTGTCCTTTGAAGCATGTGATCTTTGTGACCTCTCCCTGTTTGTACACCCCCTCCCCTTTTGAAGTTGTTAATAAAAACCTGCTGGTTTTGTGGCTCAGAGGGGCATCATGGTCCTACCAATATGTGATGTCACCCCCAGAGGCCCAGCTGTAAAATTCCTCTCTTTGTACTCTTTCTCTTTATTTCTCAGCTGGCCAACACTTATGAAAAATAGAAAGAACCTACGTTGAAATATTGGGGGCAGATTCCCCCGATAATATACAGTTTTTTTGGAGTCATCTGAGAGTAAGTTGAGGCCTAAATATTTCAGCAATTTAACATTTTTTTGTTTATACAAGGACATAAAAATCAAGCAATCAGCAATTTAACATTGATAAAATATCTTTACCAAGTACCACCCATATTCTAATTTTGTCAGTTGACCTAGTAAGGCACTCCATTCTAGGATCACATACTTCTTTTTTTTTGAAACAGAGTCTTGCTCTGTCACCCAGGCTGGAGTACAGTGGCACAATCTTGGCTCACCGCAACCTCTGCCTCCCAGGTTCAAGCAATTCTCCTGCCTCAGCCTCCTGAGTAGCTGGGACTACAGGCACCTGCCATCACACCCGACTAATTTTGGTGGGTTTTTTTTTTTTTGTATTTTTAGTAGAGACGGGGTTTCACCGTGTTAGCCAGGATGGTCTTGATCTCCTGACCTCATGATCTGCCCGTCTTGGCCCCCCAATTCTCTTGCTCTTTAGTCTCCTTTATTCTGGAGAAGTTCTTTAGGCTTTTACAACATTAACATTTTTGAAGAATATAACTTCAACCCCCACTGCCCTCCACCCTTCTAAAAATAGGATGTTTCTCAACTTGGGTTTGTCTGAAATTTCTTCATGATTAAATCCAGGTTATGCATTCCTGACTGGAATACCATGTACAGTATATTTTGTGCATCTCATAGTATCTTATCCAGAGGCATACCTGGCCATCTGCCCTTCATTGGGGATATTAATTTTGATCACCTTGTCAGGGTCTTGTTTGATGTCTCCACTATATAGCTACTATTTTTTCTTTTGCAGCTAATAAGCAATTTCTGGGAAACACTTTAAACCATATAAGTACTACCTGATTCTCATAAAACTCCACCCCTCCTCAATTTAGCATCTAGTGATGATTGTTGCCTAAATCAATATTAACGTGACGGTTCCAAAACAATAATGTTTCAAATTTATACTCTCTTCATATGTATCAGTTAGCACTTTGCATTCTATTGTAAGAAAGAGTTTTCATTTGTCATCTATCTATCTATCTATCTATCTATCTATCTATTTATCAATCATTTTATCTATATCTGATTAGTGTGGCATCATTGATTCTTTTTCAGTGTTTTATACTTTTTATTCCCCCTAATCATATAAGGACCCAAATTGTCCCACATTCAGTCAGTAGGAGCTCATTTATGCTAGCAACATCGTTCTTATGAAATACCCCAACATTTAAAAAAACTTTCTTAATTTTTGGCATCCAAATGTGTTCCAGTTTCCTCCTGTAGTTCCTTCCCTGTCCCATGCAGGAATGAATCATTTCTTTGAATAATAAAGAAGCCCTAGTTGCTCTTACTGGATAAAGGTATTAAACACCAAGATGTGGGGCTTAGGGATGCACCTTGCTACTCAAGTGTCTTGGCTTCCAGGAATGGGCCAGTTTTAAGACACTCTACGAGACTAAAGGCTGCTATTTTAGGGCTCAAGTATAAAAAACTGAGGAAAGTGGTCACTATCTTTTTGCACAACAGCATCCTCAATTGGGTGTTAGGGAAGTGGGGATTTTTAAAGTTTAGGAAAATAGCATTCTTTAAATAGACATTCAGAATCTCAGGCAGGGCACCACGTATGTGGCAGTGGTGGAATTTTTTTAGCCATTTTGAGAGTAAAACAAGAGATGCAGTGGACCTTAGGAGACCTGGGGAAGAAGAGGAGAACATGGGGGTATGGAATGTGATTTTATTGGGTAGACTGACTTGTGTGCACACAGATGCACTTTTCTGAGGAATCCTAGGAGTAACAAGGAGACATTTTGCAAGGAGGAGATTAAGTCTTGTGCCATCAAACTAGTGAGGGCTCTGGTAAGAAAGAACTGGGAAATAAAAGTAAAAATAAATTGATTTAAAACTCATAGATCAGTGAAGCCAGAAAATACTAGAGAAACCTGAAAATACCTGTACACACACCTGTATACACACAAACACACACACACAAAATTTAAAATTCACAGACTAGTGAAGCCTATTACCTAAAAACTGTAGCCTTATAAAGAAAAGCTCAGTCCTCCTCAGAGAGTTACAAGGAAAGAGTAGCCATTTATTTAGGAATATATTTGACTTATGTGTATGCATGTAACCTTTTCTAGGAATCTGTACTTTCAACAGAGCCCAGACCCATGGCATAGGGTTAATGCCAATAAAAGTAGTTCAGTCTCTAGCTCAAAGATTAAGATTCCAATGCAAGGTTGCACTTATTCATGGTTAAATGAAGTAAAACCATTCACTGTTGTTAGGTGAACTCTTTAAACCTTCTTAAGACCCTAAGCTTCAGTATACGAACAGACTCATACACCTAGAGAAATCAAGTTGGTCTCTATTTGCACCTTGGATGACTCAGCATGAATCTATTCTTCAAGGATATGGCTTATTTAAAAACATCCCTCCGGTCCACCCCAGTTTTTGTCTATTCTTCTGTGATAGGTTTAAAACTACACCGTTTTTCTAAGGATGGGAAGGTAAGATGTTAGGTGAGTTATTGCTTATTTTAATTATTAATTTTAGACACCTAACACTGCCTATTAGCCTGGAAAATACTTTTACACTGACTAATATCAGTTCAATAAGATTTTTTCTCTAAATCATCTCAAGCTGTCTGAATCGTGAAAGAATATGAAAAGAAAAAAAATACAAATTCTGAAAACATAAGTAGTAGAAGAAATGTGTTCCTAAAGTAAGTTTAAAGCTATTATGAGGAAACTTTTCCTTAATCTTCACACTCCATACCATAGGGATTTTGAAGGTATAGTTTGAAGGAGATGTAATTTACCTCTTCCTTCATGAATAAATGAAGCATAGTTTGTCATTACTGCTAAAGTGCTGCTCAGGGGAGATAATGTAAGAAATAAAGCTCAGCCTTTGATAGCCTAATTACTTCTCAACTGTGGTGGTTATAGATGAGATTTTTCAGAAGATAAACTAACACACAAGAAAATAATTTTTTAATGATTAGTAAATTTTATATATATATCTCATTGGACTAAGTGTATTGCCAGCCATTTAATTAGGAATATATTTGACTATATTTTTAATGGCTTTCTGCAACATATTTCCACTCTAAATATATTAAAATGTGAATGTGGGAACACTTTTTAGAAAGATCAAGACGTTATAGTTAATATGGAAAAGCACTGGTAGAAAAATCACAAACTTTTATCATTTTAACTGGAGATATTTTCCCCTCCTAGAAGACTTTGAAATTGCTTCCTTTTAAAAAAATTTTTGAAAGCAGGAATTTGAGAACTTTAAAATAGTTCAAACAAGAAAGCAATGGTGAACAATTTCTCCCAAGCTGAGGCTGTGGAGCTGTGTTACAAGAACGTGAACGAATCCTGCATTAAAACTCCTTACTCGCCAGGTCCTCGATCTATCCTCTACGCCGTCCTTGGTTTTGGGGCTGTGCTGGCAGCGTTTGGAAACTTACTGGTCATGATTGCTATCCTTCACTTCAAACAACTGCACACACCTACAAACTTTCTGATTGCGTCGCTGGCCTGTGCTGACTTCTTGGTGGGAGTCACTGTGATGCCCTTCAGCACAGTGAGGTCTGTGGAGAGCTGTTGGTACTTTGGGGACAGTTACTGTAAATTCCATACATGTTTTGACACATCCTTCTGTTTTGCTTCTTTATTTCATTTATGCTGTATCTCTGTTGATAGATACATTGCTGTTACTGATCCTCTGACCTATCCAACCAAGTTTACTGTGTCAGTTTCAGGGATATGCATTGTTCTTTCCTGGTTCTTTTCTGTCACATACAGCTTTTCGATCTTTTACACGGGAGCCAACGAAGAAGGAATTGAGGAATTAGTAGTTGCTCTAACCTGTGTAGGAGGCTGCCAGGCTCCACTGAATCAAAACTGGGTCCTACTTTGTTTTCTTCTATTCTTTATACCCAATGTCGCCATGGTGTTTATATACAGTAAGATATTTTTGGTGGCCAAGCATCAGGCTAGGAAGATAGAAAGTACAGCCAGCCAAGCTCAGTCCTCCTCAGAGAGTTACAAGGAAAGAGTAGCAAAAAGAGAGAGAAAGGCTGCCAAAACCTTGGGAATTGCTATGGCAGCATTTCTTGTCTCTTGGCTACCATACCTCGTTGATGCAGTGATTGATGCTTATATGAATTTTATAACTCCTCCTTATGTTTATGAGATTTTAGTTTGGTGTGTTTATTATAATTCAGCTATGAACCCCTTGATTTATGCTTTCTTTTACCAATGGTTTGGGAAGGCAATAAAACTTATTGTAAGCGGCAAGGTCTTAAGGACTGATTCGTCAACAACTAATTTATTTTCTGAAGAAGTAGAGACAGATTAAAAACATTACTGTAGAGACCTCAAAACTAACTTGAAATTAAGGTCAACTGCAAAAATAAACACTTGGACATAGAGAGGCAAGCATGATCATATGCCAAGTTGTAGGACAATACATTCAACAGTTGTTCTAAAGCATTTGTTGTCTTCATGTATTTTGACATATTTTAGATTTAGTGATAAGTGAATAAGATTTGCTGATTCTTTTCCATTTAGCATTCTTTTATGGTTTTCTGGTTCCTTACTTTCTTCTCTGAGATTCCTACTCGTATCTTCAAATATTTTCAAGTTTTGTAGTTTCTCCCACACTCATGATCAGTGTTCAGCTGTCCAAAATACACAAAGGGGAAAGTAAAGCTCCTGCTTTACTTATAAGTTAGATTCTCTGAGGACAAAAATCTTTGACGTATATCTTGCTTGAGAAGTAGACACAGTATTATAAATTCTTGAAACTTTATTTTAATGTAAAAAGACTTTATAGAGAGCTGGAATGCAGAACTTTCTAGTGCTCAGAGATCATCTGAAAAATGCTTGAGCACTTTTATTTTCTGAACCCTGGCAGTTCTTCCTGCTCATTTTACAAAGACTGTGTTAGCAAAGAAAATGTTTAATGATTATGTGAATACACACTACATCTTACTTTTGGAGAATATAATTTATTATTGTGGAATAAGCATGTGAACAAAACGATGGTTTCTGTAGTTCTTTTTTTAGTAATTTTAAATAAAATAAGAATTTTTAAAAGCCAATTCAAATGAGCAGTTTTTCACTTTTGAGGTCTTACTTTGAACCAGATATTGTATTTGGCATTGAAATTGTATAAAGCTGAGTAATCCAAATATAACAAAGGATTGTTTCAAAATAGCAAATATCCAAATTGGTATTATACACTCTAGGAACAGCTTCAGTTTTCCCATCTGATTATACATTTCTCAATCAATATAAATTTTAATTCTTTTTAATTACAAGTATACATTAAGTGTTTCCAGCTACAGTCAAAATTTGAAAAGACAAATAATAAAATGGTTTCCCTTCTCAAATCCCTGAATCACTGCCTGAAATCTTTGTTTAGGTAGCTGATTTTCCCAGACAATTCTGTAATAGGTTTGTTTTATAAAATGAAAAGAAAAAGTAACTGAGTAAATGGAGCTACACACACATTACATATCATACATTTTATAGATGAACCAGTTTGGAAATACTTTACACAAGATTAAGCTGTTTCCTATTTGTGTGTTAATACCTTTCAAAAAGATCAGAGACTATTTAGGAGGAAAATAATTAAAGGTAAAAGAGGACAAAAGGAAGATGCAAGTCTTCATAGCAGGGTACCTATTTGTGGTTCAGATAATACTGCCAAGGAACAGCTTTATTGATCAACTTTCAAATGCTCACAGTTAAGGTCCCGTATTCTCCTTCTTTAAAAAGGAGCTCAAGAACTTGGGAGTCAGGTAATGTCTTTATAGAAATGTGAGTTCCTTCCTTCAATTCCAAGTGTGAACTTACATTAACACATAAAAAAAAGGAAAACAATTTGGGCGGACTTTAAAAATATATACCATTCCATTTACTTGTACTATGTAGAGTGTAATCTTTAGATGAACTGATTGCAGAAATAAATACTGTACAGTGATATTTCCAAGATCTATCCACATCATAATGGAGAATACACTTCCAATCTACTCTTTCTTGTTTATTTTCTTTTCCTCTTCTCATAGCGCTTAAAAAGGAAGTCTTTTGATCAAAAATTTGTTTTCCCCAAAATTAACTAGATTGTTAATGCAACACCACTCCTCTCTTCTCTACACATCATTTATTTATACAAATAAGCTATAAACTTCTTCACCAGCTGCATACCAAGTTGCTGCAGGGCCGTGGATATATTTGGAATAAGACACACTGAGGGTGGTAGTAGGCTTCACTCCGCAAGACTATCTGCAAGTAAAATCTGACTTTGGAACATACTGCTGAGCTTGGTCTCAATCCTGGAGCACTGTGGTTCCAAATTGTCTGCTTCAGCCAGTGCGAGGTTGCAGAACTATTGCAAAAAGGTAATTAATCCACTTATGTCCCAAGTGGAGGCTGTATAAATACTATGTCTTTTATGTGTATATACTGTTATAAATAATACATGTTTATTTAACAGCATTGCTCAATTTATAGTAACTTTTGTTCACATGTATTTTTCTCAATTATCTGATACTAAAAGGACAACTACTACGTTATGTGAAGCTCTTCGTGCTTCTTAAAAATATTAAAACAGAGAGTTCAGACATAGAAAGTTATAGAATAATTGCTGTAGTTTGCTCCTGTTAGAGAAACTTTATCAATTATTTAGTGGCAGGGCTGTGAATAGTCCATCAATAATTCATTATAATAGACCATCACGATCACCTAGCTCTTCTCAGAGATCTGTCAGTATAACTGGCTATTAGTGCAAGAGTTTCTTCATTTATTACTGATGTAATTGATGATTAGCTGGATTTCCTGAACTTCTCATGTGTTTGCAACCTTTTAAGATGTTATATTTATTTTTCTTCAGCTATCATGCCCTCGACTTATGTTTTCACTATTCATTTTTGATACATTGCAACCTATTTAAAGGTCAGTCTTAAAGAATGACATTTCAGAATTGCATTTGAAGAAAGCAGAAATACACTAGTGATATTAATTTGAAAATCAAATTATTTTGAAGTGAGCATTAAAAGCAACAGATATGCCCTTTGACACACAAAATGTATTCTGTTTACTATACCTAAATACTAAGTCTGTTACAGTACATCAGCAATAGTTTTTAGATTATTTTCTGCCTGTAGACAGACATATTCCTATACTTTATGAATCAAGTAATTTGATGTTTACTGACTATATTAATTTGTTATGTACTTTTCATTTGCTGCTAAGTCTTTGTTTACATTATTTCAATACCTAGCACAGTGCCTTACACTTATTAAGTTCCTAGAGATATTTTTTAAGCAAGAACAATCAATTCTTTTATATTTCTACCCATCAAATAATGATCGATTAATCTTTTATATTTAAAAACTTGGCCATTCTCTCCTTTATTTGGTTTGCTAAAATAGAAAATGCTTAATAATCAATGTTTAGGAAAAGTCCAACTTTAGTCTATTGAAAAGGTTTGTTTACCCCAATCACTAAAAGGTAATTTTTTATTTAATGAGAAAAAGTGCTAAAGCCTGTAAACTTGCAATATTGAGTTTCCTTACTTTACCTAACCTAAAGTGGAGATTCATGAAGTATATGATATCTCAGAGATTTACTGTGAGGATTGTAAATGTTAAGCTTTTTGAAAACATACACCTTCTTTTTCCTGCAAAGACTGCATACCATGCAGTATAAAGGTTCAGAGTGAGGTTGTAAAGCCACATTACTTGGGTTTAAATCTCATCTCCATCATCTGCAATCTTGGATAAGTCACTTACGCTTTGTAGATCATAGCTGCTTACCTATAAAATGGATATGATTATGGAACTTTCTTATTGAGGTTTTATGTATTAATGACCATTATGTAAAACACATCTGCAGATTTTGGAGACCAAAGAGCCAATAAGGAAACCACTATCACATAAAAATTGTTTGTGTTATGTTTTGTAAATGTTTTAACAGAAAGAAATTTATAAGGATTTTTTGAAATAGTTTCAAAACTTATATTTTTAAGATTTATTTTCTGAAATCATACAATCAAGACTGTTAACCAAAAAAGCAATGTTGGAAAAGTATTTTTTTTATTAGAAATTAGAGCTCAGGAAGAGCTCCAGAGTTCTGTTGAAAGAGCCACTTAACCGATTTGAACTCACAACATGAGCTCAAAAGTAAATTTTTCATAGAGAAGAAATTACTGTAAACTTTCCTAAGAGTTAGAGATAGTGAAAATCCAAATAAACAGTTTAAAGATTACATACACCTACACAAATAAAATGATATTTTTATAAACAGCTTGCATTGCCTTTGTATTTTGTGTGTTTTTAGAATTAGCATTTTGATTTTCTTTTCTTATTATTAATATTAATTATAGGAACTATTAATGAAGAAAAAAGCTCCAGAGAGATTATATGTTGTAAATGCTGGAGCTGGGATATTTAGATCCATGTCTGTCTATCATCAAAGCCAATGCTTTGCAAATACTATCATTGTGAATCAGTTGGAAAAAGCAACGACATTTCTTGGAAATGAAAAATTATAGACTATCTTCCCAGGTGTAACATAAGAGCTGACATTTATATTTTATTCTTATTTTATTCTGTTCAAACACACACACACACACACACACACACACACACACGTCTAATGCCAAAGGGCAAGTTTCATTATTTCCTAAGGGCAATACTAAGCTAAGCATCACAGATCACTTCAAAGATAAGAATATATAAGGTCCCTGTACTAATTCATCCTTGTTAAATTTATAAAACAGGCAAAATTCCCTGGGGAGTCCCCCAGCTACCCTGTCTCTACTTTCTCCCCTCACCTAGGAACACTCTGACATTTCAGGCTGTGTTCAAGCTGTTTGTGCTGCGTCCTTTCCCATCAGTAATATGAGCTGTTAAACAATAACTACTTGCCAAATGAATTAAATTCTTCATATGGGAGCATTAACAATAAAACATACCATTCTCAGAGGGGTTCCCTTTTAGGTTGGTAGTGGATAAAGGTACAAGAGAAATTTTAAGAGATGTTCAAAGAGTAACAGTTTGTAAAAAGAAGAAAGTAACAAGGGTGAAGTTTTAGGAAGGGAGGAGTTATTTAAATGGGACAACTTTCTGGTGTTGCTCAATTAAGACCAATTAGGCAAAACCAAAGCTTCATCTATTAGGGAGTTTGTTTTCCTCTCTTCTGTCATCTAAGGCTAAGGGAGTTTATAATGCATCTGCTGTCCGTTTTTGGCTTCCACCCACATACTGAGACAGCCCATCTGTAAACCAAGCTTGTGTTTTTCTCCTCTTTAGTTTCCTGAAGTGTGAAATGGAGGGGGTACTGCTGCAAAGGCGGTAGGTAATGGGCTCTGGGCTCATGTTGCTCACATGTTCCCACTGGCCTTGCTTGTGTTTGGTCCTACATGCATCATTTCCATTGGAGGATCCAACAAGACCTAACTCATAATAGGCAGTTACAGACACATGATAGCTTGATGTCACATGGTCAAGCGTTCCATCACTTCCTGGGCTCAGTAGCTCACCAAGAGCTATCTTTCAAAAGGTATTTATCTTCCTTACTCTAGACTCCCAGAGGACTGCACTGTGTTTCTCTCAGTGGAGCCTCCCATAAAAAATACACTGCCTCTTTTTCCACTACTAATACCTTCATCACTGCAAGGTCGTCAAATTGTGACAGTTATTCTATAGCTTAGACCCACTGTAGAGCCATCTTCTGCTCCAGGCCCCACCGAGAGCTGGAAGAATTTAGTATTATCCAGTGTATGCACCAGAGTGGTATTCCTAAGCATGGAATATATTTTCTCAAGATCCTAAAGCGGTAAACCAAGCATTGTGCTTCCTTTTTTAGCTGTAGAGAGTACTGGATGTAATCATTTGTCTTTAACTTTGGATGGGACATCTCTGACCACTATAATGAAGTAGAGAGCCCCTCAATCTGCATAGAGGCTATCTCCAAACTTCTAAGAAGCATGTATCTTTCCAAGGCCTCTAGTGTGCTATTTACAAATTGCTTATCCTGCATGATCAGCATAATGTTATCAATGTAATAAATCAATGGTATCTAAAATAGGATGCCCAAGTGGTCCAGACTCCTTTGTTGAAGAGGGATCTAAACAGTGTCACTCTCTGGGTCTGCCATAAAGACACACTACATTATGAGAACATCATTTGAGATATCATATCAAGATATCATATCAAGATAGACAACAGGTTTTGGTTAATAACACATAAAACTTACTGAAAATGTTGGTAAATATCTGATGGACATCACGCTATTACCTAAATCAGGGTTTCTGAACCAATGCCATAATGATGTGTTGCAAATGGATTACACGAAGTCCTGGAGAAACTAATCCACTCAGTACTCAGGACAATCAGACTGGGCCCAGGATGGTCAGTGCTCTTGGGCTAGTACACTCTGGCTACTGAGTCTCTTCTGATGGTTGCCCACATTGAGCAAGGTCTGACAGTGTGATGCTTTTTCCGTAGGTGCCAGGTGGAATGAGCAACCTCCATCATTTGCTGTTTTTCCACATCATGCTAAGAAAGGGATATTTCTTAACACTTTTTGTAGTTGAGTTAATTTTTGAATTATTCATTTCTCCCTGTATTCACACCCTTTGTTATATAATTTTGCAGTTCTGCCCATGTGAGGCAGAGTGAGAGCAGAAGAGACAGTGTGCAAATTCTGAGCCTAGGCCTTATGATATCCTATTTCCGTTTGCTCTCTTGAACCTCTGCCATTGCTATGAGAACATGCTCAGGTAGCCAGCAGATCCAAGGAGGATGAGAGATACGTAAGCCTTGCTACAGCATTAACCAGAGCCAAGTCCTCCCTGTCCCCAGTTGCCATAGCCTGAAGTAGAGTCAACTCAGCTCAAACGCAGATATGTGAGAAATAAATGTTTAATGTCATATATGAGTGAGAATTTGTGGTTGTTTGTTACATGCAATAGTCAACCGATAAACGCTATACTATATTTTTACTATTTCAAAGCAAAAAATTGCACCAGACAAAGTTAAAGACAAGGAAGACTTTACTGCAGACAATTGCTACAGGGGAGAAAGGCCAGAACTCAACTCATCTGAGCTCAACTTCACTGAAACAAAGGGCTGAAAAGTTTTTGAAAGTTAAGGGAGAGGAGGTTGTAGACCACTTGTGTTTGCTAATGGGCCCCACCAAAAGGGAAAGTGAACTTTCTTATATCTTCATGACAGGAGGTAGTTTTCCAGCTTGGAGCAAGGCATCCCTTGAAGTTAAGACTTCTACCTTCCTACAGGAACTGGGAAATAAGGATGTTATCATCTTTCTTGATAATTACATTTCAAAGGGATGGCTCCCAGGACCTTGAGAAAGACATTCCTGGGTTATAAAACTAGCAAGAAGCTTTTAAAAAGACTTACCTCTCAAAAGCACAGAGAAAGAATTCGTAAATACTAATTTTCTAAAGTAAATGCTCTAAGAAAGGGTGGTCAGGAGCCTCAAGTCAGGAAGAAGCCTGTCTTAAGTTTAGTCAAGCTGAGGGGAACATTAAGGTTGACTGTCTTAGTCAGTTACATTAACTATGTTATATAAAGCAAATGTATGACTTTCATAAGATGTCTTATGTTGATACCCCAAATTCCCTCTGGTTTACCCTATTGTAAGGTACATATAATAAAGTGAAAAAGATTGGGGAGCATAGACTCAAACCTACCTGTGAATAAATTATTTTCCAGAAGGAGGCAGGCTCTGGGTATGGAGACGTCCACACATTCCATGGTGACTTGAAGGTTTACCTGTCCATCATCAGCAAGGCTGGGAGTAAAGTTTATGTTGCTCCCGCAATCAATAGCTGCCATTTTCTCACTGAGCTTCTCATTAGAGCAAACCTCTTCTTCCTTTACGTGTTGACTCTTTTCTGACCATCATTTATATCAGGAAATAGAGGAAAAAATGAGAAGTGGTGCTAGAAGGTATACTTCCATAGAAGGAAGATAGTATGCCATATTGAAAAGGCAAATAAAGTGAAAGATCATGTACTAGATTCTCACTCAATAAATGTTTATTTATGGACTACTATGGATTTTGCATTGAATTGAATGTTCTAATAGCAAATACAAAAGAAATAAAATAATACTTCCCATAATCTCATCTGTGGTTGGTGAATCACCTGCAGGTGCTTCTTAAAAACGTAGCTCTCAGGCTTCCATGGAAGGCCTCCTAAACACTATCTCCTAAGGAATCTACATTTGAGCCAAATATTAGAATAGAATTATCACCAAATAAGTTGTACTTGTCTTTGTCAAACTACTCTATAAAATACATTTCTTCTGGAATGTTTCATGTTTTGGTTGTTGATTTTATTTCTTTCTTATTTTCATTCAAATGAGCGGGTTTGTTTAGTTTTAGTTTTTATTTTTCATCTATTCTCCCCTCACCCAAAGCACACATTTAGTGCCTGGTAGTTTAGTTTAGTTTAGTTTAGTTTTGAGACAGAGTCTTGCTCTGTTGCCCAGGCTGGAGTGCAGTGGTGCATTCTCAACTCACTGCAACCTCTGCCTCCTGGGTTGAAACAATTATCCTGCCTCAGCCTCCCAAGTAGCTGGGAGTATAGGCATCTGCCACCACGCCTGCTAATTTTTTTAGTTTTTAGTAGAGACAGGGTTTCACCATGTTTACCAGGCTGGTCTCGAACTCCTGACCTCAGGTGATCCACCTGCCTCGGCCTCCCAAAGTGCTGGGATTACAGGTGTGAGCCACCGCGCCCGGTGCTGGTAGTTTTGAAGTTGTCTTGATCTAGCCCTGAAGTTTCCCCAAATACGACCCTGCTCTACAATGGTGTTTTCAGTTCCTGTTCTGCTGTCATACAGGATAAGTCCCTGATCCAGGGAGTCAGCCAGTGGGTAGCTCAGCCCAGTGCCTGGTTATGAATCTGTGTCTGTGTCCTTATATCTCCCTAGACTAAGATCTTTCTAAAAGCCGAAGTCCTGGGTGGAATTGGGGCAAAATCACCTGGCTTCAGCATCCTTTCACGTGTGCTGCAAGGTTATAAGCCTCGCTCCAGCCCCTGACTTTAAGCAATGAGCATGTACTATTTCCTGTCTGCACAGAGCACTTTTATTAGACCTCTTTAAAGGAGCCAAGATCCTGGGTTCCTTTGCTGGTTCCGAAACTGCAAAACTCATACGTCCTCATTTTCAGCTCTGCTCACATGTTGTGTTTGTATCTTTTCTTGCACACAGAGAAGATGGTCTGATTTATGAACTTTGCTGTACTTTCTTCTTTTTTATATGCCTGCTCTTTCCATATTTTCATCTGGAGCACAGGGGTAGATGAATGAACTAACTGAACCATCTTGACTGAAAGTCCTAAAGAAATCTTCATCTTGTCTGGGAAGAAAATGTGGAAAAGGAAAAACCTGTTTTATCTGAGCGTGTATATTTTCTAATCTTAACTTTTTTACTTCAACCAGTTCTTTGGTCTCAAAAGGTAAGAACTTGATAGTTTTGTTTTCTAGCTTCTCTCCTGACAAATAATGCTCATCCTTCTTACTTTTCTGACTTCTGACTTCTATGCCTGAGGGGATCAAAAAACCTGGAGACAGGCATCTCACAGAGGTGACAGGAGCAGCGGGACACCGTCATCCATGGACCACATTTCTTGCCAGCAGCAGAAGCAAGTGATGCCTGTGGTAGGTAGAAAAATGCACACTCCATCCCATCCCCACCGTGATGTTCATTTTCGAATCCCTAGAACCTGTGAATGTGTTATCTTACATGGCAAAAGAGACTTTGAAGATGTGATTAAATTAAGGATCTTGGATGAGGAGATTATCCAGGATTAGCCAAGTGGGCCTAATGTAATCGCAAGTCATTAGAAGTGTAACAGGGAGGAAGGGGAGTCAGTGTCAGGGTCAGAGAAAAACTTCAAGATGCTATGCTGCTGGTTTTATGAATGGAGGAAGGGACAACAATCTAAGGAATGCTAAGAAGCTTAAAAAGGCAGGAAGGAGATTCTCCCCTAGATCCTCTGAAAGGAATGCCCACCTCTGGCAACTTGATTTTAGTTCACTGAGACCCATTTCAAATTTCTAAAATCCAGAACTCCAGTCATGTAAGACAACATGACAAAAAATTTGTGCTGTGATTAACCACTAAATTTGGGTTAATTTATTACAGCAGCAATGGGAAACGAATACAATGCCATAATCCCAAGGCGGATGCCCCATGTATGGCTACAGATACCTCCAGTGGTTCTGGTGCTTACCTAACCAATGAGCCTAGGTATCAGCAGCCAATCAGAAACATTCAGAGACTTCACTTTTCTAATACAGGACAGAGGCAGTTCATGGCCCTCTGGCTTTAAGTAACTGCGCTATTTCTACTCCCCTGAATCCAATCTCCCAGAGCTTAGATCTGTGCTTGGTTCCCTGCTTGGCAGTAAAACTTTCCCAGTTGGAACTCAGTCTCTGGTCTCATATTTTCCACTAGTTTTTCTTTAACACCCCAGAATAAAATAACAAATAATAAAACCAAATCCAAACACTAATAACAACATGAATGTTCTCTGAACCCATGTCTCTTGCTATCTATTATATAGGTCTCTTCCTTTTCACAGCTGAGCAGTATCAGTCATTGTTTATTATTTCACTTGCCTTCCTTCTCCATTCTCATTCATTCTCAATCCACTGCCATCTAGATTCTGTCTAACATTCCATCAGAAGTCCAGTCATGCTCATCATTAACCTGGTTGTTAATGACAACAAACAATTCTCAGTCTTCATTTAACTTGACACACCTACAGCATTGGACACTCCTGGCTATGCCTCCCTTACCTGAACCTCTTTCTTTCCACGACATCTATGGGACCACTTTTTCCTGTTTTTCTATCTGTATTTCTGGCTACTCTTTCTTTTTGCAGGCATAACTTTGAACTTGGTGCTCCTCTGTTCCTTCTATTTTCACTGTGCACACTCTAATCCAGTCAACAAATACTGAGTAGCATCCTACAACTCTATAAAACACATTTCTTCTGGAATGTTTCATGTTTTGGTTGTTGATTTTATTTATTTATTATTTTCATTCAAATGAGTGGGTGTGTTTAGTTTTAGTTTTTATTTTTCTTCTATTCTCCCCTCACCCAAAACACACATTTAGTGCCTGGTAGGTTTTTTATTTTTATTTATTTTTATTTTTTTCATTTAACTGGACACATTTACAGCATTGGACATCCTGGCTATGGGCACCAGGCAATCAAATTTCTTTCTATGGTTTCAAAACAGCAGAATGTGAGCAACCCCAAATGACTGTTTCTGGCACAGTTTCTTTCCTGAGCTGAAAACTCATAGGCTAAATTCCCTACTGAAGGACTCCAGTGTTATGTCCCTCTGACCAGTCCAAACCTAACCCATCATCTTTCTTTTCTAGACTCACTCTTTCTCCTGCTTACTGTATCCTGCCTATTGGCAAGTTGAAAACCTGGGAATCATCCTTGACTCTTACCTGCATCATGCAGCTCTGAACCCTGAATGCTTTTGGTCTTTAAATTGCATGTATCACATTTCAGAATATAGAGAAGCAAGGTTACTCAGTAAGAGTAGGGTGAGATCAAGTTAGGTTTGAGAATTAAAGGAAAGGTAAAATAGCATTGCCAAAAAGAATTTGGTAGATGATCAACTGAATGATTGTTTTTATGTCACACCTTTAATACATGTATTAATTTATTTCTATATATTTTTAGTACCTTTATCCTAACTGGCATATCATATCTGTATTTTCAAGTCCTATATATACTGCTGTGGAGGAAAAAGGTCTTTATCATTTCCTACTTAGTAGGTGCCATATAGGATCAAAATTAGCTATTTTTTTCCCCCAGGCCTGAAATTCTTTTTATGGAGCTTCATTCCTTAATCTCGCTTCTTAATCCCCTAAATTACTGTTAGTATTATGGGGACAAGCCTGTATGTCAAGAAAGGCTGTTATTTTCAGAACTGCCTGGACCTCAGCTTCTACACCCTCTTGTCTGGAAATTTCGCAGTTACCTCCACATGGGGTATTCTTTGCCTCATCATTGAGCTGCTATTACAAAGAGATAATTTAATATCTGAAATGAAACAGGCAGTTATTCCATGGGCATATGACTGGGGCAGCAGTGCAGAGACCTACTATTAGGGTTTCATGCTCATAGTTGCTGTCTTGAATTTCTGTCTTTGAAATTCAAATGTGTGTGTTGTTAAGTGAAGAGACAATGGAGCATGTGCTGGGTGCTTGGAACTTCAGACCACTAGTAGTCTTGCATTACACCTTGTTCCTTCTTCCCTGGGAGGGGTATTCAGCCTCATGTTCCCCTGCCCCCTGGCACCTTGGGCTCCATCCAGTCTCCTCCTACCCGCTCTGACCAGGGACCACTGCCATCCTCTTTTCATCCCTGCAGAGGACTGGATGCATCACAGGGAGAGTTGCAGCCAGGCACATCCTCCACAGTCTCAGGGCTAGGCATAGACTGTTGCCTCCATCTCCCGCTGGCAGCGTCACAGCACGTTTGATGAGCTCCTCAGCAGGGCCAAGCCCCTCATGAACCCCAATCCAGGTATCAAGTGCTTTCTGCTGTGCAGGTTGTAATCCCTTGGGGGTCATTGGTCTGCCTTTTGTTGAGGTAGCAGGCCTGTGAGAAGGGCAAATCCCTGGCTCAGCTTCTCACCCCCATCCTGACTATGGCATATTACTTCAGCAGCTGGTAGGAGGGGGAATCTGGCAGTGGGTGGACCATGTGCAAGCTGAGTTGCAAGGCAGGGAATGCAGACACCTGTGAGAGTCCTCACTTGCCCTGCAAATACCTCTTTGTCCAAGGGCATTCCATAGCAAATATCGAACACTATGACAGGCCAAGAAAGACCATAAAAGAAAGGTAAAAGCTTTCTATTTCAGTACCTTTAATGACACTTTTTGTCCATACTTTTGAACAAGGGTCTCTGCATTTTATTTTGTGCTGGATGCTGCAAATTATATAGATAGTCTTGTAAATAAGGAATAGGTAATACTATTGTCAAATCTTGGGTTAGGCTATTTCAGGACAGTTGAACTTAAAGAAATCTCATGGTTATGAAAATCATAAGTGTTTCTACCAAGTTGCAGAGCACAGAGAAACAGTTCTCCTATTGTAGGTGAACTTATTAATTATAATTATCAAAAGTGGGATTCATTTCATGATTCACACCTTACACTATGGGGATTCCTTGTGAAGAATTTATAATGGGTACAATGGATTGGCTGGCTTCCTAAAATGTCCTAGGAGATGGAAGCTTATTAAAAGGTGACTTCTCAAATATGTAATTATATTATACATGATCGTCCTTTGAAAAGAAGGATTCACATGTATATAAAACCAGGTATTTAAATTACATTTCTTCAATTACTTGGTTAATGTGATTACTCAGCTGATGAAAATTCATAGTAGATTTGCTTGGGGTTAATGACGAGGTTTAGACATAGCGACAGAAATAATTATGAGATTAAAGACAGAATTATCTTTTATGTTTTTGAATTTAATTTCTCTTTATAATTAAAATTGAAAAAGAATATAATATGAAACAAAATTTGTAAGTACTCACATATGCAGTTTGTTTTTGTTTTAATTTTCAGAATTCAAAATTATAATTCCCTATCACAAGGAAGGACAGAAATAGCAAACAACAAACAGCAGAACCATGACCAGCAATTTTTCCCAACCTGTTGTGCAGCTTTGCTATGAGGATGTGAATGGATCTTGTATTGAAACTCCCTATTCTCCTGGGTCCCGGGTAATTCTGTACACGGCGTTTAGCTTTGGGTCTTTGCTGGCTGTATTTGGAAATCTCTTAGTAATGACTTCTGTTCTTCATTTTAAGCAGCTGCACTCTCCAACCAATTTTCTCATTGCCTCTCTGGCCTGTGCTGACTTCTTGGTAGGTGTGACTGTGATGCTTTTCAGCATGGTCAGGACGGTGGAGAGCTGCTGGTATTTTGGAGCCAAATTTTGTACTCTTCACAGTTGCTGTGATGTGGCATTTTGTTACTCTTCTGTCCTCCACTTGTGCTTCATCTGCATCGACAGGTACATTGTGGTTACTGATCCCCTGGTCTATGCTACCAAGTTCACCGTGTCTGTGTCGGGAATTTGCATCAGCGTGTCCTGGATTCTGCCTCTCACGTACAGCGGTGCTGTGTTCTACACAGGTGTCAATGATGATGGGCTGGAGGAATTAGTAAGTGCTCTCAACTGCGTAGGTGGCTGTCAAATTATTGTAAGTCAAGGCTGGGTGTTGATAGATTTTCTGTTATTCTTCATACCTACCCTTGTTATGATAATTCTTTACAGTAAGATTTTTCTTATAGCTAAACAACAAGCTATAAAAATTGAAACTACTAGTAGCAAAGTAGAATCATCCTCAGAGAGTTATAAAATCAGAGTGGCCAAGAGAGAGAGGAAAGCAGCTAAAACCCTGGGGGTCACGGTACTAGCATTTGTTATTTCATGGTTACCGTATACAGTTGATATATTAATTGATGCCTTTATGGGCTTCCTGACCCCTGCCTATATCTATGAAATTTGCTGTTGGAGTGCTTATTATAACTCAGCCATGAATCCTTTGATTTATGCTCTATTTTATCCTTGGTTTAGGAAAGCCATAAAACTTATTTTAAGTGGAGATGTTTTAAAGGCTAGTTCATCAACCATTAGTTTATTTTTAGAATAAGTTTAAGCACTAAGTTGAGAAAATTAAGAATATTTTTAAAATTATGAATTTATAAGGAAATTAAATATAAGAAACAAATAAAACTTTTCAAAATTGGAGAAATATATCACTTTTCAAATTAACCAGGAAAAAGGTCACAGGAAGATTAAACTATTAAACTATTGTAAAGATATTGACTACATTAAATAATAAATGATAAAGTGGTTCACACATGTCACTTGTCTCTATGTTTTGTACACATCCTTGCCACATGCACTTGTTTTTTCCGATTTACTGAATTCTGAATTGCATTTTTGGATGTGAAATTTTGAATCATCTTTTTTTTTTAATGCTCAACTTTCATTTATTTTCAAGTGGACTTTTTTTCTTTTCTTCTCTTTTCTTTTTTTTTTTTTTTTTGAGATGGAGTTTTGCTCTTGTTGCCCAGGCTGGAGTGCAGTGGCGTGATCTCGGCTCACTGCAACCTCCGCCTCCCAGGTTCAAGCGATTCTCCTGCCTCAGCCTCCTGAGTAGCTGGGATTACAGGCACATGCCACCATGTCTGACTACTTTTTGTATTTTTTAGTACAGATGGAGTTTCACCATGTTGGCCAGGCTGGTCTCGAACTCCTGACCTCAGGTGATCTGCCCACCTCAGCCTCCCAAAGTGTTGGAATTACAAGTGGCCATTCTTTAAGTGTCTTTTGCAACACTGTATTAGTTGGCTAGAGCTGCATTCTTTAAGTGGTTTTTGTATTATTTGGCTAGGGGTGCAATAAGGAAGTATCACAGACTGGATGGCTTAAACAACAAAAGTGTATTTTCCCATGATTCTACTGTCTGGAAGTCCAAGGTCTAGGTGTCAGCAGGGTGAATTTCTTTTGAGGGCCTCTTTCCTTGACTTGCAGATGGCTGTCTTCTTTTAGTGTCCTCACCTGGTCTTTCTCTGTGTGCGTGTGTCCTAAACTCCTCTTCGCATAAAGATAAGCAGTCATATTGGATTATGGTCCACCCTAATCACTTCATTTTGACTTAATTATCTAGACTTGAGTACTAGGGGTTAGAGCTTCAACATATGAATTTGGGGTAACAATTCAGTTCATAACAGACACAGTCCACGTGGGATGATACTACCAAAGGGTCTGTTTATTTGCTGCTCTTCTGTGACTATTCCTCCCGGTTTCTTTAATGATTGTGCCTTCCAGGAGTTTGGGAGGCAGCAGGTAAGCCTCTCCTGCTTAATGGCTGGGCAGAATCTTAGCATGCTCACCCATAATATGGTGGAACCCATAATTCAGCCTTGGGATCAGGAAGTAACTATAGACATTGCCCAGAAATGTTTCATGTGAAAAAATCTACCACAAAAAGGTTGGCACAAAGATTATTAGCAAATGGAAATTGTGCAAGAATAACCAATGATCACCAGTAGTTGTTATTTCTATGTCAACTTTTATCTCCTGAAAATAATGTATAACTTGCTTCCACAACTTTTCTTAATAGTTTTTCTCACACTAAAAATAATGTGCATTTCACTACCTGAGTGTTGCAGAGTCAAAATTCTATGCTAATACTGTAAAAAAAAAGTGTATTAAAATAGTATAAACAATGTGTGCTATAACTTTACATTTTACTCTCTGGAAAAGTTTATACTTGGTTCAATAGAAGTCATTTTGGAATTCATATCTAGAGTATTCTGTATAATGCTTTTGTTGGTACCATGTGATAACCTTTTTGGGCATAGATGGCTGAATTAGAGTTGGACAGGTGATTTTAGGAAAACTCTTCAATAGGCTTGGTTAAGTCCATCACATCATCACTCAAAAGAGTAAGAACTGAAACACCAAATCCGTTAATACTGAACTTTAGAATGAAGGCTGCTGTATCTTGCCTAAGTTTTATTTCTCTGAGTTTTAAGTGGTCATTGTTTCTTTTATTACTGTGACAAAAACCATACTTATCACCAAAACATATTTAGCACATACTTAGAGATGAAACATTTGAAGTGTATCTTTTAGGCTCCAGCTAAAGACAAGATGGTCCAATATTTTCACATTGCTAGTTAACACACCTAGATGAGAGAAAAATCAATATAGAAATTCAAAAATAGGAATTTAAACTATTATTTGCAGGTAATATGACTGAAAATAAATTTGTCTGTCTGCCTTATTACCGTTGAGAACTAGTCCCAGACATCAACAACTCTTACCCTGATGTAGAAATAGATTACAAGAAATACATTTTTCTGTAATTATTTAGTTTACTTAAGATGCAAAATGTACTCAGTGACCTTGAATTATAAAATATATATCACCAAAGAAAATTTTCTTACTACATTTATTTAAAAAAATTCCTATGTGGGACATCTTCTTCCGGTAATGGTAGAATAGGTTACTTATTCCATTCTCCTAGTGAGAAGATTCAGGAAATCTGGAAAAAGTGTTTTAAAAATCTTTAAAATATCAGAAAGATATAAAGGCAGTCAATAATTATTTAAGATCCAGGGAAAAAGGAAATTCAGAGAGGTGAATCTAAACTTTAGGGCCAATACCAAAAGGGGCATCTGAGAAGATGAAGAGTGAAGCAGAGCTTTTAAAAATTATTATTATTTCAATAGTTCTGTGGGTACTGGTGGTTTTGTTTACATGGATAAGTTCTTTAGTGGTGATTTCTGAGATTTTAATGCACTCATCACCTGAGCAGTGTACATTGTACCCAGTATGTATTCACCCCCCCCAACCTTCTCCCCTGAGTCCCCAAAGTCCATTATATCACTCTTAAGCCTTTGCATTCTCATAGCTTAGCTCCCATTTAAGTGAGAACATACAATATTTGGTGTTCCATTCCTGAGTCACTTCAGTTAGAATAATGGCCTCCAGCTCCATCCAAGTTGCTGGAAAAGACATTATTTTGTTCCTTTTTATGGCTGAGTGGTATTTCATGGTGTATATGTACTACATTTTCTTTAACCACTTGTTAGTCAGTGGGCACTTAGATTGGTTCCATATCTTTGCAATTGCAAATTGTGATGCTATAAACATGAGTGTGCATGTGTCTTTTTCATAAACTGACTTCTTTTCCTTTGGGTAGATACCCAGTAACGGGATTGCTGGATCGAATGGTAGTTCTATGTTTAGCTCTTTAAGAAATCTTCGTATTGTTTTCCATAGTGATTGTACTAATTTACATTCCCACCAGCAGTGTAAAAGTGTTCCCTTTCACCACATCCATGCCAACATCTATTGTTTTTGACTTTTTAGTTGTGGCCATTCTTGCAGAAGTAAGGTGGTATCTCATTGTGGTTTTAATTTCCCCGATGATTAGTGATGTTAAACAATTTTTCATATGTTTGTTGGCTGTTTGTACATCTTCTTTTGATAAATGTCTATGCATGTCCTTGAAGCAGAGCTTTTGACAACCTGATAGGGTTAGTGGGAAATGATTAGATTTTAGAGTCTAACAAGAAAAATGAGCCCAGGCAGCACCGACCACTAATGGTTTTTGTTACAGTCTGGAAGACTACTATTCTCTAAACATCAGGGTAAGACTTCACTTCAGATAGTCTCAATGTCTATAATGGAGAAAAGGATTATCCCAGATTGTTGTTTTTTTCTAGCCACACACCACAAGTAAAGGCACATTTTCTCTGGAGAAGCATAATATCTCAGTTCTCAAGTTATTACATCAACTTTTCATATAGAATGTCTCAACTCAATTTAAACAGGAAAAAGGAGAAAAGATAATATCATGAAAATCAACAGAAATGGTGGAAAAAAGTTTAAAAACCAATGGGAAATTCATATTATGCTTTACAGTAACTAACTTGATTACCTTTAACAGTTTTTAATATAACAAAGCTGACCACATTCAAGGAAATAATCATGTTTGGAAACTGTAAACCATTTTTAAAAATCAAAGTTCTAGATCTGAAAATTACTGCTCTCTGCTTCTCAAGCCACAAAGAATCCAGACATTGGTTATGTAGAGGTCTACAAATGGGTTATACAAAAATAGTATCTATGTGCTGTCTGTCTCCTACCTCCTATCTCTCACAGGTCAAAATTCATGCCACAGAAAGTTTGTCCCCTGAAACTGTAGGGTATCTTCATTTGGCCACTTCAATAACCTTTGCAAAAGTGAATTCCCACACCACTTGAGTCTTGAAGTGATGGGAGAAACTAGTCTCTGGGCATTGGCCACAAACCATGGACCCTCATGCCACTAATGGGTTTGGTGTCCTCAGGGGTGTCTTAGAGTAAGCAGTAAAGTGTTAATCAGAGAATACGAAGATGCACAAATACGATGGTCTGATACAAATGCCCATGGGACAAGGAAGAAATCAAACTGAAAATTAGAAAATATTATTAATTGGATGATAAAATAAGACAAATAAAATAAAATAGCAAATAACAAAAATTGTAGAATGCAAGGGAGAAATTTCTGATTTGGACTGTGATGACACCGCTTGATCAAACCATCTCCCCCACTTAGGACAATTATAAAAGCTCAACTGAACACATAGAACAACTGTTTAAAGTATTGGATAGCAACTATGACAGCCTAGAATTGTTGGACAAAATTCTAGAGAGAAAGGAAGCACATTGAAGTGAGCTGGGCCTTCTGCAAAAATTCTTATATTCACAACAGCATCTATTCTTGCTGTGACACGTACAGGCTAAGCAGAAAATGGTGTCCTAAACCAGTCAATAGTCTCCAATTGCTGTATGGAAAAAATTTGTAGTTTAGGGACCAAAGAAGCCAGTGTTTAAGAAACCAACACTCAGGAGAAGGGAGAATAGCAGAGAAGTGAGGGCAGCATCCCGTGTTGCTTTTGCCCTTGGACATTTTTCCGAATTCTGAAATTCTCTGTGGCTAAGAACCCAAGAAACAAAGAAAAATGCAATTGCTAAGAAGCTAAGCACGACTTTGGCAGTCTCTTGTAACTGGAGAGGCAAAAATTGGAGTTCAGGGGCTGCTGCAGAGAAAAGACAAAGGCAAACACCCCAGGATTCCAATTGAGACCTCTTGCGGGAAGGTATCAAAGTGGTAGCACTTTTTTTTTTTTTTTTAAACGGAGTCTCGCTCTGTCGCTCAGGCTAGAGTGCAGTGGCATGACCTTGGCTTACTGCAACCTCCGCCTCCTGGGTTCAAGTGATTCTCCTGCCTCAGGAGTGCGCCACCACACCTGGATAATTTTTGTATTTTTAGTAGAGATGGGTTTCACCATGTTGGTCAGGCTGGTCTCGAACTCCTGACCTCATGATCCACCTGCCTTGGCCTCCCAAGTGCTGGGATTACAGGCGTGAACCACTGTGCCCAGCTTAAAGTGGTAGCATTTTAAACCTCATGGTTACTATATATGATGATTGATTCATTCGTTGGTTCTCTTTGGGGTTTTATCATACCTTCCTATGTTTATGAGATATTTTCCTAGTTTGGTTACTCTAACTGTGTTCCAAATACTTTGATTTACGCTTTATTTTACCCTTGGCTTAGGGGTGCAATAAAACTTATTATAACTGGACAATATGAAAAGACAGTTTATCAACCATAAACTTATTCTCTAAATCAGCCTAAATTTGAAATTAAGGAATTTGTGATATAATGAGAATTTTCCAGCAATAATGATATGAAAAACAGTGTGTGAATATAATACATTATTTGGAAAGATGAATGGTACTTCAATTTTAATTGCATAAGCTTTATACTTTTATTGTTTTGTTGAAGTGGACATTTTTAAGCATTTGATAGAAACATATTTACTAAATGATCGTTAATACAAGGTTCGTATTTCCAGTTTCTGCAAATCTGCCACTTCCCTACTTTGTCAGTTGTTAGTTATTTTCCTCCTCCAGACCTTCATTTCATACTTAACTTCTGTCACTTTCAAAGGTTTCCTGGTTCCCTAGTCCCTGTGTAAGTCTTGCCCTCTATGTCTTTCTCTAGATTGGATTTGCCTTGCTTTCATTTTCAGAAGCTTATTTCTTGGGGTCCAGTTTTTCTGCAGCTTCTAACAGGCCTCTGAGCTTTATACATCAGCCATTACAGGCCCAGGACAGAACTCATATTTTATATTTTGGAGATGTTTCACAAATGTGGAAATAGCCTTGGTTCAATTTCTGCAATGGTGATTTTTATGGGATAGTTTTTCGCATCGCATACGGGTTGTTATTTTATGTTTCAGTCATAATATAAGGCATTTTGCTGTCTTTTTTTTCTGTAAACACTATCCAAAGTTTGCACATTGTTGATGATGAAAATAATAATGTATTTTAAATTATAGGAAAAGAATAGTTTATTCAGGAAATGATGATTGGACATATGGTTTTTTGGAAAAATATTGCTAAGCATCTTGTCTCATATCATTTACAAAATCAAAGCTGATTTCTTCTAGAGGTTACAAAATTAGAAGAAAATATTGCTTTCATAATTTTCTATTGTCAGAATCATAACAGAAAACCCTAATTGTCATGTGCTCAATTTAAATATCTTAAACTTCGAGACAAAAATTAGGGAAGAAAAGAGAACTTTTGAAAAGCTATGGATAGCATGCTTAATGGAACAAGAATACACCATGGAATACTATGCAGCCATAAAAAAGAACAAGATCATGTCCTCTGCAGGAACATGGATGGAGCTGGAAGCCATTATCCTTAGCAAACTAATGTGGGAACAGAAAACCGAATACAGCATGTTCTCACTTATAAGTGGGAGCTAAATGATGAGAACACACAGACACAAAGAGGAGAACAACAGACAATGGGGCCTATTCGAGGGAGGAGGGTGGAAGGAGGGGGAGGATCAGGAAAAATATCTATCCAGTACTATGCTTAGTACCTGGGTGACAAAATAGTCTGCATATTAAACCCCCGTGACACAAGTTTACCTGTATCACAAACCTGCACATGTGCCCCTGAACCTAAAATAAAAGTTAAAAAAAATAAAAAGAAAGAAAAGCCCGGTGTGATAGCTGACGCCTGTAATCCCAGCTCTTTGGGAGGCTGAGGCAGATGAACCACACTTGAGCCCAGGAGTTCAAGACCAGCCTGGGCAACTTGGTGAAACCCTGTCTCTGTAAAAAAAATTTAAAAAATAGGCCGGGCACGGTGGCTCATGCCTGTAATCCTAGCGCTTTGGGAGGCCGAGGCAGGCAGATTGCCTGAGCTCAGGAGTTCGAGACCAGCCTTGGCAACACAGTGAAACCCCGTCTCTACTAAAATATAAAAAATTAGCCCGGTGTGGCAGCATGCACCTGTAGTTGCAGTTACTTGGGAGGCTGAGGCAGGAGAATTGCTTGAACCTGGGAGGCAGAGGTTGCAGTGGGCCGAGATTGTGCCACTGCACTCTAGCCTGGGCGACAGAGCGAGACTTCATCTCCAAAAAAAAAAACAAAAACAAAAACAAAAGCAAATAAAAACAAAAAACAAAACTTGAAACACACAATTTGCTTGATTCTGCAGTTCTATTTCTAGCAATTAATCCTAGGAAAAGAGCCTGGCAATTAAGCACACATTACAAGCATATTTGTTGCATAACTCTTAACTATTAATTGGGAAAAACCTACATCAATATGGAATAAATTAAATAAATTGTACTTTATGTATGTAACGGAATGTTATGAAGTCCTTAAAAAGTGCTAAGAGTTCCTGTACAAACTTACATGTGAAGACAATCACAATATTTTTTTTTACTAAAGACAAAACAAAAAACTCTAATATAGCTTACAAAACAGTATATATAATACAGCCCCTATATATGTAATGTATGTTCTTATATGCATTCTTACAAAGTCTCATCTTATGTATTACAGGCAGTGTGTATGTGGGTGGAGGAGGGAATAATTACTTTGTAAATTATCTCGTTTGTGATAAAATAATATGTTAAAATTGATAAAGCCATTTCACATATCTCAGTTCTGATCTGAGCATTGAAATAAGGGTTATCTGTTTGTCTGTTTTCATTCAAGGAGAATATCTTTTGAGTATGTATCTGTGGCATATAGCTTTTTAACATATGAAATGAAATAATAGCTGCATTGGTATATTTCAGAAACTACATTTTAAAGGCATTAATGTATCTTAGGAATTACATCTTAATTTATTAATGTATTATAAGTGTTATTTTGCAGCAGGTCTATCAGATCTTCCAACTCTTTCTTCTAAAAGTTAATTATGTGCTATATTCAGGAGTGACAGAAGCTACCAGGAGTCATTCCCAAATCCATTTCCTCCATGAACATGTGGCTAGTTACACAGTAAGAATTAATTCAAGAATTTTGTTAATATGGTAAAATAAAGGCCAAATAGCTCTAGGAACAGAATAGTGAATAGGTAAGGTTTTCTGTAGAAGGTAGGATATCTTATAGTGTCCCAATTCCCATTAGCACAGCGACTTGAGTTGTATCCTGAGAGTCATCCTGACTAGATGTGGGAGCCCATTTGGAGTTTTCTCAGATGTCTCATACTGTGAATGTCTGATTGAAAACCCAGGGCATAGAGTTAGGACTGTGACCCTGTAACAATACTGATTGAAGTGTTAAAATGGCACCTCAGTAGTCATACCTGATTTCAGAAATATCAGAGTACTACGAAAGAGTGTATTTGGAAGAGTTTTACACAAGGTTTGTAATTACATGGATAGATACAGGGTGATTGGCATAGGAAATGAAAACCAAACAAACAAAAGCAAAGTTGGGCTTTTAAAGTCACTGACTGTCAGGAAAGGACTTAGAGCAAAAGCATGGAAGGCAATATTTTTTAACAGCCCCCATCTTAGACCTGACATTTCTTTAAAAACTTAATGACTTCCTAGCAATAGAAAGAAGGCTAAGCCAGCCCATCAGCACTAGCCACAGGATTCAGAGACCTGTGGCTGAGACATATGCATTGGAAGAGGAAGACTTCACAACAAGGCTGGAAGGAAAACTTGCCTTCTTGGAGGTAAAATGCTGCTAAGTGTGCTCCTTAAAGTTAGGGAAATGCATTCCTCAAGACAGACCACAAAGAGTACCCACAGATAATAATGTGGAGGTCAAGTCCACTGGAACTTGGATGCCATCCTGGGGAAAAGGAGTAAACCCTAAATGTACTGAGATTTAT
Organism: Homo sapiens; assembly: GCF_000001405.40. Taxonomy (NCBI): domain Eukaryota; kingdom Metazoa; phylum Chordata; class Mammalia; order Primates; family Hominidae; genus Homo; species Homo sapiens. The sequence goes on from NC_000006.12 coordinate 132,562,796, forward strand.
TTATTGTACCCAAAGGAATGCAAGCATATAAGCAAATTTAAGTGAATTGCAGAAAAGTAAATTACATTCATAGCATACCTGAGTGTGTGATACCAAAGATTTGTACCTATCATCAAGTATATTTTTGTCCTCTCTCCTCCCACACACTGACCTTTGCATAAATCCAAACTGCTTGGAGAATGAACGCAGGTGTGGTCAGTTTTAATCTTGTGCACGTTTCTCATTTATTCCATGCTGCTGCCTAAACAATGCCTGTGTTACAACAACACAAGCCTTCTTGCCAATCCTGACAATGCATGACACCTCCTCTTCTCCAAGACTTGACACACACACTCTTCTCTCTTTCTTGGTTAAGTTTTCCGTGTTTTTACCTTCAATTTGTCTCCTCAGCCAACTAGACCCAACTTTAAGTTCACCTCATTGTTATATTTTCTCCATACATTCTTGGAGAAAGTGTGTATTGCTCCATTATTTTGTTATTCCACTGTAGAACACGTCTAGGATGCTGGACTCCCCTCATAAGTTTATTTCATACAGTTGTGGTGAAGGTCATATTTCCTGGTCCCTCCTGCACTGGATGAGCATATCTTAGATGATAAATTCTCTCAAGCATTCAAGTTTCCCTAAGTATTTGGATGCCTTTCTTGACAACAAAGAAAAGAAGTTCTGACCTTTCATCTTCTGTTGGTATTACATTTGGATCCATATTTCAATCATCTGACCAAGCAATCTGTTGGAGCTCTTCCTAGCTCCTTGAACTAAAATATTTAATATAGACTGTCTGCGTAGTGGGTTCATATCAATATATTCAGCTCAATCCAACTTTACATTCTTTCCATATTGGTATTATATGGTTTAGATTCAGTCCCATAGATAGTTTTCAGGTTTCTGCTAGTATATATTGTCAAAATCATCCAACTTTTTTGATTTGCGTTGTACCTCCTGATGGGTCACACTATGTACCTCTCCTATTTGGACCGGAGACTGACTGTAAGTCAGTCTAAAAGCAAGAAAAGGTATTAAGAGTAGGTTCTGAGGAAGATCAGCAGTACGTTGTAAGGCAACTACCTCAGAAGAGGACATTATAGATTCTTTACCTGAGAGGAGACTGACCTCCTCAGACAGGGCTGAAAAGGCTGCCTCGACTGGCAGAAGAGGCTCGACCCAATTTAGGAGTTCGAGGTTCCCAGTTTTATAAACATCTGTCTATATGTCACCATAGTAATTTTCAGAACCCCTTTCCTTCTAAATCAGTTCCAGGATTTTAATAAAAGAGACCCTGGGAATCTGGAAACTGAGTTCACTTTGTAATTCAACCACCTACAAAATTAGACTTTGGGTTTAATATTCAGAAACATATCCCTGTGGCAATAAGAGATAGGAGATTCTTTCAGTGCATTCATAGAAGCTTTCATGTCCTCCTAGCCTATAAAACTTACCCTTTTCTTTCCCCAAGTTCTCCAGAGCAGTTAAAAGTAACTAACCAACCCATTATACTCCTCACTTTTGTTAAAATGTTGTATGGCAGCAAACCCATGGTCCCCCAGAGCCTTTTCTGTAAGCATTTGACTATAAGTGTCTACAGATGATACTTTGAGTAAATGTTTTGCCGCTGTATGCCACAGAATACCAGTTCCCTATCTATCACTGGAAACAGAGTCAGTAATACCTTTAAATATGCTTATACCAGATAATCGATTCCAGAAAACCAGAACCTATTCAGAGATTTCCTCTTAACATTCAGTTCCTGTGGAACATTGTTCTTTTATCATTATATAATGTCCCTCTTTATTTATTAAAGTACTATTTGTGTAAATTTTACATTGTCTGCTATTTATATAACCATACCTGCTTTTTAAATGCTTATTATTATAGTATATCTCTCTCAATTCTTTTTTTTAAACTGTCTGTATTTAAAATGTATCTCCTGTAGGCAGTATATAGTTAGGTATTGCTTTTTTAATGCACTCTGAAAATCTCAGCTTATTAATATATATACTTATTTATATATTTATACACTTAGTATATTTATATATAAATATATATTAATAAGTATATATTTATACTTATTAAAATAATATATATTTATATATACATATTATATAAATATACTTATTAATCTATATTATATTTTATATATAAAGTACTGCTATTAAATATATATAACATGTATTTCTGATGTAAGTAATCTCATATATTTGGGTTGAATTCTATTTTCTTGCTATCTGTTTTTCATTTGTGCCTTTCGTATTTTAATTCTGTTTCTCCTTTCTTGTCTAATTTGGGCTACTTTTAGTTTCCGTTGCTTTTCTTCTATTGGCTTCTTAACTATGGAGAGATGCAACGTGGTTATAGGTTAGTTGACTCAATACTTAAGATGCCCAGTTCTTCAGTGTTATCAGGAAAATGTAGCAATCCTGAATATGCATGCACCTAATTGCAGAGCATCTAACTTTATAAATCATAAATGACAGAACTAAAAGGATAAATGAACAAATTTACCTTAATCAGATATTTTAGCACCTCTCACTCCATAATTCATTTATAGACTCAATTTTATACCAACAAAAATTCCACAGGTTTTTTTGAGCAGAAATCGGCATGGTGATTTTAAAATTTATATGAAATCTCAAAAGAAATGGAATGGACTAAAGAATTTTGATAAAGGATAGCAAAGTGGAAGCCTTATATTAATACAACCTGACTTACTAGAGGCCAGGAGCAGTGGCTGACGCCTGTAATCCCAGCACTTTGGGAGGCTGAGGCGGGTGGATCATGAGGTCAGGAGATCGAGACCAGCCTGGCAAACATGGTGAAACCCCGTCTCTACTAACAATAAAAAATTAGCTGGGTGTGGTGGCACATGCCTATAGTCTCAGTTACTCAGAAAGAATAGCCTTTTAAAGAAATGCTGCTGGAATTGCTGAATATTCGTATACTACTACTATGGCTACTACTAAACCCCAAACCCTTCCTCACAACACATTCAAAATTAATATGAAATTAGATCTAAACATTAGAACTAAAATTGTAAAAATTCTAGAGGGAGCATAGAAGAAAAAGTTGGGATAATCGGGACAGGCAAAGATTTCTTAGAAAATAAACAAAGTCAATAACCATACAAATTAGTTAAATTTTTTGAAAATTAAAACCTTCTACTTTTCAAAAACACTGTCAAGGGACTGAAAAGTAGACATTTACAGCATGTATTTGGAAATAAGATATATCCAGTCAACTCAATAATAAAAAATAAAATTCAGTGAAAAATGAGCAAACGTTTTTACAGATGGTTCACTAAAATGAATACATTAGCAGCTAATAATAACATGAAAAGATGCTCAACATCATTATTCACCAACTTAAAAATGTGAGATACTGCTACACCCTGTAGAATGGATACAACAAAAAGAAATGGCAGTACCAAGTGTTGAAGAGGGCTTAGAGCGATTGGAACATTCAGGTTGCTGGTGGGAGCATAAAATGGTGCAATTATTTTAGAAGATAGTTCTTAGCTTCTTACACAGTTAAGCATAAGTTTCCCATAAAATCCATCAATTCTGCATCTAGATATTTACCCAAAAATATAAAAGCATGTGTTTATGCAAATAATTGTATATGAATATTTACAGCACTGCTATAGCAGCCCCGACAGGAACACTGTCCAAACGTCTATCAACGGGGTATATTAATAAATCAGGTGTGGTATATTCATGCCATGCAATCCTACTTAGTAATAATAAGAAATGAACAACGAATATACCCAATAACATGAATGAATCTCCCAGATACTGAACTGAGTGAAAGAGCTGGTCACAGAGGAGTACATGCTGTGTGGTTCTCTTCACATGTGATTTTGAGAATGGGCAAAAATAATCTATAGCGATAGAAAGGAGATCAGTGCTTGCCCATGGCAGGAGAAAGGAAGTGGGGGTAAGATTGGCTGCAAAGGGCAATTAATGTGTCTAATCGCATCATCTTACACAGATAAAATTTGACATTGTAGTTTCTACAAAATCCTAATTAGTCTGCTTACCATAATTATAACATAATTGACATAGTTGTCAATTTGAGTTTAATAAATGAATAAAACTGATTCTTATACTTTGATCCACAGCACTCGACAATTACTTTTGTATACAAAGTTTCAGAGACTGTATTGTGTAATTTGTAAATCAGGAAATATTTAACTAAAGAAATATGCATAAAATTTATTTTAATATTTCAAAATACAAAGTAATATGGTTTTTAGGATTGTAGTTAGTGATAATTCGTATTCGTAAGAAAAATAAGTTTTGTTGGAATTATAATGGATAAGATATTCACAAATTTAAAATTATATAGATAAAATGTCCTAGAGATTTATGGTTGTTTTAGTATAATATTACATCAATGTATCACAATAAACTGGGTTTTGAAAATAAATAAATTAATTCAAAAACAAAAACAATAGAATCCAAGGATTCCAGTGCATGATTCATTTTCCAGTGGATCTAAGTGTCAGTGTGTTTTACAAATTTGTTTTGACAAAACACTTACCTAGAATTCTTTACTTTAATTACACTTGTATAAATTGATATAGCAAATAAACGAAAAAATGAAGAAAAATGACTGGACAAGTATGAGTTCTACCTCAGATATAAAACTAAGGTATTAAAAAAGGAAGATTTGCTAGAGCTCATTTGGAGGCTGTGATTGAAGAAAAAGTACTTTCATACTGTTTCTCACCCTACTCAAAGTATTCCACAAGCTGTTAATCTATATTTCTAAGAAATACTTGTCAAACACAAATGGATTATGGAATGAATCAACCTGAGCACTGACTCAGCTATGCACTAACTTGAAGAATTACTTAGACCATAACTTAGATAAATTGATTGCATATAATCAATGCCCACTTCTTTTCCTTTACAGTTGAACACTTCGACCCTGCTTTGTGTTTGGTTGCTTTTAGCCTCTAATCCAAAGAGACAAGAGTACAAAACATTTGTCTCCCCTTTCTCTTATTAACAAACTTCTGAGTTTGGGTACTGCAACAACAGGGCCTCATTATCACATCTTTCTCCCACCTTAGTCATAATGAAGAATGTTTCACACTCTGGATCACTGGGGAGATGGTTTACTTAGTGGACTTTTATTTTAGAAATGTCTTTAAGGAGTTCACAACCTGCAAACTAAAGAGCAAGTGTAGAAGTGAGACTGAAAACTTTAGCTGATGCAAGACACTCAAAAGTTTGCCTCCAAATTCTTCCCCGGGTGTTAGAATCATAAAACTCTGGGAAAGAGGATTTCTGCTTACTCTCGATCTTATCTGATCCAAATCCATTTATGATGATGGTTTTAGGAGCAAGATTGAAAGAGTTGTATATGTGCAATAATTTTAGAGGCCTTGAAAACACCCTCCAATTGACATCCCATGTCAGCACTGGACTAGGGCTCTTTATTCACTAATCCAGAACATTAAAGTATAAGTTAAAACAGAATCCTCTAGTACGTTTAAGTGGTACAATAAAAAAATAGAATATCTAAAATTCTATAAATATTAAAGTAGAATTTTTGTTTTCTCATGTTTTTAGGGACCCCTTTGTCTCATCTGCCTGTCATTGTGCTTACTGTAGACGCTATTGTCTTTCGTCTGTGTAGTACTTATCACAATTTGAAATTGTAAATCTGTCTTTCTATTTCCTTAAGTTTTGTTTTCCTCTTAAGATTATAAGCTTCGTGAGTATAGTGGTCATAACAGTTTTGTTCATTACTTGAATACACAGCTACTGGAATTCAATAAATATGTGTTGAATAGATGAATTAATAAATGAATATCAGAATGATGAAGGGATATAAAGTTATTTTTCTATTTGAAATCGAGGCATCACTTGACACTTTTTTATTGCCTAAGACAATTGTCTTAATGGAGGAAGGGGGTTGATTTTGTCCCTTGAGGAATTTGGCAATGTCTGGAGACGTTTTTGGTATCTCAACTAGAAGGATTTTACTGACATCTCGTAGCAGGGGTGCTGCTAAAAGCCACGTGATTAACAGAATAATTTATCATATCAAAGAGTTATCTGAATTCAAAAGTCCATTGTGCTCAAGTTGAGAAAGCCCCGCACGGGGTTTTGTCTATATAAGAAATTGACACCATTTCACAAAATCAGACATACAGAAAATATTAAGAAGCATCTGAAAACTACTTGGTTAAGAGTGTTAATTTTATTGAGTAGGAATCAGATAGCGAGATTGATTAATAATAATACTTATCACTCTTTATAACTTGAAAAGCAAGTTCACAAATGTCTCTAAAGTCACAGCCCTGTACTGGAAAGAGAGTTGAACCCTTCTTCAGGAAGACAATAATATAATAATAACAATATTTTCTTCACTCTGCAGTGTCTTTACATTCCAGGGTTGGGAACATTACTGAGGATTCTCTTCCCATTTTCCAGTTTCCTGTTCATTATTCTTATTTTTTTGACTGCTTTTAGCATCGGGAGCACAAAGGCCAGTCACCAGGAATTGCAAACAAATGCGTAGTCAGAGAGAGAGGGCTCACTGCCCATTTGTCATGTGGATGCAGACACATTGCAGATGTGTTCCCAGTAACAATGTCTTGAGAAGAGGACTGGTCTTTCCACCAGCATCTCAGAAATGCCGGTGTGTCTAAACAGCATGTCGTTCTTTAATGCTTTCATGCAATATATTTTATCAATCTCAAGTTCCCCTCACTATGTATTATAATAATTTCTGCTTGTTGGTAACCAATGCAGATGGAAAATTGATTCTTAACAGAAGAGAAAGAGCCAAGTATTGATGCTTACTATTTACACCCTATTGTATCTTTGTAACAAAAACCCGGGTGGCTAAGTTATGATTGGGAACAAGGGAATGGTTCAAGTCTATGCACTAAGGAAAAACAAATCTTTGGCCTAAAACAATAATGATAATAGAATTTAATATAGAGTAGAGACCTGTTTTGTAGAATAACTTTCCTAGTAATCACTGTTGAAAATAATCATACTAGTTCACACCGCGCACTACAGGGATTCCATCGAGGGATTTTCCCATTGAAGGCATTTATTTAGCTAAAAGGACTTCATCTTTAAGGCGGTAATGCAGGACAGATAACAGAGATAAAGATAACAGGAGGTGATCTTTCAGCTCCATAATTACATTCCATATCAGCGACTGTTGCACAGAGAAACTCAAAAGGTAAAAATAAAATATGAAAGGATATTTAAAATCAAAAGGAATTTTATCAAATTAAGAGCATGAGACATTTATCAGTTGAAACAATCTCCAATAATCTTGTGCAATATAATTTTTGTCAAATTTTATTTTGTCATAAACATTTGGGATTTATAATAAAAATGGAAACTTGAAAAATTATATTAGAGATAATATCTGATCATTTCCTCTGGCATCCTGGTGAATATGTGTTTTTTTCCGCAGGAGCACTGAAAATCAGGAACAATCCTGTATTTTTTGTGATAATCAACAAGGACAAAACTTCTCCATATGTAAATAACAGCGTTATGAGCAGCAATTCATCCCTGCTGGTGGCTGTGCAGCTGTGCTACGCGAACGTGAATGGGTCCTGTGTGAAAATCCCCTTCTCGCCGGGATCCCGGGTGATTCTGTACATAGTGTTTGGCTTTGGGGCTGTGCTGGCTGTGTTTGGAAACCTCCTGGTGATGATTTCAATCCTCCATTTCAAGCAGCTGCACTCTCCGACCAATTTTCTCGTTGCCTCTCTGGCCTGCGCTGATTTCTTGGTGGGTGTGACTGTGATGCCCTTCAGCATGGTCAGGACGGTGGAGAGCTGCTGGTATTTTGGGAGGAGTTTTTGTACTTTCCACACCTGCTGTGATGTGGCATTTTGTTACTCTTCTCTCTTTCACTTGTGCTTCATCTCCATCGACAGGTACATTGCGGTTACTGACCCCCTGGTCTATCCTACCAAGTTCACCGTATCTGTGTCAGGAATTTGCATCAGCGTGTCCT